>NC_000004.12:118921381-121421381 GCF_000001405.40 Homo sapiens | reverse complement strand
AATTACAAGTGCCCAAGGGAGAAAAGATATGACGAAAAGAATGGCAAAGAACAGAAGATGGGGAGAAAAAAAATTTAAAGATGAAGGCAAGAGAAGGAAATAAAGAGCATATAAATTGTGAAGAAGGGAATCAAATTGCCCGTGTTTGCAGATGACATGATCTTATATGTAGAAAAGCCTAAAGACTAACAAAAAACATTTAAAACTGATAAACAAATTAAGTAAAGTTGTAATGTACAAAATCAGTGATGTTTCTATATACCAATAATAAACTAAATGAAAAATAAATCAAGAAAGCAATTCAATTTATAATAGCTGTAAAAAAAATAAATAGCTAGGAATAAATTTAACCAAGGAGGTGAAACATCTCTACAATGAAAACTACAAAACACTGTTAAAAGAATTTGAAAAGGACACAAAAAAAATAAAGACATACCATATTCACAGATTGGAAGAATTAATATTGTTAAGATGACCATATTACCCAAAGCAATTTACAGATTAAATGTAATCACTATCAAAATACCAATGACATTGTTCACAAAAATAGAAAAACAATTCTAAAATTTGTATGTAACCACAAAAGACTCTGAATAGCCGAAGCAATCATGAACAAAAAAAACAAAGCTGGCAGCATCATACCACTTGACTTTAAAATGAACTAGAAAGCTATATTAATTAAATAGCAGGATGCTGTTGTAAAAACAGACATATAAACCATTGGGAGAGAATAGAAAAGACAGAAATAAATCCATACATTTACAACCAACTGATTTTCAAGAAAGCTACCAAGAATGTACATTGGAGAAAAGACAGTCCCTTCCATAAATGATGCTGGAAAAACTGGATATCCACATTCAGAAGAATGAAATCAGATCCATCTTTCTCACCATATACAAAAATCAACTCAAAAGACTTAAATGTAAGACTGGAAATTATAAAATTAAGGGAAAGTATAGTGGAAATGCTTCAGGACAAAGGCCAGGAAAAAAAAATAACAACTTACGAATAAGAGCTCAAAACACAAGCAACAAACCAAAAAAAAAAAAAAAAAAAAAAAAAAAAAAAAAGACAGATGGAATTATATCAAACTAAAATGCTTCTGCACAGCAAAGGAAATAATCAAAAGAGGGAAGAGGCAACCTGAAGAATGGGAGAAAATATTTGCAAGCTATTTATTGACAAGAAATTAATAGCCAGAATATACAAGGAAGTAAAATAATAGCAAAAATAAAAGAAAAAGAAAAAAAGAAAAATCCAATTTAAAAACTGGGCAAATGAGTGAAGTAGACATTTTCCAGAAGACATACAAATGTCTAACAGGTATATGAAAATTTTCAACATCACTAATCACTAGGGAAATGCAAATAAAAGCCAAAATGAGATCACCTCACCCCAGTTAGAATAGCTATTATCAAAAAGACAAAAAATAAAAAATAAAATAACAAATGCTGGTGAAGATGCAGAGAAAACAGGATACTTATACACTGTTGGTGGGAATGTAACTTAGTACAGACACCATGGAAAACAGTATAAAGATTCCTCAAAAAACTAAAAATAAAACTACCATATGATCCATTAATCCCAGTACTGGATATACATTTAAAGGAAAGGAGATCAGTGTATTGAAGCAATATCTTCACTCCTATTTAGTGCAGCATTATTCACAGTAGCAAAAATATGAAATCAACCTAAGTATTCATTAACAGACAGATTTATATAAAAAAATACGGTATAGAGAGTATGGCAGATGGAAGGCAGGACTAGATTGCAGCTCCCACTCAGATGGACAGAGCAGCATGTGGAGGCTTGCATTGTGAACTTTTGCTCCAGAATGACTGTAGGAATAAATCAGGAAAACAGAGAAAACCCACAGACCCTCTGAAGAAAGCAGATTGCTCCTATAGGACCCGGGAGACACTCCAAATATGGTGAGCGTCCAAAGTGTGGAAATGAGAAAGGGGGACCATCTGCCTCCAAACACACATTCTCACTGGGGAACCTGAAGGTCTAGATCATGGGAGAAGATTCTGACCTTACCTGGAGCTGAGTCAGTTTAGAGAACTGAGTAAAATACAGACGTAGAAGAAGCAGCGGGAAAAGCCCCGTAGGCTTGCTGGCAAGCCATTTCTCCCTTGCTTCACAGTGGTCCTTCGGGTGGGCTGCCTGAGGTACTGGGAAAAGGTGACAGGAAAAGAAACCTCCAGCTGAACTGTAACAACTTGAACAGATCAAGAAGTATCCTGGCCAGAACTCGAGGGAGGAAGTGAATCCGGTGTGTAGACTCCACAAGTGAGGGAAGCATGAAAGCCCTACTTACTTTTGCAGATGAGAGGCAGGTAGCCTTGGGCAAGTTCTCAGCTCTGCTCCCCGACTGCCTAAAGACTCAGTACTGTTGGGGGTGACACAGTAAGAGTGAGACCAGCCCTCTGGGTTGTGTGGGAGCTGGGTGATGCCTGTAACTGGTGGCTTTTCCCCACTTCTCTGACAACCTGCATGACACAGCAAAGGCAGCCATAATTCTCTGAGGAACATAACTCCATTGACCTGGGAACCTCACGCCCAACCCCCACAGCAGTCACAGCAAGACCCACTAAAGAAGAGTATGAGCTCAGGCAAGCCTAGCCCTGCCCCCACCTAGTGGTCCTTCCCTGTCCACCATGGTAGCTGAAGACAAAGGTCTTATACTCTTAGGAGTAATAGCACCCCACCCATCACCTCTTCCTCCCGACACTACCACAGCTGATGCTCTCTGGAAAGCACCACCTCTGGGCAGGAGGCCAACCAGCACAAAAATGGTGCATTAAACAACCAAAGCAGAGAACCCTCACAGAGTCTATTTCACCCAACTGCCACTCCCACTGGAAGAGGTGCTGGTATCCATGGCTGAGAGACTCACAGATGGTTCACATCACAGGCCTCTGTGCAGACAACCACCAGTACCAGCCCAGAGCCAAGTAGACTTCCTGGGTGGCTAGACCCAGGAGAGAGATGCTGCAGCTCGGCTCACAGGAAGCCACATCCCTAGGAAAAGGAGGGGAGTACTACATAAAGGGAATACCCTGTGAGGCAAAAGACTCTGAACATCAGCCTTCAGCCCCAGGCTTTCCCTGTGACACAGCCTACCCAAATGAGAAAGAACCAGAAAACTAACTCTGGTAATATGACAAAACAAGGCTCTTTAATACACCCAAAAAAAATCACACTAGCTCACCAGCAATGGATTCAAACAAAGAAGAAATCCCTGATTTACCTGAAAAAAAATTCAGGAGGTTATTTATTAAGCTAACCAGGGAGGCACCAGAGAAAGGCGAAGCCCAGTGCAAGAAAATCCATGAAACAATACAAGGAGTTAAGGGAGAAATATTAACAGAAATAGTATAAATATAAAAAAGTCAAAACTTCAGGAAACAATGGATGCACTTATAGAAATGAAAAGCCTCTGGAAAGTCTCAGCAGCACAATCAAACAAACAGAAGAAGGAATTTCAGAGCTCAAAGACAAGATTTTCTAATTAACCCAATCCAACAAGACAAAGAAAAAAGAATAAGAAAATATGAACAAAGTCCCCAAGAAGTCTGGGATTATGCTAAATGACCAAACCTAAGAATAATTGGTGTTCCTGAGGAAGAAGAGAAATCTAAAAGTTTGGAAAATATTTTTGGGGAAATAATCAAGGAAAACTTCCCAGGCCTTGCTAGAGACCTAGACATTCAAATACAAGAAGCTCAAAGAACACCTGGGAAATTCATCACAGAAAGATCTTCACCTAGGCACACTGTCATCAGGTAAACTAAATTTAAGATGAAGGAAAGACTGTTAAGAGATGTGAGGCAAAAGGACCAGGTAACCTATAAAGGAAAACCTAAGAGATTGACAGCAGATTTCTAAGCAGAAACCATATAAGCTAGAAGGGACTGGGGCACTATCTTCAGCCTCCTCAAACAACATAATGATCAGCCAAGAATTTTGTACCTAGCAAAATTAAGCTTCATAAAGGAAGGAAAGATAGTCTTTTTCAGAAAAACAAATGCTGAGAGAATTCATCACTGCTGAGCCAGCACTACAAGAACTGCTAAAAGGAGCTCTAACTCTTGAAACAAATCCTAGAAACACATCAAAACAGAACCTCTTTAAAGCATTAATCTCACAGGACCTATACAACAAAAATACATTAAAAAAAAGCCAGAAAACCACATTACACGGGCAACAAATAGCACAATGAATGGAATGATACCTCACATCTCAATACTAACATTGAATGTAAATGGCCTAAATGTTCCACTTAAAAGATACAGAATTGCAGAACGGATAAGATTTTACCAATTCTTACCTCACGAGTCCTAACATATGAGGAGTCACATGAACTTAAGGTAAAGGGGTGGAAAAAGACATTCCATGCAAACTGACACCAAAAGCAAGCAGGAGTAGCCATATCAGATAAAACAAACTTTAAAGCAACAGCAATTAAAAGAGACGAAAAGAGATATTATATAATGATAAAAGGCCTTGTTCAACAGGAAACTATCACAATCCTAAATATATATCCATCTAACACTGGAGTTCCTGAATTTATAAAACAATTACCAATACACCTAAGAAATGAGACAGAGAGCAACACAATAATAGTGGGGGACTTCAATACTCCACTGACAGCATTAGGTCATCAAGACAGAAAGTAAACAAAGAAACATTGGATTTAAAATACACCCTGTAACAAATGGACTTAACAGATATTTACAGAATATTCTACTCAACAAGTGAAGAACATACATTCTATTCATCAGCACATGGAACTTCCTCCCAGATAGACCATATGATAGGCCATAAAATGAGCCTCAATAAATTTAAGAAAATTGAAATTGTATCAAGCACTCTTCCAGACCACAGTGGACTAAAACTGAAAATCACCTCCAAAAGGAATCTTCCAAACCATGCAAATACACGAAAATTAAATAACCTACTCTTGACTGAGCAATGGGTAAAAATGAAATCAAGATTGAAATTTAAAAATTCTTCAAACTGAATGACAGTAGTGACACAACGTGTGAAAGCCTCTAGGATACAGCAAAGGCAGTGCTAAGGGGAAAGTTCATAGCCCTAAATGCCTACATCAAAAAGTCTAAAAGAGCACAAACAATCTAAGGTCACACCTCAAGGAACTATTAAAACAAAAACAAACAAAACCCAAAGCCAGCAGAAGAAAGGAAATAACCAAGTTTAGAGCATAACTAAAAGAATTGAAATCAGAAAAAAGCAATACAAAAGATAAAAATGTAGCAAAAAGCTGGTTCCTTGAAAAGATAAATAAAATTGATAGATCATTATCAAGATTAACCAAGAAAAGATGAGAGAAAATCCAAATAAGTTCATAGGAAACAAAACTAAAGATATAACAACTGACACCACAGAAATACAAAAGATCATTCAAGGCTACTATGAAGAGCTTTAGATGCGTAAACTACAAAACCAAGAGGAGATGGATAAATTCCTGGAAAGATACAACTTTCCTAGCTTGAATCAAGAAGAATTAGATACCCTGAACACACTAATAACAAGAGTGAGATTGAAATCGTAATAAAAAAATTACCAATAAAAATGGTCCAGGACCAGATGGATTCACAGAATTCTATGAGACATTAAAAGAAGAATTGGTACCAATCCTATTGACACTATTCCACAAGTTAGAAAAAGAAGAAATCCTCACTAATTTATTTTATGAAGCCAGTATCACCCTAATACCCAAACCAGGAAAGGACATATCCAAAAAAGAAAACTACAGAGCAATATCCCTGATGAACATAGATGCAAAAATTCATAACAAAATACCAGCTAACCAAATCCAACAACATCAAAAAATTAATCCACCAGCAAAATCAGCATACAAGGGACACACCTGAATGTAATAAAAGCCGTCTATGACAAACCCACAACCAACATAATACTAAATGGGGAAAAGTTAAAAAGCATTCCCTCTGACAACTAGAACAAGACAAGGATGCCAACTCTCACCAATTCTCTTCAACATAGTACTGGAAGTCCTAGCCAGAGCAATCAGACAAGAGAAAGAAATAAAGGTCATCCAAATTTGTAAAGAGGAAGTCAAACTGTTGCTGTTTGCTGATGATACGATTATTTACCTCGAAAACCCTAAAGACTCCTCCAGAAAGCTCCTAGAACAGATAAAAGAATTCAGCAAAGTGTCTGGATACAAAATTAAAGTATACTAATTAGTAGCTCTTCTATACACCAGCAGCAACCAAGCTGATAATCAAATCATGAACTCAACCCCTTTTACAATAGCAGCAAATAAAATAAAATACTTAGGAACATACCTAACCACAGAGGCAAAAGGCCTCTACAAGAAAAACTATAAAATGCTGCTGAAAGAAATGATAAATGATCCAAACAAATGGAAACATATTCTATGCTCGTGGATGGGTAGAATCAATATTGTGAAAATGACCGTATTGAAACAAAAATCTACAAATTCAACACAATTCCCATCAAAATACCAACATCATTCTTCACAGAACTAGAAAAAAAATCCTAAAATTCATATGGAACCAAAAAAGAGTCCACATAGCCAAAGCAAGACTAAGCAAAAAGAACAAATCTGGAGGCATCACACTACGTGACTTCAAACTATACTATAAGGCCATATTAACCAAAACAGCATGGTACTGGTATAAAAGTAGGCACACAGACCATTGGAACAGAATTGGGAACCCAGAAATAAAACCAAATACTTATAGCCAACTGATCTTTGACAAAGCAAACAAAAACATAAAGTGAGGAAAGGACACCCTCTTCAACAAATGGTGCTGGGATAGTTGGCAAGCCACATGTAGGTGAATAAAACTGGGTCCTCATCTCTCATCTTATACAAAAATCAACTGAAGAGGGATCAAGGACTTAAATCTAAGACCTGAAACTACAGAACTTCTAGAAGATAACATTGGAAAAACTTTTCTAGATATTGACCTAGGCAAGTATTTCATGACCAAGAACACAAAAGCAAATTCAATAAAAACAGAGATAAATAGTTGGGACATAATTAAACTAAAGAGCTTTTGCATGGCCAAAGGAACTGGCAGCAGAGTAAACAGACAACTCACAGAGTGAGAGAAAATCTTCACAATCTATACATTTGACAAAAAACTAATATCCAGAATCTACAACAAACAAATTAGCAAGAAAAAAACAAACAATCCCATGAAAAAGTGGGCTAAGGACATGAACAGACAGTACTCAAAAGAAGACATACAAATGGCCAACAACTATACAAAAAAATGATTGACATCACTAGTTATAAGGAAAATGCAAATCAAAACCACAATGCGATACCATCTTACTCCTACAAGGATGGCCATAACCAGAAAATGAAAAAATAATAGATGTTGGCATGGATGTGGTGAACAGGGAACACTTCACTGCTGGTGGGAATGTAAACTAGCAAAACCACTACGGAAAACAATGTGGAGATTCCATAAAGAACTAAAAGTAGAAATACCATTTGGTCCAGCAATCCCACTACTGGGTATCTACCCAGAGGAAAAGAAGTCATTATACGAAAAAGACACTTGCACACGCATGTTTATAGCAGCACAATTTGCAACTGCAAATGTGGAACCAACCCAAATGCCCATCAATCAATGAGTGGATAAAGAAACTGTGAGATATATATATATGTGTGTGTGTGTGTGTGTGTGTGTATGTATGTATATATGATGAACGACTACTCAGCCATAAAAATGAATGAATTAATGAATTAATGGCATTCCCAGTGACCTGGATGAGACTGGAGACTATTATTCTAAGTGAAGTAACTCAGGAATGAAAAACCAAACATTATATGTTCTCCCTCATAAGTAAGAGCTAAGCTATGAGGATACAAAAGCATGAGAATGACACAATGGACTTTGGGGACTCAGAAGGAAAGCGTGGGAAGGGGGTGAGGGATAAAAGACTACAAATTGTGTGCAATGTGTACTGCTCAGGTGATGGATGCACCAAAATCTTACAAATCATCACTAAAGAACTTACTAATGTAATAACCACTGTTCCCCAATAACGTATGGAAATAAAAAATGTTTTTTAAAAAGGAAAATATGGTATATATACATAATGGACAAGTAATATTATACAGCCTTTAAAAAGAACAAAATCTTGTCATTTGTAACAACATGGATGATCCCGGAGAACATTATGTGAAATTAGCCAGGCACATAATAAATATTGCATTTTTCTCACTCTTATGTGGAAGCTAAAAAAGTTGATCTCACAGAAATATTGAGCAGAATAGTGGTTACTGGGAAGTAGCTGGGAAGAGTGGTGGGGACAATAGGAAGAGGCTGATTAAAGGATACAAAATTACAGGTAGATAAGAGGAATAGGTTCAAGTGTTTTGTAGCATTGTAGCATGACTATATTAATAATAATTGCAAGCCTACTGCAGGGTATCTTCCCAAAGGAACAGAAATCATAATATCAAGAAGATACCTGCACTTATATGCTTATCACTGCACTATTCACAATAGCAAAGATATGGAATCAACTAAGTGACCATCAATGGATGATTGGATAAAGAAAATACAGCACATACACATCATGGAATACCACTCAACCATTAAAGAATACAATCATGTCTTTTGCAGCAACATGGATGGAATTGGAGGCAATTATCTTAAGTGAAATAACTTAGAAACAGAAACTCAATACTGCATGTTCTCACTTATAATTGGGTGCTAAATAATGTGTATGCATGGATGGAGAGTGGAATTATAGACATGAAAGATGCAAAAAGGTGGGACTGTAGGAAAGGGGTAAGGATGAGAAATTACCTAATGAGTACAATGTACATTGGTTACACTAAAAACCTGGACCTCACTGTTACACAGTATATCCATGTAACAGAACTGCACTGTACCCCTAAATCTATAAAAATAAAAATTGAGAAAAACCCCAGTAATTTACTGAATATTTTCAAGTAGCCAGAAGAGAGAGTTTTGAACATTCCCAACACAAAGAAATGATAAATGCTCAAGGTGATGGATATGCAAATTACCCTGATTTGATCATTACACACTGTATAATTGAAATATCACCCTGTACCATATAAATATGTACAAATATTGTGTTATTTAAAAAATATTTAAAGAATTAAACTATAATAAAGAAAAGCAGAGGAGCATCATGGCAGATGGGAGGCAGGACTAGCTTATAGCTCCAACTTGGATGGATAGAGCAGTGTGTGGAAGCTCACATCATAAATTTTAGCTGCAGAACAATTGCAAGAACAAACCAGGAATCCCAAGAGGACCTACAGATCCTCTGAAGGAAGTGGACTACTCCTGCAGGACCCGAGCGACACCCCAAATACTGTGAGTGCCCAAACTGCCAAAATAGGGAAGGGAGAGCCTCTGCTCCTGAACACACCTGCCCCCCAACTGGAGAAACTGAAGGTCTAGTTTGCATGAGAAATTTCTGACCTTACCTGGACCTGAGTCAATTGAGAGAGCCGAGAGAAATACAGGGGTAGAGGAAGCAGCGGGAAAGGCTGTGGAAGCTCACAGGCCATTCCTGGCTGGCATCACAGGGATCCTTTGAAAAAGCAGCCAGAGGTGCAGGGGAAAACACTACAGGAAGAAGGAAGTCTCCAGCTGAACTTTGTAACAATTTGAACCGGGTGAGAAGCCTGCTGGCCAGAACTCAGGGGGAGGGCATGAATCTGGTGTGCAGGCTCCACAGGTGGGGGAAGAACCATAGTCCTTTTCTTTCACAGCTGGGAGGCAGGCAGCCTGGGGCAAGTTCTCAACCCTGCTTGCCCCCTGCCTGGAAACAGACTTAAGGTTGTTAGGGGGGCACAGTGGGAGTGAGACCAGCCCTTTGGATTGCATGGGAGCTGGGTGAGGCCTTTGACTGCCGGCTTTCCCTCACTTCCCTGACAACCTGCATGACTCACCAGAAGCAGCCATAATCCTCCTAGGTACACAACTTCATTGACCTGGGAACCTCACCCCCAACCTCCAGAGCAGCTGCAGCAAGACCCACCACAGAGAGTCTGAGCTCAGACATGCCTGACCCTGCCCCCACCCAGTCCTTTCCTATCCACACCAGGTAGCTGAAGACAAAGAGCATATATGCTTGGGATTTCTAGGGCCCTGCCCACAACTTGTTCCTCCCCATACTACCACAACTGATGCTCTCTGGAAAGCACCAACTCCTGGCTAGAGGTCAACCAACACAAAAATAGAACATTAAATCACCAAAGCTAAGAACCCTCACAAGGTCCATTTCACCTCACTGCTACCTGACTGGAACAGGTGCTGGTATCCACAGCTTAGAGACCCATAGACTGTTTATATCACAGGTCTCTGTGCGAACGACACCCAGTGCCGGCCTGGAGCTGGGTAGACTTGCTGGGTAGCTAGACACAGAAGAGAGATATCACTGCAGCTCAGCTCTCAGAAAGCCACATCTCTAGGAAAAGAAGGAGAGTACTACATCAAGGGAACACCCCGTAGGACAAAAGAATCTGAACAACAGCCTTCAGCCCTAGACCTTCCCTGTGATAGAGCCTACCCAAATGAGAGGAAACCAGAAAAAACAACTTTGGTAATATGACAAAACAAGGCCCTTTAACACCCCCAAACATTCACACTAGCTCACCAGCAATGGATACAAATCAAGAAGAAATCCCTGATTTATCTAAAAAAGAATTCAGGAGGTTAGTTATTAAGCTAATCAGGGAGGCACCAGAGAAAGCCAAAGCCCAATGCAAGAAAATCCAAAAAACAATACAAGAAGTGAAGGGAGAAACATTCAAGGAAATAGATAGCATAAAGAAAAAAACAATCAAAACTTCAGGAAACATTGGACACACATATTGAAATGCAAAATGCTCTGGAAAGTCTCAGCAATAGAATTGAACAAGTAGAAGAAAGAACATCAGAGCATGAAGACAAGGTCTTTGAAAAAACTTAATCCAACAGAGACAAAGAAAAGAAAACATGGAAAATATGAACAAAGCCTCCAAAAAGTCTGGGATTATAAATGACCAAACCTAACAATAATCAGTGTTTCTGAGGAAGAAGAGAAATCTAAAAGCTTGGAAAACATATTTGGGGGAATAATCGAGAGACACTCCCCTGGGCTTGCTAAAGACCTAGACATCTAGATACAAGAAGCACAAAGAACACCTGGGAAATTCGTTACAAAAAGATCACCACCTAGGCATATTGTCATCATGTTAACTAAAGTTAAGATGAAGGAAAGAATCTTCAGAGATGTGAGGCAAAAGCACCAGGTAACCTGTAATGGAAAACCTATCAGATTACCAGCAGATTTCTTAGCAGAAACCTTACAAGCTAGAAGGGATTGGGGCACTATCCTCCGCCTCTTCAAACACAACAATTATCAAGCCAAGAATTTTGTATTCAGCAAAACTAAGCATCATATATGAAGGCAAGATAGTCTTTTTTAGAAAAACAAATGCTGAGAGAATTTGCCACTACCAAGCCACCACTACAAGAACTGCTAAAAGGACCTCTAAATCTTGAAAAGAATCCCAGAAACACATCAAAATGGCCTCTTCAAATTATCAATCAAACAGGACCTATAAAACAAAAATACAACTTAAAAAGCAAAAACAAAAAACAAAAATCCAAGGTACACAGGCAACAAATAGCATGATCAATGCAATGGTACCACATATCTCAATACGAACTCTGAATGTAAATGGCCTAGAGGCTCCACTTAAAAGATACAGAATTGCAGAATGGATAAGAATTTACCAACCAACTATCTTTTGCCTTCAAGAGACTCACTTAACACATAAGAGCTACATAAACTTAAAGGGGTGAAAAAAGGTATTTTATGCAAATGGACACCAAAAGCGAGCAGAGTGGCTATTCTTATATCAGACAAAACAAACTTTAAAGCAATAGCAGTTAAGAAAAAGAGGGACCTTATATAATGGTAAAAGCCTTGTCCAACAGAAAAGTACCACAATCCTAAATACATATGCACCCAACACTGGAGCTCTCAAATTTATAAAACAATTACTATTAGACCTAAGAAGTGAGATAGACAACAACACAATAATAGTGGGGAACTTCAATACTCCACTGACAGCAGTAGAGAGATCATCAAGACAGAAAACAAAGAAACAATAGATTTTAATTATACCTTGGAAGAAATGGACTTAACAGATATATACAGAACATTTCATCTAACAACTGCAGAATACACCTTCTATTCAACAGCACATGGAACTTTCTCCAAGATAGACCATATGATAGGTCATAAAACCAGCCTCAATAAATTTAAGAAAATTGAAATTATATCAATTACTCTCTAAGACCACAGTAGAATAAAACTGGAAATCAACTCCAAAGGGAACCTTCAAATCCATGCCAATACATGGAAATTAAATAACCTGCTCCTGAATCAGCACTAGGTCAAAAACAAAATCAAGATAGAAATTAAAACATTCTTTGAAATGCATGACAATAATGAAACAACCTATAAAAACCTCTGGGATACAGCAGAGGCGGTACTAAGAGGGCCCTAAATGCCTACATCAAACAGACTGAAAGAGCACTGACTGACATTCTAAGGTCACACTTCAAGAACTAAAGAAACAAAAACAAACAAAACCCAAACCCAGCAGAATAAAGGAAATAACCAAGATCAGAGCAGAACTAAATGAAACTGAAACAATAACAAAAAATACAAAAGATAAATGAAACAAAAAGCTGGTTCTTTGAAAAGATAAATAAAATTGATAGACCGTTAGCAAGATTAACCAGGAAAAAAAGAGAAAATCCAAATGATCTCATTAAGAAACTAAATGGGAGATATTACAAAGGACACCACTGAAATACAAACGATCATTCAAGGCTACTATGAACACCTTTTGCCCATAAACTAGAAAGCCTAGAAGAGATGGATAAATTCCTGGAAAAATACAACCCTCCTAGCTTAAATCAGGAAGAATTAGACACCCTGAACAGACCAATAACAAGCCACAAGAATGAAATGGTACCAAAAAAAATTACCGACAAACAAAAGTCCAGGACCAGATGAATTCACAGCAGAATTCTAACAGACATTCAAAGAAGAATTGGTACCAATCCTTTCAACACTATTCCACAAGAAAGAGAAAGAGGAAACTGTCCCTAATTCATTCTATGAAGTCAGCATCACCCTAATACCAAAACCAAGAAAGGATATAACCAAAAAAGAAAACTACAGACCAATATCCCTGATGAACGTAGATGCAAAAATCCATAACAAAATACTAGCTAACTGAATCCAACAACATATCAAAAAGATAACACACCATGATCAGATGGGTTGCATACCAGGGATGCAGGGATGGTTTAACATATGTAAGTCAACAAACGTGATACACCATATAAACAGAATTAAAAACAAAAATCACATGATCATCTCAACAGATGCAGAAAAAGCATTTGACAAAATCCAGCATCATTTGTGATTAAAACTCTCAGCAAAATCAGCATACAAGGCATACAAGACACACCTGAATGTAATAAAATCCATCTATGACAAACCCACAGCCAACATAGTACTAAATGGGGAAAAGTTGAAAGCATTCCCGCTGACAACTGGGACAAGACAAGGATGCCCACTCTCACCATTCCTCTTCAACATAGTACTGGAAGTCCTAGCCAGAGTAATTAGACATGAGAAAGAAATAAAGTTCATCCAAATTGGTAAAGAGGAAGTCAAACTTGCTCTTTGCTGAGGATATGATCATTTACCTCAAAAACCCTAAAGACTCCTCCAGAAACCTCCTAGAATTGATGGAAGAATTTAGCAAAGTTTCTGGATAGAAGATTAATGTACACAAATCAGTACCTCTTCAGTACACCAGCAGCAACCAAGCAGAGAATCAAATAAAAAACTCAACCATTTTTACAAGAGCTGCAAAAACAAAAATAAAATACTTAGGAACATATCTAAACAATGAGGCAAAAGACCTCTACAAGGAAAACTACAAAACACTGCAGAAAGAAACCATAGATGACACAAACAAATGGAAACACATCCCATGCTCATGGATGGGTAGAATCAATATTGTGAAAATGACCACACTGCCAAAAGCAGTCTATGAATTCAATACAATAACCATCAAAATACTACCATCATTCTTTGCAGAATGAGAAAAAACAATTCTAAAATGCATATGGAACCAAAAAAGGGCCCAAATATCCAAAGCAAGACTAGGCAAAAAGAATAAACCTGGAGGCATCACACTACCTGTTTTGAAACTATACGATAAGACCATAGTCACCAAAACAGCATGGTACTGGTATAAAAATAGGCACATAGAGGCCAGGTGTGGCGGCTCATGCCTGTAATCCCAGCACTTTGGGAGTTTGAGGCCGGTGGATCATCTGAAGTCAGGAGTTTGAGACCAGCATGATCAATATTGTGAAACCCTGTCTCTACTAAAATTACAAATATTAGCTGGGTGTGGTGGTGTGTGGCTGTAGTCCCAGCTATTCAGGAGGCTGAGGCAGGAGAATTGCTTGAACCCGGGAGGTGGAGTTTGCAGTGAGCCGAGATCTCACCACTGCACTCCAGCCTGGGCAACACAGTGAGACTCTGTCTCAAAAAAAAAAAAATAGGCACATAGACCATTGGAATAGAATAGAGAAACCAGAAATAAAAGCAAATACTTACAGTCAACTGATCTTTGACAAAGCAGACAAAAACATAAATTGGGGAAACGACATCCTTTTCAACAAATGGTGCTGGGATAATTGGCTAGCCACATGTAGGGGAATGAAACTGGATCCTCATCTCTCACCTTGTACAAAAATCTACTCAAGATACATCAAGAACTTAAATCCAAGACCTGAAACTATAAAAATTCTAGAATATAACACTGGAAAACCTCTTCTAGATATTGGCTTAGGCAAGGATTTCATGAGCAAGAACCCAAAGCAAATTCAATAAAAACAAAGATAAATAGCTAGGACTAAATTAAACTAAAGAGCTTTTGCAAGGCAATAGGAATAGTCAGCAGAGTAAATAGACAACCCACAGAGTGAGAGAAAATCTTCGCAATGTATACATTTGACAAAAACTAATATCCAGAATCTACAACAAACTCAAACAAATCAGTAAGAAAAAAAATCCCATGAAAAAGTGGGCTAAGGACATGAATAGACAGTTCTCAAAAGAAGATATACAAATGGCCAACAAGCATATGAAAAAATGATCAACATCACTAATGATCAGGGATATGCAAATCAAAACCACAATGTGATACCACCTTACTCCTGCAAGAATGGCCATCATCAAAACACAGTAGATGTTGGCATGGATGCAGTGATCAGGGAACTCTTCTACATTGCTGGTGGGAAAATAAACTAGTATATCCACTATGGAAAACAATGTGGAGATTCCTTAAAGAACTAAAAGTAGAACTACCATTTGATCCAGCAATTCCACTATTGGGTATCTACCCAGAGGAAAAGAAGTCATTATACGGAAAGGATACTTGCACACACATGTTTGTAGCAGCACAATTCGCAATTGCAAAGTTGTGGAACCAACCCAGAGGCCCATCAATCAACAAGTGGATATAGAAACTGTTATATATATATTATATATATATATATATATATATATAATATATATATATATATAATATATATATATATACACACACACATAATGGAATACTACTCAGCCATTAAAAAAATGAATTAATGGCATTTGCAGCGACCTGGATGAAATTGGAGACTATTATTCTAAGTGAAGTAACTCAGGAACGAAAAAAGCCAAACATCGTATATTCTCACTGGTATGTGGGAGCTAAGCTATGAGGACACAAAGGCATAGGAATGATACAATGGACTTTGGGGACTTTGGGAGAAGGGTGGGAGGGGGGCGAGGGATAAAAGACTACAAATAGGGTGCAGTGTATACTGCTCGGGTGATGGATGCACCAAAACCTCACAAATCACCGCTAAAGAACTTACTTATGTAACCACATACCACCTGTACCCCAATAACCTATGGAAAAACAAAATTTTTTAAAAGACAAAAAAAGAAAAGTAATAAAATAAAGTAAGACATATAGCATATGGGGAAAGAGGATTCTGTTCATATTATATAATATATAATTTGAGTTCCTAAAAAGAGAAAAAATAAAATTAGAAAGAATATTGTATTTAAAACTATACTTGAAATCTTTTCTAACACACACATATACACTCACAGACACACACCATTACATTTACATGCTGAAAGTACCCTTGTATCCACTAAATACCTGATAATGATCCAGAAGTTCATTTCTGATTCATATCATAGTAAAACAATGGGGTCTCAAAGACAAATAATTATCTGGCTTCCAAGCAAATAGATGAAGTCTTTTAGAAAGGAAGGAAAAGTAAGTTACTGTAAGAATGCTTTTCAACAGCAACATACTAAAGGAGGCAAAAGGTTTGTATTAAAGCTGTTATTTGTCCCCTCCAAACCTCATGTTGAAATTTGATCCCCGATGTTGAAGGTGAGACCTTAAAGGCAGGTGTTTGGGTCATGGGAATGAATTTCTCATGAATAGATTAATGCCCTTCCTCAGGAATAATTTCCCACTCTATTAGCTTTTGAGAGAGCTGAATGTAAAAAAGAGGGTGATACCTCCCTCCTCCTTGTCTTGCTTCCTCTCACCATGTGATCTCTGCATGTGCTGGCTCCCTTGCACCTTCCACCATGACTGGAAGCAGCCTGAGGCCCTCCCTAGATGCAAATGTACAGTCTTGCACTTTTTCAGACATCAGAATTGTGAGCCCTATGAACCTTTTTATCTTTATAAATTACCTAGTCTCCAGTATTCCTTTATAGCAACACTGAGCAGACTAAGACAAAGGCCATAGAAAAATATGCAAGAACTCAAGGATATATTTCATCTATATGTTCTTTGTAAGGAATCAACTAGAAGATGAACGTCATCATAGCGGATCAGGAAACCTACAGAAAACTACTAATGAGAACTTAGATTAAAACAAATGTGGAATAAAAGCTTATCAATATATGCTTTAAAAACTAAAAAATGAAAGGAGAAGGGAAAGAGAAGGAGAAGACAAAATTAGCTCATGGATGGTGCACAAATAATAGACAGTAGTTAAAGGATATTTTTTAAAGCTAATAAATGTAATAATAAAAGCCTAAGTAAAGAAAAAGGAAGGCTACAGAATTATTTAAAAGTATTAGTCTAAAAGTCATTAGTACAAAACTATGCACATTTAAACCAAAATATTTAAAATAGAATAAACAAAACAAACTAATGAAAGACACATGGGAAATACAACATAAGATAACTGAAAAAATAGAGATTAAAAATATTGGTCATATTTATAAATGCAAATGGATTCAATTTACCTATTAAAATAAATAAGATCAGCTTAAAAGCAAAACAATTCTATGCCACATACAGACAATACACTGAAAATGAAATTATTCAGAAACTCTAAAAGTAAATGGGTAGAAAGTGTACTGTTCAAGTGCAAATGAGAGTAGAGTTTAAGTTTATAGTCTTGAAATCTAACTAGGCAGAAGTCAGCCAAATCATTAATAAAGAAAAAGGAGGATCTTTATAATGTTAAAGCTGCCATTTACAATGGAGATATAAAGTTATACATATCTATGCACTATTTAATGCAGACACAATCTATATAAAGCAGAAACTTTGAAAAGGAATAGACAGAAAAACTCTAAAAGGTAGAGACTGTACCATACTACTCTTGGTCCAAAGACAGGTCAAATGGACAATACTAGGTAAGGATATAGAAGATCTAACAAATAATGAACAAAGGAGGTCCTATAAGTGTGTGTGTGTGTGTGTGTGTGTGTGTGTGTGTGTGTGTATACACACAAAAAAATGTATATATATATAATTTTGAACAATAAGAGAATAAAGCCTTCTTTTTCTAGTGCACATGAGCTACTTAAAAACTCTACCATGTGTTAGGTCCAAAAGGCAACCTTGATAAGTTCCTGTTGTAGGCAGAATGACCCCCAAAAGCTGTCTATGCCATGATTCCCTAGATCCTGTGAATATATTACACGGCAAAAGGCACTTTGCAGATGTAAGTAAGGTTGTAAACCTTAAAATAGGGAGATTATTTGGAATTATCTGGGTGTGCCCAATCTAATCACATGAACACTTAAAAGCAGAGAACTTTCTCCAGGTAAAGTTAAGGAGATGAGGCAGAAGTTGAATTCAGAGAGATTCAGATCCTAAGAGAGGCTTGCCTTGTTATTGCTGGAAGAAGCCACATTGAAAGAAAGCATGAGGAGGAAATATGGGCAGCCTCCAGGAGCAAAGACTGGCTTTTAGCCTCTAGCCACCAATGACATGGGGACCTCAGTCATATAACCACATGGAACTGAATTCTGTCCCCAACATAAATGAGCTTGGAACCAGATTCTCCCCCAGAACATCAGCCCAGGCCAGCTGATGTCTTCATTTCAGGCTAGTGAGACCTCAAGCAGAGAACTCACCAAGCTCATCTTAACTTACGACCTACAGAACTGTAATAAAATTAATTTGTCTTATTTTAAGATGTTAACTTTGTGTTAATTTGTTATGGCAGCAATAGGAAAATAATAAAATTCCAAAAAGCAGAAGTTATAAACAACAATGTGTGATCACAAAGTGCAATAAGATTAGGTTGGTGCAAAAATAATTGTGGTTTTTGTCATTGAAAATAATGGCAAATCCTCAGTTACTTTTGCACCAACCTATTATTAATAAAAACAAAAAAAATTTGGGGTCAAAAGGCAAATACATCCCAAACTACAGAATTTCTAAAACAAAGTTAAAATAAAAATTTGACATATCTGAATCCTTAAAGCACTAAAAAGAAAATCTAAAGCCTCCAATAGTTATGTCAATAAAACCAAGAGTAAAACATTTAACTCATAAAAGTAAAAAAGAATATCAAAATAAACCAAACACATGCAACAATTTATAATAAATCTTGTTCTCTGAAAAAATTACAATGGAAATTAATCATTAGTTTTCTTAATCAAGTAAAAATGAAAAAAAAAAAACATAAATACACAAAGAAATGAAAGGGGGAAATAACCATCGAAAAAAATCTCTAATTTCCTAAGAAACAATTTGCACAACTCTTAGTGAATACATTTGACAACCTAAGAAAGTGGGAAATTTCCTAGAAAAATATAATGTATCCAAAATTGACCCCTCTAGAGGCAGAAAGTTCAAAAGGCCAATTTTCATAGAAAATTAGAAAGTAGATAAAATTATGAAAGAGCTACTGTATTAGTCTGTTCTCACAGTGCTAATAAAGACATACCCAAGACTGGGTAATTTATAAAGGAAAGAGGTTTAATGGACTCACAGTTCCACATGGCTGGGAAGGTCTCACAATCATGGCAGAAGGCAAATGAGAAGCAAAGGCACATCTTACATGGCAACAGGCAAGAGAGCATGTGCAGGTGAACTTCCATTTATAAAACTATCAGATCTTGTGAGACTTACTCACTACCACTAGAACAGTATGGGGAAAACTGCCATCATGATTCAATTATCTCCACCTGGCCCTGCCCTTGACATGTGGAGATTATTACCATTCAAGATGAGAGTTGGGGTGGGGACACAGCCAAACCATATCAGCAACTCTCCACCCCTACAAAAAGCAACAGGCCCATATGGTTTTATGGAAGAATTAAACTAAATCTTTAAAGACCACATAGCTCAAATGTGAATCAAACTTTTCAAATAAAATAAAAGGAAATGTCCAAATTATTTTTATAAGAAAAGTTTAACTTTGACACTTAACCCTTATAAAACCTTTTCCTCAAATATTAGTGAAAACTCCTAAAATAGAAGGCTGGCAAACAGAATCCACTAGAACATTAAACAATCATGAACCAAGTAGGTTGTCTTTCATTCTGCAATAATTTTTCAATATTATGAAATCTATTAATAAAATCAATTATATAATTACATCAAAGGAAAAAGTTTTAAGATACTGAAATGATATTAAACCAAATTTAATACTTATTTCTGACACATTAGTGAACTAAGAGTCAATGGATAATGCCAGATTCTCATTTAATGTGGGAAAATCAGAAGCATTCCTGCTAAAGCCAGGAACAAGACACTGTCTCCCTACCTTAATTTTTTTATTTTTTTATGATTGGATGTGAACATGCTTAGAATGTATTTGTTTAAATTTTCTAGTTAAAAGTGTTTAGTGGGCAGGAATCTTAGCCTCCAGCCTTAGGAAAAAGTCATAAACACATTTTAGAATATCTATTTATTTGTTCATAAAATATACATCGTTCCCAAGATATAGTACGTGCTATGTTACCTATTAGGAATAAAATGGTAAATTAGATACAACCTAATCCTAGATGGCACAGCCTTTCTGCCTTCATATAAATATTAGAGGCCTACATTTTCCTAGGTCAGAAGTTCTCAGGCTTAGACACACATTAGAATCACCTGGGGAGCGCTTAACACCACTGCTCAGGGCCCACCTGCAGACATTCTGAGTTAATTAAAAAGTGATTCAAGTGGTGCTAATATGCAGCCACAGCCTGAATGCTTGTGTTGAGAAAAAGGAATGGGTGAGCTGGGATAGAAGCTGGTCAGTGATCTTAAAAGTGGATGGCTCGCCCTAGCAGATACCAAATCATAAAGCCTCTATAATTAAAATCATGGATATAGACACATGAAAAGACAGACAGACATCAGAGTAAAGGGCAAGGCCAAGAAGTAGACCCAGGTACCTATGAAGTAGACCCAGGTACAAAGCAATTTAAACACAATAAAGTATTGCATAAGAAACTGTGGTAGACATATATAGAAGCATACAATGTCAGTGAATCCTGAAGATGGATACAATGTTTGATGATTGTGTACTTAATAAAGGTGAGCTTTTTAATTAGTGAGTTTGGGACAAGTGGTAGCTTTTGAGAAAAAGAAAAAGTTACACTATGATTAAATCTCAAATTGATCAGAAATCTAAACATTAAAAATGAAATCATACAAGTATCAGAACAACACATGGGTAAATTCATTTCTTGAAAATGAAGACAGTCTTTCTAATATGACTCAAAATTGTAAACATATAAAGAAAATGTAATAAAGTATTTTAATCAAGCTCCATATACATGGCTTCAAAACAGTTTACCAATTTGCCTTAAAATACATTTTCAATGTGAGCCATGTTTTTTCCTTTTCTCCTGCTCTTTTTTTTCCTGCAAACTGCAATACATGGCTTTTGTTAGACTATCTCTATATTTAGAAATAAGTTAAAAATCAACTGATTAGGGCATTTTTAGGTAAGCAATAACAGATAGTCATTCTATACTGAAATGTTTTATTTTTGCAAAGAATCATTGTGCTTTATAATTACTATGAAACTTCAATTCAAATGAATACAATCCTTAAGGAAAGCATGATTACGAAAAGGCTTTTATTCTTTTACTTCAATCTTCAAATTAACATTTAACATATATTTTAGAATTAAAGTTTAACACAAATGTCACACCTCTCACTGAGAAGCGATACCTTTAATGAGTAGGCATGAAAATGTAGAAAATGCCTGACTCCCTCTTTACAGGGCAGATATGAAGATGAAAACAATAGTGCATATGAAAGCAACTTAAACATTATATAAAGTATTGGATAAGGTACTGTGGTAGATATACATAGAACCTAGAAATGTCAATAAATGCTGATGACTGTGTTCCAAAATACCTTCAGAGAATCCAGACATGTTTTATAACTTAAACTGATAGATATATATTTTAATAAAAATATATTTATGTCTATAAAGCCAAGAAGCTAATAATGCCATTTTCTCAGTGTAATTATAAATACATTTTACATGGCAAGGCATGGTGGCTTACACCTATAATCCCAGCACTTTGGGAGGCCGAGGCAGGTGGATCACGAGGTCAGGAGTTCGAGACCAGCCTGGCCAACATGGTGAAACCCCATCTCTACTAGAAATACAAAAAATTAGCCGGGCATGGTGGCGCATGCCTCTAATCCCAGCTACTTGGGAGGCTGAGGCAGGAGAATTGCTTGAACCTGGGAGGCAGAGGTTGCAGTGAGCGGAGATCGCACCACTGCACTCCAGCCTGGGTGACAGTGTGAAACTCTGTCTCAAAAAATAAAAATAAAAATAAAAATAAAAATAAATAAATACTTACATTTTATAATATTAGCTGCTTTGTAAAACTAAGCAAAATATTAAGCTAATAATGCCATATTTTTCATTATAAATACTTACATTTGATAATATTAGCTACTTTGTAAAATTAAGCAAAATATAAAATTAGGATAAAAACATACTATTGTGCAAATATTTTCCACTGTATTATTTCAGTCCACACAAATTAGCATTCTCTAAGGAATAATGGGAACTTGCTAACTTAAAGTGATGACGGTTTGTTTAGGATTTAGAAGCAGGGCAATGAGCATTATACAAAAAGTGATGTGTTGCATGTTCCCGTTGTCCTTCCAGTGGTGTAGGAGCTCAATAATTAACCTCAGACAGTGGATAATGACATAAAAGGGAAATTTGGCACCTAGAAAATAAAGCTTATTGGGGTGGGCTAGGCATTATAAATAGTACAATCTCCAATAGGCCTGATTTCATAAGCTTTGGGTCCCATTCTGGATAAACAGTAGACTGATTGGAACTGGCATCTTCAAAGCCACCAAAGCATTCATTCACAGCTCAAACTGGAGAATTTACTCCCTGGTTTTTTTTTAATGAAACAAGGTAAATTTTGAGCTGCTTTCTTAATATAACCTCCATTTTCTAAGTGATTATTTTAACACAAAACTACCCTGTTAAGTCTAGCTGGAAAGAGAAGAGCAAAGGGAGAGAAAGCAGATCCACTATGGAATGGCAGGGCTCCAGGTCACCTGCTCTTCTGGAAAGGTCCCCAGAAATTCTGGCATCTGTGTTGACTCAGATTCTTGTTAACACTTGTATTGTACACATTAAAAAGGAGGAAACCTTTAAAACACTAGTAGGAGGGGTCAGTTGCTTATGTCACCCAGAATACATGGTGCTGTCATGCCTGCCCTTCCTCCTTCTCCAGGCAGGTATAGCTGGAGGAGCTGCTTAGAGCCATTCTCCTGCTGGAAGATCTGTCATTTTCTCAGATGTGCTATCAACAGTGTCTTGCCACTAAACCTGCTGAGATAGTCACTGGCCCATGAGAGACAAAGCTTGTCACCAGTTAACCAGAGCACTTTGGTTGCAAGATGTGACCAGGTGGTTCCATGAACACTTAGGTCCTAACCCCCAGATTCAGGGAAATTTGAGCTTCTTCTGAGTGATATAGAAATACAGGCCCGCTAAGACTGTGGGACTTTAGCCAGTGTTTCTTTCTCTTGGTGGACACTGGCCAACATCCATCATCGAAAGAGCCATCTCTGCCCTGAGCTTGCCAACCACAGAAAACTCTGAGAAGAATAGGCTTCTACAATCTCATGGCTAATCTGTGGGTCTTTTCCCAGACGGTAAAAGATCTAAACATTAAACACAAATTCAAAAAAGCAAACTAACAAACCAATCATGAAGCCAAACAAATGCAAACACTGGATATAGTTTCAGGATGAATGGATGAATCCCATGTGCTATTTGGTATGCAGGGAATCTAAGGGAATGTATTTATAGTCTATTTCCTGATACGGGAGAGTAATAGCAAATGACATCCACAGGTTCTTAAATTGCATCACTGTCATCCTGGATGTCCCCTGAGTTGAGTGGCTGTTATAACACATTGAAGGGGTGGCCTGTCCCTCCACACCTGTGGGTATATCTAGTCAGGTGGGACGAGAGACTGAGAAAAGAAATAAGACACAGAGACAAAGTATAGAGAAAGAACAGTGGGCCCAGAGGACCGGCACTCAGCATATGGAGGACCTGCACTGGCACCGGCCTCTGAGTTCCCTCAGTTTTTACTGATTATTATTTTCATTATTTCAGCAAAAAGGAATGTAGTAGGAAAGCAGGGTGATAATAAGGAGAAGGTCAGCAAAAAAACATGTGAGCAAAAGAATCTATGTCATAATTAAGTTCAAGGGAAGGTACTATGGCTGGACGTGCACGTAAGCCAGATTTATGTTTCTCTCCACCCAAACATCTTAGTGGAGTAAAGAATAACAAAGCAGCATTGCTGTAAACATGTCTCACCTCCCACCATAGGGTGGTTTTTCTCCTATTTCAGAATTGAACAAATGTACAATCGGGTTTTATACCGAGACATTCAGTTCCCAGGGGCAGGCGGAGACAGTGGCCTTCCTCTATCTCAACTGCAAGAGGCTTTCCTCTTCTACTAATACACCTCAGCACAGACCCTTTATGGGTGTAAGGCTGGGGGATGATCAGGTCTTTCTCATCCCACGAGGCCATATTTCAGACTATCACATGGGGATAAACCTTGGACAATACCCCGCTTTCAAGGGCAGAGGTCCCTGCAGGTTTCCGCAGTGCATTGTGCCCCTGGTTTATTGAGACTAGAGAATGGCGATGACTTTTACCAAGTATACTGCTTGTAAACATTTTGTTAACAAGGCACGTCCTGCACAGCCCTAGATCCCTTAAACCTTGATTTTATAAAACACATGTTTTTGTGAGCTCCAGGTTGGGGCAAAGTTACAAACTGACAACATCTCAGCAAAGCAATTGTTTAAAGTACAGGTCTTTTTCAAAATGGAGTCTCTTATGTCTTTCCTTTCTACATAGACACAGTAACATCTTATCTCTCTTTCTTTTCCCTACACACAACTCTCACTCAGAAATAATTCTGGCAATATGTTTTCGTGCAAGAAGCAAGGCTTATTTCCTCTACTTCTGAATGCCAGATTTGGGACTTTAATTATCAAATGGGTGTCCCTGTTCAGATGTCTATACATAATAAAGTCAGAAGGGAGTTTTTAATTTGAGACTTTGTGAAAATTTACTTAAGAAGCATTTCTATAGCTTCTTAAGTAAATTTAAGGAATTTAAATATAGAAGGGATTCTTCTAGATTATTTACAAGTATGAGTTTACTTAATCTTCATAACACCTTTTTGAGAGAAAGCTTTTTTTTTTAATTTAATGCTTTATTAGTACGTGGTAGCATTTTTTGGTGCGCATACATATTCATAGTTCTAAAGCTATCCTTGTGGCTTTTTTTATTATTATACTTTAAGTTCTAGGGTACATGTGCACAATGTGCAGGTTTGTTACATATGTATACATGTGCCATGTTGGTTTGCTGCACCCATTAACTCGTCACTTACGTTAGGTATTTCTCCTAATGCTATTCCTCCCCCAGCCCCCCACCCCATGACAGGTCCCAGTGTGTGATGTTCCCCACCCTGTGTCTAAGTGTTCTCATTGTTCAATTCCCTCCTATGAGTGAGAACATGTGGTGTTTGGTTTTCTGTCCTTGCGACAGTTTGCTTAGAATGATGGTTTCCAGCCTTATCCATGTCCCTGCAAAGGACGTGAACTCATCCTTTTTTATGGCTGCACAGTATTCCATGGTGTATATGTGCCACATTTTCTTAATCCAGTCTATCATTGATGGACATTTGGGTTGGTTCCAAGTCTTTGCTATTGTGAATATTGCGGCACTATTCATGAGAGAAAGTATTTTTATGGTCTCACTTTACAGATGAAGAAACTGCATCCAAGTTTCCCCAGTGAGAGGATGACAGAGCCAGGATGCAAACCCTGGGCATCTGAGTCAGTTGTACCAAGACACCTCTGACATGGATTTACTGCATCTCACTCTAAATATAATCTTTGATGGTAATTACATACATTTAATCATGCACATGATTTTCTCAGATGTGCTATCAACAGTGTCTTAACACTAAACCTGCTGAGATGGTCACTGGCCCATGAGAGACAAAGCTTGTCACCAGTAAACCAGAGCACTTTGGTAGCAAGATGTCACCGGATGGTTCCATGAACCCTTAGGTCCTAACCCCAAGATCCAAGTGAATTTGGGCTTCTTCTGAGTGATGTAGAAATACAGGCCCATACAGAAGATAATTCAGTGGGTGTAAATCATATCTACCTCCTTGACATTAAAGAACTGGTGATAGCCTTTAGCCAGTGTGGCTAAAATCTCTTCCCTGTCCAATGCATTGGTTACTTCTCAACTCAGAGTTTCTAATATAGATTATAAAAAATGTCTCTGCCTTTCCCTGTTGTTTCAAATTTGGTCTTCAAGCATCATGCGATAAATTTCTTCAGAAAAGATTGCTTCCTTCCAAAACACTGCACGAAATTCTGGCTGCCTGCCTTGCTCACTAATGTCAGGAACTCTGCACACCTGACCCTCAAATCTGAACACCTTGGGTCTGCCTGCTATTTCGTGGCTGTGGTCTTTCTGCAATCATCAGATTGTTCCGTGCTAATAGGCAAAACACTCCCTTTGGCGGAAGAACTATTTGCTATTCAGACTGAATTGGAAACGGATTTTCCATTCTATGGCACTGGCATTTTCTGGAAAATGGAGCATTAGTAACTGCGTTTGTAGCAGTACCTCAGAAGTGGCCCTGAGGGAGAATGTCTGTTTAAACTAGTGGTGTGCAGGCTACACTATCATGGAAATATAAGTAATTATGTGTTACCCTCATCCTAAACCAACTCAGGGGAGTAATACAGACCTAATATGTTTAAGAAGTGCATAAGCACATGCACCATTCTAAGGAGAGCAGCCTTTTCCCCCCCTGTGGCTCTCTTGACAAAGCATCTGCTCCATCAATCTCTTGCTCCATCTATTCAGCAATTATTTATTGGTTTGCACCATTTTTATGATCCTTCTCATAGTATAAGAATCCATAGAGCAAGCATTATGAATTTAACACTATCACCTCCCAAATTCAGGCCACAAAGCTGATTCTCTGCATTGGTTATACATCTGTAGTCTGATTAGCTGCCATTAGTAGATAGATTAGACTCATTGATTATTTTGTTATAAAAATTATCCGTTTAATTCAACAAAACTATTACTTAAAGCAAAGGAGTCGTTATTTATTATACATTAGGGGCTCTCAAACTTAATTACCCATTAGAGTCATCTGGGGAGCTGTTACCATCTCTGATGCCCATGCTACATTCAAACTTGTTACATCGCTATCTCACAGGTTGAGATTCAGATATCGTACTTGTTATAGTTCCCCCTGACAATTCCAACATGGAGCTGAATTTGGGAACTACTGATTTACAGGGAGATTTTTTAAATGATCCCATTATTATAACAGGACATAATAGGGAGTATTTGTTTTATTGTTCTACATTGGCTCTATTACTATGTCTTCTTTTATCTGCAATATCTGCATTTTATCAGCATTTTATGAATATAACCTCATTTAATCCTCACTATGACCCTATTGTTTT
The DNA here is from genome assembly GCF_000001405.40 of Homo sapiens. NCBI lineage: Eukaryota > Metazoa > Chordata > Mammalia > Primates > Hominidae > Homo > Homo sapiens. The sequence continues at coordinate 121,393,936 of NC_000004.12, read as the reverse complement.
GTCCATGTTATAGTTGATGAAAATAAGGGGCAAAAATTAACTTGTCTAAAATTACCCATATTATAAGTGACAGGGTCATGATTTTTGCTGTCAGTATGGCTGTGAACCCCTATGCTATTCTGACTCCTTTTAAATTTTCATATTGTTAAATAGAGTAGCTGTAGTAGCAGCAGCAGCAGGCATTCACAGAGCACTTACTATGAATGAGCCACACTTCTAAGTGCTTTACATAGAGGACAATATGAAACTTCCTAAATAAATACCAACTCTTATTAATAACTGCTTAATTTGCTTCTATATTCTGTTTTTCTGCTCTCAGAATAAAGCTCTTTTCCTCTCACCTGCGGCTGCACTGCCATGGAATTGGAGATTGCTCCCCAGTGTTTCTTCCCTGTGTTGCTGGCATTCCTTCCTCATGCTCACTGCCTTCCCAACATTCCTCATTTACCCCCCTCAGCTTTCTTGACACCCAATTTCCACAAAGACCCAAACTGCTCATGGGCCCACAAGACCCAGGAAAGAGAGCTTGCCTTCTTCTGGTGTGTGGTAGGAGGAAGAGAGGGTTCTCCTAGCCACATGCCCTGAGAAGGGCGACCTCAGATTGCTCCCTACTTCTTGGAATCTATCGCCACTCTGCTTTGTCATGACCAGCTGGGTTCCCTGACAGGCAACCCTTTTGAGGTCCTGCAGCTGGACCCACTTAATTGCTGCTGGTGTCAGTGGAGCCAAGTGTGGGACCAGGGACCACTCCTGAACCACAAGAGACACTTAGTATAAAGTGAGTGTATACATGCTCATTGATCACAGTCTGACTTTTAGCCCACTCTTGAATAGACTGTTGACTTATTTCTGTGGCCACACTCTATGTCTTAGTTTTAATAATTGTGTCTCTGTTTTTTTCTTCACTCCCACCTTCATGTACATGCCTCTGAACAGGCCCTGACCTAATGGCCTTGTCCTATTCCCTTAAGCCCCGCTAGGGTCTGTTGTCCAAGCCCCTAATTCCAGCCCCTAGCCTGGACTGGCCACCTACCACAGATCTCCTTGACACTCAGTGCCTAGTCTTGCCCTACGTCTATGGCCAGGTGCTTGGATTCCATTTGCCAGTCTCTGACGGAGTTTTTCACGTCATTACTTACTGTTGAGACTTGTCCTGTGACCTTCTCTATTCTGGAGTTCTGGTGTATTTCTGGTTATGGCTCTTTTCTAACATGACCTGTCCCAAGTGCCATTTGAGCCTGAGGTTTGGCAGCCTTTTCTCCACTGGTTCTGGTGTTTGTGATAAGTTATTTATATCCACATGGGAGTTTGTTTATTGCTGAGCTATGTCATAGGCTTCTAGCAGTTTTCCCCACCAGTCTCAGGATGGCTGGCACATACTGCTCCTTTATTAAAGGGGCCAGGTTCTTTTTAGTGAAAACATTTAAAAATTATATTCAAACACGACAAATCTGTAAGCAGGTACACAATATTCTTTAGATCATCAATGGGCATCATCCCTTCCTACACACCCCACTTCCCTCATCCATCTCCATGATCGGTGACAGCCTCCAGCCCAGTCCCATCCTTCCCTGTACCCCTGTGCACCCCTCCTCATAGCACTCACCTGTCAAGTTCAATACCCATTCAGGAAACATTCTGCAGGCTGTGGCTGCATATTAGTGCCACCTGGATCACTTTTTAATTAAACTAGAATACCTGCAGGTGGGGCCTCAGCATTGGTGGTGTCAAGAGCTCCCCAAGTGATTCTAATGTGTCCCCAAGCCTGAGAACTTCTGACTCAGGAAAATTAGGCCTCAGTCTTTTATATGAAGTTGAAAAGGCTCTGCCACCCAGGATTAAGTTGCATCTAATTTATCATTTTATTCTTAATATACAATATAGCATGTGGCATATCTTGGGAACAATGTGTATTTGATGAATAAGTAAATAGATATCCTAAAATGTGTTTATGACTTTTCCCTGAGGATGGAAGCTAGGATTTCTGTCCCCTAAACCTAATTGGCTAAAAGTTATAAACAAATACATTCCAAGCATGTCCATATCCAATTATAAAAATTTTAAATTTTGACATTCTTGGCACTGCTACTTTTGAAAACTTGCAAAATTTTCTCCACTTATATATATCTTTATTACAGGAAAAATAGAAAACACTTATAACCAAAACAAAGAAACTAAAAAATATCTGTACTTATACCATCTAGAAATAAACTGATGTTAATCCTTTACTGTCTCTTCATTTAATATGCATATGTATTCTTGAATACATTACATTGAATCATCATCTTATTCACTCAGCAATATATCATATGAAATCTTAACCCCACGTAGCTTGTAGACAAGTCAGATAACCATTAGGGAGGTGAAAATTTAAATTCAAAAATCCTATAAAAGGACTATGATATGGTTTGGCTGTGTCCCCACCCAAATCTCATCTTGAATTCCCATGTGTTGTGGGAGGAACCCAGTGGGAGGTAACTGAATTATGGGAGCAGGCCTTTCCTGTGCTTTTCTCGCGATAGTGAATAAGTCTCACGAGACCTGATGGTTATAAAAAGGGGAGTTTCCCTGCACAAGCTCTCTTCTCTTGTCTGCCGCCATGTGAGATGTGCCTTTCACCTTCTGCCATGATTGTGAGGCCTCCCCAGCTATGTGGAACTGTAAGCCAATAAACCTCTTTCTTTTGTAAATTGCCCAGTCTCAGGTATGTCTTTATCAGCAGCATGAAAAGGGACTAATACAGATTCTAAGAAGACCTTTCTAAAATTCAGCTACATTATCTCTTTTGTGCTTCATTAGTGATTGAATCCTTAAATAATATTTGTGTTTGAAAGAACAAATATTAAGGCCTGGGAAATAAAGTTATTCCCCAGTAGAGAATAGGGAGGGTGCAAAAATAAGAATTTTAATGAAAATGAAAACACTACCTAGGAGTTTTGAGTGTTAAAATCATAACATTCTTTTAAACTTAAGATTGCCTTTTGTTTTTGGCAAAAGAAATCATAATAGCTAATTTTCATCAACAACAGGTATACCATTGTTCTGTTAGTCCAGCTATACTTAAAAAAATGTAGCTACTTTGGCAAAATTCTTATAAAAAAACTTGTCTTGATAATCTCCCTCCCTTTATTAAGTCATTCTAGAAGTCTAGTAGAGCTGGCCTCAAATTCACTGTTTAAAATCCCCACTTTCCTTCTTGAGGAAATTGAGAGTTTACCCATGTTTAGTCTTCACTGTTTTTCTTGGACATCTGATTTCCAAAAGATTTTTGGTGATGATTATTCAAACACGTTGGTTAAATTCTCTTCATGCTTTACTTACACAGTCTGTTGCTGATCTCCATGCAGAATTGTTGGGATTCACTTGAACAGTGAAACAACACAGCTGAGCCCCTTAGCTTTCATAATGAATTCACTCACTGGCAGACACGTCATGTACAGAGCACATGGATCTCTTTTTAATCAACAATAGTGATTACCCCATTTATCTCAATTTAGAGCCATTTGCCATATGGCTCCTGTCCAAAGTCTGGCTAGTAGTTTATGAAATATGAAGGGTTATCATTTGCTAAGTTTCCTCTGCTCAGGTCAGATCACTAGAAAGCAAGATACTGTACCTGCATTATCTTATTCTGGCTCTTTGTAGAAATCACTTTATAAACTATGACTTGAATTATGCCTTCAGCTTGCATCAAGTTTGCTATTAGGAATGGCTATTAGCAATTATACTTTGCTTGTCATCAAGTTTACAGAAAGCCCATGGTTATTAAAGACACCATCCAATATGTATTTCAGTGTTTCTTATATGAAGACTATTGTGGTAAATTTTTCTCAGAGGTCAAAATCCGAAGAAAGTTGTTCCCTTTTGACAGTGTGCTTCCTTTTTTTTTAGGTTATGAGGATTTCAACTCTCCCTTATACGTCTCTTTTGGCCCTGACTCCATAGCTGTCAGAAGCTGACAGCTAAGTCTTCTAATCCGTTAGTTTAGTGTCCCATAATCTAGGTTTGCTGATACAATTATCTGCCTAGCTTTTATCATTACCAACCTCATGTCTCCTTCTCCCTCTCCTTCTTTTTGTTCTGTCCTCATGGTTTATACTTTCCTCACTGGTAGTAAAGACAGTATAGGGTTGAGAGTATGACTGCCTGGAATTTTGAGAAACAAACTACCAGTTTTTAGCTGTGTGACCTTGAGCAAGTTTCATTATATTATCTATGCCTCACTTTTTCATCTGTACAAAGAGGCTAATAAAAGCACCTAACTCATATGATTGTTATGAAAATTAAATGAAACAATGCAGACCAAGTATTGTTTAAAAGATATTATTTTTGCATTTTTCCTTTTAAAAATTGTGGTAAAATGCACATAACATAAACAGGTTATACTGTACATTTACCATCTTAACCATTTAAGTACTGTACATTGTTGTGCAGCCAATCTCCAAAACCCTTTTCATCTTGCAAAATCAAAACTTTATACCCCTTAAACAACAACTCTCCATTCCACTCTCTTCCCAGGCTTTAGGAACCACCATTCCCTATGATTTTGACCAAACTAGATACCTCATATAAGTGGAACTTAGAGTATTTGTCCTTCTGTGACTGGCTTATTTCACTTAGCATAATGCCCTCAAGGTTCATCCGTATTATAGCATATGTCAAACTCTCCTTCCTTTTAAAGGCTGAATATTATTTCATGGTATGTGTATACCACATTTTGTTTATCCGTTATCTGTCAATAGACACTTGGGTTGCTTCCACCTTTTGCCTGTTGTGAATAATGTAGCCATAAACATGGGTGTAAAAATGTCTCATCTAGACGCTGTTTTCAATTACTCTGAGTACCCAGAAGTAGAATCGCTGAATCGTATGATAATTCTATTTCTATTTTATTGAGGAACCACCATACTATTTTCTATAATGGTGCTATCAATTTACATTCCAACCAGCAGTGTTCAGTGGTTCCCTTTTCTTCACACCCTTGCCAACACTTGCTATCTTTTGTCTTTTTGACAATACCCATCTTAACAGGTATGAGGTGACATCTCATTCTGGTTTTGATTTGCATTTCCTTAATAATGAATAATGGCCTCTTTTTGCATGCTTGTTGCCCACTTGTATATATTTTTTGGAGAAATGTCTATTCAAGTCCTTTGCCTATCTTTTAAGGGGATTGTTGTTGCCGTTGTTAAATTGTAGGAGTTATTTTTATATTCTGTATATTAACGCCTTATTAGATATGTGATTTGCAAAATTTTTTCCATTCCATAGATTTCCTTTTCACTCTGTTGCTTGTGTTCTTTGAGGCATAGAAGTTTTAAATTTGGATGTGATCCAGATTATCTATTTTTACTTTTGCTGCCTGTACTTTTAGTGTCATATCCAAGAAAGTATTGTCATATCCAATGTCATGACGGTTTTCCACTGTTTTCTTTCAAGAGTCTTATAGTTTTAGCTCTTATGTTTATGTCTTTGATTAATTTTGAGTTAATTTTTGTATGTGTAGGGTAAAGGTTCAAATTCATTATTTTGCATACTAATACCCAGTTTTCCCAGCACCATTTGTTGAAAGACTGTCCTTTCCCCATTAAGTGGTCTTGGTACCCTTGCCAGAAATCATTTGGCCATGTATGTGAGAGTTTATTTCTGGGCTCTCCATTTGATTCTATTGATCTATCTGTCTATCTTTATGGCAGCACCATACTGTTTGATTATTATAGATCCGTTATAAGTTTTAAAACTGGGAAATGTGAGATCTCCAATGTTAATTCTTTTTCGAGATTGTTTTGGATATCTTTTCACCCAAGCAAAGAAAAAAAATTGTTTTGGTCATTCAGGGTCCCTTGAGATTCCATACAAATTTTAGCATAGGTTATTCTATTTCTGCAAAAAATATAATTGGGATTTTGATAGGGATTATATGAAATGTGTACATTACTTTGGGTAGTATTGACATCTTAGCAACATTATGTTTTCCAATCTATGAACACTGAATGTCTTCCCATTTATTTGTGTATTTTTAAATTTCTTTCAGCAACATTTTGTAGTTTCCAGTGTACAAGCTTTTTTCCTCTTTGGTAAAGTATATTCCTAAGTATTTTATTGTTTCTGATACTATTGCAAATGAAATTGTTTTCTTAATTTCCTTTTCATGTTGTTCTTGTCAGTGTATAGAAATGCAACTTATTTTTGTGTGTTGATTTTGTATCCTGTAACTTTGCTAGAATTGCTTACGAGTCATAGCAGTTTTTTGTGCAATCTTTAGGTGCAATTATTTTTTAAACATAAGTTACCTCCAGTCTTTTATTATGGTAATTAACATGGATAAAAATACCCAATATATACAATTACATAATCTCTCTCATTCTCTCTCTTTTGCTGAAAGCACTTTTCACAAAAAATCAATTTATTCTGGGCTTCCTGAAATTACTCTTTTTAGATATTTTTGTATCTGTTCGTATACATAAATAAACATATATATATACATGTATACACACACACACATCCCTCATATAATTTATAAAATTCCTGCTCTGTAGCAGAGTCCAGAATATTGATTCCATGCAAACTTGTAGCATACTGTGGCTACTACCCCTGCTTTTTAAAATTTCTCATTGAGATACTCTGCTACTATGGTGTCAGAAATTTTAAAGCTCCTCAGTCCTCTTTATTCAGCTTACATTTTAGAAACTATAGCCAAGAGATCATACAATCTTTTCTAAATATCATTAACTTGGTTTCTTGAAGCTTAGAATCCCTATCTGACAATATGTAGTATGTTCTACCTCATCTCCCTCAGAGTTGGCAGCTTCTCAAGCTTCTGTCACTTCCACCTTAGTATCAACTCTTTCCTCATTGGGCAGAATTAAGAACAGAAAACCAAGTCTCCCAGAAACTTTTTCCTTCTGAAAGACAAAATTCTCAGGAAAGTGAGGAAAACACCACATGCTATGCCTTTAGACTACTTATACCTTTAGCAAACATCTAGTGAACTCCCCATCTCTGACAATTTGGTAATCTTTTCTAAGGAAGGTTTGATTATTGCAACATTTCACTGACAAGATAAAGTGCAGACAGTCTCATAAAATTACTAGTTGCCTCTCCTTTTGTATTTATCCAGATACTTTCTTCCATGTTCCTATCTTTGAGGGTAGAAAGCTCTTTGGCGATTCTTCTTCACCCTGTTAGCTTGTTTATTTTGGAAAATGGACCCTCTGTCACTGTTGTTTTCTAATCATGAGAATTGCCAATAAGCATCAGAAGCCAATCCTGCCTTTCTGGCTCGCTTTATCCCTCTCTCTAACATAATCATTCCTACTTCTGTGCCTTTGGAGAGGCTACTCACTCTGTGACCTTTCTCTTTTTCAATTTATCCTTCCTTTTAGCCTTGATTTACACTCCACATTCCCCACACAGCATGTATGGATTTGCCTTTGCTTGAATTTCCAGAACATGTTCTTTCTGTGTGTGGATGTGGCACTTGTCACCTTATTTTGAGCTATGAATATTTCTGTCCCTCTTGCCCCTCTAACAAGATGGGGCTGGCAAACTGCTTCTGCAAAGGGTCACAGAGTAAATATTTTCTGCTTTGAAAACCATACAGTCTCTATCACAAATATGCAACTGTGCCATAGTAGTGTGAAAGCAGCCAAGGATGATATGTAGATGAATGGGCATGATATGTTCCAGTAAAATGTTTTTATTTTTACAGGCACTGAAAGTTGAATTTCATACAATTTTATGTGCCATGAAATATATTCTCTTTATGCTTTTTAAAAATGATTTGAAAATGTGAAAACTATTCCTTGCCCATGAGCTATACAAAAACAGATAGTGAACCATGTTTGGCCCAGGCTGTAGTTTGTTGACCCTGAACTGATAATGAGCTCCCCAAAGGCTGAGCTGTGTTGCATGCCCTTGTGGGAGTTACCCCTTAAGACTGGGTCTGTTTCTTCACCATACTACTCTTAATGATGAACACAGTGCCTGGCATGCAGCAGACATCCAAAAACGTTATTGAATAGAGGCATAAATATTCATGTACTTATCTAGTTTTCAAACAATAAGCAGGTATTTCAGGAAATGGTCATGAAGAGTTTCTAGGGGGAGAAGGAAAGGTCAGGAGTACTGGCAGTGTCTTGTGAGATTAGCCTTGGGCTACCTTAGTAGGGGTATTTTCACCAGGTAGCGAACTGGGTGAGTGAGATGTGAGTGGTTGAGATAAAGTGGGTTGGGAGGTTGAAGAGATGAGGGTTGAAGAGGTGTAGAGAAGTCGTGAAAACGAAGACTAGTGCAATATCAATAGAGGGAGGAAGACCCAAAAGAGTTTAAAACTTTAGAGGCTAATGTCACTTTTTTGTACACTTAGCTCCAATCAAACTCTAACTTCAATCATGCATTATTTCAAAGAATAATTCTCATAATCTGGATTCATAGGCTTTTCAAATATCCTAGGGAGCCACTATGAGAGTTGATCTTTGCTTTTCACACTTCCCTGTTCCCCTATACTCCTTTACTTGTTTTGAAGAGTGCTGAGTAGAACCGGGAAAGATGAGCACTATTGCTGTCTGCAATAATGTATGTCCACATAAAGCACAAGGAATTAAATATAGTCATACCAGACCTGCTCTGGCCTTAAGAAAGCCCTGAGATTTCTTCTCTGGGTCACATGGGGCTGGAATCAGCCTGCAGCTATGCTGCTGACCTTCTTTGATCCCAACACTGTGGACCAGGGAGAGGCAGGGCATGTCTTCCATCTATGTGGTTCCTATGTAATTCGAGAGCCATCCTCTATGACCCAAACTTTCAGCCCCTAGTCCAGAGAATTGGACTCATTTGTGAACCATTGCTCCTACAATGGGTTATGATTGGACATCTTCCCTTAGGTTTCCTTCAACAGTTACAATATGAACACATCCTTTTCAAATGCCCTTGGAGCATATACCAAAATATATAATATCCTTAGCAATAAAACAAACCTCAACAAATTTAAAAGAATGCAATTATACAGAGAATGCTCTTTGACCAAAAGGGAGTCAAACTAGAAAACAGAAAAATAGCAGAAAAATGTTCAAACACTTGGAAACTAAATAAGACATTTCTAAATAATCCGTGGGTCAAAAAAGACATTTAAAAGGAAATTAAAGAGTACATTGAACTGAATGAAAATGTAAATATAACACATAAAACATGTGGGACACAGTTAAGCCAGTGCTGAGAGGGAAATTTATGGCACTAAATGCTTACATTAGGAAAGAGAAAAAGTTCCAAGTCAATAATTAAAGTTTCCACCTCAAGAAACTAGAAAAAGAGTAGCAAAATAAACTGAAAGCAGGTAGAAGGAAGAAAATAATAAGGATAAGAGCAGATGTCAATAAAATTCAAGAGAAAATAATAGAGAAAATAATAGAGAAGTTGTTAGCTAAGAATTGTTTCTTTGTAACTAGCAATAAAATAGCCAAACCTCTAACTAGATTGACAAAAGAGAGAGAGAAGGCAAAAATTATAAAATCAGGAATGAGACAGGGGATACTCTTCAGCCATACAAAGGATATTAAGAGAATACTATTAACAACTCTACACACATAAATTCAAAAGAAATTTATCAATTCTTAAAAAAACTCACCCAATATGGAATAGATAATTTGAATATCACTATACTATTAACAAAATTAAATCCATCATTTAGGAACACCTGTAAAGGAACTCTTCATGCCCACATGGCTTCATTAGAGAATACTACCAAACATTTAAAGAAGAATTAATACCATTTCTACCAAACATTTAAAGAAGAATTAATACCATTTCTACACAGTCTTTTCCAGAAAATAGAAAAGGAGAGAATGCTTCTCAATTCATTCTATGATGCTATTATTACCTGACTGCCAAAACCAGGATAAAAAATACAAAAAGAAAAAAAAGTTACAGACCAATAGCCCTCATGAAGATATACATAAAATTCTTTAAAATCCTAACTAATAGAATTTAACAATATATATAAAGAATTACACACCACGACTAAGATGGGGTTTATTTCAAATATTCAAAGCTGATTCAATATTCAAAAGTCAATCAATGCAATTCACCATTTTAACAGGCTGAAGAAAAAAATCACATTGATAGTATTAATTGATGCAGAAAAATCATTTAACAAAATTTAACACCATTGATAGAATCTCTCAAGAAGTTGAGAATAGACAGTAACCTTCTCAAGTTGATAAAGAACATCTGCAACTAACATCATACTTAATGGTGAAAGAAGGCTGAATACATCCTTATAAGATTGAGGACAAGACAAGGATGATCTCCATTCTCCATTGCCATTTAACATAGTAAACTGTGTACTCCAACCATTGCAGTTAGGCAAAAAATAAAAAAAAAAAAAAACAAAAGAAAACAAAAACAACAACCAAACAAACAACAGCTAAAACCAGAAATAAAGAGCATACAAATCAGAAAGGAAGAAATAAAACTGTCTTTCTTCTCAGATAATGTGATTGTCTATGCAAGAAATCTACCAAAAAACCCTCTGTATTAGTCCATTTTCACACTGCTGATAAAGACATACCCAAGACTGGGCAATTTACAAAAGAAAGAGGTTTACTGGATTTACAGTCCCACATGGCTGGGAAGACCTCACAATCAAGGTGGAAGGCAAGGAGGAATAGGTCACATCTTACATAGATGGCAGCAGGCAAAGAGAGAACTTGTGCAGAGAAACTGCTGTTTTTAAAACCATCAGATCTCATGAGACCCATTCACTATCATGAGAACATCGTGGAAAGACCCACCCCCATGATTCAATCATCTCCCACTGGTCCCTCCCACAACACATGGGAATTATGGGAGCTACAAGATGAGATTTGGGTGGGGACACAGAGCCAAATCATATCAACCTCCTAATAAAATTAAGTGAATTCATCAACATTGGAGGAATCAAGATCAACATACGAAATAAATTGGATTTCTGCATACTAGTAATGAACACATGGAACCAAAAATTAGAAATTCAGTACAGTACCGTGTACAAATGTCCGCCCAAAATGAAATACTTAGGTGCAAATCTAAAAATATGTACAGGACTTACATGCTGAAAACTGTAAAATGCCTTTGAAATAAATCAAAGATGTAAATTTATGGAAAGACATTCTTCTCATGGATTGAAAAACTCAACCTAGTAAATATGTCAATTTCTATCAAAATCCCAGCAAGGTTTTTTGTAGACATAGACAAGTTGATTGTAAAATGTATATGAATAGGCACAGGTCCTAGAATAGTTACAATAATTTTGAAAAATAAGAATGAAGTATGAGAAATCATGCTACCTGATTTCAAAACTTATTATATAGCTACAGTAGTCAAGAATGTGGAGGATAGACACATAGATCAATTCAACAGAATAGAGAGCCCAAAACATAAAATGTAAAACTATAACACTTTTAGAAAAATACCTAAGAGAAAGTTTTTGAGAAATAGGCTTTGGTGAAGTTAGACTGAACACTAAAAGCTATCTATAAAAGAAAATATTGATAAATATGACTTCACTAAAACTAAAAGCTGTTCTGTGAAAGTCCCTGTTAAGAAGATAAATAACAAGCTACAGACTGGAAGAACATATTTGCAAACCGTTTACTAACAAAGGACTTGTATGTAGAATATAAAAAGAACTTTCAACAGCAAATAAACTAAACCATGCAATTAGAAACGGACAAAACACATGGAAAGACATTTCACCAAAGAAGATTCAAGGACGGCAAATAAGCACATGAGATGTTCAATATTACTTGCCATTAGGTAAATGTAAATTAAGGCCCTAAAGAGATATCACTACAGATCTATTAGAATAGCTTAAAAAAAAAAAGCAGCAAAACCAAATGCTGGCAAGGATGTGGAGAAACGTAACTTCTCATGCATTGATGGTAGAGATGGAGACTTGTACAGCCACTCTGAAAAGTAGTCAATCTCTTTAAAAATTAAATATACACATTACAGATTCAATAATCAAAACTTTTGGCATTTCCTATAGAAAGGAAAACTATGTTCACACAAAAACCTGTACATGATTCTTTATAGCAGCTTTATTTTTAATAGCTCAAAATGGTAATCAACCAAAATGTTCTACAAGAGGTGGATGGTTAAATAAACGGTGATACAGCCTCAGCAATAAAAAGAAACAGCCATTAATACATGCAACAACTTGGATGGATTTAAAGGGCATTAGGCTGAGCGAAGAAAATTCAATATCAAAAGGCAGCATATTGTATGATTTCCCTTACGTAATGTTCTGACAAAAGTTAAGAGAGAACATATTAGTGGTTGCCAGGAGTTAGAGATGGTGGAGGGAGGGGCTAGGTGTGAGTATAAAAAGCACCAGGGAGATTTTTGTGGTGATAGAAGAGTTTGTATCCTGACGGTTACGGGAATCTACACTTGAGATAAAAACATGCAAACACTGTACCTGTGTCAAATTCCTGGTTTTGTATTGTTCCGTAGTTAAATAAGATGTAATGAATGAAAGAAACTGGGTGAAGGGTGGGTACGCAGGATCTTTCTGTATTATCTTTGCCATTTCCCAAGTTCTATATTTTAACTATCTTAATTATTTTTCAATACAGAAAATAATTTAAAATAAGCCCTATTTGCCTTGGGTAGTTGTGGCTCCCATTATTACGCAAGAGGAGAAACTTGAAACTGTGGAACCCCCCAATACCCAGTTTCACATACAAGCATTACCTGACTGGGGCCATGCCCTGAGAAAGGCGCTGGGCGGCAGCAAGTTGGTGAGCCAGGGAAGTCTTCCCTCGCCCTGAGGGTGCGGGGAAGCGGCGTTGGCGCCACTGAAGCTGGGTGTGAGGGAGGCGTCACCGAGTTCAGCCCCACCCTCCACCGCTCCCCAAGCGGGTCCGGCGTCCGCATCGCATGGCCAGAAGGCGGGGAGCCAGAGGCGCCAGGACCCTCGCGTGGCGCTCCAGCACCCCAGACCGTGGCGGCGCCTCGCCTTAGGGAAGAGCAAGGGAAGAACTTTATTTGAACCGCGAACATTTTTTGGTCACTGAGATCGAGTCTCCCAGTGCTTTGGCTTCCCGCCTCTTTATCGTGGGTTTGATCCCTGAGCTGCTCTCCTTTCCCGAACCTCCCGGGGTGCAGCCTAGAGCCCTCCCGCGCGGCTGACTCCAGAGTAGAGGAAGGGAGGCGGCCTCCGGCTGGTCCCCCGAAGCCCTCGCTGCCCCGCAGATGCGGATGGCCAGCCAGTAGCGGGCGGTGGCCCCGCGTCCCGGGAGCGCACAGCAATGCAGGCGCTTAACATTACCCCGGAGCAGTTCTCTCGGCTGCTGCGGGACCACAACCTGACGCGGGAGCAGTTCATCGCTCTGTACCGGCTGCGACCGCTCGTCTACACCCCAGAGCTGCCGGGACGCGCCAAGCTGGCCCTCGTGCTCACCGGCGTGCTCATCTTCGCCCTGGCGCTCTTTGGCAATGCTCTGGTGTTCTACGTGGTGACCCGCAGCAAGGCCATGCGCACCGTCACCAACATCTTTATCTGCTCCTTGGCGCTCAGTGACCTGCTCATCACCTTCTTCTGCATTCCCGTCACCATGCTCCAGAACATTTCCGACAACTGGCTGGGGGGTAAGAGTCGCGCCCCGCTCCTTCGCTCCTTCTCTCTTAACCCTCTGCCTTTCAGGGGATCTCTCTCTCTCTCTCTCTCTCTCTCTCTCTCTCTCTCTCTCTCTCTCTCTCTCTCTCTCTCCTCTCTCGTCTGTCTGTCTCTCTCTCGTCTGTCTCTTCCTTACACTTCTCTGTCAAATGAATCCGGTGCTCTTTCTTAGAACTTCGCCACCTGTGTTCACCTGGACATAAGTTCTTTTGGCCGCCTCTGATTCCCCTCCAGTGCTTCCTCCTTGTGGCTTAGAGACATAGGTTGGGGAAAAGCTTCGGAAAGGTCCCGAGCAGTGAGGCAGGAAGTCGCACCCCTCGCCACTTATTTCAGCTCCCTTTCCCGTCATTACCAGGTTTTTCTCCCCTAGTTTTCTTACTAAAAGTGAGATAAAAATATTTCAAATAATTAAACCAAAGTTAAAAATCTCATTTCCTCATTCCCCCACCCTCCAGCCTCACTTCCCAGTTGCTTGCAGACAGCTTCTTGTACCTATGAGCATAAAACAAATATAATTCATGTGCAGAAAAAATATATTGAACTAGTCCTTTTAAAAACTGTATTAAGTGTCATGCAGGAAGAAGGAACACAGAAAACTGATGCCCTCCTATTATAAAAGAAGAGATAACATTCTCCTCCTTCCGTATAATGGGGGAAAAAAAATGACAGAGGAGAGGTGGAGTCACTGAGTTGGGAGCAGTGTGTGGAGGTTGGAAAAAAAGATATATTTCTTGAGATGATCCAGCTTTTCCAAGAACACAGCTGGAGAATGCCCTGGTGTAAACCCAGGAGCAGTAGTGTGTTGTATTCTCACCAGTGCTTAAGGTGCACCATGGGCCTCCCCTTTTTCACGGTTGGGTGTATTCTTGTGGCCACATCAAAATGGTTAGAAATGTAAGAGAAATAGATCATTATGCCTTCAATCTCTGCTATTTCTATCCCATTACTAATTCTCTTAAACTCATGGAGGGTGTTTCATCCTACCATTACCAATTTGAGATCGTGAGCATTGCTTTTTTTCTCATTAGCTTAAACTGAGTTTGCTGTTAGTCAGTCAGAATGTTAAAGTCCTTGATTCTTATCAATCTATAATGTAAATATTTTCAAAAAAGCATTAAACATTGAGTACAGAGCATTGACTTGAAAGTAATACACAATGTGGAAAGTAAGACCTTGATTTATGGATTAGAGACTTTCTTATGCACTCTGATGCAGTAATTGTATTTGGGCATTTTAAAGTTGCTCAGTGCAACTAACTCCATAAAATTAATGGGGTATTTTTTGATCATCATACGGAACTTGGTTTTTGGGGAAAAGCACATGAGTTTTCATTTCTAAATGTTTGTGAAAGCAGATTTATGAGGCTTCTTTGTGCTGGGGATGATTATAGCTCCATTTGTAAAGGTGAAAATAATTATGCAAAGTGGGATTTTATGGTGGGGATCAAAAGAACTGGATTACTATTTTGGCTGTAATACATGTTAATTTAGTATGTCTGGGTCTCAATTTTTCAGTAAAATATTAGGGATTAGAGAAGTTTGAAAGTGCAGTGAGTCTGGCCAGGCGTGGTGGCTCACGCCTGTAATCCCAACACTTTGGGAGGCCGAGGCGGGCGGATCACGAGGTCATGAGATCGAGACCATTCTGGCTAACACGGTGAAACCCCGTCTCTACTAAAAATACAAACAACAACAAAAAATTAGCCGGGCATCGTGGCACGCACCTATAGTCCCAGCTGCTCAGGAGGTTGAGGCAGGAGACTTGGCTTGACCCCGGGAGGCAGAGGTTGTAGTGAGCCGAGATCACGCTACTGCACTCCAACCTGGGTGACAGAGCAAGACTCCGTCTCAAAAAAAAAAAAAAAAAAAAAAAGTGCAGTGAGCCAGATCTTTAGCTCCAGTTCATGTTGGGGAATCATGGCCAAGAAAGGCCATATGGTGCATCTTCCATCCTCAGGGCTTATTTGGGCACTGCCAAGGTTTTTCTCAAGTTTTCTTTTCTCCCTGCTTCTTACTTCATGGAGAACATTTCACTTTAGCTTCTAAATACTGAAGGAGAGTAATATATTGCTCATTTATTTTATAGGGTTAGTGTGAGAATAAAGTGTGTTAGTAAAAGTGCTTTGAAAAATATTGGTCATGCCATGAAAGTATAAGGTATTAATTCTATTAAGGGGTGTTTAATTGGAGGTGGCCTATGTTTATCTGGGACCAGATTTATAGAATAAATAATGATCTTATAAATTGAGTAAATAATACCAAAATTGAAGTGCGAGGGAGAGGTGAGAGCATGCAGAGGGGCTAGAGATCAATATGAAAATAGAATTAACTTGCGCATTATAGGACAGGATAATCATGGCAAAATTTCCTTGATAAATTAACCAAAGTTCAAGAGAATGTAATCTAAGAGCCAAAAATTAATTCATAATTTATTATTTTACAAAGCTATTGAGGATCTCCTATCTGGAAAAGTGTTCTACCTTGAGAGTACAAAAGTGAGTAAAGTCTATCTGTGCCCTTCAGGACCTCAGAGAATAGGAGATGGCCCCAAAATGAGCAAAAACAGGATTTGATAGAAAAAGGATCCACTTTGCTCTACGAGCACAGAAGAGTCAGGAAGGCTTCCTGAAGGATGTGATGTTCAAGCTGGGTCTGGAAGAATAATTCAGAGAATAATTTAGACTCTTTCCAGCAGAGGATGGAGTGTGTTCTAGGAATAGGGGTCAGTGCCAAGTTGGAGGGAAGAAAGAAGATGGTGTGTTCCAAGAATACCGTGCAAGGCATTGCAAGAATGCACAGGTTATATGTGGGGAATGGCAGGAAATGAGACAGAAAAGTAGTGCAACTGGGGAGGAAAAAAAAAAAAATATATATATATATAGTTATGTAAAAACCTAAAATATGAATACCCCTCAAATTCCTTCAGGGGTGAGGTAGGAAACACAAACAAAGCAATGAAGATCACCAGGAAGCAACGGCGACAAAAGGAAGACTGTCTCCTCTAAAGGGGGCAGGATTGCAGCATGCTGGAGTGGTGCCCAGGATTGTCACATCTTCTTTTGTTGTTGTTCTTGCTTCCCCACCTCTCCTTCTGAAAAGCTGGGAATACAGATTTTTATGATGCTGACTTCTAAGTCAAATACAAAAAGTAAAATGCAATCAGGTAAAAGAAAACATCTCTATGGCTTGGTCAGAAATAATTCATGGACTTCCAGTTTGTCACATCTCTACATTGCCTGTCTCTCAAATATTTCTGACAATGCTAAGACTGTGAATGACTGTTTTATTCTTCTTTCAGTCCATTCCTCTTTCTTGCTGGGGACCAGCAGCACCTATTGAGTCAAAACCTGCTTTTTAACAAGGTTCTCAATTGTTTCACGTGCACATTAAAGTTTGATAAGCACTAGAGAAGTCAGCTCAGGTCTTTATAAGGAAAAAAAAAAGTTTGTTAAGTACTACTTGAAGTAGTAATGGCTCTTAGACCTGGCTACACAGAGAATCTCCTGAAGGGCTTTTGAAAATGGCCTGCGCCAGCCCCAGCCCAAACCAGTTACACTTGTCTCTTTGGAGCCAGCCACACTGCCTTACAGAGCCCAGTGTGCACAACTCTACTCAGGTCCCCTTTCAGGGACATCATGTTGTTATCTTAAAACTGGTTGTGGTGGGAGTATTCACATCATGGAAATCAGCACTTACTAGTTAGGCCTGTTTTTTAAAAAAGTGAAAAAAAAAAAAAACAAACCCAGAAATCAAACAGTTGCTTTCCCAGCACACCACTGAGCAAAGACATTGAGTTTTCTTTTGTACACTGCTGGGACCATGAATAATAGGTGAGGCAAAGTGTAGCCACAAACATGTTTTTACATGAATTACACTAAAGTTGGAAAGAGATACAGCTGATCCACAGCATCTAAGTGTGCCCAGCATGGAGGCAAGCTGACATTCAATTCCTTTCATCCACCTTACCATCATTGCCTTATTGGCTTACCTTTGATCTACCAGTTGACTCACTCTCTACTCCCCAGGACTCCTTCCAACATGGAGCTAGCAGAAGTGGCGATTCTCTGCACCCAAATATTATAAATGGCACATGTTTATGAGTTTTTTGTTACTCATATGAGGGTGGAGTTGCTCTGCCATGGCCCTTTCCTTTAGGAAAGTTTTGTCTCTGTTCTCTTCTCTGATTTACTGGGCTAGACTGCAGAAGTGGATTTGTCCATTGCCTCCTTAGGGCCACCAAATTTACCTGTCCTTATCTGCAGCCTGTTCCTCCTCATTTTGTTTTGTTTTTTCCTCCTTTTTATCTTTTTCTTCACAATGTCCAAATGCTCCTCCAAATTCACTCACTGAACATGTTCTGTTTCTTCCAGCTAAATACAGAACTGATTTTGCTTGTGACCAGTGCTGCAGAACACCACTCTCTTCTCTAAGTTTCCATGAACTAGTCTTTTTTTGCCTCTTTGTTTCCTTTATGTCCCTATCTCTGTATTTTCTGCCTTTTGAGAGTTCTCAATCTTTCTCTTATTTTGCGAGTAAGTGTCCACTGAAGCTTAGCATGCAACCTCTTTTCTTTCATCATCAATTTCTGCATAGAGGCTATAGTCATGACTCTCACTTCTTTGCTGATGGTTCTGAAATAGTATCTAATCAATATCATAAGCCATGGTCTTTCACCTGATCTGAAGACTTGGCACTTACACATGAATATATTACCAGCATCTCTCATTCTCTCATGGTATCTTGTTCCTCTGCCCAAAGTCTAAAGTATTATTAATGGCACTATGAGTCATTCCTGTATTCAGCATTTCTTGGGTATTTCCTGTGTGCACTGGGATATTGCAGGTATTGAGAAAGCTGTGTTTCTGTGGAAAAGCCAAGTTTCCATTAGACTAAGAAGGGGGAGGAAGCATTCAAAGAAGTAATGGAGAATGCAGGGCATTTTGTAGATGTCAGGGTTCCAGAGCACACAGTGCAAGTATTGAGGAGTAGGGAGCTTGAATCAGATTAGGGGATGTTCACAGTCTGATGGGTTTGAGTCCAAAGTTGAGGGATAGGCTGGGAGAGAATGGGACTCGTGGTAGCTGAGGTAAATGAAAACTTAAGGCATAGGAATGTTAATTCTGAACACTTCCCAGGAGGAGACAGAAAATCAGTTCTAATGCTAGCCTGCTTTATGACTCTAAGCATTAAGAAGATGAAATGGGGAGTGTTTGGGGTGTGCCTGGAGTAGTGGCCTTGCTAGGATCCTGCTGGGTTCTGTATCCACTTTCATCCTGCTGTGGATTCCGGCACAGCCAGAGGGAGGATGGTCTCCTCAGGTGCACACACAGCTCTGCAGCACTCCCCCAAATCCTGCCGTGGGCAGTGAAAAGAATTTTCTAGCAGTGGCTGGCAAATTGACTAAAAGCAATTCCAAAAAAAAGGAGTTTGAAATATATTCTAAGTAATGGCAGCATCGTTGGGGGAAGTACACATTCATGCACTTTTACTATCTTTGAAGAGTATTAGGGTAAGAAAACACAGAAAATTAATTTTCTCAGCAGCTGATATGAGAATTCCTCTTAGAGTGGTAATGCTCAATCTTGGCAACATGTAGTAAATCATCTGGGAGTTTTTTAAAACACAGATGCCTGGTTCCTACCCCTGGAGATTCTGATTTAATTGGTCTGATTATAATTGGTATGGAGTTTTCAAAAGTTCCCAAAGTTAGAAAAGTTATAATTTGCAGCCAAAGTTGAAAGCCACTGATGTAGTGTAAATGCTGACAGCACCAGGAGTTCCCCAAGTTAGAAAAGTTATAATTTGCAGCCAAGATTTAAAATCATTGATGTAGTGTAAATGCTGACAGCTCCAGGACTCAGGCTGATATGAAGATTAAAAGAAATAATAGATGTAAACACTTTTTAAAAAAGTATAGTGCCTACCCCATGTACCAGCTCAATATAGCTATTATATATTTAAAAAATAGCAATGGCAGTCAGAATGCTTAGAAAATGCAAAAGTAGATTATATTAACTGGAGTCCAACAAGGAGCTCAGAGGCAATTCTTCCGTTTTCTGCAGCCTATTGCGTCTTTACTAAAGCCCTTAACGTTTTTAGAGTCTTTCAAGATGAATTTGGAAAGGATTCAAAAATGGTGAAAAGATTGGAATATAAGACATACAAAGAAATATAAGAAGAATTATTCTCTTGCCTGGAGAATAGAACTTTAGTTATAAATTAGCACACCTCACCACAAAGGTTTTTCAGTCTATTTTGCCCAGGGCCACAGCGGATGTGGGCGGGTAACAGAATGGTAGTAGGCGAAGCTCCAAGCTTCATTATAACAGCTCCTGTCTCTCTTTTTAAGAATTAGAATTTTGCATGACTTTATATGAAAAATGAAAGGATTTAACTGGAAGGAAAGGAGGGAGAGAAAGAAAGCACTCACTGTACACAACATGAAATGTTAGGGTGTGTTTTTAGAGATTGAGAGCTGATACATTGTGAAATGAATTAAAGGAGGTTGTTGAACTTCATTTAGTGAAAAGATCTTAATTTTGAGGGCCAATTCAGAACAGAGAGCTTAACCTGGAACTTCTTCGGTCCCATTTTATTATTCAATCAGTGACTAGAAAACATCAGTTACATGTGTTATATAATTTTTTTCTATGATATTTCAGAAATTTTAGAGTTCTTGGGGAAATTTACATATGGTAAGATTGGTGTAAAATCAACAGTATTGTGGGGCTTAAAAAGTCAACAGAAATGATAAAAGCTATTGATGAAGAATAGTCTTTTTAAAATAAGGAAGTATTAAAAAAGATGTAAATTAAACAGAGGTCCAACAGCAACAGTAGTTTGGAAATAAAGTCAGGAATTATGCTGTGGACAGCCTCTGGTTGATCTTTCCTAGAATCAATTACGTGCACACTTTGAGAAGAAAAGATGCTGTAGGTCACTAAATTTTTTTGGTAGGTGAGAGAGTGGCAGTAACAGCAACAGCATTTATGTAAAAGATTCTCTCTACTTAGGACAAGAACAGTTTACATTTAAAATAATGACAAGGATTTAGCAGTAAGAAAGTTTTAAATATTTCACTGTGCACTTAGGAGGCATAAAATGAATTCCCTTTTAGTTTGCTTTTCTAAAACATAACTATTCTTTGATAAGTTGTTGATTTATTAGGATTCTTGTTTGTGGGAAGAGAAGCCCAACTTAAATTACCTTAAGAAAAAAAAGGGAATATTCTACCTCTGCAACTGAAAAGGTCAGAGTTAGGGCTGGTTTTAGGCATAACTGGATTAAGGTCTTCAACAGTGATCATCCTCCCCCTCGGCGGCCAGCTCCACTTCCCTCTGTGTTGTGGTTTCATTCTAGAGCTGTCTTTTGCCCAAGTGTGAAAGATGACCCCAGGAGCTATAAGCTTACATTTTCTTTAAAACTCCCTGTCTCAAACCAAGTGTCCATCGATGGACAAATGGATATACAAAATATGCTGTGTATACACACAGTGGAATATCACTCAGGCATGAAAGGGAATGAAGTTCTGATACTTACTACAACATGGATGAACTTTGAAAGCATTATGCTCAGTTAAATAAGCCAGACACAAGAGGACAAATGTTGTGTGATTCTACTTACATGAACTATTTAGAATAAGCAAAGTCATAGAGACAGAAAAGGTACTAATGTTACCAGGGGCTATGGGGAGGGCAGAGTGGGGAGTTATTGCTTAATGCTTAGATTTCTGTTTGGGGTTATGAAAAAGTTTTTGAAACAGATAGTGGTGTTCATTGCACGACACTGTGAATGTGATTAATGCCACTGAATCATACACTTAAAAATGGCTAAAATCATAAATTTTATGTTAGATATATTCTACCACAATAAAAAATTCTAGAACAAAAAATAAAACTTTTTATCTCAGGAAATGAGAGAGAATACTTCCCGGTAGTTGCAGAAAATTCTGGAAGGATTCTAGCCAGTTTGGCCTTGCTGTCTTACCCATAGAACTAATCACGCACCTCAGGGAGCGCCATCGTCACTCCTATTCAAACACCCAGAGATACCCCCTACAGCAGGAAGAAAAGCCTATTGAGGAGCCACTGTGAGGCAGTTTCTTATCCCTGTCTTGTGGGAGACTGACCTTCTCTTATCTATCTCCCGTTTGGTTTCCGTTGAGTGTAAGACTTCCCTCCTTTCTCCCCACCTTGCTCCCACTTAAGGTTCAGCTACAGTCTTTTGTGTAAGTCTGTACAATTTCTTGGCCGTGGTTTAAGGGTTGCTCCTCCCCAGCAGGGCAACCCATTGCCCATACTGTCAGTCATCTTGCTCTTCAAGGCTCAGTGTCTTCCTGTGTTGATCTTGCCTTTGGCATCTGTGCAAGTAATAAACTTCCTGAATCCATTGATGCTCATTGTCTCCTTACTAACTGAATCAATGGAAGTGTGACAAGCTAACAACTGTAGTAGTGACACTTGGGACCCTGTTAGCCACTAAGCCCCTTGGAAAGGCTTGACTGCTTAGCATGAAGTTCTTCCATAGGAAGGTACTCAGGGTAGATATGTTTAGCAGAGTTGGCCATTTATGTCTAGTGGAGTGAGTCAACTTACAGGGACTAAAGCTCCCCGATCATATGTCTTCCCATAAGGCCAAGCCCTGCACTAGGTTTCTCAGGACCAAGCTGAACCAGAGTTCTGAGTGGCTCTTCCTTGTCTGCCTTTCCTGGTCTGGGATGGAGTGCTGGGATCTCCCTCTGCTGCTCCCATCTCATTTATTGATATATACTCCCCAGTGGACCAACTTCCAGGCTGCCAATTCCTTCTAGTAGTGGACATATGCCTTCTCCCTCTGCTAAGGAATTATTGAAAGGTCAGTGAACGGGGTTCTAGAAGTTGATATTGGCAGTTCCCTCTCAGTCTGTGCCTTTAAGAAAAATTCAGCAGAAGCTATACTATTTGTTTCATTTTATGCCTTAAAACTAAAGATTCTTAAGGATGAATTCCGAAGTAATTAAGTAAGTGCTTATTGTTTTTATCTGTCTTTGCAAAACTAAATTAGTCCTACCTGTAGCTTGGTTTTGGAGAAACACATTTACTGTCATATCAGAGAGATTGTAGGCTATTCAGGGTAATAGAAATCTTAAAAGACAGCATGTTCCTACATCCTGGGAGAAATAGAAGGATAGAGAAACAGTTAGATGCTGTGAAAACAAACATGGATTGTGGAATCAAACAATATTGGGTTCTAATCCTGTTCCATCCTTTATTAGTGTTTGTATTAACTAGATTATAAGTTACATGGCCTGGCATTAAAGCTTCCCCTATTAGAAGACCAAGGAGAGAAGTTATAAAATAATGTTTGATGCTGCCCCCCAGTGGTTGATGTGGTGGCAGAAAATATGACAAAGATACAGGTTTTAGATCAAGCTTTATTTTCACAAAAATATTAATGCATATAATGCATATCTAGTTCTTCTTACTTCCCATTTGATTTCTCTATGAAGCATATAGTATTTACATATTTTCATTTATGCAATCTCATTTTAAAGTCCCCTTTAATACATGTATGAAAATATGTTAACGTTTTAAAAAAATTTCCTGTGGGATTGAGATGCATTTAAAATCTGTAAACGTCGGGTAGTGTTGCCTAGTGAGTCCTGGAGACCTTTGAAGTCACTGCCACTCTCACCATGGCTTGGGTCCAGATGCGCCACAGCCTCTTGGGGATGTAGGCCCTTGGAATCTTTTTAGTGCCGGACTCCCGGCCACAGGCAGTCCCGCGGCAGCAGGATAGCAGAACCTCTGGATGGACTCTTCCTGGGAAGTTTTGCTAATTTGCAGCAGCTGGACCATGTTCCTCATTAACATCCATCTGTCAGCTTAGTCGTCACATCATTTCACCGTGGTGGCAGGGATTCTATATAGAAAAAACACCTGGATCTCAGCCTTTCAATGGCTTCAAGACAACCAGAAGTGCCTGCTCTTGAGGCTAGTGGGCCTCTAGGCAAGATGTCCCTGCCCTTCAGGATATACCGCCGGGCACTCAGCTATGATGATACCCTCAAGGACCCTGCACCCATGACTCCTCCTCCATCAGACATGGGCAGCATCCCTTGGAAGCCAGTGATTTCAGAGCACAAGTATCAGCACCTCACCAAGGTGGAGGAAGGAGAGGCCAGTCTACCCTCCCCTGCCAGTCCCTGTCATCGGCCATTGACAGTGTGGACAAGCTCCCAGTGGTGAAGGCTAAAGCTACCCATGTCGTCATGAATTATGTGATCACAAAACAGACCCAGGAAAGCTTTCAGCATTTTGGGCAACAGGCAGGGCTGAGAGATCCTGGCTACACACCCACAAGGGTGTCACCACTCAGAAGACCAAGTACCTTAGAGTAGCAGAAGCACTCCACAAACTAAAGCTGCAGAGTGGAGAGATAACAAAAGAAGAGAGGCCACCTGCATCAGCCCTGTCCACCCCAAGCACCACTTCTCACTTTTCACCTAAGCAGAGACCCAGGGGCTGGTTCACTTCTGGTTCTTCCACAGCCTTACCTGGCCCAAATCCTAGCACCATGGACTCTGGAAGTGGGGATAAGGACAGAAACTTGTCAGATAAGTGGGGCCTCTTTGGACTGAGATCCCTTCAGAAGTATGATTCTGGAAGTTTTGCCACCCAGGCCTACCGAGGAGCCCAGAAGCCCTCTCCAATGGAACTGATCCGTGCCCAGGCCAACCGAATGGCTGAAGATCCAGCAGCCTTGAAGCCACCCAAGATGGACTTCCCAGTGACGGAAGGGAGGAAACAGCCACCACGGGCACATAATCTCAAACCCCGTGACTTGAATGTGCTCACACCCACTGGCTTCTAGAGCCCTTTCTTTCCAGGGATTCTGGTAAAGAAGGTTTCTTGCACTCCACTGCCCTTTTATCTTGGCTTTGACATAGGAAAGGTATATTTAAAAACTTAATCAGCTGGGCACAGTGGCTCACGCCTGTAATCCCAACACTTTGGGAGGCCAAGTTAGGTGGATCACCTGAGGTCAGGAGTTAAAGACCAGCCTGGCCAACACAATGAAACCCTGTCTCTACTAAAAATACAAAAATTAGCCGGGCATGGTGGTGGGTGCCTATAGTCCCAGCTACTTGGGAGGCTGAGGCAGGAGAATTGCCTGAACCCAAGAGGCAGAGGTTGCAGTGAGCCGAGATCACGCCATTACACTCCAGCCTGGGCGACAGAGTGAGACTCCGTCTCTAAATAAATAAATAAATAAAGTAAAAAACCTGTTAAATTGAGGCTAGAGCTGGAGATACAATTGGTTTTTGAGAAATATTGATACAAAGCTTGCCCCTGTTGTGTGGAAGAAGCCATTTTGTACTGCTTTAAAGTTAGACTAAATATTCTCAGCAGTGGTGTATGGGGACCTCATTACCTATTTTTTCATCATTTACCCTAGGTAAGAACTTCAATCACTGCTTACTAGGTAAAGAATGTTTGTGCTGTTCCAAAACCCAGGCTTCTTGATTCCTTACCACTATCCATGTGAGCATTGACAAATCATGGCGTAGAGGTGCTCACTGACTGGCTGAGACGACTCTGGCCCTGTTGATGGCTGGTGCTGTGCTCCAGCCTTATCAGTAAGGGGACCCAAGATTTGTTTGGGACCTGGGTATAGGTAAAACCAGACTTGGCAGGGACCCCTGTTTCTAGGCTGAACCTTGAGTCCCCCTGCTTTTTGGTAGACCTAATGGATCACTGTCCTGCAACCAGTTCTTCATGTGGGGCCTCTTAGGCCAGTGCCAGGGGAGGCATGCTTCTCTTTCTATGCCACAGAACAAACACTAGTCTAGCAGAGCCTTTCTTGCACTTTAAAGTGAGATTAATTTAGCTGCAATTTGGTTAAAAGCTTCCTAAGAGAGAAAATTCAGTCTACTGACTTGGTATAGGTAAATGGACTTAAACTTTTTTAAAGTAAAGGAGATGGTAGGTACAGTTAGATTATAGTCTTGAGGTTTATGTGGAGCCAGTGGTGTTACCTTATTTTGATTTCCTTGTTCAGGTCAGGGCCTGGAACGTCTGTGGGAGGAGGAGAATGAATTCAAAATTTTCTGTATGAAAGCATTTTTCACCAAAATGAGCCTCATCCCTTTATGCAATACATAACCTTACTGAGGGAGGGAAATAGGGAAACCACTTTTTTATTTCTCCTCACTGTGTACAAGTTCAGTTTTTGTCTTGAATACTGTCTCAAATACCCAATTTTTTGTTTTGGATAGTACCTTGTCTGTGTAAGAAGCTGGCCTTTCCATAGAGAGGCCCTGGAGTCTAAAATTATAAGAATTAATTTATTTGTGTCTTCTATTGTGATCTCTTGTTTTGACAATAAAAATCCTTACTACTTTCTCCAAAAAAAAAAAATC
Source organism: Homo sapiens (assembly GCF_000001405.40). Classification (NCBI taxonomy): domain Eukaryota; kingdom Metazoa; phylum Chordata; class Mammalia; order Primates; family Hominidae; genus Homo; species Homo sapiens. Next base: position 121,367,880 of record NC_000004.12, on the reverse strand, counting down.
TGCAAATGTTGTAGGTTGGCAAAGATAATGTTTGACTGTGGTATTAATTTCTCTTTGCTTTGGTGTCCTAATATGTAAACTTAGGAAAACTTATTCCCACCTTACAGTGTTGCTGTGACAATGAATGACCCCAGGTGTCAAAAGGACCAGGCACCTAGAGGGTATCCAAAGAAAGGAAACTATAATTGTTGTTCACATATTCGAAGTTCTGCTACTTAAAGTGTTAGCTACATTTGTGTGTAGAATAATTTTAGAGACAATAAGGACATTAGAGAACTTTTTAAAAACTTGTTGCACTGTTAGTAATATCTCAAATATATTTGGTGTGTACTTTTACAAAGCAACTGTAAAAACCAGGTCCATTATAGTTTATTTATGATAAAATACAATGAAGTAGTTATTTCACATAAATACAATTTACATGAAAAGAATTACTTTTATGCTCAAACTATGAGGATTCAAACTAATCATTTGTACTCAGAAAACAGAAAAGGGTGCTGCTTTCATTTATTTCAGAAGCAATAATACATCTCTAGAGGAGGATAAAGTGGTGTTAAAAAAAATTTGTTGGGACTGAAGCTGATTTTGTAGTTCCTTTCAAGGCTCATGTGTCTTTCCAGGCCACCCAGACTGTGGGCACAATGTTGCAACACCAATGTTCCTAGGAAGCGGTCCCACTGTCCCCTGCCTCTGTCTCGTAATTTAAGACAACTTTTCTCAACCCCTGTGTGCCTGACTCCCTATCCCACCCCAGCGGAACCTCCCTTGATAATGGACATGTGCAGCCAGTTATCTTGTTGACATTCTTGCTGTTTAGTTCATAGCCTAAAGAGGTACATGACGGCACCTCAATTTGGACACCAGGGTGAGAGTGACCGTGAAACAATGATGTCAGGTGTATGAATATTGTCCTTTGACTTTCCTGTGATGCTGGTGCAGACTTGCTGAGATCTGGGCAATCCTGGGCACTAGAGCCTTGCTATGCACTGCAGAGAAGTGGAAATAATAATATGAAAATGGATACCAAAGTCTTAACATAGAGCTTACTATGTGCCAAATATAATATTATCCTCATTTTACAGATGAGAAAATGGAGGCTCAGAGAGGTGTTAGTGTATTAATTAGCTATTCTGCACAGCAAATCACAAAAAATTTAGGTGATTAAAGAATCATTCATGATTCTACAGGTCAGCAATTTCAGGTTGGCTCATCTGGATGGTTCTTCTGCTAGTCTCACTTTGTTCACTCTCAGTGCTACATCTATCTGGTGACCTCATAGGGGCTCATTGTTTTAACTGGTGACCTCAGCAAGGGCCAGGCCATCCCTGTCCCACATGGTTTCCTCTTTCGGTTGGATACCCAGAATTCTTTGTGTGGAGGCACCATATTCTGAAAGAGAGAGAGAGAATAGAAGCACCAGAATCTTTCAAGACCTAGGATTGAATGTCACACAAATGTTACTTCTGTGATAAAGCAAGTCACATCACTGGCCCAGATTCAAAGAATAGGGAAACAGATTCCTCCACTTGATGTGACAAGTGGCAAAATCATGTTTTAGAGAGCTCACAGAAAGTAATGGAATTTGTAGCCTTTAAAAAAAAATCTTAATTTTTTATAGTAAGTAAAATGCCCAAGCTCATATAGACTGGAAATACTGGTGCCAGGCTTTGACCCAACCAGTCTGCTTCAGTGTTGGGTTTTTAACCACACTGGTTATACTGACGGGGAAGAATTTCACTTTCTGCAGTGAATTATGCTTCACCACCTGCTTTGGCCCTGTTTGTGCAGGGGTGCCTTCAGCAGTTCCACCCCTCGAACTCAGGTACTAGTTTGAGACCTGGAAGACAAATTTTTGTAGTGAAAGTCTGCCATGATCTTTTCCTCATAGATCTTTGTGAAAATTGACTCTTGCACACTGACTATAAGTAACCCAGCCCGCAAGTCTACTAATGCAGAGGCCCCTAATATATATACATATTCATAGAAGTCTGTATTGGCTCAAGTGTAAAAGTAACCATGAAGCTATTCTACAGATAAAACTACATGCTTGGTTTTAAAAAAATTCTTTACTGTAATGTCTACAAACAATAAAGGATTTATTCTTATTACGATGAATTTTACTGGATCAAAATCTAAGTGTCAATATGAACCTGATCCAAACAGTGATTTCTGGGAAAGAGATGACACTAGTTTTATATATATATATAATATATAAAATATATATAATATATAATATATAAAATATATATATAATATATAATATATATAATATATATATTATATATATATAATATATATAATATATATTATATATAATATATATTATATATTATATATAATATATATTATATATAATATATATAATATATATTATATATATTATATATATAATTTAATTAATTAATTAATTTATTTATTATTATTTTTGAGATGGAGTCTCGCTCTGTTGCCCAGGCTGGAGTGCGGTGGCGTGATCTCGGCTCACTAAAAGCTCTGCCTCCCAGGTTCACACCATTCTCCTGCCTCAGCCTCCCGAGTAGCTGGGACTACAGGCGCCTGCCACCATGCTTAGCCAATTTTTTTGTATTTTTAGCAGAGACGAGGTTTCACTGTGTTAGCCAGGATAGTCTCGATCTCCTGACCTCATGATCCGCCCACAGCTTTTTAGGAATCAGTTATATTCCTTTTTTGTGTTGTGTATAAGGATGAGATTGTATTTATCTTTTGTGAATATTGTAGTTTTGCAAGAAAAAAGATTCAACTTACTTAAAATAATTAGAATTATGGGAAGGCTATTTTGTAGCAATGATGAAGAGAGGGATCTCTTTTAAATTTAAAGACAGTAACTAGTAGGTCTCATGGAGACTTAAATGGAACCCCAAAAAACAGCTGTATGGAGCTCAGCATAAAGAATTCCTGAATCTCCAGGGCTGGGCCATGAATGTGACTCTACTTCTCTCCAGTAGTAAACAAAGACCTGCTTATTAAATCGAATTGCTTTTTACTGCTATGGTGGTTAATCTTTTGGTTTATTCTATGTTTTTACTATCTCATATCCTCTACCTTTCCCTTTACTCTTGTAGGCTGAATACATCCTAGTACTCCAGAAAGACCAGGCTAGGTACAGTGTCAAACTCAAAGAAATTTAGTCCAGTGACCAGCACTAACGTAAAATAATTTTAATCTTTAATTACATATTTCAAAAAGTTTTCTTTTTCTTTTTTCTTTTCTTTTTTTTTTTAAGATGGAGTCTCGCTCTGTGGCCCAGGCTGGAGTGCAGTGGCGCAATCTCGGCTCACAGCAAGCTCCGCCTCCCAGGTTCACACCATTCTCCTGCCTCAGCTTCCAGAGTAGCTGGGACTATAGGCACCCGCCACCATGCCTGGCTAATTTTGTTTTTGTATTTTTAGTAGAGACAGGGGTTCACCATGTTAGCTAAGATAGTCTCGATCTCCTGACCTTGTGATCCACCCGCCTCGGCCTCCCAAAGTGCTGGGATTACAGGCGTGAGCCACCATGCCCAGCCAAAAGTTTTTAGACATTTCAATTAACATGCCTTAGAACCCCTTTCTCTCATTCCATTCAAGTTTTTTCTGTTACATTCGGTAACATTCCACAAAACTCTTTCATGCTTTGCAAGGCTCATGCTTTGAAAGACATGCCCAATTGTAGAGTGTTTTTCCAGGCCACCCTGGACTGTAGGCATGATGTTACCACACCCGTATTCATACAGAGCCATCCTACTGATTCCTGCCCTTGTAACGCAGGACCTCAAGCTCCCTCAACCCTTTTGTGGCAAGTTCCCAGTCTGACCCCAGCTGAATGTTCCTTGACTTGATTATGACTTGATTATGAAAATGATAACTTCAGCCAGTTATCATTTAGACTTTCTCGCTGTCTGGTTGCTTTTCTCCACTCCAGTGCAGGCTTTTCTTTTTCCCTTCTTCACCATTCCCTTTATTTCTGTTCTGCCTCTCTCTCTTTCTCCTTCAATTCAGTCTTATTCATGCAACTATCCCATCCTGATATTCCCCACAATCTGGATAATTAAATGGCCAGTACAGGGAAATATTCAGCAAGGCTTTCTCTTAGTGAAAGAGTGAAGGGTGGAAGAGAGAAAGAAGCTAGGAAAACTCATACATTAATAAATTTTAGCCCTGTTATACTAACTTGTCTTCAGGTTTTCTACTTTCTCATAGTCCCTGTGGCCCCTCACTCTTACTCTTACCATATGGCTTTTCTATATATCCTTTTAAATTCATTTCCTAACTCTACCTTCATTGTATTTCCTTATTCTTTTTCCAAAGAGAAAGAAGGAACCTTGTTGGCCTAGATTTGGGGTCCAGTATGGTTCAATTGGAAAAGGGCTGGGGGAACCTAAAATAATTAGAATTATGGCAAGGCTATTTTGTAGCAATGATGGTTCATGTGATGCACATGAGACCTCTGCTTCAGCAGGGTTGGTAAGGAAGGGCAGTGCTTTAGGCCAGCATGATTGACATGTGAAGGGTTATATAGTTTTGGTTCCTTCTTTCTTTATTTATTTATTATGAGATGGAGGAAGTCTCACTCTGTTGCCCAGGCTGGAGTGCAATGGCGCGACCTCTGCTCACTGCAACCTCCATCTCCCAGGTTCAAGTGATTCTCCTGCCTCAGCCTCCTGAGTAGTTGTGATTACAGGTGTGCGCCACCACGCCCAACTAATTTTTTGTATCTTTAGTAGAGACGGGGTTTCACCATGTTGGCCAGGTTGGTCTTGAACATTGTGATCTGCCCACCTTGGCCTCCCAAAGGGCTGGGATTACAGGCATGAGCCACTCTGCCCGGCCTAGTTTTGGCTCCTTCTTTAAGAAATCTCTGGAGGATGCAAAATGTGCTAGGCTTGCATGGACTCCAGAGAGGTTAAATTGTTTCTTTTACATTTATCTATGAAAGCCTGAAGTTTTTGAAAGAACAGCTCTGCATGATATATTTACAAGTTTATTTCAATAACAATAATGGGTATTTCATGTCAGATAAGTATGGTTAGTTATCTAAATTGGATTTGCTTTTATCCTAGGCAGACTTCTTTTTAAGTGGTCTTTCTCGTAGTGTCTAGATTCTTTTATTTTTCCTGTGGAAGTCCAGTTGTTTCAGTGCCATTTGTTGAAAAGGCTATCTTTTCTCCATTTTCTTGTCTTGCTCCTTTGTCAAAGATTAGTTTATTATATTTATGTGATTGCTGAGCTCTCTATTCTATTCTATTGATCTATTCATCTGTTCTTTCCCCAATACCACACTATCTTGATTAACGTAGCTTTAAAATAAGTCTGAATTTGGGTAGTGTCAGCCTTCCAACTTTATTTTTCTTTTTCAATTTTGTGTTAGTTATTCCTGGTCTTTTGCCTCTCCATATAAACTTTAGAATCAGTTTGTTGATGTCCAGAAAATAACTTGCTGGGATTTTGCCTTTCTTACGTCAACATGCCAAAGAAAGACTTTATAGTGAAAGCAGCTGCATACATTGTCTCCTCTCCCCACTTTTTCCCCTCTTCCTGGATAAAGGTACATAGAAAAAAAAATGCTTTTAAAAAAGAAAGAGAACTAAAAGAAAACCAGCCATATTGTTCTATTATGGTCAGAAAATCTTGATTTACAGATGTTACTGACAGATGGGAAGCTGACTCTGTGAGAATGGGATTTCCTTATCTTTCATTAAAAAACCTTAAGAAAATCTCTAACAAAAATCATTAGGTGAGAGGCTGATGAGCCAGAATTATATACTGAGCTGTGTGGGCTCTGCATGGCTTTCACACATCTTTCAACATGTTTTAGCTCTGGGTAGCAGCAATATAGAATATTGCAGACAATTGCAGTTATTGTTTTTAAAAAGTTCCTTATATGGAGGTAAATAAAAAGTGGTTGCTTCACTGGCAACTGGAAGATATCTTATTTTAGAATAAATAGTACTGGTTCTTTGTAATTTGAAAAGGGAACAGGAGCAGTGTTGGGAGTGGGCAAAGGAAGGAAGAGGCCGTTCCTTTTATTAAATTGTTTTGCTTCCAGCACTACATGTCATTAGGTCAAGTTGTCATACTACAAACTTGCGGCCTAGTTACCTCGTGAAAAAAATATTTTAGTCTGGGAAATATTGTTCCTTAGGAGCAACAGGAATTCTTCAATCTATTGTGAACTTTTCGTGCTGTTTAAAGCCTGGTCCATGGACACGCAGCATCAGCATCACCTGGAACTTTTTCAGAATCGTCTCAGGCCTCATCACATACCTACTGAATCAAAATCTGCATTTTAACAAAATTCCCTAAGTGGTCCATATGTTCAATAAAGTTTGAGACCTAGTGGCCTAAAATATATCATTGCTGTGTTCCACTTTTGCTTCTGAGGAACACGGGATAGATTATTTTGGCCAGTAGTGGTAGGCCACCACTGAGCACTTTTTATTAGCAAATAGACCATGGCTGCGTATCTCTCTCTGATTATCTATAATATCATAGAAGTAGTTGCTACAGTAATCAGGACTCTATGCTAGTAAAGCTTAACTTCCACATCATCATTATACCAAGGAGGGTGCAGAATGTAATACACTATCACTTTTACTTGTCTGCTTTATCTATTGAAGACTGGATCCATCTGATTCAAATTGAATGAGTGAAATTTTCCTCAAAGTAAATATGGTCTTTGTGAAACTATTTATCCTGGTTTCCAGAAATTACAAATTTCTCTAATTATAATTAGGGAAATTGAGTGCTTTTTCTCGTTTCTGTAGCGTGTGGCTGGATTTTCAGAGTTAAATCTGTGAGATATTATTGTAACAGTACATTCTTCTGAATAGATTTTCATAGCATTTTTGTCATTTGTTCATTTCCTCATTCACTTGCTCATTTAACTAACATTTATTAAATGCCTAACACATGCTAGGCACTATGTTGAACTAGGGATGCAAGGGCGAACAGCACACAGTGTATGTTGTGGAAGGTGCTTGGGGAGAGACAACAAGCTTTTTGGAAAATGTGAATAGTTCTGTATGCCTGGAGTTTGGCATTCAGAGGGGATGTGGTGAGAAATGAAGTTGGAAAGAAAGGGAAGATGCAGATTCTGAAGAACTTTCTAGTGCTGTGTTAAGGAGTTTGAGCTTCATTTTGCAGCAGAGGCAACACTACTGAGGCAGTGAATTTCAAAGTAAGAGTTGCAACCCATGAATGAGTCATGAAGTCATTTGGTGAGTCAATATTAGCAGTTTTACAAAATGGAAATACAGTGGAATAGAAAATATCAAAGAGCATTACTGTAGTAAAAATTTTGGATACGTGTGTGTGTGAGATGATCATGGTCAAAACCACTACTATCAGGGGAGTCAGGCTACCCAGGGGAACCAGGCAAGCACAGTTGACCTAAAAAAAAATTAAACCCATCAGAACTCAGCAGTATCATAATCCTGGTCCATCGAAGTGATAATGCTTTGTTCTAGCCAGCTCTCAGAATTGGGATACTAAACTGGAAGAATCGGTGTTTGCAATTTATAAGGAACACAACTAAATGAAAAAATGATTTACCTGTGGTTAGCTTCTAAGAAAGTACTAAGTTTTTATCCATCTTGTAATGTCTGTATGTAGGTGAGCCTATGACAAAGGCAAACCATTTTACATTAGATTACACTGAAAGGTGTAAGTGGTGACAGAGCAGAATCACTATCATCTTATATATGATTTCTGCCTAGGGCTACATAGCTCTCTGACTGTTTTTGTTACTGTAGTAAACACAGTTACTGAAAGCAAATTTGTCGTGTACTCATTGTACACAATAAATTTTAATTTTGGACTGTGTTATGTGCAGAGATTACTAACTCATAATAGAGGAACTCTGTTGCTCAAAAAATGTTTGAGAAATGTTACCCCAATAAGATCTGAAAAAAATAATAGTGTTTAGAAAAACGAGGTGGGAAAGGAGCAGGGTCACATGCAAGTTACAGAGATGAGATATAGAAAAGAAGGAAAATGGTGATAATAAGCCGTATTAGTCAGGGTTCCCTAGAGGAACAGAACTAATAGGAGAGAGATATATATATACACACACACACATACACACACACATATACACACACACACTCCTATATATATATATACACTCCCATATATACACACAAATATATATATACACACACATATATACACACACACACATACACACATATATACACACATATATACACACACATATATATATATACACATATATATACACACACACACATATATATATGAGTTTACTAAGTATTAACTTACACAATCACAAGGTCTCACAATAGGCTGTCTGCAAGCTTGAGGAGCAAGGAGAGCCAGTCCGAGTCTCAAAACTGAAGGACTTGGAGTCTGATGTTCAAAGGCAGGAAGCTTCCAGCATGGGAGAAAGATGCAGGCTGGGAGACTGGGCCAGTCTCGCCTTTTCAAGTTTTTTCTGCCTGCTTTATATTCACTGGCAGCTGATTAGATTGTGCCCACCAGATTAAAGGTGGGTCTGCCTTTTCCAGTCCACTGACTCAAATGTTAATCCCTTTTGGCAACACCCTCACAAAGACACCCAGGGAGAGTACTTTGCATCCTTCAATCCAATCAAGTTGACAGTATTAACCATCACATCAGCTGTCTTCCAAACCTAAACATATGTATAGGTAGAGAATAGAGTTCTATTAATCTGGCAGGTAATGAAGCAATTTAAAAGAGGTCATATTGGTGCTTCCAAACCATTGAAACACCTTGAATACTTACTTCCTTTGTAAGGCCTATTCTCTACACTAATTGTGGAAAACCTGGGATTTGGGGGATGCATTTCCATAGTGGTTACAAACACAGACTCTGGAGCCAGACTATTTGTCTTCATCCCTTACTGGATATACACATGACCCTGGACAAGTTACTTTATTCCTCATTTATCCCTCATACAAGCAGAAATAATAATATCACCTATCTTTTAGTGTTGTCAAGACAGTCTATGAGTTGATGGTGTTAATGCTTATTAGATCAGTACCTAGCACATGGTAACTGCTCAAGAAATGTTCCTACAGTGGAAATTAGTTTTATAACTTAGAACATTGTGATCAGTGTGGCTCAGCCATGATCAAGGACATTTCTGGCAAGCTTATGTCATAAATAAGGACAAAAGAAGAGATAGAGCAGGAAAGAGTAAAGAGGCAATTTCATGCTGTTGCAAAACACCACAAGTTTATGAGAGCAGTGCAGGGAAAGAGATGAAAGATGAGTCATCTATAAAACACAAACTTCCCTTCCCCCAACTATTCTGTTAAGAATAAAGAAAATGATTCAGAAACAAAGAAATAATAGAAGAGAAAACAAAACAAAAATTAATAAATAAAATATGTATGGAAGTTGGAATTCTTTTCAGTTATCATTTATTTGAACATTATCAGATAGCCAATGGTATGCTTGTGCTAGTTTGTACCAGCCCATGAGAGCTGATTGTGTACATCTCTTCTGAACTCCACATTCATTGATATTGTGTTGGTAGTTTTGAAATTGGCTCTGTCAGGAGTATTTACATCAGAAAAATTAGCTAACATTACAAAGCAAGGTCTTTTTAACTTGGAGAGCTGCTTGTTAACATTTACCAGTCTACCAGTGTAGGTATCTCTTATAATGTTGACAATAAGCAATAAACAACATTCTAGGTATTACCTGCTATTATTACTTTAAGGCATGGTTTTCTTTTGTCATCTCACAATCAACTTTAACCCAGATTTTTGCTTTTTTAAAAAGTATTTTGACTATATTCAAAAAGAATTGCTTTGAATACTACTTTGTAATTTTATGGTTATTTGTGAGATATTGTTTCATGTCTAGTCTCCTTCTAGGAAGAGGAGGTGGGAGAGTATATATGTTGCACAGCCTGTATTTAAAGAGCCTGGAGTAGTGTATGACCCATAGGTGAGTGAATGAACAAATATGTGAATGAAAGAGAAGATAGAATATAAAATAAATCTGAGTGAAAGACAAAGAATATCCTCTCCCCCTGAAGCCCCTTAACCTCTTCAGTTGGAAGCAGTGTTAGAAACGTAGACCTTGAAGTGAGGGCTCTCTCTCAAATCCATTCTCTGGCCTATTTGGTTCTTAAGCTTTGCTGCCTATTTAAATCACCTGGGAACTTTAAAAAGCTTAAGTCCCCAAGCATGCCCTAAAATTCACAATCTTTCAGAGTGGATCTAAATATCAATTTCTTTTAAAGCTCCCAGGTTATTCCAACATATAGCTAAGTCAAGAACCAGTGCTTTCTAGGACCTGGAATCTGGCGCTACGTCTTAGAATTCCCAGTGTAGGGGAAGGGAGTTGAATTGGGAGGGAATCTGAATATCTGCCTTTGAGCGACTGCTGAAAATGTAACTGGTAGTTACTGTTTGGATCAGCAGATAGGGAGTGGTCTGAATTCCTGGTTACGGCTTTAAATTTTTTTTTATTTTACCTTATCTCTGTTGCAGAAATATTCGACTGCCTTCTTTCTTTCTCTCCTTTCCACCCCCTACGTTCTTGACTATTCTTGCTTTCATGCTCTCTCTTAGGATCTCAGGTCCATGGCATTTAATTAATAATATGCTATCATTATCATATGGGCAATGATCCTCTCTTGTCTGCCAAGGAATGCAGACAACCTCTAGAAACTAGAAAAGGCAAGGAAATGAATTCTCCCCTAGAGCCTCTAGAAAGAACACAGCCCTGTTGACCCATTTCAAATTTCTGACCTCCATAATTGTAACATATAGATTAGTGTTGTTTTAAGTCACTAAGATTGTGGTACTTTGTTACAGCACCAGTAGGAAACTAATACAAACACCCTGTGCATTAGTATAGAGTAACTCTTTATTTAGGTTTTGTTTGATATTATTCTTTGCTAACGGAAACCTGGTATGATCAAGGTATTGTGTGGGCATATTCTTCAAGAAAGAATAGACCCCCTCTCAGCCCTAGTGGAGCCAAGCAGTAGGATTCAGAGACCCTGGACAAGACCCAGGACTATGCTGGCTTCAGGTGTGACCCAGCATAGTGCCAGCTATGGAGGCCATGAGAGTGCTTGCATCACTTCTCCCCTAGTTCCAGGCAGCCCATAATGGAGAATATCCTTCTGATTAGGGGAAAGAGAGAGAGAGGAGAGCTGGAGACTTTGTCTGGTAGCTCAGGGATTCTTCCTTATCTTACCCAAGTCCATCAGAGCAGTGTACCTAGGAGTCTGCAGTACTCTTAGGCTGCCCCCTAGTACTGATAAGACTGCAGTGACCACAGGCTTAGATCATGACACTCAATCTCTTTTGAATACGTGGAAAGCCCTTTCAAGAATGATAGGTACAAACAAGCCCAGACTGTGAAGACTGGAATAAATACTGAACTCTTCAATGCCCAGGATTGACAAATGTTCACAAACATCAAGAAAATATGACTTCACCAAATGAACTAAATAAGGCACCAGTGACCAGTCCTGGAGTGACAGAGATTTGTGACCTTTCAGACAGGGAATTCAAAATAACTGTTCTGAGGAAGCTCAAAGAAGCTCAAGATAACACAGAGAAGGAATTCAGAATTGTATCAGAGAAATTTAACAAAGAGATTGAAATAATTTTTTAAAAATTAAGCAACATTGGAACACCCAGATACATAAAACAAATGTTATTAGAGCTAAAGACAGAGATAGATAGACTGCAATACAGTAATAGCTGGGTACTTCAACACCTCACTTTCAACACTGGAGAGATCATCTAAACAGAAAATCAACCAAAAAAATGTCAGACTTGGTCTGCACTATAGATCAAGTGGATCTAATATATATTTACAGAACATTTCATTCAACAGCTGCAGCTACACATTCTTCTCTTCAGTAATGGAACACTCTCTAGGCTATGACATATGTTGGGCCACAACACAAGTCTCAAAATTTTTTTGAAAAATGAAATTATATCAAGTATCTTCTCTGACCACCATGGAATAAAACTAGAAATCAATAACAAGAGGAACATTAGAAACTATAAAAACACGTGGAAATTAAACAGTATGCCCCTCAATGACCAATGCATCAATAAAGAAATTTTTAAGTTTTTTTTAAAATTTCTTAAAACAAATAAAAATGGAAACACAACATACCAAAACCTACGGGATATATCAAAAGTAGTGTTAAGGGAGAAATTTAAAGTAATAAAATCCTACATCAGAAAAGCAGAAAACCTTCAAATAAACAATCTAATAATGTATCTCAAAGAACTAGAAAGACAAGAACAAACCAAACCCCAAATTAGTAGAAGGTAGGAATAATAAAGATCAGAGCAGAAAAGAATGAAATTAAGACTTTTAAAAAACACAAAAGATCAATGAAAGGAAAAGTTGTTTTCTTGAACAGATAAACAAAGTCAACTAACCTTTAATCTGACTGAAAAAAGGAGAGTGACTCAAATAAAACAAGAGACAAAAAGGGAGACATTACAACTGATACCACAGAAATTCAGATGATCATTAGAGACTGTTATGAGAAACTGTATGACAATACATTAGAAGTCCTAGAAGAAATGGATAAATTCCTAGACACCTATAACCTATCAAGATAGAACCATGAAGAAATCCAAAAGCCGAATAGACCAGCAACAAATAATGAGACAAAAGCAGTAATAAAAGTCTTTCATCAAAGAAAAGTCTAGGACCTGATGGCTTTACTGCTGAATTCTACCAAACACTTAAAGAAGAACTAATACCAATTCTACTCAAATTGTTACAAAAAAATCAAAGCGGAAGGAATACTTCCAGACTCATACCACAAAGTCAGTATAACCCCAAAACAAAAACCAGGCAAAGACACAACGAAAAAAGAAAAACTACAGGCCAATATCCTTGATTAGCATAGATGCAAAAACCTCTAACAAAATACTAGAAAACCAAATTCAACAACACATTAAAAAGATGATTTATTATGATCAAGTGGGATTTATTTCTGGGATGCAAGGATAGTTCAACCTATGCGAATCAATCAGTGTGGTACATCATATCAACACTATGGAAGACAAAAACCATATGATCATTTCATATCATATGAAATTTTTTCATAGATACCAAAAAAGCATTTGATAAAATGCAATATCTTTCATGATAAAATCTCTCAAACAATTGGGTATAGAAGGAACATATTCAACATGATAGAAACCATGTATGACAAACTCACAACTAGTATCATACTGAATGGGGAAACTGAAAGCCTTTCCTCTAAGATCTGAAACAAGAAAAAGATGCTCATTTTCACCTCTTTTTTTCAACATAGAACTAGAAGTCCTAGACAGAGCAATTAGACAGGAGAAAGAAATAAATGACATCCAAATTGAAAAGGAAAAAGTCAAATTATCCTTGTTTGCAGATGATATGATCTGAAATTTAAAAAATATCTAAAGACTCCACCAAAAAACTATCAGAACCAAAGAAGTGAAAGATTTCTACAATGAAAACTATAAAAAGTTGGTGAAAGAAACTGAAGAGGACACACATAAAAAAATGGAAAATATGCCATGTTCATGGGTTGGAAGAATCAATACTATTAAGTGTTCATACTGCCCAAAGCAATATACAAATTAAATACAATCCTTCTCACAATATCAATGGCATTCTTCACAGAAATAGAAAAAACAATCCTAAAATTCATATGGAACCACAAAAGATCCAGAATAGCCAAAGCCATCCCGAGCAAAAAGAACAAAGGTGGAAAAACCGCACGATCTGACTTCGAATTATACTGCAAAACTATAGGAATCAAAACAGCAAGGTGTTAGCATGAAAAAGAGACACATAGACCAATTGAACTGAATAAAGAACCCGGGAATAAATTCATGCATTTGCAGTCACTTATTTTTGACAAAGGTACCAAGAACATATACTAGGGAAAGGACAGTCTCTTCAATAAGTGATGCTGGAAAACTGGTTATCAATATGCAGAAGAATGAAACTAGACCCCTATCTCTTGCCATTATACATCAATCAAAAATGGATTAAAAATGTAAATCTAAGACCTAAAACTGTAAAATAACTAGAATAAAACACTGGGTAAACAGTCCAGAACATTGATCTGGGCAAAGATTTCTTGAGTAAAACCTCAAAAGCACAGGCAACCAAAGCAAGAATGGACAAATGGGATCACATCAAGCTAAAAAGCTTGTGCACAGCAAAGGAAACGGTCAACAAAGTGAAAACGTAACCCACAAATGGGAGGAAATATTTGCAAAATACCCATCTGACAAAGGATTAGAAACTAGAATATAGAAGGAGCTCAAACAGTTTAATAGGAGATAAACAATCTGATTTAAAATGGGCAAAAGATCTGAATAGATATTTCTCAAAAGAAGACATGCAAGTGGCCAACAGTTATATGAAAAAAATGCTCAACATCACTAACATTGGAGAACCACAAATGAAAACCACAATGTGATAGAATCTTACCCCAGTTAAGATGGCTTTCATCCAAAAGAGAGGCAATAATAAATGCTGGCCAGGATGGGGAGAGAGCAGAAACCTCATACACTGTTGGTGGAAATGTAAATTAATATAGCTACTATGGAAAACAGTATGGAGGTTCTTCACAAAACTGACAATAAAACTACCATACAATCCAGCAGTCCCACTGCTGAGTATACATCCAAAAGAAAGGAAATCAATATATTGAAGAGATAGCTGCATTCCCATGTTTATTTCAGCACTCTTCACAATAGCCAAGATATGGAATCAACCTAAATATCCACCAATGGATGAATTGATAAAGAATATGTGGTACATGCACACAATGGAATATTATTCAGCCATAAAAAGAAATGAAGTTCTGTTATTCAGAACAGCATAGATGGAACTGGAGGACGTTATGTTGAGTGAAATGTGGCAGGCACAGAAAGACAAATGTCACGTGTTCTCACTCATATGTGGGAACGAAAGAAAAAAAATGAACTTTTGGAGATAGAGTAGAATGATAGTTACCAGAGAAAGGGTAGTGTGAAAGGGTAGTGAAGAGGGGATGGTTAAAGGATACAAAAACACAAATAGAATGAATAAAATGTAGTATTTGGTAGCACAATAGGGTGACTATGTTTAACAATAATTTATTGTATATTTTAAAATAACGAAAAGAGTGGAATTGGAATGTTCCTAACACAAAGAAATGATAAATGCTTGATGTGACGAATACCCCAGTGACCATGATTTGATCATTACATATTGTATGCCTGTATCAAAACATCACATGTACCTGGTAAATATGTATAACCATTATGTATTCATTATAATTAAAAATAACTTTTAAAAAATTAGGCCAGTGTTTTAACTTCAATTCCCCTTGCCAGTGATGATTTTTTAAATGAGCATGTAGTACATTCTTGCCATAAAGTCTGAGGTTTTCCTTACTTTTATGAAGGGCTTGAGAAAGTACATACTTCGTTTTCTGCTTTTGGTCTTTGAATCTTTTTTGAGATGCAGTGCTTGGAGATACTGCAGTCATCTTATTTGCCAAAGTGACAATCATAAGTACAAAGCAAACCACACTGAGGAGGATAAAGAAATCCAGTGGAAAGAACTCAGAACTGTAGTGAAGTCATTCAGCTGTGGCATTTATGACTCTGTTACTGCCCTACCTCTGAAATTATTTTTATGTTAGATAATACATTTCCCTTGTTGTTTAAACCAGTTGAATTGAATTTTTAACTCATAATCCAAAACATTCTAATGAATGTATAGAACAAATACATGTAAAGAAAACAAAAAATATTTATTCCAACCGCCAGAGAGAATTATGATGATCACATCAGTGCATTAAATTTAGTGTATTTAAGTTTTTCCCACATACATTTGTAGCAAAATAGAAACCTCTTAGTGTTTGTCTATGTCTGTACATGAATATATTATTTGTTTACTGTTTAATTTCATTTTTTGGTTGCATTGTTAAATATCTTTTGAAATATTATTAATGATTGAATGATTTGCATTATATTGGCATACCCCAATTTATTTAAACATTCTTTTTTTTTTTTTACATTACTTTATACTAACTCGGAGTTGTATCTTTGGTGAACAACTGAGTACATAAATTACATAAGTACTCCTAATATTTTATTAAGCATTTCTGAGGAAGTTCACTTTATGATGTGCTTTGTTGCCTGATTACCATCACATTCAAGAAATTCTTTCTAATGCCTAAAGTTTTTCCATTTCTTTCCTGGTATACAAAAATATTCCTTCCATTATTACTTCATGATGGGTTATTTTAACATTATAAACATAATGAAACCCCATTATTTCTGATTTCTGCTTTACTGTCCTAATGTTTAACCCAGGCTCATTTTATTCTATTATTTGAAAATCTAATTTTTGTCATTAGTGGAAAGTTTAAGCAACTCAGTTACCTTTCTAAAGCTGTATTTGTAGCTATTAAAATAATGAAAATTAGAAGAAACATACCAGTATAGACAAAATTGTGCACTAGGGAACTTGTTTTTGCTGCGAATATACACACAAACAGTTCTTACAAAGTAATTGAAGGAAGCACTCTGAAGAGAACTACAGAATTCATATGAGCTGTGGCTCCCACAAAGTAAAACCTAAAAGTCTGATATTTGTGAGACTCACAATATCAAGACCCACTCATCCTAAGTCAAAGTTTTCCAGGGGACAGCTCCTACCTGTACACGGAGCAGCTAGTGGTCTTTCAATCTGTCCCATTCTAAAATCTGAAAGGACAACCAAGGATTGTCAGACAGTTGAGGAAAGCTGTCTTTCCTTCTTTCTTTTATTGTACATGTGCAGGATGTGCAGGTTTGTTACACAGGTAAACGTATGCCATGGTGTTTTGCTGCACAGATCAACCCATCACCTAGGTATTAAGCCCAAGAATAAAGGAGAACAAAACAAACGAATAAATGAAACCTGGAAGAAATGGTTAATCATAGAAGGGAATTTGGAAATAAACTCTAATTAGTATTTTTATACATAAAAACATATCCATAAGAATGTCTCCTCATTTGACATTTTCCCAGTGGAATTAGTATTGGCTTATAAGTCTCAAACTTCTGCAATGAATATATCACTCAACAGCGACCTTTTAGCTGATATTTATATAAGAAAAGTTTATGTGCCCAAACTCAATAATCTAATATTATAAGAAAAATGATATATAGGAAAAGTATCAAGCTACCTTCCAAAAATAAAATACCTTCCAAATACATCAAAATCACAAGTAGTTGTTTTGAAAAGCATGTCCAGTGTTCACAAAGGGATGCATGTGCCGAATGTTGACACTAAGAGAGGCATCATATCATTTTATTCAATGTAAACCATTCTTTGTGATTGTTACTCTTGCAAAGAAGACTTGTTTTGAAAAGAGATTGAAAAAGATATTGATGGATTCTTTAAATGTCACGCTGAGAAATCAAGTACTAAACTTGTTCAGAATGTCAATCTGAAATAGTTGATCATAGTGATAACGGGGAGAGCCTTCAATCAAACCACCAGACACCGCTCGCTGAAAATAATATGGGGACTAAACAAATACAGTGAAGAATATTATCCTTGAACTTGGTGGACTGTGAGTGCCTGACTCTTCTAACACTGTGCCAAAAATTCTATAAACATAAACTTGAAGAGAGTTAAGTAAAGTTTGATTTTGTAGTTTTTCATCCTAAAATGACACCTGCATCCCCTGAAGATCCATTCATCATTTACAAGTCCCTACCCAATGAAAATGACAAAGAATCTCTGCCTGTTTCTTGCATGAAATTGCCCTTTTTGTCATCCAACTCACCTGTGATGTCACTTTCCATAGGCCTTGACAATAACTACATTTTAACCATCCTTCCCTTTCCACTTTCTTCAAGTTTCCAGTTTGCTTTTTTCTTCAGGAGTAACGGATCATCCCAGGTGATTGCCCTATTTTCATTGTAAATTTTACCTGCATTTTTCTATTGCATGTATAAATTGCTGTATGCTGATTGCTATGCCTTATTGGAGAAAAATATTTATGACGTACCATGAAAAATGGGCATGTTATTGATACAGAGTAGCATGCGTATGAACAATTTGATAACCATTCTAATTGTTTTGTAATCAGGGGCCAATATTTTAGGATTTTATATTTTAAATGCTGGCTTTCCTATGTTTTAGTTATACTTAATGAAATCTGGTAGATGTTTAATTTGGCCTTTTAAACAATAGGAAATCGGTGACGAGGGCACATTTCCACATAGAATATCTCATTTTCAGGAAGGGGTTTATGATATTAAATGGGGGGTATGTGTCTGGATTTAAGATGAGACTGACTTCATAAATCAAGAACAAGCTTCTCTGAAAAGAAATTATTTTAGGAGCAAGAAAAGCTTTTGAAAATAAAAATATTGCTGAAATTATATATAAATTAGAAGAGTTGGAAGACAAAAACAAGAACATCTCCATAATGTGGAGCAAATAGGCAAATCTGTATCTATATCTATATCTGTATATAAAAGGTATAAACATAGGAGGATCAATCCAGGAATTCCAATATCTGATCAACAGGAGTTATTTTTTAAAGGAACAAATTAAAACACAGAGGTAAAGGACTGAGAGTTGCCAAATGTAAAAGGCACACACAGGGCTATGGAAAAAGAGTAAAAAAAAGGACACATGTTTCAACACATCCCCATAACATTTCAGATTTCTAATTACAAAGAGATCAATAAAATCTTCCAAACAGTAACCAAGATAATTATTTTATTTTATTTTATTTTATTTTACTTTATTTTTTTGAGATGGAGTCTTCTTGCTCTGTCACCCAGGCTGGAGTGCAGTGGCGCGATCTTGGCTCACTGCAACCTCTGCCTCCCGGGTTCACGCCATTCTCCTGCCTCAGCCTCCCGAGTAGCTGGGACTACAGTCCCCTGCCACCACTCCTGGCTAATTTTTTGTATTTTTAGTAGAGATGGGCTTTCACCGTGTTAGCCAGGATGGTCTCAATCTCCTGACCTCATGATCAGCCCGCCTCGGCCTCCCAAAGTGCTGGGATTATAGGCATGAGCCATCGCACCCGGCCGTAACCAGGATATTTATAAGGGAGCAAAAATCAAGCTGACAATATAGACAGGTTAGCACCAACAGTGGATGCTAAAAGTCAATAAAGTAAGGTCTTCAACATTCTAAAGGCAGATGATGTTGAATTTAAGTCAAACTACAGCCATTTTAAGATATATAAGAATGTAAAGAGCTTACTTTCCTTATTATTTTGAAGAAGTTACTTGAAAAATATTATGCAAAATATAGGTAAAATACAAGAAATGAGAAGCCATGAAATTAAAGAAACCGGAGAAGAAATTGATTGAAAATGAATTTAATGATGACAGCTATAGAGCAGTCATTAAAAATAAAACAAAGCAAAACACAAACTGCAGTCATCAAAATTGGAAGTCAGTGGTCTTCTAGAAGGAAGTCTTAAAAGAACAAACACTTGAATTGATCCCAAGCAGAATATATGTGATGTTAAAAGTTGATATGTAATAGTAAAAATGATGATGATGATAATAAGAATAGCTAATGCATTTTCACATAGTACTAGACATTGGCCTAAACACAGTAGGCTTGTTTTCTCATTAATCCTTCAACAGTCCTATGAGGGAAGTACTGTTATTATCATCCACATTTTATAGATAAGAAAACCCAAGACACAGTGAAGTAAGATAATTTGCCTTAGGTCACAGTTAGCAAGTGATGGACCCATGATTCAAACTCAGACAGCCCAATTCTAGAGCCTATACTCTAAACTACTATACTGTGGTGAAGAAGATATATCTTCTTCTTCCAGCTAGAAAAAAGAAATACAACCCAAAATTCCAGGAAAAATTAAATAAAAATACTCTATAAAAAAGTTATATCCATATAAAAAGCAGATTAAAATAAGGTATGCTTTAGAGACATAAATATATTCACAAGGATCTTGACTATAAAGTCACTGAAAGGGAGATGTATTTAAAACATACACATTGGCTTTGTAGTTAATATTAGTCATGGTAAATAAAATGCTGTTTATGGTTTTAATCTTTTATAATTAAAAAGTAGGCCAAGGGAAGAATACTTAATATCCTGTGGAACAGAATGAAAAACTATCAGTCTTGACAGAGTAAATGTAAAGTTATAGATAAAAGACATTTGGAGAAAGAAGAATGCGAAAATAGGAGGAGAGAGGTACAGAGATGAGGTATCATCTCACAAGTGGGGGGCAAGATAAACTGTTGGAAGTTAATAGACTAATGGAGAGGGCGTTAATATATTACTTTAAGCGTCAAAGTAGAAGAAACTACATGCTAGAGTTTAAGAAATACATCCCCTAAAACCTTTCCAAATAAATTATTGAAGACAGTGTTATAACTGTAAGAAAATTAGAAGCTGTGGGAGAAGCAACAGTGGGAAATGACAAAAGTGAACCAATAGCCCATCTACCCAAGAAGGTAATCTATATCTATCATCTGAAATCAATAAATTAAAAGAAAAGCGGTATAAGGCAATTTATTTAGAGATGGTAGTGCCCCCAGCAGTAGAATTAAAAAAAAGTGGTTTATGGGAAATAGGCAGGCACCTATTCTTTTTTATTGTAGCCCTTCTGATTTTAAACCACATGCTCATAATTCTTTGATAAAAACATTTTTTAATGTAAGAAATAAAAAAGTTGAATTTATAATTGAAAAGCTCTCAAGAAAGAAATTTCCAAACCCAGGTGATTTCACTGGAGAATTTTGCCATTTAAAAAAGAATTAACACCAATTTTACACAAACTCTTCCAGAAAACAGAATTGGAAGAAATAGTTCCCAACTTACTTTATGAGGCCTTCATTACCCTGACACTTAAACCAGAGAAAGACAGTTCAATAGAAAGAAAGTTGCAAACGAATAGCTCTTATGAACATGGGCACACAAAATATCAATATAATACCAGACAGAATCCAACAATGTATAAAAAGGATTATACATCATGATGAAGTAGGATTTATTCCAGGTATGCAAGGCTGGCTCAAATTCCAAAATCAGTGTAATCTACCATATCCATCAAGCTAAAGAAGAAAAAAATCATATGATTACACCAATTAAGAAAACACTTGACAAATTTCAACACCCATCCATGACAAAAATTCTCAGCAAGTTAGTAATACAGAGATTTCTGAATTTGATAAGAGCATTACAAGAAACCTACAGCTAACATCATATTTTACGGTGAAAGACGGAATGTTTTTCTTCTAAGATTGAGAACAAGTCAAAGATATCTGCTTCTCACCACTCTTATGCAAAATTGCACTCAAAGTAAAACCACTAAGAGAAACAAGGACAATAAGTGACCATATGCAGATTGTAAAGGAAGAAATACAAGTGTATTTGCAGATGACATTATTTTCTATGTAGAAAATTCCAAAGAAGCTACAAAAACACCTAGAGGTAATAAGTGAGTTCAGCAAGGTCACAGCATATAAGATAAAGACACAATCACGTTTCTATATATTAATGATACAGGAAGAGGGGCAGGGAAGTGCTGGGAAGAGAAGGACATGGTCCCTGGCTAGAGCTCCACCCCCAGGTCTGTGCCTATGGACCCTACAGGTTGTATTGGGACAAGGGCGCATAGACTGTTTGAATATGATTTGTTTATTTGGCACATGAAATTAAGGTAATTACATGCCAGATTGTTTTATAATCTGTTAGACCATTATTTCAAATAGTGGTTGCATCAAGTAAACTTTCCTTTATGAAACTGCAATGTGTCTATTCACATTGTTTTTCAACAACCTTGGAACAAATTATTCACAGAGTAATTATTATCATTAGATACTTTCATGCAATTATACCTCATTATACTATTTTCTAAATTAATAATGTTTTAAATCTTCTCTACGGTTAAAGACTCAGGTTTTTTTCATTCTGTCCTTTCCATTCAGATCCTTTTAAAAGTCCCTGTTACACACTAAAGTGAATACGAACACTGCCCAAACTGTTTTCAATTTTCAAGCATCATGTTTAGAAATAATGTAGTCTTGTTTCTCTTTGAATTAAGACTTGCTCTGTGTGGTGGTGGCTGAGTGGATAGGAGAGTGAACACTGTTCTCAGTGAGAGCAAAAGGTCCATGTTTTGGGCAATAGAGTTGTATAAATGATTTAAGTTGAGAATGGAAGGCAGTAGATATTAAACCAAAGCAATTGTTCCTAATCCAGTAGGCAAAATAAAATAATTGTAGCTTCTATCCCAAGAGTCAGACATAGTAGAAATGGAAGCAGCAGTGGAGGCAAACTATAGTAGTAGGACTGGGGACTGTCTAATCTTATAGTTAACAGTACACACAGAGAGAACATAGCCCATAGTACACTACATTTTTAAAAAACCTACCTTCCAGAGAATAAGGTAGCAAAAGAGAAGTATATCAAATAAGTCTACTTCGTTGCAAGCAACAGTTGACAGCTAAGTAACTTAAGAGAAGAGAATGTATTGGAAGGATGTTGAAGGCTCACAGGATCAGCGTGAAGCTGAAGAAATGGACCTACAACAGAAAGCGACCAAGGGAGCTCAGAGGTCAGCAGCCATAACTCAGCAGTGACCTATTAGCACTTATGATCTGGTGAGCACGTGACCACACCATCCCAAACCTCTCTTCCATCTGCATTCAACCTTTCAACACTAGAGAGGATCTCACCTATTACTGCTTTGTCCTCCTAAGTAGGAGTTCTTACCTAACCTGCCCACAGTGGGGAAGAGTTAATATTCTAAAAAGAAATTGTGTTGCCATTTGGAGAAGTGAGGTGGATGCTGGAAAATCAAAATATGAGAAATACACATTCCAGGCCGACTTTAAGAAGCACAACTGTGATACTAACATCTAATTATCCTGTAAGGAAAAAAGAGAAGGATATCCCAAGTAAACAGTTCCTATGCAGGGAATGTAGGATTATCCCAGTTTAAAATTACCAGATTTATGGGAAGAAATGTCACAAAAGACACATTCTTACAAATAATTTAGACCCATACAATTCACATTGGGAAAGATAAAGGGTAGAATAAGCTGACTGAAGAGCTAACAGAGAGATTACCAGAACAAGAAGCTGAAAAAGAAAGGGAGAGTTGATGATAGGCTTAATGAAGGGCAGAGGAAAACCAGAAGTCTTCAGTGTTTATTTTGTTTTAGTCGTCTAGACCTTGAAAAGTGCTCTCTCAATTAAAAAGGGCAAAGATGGTTAGAGTGAAAATAAATATCCACGATAAGTAAGTAGATAGCAAAAGAGCATGTACCTATTTTTAAAAGAACTCAAATCTACATCCTAGATAAATTACATGACAGAACATTGAAGAAACTGGGAAATGTGATCAAGGAAACACTCTCAGTAATTTCTTAGAGAGCTGGTTGGAGAAATGTCAGAAGTAATGAATAGGGCAAATGCTGTTCTGAATTTATTAAAACAGTAAGATGACAGATTATACTATAGCTTGGTGTGAAATTCACAGGTGGGTTATTAAACAGATGATTTATGAGCAGGTAGACAAGAAAACTGCCACATAGCATGGGCACAGTAAGATAAGTGAGGGTGACGTAATGGAAGGAACTGGAGTCTGACAACCTGGACTCATTCTGTCAATAAATAGCTGTGTGGACCTGAGCACATCATTTAACCTCTTTGAACTGCAGTGTCTTTCTCTGGGAAATAAGGTTATTAGATTAGGTGTTCTTTAATGGTCAGTTTATCCACAAAGAACATGTCAGCCCCAAGTGCATCATATTTACCTTAATTCTTTTAATAGGGCTGCCTAATGATGAAAGAGCTGCCATTTATTAAAGAATGTATCCAGTATTAGCTGTTTATGTCACTTTATGAAATACATCAGTCCTATGACAGATGGGTATTATTAATCCCTTTTTTCAAATAATGAAATTGAGGCTCAGAGTGGCTAAGAAATCAGATAAAGCAGAATCAGAGTGTATACTGATATCAATGAATCAATTGACAGATACCCTGTGCTGTAATACACAAACTGAATATATTCAGGATGGATAACACTATAATGAGATAACACTAAAATGAATACAGCAAAAATTTTCTTTTGTTTGGATAGTTGTATTTAAAATATATTTCCTTTCAACCAAATTATTTATAAAATGTTAAAAAGTACAAGGTTCTTCTCAATAGAAAAAGTTCTGATTAAATTTGCAAGAAAAGAGAAAAAAAACCTAGGATAAATATGCAGATTAATAATTTATACCCATATTCATTTATTCAAGTACCACATCCAAACCAGGACTTGAGGTAAACTGATTTATTCACAGTATAGTAACTATTCAAACACAGTGGACTTTATTAACATTGAAAGTAAATTCCCACCGTTGGCATCTAAACCATCTTTCTAAATAAAAGACGGCCTTAAGTTTGAACAGGATTTTGTTTTGGGAAATTGTAACAAGGAATAGAAGTGAGTGGGATTGGTTCTTGGGTTGCCATTTGGAGCCCCCAAAAAGGATTGGGAAGGGAGTATCTAGAGTGATATCTAAGTACATTTTTCCCCTTAGGGATAGGATAGGTGATAAGGGAGTCTTGGGTTAACAAAATGTCTATTAAAGTGATCCAGTTCATTTCAAGTTGATTTCAAGTTCAACGGAAGCCAGCCATTTGAAAAGTCTAGCACAGAAGGCTGATGTAAACATCAGTTTCAGTTACAGAAGAGGGTGTTCAGACTTGGGGAGCCGATACAGTCCCACAGTTTCTGCCTTGGCCAAGCCATATCCTGAACATTGGTGAGTTCCCTTCTGCCTGGTGCATGGCCATGGTCCATGGGCGTTCCCTTCTCCATTCACCTTTTTGAAAGTTCTGAAAAGCATAGCAAATGAGAAACAGCTGCGACAACTAGGAAAGACAGGAGTGACATGAAGGCTTCTGTCAAATACATGTGGAGCCACTGTTTGGAAAAGATAGTTGGTTAGTTCTGAGACTCTGAGAACAAAGCTAGGAATGAGTGGAATTTAAAAGCACTTTTTCCAATTAGGGCCTCTCTAAAATAGAATGGGATGCCTTTAGGAGTGATGAGCCTCCTACTCATCTGTTCTTTTCAATTCAATGAATATTTATTAATGGCCTAACGTATTGCCATTCTTAAAGCTGGGAATACATCAGCGAAAAAAATAGACAAAAATTATTGCTCTGGCATCTATATTTTAGTAGGGGTAAATAAATAATAAAACAGTAATAAAATAATAAAAATAAAAAACAAATTAGCAGCATATATATTATATATCAGTATGTTAACATGTGAAAGAGAATGGGAAAAGAGTAGAATAAAAGAAATGAGGAATGAGAGGAGATAGGGAATGGGACAGGCTCAGTTACAAATATGATTGTTAGAGTAGGTCAGCCTCATTGAGAAGGTGACTGCATTAGTCAGGGTTCTACAGAGAAACAGAACCAATAAGATATTTTAGAGATATTTAGGAGAGATTAATTATGAGGGATTGGCTCACTCAACTGCAGACACTGGGAAGTTCCATGATCCACTATCTGCCACCTAGATGCCCAGGAAAGCCAGTGGTGGAGATCCAGTTCAAGCTTGCAGGCCTGAGAACCCAGGGAGTTGTTGGTGTAGGTCCCAGTCTGAGTCAGAAGGTGTGGGAACCAGGAGCATTGATGTCAAAGGGCAGGAGAAAGTGCAAGTTCCAGTTTCAGCAGAGAGCAAATTCACCCTTCCTGTGCCTTTGTGTTCTATTCGCGCCTTCAGTGGATTGGACGCTGCCCAACCACACTAGGAAGGAAGGATCTTCTCCTGTCTTCTACTGATTCAAATGCTCATCTCTTCTGGAAACACCCTCGCAGGCATATCCAGAAGTACATTTTGCTAGCTATCTGGGTATTCCTTAAGCCAGTCCACTGGACACATAGAGTTAACCATCACAGTGACATTTTAGCAGACTTCAGGGAAGGATGTGGGGTAGTGATCTCAGGGAAGAGCATTCCAAGGAGCAGAAAAAGCCATGAGAAGACCTGAAGCGGGGCTGTGAAAGCAAGGAGTATTCCCATGGAGTATTCCGTCTCTGAAATGCTTGAGACCAGAGGTGTTTCAGATTTCAGATTTTTTGGGATGTTGGAATATTTGTACAGACATAATGAGGTATCTTGGCAATGAGACCGAAGTCTACACATGAAATTCATTTATGCTTCTTATATACCTTACACACGTAGCCTTAAGGTAGTTATATACAATATATTAAATGATTTTGTGTGTTTTGACTGTGATTTGTCACATGAGGGAAGATGCGGAATTTTCTACTTGTGGCATCATATCAGCACTCAAAAAAGCTTTGGGTTTTAGATCATTTCAGATTTCAGGTTTTGGGATTAGAAATGTTCAACCTGTATTTAAGCAGAGCTTGGCAGAGCATTTCAGAGAGAAGTTGAAGAGAGAATTTCTGCTTTTGGTATAAACTAGAACTAGATAACCTCTGATGAGTCTTCCAACTTCACATTCCCTGAGTTTATGATCCTCTTGTAGCTGGGAATGATGAATTTGGTAGCAGCAAGCAGCATGGGTTCAAGACCAGAGGTGCCAGACCAAGACTCACAAATCCAAATGGTAAAGAGGCCAGACAGATAGTATAAACATTTTAAAAGATTGACAATACATTCAAATATTTTAAACTATTGTGTAACCAAATAAAGCATGTTTTCAGGCCAAAACTTGCCTAGTGGCCACCACTTTGAGACCGTTGCATTAGAGAAAGTAAAATCAGTTTGGTGTGTAATGGTGTAATACATATATAAAGTCTTAGGCAGGGAGTCAAAGGAGAATAAATGATAAAAGAAGAAATATGGGAGTCTTTGATGAGAACTATTCTTTGTTGTGATTTGCCAGGAAGCCAAAAGAAAAGAGACAATCAAAGATTACTTTGTAGTGTAGAGCCCAGGAGGCCAGTTTACAATGACTTTGCTCTTCCCCAAGCAAAAGTCATATTGCTTTTTTTCCACTGTTTCTATGGCTAGATACTGATTTGTCCTTTCATTGTCTTATTATACATAATTGCATAGCATTTAGGAACATAAAGTTCAGTTAGAGGGAGAAAGATAAACCAATGCAATGTTTTTCAATTATTTTGTGTCTACAGAGTAATTACAATTATCAAACTTTTTGGCAGAGGCTCAGAATGGACTGATAGTGATAATTACAAAGACACAGATGAAACCTTTATTCTTTTTGTTTTGATGTATGATTTGTCCTATTTCCTTACTGCAGGTGCTTTCATTTGCAAGATGGTGCCATTTGTCCAGTCTACCGCTGTTGTGACAGAAATCCTCACTATGACCTGCATTGCTGTGGAAAGGCACCAGGGACTTGTGCATCCTTTTAAAATGAAGTGGCAATACACCAACCGAAGGGCTTTCACAATGCTAGGTGAGGCCACTGGATGTGCCAATGGCAGTGTGAATGACATTCTTCATTACAGAATAGAGAACCATATTTTTAAACTAGAAGAGTAGCTTCTTATCTAACTTGTAGGCATTGGAATATAATTTGAGAGTTTCAGTGCTTTCCCTGTTTGCCTTCATCTCCACACCATCTCTCTTTTAGGCTGACCTCAAAACTGAAAATGTATCATTTTGGGTATACTTTTTCAGTTTACATCTTAAACGTTTAAGCACTATGTTCAGCTAATCTAAGATAACCTACCAGTGGCATTGCCACATTAACACTCATTAGATTGAGAACTATCTTTTTTTTTTTTTTTTTTTTTTTTGAGACAGAGTGTCAACTACATTGCCCAGGCTGGTCTCAAAAGTCTGGGCTGTGATTACAGGCATGAGCCACTATGCCCAGCTGGGAATTATCATCTTGAGATAAGAAGACTCCAAGCCAAGCTAACAAGGGCAGGTCGATTTTTTTTTCTTTTTTAGATAGGGTCTCATTCTGTAGCCCAGGCTGGAGTGCAGTGGTGTGATCACAACTCACTGCAGCCTCAGCCTCCCAAGCTCAAATGATCCTCCCACCTCAGCCTCCCAAGTAGCTGGGACCACATGTGCCCACCACCACACCCAGCTAATTTTTTTTATTTTTGGTAGCAACAGGGTCTCTCTATGTTTCTCAGGCTGGTCTTGAACTCCTGGGCTCAAGCCATTCCCCCTTGGCCTCTCCTTGTACTCCTTGGCCTCCCAACATGCTAGGATTACCGGTGTGAGCCACTGCACCTGGCCAGGCAGGTTGATAATGATAGGGAGCAGGAAATGTGGTTTTAGAAAAGTGGAGAACAGGGTTGCTGCCCTTGTGGTGAGTACACAAGGGTAGAAAGTGACAGGGTACATGAGAACAGTGGGTTCTGAGTGCTGGGGATGCCTGGCAAAGGCACATTCCACCCACTTCATACTTTTCCTTTAGGCATTTCTGGATCGTCAGCTTGCTGTAATTGTTCCTGAGTCAGCAAGTCACAATGAACACATACCTCATGATAAATGGTAAATTTGAAGCAATGCCCTAAAGTCTAACACAGTAAAATGGAAGCATTTCTCTATTCAGTAATTATAATTGAGCCATTTAAAACCTTAGTGTGCTTCACAGTAGTTTGAATTTAATATAGCAAATAATCAGAGGTGTAGCAAGCAACTAATGTGATAATCAAATAAAGCAATTTTTACTAATATCTCACTTGAGAAGAATGAGTAAACATTTATTTCTGCTGTAAGAATTTAGCCAGTATTGGGCTGTGGAATTGCAGAAAGAACCCCTGCAGGCTTTGCAATGCCAAAGTCATTTTAAATAGCTTGAAAATAATAGCTGAATCATTAGGGGAGAAAGGTGTTAGTTTTAGTTAGTTAGTTTTAATTTTATGTCATATCTTTCCTACTAAGAATTCAGAGATTTCTGGGCTTTTAATAATTGACATCTTTCCAACATCAGAACTCCTGAAAACAGCATGTGGGGATGGAAAGCAAGTAAGGAAAGGATTACATGGAGGAGGGGAGTTATTTAAAAGGAAAGAGAAGTAGCGCGAGTGACAACATCTCAAAGCATAGTTGATAATAGGCAGTCAAGGCAGTTCCTACTCAAAAGAGACATAGGAAACAAGAAGGTTTTAAAATCAACTAGACTCATCTCGCCATGGGGGCTTTTGTGAACTGTGGTCTAATGTCTCCTGTAGCTTTGTCACACTGTCATTCAGCCTTGTCAGTCAGTGTTTGTCAGTCACGCCCCATTCCTCCTTCCAGCTGAGATTGCCTAGACCTAGACAGGGGATGTCAAATCTTTTCGCTTCCCTGGGCCATATTGGAAGAAGAAGAATTGCCTTGGGCTACGCATAAAATACACTAACACTAACGATTGCTGATGACTTAAAAAATATATCGCAAAAAAATCTCATAATATTTTTTAAAAGTTTACAAATTTGTGTTGGGCCACATCCGAAGCCTTCCTAGGCCACATGCAGATTGGACAAGCTTGGCCTAGGTCCTCTAGGCTTTCTTGCCCAGATGTGGTCACTGTGTCAGTATTGTTCATCCAACTCTAGCCCTTCTATCTCAGAACCATCCAGGGATCCAGGAAGGTAGTCAATGAGCTATGAAAATTAGACTCAATTCCTCCAGAATTTGTACTAAAGCCCAGAAAAATGATTGGACATAAGATAACTATATGTGATTAAAATAGAACAGATGTGTATGGTAATAGGGAGGCAGAAAAGAGAAAGAGAAAGAGCGAGTGAGAAATAGAGACAGCCAGACAGACAGACTTGTGAGTCCTACAGCTGCCAGGTATCATTGGATCATGATGAATTTTTATAGGCAGCACCAAATTATGTGTTTCTTTATAATAAACCCCAATTATGGCTTAATTGAGTCATTGAAACCCAAAGCAATAAACTGTTTTCTTAATGTTCCACCCAATATAGAAAGAACAAGCAGAGTTCGAGCTGGAAACTTTTCCCCCAAATCAAAGTTGGGGCCCTTGGTTCCGTCCTCTTCCATGTCTGTTAAAACACACGGGTTGAAATTGTTCTTGGTAGTTAATCCCTGTTTTTCTTTTCTAAGAGTACATCATTAAAGCAATCCCTCTCAACAAGTTCGTGGAAGACAGGAAATTTGGAAAGAGCATTTTGGTTTCTGAAGTTATCAGTGTTTGTTTTCTTTTTTTTTTATTATTATACTTTAAGTTTTAGGGTACATGTGCACAACGTACAGGTTTGTTACATATGTATACATGTGATGCCCATGTTATGGTGCTTAAGATAAATGTACATTTGATTTTAAAAAGAGGTGACAGAGAGTGGTCTATGTCATGTTTAAAAGTTATTCATCCATTCCACCAACATGGATCAGCTCCTACAGAGGGCCAGGAATTTTCCTAGGACTCTTATTTGAGGAAACACAAAAATAAATGGCATTGTGTTTGCTTTCAAGGAGTTTGGAGGAAATTGAGAAGTGAGTAAGGGCAACGAAGACACTGCACTAGAGGGCATGTAGAGACAACAAGGAATTAGTAGTCAGTTTATTTGGAAATAGTAGTGACCTTCAAAGTTTCCCTAGAGAAGGTGATTTCTGAGTCAAGTCCTGGAAAATGAGTCCACAGATAGACACTGGGGATAGGGTGGCCAGGGAGTGGCGCAGTGCATTCTGGGATACGGAAACTGAAACCAGCACTGCAGGCTCCTCAGTAGAGGACTGCGGTGTGAAGAGCATGGACAGAAATGAAAGAGGAGAGAGAGGCAATTGAGATGGTAGAGAACCTCATGGGCCATGCTAAGGAAACTGGGTTTTATCTTGTAGGCAGTGAAACACTATTAAATGTTTAAAACTTGTTTTAGGAAGTTTATTCCAGCAGCAGTTTTGAGGATGGTGAAAGAGTGGAAGCATGAAACTTGGGGGAGACCATGGCACTGCCCTAGGGCAGAGAACAGCTGCCCTCTCATAGGGAATCTTGAGGGTTAGATAATTATGCATGGATGTGTTTTACTCAACTGAGTCATACTCTCATGACTTTAACACTTTTACAGGTGTGGTCTGGCTGGTGGCAGTCATCGTAGGATCACCCATGTGGCACGTGCAACAACTTGAGGTAGACTCCAGTTGAGATGTATAATCATATTGTTGAACTATTTTCTCACCCCTCTTAATTGTAATTATTTTCCTTCCTGCAGGAGCAATACAGCAAATTTGTATGACCTCAGCTATTCCACTGGAGGTCTTTTAAGTGGAATAAAATGATTTTTTAAGGTTCATTTTCTCTGTTTTATCTAGCTCTTCCTGATACATTGTTAGGACTCTAATGCTTAAAATACAATTTTTCAAAAATACACAGGTCAGTTTCTACATTTTCCTGCAAGCTGAGTATGCTTTTCCCAGTGTCCCTAAATGTTTTCTTACATTTTAAGAGTTGAATGATTGCTCTAGGTTTTTCTTTTATTTTTAAGTCACGTAAAAAAAATTGTAATAAATTATCTACTTAGTTGACTCTCAGAAGTCCTTTCTTACCTGCCTCCTATTCATTGACACATTGAAATTCTAACTGGAAACATATCAGGAGATCATCTTAATCAACCTCTCTCCTTTCCCCACACCTTTGTCAGACAGGCCCAGCCATGTGTGGGGCTTCACAGGAAGGAGAGTGCTGAGTTGGTTTCAGACAGCCCAGCCTGTCTGTTAGGGTGGACTTTAACATGTCTTGCATAGGTGATCTACCCAGACAGGAGTTTTCAAAGACGGTAGGGGGTTGCTTACATACCCCCTAAGATAAGTTTTAAATGATTTATCCCGTTCTACCTTTTAAAGTAGAGATAGGCAAATGTGAAACTTTACTGTCCATGTCATGTCATCCTCAAGGATAACAAATGAGCCTAAGATAAGAGAACATTAAAAAAGTAACCTGATTTTTTTCATGTAACTAATTTGTTGAATGAGCTGGACTCCATAGGTGAGAGCAGAAAGTAATTTTATTTTATCCCTTGCTACCTGGAAAAATGCATCTAAGGACTTTTTTAGTCCTCTTGGTGAAATATCATGAATGAAAAAATCTTGAGCAACTCTTCCAGTCAGATAATAAAATTTCTCTGGTTACTTTCACTCAGAAGAATAGTGTGAGTTCTGTTATTAAACTGTCCTGTCCAGTAATACAATTACATAAATCATACTCTTATTTAATCAATTTATAATTTTTCCCTTCCCTCAGTGTGAATAGTTTTCAGGCCTAGAAATGTGAAGGAGTTATGGTCAGTTTCTTCTCTGTTTCCTCTCCTTGTGTTTCTTTTTCTCTCCCCTGCCCCACTCCTCTCCCCGCCCCACCCCCCACCCCCCATACAATTGGCTGCCTCTCTCTCATCAGAAGCTGATGAGGAAAATGGGGAGAGGAAGCGGGCAGATGTCACTGGAATCAATGCCCTCTAGGTGTGACAGTATTGCCTGTGACTGATTGTTTGCTTCAGGACTTCTCAAAGATAACAGCACTGAGACCTCCAGCGGGCTGGCAAGGGATCATGCCAGCTCCTGTCTGAGGATGCTGCCCTTATCTCCAATGGGAAGCCCAGACTGGTGGAGCCTTTTCATAATGATTCACTCTAGTTCTAAATTGTGTGGTCCATTTCTAGCCCATAGAAAACAAACAGATGTATCCATTTTTAAATAAAACAAAAACATTTTGTTTTATTTAATATAGAAAAAGTGTTTTTATATGTTTAAAAAATACCCTAAATATTTTTTAAATACATAATTAATTGTGTTTGTAGAAAATGCATGTCATGTCATTGGCAAAGCCAGTCCTCACTGTCAAATAGATGAGTCTAGTCAAAGTTGCTTCCTGTCAGGAAAACATCTGATTAAACAAATGTATTAATATGCATCCCATGGCTACCTTCTCACTCCTAAATTCTATTAGGACAAGCAAAGACTTCCTGAGGCCATGCTCAGATGGTTTTATGGAAAATTTCAGATCTTCACTCTTCGATTTCAGATTTTCTATTCCCAAATGTACGCTTCTCGAAAATTCCACTGCCTAATATCGTCCTGAGCTTGCAGTGAGTGTGAACTTATCACAGGGATGATACAAAGCACCCTGCCTTCAGCATTTCTCACTGCCGCTCTCTGCTTCACTTGTACTGGGGTCTCTCTCATGAGTGATGTATTTATCAATTTTCAAGTGATAGAAGCAACGAGACGGTTAAAATTGTCATTGCTCCTGCCTCCTTACTGTATGAAAAATGTGAATTCACAACTTCTCAACACCTGTCAAATACCTTTTTTTCTCTGCCAGGCTTTACCCTGAATAGAAATATATTTAAGAGAGAGAAGAGCACAAAGCCCTGCCATGTGTTTATGATGCCTTGATCAATGTGGCTTCACTGACATCAGTCATTGAATTATGTCTTGTTTTGGTGCCCCGTGGTAAGATTCATTATGGGTGAGAGATGTGATTTCTGTAACTTGGGAAAAGGGTGATTATGAAACAGGAAGTGGGAATTTAGACCCAGCGTGACACTTCAAACTTGGGGACGATATTAGGCAGTGGAATTTTAGAGAAGTGTATGTTTGGAAATAGAAGATCTGAAATTGAAGATCAAAGATCTGAAATTTTCCATAAAACCATCTGAGCATACCCTCAGGAAGTCTTTGCTGAAGTCCACAGTCAGGACTTTGCTGAAGTCAGGAAGTCCGTAGTCCCTAGGGCTATGTGAACCTGATCCAAGACTTCCAGTTCAGCATGCTCTTAGATGTGTCAGTCCATACCCCCTGGTCATTGGCCTTTGCATGCTTTGCTTCCATGGAGTTGGAATGAATTTCATTTTAACATCCTATTTCCAGAGAGTTTGAATCTTGAGATTATTTTTCAGTGAGTGTTATTCCTAGTTGCATCTGTAAGTAACACCTAGGTCAGAACTTGAATTTTCTTACCTTTGATGAGTAACCAAAAAGTTGCTGTCCCTCATTCAATTCACATTGAAGACTGGTGATAAAATTTCCTGGGAATGTAGGCAGAAATATGTCTGAGACCCAAGTATTCAGCTCCACAGTAACTAAAATAACAATGGTTTTGATAAATATTCTCGTTTTTATTCCTATTACCCAAAAAAGTGACTTCTGAATATGCTTTAAATATTTAGTTTGTTCTTGAACTAGCCCTTAAAGCACTCTCTATTATTTATTATTGTTGTTAATAATACTTTTGAGCTTATAAGATGAGTCTACCAGAAATAGTACGAATAAACCAGCAGGTACAATCTGAATATTTGTATATTGGCAATAGTTTGAATCCCAATTTCTCATTCATCTCAGGATAAAAGCTGCCAGTTGCCTCTTTAATATCTTTCTAAGCAATCTGATCATTGCAATATATGAAGTAGCAGTAACAAAACGCAGCTTTCAGTACTTTTCAATTGAAAGATGTCTCATGCCTTGTCAAAAATCTGTCTCAACAATTGAAGAAGCAAAATAATTTAATATTAGACTACCTAGCATGTATTGCAAAATATTTTTCAGTATATACTTTGGCAAATATAGTGCTCTTTCAGTCGATTGAAAACTTGTGACTAGTGGAAATAGAAGTTGAGAAAGACAATAAATGAAAGTAAACAGGCTATGGACCTGAATTCCATTTAGAATAGAAAAGCTGGTATAAAACTCTTAAGAACTTAAGCAGTGAAGTGGAAAAACTATGCTTCACAACAAAAGAACAATTAAAAATGTATCTCATTTGAAATACGTGCTGGGGACAAATTTGAAAGAACTTAAAAAATGTTGTGTTGCAATAATACTTGGCTGATTTCTGTTTTTTGATGCTGACTACTGGTTCTTTTAATGAATTATTCTTATTATGAAGATCAAATATGACTTCCTATATGAAAAGGAACACATCTGCTGCTTAGAAGAGTGGACCAGCCCTGTGCACCAGAAGATCTACACCACCTTCATCCTTGTCATCCTCTTCCTCCTGCCTCTTATGGTGATGCTTATTCTGTACAGTAAAATTGGTTATGAACTTTGGATAAAGAAAAGAGTTGGGGATGGTTCAGTGCTTCGAACTATTCATGGAAAAGAAATGTCCAAAATAGCCAGGTCTGTTTAATGAAATATTCACCTCTTTAAATTATTTTTAATTAATTGTGCTGGAAGGGATGGTTGCCAGGGCTCTCAGAACCTCTAGGTAATTTAGTCTAAGCATCCTTTGCAATTCAAATTTAGGGCATGGACTGATTTTAAACTCTTGAAGTTTTACATGTGTCTGAAAGAAACAACAAGACTACCAGCTCGCAAATCAACTGGGAAGTTACAGCTATAGGTAGAAACTGACTTGGAATTTAGAACATACATGATGTGGTAGGAAGACTGTGGGCTGGTGTCAGAACCCTGTGGTCCTATGGGTACTCTCTCTATCACTCACCAGCCACAAGATATACATCAGTCTCACTCCCAAGGCCCTGCTTCCCGCATATGTACAAGGAGCATAATAACATCCATCCTTAGTTAATCCCACCCAAGGATAATGCTAAAAGACATGAGATTGATCTGTATGAAAATCCTTTGGAAACCGAAGCATGCTATTTATTTTAAATTATTATTATTGAGTTATTTTTACCTAAGGGCTTTGCTTTCTGAATTTATTCATTAATAGAAATTTTAAAACATGACTTACTGCTATGATACTTGTAGTCCATATCATTTATTTAATAACCTACACTGAATGACTATTAGAAACAAAGCAAAAAAAAGCCTTAAATGGAGGAGTCTGGTGATTTGGTGGGATTTTATCATCTCTCCAAGTGTGCAGTGATCTCTAGTGCTCTAGTGCTCAGTTTGAATAAAGAAACCCTTCTTGTCAATGTACAGGGGCTCCTAGACTGTCCGCACCTTGGGACCTATCGTTAAGTTGGTTCCTCCCACTTACTTGAAAGAAAGAGCTGCCATGTTGAAATAAGAGATAATGGACCAGGTGCAGCGGCTCACGCCTGTAATCATAGCAATTTGGGGGGCCGAGGTGGGTGGATCACTTGAGGTCAGGAGTTCGAGACCAGCCTGACCGACATGGTGAAACTCTGTCTCTACTAAAAATACAAAAATTAGCCAGGCGTGGTCGTGGGTGCCTGTAATCCCAGCTACTTGGGAGGCTGAGGCAGGAGAATTGCTTGAACCTGATGGACTGAGGTTGCAGTGAGCCGAGATCACGCCACTGCACTCTAGTCTGGGTGACAGAGCAAGACTCCATCTCCATAATAATAACAATAATAATAATAATAATAATAATAATAATAATAATGAGATAATGAGTATGAGTTTTTATAAACTTAAAGCACCATGCAAATGTGTAGAGCTCTTGCAGATGTAAATCCTCTTTACAGAAGTCATGGAGAAAATTAGTTTGAAGCCCTGGTTAATCATGTTTTTAAGATATATCAGGCCGGGTGTGGTGGCTCACACCTGGAATCCCAGCACTTTGGGAGGCTGAAGTTGGAAGATTGCTTGAGCCCAGGAGTTTGAAACCAGCCTGGGCAACAAAGTGAGACCCCGTCTCTACAAAAAATTTAAAAATTAGCTGGGTGTAGTGGCATGCACCTGTGGTCCCAGCTACGTGGAGGCTGAGGTGGGAGGATCACTTATTGAGCCCAGGTTGAGGCTTCAGTGAGCCATGATTGCACCACTCCTCTACAGCCTGGGCAACCGAGTAAGACCTTGTCTCAAAAAAAAAAAAAAAAAAAAAAAAAAACCCAAGATATATCGTATAGATATCCATTTAAATTATATCCCTGGAACTTCCCATATTTCATAATTTTTTTTTGGTAGAGATGCGTTTTTGCCATGTTGCCTAGGCTGGTGTTGAACTTCTGGACTCACTAAATTCTCCTGCCCTGTCCTCCCAAAGAGCTGGGATTACAGGCGTGAGTCACTGCACCTGGCCCATATTTTATAAATATTGATATTTTACTACCACAGGCATGAATGCTCTTTAATATAAAGTGAGTAAGAGCTTCATATTGAAGTCACAGAAGTTAGACTTCCTAAATTCACATCCAAGATACAGCCTTTACTAGCCATCTAACTTCGCAAATTAATTAACCTTCTGTGTGTCTCAATTTCTGCATCTATCAAATGCCTTATTGGGTAAATTAATGACATTATCCATGTCATGCATCTAGCAGAGTGCCAGATCCATAATGAGCAGACATTCAAAGAACATTTATGATGTGAGGGTAATATCAATAGGAAAAGATGATAATCAGCCCACGAATAACCTATCGTGAGCTTAATTTAAAAATTATGTTTGAGTGAACTAAGCTCAGACTTTAATAGCTTTGCTATCAAGCTGGCACATTTGCCAAGGAGAAGTTAACTAATACAATGTTTCCTTGTGGGTTTAGGAAGAAGAAACGAGCTGTCATTATGATGGTGACAGTGGTGGCTCTCTTTGCTGTGTGCTGGGCACCATTCCATGTTGTCCATATGATGATTGAATACAGTGAGTGCTTGTCATTCTCATTTGATAGACATTCTCATTCATTTCCTGCTAGAATAGACAATGAATCTTTGAAATGTGTCGCTGTTCACTTGGATAATCAAATACCTAACATTTCATATATTTCTTTCATGTCTTCAAGATCACAAGGTCATTATGTGGTAGGTCATTGTGTATGACTATGACTAAATCTTTAATAATTACAGAAGATCAAAGCTTTGAGATTCCTCTCCCATGTTACTCCTTCTGTTCTCCCTAGGCTATTTAAACTTTGGGAAAGGAGTGACATCCTATTAGCATTTCCCATTTAGAACCCTGACTTGAACAGTCAGACCTGCAGTATATTCTTTCTGATAACCCAGGACTTACCATGGTTCTCAGTATGATTTTGTTTCTCTAAGGCAAGTGAACATTTGAAGGGTTACTGCTGCTTCCAGTTTACATGAAGCTTGGAGTTATCAAGCTGCAATGCTATAAGCCCCCTACTATATGCTGGACACCAGGCTACGCATGTAAACCTAGATTCTCTAAGTGAAGACTCATCACAAAGGTTGTTTTTATTCAGATATCAGATGCCTCTCCCAAAACGATCTTGAGAACTTTTCACACCTTCAGATACTTGTACAAGTTTAAGTCTTTGACAGGTGACAAACAGAAGTTTTATTTTATACTCCTTAAAATAAACGTACATTCTAAAATATTACTTTATTTCAGGTAATTTTGAAAAGGAATATGATGATGTCACAATCAAGATGATTTTTGCTATCGTGCAAATTATTGGATTTTCCAACTCCATCTGTAATCCCATTGTCTATGCATTTATGAATGAAAACTTCAAAAAAAATGTTTTGTCTGCAGTTTGTTATTGCATAGTAAATAAAACCTTCTCTCCAGCACAAAGGCATGGAAATTCAGGAATTACAATGATGCGGAAGAAAGCAAAGTTTTCCCTCAGAGAGAATCCAGTGGAGGAAACCAAAGGAGAAGCATTCAGTGATGGCAACATTGAAGTCAAATTGTGTGAACAGACAGAGGAGAAGAAAAAGCTCAAACGACATCTTGCTCTCTTTAGGTCTGAACTGGCTGAGAATTCTCCTTTAGACAGTGGGCATTAATTATAACAATATCTTCATAATTAATGCCCTTCAGATTGTAACCCAAAGAGAAAATTATTTTGAGCAAAGGTCAAATACTCTTTTTATTCTTAAGATGATGACAAGAAGAAAACAAATCATGTTTCCATTAAAAAATGACACGAGGCTAGTCCAAGTGCAGTGATGTTTACAACCAATTGATCACAATCATTTAACAGATTTCTGTGTTCCTTCTCATTCCCACTGCTTCACTTGACTAGCCTTAAAAAAGCAACATGGAAGGCCAGGCACGGTGGCTCATGCCTGTAATCCCAGCACTTTGGGAGGCCTAGACGGGCGGATCACGAGGTCAGGAGATCAAAACCATCCTGGCTAACACGGTGAAACCCCATCTCTGCTAAAAATACAAAAATTAGCCGGGCGTGGTGGCGGGCACCTGTAGTCCCAGCTACTTGGGAGCCTCAGGCGGGAGAATGGTGTGAACCCGGGAGGCGGAGCTTGCAGTGATCCGAGATCATGCCACTGCACTCCAGCCTGGGCGAAAGAGCGAGACTCCCCGTCTCAAAAAAAATTTTTTTGAAAAATTCGTAAACCATACTTTTAAGATTATTTCAGTGGATTTTTAAAAATCTTGTACAGAAATCAGGGTTCTTAGCTAGCAGTTTTTCTCCCACGCAGTCACTGTAATGTGACTATGTATTGCTAGATTGAATAAGAAAATAAAATAATATCTTCTTCCTTGAAAACTAAGTTAATACTTCAATGCTGTAATGTGATTTTTAGTGCACTGTTGAATTTAGGTAATACAGTCTCTTACACATGAGGTCTGTGCCACAATCATAAAGTCAAAGCAAAGGGAGAAGCAGCCAAGTGACGGATGAATGAGACTTAGAGGAAGATGCCTGTACTGGAGCTTTGTATGGTTCTGCCAGTTACCTTGCTGCCTTGTTGTATGACTGGCAAGTAACGTCGCCTTTTTAAGCCTTCATGTTTTCCTGTGTAAACTGGAGGTGATGCCCCCTCCACTTCACGGAGTTGCTGCCAGAATAAAATGAGGCATGAGCAGACAAGCCCTTTGTACTCTAAAGCAGCCTCAAGCTCTGAGGCATAAGCTCCCCATGTCTCACATCTCCCGTTTGTGTTCTCTTTTCCTTTCTGAGACTCTCCCCAACCCCTGCCCAACTTTCCCTTCATATCTGTGTTGTAACTGGTTTCTCTAATCAAAAGAAGAAAGTTTGGGGAGCCTCATTTCTGTGATATATTTAGACAAAACTATCACATAGGGTTATCTTTTTAAGCCCCTTATTTTCACTGATGGGATTTCTTATATAAAAGGAATTTTCTGTGCAGTTAGTAGATGAGGGAGTGAATCAACTCCAAGCCCATGAAATTGTACTGTGCCCAAGGCTGACCCTCAAGAGCTAGGTCAGGAAGAAAATAGAGTTCCTCACCCATATTCCTTCCCCCAGCCTCCCTTAAGTGCAATCCTTGTCTCTTCAATCTTCTCTCTGGTTCCCAAATGTCATGGATACAGAGGCCACCATCACAGCACCCTGTCATTTTCCTTTCAACAGCTAAGACTCCCAAAGTCCAGCCGCAACCTCACAGCCAGTGTTTATTCTGCTTCCAGTTTTCTAGCACTTACTCTCCCAGCCAGGTAATAGAAAGGAAGAGAAGCTTAAGAGCCTATAGGACATTTTACAGGTAAAGCTTTAAGATTTGGTAACCAAGGAACTAACTATTGGGATCTTCAAGATACAGACATTTAATTTTTTATATGTCAGTGAAGCATGCCTGAAAAAGACAAAGATGAAGCAGTGTGCAGTATTATGAAAAATTGTCAATATGACACTGCAAAATTCACAAAGAGAAAAGAGAGAGACTGATTGTTTAGTTTCTACTGATGTGGACTATTTATGGGTTATTTATATAAACTGCCTGTCAGGTCTAGTTACCCTATGGCAAAACAATGATTATCATTAAACATTAAACCATTAAAAATGAATTGGATTCACTGATTTTGGTTATCCTTACTCAGTCGGTAAATATTCATATAATCCTTTCTACATTTGGTGTATACATGCTCTAAATATGACTTAATGAAAAACAGATAAATCAGCACTGTTATTGACCATGTAATTATTAAGGTTAGAAGTTTCTTTTAATTCCTAAATATTTAGATATTAGGTAATACCTTAAATATTTACTGTAAAATTTCCAGACATCTTATGAAAGGTTTTTTTTTTTAAAAAAATTTGCTTACATTGCATCAAAGCTGTTTTAGAAACAGAAGTAGTAATAGCACACTGTTTTTGTCCTTTAAACATATAATCCCTTTGCTCTGTTATAAAGATTCAAAAGGTAAATGTGGTCCAATCTGTTCCTGAAAATGTCCTACTATTAGCCAAAGAAGCTGTGAGTCTCATCTGGACGTTGAGTCCATACACTGATATAACACAGCCTGTGAGTGCATAGAGAGTTCACCCTGGATTTGCAAAAGGAACCTGACTACTGCCTTTTGTTCTCTTTTCCCTGACTTTACAGTCCCTGAGTCTTTTACTCCCTTTGTCTTCTACTCAGCC
This sequence comes from Homo sapiens, assembly GCF_000001405.40. Lineage (NCBI taxonomy): Eukaryota > Metazoa > Chordata > Mammalia > Primates > Hominidae > Homo > Homo sapiens. The sequence continues at coordinate 121,326,752 of NC_000004.12, read as the reverse complement.
ATCTGCTTTTTTCCCCTTTTGTCTCTGCCACAGGCTGCCTGTCACTCATTTTATCCATCTGGTTTTCCTTTACCTGGTGCTTGGAGTGAAAATTGAAAAGGTTTTGTTGGATCCAGGAGGTAGGGTTGGGAGTGGTACAGAAAACTAGTTTTTCATCTATTAGCATTTAGGTAAAACATTTGCGAAAGCAGTAAAAAAGTACGTTTCACCGCTCAGACCTCTAAGCCTTTTATTTCATTATGGATCATTGTGCCAAACAGAGGTCAGTATCTTTTCTCCACTCTATAAATAGATATGATCTTCTGAGAAATATTCACAGTTCATGTCCCTTTTGATTATACTATGAAGGGTAGCTCCTTTTTTTGCCATAGTTTGATATGGTTCAGAACACCAGTGTTATACATACTAGTTTGATTAAAGATTAATTACTAGTCCCAAGACCATTTTAAAAAGAGAAACCCAGTTTCAGGCCCTATACTATGTTACTTGAAGGCTTACAATAAATTAAAATATCAAGAAAATGTGTCATTGGCCTAAGGATAGATATTTAGCTAAATGCAAAATAATAAAGATACCAGAAGAAAAGGTGCAAATATATAATCAACTTATTTTGGCTGAGGTAGCAGCATAATTCAATGGGGGAAATGATAACCTTAAAACAAAAGGTTCTGGAACAATTGGATATTCAAGTACCAAAAATAGGACTTTGATTCTTACACTACATACAAAAATTAACTCATAATGCACCATATACTTAAACATAGGAGCTAAATCTATAAAACCTCTACAATAAAATATAGAAGAAAATCCTGGTACCATAAATTAGGCAAAGATTTCATAAGCCACTAAAAGCAGGAAGCATAAAAGGAAATTAATAAAATTAACTTTGTCAAAATTATTAGCTTCTGCTATTTGAAAGGTAATGCTATAAAAATGAAAGGGCAAGCCACAGATTATAAGACAATATGTGCAAAACACATCTGGTAAAGACCACAAATGCATTATTTATAAAGAATTCTCACAACTCAGTAATAAACTTGGCAAATTATTTGAACAAACATTTTACCTAAGAAGAAACACAAATCAATAAGCATATGAAAAGCTGCTCAACATCAATAGTCATTACAAATGGCAAAACAAAACAACAGTAAGATGGTGCTACACACCCCCTAGAATAGTTAAAGTTAAAAAGTGTTGGCAAGGATGTTGAGCAACTGGAATTCCCATGGCTGGTGGGAATATAAAATGACACGGTTATGTGGGAAACAATTAACTGATAAATTGAACAGTTATTCTGCAACCCAGAAATTCCATTCCTGGCCAAGCACAGGGGCTTACACCTGTAGTCCCAGCATTTTGGGAGGCTGAGGTGGGTGGATCACGAGGTCAGGAGATCAAGACCATCCTGGCCAACATGGTGAAACCCTGTCTCTACTAAAAATACAAAAATTAGCCGGGCATGGTGGCGGATGCTTGTAGTCCCAGCTACTCCAGAGGCTGAGGCAGGATAATCACTTGAACTTGGGAGGCAGAGGTTGCAGTGAGCCAAGACCGCGCCACTGCACTCCAGACTGGTGACAGAGCGAGACTCCTTCTCAAAGAAAAAAAAAGAAAAGAAATTCCATTCCTGGATATTTTCTCAAGACGAATTAAAACACATGAATGTTCATAGCAGCTTAATTCATAATCACTAAAAACTGGAAACAACCCGAAGGTCTATCAGCTGGTGAATGGATAAACAAATTGTGGTAAAGCAATCCAATTGAATATGACTTACTAACAAAAAAGAATTAACTGTTGATACTTAGGACAACAAGGATCAATTTCAAAAGTATTCTGCTGAGTGAAAGAAGCCTGTCAAAAAAGACTATGTGCTCTATGATTCCATTTACATGAAATTCCAGAGAAGACAAAGCTGTAGGAATGAAAAACGGGCAGGTGGTTGCCATGGGCTAGTAGTTAAGTAGCCAATTGAATGCAAGAGAGTGACTTTTTTGGATGATAGAAATGTGTTATCGCTTAATTTTAGTAATGGTTACTTGGCTTTAGACATTTCTCCAATTGATTAAATTGCATACATTAAAAGGCTGAATTTATTGTATACAAGTTATAGTTTGATTTTTTAAAGTACACTTCACGAAGGAATTTCATTTTGCAATGTAAAAATGACAACTCTTCATACTGGTTCCTTGACCCGAAGAAGAGTATCCATAGTAGGAAAAGCCTAGTGGAGGCTTTTAAAACTGCGCTACCCACCACCACCAGTCAAGAGAGTGAATTAAAAATAATATTTTGGCCCCAGGTGAACAACAGAGATTGGTGCTGCACTCAGAGGTTTAAATGATACTGCATATATACCCATCATATCTTCATTGGATTCACTAATATGATTGACTCCTGCAGAACCTAAATGGATCACAATACATGACGTAGACTGCCACAAACAAGTAGTAGCCCCAAGTGCTGTGCTGTGCTGAATGTGGTATCTTTACTGGAGCAGATTACCACAGCGTCTAGTATGCTCTATGCAGCTATTGATCTGGCCATTGCTTTGTTTTCAATGCCTGTTAAGAAGGAGAATAAGCAGTAATCTACATTCACATGGAATAAACAACAATGTATATTCTATTGTCTTAACAAAAATTATGTTTATCTGTCTGTTACTTTACAGGATAGCCCAAAGGAACATGAAGTGTCTGGATATTCCACAGAAGATAATATTGGTCCTCTATGACATTATAGTACTTGTATCTGATACTATGAATATATATATATGGTGTATATATATGTGTGTGTATGTGTGTGTGTGTGTACACACACACACTTGCTACATGTATATAGCAAGGACTCTGTACTATTGGGAAACATGTACCCCAGAAAGTGGGAGATAACAGTGATAAAACTTACAGATTTAGAGGATGCCATGTTGGTGAAGTTTTTAGAGGTCTTTCAAAGAAAATTATGGATTTTTGTACCTTGAACTTCCTACCACTAACAAAGAAGTACAATTCTTGGGAGGCCTCTTTGTATTTGATACTCTTTTCTAGAGAACCATGTTTTGATCATTTTATTGGTGAAATGGTAGGCTGCTAGATATGAGTGTGTCCCAGAGCTAGAAAGAGCTCTGCAGCAGGTAAGGTTGTAATCAAAGCAACTCTGTCATTTGAACCATATGAATTAGAGATTCAATAATTCAGGTTGTAGTAGGAGAAAAGTCTGTTACTTGGATCATATGATCCATAAAATTCCATAGTACTAAGGCATCGATATTAGATAAAGATGCAATGTGGAGCCTCTGACAGGTACTAGTCAAGAAGTTATAGTGCTTATCGCTGTATTTCTGAAGCAAGCCCATGCTATTTGCAGCAAATAATTTATCATCAAAAGGTAGTGCCTGAAATGCTACTGGCCCCTAAAGAGACCAAGTGAGCTACTATGAAGTGACTATGTAGCCAAAACTTCTTATCGTGTGTTGGGTACTGTCTTATTGTCTTACCCAACAAGTGTTAAGCATGGGCAGTCTCAGAAATAATTAATTCATAATGAAATGGAAATGGTACATCCAGAATCCCACAGATCAGGAGGGCACAGATGAACTGCACAGACAGGTAGCACATAGCTCCACATCACTCCTGCACCTGTGGTCCCATGATTGCCTAGATTGTCAGTTACTGAGAGAGGTGTGTTAGAGTCTTCCACTATGCCTTATATTGGCTTATTTCTCCTTTTAAAGATACCAGCTTTTGCTAGTGTGTTAAGGCTATGTTATCAGGTACATGTACACATAGGATTCTCAGATCTTCCTTTATGATTGGCCATTTTATCATTATGAATTGTTCTTTCTTATCTTTTAGCAATGGGGAAGTTTTCAAAGAGTGCATTATCAAAAGTCCTCTAAATGTATTGAATAAATTGTTGAAAACTATGTGTTCTGTTGTTCATAATAGAAACAATAATTCAACAATAGGAAAAAATTCTGAGTGCCTGCCAGTAGAGGAGTAACCAAATAAATGATATTACATTCTCATATGATCTATATTTTCAAAGAATGTTTATCGCCACGTGTGGCAGGTGAAGTCATGCTAATAAAATGTGAAAACTACACATTCAGAAAGTTACCCCTAATGCTTAACCTGGCCTACTCCATATAGTCTGCAAAAATAAAATTCCTTTATTTATCACTCCATAAAGAGTTATTTTTACATTCTCAGCTTGCCGAAGTAGGCTTATGATGATTTTCTGCTTTACTGCCCTGAAGTTTAACCTGAAGCCGTTTAATTCAATTATCTGTAAGACTAGCATGCTCTTTAAATACAATATTTAAAAAGTTATTGCTATTAGTAGAGTAAAAAAAGCAGTTCACCTACTTTTCAAATGCCATATTTGTAGGTTTTATGGAGAGTACAGGAGTCCTTCACATGTTAAAAAACAAACACCATACCCATCCATTAAGAAGTGTAAACTGACAGTATGTTGTTCTCATTGACTTATTCAACAGATATTTTTTGGAGCTCCTGCTCTGTGTCAGATCTAGCCAGTCTCCTTCCATCTCAAGATCAAGAAAATCCTTTCTATTCTGAACTAGAACAGATTGAAAAGGGTTGGCTGGCAAAAGTCATATAGAACAGGTGATTCATAGCTTTAAAAACAGACATGGATTTCCTGGCTTGAATCTCAGGCCCCTTTCTGCCTTTGTTCACAGAAATTTTTGTGTTCTAGAACTGAGATTATGATGTATCTAAAAAAGAAAAAAAAATAAAAGCAAATGAAATAAGATGACAAAAAATGACCCTATTTGAATCATTAGAATTACCAGAGCACAGAAGTAAATGAATTCCCGTGTTCTGAGTCTCGTGGCTTCTGTCACTATGCCAGAATCCTTGGCTGCTGCCGTGTTTACAAAACTATTAAGAAAACTTATATATAAATAAACTATTTTAAAAATTAATTTTTAACGAACTGGCAAAGGTGATTTTTTAATGAAGGAGTTTCAAGGAAAAGGAACATCTGAGAAGCACCCAGTTATATCTCTTGTCTGTAGGGAGGAGGCGTTTCAAGTGTAACAGATGTTCTCTAAACTCCAACAGCCTGAGTGGCTCAAAAACAATTAAGGAATGATTTCTTACTTAAAATAGCAGACTATGTAAACATATTTATTTCTCCCCCTACTGAGATCCTATCAAAATGATATTAAAGGAACAGCAAATGTACAGATGCACAAACATGATGAAAAAGAGAGGATAGCCACAGTGAATACAAATTTTCAATAAATATCCTGATAAAACCTAGATGTTGATTAAAGCATTGAAATCATGAAAAAAAAGAGAGAAAGTCACAGGCTCTGCCCACAGCAGACCACAGTAGTGGAAGAATTAATGATATGTCTCCAGAAGAGTTAGACATCACTGTCTATTCCATCTTCTGCCATAAATTGAATGGCTACCAGGAAGGTGTTTATTCCTCAGTGCTTAACATTCCCATCCCAAATATACACATGCATTTCTTCTTGAAGGAAATTAAAGGAGTCTGGGGAGATATTGGCAGACACCTCAGTGTTCTAGAATACTGTAGTGCCCAAGTGTGATGATCAGATTCACAATAACCCTAAGTCAAAGCCAGCCATTTGCCACCCTCAACCTATGTACAGAGTTTTTGGTCAGCTTCACATTTCTGCACTCTTAAAGGATCATTGATATTTTAGAAACCCTGAAAAATGGAAGAAAAAAACTAAGATGAAGAGATAGAAAACTAACTAGAATAATCAAATAATTCAAGGTGACAAAAAATTAGAAAGGAATTGTTTCGTATTCTTATAGAGATTTAATAAGAAATTCCCTTTATAAAACCATAAATAAAGCATGCTACAAAAAGGAAGAATTGGATTAATAAGGCTTTTGGAAGTTGAGAATAGATTGTAGAAGTTAAAAATAGATTATTTACTCATCCTTATGGCCCGTATGTTTAATAGAAGCCTTCACAAAACTTTCTTCAAAAATGTTTTCTAATGTATGCTTACATAACAAACCTCTTGAGGCTATGTTTATCATTCAGGGTGCTGTCCAGAAACAGATGACACGTTCAAACTGAGTAATTTGAAGAGAGATAAATAAAGGGACTCCTTACAAAGGCTTGAGCAGGATACAGAAAAACAAAAGGATTAGTGTACCTAGCTGCTAATAACAACAAAGCACCCTTTCCACCCCTGGGCCTGAAGGGGAGGCAAGAAGATGGAAAAGAAAGAAAAGGAAGAGGAGGAAGAGAAAAAAAAATGAGAGAGACAGGGGGAGAGAGAGAGAATTGTGTGGAAAGAACTGCCTGTAAGTGCTATTGTCCTGGGTAGAAAAATGCCACCAACCTTTGCTACCCCTCATGGAGAGTCTCATAAACATTAATATGCTGACCTAACTCCTTCCTCCCTCTGATCTGCTAGCAGTCTTCATTCCTCAAGCACAATCAAAAGACAAAGGTGCTCCTTGATTCAGACACGGAGCACAGTGGTGCAGAAAGGGTGGACAAACAGAAAATATCCAGTGCTTGTGTGCCTGAACATATGTTAATCATGGTTAGTTATGCCCTCATATTTCCATGGTGGTTCAGTTGCATATAAAAGTATAAGTTTTCAGCCTGGGAGACAGAGCTAGACTCTGTCTCAAAAAAGAAAAAGTATAAGTTTTAAGTTTATTTCCTTCAAAACATCTAAATCTGTGATGTTTTGTCTTTTTGATACCAACATGTCTATTTAGAGTTCTGATGTCAGTCTGAGATATCTTCTTTCTCTTTGATATCTTTTTTTTTAATTATACTTTAAGTTCTAGGGTACATGTGCACAACATGCAGGTTTGTTACACATGTATACATGTGCCATGTTGGTGTGCTGCACCCATTAACTCGTCATTTAACATTAGGTATATCTCCTAATGCTATTCCTCCCCTCTCCCCCCACCCCACAACAGGCCCTGGTGTGTGATGTTCCCCTTCCTGTGTCTATGTGTTCTCATTGTTCAATTCCCACCTATGAGTGAGAACATGCGGTGTTAGGTTTTTTGTCCTTGGATAGTTTGCTGAGAATGATGGTTTCCAGCTTCATCCATGTCCCTACAAAGGACATGAACTCATCATTTTTTATGGCTGCATAGTATTCCATGGTGTATATGTGCCACATTTTCTTCATCCAGTCTATCATTGTTGGACATTTGGGTTGGTTCCAAGTCTTTGCTATTGTGAATAGTGCCACAATAAACACACGTGTACCTGTGTCTTTATAGCAGCATGATTTATAATCCTTTGGGTATATACCCAGTAATGGGATGGCTGGGTCAAATGGTATTTCTAGTTCTATATCCCTGAGGAATCGCGACACTGACTTCCACAATGGTTGAACTAGTTTGCAGTCCCACCAACAGTGTAAAAGTCTTCCTATTTCTCCACATCCACTCTTTGATATCTTTTAAAACTTGCTGTTTGTCTTAGATTCTATATTTTTTCTGATTTATTTATTTTTAATTGATAAATAACAATTGTGTATATTTATGGGGTAAAATGTACACTTTGTAGAAAAATTAAAGCTGATTAACATATCCATCACCTCACCAATTTATTTTTTGTGGTAAGAATGTTAAAAATCTATTTTTAAAACAAATTTGAAATACTACAGTCCTCCCTTATCCATGGGGGATACATCCCAAGGCCCCCAGTGGATTCCTAAAACCACAGATAGTACCAAACCCTATATATATATATCATGCTTTTTCTTACATATATATATCTATGATGAAGTTTAATTTATAAATTAAGCAGAGTAAGAGATTAACAACTATTAATAAAATAAAACAATTATAAATAAATGTATACATACATTTAAATAGAACAATTTCCAACTTATGAGTTCTTTTCATCTGGTAGTTTTCTTTAATATTTTCAGACCACAGTAATTGAAACTGGAAAGCAAAACAACAGACAAGGGGGGATTACTGTATTCAGTACATTATTATTAACTGTCGTCACCATGCAGTGCAATAGATCATAAAAACTTATTCCTTTTGTGTAACTGAGATTTTCTATCCTTTGATTAACATTTTCCTTTCCGCATCATTCTCCCTCTTCACCAGCCTTTGGTAACCCCCTTTCGCTCTCTGTTTCTATGACATCAACTTTTTAGATTCCACATATAAGTAAAATCATGCAGTATTAATCTTTCTGTGCCTGGCTTATTTCACTCAGCATAATGTTCTCCAGTCCCATCTCTGTTGTTGTGAAGGACAAATTGTCCTTTTTAAGGGTTGTATAGTATTCCATTGCACATATACACACCATTTTTATTTTATCCATTTCTCTGTTGATAGACACTTAGGTTGCTTCCATATCTTGACTATTGTGAATATAATGCTGAAATGAATTTGGAAGTGCAGATGTCTCATCCACATACTGGACATATTCCATTCCCAGTAGTGAGATTGCTGGATTATATGGTAGTTCTTTTAATTTTCTTAGGAACCTCCATACTATTTTCCAAAATGGCTGTACTAATTTACATTCCCACCAACAGTGTACAAGGGTTCCCTTTTCTCCACATCCTCACCAATGCTTTTGTCTTTTGATAATAGCCATTCTGACATTCTCACTGTAGTTTTCATTTGCATTTCCCTGATGATTAAAGATGTTGAGAATTTTTAAATATATCTGCTGACCATTTGTATCCTATCTTTTGAAAAATGTCTGTTCAGATTCTTTGACCATTTTTAATCCAGTTATTTGTTTTCTTACTATTGAGTTTTATCCAATATATATTTGTTTCTAGCCTCTTATCAAATGTATGGTTTATAAATGTATTCTCCCAATCTGTGGGTTGTCTCTTCACTGTTAATTGTTTCCTTTACTCTGCAGAAGCTTCTTAGCTTGATGCAGTCCCATTTGTCCATATTTGCTTTTGCTGCCTGTGCTTTTAGAGTCCTATCCAAGGAATCATTGCCTCTTCAGCAGAGCTAAGCCCAGGAAAAAAAAAGAAAAAAAGAAAAAAGAAATATTGCCCAAACCAATACCATGGAGCTTTTCCCCTGTTTTCTTCTAGTAGCTTTACAGTTTCATGTCTTACACTGAAGTCTTTTATCCATTTTGAGTTGATTTATGTATACAGTGTGAGATAAGGGAACAATTTCATTCTTCTGCATGTGGATATTCAGTTTTTCCAACACCATTTATTAAAGAGATCGTCTTTTCCTTATCATGTGTTCTTGGCACATTTGTTGAAAATCAATTGACAGTAAATATGTCAATTATCTGTGCTTTCTATCCTATTACATTGGTTGATGTTTTTATTTTTATGCCAGTACCATGCTGTTTTGATTACGGTAGTTTATTATATACTTTGAAATTAGGGAGTGTGATGCCTGCAGCTTTGTTCTTTTTGCTTAAGATTACTTTGGGTATTCTGAGTTTTTTCTGAGTCCATACAAATTTTAGGATTGTGTTTTGTATTTCTGTGGAAAATGACATTGGCTTTTTGAAAGAAATTGTATTGAATCTTCAGATTCTATAAAATCTTACTAACGTGTTTAGGTGTTGTTGATCTTTTTGCTCCTTTGGTACTCTGTAAGAACTCTTAGTCTGAGATTTCTGATTTTTATTTTTGGAAAGTTTTTACCATTTATTCAAATATTTTCTTCCCTCTAATTATTTTATTTTTCTTTCTGGAATTTTTATTAAACAGGCTTGATATTTCTTTCCATTTTACTTAGTTTTTCATTTTTTTTTAACTTTTTAAATGTTTTTCTGGGAAAGTTTCTTTTTTTATTTTATTACATTTTTGTTTTATTTTGTGTTTGCATGTATGTGTATAGATACATGAAATCAAAAAAGCTGGAGAATTTTAATTTTCTCTCTTCTGGGAGAATTTTGAAATATAATATTCTTGCTCAGTAATTTGTTTATTTTGTATCCACTCTGTCTTTTCATCCCAATTCATAATTGTTTCATTTCAAATTTTGTATTATTTATATAAAAACCATCCGGTTTTTTGATATAACTTCCATTTCCTCTTCATGTCACCAGAATCCTCCTTAAAATTTCTTGGAGGATATTTATTATGTTTCTTTTAAAATTTTATAAGATAATTAACACTAGGAAGCAAAGGATAAGTGTAAATAAGAGTTATAAATATTTCCATGAATACTTAGAGAAGATCCTGGAACAGTCAAGAAGACAATAAGGAAATGGTAAATTTGAAGGATTTAGACCAGTTGTGGAGTTGGAATGATCTGTAGAAGAAAGAACATTCCGGTAAGGAGAATAGTGAAAAAAGATTTCTGGAGGTAGTAGGGAGTATTTTATAGAAATTCAAATAAGATTGTTTTAAGCAACATCATCTACTGTGAGTAAGGATAGTATTTAGAAAGCTAGCTTGTGTAGAAATGGTCCACAACAGTCAACTATGGGAAATGTGTAAATAAAGGATGATTGAGAGAGTTTCTGAATGGACAGTTGGGCCAGATTAAAGTAAGATTTCACAAGTTAGTGGTCAACCAAGGTATGTGATCTTAATAACATTTTCTAACAATACCAAAGAGTAAATGGGCTTGTCTGGGAAATATAGTCAGCAGAGAAGGCGAACACCAAAAGAACACTGAAATAAAAGGTGCTGTCCAGAAAATGTGACAGTTGTTCTGTTTTTAATAATAGGAAAATGATGAGAAAACAGGAGGAGATAGTGGGGAAGATGAGAGCGAATATGGACAGGAATGAGTAAATATGATGGGTTAATCTATGTTGTAAGGCACAGATAATAGGGCTGGACACAGTAGGAGGTAAGTATGAGATGTAGCACAGAACACATTGGTAGACGTTTGCAAATAGAGGAGATTAAGGGGCATCTGATATAACTGTCCCAGTTGAAAATTTGGTGTGGCTGGGCCTCTAGACACCACCTTACCCTCATCACCCCTGACAGAGGAGAGGAAGATGTTTTTTACTCTTGGGACTCCGGGCCTTGCTGGTAATAAGGTCCTCTGAGAATGTAAACTCACTGGGGCTTTCAAAATACAGGAGGAGAAATGTTAGATCCTAAGATTGCTCAAGAACTGATTAAAGCTTTGTGTTTCCATGGCTATAGATAGCATCCTTGTCCTCAGTACATCTTTCATAAATACATGACTATGTCAAAAGAGGGGTAGGGTAAAAATATATAGCTGAATCACTTCAAGATGTTACTATTTATTGGAGAGAAAAAAGCAAGTAAAAATACATATTTTTATGTTTCCTACGTCATATTCCTATGTGAAGGACACAACAATATTGCCTGCATTTCTTCCTGAAGAGCTTGGCCTGAATTGACTTCTCACCAAAGTCCTAAGGCTCTTTTTACTGATTAGTCCTGCTCTGTCTTCTGTTGTTGTCTTAGACCTTGATAGTTTTTGTGTCCTCCTACAGCATGTGTATATACAGACAGATTTCTGTTAAAATGAGTGGTGGATGGGCTACTGACCTTTATGTTGCCTACTCTGGATACCAGAATCTGAATAACCATAAATATATGAATATATGAGTATATGTGGTAGCATTTTTTAGAAATTCATCATATTTTCATTTGTCGATGGTAACCTTATCCACTGTGGGTAAAGAAACAAGATTCTGTGCTGTGCATTGTTGCTGCTGGTTCATTGTCTTGTCCACTGAAGCTTCCTATTCTGATTCTGAGGCCCTTTTTAGTAGGTCTTGGGCTTTGTTTTATCTTTTTTATTCTAAATATTGAGTTCTATATTTTAATACCTTGTCTTAACACTGCCACCTGGACCACTGAAGGCTATTGGATATGCTACAGTTCATTTCTCTTATCTGACTGCACTATTTCTGCAAGCTTTTCTGTAGATATCAGACCTTTAATGCCTTTCAGCAATAATTAAAAGGCATTAAAGGTCTGTAGTGGGCAATTGTGGTTTGTTATTTTGTTACATACTGATAATGTCTATCCTTTTTACGGTAAAAAATTTCCTTCTGAATATCACCCCTTCCCCAACTTAGACCATAGTGTTTGACTAGAAGTGTCCCTGCTCCCAGCTCCAGGAATCTTCCATGATTAGTGTAAGCCATAGTGATTAGTCTAAGGTTAAATACATGGCCCAATTCTGACCAATGAAAATTAGTCTCAGGATGTTTTTGCCACCTTTGGGATACAAAAGTTTTCACCTTCCTTCTGGACTCTAGGTAAGTACTGATGCAGCCATCTTATGAATACTGTCAACTGGTGACAACAGTAAGGCTTCTGCTGACAAAGGGAGGCACAGGAGGGAGAAAAAGCAAGCTGGTCCTAGATCAAGGTTCACTACAGGAGCACTGAAATTCCCAAGAGATCCCAAAAAGCCAACTGACTATATTGGTAAAAGCATTAAATATTTTCTTTACCAAATGGCTTAGGAAAATGCTATTTAATTATTTTATGCTCAATATTGAGTTAGTTGCATTTATGTCTAATCTTGACAACTAATCTTTGAAGGAAAAGAGTATAAGTTTATTCATATACACCTGTGTGAGACAGAGATACAAAAAAGCACAGTGCTTTGTACAACATAGTGGTACAACATTTGTTGACTTAAATTGACATGTATCCTAATTTTTTCCACAAGGGTCACTGAGTCTATCCTTATTCTGTATTTATAAATAATGTGAGTCATATAGCTCAGTGGAAATACAGCAGCTCTAAAGTCCACGCAATACTTACTAAAGCTTTGTTAAAGAACGTTGTGTAGGAAAACAAGATTGTACATATATATAAACTGTGATCTTGAATCATTGCTTTTGAGAGCTTTATAATAAGTTCTCAACTTGTCTAACATTTTATATCTCTTTATCATGAAATTCTTGCAAATTCGGATGGAAGGCCTCCATTAATGAAACATTTGTAATAGTGAGAGTGGGAAAATGGAATAGAAGATTAACAAAAGGTCTGGGTTAGAGTATGAACACTATTGTCCAACATGGAGTGTGGGAAGCACTGAACAATGAAGAAGCCCTGATTAATTAACTGGTTATCACCAAGGCTTTATCCAGGGATGATAATTATTTGGGCACTTATTTCAAGAAGGCGGAACTTGCTAATCTGGTATGAACACTATTGTCCAACATGGAGTGTGGGAAGCACTGAACAATGAAGAAGCCCTGATTAATTAACTGGTTATCACCAAGGCTTTATCCAGGGATGATAATTACTTGGGCACTTATTCCAAGAAGGTAGAACTTGCTAATCTGGGTGGAGGGATGTTCACAATGGCCTGGAATACTTTCCCTGTGCCCCTCCCGTTCCCTGTTTGGTTAGTCATTCATGGAGTAGTGGATATAACACTGGCTAAGGTCATGTCCTCAGTTCATGTTCCCACCTCTGCCGCTTGTTTGCTGAATTGGCTAGGGCAAGTCACTTCATCTATTTGAATCTTATATTTTTTCTGTATAGAATGAGGTTATAATATAAAGGCTCAATAAGATGGTGGTGGTTAAATGTTTAAAACCTAAAACTTAAAAAAGTAAAGCATACTATATTACTTTATTTGACTTTAATTTAATTTAAAAATTAATAAAAGTAAATCTAACCATCAAGTGCCTATCGTGCTAGGCTGGTGGGAAGTTTTTAAACATGGAATCACTCATTACTCCTACTGCCAATATCTATTTATTTATATCTTGCTGTTATGAAAATTTATACCTTGTATAGGTTTAATTAAATGTCTTCTTAATTAGAACTAGATTTTCCCAGGAACATCAAAAATTTTTTAAAAGACAAGTTAGACACACAATTATATAAAGATAAAAGACACAAATTACAAACTTTCTTTTGACTAAAAGAATTGAAAGTTGGGCTACATTTTTGTAGATTTTTAAGAATTCTTTAGAACTTCCTATATATAATATCATGCCATCTGTGGATAGTTTTACTTCTTCCTTTCCAATCTGGACGGCTTTTACTTATTTTTCTTGCCTAATTGCCCTGGCTAGACCTCTAGCACAATGTTGAATAGAAGTGGTAAAAATGAACAACTTGTCTTGTTTTTGACCTTGGAGGAAAGCTTTTCAGTCTTTTATCACTAAGTGTCATATTTGCTGTGGGTTTTTCATAAATGTCTTTTATCAAATTGGATACATTCCCTTATATTTCTATAATATCTATTGAGATGTTCGTGTGTTTTTTGTCCTTTATTTAATTAATATGTATTACATTGGTTAAGTTTCATGTGTTGTACAAATTTTGCATTCCTGGGATAAATCCCACTTGGTCTTGTTATACAATCCTTGTATGCTGCTGGATTCAGTTTTCTAGTATTGTGTTGAAGATGTTTGCATCTGTATTCATAAGGAATATTGGTCTGTAGTTTCCTTTTTTGTGATATTTTTGTCTGGTTTTGATGCGAGAGTAATACTGGCCTCATAAATTGCATTATTTAGTAGTATTCACCCATGATGCCATCTGGGCCTGAGCTTTTTTTTTGTGGAACTTTTTTGATTACTAATTCAGTTTATTCAATAATTATATATCTATTCAGAATTTTTATTTCTTCTTGAGCTAGTTTCAGTAGTTTGTGTCTTTCTAGGAATTTGTTAATTCCATCTAAGTCATCTGATTTGTTGTATGCTATATACAATTGTTTATAGTATTCCCTCATTATGCTTTGTTTATTTATTTATCTCTGCAAATTCAGAGTAATGGCCATTCTACTATATAGACATATAAAACTAAATGCAGTAATATTTTCTTCAGTTTCTCAGCAATAGGCAAGAGTCTACTCAGACATTCAAAGCACATGATTGTTGATTTTATATTCAAGCTCTGAAAATGGGATACAATTCTTCCTCAAACACTTTTTCCTCTATCATCCTGCATTAGTTAGGATTCAGTTTGCTCCAACAGGACACATATACCCTTGCCCAGTGTTTTCAAGCAAAACAGACTTTTAAAAACATTATTCCAGCTAGTTAGTATCAAACATTGATGGGTAGGAAATTGAGAGCCAATCCCCACTGCTGGCTCCAGGACCAGATCACTTCTGCCATGATCCATGCCAGGAGAATGGATATCCCATGTTCCACTGTTCAACACTAGAGAATGAGGAAGCCATCCCTGGGACCTCTGCTACAGCTGTCATGGAAAAGCCAAATGCTTTCCATGACTGTCTTTTTTTTTTTTTTTTTTTTTTTTTTTTTAGATGAATCTCAGTCTGCTGCCTGGGCCGGAGTGCAGTAGGGCAATCTCAGCTCACTGCAACCTCCACCTCCGATTTCAAGCGATTCTCCTGCCTCAGTCTCCCAAGTAGCTGGGATTGCAGGCACCCGCCACCACACTCAGCTAATTTTTGCATTTTCAGTAGAGATGGGGTTTCACCATGTTGGTCAGGCTGGTCTTGAACTTCTGACCTCAAGTGATCCGCCCGCCTAGGTCTCCCAAAGTGCTGAGATTACAGGCATGAGCATGTGCCCGGCCTCCATGACTGTCTTTACCGGCAGAATCCAGGTTTTTACCTGCCCTAGTTTTATTCATTTCAAGACAATACTGCTGGGGCACACTCAGATTTACTAATTTTAAAATTAGAATTTATTTTAGTCACTATGACTTGAGCCACTTAGAAATGTAAACGAACTTTGAGAGTAATTTTCTTTTTTTTTTTTTTTTTGTTCTTTAATTTCCTCATTCATTTATTCAAAAATATTTATCAAGTGAAACACTATTATAAAAATATAAAAACTTTGTTTTAATAAATGATTTTTTTTTTATTATACTCTAAGTTTTAGGGTACATGTGCACATTGTGCAGGTTAGT
This sequence comes from Homo sapiens, assembly GCF_000001405.40. NCBI lineage: Eukaryota > Metazoa > Chordata > Mammalia > Primates > Hominidae > Homo > Homo sapiens. The sequence continues at coordinate 121,310,959 of NC_000004.12, read as the reverse complement.
TACATATGTATACATGTGCCATGCTGGTGTGCTGCACCCACTAATGTGTCATCTAGCATTAGGTATATCTCCCAATGCTATCCCTCCCCCCTCCCCCGACCCCACCACAGTCCCCAGAGTGTGATATTCCCCTTCCTGTGTCCATGTGATCTCATTGTTCAATTCCCACCTATGAGTGAGAATATGCGGTGTTTGGTTTTTTGTTCTTGCGATAGTTTACTGAGAATGATGGTTTCCAATTTCATCCATGTCCCTACAAAGGATATGAACTCATCATTTTTTATGGCTGCATAGTATTCCATGGTGTATATGTGCCACATTTTCTTAATCCAGTCTATCATTGTTGGACATTTGGGTTGGTTCCAAGTCTTTGCTATTGTGAATAGTGCCGCAATAAACATACGTGTGCATGTGTCTTTATATTAGATGAAAACATCTGACTCTGAGACATTTAAAATATGTTTCTTATTTCTTTCAGCTTTTATGGTTTTAGAGACTTTCTATTATTTTCTTCTTCATACAACTCATGTGATATGACTGCTAGTATTTGCATGTTTTGATCTTCGACTTAAAAATCAGTTCAACCCCCTCTCTACACTATCACTACATATTTCTGAGATAAAAAGTACTTATGTTTTCCAAGCATTTGAAAGAACACCTACATTTAAAATGTCTGTAACTATGATGATATTATATTATAAAAATAAATACTTACTTGAAGACAAAAAGAAAAGAAATACACTATACGACGAAGGGGAAAAAAACTATAATCTTTACACAAATCACTAGGTTAAATAGCCAACTGAGAAACCTTACTGAAGGGTAATTTCCAACAATTGCACATTTTTCTGTTTTGACTTAAATCCATTTGTATTATGGCGTAAAATAAAAAGCTCTTGGGTTTAAAAAAAATACTCTGTGCTGAGACTCCCAGAACACAACTATATAAATCTTTTACTTGTTCTCTTCATTCTACCTGAATACCTACTCTACATTCATTGCCCATTCTTTTCTGGAATATATTTGTCTCTATCTTAATCCACCTCATTGTGTCCCAGGTTTATCTTAATAAAATCTCTTTGCAGTTTGCATTTTTTACTGCAAACTTTTTATGGGAGTATAACATACATAGAGAAAAGTGTACAAATTATAAGCATAGAACTGAAAGAATGAAAGGAGTTTTAGCATTTTTTTATACTGATGCCAATGTTGGCTTTATTATATAAACTACATCCCATATTTTCACACATTATATACCATTGAAAATAATTATCAAATAGCATATATTTAAATGCCTCAAAAGTTGATCATCTTTGAACTTCCAGAGCAGCCAATGACTATATTAGAACCTTTGAAAAATGAGAAAATACCTACCATTTTATTATTTTCAGAGTCACCGGCTGACTGGAGAGGCAATTTTATTCTTAATTTGCAGAGGTGGAGGCTGAAACTTAGTGAGGATAATAGAGGTGCAGCATCTAAAGTCAGACCTGTCTCTAAGGCCTGCCCTCTTCCCATGCCCCTGGATGATCAGCAGTGGCAGTTGAACATCTTATAAATATTAGCCTTGACTGTGATATAAGAATGACTGAAGTTTGGAAAACCCTGTATGCCAGTGGTTCCCAACATTTTTGGCACCAGGGACTGGTTTCTCGGAAGACAATTTTTCCATTGATGATCAGGTGGTGGTAGGGTGTGGAGGATGGTTTTGGGATGACACTGTTCCATCTCAAATCATCAGGTATTAGTTGGATTCTCATAAGAAGCACGCATCCTAGGTCCCTAGCATGCACAGTTCACAATAGAGTTCGTGCTCCTATGAGAATCTAATGCTGCAGCAGACAGCAGATCTGGCAGGAGGTAGAGCTCAGGCGATAATGCTCGCTTGCCCACTGCTTACCTCCTGCTGTGCAGCTCGGTTCCTAACAGGCCACAGACAGGTACTGGTCCCCAGCCCGGGGGTTGGGGACCCTTGCTGTACACTACCAGCTACGCTTGCTAAACCAACTGCCTCTGAAATGAAAGGAGAGTTTAGTGAATTACAGAAAGAACTTTTAGGCTGAAAGCATGTGAGGCCAGTACTGAAGTCTGGCTCTCTACCACTAAGACAGCCAGACTGGAAGCTAAAGACAACATTTCCCAGATGCCTTAAGAGATCTGGTCCACCACAAGGACCTAGCACTGGCTTGAGATCTAGGAGGCACACTCATCACACCTATGTTCTAATACAGGTTAGCTGTCACTTTTTTAATCTTTTAAGAACATAAATGAAACTTACAGAGGAGGAGGCCCATCTTCTGCTGCTTGTGCTGCCTCTGAAGGAAAGTGGGCCCAAGGAGGCATTTGGTTTTCTGTGGCAGCTGTAGCAGAGGCCCCCTTGACTCATGCCTCAATTCCATTAGTAATCTATTTCATTAATATGTCATCATATAGAGTCAGGGTTAGGTTGAAGGCAACAAAATATCCTCTAGTCAGTTCATGTAAAAAGAGGTTAATTAGCAGTTTTGGGGTGACTCATCAGATTTTTAAAAGGGCTGGAGAAGTAGGCTCCGGGCTGAATTTGCAGGAATTACCCTCATGAGATGTAACTGCCCTGATAAGAAGCCACTTCCTCTGCCACAATCTGGAAGATAAGGCATCAAGGAGCTACCACCATAATTGCTGGCCTTAGGACCCTATATAGCTTACCATGACCCATGTGCTACATAAATTGTGATTTGTTAATTCCAAATTTGTTATCCTCTCTAGTTTATTGTTATATCTCTTCTTTTTCACATTTTCAAACAAACTCTTGGAAGTGAAAAATACCAAGCTGCTCTTTAAATGTAAAGATGACATTATTATTCTACCAAATGCATTTGGAAAATAGACTGTAAAGGGCTATACTTCAAAAAATATATGTATTATTCCACTCCCTTCTCCCAAATTTGACCTCCACCTAACCAGGTGTCCTTTTTCCTAACATTGCTCTGTAGATGGCGCTATTGCTGCACAGTGGCAAGTTGGTAGCAAAAGAAACTGACCTTTAAGAGGACTCAGAGAACAGGTTAATTTTAAAGACATCTGGAACTCTGGCACATGGTTGGGTCAGAGCTAAGTATTTTCAAGTTTGGTTTGTTGTTAGATGTTGGTGAGTTGCCTCTAACGTCTGGAAAGCAAAGATTAAAAGATGCTTGGAATTTGCAAGCCACAAGGTTGGTTTGGCCCCAAGACAAAAGGTACAGAGCTTTAAAGTTTAGTGGATGTTCCTGACAGCCCGGTTTATATCTCGTTTTGCTCCTTTTGGGGTTCACCTGGGCTTGTGTAAAAACGTGACAACCTGTTCAAGAGCCTGTCTTAGCCTGTGGGAAGGTGGACTAGAGGAGCTGCCTGAAAGATGAAGTCATGAGAATAAGGGAGGTGTTTTTCATTTCATGCAGACTCATGGTTTTACTTCCTCTTGCCCAGATACCCTCTCTTACCTTGGTAATAAAACTTTGTTTGTGTCTCTTTCTGACTTTTGTTTTGTGCAATAAATCATTTTTCTAAAACTATTCTTTTGGAAGACAAATTAAAGTGAATATGAATGTGAGGAATAATGCACAAATAAAGATAAATTCTGAGACTCATTAACTTACTCAGAAAACAGACAATGTAACTGAAGAAGAAGATCATTGGCTGTTTTCCATTTCTTTCCATCCATGTCTTTTTGAGATCCTCCAGCAAATTTGAAAAATATGTGGAGGAATAATAAAAATGCCTAGAAAACCTCATCAATTCAGAAATTAATTTGACTCACCTATCTGTGAACACAGGCAATTGCATTAACAGCATACTCCTACTGATAAACAGCCCTGCCAATAGACATGCTTGATAGAGATTCACCCAACCACAACTCTGTGGGCCAATTCTATTTAGGAAATGTCATAGCACTATGATCTGCTATGAGATTCAAAGCATATAGTTTTTATAGGAAGAGGACATTTTCAGTACCTAGAGGGTTTTTGTTTTGTACCTTTAAAAAATAGCCTGAAAGAGCGGTTTCTGTATCTTAAAGACTTCCTGAGCCCCATCCACAGAGATGATGATGCAGTTAGGTCTGTGGCAATACTTGAGATGCTATATTCCTAATTGCTCTATAAACTTCTCCAAGAACTGGATAAGTTTTGGAAGCCTGGTTCGTAGAGAAGGAATAAGATGCCAAAAACCGGAAAGAACCTGAGAGTGGCTACACTCTCAAGACTTGTGATACAATTTTTTAAATTGCTACATAATATTTTACCTATTTATGTGATAGAGGTGAGTATTTGTTACATGGGTAAGACACAGAATGATCAAGTCAGGATATTTGAGGTATTCATCACCTTGAGTATTTATCATTTCTATGGGTCGGGAATATTTTAGGTCCTTTCTTCTAACTACTTTGAAATATAAAATACATTGTTGCTTACTGTAGTCACCCTACTCTGTTATGGAACTTTAGAATTTATATCTTATGGCCGGGCATGGTGGCTCACGCTTGTAATCCCAGCACTTTGGGAGGCCGAGGTGGGCGGATCACGAGGTCAGGAGATCAAGACCATCCTGGCTAACACGGTGAAAACCCATCTCTACTAAAAATACAAAAAAATTAGCTGGGCGTGGTGGCAGGCGCCTGTAGTCCCAGCTACTTGGGAGGCTGAGGCAAGAGAATGGCGTAAGTAAACCCGGGAGGCGGAGCTTGCAGTGAGCCTAGATCACGCCACTGCACTCCAGCCTGGGCAACAGAGCGAGACTCCGTCTCAAAAAAAAAAAAAGAGGAATTTATATCTTATATCTAATATTTGTGCCCATTAACCAACCTCTCTTCATATGCCCCTCCTACCCACACACCCTTCCCAGTCTCTGGTGTCTACCATTCTACTCTCTACTTCCAAGAGATCAACTTTTTTAGTTCCCACATATGAATGAGAACATGCATTGTTTGTCTTTCTGTTCCTGGCTTAGTTTACTTAATGTAATGACCTCCAGTTCCATCCATGTTGCTGCAAATGACATGATTACATTATTTTTATGGCAGAATATTATTCTATTGTGTATATATACCACATTTGCTTTATCCATTTGTCCTCTGATGGACGCTTAGGCTGATTCCATATCTTTACTACTGGGAACAGTGCTGCCATAAATATGTGAGTGCAGATATACCTTTGGTATACTGATTTCTCTTCCTTTGGATAAATACCCAGGAGTGGGATTGCCAGATCATATGGTAGTTCTATTTTTAGTATTTTGAAAACTCTCCACACTGTTCTCCATAATGGCTCTACTAACCTACATTCCCATCAACACTATATAGGAGTTCCCTTTACTCTGTATCCTTGCCAGTATCTGTTAATTTTTGTCTTTTTATACCAGCCATTCTGAGGTAAGATATCTCATGGTAGTTTTGATTAGTATTTCCCTGATGATTAGTGATGTTGAGAATTTTTTCATATGTCTGATGGCCATTTATATTTCTTCTTGTGAATAATGTCTATTTATGTATTTTGCCCACTTTTTAAAGGGATTATTTTTTTTTACTGTTGAGTTGTTTGAGTTCCTTGTATATTAAAATCACTGCATTTACAAAATTGGAAATGAATAAAAGGATGGACCTAGGGTGAGAATTGGAGATTTGTATTTTAAAACCCTGGAATCTAGATTGCTTTACTGCCTTCTAAAAAAACAAAATTGCTTTCTCTCTCAAGTTCTTTTTCACATCTTAAGAGTAGAATAATTCTTATCTTCTGATGATATCTGGTAGAGGAACAGGATATACTTTTGGTGAAAAATACTTTGAGCTGGCCTGACCTCTGGCCTCTTTGGCTGTTGGACATGCTGCATACTTATCTTATGTTTGTTAGTTTTGTAAATTTTTAACTAGATAAAGTGTCAAGTGAACTGAGAAGGTGATAGAATCTAGTGCATGCCAATGTACAATTCAAATTGACTTACACAGAGCAATAGTCCCAAGTTGTGGACTTACCAGTATGCAGTGGGAAGTGAAATGGAAACTGCACTAAGGTAAGTGTCGTTTCTAACAGTATATTAAAACAACATGAAAAACCCAAAGTAGACACTCTTAGTTCAAATAGCTCAACTTTGTAAGTCAACTTTGTATTTTAAAAAAGGTCAAAGTTATACAATCCTTTTACTCTTTACTGACTTAAGATACCTACTTATTTTGCATTAATCAATTACATTTTATTATTGAATTTTATCTCATCTATCAGCTTTTTTATTGTATGTTTTTGTGTCATTTTAGAGGTTACCCTAGAAATCACAAAATGCAACCATAATTTTGTCTCCTTTTGCCATATCTCGAACACTGCAATGAGCAGATATAACAGATATCTGTAAAATAACAGATACTGGCAAGGATACACAGTAAAGGGAACTCTTATACAGTGTTGATGGAAATGTAAGTTAGTACAGCCATTATGGAGAACAGTGTGGAGAGTTCTCAAAAAACTGGAAATAGAACTACCATATGATCTGTCAGTCCCAGTACTGGGTATTTATCCAAAGGAAGACAAATCAGTATACCAAAGGGATATCTGCACTCACTTGTTTATTGCAGCACTGTTCACAATAGTCAAGCTCCTTGCAGTGCTTTAACTTATAATAGTTAACCATTCCTATCCTTTTTTGCTGCTATTGTCACATTGTTTTACTCCTACATAAGTTATAAACTTTTCTTGGACTTCTGTGTTATACTTCTGTTCTGTACTTCTGTTCTTCCATCTGGGACCATTATACTTTGACATGAAGAACATTCTTCAGTAGTTCTTGTATTGAAGATCTACTAGTGACAGTTCTCTCAGCTTTGGTTATATGGAAATGTCTATTTCTTTGCCTTTTTTTTTGAAGGATACTTTCATTCTGTATAGAATTCTAAATTGGCAGGTTTGTTTTTTCTCTTTTAGTTCTTTAATGATGTCTTCTAGCACAGTTCTGGTCAGTGGATTTCTTCCTGATATTTCTCCAGAAGCAATATGATCTTTTTCTTTTAAAGATCTTCTCTTATTATTTCTTTTTAGAATAAAGCTGAAGTTTTCTTTGTATTTATCTTGCTTGGGGCTCACTGAATTTGTGGGGTTTCTTTTTATGAGATTTGAAAGCTATTGACTATTGTTTCTTCAACTTTTTTTATCTCTCTTTTCTCTCCTTGGGATTCTAGCTATATGCATGTTAGACTTTTTAAATCCTGTTCCACGTTTCTTATCTGTTTTGTTTTGTTCTTTCTATTCTTTTTTCTATCTGTGCTTCTTGCATATTTTCTATTGACTTGAGTCTGTAAATCCTATCTTCTCCTATGTTCAGTCTACTGTTAAACCCATCAAAAGAGTTCTTAATTTCAGACTGTGTATTTTGCACTTCTAGAATTGTATTCAAGGTAATCCAGAGGGAGACAGAGAAAAAATATATATGTATATACATATATATTATATATTACACACATATATAATCTATGTTATATAATATATAATTATTAATATATATAATGAGGAATTGGCTCACACAATTATGGAGGATGAGAAATTTCATAATCTACTGTCTGCAAGCTGGAGACCCAAGAAAGCCAGTGATTCAGTCTGGGTCCCAAGGCTGGAGAGCCATGGAAGCTGGGTATGAATCCTAATCCTAAAGCTGGGAAGATGAGATGAGATGTCCCAGCTAAGCAGGGAGGCAGGAAGTAAAAGGGACAAATTCTCCTTCCTTTGCCTTTTTTTTCTATTCAGACTCTCAATAGATTGGATGATGCCCAACAACACTGGGCAGGGAGTCTACTTACTGAGTCCATTTATTCAATGCTAATCTCATTTGGAAACATCTTCGCAGACACACCCAGAAATAATGTTTAACCTGAGCTCTCCTTTCCAGTTGACACACAAAATTAACTATCACAACAATGTTTGTTTGAGCTCTTAAAATAAATTCTTTATTTATAAATCCTCTATTGTAACCCTCCATTTTTTTCTTCAATGTTGTGCATATTTCGGTCTACTTTCTTTAACTTACTAATCATGGTTATTTTAAAGTCTCGTCTGCTAACTTCAGCTTAATCTGGATCATAACTAAGCCTATTTCTCTTGTCTACTTTATTTCATGTCCACTTTGTATCCATCATTTTATTTTGGCTTTTGAAGTGTTTTGCATTCTCTTCCATTTTCTACACCATTTAGTTCTTATGAAATCTATGGATCCACCACTTTATTTTGGGTTCTTATAGTATTTCAGGATATCTTCTGTGTTCTATACCATTTATTTATTATGAGGTTTGTGTTGGAAGGCTAACTTTTTTGGTAACAGTTTTTAATACCAGTTACAGATAATCCAAAGTTCCCTTTCTTTGTAAGTTACTGAAAATTCACATTTTAAAAATAACATCTTAAGAAATTGCACTTCTGTGTTCTGGCTCCTACTACATGGACACATGAAATGCAGGTATCCAAGAATTGTGCTGTTTAACATATTCTGCAAAATGCTGATTGCAGCTTATTACTTAGGAGCATCTTTATCCATGTCACTCTTTCTCTCTGTGACATTATCATTGTTATTGGCAAAAAAGTATTTACTGTATGCTCTCAAAAAGTCTGGAAAGAAAATCTTCCAGATTTTTTCCAAAATGAAAAAGATTCTCTCTTTCTGTCAAAAATAATAGATCATAGAGAATGTATGTTTTTCCTCAATTCATCAGTCCCATTTCCCATGTTCCAAATATTGTTACTTTTTATTATTTAACTATTTCATAGCCACAGGAGCTACACAAATATAATTTATTTATTTATAGACTAATACCAGAATGGTTTGTTCAATGGTGAACTGAATTTCCTCCTAATAAGCAAATAGGTTATACGTGTTTTGTACCAGAAAAACATCAATCAAACATTATTTCAGACCCACTTAATTCTAGGAAAGAAAGAGATAAATCTGGGATAATCAAGAGAATGCAATCATTTGGCTTATTTTAAACCAGCCTCATACATTTTTTAAATGACCTATTTTCTTTGTTTCCCAACAAATTTTATGAAACCTTTACTCTCAGGAATGATCCATAAAGGAATATGTCTTCATTGTACAGGCATTCTTTCTTCTACTCGTGTTACTATGCTCTCACAGTATTCTTCTGAACTTCCAGGAAAGATAGCTCAAGGTTTATTTGTACTTTATAGCCCTTTTAGGGCACATAAAATAACATAAATTTATTTTATATTATGAGCCTGATAGATTATTAGCAACTAGAAACCAGGTACTGAAAAAAAAGATGCCCTTTGTGATATTAGTCTTTGTGTTCAAGAAAAGGACTTGTCAAGTCCCAGCCTTTAAGTAGTAAATGGCATATGTATATATATAATCTTCATATGTATATTATCCTCATTATGTCAATGAGGCAGTGAAAAAGTGATTCACCATGTTTTCCCTGTGAAATCACCACCTAGGCTGAGGTGGTGAATACGTCCTAAAGGAGTGAAAAACCTGGGTGGTTAGGAGGATGCACTTTAGAATAAGTACAGACCTGAGATGAAAGAAACTCTCAGGCCGTGTTTGAGTTTTAAGTCCTTCATTCGAGGATGTGTAAGAGAGCCTGGCTGTGGTGGGAAATGGCTATGGCTCCTGGCATGTGTTAGGACCTACATTTCTGAAAAGATGAAAATATGTGGGAGAATGGCAGTAAGTAGACAGTAAAGTCAAATTAATTTTCTTATAAGCTTCAGATTTCTCATGTGTAAAATAGTAAAAATATTTTCTAATTAAATTTGAATAGAAATTTAATCTACTATTAAAATTTCTCTAGTTTTTCTCCTTAACTGATGTTTACCTAGAACTTAGTCAAGTAAAAATGAACTTACTAAAGTAAAAATGAACTGGGGCCTCTGCTTTTCTCAGTGACTTTATTACATTATTTCCTCCTTCCTGTCTTGTCCACTTGAACCTAGAGAACCAAAGGTATAGGGGAATAAGAGGACTATACAGCCAGCTGCTTTTGCTTTGGTGTGGAAATGAGCCTATTGCCATCTTTGGGTTCCACAAATAAGTAGACAATAGAGAAAATTTTGGGAATTTCAGAGTAGAAATTGTCCCCTGGATTCTTTCAACTAGAGGTGTAACTCAAAATATTTAGCCACTCAATTGTGAGTTGGCATATTTAATGTGGAAAAGCAGTAGCTTAGAGTATCACTTTGCATCCCAGGTGTCAGACCCTCAGGCTAGGCTGAGGGTCTTATCCTTATATCTGGCTACTGTTTAATTAGGAATCTGCCAAAAGTAGAGATGCCTTCCCTTTCTGGTCTATGTTGACAGTTGATTCTTTTGATTCTCCTCTTATCCCTTCATCAAATCAAATGCCATATGAATGCTGCTTTTTGTGCTCTGAGGAAGAAAGGATCAATTTTTTATATCAATATTTCTGAGCCATCAGACGGCATTGGTCATTTGTCAGTGTGAACCTAGATGGGCTTTTTACCCCACTGCAGATTGAGGTCAATCCAATGTGGCAAAAACTGGGGGTCTGTTCCTTCAAATGACTGGTGGTGGTAGTCTTCTGACCCTCTTTACTAATTTTTACCACATTGTGGACCCATGGAGAGATCGAATCACAATTTTCTCTTTCTGCCATATCTGGACCACGTAGGGAAAAATCTTTAACTTTTTGATAACATATATATGTGTGTTTGTGTTTGTGTGTGTATTATATGTGTATATATATATATATAAATTACAAGTGAGCAAGATTTATAAACAAATAAATTTTAAGTTGATTTGCAGGAATTATTTGTTTGTCATCTTCAGAAAATATAAAATAATTGGAATGGGAAAAATATGGATACATTTGACACATCTTGTTTAACAACATATAAAAGTCACAGCCTGTTGGGCCCAACTTGTTCCTACATTGGGTAGGGGCTTTTTCTGAAGATTTCCAGTAATACCCACCCACCTTCTTTAATTCTAGCTCCCCTGCCTTGACATATGATTCTCACTTAACACTACGTACAATTTTCCTCTGAATCATATTTCAGTCATCAGATTTAAACTTACAAAAATTTTAACTAGCAACCTCTCTGCTATCATCTTTCAGGGTTAATTGAGGAGAGCTTACAATATATCATACCCATTAACACTCCATCTATCTTCTAATACAAATAATTAATACTCTTCATATTTACTAATTCACACCCCTGTGAATATTTCCCAGCACTGAAGCAGAGAATCATTAGAAATTTTCACTGGAAAATTTATGACAAAATCATTATAATTTATCATTGGCAGGTAGATTATGATCCTGCAAATATGATCCTGCAATATCTAGCTCATCGGATGCAGCAGGGCTGCTTTGAAATTAAATGATGTGCTGCACGTGAAGTGCTTAGTGTGGTGCCAAACATTCAGGAAACTCAATCAATTTCAGCTGTTACTGTAATTACCAGTGTTAGTTGCAAGTACGCTTTCCAGCATAATACATGTCCATCTCTCTCAACACTGGTGTCTCCCAGGGTCCTTTTATAAATAAAGCATGGGCCATTATTGAAAAGCCTTCTTTTTCCAAAGGATGAGTAACCAGCACACAATAACTCAGTTTTACCAGTTAAGCAAAATCTGTAGTATTCTGAATATTTGATTTACCCTTTGTTGAAACAAACGTTTAAAATTTTTGTTTTTAACTGAACGGCTTACTTTTTTGACAAAGGTGGAACTGGCTACTAACATTTTTCATCATGTGGAAAAATGTTAACTGTGGATCATGCAAATAAAACTACAGCTCCTTCATTGAGCATAAGCCATGAAGCGCTAACAGCCTGCTCAGGTCTGTGTGTGGGTGTGTATAAGGCAGCTTTGGAGGATGGAAAATACAGCAAGTCACGTCTCCATTCTTTTTAGGCAGACTTCTTTCTAATTTCTTCTGAACACATGGTCATAAATTGAATAGTTTATTATTTTTATCCAATTATGTATTGTTAGAAGTTCTATTTTTTTCTAAAGGAATCAAGACAATTTAGCAAAGCTCATTTCATTAATTTTCTTTCTATCACAAGGCTAGATGTGCTTTAGAAACATGAGTGATTATATCATTTGTTAGTTTCAGTGTAATTAAGTGGGTCGCTTTACAGTAGTAGCATGGAGGTAGGAGGTTGAATTTTAGCCACATATGTGCAGGAAACCTATTCAGTGCTGAAACTAGGTATATTGTATGATTTATTATCTAAACTGGTTAGTTTATTATCTAAACTAGTTAGGTGATGACTTTTGATGTAGCTAGGGGATGACCTTTGATATTTGGATGAATACAATCTATTATATAGATAATAAACCTTACAGAGTAGATGAATGAATTTACCAGCAGGATTAAAAAGAGGAGAGTCATGGCTGAGCATGTTTTTCAAGAACTGTGTCAGAATGTCTACGCCTGCCTGGAGTTCACTTTCAGCCAGATGTTTCCATGATGGAGCCCAGCTCACATTTCCCAAATATTGGACTCAGATTCAGGCCATCTGAGCCTCCATCATCACCAGGGTAGGAAATATGTCTTATGGGGCCAAGGAGAAGACTGAAGGTATAGAGAATTTTTGCCTGAAAGTGAAGTAGAGAAAAAATACAGCAGGAAGAGCTGCTATAGATCCTGAGTTTGCAGACTCAACATCCGTGTATACAAAAAAAGTTTTTAAACAGAAATAAAGATTCTCCTTTGGATACCAAATACATCCAATGGGAAACATTGAACTTCAGAGAAGCCCAGGCCTTGGTAGGTGGTACTTTGGGTTTATGAGATCAAGAAGGAAGTGAAGCAGAGATAGGAACTTAAATGTCTCAGGTGGGTTGAAAGAAACTCTCAGGCAATGTTTGAGATGTAAGTCCTTCATTCAAAGGTGTGTAAGAGAACCTGGCTGCAGTGGGAAATGGCTATGGCTCCTGGCATGTGTTAGGACCTGCATTTCTGAAAAGATGAAAATATGGGGAGAACGGCAGTAAGTAGACAGTAAAAAGTGCCTAGGCTTAAATATGCAATATTTCCACATTCTGAAATATCTAGAAAAAACTTTATTTCTCTTTCTCAGATCTAGGGAGCCAACAACCCCAAAATATTAAGGGTAACAAAGGCACAAGTAGTTCTATGTTTGTATGTCTTGCCCAAAGCGGTGAGAGAAAGAGTGACAATAAAAACATTAGCAAAGCTCTTAGGACATTACTTTTCCAGTAAAATCCATAGAACCATGAGATGTTAGAACTAGAAGGGAGGTAGGAGACCAATGATTCAGGTCCCCTCACTTGACAGATGAGGCAAATGAGACCTCATGAGGTGAGTAAGTTGTCCAAAGTTGTTGCATAGCTACACAGTGGCAGAGCTAGGATTAAAACTCAGTTCTCCGACCCCCAGTGCAGGGTAGCAGAAGAAGGATGAAGGGGAAGTGCTTAGGTGAAAAATTAATTTGGGATTTAAGAAATGAGAGATAATGAGGTAGATTAAAAAAACTGATATTTAAATATGGAAAATGGAGTTACATGAAAGATTAGAAATAGAAAAAAATATATAAGTAGAAAGTAAAGATAAGGTAACAGTGGAGATTAGGTGAACAAAATTGAGGAAAAGGTCAACAAACACATGTCACTTGTCACCAAAAGGGTCATGTGTGTTTCCCAGCTTTATTAAGGCATAATTAACAAAAAAATATATATATATTTATGGTATACAATGTGATGTTTTGATCTATGTATACATTGTGAAATTATTAAATAAACCTAATTAACAAATCCATCACCTTCCATACTTATGTTTTTATGGCTCTACTCTCTTAATAATTTTTAAATATACATTATTATTTAATTATACTCACTATGCTGTACCATGCTATACAATAGATTTCTAGAACTTATTCATCCTAACTGAAACTTTCTACCATTGGCTTATATCTCCCATCCCCACCCTCCTGCTCCCATGCCCAGCCCTTGGTAACCATTTTACTCTGTCCTTCTATGAGTTGGACTTTTTTAGATGCCACATATGTGACAATATTTTCCTTTCTGTACCTTGCTTATTTCACTTAGCAAAGTGTCCTCTAAGTTCATCCACGTTGTTGCAAATGACAAGATTTCCTTTGTCTTTAAGCCTGAATAGTATGCCATTACACATATTCCCCATTTTCTTTATCCATCCATTCCTGTTCAACTTTTGAGGGATGCTTAGGTTGATCCCACATCTTGACTGCTGTGAAAGATGTTGCAATGATCACAGAAGCACAGATATTGGTTCAACATACTGATTTCATTTCCTTTGGATATATACACAGAAGTGAAATTGCTTGATTATATAGTAGTTGCATTTATATTTTTTATGAAACTTCAATACTTTTCTCAATAATGTCTGTACTAATTTACATTCCTGCCAACAGTGTACGAAGTTTCCTTTTTCTCCACATCCTCACTACAATTTATCCTTTGTGTTTTTCATAATAGCCATTCTAACAAATTTGAGGTGACATTTCATTGTAGTTTTAATCTGCATTTCCCTGGCGATTAGTAATGTTGAGCAGCTTTTCATATACCTGTGGGTTGTCTCTTCACTTTTAATTTTCCCTTTGCTGTTTGCAGAAGTTTTTCATTTTGATACATTCTATTTTTACTTTTGTTGCCTGTGGTTTTTGGATAATATACAAAAACTCACTTCCCAGATCAATGTCAAAAAGGTTTTCCCTATATTTTCATCCAGTAGTTTTACATTTTCAGGCCTTATATTTAAGGCTTTTATCCATTTTGAGTTGATTTTTATATGTATTGTGAGATGAGGGTCCAATTTCATTCTTCTGCATGTGGATATTCAATTTGCCCAACACCATTTATTGAAGAGACTATTCTTTCCCATTGTATTTTCTTGGCACCTTTGTTGAAGATCGATTAGCCCTAAATGCATGGATTTATTTCTGGACCTTCTATTCTGTTCCATTGGCCTATGCCAATACCACGCTACTTTGATTACTATAGCTTTGTAGCATTTTAAAAGTAAATTTGTATATTTTGAAATCAGGCAGTGTCATGCTGCAGCTTTTGTTTGGTGTTTGTTTTTTTCCCTAAGACTAATTTGGCTATTCAGGGTTCTTCTGTGGCTCCATACAAACTTTAGGATTGTTTTTCTGTTTCTGTGAAAACGTCATTAATTCTAATTCAATAGGGATTGCATTAAATCTGTAGATCATTTTGGGTAGCATGGACATTTTAATAACATTAATTTTTCCAATTTATGAACAAAGGAAGTATCGATTTATTTGTGTCTCCTTCAATCTGTTTCATCAGTGTTTTATAATTTTCAGTGTGCAGCCCTTTCACCTCCTCAGTTAAATTTATTTCTAAGTATTTTATTCTTTTTGATGCTATTAATGGGATTGTTTTCTTGATTTCTTTTTCAGACAGATTACTGTTATTATACAGAAATTCTTTTTTTTTTTTTTTTTTTTTTTTTTTTTTTGAGATGGAGTCTCTCTCCATCGCCCAGGCTGGAGTATAGTGGCATGATCTTGGCTCACTGAAACCTCCACCTCCCGGGTTCAAGCAATTTTCCTGTCTCAGCCTCCCAAGTAGCTGGGACTACAGGCGCCTGCCACCACACCAGGCTAATTTTTGTATTTTTGGTAGAGATGGGGTTTCACCTTGTTGGTCAGGCTGGTCTTGAAATCCTGACCTCAGGCCTTTGTATGTTGATTTTGTATCCTGCAACACTGCTGAATTTATTTATTAGCTCTAACAGTTTTGTTTTTTTTTTTTGGTGGAGTCTTCTGGGTTTTCCGTATAGGAGATCACGTTACCTGCTAACAGACAATTTTACTTCTTCCTTTCCAATTTGAGTGTCTTTTCTTTTCTATTCTTTTTTTTTTTTTGAGATGGAGTCTCGCTCTGTTGCCCAGGCTGGAGTGCAGTAGCGCAATCTTGGCTCACTGCAACCTCCGCCTCCCAGGTTCAAGTGATTCACCTGCCTCAGCCTCCCGAGTAGCTAGGACTGCAGGTGCGTGCCACCACACCCGGCTAATTTTTTGTATTTTTAGTAAAGACGGGGTTTCACCGTGTTAGCCAGGGTTGTCTCCATCTACTGATCTCATCATCTGCCCGCCTCAGCCTCCCAAAGTGCTGGGATTACAGGTGTGAGCCACTGCACCCAGCCTTTTTTTTTTCTTTTTCTTACCTAATTGTTGTAGCTAAGACTTACAGTACTATACTGAATAGAAGTGGTGAAAGTGGACATCTTTGTCTTCTTTCTGATATTAGAGAAAAAGCTTTCAGATTTTTACTGCTGAGTTTGACGTTAGCTGTGGGCTTGTTATATATGGCATTTATTAGGTTGAGACACATTTTTCCTATGTCTAATTTATTGAGAGTTTCTATCATGAAAAGATGTTAAATGTTGTCAAATACTTTTTCTGCATTTATTGAGAAGATTATAAAATTATTATTCTTTATCCTTTAAATATGATATATTGCATTTATTTATTTGCATGTGTTAAGCCATCTTGGCATTCCAGGGATAACTCTCCCTTGATCATGTTGTATGATCCTTTTAATGTGCAGTCAGATTCAGTGTACTAGTATTTTGTTGTGGATTTGTGCATCTATATTCATCAGGAATATTAACTTGTAATTTTCTTTTTTGGTAGTGCTTTTCTGGCTGGGTATCAGAGAAATGCTAGCCTCATAAAATAAGTTTGAAAGTGTTCCCCTCTCAATTTTTTTAGAAAGAGTTAGAGAAGAATTGATATTAGTTATTCCTTAAATGTTTGGTAGAACTCACGAGTGAACACATCAGGTCCTGGAATTTTCTTTGTTGAGAGGTTGTTTCTTTTGTTTGTTTGTTTGTATTTTTTTTTTTTTGACACCAAGTCTCTGTTGCCCAGGATGGAGTGCTGTGGTGCCAACTCAACTTACTGCAACCTCCATCTCCCAGGTTCAAGCGATTTTCCCGCCTCAGTCTCCTGATTAGCTGGGATTACAGGCATGTGCCACTAAAATGCCTGGCTAATTTTTGTATTTTTAGTGCAGACAGGTTTTCACCATGTTGGCCAGGCTGGTCTCAAACTCCTGACCTCAAGTGATCCAACCACCTCGGCCTCCCAAAGTGTGGGATTACAGGTATAAGCCACCACACCCAGCCTGTTGGGAGGTTTTGGATTACTGACTCAATCTTCTTACTCATTATTGATCTGTTCAGAATTTCTATTTCTTCAGGTTTCAGCCTTGGAAGGGTGTGAATGTTTATAAGAATTTATCCATCTCTTCTAGGTTATCCAATGTGTTGGCATGTAATTATTAATAATCTTTTATAATGCTTTTGTATCTCTATAGTATCAGTTTTAATGTCTCCTCTTCCCTTTACAATTTTATTTACTTGAGTCTTCCCTCTTTTTTTAAGTTAGTCTAGCTGAAGGTTTTTCAATCTTGTTAAGAAACTAAGTCCTAGTTTCATTGATCTTTTCTATTGTTTTTTCTAGTCTCTATTTTATTTATTTCTGCTCTGATTTTTATTATTTCCTTTCTTTTACTGACTACGCTTAGTTTCTTCTTTTTCTAGTTCTTTGATGAAAACTTTGTGCATTTGAGATTTTTTTTTCCATGTAGGCATTTATTGCTATAACTTTGCCTCTTAGAAATGTGTTTGTCCCTAAGTTTTGATGTTGTGTTTTCATTTTCATTTGTCTCAATTTTTTTTTTTTTTGAGACAAGGTCTTGCTCTGTCACCCAGGCTGGAGTATAGTGGCCTGATCTTGGTTTACTGCTCCCAGGTTCAAGTGATTCTCATGCCTCAGCCACACAAGTAGCTGGGACTACAGGTGTGCACCACCATGCCTGGCTAATTTTTGTATTTTTAGTACAGACGGGTTTTGCCATGTTGGCCAAGCTGGTCTTGAACTCCTGAGCTCCGGTGATCAACCCACCTTGGCCTCCCAAAGAGTTGGGATTATAGTCATAAGCCACTGTGCCCGGCCTTGTCTCTAAATTTTTTAAATTTCCTTTTTGGTTTCTTCTTTTACTCATTGGCTGCACAGGAATGTGTTATTTAATTTCCACATATTTGTGAATTTTCCAATTCCTCCCCCCCACCTTTTTTTTTTATTTTGAGATGGAGTTTCGCTCTTGTCGCACAGGCTGGAGTGCAGTGGCATGATCTCAGCTCACTGCAACCTCTGCCTCCCGGGTTCAAGCGATTCTCCTGCCTCAGCCTCCCAGGCAGCTGGAATTACAGGCACCTGCCACCACGCCTGGCTAATTTTTTGTATTTTTAGTAGAGACAGGGTTTCACCATGTTGTGCAGGCTGGTCTCGAAATCCTGACCTCAGGTGATCAACCTACCTGGGCCTCCCAAAGTGCTGGGATTACAGGCATGAGCCACCATGCCAGGCCTCCATTACGTATTTCTAGTTTCATACCATCATGGTCAGAAAAAATACTTGATATGATTCCCATTTTTCAAATTTTGTTAACACTTATTTTGTGGCCTAACATATAATCTGTCTCAGAGAATGTTTCGTGTGCAATTGAGAAGAATGTGTACTTTGCTGCTGTTGGATGATATATTCTGTTTATGTCTGTTAGGTACATTTGGTATGTGGTATTGTTCAAGTCCACTATTTCCTTATTGATTTTCTCTCTGGATGATCTGTCCAATGTTAAAAAGGGGGAATTGAAGTCCCTTACTATTATTATAGTGCTATGTATTTCTACTCTCAGTTATGTTAATATTTGCTTTATATATTAGGTGATCTAATATTGGGTGCATACATATTTACAATTGTTTTAGACTCTTGATGAATTGACCTCTTTATCATTATACATTGACCTTTGTCTGTTGTGGGAATTTTCGACTTAAAGTCTATATTGTCTTAGTTATCTCTGCTCTTTTTTGGTTACCATTTTCACAGAATATCTTTTTTTTATTTTTTCACTTTCAGTCTATATGTGTTCTTAAAGCTAAAGTAAGTAGGCAGCATGTAGCTGGATCTTGTTTTTAATTCATTCAGTCGTTCTATGTCTTTTGCTTGTGGAATTTAAGCCATTTACATTTAAAATAATTATTGCTAAGTAAGAACTTACTACTGCCAATTGGTTAATTGTTTTCCAACTATTTCATAGTTCCTTTGCTTCATTCTTCTTCTCTTAATGTCTTCCTTTGATAATTTTTTGTACTTGTATACTGATTTCTTTTTCTTTTTGCGGGATATCTACTAGATGTTTTTTCTCTGTGGTTATCATGAAGCTTATTTTAAACACTTACAGAAGTCTGTTTTAAGCTGATAACAACTTAACTTCAACATAAAAAACTCTATTCTTTAACTTCTCCTTCTTCAACATTTTATGTCGTCGATGTCACAATTTATATCTTTTATATACAGCATTTTTATTGAAAAATTATTTCAGCTGTGGTTATTTTTAATACTTTTGGCTTTTAATTTTTATGCTAGAGGAAAAGGTGATTTATGCACCACCATTAAAGTATTCCTTAACAGTATTCTGAATTTGATGATATTCTTACCTTTATAGTGAATTTTATACATTCATATGTTTTATGTTGTTAATTAATATTATTTCATTTCTAATTGAAAAACTCCCTTCATCACTTCTTGTAAGTCAGGCCTAATGGTGACATACTCCTGCAGCTTTTGTTTGTCTGGGAACATCCTTATCTCTCCTTCATTTCTAAAGGACAGCGTATAGGGTATAATGTTCTTGGCAGTTTTTTCTTTTAGCATTTTGGCTAAATATCATTCCGTTCTCTCCTGGCCTGCATGGTTTCTGCTAAGAAATCTACAGATAGTTTTATGAGGTTTCCTTGTATATGATGAGTTGCTTTTCTATTGCTGTTTTCAAAATTCTCTCTCCATCTTTAACTTTTGAGAAATTATTATAATATGTCTCAGTGGAGATATCTTTATATTTAATCTATTTGGCATTCTTTGGGCTTTAAAAATCTGGATGTTCATTTTTCTCTCCAGATTTGGAAAGTTTTCTGTCACTACTTTGCTTTTTTTTTTGGAGGGGGGATTTAAACTGCACTTTATTTTTATTTTTTTTATTATACTTTTAAGTTCTCGGTTACACGTGCAGAATGTGCAGTTTTGTTACATAGGTATACACGTGCCATGGTGGTTTGCTGCACCCATCAACCCATCACCTACATTGGGTATTTCTCCTAATGTTATCCCTCCCCTAGCCCCCCACCCCTCATAGGCCCAGGTGTGTGATGTTCCACTCCCTGTGTTCTCATTGTTCAACTCCCACTTATGAGTGAGAACATGTGGTGTTTGGTTTTCTGTCCTTGCGATAGTTTGCTGAGAATGATGGTTTCTAGCTTCATCCCTGTCCCTTCAAAGGACATGAACTCATTCTTTTTTATGGCTGCATAGTATTCCATGGTGTATATGTGCCATATTTTCTTAATCCAGCCTATCATTGATGGACATTTGGGTTGGTTCCAAGTCTGCTATGGTGAATAGTGCCACAATAAACATACATGTGCATGTGTCTTTATCATAGAATGATTTATAATCCTTTGGGTATATGCCCAGCAATAGGATTGCTGGGTCAAATGGTATTTCTAGTTCTCGATCCTTGAGGAATCACCACACTGTCTTCCACAATGGTTGAACTAATTTACACTCCCACCAACAGTGTAAAACATTCTTATTTTTCCACAACGTCTCCAGAATCTGTTGTTTCCTGACTTTCTAATGATTGCCATTCTAACTGGTGTGAGACGGTATCTCACTGTGGTTTTGATTTGCATTTCTCTAATGAACAGTGATAATGAGCATTTTTTCATATGTCTGTTGGCTGCATAAATGTCTTCTTTTGAGAAGTGTCTGTTCATATCCTTTGCCCATTTTTTGATGGGATTGTTTGCTTTTTTCTTATAAATTTGTTAGAGTTCTTTGTAGATTCTGGATATTAGCCTTTTGTCAAATGGAAAGTTTGGAAAAATTTTCTCCCATTCTGTAGGTTGCCTGTTCACTCTGATGATAGTTTCTTTTGCTGTGCAGATGCTCTTTAGTTTAATTAGATCCCATTTCTCGGTTCTGGCTTTTGTTACCATTGCTTTTGGTGTTTTACACATGAAGTCTTTGCCCATGTGTATGTCCTGAATGGTATTGCACAGGTTTTCTTCTAGGATTTTTATGGTCTAGGTCTTACGTTTAAGTCTCTGATCCATCTTGAGTTTATTTTTGTATAAGGTGTAAACAAGGGGCCCAGTTTCAGTTTTCTGCATATGGCTAGCCAGTTTTCCCAACATCATTTATTAAATAGGGAATTTTTTCCCCATTGCTTCTGTGCCTCAGGTTTGTCAAAGATCAGATGGTGATAGATATGTGGTGTTATTTTTGTGGCCTCCGTTCTGTGCCATTGGTCTATATACCCGTTTTGGTAACAGTACTACAGTGTTTTGGTGACTGTAGCCTTGTAGTCAGGTAGCGTGATGCCTCTAGCTTTGTTCTTCTTGCCCAGGATTGTCTTGGCTATGCGGGCTTTTTTTTTTTTATTCCATATGAAGTTTAAAGTAGTTTTTCCAATTCTGTGAAGAAAGTCAGTTGTAGCTTGATGGGGATAGCAT
The DNA here is from genome assembly GCF_000001405.40 of Homo sapiens. Lineage (NCBI taxonomy): Eukaryota > Metazoa > Chordata > Mammalia > Primates > Hominidae > Homo > Homo sapiens. The sequence goes on along the minus strand of NC_000004.12, from coordinate 121,289,376 downwards.
TGAACCTGTAAATTACTTTGGGTAGTAAGGCCATTTTCACGATATTGATTCTTCCTATCCATGAGCATAGAATGTTTTTCCATTCATTTGTGTCCTCTTTTATTTCGTTGACCAGTGGTTTGTAGTTCTCCTTGAAGAGGTCCTTCACATCCCTTGTAAGCTGTATTCCTAGGTATTTTATTCTCTTAGTAGCAATTGTGAATAGGAGTTCACTCATGATTTGGCTGTTTGTCTGTTACTGGTGCACAGAAATGCTTGTGATTTTTGCACACTGATTTTGTATTCTGAAACTTTGCTGAAGTTGCTTATCAGCTTAAGGAGATTTGGGGCTGAGATGATGGGGTTTTCTAACTATACAATTATGTCTGCAAATAGACACAATTTGACTTCCTCTCTTCTTATTTGAATATGCTTTATTGCTTTTTCTTGCTTGATTGTCCTGGCCAGAACTTCTAAAACTATGCTGAATAGGAGTGGTGAGAGAGGGCATCCTTGTCTTGTGCTGGTTTTCAAATGGAATGCTTCCAGTTTTTGCCCATTCAGTATGGTATTGGCTGTGGGTGTGTCATAAATAGCTCTTATCATTTTGAGATACATTCCATCAATACCAAGTTTATTGAGAGTTTGTAGCATGAAAGTCTGTTGAATTTTATCGAAGGCATTTTCTGCATCTATTGAGATAATCATGTGGTTTTTGACATTGGTTCTGTTTATGTGATAAATTGCGTTTATTGATTTGCATATGTTGAACCAGCCTTGCATCCAAGGGATGAAGCAGACTTGATCATGGTGGATAAGCTTTTTGATGTGCTGCTGGATTCGGTTTGCCAGTATTTTATTGAAGATTTTCACATTGATGTTCATCAGGGATATTGGCCTAAAATTCTCTTTTTTGTTGTGTCTCTGCCAGGCTTTGGTATCAGGATGATGCTGGCCTCATAAAATGAGTTAGGGAGGATTCCCTCTTTTTCTATTGATTGGAATAGTTTCAGAAGGAATGGTACCAGCTCCTCTTTGTACTTCTGGTAGAATTTGGCTGTGAATCCATCTGGTCCTGGAATTTTTTTGGTTGGTAGGCTGTTAATTATTGCCTGAATCTCAGAACCTGTTATTGGCCTATTCAGAGATTCAGTTTCCTCCTGGTTTAGTCTTGGGAGAGTGTATGTGCCCAGGAATTTATCCATTTCTTCTAGATTTTCTAGTTTATTTGCATAGAGGTGTTTATCGTATTCTCTGATGATAGTTTGTATTTCTGTGGGATCGGTGGTGATATCCTCTTTATCATTTTTTATTGCGTCTATTTGATTCTCCTCTTTTCTTCTTTATTAGTCTTGCTAGCAGTCTATCTATTTTGTTGATCTTTTCGAAAAACCAGCTCCTAGATTCATTGATTTTTGGAAGGGTTTTTTTGTGTCTCTTATCTCCTTCAATTCTGCTCTGATCTTAGTTATTTCTTGTCTTCTGCTAGCTTTTGAATTTGTTTGCTCTTGCTTCTCTAGTTCTTTTAATTGTGATGTTAGGGTATTGATTTTAGATCTCTCCTGCTTTCTCTTGTGGACATCTAGTGCTATAAATTTCCCTCTACACACTGCTTTAATTGTGTCCCAGAGATTCTGGTACATTGTGTCTTTGTTCTCATCGATTTCAAAGAACATCTTTATTTCTACCTTCATTTCGTTATTTACCCAGTAGTCATTCAGGAGCCAGTTGTTCAGTTTCCATGTAGTTGTGCAGTTTTGAGTGAGTTTCTTAACCCTGAATCCTAATTTGATTGCACTGTGGTCTGAGAGACTGTTCGTTGTGATTTCTGTTCTTTTACATTTGCTGAGGAGTGTTTTACTTCCAATTATGTGGTCAATTTTAGAATAAGTGTGATGTGGTGCTGAGAAGAATGTATATTCTGTTGATTTGGGGTGGAGAGTTCTGTAGATGTCTATTAGGTCCACTAGGTCCAGAGCTGAGTTCAAGTCCTAGATATCCTTGTTACTTTTCTGTCTCGCTGATCTATCTAATATTGACAGTGGGGTGTTAAAGTCTCCCATTATTATTGTGTGGGAGTCTAAGTCTCTTTGTAGGTCTCTAAAAACTTGATTTATGAATCTGGGTGCTCCTGTATTGGGTGCATATATATTTAGGATAATTAGCTCTTCTTGTTGCATTGATCCCTTTACCATTATGTAATGGCCTTCTTTGTCTCTTTTGATCTTTGTTGGTTTAAAGTCTGTTTTATCAGAGACTAGAATTGCAGCCCCTGCTTTTTATTGCTTTCCATTTGCTTGACAAATCTTCCTCCAACCATTTATTTTGAGCCTATTTGTGTCTCTGCATGTGAGATGGGTCTCCTGAATACAGCACACTCATGGGTCTTGACTCTTTATCCAATTTGCCAGTCTGTGTCTTTTAATTGTGGCATTTAGCCCACTTACATTTAAGGTTAATATTGTTATGTGTGAATTTGATCCTGTCATTATGATGCTAGCTGGTTATTTCACCTGTTAATTGACACAGTTTCTTCATAGCATTGATGGTCTTTACAATTTGACATGTTTTTGCAGTGACTGGTACTTGTTGTTTCTTTCCATGTTTAGTGCTTCCTTCAGGAGCTCTTGTAAGACAGGGCTCATGGTGACAAAATCTCTCATCATTTGCTTCTCTGTAAAGGATTTTATTTCTCCTTCACTTATGAATCTTAGTTTAGCTGGACATGAAAATCTGGGTTGAAAATTCTTTTCTTCCAGAATGTTGAATATTGGCCCCCATTCTCTTCTGGCTTGTAGGGTTTCTGCCAAGAGATCCACTGTTGGGCTTCCCTTTATGCATAACCTGACTTTTCTCTCTGGCTGCCCTTAACATTTTTTCCTTCATTTCAATCTTGGTGAATCTGACAATTACGTGTCTTGGGTTTACTCTTCTCAAGGAGTATCTTTGTGGTGTTCTTTGTATTTCCTGAATTTGAATGTTGGCCTGCTTTGCTAGGTTGGGGAAGTTCTACTGGATAATATCCTGAAGAGTGTTTTCTAACTTATTTCCATTCTCCCCATCACTTTCAGGTACACTTGAAATCAAATCAAACATTTGGTCTTTTCACATAGTCCCTTATTTCTTGGAGGCTTTGTTCATTTCTTTTCACTCTTTTTTCTCTACTCTTGTCTTCTCATTTTATTTCATTAATTTGATCTTCAATCACTGATATCCTTTCTTCCACTTGATTGAATTGACTATTGAAGCTTGTTTATACTTCACAAAGTTCTCATACTGTGGTTTTCAGCTCCATCAGGTCATTTAAGCTCTTCTCTGCACAAGTTATTCTACTTAGCCATTCATCTAACCTTTTTTCAAGGTTTTTAGCTTCCTTGCGATGGGTTAGAACATGCTCCTTTAGCTCAGAGAAGTTTGTTATTACCGACCTTCTGAAGCCTACTTCTGTCAACTTGTCAAACTCATTCTCCATCCAGTTTTTTTCCTTTGCTGGGGAGGAGTTGTGTTCCTTTGGAAGAGAAGAGGTGTTCTGGTTTTTGGAATTTTTAGCCTTTCACTCTGGTTTCTCCCAATCTTTGTGGTTTTATCTACCTTTGGTCTTTGATATTGGTGACCTATGGATGAGGTTTGGTGTGGATGAGGTTTGGTGTGGTCCCTTTTGTTGATGTTGGTGCTATTCCTTTTTGTTTGTTAGTTTTCCTTCTAACAGACTGGCGCCTCAGCTGCAGGTCTGTTGGAGTTTGCTAGAGGTCCACTCCAGACCCTGTTTGCCAGAGTATCACCACTGGAGGCTGCAGAACAGCAAATATTGCTGCCTGATACTTCCTCTGGAAGCTTCGTTCCAGAGGGGCACCTGCCTATATGAGGTGTCTGTCAGCCCCTACTGGGAGGTGTCTCCCAGTCAGGTTACACGGGGGTCAGCGACCCATTTGAGGAGGCAGTCTGTCCACTCTTGGAGCTTGAACTCTGTGCTGGGAGAACCACTGCTCTCTTCAGAGCTTTCAGGCAGGGACATTTAAGTCTGGAGAAGCTGTCTGCTACCTTTTGTTCAGATATGCCTTGCCCCCAGAGGTGGAATCTATAGAGGCAGTAGGCCTTGCTGAGCTGCAGTGGGCTCTACCAAGTTCAAGCTTCCCTGTTTTGTTTACACTGTGAGCATAGAACCGCCTACTGAAGCCTCAGGAATGGTGGAAGCCCCTCCTCCCACCAAACTTCAGCATCCCAGGTTGATCTCTGACTGCTGTGCTAGCAGTGAGCAAGGCTCTGTGGGCGTGGGACCCACACCCTGGTCTGCTGGTTGCAAAAAGTGCAGTATTTGGACAAGAGTGTACTGCTCCTCCAGGTACAGTCATTGATGGGTTCCCTTGGCTAGGAAAGGGAAATCCCCCACCCTTGCGCTTCCCAGGTGAGGCGATGCCCCACTCTGCCTCAGCTTACCCTCAGTGGGCTGCACCCACTGTCCAACCAGTCCCAATGAGATGAACCAGGTATCTCGGTTGGAAATGCAGAAATCACCCATCTTCTGCATTAATCTTGCTGGGAGCTGTAGACCAGAGCTGTTCCTATTCGGCCATCTTGGAAGCAACCCATTACTTTGTAAAGTAAGCTGTCATCCTTGTTGCCTTCTCCTCTGTGACTCTCATAATACATACATTGGCTTTCTTGATGGTGACTCAAAACTTCCATGGCTTTCTTCACTATTTCTTATTCTTTTCATTTTTTGTTCCTCTGACTGGGTAATTCCAAATGACCTGTCATTTAGGTCAATGATTCTTTCTTCTGATTGATTCAATCTGCTGCTTAAGCTCTCCACGACATTTTTTTCACTACTGTCATTGTGTTTTTTAGCTCCAGAAATTTTGTTTGTTTTATTTTAATGGTTTCTCTTTGTTAAACCTCTTTTTGTTCATGAATCACTTTTCTGATTTTTAAAAAATTGTCAGTCTGTGCTCTCTTTTAGCTCACTGATCTTTAAGATAATTATTTTGAATTTTTTTTTGTCAAGCAGTTCATAGATTTCCAATTTGTTAAGGGTCACTTTATTTTGTTGTTGTTAGTGTCATGTTTCTCTGATTATTTGTAATCCTTGTGGCTTGGCATTGGTTTCTGTGCATCTGAAGAGGTCTCTTCCATTCTTTACATGGAAAAGACTGAATTCTTGATAAGAAAAGCCCTTTACCAGTCAGCCTGTCAAGAGGTTTTAGGCAGGCTATCTGGTGGAGTCCATGGTGGGGTCTGGAATTCTCTTGTGAGCTGGCTGGTGCCTGGGTCAGCAGGTGAGCCTGTCAACTGGGTGTATAGGCCTGGTACTTGGGTCCACTGAGGTTAGCCTGTCAACTGGGTCTTCAGGGGCATGGCTATGGCCTCGGTCTGTGGGGACAGGTATAAAATTTGTGTCCACAGGGGCAAACCTGGAGCCTGAGTCCAAAGAGGCTGACCTACTGCTGAGGTAGATCTTGAGCCTGAGTCGCAGGGGCCAACCTGGCACTGGAATTAGCTTGGTGTTTTGGTCTATCATGATGAGTCTAAAGCCTGAAGCCACAGGGGCTGGCCGGGAGCTTGGGTCTACAGGGGATGGTCCAGCACCAGGGTTTGCTGGAGTGGTCCTGGACCCTGAGTCCACTGGAGTAGGCATGGAACCTTGAACCATGAGGACTGGCATGGAGCCTTTGGTTGGCCTGGCATACGATGGGCCTGGAGCCTGGGTTCAAGGGGACTGGCTTCATGTCTGGGGCACCATGGGAAGATACCTGGAGACTTACTCTGTTGGGGCCAGCTTAGAAGCTAGCTGGGTCTGTGGGTGCTGGCCTGGAGGCTAGACTGGTGAGGCCTGACCTGGAGCCTTGGGGCCCTGGGGCCCTGGGGCAGACCTGGAAACTGGGTCCACAGAGGTGGGCCTGGACCCTAGGTCCACTGGAATGTCATGCTCCAGGTCCTTGCCTGGTGCCCAGGGCCACAAGGACTAGCCTAAAGCTGGAGTCAGCAGGTGCTAACCTGGGGCTGAGGTGGTCCTGAAGCCTGGGGCTCTGGGGACTGGCCTGGCACTGGGGCTAGGTCTTAAGCCTTAAGTGGACCTAGAACATGAGGCTGCAGGGGCTTGCCTTGGGCCTGGGCCTACTGGGGCCTGCCTGGCTTTGGGGTAGACCAGAAGCCTGGGACCACAGATCCTGGCCTGAAACCTGGATCTGGAGGGCCTGCCTGGAGCCTGAGCTGTGGGGCCCAGTCTGGTGTTGGGCAGCCCTAGAGGATAAGTCTAGGGTAGGGAGCCTGCCGGGAACCTAGAACTGTGGGGGCCAAACTGGAGCCTGGTTTCACTTGGCTGGTGCTGGGATCTATGGCAAAGTCAGGTGCTTCACCCTCACTGCCTTTTCCCATATACAGGGTTTCTCTATAAATGCAATACTGTGCAAGCTTGGGGAAGGGGTGATGTGGGTAATGTGACACTGTTCATTCTGCCCTCTTTATTGCATCTCTTCTTACATCTGTGCTACATCCAGGTGCTATAATCTCTCACCTGGACTCCTCAGCTCTTGTGATTGTATAGTTATGCGTAAATACTTGTTCAAATTGACGTTTCTGCAAGATGAGCTCCGCAAAGTTCTTCCTACTATATTGTAGATATCACTTTCATGGATCATTCTTGCCATGCATCATGGTCATCTTGATTATTTCTTTGACAATTCTATGTTAGGGGAACTTCCCTGACCCTCTTTGATGCCTAGCGCCTACAACTTTTTCTTACATGTAATCTTAAAATTTTTATAGATTAAGTCAGAATTATTTGCACTAGTATCCATAAAATTAGAAGTTTGAGTTTTATTGCAGGATTCAGATCTAGCTTCTGAACAGTGTGCACAAGTTTTCAAAAATGAAAATTACTGGTTTATGGACATAGATGGTACTTAATGAAGGCTGGTACATTACTTACAAATGTCTCACCATTTAGTTGTAATGAGATATTCAGGATGTTCATGATTGTTTCTGGAATATTCTCCTTATTACACAAACTGTGAACCTTTTAAAGTTGGGGATTAGGCCGGGTGCAGTGGCTCACGCCTGTAATACCAGCACTTTGGGAGGTGGAGGCGAGCAGATCACGAGGTCAGGAGATCGAAACCATCCTGGCTAACATGGTGAAACCCCGTCTCTGCTAAAAATACAAAAAATTAGCCGGGTGTGGTGGCAGGCGCCTGTAGTCTCAGCTACTCGGAAGGCTGAGGCAGGAGAATGGTGTGAACCCGGGAGGCTGAGCTTGCAGTGAGTTGAGATGGCACCACTGCACTCCAGCCTGGGCAACAGAGCAAGACTCTGTCTCAAAAAAAAATAATAAAATAAAATAAAGTTGGGGATTAGTTATTGTTGACCACTGCAGGTCTACTATCTACCATACGCCTAGAACATAGTTACTGCTCAGTAAAAATGTTTGAGTCAATGAGGAATAGAAAAATGAATACCAATCTCAAATTACGTAACATAGTGATGTTGAATTGCACATAGCGTCTGATTCAAAAGAAAACTCATTGCTTATTAATGGGACAAGGAAAAGGAGAAAATGACATATCAAATTTTAACAATTTTACACACACAAGAAGACCTGAAAAGTGTAACAACCAGGCAATTACTTAGGCATAGCCTTCCTTCAATACTTTTCCAAATATGTGAGCTTTCTTCATGAGTCAACTCCTCTATACTTTGTAATAACTATATACAGAAATGAGGATAAAATTGGTCTGTATGTAGTCTATTCCCTTTACCTTGTAAATCAGCCAAGGTCAAATAAAAACTGCCCAAAGGAGTAAAATTTTTATTAAAACTTTAATTTTAATAAAATTTTAGATTGAAATCTAAAAAGAAAGCACAGCATGGTAATGTAACCAGGGTGGATCAGGGATTCTGTATTTTTTTGTTTTTGTTTTTGTTTTTTCCTGAGACAGAGTCTTGCTCTGTTGCCCAGGCTGGAGTGCAGTGGTGCGATCTCGGCTAGCTGCAATCTCCTCCTCCCAGGTTCACGCCATTCTCCTGCCTCAGCCTCCTGAGCAGCTGGGACTACAGGTGCCCACCACCATGCCCGGCTAATTTTTTTTTGTATTTTTAGTAGAGTTTCACCGTGTTATCTAGCAGCAGGGAGCAGGAATACTTCCCTCAGCACTAAAGTTGCAGATGGGCTGCCGTCAGTGGACAGCACAGATTGAGAGCCTGGAACAATGGTCCCACCAGCTCCACCAGGTTTCCTCCCTGCCTTGTAGGATCAGCCCAAAACATGAGAGTTGTGGTATCAGTTCCTACCAGAAAAGTGGCCAAAGACAATTTTTAAAAGATTTTGGATTATTTTAACTAATGGAGTGAGGCAGGAAAATAGGGTCTGGAGGCAGGTAACATAAGACTGATTCACACTTCAGTTATGAGAAGAAATATCCTCTCCATAGGGCATACAGCGAGTAAATGACTTTGTAATTTTACTTCATTCTCTTCATTTACATAGAAACTGCCTTCTGGGAATTTTCAAAGAAAAGTATATCAGAGATGCAGATTTATTCAGATGTTCAAACAAAATAATTATTTCTCTCTTTTTCCAGAACTCATCTGATCTTTCTCATCAGTCCTCATCTGAGCTGTAGAGAGAAAAGATTTAGTCCAGTTTGGAAACCCCAGTTTGACCTAATAATATAAAAATTGTCTTGAATAATGCTCAGTCATTCAGACATTGCCTCTTTCCTCACCCCAGTGCTCTAAATAGACTCCAACACATACACAGATGGACTCCCCAACAGTATATGGTTGGAGCAGAGAGTGTGCATCATCTTATAGCAACAGAGGAATGATGAGTCTTACATATCTCTGCACGAGTTCTTGCAGAGTCCTCAGCTCCCTGTCACACAATGTCCCTATTTGCCTGGTTACTGTGCTACCCATTGGCATATGAAGGTGAATTTTTCAGCAAATGAACTCAGCTTTCTCAGGGCTCCTTACTTGGTCCTACTTCAACTTTTGCTGGGTCCATTTCTCTTCCTGAGGTCTGGCTGCAACTCCTACCTGAGCCTCAGCTTGTATGTGCCCTTGGATAAGGAGCATTTTACCTGTGCTATAGTGACACTTTTCCTTTGCCTAAGCTGGTCAGCCAGGACCACTGACTACTTTCTACATTTCTCCTGAGGAAACTGAAGATGTTTTGAGTATGTTTATACTACATAGGGTTGGATGGAGACTCTAAAAAATTATTCTGAGATCCTTCACTCTGGCCATTTGGCCACCCAGCATGTGCTGTGGATCCCCAAACAAGAAAGATGCAAAAGTCCTTCTTTGTGTGTGGGTGTGTTGCTCTTTGCATTGTCTTCAAGTTATTTGCCATGACTTCTGCATCCAGAACCTTTATGCAGAGATAGAACCTTTGTGCAGAGATAGTGGTGTCTTCTTGTGTGTCTCCAGTCTTCGATGCCCATCTGCCTCCCACAATCCAGCAAAACTAGAAAGGGCAAATTTTCCCATTCTTTTCCCTTACAGGTAAGGAATTCTCTTACAGAAAACTGAAAGATCTGATCTGCCAGGCTAAGATTTTGACATGTTTAGTAGTTAGTATGTTAGCATATCCTTTTGTATTTTGATAAACACTGTGCTCCAGTGCTGTTGTCCTGCAGTGGTTGGGAGAAAGCTGCCTTCAAGATGCAAGGTTGGTGGAAGACCTGTTCTTGAAGGGATCTGCTCTTTTTTTTCCTACAGGGGGTCTCAGAACTCAGCCTAGGAGGTGGGAGGCTGCCAGGAACAGGGTTCATAGGAGGAAATGATATACATTAGTATATTTTCTTAATAATACTCTCCCTGTTCTGGGAATGTGAAGTGCCTGATGAGGTCTGTTTTGTTCCCTCCTTGAGTTTCCAGACTTAACCTTGCCATCTAACAGCCCATAGACCATCCCCTCCTCTTTTCTTAGTTTCCTCAGAGTACCTGGTGGCTTCCCATAAAATCTGACCTCAATGTTAATGTGAGGAGTGAGGAGGAAAGCATGTGAATGGGAAGAACAAATGATTATGTGACAACCAGAGACAACTTCAGAACCATCTCAGCTATGACTAACAGGGACAAAGGTACATGTACAGTATTACCATCAAAGCCTTCTTTCTACAAGAAAGTAAACTGCTGCTTTTTCTTGCATGCAAGTGAAAACAGAAGAGTCTTTTCATACTTTTCTTATCTCTGTCATGAAACCAGGAATGTTGTGAACTCATTTCTTACTTATGTTCAGAAATTCCGGTGTGTTTTGGGCAGTTTAACAGCGGTGTGTAGTACATGAATAACAACAACAACAGTAATAATTATAGTTCTTCTAAGTGAATAGAGTGATTGTGGTTTGGAGTCTTTTTTTGGTGAAGAACTGGACTGGCTCTCCTAGATGAAGAGCTATGTGAGGCAGAACACTCGCTTTGCATATTTCCCCCACAATAGTCATTTGTATAAATCGTGACTAATTTAATACCCAAAATCAAGGCAAAATTACATTTTAACTTCACACTATTAAAACTGGGGCAGTCCCTGCCAGGTTCAGCTTGCCCAGAATTGTATGCATTGCTTTTCAGCATTTCATGGTCCATTTCTCCTGGACTTTTGTGATTATTGAAATGTAAATGAGAAAAAGTGTGAAAGAATCACAACCATTATGCCTCTTAAATGGTGGTTGTTAAAAATAACCTTTAGAGGAGGCTCAACAATTACCAGTTAGGTTACTCCCTCCGGGATCCACCAAGCCCTCTTGATCAGAACTTCTTTGATGGCAGGTGGCAGGGAGGGAGGGTTGAAAATATTCTGAATGGCCAAGAGATGCACCTTGCCCTTGGAAGGTGTAAGCCAGAATCTTTTGACTTCTAAGTAATTTTGTTTTTGTTTTTTGAAATGTGGTCCTGCCCTTTGGTGTGCATAACTTAGAGATGGATAAATTTGAATAGTGATGTTCCCCATCCTGTGTCCAAGTGTTCTTATTGTTCAGTTCCCACCTATGAGTGAGAACATGCAGAGAATACTTGGACACAGGTTGGAGAACATCACACACAGGGGTCTGTTGTGGGGTGGGGGGAGGCGGGAGGGATAGCATTAGGAGATATACCTAATGTAAATGATGAGTTAATGGGTGCAGCACACCAACATGGCACACGTATACATATGTAACAAACCTGCACATTGTGCACATGTATCCTAGAACTTAAAGTATAATAATTAAAAAAAAAATTTGAATAGGAAGCCCAAAACCCTTCTGGGAAGGAAAGCACAGAAGTTCTCCACTCCCCCAACTCTGTTCATTGCAATTTGAAGTTAGGGCAACATTTCCTAGTGGAATAAAGCGGCCCTAACCAGAACCTGAGGGCAGAAAAGAACATCTTTCAGTCCTTAAGGGAAAGTGCAATGACCTAATCTGATGGCCCCAGGCTCATGGCCCAGGGCTGATTCTTACACAAGGCACGTTCCAAACAGGAATCCCCTCTAGACTCAGCCAGAGTAAAATGCTGGAGAATAATGGCTGAGCATGTAGATCTGACCTTGGAGTCCAACATGGACACCATCATGTCTTGGATAGAGATCTGAGAGCCAGCAGGACATCCCTGTAGTGATGTAGTAGCAGCCACCAGAGTTCGCAGGACCTGAGTAGCCATGTGGCAGACACCACCTGGTGTTTGGAAGAGGAGCTGCCTCTATTCTGGACCACATAAACCCCTGAAGGCAAGTGGAAGGAGCCTTGATTAACTGAAAACACAGTCAAGAGATGAAAGCATATTTGTATTCTGAATTTGTGAACGATTACACCCAGGTTACAAATCAAACCATAATCACAATTTATTGAATTACTATGCAACTTGTCCTAGTCTAGGTGCTTCTAGGAGAATAAAGAAGTTTAGACCATGGTACCTGTCTGCAGGAATTACTGCTGAATATTAGAGAGGTATTTGTAGTCAAAGAACAAGAGAATATATTGAAGGCATCAATTGTGCAAAAATATAACTATTTATAATTATTGTGCAATAATAATTATAGTGCTCTCTAAGCATCAGACTGTTCTTAGTGCTTAACATCTATAAACTCACTGAACCCTCAGAATAGTTCTGTTATCTCCATTTCACATGTGAGGACACTGAAACATTGAGAATTTAGGTAAATTGCCAGAGGTCACACAGCAGCAAGAGGAGGAGTCAAGACTTCAGCCTGTAGTCCGGTTCCAGAGTCTATGTTCCTAACCATAAAACGCCTCATGCAGCCACTGTTCATAAGAACCACAGGAGTTTAGAACAGACAATAGCAAAAGCTAGGTACTGCAGACAAATGCACAAGAGTAATTTAACATCCAGAATCAAGGCAAAAATTACTTTAACAGAGAAGCAGATAAAAAGATACACCATGGGCAGTTTAGAATACACATGGTTTTGGACCTGTTAGGACAATTGAAATGATTTGTGTTCTGTAAGGTTGGCCTAAGAGCAGATGCATTTTCAAACGGAGAGAAACAATCAGTTATCTATGAACCGAGTGTTGTGCATATAGGAAAGCACATCTACACATTAACCCATCAGACTGGTATAATCTCCATTTTGTTTGCAGAGTTTATGCGAGATCACAGAGCTAATAATTAGGAAGTAGGACTGAAACACATCTGCTGGGAAAGTGCACGATCTTTATACGAAATCATAAAGAATGGGAAAGGGGATTCTAAAACAACAAGAGTTTGCAGGAAGAAAGGGTGAGGATATTCCAGTATGGAGAAAGACAGACTGTTAGAAACTTGGAAGCAAGTGTACTTGGCAGGATTAAAGTTGGTCTTGGTGCATGGCTATATATGAAGTGAGAGGTACTTCATATGGAGAGAAGGGAGGGTATGGGTCAGATGCAAAGAACTCTTAGAGCACAACCATCAAGTCCACATTTGGAGCTGAGGTTTGATATGTACCGAAGTCTTTACTGCTTTCCAGGGTTGCATTGCCTGACATTACACCAAGCCACCAGCCAGAACGTCTTGTGAGAACCCCTTTTTGGTTCTTCATTTGCCCTAGTGAAATCAAGGGCATTTCAGGCCACTGCACAATTGCATGTTTATCCCCTAAATAGTTTCATTTTTATTTTTTAGGATCACCTAGTGCATGGAGGTATTGATTTAGTGTCACTCAAGCAACGAAAATAAATACTATTTTGTTAAACTTCTTAGAAGTAATTTAGACACTGGATGACTATGATGAATTCATCTACTCTCAACAAGATGACGTTTCTGGGCATCTTTAATAATTAAGCAATGGCAGATTAATTTTTTAAGCTAGCCTTTGTAAGTGGTAAGATAAATAACTTTATGGAAGTTATATGGTCTGCTTCTCAGGATAACCAAAGCACCTTAACTTCATTTTCATATACTTAGCTCCTTATCAATTTTTAAATTCTATCCTCTTGTTTGTATTCAGTCAGCAAATACTTAACAAGCACTGGAGATTCAATAATGAATGAGACACCATCCTTGCCTTTAAGGTATACATAGACTAAGAGTGATGATACACAAATAATCAAGCAAAGTAATCAAAACAGTGTTAAGAGTGCTATGCATGGGGGCAAACACAGGGTGATGGGAGCCCAGGGTGGGGAGTGGCTTACTTAGTGGTGGGAGCCAGGGAAGTCCAGCCTGAGAAGGCTACATTTCAGCCAATTGAAGGAGGAGTAGGATATGGAGGACAAAGAAAGCAGCACATTTGAAATCCTGGTAAGATAAATTATGATGCATTTTTGGAAATTGAAGCAATCCAATATGTCTGGAGAAGCTAATTTTACGTGGTAAGTGGCTTTGGAGGGCATGGAATATGATGAGACCAGGGAGGTATTTGGGTTGTATCCTGTGGTCCTTTATAGCAAGTTAAGACTTGTTGAGTCTATTGTGAGGACCAATGGTAACTCTGGAAAGGCTAAGGGCAGGGATATAATAAAACCTTTAATATGTCAAAGAAAAGAAATCCTAGTTGCAGAGTAGCCAATGGTTTGGGGCTGAGACTGGGGGGTAAGCCGATCACGTACAAAGCTACAGCGCTAAGTCAGGTGAGAGATCATGATAGGCTGGCCTTACTAATGGCAGTGAAGATAAAAAGAAAGACATAGATTAACTCAGGAAATATTGAAGAAGAAAAACCGATTAATCACCGATTGGAAGTAATGGACAAAGGGAGAGAAAGGAGGATTTCCACATTTCTGACTCGGCTGGATGTGTGGTTGGTGATATGACTGCATGTGTTAGGGAACCAATTGAATTTGAATTTCTTTAGGAACCACCATTTACATATGTCTGGTTGACTGTGACTACACTGATCTGGAGTTGAGGGGCCAGGGGTGGGAATGGGGATATGGTCTCAATTGCCATGATGAATCTGGTCATTGTCAGCAAAGAAATGGGAACAGAAGCCATGAGAGAACACTGTTCTTTTAAGCCCTGACCCCAGAGAGTGCCCAAGGAGGTTGTTGGTGATCCTGAGGAAAGCAGACAATGGAGTGAAGGTGGCAGAAATCAGATCCACGTGGGCAAAGAAATGAATGTTAAATCAGGAAGTAAAGACAATAAAGGCAGGCAAACTCTTGCTAGAAATTTAGGAATTTAGGAGAGAGGTTGTTAAGTTGGTGTCTAGCTAGCTTTTTTTTTTGGTAGAAACAGGGTCTAGCTTTGTTTCCCAGGCTGGTCTTGAACTCTTGGTCTCAAACCATCCTCCTGCCTCAGCCTCCCAAAGCACTGGGTCATGCAGGCATAAACTATTGTCCCCAGCACAGCTTTTTTATTTTTTATTTTTAATAGGAAACATAGAAACTGAAACCCTTAGAATATGGTACTTTGTTAAGCAATCTGAACCCTTACTTGAGGTCTTTGTTGGCCTCTAGGGGACCTAACTCTGTGGAGAAAACTTAGCAGCTTTAAAGATGGTAGGGGGAAAAAAAATACTGAAGCCCTGATGCAGAGTATTACAATAAATTGCTTCTCACAGCTCTCATCCTCCTTTCCTGGACCTGGGAAACAGAGTGAAAACAAATCTTGTGAAGAACAAAGGAATGAGAAGCATGGATATTTTAATCTCTTGTTTCTTGTTAATTAAATAATCTTGTTTCATCTTGCACAGTCTTCTTCAGCTTAATAAAACATGATAATGATTACTTAGCTTTTAAAAAGCAGAAATTATAATCAATATTCTCAATAAAGAACTTGAGTAAACATTGGTTAAAAAAAAAGTGAGTACATTTTCTCTCCATGTATCAAGTCTTTGAAATGATCTTGTAGAAACTGAGCTGTGAGTTTGGGTAACACTTTTCTCATCTATTCCCAATCCTGGAATAGAATAATTAGCTCTAGGGGCTAGAACCCAATGGACAATTTTACCTACAGAAAAAGGAATGGAGCAAGTATTGCTATTACCTAAATATTTTTTAGAATAATATTTTACAGGAAATAAAGGGCAGTAAAATGATTTAGGCATATCTTTGTCTCTTATTATCTGAAATTTCCATGTCAGTGGAGAAAATGAATCAAGATATGCTTTGGTTTAGATGGTGGGACATGCAAAAATTTGGTAAATGCACTAAATATTGTGTTACAATGAATGAGTGAATGTTGCTTCATGTCCCAGGCAAAATAATCTTCAAGTAAGATCATAAGAAGTTATCTTAAGTGGATTTTGATATCTTTATTTTTATAATAATGAGAAAACCGAGATATATTTCCTTATGACCTAAAAATATCAATAATAAGAAATTTTATGTAGCTTAGAGACATATCAAGCTACAAGAAAGAATACATTTTAGGAAGAAGAAGAAGCAATTATTGTCTAATTTATAAATTAGAGTCATGTTTGCAAGTGTTCATTCAAAAAAAATTTTTTGAAAGCGACATAGCTTTTGCCTCTTTGCCTCTCTCTCTCTCTTTCTCTCTGCTTGTTCTTGGCATACATTCAACATTCTATGAGAAAGCCACCTGTAGAGGCCACATGTAAAGTTATACTGGCCACATAACTACCTGTGTGTGGTGAGCACAATGCGAGCTTCTGATGATTCAAGCCCCAGCCTTGAAGTCACTGAGCTTTGACATGCAGTGGATCAAATATAGGACCCTGCTTGTGGTCTGTCCAAATACAGGTGAGTAAAATACATGTTGTTTTAAGCTAAATGTTTTGGAGTGGTTTGTACGAAACAATAGAAAATGAGAACACACTAAGTAACCCTAAATTCAAGATAATAAATTACTTTTTCCTATTTGATAGAAAACATATATATTTTGATAGAAAACATATACGTTTCTGTTATCTTTTCCTCTCTGCATGAAAGGATATGTAGTCCTGTCTTTCTGTCTCATACACACACACTCTTTCTCTTATACACATCTGCCACATGCACGCTCACAGAGAAGTTCTAAGTTTTGCAACTACTTAAAGCTTGGGTCAAAACAAACCCTGAGATCAACCACAAAATAACTACCTGAATATAACTTGTTCCAGTAACAGGTAGCCCAACAGCATAAATGTGCTTCCCAACTCAAGCTATATGTTGATGACTTAAAGCTAAAAAACACATCTGGAGATGACACAGCTGATTGCAAATGACAGTAGGCTTAAGCGGACAGAGAGATGGTGTTTCCAGAAAACATTAGCATCCTGTTATGACTCACTATGTCCTCAGGCATGAGAAAGGTATGGTGTCAGTCCCTTATCTTTAGAATATTAGAGGCATTTTGTCCCTACTCAGCAACACTGAAAGAACAGATGACTAAGCAAAAAGAGTTGCAAGTAGCGCTGATTCTCCTGGCTGCATTCAGAAGCTCTCTAGTTATAATAATGTAAACATTTCCAGTAGTAAGAAAGAATTCAAGGTGAGTCACAGTTTACAATAAAGTTAAAATAGCTTATTAGAAACTACTCCAATCCAGAGTAGAGGGTCCTCAGAAAGCAAGAGGAGGAATACCCCTAACTCAAATGTAACACTTGCTTATGTTGGATATTAAAGATGAGAACAGTGTACTTTATTATAAAGGCTTGTGATTAGCTTGTGACAGACAATAATAATAATAATAATAATAGTGTAAACATATAATTTTCTCTATTTTTATCTGATGATCCTCAGTTTAAAGCAACAAATATTTATTTGGTTCTTCTTCTATGTCAGGCACTGTGCTAGGAACTTGGGTTACCATCCTGAACAAGGAACAACCCCTGGCTACATGAAACATGTATCCAAAAAAGAAACAGAAAAATATACAGGCAATCTCCATGTGGATGCTAAAGGCTACACTAGGGTGAAATACAGTGGTCTATGAGAGCCCAGAGAAGAGGCACTAAGCTAGCTTGAGAAGGGCTGGTTTCCAGGAAGACGTTATGGCAAAAGCGTAATCTGAATCCAGACCCGAAGGAAGCATAGGAAGTGAAGGGGAGGCAGTCAGGAATGTGTATAGATATTGGTTGCAGGGCAGGGTAGGGGACAGGCTGGAGGGAAGCTGTTTCATACAAAGGGCATAGGATGTCCGAAGGATCAGAAGCAAGACATTGCAACACTATCGGGGAATGAAAAGCTCAGTTTTCTTCCTTGTTTGGTTGGTTGGCTTAAAAAAATTTTTTTAAACAGTACGATGAAGAGAAGTGCTAATAGATGAGACTAGAGATGTGAGCCCCTGTCTAATTATGGAATATGAAAAAGTTTTCATTGGAGACCACTGAAGGAAGCTAAACCAGGGAGTAATATATCATATTTGTGCTTTAGAAAAAAAGCCACTCTGGTTTCACCATGAAAACCAAGTTAGAAGGGGCTACTAGAGCCAAACAAACAGAGTTACTGTTTTTCACACCCCTAAAGAGGAGAGCGCCCTCTGATAATTCCCTCAGTGCACCTCCTCCAGGTCCTGGGCTAAGGGTGATGGTGGCTTCTATGTCTGACACTCTCATAGTTTTCTGCGTGTGTCTGAGGACATCACGCCACCCTTTGTCAGCTTGTCTACCCAGCTCCTGGACAAGCACTTCAGCCTCAAGGCATGAACTTGGTGATTCATTTTCCCATCCCATATTTTATTTAAATCTGCTAACTCTCATAAATAAGGAATTAAAAAATAATTACCACGTTAAAGTTTAGATTTTATGTAACCAATAGAAAACAAAACAAAATAAATATTTTGATGCCTAATTTTTAGCAAGAAAAAGATAATATGCACAATGTTTAATGTTTTAAAGTTAATGTGTAGGCCGGGCACAGTGGCATAGGCCTGTAATCCCAGCACTTTGGGAGGCCGAGGCAGAAGGATCACTTGAGGTCAGGAGTTTGGGACCAGCCTGGCCGACATGGTGAAACCCTGTCTCCACTAAAATACGAAGATTAACTGGGTGTGGTGGTGGGCGTCTGTAATCCCAGCTACTCAGGAGGCTGAGGCAGAAGAATCCCTTGAACCTGGGAGGTGGAGGTTGCAGTGAGCCAAAATTGTGCCACAGCACTCCAGCCTGGGTGACAGAGCAAGACTCCCTCTCCAAAACAAAAACAAAACAAAACAAAACAAAAAAAACAAAAAAAAAACAAAAAACAGTTAATATGTATTATTTCTAAGCCCTAATTTCAAAATATCAAATCTATAGTCATTTTCTACAGTAATTTTATATAACTATCACTTTGTCAAATAAATTTAGAAACATCAGAAGTTATTATACCACACTTTTGAAGTCTATTTATAATGTTGATATTTAACTGACTCATTTATTTTGTGTTTTGAAACTGCTAAATTAAGAAATGGCTGATTTTGACATTTCTGAAAATGGAATCAGTGCAACAATTGTTGGGTTGACTAGGTGTGAGTCATGTATGCAGTGTTTCTGCAATGGAATTCAGGATGTACTTGAAGGCTGGTAAGGCTAGGTAAGGAGAGGACCCAAGGGGGGTCACCCTGTAGATGGATCACTTCTCAGTAGTGACTGTGGGCAATTACAATAGTCAATTTGTTTTGGTGGTTGGAAAACATTATCCTGACTCTATAAACCTAACATATAGGATTCTTTTATTTATTTATTTATTTTGAGACAGAGTCTCCATTTTGTTGCCCAGGCTGGAGTGCAATGAAACCATCTCAGCTCACTGCAACCTCTGACTCCCGGGTTCAAGCGATTCTCTTGCCTCAGCCTCCCAAGTAGCTGGGATTACAGGCATGCACCACCACACCCAGAAAATTTTTGTATTTTTAGTAGAGATGGGGTTTTACCATATTGGCCAAGTTAGTCCCGAACTCCTGACCTCAGGTGATCTACCTGCTTTGCCCTCTCAAAGTGCTGGAATTATAGGCATGAGCTACCGCACCCAGCCCTTATAGGATTCTTGATATGAAAATATACCTTTGTGTGTCTGTACACAGTTCTTGAAACAATTGCTCAATGGAAACATCCACCTAATGTCACTTAGTTTGCTTCTCTTAATGTCAGGTGAAATCATGTACATTGCCACACAAGAAGAATCCTTCAAGATGGTAGGAAGTGGAAATGCAGAGTAGTTAGGAGTGTATCCTCTGAAGGCAGGCATGTTTCTACCTCTTATTTGCCGCTGCAACAGGAATTAGCCTCTCTCAGCACTACTTCCTCATGAAAATAGAAGAATACCAACAAGAGCACTTACTCAGAGAGTTGTTCTCAAAAGATGCTAGCAGTTGTTTGACTCTAGTACCTTTTCCACTGCATCATACTGAACATATATAGAAGGAAATGTAATCCCATGGGCTTGGTTACATATTCTGTGTTAGAAATCTGCCTCTACCACTTACTACTTGAATGGCATTAGATATGCTAATTAGTTTCTCCAAAAGTCAGGTGCCTACCTCATAAGGTTGTTTTGAAGATTAAATTAGAAAATGCATATAAATTACTAAGTTGGTGCAAAACTAATTGCGGTTTTTGCCATTAGTTTTGCACCAACCTAACACTTATGCCATTATGGCAAAAATCACAATTAGGTTTGCACCAACCTAATACTTAGCACAGTGCCTGGTCCACAGTGAGCAGTCAAATAATGTCAGATGTGATCAATAGTTTCAAATGCTACAGAGAGGTTTGTAAAGATAAAGACAGAGAATATGCTCTTGGGCTTAGCAAGAAAAAGGCTTACTTCTTTATTTAACATGTATACATTGCCTGAATGCCAAGCATGTTCTAGGTGATGGGGTCAACAGCCTCTGCAATCTGATAAGAAAAGAGACTAAGTTAGGAGGAAATCTCCATGGAGTGTGATGAGTACAACCAGAGCAGAAATTTCAGCAGCTTCAATGGCTCCCATTTACTGTGTTATGTGCTTTACATATGCAGATTCCTTCAATCTTCACAACCGCTTCATGAGGTAGGCAGGGGTGAATTCAAGTTTTGTGGTGCTTGAATTTCAAATATTTGGGTCCCTCCTTAAGGAAAAGAACATGAAATTGCAAAAACAAAATGAGATACAATCACAACTATTCATTTAAAATGAGAAATCACTATAAAGTATACATTTTTAAAAAAGATGATGAATACAAGAACCATCACAAAATCAGCATTATCATTTTATTAAATAATTGCTAATATACATATACAACAGTTTATCCATAAATTTTTAGCTGCATAATCTTTGATCACCTCCTCATGTAACAATATTGTTGTAGTATTATTTATAGAGAGCATTAAATTTCAGAGATGGCCCCCATTTTCAGCCCTGCTAATATCCTCACCATTGTCATATAACTTTGTGGTGCTCACCTACTTTGATTTTGGGCTTAACCATGTGATTGGATTTGGTTAATGGGATGTTAACAAATGTGAAGCAACTGAAGGTTTGAAAAGTGCTTGCACAGTTGGCCTTCCTCTCTCTCACACCTCTGCCTTTTGATAAGAATGTACTTAGACCAGCTTAGATAAGTGCAGCATACCCCAGTCACCCTGGTTGTCAGCTGAAGCCAGCCTAGATCAACCTACTGGTAACCTACCCACAGAAAAGGAGAAAACCAAGCTAAGATCAAGAGAGCCATCTGGTCAACTCCCATCTGACTTCATTCTCATAAACAGTATGTTTATTGTTGAATGCCACTGAGGTGTTGCAGTCATTTGTTACACAGCACTACTGAGGCAATAGATAACTGATTCAGACAGAATAGAAAATTCCCTCTAACATGCTTGATAAAAAAAAATATTTATTATTGTTGATTTAGAAAAGTTTCAACTTCACAACTCATATTGGTGATGTCACCAATGTCAAGAATGGTTTGTTAATTTCATTATTCATAAAGTGATAACTTATCTTAGCAATATAATTTTTTAGTATTGTTGTCAAATTTTGGGAAAACTTTTCAGGCTTCCTTAACGTTTGTCACAGATATAAATGGTATTTATTTTAACAGTGCTGCTATTGGTTTGTGTCCTACAAGCATAGGAATTCAGGTAAGATTTATTTTGCACAATTTTTATCAAAATAAGGCAGAAAGCATAGGTGCATTCACATTTGTATTTGCTGTATTACTGAATATATCCCTGATAGTCAATACCTTCCATTCAAACTGATCTCTATTGGATCTGAATCCTCTGCTTTTTTGTACCTGATGGGAAGAGTTTTCCACAGACTATCTTCAGGCTTTGTACACTTCACATCTTGGTTTTCCTTTTGCATTTATGTACTTCTGATGCCAGGCTCTGTAGAAGATGTTTCTATTTTGCCATGACCACAGGTCCTGCATCTTTCTCCCATAATAACCTGGTGAGTTGCCACATGTGGCAGCAAAAATATTGCAGGCAGACATTTCTAGGTGGGGATAGCCAGCAAAATTTAATCATACATGAAAGCAATTGTGAAACACATAAATATATTTTTCTATACTCAAGTTGAATGTATCACCAACTAAACTTCCCTGTAGCTGGACCCAAAAATTGTTATGACCATTTCAGATACCATCCAGTGGAGGGGAATTACAACAGAAGAAGACAGACAGAAAAAAAGAAAAAAAGCACTTTTGCAAAATGTTAAAAAGACATGACTTAGAAAATACATTGCTCTGGTCCTTCCTCCCAGAGCTTGCCTTCCTCCCAGGCAAATGAAGGGCCCTAAAGCAGGAGCTTCATTTGGTGCTACTAATATCCCCCCTTATAGTTTAGAGAGACTGAGAGAGTTTAAGTAATTTGCCCCAGGTCACAGGATTAATTTGATAAACTTGTGAAGAAGACCTGGCGGTTCAGCTAGACTTGATTGCAGCAGCGATTACACAATCTCCAACTACGGAAAGAAGAGAAACCTGGAGGCTGAAAAGCCAGCCCAGCAGGGCCTGGAAGTCAGGTGGGCAAGAGAGGTGACCCTGGGGTGGGAAGATTGTCAAGTAGCTGAGAAGAAGGACCCCCCCACCAGACTGAAGGAAGGAATGACTAAAATGTGTGTTGAGTGGATAAAGAAATTATAGATTTTAGTGATTGAGTGGCATTTATAAGGTTCTGCATGTTTCATGAGTGTGGTTTAACTGACAGGAAAATGTGCAACCTAAATCTTTAACAAACAATTGGTTTTGAAGTTTCAAAGAATAGAGAGTTGGGGAGAAGATGGAAAGAAAAAAATTCAAGCTGAGTATTAAAGGCCTATCCGGAAGAGAAGGAAAAAAAATCATTGTCTCCTGTTCAAAACCTTCTACAGTTTGAAAACTATAACTAAGTCTCTTTCAAACTTCTCTATTAATCCAGTGTACCTTCAAGCCTTCATCAAAGGATATTCCCAAGTTTATAGTTGCTTTTGCCTTCTGAATATTCCTTAGGTTTCTCATTTTTAATTATGGTATCTCCAAATTAGCCTATTTTATGACCTTCTAATAATGATCTGGCTAAGGTTAGAAATGGAGAGAAAACCTTATTCCTACCAGTAAGCCACAGTCATGTGTTTACATCTATGATAATGTGGTGGTGCATCACCCCTATTGTATCAAATGCAGGTTTCACAATATTCAAGAATTTCAAGCTGAGCTAGTTAGTGTCTCCAAGGTCAATACCACCATGACTTTTCTTCCAGAGTTCATGGTTTTGTGTTCGTGACTATGGACATGAGGTCTAAACCAGATACACTTGGAGACAAGGCCTAAAGCACTTTAACTCTACAATGACAAATGGACTGTGGACTCTATTCTTTCAAAACACTTTGCATGAAAAGAACTGTAATAAACTAAAAACATAGATGGACATGGAGAGGTTTATTTTTCTTAGACAAATAATGAAAATAGAGCCCCACATTTTCTCCACTTGATTTTCTATTTAGACTGCAGCACTTCGTCTTTATCCTCTCCTGGGTGAAAGAGACCCCTTAGGCTAAGAGGAAATTGAAAGTCAGCAGCAGTCTCCTCAGTCCCTTGATCTGCCTGTTGACCTAATGGGCTCCATCTTTTGAAGAGAGTTGAGGCCAAAACTTTCATTTCTGAAATGTCAATGAATTATTAAACTCATAACACAAATGACATCAAAGGAAACCCATGGTGCTTTTGGTGTCCCGGGGAAAATTTCATCTTATATCTCAGATTAAATATAGTCTTGCATAAACAAACAAATGAACAAACAAACAAAAACGCAGAGCAGTTAAATTGTCAGTGATTTGGAAAGCCCAAATCAAATATTCTTGAGGATGTGGCTTGTTTAATAAACTTTTATGCAGTTTTGGCTGGCTTCATTACATAGAGGGCTAACCAGTGCTGCTTTGAACCACTGAAAAGAACAGATGAACTTGGAGATACTGTTTTCACTATCTAATGAGAATAAAATAGACCAAATGTGATTGTTAAGAAATTGCTGTTAGGGGAAAAACCTTTCATTGTTTTTATACAAAGTTGCTATTGCAATGTACCTATTTCAAATCATTTTAAGGTTTAACAAGTTTGTTTATAAACATGGATTTCTTTCACTAGTACAATAAACCCATTTGGTGGGCAATGCTTTTTTTTTTTTTTGAGACAGAGTCTCGCTCTGTCACCAGGTTGGGGTGCAGTGGTGCAATCTTGGTTCACTACAACCTCCACCTCCTGGGTTCAAGCGATTCTCCTGCCTCAGCCTCCCTAGTAG
Organism: Homo sapiens; assembly: GCF_000001405.40. Taxonomy (NCBI): domain Eukaryota; kingdom Metazoa; phylum Chordata; class Mammalia; order Primates; family Hominidae; genus Homo; species Homo sapiens. Next base: position 121,265,353 of record NC_000004.12, on the reverse strand, counting down.
CTGGAACTACAGGCATGCGCCAACACACTAAGCTAAATTTTGTAGTTTTAGTAGAGACGGGGTTTCATCATGTTGGCCAGGATGGTCTCGGTCTCTTGACCTCAGCCTCCCAAAGCACTGGGATTACAAGTGTGAGCCACTGCTCCTGGCCTAATTTTTGTATTTTTAGTAGAGACGGGGTTTCACCATGTTGGCCGGAATGATCTCAGTCTCCTGACTTTGTGATCCACCTGCCTCGGCCTTCCAAAGTGCTGGGATTACAGGCGTGGGGTAATGCATATATTATTGCTACAGTTTATATATGAGGAAGCTGAGGATTTGTAATGCCAAGTTCACTTACAAAAGGCCACACAACTAATAAGAAGCACAGCCTGGACTTGAACCCAGGCTTCTGTCTTTTAGACCAGTGACGTTCTTATGTGTTAGTCATATTTTTAACTTTCTGTCTTTTATGATCTTTGATATCTTGGGTTCTTGCTAATGCTAGAAAATCTGCCCCTCCCATGGCTAGCTAATTCCTATAGAGAGTAAACAACTTGTCTTTCATATGCAAACCAACCAATCCAAAACCCATACCCTAAACCACCTGCTTTCTTTAACTCTCACACACCAAACTAGTATTTCCCCTGCATTAAATCAACTTAGGACCAGGAACTGATAGCTAGGGACCACCCCTATATTATGGAGTCAAGTGAAATTTTTCAAACTAGCCAGTCCTCAACTGCTTACCTTGCCTCGACTTTTCCTTTCCCCCCAAAACCACAATAAAAGCCCTTTGCCCATACTTTCTGCTCATTGTTTCTGCCTTCTGATCGAAGCTGGTGCTTCCCTGTGTGTGGCCTTGTATGGCATGGCATGCCCCTCCACTTGGGAACTGTGAGTAATAAAACTCTTTCTTCAAAGGTAGTTGTCTCTATGGCTGCCACCTTGGCACATCTGATTAAAAGAAAAAATTCCAGATACATATCTAGGCATCTTCCCACATCAGCATCATACCCCTTTGGTAGTTAGCATTACCCTTGCCCCGTCCCTGGACACTAAGGGAGGAAGCTACTTATAAGGTCCCCCAGAGCTTCTAAGTTATACAGGCCCCATGCAAATAATTTTTGTATGGTCCCTGTCCTTATTAACATTCTGATTAAAAATAGACTGCAAGATTCATCAGTCCTTGCAAGTTACAGTGTTTTATTGATGAAGATTTAGAATAATGGGTAGAGAAGAGGTACTTAGGTATTTGCATATGATCCAATCAGTGTACTGAAGATTCTTTGTGGTGTCCAGGCATTGTCTTGTTCAGATCCGGAAACCATTTTTTAAATGTTCTTTATTGACAAATGTGCAGTTTCTGGCTAATTTCATATTTCTTACCACAAGCAAATGATAGTAATGCTGTTATTACTCAAAATGTGATGGATCTTTAGAATCTGTTTCATGTGGGAAAATATAGCTATTCTTGCCTCTGTTGTTGCCCATTGCCATTTGTTTACTGCTGGTTAGATCATTACCTTTGATGCTATATTATCCATCATGCCACCCATGGATGTTGCCTTCCAGCGACTCTGAAAGGGTTTGTTTCTGTGCTTTGTTAATGAGGCCCACAAATGCAAGCCTTGCCCCATCTGTGCAAAAAATATGAGCAATAATTTGTTTGATGGTCATGTTAAATTTGCCATTCAGAACTTTGTAGCAAAAGCATGTCTTCCAACTGTATCTCCTATAAACTCTTTAGACGATAATCACTGTCTTCTTAAAACTATCACTTTTTCAATGTCACCTGCACACTTTCCTCTATACATTGCTGTCAACAAGAGGTATAAGCAAGGGGCTAGTGAGTGGAGTGAGAAGGGCATTCTTATATGTGCAAAAAATGGACTCCCTCATATGACATGATTTAAGACCTGAGAGAACAACATCATAATATCAATTAGAGACAAGAGAGGACATGGAATAAAAGGGCCCTTTGGAATAGCAGTCACTGGTCTTTAACACTTTCAGACTAGATAGGTGCAGCCTGCACTGTGACTGTCAACCATATGTGGCATGAAGCCTGCTGAGAGGGTGGGGTGACCTCCCTGGGTCTCACATAAGCTAAAGGAAGGATGCCTTCTGCCACTCTCACCACCCTCAAGTGCTGTAGACAAGAGGTGGATCCTGGATGGAATTTGGGCTGGTGAAAGGCCAAGAATGCAGCCATAGGCCAAGAATCCACAGTGGACCAGAGGCCTGACTGAGCTCACCCTGCATCTTTCCAGAGCAAAAGGTACTTCGTGTGAGTGTGCCAGCACCATGGTATAGCCCAATTTCTTGTGATCACATGAAAGAAAGCAAGCAGTCAGTAGAGAGCTGCTTACCAGGCCATCCTCCTAGAACCAGGGCCTGACCAGAGAGCCTGGGGACAACACCTCAGGCATAAATCCGGGCATCTGTTGATGCCTTGTATGGGAAAGAGAATCAGAGACTGCCCCAAATAGGAAGATGCAAAGACCAGAACCCACAGAGCCCTGAGCTCAGAGCATTCTGCCCTTGTGCCTCTGCCAGCTGGTCCCAGGCACCAGAGGGTCTTAGAAATGTCAAGAATGGCACTTCATAGCACAGGGCTCTTGAGCCGGGGCCCTGCTTGTTCAGGTGTTAGGGTGATACTATACTGATTCCCTGCCCCCACTGCATTTTGTTACTTTTTCTGATTAGCAAGACAATGAAAAGCTCCAGAATACATGATGAGAAGCCTCATTTTCTGTAACAAATATCATCCATGTGCCCCTTCAAATCCATTTCCACCCCTTTTCACCTCCTCTCTGCTCTGGAGTGCTGACTGATAAGGACTGCATCTTCAAGGTCTCTGACCCTCTCACTTCCAGGTGGATTTCACCAATGGAAAGCCCTGGTTGGGGATCAGAGGGACATGTCAAATGAAATAAGAGAACTATTCCCCCTCATTCTTTCCTTGTGAAATCATTTTAGGTTTGTTTCCCCACCCAAGACCACTACCCCTCTTAGTCCGCCCTTCCCCATTTTAATCTCTCTCCTGGGTTCTGGCCGCTTCTCTCCCAGTGGTACCAACTTGGCTGCTTCTAGCGCAAGGGTTCTGCACTATCTACAGGGGTAGTGTTACTTCCTTTGTAATTAACTCTTCTAGAATTGTCTTATATTGATACACTTACAAATGCAATGCCTTGTTAAAACATACACAAGTGAGAGATAGGCAGCAACTGGTGAGGGCTCCTGCTTATTGGCCCATGGCCAGTGCAAGCTGCCTACAAGCCTCATGAACAGGCTAGTCTCACTCAGTCAGCTATCAGGGCCTGCACTTTCTGTCTAAGACATGTGAGCTGTTTGCAACAGAAGACCTGGGCATCCCTCAGCTGGGCTCACAGATCATGACCCTCTGGCTGCTTCACGGAGCTCCATTTCCTGGTCCTCCTCAGAAAACGTTATGGTTTGGCACAGGGTTATAGCCAGTCATCATGCTTTCCCATCTGTAAAATAAAGAGGTTGGATTAGGGGATGTCTAAGATCCCTTCTGGCACTAGCGTTTGAGATTTGGAGAAATTGCCAAAGTGGAAGTGCTTCCTTCCAGGTCCACCCTTAACATTTGCAGAGCTTAGTAAAGAATGCAAATGGAAGTCATCTTAACTGTGATTCTAAATCTTTAGAAGTTTCAAATAACAGTACAAACAATTTTTAAAAATATGTTCTACATTTTCACCCTGACAAATGATTCTTTAATCACAATAAAATTTTTTAAATGTGTAAAGCTATAGTTTATCAGCAAAATAGCAAAGATGTGTGAATTTTAACCATGACTGCATAAATGTGATTATTATGTTGGTTGGCAATATTTGAATGAGTAATAAAATGAAGATGTGCATAAATTATAAATAATTCTGTATTACTTCCAAATTTAAAAAAATATTTATTGTAGTGAAGGTGCTAATTATGGCTTTGCCATCAAAATTTCTTTACAATTTTTGTTCTTCTAACAGGGTCTAAATGATTAAAAAAATAAAGGCAATCGTATTCAAAGTATACAAATATTTTAATAGATTTTTACACAAATATGACTTACCGTGTAAAAATTCCAAACATTAAAGTTATTTCTATATGTTAAATTAGTTTTCTTCTAAATATTCAAATTTCTTCTAAATATTCAAAATAATAAGCATTAAGATGTAAAATAATATTAATGAATAACAAACATTCAAATAAAAATTATTTAAATAAAGCTAAACTTTTTGTTTGAAAATTTAATTAAATTTTCTTTTATTAAAAATCTCCCACATTCTAGAGTTCATTATCAATTATCCAGCATCTATAAGAAACTTAAACAAACTTACAAGAAAAAAACAAACAATTTTATTAAAAAGTGGGCAAAGGACATGATCAGACACTTCTCAAAAGAAGACATACATGCAGCCAACAAACATGGAAAAAAGCTCAAGATCCCTGATCATTAGAGAAATGCAAATGAAAACCACAATGAGACACCATCTCACACCAGTCAGAATGGCTATTACTTAAAAGTCAAAAGACAACAGATGCTGGTGTGGTTGTGGAGAAAAAGGAAGACTTTTACACTGTTGGTGGGAGTGTAAATTAGTTCAACCATTGTGAAAGACAGTGTGGTGGTTCCTCAAAGACCTAGAGGCAGAAATACCATTTGACTTGGCATTCCCATTACTGGGCATATACACAAAGGAATAGAAATATTTCTATTATAAAGACATGAGCATGTGTATGTTCATTGCAGCAGTATTCACAATAGCAAAGACATGGAATCAATGATAAACTGGATAAAGAAAATGTGGTACATATACACTGTGGAAATCTATGCAGCCATGAAAAGGAATGAGGTCATGTCCTTTGCAGGGGCATAGATGGAGCTGGAGGCCATTATCTTTAGCAAACTAACACAGGAACAGAAAATCAAACTGCATGTTCTCACTTATAAGAAATGGGAGCTGAACAATGAGAACACATGGACACAACGAGGGGGAACAACATACATTGGGGCCTGTTGGGGTCGGGGTTGTGGGGAGGGAGAGCATCAAATATAGCTAATGCATGCTGGACTTAATACTAGGTGATGGGTGGATCCGTGCAGCTAACTACCATGGCACACGTTTACCTATGTAACAAAACTGTACACCCTGCACATGTAGCCCTGAACTTAAAAGTTGGAAATTAAAAAATATATATCCCACAATTCTAGAGTTCAGTGTCCATCTAGTTGTCTACGTAAAATGTATTCCTTTTACACATATTATTTCCACACCTGATATATACAAGCTTAAGATGAAGATGAATTGTTTAATAACCTAAAATCTTACTCACCAGTCATGTGCAACTGTTGTGAAGAGTAGGCTAATTTGCAAAACCTCCAGAAACACAAATTAGAACACAAAAAGTAGGAAGAAAACGAACATTTGGCACTACCAAGAAACAATATTTCATTACTCACAGGGGCTGACATGTGGTTGGGCACAATAAAATGTAATTTTTATTAGTAGAAGTATCAATAGTCATGAGTAATAGTTGTAGTATTAATTATGTTTATTTTAAAAATTTTGTTGCTTTCTGCAACAACAGAGAGCAACAAAAGCTTATATACAATAAGTTTGTATATATCAGGTCTGGAAATAATATGTGTGAAAGGAATACTTACTTTTTACATTGGCAGCTAGGTGGACACTGCTCTCTGCTTATTCTTTTGCTCTGTGTTGCAGAATTATTTGGGGGCTAATTTAAATAAACATAGCCTATTCAATTTCTCCTCTATTTAGACCTAATTAAATCCTAATTTCAATTCAATAGACAATTAGGGGGTTAATTAACTACTGTTGTCTCAATAGTTGTCTCAATTTTACCTAGAGAGAAGAGATTTTTAGTAAACAAAATCATCATTCTGTTAGAATCTAACTGATAAGTATTTAGCAAAAAGTTTCGATTCAGATACATTTTGAGCTAAATTGCCCTCATAATTTGAACACTGAATCTTGGCTTCTAATTTCAAGGACAGAAATGTAACTGCAAAGCAAAATTTTATACAAAGCCTGATACTTTATCTCTTTCAACCTCAACAGGCTAGGAGTATTATTAATAGAACTTTAAGAAATAATCTTTGCATTCCTTTGTCCTATATTAATTTTCATTTCTTTGCCTTTTGTCTTTTTAAAATTTCTCCACTACCTTATCAAAGAGAAATTGGCAATGATCACATTTTCTACTTCAATTTTCACAATGGGTATGTTTTAAAATGTAGACTAATAGACCAAAAGGAACGGAGTTGATCAGAGAGTTCTTGTGCTTTTGCTTTTGTGAAGTAAGCTCTTCACATCAACCGTCGCAAGATTTCTGTCACACTGGTACCTTTTGAAAGTTGGGTTCTTTCTCCTCCAAGAAGGAAAACAGAATTGAGCTTAAAGTGCTTTTAAAGTAGTAATGGCATCTGGAAAAATTATATTTTAATGCTATATGAAAGAACATCTCCAACAGAAATAACTTATCTTGAAATTAGCAGAAATGTCACCTAGATTGAGAATGCATGAGCACCTTTTATAAGTTAAGGTGGAACAATTTATAAATACAGTAATGAAACTACAGGTATTGGGATAGTATACTGCTTTTTTCAGCTGCTTACCAATTCCTTTTTTCCTTCCAATGAAAGAGAAGGATAGAAGCCACAAATCCTTCTCTGTTCTCTTTAGCGGAATAGTTATATCTAGAAGAATTCCCTAAAAATTTCCCAAGACATTCTGGCCTGACAGCAGAAAAGGAAAGCCCACTGTCAGATAGAGACCCTAAATCCATTTCCATCTGAATACAGATTATCCAAGACCTCTCTGCTTGTGGAAAATATTTCTAAATATCCAAACAAAGGAACAAGTCTCTGAAAAATGGGGCAATAATCAATGTTTGAAAAGGAACAGTCCTGGTAGTATCAAGCATGGCTTATGAATATTCAAATTTTAATTTTCAGTGGCCAGGCCCCGAGAGCCCCGACACAAAAAAATAAAATAACATACAAATACAAATAGCCACTGCACCTGGTCAGTATCTTAAAGATTCTTAGAATGTTTGAACTGGCATGGATTCTAAGTACCAGATTTTTCAGAAGAAAGAACACCAAGAGGTAGTGACCTGGCCAATGCCACAGCATTGGACCTTGGCAAAGGCAAGGACTGTGAAGATATAGAGGAAGTATAGTGGCGTAGAAAAATCAAGGGTTATGTGAAGAGGCAGACTTTGGTTCTAGTCTCAGTTCTGCCACTTCCAAGAATGTTGAGGAAGTCTCTTAATGACACTGCCTTTGCAAAATTATGACTGAGACAGCGAAAGAGATCTAACATAACTGATTCCACCTTGCTTCTAACCTCCAAGCTGTCCTTGTTCATTCCTGGGCGTAGACTGAACTAACTTTGGGAGAAACTTGGGGAGAAACTACTTTTTTTTTTTTTTTTTTGAGATGGAGTCTCGCTCTGTTGCCCAGGCTGGAGTGCAGTGGCGTGATCTCGTCTCACTGCAAGCTCCGCCTCCTGGGTTCACGCCATTCTCCTTCCTCAGCCTCCCGAGTAGCTTGGACTACAGCTGCCCACCACCATGCCTGGCTAATTTTTTTGCATTTTTAGTAGAGACGGGGGTCTCACTGTGTTAGCCAGGATGGTTTCGATCTCCTGACCTTGTGATTCGCCCTCCTCAGCCTCCCAAAGTGCTGGGATTACAGGCGTGAGCCACTGCGCCCAGCAGATACTTAGTTTATAGTTTAAGCAAAGACGGTAACAGCCCTTTCCCAAAGCAGACCTCCTTCTTGCCTGGGGACTAGATTGCCTTTGCACGACTAACATTAGCCACAAGATTAGAAATTATGGTTTAGGAGTCATGCAGCTGGAGGCTACAAGATTCTGACCCTCCTTAAACTGCTCCTAAAATCAGTGCTTGAGATATTTTGCAGACCCTGCACTTGATGGATCAGCTGGCACCACCCATATCAATAAATTGGCTCATCTGATCATGTGGCCCCCACCCAGGAACTGACTCAGCACAAGAAGACAGCTCTGACTCCCTATGATTTCATATCTGACCAATCAGCACTCCTGGCTCACTGGCTTTCCCCCACCCACCAAGTTATCCTTAAAAACGCTGCTCCCTAAATGCTCAGGGAGACTGATTTGAGAAATAATAAAACTCCGGTCTCCTGCACAGCCTGCATGAATTGCTCTTTCTCTATTGCAATTCCCCTGTCTTGATGAATCAGCTCTGTCTAGGCAGAGGGCAAGGTGAACCTTGGGTGGTTACATTAACATAACAGAGCCCCTGTATCCATTTTCTTGTTTTTCAGAGTGAAGACTACTATGTGCTTACGGATTAAATAGACAGTATATAAAGTGCCTAGCACAGACCAGATGTGTTGTGAACATAGATTATCTCTTTTTTTCTCAAATCAAGAATTCTTTGAAATACAGACCTCTGTATGTGATCCCACTAAAGGCACTGAATAAAGGGAAATGTATAGTAATATTTGAAAAAAAAATCTCTGACCTAGAAAGTCCTTACTTTCAAAGCAATAGGTGTCAGTGACTCATTACTATTGGACTCAAACAGAAGAAAAGGGATGGGGGTTGGGAGGTTCCTATCAAAGCAAAACATAGGACACAGATGAATAAAAATACACACATATATGTTTTATACACATGTTAAACTATCTGCATTTAGGTGGAACTAAAGAGAGTTCAATCATAACTGATTCTACCCTCTTCTGACTCATAAGCAGCATTAAGTAACTTCCTGTACTCTACTGAAATGAGTTTTCTCTCTGCCCACCCCAGCACCCTGTAGCCTGAGAACCTGGCTTCACTTCAGAAGTTGAGTCACTGCCTTTTTCTTAAAGACCATTTCTGCCAACACATTTCTCCATCTAATTTCAGAAAAGAAAGATTCACAAAGTCAAGGAGTCCCATTTGAGTAGTATCTTTTTTTCCCTGGTGCAGCTATAATGCCACCATGCATTTAAGGTCAACATTAAAGAAACAGAAGGGCAATTTTGAGAAGTCATCTAACCAAAGAAAATTAAAATAAAATTCAAATAAAAAGAAAAATATCAATGTTTCAACATCCCTCACAGTTGAATTCAGCTGCAATTTCTAATTTGCAAAAGGAAGTGGTTATTCATCTTAGTTCATAATGCTCCCCAAAGTGCTCAATTTCTCTTGCTTCTCTTAATCACAGACTCTAAAGGGACATGAGAGATGTGGATTAACAATGTGGAGATTTGAAATTGTTTTTAATTTTGGTACTATCAACTAAAATATGTAATCTTTGATTAATTTAAGGAATTTCAAATTGAAAGGAAAGATAATTTTCTTTTCTTTTTCTTTTTCTTTTTTTTTTAAGATGAAGTTTCACTCTTGTTGCCCAGGTTGGAGTACAATGGCATGATCTTGGCTCACTGCAACCTCTGCTTCCCGGGTTCAAGTGATCCACTTGCCTCCGCCTCCTGCATAGCTGGGATTACAGGCACCCGCCACCACACCCGGCTAAGTTTTGTATTTTTAGTAGAGATGGGGTTTCACCATGTTGGCCAGACTGGTCTCGAACTCCTGACTTCAGGTGATCTGCCCACCTCGGCCTCCCAAAGTGCTGGGATTACAGGCGTGAGCCACTGCACATGGCCAATGATTTTCTTAATTCAAGAGCACTATAAATTCATATAGAATTAAGCAATAGACACATTAACAATAAAACATGACTTATCACATGAAGTAAGAAGTTAATTATAGTGAATGTACTCAATTTCAATATTTTTTAAAACTCCAAGAGGAAATTGCTATGTTGAAAATAATAAGTGGTGTACACATGTATGAAAAGGAAGATCATGGGAAATGTGATGTATATGGTTACATCAGATGTACTTCTTTTCCATCCCTGTAGCTATGGTTTGGAGCAGGCTTCAACCAGGTTTGTACAGGCACGACCTGATAGTCTTGCTTTGAGCTATGTCATATACCTCATAGTGTGGCATGGGAAGCCCATGGGAAGCCACTTGGTGCTCACCCACGTGTAACCTGGAAGTACTGAAGAGTTAACACTGATAGAGCATACTTGACAAATGAAGGATGGGGCTGCTGGAAATGCTTCCCCCTTGGATCTTCTAGAGGGACAATTCTGACATTCATTACATAAGGCTCCTCAGAAGGTCCTGCTGGATGGAGCATCAGTTGACCATAGAAGTAACCAACACATGTCAGGCATGGTGGTTCATACCTATAATCGCAACACTTTGGGAGGCTGAGGCAGGTGAATCACTTGATCTCAGGAATTTGAAACCAGCCTGGGAAACATAGTGAATCCCCGTCTCTACAAAAAATACAAAAATTATCCAGGCATGGTGGCATGCGTGTGTAGTCCCAGCTACTCAGGAGGCTGAGGTGGGAGGATCACTTGAGCCCAGAAGGTTGAGGCTGCAGTGGACCAAGGTCATGCCACTGCACTCCAGCCTGGGTGACAGAGTAAGAGCCTGTCTCAAAAAAAAAAAAAAAAAAAAAAAGAAAAGAAAAAGAAAAAAAAAAGGTGACCAACACATTCTTACACTGCCTTTCCCTCCTCTGCTTGACTTCCTGTATCAGCTATCTATTGCCATGCAACAAATTACATAAAAAACTTAGTGATTTAAGACAACAATTTTTTTTTTTTTGAGGCGGAGTCTCTGTCTGTTGCCCAGGCTAAGAGTGCAGTGGCGCGATCTCGGCTCACTGCAACCTCCGCCTGCCGGGTTCACACTATTCTCCTGCCTCAGCCTCCTGAGTAGCTGGGACTACAGGCACCTGCCACCATGCCCTGCTAATTTTTTTGTATTTTTAGTAGAGATGGGGTTTTACCATGTTAGCCAGGGTGGTCTCGATCTCCTGACCTCGTGATCCGCCTGCCTCGGCCTCCCAAAGTGCTGGGATTACAGGCATGAGCCACTGCGCCCGGCCTAAGACAACAAACATTTATTCTCACAGTCTCTGTGGTCAACTTCAGAAGCAGCTTGGCTGAGTGGTTCTGTCTGTCTCAGGGTCTCTCATGAGGATGCATTCCAAATGTGAGCTAGGAGTGCATTCATCATAAGGCTTGGCTGGGGCTGGAGGACCCACTTCTAAAGTTACTTACAGGGATGTGAGCAGGAGCACTCAGTTTCTCACTACATGGACTGCTGCTCACGAGGTGGCAGCCAGCTTTCCCCAGAGTGAGCGATGTAACAGAGGGCAAAGGAGAGTGCAAGCAGGAAGCCACACTATCTTTAATGACCTAGTTTCAGAAGGGACATACTGTCACTTGTACTGTATGCTACTGGTGACATAGATCACCCCAGGTTCAATGCAGGAGGGGATTACACAAGAGTGTGAATACTAGGAGGCAGGGAACTAGGAGGCCATCTTGCAGGTGAGGCACACTTTCTCTATGCCTCACTCATGATCCCTGGGGTCATTTCAGAAAAAACACTTTTCTATTGACAGCACATTTGTTAAATTCCCCCAAATTCAGATATTGAAATCCTAATCCCCAAGTGGTGGTATCTGGAGGTGAAGGGTTTCACCCTTGGAAAGTAATTAACCATGAGGTTGGAGCTCTTGTGATGGGATTAGTACTCTTATAAGAAGAGACACAAGAGAGTTTGCTTCTTCTCTGTCCCCACCAGGTGAAGATACAGCAAGAAGGCATCTACTCGCAAACCAAGAAGAAGGCCCTCACCAGGAACCGAGTTACTTGCATCTTCATCTTGAACTTCCTGGTCTCCAGAAGAGTGAGAAATAAGTTTCTGTTCTTGACATCACCTATTTCATGTTATTTTTGTTACAGCAACTCAAGTTGACTAAGATACACTTGTATGAAACTCTTTTATCACAGGCTCTAGACTTGGATAAAAACTATGATAACATGGTGAATGATTTTCTCTCTGTGACTTTTCTAACGAGGTAGATCTATACGTGTATATGTTGATATATGGAAATATCTTTCCAAAAGATGTTATTTTGTGCAAAAAGTAAGTTGCAGAACTGTTCTATTGTATGCATAAAACCAAAACATTATAAAGGAAACTTAATAGTGGTAATTTCAGGGGGGAAGGAGATGAGGAAAGACTTTCTAATTTTCATTTTATTATTCTCAGCACTACTTGAATTTTTGAAATATATTTATGTATTCCTTTAAACATAATTTGATTTTTTGGGGTGGTGAGATTGTGGGTCACTTTAAATTTCTCTATAATTATCTATACACAAAAGTATCATAGTGTTTTTAAAAATAACAATTTTAACAGTCAAAGAGACCCTATTTTGTCAGGAACTATTAAAGATGTTCAAGAAATGGTTTAGTTAAAACAGTACATGAGGCCCCTATGTTTAATCTTTCCAGGTAGTGAGCTTCTGTGTTAACCCAATTATTTCACACAACAGAAGCAGGGAGACATTCCAAACTGCAAGAATCCATGCCCAAAGACAGCACACTTCTGTCAATCAGTCATTGTGCTGGCTGGGAGTCGATTCTCTTAACATTACGTTAAACCCGGGAGCACATGGAAGAATTACCTGGAACCATGCTCCAGAATTTTGCTCTTGTCCTCTGTTACTTTTCATGTGTTTCAAATTAACATAAACCCCTCAACAATACAGCACCAAGATAATGTGAATCCTGATAAAAAGCAATTGGCAATTGGTTGCTACTATTTTCTCAAGGGAGGTCAGGTAAAAGATCTTATCTTGGAAATGTCAGGCAACATTGTGTGATGAAGCAGGTGATAACGTGAAGGGTGGCTCCCTGCATCCTCAGTATTTTCCTAGCCTAATATCCCACAGTTACAGCCAGAGAAATGGGGATCAAATAACCAGAGCTGGGGTTTCATTGAGCCTGTCCTGGAAATCTCCTGACCACTGAGATAGTTAAGCTGTTGTGGACTACTGCCACCAGGTGGCAGCAAACTGAGTTGGGACTGGGATGGATTTAGATTATGCTTCCAGATCTCTCTTGTCAATTGGATACACAGATCCAACAAGCAACTCATTAACCTCGAATAATGCAACCCTGCATTTTACCCTTGGCTTTTTAAAACCCCACTTATGTAGTTATGGCAAGATTTTACTATCGTAAGATGTCTCTTACAGCCCAGATGATCTCTCAATAATACTAATTTATATCAAAACCAGAAAAGAACCTATAGTAATCTATTAAAGAATTTGAGTTTTCAACTTTATTTGACTGCAATTGTAAGGCATGGAGGAGACAGACCAAGATGCTAACAATGCTTTTTGAAATCATTTTTTTATAACAAGAAAAAAGGTGAAGGCATGTAGCCTTCCCAAATTATAGGAACATTTCTTGGTAAGAAAGTTTGTGGCCTAGAATTTTAATTGCAAATCCAAGTGTCCTTGCCAAGTTTTCCATGTTGTCGGTGAGGAACAGAGACGACTGTGGCTAAGACATTGCATCCTTTGGGTGCTGTGGGCCATGACCACTGTGCAGTGGACACTAGCAAGGTTCAGTATTACAGTCAGTATTGAAGTCTGTGAATATCTGGAATGCTAATATCAGTCAGTAGATTGGTGGATACCTAATATAGTGCATCACTTTCTGCTCATCCCAATATGAATTTAGTGTCCCCCACACTTCCAGCTTATTTTTGTGTTTAGCAGAGACATGAAAGCATGCAATGAGATCGAAATCTTGTTAACACGATAAAAGTTCAAAATGTGACGTAAATATAGAAAAAAAGTGGAAAGTTTTTTTGTATAAACTGTCTCTCTTGTCCTATAAGTTTTGTCCCCTTAAAAAGTTGTTGGTCCACTATACTCCTCTGAATGCCCCTCTGAGAGAAGTTATGTTTACTCAGGACTGATACATATTGTTGGATTTTCATTTTTGCCTTTTTATGGTGAATACATAGTGTGTGGATATAAGATTTAGCATACAGTAGATATTTTTTGAGTAAGGGTAAATGTGGCTACAAATATCCTTGCCTGCAACAGAAAGATCAGTAGGTATAAATTTAAATTCTATGCAAACCCACTTCCTTATACTCATTTACCCTTAGCTCCTTTTTATCACATTAGACTGAGGTAAATATTAATAAAATGTGCATATATTAACAAGTTTTCTCAGTTATTTTCCTCTGTTGTAAAAGGTTTTGAACCATAGAGACAGCAATTCTTCTTTTTCTCTGCCGATGACTCTTTTGGCTGGGAGAGACACTGCATTTTTGAAGCCCGACCCAGAATATTCTTCTCTTAACCCAATTAACTATTTTCATAATCACTGTAAAATTTAACCATAAAACTCATCTCTCCCACCTCAAGTTTTTTGTTTCTCAAGTGAAAGTAGAAAAACCTTGTTTATGTGAGTTCCTCATAATTGCTCATCATTTAGAGTTGTTGTTTGGAAAATCTTTGCAAAGATTCCTGTATCTTCAAGGATGTGGTAGCTCACTGACTGTAGAGACAAGACTTTACTGAAAGTTCTTTCTTAGATATGAAGAGTATAGTATTTACACTCTCCTTTTACTTAGGGAAATTAAAAAATATTATTTGGAAATTGATTTGTGGACATCAATGTAAATGCAAATAACAAAGAAAAAATTCTTTTCTTGGTCATATTCCAAGAGTTTCCACCCGGAGGAGACTCAGTTTTGGAGTTAACACTTTGGTGAGCCTGTTTGGAGTCTCCAGGGTTACAGGTTGGCTGGCACCTGAGATAGATTTCAAGGAATGAGGGAGAGCTCTACTATCTGCTTAGGAGGGGAGAGATTTGAGACTTCACATGGGAAGGATGGTCAGCGGGAGATCTAAAGGCTGGTAACTGAGAAGAAAGGTTGAGAAAAATTTATGGCGATTTTTGGAGTTAAATACCATATGTCATGCAATGCAAGCTCTCCCTTAATGTCCTCTGCAAAATCATTGGTAAATTTGCATTGCTCACTCATGCTTCATAGAGAAGAGTTTCTGTTGGGAAAAACTAAAAAGTACTGAATTAAGGTTTGTGTAAACTGAAAGAAGCTGTCTGCAGAAGAAATTACATATAATATGAAAAAATATTATAATAATATGATTTTCAAGCTGGAGAATCTCTTCCTTATCTAAGATGCCACACTTCTTATAATTTACATGAATAGAACATCAGTTTAGATGTCCTAAGAATAAATACTTACAGTATGTTAAAGGGAATGGTCATACTTAGTGTGTACCTCTCTGGGTTTGTTAGGGAGCAAGGACTTGAAGACAGAAATATATAAGCCTGATGCCTGAAGTACCTGAAACCTCTGGAATTGTAAATTACATAAACCAATGATTTCCATTTAAGTTGGTTTGGTTTGAATTTCCATCACATGCAGTGAAAACTCTCTTGCCTTTGATGCAGACAGTAATTCTAGTTATCATCAGAAGTAGTCAGAAAAGGAAGACTCATGGGGATGAGAGACTGAGAATAAGGAAGGAACCTGGTAACCATGGCGATTTGCCATCCTGTCTGCCTGGTCTGATCAGTATCCAAGTTCTAGCTTCAGCACTAGGCTGGGCGCCTGAAGAATTCCAAGGACTTCTTTATGTGAGAAACATTCTATCAAACCTTACCTGTGCCTTGGATATTGACGAGTGCTATGATTTGGATGTCCCCTCTAAAATTCATGTTAAAAGTTTAATTGCCATTGTAACAGGATTAAGAGGTGGCATGTTTAAGAGGTGATTAGGGCTTGAGGGCTCTGCCTTCATGAATGGTTTAGTGTCATTATCTCAGGAGTGGGTTAATTATTTCATGTGTGAGCTTTTGATAAAAAGGTGAAGTTCCGACTCCCATCCTCTCTGTCCCGCATTCTCTCTTGCCCTTCACTATGTTATGATTCCGCAAGAAGGCCCTCAGGAGAGGCTGACACCATCCTCTTGGACTTCCCAGTTTCCAGAACCGTAAGCCAAATAATCTTCTATTCTTTTTAAATTACTCTGTCTGTGGTATTCTGTTATAGCAGCAGAAAATGGTCTAAGACAAGGAGCTGGCCAGCTGCAGACTTGATCACAGAGGATGGATCACTGAGGGTAACTGGGATAAGAAGTAATGCATAATGGTGCACAATGAAGCAAAAAGGTCATTTCTGGTCTAAAGGTCTGTCTTACCTCTGAACTAGCCTTGACCCTCTTCCTTGACCATACTTCAGCCAGTTTTTCCAACTTGACTATGTACACTTCCTATTCATGACCCTGGCTGAAGCCATCTCCTTCATCCTTGACCCTGCTAACCCAGTCATTACCCCATACCTCCCTGGGGATTGCCTGAATCTATCTCCCACTGGGCTGACCATGCCCAACTCTCTAGCTATGTTTGCAGTTGTAAGTTTGGACTCCTGCCATCTGTTCCCTTTTTCACACAGGCCCTCAGTGGCCAGACCAACATAATGTTCTATCCATTATGTTTTAACAAGGCATTAACTTTGACTCTTTGGGGCCTGTGATTTACTACTGTGAGAGTTTTATTTGGAGGCTTGTGGGCGGTAATAACTGAACATGGTAGTTTAGAGGAAAGAGCAGTGAGAAGACACAGCTTCGAGACAGAAGGAATAAAAATTAAAGATTATTAATAATCTTATTGATTGCTTAATAATTTTGATCTTCACTTTCTTTCCATTTAAAAAAAAAAACTCTCTTGTGCTGTCTTCCATCTCCTAAAATTAGAGGAAGAATTCTAGTCATGATTCCCCAGGGGTTTGCGGTGAGCTACCGTGATGGTTTCTAACCTTTGACATCTGGGTATATCAAGGCCTGAGTCAGGGGAGGTCAACTGAACAGCAGAATACCAAGTTAATACTAAAATTTGTCTTGACTCCCACATTCTTCTATATTTTCTATAGCTCTCTCAATGTGGCTTTCACTTCAATCCTCCAAAATAAATAGCTCCTGTCAAGGTCACTAAATGAAGTCCACTTTTTAAAAACCAGTGGGAAATTTTCAGGTCGCTTACTTATCACAAGTGATTGCACAGCAGATCCTCCCTCCTCACTTGGCTTCCAGGGCACCATACTGTCTGGTTTTCTCCCTGGTAAGTTGATGCTTCTTACCAGTCTTTCTTCTGATTTCTCGTCTTTCCTATTCTTTTAATATTGGAGTGGCCCAGGGCTAAATCACTGGACCTCTTCTATACTCAGTGTGTTGGTGATCTCTCATGTAATCTCAGGGCCTTAAGTACCATCTATTTGCAGATGCTTCCCAAATCAATATCTCTGAGCTGATCTTCTCTCTTTAATTCCCAGGTGATATATACAACTTCCTACTTGATGGCTCTACTTGGATGTCTAATTTGCATCTTAACTCTAACATCTCACAAACTGAATTCTAGATCTTCCTCTTTAAACCTTCAACCTCCTCCTCACATAGGCTTCCCCATCTCAGTGAATGGCAACACAAGCTGTCTAGTTGCTCACACCAAAAACTTTGACATAATTCTTGTTTTTTAATTTAATTTAATTTAGTTTAATTTATTTATTTTTATTTTTTGGAGACAGAGTCTCAGTCTGTTGCCCAGGCTGGAGTGCAGAGGCATGATCTCAGCTCACTACAGAACTGTCTCCTGGGTTCAAGAGATTCTCCTGACTCAGCATTCCAAGTACCTGAGATTACAGGTGTCTGCCACCATGCCCAGCTAATTTTTGTATTTTTAGTAGAGAGGGGGCTTCACCATTTTGGCCAGGCTGGCCTTGAACTCCTGACCTCAAGTGATCCACCTGCCTCGGTGTGAGCCACAGCACCTGGCCTGACGTCATCCTTGAATTCTGATTTTTTTTTTTTTGGTGATGGAGTCTCACTCTGTTCTCCAGGCTAGAGTGCAGTGACATGATCTTGGCTCACTGCAACCTCCGCCTCCTGGGTTCGTGTCATTCTCCTGCCTCAGTCTCCCGAGTAGCTGGGACTACAGGCAGCTGCCACCACGACCGGCTAATTTTTTTTGTATTTTTAGTAGAGACGGGGTTTCATCACGTTAGCCAGGATGGTCTCGATCTCCTGACCTCATGATCCGCCCGCCTCAGCCTCCCAAAGTGCTGGGATTACAGGCGTGGGTCACCGTGCCTGGCCCATCCTTGAATATTTTTTCTCGAATACCTCCCATCCACTCCACCAGCAAATCCTTTTGGTCTAACTTCAGCTTATACTCCACCCACACAACCCTATCATCAGAATCCTGTGTCTGAAATAGCCTCCTACTGGTCCCATTTCTATCCCTGCTCCCCTAAAGTTTATTCTGAACATAGCAGCTAGAAAGATTCCTTTGGGGGAAAAAAAAAAAGTGAGATTACGTTTTTTCTCCACTCATAAATATCTAATGTCTTTCAGTGTCTTCCAGAGTAAAAGCCAACAGCCTTATGAAGGACTATGAGTCCTATGCAATGTGCCCTTTTTAATTCCTCTGACCTCATCCTCTCTCCTCTCCCTTCAGCATACCTCCTCTTTGTGACCTTTGCCCTTGCTGTTGCCTGGGCCTGGAACACCTTCCCACACTCCCTTGCCCTCTCTCTATCTGGGCTTCAATATCACCTTCTCAGTAGAGCCTTCTCTGACTACCAAATCCCACACCCCTTCCCCGTCTCTGTTTTGTATTTCTGCATACTTATCACCCTCTGACACATTCCATGTTTTGTTTGTTAGCATTCTGTCTTTCTCTAGTTAATCTTATGCTCCACCAGGGCATACAATTTTGTTTCGTTTACTTCTGTTCTCCACCTAAAACAGTGCCTGGCACATCAGAAGTACTCTATAGATATTGACTGAGTGAATAAATGACAAAAAATAAATTAATATTTCTACTCTTACTATGTAATCTCCCCTACCTCCCACAGAAAGAAAATTAGTAATAAACACTATCTGCTAGAGGCAGTGTTAAAGACACGGCTCTTTCCCTACTCATATGTATGCAGCAGAGTTTTATCATACATATTTCAAGACATTTAAGTATTAAAAATAAAGTTGATGCAGAAAAAATTTATGAATATAGTTTCTGGAAAATTAAATGTAAACAAAAAGTTTTAAAATATATAATTGTAAAAGATTTGGGGGGAAATTACATTTGGAGGATATGAAAGTCAAAGTAAACATTTTAAAATTATAAATAGGTAGGTATAAACTTAGTTTTAAAATCTGACACCAGATGACAAATTTTTATTCTTGTTATTGACCTGTTATGAAATATTTTAGATTACAGATAACCTAATAATTTCAAGGCTAGAGAGACTTTAGCCTAGCCAAGAAACAGTTTTTCTCATCCACATAACGCCAAATGGGAAACTTCTGAGATAATTACAATGACATTTAGCAGTATCTGACCAACTTTAGAAACACACAATGAGAGTCTGCCACTCACCGTTGTTCTGCTGAAACATTAATTTATATAAGCAATGGCACTGAACAAAGGGAAAGGTCATTATTTAAATGACAAAATTTCAATAAAATATCACTTTAATCAGAGGATAAATGAAACCTTACTTTATTATATTTAAATTCACTTAAGGAATGTATTTTACCAACAATTTATCTATAAATCAATTAAATCATTGAGATTTTCAAATATGATTTTGGAAAATATATGTAGAGATTTTTTTTCTTTTTCTTTTTCTTTTTTTTTTTTTTTTGAGACGGAGCTTCGCTCTTGTTGCCCAGGCTGGAGTGCAGTGGCGCCATCTCGGCTCACCGCAACCTCTGCCTCCTGGGTTCAAGTGATTCTCCTACCTCAGCCTCCCAAGTAGCTGGGATTACAGGCGCCTACCACCACGCCCAGCTAAGTTTTGTATTTTTAGTAGAGACGAGGTTTCACCATGTTGGCCAGGCTGGTCTCAAACTCCTGACCTCATGATCCACCTGTCTCGGCCTCCCAAAGTGCTGGGATTACAGGTATGAGCCACCGCACCCAGCCCGAGATTTTTTTTTCTTTCGCCAAAATAATATTTCAGGCTATCCTCAAAAGACTAGTTTCAATAATTTGAGATTGATGCTGAGAATTCCAGAGGTGCAGATGGGTCAATATAGATTTAGGTTTGCTAGTGATGAGTAGGAACACCTAGGGGAAAATGTCAGATAAACCAGGGGAAGCATACACCAATATCCTGCTTACCTTGTTACTGTGCCTGACTTCTCTCTATTTACCTATTTACTTCCTCTGTGTCAACCTTGGCCTACTCTCCTCTCACCTTCTTCTTCCCTAACCCACTAGAATCATATCCTATCAGAAACACTCTTAATTAAACAGACACACAGCATTTTATACATACACAAACACTTCCACACACCCTCTTGCACACACAAGGGCACACATACAGACACACAGGAGCACACATACACATATCCCATCGTATTCTCATATATATCAGACTTTATACTACATTTAAATATGGTGCATCTGTAAACACAGGTACCAATAAACTTGTTTATAGACCCTAACACAAAAGCTGAAAAATGAAATATTAAGCCAACACAGGACTTTTATTTGTATACAATTTATTGATACCAAGTCATTGAAGAAATGTTACTACAATAATGAAAATAAAGTGATACTACAATTTGCTTTAGAATGTTCTTGTGAAAATTATTTATTCTTTAGTGTTCAAGTTTCCTTTATTTTAGTAATTTGGTTAATAACATTTGGTTTGTTTTTTGTTTGTTTGTTTTTGTTTTTATTTTGTTTTCTTTTGAGGCAGAGTCTCGTCTCGCTCTGTCGCCCCGGCTGAAGTGCAGTGGCACAATATCGGCTCACTACAAGCTCCGCCTCCCGGGTTCATGTCATTCTCCTGCCTCAGCCTCCCGAGTAGCCGGGACTACAGGCG
Organism: Homo sapiens; assembly: GCF_000001405.40. Classification (NCBI taxonomy): domain Eukaryota; kingdom Metazoa; phylum Chordata; class Mammalia; order Primates; family Hominidae; genus Homo; species Homo sapiens. The sequence continues at coordinate 121,244,535 of NC_000004.12, read as the reverse complement.
CCTGCAACCACGCCTGGCTAATTTTTTTTGTATTTTTAGTAGAGATGGGGTTTCACCGTGTTAGCCAGGATGGTCTCGATCTCCTGACCTCGTGATCTGTCCGCCTCGGCCTCCCAAAGTGCTGGGATTACAGGCGTGAGCCACTGCGCCCGGCCAATAGTATTTGTTTTCACCTCATTTCCTGTGATTGTTTCCCCTCCCTCTTGGAAGGTGTAGAAATTGATGTCTTATTGGATCTATTTATAAGTACGTTGGGAGCATTTTAGCATATAATTTGTAAAAGAAGGGGGAGAATGGGGAGAGGGGTTACATAAAAGAGTGTGTTTGTTTTTCTAGGGTAATGTAAAGGGTAGGTTCTAAGCTCAGTGGGAGTTGAAGTTGGTTCCAGTGTCTTTGGGATTGTGCTATGAGAACTATACTCAGAAGGAGCGTCCTTATCCAAGTTTCCAAAGTTCTAGAACTGTCCTTAACACATGAACCAGTTTATGTGTAGCTGAAGTGGATTGTGTATATTCCCTTTTCTCATCTAAATGCTTTATGTTACTTTGAAACAAGCTTTAGAGTGTTTTGCACACAGTCAACAATCTTTAGAGACTTTAAAACATATTTTTAGAGGAAGCATAATGAAATAGTCATCAAAATTCTTTATGCCTCTGCAAATAGTTGAATTCAGAGGGTTAAGCAGCTCAGCCAGAAAGTGCCGCTATGATGTGGATGAAACAAAATGAAAGCAAACTTTATTCAATGAGAAAATTAGCACCAAAGAAATATTATAAATGCTTACTAGATAAGTATTTACGCTATGAGTCATGACCCATGGTTAGTGAAGTATTCCTCTTCAGCTTTCAGTAACCATGAAGGTAATTTTTATAAAAGTAGTTTTTACCCTACCCATAGTGATAGCTGGAAAAGATAAACTCCTACACAAAGTAGTGGGGGCGGGTATCGGAGGAGGAGGTTACGATCTGTGTGGGAAGCTGTAGGTTGTTGGGGACGCTTTATAGTTCCAGATGGCTCCTACTCATTCAGCATTAGCAATTCCCCGCTTCTTTTTCGTTGCTTAATTGGTCTGTTCTCTCTCTCTCTCTAATCCAATACATAATTTCAAAAAACAGCTTACAGTTCTTATTAAAACGCTTGAGTTTGTATCAAATTGCATCAGCACATGGAATGAATTATTAAGATCTATTCACACACATTTTATTATTCAAGCTGTGTGTTCCTGTAAATACCTTATTGACTTGTTCCATTTTAAAATAAAGATGCTGTGTCATTCAATATACTAAATTCAGCATTTCATTTGAAATTATCCAAAGCCTTAGGTAATACTGTTCACAGCTTATTCCAAGGAAATAATTTCTATCTTTCGTGGTTTGATTTAAGATTGTGGCTCAAAATTACCTTAGTGGAGAATGTTGTCCCCCACAGAAGCATTTACCAAACAGGGATTGCTGCTCTGAATTTCTATGTCTCTTAAAACTGACTGAATTAATTTTCAGATCTTAATAACAATTTTAACTAGTTTTTATCAAAAAACAAAGAATCTCAAACTTTCAACATCATACATGTATTTATACAAATACATTTCTATGTACTATAAGTATCTATGTCTTATATATACTCTGTGTGTGTGCACAAACACACACACTCGTATATAGAAAAGTAAATGAAATGAAAAAAATAAAACAGAAGTCACAGCAGCAGCACACTACAGTTTCACAACCATTCTCAGGTATTTTTACAAGTTCACCTCACCTGAAGAGGTCTCTGGTGTGCAACGCTAATTTGAAAATCTGACATATAGAGGTAATCCCCAGTTTCCCTAAAGAGCTCTGATGATGAGGCTATGCCTCTCTGTCTTTTTAAGAACTCTTTTGCTCCTCATAGTGTGGGGTAAATTGAGTGTGATGCTTACTTCACCAGTCTCAACAGCCTGTCACTACAACCCAAACAGGAACTTCCTCTTTATCCACAATTTTGGCATAAGTCTCTGGCCTAATTTCCAAAACTTAGCTTCTCTCAAAATGTCATCTCAGTCATTTCTGAGAACCCAAGGGAACCATACCATATATCCCCCAGGACAAATGTCTCTGGGTTTTCAGATTCCAGCAGACTTGCCCGACAGTTGCTCAGCTGCCACAGCTGAGTTGACCTTCACAAGCTTGTGGCCTTCTGTGGACACCAGTCCTCCAGTGTGATTCTGCTGGTGTTCCCTAGATGGCTTCAGGGAGGGTGGCTGCTCTTCAAAATTCCTGTTGCACAACTGAGATCAGGCTGTAATTTTTATCAAGAATTTCCTGAAAAGTTAACAGAAATGTAACTCAGAAGACAGCTTACAACTGCTACTAGAGATCAAAAGTGGCCTTTATCTTCCCGGGTAGCCTGTGATCAAGGCCAGCTCAACTCCCTCTATTCCCACAAAAAATTTTAAATGTCTAAGCCTCATGATCCAGGGCCCTTCTTTTTTGCCCAAGCTGATTGACATAACATGTTCTAGGTACTGTACATACATCCTCTTCAATTCTCACAACAACTCCATAATGATGATTATAACAACAATAATAATCCTACTTGCAGATGTGAAAAATAAAGCCCAAAGAGGTTAAAAGTTATCCTAGCCGAGATCACAAAGCCAGGATTTGAAAATCATGTAAGTATCTGACTCCCTCACATTTAGCTTTGGGAATCTAGAAGCAACTAAAACTCTGATAGTGTTTAGAGCACTGACCTCAAGTACACATTTTAATGAAACTCTAGCAGGCTTACCAATTGATGCAGCAATTCCACTAGTGGGTATCTACCCAGAGAAAAAGAAGTCATTATATGAAAAAGATACTTGCACACACATGTTTATAGCAGTACAGTTAGCAATTGCAAAAATATGAAACCAGCCCAAATGCCCTTCAGTCAGTGAGTGGATAAAGATACCGTGAGTCCGGACGCTCACGCCTGTAATCCCAGCACTTTGAGAGGCCGAGGCAGGTGGATCACCTGAGGTCAGTAGTTCGAGACTGGCCTGGACAACATGGTGAAACCCTGTCTCTACTAAAAATACAAAGAATTAGTGTGATGGCAGGCACCTGTAATTCCAGATGGTTGGGAGGCTAAGGCAGGAGAATCGCTTGAACCCGGGAGTCAGAGGTTGCAGTGAGCCGAGATCATGCCATTGTACTCCAGCCTGGGCAGCAAAAGTGAAACTCCATCTCAATAAATAAATAAATAAATAAATAATTTAAAAAATTATATATATATATATATATATATATATATATATATATATATATATATATCTCAATACTACTCAGCCATAAAAAGGAATGAAATAATGGCATTCTCAGCAAATGGGTAGAATTGGAGACCATTATTCTAAGTGGTTATACTCAGGAATATTATACTCAGGAATGGAAACCAAATGTCCTATGTTCTCACTCATAAGTGGGAACTAATCTATGAGGATGCAAAGGCATGAGAGTAATACAATGGACTTTGGGTATTCCATGGCAAGGGTGGGAGGAGGGTGAGGGATAAAAGACTACAAATTAGGTACAGTGTACACTGCTCAGGTGATGGGTGCATCAAAATCTCAGAAATCACCACTAAAGAACCTATCCATGTATCAAAACACCCCCTGTTCCCCTAAAACCTATGGAAATAAACAATAAAAATAATAAAAAAAAACTCTGGCAGTCTTGAGTGAAAGAGATGAGTGGGTACATTGGCAGTGAGGAAGGAGCCAGGAGCAGGAGAGCAGCAGCCCATATTGTGGATAGGCTAGGAGGAAGAGCTGACTCAGGTAGACCCACATGGGAAATTTGAAACACCTACCTTTTTGGCCTACCAATCTCCAGCAGAATTAAAGCTTGTGTGCTCTGAATTCAGAGGAAGAAATGTTCCTTCCCTCTGGCTGCCTTGCCTTGTGGCAAGAATCTCAATAGATCTGGATACTGCACCCCAGTATCATGTGTAGCAGGGAGAGAGGGAGGCAATGCTGTTTCCATTGTCCTTAAGCAAAAGTTTCTTCCTATTCCAAAGAAAGTCCAAATCTTACAGGTAAGACATGAATTAAGCCATGGTTCATTTGATGGCTTGGACGTGAAGGTGGTTCTCCATAAGCCATAAGTCACCGTGCTGTTTGCAGAGGTGTGGAATGTGATGTGGAGACATTAGCACCAAAAGCTAGAACCTGGAGATCCAAGGCCAAGGCCAAGAAAGGCGTGTGAGCCCCAGAGAGGAAGCTCACCACTGGAGAGGCCAGAAATCAGAAGAAGCAATGGGTGTGTAACTGGTGGGCAGCCACAAGTCAAGCAATAAGGTCAAGGCAAATTATTCATCAGTGAGACAAGCAAGAACACAAGTTCTCTTCAAAAACGTGGATAACAATTTATAGCTGTATCTGCTTGACATAATTAACTGCAGATGGTACAATTCTTTGTAGTGTCATGTAGATTTCACAATTTCTCTAAAATATAGCTATTTTGATGGCCACTTATTTTATTTTATCTGCTCTCTCTAATTATTTGGGGCAACAGTCTCATCTTCAAGTCATTTTACCTTCACCTTCAAGATTCTACATGCTCTTATCAGCAAATAGAGTGACAACAATTCTTACAAGTTTGTATATTCAGGTCAAAATCTGAGCTGAGAAAGTAAAATGCCTTTTTGAGATTTTATTGCAGAAATTTCTGTGTTCCAACAACATGCTACTATCTTCAAGGTAATTTATACAGAACTAAGATAATACACTTCTTCCTCAGTTGTGATAAAAACATGATTATTAAAGATGTACATATATTCCTGAACAACATATTTTAGTTCTACCCTCTAAGTATAACTAAACCTGACTTCATAATCCTAAATTCTCAGGTCAATAGCCAGAAGGCTCCTTTTGACCACAGAACTTCCAGAATTGTACATACAAGCCTCATGGACAGGCAAGCCATCCTCCTTTCTAAAGAACAGTACTCATATGATAATTCTAGAATCTGCTCTACTCAGAACCACCTTCCTCAGGGAGTTATCTTTTACTTAACTTTCCAGACTCTGACCTAGCACTTTTGTTCAGTCACACTTTGTGTGTGATTTCAAGCTATCCTTTCACTGGTCAAGATTTCCAACAGATGGCAACTGGATGAACTCATAATCACTGAGGGAATTCTCCAGGTGAGAGATTGATTGTAATTTTTTTTTTTTAGTATTTATTGATCATTCTTGGGTGTTTCTCGGAGAGGGGGATTTGGCAGGGTCATAGGACAATAATGGAGAGAAGGTCAGCAGATAAACACGCAAACAAAGGTCTCTGGTTTTCCTAGGCAGAGGACCCTGCCGCCTTCCGCAGTGTTTGTGTCCCTGGGTACTTGAGATTAGGGAGTGGTGATGACTCTTAAGGAGCATGCTGCCTTCAAGCATCTGTTTAACAAAGCACATCTTGCACCGCCCTTAATCCATTTAACCCTGAGTTGACACAGCACATGTTTCAGAGAGCACGGGGTTGGGGGTAAGGTTATAGATTAACAGCATCCCAAGGCAGAAGAATTTTTCTTAGTACAGAACAAAATGGAGTCTCCTATGTCTACTTCTTTCTACACAGACACAGTAACAATCTGATCTCTCTTTCTTTTCCCCACATCTCCCCCTTTTCTATTTGACAAAACCGCCATCATCATCATGGCCCGTTCTCAATGAGCTGTTGGGTACACCTCCCAGACGTGGCGGCTGCCGGGCCGAGGCACTCCTCAGTTCCCAGACCGGGTCGCGGTCGGGCAAAGGCACTTCTCACTTTCCATACGGGGCGGCCGGGCAGAGGGGCTCCCCACTTCCCAGATGGGGTGGCTGCCGGGCAGAGGCACTCCTCACCTCCCAGGCGGGGTGGCCGGGCAGAGGCACTCCTCTCTTCCCAGTCGGGGCAGCTGGGCAGAGACGCTCCTCACATCCCAGACGGGGTGTTGGCCGGGCAGAGGCGCTCCTCACTTCCCAGGCGGGGTGGTGGCCGGGTAGAGCTGCTCCTCACCTCCCAGACGGGGCTGCCGGGCAGAGGCGCTCCTCACATCCCAGATGAGGCAGCCGGGCGGAGGGGCTCCTCACATCCCAGACAATGGGCGGCCAGGCAGAGACGCTCCTCACTTCCTAGACGGGGTGGCGGCCAGGCAGAGGCTGCGAGATCTCAGCACTTTGGGAGGCCAAGGCAGGCTGCTGGGAGGTGGAGGCTGTAGCCAGCCGAGATCACGCCACTGCACTCCAGCCTGGGCAACATTGAGCACTGAGTGAGCAAGACTCCGTCTGCAATCCCGGCACCTCGGGAGGCCGAGGCGGGCAGATCACTGGAGGTCAGTAGCTGGAGACCAGCCTGGCCAACAGGGCGAAACCCCCTCTCCACCAAAAATACAAAAACCAGTCAGGCGTGGCGGCGCACGCCTGCAATCCCAGGCACTCGGCAGGCTGAGGCAGGAGAATCAGGCAGGGAGGTTGCAGCCAGCCGAGATCACGGCAGTACAGTCCAGCCTTGGCAACAGAGGGAGACTGTGGAAATCGGGAGAGGGAGGGGGAGCGGGAGCGGGAGGTGGAGAGGGAGCGGGAGGGGGAGCTGGAGAGGGAGCGGGAGCGGGAGCGGGAGAGGGAGAGGAAGCGGGAGAGGGAGAGGGAGATTGTAATTTTTAACCCACAATATCTTTTCTACAATCTCCAATAACCACACAATTATTTTATTGAACCTTTCGAAATACTTTCAAATCTGCTTTATTGGGAGTAACTGCCACATTGATGTTTACCTTGATTCCTCTTCTTTTTGGCCAACCTAGTTTAACTGTCTACCTCTAACTATCACAGCAAAAAGTCAGGAAGTAGTTTCAGCTCAAGCCAAGACCTTTGATCTCCAATATTACTGTTCTATGATTGTGCAGATGTGGACCCAAAGAAAGGTCCTGGGAATTGGATACCCTCACAACCCTTTGATCTTTTCCACCCTTTGCTGCTCATAGGCAATGATCCTAAGTCTCACCTCACTGCCCATCCCGGGATTTTCTGAAGCATGAAGCAGGAAATATTGTCTAGATGAACTTTCCATTTATAGGATGACACAGACCCCTTATAGGAAGGGCAAGAACAGGTAGGAAATTTTAGTCTCATCTCAAAGGGTCCTGGGATACAGTAGTTGTTCTGACTACTGATGCTAATGGTTGATTCCACCATGTGATCTCTGATCCTGATCTAGCATGTCCTACTGTCTGACTACTCTGGCCTGTCTGCCCCTTGGTTCTGTGTTTTGAGTTTCTCCGGTAACTTAATATCCTGGTTCAATGTTTTGACTGGGTTTTCTGTACTCTCTGGCAAGTCAGACATCCTGGCCTCCCGCAGAGCACTCTGCTGCCCATAGTCTAGCAGTTCTGCCAGCTGAAGCTCAACTTGCACTGAGACATTTCCCATTAAGGCTTTAATAACTACTATAACAACAGTTGCTTTCCAATTTCTGCTTGTTCTGAAACTACTTGCTAACTTGAGGAAGTTATAAAAAGTTATCTTCTAATTCTAAACTTTGTTTGCACTAAGCCTCACCTCACTTTGTTTTTTCCCCATTTGAACTCTTAGTTCGGGTACATCCATTGGGGATGACTTTGGCCATTTATCCAAAAGGCGTATACAGAACTCTACATGAATGTGTGAATCATTCACAACTCTGAGGCTCTTTTATTTTCACTTATCAACCCCAGAAGGTTTTGCTTAGGTGCAAGGTGGATATCTTTTTCTGAAAGAGCTTTAGGAGTTTTTCCCATAAGAAAAGCAATCAAAGTGAGAACAGAGCCCAGCTTTCCAAGGAGCACTGGCCACAGCTGTCTTTATGAGCAAAGGACCAGAGGACGTGCAGCTGCTGGATCTTCAGGCTACCCCCAAATAGGCAGGGACAGGTCCCCAGAGTCACTCCCTCAGAGAGGCAGCAAAGCATGGCTCTGTCAGAGACGGGAATTGAGGAGCCTGGGCGGAGAGCGTGCTAGGCAGAAGTTTGAGATGTGGTTTCAGAATGAGGAAAGAAGGTCTCCAGACTTGCTTGAGAGATGTCAGAGCAAAAGATAATAGGTAATCATTTGCATTATTTGTTTCTTTTCTTGGAAGTGGGCCTGTGGGCTGTGAATTGGATATCCTTCAAAGTTTTCCAAAAGACAAAAGTAAAACTAGAATTAAATTGTAATGTTTAATAGTTGTACATATTTTAGTACCTGATAAGGCAGTCTATTAGTTTTTGCTGTATAGCAAATCACTCTAAAACTTAGTGATATAATATAACAACCAATTATTTAGCTCTTAATTCTCACAGAGGCTGGTGAGGCCAGGCAATCACACTTCTGGGGCTTGGCTGGCTTTAACAAGGAGGAGAGTGAGTAGGGCATGGGAGGCACCTGATAATATGTCTCTCCTCTTGGTGGAAGACAATAAAAAGTCACATTGCTTCTTTTATTAAGAGGTGGAATCTATTTTTCCAGGCCTTGAATCTGGAATGCCCTTGTAACTTGCTTTGGCCAATAAAATATGCAGGAAGCATAGTTGTACCATTTCTGAGCCTATGCCTCAAGAGATCTATTCCCATTTACTCTCTCTCTCTCTCTTTGTTTTTTTTTAGAACTCTGCTAGTCACCAATGAAATATTAATGAAATTTCATTGAAATCTGAATTGCAATTTTGGGAAGAATGCATGGTTTAAAACTGGCTATTTCAGGTAGAGAACCAAACTTACACAATATTGAGTTGCTTCAATAATTTAAGGAAAACTCATTATCTATCTTATGAAGCGGTAAATCTGCCATTACCTTTTACCCAACTCCATGAAGCACTAAATTTCTTAGGAAACAACAAGTGTTTAGGTTATTATTATTATTATTTTGGGACAGAGTCTTGCTCTGTTGCCCAGGCTGAAGTGCAGTGCCACAGTCTCAGGTCACTGCAACCTCTACCTCCCAAGTTCAAGCAATTCTCCTGCCTCAGCCCCCTGAGTAGCTGGGATTACAGGCGCCTGCCACCACACCCAGCTAATTTTTGTATTTTTAGTAGAGACGGAGTTTCACCACATTGGACAGGCTGGTCTTGAATTCCTGACCTCAGATGATCCACCTGCCTTGGCCTCCCAAAGTGCTGGGAATACAGGCATAAGCCACCATGTCCAGCCTTATGTTTGTTTTGATTATCAGAGACTTACTGCTCTGCTTCACTGATATAAACCAGATTCCATATGGAGGTAGCTATTACTGTATGACTTATAATCAAGCAGGCTTTTGAACCATGTGCATAAATTATTTTTAACATAAACTAGAGAAATTCATAGAAAGCACTTCTCTAAGATCCTGAGGAACAATTCTGAGTTTTGTTAGAATACACTAGTGACACAGACAGCACGGAAGCCTCAGAGTTTGAAAAAAATCAACAGCCATATATGAGATTCCACACCTCAACTCTGGGGTGGCTCATGGTCTCAGACACATACAAATCATATACAGGGGCCTCACTGCCCAAGAACAAGTGGTCTAGAGTAGACAGTGACTGAGATTCACATGGTTTCCTGTTCCATTTGGAAGGCAATCACATAGATCAGGTGGGAGAAGTGACAAAAAGATGCTTGAACAAAGAGAAATAGGCCAAGTCCAAGTGAAATACACTTATAGCCAAGAATGGCTGAAAAATCTTGATACTCCCACACTAGGATGAAATACGAAAAGATGTTTCCAGTGGCCCTTCAAGGGCAGGACAATGAAGGAGATCCAATTCAAGAAAATGTGGACTCCGAGAGCTGGAAAAAATGTAAGTTTGCCATAGCTTCTGAAGTCAGACCCAACAAACAAGAACCTGGGGCTAGAAATAAGCAAGTTCTCCAATTGCAGTCAGCAAACACCTCACCTATAACTTTATTCTCTGACTCCATACCCTCCGATCAGACTGGATCTCAGTTTGGAGACCCCATTCACTAATTTGTCTTCATCAGGATGGGATGAGTCACAAATGGGAGGGCCACTTATCCCTGGTATTCACAAACTCTGCCATGGATAGGTAATGAAAACACTATCTCCTTGATAACATTCTGCTTCTTGATGTGGGTGCTGGTTACGCTGGTGTATTTAGTTTTTGAAAACTCATCAAATGCAAATGTATATGTACTATTTCTATATATTATGCATCAATTTAAAATGTAAAAGAAAAAAAAGAAAGATTACCTCCTAAATGCTTTCAACATTGAGGTTTGGACATAGCCCTGTATTTTTTTCGAATGAGTTGAAAAGGGACATCTAGAGGCAGCTTGGCTTGTAACTTGAGACGATGTTTTCCAGAGAAACAAATACTCTCTTTCATGTTACCCATGGTCCCAGCCCGAGCACACTCCTCTTCCCAGTCCTAGGAATGAAAGAAGGAATCATCCAGACACTACTCTGCTAAATCTGGCAGAGGCTCCTGAGTGCAATGACACTGACCAGGAAAAACAAAGATGAGGATCCTGCTGGACTGTAACTAGGACTCTGGAGTGCAAAATGAATGTTGACTTTCTCAATGTGGACAGTGACATACGTTTTACTACAGTTTCTCCAGAAATGCTTCTTAACCATTTATTGTGAGAATTACAGTCAAGAGAGTAAATTATTACATTCTTTAGATGGTCCTTGCAGGTAAATGACCCAATCTGTGGAAAGTCAGGTTCTATCAGTCCTCAAGGGGACTGGGCTTTGTTTTATGGTGACTGAGACATCAAACTACTTTGGTGGGGTCTGGATATATTCAAGAGAAGTAAAGCAGAAAAAATGGAAGTGAATGCAGAAGTTGAATGGGCAGAGAGAAATTGGAAACAATGAAATCTTTAAAGTTTAGCTTTGGATCAGGTTTTCACCCCAACTGACTTTAGAAATTCTTGGTTTATTTGTATAAAAGTCATAATAATCACTGTATGAGATTGTGGGAAAAATACAGGCTTCTGAGACTCACAAACCAGGGTGTGTTGGGCCTTAGATTCTGCATTGCTATCAATTTTCCTGGTAATACCAGTACTGTTGATCCAAAGACTCCACTTTAAGTAGAAAGGAGATAATGTTTGTAAAGCATCTGGTATACCATAGATGATCAGAAATAATTGCTAATCATTATTTTCTATCATCATTGTCATCAAAATCACATGTGTGAATTCCTTCCATTACAATTAATTATATACCACAACAATGATAATGTTATTAAGTTAAACAATAATTGTAAAATACTTATTTCAGCAATAAACTCTGTCCATATATGCTTATTCCTTATATTACACAATTTTTTAGTATTTACAGTTTTAAAAACAAGAGACTATGAAAGCCTGTTGAATTTATGACATTTTTTATTCTCTCTCTTCATTGTAATAGATATAGAAGATTGTGTGAAGTATTCTTAGTATTGCCCAATTAGAAATATTATTACCAATAAGAATACTTGTTGGCTTCATTCAGTAACAAAATGTTACGCCTTGTACAATATCACTTATTATATGTATAGAGGAGATAAGTATTAGAAGAATATACACCAAATTTTCTGAAAATGACTGTCATCTTTGGAAATCACATTCTAATAATAGGAGTCTACTTCTCCTTTTTTTTCCTTTTCATGTAGTATAGTTTTATACTGCTTAAATTTTGCATGATTCTTATGTTTGGCTTTGTAATTTAAAATATTTTTAAAAATAATTATTATTTTGGGTCTTTGGCTATGCTTGACTTTCCAGAATCCTAGCATCTTTGTAAAATAGAGAAAATTGTCTTAAGACTGAAGTACTTCTTCTTAATGTCAAATGTTTTTACAGCACAATGAAGTACACAAGAAGACAGCTTTTCTAAAGGCCTAATTACTCCTTTTCAGGAAATTAAGCATTCTGTTATATAACTGTTAAATTGTACTGGGAGTCCAACTCTTTTAGGTCTTTGGTACTTTGGTTTAATATCTGAAATCAGTTATGCTATTAATTCTGTAAGTAGAATCAACTCAGAGTATACACACTGTAGAGCAATGTGAGGGTCATAGTTTTGGGATATTTTTTCACAATGATACAAAGGACCTTAAGAAGACTATTGTTTTCATGCCATAAAACCAATCAAAATGGAAATGTGTTGTTTGCTATTTGGGGTGATATCAAATTAAACTCTTCGACTGGGAAGGGATTTTTAGGCACTATGTATACCAGTCTCATTTTTAGATAAAGGAATTGAAGCCTCCAGGGATTAAATGAATCTGATATGTAATAAGTATGTTAGAACAAATGCCCCTGGAGAATAATGCATTGGTTTAAATTAAACTTCTATAAACAGTTTTCTCTCCTTGGTGTATAAAATTACTTTTGATACAAGCTTTAAAATGTCTTTGTGAGTTTCAAAGTGCTAGAGGTAAACTTTTACATTTGTTATATAATCTTTTGGGTCTTTTGGGATAAAACAATGAGGGCTCTTCTCAAACTTCAGCTTAGTGAATGACTTTACCTTAAAATATCCATAAACTTAATCATTTTCGTAACTGTTTTGATAGTTCCAGAGTTCCTGTCTATTCCCAAGTGCATGAACCCCACAATACCGTAGAGCTGGAGTGAAGATCTGAAGATCATATAAAAACAACTGACTGTAAATGAAGGTCATAGAAGGTGGAAACCACAGCTTAACATTAGAAGTTATTTTTTCCATTTTAGATTTTCAACTGAAAACAAGAAACTGCTATAAGAAAAATGTCCCTTCAAATGTCTCTGTATTAAAAAACAGAAAAGGATACAGATATGGTGAGGGTAAAAGTCAAAGGGCCCGAGTGTCAAGGAGTTCTTTGGGGACTTCTCTGTCAACACCTGGGATTGCCTTTTAAAGATCACCATGTCTTTTGGGCCTGGCTTACAGTGATAACTGGACTTTGGTCCCAAACAGCTGCATTTCTGATTTATCTACATCCATGGTTCATCTCCTTTTTTTCATCCTCTTTAGTAAGGAGATTTATGCCCATCCTCTGTCCCAATAGTTTACATGATATATCCTCTTTTTGGCAGCATTTTACAGAACAAAAGTTGACTACAGTTCTTAGGAAAAAGCAGAACTGTGATACTTTAATGATTTAAATCATGTGTTGTTTACCCCTTTGCTATCCATGTCAGAGTAAAGACAAAAGCACATATACAGTAATGGAAGAGAATGTAGCAAAAATGCATTGAACGACTTGTTTCTCTAAAATAAGAGTCATCAAATATTGAAATCAGCTAGCCATACTTCTAGTTGTGATATGAGTTTGTATCTGTGAGAAAAAAAATGCCATTCTTTTTTATGAAGAGCAGAAAGCCCAAACTAACACTAAAGTTTGTTCCTAATAAACTGAGCCAGGAGAGAGTAGAACACAAGCCCATATTATTACCCTTTCTAGTTTGATATCCAGTCCAGCTGAGACTTCTAGCACAGCCACCCTCTGTCCTTTAAGTAATATTACAGATGATGTTCTGAAGTTGCCATGGGAATATACTCTCTAGTTTGCCTCTCTCATCAAAACAATAAAGACCAAAGTTTGGCAAGAGGCCATGGCCTCCATCTTGAAAGACACCGGAGGGTCATTAAATGTCCCTAATCCACAGAAAGCTCTCACCTAACAGACAAAATCCAGATCGAACACTTCCTGAGGAAACTGTACTTAAATGGGACAAACATTGCCAGGTTGGCTTTATCACACTTTGTAGAAACACCCTATGGTGGTGAAGACTTTTAAAATAATTTCCTCAACTGTGACAACTACATTTATTGTCTCCACTCAATCTCCATTTCTTACCCATGATTTGGAACTTGAATGTTGGGAGGCCGAGAGGGAAAGCAGCCTGAGTCTGTGGTGGAGAGGGAGGGAGGAGAGTGCCTGGAATTTCGCCAGAAAGTAAGCATGTGGAAGCACTTTGCCTGTCTTCTCGAGGACACCTGTGGACAGCCTACACACGAGGCACGCGGTGAGGTCCATGAGATCTTACTCTTGAGTGACGCATTCAGCTCATCTTCAGAGACAAGTTGGATTTGCCCTTTCTCAAGCCTAAAGCTTGGAAATTTTGTTATCTTAGGCTCTTTAATACTCTCGATGAATAAAAGAAGAAACATTGAATATGACTGCTTTTTTCCCCCCAACTCTAAATGGCCTTGTCTTACTTCGCCAGTCTCATTTTCTCCTTTCCTCCCCCATTTCCTTCAGACACTTGTACCCTCAGACATGTGAAATTAATTTTGGATCGATCACTTTCGACACTGGTCTTCAAGTTTTATTAATTTTTTTCCTAACTCATTTCCTCATTTTTCCCTGAAGGTAAATCACTAAACAAAATACTCTATTGTGAACAGTAAAAATCATTTAGTTGGCACATTGCCAGTTTCTGCTCACAGTTGATGTCAGGTGGCTTAGATGTATACAAGAAGCAATACAGCATTTTATGTGCAAATAATGCATTTATTTCATGGTGGCATTCAACAGAGTCCAGTTTCCCCTCTACAGTTAGAACGGTGAGAAGCAGTGATAACAACATCTGTCTTTCTGTTTTATAGACTCTTCTCTGCCAATAACAGTTCCATGAGATAAATAAATATGGTGTCTTTCTACATTTTCATTTGACTAGCATTACCATCCTCACCATCCATCTCAGAGTTTGGGGTTTTTTTGTTTGTTTGTTTGTTTTGAAACGGAGTCTCACTCTGTTACCAGGCTGGAGTGCTGTGGTGCGATCTTGGCCCACTGCAACCGCTGACTCCCTGGTTCAAGCGATTCTCCTGCCTCAGCCTCCTGAGTAGCTGGGATTACAGGCAGGCGCCACCACACCCAACTAATTTTTGTATTTTTAGTAGAGATGGTGTTTCACCATGTTGAGCAGGATGGTCTTGATCTCCGGACCTCGTGATCTGCCTGCCTCGGCCTCCCAAAGTGCTGGGATTACAGGCGTGATTTGTTTTTTTTTTTTTTTTTGGAGACAGAGTCTCACTCTGTTGCCCAGGCTGGAGTGTAGTGGTGTGATCTCAGCTCACTGCAACCTCCACCTCCCAGGTTCAAGCAATTCTCCTGCCTCAGCCTCCTGAGTAGCTGGGACTACAGGTGCATGCCACCATGCCTGGCTAATTTTTTTGTATTTTAGTAGAGATGGGGTATCACTGTGTTGCCCAGGCTGGTTCTGAACTCCTGAGCTCAGGCAATACGCCTGCCTTGGCCTCCCAAAGTACTGGGATTACAGGCGTGAGCCACCGCACCCTGCCACGGGTGTTTGTTTTTTTAGAGGCAGAGTCTCACTATGTTGCCCAGGCTGGACTAGAATTCCTGGGCTCAACTGATCCTCCCACCTCAGCCTCCCAAGTAGCTGAGTTATCCCATAGTTTTTGATGGAAATAACTTCTTGCTTGGATCAGCACTCTCTGAAATATGCTTCTGTACTCTCCCTCCACACTTAAATTGATGTGATTGTCAAATGAAAAGACATGTGGCTTAAGACAAGATCGTCTTTCAACACACTTTGGGAAAACTTCAGTTCTAATAATAGCAATCACATTGTGAATTTGCATAGCATTCTGTAATTTTAAAAGTACTTTCAGGAAAGAAAGACATTAGTTAGATCTGAAGATTCCAGTCTGTAGGGATGGCTTAAACTTTTAACCTCCTTGCTGTTGACTGATTAATTTCTCCTTGTTCTTTTGATATTGCACTAAAATAGCATACTCTTATGAAATATTAAGTAATTAATTTTCTCACATTGAAAGAAACTAACAGGGTAAATGTCATTTTGTGTTCATTTAAAAGGCTTTTTAAAAGACATATTCAAAATGCTTTAGAGGACCTTGAAACAATGGAATTTTCATATCAGATGTATTTAATTTCATAACTCAGGTTAAGGATGGACTGTTTACTTCCTAAGCTCTGTTTTGATTTTCTTTTTCAGTTCACTGCATATGCAAGCTACATCATATAATAGATTATTTTTTAAAATTTTTGAAAATACAGAAACTAAGATACAGTACAGAAAAAGAAAATACAGTAAAGAAAAATGTAAGAAACAGTTACAGCTTTACCAACCAGGATTGATATTTACAGCATTTTGTAATGAAAAAGATAATGTTGAGGCCCCCTTTGTCTCACATTTCCCAAGGCATGTCTGTAGAAGTGGAAGTGTAGAAGGGGCTCATCGTTGTCCATCTGCTTTTCTGAAGTCTTAACTCCTGTTGTGATGAGAGTTAAAGTAGAGCAAACAATCAAACTCTGAGACAATGTCTCCTCCAGCATATCGCCAGTATGCTAGCTGCCATTTTCTTAATCTTACCATGCCTATCTGACAAATGAATACTTCAATATAAGCAAATGGTATAACTAATCAATAATAATCACTATTAGGCACTTCATCAGCAAACATTTTATTCCCAAACTGGTACAAATGTCTTTAGCAGTTTGGAGAGGTTTGCCACTACTAATGATTATGCAGACTGTTTTCTGGTATGGCAAGAAAAATTCACATAATTCCTAATGATATAGTGCCAGTGAAGCCACATAGAGACTCTAAATATAATTTCCCCTCTAAGTAAGAAAACACTCAGCAAGTCCTATTTTTAAAAGGTAACCAGCTTATTTCTAAATTACTTTAAAGGTTGACTGTTTAAATGTTAACCTGGGTGCTAGCTCTCTCAGGGAAAGAAATAGGAAGATGAAACACAGGAACATTCCTAGAAATGAGTGTGTGACCTATGTGGTCCTTACAGTAAGTTATACTAATTCTAAATTTATGTTTATGTGTTGTGGCCCTATTAAGCTGATCTAACTTTTCCATTAAGTGGGCAGGTAGATTTCCTGTAGTACTCCTGATTGCCTGAAGAGGTATACTGTTTTCTTGTGTTTCCATTACAACATAGAGACTAAGAGGGAATCCTCTGTGGTATTTTCACATAGGTTGTGAATCTTTTATCTGTAGGTTGTATTTGTATCTGAGAGGTGAATATTAATAGTCTCTTGGCAGCAGAATGACTTTCTTAAAAAAGGGGTTTCCCTGTGTATGGGTGGATTAACCTTTCAAAATACATGTTTCTACTTAAACCACTTAGTTACTGTTTGATTCAAAGAGTCTTAAAGACAGGTCTCCGTATTAGACCTTGTAATACGCTTACCTAGATCTGAGAAGGACTTTCAGGATAGAACATGGTGAGTAACATAATGTCTTGTGCCTTTACTTTCATTTCGCTTACTTACCAGGGTTGGTTGTAACTTAATTTCTTTTTTAAAATGCATAAAGTTCTCATATTAAAAAGACATATATAACTGATCAGGAACTCAGTAATATTAACAATTAAGATAAGGTTTTATGTGTTCCCGGTGAGAAATAAGATAGAACTTGTTGTAAATGTAATAATGCATGGTGTTTCCTTTACATTTTTTATTTTACAGCTTTTGTTAGTTAGCCCCTTTGTGCACATCAGATAAAATAAGCTTTGGAAATGACACATTTAACTAAGTGAATGTTACCCTATTTGCTTTATTACTTCTAAAAATCCTATAAATAATAACTAAATGTAAGTACTTATATGAATAATTATGCTTTCCCTCTTGGGATATTACAGGGTTGAACAATCTTGATTAAGCAATGAGCAGAGCCAGCATCCATTTAGTGTGTTCCTCTGCAGGGGACATTTTTCACCGTGTTCTTCATGGTGCTATAGAATCACATCAATGGGGAGCATAAAACATTCTAAAAGAATGTATTTCTGAATATAAAGTTACTGGACTGTTTTATTTAAACAGTCAAATTTCCCAAACGAGATTGCAAAATAAACTTCCCTAGGAATAATTTAAGTGTGAGCAGTTAAACTATCCTGCAAGGAAGGTTCATTTTAAAAGCCAGCAGTAGACAAAGGTAGACTAGATGCTTACAGGCGCAGTGCTGATATTTCTTGAATCTGATAACATTTGCTTTCTGGCTTAACCGCAAACTCCCTGCTGTGAAATGCTGAGAACTTTGTTCTTCTTAGGAATCTCGATCAATGCCCTGTGGCAGAGACTCCCAGAGTGTCCTTTCAAGTGGCACTGCATGCACAGACCTGTCCCCACAGTGGAAGGCCTGAATCAGGCCTTAACCTAATGAGCAAAAAGCAAATATTTGTGGAATGGATCAACGTTAACAAACTATTTTCAGATATGATCTTCTCAACTTTTTTAGTGTATTTTTTATATCAGAATTTTAATGAATTTTTAAAGTCTAGAAGAGAAAAACATTATGCCTTTTCATTTTCTCTTTTCCTTTTCACTCTGTCTCTCTTTCTTTGTGCCTCTGTCGCTCTCTCTCTCTCTCTTTCCTATGTGTACCTCTGCCTCTGTCTCTTTTCCTGTCACTCTCTGTCTCTGTCCCCCTTTGTCTATTTCTCTCTTTTTTGTCTTGATCTCTCACTGTGCCTGTTTTTCTGTCTCTCTCTCTTTCTGTCTCCCCTTCTGCTTGGTCCTACTGTCTCTCCAAGTATATATTTAATTATCATTGGCTTCCAGTACAATTCTCTCAATGAAATTTGCAGCCATTATACAATTTCCCAATTTTAATGACATTAATGAGGCATGAATGAGGAAGAAATAATAATTTTTAAACATGGGAAATTGACTGTTAAATATGACTCCTCCTGTTAAAGGAACCTAAAGCACATAGCTGTCAAAGAGACCTGTGGCACAGTGTAGAAGAGACAGGCAAAGTTCCCATTTATCTCATCAGTCAAAGTCCCTGATTCCTCAAAAGTCCTGGGGGCCTCCTTGTCCAGGTCGGGGGCCAAGGTAGAGAAGGAGTGAGAAGGGGAAGGCAAAGGTGCTTACTAAGTTTTTGGCCAACTAAATACTTCCTGCTGAGGATAAAACCTTAGACCTCACTTTGTTAACTTTTAAAAATTGCTCTTTAACACTTTACTCTTTAGCTCTTTTTCTAAACACTGCTTTCTTGTTAAGATCAGATAATGATGAATTATTAGAGGAACACCTATTACTCATAGTTGTACTCCCATCTGTTTGGAGTTGTGACAGTTTGGATCTTTCAAATATTTATTTCATGAAGGATAAAGACCTTAGAACAAAAAGAAATCACTTTTCACGTGTACATCCACAAGTCTTAAAGAAAAAAACAAGAAGAAAAAATGCTTTTCTAATGAAATTGCACAGAGCATGAGTAAAAAATCAATTATATTTGAAAACATGACCAAGATTAAATATCTCCATTGTTTTGAAACAAAGACATCATATGGGGGGAAAATATTCTAGCGGTTGCAAAGCACAATCCAAACAAATGAATCTCTTGATTAATCTAAGTATGTAAAAAACCTTGGATGACAGTCACAAGGGGCAATTAGTACATAGTTAATGGATCATTGTGATAAGTAATAAAAATTAGTCATTCTCTGCCATTGCTAATCTGACATGTATGAATTCTGCAAGAAGAAAGGATATAGGATGTAATGTAGTCTTAAGCAGTATAGTTAATAAAATACATTTGAAGGCAAATGATCCCTTTCTCAGTTTTCAATTACATCTTAAATTTCAAATATGGTGAAATGTTTCCTTTTGATGTGAATAAATATAGATATATAGATTACAGCCAGATGACTCTCGGACACAGTGTATGCTGACACACTATATTCAGTATGCTGTTCAGTATGTTGTCATTTTTTTTCAATATTAGAGAATATGTTGTCATTTTCCCCCAAACTCTTTACTTAGAAAGGTGTTCAAAAATCTTCTAGGAAGATAGTTCACATTTTTTAAATTACGAAAGGCAAAACAATTATAGATATTAAAATAAGAGAAAAATTGTTCAGCTTAACTTTAAGCTATAAAAATCAAATTTTATTTATAATGAAAAGAAATACCTAAAATCATTTAACAGAAAAAAATGAGTAGAAAGATTATCAACTTTAAAGAGTTTAAGGTAGACAAATTAAAACCTGCCTAAATATGGGTGAAAACAATAAGATGAATTTCTAATTAGAGAGTGTTCTGTCACTTGTTTAAAAGCAATAAAAATATCAAAAAACATAACCATGAACAACATGAACATTAAGGTATAATTAGTCTGAGAGGATCTTGAGCTTTACAGGTAAAAGCCAAAGTGTGGATTCTGTATCGGAAGTCCAGTGCTCAGGGATCAAGTCTCATCTCAACTTTTCTTTTTCTTTTTTCTTTTTTCTTTTTATTTTTTGAGACAGAGTCTTGCTCTGTTGCCCAGGCTAAAGTGCAGTAGCACAATCTCTGCTCACTGCAACCTCTGCCTCCTGGGTTCAAGTGATTCTCCTGTCTCAGCCTCCCAAGTAGTTGGGATTACAGGCGCCCACCACCACATTCAGCTAATTTTTGTACTTTTAGTAGAGATGGGGTTTCGCCACATTGGCCAGGCTGGTCTCAAACTCCTGACCTCAGGTGATCTTCCTGCCTTGGCCTCCCAAAGTGCTGGCATCTCAACTTTTTATTATCAGCAGAGAGCACTAATTAAAATCAGAGAGCTGAGATCATTCATTATTATTCATTATTATAATTGAACAGTCTTCCATTTATTTTCATTTGAGGAATTGAGACAGCATAGTTCTTTGTATTGATGTTTGTTAATCTGGGGATAATCATTGTGTAGCCTCCCGTGGTTAGATTTAGCACAACTGATTGATTTTAATAGTAATAATGTATGTTTTTTTGAAAGAATAGTCTCTGATATTGCTTCTATTGCTGAAAATTTGATGGAAATCAGAATTCATTATACTCTTTCCTCTTAGTTGCTAATGATCTGTTGACAGGAGTAGAAAAACTAGTATTACAATTATGCATATACCTACTGTGCTAATGGATAGGGAAGCTAAGAAAGGTGTTCAAGGACACAGCTCTGGCTTCTGCTCTTCATGCTCTGAATCTCATAAAGCTATGATGAAATGCACGTGTGATAATGAGGCATTTTTACCTTTTCTAGTTTCTGTGGAGCCTTGTAAGGTCTAAATAAATGTGGTGGAATTTAAATCTTGTTTGATATTCAAAACTCACTGGAAAGCAAGTAGCAAAAGTGATTTTCTTATAGGACATGAATATTATTGTGTGTTATTATTTAAAACCATCTTTCAGCTACTTTACCATGGAAATAATGAGAACGAATCCAGCATTAAAGTTTGAATTGTTTTTGTACAAGACCAGGTTTAAGTTTGGTCATTGCTTGCTAAACTGCATTCAAAATTAATGCATAGTTATAAAACAAAATTTATTACTTCAGAACAAAATCCTGGTATGCAAAGATATCTGATAAATTGGCTCAGGCTGTCCTTTACTTCCCTTTCAAGCGGGTGAGCATCTGCCTGGAGGAACTGATACAGTTAGCAGGAGGCTAAGGATGGGCCAAGGCTGGCACACCTGTAATGGATATGAAAGCGATCCGTTACTAGTTTCACCTGAAGCATATTCTCATAAAAACAAACACACCTGGCTGGGCGCGGTGGCTTGCGCCTGGAATCCCAGCACTTTGGGAGGCCGAGGCGGGCGGATCACGAGGTCAGGAGATCGAGACCATCCTGGCTAACACGGTGAAACCCTATCTCTACTAAAAATACTAAAAATTAGGCGGGCGTGGTGGTGGGCGCCTGTAGTCCCAGCTACTCGGGAGGCTGAGGCAGGAGAATAGCGTGAACCTGGGAGGCGGAGCTTGCAGTGAGCCAAGATCGCGCCACTGCACTCTAGCCTGGGTGACAGAGCGAGACTCCGTCTCAAAAAAAAAAAAAAAAAAACGCACAAAAAACACCCTCAGCTCCACATTTTCATGATTTTCAGCAGAACAACCAACAATTAATAACTAATAACATGTATAATAACATTTATGTCCCATAAAAATCGCTTTCTCTACAGGCTTTCCAGTGAGTTTTGAAGATTAAACAAAATTTAAATTCTCTCACATTTATTTGGAGCTTACTATCTGCCATGCAACACTAGAAAAGTCACCTTATAGTGCAATTGAGGTGAAAGTTGCTTGTAAATGCAGTGTCTTGTTTAATCATTATGGACTTTTCCTTGAAGAAGGGAAGTGTTATCCTTACTTTGTAGGTAAGGACAGTGGGGCTCAGAGTATTTAAATAATATGCCCAAAGACATATAGTCTGTTAAACGTGAGAGACAGATTTGAATACACATCTTTTGACTCTAAACCCAATCATCCTTCCAATACACGTTTGAAAAAGCGAATTTGTAATTTGGGGTGCTTTGATGAAATTTATCAGTAGAAATCCACAATACAGGAATATTCCCAAATAGAGCTGAATAAAGACTCAGAACAAGGATATGCTCATTTTTCTGCAGAATGAAGGAACATTCTATGGAAAACTAGGTCCTCTTCGCAGGGGAAGAAATTCACTAATATTTCACTAAGCCTCTAAGATGCATCAAGAGCAATATAGCAACATTGCAAAAATCCTAGGATGACCAGTTTTCATAACACTTAAGTATTAGGAGCACTCTTAGCTACTATAATGTACAATCTGTTCTCATTTTAGAGCTGGTGATCGACATTCAGGGACAAGCAAATGTAGTGATAGCCCTGGTGACAGACAGAATCTTAGTCTCCTGACTCCTGGTTCAGGAACTTTTTTAGATTCAGTCCTCAAATGTCAGTTTTGCATGAAGAAGAAATGCAGGTGTTCTGATGTGATTGAGCTGTAGAGAACCTGTGGTGGCAAAAAACTTTACTGCTATAAAACAAAAAGACTTCTTAGAAGGAAATAGGTGATGAAAGTCCCCTGATTTGACACCTTTCTCAGAAATATGAAGTGGAAAAAAAAATAGTTACAGCTCTGTTGGGTAGTTCTTTCTTTTGGTTTAGCCAAACGATGTGCAGCCAAAAATCTCTTTCTTGTTCTCAATTTCCCTTGAGCCATTACTGTAAATGAGAGTGGTGTGTAATTTTCCTCTCCTCCAATTTCTTCCACACTGTAATCAAAGGTCCTTAAGTACCTGTTGGGTATAGGAATCTTATTTGCTAGAGGAAATAAATGAATTAAAATGTGTAACATATCCTTTTTTTGAATATCATTATCATATTCTTAACAACATTGAGCATTTGCCTCATTTTGCATAGAAATTATCTGAAATCTTTTATTGCTGTTTTAGCTTTGTGCTTGTAAATTTAGGTTAGTTTTATAGTCACGTGATCTGCTTTACTGTTCCTGTTTCTAGGCTAAGTGAATTCCTTTTTCTTTTTTAATATTTATGGAGATAAAATGACTGATAGGGAACTTTAAGGATAAAACTTCTTGAACATACAAACTGGCTATTTTATATATTAAGAGTGATTTAGACTGAATATTAAAGATATTATTAGAAAAACATAACCAAGGTTTTATACTAAAAATGTTATAGTTCTTTACATTTCTTTCTTACCAATAATAGCAAGGATCTCAAAATGTTGTCCATTATCATCCACATATTGGCAACAAATATCTCAAGCTTTGGAAACTGCAAAAGGCCATGAGAATTGCTAACAGTAAACCAAAAATTTTTAAAGAGCATTATGTTTTATTTGTTCTCATTGATTTTTTTAAACAGAATTTTAATACCTTTGGGGAGGATATGTCTTCACTTACTCACCACAGCCCCTACCACCACTTGTCACCAATTTATGTCAGCTTCCTGACTCTGCAGGCATTTTCCCACTCTTGACTGAACGTATTGCTCTTTTTCATCCCCTACTCAGCCAAATCACAGCAGGAACGAATCCTGCTGTCCATTCGCTCAGTAAAACACACAGACTGGCACTTAAGGCACGCTGAATGCTCACAGCTAAGGACATTCACTTATTTCTGACTCTAAAAGTTAAGTGGTACGTTTACCCAGGATCAGCTTTGTTTATTCCCCCACGCTATTTATGACAATTTTACTTTTTTGCCATTATATATTTAAATAAAATGTATATAAGCCGATGATACATGAGTACCAAAAGGTTAAAAAAAAACATTGTTTCAGTACAAGCTAGTTTTAGCATCTTGGAAACATCTAGTAAAGGTTAAGTTACCAAATTTGAATTGGATGATGGTGAGGGCAAATACAAAAAAAAAGTAGTTAATTATCATAAAAACCTAAAAGCATTCTGTTTTCAGATTGCTTTATGTCTTAAAATTTTTGCTCCCTTGTAAAGAAACCAAAACTAGAATTCACCAAGGATTTATTGTGGGCCAGAAGACACATGTGGACAACCACTAATAGATCTCTCCTTAGAAAACAGAGCCTAGCAATGATGTTCACCTATGTATTTTCAGTGACATTAAATTAATATGGTATTAATGTATTATTCTTCATGAGTCCCAGCTTTAACTAATATTTTGATTAACTGACTGCCTACCTGTAGGTCTCTTATGTGATCAATAAGAAAGCTTTTCATGTATTCTTAAATGGTATAATGTCATTTCTAAAAAATTAATATAAGTACTTTTATATCTGTAAGCATGTGAATGTACACATATGTATGGTTTTCAGCCTATTACTTTATAGAATCTTTATTATTTATTATATATGGATACAAGGATAGTAATTTTCATGATGGTTTAGTACCTGATGAGGACATTTTATCCTAAATGTATTGAACCTGGTTAACATTTAATGTTAATTTAGTAAAGATAGTGAAATGAAACAGTTTCCAGGAAGGTATTATGTGTTGTAAATTGTATGACCCAGAAAGAAACACATTTTATTTAAATAAATATGCCTTGTCAGCTTCTAGTCCTTTCTACCTTAAGTTTTCATGCATTTGATTGTATGTGAATTACATTTGGACACCTCTCAATGTATAACATAGACTTGAGCAACATAAATGTAAACAATAGTATAAGAATTCGTTGGTAATTTTTTATATAACATTTTCAAGGTCTGTAAAACCTATGTGAGTAAACTTTGAGTATGACTGGTAATACGAACACCCTGCCCTTGAATCTGACTTTAGAAATCCAAGTATATTAAAAGCTGTCACCAGAAATGTCCAAAAGCTCATAAAACTTGGTTAACTTCCAAAAGTAAGTTTATCCTTCAAAGTTGGGTTATTTTGGAACTATGGATTGTGTAAACTTCTGCTTAAACAATCAAACAGCTTATGATCTTCACTGATGTGCTGAAATGCATCCAAGAACAGAGGACATCTTTCGGCTAAGTGAAACAGAAAGCAACAGCTGCTTCTTTAGCAGTATAGGAATTCCTTAAAAAAGAGGAAAAGGAGGAGGAGGGAGGAAAAAGGAGAAGTAATCAAAAGATGGAAACAAAGACATGTGTTTGCTTTTAGCTTCAGAGGATGCTCAGCCAGTTGGATACTCTTACTTCTATGGGTTTTTTGTTTGTTTGTTTGTTTGTTTGTTTGTAATGGAGTTTCATTCTTGTTGCCCAGGCTGGAGAGCAATGGTGTGATCTCGGCTCACTGCAACCTCCGCCTCCTTGGTTCAAGTGATTCTCCTGCCTCAGCCTCCTGAGTAGCTGGGATTACAGGTGCACACCACCACACCCAGCTAATTTTTGTATTTTTAGTAGAGACACCATTTCTCCATTTTGGTCAGGCTGGTCTCGAACTCCTGACCTCAGGTGATCCACCTGCCTCGGCCTCCCAAAGTTCTAGGATTACAGGCGTGAGCCACCATGGCTGGCCACTTCTGTGGTTTTTAATTGTAAATCTTTTGGTTCTCAGAAATTTTATGTGGCTATAGCTAGGGAAAGTAGTGCACACCTGTAGTCCCAGCTACTCAAGAGGCTGAGGGAGGAGAATTGCTTGAGCCCAGGAGTCCCAGCTACTCAGGATCCTGAGGGAGGGGAATTGCTTGAGCCCAAGAGTTCAGAACTATAGTGCACTGTAATGGTGCCTGTGAACAGCCACTGAACTCTAGCTTGGGTAATATAGTGAGACATCGTCTCAAAAGAAAGAGAGACAGAGAGAGGGAGAGGGAGAAGAAGAGGGACGGGGAGAAGGAGGAAGGAAGGGAGGGAGGCAGAAAGGAAGGAAGCAAGGAAGGAAAGAAGGAAGGAAGGAAGGGAGGGAGGGAGGAAGGAAGGAAAATAAACTATTGGAAATTATAATTATGCCTGGGATATTGACTTTTCTGATTGTCACTGGTTAATATTTTTACTTCCTGGATAGAATAATAACAAATGTAAAATTCTAGCCTAGGAAAAGGCAATTTAGGAAGGAAATACAATGTTCAGTAAACTAATTAATGTCTTTGAGACCATTTCCATCTTGTCTGTTTCCAGTGCCTCTAAGATATTATTTGTAAATCTTAAACTATACAATATTAAATCTGGAGATTTCCCTTTGCACATGCCATTTTTGGGGTGTTTACTACCAGAGTTCAAATAATACAATGACATTGCCTAAGAAATATAGTGTTATGATGTTGTATCTGTAATGTAAAAATTTTGTAGGTTAGTTTTAAAATATATTAGTATTAAAATATATCAGTATCTAATTTTATTTTATTTCAAACTTAAAATTTCCTCTGTATAATTTTCAGTTATGAACAACAATGGAAGATCATGACTAGGAGTCAGATGGTTTGGTGTTTAATCCTAGATCAGTCATTAATTAGCCAAGTCATTTGTTTTCTCTGGAGTTCTGTTTCCTCTACTGTAAAATGATGGCATTATAATTCTTAGCGTGTTCTCCACAGTGTCAGATTCTATCATTCCCTGATACTCCAGGACTCCATGTGTAATTTCGCATATGCTTGGAAATTAGCATTTTAACGGTAATTTTTGAAATAGTGAAAGAATATAAGACATTTTAAAAACCTTACTACAAATTTCTTTATTAGTTAAATATTTAAGCCTTCATGTTTCAGAAATGGACACTTATTGCAGTCACTCTATCAGATGGTTATCACTTGGTTTCCTCTTCAACATATTTGCAGAATTGTGTAATATCTCCAGCGTTCCATATAAACAAGATGGGCAGTTTTGCAATTTTGCATTTTTAAAACATAGCTCTACTAGTTGGTGGTCCAACTCCTCCAGTCATCCAGAAAGGCATTTGCTTTCATCTAGTAACTGGCTACCATGGTGGTAACAGATGATTTTCAAACAGCTGTCACAAGCCGAAAACAACACAAAACAAAATAAAAAGCCACCCTCCAACACTATGTACAGCCAGCTTGCCAATAGCTGAAATGAATCTTTCCTGGAGCATTTTAACAAACTTTTTTTTTTGGTTGTTGTTACAATTAAACAGAAATGCTTGAAACTCAGACAAACTGGCTTCGTGTTTCCCATGGGCCTAACTCCTAAATTTTCTGATGGGTTCTCAGCAATTGGTGGTTTCCAGATGCATTTAAAATGTGTTAATTGCCTGCAGGAATTGGCTTTTAAAGCATACACAATTCTTCAAATTCTTCAATCTCAAGATTCTACTGTAAGTCCCATGACATACTATGTAGTCTGTATAATATTTGTCCACAGTTTGGTGCTTAAGTTGCACCAAACTTAAGTGAAACTTAATAATAAATTTAAAAAATGAGAAACAAATTCTGTCGGAAGTACAGTTTTTTTTCTCTTTTTTTTCATTGTCCATTACCACTTCCCTTGTTACCCTGAAAATCATAGAAATAATCATAAACTCCTGTTGGAGAAAAAGCTGGCATGAGCGGTCTTCCTAGAAGAAAGCTGCTGGTGTCCTGGGGTCAGTAGGCACTCCTGGAGAACTCATTCCTAGACTGGGGTTAATTAAACTACAAACATGTCAGTCTGACAACTTTAACCGTTCATGCTCTATGTATTAGAATGTCTAGCTTTCTTTTACTTGCTCCTGGACAATTTCTCCCTGTCATGAGATTCTTCCTTAACTCACTGAGCCTGTGTTTACACCCAGTGGTTTACCTTTCATTGAAACTAGGCAGAAGGCAGGCTTGTGGTCTGTCTTCTCAGGTCTGGCAGGGCTGAAAACAAGACATGAGAATAAAAACATGGCTTTTGATGAAAAATGCATTTAACAGGTGGTTTTCTCCTTTGGTGACTGACATAGTTAACTTCCCTTGACGTACATCTGAGCCTCATGTCCTTCATATTTTTTTATTTTAGATTCCATGTGGATGGCTCATGAACAAAAATGAGAAACACGACGATAAACTGGTAATGTTCACCAATCAATCTGAAGATTCTGAAAGGTAATAACAGTTTATTTGGAGATTATATGCTTCTAATACTAATATTCTAATTAGAGCACTTCTGCTTTGTGGCAATGATAGTGTATTAAGAGTAGAAGAGAAGCTGTCTGAATGGAGCTATATAGAATAGAAAAGGAAAAGATGACGGGTAACAGTATGGCCTATCTATCTGAACATATTTTCTTTTATTGCTATCCAGAGGGCAAAAGTCATGGTAGGTTATGAAGATAATTTGATTTTTAAAGTATTTGTAAATTTCCATTGACAAGCCTTGGTGGATGGTTTTTCTGTAATTGCACAAATTTTTCTCCTAGGAAACAACTGTATTCCACCAGTAAGTTGAAGGAGTTGCTGTATCTTTTCTCCTGATTTGCTTAATCCTTAGCTCACCTGAAGGAGGGTGAGAAGTTTACTGAGTTCCTTATGAAAAAAAATCCCTTACTTAGGCGCTTTCCACATTCTATCAATCTTTCAAAGTTTTTTTTAAAGCCTCCTTCTATTCGTTGGTTCAGTTATTTCTTTTTTTTTTTTTTTAATGTGGCACCTAATACATGCAAGATATTGTGTTTGTTACTTGCAGAAGAGGAATCAGATTCAGACCCTATACTCAAGCTGCTTGAAGTTTAGAAGTGAAAAGCCATGCAGATGCCTAAGCATCATATATGGTAGGATGCTCTGCCTCATAAAAGAGGCACAGATAAACTGTTCTTGGAAATCTGAGGAAAGTGAGATTTCCAGAGAGTGGGATAGAAATACACGAAGAAGTGCTTTAACCTAATTTCTGGTAAAGAGAAACAGGAGAAAGATGGAAAAATAGAAGGAAAGGCTATTCCAAGCTGAAGGCAGAATGTGTACAAAGACGTGGTGGTAGGAAAGTCACGTATTTGTGTCTGGATCAACTAACAGTTTGTTTTGGCTTCCACAGGTGGTGTGTAGTAAAAAGAAGGAAACTCAGTTGATACTCTCTCTTGAGTGAGAGACTAAATAGCTGAGAATTTATTCTACAGGCCAATATTTCTGTTTATAAAGACAAAACTTCTATTTTGTGATACCTTTCAAGTGAAAGATAATTTCAAGAAATAATAATGATCAAGTTCTCAAGTCAGTATTTCTTAAACTAGGGTTCTGAGATCCTGTGTGTCTGGAGTCATATTCTCAGATTCTCTATGAGAACGTTTTCATTAAAAGAGGCCCATCTGTACTTTCAATATGAAAATCATGACTTGACAAGGGGTACCATTAAGAATTTTGAGCCAAGGATTTCCAATAGGCTACTCTAACAATAGTGTTTAAAATTAATTGGAAAGGGAAAAGATCTGAATTTCAAATAAATATAGAAATATTGATTTCTCCCATTCACCTCAATCAATTACATTCAGTATCTTTAACAAGCATTTTAGCCTTCAATTGTATATAATTTAGCATTTTCCTGTGCACTATACTTTATTATTCTAGAACTGTGTTGGGTGTGTAAGTCTCTCCTTGTCAATATGATTTTACCTACCTCAACGGAAAGACTCGACATGCAGCAGAATACTCCCCTCAAAGACTGTGGGTCTACAATAAGCATTGATCTGTTTTATATACATTTGAATAAAATATTAGTAAAATTGAAATTTACATCACAGGAGTCATTTAAGGATGAAGTTATTATACTGACAACCTCTAAGATACTATAGGCATTACAGAAGCAAAAAATATATGATGTGATGTTGAACAACTTCTAGGAAAGATGATACCCATCCTCCTTTGGTAGCAGAAGCATATGCTTGGCAAAATTTCACCGTGTAGACAAGAAAGAAAGAAGGAAGGGAAAAAGAAAGGAAGGGAGAAACCTATTATTTCTAAGAGGTAGGGGCAATCCTCACCCGGCCACCTCTCCATATTCACAAGCCATTTCCTTCTACATGGAGAATTCTGAGGACTTTGTGTGAGCTCCTGAGTCCCATTCTCTTGCCTCTTCTCCACAGCCAGCAATGCAATTTACTGTTTAGTTCTATTTAACAATGATGAAAATTATGTAGAATTTAGTAGTTAACATTTTTTCTACAGTGGTTAAAAATTTGTATTTCTGAAAGAAATAGATAGGGTTAGGTTCTTTAATAGTAATCTAAAATGTTCAGAAGCTGGTTTTCAAGTTGCCTTCTAGGGTGTATATACCCGGAAGTGCAGAAGGAAGGATGAGGGATGAGGCAGTGAGGCAGGGGCCGCGGTCCATGTCTTTGTCTGAGGGAAGTGGGAAAGAAGAATAAAGACAAGAGGCGAGAGCCAACAGGACAGGAAGAGAATAGTGAGCACCTGAGTCATCTTTCCCTCTATCACTCCTGAACTGACTCCTTTCTCATTGAAGTGCTTTCGGTCCTACGTATTGATATTATGGTTGCCACACCAGGTTTCCTTTCAAAGGAAAATAAAGGAGCGGAAGGAATACTTTTGATTGTCAGTATGGGGGATTATCAAAGTAAACATGATGTTTTATAGTTTTTATATTTCCCTTTAACACAGTTTTGAAGTATATTGTTATTATGAAAGCAGTCCCACTCAACATGTATGATCCTGGGGTCATCCTTTTTTTGAAGTACTCTTGTAATACCAGTTCCTCATTTTAATATTTTAATTTTTCTAAAGCAGATGCTTTCCTGTGGTAATATTGTAAGAAGAATGTCTTTTTTTGTTTTTTTTTTTTTTGAGACGGAGTCTTACTCTGTCGCCCAGGCTGAAGTGCAGTGGCACGATCTCGACTCACTGCAAGCTCCACCTCCAGGGTTCATGCCATTCTCCTGCCTCAGCCTCCCTAGTAGCTGGGACTACAGGCGCCCGCCACCACGCCCGGCTAATTTTTTTGTATTTTTAGTAGAGATGGTGTTTCACTGTGTTAGCCAGAATGGTCTCGATCTCCTGACCTCATGATCCACCCGCCTCGGACTTCCAAAGTGCTGGGATTACAGGCGTGAGCCACCGTGCCTGGCTGAAGAATGTCTTTTTTTAAAAAAAATGGATTATGCATTCAGAAAATTATAATTATAACCATGCAAGAAAAATGACTATGATTCATTTTAATCTGAAGTAGAGCTCATCTCAGAAGAATGAGATGACTTTGTGTTCTCATGAAGTGACCCTTTTACCTGGCATTAAATTCATTCACAACAGCAGTCATTCAACCTAATATTAAACAGGATCGAATGCCATCAGTTTTTCATGCCTTCTGGTAATGATATGGTGGATTTCAGATGCACTTAAGGAGCTCTGTGTCTTTCTTCATATTCAAGTCATTCAAACGTCCTTTATGTAAAGCATTGGTGGACATTAAGAAAATTAAACAATACTTTTGTCTTTTTTTCTCCATGTGAGTAGCATACTCTCTTCCAGATGCAACATTGAGCAGCCAAACAGCTGCTGGCTATTAAAAGTCCCTTAAAGCTCCATTTTTTTTTCTCGTAAAAGGAAGAGAAGTGTAGGAATGTTTATGGAGTGACAGGCAGATGTTTTAGTTGTACTATGTATGTGCTAAGTGAAAACTAAAATGATCTCTTTTATGATATCATAGGCATTCTTACAATTCTTTTGGCCTCTTTATTTTTAACCCCCTTCTTACCTGACTCTAAATTAAACTATTCTGGAAAGGCAGAAGAAAGAATCATTTATACAGTTGCGGTAAGTTAAGTTTATCTCACACCTTTTCATAAAGACAGACATCCCTGAAAATGTATCTTCCGTCCATTCATATTGTTTTGTTAAGTAGAAGAGAACCTTATAGTTTGAAGAGCTAAATAAAAGTATTTTTCTTTTCACTAAACAAGCAGCAGCACTGATGAATAAGTATTTTTAATGACAGGCAAAACATCATAGACCAATCATAATTTTTTTCATAAATTTTACTAATTTATTTGCAATTCAAATTTGTTAGTTTTTCAGAAATTACATGTCTTCAAACTAATAAACATCAAAGTCACATTGGGTTTCTGGACAATAGACTAAGTTTCTTCTCTTTCCACACTAAGAAAGCAGTCTCTCAATCTTATTTATTTATATGTAATATATTAGATGAAATTAAGTTTTATTGGATGGATAAATTCACAGAGATTTGAGACAAGGAGCTTTGGGACAACTTGTGCTTTGAACCAGGCTCTGTAAAGCACATTTCAGAAAAGCCTCTTCCATGCAAACAACGCCCATGGGATAAACACAGATTTCCATATTTTGAGGCCTACCTTATCCAGAAGGTCCAAGAAGATATTTAGAGTACACCTTTTGTTCTGTCTGCCTTGAATACTTTATGCTTGCATAAACTCTTGGATTCAATGTAGAAATCACTTGTAAGGCTATTACTGTATGCCAGAAAGTGTTTGGGAGATGTTGAAAAGAATACCAAATTAGAATTTTCCCAAGAATCAACTTAGCATTTTTCTGGGAAGTACTGGTACCAGCATAAAATTTGTGTGTCTAGAGACTGGAAATCACTCAGCTTTTACTTCCATGGAAATGTCTTTGATAAAAGCTGTGGTGGCACAGAGCTTGCTTGGAGGTCTGTAGGAGGCCCCAGGCAGGCCACAGACAACCTGCAGCCAGCTGAATGAATTTTAAATCTGTCCTTTCTGTGTGTGGTAACTCTAAGGAGTTGCTCTCTTTTTGCAGAAGGCTTCAGAGTTTATGCTGAAAACATCTCTGAGTTGATAATTCAATATACAGACCCTCCATGGCAGTACATTCCATTTCTGTGGCTTAAATTTGAAGCAGTTTCAAAGCCAGTTAATATAATAGAAGGTATTGCATTAGTAAAATTCTAGTTTTCAGGGCAATTTGGAAATACCAAATTCACAACTCTCTGTGCTACTCTGACAGGAATTTGTGTAAATGCACTAAGTGAAGAAATAATGGGGGAAATGAAGAGACTAGAGTTTGGAAAATTCAATTTGGCTTTGGTTTGAATCTTTCTGTTTTTATTCCTTCACGTAAATTGAAAATTTAAATGTAATATCCTCAGTGAGTTGAGTTTTCATCCCTTGTAGGCTTTGGCTTGGGATATTACTTATGTCTCTGTTCAAATATGAGTTTAGAGAGTAGGCAGGTTACATTGAGGATTTGTTTTGAATACCTTTTTATTCCTCTTTTTAGTATTTTATATCATTTGCTAGTATTTATATTGACATAAGACTCTAGCTGTCACTTCATATTCTAAATATTCTGCTCTGTTAGTTAAATTGGATCATAATTATTTAAATCACACATCACCCCTCTTTCCAAGACAACTGAACTAGAGAATCACTTTTCAGTTTCACATCTAGGAAATATTTCTATGTCAGGGACATTTCTGCTTTCCAAGTCCAGTTATTTTCATTGTTCTAACCATGTAAGTTCCTTTATTTTCTTTATATTACCAGATCAGGGTTTTCAATTATGACAGAAAATACCAGCATACTAAAATGCAAAATAATATTTATTTTAAGATCCAAACCATTTGATGATTTCTCTTTTTTGTTTTCATTTTTTGCTGTGCTACATCATACTTTGTTTTAGAACACAACAGTGGGACTGAATTGTGTCCCCCTAAATTCGTATGTTGAACTCCTAAACCCCAATGTGACTGCATTTGGAGATAGGGCCCTTAGGAGGTAATTAAGGTTAAGTGAAGTCATAAGGGTGGGGCTCTGGTACAATAGGATTAGTGCCCTTATAAAAAGAGACACCAGAGAGCTTGCTGTCTCTCTCCACACATGCACAAAGAAGAGGTCATTTGAGCACACTGCAAGCCTTGAAAAGAGGCCTTAGAATGAAACCTACCTGCTGGCACCTTGCTCACAAACTTCCCAGCCTTCAGAACTGTGAGAAATAAATACCCATTGTTTACACCCAATCTATGCTGTTTCCTTATGGCAACTCAAGAAGACTAAGACACTATTTATGCTACTGGTACTTAATAAGGATTTTATTTGCTTTTCTTGTTGATCTATAATGATTTCAGAGGCTGTGTGAAGGAGTTTGGCTTAAGCAGCTATTAATATCTAATAAACATCTAGAAGTCCAGGCAATATATTAGAAGATATTCCCTTAGGGGACCACCAATACTTCTGTTATTCAAGATATCATTACTAAACCTGATTCAACTTCAGGCTATTAAAAAATGTTCCAGAAAACAAGGACTTATTTTATCTCTATGTAATAGTAATTTTTCCTTTCTTTATTATAAATTATAATTCATTAAAGGATGGTGAAATACCTTTTCATCCATGGGCTCAGGGCACCTCATACCTACCCTTTTGAGCAAAGGTGATAGCAAAAGTTCTTATTTATTTAGAAGTGAAGAGCATCCACTATCTCAGTGACACCATTTAAAATCAGTATTATGGTTAAGAGTGTGGTTTCTTGAGTCAGACTCCCTGAGTTCAAATCACGCTTCTTAGGTAAGTCATTTACTCTAAAACCTTAAAATACTTCAAATTTTAATAATTTTCTCTTTTCTTAGAAGCACTCATGTAAAATTCAGCAAAACTCTATACATTACTAGAAAAATGTGCCACCAACTAGTTTTTTACAGTAAGAAATATACCATAAGAAGTACGTAGAATAGTTCTTGGCCTGCAGCAAACTTCAATAAATATTTGTTGAGTGAGTGAATAAAAGTTGCATAACTAAAATGATCAATAAAACATCAATAAAATAATATAATTGATATTTATCTCTTCCTATTTGGAATAAAAAATAGAAGATCTTGAATCTTCTGTATTTGTTTAATGGAGCTTCAGAGGTACAAATATGTGTGATATTTGCCATAACTTTATTGGTCTGAATTTACAAGGCTAATCTGGAGCCTAATTATTTCCTCTGGGCTCACTGTTCCTTCTAGGAATAATGCTGCTTGCTTGAGTTCATTTAAGCATCCATTATACCCAGTGTGACATCTTTTTTCTGACCACAAATGCGTAGTTTTTTTCCCACAACTCTCCATGCCAACTATGTGTCCAATAATTCAATTTGGTGTTGACACTACCAGAAGTTAGTACAGACCCCACATGTTAAGGCCTCAGTCCCACAAGACTGCCCACACTTCAGAGGCCAGTTATAAGTCCAGTGACCACCCATACTTCTGACCAACATGCTACAAATTCAGAGGTTACCACAACCCCATCCTCAGGTTTGGTAATTCATGAGAAGGACTCACAGAACTCAGGAAACACATGTTGCCAGTTTATTATTAAGATACAACTCAGGAACAGCCAGATGAAAAGAATCCAAAGGGTGAGGCATGGGGATGCTGTCACACAGCGTCCTCGCCCTTAACAAACCTGCCATCTTCCCAGCACATCAATGTGTTACCAACCAGGAAGCTTTCCAAATCTCCTTGCTCAAGAGTATTTATATCCATACAGAACCCAGTAGACATAAATTTTTTAAGAGTATTTACATCCCAATGTCCAGCTCCCTCCCCTTCCTGGAGATTGGGGAGCTCCCTCCCCTTCCTGGAGATTGGGGAATGGAGCTGAAAGTTCTTACCTTCTAATCACAAATTTGATCTTTCTGGCGGCCCCACCCTGAAGCTCTCCATGGATTCCACCCTGACAGACTTCATTAGCATAACTTAGGTGTAGTCCAGAGGACTGTATAGTTAAAATAACAAGAGACAGTCATTCTTATCGCTTAAGAAATTCCAAGGGTATCAGAAGCTCTGTGCCAGGAACCAGAGACAAAGAATGTATTTTTTATTATATCACACCCACTTTTAACAGCCCAATGGATTCTCCTTGCCTGTTACCTAGACAAAGCCAACTTATCAAGACAGAGGAATTGTAATAAAGAAAGGATTTATTTCAGGCATAGCCAGCTGAATGAGAGACCAGTTTTATTCTTACTCAAATCTGTCTCCCTGAAAATTCAGGGATCAGGGCTAAGGATAATTTGATGAGTAGGGGATTGGGACATGGGTAGTGCTGATTGGTTAGGTTGGAGATGAAATCATACAGATTTGAAGCTGCCCTCTTGTGCTGAGTCAGTTCCTGGGTGGGGGCCACAAGACCAGATGAATCAGTTTATTGATCTGGGTGGCTCCAGCCGACACATTGAGTTCAGGGTCTGTAAAATATCTCTTCCTGGGTTTTACAATAGTGATGTTATCCCTAGGAGCAACTGGGGAGATTTCGAATCTTGATGTCTCTGGCTGCATGACTCCTAAACCATAATTTCTAATTCTGTGGATAATTTATTAGTCCTATAGAGGCAGTCTGGTCCCCAGGTAGAAGGGGGTTTATTTTGGGAAAGGGTTGTATATTAGTTCATTTTCATGCTGCTGATAAAGACATATCTGAGATTGGGAAGAAAAAGAAGTTTAATTGGACTTACAGTTCTGCAAGGCTGGAAAGGCCTCAGAATCATGGCGGCCGCAAGAGAAAATGAGGAAGATGCAAAAGCGGAAACCCCTGATAAAACCATCAGATTTCAGGAGACGTATTTACTACCACAAGAGCAGTATGGGGGAAACCACCCCCATCATTCATATTATCTCCCACTGGGTAGCTCCCATAACACATGGGAATTATGGGAGTACAATTCAAGATAAGATTTGGGTGAGGACACAGCCAAACC
Source organism: Homo sapiens (assembly GCF_000001405.40). Lineage (NCBI taxonomy): Eukaryota > Metazoa > Chordata > Mammalia > Primates > Hominidae > Homo > Homo sapiens. The sequence continues at coordinate 121,207,837 of NC_000004.12, read as the reverse complement.
ATATCAGGTTGTTATCATCTTTGTTTCAAAGTTAAACTATAAACTAAATTCTTCCAAAGTTAGTTTGGCCTACATCCAGGAGTGAATAAGGTCAGCTTGGAGGTTAGAAGAAAGATGGGATCAGTTAGGTCAGATATCTTTCACTGTCATAGTTTTCTCAGTTATAATTTTTATAAAGGCAGTTTCAGATTTTTGGTCTCCTTGTCTACATTGCTCTCCTCTGTGTGGCTGCCATGCCCCAAATCTGCAGGCTTATTGTTTTTATTAACTAATATCTTAAGTCAGTGTTAAAGTAGTTAAATAAAGCATTTAAACATCACTGAAATTATGAAATAATACAGAAAGTAAGATTTAAAGATATCTGCGTACAATTAATTGCCTAATCCATTAACATTTAACTATTATAAATCATTCATTGACATATCCTGGTTTCTATGAAACTTTAATAGATTTAAACTTAATGGAATTTTCTTGATTTTCCTGGGACTTGTTAGTTGCTCTTTTTAATTTAGAAGTTTCTGCTTTATAGCTGTCAATGCTTAATGTCTATTTTATGCTTTGAGTTAAAATATGTCATTGATCATTGTTTTTTACTGATCTTGAGGCTTTTTTTCTGTACTTCTGAACAATTCTCTGAATATTCAGGCTTCCTTCCTCTTCTTCAATTTCCAGTCATTAACAACAGCAACAAATAAACAGCAAGCAAAACAAAACAAAACAAAGAACCCCAGATCACACATACTATATTTTCACTAATATGATCTTCCATGACTGTTTTTTTCCAATGAAAACATTTTCGTCTACCTGATCACATTTTTTTGCCTTAGCTGTTTGCCCTTTGGAGTCTATATTTGAACTTATTTCTATTTTAAATTGAAAAGTTGATATTTGAATTCATGTACAACTCCCATGAATTCAAAATTAGGTAGCTCTGTACCCTCAGGAGCTTAGTGCAAGAAAGAAAACATGGCTGGGCTCAGTGGCTCACACCTGTAATCCTAGCACTTTGGGAGGCTGAGGCAAGTGGATCCCTTGAGTCCAGGAGTTTCAGAGCAGCCTGTGCAACATGGTGAAACCCCATCTGTATTAAAAGATAAAAAAAGAAAAAATTAGCTGAGCATGGTGACATGCACCTGTAGTCCCAGCTGCTGTGGTCTCAGTTACTCAGGAGGCTGAGGTGGGAGGATCTCTTGAGTCTGGAAGGCTGAGGCTAGTGAGCTGTGATTGCACCACTACACTCCAGCCTGTGTGACAGAGGGAGACCTCAAAAAAGAAAAGAAAAGATAAAACACACACACAATATATACAAATGTAACATCTCAACACCTTTAAATACATTTATATTTTAAAAGCCAGAACAATAAATTTATGATAAAATTCATGTGAGCATAATGAATAATTTACAGATTATTTTTAAGGAACAAGTTGATTATCATCAAATTTAACTTAACCGAGGATCAGGGAATAACAGCTCCTTCCTAATTGTGTTAAGGAGAGGATTAAATGAGATAACGCATGCAAAGTGTTTAGCAAAAGGTTCATTTTGATTAAGACTTGTGTATTCATCTACCTAATCAACATGTCTACTTGAGAAGTCTAAAAGACATCCCAAGTAAGAATCTCCTAAGACTAGTCTAAATTTGCTCTTCTTTTGGTCTTCCCTGTCTGATATTGTTTGGCTATGTCTCTACCCAAATCTCATCTTGAATTGTAGTTCCCATAATTCCCAGGTGTTGTGGGAGGGACCCAGTGGGAGGTAATTGAATCATGGGAGTAGTTACCCCCATGCTGTTCTCAAGATTTTGAGTGAGTTCTCAAGAGATCTGATGATTTTACAAGGGGACTTCCCCCTTTACTCGGCACTTCTCCTTCTTGCCATCCTGTGAAGAAGGTGCCTTTCTTCCCCTTCGCCTTCCGCCATGATTGTAAGTTTTCTGAGGCCTTTCCAGCCATGCAGAACTGTGAGTCAATTAAACCTCTTTCCTTTGTAAATTACCCAGTCTCAGGTATTTCTTCATAGCAGCATGAGAACAGACTAATACACTGTCTCAATAAAGGGCAACTTTATTATTTCCAGTTTCTTAATCTGAAAGAACTTGGAGGCATCCTTGAGCTTTTTCTCTCTTTCCCTTTTCCCTCCTACTGGCTAAATTCAAATTATGCCCAGAATCCCACCTTTTCTTTCCACATCCCTCACTACCATTCTGTCCAAACCACTAGCATCCCTAGCCTGCATAATTTCAAGAGCTTCTTAAACTGTCTCAGTACCTTTACATATGCTTCCCTACAGGCTGTTCTAAACCCACCAACGAGAGTGATCTTTCCAAACTATGTCACATCATATCCCTCCTTTGCTGAAAACCCCCATTCACTCAGAGTAAAATGCAAAGTTTTTACAATGCCCACGAACCTCCTTGAACTGGCTCTCTTTTACCTTTCTGGTTTAATCTGCTACAATCCCCCTTCTTACTCCCCCAACTCCAGCCATATTTTCCTTCTTGCTGTATGTTGGAAAAACCACACAAGCTCTAGCCTTAGAGATTTTGCACTGGCTACCTTTACAGGGAATGCTCTTTCCCCAATAAGCCACATGGCCCATACTACACCTCCTTCACTCCTTGCTCAATTGTCACCTTTCAATAAGTCCCACCTTTGATCACTCCATTTAAAATTGCAATTCCCATCTCCCCAGCTAACACCTCATAACCCTGATTCCACTTACATTGCTCTATATTTCTTCTATGACACCTATTACCTGTTAAAATGCTAACTAGACAAAGAACTACTACAAATGGGAAAGGGAAAAGACACCCATAATGAAAAATCAGTCAAGAACCAGAATGAACAATTACGGAAGAGAAAAGCAAATGAATAATGAACATACTGAAATATGATCAATATCACTGGTAATTAGGAAAATACAAATTAAAACAATGGAATTCTTTGGTTGGCAAATATACCAATAACACCTAGGACTGACTTCAGTTGTAGGAAAATAAGAATTCTTACACATAGCTGATAGAAATGAAAATTATTGCAACCAATTTAGAAAATAACCAAGAAGCACTATTAAAAGTTTTAATGTCCATACCCTTGGACCCAACAATCTAACGTTGGTAAATCTATTCTATATAAATAAAATACTAGTATGTAAGAATATATCTAGACAGGTATTTCTATTGTGCATTGATTGTAGTGACATCAAGAAGAAAAAGTAATTAGAAACAACTTGCTATTCCATCATAGAGAAATGATTAAGTTGTGAACCCTGAAAATCTGAGACAAGTCTCAGTTAATTTAGAAAGTTTATTTTGCCAAGGTTGAGGATGCACGCCTTAGGAGGTCCTGATGACATGTGCCCAAGGTGGTCAGCGCACCGTTTGATTGTATACATTTTAGGAAGATATGAGACAACAATCAATATATGTAAGACAAACATTGGTTTGGTCTGAAAAAGGCAGGACAACTTGAAGTGGGTAGGGAGCTTCCAGACCATAGGTAGATAAGAGGCAAATGGTTGCACTCTTTTGACTTTCTGATTAGCCTCTCCAAATGAGGCAATCAGATATGCATTTATCTCCATGAACAAAGGGGTGACTTTGAATAGATTGGGAAGCAGGTTTGCCCTAAGCAGTTTCCAGCTTGACTTTGCCCTTTAGCTTCGAGATTTTGGGCCCTAAGATTTATTTTTCTTTCACAAAGTAAATTTGGTCCATTCATAATTTTCAAATATTATTTGGCTATTTAAAATAATTAGAGCAATATGTATGAACTGAAGGAATAGTCAGAGATTTTTTCATAAATGCAAAATAACCAAATAGCAGAGTTATATATAATACAATATTTGTTTTAATATTAAATATTTAATTTAAAATATATATATATTTTAAAAAGAAAGAAAAATATTTTGTGTATTAGTATATATATATACACACATATATTGTATATATACTCTACTTATATTTGTATAAACACAGAGAAAAATATGGAAGAATGATGTTAATACTAATTATCAGAGTAGAGTGGAACTGAAGGAAGCATAAGAATATTGTTAACTTTTTTGTGTTCTCTAATGTTTGCTTGTTAAAATGGGTGTATTTCTATAATGTAAAATATCCATTAAAAAATAAAACAGGCTACTATTTGAAAATACATGGTCCAATAACCTGATAAATAAGTTTATGTATTATATCAGATGACCTAAGTTGTTTTGAATGTTTTATTTTAATAGGTTTTTGGGGAACAGGTGGTGTTTGGTTATATGAGTAATTCTTCAATGGTGAATTCTGAGATTTTGGTGCACTATCACCCGGAAAGTGTACACTACCCAATGTATAGTCTTTTATCCCTCACCCCTGTCCCATTCTTTCCCCTGAGTCCCCAAAGTCCATTGTATCATTCTCATGCATTTGAGTTCTCATAGCTTAGCTCCCACTTGTGAGTGAGAACATATGATGTTTGTTTTTCCATTCTTGAGTTACTTCACTTAGAATAATGGTCTCTAATTCTATCCAGGCTGCTGCGAATGCCATTATTTTGTTTCTTTTTATGGCTGAATAGTATTTCATGGTATCTTTCTATCTATCTATCTATCTATCTATCTATCTATCTATCTATCTATATCACATTTTCTTTATCCACTCATTGATTGATGGGCATTTGGGCTGGTTTCATATTTTTGCAGTTGTGACTTGTGCTGCTATAAACATGCTTCTACAAGTATCTTTTTCATATGATGACTTCCTTTCCTCTGGGTAGATATCCATTAGTAGGATTCCTGGATCAAATGGTAGATCTACTTTTAATTCTTTAAGGAATATTCACACTGTTTTCCATAGTGGTTGTAGTAGTTTTCATTCCCAACAGCAGTGTAAAAGTGTTCCCTTTTCACCACATCCATGCCAACATCTATTATTTCTTGATTTTTTTGATTATGGCCATTCTTGCAGGAGTAAGGTGGTATTACATTTTGGTTTTGACTTGCATTTTCCTTATAATTAGTGAATTGAGCATTGTTTCATGTTTGCTGGTCATTTTTATATCTTCTTTTGGGAATTATCTATTCATGTCGTTAGCCCACTTTTTGATGGGGTTATCTGTTTTTTCTTGCTGATTTCTTTGAGTTCCTTGTAGATTCTGGATATTAGTCTTGTGTTTCATGTGTAGATTGTGAAGATTTTCTCCCACTCTGGGTTGTCTGTTTACTCTGCTGATTATTTCTTTTGCTGTGCAGAAGCTTTTTAGTTTAATTAAATCCCATCTATCTTGTTTTTGTTGCATTTGGTTTTGGGTTCTTGGTTATGAAGTCTTTACCTAAGCCAATGTCTAGAAAGGTTTTGCCAATGTCTAGAAAGGTTTTTCCAATGTTATCTTCCAGAATTTTTATGGTTTCAGGTCTTATATTTAAGTCTTTGCTCCATCTTGAGTTGATTTTTGTATAAGGTGAGAGATGAGGATCCAGTTTCATTCTTCTACATGTGGCTAGCCAATTATTCCAACACCATTTGTTGAATAGGGAGTCCTTTCCCCACTTTATGTTTTTGTTTGCATTGTCAAAGATCAGTTGGCTCTAAATATTTGGCCTTATTGCTGGGTTCTCTATTCTGTTCCCTTGGTCTATGTGCCTATTTTTATACCAGTACCATGCTGCTTTGTCAGGTCACTATGGCCTTATAGTGTAGTTTGAAATTGGGTATTGTGATGCCTCCAGATTCATTCTTTTTGTTTAGTTTTACTTTGGCTGTGTGGGCTCTTTTTTTGGTTCCATATGAATTTTAGGATTGTTTTTTCTAGTTCTGTGAAAAATGATGGTAGTATTTTGATTTGAATTGCACTGAATTTGTAGATTGCTTTTGGCAGTATGGTCATTTTCACAATATTGATTCTACCCATCCACGAGCATGGGCTATGTTTCCATTTGTTTGTGAGATGACCTAGATTTTTATCTCAATGCTTCAAAATAATGTGACATTTAAAATAAATTATATGATTTCAATGTTGGAGTTTAGGCAGTTTCCTTAATTTACATATGAGGAAAATGTGATCCTCATGTACTGATACATAGCAGATTCTTGATATATAACTGTTGAATAAATGAATATGTGTGTATTAATTAATATACAAATGAATGAGCTAAGTAATTGCCCAAATCATAGCTAGTTGGTTAATCTAGAATACAACTCTTCTGATTCCAGGTCCAGGGCTCTTCCCATCATGACACAAGCCTGGGAGAACAACATGCAGACATGTATTGCATGAAGCTAGATAGGCTTAGCTAGAAAACTCTTACAAACATTCTAGCTCTAAGTTTGCCTAAGGCAAAAATCATGATACTCATGCTGTAGAACCATATTTATGTCTTCTTAGAAAACCTATTGTCTTTTATTTTGGGAGTTTTGTTTTATTTTGAGACATACAATATAATGCTTAAAAACTAATTTTAAACACATGAGATACAAAACAATGCCTAGTAACAAGATGTTCCACTCTGGACCCTGCTGCTTTGTAAGAAGCCAGCCATTGACCACACGCCATCTTGCATAGAACGTCCTTGTGGTTTCTGCAGTAAGCCCTCCTGTGGTCCTTCCAAGCACTAAATAAAGCATCAGTATGGCCACTCAGTTGTCCCCTTTCATGGAACATTTGATTAGCATGTTTTCTGGACTTTCCTCATACCTCAAAACTTTCTTTCCTGCCCCCTACTCATCCAGACTCATCAGAAGCATCCATTTACATAGCTTAGAGTCCATTCATAAATTAATCATGGTTATTGCAGCCACCAAAGTTCCCCTTGACCTTCAACTCCTACTCTCTTCCCCAGCACACAGTTCCACTTTTGCTAATATTCAGAGTATCTTACCAAAAATTGACCTTTACTTTCACTCTCACCAAGCAGATCCAAAAAGCCAGTTTCACTTTGTGACACTTCCCTCCGGGTTTATTTCTACCCATGATAAGTGATTTTCCAGTACAGTTTTGTTTGTTCTCTTAACAGAGCCTGAACAGAGGACTTGAAATGGCCAGCTGAGCTGGGGTTCCAGAAATCTGCTGGATAAAAAGGAACAAAAAGCTCTCTGAGGAAATTAAAACAAAAATAAACAACAACAAAGAATCTGTTGAAAAAAAGGTAGCCAAGGTGCCTGATTACTGGCAGTAACTCCAGGATCATTAAACCAATAGCTTTGGCATTAAGTGTTTGCAACAGTTCTCTTTGAACTAGATTGTTCTATCATAGGAAAAGACAGCAGTTTGTTGGTGGTTACTAAAAGCACCACAGGAGCCCACTGGTCAGGGTATGTGTGCTCGGGGGTCTCTATGAATCCAGAGACTGCCAGGGACCCCACAGCTGCCAACTGTCAAAGCTCTGCGTAAAGATGAAAAACGTTGCTCAGAAGTGTGGAAAACCCCCTGAGCCTGACAAGTTCTAACTAGGTACAGTTTTGAGACATTGTGTCTAAATAAAGTCTACTGAGGGCCCTACTATAAAGTTTTTGAGAAATCTTGGACTGTAAATATTCCTCTTCTTAGTGGATTATGCAAAAGGGAATTTGTAATTTTGTAGCATCTCTGTCGAAACTCTTCTGCAGTTGTCTCGGTGAACCCATTGTTCAGCATTCTCAGGGGTGGTTGGTGTTACCTATTTGGGTGAGAACCAAGGCAAGAGGAAGCTCCCTTAGCATGTCTGTGCCCATGTGGGGGCAGTAAAGGAACCCAGTGAACGTGGTCACAGTGTTGCAACACACAAAAGAAAGAAATGCCAAATGCCATCTCAATATTGACAGGTAAGGGCTCTGCCTCTGACCGTGGTTTTTGAGGGGATGCAGTTCCCAGGACAATGCTAGCTTGTGTAGTGCCTTTGTGTAATTGAGAAAAAAGCACCCTTTCTTCTGGGCATATGCAGCCCCACACGAGGTGTCTTGGCTGGGCAAGTAGAGAATGGGCTGTATCCCAGCCTTCGCTCCTAAGCCATGTGCTGTTACACAGCAACCTACACAACCGTCCTCAGGTACCTACCCTGACAAGTTACCTACTCTGATGCCACTTGAAAAGATTAGGCTTCCTTGGTTTCCTTTCTTATCTGAGGGTACCAAAAGAATGATGCCTCTATTCTGGGCATTGTGAATTTGTGTTTACATGATCAGCTTTCTCTTCTCCAGGCCATTCTTCTCAGGCTGTTGAAGCTTGGTGCACACACTATTCTTAATTCCATTGAAGAATAGAGGAATGTGGGAGATAAAGATCAATTCAGTGATAAGCTTAATCTCAGATCTCTCAGCTTGTCATGGGTTGAAATCTTTAATCAATGGTTCCCAGGTGTCACTTCCTCCTCCCATTCATCGATCCCTGCTCATAACCAGGGCCTTTGAAGACCTTGTTTTTCCTGCCCATCTACCTCTGCCAGAAAGGAGTATTTCTGGGCTAGAAACATAGTAATATTGTTTTCTTATAGACCTCATGTCCGACTTCTTTTAAGTGCAAACTGCTGTCTAAGTAACAACTAGCTTTATAGGATATCTTGAAGCTTAGTGTGCTGTAGATATTATCAGTATTTTACTAACAGTTTCCCAGCTCTAGCATCCATCCCTTCCTGGTTCCCTGAAGTTGTATCGCCACCATTTCCATGAGTGTGTCCCAGGTTTCCCTAAATTTTCTGGTTTTGTTTTTTGTTTTGCTTTGTTTTTTGTTTTGAATTATCTATCCACTCTCTCTCCTTGCTCAGTGCTTTCAGCTGGACCTGCCATGTCACATCTGAGTTTTCTCAAGTCCCTTTGTTTGTTTGGTTGGTTTTAGGATTTCACTAAACTTCCTCTTAATTGTTTACAACTTTGTGACTCTGGCCATCAAAGAGGATCTATACCCTTTTCAAAGATGTCTTTTAAAGGTTTACATGTTAAAGGCAGTCTCTTTCTCATTATCCTCTCTAATTCTTCATTTTTATTTAAAAATTTTAAATACCTCAGAGCTATATGTATATTTTATGACAGCTCAGGCCATCATTACTTTGAAAGAACAGCTTGTTCTCATAACGTATTCCATGATTTTGTTAACACTGTCTTTGAACTTATATTTTCCAGACACATAAACCAACTTTTAAAAATTTTGCCTTAAGGCAACCCATCTTCTTGATCAGTTGAGTTGGCCTTCACTAGATCTTTCAAGCCATGTTTATTAAGGAACTTGAGGGTAAATTCACTATAAGTTTGTTTAGAGGCAAAATAATGCTATAGTTTTTGTTTTTAACAGAAACCTTGAAATGTAAGCTCCATGAAAACAGGGATTTTTTTCTGTTTTGTTCATTGACATAATATGCTCACCACTAAGAAATGCATCTGGCCCATAATAGGTGCTCAGTTGTTATTTGCCAAATGAATGATAAAATCTAGTCATTGAGAAATTTTGCACTGTAGCTCTGTGAGAATGATTTCATAAGCAAACAATCTAAATGCCTTGTAAACCTCTTTGCACCAGAAAGTTTATGCTATATATATCAAATCCATATGTTTTGGGTTATTTTCTTCTCTAAATGCAATTCTTTACAATGAAGGTCATGTGCTACTTTTCAGCCTATTCCTATAAATTTGTGCATTTTCTCTGTAGCTTATTCCTTTTGCTTTAGCATTTTGGTTTGAAAAGTCCTAAAAATGTCATTGCTTACTTTCTCTTACAAGTAATTTCTAAAAAAAAAAAAAACAAGAATGAAACTTCTCCTAGCCAAGGTCCTTAAGAAAGAACAAATATTTATACTCACCCAGAAACACATCTATTATCCGCATCCTCTAGTTCTTTTCTAGGATCTATTTTTAAAAACATGATGAACATTTTCATAGTTACTCAATATTTAAAATTGCCTTTGCCTGTAATATCAGTGAATCTTTCACATGTGTATTTATTCAGTCAAGCAAGATTCGTCATTACAGAAACTTTTCTTTCCATAGCGCAAAACACTTGAATAGTAGTGAATCTATACCATGACATTCCATTGCTCACTGATAAGGACTTTGACTTTCTTATACGGCTCTCCTTATTAACAAGAATAATACCAACAATCTTCATTTCTCTTTCATGGTGGCTAATGTATTTTGAGGAGGATTTCTAAATTTGCCCCCAAATTGCTTCAGAATTCTTGGGTAATTCCCAGTTTTTTGTTTATGTTTAGTTTTCCAGCTAGGTTTGGAATAGATTTACATGTTAAAGATAATCTCTTTCTCATTACTCTCTTCGATTCTTCATTTTTATCTAAAAAATTTAAATACTTCAAATGTGTATTTTAGCTTGAACTTAGGTGTTCTTTTTTTTTTTTTTTTTTGAGACAGAGTCTCGCTCTGTCACCCAGGCTGGAGTGCAGTGGCCTGATCTCGGCTTACTGCAATCTCTACTCCGCCACCAAGCTCAAGCGATTCCCCTGCCTCAGCCTCCCAAGTAGCTGGGACTACAGGCACCCGCCACCACGCCCAGCTAATTTTTGTATTTTTAGCAGAGAAGGTGTTTCACCATGTTGGCCAGGCTGGTCTCGAACTCCTGACGTCAGGTGATCCACCCGCTTCAGCTTCCCAAAACGCTGGGATTATAGGCATGAGCTGCTGTGCCCGGCAGGACTTAGGTGTTCTTAAAGAGAGCATTCATGTAAGAACATCCAAAGTCTTTAACAGTAAAGCTAAACAACAAGTTTCTTAACTCTTAGCAGCCATCTGCTTGTAATTTATGAGTACAACTTTTATATTGCACTGATAAATAGCCCACTGCTTTCTAGTTGATTTTTTCCCATTTTTGATGTATTTAACACATTGTATTTTTTAAGTTCATTAAGACTTTGAGTCAAGTCTATTTGTGTTTGTTCTTGAATGCTTTAAACTGAATTCTTATTCTACCCATGGTTCTTTGAGTAAAAGAAGGAGAATTTTATTTCTTACATTTTTTTAATGACTGATAAAACACTAATCAGAAAAAATAAAATATAAAACAGTATGTATCTCTAATCTCAATTTTAAAAATACGTATATAAATCGAAAGAAAATAGAAGCAAATCTATCATAATTTTATTTTAAATTTTCTACGTTGAAATTGTATTATTATAACAATTATTATAAAAACCTTTATACAGAAGATTAAAGTACTTGCTTTTTCTATTTATTTATTTATTCAGCATTTGTTGAGCCTTTGCTAAATATTTATAGTTATCTTTGGTATTAATGTATATTACTAAGCAATTGTTAATTTTTTTCATCTTCAAAGCTGTATATACTTTATATCTCAGGTAATTTGTAATTCCATTAAAAAAAATGTGACAAATTCTTTGGTTTTCCAAACTGGGAATTTCACATTTAATTGTTATGATTTCTATTACATAGTCAACCACACAAAATTGCTTCCTATACCAATTCCAGAATTTTAGCTCTTTAGAGCCAAATATTATATTCGTCGATTTATTTTCTAACTTAAAAAAAACCTATACTTGTTACAGGAAAAAACTTATTAAAAAGACCTACCTCTACCATTATCACTAGTTGATCTGTCTTAATTCTTTACCTTTAGCAATTTACAAACACAGGTTTAAAATGGATTTTTATCACAGTATTAGTTTTAGACACAAAAGCTATAAAAAGAAAGTATTGTAGACCTTGTCAATTTATTTCTGAGTACAGAAAATGGATCATTTATTCCTAAGTAAATGCAGTGGTTAAGAGCTCACCGTGAGCAAATTACTTAATCTCTGTGAGTCTCAGTTCCCTCAACTCTAAGAACAGGGAGACAGTTTCCACCTTAAAAAGGCCTTCTGAAGACTTAATAAAATCAAGCGTGTGGTGTTTAATGCAGTGCCTGGCTCCATGAATCCTGCCATCACTGTGACTAGTCTGGGCAGGAGGTCTGTTTGTTTGTATGTATTTCTACAAGCATCAGCAACGTGAGTGTAAATGTCATTTATTTAGCAGAATGCTACTGTTTCCCATTCATCCTGTCATCACTCACAAAACCAGTTCACTTCACTCCCTGCTGGTCCTTGTTCTTACTACCAAATGCTATCAGCCCTGGTCAGTTTATTTCTGAAATGCCAGCTATAGTCAGGCTTGCCATTGCTGCCAAGTAATCTAACTTACCCAGTTTTAGGAATTTGTCTTCTAGCCTTTGTATAGCTGCATTACTACAAATACTAGATTTGCTTTTATGTCAATCATATAAAGAGGATTATGAAGAACAACAAATAATTTTATTCCAAACAATTTTAATACAAATAACTTTTAATTTCCTGGTCTCCACATTGTCATGACCCTTGTTAATTCCCATCTGAATTCGATTGTTTGACATGTTATAATAAACAAAGAGTACCCAATGTTTTTGACATTTCACCTGTGAAAAAATGGTCCACTCTCTATAATCAGAAATAAATAAACAAGGTCCATAATACTTGGGTTTTATAACTTTTCTAGCCAAAGGTAATGCTGTGATATAATTCCATTTTAATCTATGTGATGCTGTCTGATGTCAAGGCTCATACCACTGTTGTTTAAAGAATAATTTTAAAAATTCCCTTATATGCACATTTCTTCCTTCTATAATCCCATCTGAAATTATGAGCATATAGACAGTTGATTTTGAAGGTGTATGGGGGTTACTCAAAGACGTTTTTAAAAAATATTTATTGACTTAATTAAGAAGTTTTTTTTTTGTTTTGTTTTGTTTGCTTTTTCACCCAGGCTGCACTGCAGTGAAGTGGCACAATCTTGGCTTACTGCAACCTCTGCTTCCGGGGTTCAAGCAATTCTCCTGCCTCAGCCTCCTGAGTAGCTGGGATTACAGCCACCTGCCACCATGCCAGGCTAATTTTTGTAATTTTAGTAGAGATAGGGTTTTGCCATGTTGACCAGGCTGGTCTCGAACTCCTGACCTCAGGTGATCCGCCCACCTTGGCTTCCCAGAGTGCTAGTATTACAGGCGTGAGCCACTCTACCCTGCTGAGAAGAAGTCTGTGTGTGTGTGTACTTTTTTTTTTCTATTGTTCATGGATATTAGCACTCACTCATATTTCCAAAAGCAAGTTTCTATAATCTGAGGATTCCAACAGAGCCTATTTGTTTATTATGAGAAGTCCACAGGGAGGTGAAATGCCAGCCATTAAATAGAGCAAAGATGAAGACACTCAAGGTTTAGGGGTTTTGTTTATTTTGTGTTTTTTACTATTTGAACTTTAAATATTATGATGGGAGTATTTCATTTCATTTTCTAGAATCCTTGGGCTAGAATACGCCATCGCAGTAATATGATGCACACAAATGCTCTTCCTCCACATCCTTTTAGAAAAACAAAACAAAAACTAAATCATCTTAGTTGCTTTGGTTTGCACTAATTTCGTAAACCCCAAGAAAGATTTATTGGTCTGCATCTTAGTTCCTGCTACATAATGAAATGCTAATTTCATTTTTATAAAATAATTTCTACATTGAGCAAAAGATAATTTTAAGATCAAATCAGATCTTATCTTTTAGGTTTAATATTTTAATTGCTTTTTTGCACTTATAAAATAATTTTAAACTTATCAAAAAATTTTTAAGACGTGCACAAAAATATTTTTTTCCTCAGCCATTTGGAAATAAGTTACCACTGAAAGTTTAAAGTCTGCTTTGTGAGAAAGAAAAAAATTTTAAAAAGGTACCACTGGATGATTTAGTATGCGTATCCTTAAACAAGGATATACCACAAGATAACCATCAAAATCGGAAAATGAACATCGATACACTACTACATCTAATCCTCAAACTCCATTCAGGTTTTGCCAATTATCCCATTAATATCCTTTGCATAAAAAAGGCTCCAATCCAGGATCTTACATTACATTTAGTTTTCATAAATTTTATTCTCTTACAATCTGGGTCAGTTTCTCAGTCTTGGCTTAACTTTCATGACCTGACACTCTGGAATATTATAGGCTTGATATTCTGTAGAATGTCTCTCAATTTTCTTTTGGCTAATGTTTCCTTGTAATTAGATTCAGGTTGTATAATCTTGGCAAGAATATTACAGATGTGAAACTTTTTTTAATGCATCTTGTCATATGATCATAGTTTGGATTTTTCTCATTACAGGTGATTTTAACCTTGATCATTTGATTAAAGTGGTACCTGCCAAGATTCCCCAATGTAGCATTATTCTTTTACATTTCCCCTAGTATTCATTACATACTTGGTGGTAGGAGTATGAAATTATGTAAAGATCCCATTTCTTATCAAATTTTCAGCCACCAGTCTTAGCATCTATTGATACTTCTTACTGAGATTATTACTATGACGGCTGTCAAATAATGATTTTCTAATGGGATAATGTTCTCTACACTTATCAGTAGGCATTCTAATGTAAAGAAAAGCCTTTTCTTACCCCCACTTATGTTTATTTTAACATTTGCATCAGTATAGGTTAGTAATTCCTACTTTATTTGATGAATTCTAATGTATTCTTATTATTACATATTTTGATATTGAAAGTATGCCATATTGGATCAATTTTTTGAATCCTGCCTAATTTCTGGCACGAAAAGAAATTCCAGGCTCATCAATTTCACATCCATATGAAGATCACAGAAGAAGAGAATGAATATGAATTATTGCAATTTTTTATAAAAATGAGCTTACATATGACAACATAATGTCTCTTCTCATCTCTGATAGCGTGTCCCAATCTTTTTGTATAGCTGATAAAGCAGAAGCCACTTTTTGTCAGACCCCTTGCATTAGTTTTGTTAGAGATGATACGAAACATTCTGAATCAAATCATGATCTGTTGTTATTATGTATAGGGTAGTTCTACATATATATAAAATGAGAACTGTTTCTGAAAAGCTTCTACAGAGCATATACGAGGAAAGTTATTGGATGTAAGTCTATTATATAAATGTCCAACAATGATTGCAACTTAAAAACCAGCTTCATTAAGGAATAAATAATTGTGCTCACTTCAGCAGCACATATACTAAAATTGGAAGAATACAGAGGCAATTAGCACGGCCTACATGAAAGGATGCAATGCAAATTTGTGAAGCATTACATATTTTTAAAAAAAGTTTTAACATAAATGAGACAAAGGAAATGAGTTATAATTATTACTCACATGTACACTACAAATTCTCTACACCCATACCCCTTCTCCGGAACTCAAAATTCAAAGTGAAAACCTTGGGGAAAAGAGCAAGCAATCTCAGAAACTATTTTCGACCTGAACTGAGTGCAGAGTGCCCTCTAGAGGCATCATTAAATCAATGCAATTTTTCCAACGGCAGATGAACTGTTTTAAAGCTCGATAGAAGCTTTTCAGGAGCAGTTCTCGTCAAATAGGTAGAATTACCCTACACATAATAACAACTGATCATGATTTGTTTCAGCATATTTTGTAGCATCTCAAACAAAACTCATGCAAAGGATCTGACAAAAAGTGGCTTGCGCTTTATCAGCTACACGAAGGGACTGGGAACGTGCCATCAGAGATGAGAAGGGACGTTAACGCTGTCCTATGACATTTTGTAAGCTGTTATGACGTCTTCCAAATATTTCAAGCAGAAAGAATGTCTTCAATAATTTATTCCATTATTTCTTAACATTCCTTAACACCCACAGACAGTTCAGGCGTCGATTGAGATTGGCAAACTGCTTCAGCGGTCAGACTTGGCTCGGCATCTCTTTTTTGTATGCACACGAACTTAAAAGACTCTGGTGAGGTAGAATCAAGACTTGTAATCATGTCTTGAAAGGAAATTCCAATATAGATGTGAAAAAAATTCACATTTAAACTGTTGTTTCAAATAAATGTTATTTAATGATTAAACAAAAAGGTAATGCATTTCTATTATAAAATTTTTAGACAGCTCTTAAATATATGGTATCTAAATAACTTAATATGCCAGATATACTCATAAAAATTATGTCCTTATCACCACCTTTGTCATAATTTCCAAAGATTTGAATAAAATTATTTTTATCAATGGCTGTGTCTTAAAGAAAAAGGTCCTTTCAAATATTTGTCCCAATGAAACTCAGCCTTAACAATATTGGTTTGAGTTGAGAGAATAATTTTAAGATAGTAGTGTTTTGTCATATGATAATAATCTTTACTTAAATACATAGTTAATAAATAACAATGAGATACTAGGGAAAATTATTAGACATGACTCAAAATTTAGTCTTCTCATATTCCTAGAGAATGTCACAACTTGGAACTGTACCTGTCTAAAATTCAGGTAGCGATTTGAGAGAAACATTTTGATAAGTTAAAGGACAACTATAGTTGACACAGGATGTGGTTACATGAGGTGAATGTATCAGACATAACTTATATACTCTACTTCATTTTGCAACATAGACACAACTGTAAAATACATCATTTAAATGTTCTTGTTGAAATGCCTATTTCCAAGAAAACTAACAATAAAATACATAATTTTTCTGTGCATGTGTAGCTAGGTTAACTTTGTTCTCTTCCAGGTGTTTATCAATAAACCCACCTGAGTGTATTTCCACTGTAGAACAATGGTGCAAAAGCATTAACAGGTGATACAAATGTTAGATCAAGTGCCAAGTTTTTCTTCACCTAAATATAGGGGCTCAGCCTTGTTCATAAAGTTGATTAGGAGCCAATGTTTCCTATTCTCTAAATCTTTGATTGTGCATTCCTTATAGTCTCTGCTTCTTCATGAAAATAGAATTTCAAATAAATAAAAATAACCTTAATGATAGCATGCCATACTAAAATAACAACAACAACAACAAAAACAAAAACAACAAAAACAAGGAAGCTCCCCTCTGTTGACCCAAAATGCTATTAAGCTATGTTCTTCCTGTGTCCCTGTCAGAGGGTAAATTTTGTGTAATTTTCAACTTTGGAATAAATGGTAGTGAGAGTAACAGTGTTTGACCCTCTTCTTGGTTTTGTCCTTTTTCTCTACTAGGGTCCTGGCTCCCTGGGTAGAAGATCCCATCTTAGCATAACTTGGTCTTCCAGGCTTACCTTACCCATGAAATCTAATGTGACATCATTTTTCTTTGAGCTTTTATGAAGAAACTCTCTGAGAGTTTGTTCGGGGAGTATTGAGCTCAACACTTCGGTTAAGGTTCTACCCTTATTCATATTTATTTCGAGTATTGGCCTGACTATGGCTTTAATTCCAGGGAACTTGGAAAGGACTTCTGAACTCCAGTATACCTCCAGATCCCTGCTCACTGACATTGACATTCTATGGCTTATAGCAGACAGGTGTGTCCCCT
Organism: Homo sapiens; assembly: GCF_000001405.40. NCBI lineage: Eukaryota > Metazoa > Chordata > Mammalia > Primates > Hominidae > Homo > Homo sapiens. The sequence continues at coordinate 121,190,594 of NC_000004.12, read as the reverse complement.
GTTACGCAACTCAACTGTTAAGCCTTTGTCAGCCCCTTTTCCCAGAATAGGATTTACTGAGGCTGAGAAGGAAAGACATAATATGGATAACTTAGATAGAGTGCATCTGAAGAAGACAGGGGACCAACTTGCACAGGACTTTTTAATGGGAGCTTCTCCTCTTCCAATTCAGATCTAGTTATTCTTGTCAATTTACTCTCTTGTCAAATACTTAATAAGTATGTGAGGCTCTGAAAAATACAATGATGAGGCTCTGTGAGGCTCTGAAAAATACAATGATTAGCAGGCTAAACCTGTCTCTGCCTTCATGAAGTTTATAATTCAAAGGATACTAAATATGAGTAAACACGCCAGGCAAAAAGGCCAAGATATGCATGTATCAGAATATCTTCTGTTAAAACACTGTGTTTTCAAAAGCTCTATATTCTGTTTTAATCTGTCACTCTGTTTTGTGAATGAGATTGTTTCACCCATGCAGAGCAGTCCCAAGAAGAAGGCCAAACCTATGTCAGCAGGATGCCTGTAGGAGGATGTGGTTTCTACACAACTCTGTTCACTCCTAACCTCTCACTGGGGCTAGCACCAGCACCTGCAGCTGCACTCTATCTCTGCTCCAAACTGGCTCCTCTGCCTGCACGGTCCTCCTGGGCACAGCCACAAGAGGTTTGGATCTAGTTTGTGGCATCAGTATAGTGAGCTGGCACATCACAAAAGCAGGGAGGAAATAAACAGGGAGCTAGCCAAGAATGCAGATTGAGGGCAACAACAGAGCCCAGGTTTATAAGAAACATTCCCCACCCTATTCTCTGGGCTTTCATTTCAGACATGCAAATACAATTCTTCGATATCTATTTAAATTTTTAAATTACATAGCCTTGGGTAAAACTTTAGAAATGTTCCTTCTTGTCCGAGGAAAATGTTACTTTCAAAATTCTCTCAGCAAACCCTCTCTCTTCTACTACAATCTTAAGCCACAACTGTTAATATTTCCAATTACTCAAGTAATTAAGACACCTGAACTCAGTCATCTAAAACACACATACACAGAGTAATTTATGAGTCACTTGTTTCTTCACAAAATCACCAGGAGCATAGTTACAGTAAATCATAATAACAAAAACTAAAACCTGAAAATTGCTGCTTGATTAGCATCTTTTACACAACACTTCTCATTCTGGGTCACCCAGATTCCTGATGTTTGAACATCTGGAAGCATTTCCATTATAGAAGAATCTACTGTCAATTCTTCCTTTTCTCATATTTGAAGATGAGCTTTGTTCTCCAGGGTCTTTCCTGAAAATAATGGTTTATGACATAAGATCAAAGCAGAAAATGTGACCTTGGCAATGGACTGGGAAGAAATGTGGCATTTGAGGTAGGCGAGTGTGTGGAGGAAGAAAGAACACTAACATCCTAAATTCTTATTTTGGCTTTGCTATCACTTAGCCCCACTGAGCCTCATTTCTTTGTTATGTTAATGCAGGAGGTCAATTAAATGATTTTTCAAGTTATTTCTAAGACTGTGGTTATGTGTTTTTCCTATTGAATGTAATTATTTTCCTCTAGAATTTACACTACTTGCCAATACTAATGAGGCAACCGTACCATGTAACCATAAAAACCAAGTCTGGTGGTTTGGGGTTGCATGCTCACCAGGCATCATTAGTGTCAACTTGAAATTCAATGGTCTTAAAGTACTGATATCCAGGGGTGTTAATGTATAATTTACAAAAAGTTAAAAACATGATGGTCATGCAAACAAAATGAACCCATGTCCAAGGTTTTATTCAATGTATTAATTAATGAGGTATCCTGAAACATGAGACAGCTCATTTCAGGAGCATTTGAGGAGCTGGGTATTCATAAACAATTTAATGGAGAAGTGTTAGAACAGGATGATTAGATACAAAACTGCCATTCAAGGCAGTAAACCATAACATTTTGGATTATCTTCTCTACCAGATAGGATTCTACAAGTTTAGAATCCTATTTATTTAGGTTCTAATCAACTAGTAAAATTTAAATAAACTTTAGATGAGCTCATTAAACAATGACATTCAACAACATATTGGACCCTTTAGATAATTTTTTGGAGACTTCTGTACTGGAGACCTTTGAACAAGTAACAAAAATATGAGGGCTCCAAACACCTGAAAATCATTGATCTCTTCCTGTGTCCTCTCTGGCTGCTCACAGAGATTACAGGGCAGACCGTTATTTCCCAATGTTAGTCTGGGAAAAACAGTTCACAATAATATATAACTTAGGGGAGAGTTTTTTTTTTTAAGTTTCATTGTCAAATTGGTGAAACCTACTATCCTATTGATAACATCTAATTCATATTAATATCATTTCTATTTAATTTCTATGTTGATTTATTCTTGTGAGTGAAGGGCAGGAAGGAAGGAGATTTCTGTCCATGTAAGTTTAAAATAAGCTGTGAAGAAGCCAAGACCCAACAGATATTTACTGAATTTCATTAATTTCTGTTACTCTCACCTCAAACTCTTTGCCTAATAATATTGCCTCCATAATTCCCTGTTCATTTATAATTTAGTCAAGAGGCCCCCTTAAATCAAGATTTTAGTAATAGTATTTGGTTCAAAGAGTCATTTCTGAATTTTTATAATTCCTGGATGGTTAAAAAAAAGGAAAGAAAGAAAACATAGTAAAAGTGTACTCTTAGACCAAAAAAAGTAGTCACATGTGAAAGTAACTAAAGTTGTGTCAGGGCTTTTAAGCTTTTGAGAGGTCCAGAACTTGTTAGAGACCCTATCTTCAGGAAGAGACGATAAACACATAGCACACATATTATTCTGTATTTAATTTGATTGAATCCCATCCATGGACTTTGGTCAAAAATATAAAAGATAGACCTGATCCCTATATCTTATCTCCCAAGCCTCTCTGAACATCTGACTTTACAAATCAGCTACATTTCAGTTGGAGGGACCTATAGTTGTTTTCTTTAGAACTAGAGCAGAAATGCCTGTCAAAATGGAAAACCTAAAACAAATTCTTTGGAAATAGCATAGCCCTCCATGGTCCTTCTTTATTAACAATGGCTGAGGTCACTAAGATCCCAGATGTAGAGTAAAAAGTCACAAGCTTCAGCATGAAATCTTACCCTGCTCTTCATGAGTCAAGTGACCTGGGAGAAGGTGTCTAGCCTCACTGCTTAGCCTCACTGACGCTCAAGCTTACTATCTGAAAAATATGTATGAGTAAGAGGTAGGGCCCAGAGCAGAGATCATTGGAGCCATAACTCTCAATCAGTTGAGCAGATTCTTGGAACAGATCCCAAGGTGGGAACAACTATGTACCCACAGAACTAATGCAAGGGTTATATAGGATCTGTTCTATTGGTGTTTAAAAGTTTGGTAGGGTGTTTTTTTTGTTTGTTTGTTTTACCCTCAGGTCATAGTATTGTATTAAGAGCACAACACTGTTGGATGCAATTATTAAGTGATCTCAAGAAAAAAGGAGGATTTTCCAACTTTAGTTAATTCTGCCTCTCAATTGTCAGAATGTTGAGCTTTATAGGAAAAAATGAACTTTGATAAGCACTTTCTTCTGTGAAATAAATCTAGGTCAAATCGAAATTTATGAAACATATTGATTTCACTAATTCAAAAGAGAATGTAAAATATTTTCATGTACAAATTCCTATATTAATTAAAGAATAATCTAAAAGGTTTCCTAAGAATGTTATAAAGCCCAAGTAGGTGACATAATTCTCATTTATTTGAGGTGTGACTAAACTTCTTGAGAATATTTTGAACCCAATGAACATTTTTTGTGCTTTTCTTTTCTTTATGGTGGTATACTAAATTTATGGCTCCTACTTTCCAAACTTGTTTGTTAGAATGTTTGGTAACTATTCCACACCCTCAGAATAATAACAATAGTATCGATCACTGAGCATCTGTGGCATGCCTGGCACTGTGCTAAGCATTGTACATATGGCATCACTAATCCTACTGTCAGCCTCACAGCATTACATTGTTTTCCTCCATTTACAAAACAGGCCAAAAAGGTTCATAGAAGCTAAAGGACTTACACTAGGTCCCACTGTTATGTTCAACTCTAAAAGCATGTTGATTTTCTACTGCATCACAATGCTTCTTTCAGAGGGTTCATATGCAAGTTCTGAGGCATATTCATTATAGTGACAGTGACAATGTCAATCATATTGGCAATGAGAAAAGACAGTGAGTGCAAGTCCTTACTGTGCTACAATCCCTGGAGCTCCACCCCTCCTGTGTGCTTTCAGTTCCCAGCTGGATTCCTGAGTGCTCAAAACGTATCCCTCCCACAGCGGTCAACACTGACGCCCACTCTCTCCATAGGTGTGACCAAACCCCCCCACGTCTGGTCACCACCATATGGTTCTCTTTTTCTTTGCTGCCACTTCTCCTCTTTCTGCAGTGGCTGAAGTTAGTGAAGCTGTAGTCACCACGCTCAGTCTCACTGTGCGCCAAGCCCAGAAAACCACTATCCTCATGAGGGCCCGTCCCTCTTTGGTTGTGGTCCTGAGGGACGTGTGCTGAACCAGGCTCACGTGAGAGGACGCAGGGCCCCAGCTCTGAGGCTGATCCTTCACCACTCTGTCCAAATGAAGAGGGAACAGTAACTGCTGGCTTCTAACATGCTTGCCACTGAAGTTGAAACAATTTTAACAGTGATGACTGCATGTGATTATTTCTGTGAAAAGTCAGTACCTTGCAATAATGGATACTCAATTGTTGTTTAATATCAAAGAACACATATAATACAAGTAAAAAAGAACAAGGCAGCCATGAGGGCAATACCAGCTGAGCTTGAGTGTCCATTCTGAAGCTGCTGCTAGTGTTTCCTTGCTTACTGATTTGTGTTTCCACTTTATCAGTCCTATGAGTTTGAGTTTATTTACATACATTTTAGGTAAGCACTTAATTTATTGGTTAGATTTGAGTTAATAATTAGGTATTTTGAGTTAAATCTCTTCCTGGAGTCATATTTATTCAATAACAAATCCTTATTGATGTCCTACTGTGTGCTAAGAGACTGAGCAGTGAATAAACACAGACAAAGGCCTTTCCTCTTTCCTGGGACATAGATGGGGCAAGGGAGGAGAAAAGTAAACAAATAAGAAATCAAAATAATAAAAAATTCAAAGAAGAAAATAAAACAGAATTAAGGGACAATAGTGATGGGGCTCAGAAATCTAGTTCAGATAGGTTAGTCAGCAGAGGCTTTCGCCATAAAGTGACATTTAAGCCAGCACTGAATGAAGTGGGATAGCAAGTTTTGCAGAGGAAGAGCAAACACCAAGGCCTGGAGTGGGAACTGCTTGGCATGTTCCATAAAGTTTGACGATGCAAACGTGTCTGGAAGAAAAAGAGCATGAAGGAAGAGAGTAGAAGGTGAGATTAGAAAGATAGCAAGGAAACGAGATCATTTGAGGACTTGTAGATCGTGATGAGTTTTATCTCCAAATGATCCTGCCTGGGATTGAAGTGGCTCAGTAACTTTTCTGTCACAGAGGGATGTAGGACCAGAAAGTCTTGTGACATCTTGGCAGGCAAGTCTGGTTCAGAATAGGTCCGAAAGCTGCCTCAAGAGCTTAACATTTAGACTAGTCCAATTCTGTTGCTACTTGGGAATCTAATTAACCTGAAGGATTTAAGGCAGTTACTAAACAAATTTTGTGACTTTCCTCCTCACAGGTTTGTGGAAAAAACCTGAAGATAGGTCCAAACTCATTGTTATGCATATGCAACCTTTTGCACCATGAAGGATTTGCTGTAGGCCCAGTAGCCCATATTTTACAATGGGATCATAAATGACACATGATGTACAGATATTTCACAGCCTGAAAGAAACAATATAAATATGAAAGTCAAGGTGCATATATAGGGATTTTTGATTATAGATAACGGAAACCAAGCAAAGCTAGCTTTAAAAATAATGAGAGAATTCATTATAATGACATGGAGTGTTTCACAGAATCTGAAAGTTGGAAGGTAGTCAGGCCTTAGAAGGGGCTGATTCTAAACCAGAAAATTGTCAGGACTCTCTCCATCTCTCAGCTCCGCATTTCTCTACCCATATGATTCATTCTCAGCTCACTCCAGACACAGAGGAGAATCCCACTGGCCAAACTGGGATCAATTGTTTACTCTTGGTCCAATCAGTTATAACCAAAAGGCAAGTTCAAGTCATATCAATGGAAACATGGCTGTCAGAGCCTACTCCTGTGAGCTACTCTCAACAAGGGTGGTGGATTGAGCAGACAACCCTAGCAACCTCTGCCATACAGGCATTTGATTAGGCCATTCATCTGGTTATTTATTTTATTTGGAGACAACTTTGAGAAGTACTCCTGCAAGAACTCCTCCCTCAATCCAAGAGGTTATTTTCAGGGGGTGAGATATGATGAGTCAGGCAAAAAAATATACATATGTAGAGAGAGAGAAAGAAAAAAAAATCACACAATTAATGCATTTTTCCTTGTGAGTTGTTTTTAATCAGATAATTTCTCCATTATGCCAACATCATATAAAGCAGTAGTCCCCAACATTTTTGGCACCAGGCACTGGTTTCATGGAAGACAGTTTTTCGATGGACTGGGGCAGGGGGTAGGATGGTTTCAAGCACATTACATTGATTGTGCACTGTATTGGTATTATTATTATATTGTAATATATAATGAAATAATTACATAACTCACCATAATGTAGAATCAATGGGAGCCCTGAGCTTGTTTTTCTGCAACTAGATGGTCCCATCTGGGGGTGATGGGAAACAGTGACAGATCATCAGGCATTAGATTCTCATAAGGAGCAGGCAGCCTAGATCCCTCACATGTGCAGTTCACAATAATGTTCTCACAACCTAGACCCCTCACATGTGCAGTTCGCAATAGGATTTGCGCTCCTATGAGAATCTAATGCCACTGCTGGTTTGACAGGAGGTGGAGCTCAGGGAGTAATGTGAGCCATGGGGAGGGGCTGTAAATACAGATAAAGCTTTGCTCACTTGCCTGCCTCTCGCTTCCTGCTGTGTGGCCCTAACAGGCCAGACTGGCAGTGGGGGTTGGGGACCCCTGGTATAAAGGAAAAATAAAAATTTGATTTGAGTAGGAAGCTCTGGTTTAATTTTGGCATTATCAGCTAATGGCCATGTGACTATGAGCAACTCCCTCTGGGAAGCAGCTGGACTAGATTCTCCTAAGGGGGCTTCCAGATACTCTTCAGCTGTAATATATTATTTCCATGTGGTGGCAAGTAGCTGCTTAGGGATTTGTTTTCAGGTTAATTGAAGACATACAGCAAAAATGGTTGAGGCAGACTGTAGAATTCTACAGGTCTGAGTTTGATCTTGGCCCTGCCGATGTTTCAGTTTGACTTCACTTAAGTTAGTAAATTAGTTAACTTCCTAAACTCAAGTTTACTTACCTGTCTAATGCCTGGGACAGTGACTACTTTAATAGGTTGCTGTGCACATTGAATAAGAAAATGCGTGAAAGAACCTGGCTCACCGTGAGTGTTCGATTCAATTCTTGCCATTGTTCTCAGACTGAAAATTCCTAAACTTGTCCGTATCTTCCTTTGTAAGTGAAAATTAAACTCTAATGCTCTTTCAAAGTGCTCTCATGGCATGGACTAATGAAAACATAATGAGATTAGAGTTTGGGAGATCGTAGAGAAGTATCATACATAAATAACACCTCCATGTCATCCATAAACTCACTCTACGCCTGAATAATTTTTAATTACCTTTGTATAATGTAACTTTCCCATGTCTTTCTGGGCAGATGTGAAAGCATGGAGCTGGACAAAAAAATCCAGGATCTGATTGAGAGAAATGCGTCTCCTCATCCAAAACGGTTCACCCCAGAGGCCATGCCAACTCACAGAAATCTATGTTCTCTGAAGGTAAGAAAACACCTTTTTTCTCCTTATCTCGATGTACCCTTCAGCAGTTTATTCATCAAGAAGAATTTGTGGAGACAGTCCCCAAGTCATTTACCGTCAGTCATGTACTTCCTTGTCAGCTGAGAGGATAAACTGAAGCAGTATAAAACTTCTCTCACACAGCCACTTCCTGTTACTAAAGAAATTCTTCAGCAGAAGAATTTGCTGGCACTTTCCACTTTAAAGTGTCCAGGCAGCTGTGACTACAAGAAGGTGAGGAGATCATGCTACTAGAAAGAATGTTTAATGCAGGGACAACTCTTTCCTGGGAAGAAGTAACCCATTTAAATTGGGTTACCAAGATCAGCACAACTCATGTCGATGATTTTTTGTAGTTGTTTTTGTTTCGTTTTGTATTTTTGTAAGAAAAAGCAAGGTTTCATTGATTAAAGGAGTTGTTTGACTTTGAACTTCCACTCGTTTCAGGGTATTTGTCTATGGTGCTTTATATAAGCAAATAAAATTCAAGGGTAGGCTCAAGCTAGGAATTTTACAGATGACTTTCTTGACATGCATCCTATGACAACATGAACTCTTAAACTCTGTAATCCTCCCAATTAAAAACTATCTTTCATGATTCTTACTAAAAAAAAAAATCTAATGTGAGAATGTGAGTAGTTTGAGAGCATGGCTGGCATTTTAAAAAGTAATTTATACTTCTTTATAAAAATAACATTAGTTCTTCTTTCTAAAGAAGTTCTTACTCAGTGTTGAAAATGTATATGGATAAACACAGAAAACTATAAAAATCATGTAGAGACAGATTCATTGTGGAGATAATGGAGTGTGGCCTCCCTTAAACAAATATTTACTTTTATAACTAATTTGCATCCATAAATTTGTTTCTTTTTTCTTTTAAAGGAAATCCCAGAATTGTATAGGCCTCAGACTTCACTAAACACAGAACTGCCTCTGAAACCACCAGTAGGCTCACCACCTATAGAGACCATCTCTTAGCATTTGGGATACCTCTGTGTTTTACACACACACACACACACACACACACACACACCTGTCTTATTAACTTACCCTCTTCACTTAATATGCTGTGGATACTCCTGTACCTCTTTCTTTCATTCATGTCATGAACAGTGTTGTGTGCTTTCTGCATTTAGTCACTTTTTCGTGTCTAAAAACTCACTTCTTCCTGAACAGGTTGTCTTTATTTTTGGAGTTACAGATGAATGTGTACTAATGGTTATGAGGTCAAATAAGGCCTCTTTCTTCTGTTTTCTTCTGCTCTTCTCATCCCAACTCGAAGCCCTCACATATACACCTCCAACTCCCAACTAGAAATTTATTCCTTCATGGAAATATGTGCTTTTTCCAGCCACCTTCTTGTCTAACCTCAGAAAGAAATTTCATGGTGACAATATCAATTCCCTCTGGTACCCTCATCCTCATATCCTCCCATTATCATCTTCTAAGACCTATTTGCTCATGACTGACCTTCTTTGCAATTCTGTTCATTCGACTTCTTGGTCCTCCTTTACATGGTAAAAACCTCTTCTACATCCTTATTACCTTCCTCTTAGCTACAGGTTATGTCTCCTTTTGGGACTTCACTGAAATTTATGTCTCTCTCTCTAAGATACTGATTTTCCTACGACCTCATTGAGGAAATTTGCTCATTCTCCTGCACTTCACACTTCCAGGCAAAGGGCAGCAGATTCTTAGCTGATGTTTTCTATTTTCTTTGTGAAGTATGAGGTAAAGACATCTACAGAGACTGAGAGGGTAAGAGGTGAGACCCAAGGCTTAAGGGAATTGGGGAAGATATGAAATGACTATTGGAAGGTAGGGAGACAGAATAGATAAGTAAAACGAAAATGAGTTGCAGAGTAGTAGTGAGGACCGAGTTGAGTTTGAAAACCACCACTGTATGATAAGACCAATCACTTAACAGTGTGGGGGTTCCTGTATCTCTAATCTCTCCATCACCTCTCACCAGCTCAAAATATGTACCATTCTCCTCCACTTCAAACATATACGAGACCCCATCTTCTTTTATGGGTAATGTTTGAACTCACTCTTACACAACATAGCCAAGCTCATTGATCACAGCATCCAAAACTTTCCCTCTGCTATCACACCATTAATAACCTCTATCTGGATAAATCCAATGGTCATTTTGCATTTTACTTTTCACTTGTCTTTTTATTTGCATTTGACACTATTTAGTCATTCAATTTTCTTAAAATATCTTACTCCTCTGACATCTATAATTTTTTTTTTCTGAGGCGGAGTCTCGCTCTGTCGCCCAGGCTGGAGTGCAGTGGTGCGATCTCGGCTCACTGCAAGCTGCGCCTCCTGAGTTCATGCCATTCTCCTGCCTCAGCCTCCCGAGTAGCTGGGACTACAGGCGCCCGCCACCACATCTGGCTAATTTTTTGTATTTTTAGTAGAGACGGGGTTTCACCATGTTAGCCAGGATGGTCTCGATCTCCTGACCTCTTGATCCACCCGCCTCGGCCTCCCAAAGTGTTGGGATTACAGGCGTGAGCCACCGCGCCCAGCCCGACATCTATAATATTAATTCCTGGACACCCTCACCACCCCTCCCCGCTTTTTTTCTCTGGTCTCTCCTTCTCACTCACCTTCACTGGCTTCCCTTACATCACCTGCTTGTGCTACATTAGTGTTACTCAAGGATCTGTCCTGGGCTCATTAAACTACAAAATATATGACAATGACTCCAGACACATGTACTTACTAAACATGGAGTGCTTTTCTACATGTACTTTCTTTCCACTCAGTCTTTCCTGAAGTGAATTCAATATATTTCCTGCTATATCTGCTTGTCATCCCTCCCCCACCCTGGCCACCACACACACATTTTCTATGCTGGTGAATGAATCACTAGGCACCCAATCATCCAAACTTGGGGGAATCCTGGATTCCTTCAGGGCCACCATGCTGCACCACTCAGGTGGCACCATTCACAGAATAGTGCCATCTTTCGTTCACTCTGGACTTTTCCTAAGGGAAGGTCTAATCTGCCTTTATTATATCTTTGGACTTTTTTCCTTTTCTTCATTCTATCAACATAGATCTTACTAATGTACTGAAAACCTAAAAGTGGTTAAAACTTAAAAGTAGATCTCTTTGCACACATCATTGAAACCAAATGCCTTTGCATCATATATACATTCCTCCAAGATATAGCTTCTGTCACATTTAGAACAAAACATTAGAAGAAGGATGTAATACTTGTTGGGGTAAATACCTATTGGGGTAAATATTTTATTTTGTTTTCTACCTACAACAACACTTAAATATGACTGTCTTTTATCCACATTTTCCAGATGAGGAATTAAGGCTCATAGAAATTTTAAAACATTGCCTAAATTCACAAAGTTGTATCAGGATAGAAAGCCAAGTTCGTACATATTTTTCCTGTAGTGTTTTAGTGTCTTCTATACATTCTGCTATTTCCCAAAGTGCACCCTGTGTTCTAGCTACCCATAAGCCTTTAACAAACCATGAAGTTTCCTGTGCTATCATTTCACATGCTGTTTACTCTTTCTGGAAATCCTTGCTTCTTTGCCCATTTGATGAACTGCCTTTTTTATCCCAATTCAAACCTTTCTGGTTTTGAAACCTTTTCACCCTCTCTAGTCCCACATGGCGTTACTCAGCCCCCTCCCTGCTTTGTCCTACATCTTTATCTTCTTTATATGTCATTTATAGACTTTATCATTTTGTTTTTATGATCACTTATGTATCTATGTGTTTTCTCTCATATGGATTATGAGAGACTCATGGATTTCTTGAGGATGGGGTATAAAGTGTTCCATGAAGGTATAAAAATCACAACATAGAATTTTCTAGAAAGCAACAGTAGTAAACAACTTGTTTGGTTTCATGAGACATGGTAACACTGAATATACATCGATTTATCCCTATAATTCCCCTACAAATAGTTCTCAGAGTCTGCAGGGGAGTATCAAATGTACACTCTTAAGCTTAATCTCTCAGTTCTTGTATGGAAGCTACTATTTGGTCTTACCCATCCTGGTGTCATGAAGTTATTGACTGCTGAAAGTTTTCAGGTGCTCAAACTGTCCTTGTTTCTCAAAGTTTGCTGTACCACTCTTAGGAGCACCTTTGGGTACCACTCACTGTGCCAAGTGTGCTCAATGTGGAATATGTCTTCGAGAACTCCAAATGCAACCAAACACTATTGCTCTTGCGACTGAGGTGAAGAGACTTCTTCTTTTCCAACTTTAGCTTGCAATTCCAGTGTTTGCCGGAGGGTCAGAGTCCTTTCACTTTGTCGTTGTTCAGGTTTTAGCTGCTGTGTATTGAGCACCTACTCTTGGCCAGCATTTTTGCAAAGTATTTCTATTCATTAGCTCATTTCATCTTTACCCCTCTACAGATGGGGAAACTGGAGTTCAATGCAGCTAAACAATTTTCTCATGATTGTACAGCTAATGGGATTTAGATTCTGGACCTAAACTCAAATATGTCTAATGAAAACAATTGCCCTGTACTTTCTACTTTTAATTTTCCCTCCCTCACCTCAGAGTTATTTGAAGACTAGAGCAGAGCTCCAGCTGGTGTCAGGAACGATACTGTCATCAGACTAACTCCTCCTCTTTGAGCTAAAAGCACCACACTTGGATCAAGCCACTGTTACTTGATTCTCTCCCCCGGGTAAATTCTCCTAGAACAGCCCCCAGGAGTCTCCATTCTTTATCCCAATAGACCACTGGCATATCCTCCTCAATTGTCCTCTGCAGGTATTTCAAATATTTGATTCTTTGAGTAAACATGGTTTAGTTTCCAGGTGGAATCCCTGCTGAGCTACTATTTACACAATAGCATTCTGCAGAAAGAAACCCTATATTTAAAACAAAACAAAGACCTTCACATTTTTGCTGAGATATTGATAGAAAGGGAAAAAATATAAGAAAATTTCTATTTGGTTAACACAAGCGTGAGCCAATGACAGGGAGTGAAGGCTTCTCTTGTTTTCACACTGAATGAAGTTAGCCTAAGAACAATAAGGTAGATTCCCTTTCCAGGAGCAGGAAATTGGTTTCTTTATGACTTTATGGGATGTGAAGGGTGTGACTGAATAAAACAGATATTATTTAGTGAAAGAGCCTGAGATATATGTCAAGTTCCCTTTTTGTTCAACTACTATTGCCAAGAATATGAAAAGAAGAATTACTATAAGAGAAATGAACAGACTGACTCACTGCTTTGAGGAAACAGAAAACCACTATTGATGAACATGAGGAACTCCATGAGCATGAAAGTGTGCTTTTATATTCTGGGAGAGTTGAAGAAGTAGAAAGTTAGTGACCAAAGGTCATTTAAAATCTTGTAGGCAAAGGAAAAATAATTGCCTAAGTGAGAATGATATTAAGATTCCAAAATGAATGTTAAATGAAAGTTATATATAACCAAGTTATAGTCCAAGTACTATGAGAAAATTATGAAAATAATATATGAATCTGCAGTCATGTATCTTCAAATATAAAAGAAAGGGACAGGATGCTTGAAATGTATTTCTTGGATAAACAAATATGGTTCCAATAATGCTTGAAAACAAGGATGAAACCTGGGAGTGAAAGGGAAAATGCCCAAATTTTAAGCAGACCTGCCAGAATTGAATTTACCTAAAATCTCCAACCTGTCTTTGGATTCCATTGCTTCTGATTTTAACTTAGAGGCAGAACTAGAAATGGGCTTTTAATGACTTTTGATACAAGTTAAGGGAGGAACTCCCAGTGGCTGGGGACAAGTTCTAGACCTGGACACTCTTCCCAAGGTAAAAAGCCTTGAGAAATTTCTTTGGTTGGTTCAGAGATTAATATATACTTATGACACTTCACAAGATTGTGAGGGAAAAACTTCTTGCAAACTACCGTAAATTGACACATGTTTTCTGTAACCACACTGTAGGAAAAAAAAAAATCTGGCTTTCCTTTTCTTATTTCCCTTTTTTTGAAAGCTGTTTTTTTTTTAATCAAAATCTTGTTTTCTTATCTGTACAATGGGTTGTGATAATTATACAAAGTGAGAGAAAGTGCACCCTGTAAATATAAAGTGCTAAACCAACACAACACTATCATCATCATCATCATCATCATCATCATCATCATCATCATAATGCTAGTAGGATGAGCTTGAGCCTCAAAATTTTCTTTAATGGTTTTCTCATACAATAACTGACTTCCTCTTTGAATCTCATTATCTAATTTCAAAGGTTGTAGCTGTGGAATGTTTTGATCTATTTTTTTCTGCTAGAAAAAAAAAAGTTGCATTGTTGTGTGAGGATCTGTTTAGCTTTCACTGGGAAACCTTTGGACACCTGGCTGAAAAGCTCTGCCTGCATGTTCTCAGGCAGTGAGGAGCCTGTCAGCTCAGCCGCTGCACCTTATGGCATTTGACGCTCATTACTGGCAACATGGGTGAAGTTATTTAAATGAGCCATGCATCTTTCTTTTATCTGTAAAGCTTGGCTATTCTGATTCTGAAAGTATTATAAGCCCTCTAAATTAAACAGATTAGTGGATAAATAGGCCAGGTTGTATTTCCCAAAATATCACCATAGAGTTAATTTGATCCCATGGTTAATTTATGACATATTTCTCCTTCCATTCATTACGAGGATTTTTAAAGGATTCCACTCTACATGAATATCAGGCATACATCCAGATAAGGAGATCTGACTGCATATGCCCAGCTTGAACTCTATTTTCTAATAAAGTACACCACCAGACAACCCAGGAAAACAGAGACATAGGTCTGTGAACTAAAATTGGATCCTAACACAAAATAATTAAAACTCATAAAAATTAAAGGAGAGAAAATATTTCCCTAACTTTTGAAAGCCACCCACCTATTGGGCAGAAATTTCTACACAGGACAGAAGTGGTGCAAGGGGGGAATATAAACTGAGGCTCCATTCTTGTTGATAAATAAGACACACTTTTGAGTAGGATGCTTTCTATTTACTCAGAAGTCATCTGTTCTATCACTGGGAGAATTTGTCCCATGTTCCACAAAAGAAAGAGTTACAGAAAACTGGGAGATGCAGATTGTCTTTTGGAAGATGTAAGCAGTAGGTAGAAGAGGATTCTCTCTGCCTTAGTGAACACAGCAGTCCTGGCTGCTCCAATTTGGGTCAATGGGGTGGGCAAGGGAGCAGACGACAACACTGGGAGGCTTGGTGGGGGAAGCAACCAAGACTTGAAGTGAAAAGTGGCATCTGTGTGGAAATTATAAATGTTAATTAGAAGAATATAAGTCTTCCTAGAACCCTACAAAGAGAAGAAAAAGAACTTGAGGTCTCAGGGTTTCTACTGAATGGACACTTAAAGCCAAAGGTATTATCCTTACTTTTGGAATTATCACTCCACCTTTGTCTTCTTCCAGACTTGCATGACTTCAGCAAGTAAATCTGAAGAAGTTTTGGATAGGTATTCCTTTTAATGTAAGAAGAAGAACAGCATAAGCCTGTGGGTTAAGAAATATGTAAACTCATGACAATGTTAAGGAAGCAAAATATTGGGCTTGAGAGGTACCATAAATAACATGTTCATAAGAGTTGTTTAGCAAATGTGTTCATTATATTCTTGATCTATTTAACTTTGTGACAGGATGTGGATGTCTCCTAGGGACATCTCAACCCAAGCTGGGTTTTGGAATCTAATGCATCAATAAGCCTTCTTTCTCAAGTAAGCCTTCTTGTTTCTAGTTTGATTGAAAATATTTTTGAATGGGTATGGGAACAGTACCAGCAAAATGGACACTGTAAGCTCTTGCTGAAGAATGTTCGTGTCATTCTCATGTCCACCTTCTAGATGAAATGTAATAAAAACACTTTTTACTTTATTTTGTACTTGTGGGGAGAGTGAGGCATAACTCACAAAGTATGTAAATATGTTTTCTTATGGGACTCTAGAATAAGTAGCAAAAAAAAGATCAATTATTCCTTTTTTTTTTCCAGTGAGGAAGATAGCTATTCTGATTTCTTTTTAAAATAAACGTTTGTCATTAAAACCGACTTAGCAAATGTTTGCAATTTTTTAGGCTAGCATATTGGGAGATTTTTTTGAGTCAGGCTTATTTTCAGACAAAACACTTCTGGTATGTGTTCCTTGTATCACCCATGTTTTGAGTCCTCACCATAGCCTTTCCATATACCTACATCATCTTTATATGCACATGTTCTTTCTTATTTTTTTTATTTTGTTTATTATTATTATTATTTTAGAGACAGGGTCTCGCTCTGTCACTCAGGCTGGAGTATGGTGGTGCAATCATGGCTCACTATAACCTCAACATTTTGGGCTCACACGATTCCCCAGTCTCAGCCTCCCAAAGTGGTCGGATTATAGGTGTCAGCCACCATGCCTAGTCTCTTAATTTTTATAATTATAACTTTTGGTATTTAAAAATAGTGTCTAAATCTATAGATACGGTGTTGAAATATATTGCCTCAGGAAGAAGGTAGTTCTCTTTCACCTGAAGTATCCAAGCTAATCTGGACAACCCCTTGGCAGGAATGATGCAGAAAAGATTCCATCATCAATGGAGTGGTCCCCTCTAATGTTGAGATTTTATATTCAGAAAACAGAAAACACAACTGAGATGTGCCTTTTGCTCATCTTCATATTCTAGTACTTAGCACAATACTTGGTCCACAGACAATAATCAATAAGTATTTAATACAAGAATGCATACATTGGTCAGGTGCAATGGCTCACGCCTGTAATCCCAGCACTTTGGGAGGCCGAGGCAGGTGGATCACTTGTGGTCAGGAGTTTGAGACCAGCTTGGCCAACATGGTGAAGCTCCACCTCTACTAAAATTACAAAAAAATTAGCTGGGCATGGTGACACACACCTGTAACCCCAGCTGCTCGGGAAGCTGAGACAGGAGAATTGCTTGAACTCGGGAGGCAGAGGTTTCAGTGAGCCAAGTTCTCACCATTGCGCTCCAGCCTGGGCAACAGAGCCAGATTCCATCTCAAAGAAAAAAGTGCATACATGAATGAAGGTGAAGTCAACACATGAGCAAAGTACAAGAGAAAAACAGAGTGATCTGCATTGCTATAAAATGATCAGCAGCTAATTTCCTTCCAGAGAAAATAATTTTTAAAAAAAAACTCAAACACAGATTACAGTTTTAAAAGGCTGAATTTCTCTTTTCTAACCACTATAGTTTTTGAAGGCTGAATTTTCTCTCTTCTGACTACTACAGTTTTTAAAGACTGAATTTCTCTTTTCTGACCACTAATTTCTATTTTGGAAATGCAAATTAATCTCTAGGCATGCCATGGTGGGAATTTGTTAAGATTTTGTTTGGATACAACGTCAAAGGTCAAGCCACCTCATATCTATCCCTCAAAAACGCTTAATTCCCATAAAACTTCCCTGAATCATATTCCTAATGACTTAGGCTCCTGCGATGCTTTTCCATCATTGGTAAATGATGTCTCCTGCTACAATTTTTAGGTGTGTTATTTACGTCTACCCACACAGATAAAAGGTTCTTTGGGGGAAGTAAACCAGGAAGACTAAATGAGCTCTGATATGGGTTCAGCCACCCACTTGTCACATCATAATTGTGAGCAAGTCATTTGCCATCTCTAAATTCAACTTTGTCCTCATTAGCATTAAAGCTGCCTCTTCTTACGGGGCTGTTATGAAGTTCAGATTGAAGCAAATAAAGTATTTTAAACCACATAGCTCCTTAGTACAAAATAGTAATTTTCTTTGTTTTCTTAACTAAATTTAGTTCCATTCTAGGACCTCTAGCTTGTCCTTTGGAAAATAATTTATCTAATTGACCGCAGAAAATTTCAGTCACTTCAGTGTTTTCTCAGGCAATTTATATTTTCTGTGCAGTGGTATGCAAGAATTATCCCCTGTCCCTACACATAATGGTACCTAGGGATTTGTGGAACAGATTTTGTGAAATAATCTGGGTGAAATAGAGTTGCCAGATGTAGCATATAGAAATATAGGATGTCCACCTAAGTTTAAATTTCAGATAAACGGCAGAATATTGTATGAGACAAACATACAAAAAATTGTTGTCTATCTGAAATTCAAATTTGACTGGATATTTTGTATTTTTCTGGCAACTTTGGGGTGGAGACATCAGGGTTACAGTGATCCCCCATCTGACACTGCCATTGGCACTGATGTAGTCTATCTCTTACGGGTTTTTTCATTGGCCTGTATCCTCACTGGCAATCACTAAAGCTTCCAGGTCACTCAGCACATCTCTAGTCCTTAGGGTCATGTGGTAAACACTACATCCTCCTCAATTTGACTCTGAGGCCTCCTCAAACCCTCAGTTAACCACTCTTTCATCCTTCCCAGGAACATAGGAAATCTCTGGCTCTGCTTCCACACCACTCTAAGGTTGAGTTGTCTCAGGACCTCTCTACTTAGACAAGTCATAAGGCCATGCATGTCACAGCCGTGTACCATGGTGGTGTGGAGAAATTCTCTTCAAGGCTTGTACCTTCCCTGGACTTAACCCAGTGAGTAAGGCTGGAGCTGACTCTGCTCTTTGATGTTCAATGTAAGCAATTTGGAAGATGACAGATGAGTACCTAGAAGTAGGGGAATAGGGGCCAGGTGTGGTGGCTCATGCCTGTAATCCCAGAACTTTGGGAGGCTGAGGCAGGTGGATCATTTGAGGTCAGAAGTTCAAGACAAGCCTGACCAACATGGTGAAACCCCATCTCTACTAAAAATACAAAAAAATTAGCCAGGCGTGGTGGTTCATGCCTGTAGTCCCAACTACTTGGGAGGCTGAGGCAGGAGGATCGCTTGAACCCAGGAGGCAGAGGTTGCGGTGAGCCAAGATCGCATCACTGCACTCCAGCCTGGGTGACAGTGTGAGACTCCATCTCAAAAACAAAACAAAACAAAACAAAAAGTAGGGGAGTAGGGCTCCATTTCCTCATGAGAACTGAGAAACATCCAGGCAGTACTCTTTTTGCCTGAATCATTTTCATTTTCCTGAGGCATGAAACCTTTCTCTTCTGGGGCAGATGGTGAAAGTGGTAAGGACAGGTTACACTGACTCTTCATCTACTAATTTGTTTTATTGGTTATTCTTGGTATAAGTTTTTATGCCTTGATTCAGACTTTTCCCCTAACATTTTATCATGAACATTTCAAACATGTAGGAAAGTTGAAAGAATTGTATGGTATACACATATACCCACCATCAAAATTCTGCCATGAACATGAACATTTTACTCTACTTGTTCACCATCTATTCATCCATCTATCCACCCCTCTTTTAATCCATCAACTCATGTAACTTTTTGAGGCATTTCAAAATAAATTGCACAAAATAAATTAGCCTAAAATCTTTAAAAATTGTTTTGAAAACACTAGCTCTTGAAATTCAAAGGTTTGATTCTCCAGATGGTGTCTAGAGTTTGGAGAGTCTATTTTGAAATGCAAAGGCCAAACAGGGGCTGTTCTCCTCTTTTTATTCTATGACAAACTTAATCTGACAAAAGATATCCCTTACTGGCAAGGCATGGTGGCTCACGCCTGTGATCTCAGCACTTTGGGAGACCGAGATGGGCAGATCACCTGAGGTCAAGAGTTTGAGACCAGCCTAGCCAACATGATGAAACCCCAACTCTACTAAAAGTACAAAAATTAGCAGGGCATGGTGGCAGGTACCTGTAATCCCAGCTACTCGGGAGGCGAAGGCAGGAGAATTTCTTGAACCCGGGAGGCAGAGATTGCAGTGAGCTGAGATCATGCTACTGCACTCCAGCTTGAGCGACAGAGCAAGATTCCTTCTTTAAAAAAAAAAGATATCTCTTACCGAGCAAAGAAAGAATTAGCTACATAAAACAAAAGAATAGTGTGTGTTTTGGGGGATCATCAGTTAATACTTCAATATATTAACTTATAAGATCTTAGAAAGCACCATGAAAATGTAGAAAGTATTATTAAAGACAACAGTTCTGCCTTTAAAAAATTTTCCCATAGCATATCTAATTATTTATATTATTTATTTATTAAATATTAATCAAAATCAAGTAAAAAATTTTAAGAGGCATTTGTATGAAGGCTAAAGACTATTGACCATGTAACCAAAATAGGATGAAGTAAAATATTTGCCTATAAAATGAATAAAAAGAAAATACACGGAAACAGGCCAGCTCTTTAAACGTGTGTTCACAGTCCTACCTGATCATTTCTGGTTTGGAGGCAAAGCCTATAACTTTGTGTATCCCCGTGGTCATTGTGTGTTCTGGACTGTGTTCTGAAAAGCAGGGGTGTGCTATGATTTTGTACTATAGATTCATACATAAACGGACTCATTCAATAAAAATGTATTGTAATACTCTGTACCTTGAAGGTACTGTGGTAGTTCCTAAGGCTAAAGTGATAAATATCGACCTCATCTTCAAGAAGCTTATAGCATCTCAGAGGAGAAAGGTACATCGAATTAACAACTGCTTTACAATAAGTGCTAGAGTTGATGCTTCACAAAGCACCATGAGATCATAAAGAAGGAAGTAGCTAACTCCACTCTGGAAGACCAGGGGAGACTTCACAGAGGAACTGATGGTCAAGGTGGGTCAGATTGTTTACTGCTTTGTGGGCACTCAGAAATCTTTAAACATGGATTTCACGAAGTCTGCAGTTTTGTAGAGGCTGCAGACTCGTCAACAAAAGCCAATTTGCCTTCTAATGTATCTGATGTGCCCTAAAAACTAAAAGTATATAATCAAGACAGACTGCAAACAACCTCGCTATATCGCATAGAAGCATTGTTTCAGAGTTCCAACCAGGCGGGACACAAGTGAATATCCTCTAAGAGGCTATGGAATCTGTGACACCCCATTCCCCGATTCTCCTAGTTCAAAACCAGGTTTGGGGGATCAAAGAGAGGTGATTTACTAGTTGGAAGCCAAAAAGTTGAAGTTTCTGATCTTTAGATCCCATTTAATCTCTTGAGAAGATGTATGATTTGGGAGCATCATACATTTGTTTTGGGGTAAGGAAGGCAATTTGTATGTGTGAGTCCCACATGAACACGCACAGGCACTAAAATGGCACTACTTTGGGCTCGAGAAACACAGAGTGAACACAACACACAAAAGTTGCTATCATGGAGTTTACAAGCTAGTGTCGGGAGGCAATCAACAAAAAGAAGAAAAAAATTTAGTGTTATGGAAAAATAAAGCAGGAAAGGTGAATGGAAAGTGCTGGGGTGGAGAGCAATTTTAAATTGGGAGGCCAAGTAAAGACTCAATAAACAGATGTCACTTACACCATTACCTGACAAAGGTGAGGGGATGTACCATGTGGAGATCTAGGGAAAAGACAGTTCGAGGCAAGAGAGAACAAGTTCAAGGGGCAACGGTGTGGCCAGGGCATGGCGCAGAATGGACTAACGGAAGGATACCAAGAATGAGGTCAGAGAGGCCTGGGCTAGATTGTGCAGGACCTTGCCACTATAAAGAGTTCTGCTTTCACTATGAGTGACATGGGAAGCCACTGAAAGGTTCTGAGCAGTGGAATGACATGAAATGACATTTTAAAAGTCTCACAGTGGCCACTGTGTTAATAATGGGGAGGGGGGAGTGGAAGCAAAAATAGAAGCAGGAAAACCCTTAGGTTATTGCAGTAATCCAGCTAAGAGATGATGGTGAGTTGGTGTCATGCAAAAATGCCAATCATCTTGCCCAAGGTCACATAACTAGCAAGTGGTGGAACTAGGTTTGACACACAGTCAGAGATCAGTCACTGCTGGACACGCTCTTAAAAATGTTCCTATGAATAAAATCAGGAAGCAAATATTAAAGTCCTCATTTTGAAAAAGTTATTAAAAGGCATTTTTTTTGAGAAGCTGTGGTGGGAGGATCATTCAAAGCCACGAGTTCAAGACCAGTGTGGGCAATATAGTGAGACCACATCTCTACAAAAATTTAAAAGATAAAAATAGCCAGATGTGGTTGTACACACCTGTAGCTACTCAAGAGGCTGAGGCAGCTGGATTGCTTGACCCCAGGAGTTGGAGGTTACAATGAGCTATGATTGTACCACTGCACTCCAGCCTGTACTACAGAACATAACTCTGTCTCTTAAAAAAAAAAAAAAAGCAAAGAAAAGAAAAAAGAAAAAGGCTGGGCATGTTGGCTTATGCCTGTAATCCCAGCACTTTGGGAGGCCGAGGCGGGTGGATCACAAGGTCAGAAGTTCGAGAACAGCCTGGCCAATATGGTGAAACCCTGTCTCTACAAAAAAAATTAGCCAGGCATGGTGGTGCATGCCTGTAATCCCTGCTACTTGGGAGGCTGAGGCAGGAGAATTGCTTGAACCCACGAGGCGGAGGTTGCAGTGAGGCGAGATTGTGCCACTGCACTCCAGCCTGGGTGACAGAGCGAGACTCTGTCTCAAAAAAAAAGAAAAAAGAAAGAAAAAATGGTAAGTTTATTTCACCTTGCCACTTGCTTATTAAACTGAGAAGTCTCTAGGCTTTTGTGGCAATGTGCTCCTCCCCTGTCTGGATATATTTTCAAAAAGCCTACAAAATGTTCAGATAGATTGGATGCAGGATGTAAGAGAAAGAAGAGTCAAGGATGACTCCAAGATTTTTGATCTGGAGAATAAAAGGTGTTATTAATTGTAACAGGGAAGGCAAGTTTTGCAGGGAAAATCATAAACTAAGCTATCCTGATCAAACAGGTCAGGTGAAGAAGGAGGTAACTATTATGCATACAAGCAGAGATGACAATTAAGCAATTAATACAGGAGTCTCGAGTCCAGGGATATGGTCCATTCCTAGTGCCCCTGGTGAACTGAGTGCTAAATATTCTGATTGTCACAAGCTGTTAAAATAAATATTTTGAATATTACTTTTGCTAATGTATATTAACTGCATTGCAGTTTCCAATCTCTCCCATTTAATACATGATGAACTAAAACCAATTAAAAAACCACTTTGATCATGTAATTCCTTTGCCCAAAGGTCTTTAGTAACTCCATATGGCCTATAAGGTCAACATTTCTTAATCTGAAATTAAAATCTTTTATGATTTCATCCAAATAAACTTTGAAAATACCACACGGACCCTACTCTAGGTAAACTGGATTTGTCAGAATCCTTCATAACTAGGCTTGCCCAGTTGTGTTCTGTTTCTTACTGTGCTCCCTTTGCAGCATTTATAGCTCAGCTTTCACTCTCTGTCAAAATCCTATCTACCCTTCAAGGCCCAGCAGAAACTCTGACTCTTTCCATAGCTATTAAAGGTGATAATGAGCACTCTCTCCTCTGAATTCTTACAGGCTTTATTGTCTCTATCATTCATTTCCTGGTCTTCATTTACTGTTTAGTTTTTCAAATATATATATATTGACATACACACAGCCACACACACATATGTATGTGTGTGTACATTTCATCATAAGCAGGGAATTTTTGCTTTTGTTTTCCTTTGGAACCCACACAATGTCAAGTACAGGGTGAGTGATGCATAAATTGTGGATTTCCCTTTCCTTTTGTCATGTTATTTGTTTCATAAATAATTTGATTGATGGTCCTATCTTTAAAACCAAATTGTTATTACTATATAAGCTCAGATAGCAACCCTAGGAGAAGGATACTATTACTATCCCATTGTATAAAATGGAAATTGAGCCTTAGAGACCTTAAGCATCTTAGATGACCAAAGGCACAAGCAGTGAGTGGCAGAGCCAAGCTGTGAGTCCAGATAATCTAATTCTAGAGCTAGATCTTTTAGTCATTACTAATCCTCTCTTTCCTACCTACATAGCACATACACTTAAAAATTCATGCAAATAGATTCAGGAAACAAAGAAGGTTTTTCAGCTCCCATTGTAAAAGCATAAAAAGGAAAAAGGCATGTTTCTTTTACCTGCCAAAGAATGCCTCCAATAACTTATAGAAATATAGTACTCTCCTCTTGGACTAATTTTAAGATAATTATTGTCCACCAGAATGATGGTTATAGACCAGTGACTGGTAGTCCTTGTTCCTTTACCACATTTCCCTTTGTTAATTTTAATTTTCTTTCCTCTGTATAATATTTTAGTGACTTCAGAAATGAAGACTCTTCACAACAGCCTTGGAAACATGGAATGACACCTCTGTTTCTCTGAAAGTGATTTCAGCTAGTGATACTTCTCATGAAACAAAGCTTGACTAAAAGCCAGACTCTTAAAATATGTGGCACAATGTGAGAGGGATGGAGGTGAAGTGAACAGAGCATATGTAACAGAAAAGACCCAATTAATTCTTAGGGATGGCATATTGAAAGTCTCATTTTTCTGAAACCAAACTTGTGGCTCTTCAGAAGAGTTATTACTTATTCATAAATAACCATATGGCTCTCTTGAGCTAATAGAAAATCTGTTTGTTGTTTATCTGCATAACAGAAGAGGCAAAGGAATTGTAAAGAAAGAAGCAAAGGTATAGAATTTCCATTTAATAGAAGCCATCACACCTAACAATGTATGTGCATCAGGATATTTTACAGGGGAGACTCAAGAGGCACAATGCCAAGGATGGTATTTCCTGGCAAGAAAATGTTCTTCCCACCCACTTTTCTAGGTCAATGTTACCACATCCCTATACAAATACAAAGTTAAAGCTGAAGAGAACCTTACACTATATAAAACTATGGAGTGTGTATGTGCATGGTATGTTTCAGAAGAAAAATATTCTTACAATAGAGTTTTCTTTTTCTTTTCTGATGAGCAGATTTTAGTGTTGATAAAGTGTCAGTTCAGGAAATCGCTGCTTCTGTACCCTAAAGTCAGATCTTATGTGAGTTATAACTTTTTACTTTCAGAACCCTGAATGAACAATTTGATTCCTACCTGTATTTTTGGATTTTGCCTTAAAGCAGCGTCACTCCCTTTCACTCAAGCGTAGACCCAAACATAACAAGAAACCAGAAGAAAGTAAACACACACACACACACACACACACACACACACAAACTAGCAAAAAGTTCATCGATTTTGTAAATCATTATATAGATATTCATTCATTTATTCATGTAGCAAAATGTGTTGAATGCCTGCTGTGTGCCAGACAGCTCAGTGCCTGGGTGCGTGGACACAGAGATTAACACAAGAACATGGAAATATGTAATCGTAATGCATGATGAAGTGCTCTCCTTAGCTGATTAGAGGAAGTCAAGAGAAGATCAGAAGGAAAGAGAGGCATTGACTTAGGTTTTCCCCGTCATAAGGTTGGATGGAGGGCCCAGAGAGGAGACATCTGAGGTGGCAAGAACAGCATGCACAGAGCTCAGGGGCGTAGAACCATCTCACTCATTTCAGGAAAGGGAGGTCAGTCAGGATGGTTGGAGCACAGGGGAGAGTTGGAGAGTAGGGGGAGATATTCAGGAGAAATGGGAGGGCCAAATGTGGGACACTCAATCACTCTCTTTTGAATTTTAGGAGTTTTAGGCTTTATCCTATATATATGTGAATATCTCGTAGGCAGGTTAATGAAGTTAAATGATTGACCATAAATTCTTTTCTCTTTTTAGTTACACATTCTTTCCTTTTTTGTATTCCTTGCCTCTTTCCTTTTGTTCCAAGTCCAAAATGAGGTCTTCTGTTCCATCGCAGTTCACTTATGCAGCTCCAAGTATCTGCCATTTCCACGCTTTTATCTGTACTACCCAGTAGTGCTCCATTACCTCAAGGCTCCTAAAATGATAACAGTCAAATAATTAAAGTGAAAATGATTCTCCATGAGAAGATTTCACTTCAAATGAGTCATGGAGACAATCTGGACTTGATTTATAGAAAAGACAGACTTAAACTTGAGACAAGTTTAACCTTTCTGCCAATATAGAAGATTAGATTTGCAAACAATGCCCATTTTCTTTACAATGAATTATTTTCCCTTTTATTTCTATAAGAATTAGTGGCACTTATATTATTATGTATTATGAATTATGTATGACTCATTAAGTTCTACCAAGCTACACTCACATTTAGAAGGTATTGCCAGAAAATCTCGCCTTTAGGGAAACCGAGCTGTCAAAAAGTCAACAGTTACCTAATTGCTCTGGGAAATACAATGAATTTATAACAGTTAGGCTACTGAGGAAACACTTGGATTGCCCAGGCTTTCTGTGGTGGAGAACTTCCTCCTCCAGTGGGAGAAACTGCCAGTAAAGGAAGAATGACGATTTACATACTA
Organism: Homo sapiens; assembly: GCF_000001405.40. Taxonomy (NCBI): domain Eukaryota; kingdom Metazoa; phylum Chordata; class Mammalia; order Primates; family Hominidae; genus Homo; species Homo sapiens. The sequence goes on along the minus strand of NC_000004.12, from coordinate 121,164,438 downwards.
TAGCAAGGCTAATCTGCCCCAGGTCTTAGTCACGGCCTGCCTATTTGAGACATCCTGGGAAATCCCTATTTGGAAGAGAAGAAAAGTTAAAATCCCAGTTGCAGTGCTTATAACTTTATTCTGTGTAATTCCTATCCACAGTCACTTCTGTTCATTTTTAATGAAAACCTATTGCTGTTATTTTCTATTATGAGTTAACGGTGATGTGTGTTTTTTAAATTTTGTATACTTGCTCTCACCCTAAAATATACCTTAAGAGACTTTTCCCCTGTTTTTCTTTCTGCTTTCCAAGACTCCAGGAAAAACAGCTTCCATGGCACATTTTGTACAGGGCACATCTAGAATGATTGCCGCAGAAAGTTCTACGGAGCATAAAGAGGTAAGAACATATTTCTAGGAGATGAGTTGATCACATCTAGCATTGATGGCATTTCTAGTGGTTAATTGTGCACTTATTAATAAGAACAGAAATGGCTAGTTTGCTTTCTTTAGCTAAGATTTGCTCTATATTTTTAACCAAAATTATGTAACATAGAAAAAAATATCTAAGTAACCAGTACATTGCTTTTAACCCACGGGGCTTAAATTCCTTTCAGCCTTCCAGTTCTGTGGGTTCCTTATTTTGTTCTTGATTTTTGTTCTATAAAAATCTTAAAAGAATACTATATTGGTGTAGGTAGAAATAGAACATATTGTAACAATAGAGTATCTGTAGTAATATTTTTATATATTTACAATTGGTACCATAGATTTTGTTCAGCAACAGAGACTACTGCTAATTGAATGAATGAATTCAAATATTTTCTAGTTTTCTTTTACAGATAACCAAGGTATAATGGGAAACTAAATGGAAACTTCTATTCATTTAAGTTTTTAATTTAGTAGCATCAGACCTTGAATATACATTGGTAAGGATGTTATCATAGAGAAAGAAGTGCCCAGATGCTTTGAACAGAAATTCTACTTTATAGGGAATAATTATAGGAAATTATGTATAGGGAATAACTGTTCCGTAAGCAGCCCTTGCTAGAATCAATGACTGAAAATCTTTGTAGTTACTGCAAATCAGATGCCTTCATTAGCAACTGTAAAGCAAAGTAAATACAAATTGAAAAGGTCCCCCAAACCTTTGTATTTGATTAATTTCGCTTTATTTTATAGAAACCTGAGACATATGAACTATAACAAAATGTTGATTAATCTCCAGAGAAAGCTTTGGTGATACATTTGTGACTTACATGCCATTCCTAGTCACTATGTTTTCTATTTTTCCTCCCTCCTATCCTCCCCCACCTATAACTGAATATTACTTATGAATTTCAAAAACTAGTACTCGTGCAGTTACAAATAGAGCCTCTTGCAGATTTGGTATCTAGATTTTCAGTAATTTTTATTTATTAAAGAAAAATCAAGGGTGAAATGTATTATAATTTTCTTCCAGAGAAAATTGTTTATGGGGAAACAAACAAAAAGCACACTGTCTCATTGTTCCACATCTGGGCTCCCAAAGGCAGGGACATACAAATGTTTGCCAATCACGGATTTTTGTCTACATCACAAACAGAGAGGAGACATTTTTGAGGACCCATAATTTATTCCCTAGAATGGGAATATATTGAACTTTAGTATGAATCAAAATTACCTAGGAAATGTATTAGAAATAGAGGTGCCCTGGCTGCTCTTCTAGAAATTCTGATCCATTGTTCAGGATGCTCTATGTTTAGCAAGCTTAACGGTGACTTTGATGTGCTCTTGTGGTGGGAACCACCATTCTAAAATCCAGTCTTACTGTGCCCCTACTTTGCTGATGACCTCAAGATACACTAAGTAGGGTTGGCTCACAGCATTTTCCAGATCAAAGATGCTTAATAGTTAGTCTGTTCTAACCCAGAATGGGTCCAGTTTCTTGGAAGTCTTCCCCAAAAGAAGAAGGTCCAATTACGGGCCCCAACATACTTGACACTTGGGTTTCAGTGTCACTCTTGGTGCTCAGCCAGAACACCTTCTTGAGGTCAAGAGCAAATATAATCATTCAGAATTTATTGACCCACAGAAGACTGTCTCTTTTTAAATGTGGTCTTAATTGTAACATAGGTCTAAATAGGAAGAAGCTAAGGAAACGAGAACATCTCTGCTTACTTAAAATACCATCAAACCCTAAAATGCTGAAACATAAACAAACAGAGAAAAGATAGAAAATACAGTTTTATAAATAATTTCTGATGAAAAAAGGTGCTTGAAATCCCATGATGATTGCAAAGAACAATTTCCTGTACACATTTCTGGCAAAGACCAACAACATGTTTTGAAAATATTTCTTAATGGTTCACAAATAGCTTTAAGCAACTTAGTGATCCACAGTAACTATTAAGCCTGAAACAGATTACAGATGTAGGAATTACTCTCATCATCCAATAAATTGTATTACTTATATGACTCTGAGATGAGATAGTAATAAGACTATTGAATTATTATAGAGGATCCAGTCCTTTATTTAAGTAAATATTGTTCTTAGTCGATTTAGGCAGATGGCAGACAGCTTCCACAGCTTTTGTGTTATCTTTAAATGAATACTCTCACTCCTGAAAAAAATAACTGAAAAGAAAGGTGGTAAATTTTCATTATGCCAGTAATTTATTATTAATCTAAACTAGTAACCTAGTGACTTTATTCAAAGAGCTGGCTAAAATTACACAGTAATTACACAGTAATGGCTGTATGTGTTTGTCTTTTTCTCGATGATTTTGTCGTTCCTCTGACGTTTACTGGGTCTACTTTTCAGAATATTACTCACATACATGTTCATGGGCACAGCTACCAAAATGACTTTTATGAAATGTTTACTATAAAAATACCTAAAATATATCCATGAAACTTACCTGATTTCTGAATTGTCATTTTTTTGGAAAAGGATTGAAATCCAAATTCATAAAATTTTAATCTCTGACTTACCCGTTATAGTATACAGATATATTTATAATTTATTAAAGAATTATATTGGTAACTAATTTATGTAAAGCATTCTAAAACATAATATGAAGCTGACTCATCCACCAGCCATGATGAAGGACTTAGGGTATGAGGATTATTACTGCTAGAATCAGGTATTTTTTAAATCGCAACAGGAGAGTTGGCCAAATGCATGGGGTTTCTGAGGAACAGTACTTCTGTTTATTTTGTAAACAGCTTTGTTTCAATCTTCTCTCTTTTTTTTTTTCTAAGTGTGCTGAACCATCAACAAGAAAGAACTTGATGAATTCTCTTGAACAAAAGATAAGGTGTTTGGAAAAACAAAGAAAAGAGGTAACTTAGAAATATTCGCTAAAGCCACAGGTGCCATGGATTAATGCTGAGGATAAAATAATGTATTATCCTTGTGCCTTTTATTTTTGTTATCAGGTCACAGTATTTATCTTTAAGATACTGGACTGCACTATTTTGAAAGCAAACGCCTTCTTTCTTATTCACCTGTATGTTTCATACTTGTTGTCTCAGTGTCTGTGCAGTGACGAATGAAAAACGACAAAGTCATAAGTCTGGTAATATAATCCTAATTTTCTCAAAACTTAGATGTTTCCTCCACACAGACCAAGTTACTTTATCCTTTATGCCTTTATCGTTTGTGCCTTATGACCTTTACCCTTTATGCCTTGCAACTTGACACACCTTGAAACTCAAGGTTTCTTGAGTTACTTGAAAAGTCTTTAAGTATAGTTGATTTAGGTGCTATGACTTCATGAACTGGGCATCCAAACACATGGGAGTTAAAAAGCATTATCATAAATAAAGTTTGTTTCTAAAATGTTCCTGGGAATTAATGGGTATTATTTGGAATTTTATTTTTCTGAGCTTAATGAATGTTAGAACCTCTTTACTCTTCTTGACAGAGGAAGTAGTGAAAAGTATAACAATTTTAGCACTCTGTATATTGTCAATTTTGTAATTCCTTCTTTTTTTTTTTTGAGACAGTGTTGCTCTGTCACCCAGGCTGGAGTGCAGTGGCACGATCTCAGCTCACTGCAGCCTCTGCCTCCAGGGTTCAAGTGATTCTTGTGCCTCAGCCTCCCAAGTAGCTGGGATTACAGGCGTGCACGACCATGCCCAGCTAATATTTGTATCTTTAGTAGAGATGGGGTTTCGCCATTTTGGCCAGCCTGGTCTAGAACTCCTATCCTCAAGTGATCTGCCCACCTCAGCCTCCCAAAGTGCTGGAATTACAGGAGTTAGCCACCGTGCCCAGCCTGTAATTCCTTTTCTAATTCATTCTGTGTACTACATCTTTCATGTTCTCTTGCATGGTGCCTTCTACTCTTCTTTGATACTTGAAGAATATTGTGACCTTCTGGAAAATTATTGAACGATGGCAGAGTAATGTTACTATAGTATACACATGGGAATCCCTAAAATGCCAACAGAGTAACTCTCAATATAATAATATTATACAGTTTCATACTAAATAATGATATGTATTTTCAGCATAAGAGTTACCTAGTAACTGCCACTCTGGATTCAGTAGTTTGCTTTTTAATTAGGAGAAAGTTTTGCTACTTTTTAGTCATTATGACTGTCTTCTCAGTGTCTGTTCCCTATAGATAAGCGTTGGAATTTCTCTTAATGCAGAAAACTACAAACTTCCCCAACAAAAAGCCAACCACATATCATAGCACTTCTTCTGCCTTCTAATTAGCAGATAGTCTTAAGATCTTTAAATTATTTGTAGCCTAAAATGCATCTAAATATTGTCCTATGACGAAACTATAATTTCTTGAAAATCTAAATTTTCAAAATGGTGATATTACCTATTTGTTGAGTATTTATTATAAATCATGTGTTAATCTTTTAAAACACATTATTGCAAGAAAATCGTGATCAGTTAATGGAGCCTAGGCTTTGTTAGCATAAATTCTGCTTTAAAAGAGCTGGAAAAAATATTTCATTATAATCAGTGTAAGCACAAAGAAAAATACGAAAAAGTTTGGGAAAAGAACCTCCATGCATTAAGAAATCTTACAGACAATCATCAATACTTACAAATTTTTATCAGATTGTGGTTGGATTAAACAAAGAAAATGAAAATCCAAATAACTAAAAAAAGTTAAAAGTTACTGATAAACTGTTCAGCTGACTTGTCAAGATATACCTGAGACTTACTGGTTTTTCTTTTCTTTTCTTTTCTTTTTTTTCTTTTCTTTCCATGAGATGGAGTCTCACTCTGTCGCCCAGGATGGAGTGCAGTGGCACAATCTCGGCTCACTGCAACCTCCACCTCCTGGGTTCAAGTGATTCTCCTGCCTCAGCCTCCCCAGTAGCTGGGACTGCAGGTGCATGCCACCACGTCCGGCTAAGTTTTGTATTTTTAGTAGAGACGGGATGTCACCATGTTGGGCAGGCTGGTCACCAACTCTTGACCTCAAGTGATCCCACCTGCCATGGCCTCCCAGAGTGGTGGGATTACAGGCGTGAGCCACCGGACCCAGCCAGTAGTTTTTCATATACGAACCAGTTATAAACAGTGAGAGTGTGTTCAATTTAATCATCCCAGCACAATCAGAACTTGATGGAAAAAAATATTGTCTTCATCCATGGCTTCTAAAACCTTAATAAGCTCAGAAAGTAATTTCTTTTTGACCAAACTTCCAAATGGGCAGAAATTCTTTGTTGATTCACCAAATTTTAATGATTTCAGCTCCTGGAAGTTAACCAGCAATGGGATCAGCAATTTAGAAGTATGAAAGAGTTATATGAAAGAAAGGTAAATACCTCTCTCTATTCGGTATTTTCTTTAAAGCCATTATCCTGGTGGGGCCAATTGTGTGAAGAGTCTCATTCATTTCAGCTACAAAGAGCTTTGTGGATAGCCAACTGTTGGAAAATGACGGGAAGGGTGCTAAGTGTAGTATTGGTCTCATGGCACTGAAAATTAATGAACGGTGTCAGTGAGTTGTCTTGAGCAATAGCTAAAGAAAGGTGCAAAAATGGCCCCCAGTGATGTCTCAAGAGTTCTTGTGCACATTTATCGTGGCTCACAGAGTATCCCAGCCTTACCTTTGTCACTAGAAGCCACAAATACACAAAGTTATATGTGAGGTGAGATATGGTTTAAAGTCCATACTGTTTACGCCAGGTTAGCCCTAATTCTTTAATTAGATAGCATGACCTATTTTCCACAAATAGAGAAACAAATGGTGGTAACAGTGAAAATGTGAGTAAAAATGGAGCAACCTCCTCTTCCATCTAAAGCATATTTGCTCTCAAGAAGCTCTGGTGAGAAAGGGGCTTTTGGAAGAAAACCTCCTTTAATACATAAAAGACAATTTATAATTTAAAATTATTCTATTTTCAAAAAGAGATAAAAAGAGCAAGTACTTTCCCCTAAATAATTCAGTATTAAGAAACTTGACCATGAGTATTGTAATATAGCAGCATTTTTCCTTTCTTCCTCATTTTGTTACCCAGAAGTATTGAATTTAGAAGGTGCAGGATAATGTTCCTGCTGCACCAGGCAATGGTCAGGCAGCCTTGCAATATCCCTGCTGGGGCAATCCGGATCTGTAAATGTTAAAGATGATGATCCCAGAGAGAATGCTTAAGCTGCTTTCTCGAACGGCTTGCAGGTGTGTGAAGACAGTGTTAGTGATGGCTATAATCTCCATCTTGGAAGATGCATCCATCTCTAAGATTCTCCCTCTGGACTGTGGCCACTCTGAGGACCTGTCACTCTGTCATCAGAGTGATTTGGCACCTAGTAGGAGGTCAAGTGCTGCAAATTACTGATAAATTAAAGGCCATGTCTGTTTTTCTCTGGTGTAGGCATATGCTACTTAACCTGCTGCCCCTCATTGCCCTTTCCAGACCAGGCTAGGCTCACCTGGAGAGTTGAGAATAGAATGACAAACCTACAGATTCCCCTGGGTGGGGTCTAAGTCTTTTATCCCCTCTGAAGTAGGGGTGGTTTGGAGAAAAGAAGGAAGAGCTGGGTGGTTTGGAGAAAAGAAGGCTGTTTTGGTGCAAGGCCAAGCTCCCTTTGAAACGCGAGTATCCCGATCTGTGTTCGGGACGGTGGGAGCTAGAACCTCTCCTTAGGGGACGTCCTGGGGTGGGGCGTTTCTGCCAAAGTTCATAGCCTGGGAATAAATCCAGGGGCTTGTGAGCTTCAGAGAAGGTATCTGCAGCTGTCTTTGAACGACCTCCTCAGGTAGCAGAGCTGAAGACGAAACTGGACGCCGCGGAAAGATTCCTCAGCACGCGGGAGAAGGATCCGCATCAGAGGCAGAGAAAGGACGACAGGCAGAGAGAGGACGACAGGCAGCGCGACCTGACCCGGGACCGGCTGCAGCGGGAGGAGGTGGGCGGGGCCCGGGTCCTCGAGCCCGGAGGATCCAAATAAAAGCAAAGGGGCGGGGGGATTTCCTGTAGAAAACCTACCGTTTTATTAAAATCAACTCACTACTGAGCAACGACCGATGTGCAAGGGTGCATGGGTTACGCAAGTCCCCAAGAGCCATGAACAAGGGTCACTTCTCTAGAATAAGAAGGAAGGAGATTCTCTGCCGGCTTCCTCCTGGTTTGCATAAATAGGCAGACAGTCATTCCCCAGTCCCTTCCAGGAAGAAGAAAACGGATCCATAAATTTGCTAACTCTCTAGGGCATTTCAGCCTAGGAGAAATTTTTTTTTCTTTTGCTTTTATTCGTATTTATTATTTTTATTAGTAGTGTTCATAATAATAATATGGCAATACCTTGTATTTGTGCAGTAGCTTTTCAAGCTTACAGAGAGATTTATATATGAGGTCTTACTTCTGTCACCATAAATTTATGACATTTTTTAAAGCCTTCGTCCTCATTATCTCATTTAACATTCTTGGCCCACCTGTGAGCAAAATATTATTTTTGCTATATTAAAAATGAGAAAGCTGAGATGTAAACAAATTGAATTGCCCACGTTGATGAAAAAGGACTTGAACCCAACCTCCAGATTCTAAAGCTCTATCAGTCCCTTGCTGAGAACTGGATGGTGACAATTGAGATGACAGCTTTTCCTGAAGAACACTTTTTCTTCCTGGTTTTACTTTCAATTATTGGACTTCATGAATATTGTAGAAAATGGGAGGAAACCTTAAACTCTAATGGCCCCTCGTTATTTTAGGTATAGTAAGAAAAAACAAAGTGTAAAGACTCTGAGGGGAAATCTTATCACTGATATCGTGAGGCAATGGCAATATTTTAAAACATGTACAAATCTTAAGGCAATGTCTGAAATTCGCGCAGACAATGCCAGTCCAGGTTTTCCTATCTTGCTGAGGATGTCTTTGTCACAGTGAGTCAGGAAAACAGAGTTTAGCAACACTCCCTTTCTGCCATGTAGCAGTCATTTCCTTTTCCAATTACACTCTAGCCAGGAATCTGAGTAATTTTTCCCTCAATGCAGTTGGGACCATTATCTTATTGGAATAATTTTCTCTTAAATTATGCTAAATTAGAAAATAATTGGCTTATTTTCTAAGTGTATATGTTCATTCTATTTAAATAAAAGCAAATAGAAATATTTTCCCTTTTAAAGAAAATGAATTACCTAAAGCGGATTTCTTAAATTTAATAATCATATTGGGAAATATTAGTTACTCAAATAACACACTTTAACACATATATTAGCTATTTTTGCATGTCAAGTTACCTATTTTCTGCAATATTTATTTTACTGGGTTAAAATCTCAATCTCATTAAGAATCCAATTTACTTCACAAAATGTTTGCTATCTATTATACAAAATTAAGAGGTAGGAGATATTGTCTGAATCCAGAGCCTGTTGATGTTTACGCAGCTAACCTTCAGTTGTTTAAAACACTGCACTTCTGGATGACAATTTTAGATTGTCATCTAAAATTGGAGGAGTGGTGGCAGTTGGACTAGTTGATTTCTACCTTTTAAAAATAATAATCACAACAATAGAGTGCTCTAAATAATGATCTGTAATGAAAGGTCTTATTGGCCTAAGGATTATTCTCTTTTCCCTCTTTCTAATACAGAATGATGCAGGAATGAGCTTTGAGATATTTAGTATTGTTTTCTCACAATGAGAGTTTTTTCTTTTTAAGACTTTCAGCTATTTTTCTTAATCACTTATCCATCACCTAGTGACAGTATATAAGGACTTGCTTATCCTGCAGACCCATTTGTCTGATAATTGAAAGTAAGAATTGGGAATCCAGCACTTTGGGAGGCTGAGACGGGCAGATCACGAGGTCAGGAGTTTGAGACCAGCCTGGCCAACATAGTGAAACCCCATCTCTACTAAAAAATATAAAAAATTAGCCGGGCGTGGTGGCAGGCACCTATAATCCCAGCTACTAGGGAGGCTGAGGCAGGAGAATTGCTTGAACCTGGGAGGCGGAGGTTGCAGTGAGCTGAGATCACACCATTGCACTCCAGGCCGGGAGACAGTGTGAGAATTCGTCTTTAAAAAAAAAAAAAAGAATTGGGAATTTTGATTTTTTTTTTCCTGGGGTCACAAAATTTCTAAGATACTTCAGTAAATTCTGATAAAAGAAAGATTCCTTCAATCCTAATTCTAGTGTGCATCCAAAGAATATTGCTCAAATGGAACATTAAGTTTAAAGTCTTGCAGGTCCTGTTTTTATTGTATTTCAGAAGGGTGACCCCTCAATCTGCCTGCCATGGCTGATATATCAGAATTCCTACAATATCATCTCATTTGACTTGTACTGACTTTTATTTTCTTTTCTTGGTCTTAACTTCAGAAGGAAAAGGAACGCCTAAATGAAGAATTACATGAATTGAAAGAAGAGAATAAACTTTTAAAGGGAAAAAATACTCTTGCGAACAAGGAAAAGGAACATTACGAATGTGAAATAAAACGCCTCAATAAGGTATCAGTCAGGTCAAGCATGGGAGATTAAAATGAGAAGTCCCTGCATAAAACATTCTTACTGACAGTCGCAACAAAATCTAGGCTGCAGTGTGGGTCCCAGCCTTGGAGGCTTGCACAAGAAATTATCTGTGATTTTATAAATCACTCCTAGCTGCAGCTTTCAGTCATACTTGGCTAAGGAGGCTTTAGAGAATTTTTGTCCCTACAAAGATTCATCATGAGAAAGAGAAATGAGGAGGAATTACAGAGACAGTAAGAACATTTCTTAGTTTGAAGAACCACATAAAGCAAGTGGGTGTTTGCGAACAATAACGTATCTCTTGGTCAACCGCAAAAGCTTCCTCAGGAAACAAACTGCTCTTTAAAATGATCACTATGGAGTTGGGTGTGAAACACACTCTAAGGAAGCATGCTAAATGCAGAATCCAAGGCTGAGATGATAGCTCTCTCAAGTGCAAGCCTAAAACCTACTTTAAACCTACTTTAAAGTCAGAGAGAGGAAAAGTGTGCGTGTGTGCATGCAGGGGTGTGTGTGTGTGTGTGTGTGTTGTTTTATGGACTAGTTCATTCATGTTTTGGAGGAATGGGTCGCTAACTAGTTCAGGAAAAATAATCCTATACTGTTGACTTTTCCAAGAGCCAACCCATATGTGGAACATAGGAATGCGCTAGCACATGGTTGAGTTGAGATATGCCTCTCTCAACTAGATATTTCATGATAAAAGCAACAGAAATTGTCTTCTGAAACAAGAGTAGGTGATTGGACTTGAAACAGGTGCTCAAACCCTGTATTTTGGACCACATGCCCATGATTGTAGTTAACTGGTGTTCAGAGATGTTATTTAAAGATCCTCAAAGTATTAAGTATGTGCCTGCATAGTTGATAGGATGCTTTGCAAATGTGATCCTGTAGTAGATCTGTGTGTGGGACAAGTTATTCTTCAGGAGAAAATGGGAAAATGAGGATAAACTTCATAAACAATATACTTTATCCTCTAAGACAGAAAAACCATGCTCAGACATACAAATGCGGGGCAAAATCTATCTTTTCCCTTTTTTTCTTTTCCAGAAAATGTTGCACAAATGCATTAAAGGAACTATAAATAATTGAGATTATATTTAAAATCCTCCCATTTTTGATACCGTATTACAAGTTTTCTTACATTGTCTAGTTAATTTCCCTAAATGTAGACACAAAGATATAAACCTTGTAGATATTAGAACAGCCAAGAATGCTGTAGTTTTGCTCATGTCCATGTGCACTCTTCATGTTTGTGTATCCATATTTGTAGTTCACAGAAAATTGTTTCAAGTTAGAAAAATACAATTTTTCATCATTCCGGTGATTATATAATTTAATAATTCTACACGAAATTTTACATTTTAAAATTTTATGATTTTACAATTATAAAATCTCAATGAGAAAAAATAATTTGAGTAAAATCAGATCTTTATACAAATGTCACCTCTCAAAGATGACTTTTCTGGCTGTCCTAATTAAAATTACATACTATACTACTGGTATTTCCCGGTTTAATTTTTCCTTGGAATTTATTACTATCTAATGTATATATAATGTCTAACTTTTATGACTTTATTTGTTTTCTAGCTACTAATCTTGGTTGTTAGTTCCATGAAGGTAGGATTTTTGTGCCAACTCCTCCATTAGGCACCAGAGGCACAGTGGCCAGGCCTACAGTACTGTTAGGGACCCATAAGTATGTTTATGTTTAATTTCTCTTAAAATTAGAAGAAAAAATAAACTTTGGGGTTGAAAACACATTTTCATATATTATGTATCCATCTTTATAACAACACATTTGTAAAATATCATTTTAACATGTATTTTTAGGGAGGGAGGGACTCAGGCAATGTCATAATGTGGTTCTGAATTTTTTCTGTTTTGTTCACTGCTTTATCTTGAATACTTAGAACAGGACTTTGCTCAGAGTAAGTTCTTAAATATTTATTGAATGGGTGAATGGATGAATTTAATTAGCTAGTATATAATATGTTTGGTAGACAATTCTGGACCCAGAATTCATGCTTTAACAGGCATAATGCATTACTTATGGGTAGTGAGCAAAAAATAAAAGGATGCTTAAAGCCAGAAAAGACTTCATCCCACATCTATACTTTAAGCTGTCCCTTAAAAGTATAGATATAAAGTGATGAGTTATGACAGTAGATTTTTGTCTTATTTAAGATGGGTTTTGGTACCTAATGTAAGATATTATTGTTCTTCTATTTTACAATGAATATTTTTCTTTTCCTTCTTACCAATGTGATAAACAAAAGTTACTCAAAATGTTGATTTTGGTAGCTGATTTTGCACACCATCCATCACAGCATGGAATCCAGGGCCTACCCTCTATGTACAAGCTGAATGCTTGCTGACCCATTCACTCAGAAAAAATTTGTAATATGTCAGCCTTGTAATTAACATACTGTTTTTAGAAGTTCACACAATTATGTGTACTCTATTCAATTTATTTGCATTGAAGAAAATGGGGAAATATACCTAGGAGTTTGTTTTTATCAGGCTCCTGAAGCCAGATGTTTAACCAAAGTGAAAACAATTACCTAAGGCTACTCAGCTCGTGCCACCCGTGGGCAAAATTGATTTGTCTAACATCTCAGTAGATCTGTTTAGGATATCCATACTAATCGTAAATATTCTAGAATAGGTTATAGGTGTTTGTTCAAGGAAGTTGGGAAAGCCCAAAATGGAATAAATATCTATTAGACTCATCTTTCATTTATGACTCATTTACAAAATTTCTAGGATCCCAAATAGCATGAAAAGTAGATCAGAAAATTCAAATAACAAGATCTACAAAAGTAGTCTATTCCCAGGTGTAGGATAAGGAACCAGCATATTCCATTGCCATAATCCATTTGGCCCACCCCACCCTAGATTCTCTTTACTACTATTCACCAATTGAAAAAAAAAAATTGAACTATTCTGACACTTCCTAGAGCTTAACACAAATCCTCAAAAAACATAAATTATTAAACTACTTTTGTTGCTTCTTTAAATTCTCCCTGAAGGATGAAAAAAGCTCTTTTTTTCTCTTACAACTTCCTGAAAAAAAATGATATTCATATCAGGCTAGACAGTATTTGTGTATTCTAAGACATTCTATTAGGAAATTCCCAGCCTATTCACATACTCAAAACCACACATTTGCTTTTCTTTTCCTACCTTTATGACCATATTATATAGTAATGCAGTGGAGTAAGTTACCACTAATATCACCAAATAGACACTGTTGAAGTTACTAAAGAAATACAGAAGCAAATTATTCTTAGATCTCTGAAAATGAACCTTTTCTATTTGTACAGAGGACTCATTTGATAATGAGCAAGTAGTCATTTTATGGTCTCTGAGGCCACACCAGGATGAGAAGTGTTCTGTCACAATATTTGGAAGTAATTTTTATTGAACTTATCATGAACCAAAGGTCTTCAAAATAGAGGCAATGTCTTTCATATGATATTACCAAACATAATGTAATGATATGCCCATCATGAGCTAATGACTAAAGATGATAATCGTTCTGGTGAATACAGGTATTACTTCTTTCTTTCCTCTCCTCATGTCATGCTAAAAGCATCAACTTATACTGGATGTCAAGAAAGCAGGGCACTCTCTCCACTCGGTAGTGAGTTAATGAATGTTTTAACAGAAAATAAACAGGACTGTGGCTAGGCCAGGGCAGAAGAGCAACGCAACAGAGCTAACAGATAATGAATCTGCATGGGCTTTCATTTCTGTGGATGTCCCTCTCTCTTGTTGGAGGCATGCCATAGTTATATAGTAGAATGTTACTCAAAACATCACCTGGGACCAGCAGCACCAGCTTCTGAGAAATGCAAATTCTCAAACCATACCCTCCAGCCTACTGATTCATCATCTCTGGGAGTCAGTACCAAGGGATGGGCATATTTGCTGCCTCTGATTTTCCCTAAGGCTAAGCATCATTGAAAGGGTATACATTTGACTGAAGCAGAGAATCTGGAGAAAGTCTATAGATACAGATTTTGTTTTCATAGTTGGCTAGGTGGAGGAGGAGGGTCCAATATCAAAGCCTAAATAATAATGAGGATTGACTAACATAAGCATCATCATGGAAAAAAGACAGAGATTCTGAAAAAAAAAATACATATATGAGAAAATCAGAAAGAAGAAAGTTACTTGGTTATGTAAGCAGCGTTAAACATGAAATGCATATTTGTGGGTGCATTTGAGATGATTGTAACAATTATAAAAGAATTCATTCCATGTGGTAAATCTTAGATCAACAGTGTACTTATCTTATTACGTAGGCTCTTCAGGATGCCTTGAATATCAAGTGTTCATTTTCCGAGGACTGTTTGAGGAAGTCTCGAGTGGAATTCTGCCATGAGGAGATGAGAACAGAAATGGAAGTTCTGAAGCAGCAGGTGAGAAGCTGGAAGTGGCATGATCCTGTGGAGAACATACTGCCCATTTTTCATGCTTCTTTGGGCATTTTTAGATGTCTTGCTGCTAGAAATATGTCAAAGGTTTTTGCATTTATTTTAAGTAGAATTATCTAATTTTCAAGCTTGATAGAAAGAATACAGATCAGCTAGTTCAGTCCCACCATTTAGAACATAGGGAACTGAGTTTCAGACAGATTAAATGCTTACCCAAGATCACACAATTAAAAGAGGGGCACGCCAATTAACCTTTGGGTGAGGTTCTATTAGCACTGGGGCTAGGGAGTTTCACGTAGACATGGTTTTTGTTTTTGTTTTTGAGACAGAGTCTCCCATTGTCACTGAGGCTGTGGTGCAGTGGTACAACCTCCGCTCACCGCAACTTCCGCCTCCCAAGTTCAAGTGATTCTCCTGCCTCAGCCTCCCGAGTAGCTGGGATTACAGGCATGCACCACAATGCCCAGCTAATTTTTTGTATTTTTAGTAGAGATGGGGTTTCACCATGTTGTCCAGGCTGGTCTCAAACTTCTGACCTCGTGATCCACCTGCCTCGGCCTTCCAAAGTGTTGGGATTACAGGCGTGAGCCACAGCACCCAGCCACGTGGTTTATTTTAAGAACACTATTAATCCCAACTCTGGACTTTTTCAGAAAATGGTAGCAGCTGAGTGGTGATTCTGTAGTTGCTAGCCTCTAGGCCTTCGCACAATAAGAGCAGTTTCAAAGAAAATACTTTGTACTTATTATAATCACTGAAACCAGGTTTCTCAGCTAGTCCCGTGTATGGATGGCACCACTTAGCAATTCACTGATGCACAAGAGCATTCTCCTCCCCACTCACCTAACCTCACGCGCTATTGCCAAGTGGACAGCAAGAGTAAGGATGCACTCTCTACAACTTCCGCATGTATCTATTGGCAGCATAGGGCTGTGGAGATACTGCATTGGTTAAACTACCTGTGTCTAAATTTAATCAATCTGCTGAAATTCACTTAGCTGAGGGGCCGACCATGCATATCATGTCTCTTTTTATGTGAGAGGTTAAATTAATGTAGAGAAAAATCTGGAATGGTTCATGGCAATAATGATAAATACAGGATACATAAAGGAACCTCAATCCCTGAGGCACACATTGTCAGTAACATATTAGCAATGGGAGACAGGGTGTCATAGAACAAAGGGCTGGAAAGCATTATTTTTCTGATGTCCCTGGGTATGATTTACTGACTGGTTTTGCCCTGAGCAAGTACTAAGTACAAAGATTTTTGTTGCAATACATGGAAAAATTCAGCAATTGTGTTATGATTGTTGCTATTTACTTTATTGTTATTGCTTCATATGAAGTAGCCTGTGAATAGATCTAAAAATTTTATAGCATTTGATGGTGAAGTTGGATTTTCTGTTCTGTCAATTTTACTTGAATAATCTGCTTCATTACATTCAGGGTAAAATACATAGCTGAAAAATAAACCGACGAAGAGAATAAGGGTAATATGCACAGTCTTAAAGCTCTGTCAAACTCTCAACCCCTAAAGTAACTGTTGGTGCTAGCCAGGATTTCTTCAAAAACCAAAAGCACTGCTTATGTTCAAAACACTTGACATCTTCGGAACTCGCATATAAGGTACACCACATGCAAGAGTCACTTTTACACATAAAGTTTATAATAATGATTTGGTTCATATTTGTTACAGTGACAGATACTCTTTTTTCATAAACCCTGTGGGAAGACCAAAATCCATCTCCGTAGTTTTGCAGTGCCTCTACTGCTGACTTTCTCCATAAATATTTTAACTGTGCACGTTTCTAATCAGGCACCCGCAATCATTACATCACCAAGTGCCGCATGAAACACTAAAGGGTTTAAATGCACAAAGAAACTGAGTTGGAATCTTGGCCCCTACCTGACTAAAGTGATGATGTTGCCAGTGTTTAATTCTAATCAGATGGGCTCCTCCCATTTAAAATGCCTCTGGTAATTGTTTACAGAGCATCAGTTTAACTGTCTCTGGAAATGAATGTCAGTTCTCAACCAAAAAAATCATCAAAATGTCAATGTGGCTGGATGTAGTTTCCCTTCAGTGCTTCTGGTGAATAAAGCCTTAAAAATGTAATATGTGTATCTGCATGTAGATCTATACAAAATTTTTAATTTCTTCCCTTGCATATTTTGTTCTATTGCTGTCGACTTAGAACAATAAAATTGATAAACCTTTAGTTAAAATTTGTTGGGCTGTTAGTGATGAAAGTGTAATGTGCATTAGTTTTAATAGATAAAAATCTAGCTATAGGTTCCAATATAAGTAGTAATTTAAATCAGAATCTTAGAGGAATGTTTTTACTTCATTCCTTACCTTTCATTTGTTTTCATAGCTTTATATACCAGTCTGCTAACCTTCAGTCAACAGTAAGTCAGTTGAAAACAGTAACAATAATTAAACCTGTTTTTGTTTTTAGTTTAGTCACTTTTCTCAAATATTTGGAGTGCCTCTCAAGAGGTGTTCCACTCAAATATTACTATTATTTATGAGATACATCCAAAATAACTTATAAAAGGAAAATTTGTGAATACCTTTTAACAATCATGCTTTGCTTTTCCACATATGTAAGGGTTTCATTTCTTTTTTGCATTCAACTTATAATTTATGTCTGGAAACTTGGGCATGTCAGTATTTAGTGGCATCACTTAACATCTATTGTCAGTAAACTGTCTTTTAGAAGTTCAAGCAGTATTCATACATCAAAGCCCTTGTGTTAGGGATGGATGACTTGCTCCAAAACAGTGACACTGAACACTAGTTGGGAGGGTTCTTTACAATAATGGAGTAGGCAGCAGTCATTTAAAATAAAGTCATTTAAATGGCTTAAGTGAAAAGGAAGCTTACAGTAACAGCAAGCTAATATTTCTTAGGTGCAAATATACGAAGAAGACTTCAAAAAGGAACGATCGGATCGAGAGAGACTTAATCAAGAGAAAGAGGAGCTACAGCAAATTAATGAAACTTCCCAATCCCAGTTGAACAGGCTGAATTCCCAGGTACAAGTCAAAACAAAATAATCTTTGCCAGCATGTATGTATATTTTTTTCATTTAAAAAAATTCAAGACGTTTGGACTTCTGTTAATTGACATTGAATTTTTTTTTAAAGGTCAGCACCTGGGATGAAGTCATTCTTAAACAATCTTGTAAAGAGATGAAAATGACTGGAAATTTCTTTTAACTTAAGTATATTAAGGAATTGCCCAAGAAATTGCATTCCAAAGTTTTTTTTAATAAAATACAGTCCTTTTGATCTTTTTCTCATAATATTTATCTTGGTAGAATGAGAGTTGAACTACCTAGTACTCAAATAAAGTGAAGTGGTTTTTAAAATTCTTGTCATTTTCTTTGAAGGGCTATGTTGGAATGCTCCTGTCTGCCAAAAACATACGTATTTCTAAATGCCATTTATATGTGAGACTGAGGATTTTGTTCAGTGGTTCCCAGATGTAATGTAACTGGAGTACTTTGAAGGAAGCCAGATAATGGTCACCAGTTTATTAAAATAGAATATATTAAATGTAAGCATACTAAAATTAAGTGTAATTGAACATATTAAAGTAGACTCAGGAAGTTGCCACGATGGGTAAATAGTGATGTTAATGAAGGAAAATGTAGCTAACATAATTTTGCCTTAAAAAATAAAACAAACTGCACCATTTTTATTTGTAAAATATTGCAATACATTTAAATAAATAGAACATTGTTATGAGAATGCTGTGGCAGCACTTAGCTTCAAGATTCTTCGTCATAAAAAAATTTAAAACAGTCATCATTTTCTTCCAAATACAAAGTGGATTGTGAATTAAATTTAATTTTATCTCTGATTTTTTTAAGATTAACTTGAAATTCTTAATTTTACATGGAAAAAATTGTTTTGCAGAACCATTTTCTCTGTAAGAAATTAGAAAAAATAAAATAGTAGTAAAAAATCAAATAATTTTATGAAAGTAATTCAGGCAACCTAATAAATAATTCATACAATAATAGGTAAGACAATGTTCTGATTACTCTTGGTAAAAAAAAAGAGTATATATTGTATATTCTCTCTCTCTCTTTTTTTTTTTATGAGATGGTGTTTTGCTCTTGTTGCCCAGGCTGGAGTGCAATGGCATGATCTCGGCTCACCGCAACCTCCACCTCCCAGGTTCAAGCTAGTCTCCTGCCTCAGCCTCCCAAGTAGCTAATTTTTTTGTATTTTTATTCTTTTAATGTGTTTCTTACATGCCCAACTACTCTAATTTCTTTTAAGTTGTCTCTGCACAAACTGTTTTACTTGCTGCCAGTAAAACAGTTTTAGAACAAAAAATATTTGTTTTTTAAAGCAATTTTAAAATTTGCTGCCAGTAAAACAGCAAGTAAAACAACTTTAATTTTAAAACAATTTTTAATAATTTATTTTTATATGATAAATTATATATCAATATATAATTATATTTAATTAAATAATTTTATTTATTCTACTATATTAAGATTGGTGATAGACTGGCAATGTCCTTGCCATTACAGAACTTTTAGTCTTGTCAGGAATGTATATCTATCTACTTAACGTTGTATACTATAATCCACAAGTCCTTAACTGTGTCACCTGTAAAGTTGATTGGTATCAACAAAATAAATGTATTTTCTAAATGCAGTATGGTATAATTCTGCCTTGAACCTAAAGGACAATCTTAATGATATCTAAAGTGATAGATTAAAGCTATGAAATTTTTTCTTTAAAATAATGAAAGCTCAATCATTTTTTTAAAGTCTCATTTACTCAATAGGAGAATGATAGAATTCACAGAGATGTAATAGATGGTTTGATGATCTGTGTTAAATGTGTTAACAGCAGATTAAATGCTATGATATTTTAAAAAGAACTGACATTACCTTAGTTGAATAACATATTATTTGTTGTCCAAGTGGACTTTTAGAGGAATATTTAGGTCAAATCATTCTGGCATTCTGAGTTGCTTTCTTACCAGAATGTATTCATTCTATCACTGAGGATGCGTTAAGTCAGTGAAAATAAGTAATGTGGTAAAGTGAAAGATGCTTAGGGTACTTAGAAATATGAGAATTTAGGGGGAAAAGACTTGGTGTTCCTGCCTGCTCTAATATTCCATTGGTGGTAACCTTGAACAAGTTATTTAACTTTTCTATGCTTCCTTTTCTTCATCTGTACAATGACAAAGTTGAACTAGATGATCTCTAAAATGCTTCTTATTACTCTAAAATCTCTCTCTAAAAAATAAGTTCCTTAACCTCTTTTAGTATACCTGCCTGTAAAATATAGATAATGAAACCTACCTTGTGACTTCCTAAGTTGTTCTCAATATTAAGTGAAAAAAGCAAAAACAGGCCGGGTGCGGTGACTCATGCCTGTAATCCCAGCACTTTGGGAGGCCAAGGCGGGCAGATCACCTGAGATCAGGAGTTTGAGACCAGCCTGGCCAAAATGGCGAAACCCTGTCTCTACTAAAAGCACAAAAATTAGCTGGGCATGGTGGCACGCGCCTGTAATCACAGCTATTTTGGAGGCTGAGGCAGGAGAATCACTTGAACCCAGGAGGCAGAGGTTGCAGTGAGCCGAGATTGGGCCACTGCATTCCAGTCTGGGCAACAGAGTGGGATTCTGTCTCAAAAAGAAAAGAAAAAAACAAAAAAACGCTTTAGAAAACATTTAGCTCAAGTCAAGTCATGGCTCAGAGGTATTTTATAAATTATTTTAGTCTATTAGAAGAGGGGGCATGTTTAATAGTTTCATTTAGTTTATAATTAGCATGGTACTTTCAGTTCTTTGTAATCTAATTTTGATGCTTTCTTTTTGCAAGGCATTCTGCTATATGCTGTGAGAAAACGAAAACTGGTTCTTGCTAGTAAATAACTCACAATATAGTAAAAGAGACATGTACAGTCTATCCTCATCATCACAAATTCTGCATATGTGAATTTCCCTACTGACTAAAATGCATTTGTCATCCCCAAATCAATACTTGTGGTGCTTTGTGATACATCCTTACATATGAGCAGAGCAGCAAAGTTGTTTCCTGACATATACACATTCCTAGTGTTCTTTTTGTGATCTATTTAGTGCCATGTTTCCTGCATTTTTGTGCTATTTGTTGGTGATTTCATGGTTTAGAATGGCCCACACGTATATGCTGTCATGCTCTCTAGTATTCCTAAGCATGAAGGATGTGATGTGCCTTATAGAGAAAAAGTGTGTTAGAGAAGCTTCATTAAGACATGTTATAGTACTCTTGACCATGACTTCAGAGTTAATCAACAATACATATTAAATAAGTTGTCTTTAATCAGAAACACACATGAAACAAAGTTATGTATTGATCCATTGACACAAATGTTGTGACAAGAGGCTAGCAGAAACTTAACCCAACATTTCTCCTAGGAGCAGTGGTTCAATATTCACTAATTCAGTGTCCGTGGTGACTTTATGGAATATGACCACCACAAGCAGCAAGAATTGCCTGTAAATAGTACACATTGGTCTAAAAAATCACACAGTAAATATACAACACTACATAAGAGGACAGAATAATTCTGATAAGTGGGACTTGGAAAGGTATCATTCAGAAGGGGATATTTGACCATCCCTTATGGGAATGTGGGACATGGAGTGTAGGAATGACAATGATGTGAATGAACAGTCAAGGAAAAGCCAGCTTTCTCTAAATGTGTCTTAAGTTAAGGGAACCCAGGGTAGGTGATTCATCTAGATGAGGCTGGGCCTTAAGTAGTGAGAAGCTGTGGGATATAGCAGTGTGACTTTGAACAAGTTACTCAGAATCTTATGTCTTAGTGTTCTCATCTATAAAATTGAGATAGTATTAAGTATCACATAGAGGGATTGGGAGAATTCAGTGAGTTATTGCATGTAAAAAATTTAGATAAGTTTCTGACATGGATTAAGTGCATATATAACTTCTAACGTTTATTGTGGAAGCCTTTGAATGTCAGGTTGACAATTCCAATGTCATTCAGTAAGCAATGGAAATTGTTTCTATATCTGTATCTAAATAGATCTACCTAAAACAGAATTGTAATGGCCTCAAAAAACTGGAATAGCAATTTAAAACTATCACATTTTTCAAACTGCAACTGGAAATTTTAAGAATCAATGCATGTCTGCAAAAACCAACTTGTGGCTATTTTTGTTGGTATTACTGCTGTCAATGCCTGACACTTGAGTAGGTCAAGAGTGGCTTGGGAATTAATGATTTTAACTTGTCTTGATTAACAAATGCCTTTGTTTTGTCTTTAGATAAAAGCTTGTCAGATGGAGAAAGAAAAACTAGAAAAGCAATTAAAACAGGTATGTTGATCTAATTTTCACGCATACATTTATTCCCATGTACAGCATTTCTCATTGTCCCAATTAAAGACATGTTCAAGCTCTGCTACAGGTGACCTACAACAACCCATGCTTTTCATTACTGACTACACCATCAACGGATAGACAGTGCTTAGGCACCACCAAGGCCTTTCAACCCTAACACTCATAGAAAGCATATGCTTTATAGAGCATGTTACCAGTAGCACAAGTCTTAGTGCTCCTTAGACCCACAAGCACCTGGAAATAGATTTCATTGGTATTTCATGCAGTTGCTGACACAATTAACAGTAGAAAACTAAATCAAATACTGCCTCTTTTGAAAAAATAACATGCCTTCTTGAGCACTGAAGCATTCTATCCCATGGGTTCTCTAATAGCCTTAAATAATGAATATTATTTGTCCTAATTCCTAATTTCCTTTCTGGATTTTAGTTTTCCCTGGCTACAATTTAAGAAAACCTATTTTATGACTCAATGAATAGATTTTCTTCATTGAGGGCCCTCAATAAAGATAACTCAAAAACATAAAGTTAACTCTATATACTTTTCAAGTGTGTCTAATTTCTTCAAAATGGGGAAATGATTATAGTTTCACCTTAGGTAAAACTTGACCTGTGAGCCTCGTTTGTATTGGTCCTGAGTCTATTGACATGTTTACTATTTTGAGTTATAATTATGCCAGATTAAGTGGAACCTTAAGATTGAAACCAAACCTTTTGTATAAAGCAATGTCACTGCAACTCCTCAGTCTCTCCCACTGGTAGTGACCCCACAGTTTTGTTCTCCTCAGATGTATTGCCCACCCTGTAACTGCGGCTTGGTTTTCCACCTGCAAGATCCATGGGTACCAACAGGCCCTGGAGCTGTGCAGAAGCAACGGGAGCACCCAGTAAGTAAGAGTGCATTTGAAAAAGTGCTTAGTATACTGTTTTGGTAGAAATTATGTGCATCTCTGGAATTTCAGCACATTATATTATCTACAGCAAGAGCCTCTGTTTTCTCTCAGCCTCTAACTTGCAAAGTTGGAGTGGTCAATGTACACTAGAATTATCTTTGGGACACTGAATCCATAGGACACATAGATACGAATAAATTAACTGAAAGGTATTAAATTGGGAATAATTCCTTGAACAACATATAACATTTTCAATTGGCATACTTCATTCTACCCAAAGGACATTTTCTGTATAAAGTGTATTTATGTATAAAGGAAAGTGGATATGGCAAAACAAGAAAAATGAGATGCTTTTGTTCGGTTGTAAATTTATATTGAACTACTATGGATATTGCTACATATGTGCAAAATAGATTTTGACATTTTCCAATTGAAAGGATTTTCTTAAAGGATCCAAGAAAAAGTGACCCACTTAAGTTGTTCTCCATGGCTGTGTCTTCCCAGACAAAATGAAATGCAGAGTTGAGCAATTATTTGTGAGGGGAATTGATTTGGACAGTCAACCTGAATTAGTGAGGCCCAAAGCACCCTTTTTTTCCTTCTCAATAGCAGTATTCCACCTACCCTCCTCTACTTTTTATTTTGCCTACATAGATAGAAATTTATCCAGGAAAAAAATATGCATTTTCTGCATTTTGGATTTACCCAGACAAATCCCGCTACCCTTTAGGTTTGATTAATTGTGTTTCTCATGATGAAAAAATCTAAGATTTTTAACTGGGATTTTCCTACCAGAATGCTTACAGAGAACATGATTCTCTTGGCTTCCTGAAAGTTCTCATACTTTTGTTCGAGTGTGACTCAAAACCCTTTTCCCAAGGGAGGAGATAATGACTCTTTGGGTGGCTGAAGGAATGTGAGGATTTAATGAGCATCTCTTATTTGACCCTGGTATGACACAGCACACCGCTAAGAATTGAGTCTTTTCATGTTATTGCGGGTTGCTAGTTCTGTCTGCTCTCCCTCCCCCTTTTCCTTTTTTTTCTTTACCTGTTTGCTTACTTTTCAGTCTTTACCAATAACATTAAATTTTTTTTTCAAGAATGTAGAAGTCAACTCAGATTGTGAGAAACATAAAGAGAAATTTACTGTAGGAGTGAATTAACCTATAGGAGTTGGCTTCTACAGGTTGGGGGATTGGAGAAATATTCTTATGAAAGGTTAACTATAAAACCAATCAGTCATTCACATTTACCTAGGAGTACAAATTATTGTTTCAGTCAAATATTTCTTTATGGAAAGAAGGAAGGAATTCACCTACTATAGCTCATCAAACAGTCCATGTCAATTAAAAAAGGCAAGGCAGTCCAGGTCACATAAAATTGTCACCAAATAAAGGCCTATATTTGAAAAAGGACTCCAAGCCATGTAGAATGGCCTACATTTTCTTTCTTTTTTTCTTTTTTCTTTTTTTTTGAGAAGGCATCTCGCTCTGTCATCCAGGCTGTAGTGCAGTGGTGCGATCTTGGCTCACTGCAACCTGTACCTCCTGGGTTCAGGCAATTCTCCTGCCTCAGCCTCCCGACTGGCTGGGACTACAGGCACACACCACCACACGTGGCTAATTTTTGTAATTTTAGCGGAGATGGGGTTTCACCATATTGCCCAGGCTGGTCTCAAACTCCTGACCTCATGATCCGCCCACCTTGGCCTCCCAAAGTGCTGAGATTACAGGCATGAGCCACTGCGCCTGGCCAGAATGGCCTACATTTTCAAGCAGTAGTCAGATGAAAAAAATCTCAGCATAACAGTAGAGTTTACAACCAAATCCTCAAAGTTAATTTAAAAATAATATTTCATGTTTCTTGTCTATATCGAAGGCTGAATTAAGTCACATGCTATAGTGTTGGTAACATTACAGGATATTTACCTTCTCTTGGCAACTCTCCTGGAATATAAAACTGAGGCTCACGTCACTTATCCTATGTGTTATTTGAGACATCTAAAAATAAACGAGAAGATAAAAAACAGAGGTGATCTCATTTCCTCTTCTAGCTTTTTCATAAGCCAGAGGAGCCAAGGGCCTAGGTGTCTAGAGTAGGGGTACAGTGGGGTCAAACTGCACTAAAAGCAGCATTTCTCAGTGTCTTATTGAGTAATTGAACTTTCTGGGCTACTTTCAGTGGTCTGGCAGCCTTGTAAATGCTCTCTGTTGGCTCATGTTAGAAAAATTTTCCTCAAGTTATTTTTAGGAGATAATTGAATTACAGAACAACAAAAAAATCTATATTCTCTGTGTCTTGTGGAGAAGTAGGAGGCAGGGGTGAGCATTCAGAGCAGAAAGACAGACCTGCTTTGTGGGCAGGTAAAGCTGAGATTGCTCCATTCCTAAGCGTTAAATACAGAGGTGCTGGCCTTGGAGATATCTTGATGATTCAGGCCTATGGGTTTACTATTTATTCAATGCAATTTGTTCGACATTCAATATCTAGCTGTTCTTAACTGGTGTAAACCTAGGAGAAAATCCCAAGAGAAAAATCTTGTCTCTGTAGACTAAACTATATGAGCAATTTAGAGGATAGGTTCTGCTGGATCGGTTCTTCACAACAGCAAAAAGGGAAAGATTTGCCCTGCTTCACCATCCTGAACTTCTGTCAATGCCAAATCCCCATTTAATAGCTTAAATTTCTTCCTTAAACCATTAGAAAACTTGTATTAAACTTTTTTTCCTGGCCTTCTCATTGCCTCTAGTGTGAGGGTCTCAAAAAGAGTATTTGTTGATGCTAAGTTGCTTTGTTTTATTGATGGGCTGTAGTAAGTTTTACAAGTGTTTATACTTCTGCAGATATTCAAAACACATCTGTTTCAAAAAAAGAAAGAAAATATGTCACAACCTCAAAGTGGTAGAAATTCTGGCCAAACACAGAGTGGATTTAAGAGGGGGTAGGGAGAGATGATGGCAGTGATGGGGGGTAAGCAGGATGAGTGAGGTTGGCAATAGGTTTGGATAGAAATTACTTTTGTGTTGCCTGCTTAATAAAAGCCACATAGCCTAATTGTATTTTTGACATGCCACTATATTTGAAGTCCATATTGCTATAATAATGTTGTATTGTTCCACACAGCCAGACTATCAGTGGTATGCTCTTGACCAGCTTCCGCCAGATGTACAACACAAGGCAAATGGTGAGACCACAGCTGTATTGAGCATTCTTTCATGTTTACATCTTAATGGGATCTTTTGGGGATGTTTACTCAACATACATTCATTCGTACTTGGGGAGGACTTACTATAAAGTTGTGTTACATACATAACTTTAATTTGATGCACCTGGGGTTAAATTGAACTCCTTAAGACAAAGAAAATGTGCGAATGCAGAAATGCATGAACCTCAATTCTGGCTTCTGTTCCTTTTTCAGTCTCAGAGTCAGAATTCCATCTGGGGTTAGAAATGAAAACTGTAAGCAGAGCTGTATTATAACAACAACAAAGCTCTGCAATTGTACTACAAAGCACAGATGCACACCCACTATTCCAGGTTGAGTTTGCTAGACAGATGTTTTAAATGTCACTGGCAGACAGACAGAGGAAACCAAAGGCTCGGAACTGTGTTCCCTTATGACTAAATGTCAGACTCCAAGGCAGGGCTCTTAGTTTAGGCCAGGGTTGCCCACAACGCCCACCTCAAAGTATGCTGGGGAAAACTAAAAGTCACTTATGAAGTACTCACAACTAAGAGTACTTTTTTAAATCTTATTTTTTATTGATTTAACATTTTCTGTTTTCTTTCTAGAATCTGCTATACTTTCTACTGCTTGTTTCTATGGTCTTGTGAGGCCACCCAGAAGCGGGCTGTATAAACTGAGCTATAATCAAAATCCCACTTCTATTCTCATCAAGTATACATAATCAAAAGTTAGAAATGTCTGCTACATGTTTAAAGTCTCATATGACACACACCTGGGACTCTAACTTGTTAATTTCCAAAGATTTGAATCTATCTAAAAATGCTGAAGATGAGCTATGTAGTCTAATTTCAGGCCATTCTTGAAATTTGATCTCGTTTGAAGTCAGAGCTGAGATCACAGAAATCTAGTTTTTAATACAAGGAGTCTGTTATGGAGTGTAAATAGGGAGTCAGGGACACCACATGTAGTTTTGCAGGTTGTGAACTTTACAAGTCTGAGGGGCTCATCATGGTACTCTATGTGAATGGAGCCTGCTGAAGTACAATACGCAATCTGGACAGCTGTACACAGCAGCAATGGGAGTGACAAAGGCCATAGATTACAACAGCATCATAGAAAAGAAATATGAAATGTGAGAATTCCATAATAAAATATCCAGGTATTTATCAAAACACTATAGGACTCTCTTTTTTCTTTGCTTTCTACTACAAATATAGCCAGTGGTTTTAATGAAGTTCTTGAGTTCCAACAATAATGGAGTTGTTTTATTAGAAAGGCATACCATTAACCGGAATGTGTGTTGCATAATATATGCAATTTTAAAATCTATTATGGTATAATAACAGAATTGCTACCCAATTATAATTTTCCATTTTATATTGCTCTGGAATGACTATTAAAGATATTTTCTTTCTGAATTGGAGTTTAATAACTGGAAAATAAAATTACTTAGTACAGAATTTAGTAATACCATAAGGTCATTTATATATCATTATTAGATTCTTGCTGGACCAATATTACACAAGCTAATGATTACATAAAATAGAAATGAATTGTGATGACATTCAGAAACTAAATAGAATATGCAATAATGAAATGTTGTAGTCAGTGTATGAGACTTACTGATTTTTGTCTAGCTAGGAAAAATGTAGTGAGCTTTGTGATGTATAAACATACCATGTAACAGTGTCTACAGATGTAAAACTACAACAAAAAAATCTCCATGATGTACCAACCTAAGCTTTTTTTTTTTTTTTTTTTTTCGGAGACAGTCTTACTCTGTCACCCAGGCTGGAGTAGTGCACTGGTGTGATCATAGCTCACTGTACCCTTAAACTCCTGGGCTCAAGAAATCATCCCACCTCAGCCTCATGAATAGGGCTACAGGCATGAACCACCATGCCCAGCTAATTTTTATTTTTATTTTTTGTTCAGATGGTGTCTTGCTCCACCTCCAGTCTGTTGCCAGGCTGGTCTCGAACTCCTGGCCTCAAGTGATCCTCCTGCCTCTGGCTCCCAAAGTGCTGAAATTTCAGGTGTGAGCCACTACACCCGGCCTGTTTTTAAAGCATTATTTCAATCTTCACAACAAAGCTATGAAATAGGTTTTGTTTTGCACTATTTAACACATGAGGAAACTGAGGCTTAGAGAATTTAAGTAACACGCCTAAATCACACAGTTAATAAAATTTAGCAAGGGGATTAGATTATTTGATATATAGGATTCTAAAACATATGGTTTGAATTATATAGTACAGTGCCCCTCTTACTGTACCTCTCTCACTTTATTGAAATTTTCTGAAAGTATAGATACAAAAATGAGAAGGGGACTCTAACATAGATAATAATATGACTAGCATTTAACCCTCAATAATCTCATCTTTGTGTGAACTCACAGCATGCTACTCATTTGACATTTAGAATATCACAAGTAAAAGGCACGGTACTATGTAAGATTAAGTGTGTAATAAATATGTTATGAACTAACCTGTGCATGGACAGCCCTGGTGGAACCTGACCAGGATATGTTGTCATTTGAAACCTATCCTTTTCCATACTAACACAGCTCTGCAACTAACTATGGCTGGCCAGCAGCAGAGAAGAGGGCTGATCATGGTTAGGGCACCACCAAAAAATTCCTCACTCAAAAGTCTACCTGTTTGGGATTCCTATGCCTCCTTTACTAGCTTCCACAGTTGATGTATTTCATAGCTTAAGCCATGTCATAAGAATTGGCAGAACTCTGACATCACTCTTGTCATAAATGATGGATGTGTCATTATTTAATTTCAGTAGTGGTTCTTGCTGGTTTGGGGTTCATTTAATTAAAACGGTCCTTTTAATCTGTTGGTGTAACTGAATTGCTCAGAATTCTCATAAAATAATTTTGTGGTATTGACTATTAAGAAATCACTAGTTTAAGGCCAGGAGTGGTGGCTCATGCCTATAATCCCAGCGCTTTGTGAGGCCAACGTGGGCAGATTGCTTGAGCCTAGGAGTTCAAGCCCAGCCTGGGCAACATGGTGAAACCCTGTCTCTACAAAAAAATACAAAAATTAACCAAGTCTAGTGGCATGTGCCTGTAGTCCCAGCTACTTGGGAGACTAAGGTAGGAGGATCACATGAGCCCAGGAGGCCAAGGTTGCGGTGAGGTGAGATCACGCCACTGCGCTCAAGCCTGGGTGACAGAAAATGACTCTATCTCAAAAATAAAAAAAAATAAAAAAAAAGAAGAAGAAGTAACTTCATGCATTTGAAAAGGTATGGCAGATAATGAGTGATTAAATTTCAATGATACCACTAAATCCTCCTCTAACATTTCTGGGGCCTGGAGCAAGAATAAGTGGAGAGCTACATCCTATCTGTGTAAATCTCATGAATCAAGCATAGAAACTGTTAAAGTATAATCTATCCTCCTACCTTGATAAACATACATGGAAAACCAAAGTACAATTTACAATGCTCAGTTTCAAAACCAGTCTGTGACAGGACATGGTGGCACAGGGAGACCTAAGCCCTGGCCTCCTGCCTGGGACCCTCGACCTTCTCTCCCCACCTTCCCATCATAAGGACTCTTGAGTGCAGACTTGAAGACAGCCCAGCTGGGAGATCCCACCCTTGTCCATACACCCCTCACCACTCTACACACAACACTCTTTCGACAGCCTTCAGGCTGGGAAGAGGACCACATGAATCTTGGAAGCAGGCCCAGAATCACCTGGGCAGGGACTTCGGGGATGTGCATTTGGGTGCCAGGAGGAGCTTGTTCTGGAGGAAACGTCGCTCACACTGTGAGGAAGGGTGTGGCTGGAGGAGGGCTAGAGCAGAGTCCTCTATAAGATGGGGACATCAGTGAAGGGCTTCCTGACTAGGGACTGAGGGTGGTAGGTGCTGAGTACCATGGTGCACAGACTTCCAGTCAACTAATTTCCAGCTTTGCTCTCAGTTACTGTCTGTGGTTATTTCAGAATGCTTTGGAGACACATTGAAAATCAACCCTTCTTTCAAAAACTAAAGATTTTAAATGAAGGGTTTCGAATGTTTTCAAGTCATTTGAGACTTGGCTTTCTCTCTGTATAGCATTAAATAATGATGTTTTTAATACATTGAAGTCCACAGATATTAATGAGTTACAGCTTTTGTTTAGAAACGTGATTTTACAAAGAACATTTTCATCTTGTTTCATCTGTTATCAGAACGAGATGCAAAATGACTTCCATGTTTATAGAACAATTATGTCATAACAGAGTTAGTTTAACCTTGAAAAACATGTTGTTTGTTTCTTCCTTTCTGAAATGTCAAAAAGCTATGGTTTCTGATTGCATTGCATGCCAGTCACTTCTGTACATTCCAAATTTTTCATAGGGTACAGAGTTATGCTTTGTCTAATGAGCCAGAGATGGATTATTAATGTATCTAGAAAGGCATAAAATGTAGGGATGTGAAACTGTGTTGTGAAATTACTTCTTTACAATATAGAAGATCAAAGCCTAAATATTATGATTAGCTTTTACTAATGTCTAATACTAACCAATTAAATACTGACTGGATTTGTCTCCTAGGATTGCCATAACAAAATACCACAAGCTGGGTGGCTTAAAATAGAAAAACTTTTTTTTTCATAGCTCTGGAGGTTAGATATCCAAAAATCAAGATGTTGGCAGGGCCAAGCTCCTTCCAAATCCTCTGGGGAGGAGACTTCCTTGCCTCTTTCAGCATCTAGTAGCTCCAGGTATTCCTTAGCTAGTGGCAGCATCACTGCAATCTCTGCCTCGGTCTTCACATGACCATCTTCCATCTGTGTCCAAATTTTCCTGTTCTTACACACACACCAGTTACAGTGGATTAAGGCCCTCCTCCCACCTTCACTGTACATTTAGGGAAATTCTGCCTTCCCTTCAAGAACCTAAAGACCTATCTTTGTTTTTGTTCAGATTTCCATTCTGCCGTGGATTATCTCATTGGCCACAGCCTCTCTCCATCTAAAATATCAGGCTATTGATCTTTAATTCTATGCCTGTTTCACAAGAGCACTGTACAAATTGAAAAGGAGTTAATTTTAAAATATTTAAGATACCTAGGGAGAGGTATCATTAGTGGATTTATTTAATGTTAACTTCAGATTGGTTAGATCAATTAATTTATGCTTCTGAGTTCAAATTTATGTTCTCAACATATTAGATACCTTTTTAACATAGTGACCACAGTCCTCAGCAACATAATTTTTCAGCCTGGAAAAGTAACTTATTATCTTCCTATTTGCTTTTTCTGTTACCAAAATGTTAGTTTAGCACATCTTTGGTATACCAAATGAGGACAACAAGTACAAAACATTCAGCATATTTTTAAGTTATCAGGGATAAGGATAACTCTTTGTTTCTTGGCATTTCTATGATTATTTTTTCCTGTTGCCATGAGTAAACTTATTTGACTTTGTCTTTCATGTAGTATTCATTATCAAATAGTACTCAATCAAAATATTCCAGATTTTTCATATTGGTCTTCATGATACACCAACAAGTCTTTCTATAGGATATTTTCCATAGCTTTGGCAATAATGTACCCAGTACCATATATTAAAAGATCATATTTGGCAAGTTTTCTTTCTCTGGGGTAAGTACTGAACCTAACCTAAGTCATATATATGACTTACTTTCACATGCCCAAGCCAAAATGCCAGCAAGAGTGAGAATTAGTATAGAACATTCCTCCTCAGGCATAATTAGAACGAGGCCACAACTTATTTCACAAAATGGTAAGCATATGTCAATGCTTAAAATAATAACCCTCCATCTCCCGCTTCTTGATTTCTCAGTGTAAACTTGTGGGGAGCTTATGAATATAACATAACTTTTTTTTTTTTTTGCCATCCTGGAACTTTATGTCAGCCTTAAGCCAGAAGAAGAGAAATGAAATGTTAATTTTTAATCTAAAACATTTTCCTACTGTTTTCCATAGGTTTATCCTCAGTAAAGAAAGTCCATCCGTAGAAGTACACACTAACAGAGAGAGACAACAGGCAACGAGGGAGCGTGGCTGAGGACCCTCTTCTTTGTTTATACTGAGGCTTGTTTCTGCCACAAAGGCACATCATCTACCCTGTTATTTGTGCCTGGTCATGTTTTCCTTTGGTATGAATACAGGAAAAGGCTTCTGACAGCTAAGATCCTGATCAAATTGGAGGAGCCAGTTATTATACAACCAAATACAACTTCCAGTTTCCTTGAAATGAGACTTGGCAGATGGATGATGCACGACTCCCTGAAAATCTCTTCAGCATATTGCTGTTGGATGCACAAAAATGATTCTATGATTTAGGCAACTCAGTGTTTGCTGCAGGGATATTGTATGTTGATTTAAAGTGCATATGTGTGTGTGTGTGTGTGTGTGTGTGTGTGTGTGTGTGTTTCCTGGGGTAAAAATTTCTGCAGTTGTAAACGTTTAACATTGCTCCCATTCTTCTTCCACAGGGCCTTAGTTCTTTAGCTATTTGACTACATATTGTTGACCTCAGTGATCCTAAACGTAGAATTGAAGAGGTGTATATACCTCATTAAATTAAATAAGTGGTTCAATCTGAATAAGATGGTTAATTGGAAGCTATTCCTTAGACAGATCATTTCTTTAAGATGATGAGAAATTGTGCGCCTGCATCACAAGACTTGATTATGAAAGATAAAGTCTTGGGCTGGGTGCAGTGGCTCATGCCTATAATCCCAGCACTTTGGGAGGCTGAGGCAGGTGGATTGCTTTGAGGCCAGGAGTTCTAGACCAGCCTGGCCAGCATGGTGAAACCCCATCTCTACTATAAATACAAAAATTAGCCAGGCTCGTGGCACACACCTATAAACCCAGCTACTCAGGAGGCTTGAGGCGGGAGGATCACTTGAGCCCAGGGAGGCAGAGGTTGCTGTAAGTTGAGATCGCCACTGCACTCCAGCCTGGGAAATAGAGTGAGCAAGACTCAGTGCCCCCTACCCACCCACTCCACACCACCAAAAAAAAAAAAAAAAAAAAAAGGAAGACAAAGTCCTGATGGGATGATGATGGCTATATGGCTATGCTGTGTCCATATATACTTACAGAAATATTTCAGACATATGGATTTATAGTTAAATCTGTGTTTTTCCTTCCCTTGGATTTGATTAATTTTAATGAAAAACTTAATTCTGACTTCTCAAGCCAATTAAAATGAAAATGGAATTTATTGAAATTTTATTGCAATTAAATCTTATAGTGACATGACAGATGTCTAAAGATTAAGCAGATTTAGAAGTATTAAGTTTATCCATTTAATAAGAATTCTGCTAGGACTAACTTGAGATCCTCTTCGTGATCCTCTGTATACATATATACATATATATGTGTGTGTATATATGTATATTCTCACAAATATGATCTCAAATTATACATTTATATGTATATACATATATATATATATACATATAACAAGAAATGTGAGATCCTTGGATATCTATGCTTCTAGAAGTAAACCTAAAGCAACTGCAAAGCTGAAAATGCAGTTGAAGAAAACAATCCAAACATACTGCTAAAATTATCCAGTTTCAGCTTCCAAAAATTATGCTACTTTATTCCAGCTCAAATTATTATTATTCCAGTATCTGGATACACCTGAAGCTCTGTATAATGGGAAGATGAAAGAGCCTTAGGAAAATAAATATTTTCAGGTTCAGCCCTTTGCAACCCTGGAACATAATTCTTGACAAAGAATTATCCTTGTCTTACATTAATTTTCTGAATCTTGTTTCTGTTACTCTTTATCAAAGAGACAAATCATTCTTGGATATTACTTCAGTATAAGTATAAGCGTAAGTATAAGTCAGCTGCTGACTTGTTAACTGTTGTTTTCCTGATTCACCTATACTGAAGTAATACCCAGGAATGGAAACATTTTGGCATTTCAGATTAGTGAAAAAGTCATTGTGATGTCAATTTCTTGTGGTGGATTTAATTTGCCAACTGAGGTACGCCCACTGGGATAAAAACTGAACGAACACCCAAGAAAGTACTCCTTGAGAGGCCAGGCCCAGGCCTATTTAGCAGCAGGCAAATGTGATTTAACTCTCCAGTCCAAAGTCATCCTCTTACTAATTAGCAAGTTGCCAAACGTTGGCAAGATTGTGGAAATGCTAATGTAATGGGAGAAAACCCAATTTAAGTGAGACCTAATTTAATTTGAACTCCAGTGGGGGACTACAAATGTGGAAAGAGGAGCCCTTGCTCAGGGCAACTGCCGTT
Source organism: Homo sapiens (assembly GCF_000001405.40). Lineage (NCBI taxonomy): Eukaryota > Metazoa > Chordata > Mammalia > Primates > Hominidae > Homo > Homo sapiens. Next base: position 121,130,361 of record NC_000004.12, on the reverse strand, counting down.
CCCAAAAGATGGATTTCACAACCCTGTCCTGAGAGTGACCCAGCCTCTCCTGTGTCCCTCTACCCACACCATTTGTTTGGGGACTTTTCTGCTTCAACTCATTATAAGAGTTATACCCTGAGCTGTGACTCTTACTTCATTATTAATAATACACAACTTGTGGAAATTGTGTGAAGAATAGCTATGTCCCTTTGAAAGGAGAGGAAGTCACGTGATCTGTTCTTAGGAAATGTAAAACTAAGCGTATTTTAGGTTGTTGGTAATCATGAAGATTTTGATCTTTGATTGAAGGTCTCACATGAAGAGAAAGTTGTCTTTACTTTGTCTTGGTTGTGATATGGTTAGGTGAAAGCCTTCCTTCAGGGTCTGGTTAGAACTGGGAGTTAGGCCAGCCTCTACTTCTCTTTGCTATGTTTTGTTTTGGGCTCCACTTTTCTCACCAACAAAAAGAATATTTTGGACTATATTGCTAGCATTATTGAGCATGAACTAACTTGTAGATGATCTCCCTTAGTTTATTTACTGAGCTTTCTCACCCAGCAGGAGAGGTATAAATACCGCCTTGATGATTAATCAAGAACACAGAGAGATTCAGTAATTTCCCTAGGTTCTTATGGCAAGTAAATGGTAGAGCCAAGATTCAAAACTGTCTTGAACCTGGGAGCACCCAGTTTTTGGCGTGCTACAATTCTGCTTTGTAGATTACCTTGGAAAGCTCAACTTATTTTTATGATTCTTTTGGGTTATCATCAAGTAGCATTACAGGAGCACACTTCTTAGGAGAAAATATTTTGATTAAAAATACTATAAATTGAATGGGAATTGTAAGTTGCCTCCTGAATTAAGAGAAGTAGTATCTCATTTGCGCTACTACGTGGGAAAATAAAAGTGTATACTAATGTTAAAATGCACTAAAATAATGCAAGCATGGGCATAAATGATGCCTTCATGTGTCAACACTTTTTTTTTTATTATACTTTAAGTTTTAGGGTACATGTGCACAATGTGCAGGTTAGTGACATATGTATACATGTGCCATGCTGCTGTGCTGCGCCCATTAACTCGTCATTTAGCATTAGGTATATCTCCTAAAGCTATCCCTCCCCCCTCCCCCCACCCCACAACAGGCCCTGGTGTGTGATGTTCCCCTTCCTGTGTCCATGTGTTCTCATTGTTCAATTCCCACCTATGAGTGAGAATATGCAGTGTTTGGTTTTTTGTTCTTGCGATAGTTTACTGAGAATGATGATTTCCAATTTCATCCATGTCCCTACAAAGGACATGAACTCATCATTTTTTATGGCTGCATAGTATTCCATGGTGTATATGTGCCACATTTTCTTAATCCAGTCTATCATTGTTGGACATTTGGGTTGGTTCCAAGTCTTTGCTATTGTGAATAGTGCCGCAATAAACATACATGTGCATGTGTCTTTATAGCAGCATGATTTATAGTCCTTTGGGTATATACCCAGTAATGGGATGGCTAGGTCAAATGGTATTTCTAGTTCTAGACCCCTGAGGAATCACCACACTGACTTCCACAATGGTTGAACTAGTTTACAGTCCCGCCAACAGTGTAAAAGTGTTCCTATTTCTCCACATCCTCTCCAGCACCTGTTGTTTCCAGACTTTTTAATGATTGCCATTCTAGCTGGTGTGAGATGGTATCTCACTGTGGTTTTGATTTGCATTTCTTTGATGGCCAGTGATGGTGAGCGTTTTTTCATGAGTTTTTTGGCTGCATAAATGTCTTCTTTTGAGAAGTGTCTGTTCATGTCCTTCACCCACTTTTTGATGGGGTTGTTTGTTTTTTTCTTGTAAATTTGTTTGAGTTCATTGTAGATTCTGGATATTAGCCCTTTGCCAGATGAGTATGTTGCGAAAATTTTCTCCCATTTTGTAGGTTGCCTGTTCACTCTGATGGTAGTTTCTTTTGCTGTGCAGAAGGCTCTTTAGTTTAATTAGATCCCATTTGTCCATTTTGGCTTTTGTTGCCATTGCTTTTGGTGTTTTAGACATGAAGTCCTTGCCCATGCCTATGTCCTGAATGGTAATGCCTAGGTTTTCTTCTAGGGTTTTTACGGTGTTAGGTCTAATATGTAAGTCTTTAATCCATCTTGAATTAATTTTTGTATAAGGTGTAAGGAAGGCATCCAGTTTCAGCTTTCTACATATGGCTAGCCAGTTTTCCCAGCACCATTTATTAAATAGGGAATCCTTTCCCCATTGCTTGTTTTTCTCAGGTTTGTCAAAGATCAGATAGTTGTAGATATGCGGCATTATTTCTGAGGCCTCTGTTCTGTTCCATTGATCTATATCTCTGTTTTGGTACCAGTATCAAGCCAAAAGAACAAAGCTGGAGGCATCACACTACCCGACTTCAAACTATACTACAAGGCTACTGTGTCAACACTTTTAATGTGGCTAAGTCGCTAATAGAATCAAATCTAAAAGACATATGACCTCCCAATTTTGTAAATCAATTTAACAATTATTATTTAAATACCTACTTATTTCTAAAAATGTCTAGGCAGCCCACATCTCATACTGCCTCTGTCTCTATGCACTGTGCTTGGTTGAATGCACACTGAGAGTGGAGGACAGAGTTGTTTACCAAACATTATTCCCCTAACTTGAAGGTCCCTTTGCTCTTTTTTTATTTCTGCTATTTTTCTTCCCATCTCCCTGGGGAATCCTAACAAGATTACATACTAGAGAGATAAAATCCATTGCTTTGCTATTGTGGCCGCACTATGATCCTTCTTTCTCTGGCTCCAATTTGCTGAAGTCCCAATGACACAGCACAAAAGAGAAGAAAATATTTGCTATAATCCCTACTTTTCAATAATTTTAGAAATAATTTCTTTTGCCTAATTCTACCTCTTTACTTTCATCAATCTTTTGCTCCAAGAAAGAAAGGTGTTATGGGGAACAGTTATGCTCACTATCTTTGTGATTCCATAGAAAAGAAAAGGAAGCTTCTGTCAGCACACACACTCCACATATTCATACACACCACAGACACAAACCACACTCACCACACATGCACACACACCCCACATAAACACACCAGGCACATACTCTGCCTCTGCCTCCCCAGTCTTGAAGGCAACGCTACAGGTTCCTGGCTTCTCCATTTGTGACTGGGGAAATTGATTCCAGTTGAAAAAATTGCATAATAAAGCTAACTTTTTCTCATTTTGTCTCAAATCCTTGTGTGTATAATATATTGCCAAGAATACTGACTAACTCCATGCAAAGATTCCTTCAGGAAGTAATAATGTTGAGATCTAGACCCCATTAATTTGGCCAGTTATTGCTAAGTAATGTGACGGAACTTTTAATGTTTGGGGGTGGGAGTGTGTGAATCTCACTGCTTTGTGTATTGTGCTCAGAAGCTAAAATAATTTCTGTCTGCCCTCCTTCCACTTTATTCCATACTAGTATCAGAAGGAAGAGTACAATGAATGAGGCTGCTGACATATTGTGGTAAACCAGATCCAACCCTTGGGGCTTCCTAATGTACTTAACTTATTAAGATTAATTTTCTGGAAGACTCCATCTTTTAACTGCTGTTCCTGAGTCTGCTCTTTGCTGGGTATGAGTATGCTTCGATGAAACTGACACTCCATTTCCACATTTGTAGGAAAGCCTCTTGGCCATAGGATAATGACCCACATCCATCCACCACAGCCACACACGGAGCTGGCAAGAATGCAGCTCCTCACTCACAGCTGCCTCTGCAGGCAGGGCTGCGGATGGCGCTGAAGCAGAAGAAAAATGGAAAAATGAAGCAAAAGAAGAAAACCTTTCCCTTAATACCTCCCCGCAAACCTGGTTCATCGGGCATTTAAAGGAAGACAACACTCAGTTGGCACATGCAGCATCTCACAGGAACAATTAGGCTTGAGAACAAGAACAGGGGAGTGAGAATTGTTAGTGCAGCACCCTAATCCTGACGTATTCATATTTAGAGAGGATTTAGGAGGCATCAGCGCTGGCTATGCTGCTTCGTGGGTCGCCTCTTGCTCATTTGCCACCCTCGTGGCTCCGTCATGGCCCTGGGAAGGGAAACTGAGAAACAACATGTGTGAGATCTCAGAGTCTGGCCTAATCAGAGGTATTTTGCGTTTATCTCTAGGGGTTCGAAAAATTGGGCAAGATGTGGCAGGTAAAGAATGAGAATGGACTCTTTTCCTCCTTTGATGCTGTTTAAACCATATATGTTCTTTTCCTCTGTTCTTGGAAAGGAGGACCTAATGTCTTCTCACTTCCTGACCTCTCCTGAATTCTTTAGACTGAAACCACGTCTTTCCCTTTGACCTTTATTTCTTTGTTCATACTGTCCTCATATTCCTTTCAGGTAACTGAAGGTTCAAAAAGGCAAGATGGATGTTAGAATGGATGTAGACAGTATAATCTCAAAATTCTCTCAGGAGATGTGGTAACTTATTTGTGATCTCCAGATTCTCATTTCTCAGTCCAGACCTCTCATGATTCCTAACAGAGAACTCAGTGTCCCAAATGGAATTTTCCTTCTAAACTTATCTGCTCTGTTGTTTATTCACTCTTCTTATGTACACAACTGCCATTTATCTATTCCTGCAAACCAGAGACCTATGAGAGAGCAGCCCCTCCACCCTCTGCCAGAAGGTGCCCATTCTGGCTTCTACATCTCTTGAACTGCCCCTGCTCCTCTCCAGAGCCTTCACCCTGGGCATGGTCCACACCTGCACCACCTTCACCTGGCCCACAACTGTGGTCCACATGCCAGCTGGGTGCCCTGTCTTGCAACCTTGCGACTCTCTCCAGGAGTGGCTTACAGTGTTCCAGAAGCACTAGGCCCCGAACTGCGGCTTTTGCTGAATGAGTTCAGGTTTGCAGATGATCTCAGTGCTGCTCTGGCTCCACACTGAGCTGCTCCAGCTATGGAACGCAAAGTCTTCTCTCTACCGTCCCTGACGCAAGATATGTGTATGCAGTAGAATACTTGGAGAGCTCACTATTCTAGTATATGCTGAAGAAAACAACTGTGTATAACCAAGGTTCTCTGTAATTGCTTAGGCCTTTTAAAGGGAGAGTGGGCAGGTACAAATCATGTTGGTGAAAAGTAAATCCCTATACAGATGGCATACACTCACAAAGAAGAGCAAAGGATGGGGAAATGGAAAGAACAAAATTCAAATCAAGAATCAGGTCGTTTATGTTCCACCCTTCGGCAGCCCAGTAAAGCTGGCAGAGGCAGGCTATTTTGTCCTCCAGCCTGTGTAAAGAGAAGTCCCCAGAAGCAGTCCAAAGAGCCATCACCAGGGGCAATGGAGAGTTAAGTGCTCAGGGCCCTGGTCCTCTACCTAATTCACAGAGAAGCTCCTCTTTCTTTTTCTTTCTTCCTTTCTTTCTCTCTCTCTCTTTCTTTCTTTCTTTCTTTCTTTCTTTCTTTCTTTCTTTCTTTCTTCTTTCTTTCTTTCCCTTTCTTTCTTTCTCTTTCTTTCTTTCTTTCTTTCTTTCTTCTTTCTTTCTTTTCTTTCTCTCTCTCTCTCTCTCCCTCCCTCTCTTTCTTTCTTTTTTCTTCCTTTCTCTTTCTTTCTCTCTCTCCTTCCCTCTGTTTCTTTCTTTCTTTCTTCTTTCTCTCTTTCTGTCTTCCCTTCCTTCCTTCCCTCCCTCCCTCCCTTCTTTCTTTCTTTCTTTCTTTCTTTCTTTCTTTCTTTCTTTCTTTCTTTCTTTCCTTCTTTCTTTCTTTCTTTCTTTCTTTCTTCTTTTTCTTTCTAGGTCTCACTCTCTCTCCCAAGCTGAAGTGCAGTGGTGCGATCTTAGCTCACTGCAACCTCCACCTCCCAGGTTCAAGCGATTCTGGTGCCTCAGCCTCCTGAGTAGCTGGGATTACAGGCGCCCACCACCACACTCGGTTAATTTTTTTTTTTTTTTTTGAGACAGAGTCTTGTTCTGTCACCCAGGCTGGAGTGCAGTGGTGCAATCTCCACTCACTGCAAGCTCCGCCTCCCAGGTTCATGCCATTCTCCTGCCTCAGCTTCCCGAGTAACTGGGACTACAGGCACCCGCCACGATGCCTGGCTAATTATTTGTGTTTTTTGTAGAGAGGGGGTTTCCCCATATTGGCCAGGCTGCTCTCAAACTCCTGACCTTAGGTGATCTGCCCACCTTGGCCTCCCAGAGTGCTGGGATTACAGGTGTGAGCCACCGCACCTAGGCAGAAGCTCCACTTTCATCTGATTTGTAGACTAGAGCTCCATTTAAAAGTTTATCTGACAAAAAGGGGGTCCTGTTTTTAAAAATTTAAAAACCTATAGGCTATAGAATAAAGGACAAACTCCTTATTATGATTTTCAAGACATTTACAACCGGCGGCTCTATCCAGAGCATCCTCTGCCAGTCATAGTCAGCAAACCCCTTCCTGGCCAAGTAAAGAGCTTCCTTCCAATCTAGAACTAGAAATACCATTTGACCCAGCCATCCCATTACTGGGTATATACCCAAAGGATTATAAATCATGCTGCTATAAAGACACATGCACACATATGTTTATTGTGGCACTATTCACAATAGCAAAGACTTGGAACCAACCCAAATGTCCATCAATGATAGACTGGATTAAGAAAATGTGGAACATATACACCACAGAATACTATGCAGCCATAAAAAAGGATGAGTTCATGTCCTTTGTAGGGACATGGATGAAGCTGGAAACCATCATTCTCAGCAAACTATTGCAAGGACAGAAAACCAAACACCACATGTTCTCACTCATAGGTGGGAATTGAACAATGAGAACACATGGACACAGGGTGGGGAACATCACACATCAGGGCCTGTTGTGGGGTGGGGGGAGGGCGAGGGATAGCATTAAGAGATATACCTAATGTAAATGACAAGTTAATGGGTGCAGCACACCAACATGGTACATGTATACATATGTAACAAACCTGCACGATGTGCACATGTACCCTAGAACTTAAAGTATAATAAAAAATAAATAAATAATTTAAAAAACATAAAAAAGAGCTTCCTTCCTCAGAGAAGTCTTCCCCAAGCCATTTATTCATTTCCTCTCCCATGTTATCAATTACACCAACTTCGTATGTTTAGTCATTATTATACCAATAACATTGTTTTATCAACTATTTTGTTTCCGCGCCTGTTTCCCTTGCTTATCTGTTTGCTCCTCAAGAACAGGAGCCTTATTTATATCTCCAAGGTGCAGCACTGAAAGTAACTCTAGGTGTTTGACAAGAGCACTTAATTTCTGTGAACTTCAGATTTTCCTTAAGTATCCCAGACATTAGTTGGAGGCTTCCAGCCCCTCTGATGTGACCTGTCCTCTCTGTTTCACCATCTCACCATAACCTCCAAAGCTCATATCAATCTGGATGTAAACTTGGATGTGAAAACCAGAGCCTTTCAGAGGTGCTAAAAGTCATCTGCCCTCTGCAGTGATTTTCCTGTGGTTTGTACAGTCTGTCCTGAAGATTTGTGGAGCCATGGGAAAGGCTTGCATTCATAGAATTCCACTAAAAGCTCCTATCTAGTATTCGTGTATCCTGCCTTTCCCTCCACCACAACTTTGTTGTATGGTTATTTTTATTATTACTTTCTCGTCTGCTTATCTCCATTTAGTGCCTGGCCTCTCATCACTTTCTCTAACTTCCTACTCTTTCCCTCTCCTCAATAGTAATAAAACTGTCTCCTTTTGTGATAAATATAGCTGGTTAATGGCCATCACTTATTTTTCAATGTGTCCTTGAGGTCTTACCCTCCACCAAAAAGAATTATCAATGCAACCTATCACCAGAAAACAAACCAAAAATATTGCAGGGCTCTCATTAAGATGAATTCTGATGAATGTAATTTTTTTCAAGGGCTGAGGCTTAAAATGAAAACAATGGCTATGAATTTGTAGGAGTATGTAGGGTTCAATTATAAAATGCATATAAGCTTAACATGGTGGCTAGCACATGGCAGGGGCTCAATAAATCCTTTGGTTTCTGTATCTATAAAGACAAAGGTCAATGTTGAAAAGGCTAATAAGATATTGTCAAGAGCTGTAAAATGTCTGAGACTTTATTCTACTTAAAAGATAACTGGTGAGCCCACCACGGTTTCATGAATGCTGGCAGAGGATAGAAGACTCCTGGATCAGAGACAGAGACTTCGTGACTCATAGTGATGGCTGTAGTCACAGTGTCATCATTTTCTTGGGCCAGTTATCTGACCCCCAACTTCCACGGGGTGAGTAAAGAAGGCCAAGGGATGCCTACATAAGCAGTAGGCCGCATTACAGGAAGGGGACCCTGAGCTTAGAGAGCCCAAGTCTTTGAAATGGGCAGTAAGAGGACATTATCTTCATTATGCTGGACATTTAGCCTGTGTGCCATTAATTCCAGAAGGAGACACTATCTTCTAAGTCTGTTCACCACAAAATTTTTTTTGCAAATATAGTCTAGAACTAAGGCAGCCAATTCCTCTGCTTGCAGGACATGCAGAAGAGGAACAATTATCTCCCAACAGATAGTTATGAATAAAACCACAAAACTTTCAAATACTGTAATAAATTGTGCTATCTATGTGAGCCTGGGGTTAAAACTTGGGTTACAGATACATTAACTTCTTCATTTATAAATAGGAATACTTCCTATTAATAATTCAATCTCAGACATAGTCTGATACCCTTTGTCAATTACAAGTTTTAAACTCAGTTATTAGGAATATCTTTCCTTATTTATCTTTGGTTTGTATTGTATGTGCATACTCAAAGAATGATAAAAAAAATAAGTGAAGAGTTTTCCTGTTCTTTGAGGAAAGCTATTCTAATTTAATACTCCATTAAAAGTCCCCAGAGAGGCTGGTTGCTTGCTTGGTTTTTATACACTCAACTCAACATCCTTTTGAAAAATTATGCTTCCCCACTGGACCCAGTTTGATCCAAAGTACTGTCTACCCTCTCCTGGTTTCCTGGGCAAAGGATAAACCATGTGATCCAAACCAGGCCAACTGGACACTCCTTTGCTGGAATTGGAACTTCCATTTGGCAGAGCACCTTGGTAAGGTAATGGTTGCTACCTAGGCCTCTTAAGATGCACCTTGTCCTACAGCTTCCCTGTCATCTCTGAATCAATCAGTATCTCTCCAATCAATTCTTTCAGTCAGAGAGTTAGTTTCTCTAGTTTTAAATGAAAGAGTCTTGATTAATCAGAAATGTGGGAGTTAAAGTTCAGAGAGTTTATGTCAAGGGTATTGTGGGGAATATATATAAGTGTGTGTGTGTTGTGCGTGTGTCTGTGTGTGTGTGTATGTATTTTTTTCTTTTCCTCACAATATGTTTGAAAATGGAAAGTGGAACTGGAGGTAGCCTTATAAGAATATAATCAGATATGATATAATCAGATGAGTTAAGCAATTCAAATGTTATGATTGGCAGTCTTACAGAATATTACCCTGAATCATAGTGCAGTAAATTTTAATATATTTTAAAGTGGAAAACACTGTAATAAGGAATAAAACAATATTTCATTTGAGTTTTCTCTGGAAATCTAACAAAGCCCCTTAAGAAGATATTTTAATGAAGTAAACTTGGAAAAAGTTACAGTAAAGTGAGACCACCAAAGCCCATGTCTAATTTCTTTATTTCTTTTTCTGAAGTGCTTACTTGCATATAATTTATATGTTAATCAGTTATTAATAAATAAACCATAGGAAATGGAATTCCTTTGTGTAAGAGCTATACCAAATGAATTCTGCTTTAAAAACCAGTGGGACGATGGTGATTCTTTCCAGCAAAATTAAATTCTAGCATTATAAACTTCCAGTTATTCTGTCATAAAATGTTAATTCAAACACAGAGTAGCTCCTTAATGGGAGGTTAAGGTAAAATTCCTGATGGCTTCAAAATTTTCTGTAAATTAGTATCTTTTTGGACAGTTGGTCAATTCTACACGTATCCTCTTGGTCACTTATCTATTTTGGATCTTACTGTTTGTCAATATCATTTATTAGAAGTTTCTTTCATTTTCAGAAAACTATACTGTATGTACAGTGATGGGTGATGAGAAAGAAATAGAGATATTTCCTACGTTTTCTATTGTCAGAGGAAAATTATTAGCAGCCATGAGACGATGCAATGAAGCAAAGGGAGACTGAAGCTCCTTTTAATTTTCGATATATTCCTTGGTCTTTCAGCGCCTCTAGTAGTCTTGCCCTCATTATATAAAACACAGTAGTAAAGCTGTCACAATTTGGCAGTTTAAATTAGAGAAAAATATTGAAATTACATTAAATTTATATAAATGGTCCCAAAATATCTTAATTTATGGTAAGCAATTAGAAGTACCTTATTTCTTAGTAATGTACTTGCACTTTAAAAAAATACATCAAAGTACTACCATATCTAGGGTTAGTTAGAATGTAGCAATGGCACATTCAAGGAGTCTGCCTCTCTGAGAGTTTATCTTTCAATTTTGAAATTCTGAAGATTTATCAGTTTCGTATTCTACAGGCCACAATTCAAAGTTGAGGACCACTTGAGTCAGAAGTGTTTACTTTTGAAAACTAAGAGCATTTTGCCTTTTGGCCATTACACAAAATCCTTTTTATAATTTTCATTTTGCAGTTCTGAAGAATTTTAAGTAAAACTCTGATTCCAGTGTTTTTAAGATTATCTCCTTTAGAAAAGCAAATTATATCACTTAAGGAGAAGCTAAATCACAAATGTGGTTATAGAGTTAGCAATCTAGCAGAATGACAGCTTTTGATCTCATATTATAGTTTTTAGGCATCCTGATGAAGCCTAACTTACATGTTAACATAGAGAAATTTGGAAGGTCTGACAATATTTCAGAGTAAATTAGCTTCAGGAATGTTCCTGATATTAAGGCCTGCAAAGCACCTACAATTTTCAAGAGACAATCAGGCTGTCAATCAGTTTTCACAAAATATGCATCTCAGATCCTAAAAAAATGGAAGTACAAATATGTCAAAAATATACTTGAAACTGTTGTTTAAGTGACAGGAAATTACTGATAGGAAGTATATACTCCAAGTGTTCTTTCCTTTGTAGCTAAATCTGTGAAAACTTTTATAAATCTCACAATTTTAAAACAAACGTTCTACTTTGTCTAGTAAATCCTAATTTAACGTATTTGTTCAATTCTAAGTATACCATAAAATAGTCAGATGGACAATTGAAGTATCCTAACAGAAATTTAACAGTGAAAGAACTAAGCTTATGATAAAAAGAAATTTCTTCAGATAACTTTCTGAAAGTGTTTTTGCACCTATAAACATGACATCTAAGTGCATTTCAGATTCTTTATAAAAGATATCCAAATTCACTACTAAGAATATGGCAGCTTGGAAAAGTTAGCAACAGCCAGACAGGTGTGGCATTTTCATGTTCTTGCACTGTGGATTGCTAGAATAAGAAACTGAACTCAGAATGTAATAAGCTTAAAAACAAATTCTTTTTCTCCTCCTCTCATCTAAGCTGGTCTTTTCACAATCTCCTGTTTTCACAAGTGTCTGGAAGTAGGAGGAAGAGGGAGTAGGCAGAAAGAGGGAAGGTAGGAGGTTGATTGGTGAGGTGGAGAAAGGAAGACATCAAAGAGCAGTCATCACCTGTCACTCTGAGCAAAACCAATTAGCTTCATTCATTGGGAACCCCAGGAATATCGCAGCCAGAAACCAGCCTTAGTGTCAATGTCTTTGAAGCATCGAAGCCATCTTTGGTAAATTAGCAGCCACTCTAGCTGCATCATGACCCTCAACCAGGCCAGCAGAGAACACTTTTCTGAAAATTGCCATGCTCTTCCTGGAATAAGAGTCATTAAGTTGTTTTCTTGAGTTTCTGGATCTTAGCACATAGTTCACAGCAGAAGAAGCTTCTCTGTACAGTATTCTTCAATTGCATCAAATCAGCTCCAATAGCCCACAAGGGAAAGGGGCTTGTCTTTGCTTTGTTATGCTCCTGACATTCATCAAAATCACTACATTTGTTTTTTGCTCTTCACAAACTTTCCTAAGATGAAAAGATGTTTTTCCTTCTTCCTTTTCCACTGGCTATCACTGCCTTGGGTGTTTTGAAGATTACACTTCACGTGGAACTCCTCTTATTGATCCAGAACCAGTGATGTTGGACTGCACGGCCCTCACAGGGCCAGGGATGCATCACTGAGCCTTCCACATGGAAACAGTATCCCTCTGTGGCCAGACTGGCTCCCAAAAGTGAGGGAGAAGTCCCATAAAGTTTTGCAGAAAAAATATTGTGAACCAATGTACTTGCCAAAATCTTGTAACATGCGTGAATGCTCTCTCTCTCTCTGTCACACACACACACGCACACACACACACACACACACACACACACACACACACACTGTATATAGGAGCTCAGAAAATATATCACTCATGTGAAGTTCTAAAAAAAAATGTTTTGAAGATACATTGTAGCTGAAGAACATATTATAGATGGAATAGATGGTAAATTAAAAATATAAAACCCTAGTGGCTCACGCCTGAAATCCTAGCATTTTGGGAGGTGGAGGCAGGCAGATCACTAGAGGTTAGGAATTCAAGAGCAGCTTGGCCAACATGGTGAAACCCCATCTCTACTAAAAATACAAAAAAAAAAAAAATAGCCAGGCATCGTGGTGCACACCTGTAATCTCAGCTACAAAGGAGCAGAAGGCTGAGGCAGGAGAATCGCTTGAACCCCGGAGGTGGAGGTTGCAGTGAGCTGAGATGGTGCCACTGCACTCCAGCCTGGGCAACAGAGTAAGACTCCATCTCAAATAAATAAATAAATAAATAAATACCTAAAAGCTATATTCAACATAACATAAGAAAACATCAATAAACTTGATCCACAAAATGTAACATATATATGTAAATATAAACCAGAAAAATAAATATGTAAATGTCATAATACCTTATGTGATATTTACATGTATCTACATGTAAATTTTTTAAACAATATAATATATAAACAAGAAAAACAAATGCATCAAATATGATAAACAATTAGCTAACATGCTTAATATGCAAATTACTCTAATAATTTTTTAACACATTTAAGAAATATTTGGTAGACATTCACTCATATCTACTAGCTAAAATGAGCATGGAATTTTTATGTACTGCTGATGAGAGTGTAAATTTGTTCAACTTTTCTGGAAAGCAATATACGTCACATATCATGTCTTAACATGTTTCTATTCTTTGATCCAGTAAAGTCCATTTCTAGAAATCTAAATAAGAGTTAATAATATGATCAAAGATTTATGCAAAAGAATGTCTAATAATATAAGAATAGTTAAGAAAATCAAGAAACATTCATGAAATGAGCTATTTTGTTATTAAAATTTTTTACAAAAATTTATCATCAGAAAATATTAACATAACTCTAAGTTTTTAAAAAAGCCAGCATGTTAAAAAATGTACTCAGGTTCACAATTTCTTATCTGCAATTCTGAAATCCAAGAAATTTACAAAAACCAAAAGACTATTCTGTAACTATAATTAAACAGCAAAACATGACCTTAACTAATATAAAACTATAGACTTTATTCATCTTATTTATTGTGAATAGCTGAACATTAATTATTTGTAAAAATAATTAATGTATTTGATTATACAGTCTAATCCCAGATTATACTGGAGGTATCATACAATATACAGTTTACCAAATTACCTTTTTATATTCAATCATTTCTCAGTTCTTAATCACATTTGGTTCCAAAGGTTTCAGATAAGGGATTGAGGGTTTAATTTTCAAAAATGTTATCCATTTGTATATAATAATCCTTAATTCTATCTAGGTAGTTAGAAGGGTGCGAAATAGAAAGGCAGAGAAAGGAAAGAGTTCAGGGATAAAGGAATGGAGGAAGTGTTCTAGAATATTAGTAGTGATCTATGAGAAGTGGAATTACAGGTGATTTTTGTTTATTTTTCAATATTTTGAATTTTCTAAAATAAACAAGCTTTTAGAATCAATTAAAACAAAAAATACTATAAAAATATCATTTTAAAGGTCATTTTTCACTATTAGAAACTCTTTATGAAAAACACAAAGAAATGCTTAACCAAGGTTGTATTTAAATTATGACAAATTTAAACTTAGTGGAAGATATATTAACGGATTTTAGTGTAAATATATATATACATATACACATATCTATGTAGTTGGTATTTACTTCAATTTAGCTTGCACTTCCGTACCCATGTAAATGCACACATATATGTAAATATTTACACATATAAAGTATATGCATATATATAAAACTTTCTCAATTAGGTCTAGCTTGTTCACCTCATTTAAAAACGCAACATCTCTTGTGCTCTAGATTTTCTAAGCCTGCCCTATTTTTCCCCATTACTCTTACCACCTTCTATCATAGTATATTTGTTATTTATTTATTCATTCATTTATTTTAATTTCAATTTTAATTGATACACACATAACGGATGTATGTATTTGGGGGGAACATGTGATGATTTGATACATTCATATCATGTGTACAAATGAAATCAGGATAACTGGGATATCCATCACCTTAAATATTTATCTTTTCTTTAAGCTAGGAACATCTGACTTAGTCTACCTATTTTATCATAGTAAATTTATTAATTTATTATGCTGATCATTTATTGTTTATCTTTCTCCCTGTAGGGTATTAGCACACAAGGGCTTAAAATGTTTGTCTATTTTCTTCACAAACATCCCAAGCACCCAGAACAGCTTCTGACACATATTAGGTATTCAAGAAATATCTGTTGAATTAGTGAACACATATAATTTTGAATAATACTCAATAACATAGAGAAGAACACACATTAAGTGATTCATAGAATCTCTGAATTTTCAGGATCATAGAATACCAGATCTGAAAGAAGCCTGACATCTCTTTAGTCGAACTAAATATGATTTATCTAAATGTGACTTTAGGCCATTAATTACTATTTGATAGGATATCCAAGTACGGTATTTCTTTTACACTAAGAAACATTTATAACCAGTTTTCTAGTAAAAAGTCTTCTCAAAGTTTGCCTTTTTAAGATGTTTTTCATTTCTAAAGAGAAGATTCAGGACTCCTCTTAATTATTTTGTGATGTAATTCTGGTTTAGTGGTTTATTAAAATAATATTCCTTTGACCCCTTTAATCTTGTTTGAGAAAAAATATCCTATCATCTAGTTTCTGAGGATAATGTAGAACATTATAGGAATGAATATGCAATACAGACAAAATTATCTACATAAACTTCCATCTTATTATTTACATAACCTACATTGACACCATGCCCTCCTCTCACAGGATAAAACAACTCCAGAATCAGCCACACAGCAAGGTTAGATAGAGCCTGCATGAGTTGTGTATGTGTAAGCATAAAGAACCCACAGAATTATGGTGGGGAAAGATGCAGTCAGAACAAAACCCTTTTGCTCTCCCACTATTCTGCAGAGCAAGTCATTATCATTCTTCTACTTTTGTATACGCTCCCTGTGAAAAGTGGCCCTAAGATGTTAGGCTGCCACTGCTTGGGGTGGTCTGGAGTCAGAAATAAAGTTTCCAGATACAGAAGGATTAGATGGAAGCATACTTCCGATGTTTTTCCTTCCTTTAGCCCCTCTGAGTGTGTTTCTTTTTTATTTATACATTCTATTTAGCATGGTATCTTCCATGCTAACAGTTTCTCTGTTGGCCTTCGTGATGTCAATTTCTGTTGCTTTATGTTGTGCTGTGTAGCAGACACTTGGTTTTCTTCCCAAGGAGCCCGTTTCCTTATTATAGAACTTATATTTGATGCAGGTATTATTAGAGTTCTCAGAGAAGTCCAGTCCTGCTTTAGTCTCAGCCCAGATGGAACCTTAATTATCCTCTACCAATCATAACACAGTACAGGAATTGCATTTCCCTTGCCAGTTTGAGGTTGGGTTGCAAAGAGGTTCCTGATCCAATTCTAAGTAGTAATACATGAGTGGACATTGAAATATATGGGGTATTTTTTGGGGAAAGATTCCAAGTTCTTAAAAAGAGATGTGTGTGTGTGTGTGTGTGTGTGAGAGAGAGAGAGAGAGAGAAAGAGAGAGAGAGAGGGAGCACCCTTTTGTTTTTTTGTTTTGTCTCTGGACATTGATGTATGAGGATATAAGGTTTGGAGATAACGTCATTTTGCAAACATGAAAAGGAGTAACAAAAGAGCAAGGCTGAAGGCTGGTAGAACAAAAAGAATGACTGTGGATACTTAATGACATTCTTGATTTGCTGAATCAATCAATCCTGGCGCCTCCCTACATCAGAAGCCCTAGTTATGTGTGACAATAAAGTGTCCATGTTGGCCAAGCCATTTTGACTAAAAATCAAAAGCCTGCCTCTTCAGCAATATGATAGCAGCCAATCTGCACATTTTTAAGTCAGGCTTGGTTGTTTGCTGTAGTAATGCAACCTTAGATGTTTTCAGTTCTCACTTTTGCCAACCTCAGTCTACGATTTCAGTTTGAGCAATCATTTGGCATTTTTGAAGTGGTTTGCCTATTCATAGGCTACATCTTAATCCCTTAGACCTTCAGAACCTTAGACCCTCATCTATGGTCTTATTTCAAAGCTATTCTTTGAACTTTAAATTTGGCCTAAATTTTAGTGTCTTTATTATATGAAATAAATGTATTTCAGAATGTTGACTGCATTATAAAGCTAGTGTTGGTGATTTATCTGTTGTCTTATATGAAGAAACTAATGGCATATTTGCAATCAACAGTTCCTTCAAGTGAAATTGAATTTTAAAATATTCCAGCAAAAGAGATTATCAGGTTCACCAGTGTACCACTGGATGACATTCATAGTTGCTTGAGAACTTGCAAAGGTTTCTCAGATGGAGTATTTTATTCTAGCATTGCTATCAATTTTCAGGGTCATGGAACTTCTTACATTCCCAACATCCTTTTGAAATGTTTATCATATTCCAAATTTAACATTTTCTTCTAAGTTTCTAATTGACATTCAGTAGTTGTTCATAGTTGGGGGTGCATGTGATATTTCAATGACTGTATACAATGTGTGATGATCAAATCAGGGTAATTGGGATATTCATCACCTCAAACATTTACCTTTCCTTTGTGTTGAGAATATTACAATTCTTCTCTTCTAGTTATTTTGAAATATACTATACAAATGAAAATCCTGTGATTAATTCTGATGAAAAGAATATAAAAGTTTGAAACTCTATCTTCTCCGAACCTATCTCTAAGCCCAGACCTAGAGCTGGAAACATCACTTCCTTATCTTTCACACAAGAGAGATGAGCTAGACCCAATATTTCTAAAAGTTTTCCACTGGAGAACCTCTAATGGCAAGATGATAATGAATGTGTTAAGAACATAGACTCTTTTGGAAGACCTCCATCATAAATGAAAAATTGAGGCCAAGTTTGCAGTTAAAGTCATGATATAGATTTGCTTTCATACATAAATATTGAATAAAATTGATATGCCAAAAAAATGTGCCATGCATATTCTGTGACTACTTATACTTCAGATGCACCATTTTACTCTAGTAATATATATCTTGTAATTTTATAATTTGACAGAACAGTTTCTATTCTAAAATGTTAAGAATTTTTATATTGACATTAGACTGCAATATCATGTGTCATCAGTAGGTGCCACCACTTAACATAAATTTCAGAATATGACTATTCCTTAGTTCAATGTTCATAATTAATTAGTACATTTAACAATTAATGTCATAAATGTAGAAAATGCATAGTTCTATTTGAAATAGAAATACTTTCCTTAGGAATCTAGAAAAAGTTAAATTCTGTAAAAGAATGCTGTAAAAAAAGAGGCTATGTGAAATTTAGTGAAATCAATGGAGAAAATGAATGCAATCCTTTGGAAAGGCATCCATTATCTTTCTGGAGTTTGGAATACCAAAGTTCCTATTATAATAGATCATGCCCTTGGAAGTTTTCAAAATAAAAAGATAAGCCTGTTCACAAATACATTAACACAATTCTCTCTTCTTCTTAAAGAAAAAAAGATAATAATACTAGCAAAGAGTTATGGTGGAAAACACATGGGATTTGTGATTGAACAGACCTATTTGATCCTAGCTCTTCTACTTACTATTTGGACCATCTTAAGCAATTTTAATCAATCTTTTCTCTTTTTATACAGACTTTTTGAAAGATTAATAACTTTTGTAAATCACCTGGCACATAGTAGGCGTTCAGAAACAGTAGCTATCAGTAGCAGTCATGTTTCAGCTAAGTGTAGCATCAGCATGAATAAAGCACTGCTAGGCATTGGTTCTCGTGTTAGTTTCCTAGAAGTGCTGTAATACTCTATTCAACAGTCTTCTCAGATGTCTTTAGAAATGCTTTAAAAATGGGTGGGGCATGGTGGCTCATGCCTGTAATCACAGCACTTTGGGAGGCTGAGGCGGGAGGATCACCTGAGGTTAGGAGTTTGAGACCAGCCTGGCCAACATGGTGTAACCCCATCTCTACTAAAAATACAAAATGTGGGCATGGTGGCCGGCGCCTGTAATCCCAGCTACTCTGGAGGCTGAGGCAGGAGAATCGCTCGAACCTGGGAGGTGGAGGTTGCAGTGAGCCGAGATCATGCCACTGCACTCCAGCCTGGGGGACAGAGAAGACTCTGTCTCAAGAAAAACGAAAAAAAAAGAGAGAGAAATGCTTTAAAGATGAATGGTTAAGATCTCCATGCTTGAAGTATAATTTGGAGGCATGAAAACAAAAGCCATGTGCGTGCCTTACAGGATTTTATATTGTTCTAGGTTTTGTGGAAAAGAAAAGAAAAAGATTTTTTGGTGTTTTATAACAAATTCTTTCTTTCTAATTCTTTCCAGAATCTTCTTATTGGAAGACCTTGTTTATTTTTAGCTCAGTATCTTGAAATCTCCCCATTCCCTGTCCAGTGTCCTGGTGGTAGTGGTGGTGGTGGTGGTACTGATGGTGGCAGTTTTTGCTCTACATACACCTAAGTTTGTCTAGAACACAATTAACAATTATGCCTGGGTCTTGAGAAGCAGTCCGCCTGGGCAATGAATAATGTCATGATGGCTGTGACTCAGTATGTTTCTTTCACAAAAGAATTGCACATACAGTTCTCGAGACTGACCAAAAAAAGGTTGAAAGTTGTTTAACAATTTAAATAGGCTACCTTGACAATAAGCTTTGCATTGAAATACAGTTGAAATGAAAACAGGAGATATGCTTTGGATAGCTAGTCACAATACTACCCAACAAGACCAAGATCATGACCACAAGAGCCTTGTAAATGAATTGGCATCAGATCACGGAACTTCTGGCATGATTGAAAACAAAGAGAAAAACTGTTTTACAAATGCCAAACATATGGCAAGAATTCTTGTTTGGAAAACTGAAGGGCCAGTGTTAGTGTTGTTAATAGATATTCTAAAAAATCAGCTGTCTTGCGTTGATGCAATAAACACATCTCTGTAGAAATCGCTTCAAAGCAACACAATCATGAGGTTATAAAGGTAGACTGAAAATCTGCATCGCTGTTTGTGTCATTTCTGGTCCCCAGGATCCTTATCCTGCAGCTTTTTCTCTAGGTCCTTTCCCATTGGCTCTGCCACACTTTCAAGACACTGTTGGTCTAAAAGACAGAATCAAATCTATGCATGACATTTTAAAACTTGCCTTATGAGAAGAGTTTTGCAATAATTACTCTCCAATTTTGAATATGATCTTTTCCTTTGGTTCAATTTCTGAAGGCTAAGCAATAAGGAATAAACTGTAGGGATCAATTTATTCTCCATGTTTGGAAAGTCCCAAATATTCACAAGCACTAATACCACAAAGGTGCTGAGCTCAAAGTGTGTGCTTAAAAGAACACTAGCTGCTTGAGCGTAGTGGGCTAGAGTGAGTCTTTCCTGATCACTCCATCTGGGATTTGTGGTTACCTAGGTCTACCCCATATTCAGAGAGGAGAATGGAGCCATCAAAATACTGACATCATGGAAAGAGGGCTAATGGAGGTTCCTTTGAGTGTGTGGTTAATGTTCTACCTTGGTCTTAGCCTTTTGCATTTATATGGGCACATTCAAGATACTCACACCACACAAGCATGGCATATAAGCAGAAGGGGAACAAACAGATGTTTTTTCCCCCCTGGTATGACAGGGCCGTAACTAAAGGGTGCTGCAGAAGCTATGTCACACTGATCTCAGCTGGTCTTTACTTTAGCATCTGTTTTTTTTTCTAGGGCTCCCTCAAAAGGGATATCCCTAACTAACCCATCAGGGCCTTCTCTCCCATACATCAGTCCATGTAGAAACAACAAAGGAATTTGATTGTGCTAGTTTTCTGTGTAAGCCCCCACACCAGGCTTGTTAGCAGAAGCCTCCTCCTTCACCCAGCCTGGCTGGCTTCCCCTTCGCAGTCAGGAGTCTTCATTTAAGTCCCTTTTAATGAGAGGAGCTGAGAGCTAACTCAATAGTCCCAACCTTCCTCTTAAAGGAATGAGCTCCACCCTCCCACAACAGCTACTTCCAACAGCATTCCTAATAAGACTCTGTAATGTTTTCCTATACTTATTCAGTGCCTACACATTTTTATTTTCAGAACCAACGGTGCTATTTTTCAGAGAAACAGTGAACTTATCACATTTGAAAGAGGACCCTGTCACCTACTGCTTTCCCAAATGAGCTTACAGGCCGAAGGTTACCTATTAATATACCAATCTCCATGAGTACTGTAGACTAATGAAAAGCATGGTCACTCACCGATAAATATTGAAAATGCCATCATCAGTTTGAGCTTATTCCACCGGAATTCCGAATCCATTATTGCTTCATGAGTTGAAACCTGTTTGCTGAAGAGAGGTGTTCGGCACTCAAAGAAGGAAGGATGGCGTGCAAGGGCTATTTCTGCTTCCAATTATTTCAGTGGCTTGTTTGGGGCTAAATAAGCCACTTAATCTAGAAATGCTTAAATAATTGCTTAAATGATGCCTGGGTGAGGGGTAGCTTGCTGAATCTCAGTGGTAGTTCTTTTGATTTGAGAAAGATTTGTACGGGTTCCCAGACCTGCTTGTGGACATCCCCGGGAAGTCTATTCTGTGCTATTCTCTGTTTTTGTTTCCAACTGACAGAGTTCTTCAAATACAGAGTGGCATGTTCAAAGATATATGTAGCACAAGTATCTCTTTGATTCATGAATATATGCCCTCAAATTTACCTCTAGGAAATTTTTTTAAAATATTTAATAGAAAATTTTTTAAAGTCTATTTTTTTCAACTCCTCCATTTAATCAGCCTGACTCAATCAGCCTTGTTTAACTTTATAACCAGCTCTCTTTCACTGAGGTAGAATTTTTGAAATGCTGCTGTATTGCACCTGTCATTTTGCGTATGACATCTTTGGTAAGCAGCAGGGGCAAAATTGGCAATATCTCTCAGCCGCAGAGTGAGAGGTACACACATTTACTCAGGTGTTGCTCTTCACTCATGGGCTTTATCACACAGCTTTGGAAACTGTCCAAAATCTGTGACTTTTGCCATTTTAAACACTGATTTCCTATTATAAGAAATGAGATGATTCATGTTTGCAAACAGTGGTTCTCAAAGCATAGTCCTCAGATCAGCAGCAGCAACATCAGCTGGGAACATGTTTGATATGCAAATCCTCAGGCCACACCCCAAAATTTGAATCAGAAACTGGAAGAGTGGGGGCCTACCAATCTGTTGTAACAACCTTCCCAGCGCTTCATTGCACACTGAGAGATACTTAGCAGAAGAGCAGATTTTACCTGCACACTAGTTGGATAACACAGAGGAGAAGCTGTCCTGTGCTCCTGGAAGTCTTAACAAAGCACTGTAACATTCACTAAACAATCTCCCACTTGCTGTGCGTTCTTTTAATCACAACCCAAAGATACCATGGTCAGTATGCTGTAGAAGACCTTAAATAACCAATCCTTTTAAAGCCTTTTGCCTTTACTAAAGAAATGATGAAATTTTTTGTTGTTCTCACCCAAATCCATGTACCACATTAATCATATTCTTTGAAGTGGGAGGCCCTGTTGAAAAGAAGAGAATGAACAATTACGAGGCCAAAAGGCAGTAGAGACACCATAGGTATGTACAGCTGGCATGGTTCTCATGAAGTAACCCACAGGTTATGCCTGTTTTAAATATTTTTTTAAAAAGAATCTTCATCTATAAGATTTTTCTCTTTCTTTACTACTGAAGCTAAATCTCTTGTTCAGAACATTGTTATCTTGCTTGAGAACTCTGTAGCCTTATCCTAATCGGCTTTCTTCTCAAGCAAATTTATTTTTAATCCTCTCAGGTCAACGCTAAATTTAGCCACTCAGGTAATCTTTTCTGTTGTTGTTGATCGATGTGGCATGCTGGTCATTTTCTTTAATTTTTTTCCGTTAATTTCTCGGTTCATATCTTGAGTACTCATGTCTTTCAGTCATCTTCATTTGGCTTTTTGGTCCTGTGTGGTCCTCTCTTTTATTCGCTCACTATCTTCCACCCATGCCATTATTTTATTAGTTTTATTCAACCTGCCTTTTGAGTGTCCTATCTTTGACTTTTTCTGCCATCTACTTAATGTCAGACAGTATTGCCTGGTAAATAGGTAAGCTGAGGAGCTGTCCATAGTGGCAGGGTGAAGTAAGGACAGTGCCTACATAGAATCTCTCTGTGGAGGAGAATCAAGGTCCCTGAGTGCAAGAGACCACAGATAGAAGTCAGGTTGGCCAGCATGGAGTCATGTCTTTACCATCACTCGTTTCTTCTGGGCATACCGAGCCATCTCGCCATCTCCAGTTCCATGTTAATCTTCTGTTTTGCATGTCTCTTCCAGACTCTGGCATACCCATGCCCTTGTGGAAGAGGTCTGCAGTGGGATTTGAGAATTTGTGTTTCTCGTATGTAGTGTGCTACTAGTCCAAAAACCGCACTTTGAGAGGCTTTAGACAGAGCAGTAAAAACCAATGCCACAAAAAAATGGTCCCTCTGGGCAGATCAATGATAAAAAGACATACCCACAGGGCAGAAAATGTTGTAAGAGTTTCTCTGGGTAGACAAAATACAGTCAGGTGGTCCTTCCCTTAAGTGGATGTAGCCCTCAAGGCTTGGCAAGTGCTGTCTGGACTGAATTGCAAGCCCCATTCCCACCCCACTGCCCAGCCTAGTACCTTTGTTTCATGCCAGAACTGCACAACCTGATCCATGGTGCTGCTTGTCTTTCCCTCCTTTCTTACTACTCTGTCTAAAGCAATGGCTCTCAAAGCACGGTTCTTGGACCAATATCACTATCACCTAGAAACATACAAGAAACACATATTCTCAAACCCCACTGCAGACCTTTTGATTCAGCAAGCAGCAGTCTGTGTTGAATCAAATCCTCCAGATGATACTGATGCATGCCAAAAACCAAACAAACAAACAAACAAAAAAAAAAAACCAAAAATACCTGGCATACAAGTCCTCAGTAAATGTTTGACTGTTAAAAGAATACATGAATTTATCCTTCAAAATTAAGCTCATGCATTGTCTCCTTGAGAACAGCCCCATTCCCAGCCCCCATCTTCTGTTCTATATCCTCTGTGTGGCTGTATCTTCTGTGTTCTCACAGCACTCCGTATCACTGTGCAGCAAGATTTAATGCGTGATGCAAAATCATTTCCTTTCTTGGCTCTTTCCATGACACGGGCATTTCATGAGCATAGAATCTGTTCACCGAAATTAATTTTGCAGTCCCCAGCACAGTGCCTGTGCCACTGTGAATAGAGACAATTCACATGAGAGAAAGCAAAGGAAGAAGATGCAAGCAAATAAACAGGCAAAGAATAAAGTAGTCACTTTCATCTTCTTTGCATCTTCTTGGAATTTTACCTGCCCAAAGGACTGTGGGCAAGCAGATTTCTTTGCATAAAATTCCAATCAATTCAAAAATCCATGCTCAGAAAAAATCTTTCCTTATTGTGCATGAAATAATGTGCATTTCTTCTTGTCCAGTGTTTTGCTTACCGGTAGTTTGATTACTTGTAAACTTGAAGACATATTATATGAAAATATCCAGTCAGAAGGAAAAAAGAAGACAGTCCATAGAATTTGTGGGACACCATCAAGGAAATCAATGTATGCATGATCAGAATCTCAAAAAATAGAAGAGAGAGAAAGGAAAAAAACTTATTTAAAGAAAAAAATTGAGAAAAACTTCTCAAATCATGGGAGAGATATAAACAATCAGATCCATGAAGTTCAGAGGTTCCTAAATAGAATCATCCCAAAGAAGATGACACCAAAATACTTATAATTAAAATATGAAAAGCTAAAACCAAAGAGAGAATTTTGAAAGCAGCAAGAGAGAAGCAATTCATCGCTTAAAATGGAACCCCCATACAGCCATGAATAAATTTCTTAATAGAAACCTTGTGAGCCAGGGGAAAGTGGAATGATATATTTTAAGTGCTGGAAAAAACTGCCAATCAAGAAAATTATATTCAGCAATATTGTCCTTCAGAAATGGAGACATAAAGACTTTTTCATATAAACAAAAGCTGAAGCAGTTCATAACTGTTAGATCTGCCTTACGAGCAATGCTAAAGGGAGTTCTTCAAGTTCAAATGAAAAACTGCTAATTAGTAACATGAAAACATATAAAAATATAAAATTCACTGGTGTATGAGTGTATAGTCAAATTCAGAATATTCAGAATATTCCAATACTGTAATTGTGGTGCACAAATTACTTTTAAACTCTAGTATAAAAGTTAAAAGACAAAGGTAGTAAAAATAACTATGGATAAAGTGATTTGTTAATAGATACACAATATAAAAAGATGTAAATTGTGACACCAATAACATGAAATATGAGGGGGGAGATACAAAAGTGTAGAGTTTTTGTATCTAATTGAAGTTAAATTCTTATCAGCTTAAAATAGACAACTATAACTAAAAGATGTTATAGGTAAGACTTACGGTAACTACTTTAAAAACTCTAGTAAATATTCAAAAGAGAAAGGAATCAAAGCATATCATCACAAAAATTCCTCAAATCACAAAGACAGAAAGAGAGCAAGAAGGAACAAAAAAAAATACAACAGTCAGTGAACAATTCAAAAAATGGCAACAATAAGTTCTTACCTATCCATACGTACTTCAAACATAAATAGATTAAATACTCCAATCAAAAAATATGGAGTAGCTTAAGGGACTTAAAAAGAAACAAGATCTAGCAATATTCTGCCTACTAGTGACTGCCTTTAGCTTTAAGAACACATAGTCTGAAAGTGAAGGGGTGGGAAAAAAAAAAAAAAGAACTCCATACAAATGGTAACCAAAAGAGAGCAGGAGTGGTTATACTTAAATCAAACAAAGTAAATTTTAAGTCAAAAAATGTCATAAGAGACAAAGAAGGTCATTACATAAAAATAAAAGTGTCAATTCAAGAGGAAGAGATAAGAATTATAAAAATATATGCACCCAATATCAAAGCACTTAAATACATAAAGCAAACTTTAACAGATTTGAAGAGATAAATAAAGAGCAATACAATAATAGTAGAAGACTTTAATAACCCAATCTGTGTAGCAGATAGATCATCCAGGCAGAAAATCAATAAGCAGCAGAACTAAACAACACTATATACACCAAAATAGACCTCCCAGACCTATATAGAACTTTCCACCAACAGCAGAAGAATCACATAATCTTTTTTAAAAACTTGTATATTGAGTTGTAAAATGATAAATTGTACTTGAATGTATTTATGGGTTACAAAGTGATGTTATTCAATGTGGAATAATTAAAGCAAGCTAATTAACATGTCCATTAACATAAATACTTATTTTTTTCTGATGAAAACATTTGGTATTTATGTCTTAGCAATTTTGAGATGTACAATTCATTTTTTAAACTATTTCCACCATGCTGTGCAATATATCTCAAAGAAAAAAAAAAAACACCTTTATTTCTCACTGGGTGTGAGCATGCCTATTATCCCAGCGCTTTGGGAGGCTAAGATGGGAGGATTGCTTGAGCCCAGGAGTTCGAGACCAGCCTGGGTAACATGGCAAAACCCTGTCTCTACAAAAAACACAAAAATTAGCTGGGAGTGATGGCAGGCACCTGTAGTCCCAGGTACTCAGCTACTTGAGAGGCTGAGGTGGGAGGATCACTTGCACTGAGGAAGTCAAGTCTGCAGTGAACAGTGATTGTGCCACTGCACTCTAACCTCCATGACAGAATAAGACCCTATCTCAAGAAAACAAACAAACAAAAACCTTATTTCTCATTTTTCAGGATAGATCACATGTTTGGTCACACAGCAAGTCTTAGCAATTTTAAGAAGATTGAAGTTATTCCAAGTATCCTTTCTAACAAAATTAAAATGTAACTAGAAATCAATGACAATTAGGGATGAAAAAATTCACAAATCCATGAAAATTAAACAACATATTCTCAAATAACCATGGAGTCAAAAAAGAAATCAAAGAGGATTTTTTAAAAAATCTCACAATAGGCTGCACATAGTGGCTTGTGCCTGTAATCCCAGCACTTTGGGAGGCCCAGGAAGGTGGATCATTTGAGGTCAGGAGCTCGAGACCAGCCTGGGCAACATGGCAAAACCCCATCACTACTAAAAATACAAAAATTAGCCAGGTGTGTTGGCGCACATCTGTAATCGCAGCTACTCGGGAGGCTGAGGCAGGAGAACTGCTTGAACCTGGGAGACGGAGGTTGCAGTGAGCCGAAATTGTGTCACTGCACTCCAGCTTGGACTACAAAGTGAGACTCTGTCAAAAAAAAAAAATCTCACAACAAATGAAAACAAAAATACAGCATATCAAAACATATAGGATAAAACAAAAGCAGTACTAAAGGTGAAGCTTATAGCAATAAATGGCTATATTAAAAAGGAAGAAATATCTCAAACAAACAACCTAACTTTACATTACAAGGAACTAAAAAAAGAAAAACTAAGCTCAAAGTTAGCAGAATAACAGAATTAATAAAGATTAAAGCAGAAATAAATCAAACAGGAAATACAAAAACAATAGAAAAAATCAGCAAAGCTAAGAGTTGGTGTTTTAAACAAAATGGACAAACCCTTAGCTAGATCAACTAAGAAAAAAAGAGAGAAGATTCAAATAAATAAAATCATAAATGAAAGAGGAAACACTACAATGCATGGCTTAGAAATAAAAAGGATCAAAAAGGACTATAGTGAAAAATTATACACCAACAAATTAGATGATCTAGAAGCAATGGATACCTTCCTAGAAACATACAATCTTGCAGAATTGACTCAAGGAAAAATAGAAAACACAAACAGACTAATAACAAACAAGGAGATTGGATCAGTGATCAAAACCTTCCCAATGAAGGAAAACCCAAGACCAGAGGGCTTCACAGGTGAATTCCATCAAACATTCAAAGATGAGTTAATACCAATCCATCTTAAACTCTTCCAAAAAATAGAGAAATAACATTTCCAAATTAATTGTATGTGGCCAGGATCAACCTGATACCAAAACCAGACCAAGACTATAAGATAAGAAAAATACGGAGCAGTATCCCTGATTAACACAGATGCAAACATCTTGAATAAAATATTAGCAAACCAAATTCAACAGCACATTAAAAGGATTATACACCATGACCAAGTGGAATTTACACCTGCAATGAAAGAATGGTAACAAATATGCAAATTAATCAATGTGATACACCACATTAACAAAATGAAAGAATAAAACCACACTTTCTGATTTCAAAATGTATTATAAAGCTATAATAATCAAAGCAGTAGATGCAGAAAAAGCATTTAACAGACATTTGCGATTAAAACTCCCAACAAAATAAGAATAGAAGAAACTTAACACAACAAAAGCCATATATGGAAAGTACAGAGCTAACATCATAATTAATGGGAAAAATCTGAAAGCTTTCCCTCCAAGATTCATTCCAAGGCCAAGATGCCCACTGTCATCACTTCTATTTAATATATTACTGGAAATCCTAGCCAGAGCGATTAGACAAAGAAAAGAGATAAAAGTCCTCCAAATCAGAAAGGAAGAAGTAAAATTATCCCTGTTTGCAGATGACATGATTATATGTGCAGAAAACCCTAAAGATTCAACAGAAAAACTATTAGAACTAATATACGAATTCAGTAAAGTTACAGTATACAAAGTCAACATACAAAGATTAGTTGTATTTCCATATACAAACAAGGAACTTTCTAAAAGAAAATTAAGAAAGCAATCCCATTCACAATAGAAACAAAAAATGAAATACTTAGGAATAAACTTAATCATAAAGGTGAAAGACTTTCACATTGAAAATTATAAATCACTAATGAAGGAAATTAAAGACACAAATAAATTGAAAGACATGCTGTGTTTGTGGATTGGAAAAAAATCACATTGTGAAAATATTCATACCTTCCAAAGCATTCTACAGATTCATTGCTATCTCTATCAAAATTTCAATGACATTTTTCACAGAAATAGAAAAAACATCCTAACATGTATATAGAACCACAAAAGAACCTGAACAGCCAAAGAATTCTTGAGCAAAAAGAACAAAGTTGGAGGCATCACATTTTCTGATTTCAAAATATATTACAAAGCTATAGTAATCAAAACAACATTGTACTGGCATAAAAACAAACTTACAAATCAATGGAACAGAATAGAGAGGGCAAAAATAAATCCATACATCTAAGGTCAACTACAATGACCGTAGATGATTTCACTGTGGTGCCAAGAACACACAATGGGTGTCTTAGTTCATTTGTGCTGCTATAACAAACTACAGACTGAGTAGTTATAAAGAATAGAAATTTATTTCTCATAGTTCTAGATGCTGTGACCTCCAAGATCAAGGTGCCAGTAGGTTCTTTTTCTGTTGAGGGTTTGGTCCCTACTTCCAAGATGACATCTTGAACTCTGTGTCTTTTGGGGTGTAGGAGGAGAAATAATGTGTTCTCACATGGAAGAAGGTGGAAGGGCAAAAGAGAAGAACTCCCTCCATTAAGACCTTTAGTAGGGGCACTATATCCCATTCATAAGACCTTCACTCTCATGACTTAATGATCTCCTGCAAGGCCCACCTCTTAATATTACTACATTGATGTCTCAGCTCATTTTCTGTTGCTTATAACAATATCTGAAACTGGGTAATTTATAAAGAAAAACAATTTGTTTCTTTCAGTCATAGAAGCTGAGAGTCCAAGGTTGAGGGGCTGTATCTGGTGAGAGCTTCTTGCTGGTAGAGACTCTCTGAATAGTCCTGACATGGTACAAGATATCACATGGTGAGGAGGATAAGCATGTTAACATGCTAGCTAAAGTCTCTCTGTCTTTTCTTATAAACCATCAGTTTCCCTGACCCCATGAAAACCTATTAATCCATTAACTCATTAATCCATGAACCCTAATCATCTAATTACCTTTTAAAAGCTTCACCTTTCAATACTCTCACATTTGGGGATTAACTTTCAACATTAATTTTGGAGGGGACATCAATATTTAATAGCAATAGGGAAAAAATAGTCTCTTCAATAAATGATGTTGGGAAAACTGGATATCCCTATGCAGAAGAATGAAATTGGATCCTTACCTCACACCATGCATAAAAATCATCTTAAAATAGATTAAAAAATTAAAGATAAGAACAAAAACCATAAGACTACTTGAAAAAAGCATAGAGAAAAAGCTTCTTGACATGAGTCCAGGCAATAATTTTCTGAGAGATGACACCAAAACCACAGGTAACAAAAGCAAAAATAGACAAGTGGAATTGCATCAAACTTAAAAGCTCCTGCACAGCAAAGGAAACAATCAATATAGCGAAAAGGCAACCT
The DNA here is from genome assembly GCF_000001405.40 of Homo sapiens. Classification (NCBI taxonomy): domain Eukaryota; kingdom Metazoa; phylum Chordata; class Mammalia; order Primates; family Hominidae; genus Homo; species Homo sapiens. The sequence continues at coordinate 121,100,482 of NC_000004.12, read as the reverse complement.
AAAGAATGGAAGAAAATATTTGCAAACTGTATATCTGATAAAGGGTTAATATAAAAAAATTTATGACACTTAATGGCAAAAACAGCAACAAACAATACAATTAAAACACGGGCTAAGGACCTAAATAGATATTTCTCAAAGTATGACATACAAATAGCCAAAGTTATATGAAAAAGTGCTCAACATCACTAAACAGAGAAATGCAAATCAAAACCACAATGAGATATCACCTCACACCTGTTAGAATGGCTGTTATTAAAAAACAAAAGATAACATGTGTTGGCAAGGATGTGGAACAAGAGGAATACTTGTTCACTGTTTATGGGAATGCAAATTAGTACAGTGACTATGGAAAACAGTGTGGAAGTTTTACAAAAAAAAAAAATAGAATAACCATATGATCAAATAATCCCAATTCTGGGTATATGTCTAAAGGAAGTAAAATCAGTATATTGATGAGATACCTGCAGGCTCCTATTTGCAGCTGTATTCACAATAGCCAAGACATGGAATCAACCTAAGTGTCTGTTGATGGACGAATGGATAAAGAAAACTTAGTATACATGTATAATGGAATATTATTCAGTCTTTAAAAAGAAGGAAATTCTGTCACTTGCAACAACATGGATGAACATGGAAGATATTATGCTAACTGAAATAAGCCAGAAACAGAAAGGGGAATACTGCATAATCTCACTTATTTGTGAAATCCGATAAGTCAAATTCATGGGAGCAGAGAGTAGAATGGTAATTTACAGGGTCTGGGTATTGGGGAAAATTGGGGAGATGTTGGTTAAAGGGTACAAAGGTTTAATTATTTGTGATGACAAGTTCTGGAGATCTTACAACATTATGGTGACTATGGTTTAAAATACTGTATTTTATACTTGAAATTTGCTAAAAGAGTTGATCTTAAGTTTTCTCACCAAACACACACAAAATTATAACTATGGGAGATGATGGATATGTTAGTTTGCTTTATTATGGTAATCATTCATATTGTACATGTATATTAAAGCATCACATTGTATACCTAAAATATATACAATTTTTATTTGTCAAGTGTACTTTAATACACCCAGAAAAAGAGAGAAAGAAACTAGAGTGTCCCAGAATCAAGTTTCAACTGTCACTGTTGTGTGCCAGCCTTAATAAAATAATATCATTTCTGCAAATAGAGGAAGGGTTTCCTATTACCCCATTTGGAGCAACTTTGGAAATTCTCTTTGAAATGACTTGACAGGCACTTTCCCACATTACCTGATAACACATTACAATTTCATTGGACTGAAGGTACCACAGTAAAATGGTTTGTCTCATTATCTGTAGGTTACATATCATTGTTTTCATACTAAAATGGAAAAGTGATACATATTATTCACAAACTTGTAATTTTTTCAACTTTTTAGAGTGCATTTCTGTGTACGTTGTTGAGTGAGCCTTCATAAACCTTAAAGTCTGGCAGGAAATAATTTTACTAATGAAGTAAAAAATATAAAGAACTTCACTCCTTTTTAAGGCTCAATAATCTTTCACTGTATGTATACACTTCATTTTGTTTCTCCATTCTTCTGTTTATGGACCCTTGGGTCATTTCCACCTTTTAACTACTGGGAATAATATTGCTATGAGCAGAAAAGCCTTTTCCATGTAGAGTAATTCACAGTTTCAACTACTTTCCATGAAGCATTTTTTCATCTGTTCTAAGTATCAGCATTTCATCGTAGGGTTAAAAAGTAGTTTTGCTGTAGAAGTAGAATGAGCCTGGGGTTTGAAGTTAGACAGCAAGTGACCATTTCTGCTTCTATTTCTGTGTGAACTTGGTTCAGTTTCTTCATCTCTTAAATGGATCAATAATAATTTCTGCTGCACACACTGTTGTGAAAATGAATGAGACAATAAAGCAACTAGTGTAGTGTCTGAGGCATTGTGTAGTGCCTGACACGTCGTAAGAGGATAGTAAATGCTAGCCATTAGTAATACTTCCAAATGGCCACATATTTCAACCACAAGACTTAATCTCATCTCAAGCTGCTTCCTTCACCCCATTATCTCACACTGGGGCTTTGTTCCTACTTTTTCCTCTAATGGTTCTTAAGAGTTTTACTTCAATTGCTTACATAGATCACAACACCATTCCCCAGTTTGTTAACCTTTTTAATATTTCATTCTCAAAAAGGTCTATTCTACCAGATTTACCTTTAGATCTGTGTTATAACTTCTATTAGTGAGAATATGTTTTTAGAGGTTAAAGATTATTCATATCTGAATTATTTTGCGGCCCATATAAGAAAAAGTACTGAAATGATAACAACGACATTTGGTAAGACTCTCTCCATCCCAGTGAAAGAGCAAGGATGATTAACTTTTTAAGCCTACAGAGAAGACATTCTAGGACCATATCACTAAACTACTGTTTTATAATTACAAAGTGGCATTTTGTCACCAGAAAGATATATGGGAATCAATGGAGGAATACTAGCTCACATGTCTAAATCCAGGAAAAAACATTAGGAAGCCCTAGAATTAGGAAGCCTCAGAGTGTGCAAAAGAGGTAAAGAGATTCCATTTAACCTTAGACTGCCCTGGTAGCCAGTTTGTTTGCTCTGGGTTGAGCCATCCATTGTCCAGGAATGTAATGGGTAAAAGAGACTCAGAAACATCCTTCCTCAACCCCAACACCCTTGCATCTGCAAACCGATTTCACATTGTTAAAGGTTCACTCAGTTTAGTCATTTTAATTTTAAACCAAAATAAATGTAAATAATGATCCAATCAATAAATTGGTCTTTTTATAAAATAAAATCAATTCTAAATCTACTTTAAAGAACCATTTGTAGAGGTTTTGGTTTTAAGTTCATGAAAAGCATGATAACAATCACAAGAACTGTGATTCCATGTTTTCAGAAGTTTATACTGCAGGCCTTCAACCTGCTTTTAGAGATAATGCAGTTAAAACTAACACTCAGCACAATCAATTAAAAATATCCAACCATGCTAACATTTTGGAATGATCCGGATGGTTAATATTTGAACGAAGCATCTGAACTGATTGGCTGTTTTGCTACTGTGTTTCAAGTTAGAGGTATCATCAGAGGCCAAGGTTTCTTTAAATTCCTCCAACAGTTCATTTTAGACTACCGATACTAATAGGTAGCCTCTTGAACTATGTGAATGAAGCAATTTTCAGTACCGCCAGGTGTTAGAAAGTGACTAGTACGTAATGGAAGCCCAGTTAATGTTGCTGCCAAAATTGATATATGAATGAATGATCTCTATTGGCCTGTATGTTTCAAAGCTTCTATACCAGATCTTAAAAAAAAAAATCCAAGTTTTAGTTTGGTTCTGGTTACAGTTACTCCAGGGCCTGTGTTATCTAGTTTGGCTCTCTACAATAAATTAGCCAATTTTTTACCAAATTTTTAGTGTATTAAACATAGGAAAGTCTTATATAGGCAGATACTTTGGTTTGTTTTACAATTTAATCATTTGATTTCTATTTTGTTCCTTGCGAGCTTAATATTTTGAACAAATTATCTCTGCTATTGTCCCTGTTATTTTCCTTTAGTGCTGATTTCATAACAAGAAAAAACTGACATTTGAAATCAAAGGTTTTTTCCTAAGTAAAATGTCCACTAGATGGAAGTATTGTTTCAAAAGAACGAGGGTGATGGCTTTAAAAAACTATTTCTAAAACTTACCCAGTGAAAGTTACATCATAAAAACTGATAGACAATTCCTTTATTACTTTCCTAATTTTTTTATTTTTATATAAATGACAGCATTTAAAATCCATGTCATTAGGAGGCTTATATTGTGAAAATTGTTGCATCTCTGTAAAGACTTAAGATGTCTCAGTGCTGAATTCTCTAAGTTTATTTTCTATATGTTTCATAGGTTTAATGACAACAAAGAAAATATCTTAGTTAAAAAACATGCCTTAAAATCAGAATCCTGGGAACTTGCTTCATGAGTCAGAAATAAAAAATTTGTAGAGGGTTAAATAAAAACCCTAAACATAAAGTGCCTAACAAAAAGATTATAAAACCCTCAAGTGTGGAAAAATACACACACATAGATTAGATGTGAGTGTCTTAAAGTTCTCAAAGAAACAGTATCATTGTGTATTCACACATTCTTGCCCAGTCTACACAACTGTATTTAAAGTGCATATTTTAATATTTGCTAATGCAAATGGCATAGTAAATTTGCAAATTACATTCCATTCTTATTTGCAGTTGCTGACCTGAATATAAAAATATCTTTATTAACTTAAATTTGTCATGGTTTGCCATTATTTTAGTATACTTAAGGCAGTACTTGAGCAATTTTTTGTTTTCTTACTATGATGTTTATGACTAATATTTTTGAAAGTATTTACTCAACCTCTTATGGCATATTATGCTTTATAATTAAATATGGCTTTGGAATTAATTATTAACATTATCTTTAAGAAATACAATTCTGAGGAAGCAAAATTTTAATGCAATATAAAAGCATTTTAGTTGGAGGCTTCAAACCTCCAACTTAATGACAAGCTTCTTCCACACATTGCCCCACAAGTGTACACTTTCAACAACTGATAAAGGGAAATCAATCAGCCCCCTCTGCAAGCTCTTTGAGGTAATAATTGGAAATATCAAAGAGTATGTATTTCATAAAGCAAGGCTGAGTCATCATGATGCCATTGAAAATACTGTAGTTCTTTTTTCTCTATAAAAGCTGTGGGACATTTTAAAATTAAATTGGAATAGCAGTAATACTTTCTTAAAGTTTTTTCTAAGCTCTCACAATTGACAAAAAAAAATCTTTTTATAAAGTTTTGAGAGTAAATGGTTTGTTTTTTTACATATTTCCTTAGTATTATTTCCTAAGTATATTAACTTAGTAAAAGTTAGCAAGTAAAGGAAGGTTTTCAAAAACTAACATAACAATTTTCTATTCCTCCTTTAAATCATTCAAAAAAAATGAAGTTTCAAACGTTGTTTTGATTTAATATTATATTATGTAGAAATACAAAGGCAGTTCACGCTTTGTAAATTGTATTTAGAAAATTGTGTACTTTGACAAGTCTAGAAGTTCATTTTCCCGTCGTAAAGCTAGACAACTAAATTGGCCTACTAAAGGACTGTGAACCAGTTTGTTATATAAATGAGAACATGTTGTTGATGTTTGACATAAACAGCAGAGGTGCAACTGAAGTCAGCCTGCTCACATAATTAAGTAGTCAATGCAAGACTACGTAAACCCTTGATTCCAGTGTTAGAATGACTGTCTGTGTGTTTCTTTGTTCACCCATCCAACTAGCCCTATATTTATTAATCAATATTTATCGAATGCCGAGTATACTTTTGGAGCAGTCAAGGTTTTCCGTGCCTTTATATTTGTGTGCTGTCAAACCTTTCTAATTTGATTCCCAAATGCTCCATTTTTTAAACATTATAAAAAATTCTTCTGTAACTTCTTTCTGCCTGCTGAAAACAAGGCCAAACTCTTTGGCCTGATATGCATGGCTTTCCTCAATAAAGCTCCAACTTATATTTTGAGATTTATTGGCTATTATTTTACATATCTTCCATTTCATTCAAATCTTATCTACTCACCATTTTCTGCACACCTTCACTTTACTGATATGTTTCCTTTGCTGAAAGTACTCTCGTGCTATACTATGGCCTACACCTCCAAATTCTTCACATATTTCAAGACACATCTCAGTTTTTCACTTCCTTATGCAATTCTACTTCACCCCAATCAGAAACAACCTTTCCAGTCTCTGAGGTACCAGTCACTGCCTTTGACTTATAAGTTTCTTACATTATTTATTACTTTGACCTGAATAGTGGAATTATTTGCTTGTGTTGTTTTTTGTCTCTCTCTCAAACTGAAAGAAGACTGGGATCCTGTAATACTCATCTTTGCATCTCAAAACTCTTATCACACTACCTCCTGTTACCCAACCTGTGACTGGACTATCATCACTACTTCCTTCTCTTTTTCTGGCAAAGGCTAAGGCTTCCATCAGTGCTGTACCTCAAATCTTCCTTCCTACATCCTTAAAAATCTCCTCCCACTGACTATCCTCTTATTCATCATTGGCTTCTGCCCATTAGCGTATTAACATGCTCAAGTCCTTTTTGCCCTAATACAGTCTAGCACCATCTTTCTCGACTCTCTTTAATAGCTAACCTCTTGAAAGTGTTTTCTACACATGCTGTCACCACAGCCACAGCTTTCACTAACTTCTCATCCTTATGTAATCTGCCTTTTACCTCCATGACCTAGGTGAAACTGTTCCCACAAAGGACACCAATGACCTCCTGCTTGCTAAATCCAATGACCGTTTTGGGGTTTTCTTGTTTTTGACACAGGGTCTCATTCTGTCACCCAGGCTGGAATGCAGTGGTGTGATCACAACTCACTGCAGCCTCGACTTCCTGTGCTTAGGTGATCCTCCCACCTTAGCCTCCCAAGTAGCTGGGATTACAGGTGCACACTACCACGCCTAGCCAATTTTTTGTATTTTTAGTAGAGAGGAGGTTTCACCATGTTGCCCAGGCTGGTGTCAAACTCCTGGTCTCAATCTGCCTGCCACCTCGACCTCTCAAAATGCTGGGATTACAGGGGTAAGGCAATACACCTGGCCCACTTCTTAAATCTTTCCTTATTTGGGCTCTCTACATCACCTAACACTATTTATCATTCTTCCCTCTTTAAGTCACTCTCTTCCCTTGAAGCAATTCTCCTGCCTCAGCCTCCCTAATAGCTGGGATTAGAGGCATGGGCCACCACACTCGGCTAATTTTTGTATTTTTAGTAGGGATGGGGTTTCTCCATATTGGCCAGGGTGGTCTGGAACTCCTGGCCTCAAGTGATCTGCCCACCTCAGCCTCCCAGAGTGCTGGGATTACAGTACCATGCTGGGCCTGGTACTTATTCTTACATTTCTTTCTGGATGGCCCATATGCACCCAAGTACAATGTGTCCCAAACCAAACTCATCACATTTCCTCTTTTAACCTAAATTCATTTCCTATTTTTTGTTCCTCATCACATTGAAAGGCAGTACTATTCATCAAGTTTCCCAAGTCAGAAACCAGAGTATCTTCCCTGGATTATCTCTCTCCCTTATGTTACATATTTTAATCAAATACTGAACCCTGCCACTTCTATCATCTACAAAGCTTTTGAATGTGCTCCCTCTGCTCCAATGTCTGTCCCACTGCCCTGGTTAAGACTATCATAATTTCCCACCTGGATTTCTGTCATGGCCTTGTAAATTGTCACTCTGCCTCCAGTCTTGCTCTCCGGCCATCCATTTTCCACACTGAAGGTAGAGTAAACTTGACAAATACAAATCAGATTATTCCGCTGATTGAACACATCAATTACTCTAATGACTTATAGGATAATGTCACACTGCCCTAAGATAGTTTATAATGGTATGCATAACTTGGCCACCACTCACTACTCTGGCCTCATGTGGTCATACCCCCTTCAAACCCACTAGTCTCACTCTTTTAACCTGTTCGAGTTCCCTCAACATGTTCTGGTCACTCTCACTTCTGGCCCTTTACATATGCTGTTTCCTATGTCTAGATGCTCTTACTTCCACCTCTCAACCCCTTGCAAGGCTAACTCCTTCTCATCCACCCAGCCTCTCAGCTTACATGTCTCCCTCCAGAAAATCTCTATTAACTTACTGCGCCTGGATCTAGCATGCATCCCATGCATGTCTAGTAGCATCCTGCATCTTACAGATGATGCTTAATTGTTTTTTGCTTTTTACACACCTGCATTCTTATGAATTGGCATGCAGTGTCTATATTATGCACAATATTAAAGTCATCCTGTGGTAATCAATGTTGATCTTTAACGAAGTCAGAACAAATGGAATGGTCAGAGTAACGTCCATATGTTCAGTCTTTGTATATAATGGCATATTGTAACATTTATATTGAAGAAGTAATTTAGCATGGATTATACTGAACTCCTAGAGAAATCACTTGTTGCTGGATAATGTTAGTCATTAACAAATTGAAGTGAATTTTTCAGCTCTGTTTACAGATTCACATCAAATGAAACATTTTTTCACTGTCCAAAATGGCTAACAACCTACCATAAATAAATAAATAGCAGGATGCTTTAATTGTAGAAAGTGTTCAGCATCTAACTGGCAAGAGCTGGACAAATGAGGGTCATCTTTTTCAATTCCTGCATCTTATAGATGGGAAGAAAAGATGTCTTGAGAGGTAAGGTGTTATTTTAAGGTCATCCCACCACATAGTGGTAAACCTCCCATCCTGTTAATAGGACCATAGAAGAACCCATTTGTCACAGTGTCCTACCCAGTGCTCTTTTCATTACACAGTGTTATTGCTCACCATGTTTCTTCTCATTTGTAGCTTGCATGAGAAACCCTTGGCCTGGCTCAGAGTTTCCAAATCTTGCAACACTGAGAATGTATTTCAATGATGTATGTTTTCCAGCTGAAGTTGTATTTGTTAAAATTAATCAAATCTTATCTGGAACTACAATACATGCAACAGGTAGAATCAAGGAATCATTTTGTTAGGCAATTAAAATTTCCATTGTAAAAACCCCTCATGCCCTTTCAAAGGTCCAAAATATCTGGGGAGCTCAGTTTGAAAACTACTTGAGACTGAGGGAAGGGCACATTTGGTAGCAGGAGTTGTGAATTCGGCCACTCAATCAACCTAATGCTCCCCTTGGACTTGAACAGAGCTGGCAGATACAGCAAAAGGTTACTTTAGCATTCTTTTTTTTTTTTTTTTTTTTTTGAGATGGAGTCTCGTTCTGTCACCCAGGCTGGAGTGCAGTGGCACAATCTTGGCTCACTGCAAACTCCACCTCCCGCCTCCCGGGTTCACACCATTCTCCTGCCTCAGCCTCCCAACTATCTGGGACTTACAGGCGCCCGCCACCACGCCCAGCTAATTTTTTGTATTTTTAGTAGAGACGGGGTTTCACCATGTTAGCCAGGTTGGTCTCGATCTCATGACCTCGTGATCTGCCCGCCTCGGCCTCCCAAAGTGCTGGGATTACAGGCGTGAGCCACCGTGCCCGGCCTACTTTGGCATTCTTATGTCTCTTAACAGTGCACTAAATAATTACCACAATGAGATAGTAGTGTAAAGCAGAGCTCAGCCAAGACAGAATGATACAAAATTGGGCAGTAGGAGTGGTCCTCCCATGCTTTCTTTCCTTCCTTTCCACCTTACATACATTCATTTTAACAAATCATGTTTCTGGTTTTTGCACTGTTTCCCCTAAGGAGCATTAGTCACCAATATCTTGGCAGTGTCCAAAGTGCTCCAGTAACGTAAAGATCTGAAATGGAGGATGCAACAGGCAATTTTTAAAATATGGTTTATGTTCTAGACAACGTCAGTCATTAAGTTATTCACACAGGCCTACTCCATATTTCAAGCTCCTAGTAATTCTTCAATGTCTATTTCTTATCCTAGCTCTTTTGTGAAGCCATGTCTAACTCATCTAAAGGAGGCCAAGATTGCTTCCTCCTTTAAATTGTTACAGCGTTTTGCTCAGACTTCTTTTGTAATACCTAGATTCATCAGAACTAGTCTTCACAGGACTTCCCTTCTCTCTGCCCAACGATTCTCTTCTCTCCTTACCCCACAACACACACCTCTATTTTTGAGGCAGCTGCTCTCTTTATCTACGTATCCAAAAGAGCAACCAGCCCAGTACCTGGAAAAAGACGAGACTTTAGGAAAGATGAATTGAGAATATATTTTAGTCTTAGCATTTTTTTATCTTAACATATTGGTTATGTAATCATTTTGTATCTCAATATTCCCATCTGCAAAATGGGGATAATACCTGTCTTGGAGAGGTAGGTAAAATTCTTGGTAAATATTGTAAATAATGCCTGCAGTATCATTATTCAACACATATTTATTCTAATTCACTGGCATGGAGCTTTGGGTCTGCTCTTTGGTTTGTAGATTGTCATGGCTACAGTAATAGTCTTTCTGCCAGACCTAGAAGGCTGCGTAGCCCAGAGCTTGGCCCATCAATTCTGTCTTGTACAGGCAGATTTTTTTTTCTACCCAATTTGTTTCGTGGTCCTCGGCATACCCAAGAAAGCAAGTTATGATGGGACAAACGCTGGATTTGGAGGCAGAAAACCTTGGTTAAACCTAAGCTTTAATTGATTGTATGATATGGAGGAAGTCAGACACCTGTATCCTCAGTTAATTCACATATAAAATGAGAATACCTGTCATGTTTGCCTCACAGGCTTTTTGCAAGTACCAGAGGGAATTACAGAAGTGAAAGCTGTTTGGAAACTGTAAAGGACAATACAAATATGAATTAAACATTTGGTTATTTTGTTTGTATTTTGAATAGGTAATATATATACTTTGTACAAAATTCAAAAAGTACAAATGGGTATATAATGAAAGGCAACTCTCTCCATCCTGTCCCCCAGCCACTCAAATCACCCCCATAGGGACAACAGATGCTATTACTTTTTGCTTATCCTTCCATAGATTTTTCTACTTACATGCAAGTTATTATGTAACTTTTTATAAATCTTTCCAACTGCCCCCATACTTTCCTCCAGCCTAAGGCTCCACTTAACACTTTTGAAGCCAGCAACACCCAGGGTTAACACCTACAGTTGGCCTACTTGCACTGTTAACTGTATTTACAATTAAGAGTCACTCAGTCACTGAGAAAGATTCTGTCATAAGTCTGAAAAAGCCATCATTCTCAGTACACAATGCCCCCGGGGAGCACAGGGCATGGTGAGGCCCAAAGTTGCTACATCTTCTGCTCAGAACCCTGATGGTCCCTATTCTCGCACATTCCAGCTGAAGCTGCAATCCATTGAAAATCAGTTGCTTTACTTTTTTCTTCTACATACCTTTGCTTAACTTAGTTACATATAAAATGTTTTATTTGGATTTTCTGCAATATTTGCTTGAATCTCGTACACTTGAAACAATCTTAATTTTTGGTTGTTTCATATGTGTGATATTTGCATCCTACTATATTCATGAGAATATTGTACAAATTAGCTAAAAGTGTCAATATTACAAAGTTCTTTCAAATCATTAGGTGAAAAGTCTACATTTATGTTAATTATATGGTATATTTTTTGTAATCCCATCCTCTAAGTATGTGATTTCAATATTAAAAGTCTCTCTAATTTTAAACCGCTTCAAGTGAGTTTTGTAAATCCTGAAATTTCTTAAAGATTATATTCTTTAGACCCTTTTGCTAGATACAGTCTGAACTTTTAAGACCACACTTCAGTTGATCACGATTAACTATATGTTGCTATTTTATCGTCCGTGTTTCTCTTTCATCACATTTTCCACCAGATTTATTAAGGTATAATTGACAAATAAAAATTGTGTATATTTATATTGCACAACATGATGTTTTGATATATGTATATATTGTGAAATGATTACATCAAGCTGGTTAATATATTAATTACCTTACATATTTATCTTTTTTTGTGGCAAGAACATTTAAGATCTAATCTCTTAGCAATTTTCACGTATACAACACATTATTGTTAACTATAGTCACCATGCTGCACTGTAGATCTCCAGAATTTATTCATCTGTCTAACTGAAACTTAGACTCTTTAAACAACATCTCCTTATTCCTCACCCTACCCCCAACCCCTGGCAAAGACCATTCTACTATCTGTTTCTATGAGTTCAATTTTTTCAGATTCCAAGAGTAAGTGAGATCATATAGTATTTGTCTTTTTGTGCCTGGTTTATTTCACCTAGCATAATGTACTCCAGGCTCATCCATGTTGTTGCAAATGATGGGATGGGATTTTTTTCTAAGTCTAGATAGTATTCTGTCATCTTACACACAATGTGTGTAAGATATTCCATTATTTTACACACATTATCTTATACACACATGCATGTGCATTTCATATTTCCCTTATCAATTTACCTACCAATAGACATTCAGGTTGATCCCATATCCTGACTATTGTAAATACTGTTGCAATAAATATGGGAGAGTTATATCTCTTCAACATACTGATTTCATTTCCTTTGGGGAACCTCCATACTGTTTTCCATAATGGCTGTACTGACTTACATTCTCACCAACAAGGTACAAGGGTTCCCTTTGCTCCACATACTTGCCAACACTTGTTATCATTTGCTTTTTTTTAAAAAAGATAGTCATTCTAATTGGTGTGAGGTGAGATCTCATGTGAATTTGATTTGCATTTCTCTGATAGTTAATGATGATGAACTTTTTTTTTCATATATCTGTTGGCCATTTGTATGTTTTCCTTTGATAAATGTCTTCATTTCCTTTGCTCATTTTTTATTTTTATATTTTTTTCATAGGTTATTGGGGTACAGGTGGTATTTGGTTACATGAGTAAGTTCTTTAGTGGTGATTTGTGATATTTTGGTGCACCCATCATCCAAGCAGTATACACTGGAACCTACTTGTAGTCTTTTATACCCCACCCCCCTCCCATCCTTCCTTCCAAGTCCCCAAAGTCCATTGTATCATTCCTATGGCTTTGTGTCCTCATAGCTTAGCTCCCACATATCAGTGAGAAAGTATGGTGTTTGGTTTTCCATTCCTGAGTTACTTCACTTAGAATAATAGTCTCCAATCTCATCCAGGTCACTGCAAATGCTGTTAATTCATTCCTTTTTATGGCCGAGTAGTATTCCATTATATACATATATGTGTGTGTGTATATATATATATATATATATATATATATATATATACACACCATAGTTTCTTTAGTCACTCGTTGATTGATGGACATTTGGGTTAGTTCCACGATTTTGCAATTGAGAATTGTGCTGCTATAAACATGCGTGTGCAAGTATCTCTTTCATGTAATGACTTCTTTTTCTCTGGGTAGATACCCAGTAGCGGGATTGCTGGATCAGATGGTAGTTCTATTTTTAGTTCATTAAGGCATCTCCACACTGTTTTCCATAGTGGCTGTACTAGCTTACATTACCACCAGCAGTGTAGAAGTGTTCCCTGATTATTGCATCCACGCCAACATCTACTGTTTTTTGATTTTTTTGATTATGGCCATTTTTGCAGGAGTAAGATGGTATTGCATTGTCGTTTTGATTTGCATTTCCCTGATCATTAGTGAGGTTGAACATTTTTTTCATATGTTTATTGGCCGTTTGCATAAAAATTCTAGAAGATAACATTGGACAAAGCCTTCTAGACATTAGATTAGGCAAGGATTTCATGACCAAGCACCCAAAAGCAAATGCAATAAAAACAAAGATAAATAGCTGGGATTAGTTAAACTAAAGTGCTTTGGCATGGCAAAAGGAACAGTCAGCAGAGTAAACAGACAACCCACAGAGTGGGAGAAAATCTTCACAATCTATACATCTGACAAAGGACAAATATCCAGAATCTACAACGAACTCAAACAAATCAATAAGAAAAAAACAAGCATACCCATCAAAAAGTGGGCTAAAGACATGAATAGACAGTCCTTTGCCCATTTTTAATGTCATTTGTTTTCTTGCTATTGAGTTGTTTAAACACCTAATATACGTTGAATATTAACCCCTTATCAGATATATAATTTGCAAACATTTTCTTTCATTCCATAGGCTGTCTTTTCATTCTGTTGGCTGCTTTTTATGCTGCACCAAAACTTTTTAGTTTGATTCCATTCATTTTTCTAGTTTTGCTTTTGCTGCCTATGCTTTTGGGGTCATATCCAAAAAATCATTGTCCAGAGCAATGCCAAGAAGATTTTTCCCTGTTTTCTTCTAGCATTCTTGTGGTGTTAAGTCTTACATTTAAGTTTCTAATCCATTTCGAGTTGGCTTTTGTATGTGATGTGAGATAACGTTCCAAGTCATTCTTTTGCCTATGGACATTCTGTTTTCCCAACATCACTTATTGAAAAAAACTCTTCTTTCCCCATTATATTGTCTTGGAAACTTTGTAGATGATCAGTTGACTATAAATTCATGGATTCATTTCTGGGCTATCTATTCTGCTGCAGTGGTCTGTGTGTATGTTTTAAAGCCATACCTCGCTGTTTTGATTACTATAACTTTGTGGTATATTTTGAAATCAGGTAGTATGATGCCTCCAGCTTTGTTTTTTTTTGCCTAAAATTACTTTGACTATTCAGGGTCTTTTATAGTTCTATATGAATTTTACAATTGTTTTTTCAGTTTCTGTGAAAAATGTCATCAGAATTTTGATAAGGATTGCATTGAATCTGTAGGTCACTTTGGGTTCTATGGCCCTTTTAATAATATTAATTTTTCCAGTTTATGAACATGGACTATCTTTCCATTGTGTCTTTTGCAATTTTTTAATGAATGTTTTATAATATTCAGGGTGCAGATCTTTCACCTTCTTGGTTAAATTTATTCCTAAATATTTTTTAAATGTAGCTATTGTAAATGGAATTGCTATCTTGATTTCTTTTATGGATAGTTTATTGTTAGAGTATAAAAACACTACCAATTGTTGTGTGTTGATTTCATATTCTGCAACTTTACTGAATTTATTAGCTCTAAGAGTTTTTTGGTGGAGTCTTCAGGGTTTTCTGTATATGAGATCAAGCCATCTGCAAACAGGGACAGTTTAACTTTTTCCTTTCCAATTCAGATGCCACTTATTTATTTTTCTTGTCTAATGGCCGTGGCTAGAATTTCCAGTACTAGGTTAAATAAAAGGGTTAGACTAGGCATCCTTATCTTGTTTCTTATCTTAGAGAAAAAGTTTTCAGTTTTTCAGCATTGAGTATGATGTTAGCTGTAGCTTTGTCATAAATGGCCTTTATTTTGTTGAGGTGCATTCCTAATACCTAATTTGTTGAGCATTTTATCATGACAGGATGTTGGATTTCATCAAATGCTTTTGCTACATCTATTGAGATGACCATATGGTTTTTTATTCTTTATTCTGTTAATGTGTTGTATCACATTTATTGCTTTGTATATGTTGAGCTATCCTTGCATCCCAGGGATAATTCCCATTTGATCATGGTTTATAATCCTTTTCCTGTGCTGTTGAATTTGCTTTGCTTGAATTTTACTGAGGGCTTTTACATCTGTGTTCATCAAAAATATCAGCCTATACTTTTCTGGCAGTACCTTTGTCTGGCTTTGGTATCAGAGTAATGCTGGCCTCATAAAATGAATTTGGAAATGTTACCTCCTGTTCAATTTTTTGGAAGACTTTGAGAAGGATTGGCATTAATTCTTCTTTAAATGTTTGGTAGAATCTTTAGTCACTTTATGAATGAAATTTCACCAATAAGAATAAAGCCAATCTAAAAATTTGAATTTCTTTTATACAGGAAACAATATGTATTTTGTTTCCTGTATAAAAGAAGAGAGAAACCATATCTGTTATCTAAACAGAGAGAGTTTTATATAACCAATTATCAAAAACTAAAAGCAAATGGGAACAGAGGTAGCAACTGAGAAAGCAATTACAATCCCTGTCCTGGAGCACAAAGGGAAGAGGTGGAATTGTCAAAACCTAGAAACTTAGAGTTAGAACCATGGACGGGCTCTGTGGAGCTGAAACTGGTATCTGAGGAAGAGGCCCTGAGTAGGCTAGTGTTACTGCCTTCGAGCTGCAAAACAAACTTCTACCTCGAGGACAGGGCACTGGTAAATTGGCACCGACGTCTCTGAGGGACTGTGATGAAGCTAGTTCTAAAGCTTGGGAAAACTGTGAACTGGAGTCAACAGCCGCTTCTACAAAATACTGCCACTGCCAAGTAAATAACTATAGCTACATTGAGGGAGACAGGAAGAGGATGCAAAAACAGAAGTAGGAATAAACTAGGAAGCACTGAGGAAGAAATGCATTATTTGTCTCTCCTCCACCTTTGCATTCTCCCTCCATAATCGCTGACTGGCAGAGCCTAACAGGAGCAGCTGGCAAAACAGAAATGTGTTTTGTAGAGTTTATCCCCAACACCACAAAGCAGGGTAGGGAGAAGCGCATTAAAAATTAAGTGAAAATAGCTTAACCCTGGGCACAAAATGTTACATAAAATTCAAAAGGGAACCTCATACATGTTCAGATTTTGAAAAAACAGGTGAACAAACAGAAAAAAAAAACCTGAACCCTAGCAATGAGACAAAAAAATGAAAAGTTCTACGTTGTTTTAGAGAGACCTGTGAACTTTCCCATTTCTTAAAACATTGGTTAATGGAATGTTGACATTATTGTCTTGTATACTTTTGAGGGAACAACAATATGCTAGAAGAGTTAAACAAAACACTGTCATATTACTTTTATGAAGAATTAATTAAGTGGAATATAAATCATTTCTCCATCTCCACTCTAAAATGGAACTATTCTGCTATCCTAAATGAATTTTTTTTCTGTTCAGATGCTTGAATTAGTCGTTTCACCCATTGAGAGATGCCATACAAAACCAAGAAATTGTGTGTTTTCTTTAGGTTAAAATAAATTAAGATGGCCTTTAATTTGGTTCTTCTCATTCATATTATAAAAATGTTCTAGTTCACATGAACAAAGATAGTACAAGAAACCCACACTAGCCCAGTAGCTGTTTGTGTTTCTGTGAATGTGTATACCTATGTTAGGGTCTAAGAGAAATGAAAGGAAGAATTAAAGTAAAACTGTAGATTTCTTCCTTTTCTATCTGACCTAATTCTGTAAAGCTCAGTTCTACACATATTATATCTTCAAAAGTACATGAAATTGGGGGCATTCCAAATTAACATCACCTCTTTTGAATTATGTCAATGACTGTCTGTTGAGCTTTTGAACATGTAATTATAGAGCTGTGGTGGGTTAAAAATGGCCACAAATTCTTTGCAGTTCCTTTCATCAGGGGTGGAGACTGATTCCTCACCTCTTGAATCTGAACCAGGCTTGTGAGTTGCTTTGTGAGACCAATAAAACGAGACAGAAGTGACAGTGCTCAGCCTCCATACCAGGCCTCAAGAGACCATTTCCTCATCTCTGCACCCCCTTCTCCAGCCCTACCCCATTGCAGGCCTTGGGAAACACTGCCCGTTCCTCTACTGTATTTCTTCCCTCCTTAGAATCTTTCAGGGCTTCCCTCTACTGTGAAGGATAAGACAAGATCCCTCCTGCCTTCCATATTAGCCTAGGAATATCACACTTCCCATGCATGCAAAACAAGAAGAGAATTAGATATTATTTTAGGTGGTTCTATAGCAAATATTTTGTATAATATGTATGAGGTAAAAAAATGTAACCCACACATAAAACAGATATTACTATTTAAGTTGTTAATTTTAAATAAGCTATTTAGTTAAAAGAAGATCTACAGCTTAAACTGAGTAATAGTAGAGGCTGTGTTCAAACACAGAAAACTTTTGGGGAATCCTGCTTTAAGGCAAATTGGTTCAAGTCTCACTTGGTACAAATACACTATCCAATTCACTTTATTTCCTTTCACCAAAAGGATCCCTCTAACTTTAAGATCCACCCTGCTTCAGCTTTCTGTTGCCAGTGAAAAAAATCAAGCAGCTTTTTAAAGCTTTCCTAACTAACTAGTAGCAAGATGGTAATTTTGGAAATATGCTACTCTTACCCCCCATCAATATTATTGTGCTTCTCCATTCTATTCATATTTTCTCATCACACAAGTTGTGGCTTTTTTATGTTAAATATGTATTGTGGTAGAAAATTGCAAAACATTTTCATCTCACTGCTCTGGGAACTTCTCTTTCATCTTCAGCCTTTCCCATTTTTCTATAATTCGTACCCTATGTAGCCCACTTTTCTGGCATTACTTCTAGTTTTAGTGCAGAGTAACATATTGTCCCTTTTTTCCCTTAGATTTCTCAACTCTTCTAGTGCATTTACACTGCTTCTCATTATTTTCTTGCCTTCTTCATCTCTTGCATGCTCTGCCTCCATGCTCTTTACTAATTATCCTTAACCCTCATGATTTTACCTGTCATTATTATCCCACCACTATTTTAAGCCCTAACCACTGTCTCCTTTTCTCTTCACTCTTTTCTCTCCTTTTTCTCCTCTTACTCAATGCCTTTATCCTTCATTTTATTGTGTTTCTTCTACATTGTGACCTGTTGCACTTACCTTGAAATCCAGAGGAGAAGCAAATAGAAGGTTTGTAAATGTGTTGCTGATGTAAAGATAAAGGGAGCCAGACACTTCTAGTGCTTTTGAAGTTCTTTTGGCATTTGAGTCCCACTTGATTTGTGTGACTGATTCCCTTAAGAACATTCTTACTCAAAATAAGTTACAAAAATTCTGGTCTAAAATTGATTGGATATAAGATTATCCTTAGTCTTTGAATGAGACTCTGTTTAACACAAATTACATATTCCTTACAGGTCAGTGTGCAATTTCCCACATAGATAAGGTCTTTGAAAAGTCCTTTCAAAATCAGAGTGATTTTCTCATGTTTTGACAGATGTACAAATGAGTTCTTTTGAGTTTAGTGTTTCAAATGACCTTTGAGTTTCAAGCCTATTTGAATTTTCATTATGTTATTCTCTTCTTCTAATTGCAAAAAAAAAAAAAAAAAAAAAAAAGTCCACCCTCTAAATTTGCAGTTTCTTCAAAATAGGAATTCCCTCAGAGTTTCACTGAGTAGTTTCAGCTAGGCGATTGAAAGTGACAGAATACCACTATGATTATCACATTAATAGAAATTATGGTCTTAGAAATAGAGAGAGCTATGGATAAAATGCTATGGAGACAAAAGAGAAATATTCAAGGCTCTATGTTTGGTTATACTTTTTGGACAAGAAAACATTGAAGGATTACATGGAAGGAATGGAGAGGATTTCGACTGGGTACATTTAAGCTTACATTAGAAAAATTCAAATTTTTCCTTTATAACACCAAGAGTTTTCAGAGTTACATTAGACACTATTGGTATGGAAACTGTTTTCCCAAAATCATTTCAGTGATTCAATTACCATTTATTTTCTAGAAAAAATGGCCCTACTTCTTTTAAATGACCGGAAATAATGCATTTTTTCTACAACAGAGCATAATGAGGGTTGAGAAGTTGCGCCAGAAAATGAGAACAGTCCCTGTTTCTCTTTACAATCCACGTACAGATTTTTGCATTTTATAGTGTAGTGATTCATTTTTGATCTAGTTTTACAATAGAATCTGATTTGGCACAATGAAGTAAATATTAACACATTTCTTTCCTAGATGTGGTATTCAAAAGTAGAAATGTGACAAAATCCAGTGTTAACTGGTCTAATCCAATAAGGAATTTAATACATTTGAGTCTGATAACACACACTGAAAAGCTTAACATAATTTTAAAATAATGCTATTCTACTAAAGTTTTATTTTCTCGAGGGAAATTTTTTTATATGCCAAACTACTAGGAAACAGTTAAAAATGGTTGTTAAGATGACTGGACTTGGCTTATTATTTCTTTCTTCAGTTTATTCTCCACATTTGTGAGTGACTACCTTGAATCCATTTCAAAAGGGGAGGAGCGAGTATAATAGCTGAAAGCACTGCCTGGGTTCAAATTTCTTGGCTAGAAATATGACAAGTTCTGACAGCCTCAGTAGCATCATCTCCAAAATGGGAATTCTAATAATTCCTACTGAAGATTGCTCTCACAAGGACTAATAAGCAGTGAGCGACAACAGCAGGCACTTAGAAACCACTCAATAAATAAGTGATTAAATGGCCAAAAGGTTAAGGTGGAGATTCCCCTCCTTTTTTTTAAAAAAAAAAATAACTAAGTTCTAGGGTTCACAGGTTACTTGTAATAGAAACTGGTTGAATCAAAGGTATATATAATCATATGCCTACTTTTTATGAGCTGCACATGTTGAGAGTTTTAAAAATTGTGTCAGCCCTCCTATTCACTGCTTTTCATAGAGAAGTTAGTTTTTAAAATGTCTTTAGGAAAGGACTCATACTGTGTCAATGACAGAGTTTAAGTGATTTTCAAATAAAAGAGAAGACTCAAGCAGCTAAACCAGTTTGGACTATTCCACCTCCCTCTGGCTTAATCTTTGAGATTTCTGACCTTAGAGGTTTGTGGCTAGAATTGATGGATAGGTACACTTTTGTGAAAACACTACATGTGGTTAGATTTGCTCTTATATGGTGTCAACAAGGAGACACCAAATCAAATTCTGTGGTAAGATCCCTTTTTAAATAATGCCCATTAACATGACAGCAGCAAAAAGGAAAAAAAAAGAATCTGTGAAATTAGTTGATAGAGGCTCCAAGGAATATCCTGGGGCAGCTTGAGTTGGTTCAGAACGCAGGCTTTAGAGTTTGACAGAATGAGACTCCGATCCCTGCTCAGCCACTGATGGCCATAAACCTCCGTTTTCTCATCTGTGAAATGCAAATAATGTCTTTTTCACTGGTTGTTTTTGGAATAAATTTGTAAAGGAAAGAGTTTTTGATTTGTTACATTTTGTCAAACCTGAAATTAATCATTTTGGCCATCCTAACAAGCAAGGTCTAAGTGATTCCTTTTGTTTTATTTTTTCACTTACAAAGTACGGTTTTCTGATTAGGGAGAAGCAATGTTTTATTTGAACAGAAATTGAATCCAGGGAGTAAAAATTGGTGATTATTATATAGGCAATTGTTTAGTGCCTATTATATATCACATGCTTTACATATTAAAAATAGTTTAACCCTAACAATAACCTTATCAGAGAAATTTTATTATCCCCATTTTACAGATGAGGAAACTGAACTTCAGAAAGATTAAATAACTTTCCAAGTTCACACAGTCACAAAGTTATTAAATGTCAGTGCAGGAAACTGTACCCAAGACCTCTGGCTCCGATGTCTGTGTTCTTTCCACTACATCTGATGCCATTCAGCTTCAAAACATTTAAAAAAATAACCAGGCTTTATGTCTGTGTGGCCTTAAGGCTGTATGATATCACTGGCACATAGCTATCAGGAACTTGGGCCAAACTGCTCACATGAAAGAGTGTTCTTCTTTAGCTGTGCCTAAACAAGCCATGGGATGTAGAAAATAAAGCAATTATTAAATGAACTCAAATTATAGGAATGTATTAATCACACAATCTCAAACTCTCTGTTATATTTAAGGATCTATCTCCACCCGTTTCTTTCAGCCCTTTTCATACTCTAGGCTGGCCCAGTATTTTCTCATCTCTCTCTTTATTTTCATGTATGCATAGCTTTAGTACCCTCCCAACACTGCTGCTAGCTTAGGCTTGCATTGACTATCATTGCTACATGATTGATACAGTGCAGGCTCCTGGAAACAGCCATCCATGCTGCTTTGGTCAACGAACCTGGACCACAGAATAGTTGTTGGATCACAGGCTGAGACTCAACGTTATCAGTGGATTCCTTCTTCTAGAACACAGGAGGCGGTTAGGAAATGTTTTCAGTATTGACATTTTAAAAAATACCTCAGTTTTTCCATCATGTAAATGATATAGTGTAATACACTAATTAGTAAAAATGTTCACAAGAAATGGGATGATGGGTGGATATATACTCTGAAGTGAAAACAAAACAGGGATTTTTATATCAGAGGAACCCATTAACTGCAATCAAGAGAATGTCTCTTTTACAAACCACCAGAGTCCTTCTTAAGTGTGGCAAATGGCATTTGCCTCATTGCTTTATTCCTTTAGGTTTTACTCACTGCCAAGAGGATGAAGCCTGTACCTCTACTAACATGGTCTCTCCAATTTGCCCAACCTAGGTATCCAGTTTCTTCTTCTGTTAACTTCGTTAGCAAAATCCATCTCACCAAATGATTCTATTCACTGCCTCTGAAATGTACTTTGGTTATTTCCTTCCTGTGAACCTTTCCTGGACGCCATTTCTGTGGTTTTGATGCTCTCATCCTCTTCTGTACCAAATCAAACCTTTCCCAGTGGTGAATAAGTTACATCCTATAATTCTTAACACTCCTTTGGCTGTTATCATTTGGCATCTGATGCTATGAGTAATATTTAAAAGCCAAGTAACTAGTCACTATCATACTGTGGGCAGGAATAATATCTGTCTTTTTAATAATGTATCTTCAACATCTGAAATATAACAGGCATTTAATAAATATTTACTGAGTGTCTAAAGGAAAGAAAGAAAACATATCTAAACTCATCTTACAGACTTTTTCTGGGCAAATACTAAGTTTTAGATTTTTTTAAATCTCTTTTAGCACTGTGCTCAGTGACTTGAACAAAGTAAGAATTACATTATTTTTTCAATGTCCTAAATTAATCGTTGGAAATTCAAGCAAATTGCATTTGAGGGCTTAAATATAATTTTTAATCTTTTATTTTAATCCAGTGCTTTTTTGTAAGATAGTGGCAATTCCGATTTAAGTAAGACATTGTTAAACGTACCATAATGATCTTAAAACATCCCATTCTACTTCCTGAACAAACTAAAACAAGGAAAATCGGTTGATCTTATGTACATATTTAAAATTAGGGTGATTTTTAAAGCAATAGTTAATTTCATAACATTTCCTGAATATGTCATAGTCTATGCTGTTCCCTTTTCCTTCAAACCCTTATTTACCCCACACTTCCCTCCGTTAGCCTAGGATGACTGACCCATCCTTCGGATCTCTATTTAGACGTTACTTTCTCCAAGAATCCTGCCCTAAGGCCGCACTCTCACCTTGGTCATGGACTTACACACTGCCCCATTCCCTTAAGATATCACCTGCTAATTGCTTAACTCTTCACTACACCGCAGGTTCCTCAGAGCAAGGGCCTCATTTATTCCTTTGTTCCCAGCAGCGAGCAGAGGGCTGGCATATAACAGGTGCTCAGCAAATGTTTATTAAGGGAATAAACACCCTCAGGAAGAATAAAAGGTGACTCAGACTTGATGTTTCAACTTTACATTGGCTAAGTGTGTAAGAGGTGTCAAATTACAGATAATCATTAATTTTTAAGAGACTTTAGAGAACTACTTCTTGAACTGTTTAAAGAAGAGACTGAAACTGAACCAACAGACAAAAGACTATCTGGTGCTAGTATGATCCGGGATGTGATACTGTTTTATCCAAGCTTCAAGATTTGCAGGATGGTTTCTATCGGTTCTGTTGTCCCAGCCCCCAATGTAGAGATGTCGACTATAACACTCTAGAAGTTTATGTATAGAAGGATCTATTTACATTTGTGTAAAATGAGAATTGTATTATACAATACAACTGAGGTGATGGCCAATCCATGGGCAGAATATTATCATAAGCTTCTGATGATCTTTCAACCTTCTTTCATGAGTGAGCCTAGTTCATATGACAGTCGTTCTTAGGGCCACTTGACAGTCTGAAAATTATTGTGGACCCCAAGGAGTTTTTGTTATATAGGTTATTTCTTTCAATAGTCAACCTATGAATTACAACAGAAATCTTTAAAATATTTATTAATTCATTTAAATAACTATAGTAAACCTACTGCACATTAAAGTAACATTATTTTCCAAAGAAATGTTTTACATTTTTGTTAATCTCTTTAATGTCTGGCTTAATAAAAGACAGTTGAATTCTCATATCATGTCTGTTTTCAATCTGTTGCAATTTATTTTGTTTGAAGTATATCTTCAAACAAAGGAAAATCCAATTTTTCACAGATATGTAGTTGGAAAATGAAGAAACATTTCAATAATCTTTTCAAACAATTCTGGATATTCTTCTTTAACGTGACACCATAACTCAACAAATGGTAGTTTCTTAAACCTTATAATTGCAGTATGGAATATGAAACCATATCAGTTAACTTTTCATACTGTGTTACATTAAAACCCGTTCGTCTATTTTGCATTTTGAATGGATCCTTATGCGTGATTTTAGATCATGATGCATTATTAGTCATTTGGAAAATACTTGTTCATTGAGCTATGCAGTTCTTCCAAATGTTGATATATGTCATTGTACGATATCTAAAACCACATTCATTTAAATGATCACGATCTTACTAGGAAAGACTTTAAGTACTGGGAAACTGTCAAGCTCATGGTGACAAAAACAAGTTTTAAAAATTCTAATTTTTTACTCAAAAGTTCAAGTTTTTCACTGGAAATAAATATTGCTGTTTGTTTGCCTTGAAATGACAGGCTGACTTCATTCATTTGTTAAAAAATTTTTTTAAAAAAGTGTTTGCTAAGTATCCAAGTCTGAGTAACCATAGTTTGTCTGTCAGTTGTTCTTTCAAGTAAAAATATGTCACATAAAAAAGCAGGTAGTTTAGCTCACAAATCAATTACATAAATGTCTTCGTTCAGGATAAACAACTGCACTTTAGTATGCCACAGAAGAGCTTTATTTGTGCCTCCCAGTTTGCCATACGGAATATTAAAAAGACATAGTCAAGAGTTGAAATTTAATAAAATAAGTATTTTTTACTGCTTCATCAAAGACATTCTTAAGCGAAACTCATATTTGGGGCAGTAAAAAATACAATAACTACCAGGATAGTTGGGTGCCACTGCTTTGAACATGCTAAGGTGCTAGCAGGTTTACCCACCATTGCTTTCGTATCATCAGTGCAAATGTCAACACAGTCAAAGAAGGCAAATTATGTCTTAGAATTAATATGAAACTAGCTTTGTCCTTGCAGACCTCCCCTGAAAGGATCTCAGAAACCCCCATGGGTCTACGAACCCCAGTTTGATGACTGCTGCCTTAAAACATAGGTTTCAACCAGTAGTTCTCCTAAATAGACTTAAATTCACTCTTGGTTTTATAATAGTTTTTGGCTTTTTCCTCCAATTGCATATTTAAGAATTGCCTGGTTTAAAAGTAAATGCAGATATAAATATGTAAATATCTTGCAAACACTTGAATATGTTATACTATCCAATCCTCACAAAACATCTGTAAGTCAACTATAATTTATTCCATTTTTATATTTGAAAAAAGCCACTGATGCTCAAAGAGGTTTTGTCCTACAGCAAATAATTTTCAGAGTCTAGAATTAAATATAAGCCTGTTTGGCTAAATAACATATGTTCTATCTAATATGGCACATTACCCAAGTCTCTCAAAACACTGAAGATAACTTACATATATATATAAATATAAATATATACAATGCCACTGGTTTTATCGGTGGCTTGTTTTTTTAGAAGACAGAGTATACTGATATATGCAAATCCTGATGTTCAAAACACAGATATTTTGATGAATTTTATGAAATTCACAGAGTCCTTACAGAACTTTCCTACAGACTCAGGTCTGTCATTAATTGCCTGAATTAATGATGTCTCTCTAACATCATTAGCACTCAGTTTCTTCCTAATGGCAATTTTAAATCAATACCCCAATCACTGGTTCATTTGAATTCCCAATCAACCCTGTGAAATGCATGGGGGTAGATAGTGTTGCCCCAATGTACCAAAGAGGGAAGTGATCCTCATATACATGCAGCATAAACTAAAATTGCATTGGTCAAGAATACCAAGACTTTTTGTAAATAAGAGCAGCAGCTTTTCAGTCTAGTTGTCTCCATCTGTCTGCCTCTTTCTACCCTGGTCACTAGCCCTGTCCTCCCTTGGCTTCATTGGTCCTACTCTGTTGCCCTTCTTCTCTGGTGTTCATCCCTTTCTTTTGCAGGGTCCTCTTCCTTCATCCATGTCTAAGACATTGGTGTCTGCCATGTCCCATCCTAAGTCTTCTCTTCCTGGCTGCCTTACTCCTCCCCCATGCTTGCCAGACACCTGAATGTATCCTTCCAGCTCCTGTCTACCCTCCTAGGAACTTTCCTTTTGGCTGCCTAAATGGCAGGGCACTCAGATGTCACAGAGGCACCCCCAACTCCACAAGTTTAAGACAGAACTCATTACATTCCTCCTAAAACTGCTCCTCTCTGTGTGTTTCTCTTGGCTAGTGGCACCATCCCTGCCTTAGCGCACCAGCCAGAAAACTGGGAGTCAGTCTAGACTCTCTTCTCTCCATTACCCTCTATGTCCAATCAATCACTAAGCCTTGTCTATTCTATTTCCTAAATATCTCTAGAGCTGTCCTAACCTCCCAAACAGCATTTCTGCTGCCTTGGTTCAGACCTAATTTTTCCTCTGGAAATAACCTCACTGTGATCTCTCTTCTATTTGTCTTGCACAGTGAAACCAGAGGAAACCTTCTAAAACACATTATCTAATAATACTTACAAACCTTAGAATCTGTCCTAGCTTAACACCTTTAACAGTTTCCCAACTACTCACCACCTCCAGGCAAGTTCTGGCTCCTTACACCCAGAGAGCCTTGTGTGGCTTGGCCTTGCTTACTTCACCTGCAGTCTAGCCGCACCTAGTCTCCTAGTTTCCAGGACACACCATGTACTTTGACACTTTCCTAACCTCTTCACTTGCTTCTGTTTGTGGAATGCCCTCCCCCCTCCACCACATCCTTGTTGGCCTTGTATTTCTTCCTTGTCTTTCAGAACTCTACACTGAAATCTCTACCAAGAGAAGCTTCTGAAGGGGAGTTAGCTGTTTCCTTTTCCATGCTTCCACAGGACCAGGTACCTGCACTTATTATAGTGCTAATCACATTTTCATTTATGCCTCTGTCTCCTCACCAGGCGGTGAGTTCCTTAAAGGCAGCACCATCACCTCTAAATCTCAGCACATAAGACATACCTGGTACACAGCAGGGACTTCGTAAGCTTTGTTAATGAATGACCCAGGGATCTGCTCTAGATCGTATCTCCTAAGTGGAGATACAATGAGGACTTTTCTCACCTCATTGTCTCATCTGCAAAAAATATGCTTGCACAGTGATCTGAAATGTCCTTTTCAGTGTTTAAAAATTTTACAAAACTATTTTATGTCGTGTAAACGGTTTTATAAATCCATTTCCTGCAGTGTTTTCATCTAGGAACCACAAAACTTTAGGAGCTGCATTGGTCCACCCTCTGTGACCAACTGTTTAGCAAAAAAGATCATAGTTCTTAATATGACCGGGATAAGGCTGATTTTCATCCTACCTACCTTAATTTCATTGTGGCAATAACAGAACTAGTGTTTTCAATACTGACACTATATCTTAATAAATAATTATATATTATTAGAACTTATATAAAACCAGGTTTGCTGGAAATCAGGTTCTCAGTTGCAAAAATGAGATCACCAAATCATTCGGTACTTTTTTTTTCTTGGTTTTCCTAAGCCCAGGCCAGGTTGCTAATTAGGTAACTTTTTATCATAATTACCTAGTCAGCCTTAATGGCTTCACACACTCTGCTCCGTTTCACTGGTCCTGTAGGGCCGCTTTTTCAATTGTTAAAACAGCTGCTGAGTTTCAAATCGGAGGAGGCTCGGTCTGCGCCGAGGGGGAAGCGCTCCCTGAGTGAAGGCTGTGATAGGCAGGCGTTCGGGTGAAAAGTGGGACATGAATGCACAGTTTGCACACTCTGCTTTCCGCCTCCAACCACCAACCTTCTGGATTTAACACGTCCCCCTCCCTGCCCCCAGATCAACCCCAGAGTTTCCCTCTATTGTGCACCCCGGTCTGCTTGACAGTGTGATGGTCCCGCGTGCGCGTCTCCTGGGTTTTGCAGCTTTGTCGGGGGCTCGGTGGGCCTCCTTCATTCTCCCCGAGTGGCGCTAAGGTTAGGACAGCAGCGTGTCCCTCGCGATGCCGCCCGCGAGGGTCCTGTTTGGGGAGCGCTGGGTCGCTGAGCAGGGTGGTGTGTGTGTGAGAGAAAGAGAGGGAGGGAGGGCTACAGGGAGAGAGAAAAGGAGGGAGAGGGTGTCTGTGTGTGAGTGTGTGTATGTGTATGAGTGTGTGTGTGTGTGTGTGTGTGTGCGTGCGCGCTGGCGCGCAGCGGGAGGGAGAGAAGGAGGGACGGAGGGGGAGGCAACGGGCAGAGGAGGGAGGGGGCGGGCGGGCAGCGGTGAGGCGGGAGGGGTTAGGGCTGGGAGGGGAAGAGACTCCGGGCTTCAGCAGTGACACTCGGGAGCGAACACACACTCCCCACTTCCAGCCGCGAGAGAGTGGAGCTAACTGAGCAGCGCACCCGCCACGGCCGCTGCCGCCCCGTGCGCCCGGCTCTCCCAGCACCCCGCGCGGCGCTCCAGCCAGGCGCCTGTGCGACTAGCGGCGGCCGGCGAAGCCCGCGCCAGCCCCGCGGGTCGCTGCGGCATCCTCCCGCCGCCCAGCCCCCGCACGCTCCCTGCAGTTTAAAAGGACCTCCCGCCGCTTCTCGGCGCTGCCCCGGGATTCCCCAGCCCCGCGCGGCTCCCTACTCCACTTCGCAGCAACTTCGGCGACCGCGCGCCGCCCGCCCTCGCCCGCCTTTGAAGTTTGCTGTGCCGACCGCAAAGTTGGGACACTTCAGCGGATTGAATTTTTCTCTTTTATCTGCCTCCGTCCCCGCCCTCCAGGCTTCTCGTTCCTGGATATTGGTGCTTAGCATCTTGGCAGGGTCCGGGGACGTGGACTATTTCGCACACCACACCACGGGGAGGGATTTTTTTCTATTTTCCCTACGAAAAACAGATCTTTTTAAGGTAAGTGGGGAGAGGAAAGCAATGCCCCAGAGACCCGACGCCTTAGCCCGCCACCCTGAGACCTAGCACAAGGAGCGTTCACGCCCGAAGGGTCATCCGAGATGGGGGCTCGAGGCACGCGCCCCCAAATCTTCAAGGCCCAAGAAGCTTCTCAAGGGCGCCCTATCCGTAGGAGCTGAGGGCATGAGGGGCAGGAGCAGGTTTCCCTCGTTTTTTTTTTTTTATTGTTGTTGTTGTTTGTTTGTTTGTTTGTTTTTAATTTAGCTGCTTTCGAAGCTGGGCGGCCCGGAGAGATGTGAGGAGGTGGACAGACAGCGCAAGGGCGGGGAAGACCTGGGACCCGGGAGCTCGGGGTGCAGTGGGGTCTGGGGAGCCGCGGAGCCTTTATCCCGGACTTAGCCTGGACACTTACTTTGCCCGCCTGCCAAGAGGGCTGTTGCCTCCCTTTCCAGGTTCATGCCCTCCGCCCGCCGCTAGGGAAAGTCTGCGGGACTGGGGTTTTGCAGAGGGCGTCTGCGTGTAGGGCGAAAAGCTAGAGGTCCAGGCAGCGCACGAGTTCTTGGTGGGCGTCTGGGAGCTGCGCAGCCGGGGCCGGGAGTTCGGTTGGCCCGACCCCCAACCGCTCTGGCTCCTCATTTGTCCTCTGCGTGGTAGGCGAGCATCGTTATAGAAACTTCCTTGGGCTGAGCGAGGTGGCCTGGGACCGGCTCATACTTTCTTCCGGAGAGCAGAGCGGCCACCGAGGTGACGCCCCCTACGGCCCCAGCCAGGAGACTCGGCTTCGTGCCCTCGTCCTGTCTGTGCGTGAGTTGGGGTTCGCTCTCACCCGCGCTACCTTTCTAACTGAGCGGAGTCGCCGCGGCCCCGATAACCTAGGAGTCCGAACGAGTGATTGCAGGTCCCAGCTGTTTTCTTGGAGGCACTTTGCAAACTGCTGAATTTGGAGTGCGGTTTCGTTGCATTGTGCGCTCTCGGTTCACCTTTCTGCCCGCACCCTATCCCAGGCCCAGGCGTGAGAGCTCCCGGCAGTTCCCCGGACCCGCCCCGCATCAGCTCCTCGGAGTTTGCCGCGGGCACCTCTACGCTGTCTCTGAGCTGTCCCTCCGGCCAAGTTGCGGTTCCCCTCCTGGCCCCCTTCGGGGCGCTGTCCATTTCTTGCTCTTGGGTACGGGTGGCTCCCTAAAACCAAGACCTTGAGCGGGAAATGAACCTGAGTGTATGTCTGGGTTTTGTTGTTGTTGTTATGTTTTTTCCTTCTTTTCTTTAAATTTATTTACAGAGTTCTTTTTAGCAACTTTGTTGGGTTGATAAATTTGCTTCTCATCTGTCGATCCCGCTAAATCACAAAGAAGAGTTTATTTTTTCATTTAGTTGCTGCTTTCCCCAAACACACTACCCTCTCTTTCCCCCCTCCACCCCTCCTCCTGCTGCCTCGCTTCCTGAACCCTTTTTCTTTTCTGACGGAGGGAATCTCCGCACCTCCTCCTCTCCTCCTCCCACCCGGTCCCTGAGCGCCTGTGAGAACCAGGGGAGTCATCAATGGAAATAAATAGGACTCCGCTCCATTCTCCGCCCCCTTCAAACAAGTAAAATCCTCCCTGGGTTCGGAGAAGTAGAGATAAAACATCCCTCCCAAGGGAGCGGTTGCAGGGGATTTGATGGGATTGAATTGTTTTATTATCTTGAAAGAAGTGATGGATGGATCCGAGAGGGAATATGTATATAAAGCAGAGTGTAGTGAGGGCGATCGGTATGATTATTCATTATTGTTTGTTAAGAGTGATAATAAGGCCGCAACCTTCGCTCAGACTGTGTTTATACTGGGGTTTGAGTTTATGTCAGTCTCTTATTACAGTGGTTTCAGAAAGTGAAAACACCAAAACCGTATTAATTCTTCAGTCATTCTGCATATGGGATTAATCAAATGTCAAAAAAGATACTGTCGTTTTACCACAGTTTTAATCTATGATCTTTTAGAAGGTTGCACTCTTATAAAATGTCATTTGCCTCCATCTGTCTTCTTAAAGTTTAAAAAACTTGGCAACATAATTAATTATGGTCCCAATTCCCATTTTCAATCTAAACCTATATTCAGGATTATATTAAAATACCCCATCATTTATTCCTCAGAAGTGACTCTTATGAGTTTAAACTCTTGGAGGGGAGAGAGGGACAACTGGGAATGAGGGGCCTAGGAGTTAGATAAATTAGTACTATTTCAGATTTCTCTAAAAATTCCTTTACTTCTTCCTTTAGAGAAAGAAATTACAAGGTCCTTCTCTGCACAGTTCATCACTTCAGTGAATGCCCTTAATCTTTACCACACACTTGAAACATAACAGCTTGCAGCCTTGTCTGCATTATTGCTTTCATTTTTGTGTCAGGACATTTTATTCATTAAACCTGTATGTCAAAGACTTAGGCTTAGTGTGGCAGTAACACTCTGTTTTAATTAGTAACTATCATAAAAAAGAAGCTAGAACTCTGTAATAGGCCTAAATTGCTATGAATTATGTTTGGTTTAAATTACGCATTTATTTCAGCAGAAATGAAACCATGAATATAAAACATCTTTTAATCACTTGCAGATACAGCTTTTATCTCTTAGGATGTAACAAAATATGTAATTGAAAAATATCCTTCTAAGGACAAGAGAAGCCCCCACCCTCAGCTTATTTGTCCTGGGTCTGTTTAACATTCATATGGTGAAGTATGAATGTTAAAGAGTAAAGACTATTGTCACAACATTGCCAATACCAGGTCGATGGAATGCTACCTTGGAAATAGCCACAGTAGGTCAGTCGTCAGCTTAATGTAGAGACTTTTCTAGTTGGCTGCGTGAACCTTGTTGTTTCAGATTTTAGTTTTCTCACTTGGATTTATCGACCAGACTCTGTTGTGGAAGGGAGAAAAATGTATTTTAAAACTCTAACAAATTATTTGACATGAAGGGGAGAAAAGTAGAAATAAAGTGTATCTCTTCTCTTCCTATATTTATTTCTATAGCAATTCTCTTCAGCCTATCTAGAGGTCAGAATTTTTACTTTAAAACTGAATGTGTTTTTGTTGTCGTCGTTAGGACTTATCATTTTGGTATGATGGATGAGCAGATATTGGAAATGGAATAATGATGACTGAATCAACCGAGAGCATAGGAACAGAGTGTGAATTACACATCATATGTGCTAATTAAGATTATTTTAATCTCCTTTCCTTAGTTTCTCCATGATAAGGTGGTCGATAGTGACCAAGTAGTGCTCTCTCTCTCTCTCTCTGTCTCACTTTTTTGCTACCTGCCTTCTTGTCAGGTCTTGCTTTGGGGACCTATACACCTATAGTAGCAGCTGAACCTTGCCAGTCAGTGGCCATCAGCTAATCACTTGGAAGAAAATATGTCTCATAGTCATCTGTATTGGGTCAAAGGCAGGGATACCCAATATAACCAACAAAATAGTTCAACTAATTCATTTGACCCTGAAATAATATCTAGAACCTCTAAATGTTTATTTTAGAATGATTATTCTAAAGAACACAATTTATTCTTCCCCTGTGGGCTCATAATCATTTAATAGAAGCCACAGCGTGGTTGATAGTAAATAGTAAACCCCACAAAATCTTTGCTTTGAAAGCTGATTTTAAAATCAAATCCTCCAGGATTTAAATACTCTATTTTAAAATACTTTGCATTTTATTCCCTGAAGTTAGGATAAATTCTGCTGTATTTTTCCACTGTATTACAAATGTAACATTACGTGACACTCAGCATGCATGCAGTCAAGCTTCCATGTTAATTTCCTCCTAGAAAAAAAAAGTAAATACTTTGCTGCTGTTGTTAAAAAATAATCATGTAGTATGAGACAGAAAAACAAGAATGCTAATACTTTATTGTATCACATGGTGGTATGTTGACCATAAACTCAGTTATATTTTTGTTGAAAATCACACCATTTCAGTGTAAGTCTGTTTGCTTGGCTGTGTGTATTTCACGTATTTCTTGCCTCTTCTGAGATGACACCTGGCATTTGCTGTACCAGTGCCTAAGCCAGTGCCAAAAGCAGGTGTATCCTTGGCTGCTTCCTTCCTAAACACACAACCCAAAGAAGCAATATCCACACCTTTCCCCTTCCTTCTGGTACTTTACTAAAAACTGCAAACCAACAAACACATGAATTTTAGTCTTTTGAAATATTTGGAAAACATGTAATATATAATGTTAATTCCCCCAATAAAAAAAGTTGTGGCTTGTTTTGATTTTAAAAATTAAGGGTAACAAATTTGATCAATGTGGTATAAAAGCAAACTAGCAAAATGGTCTGTAGATTTTTCACTTTGGGATAAAGAGACAAATTTGGCCACAGAACAGCTGGGTATTTGGCCCTATTACAATGCCAATTTTTTTCAAGGAACTCATTGAGTTAACTTTGATTTAAACTTCACTTTAAAGTCCACAAACCTCAAGTTTATGAGAAAAGTATAGAAACTTTCAAGATATATGTCATCATTCTTTCAATAACTTCCATATCCTTTGGAAACTGATTTATTTTAGTAAGTTAGTTAATAGGTCTTGGTTTTCGCTTGTTAATTTTTTCTGTAACAAATTTGAACATGACACATTTAATATTTTATATATTTCTCTGAAGTATTTATTTTTAGCTTCACTTATGAAAACTCTAAAATGAATCTTTTCTTTAAAAAAATGTGGCTAGAGGTAGTAGTATAAATGTATAATTTATCAAATGTCTCTTTTAATTCTTCTTTTAAAATAATTTGCCGTCTTTTTTATAGTTAAAAGAAAAACTTTTTTAGGAATAATGGTAAGGTTATATAAAGTTTGGAGAGTACTCAATAAAAATATGATTACGCGTGATTGGGAATCAACTCATTTGAGTGGAACTCTTAGACACTGCCTCCACAGCGTGGAGACTTTTAAATATAAAAACCAAATTATAAAAACAATTCACAACATGCATGCACGTTTGCTTTCTAATTGGAATGATTTCAGCTAATATCACAAATAGTGGTGACCAGCTGAAGTAAATGGAGACTGTACAAGTTTCTGTCAGTGTTTCTTCTCTCTAAGCGGAAATCAAGGTAAACACCCTCTTCTTCCAGCTGTGTGCTCTGAGAACATATATTCCACAATCTAAAAACATAGCCAAAAATATGGACTATATTCAAATATGTGTTTTATCAACAACTGAAAATCACCATATCTTGTCTTCTGAGGCAATGCTGTTATATACACAGATGTAGATAGAATATGAGCCTGAAATTTAACATTTTCTAAAATAAGCAGTAAAATCTGAACTCATAATTAGACCTCTAAAATATGACATCTTGTTTTTGAAATCACCATGACTGTTTTTAAAATTTATAATGTAGGAACTATGAACAAATTGGTATATACAAGACAGACAATGCCCTATCCTGGCAGTTGGCAAACAAACTGTTGGCAGACAGTTAGGGGTAGTGTTGTGGTACTTACTTGAAAATACTATATTTAAGAGAGAAAAACCAGTATAATAGGGCCTGATTGATTTATTTAGGATTACTTTGTCCAATTTAGCTGTTACAAGTGTATGGTGACTTCTGGAGTGTAGATGGTTATAATTTATATATTAGAAATATATACTGCTGGATCCTGTAATTGAAGAGAGATTTGTTGCCAACAGTGGGACAGATCAGAAACACCAGCGCTAGCTAAGACACGTAGTAAACTGGGGAAAAACATCAGTCGTTTAACTCTGTGCCTCCCTGAGTCTCTGATATTGTTAGTTCTTCGGGTGCTATGAAAATATGTTACTTTTTATGGAAAAAGAAAACTGCCTCTTAAATGAGAGATAAACATTTAACACTCTAATGATAGCAATAGCAGGATTCACCATACTAATAGAACTAACAGATGGGTTACATGAGAGATGGCCTTAGAGGTACCAGGGAAGCCACCCTGCTCCCAGGGCCTCTCAGGGTACCAAAACACTACCTGAAAAAATATGCTTTTTTTTAACTTTTAAATTAATTTTATTTTTAACTTTTACATTAATTAATTTATATTTAACTTTTAAATTAATTTTATTTTTCAGTGTCCTCTATAAATATGAAAATATCTCTGCAATGGGAAATGGGTAAACTGATACCAGCTAACATTTTACAAAGATATTTTAATAACTAGATAAAGCCAGATCACTTAAGACAACATTTTAGAAGGGGTTATTTTATACATATATATGTATAAAACATATGTAAAATATATGTGTGTGTGTGTGTGTGTGTGTATTTCATTCTTTACACATAAAAGTGAATATAAATAGATCTTTTGGTATTTCCTTCTTACACCATAATGGGCAATTTGTGCCCCACAATGAAGCAAAGAGGACACCCCCTTTTAGAGACCTCTGCTTTACAAGGTTGACACTATCAGAAGCTGTCCAGGAATTAGAAAAGGACATTTGAAATTATCTTTGCAAGGTTAGACCCAGTGAATATTTGCATTTAAAAGCTTGTCTTTTAATTACAGTAAAGTGGAGGATACAAGATACTCTTTTAAACAATCGAAGGTTGCCCATTGCCTCTAAAATCGTACTGAACAGATATTCAGCTTCTGTTAGTGTCAACCTTGTAAAGCAGAGGTCTTTAAAAGGGGGTGCCCTCCTTGCCTCATTGTGGGGCAAAGATTGCCTCATTATGGTGTAAGAAGGAAATACCAGAAGATCTATTTATAGTCACTTTTATCTGTAAAGAATGAAATCAAGTTTTGTGAATATTACTTAATACTATATCAATTAACGAAAGCACTCTTACTCAGGATATCAGATGGTCATGGAACAACAAAGAACGGCAGAGGTGACAGCATGTATGAAGCAAAATTAATGCAAGATAAAAATAATGACATTCTGCTAGGTGCAGTGGCACAGTTATAATCCCAGCTGCTAAGGAGGCTGAGGCTGGAGGACCACTTGAGCCCAAGAGTTTGAGGCTGTAGTACACAATGATCTCCCTTGTGAATAGCCCCTGCGGTCCAGCCTGGGCAACATACTGAGACCCCATCTCTAAAAATATAATAATAATAATGACATTATAATCAGCCCTGTTTATAAAACACCCCTGAAATTAACCAGAAAAAGATTTGAAATGTACAATTATATCTACTGTAATTGTCTATGATACTCATCCCAGTGTAGAGAGCTTTTAAGTATTTTTTAATGTATTATAAGTATGTATGTGTGTATTCAGACACACCCACACAAACCCACGCACACGCATACACACTTTTTTAAATCACAATTCTAAGAGGTTTGGAGACCTCAGACCTCAGACCACACATTACTGAGTGAGAGACGTTGAAAAGAATTGAGCAAGAAGCTGAAAAAGCTCTCAAATTAGTCACTATTTTCAATATTATTCTGTTATTTGTAGAGGTATTTCATAATTCCTCTTTTATGTATAAATGCATATTGTGCCCCATTATGTTTTGAAAATATCAGTAATCTGAGAGTTTAAAAAGTTCCATCCAACATTTTTTATGTATATTGTGTTATATTTTGAAGTTTTTCTTTGAAATTATATTTTTTCTTAGTAATGTTGTCAGTTGTTAACTAATGTTAAAGTTGTTTCCATGCTTTGAATTTCACAATGGAAGCAGAAATGATTCTATTTATTAATAATAATAATATATCTTTGTATAACCCTTGATTGTTTACAAGGTACTTCCACATCCATCACTTTCCTTAACCCTCACAGCAACCCAGTGAGGAAGATATTCTATCCTTCTACTCCTGATAAATCTGACTTACCTAAACTCACATAAACTTTTTAAATAAAGTTGTAACTCTTTGGTTTTAGAAGCAAAATTGATGAAAATGTTTAAAAGCTTAAGCTGAGATTAGTTGCCACATTAATTTGTCTGGACAATTTGCTTAGAAGTTTTTTACAATTTAATTATTCAGAATACCACTTATTTAGCCTAAATCCACAAGACCATAATTGTAGACTGTCTATGCACTCACTGTTTGTTTTTGGTAATAGTTAACTTCTTAGGGAATTTTTAAAGGGGAAACTGATTAAACTCTTTCACTTGTAGATAATTATTTCAGGTAAAACAGAAACAAAACTTACCTTTGAGAGTAAAAAGCACCAGTTCTAAATGGCACAAAGGGCTAACAGTGATAAATAATCCCCATATCTCTCCTTCTAGAAGGTTAGTCTTTTTTAACAGGGGAAATCACTGAAAGTGAAGTGGAACATCAGTCTCTGAACACGCGCAGGTTCTGATGTAAACCTCCCATGGCCCCCCCGACACCCCCAATCACCATTTGCATAGATTCTCCTCTAATCATAAAAGGTAAACTAGGTTATCAGTTTACTTTATTAAGTCTACTTATAGCCTGAAATCATCTGTTGAAGTCAAATTTTCTCTCTTCAGCCCTCCTTTTAATTAGTCCTACTAACCCAGTCATTCAAATCCGGGTATTACAATGTTCTAAGATATGCTATTTGTTGAGTTTGATTTCTCCTCTCTCACTCTGTGTGTGTGTGTGTGTGTTTATGTGCACATATGTGTAATAGACAAAGCCTTTCACATACCTTAGAGACAAGTTATCGGAAAAAGGAAATAATAAAACATATTTTCTTCAGTAAATAGAGCCCAATAAGAAAATTTGGGATTAGAAAAATAACTCAAAAGTTTATTAGAGACACATAACCCATGATATTGAAACATATTCCAATTATTATGGTAGCTGCAATCACTGAAAAATCAAGAAGCTGCAGAATCCTCTGTGAAATTAGTAGCAATTAGTAATTTACCTATCAAGTTGTTCCATTATAATGTTAATTATGTGGCATTCTTGAGAGGCAAGAGTTGAGGTTAGATCAGTTCTAAGATTTTTAAAATTATTTTTAAATTAGTTTTTAAAAATTGGATGAAACTGTACATTTCAGCAAAACAAGAGCGCCTATAAACATATATAAAAAAGATACTCCAAAAATTCCAAAGTTTAAAACCCTTTAAAATTTAATAAGAAAAATAAGTTCAGATAATGAAAGTATTTATACACTCAACACTTCAGCCAAACTCAGTCTATAATTTTTTAAAACATTTTCCACATTTAAAGTTTATTCACACGTACAAAGCAATGACAACCACCAGGCATTTTCGAGATCTCTTTTTCTCTTGGCAGGCTCTATCTTGTGTAATGATCACTGAACGTTGTTGACCGCGACACTCACCAGCTGCAGCCTTTTCCTTAGTGCTTCCCTTAAAAAAATAAAAAAGAGAAAAGAAAAAAAATAGGAGAAGAAAAACCACACCTAACTGTGTATCTTACTTCCTTGGGGGGGAAAGGATTACATAATTGTGGGTCTGAATTCCCATATTGTATCAGTACTTGTGGTTTGTCATCTCTCTAATTGTTGTAAGTTTACATGCTTGTATTATTTCATCACAATTTGCTATAAACTATTGAAAATGACTGTGGGATCTGTCTGTGTTGTTTGCCTTTTGAAAGTGTACTTTTCTTTAATCATCTCTTAATCCAGAAATAATAATGCAGAACATCCCAGGAACTGATCCTGATCCTCAGTGCTCTGATCTCAACACGTGCATCTTAAATCCTTTGCTAGATATAGTGCCTAAAAAGCCCAAGCACGCTCGGCTTTGAACCAGTGTTGATCAGTTTTGTTTATTAAACAATGTTGATGTCCTCAGATATGGTGTATGAAGGATAACAAAAAGCATATTAAGAATTTACAATTATTTTTGAGATTATTTTTTAAAATCGACATCTTGGCCTTTAACTCTGTGCTTCTAATCAGTCTCTAATTGAATAAGGTCCTAATCTTTTACCTGATAGGTAAATAAAGATGGAATAATCTGATGCTGAAACTCCTTCACATATCTCTGTTTTAAGAGCAAGTCAAGACGTGTTTTTTGCTGCCGAATAAAATGTTGCAACCAGTCTGAGAAACTGGCTTACACTATTTGAAGATAAATAGAACCTTTTTAATTTTAAAAGAACATTCATATCAATTATTTCATTTAATCTCATAACAATCCTGGGAATAATTGTCTCCATTTTGTAGATGAGGTAATTGAGCTTGAAGGGGATTAAGAGGCTCACTCAAAGTACCAAAGCCGATCATGGTTTAATCAGGACCTTTTCAACTTAGATCTTTGACTCAGATCTTACTCTAAGTTGAGTGATCTTTTTCTATTTTGCTTTGGCAGCCTTTAAACTGTTTCAAAACTTGAATAAATGAATAAATGCATGAATAAATGAATAAATACACGAATAAATAATAAAAATTACATAATCGTTGGTGGGGGGATGGTGGGGGAGTAAAGAACAGACCAAAAAATAAATTCAGGTGTTTGCAAGAAGACTCAATCCTGAATTGAAGAGGAACTCAGACATGAGAAGAGGTCACCTGAGACATTGAGCTATGAGCTAGGAGAGAAGAGACAGAGAAGGAAAAGGAAATGATATGTTTATTCTTTCTCCAAATCGTGAGATTGTGGACGTGAGGGCGATCTGGCTGCGACATTTGTCAACCCTTTGATCGCCAGGGTTGATTCAGCTGATCTGGCTGGCTAGGCGGGTGTCCCCTTCCTTCCTCCCTGCTCCATGTGCATCGCTCCCGAAGCTGTGCACTTGGCCAAAGAGAATGACCATCCCCGATGAAGGAGGACCGGTCTTTGGTCAACGGTATATGAGTAGCTGCGCTCCCCTGCCAGAACCTCCAAACAAGCTCTCAAATTACTAAATTATCAGGAACCACTGTCTTTGGAGAATATTTTCTAACCTTTCCGGAGGTGTTTTTGTGTGTTTTGGGGGGCCTTGGATTTTACAAGAGGGCTGGTAGAATAAATACATACTTGAAGACTGTTCCTTTTAAGTTACTTTCTTTTACAAAAACAAGTTAACTGCATACTTGTGTGCCCTCCCCTTTTTTCTGGAAATAATATTTCCAGGGCGTGGAAAGAGTTTAACCCTTTTAACTCTTTAAGGTCCCTGGTACATCTACTCACTCATCTATCTATGGATTATGTTAGCTTTATTACAGTTTTTAAAAATTACTATTTTGGTTTTGTCTTGTACTTTGGCACTGGAGGCCACCACACATTCTTTAATAGTATAAACACTTAGGCTTTAGTGCTGACCCATCAAAAGAACTGCTGGGGACCTTGGGGGTAAAGATGAGGGAGAGTTGAAGCTTCCAGACCATCAGATATTTGGGTAAATGTGGGATTAGGCCCACAGAATGAAGCATCACTTTTTTTACTCTATTCAATTTATTATTCTGTAGTAGTAATAAATGGTTTCTTCTTGATCTCATTTTATTTATTGGTAGTGTTTTTGCAAACTCTGTTAAGTATATGAACAAACTAGAAACTTTGGTGTAATTTTGAATCTTGTCACCGTCTCCTAAATAGTCCACTGGTCCATTAGTGGGCTTTGTGTTAAACACAAACTGCTTGGGGGAATAAACTTTTTTTTTTAATGTAAAAAAGGTAAGCTGGGCACGGTGGCTCACACCTGTAATCCCAACACTCTGGAAGGCCAAGGCAGGAGGATCTCTTGAAGCCAGGAGTTCAAAACCAGCCTGGGCAACCAATGGAAACCTCATCTCTACCAAAACTAAAAAAATTAGCTAGACATGGTGACACGTGCCTGTAGTCACAGCTACTTAGGCGGCTGAGGTGGGAGGATTGCTGGAGCCTGGGAGGTCAAGGCTGCAGTGAGCCATACTTGCACCACTGCACTCCAGCCTGGGTGACAGAGCAAGACTCTGTCTCAAAACTAAAAAAATAAAAAAACTAAAGAAGGTAGAGAAAAGAGAAAACTGAAATAGTATGGATATAATAATAGTTCTTAGAAAAAGAAAGGATATGGGCAATGTCTTTCATTCATACCTCTCCCTAAATAGAGGTTTAAAATATTAAAACTTGGTAGTCAGTGAAAATTAAAGATTAGAAAGTTCTAACAAAATCCTAGAGATGAAAATCCTACTGCTGCTATTACCAGATTATAGGTCTTCATAGTTTGGGAGTTTCAAAATAAAAATACAGGAGAATCACGAGATTGGAAGAGACAGACCCACCCATCACCTGGCTATTCAAGTGCAGTCCATGAACTGTCAGCATCAACGTCTCCTGGGAGCCCGTTAGAAAGGACCATTCTCAGGACTTACCCCTGACCTGTTGAACCTGAATCTTCATTTTAACGGGAAAAGAGCGATTTCTGTGCGCATAAAGATTTGAGAAGCACCCGTCTATGCCATTCCTGTGCTCAGATCAGAATAGATCCTAACCAAACCAAAATTTACATGATTTCAGAGGAAAGAGGCCCTCCTGAGTAATACGCTATTTTTCTTATCAGGACATTTTTGTGTTCTTAAAGACAGAAAAATTATACCAGGCTCCCGGACCATCCAGCACATGCCATCACTGTATGGCAGCCATGCCAGTGGATATCCGTGATGTCCCCTTCATCAGATTAGAGATATGCTTCCAGACTACTTAGGTTTCACACAATAGCCTATTATATATAAGTTTAGCACCCATAAAATTGTCAAAAGCATTCATATTTTATTTGCTATTAAGCCTATATTCTCTTGAAACAAATTCTACACATCAGCAACAATAGTTAACTTGAATGTTCTTTTTCATTTATTCGTTGTGCACCCACAAAATGTCATGAGTATCTACTTAATGTTGGGCTCTGTGGTCAATACTATCTATCAGTTATAGTACTTGTAGATATATGTAGGATTCCTTTTCTACCCTTAGGAAACTCCAGAATATGTACAAACAATTTAAGATGGTCTTCAATAGAAATATGAGCATAAAAAAGTGCACAGCCAAATTTTTCTGTCATTGTTGAGGACTGAGTCTTAAAGAATGAGTAGACGTTTGCCACCCAGAGAGGCAGTAAAGGCATCCTAGCAAAAGAAGTAGCCTGTGCCCAGGCTAGAGGCACTTGCTGGGAATATGAAGCAGAGGGTGAGGAGCTTGTAGGAAATGAGTGTGGTAGAGTGCAGGGCTTGAGAGTGAAGGACCTCATGGGCCGTAGACTTCATCCTCTCGGTAATGGGAAGCCATCTTACTTTTAATTTTTTCGAAGAGTGAAACAGATTTTTGTTTGTAAAGATGCCAGTGTCAGTACTGTAGAAAATGAATGAGAGATATTGGAAATGGGTATGAGAGCAGTTAGGTGAGATGCAATAAGTGGATAATTTGAGGCTTTGGCAATTTGGATAGAAAAGAGAACAAATTTGGGAGAATACGCAGCAAGTAGAGTGGCAGGATTTGAGGATTAATAGGACATGGGGATTGAAAAGTCAGATAGTGTGGAAGTCCCTAGTTTCATAATTGGAAAGATTGCGCTGCTGCACTGGCATGTCCTGATTTTCATGCAGCATCTTCGTTTATGCTTCAGCCGCCTCGTCAGGACCTACTGTTCACTTCAGTCAACAAACATGGAAACCGAGGCTCGGAGCAGTTGCATCATCTGCCCACAGTCACAGTGGCATGGAAGCATTCTGGCAGAGGAAGGAGTGGAGCCCAGATTCAAATTCAAGCCTGACTCTCAAGTCTGGCTTGCAGAGGTGTCCGCTGAGTTATTTTACACTCTTGAGGGTTAGGTGCCTGGGCTTCAGAAGGAGAACGAATTTGAAGCTAAGAATTAGCCTTGAGGGTTTGGTAAACAGCCGCCCCTAACTTCTTTGCACAATACAGAAATCTTAGGAATTTTTCTGATGGGAGTATTTCAGATTGCTTTGCTGTCTGCTGTTAGCTTCTTGAAAACAGTATAATTCAGCAAATATTTATCTAATGCCTACTTTATACAAGAAAACTAAAAACAGCTATGTAGGGAATATAAAGGGGAGTAAAAAGTAATTTTTGTTCATAAACTTGTGTTATATAAGCCCCATGAAGAGCTTTTTTATAAGGACAAGAAAAATAAAAAAATAACTATAATTCAAGTGAGACGAGAAAGTAACATAAGAAACAAAGTCTTTGGTTTCACCAGAGGACTGTAATTCCACCTTATTGGCCTCTAAGGTTCCCAGGGGACTTGCAGTAGGCACTTAATAAACACTGGTTGACTTATTGACAGTGTACAGGGAGAGCTCAGATAGCAAACCATCTAAGTAAACACCACACTGTCGCAATCCTATTAAGAATTTCCCCGGAGATTTTATAGCGCTCTGTTTTGGGTATCTCACTCCGGAAAGTCAGGAAGCATCCTCCCTCTGTAGGAACACTTCCTACTTTTCAAACTGCTTCCTTCAGTGGAATGGCTTTGTCAGATATGCCTTTATGTTGCTGAGCTCCAAGCTCCTTTCCCTAAAACCATGCTGACAATGGGGACTGGCTGGGCGAGCCGGAGAGCCTCTAATCCGTTTCATCTGATAATGGACGTCAGAGCATCTGGTGTCCTCCCTGGATTTAACACTGGCCAGTTATTCCTCACCTGACCTGACTGCCGGGTCTTGGTGAGCCAGTGCCTGTCTTCCAGTCCCTGTGGCTTGGCAGCGTGTCCCTCTTAGTGGGTGATGGTTGCAGTTAACTCAGATGAGGCAGGTTCCCAGGTGCAAAGACTGGGAGACCAGTGTTTGTCTTTCTGCTGTCTCTTCCTCAGTGTTCTCATCTGTTAAAAGTCCCTTCTGGTTCCAAAATCCCATGACTCTGTATGGCTTACTCTTCACGTGAGCCCTTGCTGAAATGTTCCTTCTTCAGAGGGGGTTTCTTGACTACTTAGCCTAGAAGGGCCCCTTCTTCCCCAGTCTTCACCTCTCTACAGGTCCTCTCTAGTCCCTTAGCCTGTATCATTTTCTTTAGAGTGCCCTCTGGGATCATTATATTAATTATACTTTGTTCTTTACTTGTTTTTCATCCCTCTTATCCACTGAGTATAAGCTCTACGAGCTCAAGATCTTCACACATCTTGTTCGCTGCCTCATTCGCAGCACGTCAGGCAGTGCCTAGTACACAGTAAATGCCCTACTTGTATTTGTGGAATTACCCACTCCATAATCCCACCACACTTGCTCTTTTCTGTTGTCACTGCCTTATTGGTGGGTATCGCTTACTACATCACTGGAAGCTGGGTTATAAAAGATTTCTTTGATGGAAACTTTAGGGAGGATGCAACCCATGTGTTTAACAGACATTGCCAGTAGAATCACCAAGGCAGTTTTTAAAACCAGGTTTGTTATAAGAACAGAAACATCTTTGAACTTGAATCATGTTAAGTACCTTGTCTTGTTAATATGGTAAGTAGAACTAGAAACACCTTTTGAATGTTGAAGATCCTTTAAGAAGATAGTACATATGGCCTGAGATAGATGGAAAATATGCAGAAATTCAAGGTCGTGCCTGAATGAAATGATTGATAGTTTTTTAGAATCTTTTTTTCTTGCTGTAGTATTCTGTTTTAGTCTTTCAGTTTTATCCTTGCTGTTACTAGCAAACAAAACCAGTAGTTATCTCAATTCAGAAGAGATAGTGATGGTTCGATTTGATCCATCAGTATTTAGTGAGCATTTAACATGTGTATTGCAAAATGTATGAAAAGATTGCTGACCTGCCCTGTAGAGTATTATACATCAAAGCTTGGTGTCCATCCTAAAGACGCTGCCAGTCACTTCCTTACTCTCTCTAGCCTGGTTTTCTCAACTGTCTCAGTGACTGCAGTCAATTCCCTCCTGGTCTTTTCTTCACTGAGCTCACCATCTGCCACTTCCCTGCTGGTGCCTGTGTAGTTCGCTACATTCCGGATTATTCCATTGCCTTTAGAATTCCTCCAGGGATGGTGCTTCTTTCCAAATAAGTGCCCAGTAGCATAAGTTATATGGTATTTGGCAGGTGTGAGTTTGTAGGAAGGCTCACAGGTTTTATTTAGCCTATCTGTTTGGATACAGTTTATGAAGAGGTCTGGTCACATATACCAAATAGTAATATTTTCTTGTCAGATTTTCTTCATACCTTCTGTATCTGTCTTTCTTAATTCTGTTTCCTGCTCATTTACCATAACAACCACTTTCCAGGACGAAAATATGCCTTTGGACTTCTTTCTTCTCTGGGTACTTTCAACAAATGGGTTGGCCTCAAATAATATGCATCCCTTCACTTAAAATTTAAGTTCAAAGAAGCAACTTCT
This sequence comes from Homo sapiens, assembly GCF_000001405.40. Lineage (NCBI taxonomy): Eukaryota > Metazoa > Chordata > Mammalia > Primates > Hominidae > Homo > Homo sapiens. The sequence continues at coordinate 121,055,829 of NC_000004.12, read as the reverse complement.
GGGGTGCGTGTGTGTGTGTGTATGTGTGTATGTATTGCCTTTCTCTAATATGTCTCTTCAACCATCCATGTATCTGGCGGATCCCATTTCCCACCATGATAATTGAAATCAGTCTTTTTATTTTTTTAGCCACACTTCCTACTAATTTCCACTGTAGCCTCTCCTCATTTATGTTTCTCATCATTTAAAGAGAATGCCTTCCTCTTTTTCTCCTTTCTTCTAATACCTTCTTAAATATAATAACCAGTTTTTAAAACTGCATCTAAGATAGACAGCTATTCAGGCTATTTGATGCCACCTGAAAATTCTGCTTAACTAATTTATTTCTCTCATTTCTTCCACCTTTGCAGTACTTTCTGTTTGTCATTTTATCATATGCACGTTCCTATAATCAATGTGTTATTTTTTATTCCTCTTTTTTCCTCACTTCCTTCCTCCAACTTACCAGCACATTCTGGCAATCCAACTGCAAAGCATATCCCCAGTTTTTCCATTATTCCTCATCTCCTCTACAAAGCTGAAAAAACCACCATCTCTACCATGGACAACTGCAGTAGCCTTCATCTGATCTTTTTGTTTCAGAAAGATGAAGTTGTTTTCTGCTTTTAAAACTACCACTTCACTGAAATCCATTTTCTGCACAATAGACAGGGTTATTCCTAAAAAAGCTTGGATCACTTCATGGCCTTTCTGTGCTTAAAGAGCTTTCCACTCATGCCTGTAATCCCAGCACTTTGGGAGGCCAAGACGGAAGGATCACCCGAGCCCAGGGGTTTGAGACCAACCTGGGCAACGTGGCAAGATCCCTTCTATACAAAAATAAAAAAAAAAACCTAGCTGAGTAAGGTGGCACACACCTGTAGTCCCAGCTACTCAGAAGGCTGAGGCGGAAGGATCTGTTGAGCTCAGGAGGTAGAGGTTGCAGTGAGCCATGATTGCACCACTGCACTCCAGCCTTGGCAACAGAGCAAGACCCTGTCTCAAAAAAGTTGGCAATGGGGGCCTTCCCAACACGCTTAGAACAGAATCCAAACCCCTTAATATGGATGTGAATCTCTATGTGATTGGCACTTGGTCTTCCATTCTTCCCTCACCCACTGTGTTCCACAGTGATGTCCTTTCCTTTTGTCAATACCTCAAGCTTAGTGCAACCTTGGTGCCTTTGCACCAGCTATTTCTCTGCCCAGAATGCTTTTTCTCCTGACATTTATTTGCTTCATTGGCTTCCTCTTGTCATTCAGATGACAGCATAAATGTCATCTCCTCAAGGAAAACTTCTCTAAATACTCAATCTAAAATGCCCATCACCACACTGTCTTTCACAGAAGCCTATTTTAATTTTTAGCATAGCTAGCAGCAATAGTATTTTCTTGTGTATCTGTTTATGTGTTGCCTGTCACTCCCACTAGAACACTCACTTCCTGAGGTCACCACTGTTCCTAGAAGAGTACCTGGCATGTAGCAAAAATGTATTATATAGATATTGAATTAAAAAAATAATGAATGAGTAGAAATGCTGACATTGGACTCTGTTGGCTGGGCAGGTACATTTTGCCCCATAAATAGATTCTAAGTTCCTAAGATACATATTTTTTCAGACCTCACATTACCCAGTTGAGTTTGGAGTATGACATCGATATTTGACAAAACTCTTATTCTCTTCATTTTTTGCTCTTTTGGCCATATTTAGGTTTTGGTATCCTAAGAAATCCATGGAGTGACTTACTGAAGAGTTAACTTCTTGGATAAATGGCTATAAAAAATCAAATTTTTATGGTGCTACACACTGCAGTGACTCAATATTTTTTTATTGACCACAACAATTCATGCCTCACCTTCCAGGCTGATACGTGCTGTTGCTGAATGCTACTGGCGCGCTGCCATGCTCCATCTTAGCTAAATTTCAGTAGAGAATGAGGTATGCAGTTTGTAAACTGCTTTGGGGAATGTTGCACAGGAAGTCATTTTCATTTGGTTGCAGATCAACAGGAAATAAGGCTTAGTTGCCAAACAAAAGCAAGAAAAGCAACCAAGCATATTATTCCTTCCTTTGGGGCTTTCATTATTCTAAGAATCATTAGCATCACCTAAGACAGTGGAAGTTATCCCAGCTATCTCAGTTTCACATATAGAGGACATTTTGATAGGAAGAAGGTATTTAGTATTCTGTTCCAGTTTTTCTTTGCATTCTCCCATACACTGCTTTTGAACTTTGTCATATCTTCTAACCATCCATCTGATACATTTTAAGAGTTCTACTCCTTTCTTTACTAAAATGGGTCTGGCTTCCTGAATTACAGACTACTCCTATCTATGAGACATTTATTTCGGCCAGTTCTGTTATTCATTATTCTTCTCATTGGCATTAATATTGATGGGAATACAAGATTACTTACTTTAAAATCTGATCCTCTTTGAAGTAATTCTGATTGTGTAGGCTTGGCCATCTTTTAAATTAGAATGCCCTAACGTTATCCCTGTTAGGAACTCTGCATCATGAGACTCAGAGGGAGCGCATGACAGAATGGAAACTTTATTCGAATCCTTGGCATGTTTTAATTTCACATTGCTTTTTTATATTAATTTAATTTCCTTCCAGAAGGAAAGTTGGCAGTCATTTAGAGAAGTGCTAAGGGAGGTTGGAATCATTGCAGTTGAAATGCATGTGCAGGTCCCTAATCTGTAGATTATTGACATAATGAACTCTAAAACTCTTAATAATCATGTCACTGTGTACTGACAGCCTGCATTTAGAGAGCTTTAGTGCACGAGTTCTGTACATAATGTCGGCTCTACTTCATTGGGTTGGGTAGAAGTTGGCATGTTATCGCAGAGTGAGAGCTCACCTAGCATGTGCCAGAGACCACTCGTCAGGGCAGACCAGGAATCCTTTACTTCCATCTGCTTTATTTCTCCCTTTTCAGGTATGGAAATGTCAGCCCATAATATGCTGTATTTCCTTCAAATTTTTAACAGATTTGGATTTTTAAGAACAACTAACTTCAGACATTTTCATTGTTTGCAAAAGAAAACAAAATAAAACACCTTTTGGGAATTCAACTTTTGATTGCTGCATTTTTGCCTCGAAGGAATCCGTACATCCACGCTGGCACATGTTGGACATTCAGTATTAAAGTGTGCAGTCCTCTTCGCTTGCTGCCCAGCAAGTCATGGCAGACACACGGCTCTTCCCCTAACTAAAGCTATATATTTTTTTCTTACACCTGGACCAAATGCTTCAGATTTATTATCAAATGTGACATGGATGATTCAAACAAAAACAAATGCTCTTGAGTTTGAAAATAGAAATTTAAAAGACTAAATATTTGCATTTAGAAAGGAAAAGAAAATAACAGAAATCTCTGTGGCAGACCATTCCTTGAAATTATTCTCGCCAAATTATAATCATGCACTTTCCACTCTCTTTAATTAAACATTAGATTTCATTTATTCTCTATACATTTGCTTCAAGTAAATCAGAATGCCCATCCTTTTTTGTCATTGTAAATGTATTTCAACTTCGTGGCCTGCACATGATCAGGCACATTAGATAATTTTTAAGCGAATCTCAGTGATACTATATATTTTTTCAAATTTTATACTTTATGTTATATTTATAGTGATGAATCTGATCTTAAATTTTATAATATGTAAAGTGTGTAAGAGCTTGATGACATTTTTCACAACTACATTTATACATTTCTGCAAAGAACTTGTTGGTGATAGAGGGATGGAGGAATTTGTTTTGATCATATTATCACAGGTAGGTAAAGCTGTTGGCTGCTGTTCTGAGGAAGCTACAGTGATGAGAAAGGTCACAGTGCATTAATTTATATCACGTCTTCTATTTTGAGAGCCTTGGACCTTTACATGAAAGCCCAAAAGAACTTTCTATCTACCAGATTTGCAATTGTTTGAATTGCTCAGATAATATAGCCAAATAGCAGTCTATAACTATTAAAGACAAGCTTTCTAGTGGTTGAAATAAGAGTCTGCTCTTAAAAGTCTTAATTGTTTTATGTGGTAAAACCATTTAGTGGATTTTTAAGGAAAAAAAATTAGCCAGATTTATTTCTTATCACTGTTCATACAATTTCAAAGAATAAATGTTAACTAACTGAACCAGTGGTTTAACCCAGATGGGTAAATTGACTAGTTGATCTTATGTAATTGCAGATAAATTTTGCAAAATGACAGCAGTAGAACTGCTATAGACATTCTGGGGCAAGTTGAATTTTTGTAGGGTATGTTGTGCTTTTTTGTGATGATAGAGGTAATTCTGGGTATTTAATTGATACAATGAATTACTCAAACTCCCTTTAAATTTTTACTTTGCTTACCATTGACCATTTTATAATTTACAAGCATTTCCACAGGTTTGTGGGAAAAAGATATGCCAGGTCAGTTGGACAGTTTATTTTATCTAAAAGTTCCATAGAATATGAAGTTTAAATTAATGCTAAAGAAAGGCTTAGAATTGTCTGTACATGTTCAATTATCCATCATGTGCTCCACTCCCTACTCCTTGCAGAACAATAAAAACGCTTTAAATCTATTCACTGACATTTTCTTTAAAACTGGAGGAAATGAAGGGGAGAAGCAAGTTCCCATCACCATAGTCCTAAAACATTAGAAAGAATCCCTTCTCCATATCTCTTGGGTTGTATAGTATTTACCTGCTCGCAAGAAAGTGGGCAGCAGATGTTCCATTTTTATATTTAAAAGTTTCCTCTTTGGGGACTACTACTTATTTGCCTTAACTCCAATATCAGCTGATTGAACTCATAATGTTTCCACATTTTTGATCTAAAAATATGTGTGTGTATATATTCATACACCATATAAACTAGTTATTTACTTTGGATTATCCAAACCCATCTCTACCTTTGTAAGTATAGACTATATGGTTAACCTTTGGACAATTTTATTTCCCCTGTAGGATATTGGCATTCCAAAGAAAAATCTCATATCACCAATAATCTATTTTCTAAAGATTGAGTTGTATCAAATCATTAGGTCATTTTTATTTTCTCACCTCAGTTTTAGCAGGATCTGAGGACTTGTGCCAAATGTGAAGAAGGCCTTTGACAACACAAAAATAGCAGAATTATAGATTGCATCTATATCTTTTATTCATTAGAACTTTTCAATTGAAACAAAGTCAATTTTTTCAGTATCAGAGTAACACTACCAAGTTCTTTTGGGTTGTGGATACTGTGCAACCAAGTTGATCTGCCAAGCAAAATAAAAATATTTGGAATTATCCTAGCAACTTTCAGCTTATGTTTGAACTAAAGCCTCAATTGTAGAAAGATAGCAAGATTTGTTGCTGTGCAAACACATTTCCTACATCATCCACCAGATGGCCATGAAAAAAGAAAGTGCTTAAAGTGAAACTCTGATTGATGTTATTTAATGTAAAGTTTAAATCTAGATAAGCTCTGCCTACCTAGAAGTAACAAAAAGAAATGAGAGGAAAAGTTATGCCATTAGAGGGCACTTTTGTAATCTTAGAAAAAAAGTCTGTTCTTATAAAGCAATTTAAGGCTTATGCTTAACAAGAATGAATTTTCATTTGTTTATTCTCAATGACTAATTCTTAAATTGTATATCTGAGACAGAACATTTTATTGTTAGGGAAAAATGTGTAAAATCTTAAAACCACCATTTAAATAATATTTATGTAAAGCTTCAATTTTTTATCAGTCAATATAAGTTGTAAAAATATATACAATGTATCTACACAGTCATTTTTTGATTAGCTATATTCAATGCTCCTTGTAAATACATTTTAACTTCTGCCTGTAACCTGACCAAATTGAACAAGCCATCAGTGCTCCCTAATATTTAAGTTTTTCCCCAACAGTAGTTGCATGTTATTAGATAATATTTGTAGAACCAGAATCTGACAGAGTATAAATTCCTGTGTTTGGGGTCCATACAAATTTTTAAAACTTTTTTGAAAAGTATGTTTTGCCCATAATTGGCATAGCAATTGAGATGGTTAAAACTGTTTCAGAAACAAAAAATGTGGCCTGATGGAATTTTAGTTTGGGAAATATGATGTTTTTGATAAAGCAAAAGATAAAGTTTCAGTCCATTATCTATTGGTGATTGTCTAAATAAAAATATCTACCTGAGCCAATAAAGTAGGTAAACCAGTAAAATAGTTTAATAAATAGAAGCTTAGTGTCAAAGACTATGAAAGACTTGAGATTTTAGCCCACTTGCAAGCTAATAAATTAGTCTGTCATAGTTTCATGGATGCTAGAAGAAGGCAAGATACTCCTGGGTCAGAGACAAAGGACTTTATTACTCAGAGTGACGTATTACTCAGGCAGAGTATCATTATTTTCTTCCACTGGCTCCCTGACCCCCACTTCCCACAGGATGATGCAAAGAGGGCCAGCGGGCACTGGGCCATGTTTGGATTTTATTACAAGAGAGGATCCCTGAATTTAGGGACCTAAAATCTTCTATAATCGGTGGTAGCCATGCCTGCTCTTTGCTCCAGAGGCTTTATCTGCCAAGACTGCTCACTATACAAATATCCTTGAAAAGATAATGTGGAACAAAAGCAGTCAGTACTTCTGCTCCCAAGTACTTGCAAAAGCAAACACAGAGACCCATGGAGAATTGCCTCCCAACACTTACTCTGCATAATCCTATAACTTGAATTTGTTTACTAATATTAATTTGTTAAGTAGCTGAACTGGAGAATATATAATAATCAGATTTACCATATTTTAAGCCACCTATAATAAATAGTTCATATTTTTTACATCAGATAGTATTTACTGTATGACCTTACTTATCTAAGTCTCACTTTGATCATTTTTAAAATGAGAAAAAAGAATAGTGCCTACATTATAGTGTTGTTGCTAGCATTAGATGAAATAATATATATAAAGAACTTAGAAGAATGCCTGGCATGTGGCATGTATACAACAAAATTTATTAATATTGTTTTTATCTCAGATTTTTTTTTCTTTTTTTGAGACGGAGGCTCTGTCGCCCATGCTGGAGTGCAGTGGCGTGATCTTGGCTCACTACAACCTCCGCTGCCTGGGTTCAAGCGATTCTCCTGCATCAGCCTCCCAAGTAGCTGGGATTACAGGCGCCCACCACCACACGCAGCTAATTTTTGTATTTTTAGTAGAGACGGGGTTTTGCCATGTTGGCCAGGCTGGTCTCAAACTCCTGACCTCGTGATCCACCTGCCTTGGCCTCCCAAAGTGCTGGGATTACGGGCGTGAGCCACTGCGCCCAGCCAGAATTCATTTTTTATAAGTATCTGATTTAATAGAGAGTTCTTTCCTAGGGCAGTTGAGGATGCAGGGAAAGTTCCTATCAATCGACACTATTTTTCCAACTCGGGCTGACCTAAATATCCCAGATACCCTGGGTCCTTAGGCAGCTTGTCCTGCTAAGTCATACTGTGGCACCGTGGTTGGCAGCTTTGTGGGCAAACATGGGGCCTAAGGAGGTAAGCCTTGAGTGGCTCTGAGGCAAATATGCCTGTGTATCTCGCTTTCAAGTGCTCTGATAGCATGTTTGCTAAATTTCTAACAAGTACAGAAAGCGAAATTCTAGCTATTTCTAAAGAGATTTTCTTCTTTATTTGGCCTCGTCTGTTCTCACAAGGCAAGTTTTGGGGATGGTACTACAAAGAGAAATAAACTTGTAGAATTGCATGTGGCATGTCTATGGTATTTCTAAACAGAGGCAGCATAGCAAATGCCATTTGGATTTTCAGTTTCTGTTAGCTCCAAACAAAAGAGGAGCAGAGGGGAGGGACAGACAGCAGTGAGGGAGGTCCCATTCAGGTCAGTCCACCATGTCCTTGCTTGGTTAGATTATATCAACCTAGTCTTGATTTTGATCCATCCAGCCATCTTTTGCAGACATAGCCCTTGTCTACTGTTAGCAACTCTCATGAGCTCCCACTGACATCCCCAAGTTCTTTTGGATTTCTCCTTGACAATCATCTGGATATCTGAGGGAGAGATTACTTCAGGCAACTTAAGAAGGCCTGGTCTTATTCTTAAACTGCCAGCTTTTTAGGAAGAAAAGTTTATTCAGTCTCAGAAGCATTGCTGATTATAGATCACCCATCCAAACTCTTCAAAAAACTGAGGTCCGGAGTGGCTAGGTGAATTGCCTAAGATCACACATCTAGTAAGGAACTGAAGCTAAACATCAAGTTTCTTAGCTCTCAGTTGAATTTTCTTACACTTGCAATACAATTAAGAAATAAGAGTGGGAAAGAAAAGCCTCATAATAAGTTATTATGGCTTTCTGGAGAGATATTACAGAGGATGAACACTGGGCTCTGCAGTCAGATCCACCTGTATTTGTATCCTTTCTCTGCTTACCTAATGGAGTTTTGTTTTTGCATAGGATAGCAGCTACTTCACAGGCTTATTGTGAGGACTAAAAGTAGTAATGCAACTCGTGAACTTAGAACAGTGCTTTGCACATAGTAGCTCTAGATCACTGCAGATATTTTGTATGGAAAACCGCAGAACACAGAACAGCAAAGAATATTTGGAGAAAAGTAAAATGCATTTTGCACAAGCTCGTTGTGAAAAATCCAACTCTCATGTCCACATTGTAAAAAAGAGAATGTTATTTCTTTCAAACTATATATTTTTGCAATCTGAATCTATTTTTGATAGCATTCAAAGAAAGATAAAATTAAAATCAAATGATGTTTTAAGTAGAGGTTGATTATAGTAATGTCCATTTAAAAATAAAACTGGCATTCACTTCATCTTGAATTATCACAAATATTTGCTATTTAAAGTACCTCAATGTAAAAACACTATATTTCTCTAATGCTTTAATTCCCTGATGTATGTTAAGTCAAAGAGGTAAAGGAAAACAATTCTTTACATATTTCTTTCTGTGAGGAAAAAAAAATACCAAATGGTCAGAGGAAGCAAAGTTTTTTCATGAGACCTGTCATGTCAAGGAACTTGCCTACCTGGGGCTTCCTGTTGGGAACACCAAGACATGTGGAAGACAGTGTCTTTGACAACACCCCTACAGCAATGTGCAGTAGAGAATGATCCATCATTACTTAGAGGATCTTTGATGAAAGTCAGTGACAAATGCCAAAATGTAACTCAGTGAAAGTACTCTCTGCTGGAGGTTAAGACAAATGTTCTAAATATACACCTTTCTGGCTTGATGTGTGAGTGAAGGTTCAAGCCCATTTTCTAAAATGATAGAGGTGTATATGTCAACGTTGTGTTGAAGACTCTGGTACCTGATAACAACTAAACATCAACTAATAACTCATCTTGTGATTCTGGACAAATTGCTTAATCTGTGAAGGAGATGAAGTTTATGATTTATAAAAATCCTTGACTTATGAAAATTTGATCTTGGAAAAAGCATAATACTACGTAGAGAGTTATATATGTATAACCCCTAGTCAGATTTTAGGGAAGAATAAAAATAATTGAGCAGTGATAATTTTCTGGTTCTCAATGAGTCTCTGTGATTTATGTTGAATGTAATAGTTCAACCATATCAGCAATTAGCAACTTGACTGCTGAGCAATGATACCAACCAACCATTGGTATAACTTTTATAATAGTTCAAAAAACTGACCTTAAGAGATTATTTTCGTGCAAGCTTTGAGACATTGATATAGCGTTATCTACAATGTCCATATAGGCTTCTGCTGTAATGAAGTGAGGATTTTCTCTCTGAATACCCAGAGAAGTTAATGCAGCAAGAGTCTTTTCATTTCAAAATCTTTTTAATGTCTGAAATTCTAGTGAATTTATTTTTAACATCATGAAAATGTTTGAAGAAAAAATATAGTAAAGTTGCCTTGAAGATCATGTGTATGTATCCAAAATACATGATGCGTCCCTAAATTTCCATCAAAGCTAAAATAGTGTTAACCCTTTAGAAAGTCTGTGACTTGCCTGAGTGTCTGCCTGCAGAACTAATAAAGTAGTCATTTCTGTTGCCTCAGGATGGTGCTGCTCCACTGGTGCCTGCTGTGGCTCCTGTTTCCACTCAGCTCAAGGACCCAGAAGTTACCCACCCGGGATGAGGAACTTTTTCAGATGCAGATCCGGGACAAGGCATTTTTTCATGATTCGTCAGTAATTCCAGATGGAGCTGAAATTAGCAGTTATCTCTTTAGAGATACACCTAAGAGGTATTCTCCCTGCAGTATTTTCTTTATTAAAAAGCTCACAAAGGATGCCTCCAAAAAAGAGAGTAACCTTTAGACTTAGTTTAGGTAATTTACAAATCAACCTATGAATGGCATTACCGATTTTCTGTAAGTAAGGGGGAACATGGCAGTGCAACTTCTAATTATGAAATAGAGGCTGTTTGATTCTTGCTGATTGTCATCTCCTTTTGCGTGTAGGAGGCAATGCTTGCATTTCTTACATTTTGGAATGATTATTTTCTTCTTTTCAGTACAGGAGGATTTTTTTTTTTTTTTCCCTGAGACGGAGTCTCGCTCTGTTGCCCAGGCTGGAGTGCAGTGGCACAATCTCGGCTGACTGCAAGCTCCGCCTCCTGGGTTCACGCCATTCTCCTGCCTCAGCCTCCCGAGTAGCTGGGACTACAGGCGTCCTCCACCACGCCTGGCTAATTTTTTGTATTTTTAATAGAGACGGGGTTTCACCATGTTAGCCGGGATAGTCTCGATCTCCTGACCTCGTGATCCGCCCTCTTTGGCCGCCCAAAATGCTGGGATTACAGGCGTAAGCCACTGCGCCCGGCCTCAGTACAGTAGGATATTTCTAAGAAGGATTCTGTAGGATTAAAGTGAAATCAATTTTCATGAATATGTATGATTCTTCAAGAGTTTGCATTAAGTTTTGTTTCTGAGACAAGGTCTCACTGTGTTGCTCAGGTTGGAGTGCAGTAGCACGGTCATGGCTCATTGTAGCCTCAACATCCCGGGATGAATCAATCCTCCCACCTCAGCCTCATGAATAGCTGGGACTATAGGTGTGTGCCACCTTTCCCCTCAAATTTTTAAAATTTGTAGTAGAGATGGTGTCTCACTATGTTGCCCAGGCTGGTCTCTAACTCCTGAGCTCAAGTGATCCTCCTGCCTCAGCATCCCAAAGTGTTGGGATTACAGGCATGAGACACCACACTTAATGCATTATGTTTTATGAGTATAATATTTCTTCAACAAATATTATCATATTCTGAGAGAATCAAACTAAACAGTCATAAAAACTGACACGGTTTATTTACCTTTACTCCAACATCAACAAATTGGGCTCACATAAAGTTTCTAAATATTTTGACCTTTAAAATATATATATATATAAAATAAAAATAATATGTTATAAATTAATTACATTTAAAGTTACCTATTTTGTAGTGCTCAAACTCTTCTCCCTTTGTAAGTTTAGCACACACAGTTAATCTTTGGATAATTATATTTCAAAACCAGTTGCTCCTTCTAACCTGGGATACAGTGAAATTCCAAAGGATTAAACTGTTTCAGAACATCAATAACCCATTTTCTAGAGATTGAGATATATCAGATCATTAGTCATCTTTTCAGTTTTGATTAACAGTAATCATGGAAGATGGTGGTCTGAACCCCTTCCACTCAATGGCCCAGTCTTATCTCCATCTGGTTAGTCAAAATGATGATAGGTGATCAGTTTTCCTACATTAACTAGAGTGAACTATTGTTCGGATTATCATTTTGGCACTGCTCGAGTAAAATTATTTGTTTGCATGAACACACTAGACTAGTAACTGACTTGTCAATAACATATAAAATAATTTTGAATCTTTAAATGACATTCATGGGAGTGAAGGCAGAAAAGGAAAGGATGATTACATTGAAGGAACTTGCTCTCTTGGTCCTGACTAAAATTGAGTCTGTGAAAACAGTAAAAGGCATACAAAGCAGTCATAATACTTCAAGTTAATCTTAACTATTAACTGAGTTCTTGCTGGGCACATTTGGCTTTTCATATTATTTTGTCCTTTGAAATTTACGTGTGAGTGAAATCAAATCAAAATTTTTCTGTAGAAATTACTTTCATTTCCCAAATGCACTTGGGCACTGCCTTCTTTGCAATATACTTTAAATACAGCATTCCACATTATGTAATCCAATCACTTAATTAAATGATTCATCTTTCTTTAGTCTTCCAGTTTCTTAAAAATTAAATAAGTTTTGCCTGTAAGAGCTGTTTTAGAAATTACACTTTTAAAGTAAAGCGCCATGTTTTTATTAAGAGACATTATAAAACAACATTTTCTCTTTTTATTTCTCTCATTTATTCATTCTTTATATTTATCTTTTTTCCGCCAATGATTATTGAGGCCCTTGGTATCCACAATAGGAAAAAATGTTAACATACACTAGTAAAAGCAGACTTATGCTAGTAAAGGATTATAACCACAAGTAGAAACTTCATTTCTAGGGGTGAAATATGTAATGATAAGCACACAAACATGTTGTTGATATTCCAACTAAAAAAAGAAATTCCAGATAAAGTTGCACAGCAGTAAATTTAAAAAGACAGCAAATGCATTAATTATTCTTACGTTTATACATAAATTCCAAAGGCTAAATGGCTCATGGTGTGCTTATCCCTCAGCTTTGGCACTATAATTTGGGCCATGTTTCCTTAGTTATTAATTATGTTTCTGTGTCCCTCACTAGCCAGTAAATATCTCGAACATGTAGATTATGTCCCGTCATCTCTGATTGTCACTCTCTTCTACAGTTGCTTTGTGCATGGTAGACAATAAATATCTGTCAAATTGTTAAGTATATTCAAATTATCATTTATCCCTAATCATAAGTGCTTCCATATGAAAATGTTAACTTAGAGGGTCTCCCTGCTGCTTTATATGCATAATCATTATCTTGTGGAATGAAAGCATTGTTTTATTTGTAACTGGTCACCTATGACCTACGTTTAAGTTACTAAGACACAGTTTTGGAAATAAACTACTTCCTTGTGTGAAATGAGAACAGAAGGTAATAGACAAACTTGTACATTGTTTTCTTCTGTGCCGTTGCTTAGCTCTGTTATTCACATAAAACCTAAAATCAAACACGAAGTTTTGAACACTCTTTTACTTATATGATGCCAAACTAGTTATATTGTTGTACCTATTCCTTTGTAATATAGATAGGTTCAATTATGTTTATGTGGTTAATAACTCCCATGCAATCTGGCCAAAGGGACAAAATTCTACTCACAAAAAGTAGACTGTATTAAAAATTAAGCCTTCTGACACTGTTCAGGAATGCTTATGGTACATTAAACTTCACATACAGTAAACAATTCAATCATCTATTTTGTCTAGATGATTGTTTAACTTTACTGTTATATGAATAAGTTGCTTTTGCATTTATAGGGTCTTCACTTTATTTGTCTGCCCACAGCCCCACTCCCATTCTCCATCTCCAAAAGCATCTTTGAATGGTGGTGGCTGGGGGAAGTACTTGTATTTCAATTCAGATTCTATATCTTCAGATAGAAGGAGACTCTAGGTGTATGAACCAGGCTAGAACAAGAAGTGTGGTGTTAGGATTCTTAGGTTTTATTTACTTATTTAGTAATTCAATTATTTTAAAATGTTGATCAAGTACATACATGCAGAAACCTGTGCTAATTGCTGGGAATACAAAGGCGTGATAAATGAACCCTAACAGGGCCCTTGTGAGGAAAATGACATTAATCAAATGATAATACAATTATATAGTCACAAGTAACAATAAGTGCCCGAAAGTAAAAAGTATAGGACGTTCTGAGAATGCATCAGAGGACCTGATCCAGAGTGAGTTGGAAAAAGCATCCCTGAAGAAATGACTCTAAATGTGAGTATGAGTCACAAACCTCTGTAGTGACAGGGCCTCTGCCTACCTCACCTGTTTCTTGTCCTGTCACTACCCACTTAACTCTGTGCTCAAACCACAAAGTACTTCTCTAGTTTCTGAACCCTACTCACCCTACCGTCTATGGGATGTGGTTTTCTCTGCCTGAAAAGAACTCCTTTGCCCCAACTCACATGTAAAGTCATTTCTTCGGGGATGCTTTTTCTTTAGTCTCAAAGACTAAAATAAATCTCAAGGAATGTTTGTTGGATGAATTAATGAGTAGTTTCCCATACCTCCACTTTCACCACCTCCGAATCATTCCTTAAAACTGCAGCAAGAGGAATCTCCTAAAAAAGCAAATGTACTATGTGATTTCCAGCTGAGAGTCCTATCGGAGCTTTAGGTTTTAGCCTTAGGGAAAAATTCCTTAATTGTATGAGCCTGGATGAGGTCACACAGGGAGTGAGCATAGGTAGAAAAGAGACGTTCAAGCACAGTCCTGTGGTTCACTCCCAACATTAGAGTTCAGGGAGGTGAGAAGGAACCAGCAGAAGAGACTGCTGGGGTCGGAGGCTCTGGTGGTCAGTGTTGGTCAGGGTTATGGAGAGAATAGGAAGGCAAGAGATATCCAGGAGGTTCAATCCACAGGAGGCAAAGCCTGCTTTTCTCTGCATGGAATCAATGAGCAACTCTGGGCTTGCTGGAACTGAAACCACTCTTTCCTCATTGGCAAGATTATAGGTTTTGAAAGATAATTAAATGAAACCATCTAAGTCATTTGGAGTAAGAGTATATGGTATTTCTATAGTTAAGCAATATTTTTATTCTTTTTAAGGCATTACAATAAAGGCTCAGGGGAAAGCACAGAGTAGAACATTTGATTTTTTAAATTTTGTTTTAAAATCATTAAGTTATTTAATTCAACAGAAAACCTGTGTTAGAGAAATGTGTCTTTCTACTGACTGACACAGTGCTCTTTACTTTTTAAAGTATTTCTCAAATGGTGATTAGATAATGCGATTCCAAAAGATATGAAATGGGCTAGGCATGGTGCCTCACACTTGTAATCCCAGTGCTTTGGAAGGCTGAGGCAGGAGGATCACTGGAGGCCAAGAATTTGAGACCAGTCAGAGCACCACAGTGAGACCCCCATCTGTACAAAAAAATTTAAAAATTAGCCAGATATGGTGGCACACGCCTGCAGTCCCAGCTACTCAGGAAACTGAGGTGGGAGGATCGTTTGAGCCCAGGAGTTTGAGGCTGCAGGGAGCTATGACCACGCCACTGCACTCCTGCCTGGGAGACAGCACAAGACTGTCTCAAAACAAACAAATAAAAAGATATGAAATAGTAAAGCTGTGAATAAAAGTCACTAATGTAAAAATGTGAATACAGCGTTATATTGCCAGAGACAAACACACAGTTTAGAACTAGGTTGCTGTGAAAATGTTCTTTTGAAATAGTTGCAACTATGTCAGAGTGCCCTCAAGTTAATGTACAAATTTATCACCAAATGTATGGAAAGCATGGCACCTATAGGGCAACAAACCTGGAAATTTTCTTGGTTGTGATTTATTTTGCAGTGGCGGGGCCTGTGTTAAATAATACCAGGCAACAGGTCAGTGTTGATTTTTAACTCAAAATACTTTGGGTTCAATGTGTTTTATTTCACGCTGTATTTGTTGATGATAAATCTGGTTGCAGATCCTTGGGGCTGTTGGACTTCCACAGTTAATGCTGTATCATGTTTTGTGTCAAATAGCCAATTTTATTAAACTGTGTTAAGGGAAAATACAATGACATTTTATGAAAATTTTATAAAATTTATAAAATGAAAAAAAAATTAAAACCAAATGATTTTTCTGGTAAGTCTTGATTGTAAATGTTAGAAAGAATTACCACGGTCTAAAGTGGTCCACTTTCCCACAGGTATTTCTTTGTGGTTGAAGAAGACAATACTCCATTATCAGTCACAGTGACGCCCTGTGATGCGCCTTTGGAGTGGAAGCTGAGCCTCCAGGAGCTGCCAGAGGACAGGAGCGGGGAAGGCTCAGGTAAGCAGCAGGATAGATCTGCCCCTGGACCTTTGAATGGATGGTTTTAATGCTTGTGAAACATACAACCTTCTATGTGTTAGTAAGAAAAGGCAGCATGGGTGCACAAGTGAATCTGGAGGTATGAGACGGAGATAAGGGAAGTGGGAGGGTGGCATCAGATGACACTGATCCTGATAAAATAAAAGGTTAGGAGAGACAGGTACAGGGATTGACGGCTTGAGGAGAAGGGGAGAGGTTTGGACTAGCCTCTATGGCTGTGGTTTGCAATCTTGCCTAAACATCCTAATCACGTACGTATAAGGCTTTAAAAACTGCTGATGCCTAGATCTTGCAAAGGTCTGATTTGATTGGAATGGGGTGAGGTCCAAACTTTGGGATTTTTAGCCACACTCCCCAGGTGATTCTAATATACAGCCAAGGTTAAGAACCTCTGATCTCCAGGGAATAACAGATGGAAACAGAGAAGCAGAGAGGCATTTAGTAGCAGTTAAAGGCCAAGATGAAAACAAAGTTAGTAGGATGAGTGGGCTAAGCATTTAAAGAAGACAGATGATAGAGAGCAAATAAAATAAAAGAGAAATGAGAAGAGTTTGTATGGCACCCTGAAAGCTCTTTAAGGGCATCATAGGTTAAAGGTGAAGGCTTGACAATGGGTGCCCTACAAATGACTATATATATATACATAGTCTTTATATATATATATATATATATATATATATATATATATATATATACACACACACACACATAGTCTTTATATATATATATACATATATATATACACATATATATATAACTATGTATACGTATCTACAAAGGCTAGCTATAGTAGTTTCAAAGAGGGGCAAACATCGCAATTAGGAAAATTATGGAAGTGTGTATGGGGAGTAAAGAGACCAAGATACAGAAAACAAATCTTGATGGGCTTTTTTTTTTTTTTTTTCAGGACAGGGTCTTGCTCTGTCGCTTAGGAGTGCAATGGTGTAATCTTGGCTCACTGCAACCTCCACCTCCTGGGCTTAAGCAATTCTCCTGCCTCAGCCTCCCAAGTAGCTGGGACCAGAGGTGCATGCCACTACGCCCAGCTAATTTTTTGTATTTTTGTAAAGATAGGGTTTCACTATTTTGCCTAGGCCGGTCTCAAACTCCTGAGCTCAAGCAATTCGCCCACCTCGGCCTCCGAAAGTGCTGTGATTACTGGTGTGAGCCACCGCACCTGGCCAAATCTTGATGTTAATATATCTGTTTGATGATTGTGTTTATCCCATAGTTTAGGAATAGGAAATTCTGTATAGCTCACTTTCAACCTGCAATGATAAGCTGGAAAAGGTTTCTTCTCACTGTAGCTACCCAGTCATTCACCAAGCCCTGGAGACTAAGCTATACACTGATATCTGTGTGATATCTGATACTTACGGTAACAAAATATGGAAAAAATTAGTTTAGCTTTACCACTATTCCTGTGTTATTCCTGGGTGCACGTTCTATACTTTGAACCTTAAGCATTCTTTTTTTATTTTGTTTTGTTTTGTTTTATTTTATTTTATTTTATTTTATTTTATTTTATCTTATTTTGAGACAGGGTCTTGCTTTGTTGCCCAGGCTAGAGCACAGTGGTGCAATCATAGCTCACTGCAGCCTTGAACTCCAGGGCTTAAGCAATCCTGCCTCAGCCTCCCAAGTACCTGGGACTACAAGCATGTGCCACTATGCCCAGCTAATTTTTTTATCTTTATTTCTTACAGAGACAGGGTCTCTCTTTGTTGTCCAGGTTCAGCTTCAAGTAATCTTACAGCCTCAGCATCCCAAAGTGCTAGGATAACAGGCATGAGCCATGACACCCAGCCAAATATTCTTACTGGTACTTTATATTGTGTATTTTAATCAGATTGTCTAGTCCTTCTAACAGCCGTGAAATTAGCAAAATGGCTGGCCATCCAAATGCAAACTGATACAATTCTTTTGGTAAGCAGATTGACAGTTAGGATTAATAATGTCTCAAAAGTTTACAGTCTCTGACCTAAAATTTTTACTAATTGGATTCTGCTCTGAAGAAATAATTTATATTCAGAGAAGCCTTACACATATATAAGAACATTATGTATAATGGTCAAAATAAATATTATCTTGAATACATTTATAAATATTTTTACTTATGAACATGTACTATTTTCATAACGGAGAAAAAATAAGATAAAAGGATAACTTAAGGTTGGCAAGCCACAGTGTATGCCCTGACAGTAGCCTGTGCTTCTCCTGTATTTTCTAGGTGATCTGGAACCTCTTGAGCAGCAGAAGCAGCAGATCATTAATGAGGAAGGCACTGAGTTATTCTCCTACAAAGGCAATGATGTTGAGTATTTTATATCGTCTAGTTCCCCATCCGGTTTATATCAGTTGGATCTTCTTTCAACAGAGAAAGACACACATTTCAAAGTATATGCCACCACAACTCCAGAATCTGATCAGCCATACCCTGAGTTACCCTATGACCCAAGAGTAGATGTGACCTCACTGGGGCGCACCACGGTCACTTTGGCCTGGAAACCAAGCCCCACTGCCTCTTTGCTGAAACAACCCATTCAGTACTGTGTGGTCATCAACAAAGAGCACAATTTCAAAAGTCTCTGTGCAGTGGAAGCAAAACTGAGTGCAGATGATGCTTTTATGATGGCACCGAAACCTGGTCTGGACTTCAGCCCCTTTGACTTTGCCCACTTTGGATTTCCTTCTGATAATTCAGGTAAAGAACGCAGTTTCCAGGCAAAGCCTTCTCCAAAACTGGGGCGTCATGTCTACTCCAGGCCCAAGGTTGATATTCAGAAAATCTGCATAGGAAACAAGAACATCTTCACCGTCTCTGATCTGAAACCCGACACGCAGTACTACTTTGATGTATTTGTGGTCAACATCAACAGCAACATGAGCACCGCTTATGTAGGTACCTTTGCCAGGACCAAGGAAGAAGCCAAACAGAAGACAGTCGAGCTAAAAGATGGGAAGATAACAGATGTATTTGTTAAAAGGAAGGGAGCAAAGTTTCTACGGTTTGCTCCAGTCTCTTCTCACCAAAAAGTCACCTTCTTTATTCACTCTTGTCTGGATGCTGTCCAAATCCAAGTGAGAAGAGATGGGAAACTTCTTCTGTCTCAGAATGTGGAAGGCATTCAGCAGTTTCAGCTTAGAGGAAAACCTAAAGCTAAATACCTCGTTCGACTGAAAGGAAACAAGAAAGGAGCATCTATGTTGAAAATTCTAGCTACCACAAGGCCTACTAAGCAGTCATTTCCCTCTCTTCCTGAAGACACAAGAATCAAAGCCTTTGACAAGCTCCGTACCTGTTCCTCAGCCACCGTGGCTTGGCTAGGCACTCAGGAAAGGAACAAGTTTTGCATCTACAAAAAAGAAGTGGATGATAACTACAATGAAGACCAGAAGAAAAGAGAGCAAAACCAATGTCTAGGACCAGATATAAGGAAGAAGTCAGAAAAGGTCCTCTGTAAATATTTCCACAGTCAAAACCTGCAGAAAGCAGTGACCACAGAAACAATTAAAGGTCTTCAGCCTGGCAAATCTTACCTGCTGGATGTTTATGTCATAGGACATGGGGGGCACTCTGTAAAGTATCAGAGTAAGGTTGTGAAAACTAGAAAGTTCTGTTAGTTACCTTCTTATAGAGATATATTATGTAGAACTCCAGGAGGGACATTAAATCACTTTAAGTATAAACTGACTACTCCCACAGTTGAGAGAAGTTGTGACCTGTACTTGTACTATGGAAGGAAGGATATCAACGTGTGTATATTGATGTTTATATAAGTAACTCTTGAAGGAGACTTGTTCTAGCGTGCCCCATGGTACCTAGTGTGTGTCTGATGCCGGTTGGTGTCAAAGATAGAGGGCTTCTTGAAGGAACTTGCCATTCCTTGCTTTGACCACTGCATGAACTGCTTCTAAATTATTTTATTACCTAAAAATTTAAAATATGCCATTCATTGCACACACCCACAAATGCAAATCATTCCTCTCTGTAGATGCTAGGATATATATAAATTATTTTATAAATTCTTGTTTTAAATGTCAGTGTTTCTATGATTGTAAACTATTAAATTCTTTTCCTATTAAAGTACAGATCTAATCTAAGTATTATTAAGTTGATAGCCCTCTAGTCAGTTATATTGCTATTGTAAATTCTTGTTTGTTGAGTAAAATGTTTAAATACTATATGTATCTCATGTACAAAGTTGACATACATTATATTCATGTACATAAAATTAAAGAGATTAGATTATATACTGTTCATTTTCCCAAGCAGCTACCTTGGTGTATTCAATTTCTAATCTGTCCTCAAAACTGCACCTTCTGTAGTTTGGCACCAAAACAGACCCTTTTTTAATAATTAAAAAGGGATGCCCCATCTCTCTAAAGTTACTATGGCATTAGAAATAGTTATTAAAATTTGTACTTTTGACGTTGAATGGGAGCCAGCTGTTAGGAGAGTTAAGAGAGCTACAATAGACTTGTTTTAAAAGAATAGGACAAGCCAAACACTAACTCGACAAGTATTCAACAAATTGTCCTTAATAACCTAAAATATATCACTTTATAAGCATTTATTTTAAGTACAAAATTGAGATATTTCAAGCATTTTCCATCTGTTTGAATCTTAGCAAAATAGTTAATAATTATTTTAATCTCTAGCTGATGCAACTTAACAAACACCAATCAGGACTTTTATTAGTAAGAAGAAAACTAGGAAAGCTGTTGTTTTATAACATTAATGGTCTGCTACTTTTAACTTTGATTTTTCATGGATTTTTTAAAAGTAATTTCAAGTGTAAGAGACAATTTAGGCAAATCATAACATATTTTATCAGAGACTGTGCACAAAGGGCACTTTTAGGTAGCTTCATTCTCCACAGGTTCTATACATAAATCATGAGGTGTTACGAGAATATTGGTCCAGGAATCAGAAAAGTGTGGAATTTACAATCACCTAAAGCAATATGACTTTAAGAAAATCTGTTACCTCCCATCATCTCCCTTTCCCATCTGTTAACATTTGGTGGTGATAGATTTAGATGAGTTGACATTGTTAGATACTTTCTATTATAAGAGGTTGTCTTTGGTAGAATTCTATGATTCTAAAGTGCTGTGACTACAAGTGTGGACAGGTGTAATCACTTTACCTCTACACTGCCCGCTGCATGCTGACACTGCCTTTCATATGGTGGGCATTCAACAGCAACATTCCTGTGGAGTATAGATGGCTATGACTAAGGTAGTGTAAGTGGTGGTCCTTATAAAATATGCTCTGCTTGCCTTAGGGGAAAATAGTTCCTTAAAAACGTTCTCATCCAACTCCTCAGTGTTAAGATATCTAAACAAAAGTGACCACATCTATACACAACAGTAATGACACCTGAAAGAATTTTTTAACAGATAAAGAACAGTACTCCCATGGTTATGTAACCAACCAACTAGGAAGGAGAGACTTTAAAATTGACAACATCCCAGAGATGTTATATCCTAAGTTATGAATGTGCTGCCGTTGAAGAAAAATCAGCTTTCTCATATTACTCACATATATATATTATTACATAACAATGTGTTAAATTGGACTACAGTGAATCAAAGAGTTATTGCAGCTTCTGAAGGTGACAGACTTTTAACTTTCAGATATTGCTTAATGCCTGGGAAACCCTGGGAACCACGCCAAGTCAATTTAACCAAGCTTTTGCTTTTTAGCCAGCTGTGATGGTGGTTTCTACATAGTCTGGATAAATCCAAGAATACTTTCATGGCCCTAGTGAAATTTGCCTTTTTGAAATTATTAGGAAAACGAAATACACATTATGAAACTTCTATCACTCCTAAAGAAAGGGGAAAACCTATTAAAAATGAAGCTCTTATTTACTAATGCATTTCTATTTCAGGAGCATTTGGCTAAACTGGGGACAAAAAACAAAAACTTGTTCTTAATTAACAAAAGAACTAGAAAGAAGCTCATATGAAAGCACCACCTTGTGTTCAGTAAGCTTCAGGATAGCTCTGTTGACAGCAGGGCATTTAGAGAGTCCCAAGTATAGTCATGTATCACTGGGGAGGGAAGAATCTTTGAGGACATCTAGTTTACAATCTTTATTATTTTTCAGGTGTAGAAAAGAGATTAAAGATCATAGAAGTCAGAATAAATTTGTAAAAGTTCTCATAGTCAAAACAGCTAAGTAATGGCATTGCCCAGACTCCAAAATCCTGACCAGAATATAAATCACCAATTGTTGGTTTAAAGGGGTTATTTGTGAATCATTTTCCAAAAAAAGAAGTACACTTTTTGTGTTACTTACCATTTCAAAGAAACTTATTCTTCAAGACCATTTCAGATTTCCTTAGGAATGTATGTGTTACCCATAATTGACCACTTCAAACTTGTAAGAAAAAAAATGTTATGGTCATTTTGTTATTTTTAGAGACAAAGTATTTCTAATCTAGGTTTGCATACAACCTTGAGGCTGTGAGATCATTAGTCAATTGCTTTAATTATAAGCCCTGTTTTTTTTTTAAATCTAAAAACTAATAAACATCTATAAGAATTATAACAGATTATTTTCTTCATTAAATTTGTAATCAAGTTCTAGATTAAATGTTTAAACATGCATTAAAGGATTAGTTCTGAAAAGCACTTATTTTCATTACTCAACACATTTGAAAAAATGATTTTGATATGATGAAGAGACTTAAAAAAAGACAAAGATGAACTTCAGAGTTTGAAAAAGGCTTAATAATTCTCAACAGTTTGAATGAAACCACACATGCGTGCACGTGCACACACACCTACACTTTTGTATATATTCAAGGGATCCATTGTAGCTGAAACCAATCCAATATCTCTTCCAATATTTTACCAATCCCTTCTAGAGATTATCTAGTTCTACCATCTCATTTTACAGATGAGGAAATTGAGGCCCAATTAAGACTAGAATCTAGATTCTCTTACTCCCAGTTTAATGTCCACTCAGGACTTCATCTTAAGCACTTCTTCACTATAGAAAGCATGGGACAACTCACCCAGAGTATACTTCTTTGTCTCTATTCACTGGCTGGCTTCAAAACAACACAAAAGCATCTAACTTGGAGGACAATGTCATCTGGAGCATCTCCAGCCACTTCCTTCCCCCACTCTGATATGGTGTGACAGAGGTACAACTGGCTGGGAGCCTGCCTTCTGGCCCTCTCCCTATGACCAAGTAGAGTGACCACTGCCAGACTTTAGCTGATCTCTATATGTAGTCGACCAAATGACCTGGGAAGCATCAAGGCACCCTCACAACTGTGTTTCCCCAGAGAGTTTTAGCCAGAAAAATACAGAGTCTTTGGGGATTTGGGCCTTTGTTGTTTTGAAAGTGGGAAGTAGGAGAAAGAACAGGGAGAGAAGTAGGTAGGGTGTGAAGAGAAGTATAATTTTATCTCATTTCTTTCTCTGAGAGATCTAAGAAGTCAAGAGACACAAGAGATCCAGTGTAACTTGATTTTATTAATGTTTGCATTCTGTCCTTCATGTAACCTTACGCTGGAGTATTGGACCTGGATCACCATCCTCTCTGTCAGAATTGCGTCTCACTGATGAACATTTTCATTTCCCAGGAGTGGTTGATCATGCATCTTGGCAAATTTCCCTCATTTCTCTTTACAGTCCCCATTCCTGACCTTTGAGAAACAGTCATCAAAGTGTAGAAGTAAAGTCTTTTAAAATGCCTTTCCAGATGGACCCTTAGAACTCTTTCAAAGATATTTGTAAATATTCACTCTAAATGTAATAGAAATAAAAAGCTGTAGATCTTCATTACAGAAAAACCATTAGCTCAAGATTGAAGAGCTCACAGTCTTAGGCACAGTTTCATCTTACGCTGTCATTATTTAGATCCCAAGAAAGAGAGGGTGGGATTGGCTATCCCACAGTATAGCGGGGAGGAGGGCAGTGCAGGAAAGGACATTGATTCCTAGTAAAAGATCCATTAAAAAACAGAAATAAGAATGAAGTACCAGAACGTAATTTATCATCCCTTTATGCTACAGAAGAAAACTTGCAAGACAGTGTAAGGTTTCCCTGGAACTTGTTAGAAATGTCATCTAGACGTTGAGCCAGGAACACAATCAAGCAACCTTTCAGGATATAGCCAGGCCCCAAGCCTCTTCAGAACTGGGAATAATGTTTTGAATTGAAACAGAGGTGTAAAGCAGAGAGGTCAGAGCAGATCAATACTGGTTATGGGTGATGAGATCCAGACAGAACAGTCCCCAAAAAAATAACTGTCTTACAACGAGGGGGTGTGATGGATGTGTTATTTTGTTTTTTTTGAGTCTAGTAGTATTACTGTCTGAAACTGGTCAGTTTTTAGGGGCAACTTCAAAATGTTATTTGTGTCTTTCTTGTAAATACCTGCCAAGATTAATACCCAATCAAATGCCATGACTTGGAAATAAACAAATATTCATTTCTTATCTATAATTACCTTTTGGTGTAATCCTTTCAACTTGTGTAAATAGGATATAACAGAATAACACCAATAGTTGTTTTAAGATAGACTGAAAAACCCAAAATGCCCATATTTAATTATAACTCTGACAGTAGTGTGTTTCTGAGAAAAATTGTTTATAATAAACAGAACCAAGTGTATGAATACATCATAGGCATAGAAGTCTGACTGACTGTTCATTCTCATCTTTTCCTATAAAATGAACTCAGACCTATTTAAATAGGATTAATATATTAGTTCCTTTCACCATGCAGGCCTGATAATTTCCACATTGCCAGACCAACAAACAGTTTTTGGAAGAAGCATGCCACCCTCAAGAACCACTGGTAAATGTCTCACAGGCATCTGAATTTGTCTGACCTGGTTTGCGCTCTGTGGGTCCATATGGCTGAAGTAACAAGATTGTGGCTCAACTAATGTCACAGTTATAACAATAGACATAGATTGCTACATGAGCAGTTTGGTAACAGCAACTGATCTAGTCACAAATATGGCCCATTTCCAATGGTTGAGTTTCCGTGTATCACAGTAGCTACAGTAGCTTCAGCAACATTTGATGTTTCCAGCTCTTCTGGATGTGGTAAGAACTTTAAGTGAGAGGGACAAACAAGCATACTTACATGTTTTAAATAACCAAATAAAATTCAACCAGTTTTATTATGGTAAAATATAACTTTAAAAACATTTTTAAAGAAATAGCAGATTCTTGGTTGACTATTTTAAAAGAGTAATATTGAATATCTCCTTCCTGCTGAATAAAGCTTGTCATTCTTCTTCAAATAAAGAGGTCAAGCTGTAAATTACAGCTTGCGGAATTTTGCCTTCTATTATGCACAGGATCCCAGGTTCTGTTGGGTTGTCCTGGGGTGATCATCAGGTATGGAAAAAGATAAAAGAGATATGAAAGCTGGGTAAGAATCACAACATTTACATCTAAATTGAATTTTGTGCAAGTTCCATTGACTAATGGCAGAGAGCTGTGCTTCAAATACAGCTGTGGTCTGAGCAAACTTGGCTGCTCTAAATACTGAATGCCAGTTCCTTTGCCAATTCCATGGGCAAGCATTCCAGGAGGCTTGAGTTAAAATGTGCAGATAAATACTCAGTTCTGGAGTTTTTTGGTGCCAAAGCATACAAAATACTTATGTTCTGCTATGGAAATACTGGAAGAACAGAACTTCTGTTTTTAATATCTCTGAGGATTTAAAACAGTTCTTAGACTACTTATTACCTTTCATAAAACTCACTCCTACTTTAAAAGTCTCTTGGTGGCTTACCTATATTAAAAAGAGGAAAAGAATTCTTTTTGATTCTGCTGAGTTTTCTCTTCTCTATTGAAGTTAAGCAAGCTAATAAGAGGACAGCAGAGGAAAGAGTGCAGAAGTGGGACTTTGGGCATTTTCTTAAACTTCTGTGGGCTTGAGCTTTCTCATTTGTAAAATGAGAAGGGTGATGATCTCCTAGATTCCTTTTTGGAGAAGCAGGGAAACTAACAACCTTTAAGCACATACTGAGTGCCAAGCATTTGAAATACCGTTATTTAATCCTTGTAACAACCCTGAGATGGAGACATTATTGTATTCTCATTAAGCAGAGGAGGAACCCAAAGAACAAAGAAATTATATAATGTGCTCAAGGTCACAAAGTTAATACAAGATGGAGCTGGAATTTAAACACAGATACATCTGGTACCAAATGAATGCGTTTTTCCACATCCACCTGTATGCTTGTGAGTTCTAGTGCTACTTAGTGAATCTCACCAGAATAGAATACATGACAAGTCCCTTACTAAAACTGGAGAAAGTCAAAGTATATTAAAGCTTGGCCTGCATATTTATAAACAAGTTTTCTCTGACATAGATAAATATCAAGCATTAGGGACAGAAGACGAATAATTGACAAAGTATTGCTAAGTTGCTCTTATTGTGTAGAACTTTCCCATTTTAATGGTGACTCATACTACCATAAAAACTTTGTTTGGTATTTGTTTGTGTCTTATTATATAGAGTTTGATGTAA
Organism: Homo sapiens; assembly: GCF_000001405.40. Classification (NCBI taxonomy): domain Eukaryota; kingdom Metazoa; phylum Chordata; class Mammalia; order Primates; family Hominidae; genus Homo; species Homo sapiens. The sequence goes on along the minus strand of NC_000004.12, from coordinate 121,029,371 downwards.
TGCTTACATATGGCATAATGTGTCTTTAATATGATGTTAATAAACCTTTATTTAATGCTTTTGTTTTTTAGCATATAAAGAGTTGTCTGTGGTTGTCTTTGTTTTTGTTTCTGCTTTGCCCTTGCACATGTTTGACTTCTGTTATCATTTTTTAATAGCAGATGTTTACTGGGCCTTCATTAGATACCACATCCTGATATGATAGTTATAGCCTGAGCTGAGGCATCTCTTTAATCCACATAACAACCTTATGAAGTAGACACTGTTGATTTTCCACATTTTACTGATGAAGAAACCAAGGGTCAGAGAAGTTAAGTAACTTCCCCAATTTCATGCAGCTAGTATGGGGTGCAGTTCTGTGTCCAATTCAGGGTTTTAGATAACGCCAGTGCAGGAAGGGATGATACTTATTTACTGCCTTTGGGAAAGATCCTCTGACTGCTTTCCAAGGAACTCATCGGCACAAATCTACTTTTAAAGTTTGTTAGACTTGTGTTCGTTCTACAAAGCACTTGTTTTGATGGCACATCAGATACTTACTATTGACATTCTTGTGATTTGCTTTATTACACTTTTGTTTCTATATAAATTTTTCCTCATGTACTTCAAAGTGAAGGAGTTCACACAGCCACTTCCACAGTCCCAGGCTGAGAGCTAGTGATCTTCATGTCCTGCATGGGAAAGGAGCGGGCTGATGACAGGATTCAGGTAGCATCAGCAGGGCTTGTTTGGTTGGACTCCATCCTGGACAGCGCTAGGGAGGAATGATGGCCGTGTTGATTCTCTGGGTCCTCCTCCAACTTGAAAATATTTTTTCTAATTGCTAAAGTAATATTATAGATATATATAAACTACAAATTACTGAAACACGTGACATGAAACTTGAACATTGGCCCTGATTATTTTCCCCAAAGAAAACTATTTTTAACAATTCTACTTGCATTCCAGTACTTTTCCTTTCCTGTTCATAAAATAATATCTTTCATTTTTATCAAATATGGAATTATACTGAATACACAGTTTTGCTTTTTTCATTGAATTTGATATTTTGAGTTACATTCCCTGCCAACTTGACCTTTAAAAAAAATCAATTATTCTCAGACATTCTCCAATGATTTGTGAAGGTGTGTGTCTTATGAACACACATATTAAACCATCCTCAAATTTAATGCTGAAGCATCACCTACCTCTTCTATGTTCACTGTTGCATATGAGCTTCCTCTCCCAACAAGTAACATATTCTAGAACTTGTCTTCATCTTTAGGCTCATCAGTATCTTTGTGGAGGTGTTTCCCAGATAATATGGGATATTGCTTAGGGGTTCATGGACATATGAGTCTAAGAATCGGAAAAATATATTTAAATGTAAGTTCAAAGAAAATGTTCTTAAAGCCCAATTAGGTATTTTTTACATCAAAATTTTACTGAATACTGTTTCTGTCTCACACTAATCAAGTTGATATTTGGCGAGTAAAGATGACATTCTGTGTAGAAATTTTTCCTGAGTACATGTGACAAAGAGGTTGGGTTAAAAGCAGGTCATCCATCCCGGTGGAGTGGGATCGGAAACAAAAATAATAATAATAAAAAATAATAAATTTTAAAAAGCAGGTCATCACCTGGTGTCTCTTTTACTATCTCCCCACAAACCTCTACCCCCTAACCACTTGATCTAATCAAAGCAAGGAACCAAGTATTTTCTTTTTTAAAAAATGTTAGTTTATTGTGGTAAAAACACCTAACATGAAGTCTACTTAATAAAAAAGTTTAAGTGTACAATACAGTATTGTTGACTATAAGTACTATGTGTATGGCAAATCTCTAGAGCTTACTCATCTTGCTTGACTGAAACTTTATGCCCATAGATTAGTAACTCCCTGTGTCTTCTCCCCTCAGCCTCTGACAATCACCATTCCATTCCTTTTTTTTTTTTTTTTTTTGTAAGACAGAATCTTGCTCTGTCACTCAAGTGCAGGAGTGCAGTGGTACAATCACAGTTAACTGCAGCCTTGACCTCCCCAGGCTCAGGTGATCCTCCCACCTCAGCCTCCCAGGTAGTTAGGACTACAGGTGTGTGCCACCACACCTAGTTAATTTTGAATTTTTTTGTAGAGAGGCAGTTTCCCCATGTTGCCCAGGCTTGTCCCAAACTCCTGGCCTCAAACAATCCGCCTACTTCAGCCTCTCAAAATGCTGCAATTTACAGGTGTGAGCCACCACACTCAGACTTCCTCACTTTTACTCTATGAATTTGACTATGATAGATACATCATATAAGTGGAATAATGCAGTGTTTGTCTTTCTGCAACTGGATCATTTCACTCAGCATAATATCCTCAAGTTTCATGCATGTTGTTGCATATTGCAGAATTTGCTTCTTTTTTTAAGGTTGAATAGTATTCTAATGTATGTATTTGCCACATTTTGTTTATCCATTCATCTGTCAATGGACATTTAGATTGTTTCCATAACTCAGCTACTGTGAATAGTGCTACAATGAACATGGGAATGCTAATATCTTTTCAATATCCTGATTTCAATTCTTTGAATAAATATCCAAAAGTGGGATTCTGGATCATTTGGTAGCTCTATTTTTAATGTTGGGGGAAACTTCCATATTGTTTTCCAAAGTAGTTTGCCATTTTGCATTCCTACCAATAGTTTTCAGGGGTTTCAATTTCTCCACATCCTCACCAACACTTGTCTTTTTTTTTTCTTTTAATAATGGCCTCCTAACAGGTGTGAGGTGATATCTCATTGTGGTTTAAATTTGCATTTCCCTGATAATTAGCTATGTTGAGCATTTTTTTCATAAACTTGTTGGCCATTTGTATGTCTTCTTTGGAGAAATGTCTATTTATGGCCTTAGCCCATTTTTTAAATGTTGTTTTTAAACACACAATAATTGCACATATTTATGAGGTATAGTGCAATGTTTTGATACATGTGTACATTGTGTAACGATAAAATTAGGATATTTAGCATATTCATCACCTCGAACATTTATCATTTTTGGTGAGAACATTCAAAATCCTCTCTTCTAGCTATTTTGTAATGTATGATATAACATTGTTAATCATGTCATCCTATTGTGTAATAGAACACCAGATCTTTTCCCTCTTATCTAACTGTAACTTTGTACCCATTGACCAATCTCTTCCTATCCCCCACTTCCCACTACCTGGTTATTAGTTGTTTCCTACTGAGTTATAGGAGTTTTAAAATACCTTTTGAAGATTAACTTTTTACCAGATATATGATTTACAAATATTTTCTCCCATAGGTTCCATAGAACCATAGCCTTCTCACTTTGTTGATCATTTCCTTTGCTGTGCAGAAGCTTTTTAGTTCAATATAATCCCAGTTGTTTATTTTTATTTTGTTGCCTGTGCTTTTGGTGTCATATCATGACCTTTCAAAGTAAATCTTCACTCTACATGTATTTTTGAATCACAATTAAATATTCTGAAGGTTTTGATAGTTTCTTGGTTGGGTAGCGGGTAGTGGGAAGAGAAAGACTCTTACCTTTTCATCTATTACTGCCAAACAATTCTGGCATAGGTGAAAAAGATAAACATCTTCACGCTATCTGGCGGCTTTCTCCTTTGCATGCTGCTCTTTGGAATGTTCAGGCAGAAGACTGACACATGGCAGGGACAAAAGAAGATAGAGATGTGGGTTCAGTGTCTCTGCTGTCTGGGGATTAAATGTCACAACAGTTGTCTCTGTAAAGAGCTTGAGCAAAAATACTTTTAAAATTTCCATTTCATGCTCATTCCAAATTCTGGTTAAGTGAAGTGACAATAAAAAAGTAAACTGAAACTACTTTCAAGGGATCCATAGAGGACTAAGACTTGAAAATTATATTTAAGCAGTATATAGTAAAAATTTTTATTGCATCTGCATTTGAGGTATGATAAAATATGCAGTTAATGCTAACATCTGGTTTGTTGTATATGTCCTGATTTTATGTGTATTTACAGGAATGTATGTGTGTTTTATATGAATAAACAGAGGATATAAGGTTATGTATAAAAACTATATATGGCATATATTAACCATGACATACTTGACTTAGATTTACGTTTTCATGTTCCAGAATGAGAATGCCTTTTAATTTTTAATTTTTCCTTCTCATACTTCCTTTGTCTGGTTTTCTTATAAACGTTATCCTTGCCTCACAAAACTAATTGGGAGGCATTCCTTCTCTAAGAAAAAATTTGTATAATATTAGGAATTATTGTTTTCTTGAATATTTGATAAAACACAGCTGTGTTTTATCATATTTTATTATCATTTGGGGTGTTATGACTACTTTATTATTCTACTTCATTACTGATTATATTCTATTCAAGTTTTTTCTTTTTGAGTCAAAATTTTAATTTATATTTTTCTTTAAAATTTGCAGTTTTGACTTAAATTTTCAAATTTATTGCCCTCAAGTTGTTCATAGTATTATGTTACGGTCTTTAAATATTTTACCTATTTATAGCATTGTTTCCTTTATTATGTTTTAAATTGTGTCTTATCATTTTCTTAAAAATCTTCCCAAGAGCTTACCTATTGCTGTATTTTTTCAGAAGCAGCATTTAGTTTTGCTAGTCTTCTAAACTGTTTCTTTGTCTTATGTTTTGTTGATTTCTAATCTTATTGTTATTATTCTCTTCCTTCTGCTTTCTTTGCATTTTTACTATTTTTCCAATTGCCTGAGTTAATCATTTAGCTTACTTATTTTTATGTTTTTACTTTCTAATACATGGTTTTCCAACCCTACATTTCCTTGTGAGTGCCACAATAGCATTCCCTTTGAGTATAACTCACTAGTGTTCTATTTGTTTTTATATAAAATGTTTTGTTAAGTGATAAGACATTCATAATTCTCACAATGATTACTTCTATTATTCAAGAATTGGAGTATTATTTTCTTTTGGTTATTTATATAGACAATTTTATTGTGGTCAGAGAATGTGGTCTGCGTGCAATTAATTCTGTGGGAGTTATAGTTATTAAGATTTGCTTTGTGTCTTATTCGCGTTCAATTTGTATAAATGTTTCATGAGAGCTTGTAAAGAACATGTATTCTCAAACCATTAAGTTTCCACAGAAAATATGCCCATTCACACAGCTTGTAAATTGTGTGCTTCAAACATTCTATATCCTGGCCGGGTGTGGTGTCTCACGCCTGTAATCCCAGCTCTTTGGGAGGCCGAGGCAGACGGATCACGAGGTCACAAGATCGAGACCAGCCTGACCAACATGGTGAAACCCCGTCTCTACTAAAAATACAAAAATTAGCTGGGTGTGGTGGCGCACCTGTAATCTCAGCTACAGGAGGCTGAGGCAGGAGAATTGCTTGAACCCGGGAAATGGAGGTTGCAGTGAGCTGAGATCATGCCACTGCATTCCAGCCTGGTGACAGAGTGAGACTCTGTCTCAAAAAAATAAATAAATAAATAAAATTCTATATCCTTTCTTTTTTGGTTTATTTGATACATCATTTCTGAGAAAAGTTTATTAAAATTTCCAACAATTGTAGAATTATCAAATATTCCATGTAATATTGTTAGTTTTTGCTTTATATATTATAAAGTCGTGTTGCTATGTGCATACAAGCTCATTATTTATAACTTTTCAATGAATTTCCCTTATATCATTAAAGAATAATATTTATACTAAATATTCATTTCCTTAATCAAGTTTTTTGTCTAATATTTTTATTTCTACCCCAACTTTCTTTAGATTAGTAATTCTTTGGTATGGCTTTTTTTATTTTTTGCCCCCTTACAAATATGTTTAAATTACATTTCTTTTGAATAGCATAACGGTAAAATACGCATGTGATAAGGTTTGGCTGTGTCCCCCGCCAAATCTCATCTTGAATTCCCATGTGTTGTGGGAGGGACCTGGTAGGAGGTAATTGAGTTATGGGGCAGGTCTTTCTGTGCTGTTCTCATGATAGTGAATGAGTCTCACGAGATCTGATGGTTTGATAAGGGGAAACCCATTTTGCTTGGCTCTCATTCTCTCTTTGCATGCTGCCATTCATGTAAGATGTAACTTACTCCTCCTTGCCTTCTGCCATGATTGTGAGGCTTCCCCAGCCACGTGGAACTGCAAGTCCAATTAAACCTTTTTTCTTTTGTAAATTGCTGAGTCTCAGGTATGTCTTCATCAGCAGTGTGAAAATGGGCTAATACAGTAAATTGGTACCAGTAGAGTGGGGCATTGCTGAAAAGATATGCAAAAATGTGGAAGCGACTTTGGAACTGGGTAGCAGGCAGAGGTTGGAATGGTTTGGAGGGCTCAGAAGAACACAGGGAAATGTGAGAAAGTTCGGAACTTCCCAGAGACTTGTTGAATGGCTTTGCTGAAAATGCTGATAGCGATACGGACAATGAAATCCAGATTAAGGTGGTCTCAGATGGAGATGAGGAACTTCTTGGGAACTGGAGCTAAGGTGACTTTTGTTATGTTTTAGCAAAAAGACTTTAGCAGGCAGCATTTTGCCCCTGCCCTAGAGATCTGTAGAACTTTGAACTTGAGAGAAATGATTTAGGGTATCTGTTGGAAGAAATTTCTAAGCTGCAAAGTATTCAAGAGATGTCTTGGGTGCTGTTAAATGCATTCAGTTTTATAAGGGAAGCAGAGCATAAAAGTTCAAAAAAATTACAGCCTGACAGTGCAAAAGAGAAGAAAATCCAACTTTCTGAGGAGAAATTCAAGCAGGCTGTAGAAATTTGCATAAGTAACCAGAAGCCAAATGTTAATCCCCAAGAAAATGAGGAAAATGTCTCCAGGGCATGTCAGAGTTCTCACTGGCAGCCCCTTTCATCACAAGCCCAGAAGTCTAGGCAGAAAAAATGGTTTAGTGGGCCAGGCCCAGGGTCCCCATGCTGTGTGTAGTCTAGGGACTTGGTTCCCTGCATATCAGCCACTCCAGCCGTGGTTGAAAGGGGGAAGTGTAGAGCTCAGGCCATGGCTTCAGAGCATGCAAGCCCCAGGCCTTGACAGCTTGCATGTGATGTTGAGCCTGCGAGTGCACAGAAGTCAAGAACTGGGCTTTGGGAACTTCTGCCTAGATTTCAGAAGATGTATAGAAATGCCTGGATGCCCAGGCAGAAGTTTGTTGTAGGGGCAGGGTCCTCAGGGAGAACCTGTACTAGGACAGTACAGAAGGGAAATATGGGGTCAGAGCCCTCATGCAGAGTCCCTACTGGTGCACCATCTAGTGGAGCTGTGAGAAGAGAACCACTGTCCTCCAGATCCCGGAATGGTAAATCCACCTACAGCTTGCACCATGTGCCTGGAAAAGCCACAGACACTCAGTGCCAGCCCGTGAAAGCAGCCAGGAGGGGCTATACCCTGCAAAGCCACAATTCAAGCTGCCTAAGGCCATGGGAGCCTACCTCCTGCATCAGTGTGACCTGAATGTGAGACATGGAGTCAACAGAGATCATTTGGGAGCTTTAAGATTTGACTGCCCCACTGGATTTCAAACTTGCATGGGGCCTGTAGCCCCTTTGGTTTGGCCAATTTCTCCCATTTGGAATGGCTGTATTTACCCAATGCCTATACCCCCATTGTATCTAGGAGGTAAGTAATTTGCTTTTGATTTTACAGGCTCATAGGCAGAAGGGATTTGCCTTGTCTTAGTTGAGACTTTAGACTGTGGATGAGTTAATGCTGAAGTAATTTAAGACTCTGGGGGACTGTTGGGAAGGCATGATTGGTTTTCAAATGTGAGGACAGGAGATTTGGGAGGAGCCAGGGGTGGAATGGTATTGTTTGGCTGTGTCCCTACTCAAATCTATCTTGAAATCCAATGTGTTGTGGAAGAGACCCAGTGGGAGGTAAATGAATTTTGGGGGCAAGAGTTTCCTGCACTGTTCTCATGATAGTGAATGAGTTTCACGAGATCTGATGGTTCGATAAGGGGAAACCCTTTTCGCTTGGTTCTCATTCTCTCTTTGCCTGCTGCCATTCATGTAAGATGTGACTTACTCCTCCTTGCCTTCTTCCATGATTGTGAGGTTTCCCCAGCCATATGGAACTGTAAGTCCAATTAAACCCTTTCTTTTGCAAATTATGCAGTCTCAGGTATGTCTTTATCAGCAGCATGAAAGTGGACTAATACATCATGAGAATACAAAATTAGTAACAGTGATGTGTTAATTACAAAGGCTAGGTAGTTATTCAAGTCGAATTTCAAATTCTAAACTCTTTTTGATGGCCAAGTTAAAAAGAAGACGTGGCCAGTTACATAGATCATAATGCCGTAGAGGAATGGTATCATGCCAATTCCTTAAAGAAATAAAGTGTTTCCTAGCACTAAATTTTAAATAGAATTGGATGTGAGAGTGATCTGGCATTAACTCAGCACATTTATTTACCACGGCTTATTTATATGACCTGACCAGCAAAATGTGTGTTGTATTCATCCCATTCCTGTTTGTGCAAAATTGAACAATCATATGAGGAGCTATCTTCCTAGCTGAGGATGATTTTCTTTGAAAAGCTTATATGAGTAATTATATTCCCCTAAGTGAATATCTAAAAAGCTCTTCATTAAAAAATGCCTGCATTTCTCATTTGGAACTCCTTTCTGGAAGGTAGAGAGATGAGGTTATGTAATAAAAAATATATTCAACAGTCTTCCTATAGCAAGTGCAGTGAGGGCTATTAATGTGGCTGTTTGTTCCAATCCCTCAACAAAAAGCCTAAGGCTTAACCTTAAAACACAAGGTCCATGTAGACAATCTACCTGGGGCCAAGACAATATGGCACCAGCATGTACTTGATAATCTGGTTTGATAGAACTTCAGAATATCTTATCAAAGGAGTCAGTGTTCCACAAAACATAGCCTTGATTTAGTCTGATCATGAATATTTTTCTAAGGTGGGATTCTGATAAAGATAGAATAGCATAGTCACTTCAGTTTGAATTCTCTGGTGAGGAGCTGAGGTTTTGAATTGCGGATTGCAATTACTCCATGCACATTAAAAGCAAAACATGAAGATGTGTTAATTACATGGAATTCAATTCATGGAATTGAAGAATCTAAGCAAAAATACACATAGAATGGAGGGCCATCTCAACTATACATACAGTGTTCAAACACAAACAATATGATTTAAAAAAGGTGTCCATTTTATACATGGGAAGTAATTGCTTAAAAATACACATTTTTACAGTGTATAACGTGGTCATAATGATTTTGGCCATGTTAAAAAAGTAGATGTTGCACACTTTTCAATTTTAAAATCCATTAAACTTTACAGCACAATGACTATGTATACCTTAATATATGCAAATATTACAAAATCATTTAGGAGCTCGGAGGATCCCAGAATAGAATGCAGACTTTGATCATAGAATCTTACCGTATTATAAATGTATGAAACAATCTCACTGAAGAAAGTATGGAAAAAAGTTGCTGACCTCAGTAACTTGGTAAATAAATTTTGTGAGGTTCAGGCCAACATAAGCTGTATGTAAGCACGGTAGTCTACTTGATAAAGTTCTTCCCAATGAGGGCAAAAGTTATACAATTCTGAGAATGCTATGCATGTATAATGAAACTGTGCAATTAGGTAAATGGATTACAGATGGTGGAAGGCAGGTTTCTCGCTGTTAGAGTGGGAGTTTACAGGTAAGTAAGGACAGGAGGCTAGAATGATTCATGTGATAATGAATTAGAGTCAGAGATGCCAGTATATATTCATGTTTTGATTAATATAAATATAAATATTTATATGTAGAAATATAATATTTATCAGTTTTGTATATACAAAGGTTAGTATACATACACATATTCCTATGCTTTGTCAGCTGAGAAGGCCTAGAAGCAATGAGACCCTAATCACAATGGGCGCATCTAGTACCCAAATCTTTGTTTCTAACACCATTCTCCAAAAAAGGATTCAGCGTTCCTTTGAGAAATGGTTGATTCTATGACTGGGACATGAAATACACAAGATGAGTCTGGAACATTTTATACTACCAGAAAGTAAGAAAATAATTTAAAAAATAATTAAAAAGTTTTAAACCCCACAATAAGTATATGTCATTAGAACACGCGAACCAACTGAAAGTGCTCCCAATGCCAAACCAGGAAAAATTTGAGCAACAAAATTAATAAAGTAGTATTGGATTATAACTTAAACCATAAATAAATATTCATGGTTTTACATTAATGTAAATAAATAAATTAATTAATAAGTAGGGAAGAAGAGACAAATCTTCCAGGCAGAATTCCAAATAATGTATGTACATACTCTCCCTGGAGGGTGTAGAAAGCAAAACTCTCCACTCCTCAAGTGTAAGCTGTGCACAGTGACTGCCTTCCAAAGCGTACAGTAAGGAAAGCCAAGTGGAGGAAGTAACTTCACCGAAGAAAAACCTGACAAAACCCCATCACAGTCAGGTGATTAAGGTCACCATCAGCAATGATAAGTCATCTTGATAGTAATTACTCTGACACATGAAGTGGTGAAAAATGGTACTTTATCTCTATGATCTTTCTGGGTGCCAAAATCCTACTACCTCAATCTAATCATGATAAAGATCATCAAATTCCAGTTGAGGGACCTGTTGCAAAATGCCTGACCAGTACTACTCAAAACTGTCAAGGTCATCAAAATCAAAGATAGCCTGAGAAATTATCTCAACCAAGAGGAGCCCAAGAGACATGACTATTAAATGTAGCATGGTAACTTCAATGGGATCCTGGAAAGGAAAAAGGACATTAGGTAAAAACTGAGGAAATCTCAGTAAAGTGTGAACTTTGTTTAATAATAATGTATCAGTATTGGTCCGTTAACTGTAACAAATGTGCCATCCTAACATATGATGCTAATAATAGGATACCGGCTATGGGGTAGATGAGGACCCTCTGTCCTCCCTTTACAATTTTTCTATCAATCTAATATTGTCTAAAAAATAAAGTTATTATTTTACAATACATGTTGCCCTGTGTGACCTTAGAAAAAGCTGGGAAACACTACCAGCACATGACTAATATTGAAAAACATGGTTTCTTATAAATTCACAAGAATGTTCTAGTTGTAAATATACCCGTTAGCATCTAGACAAATGTATCCACTGTATGAAGTTACTGGATATGAAACAAATAGTGAAGACTTGAGAGGAAAGACAACCTGTGACAAGTTTTATAATAGTTTATTCACTTATGCATTTGGCAAATATTTATGAAGTGCTCCCCGTGACCCAGGCACCATGCTAGGTAATGGGCCAAAAATAGGGAAAAACCAGACATGGTCACTGCCTTCCCAGAAAGTCTAGTCTACTGAATACTAAACTTTTTTTTCTGACAGCTGAGTGGAGGCAATGCCTATCGAGGTGACTTCCAGCTCCAGCAGTAGCAATGTATAGCCAACAGATAGAATCCCAGATATTTTCTGAGTCTTTAGCATGGGGAGCAAAGGAAGAAGGAGGTACCCAGGACTTTAGAAACAGTTTCAATACAAATCTAAAATAAAATAAGAAAGGGAGCAAAAAAACCAACCAACAAACAAACAAACAAAAACTTCCAGAGGCCAGGCTCAGTGACTCTCACCCATAATCCCAGCACTTTGTAGGGCCAAGGAGGGAGGATCGCTTGAGCCCAGGAGTTCAAGACCAGCCTGGGAAACAGAGCGAGACTTTGTCTCTACTAAAAATAAAAAATATTACCAGGCTTGGTGGCACGTGCCTGTAGTCCCTGCTACTAAGGCGGCTGAGGTGGGAGGATTCACTGAGCCCTGGAAGTCAAGGCTGCAGGGAGCCATGATCATTCCACTGCACTCCAGCTTGGGTGATAGAGCAAGACCAAGACCCTGTCTCAAAAATTAAAAAAAAACAAAAAAACAAAACACTGCCAGAATGTAGCCCTGTTTTCCTGTTTTTGTTTTTGTTTTTGTTCTTTTGTTTTTTGTTTTTGTTTTTTTTTTTGTGCAGATCAGGAGACCATTATCACTGACTCTGAAGATGGGGCTTCTACATTGAAATGTAGACTTTCTTTCCCTCAGCAGTTTCTAGCATTGGCACAGCACAGAGAAGAACCTGGGGGCATGGGAGCAGAGCAGAGCTGCAGGTGGAACACAGCCACAGAACACTCGGTTAGGGTTGAGAGCCATGGCCTCACAGAACTATCTTGTTATAAAGTGTGCAGCAGCCAGAATTTTGCGAAGCATTCAGGAAGGAAGTAGATCCTTCTAATGAAATCAATATATGTTTAATCTTCTGTATATTGGCTACATGTGAGACATGCATCTTTACCATGAAAACAGAAATAAAGTTAGCACAGGCTTAAAGTCAGACAGCCTTAAATTCAAATGCTGGCTCTTCTACCTTCTAACAAGGCTACCTCGGGTAAGTTGCTTAATTAAGCAAAACAAGGCTCGGAAAGGTTAAGCAAGCTACTTGAATCACACAGCTGAGCTAAATGAACTTTGAACTCAAGTGGGACTCCAACCACTGGCTCTTTCCACTTCCCAAAGCTGCCGTCCTGTGCAGGAAGCCCTGAGAGACTGAGCTGTGTCATCCCACATGGTCAGCGTGTCCAGCTGCCTGTCCCCAGGAAAAGAATGTCCAGAGTGAGTAAACAGAGCTGCACCTTGCCACACCCCTAATTGGTGAACTGAAGTGCTTATTTCCTTTCCTCAACAAAAATGATTGTCTTTCATTCTGTGATGTGTCATAGAACAGGGATCCCCAACTTAAGGGTCACAGACCTGTACCGGTCCGTGGCCTGTTAGGAACCAGGCCACATAGCAGGAGGTGAGTTGTAGGCAAGAGGGCACTACCGCCAGAGCTCTGCCTCCTGTCAGATCAGCGGCGGCATTAGATTCTCAGAGCGCAAACCCTATTGTGAACTATGCATGCAAGTGATCTAGGTTGTGTGCTCCTTATGAGAATCTAATGCCTGAGAACAGTTTCATCCCGAAATCATCTTCCCCACCTCTGTAGGTGGAAACCAGTCCCTGGTGCCAAAAAGGTTGGGGACCGCTGTCATAGAACACTGAAGTCATGGGTCAAATGTAACACAATACTCATGGAAAAAAAAAGTAATAAAAGCTCAAGGTTATTGTCTAATCACAAAGACTGAAAATATTTTCTATTTGCTTTGGATTTGCATTATTATACTATTTTGAACCTATTTGAGATTGGTTTTTGGTTTACTTTATTGGTTGACACAGTAGTATTTCTAGTATCCAGGGATATATTTAAGCTTCTCATTAGTGAGCTGACTAATAAAAGCATGTTTTAGGTAATTTCAGTTTAACCATAACCTTCATGTAGAAAGGGGCAGGAGGAGAAAAAGATATAAGCCCTCCTGAAGTGAGAGAAAAAACTTTTGTTCAAAATATTCTATATAAGGTGAGCTGTACAGGAAACAAACAACAATATGAAATAACATTATATTCCTACAGTGAGTGATAGGGTCAGAAGAACACTTACTTTCATACATAGGGAAAATATACAGTGGGTTTTGAAGTCCTCCTGGGCTGGACTTCATCTTGCTTTCCCAGGTCTTGTGACTGGCAGTGTATGTGGAAGATTATTTTTCCATTTAATCAAGGGTCACATGTATCCACACACTTGTGGGAATTCATTTGCTATACTTAAGTTTGGGATCAGCACACTTAACCAAATTAAAGGCTCTATATTGCCCCTCATGTGTTGTTGTTGATTGCTTGGAAAACCAATATTTCCAGCCCATTTACTTCAAACTCATTCCTTCCAAGGTGTTATTTTGCATGGCCAGCACGCCTGTGTTACCCCTGGCACAGCTGTTGATTTCTCTGTAATTAAAATCCTTGTGGGGAGAGCAGAAAGCTGGCCTTTTACATCATTTTCTCATTAGTTTGGTTTTTAATTCCTATTGGATCATTGTTTAGGCTTGTCACAGGGAAACTTTCATTAGAGTCTTTTGGCTGCAATGCTGTTTTAACAGAGCAAATGGAATTTGAAAATCCAAACAAATATCTCTTCATCATTTTTGATGGATAAAAGAAAGATGCTGCTAAACAAAGCAGGCTGTAAAGGGTGTTATTTCAGCTGTAATTAATATTTGATCTCCAAGTTTAGGTAAATTCCCTATCATTTAAGACGTTTTCACAACTGTTAAGTCAAAATTTTAAGAGAGTCAGTTGAGTTTCCTACTAGGGGGGTGTAGAACCAAAGTGTCAGAAACTCAAGAATGTGGAGACCCCGTTTGTGTTGTTGACTTTCTTTCATTGATTATGACTGAGTGTTAGCCTTGATTGCAGACCTGGAGATACAAGTGGAAACTGCTATTTGATGGTCATTATAATCCTTCTGATTTTTGCTATTTTGAGCTCAGCTATCTCTTCCTAAATTCAACTTACCAGGCCATATTTGAATGCCTACTTAGATATATATGTGTGTGTGTCTATAAAATACAAATCTACATATCCACCTCTAAGTCTTCCTCTTTTATAGAGGCCCACTTCTAACTCTGGGTTTATATGTAACTGCTAAATCAAATGAAGAGAGTAAAGATAGCTGCTTCCCCTCATAATTCTGCTCTGGACTGACCTTTATCACCAAAGTATTTAGGGAAGCCTGGTACCAGGCTTCCACACACAGTGAGATTATACCAAGGAGCCATAAATAAACTCAAGGTTGCTGACATTATTGCAGACAGCAGGATCAAAAGAGGAAATTGCATTGAAACTAAACCTGATTTCAGATAAAAGAAAACCTTAGCCTTCAAATTTTTTCTTTTTGTTGACATTAGTTTTACTCAAGTTTCCTCTTACTCCGCCTTTGCCTACTTATAAACCAAAATGAAGTCCCATGGCTCTACAGGGTCTTGGAAAGCACATGCATTGTGAAACTGTAAAAATTCAATGACTTCCCTCTGACTACATCACAAAATAATCATGGAGAATTTATCACTTCGATAAAAGAAGAAAAAATGTATGTTAATAACAGTCTGTGCATCAGGAGCTTGCAAACTCTGCCCTTTAAACGTATTATCGAAACATTACACTCAACCATGGGCCAACTAAAAATGACTGTTTGCAATAGAGGGTAAATATTCCTCTTTGGGTTCTGCTTAATGTTATGACTTGAGCTTCTGTGATTAGTTTCTTTAACACATGCCTGTTCTGAGAAGCTTATGTAATGGTCCTGCTGTTTTGGTTCTAACTTATTAAAAACATTCTGTGACCCTCCACATTTGCAATATAGATAATGTGGGTGCCTTGAAACATGGGCTGTAAATCTGCAGTGTCATGAAACAGATGGTCTCAAATGATGAGAAATGAACAATATACCTTGTTGATTCAGAAACAAAATGAAAACCATCTCACCCCTCCACACCTAGTAATTCCTAGTAAGTAAAAAAACCACAGAGATGTAGAATATTATAGATAATTAATGCCAGAAGCGCTCTATCAGCTAATCCAGTCAACAGCCTCACTTTAAAGAGACAGACTCAGAGTGATGAAGTAGGTTGCTTAGGGTCACACAGCAAGTTACAGAGGCTCTTCCTAGATTCCTACTCAAAGTCCTTTTTTTCTACCATATTTCCTTTGTTTGGCTTCTCTATTCACTGACACAATGTCGAAATATGTTAGCAAACTTTGACCTGATAGTCATAATTATTTTTCAAGTGTTTATTTTTAATGATCAAAAGTGCAGGCAAATATAAGCTTCAGATTCAAATGGCAAAAGTGATGGTCAGAAGTATGTTCACTGCTACATTTTTCCAACTTGCATGAACATTGATCATTCAAAATACTTACGTAGAGTCTTACTTCAAAAATAACATTTACTCACTGGTAATAAAAACATTAAAAATAAGGATCGGCCTATTGTTTTTAGCTGCACTTAACACAGCCCATGCCTAATCAAAGGCCATTTTCTTTTGGAAAACAAATCTTGATCAACTCTAACCAAGGTGCTGAGGAGCGGTAATCATTAGTAACGACCTTGTGAAACTTATGAGGTACCTATTGTTTGCAGGCCTCTGGATGGAGCTAAAAACACTGCTTGCCAGAGCTAAAGGCAATAAAGACTAATAAATGCCAGAGCTGGTGCAGAAACAGAAATTCTACCTCCCTGCATCCTTTAAAGTAAGAACAAGTCACGAACAACAGAAAAGGAGAAGGGTGGCCTTATCAGAGAGGATGCTGATGATGGATTTTGTCACATGTGAAATAATTCAAAGGCCTTCCAGAGTAGCCAACACTTGCAGAGAAAAAGCAGGATGAAGCCAGCACAGGGCTCTTTGGGGGTGGGTGTGAGTCTTCTACATTACAAGTAGTGTTGATGGGAGCCATGAAATGGGACAGTGCTAGTTTCTTACACCATTGTAAACAGTCAGGAGCACAACTGCAAGGTTTTGTTGTTTGCTTCGCTTGTTTGTTTTTCTGCCTCTAAGATAGATGTTTGAGATTTCAAAGAATTGTGGATCAGGCCAGTCACAATGGCTCACGCCTATAATCCCAGCCCTTTAGGATGCCAAGGTTTTGGTCCAAGAGACCAGCCTAGTCAACAGAGCAAGACCCCATCTCTACAAAAAATAAGACAACTAGCCTGAAGTGGTGGTGCATGCCTATAGCCTCAGCTACTTGGGAAGCTGAGGTGGGAGGGCTGCTTGAGTGCAGGAGTTTGGGGCTGCAGTGAGCCACGATGGTGCCACTGCACTCCAGCCTGGGTGACAGAGCAAAACCCCATCTCTAAAAATAAAATAAAATAAGAATAGTTGGTCAAAACAGAATTGTAGCAAAAAGCCAAAGGCATGGGCTGCTCTAAAAGTAAGTATAAAGGTTTAAAGTGTAAAAGATATCTTCTTGTATCCTTCTAAATGAAGATATAAATCTAACTTGAAAGGAAAAGTTGAGAGTGAGACTTTTTATTGCTCTGGTCTTGAATTCTGGAGCTTGATTGTTAGAAGAGAAACACTGGAGTGACAATGCAACTTGGACCAAAAGAAAGAGAAAGGACGAGTTCAACTAAGTAAACATTTTAAAAATTCAACTACAGGAATATTCAGTATACAATAGAAAAATGACACTGATGTTATCTAACAATAAACTATTAAGTTTTCATTTCCTGTATCACTGGACACTCTGCTCCAGGGATCCATGGGACCTTATAAAGGAGACATACAGTGTTGAGAGACTTGACTATATTGGAATGATCACTAAGCTGGTTGGGCTGAACTGGGAGCCAAAAACCAGGAGGCCCTGCCCAGCTGTTGACCTCACTGGCTATGAGTGAAAGCCATTTAGCTTTCTAGGAGCTCTACTTTTTCAAATGTAAAATGGGGGATTGGGTTGGAGAATCCTTAATGTTCTTTCTACTGCTAAAACTCTATGACTCACAATGTAAGTAACTCCATACACTCTTTCCTTAGATGAGATAGCTCAATAATAATATTTGGTGAAAATGAAATAGCTGAACCAAAAAATAACATTGCATGCATTCAACAATATTTAAATCAAGAGAACGTAATTATGGCTTAAATTTAATTGAATTTTTTGGAAGTTGGACAGAATTTAGCAAATGCACTTTAAGTGGTGGTAAAAATGTAATACCTTCCCTAGATGATAAAAACTTTGACCATGAGTTTGATCCTAAAAATTCTTTTCTGTTTCTATTTAAACGAAAAAAAAGAGATTTTGCACATTTTATTCCTCATGTAAAACTAAAGGCACAATTTTACATTCAGATAGCTCTTCATACTTTTCAGCAATTCCAGTAGAAAGGATTTAAATATAGCATCCTTTAATACTTCTTACAGACACAGTAATAAAAAAATAATTTGACAATATTGTTCTTTACTTAGAAAAGCCCACAATAATTATACCTTATTATTATACCTCATATTTGTACAATGATTTACATTTCAGACTACTCACACACCCATGACTTTACTCAATTCTCACAGTAACCCTGTTAATAGGTATTGGATCCCTATATTTTAGGTGAGAATACTGAGGTTCAGTGACGTTGAGTGACTTCCTGAAGGTCACACAGCTGCAGGTATCAGTTAGGACAAAGCCCACATTTCTCTTGTCTAATCCAGGTCTGCTTCCGTTGCATTCTTCATGGAGTGCTATTGTCATGAGAATGTGAGCTCCACAGGGCAGGGAGTTTTGTCTCTTGCTCACTCCTCTATCCTTGCTGCCCAGATGAGTGTCTAGCTAAGTAGACACTCAATAAGAGTTTGTTGAATGGATTATTGGTTATTTTATTATTATAAAGGCAATACATATTTGCATAGATATTTTTTCAAAATGTATGCATTGAAATGATGTGCCAATATCCAACCAAACATAATCAGTATTATATTTTAATAAATTGGTTTGAATTTTCTTCACTATGCATCTTTTTTTTTAGATTTTAATTTTATGTTGTATTTTGTAGTGACAATGGGATATATGAGGCATATAGATGTATGTATCTACAGGTTCACTTTCACAAATCACACTACCAGTAAGTAATAGATCCAGGGTTTAAATGCGGTCAGTCTGCCTACAGAGTGCTTGCCAGGCAATGAAGGAAGAGCATGCCTGAGAATAAGGACAACCCAGAATGGGAAGCTAGGGATGAACAGAGAAGCAAGTTCTGCCAGCATTCTTTTACCCCATGTCCAGCTATTCCCAAAGACATTTCCACCCGTAGATAGGGTCACACATGTGTGACATATATTCTGGCTACTTATAGCTTCATTATCTCAACAGCAAAAGACCAGAAACAGCCCAGTAGTCTACCAACAGAGGACTAGTTAAAAGAAAAAGTATAAACTATTTGTACAATGGATCGACATGACCATTATAAAGAATGAATCATCTCTACAGCCTAGGAAATTCCTAGTGCAGTTACCAAAAGGAATCCTAGGCCTTTTAAGGATATCTGGATATTGGAGCCCAGGATGCTGAATTCTGCTGAGATCACTGAACCTTTTTCCTGGGAAACTAGACTAAAGAAGGCCCCTTTCTTTTTTGTTTAGCTATTACAAACCCTTTTGTCTTTTTATACCCAATGTTCTGGGCAGGCAATAGAATACTGTCTCAACTACAGGGAAACAATCAGAAACCCATTTTTTATTTCAGTCCATTGGCCAATGCATATCTACCCTGTGTAAAAGATGTGGTAGCAGAGCTTGTGAAAGCTTCAGCTGACAAGGTTCTATTGTCTCTACCAATGTGATGATTCCTCATAATGTGCAGATTCAGCATTCCTCAGCTAGATACCTTACTTCCTATGAAATTGTTACTTTCCCCTTTAAAGATCTCTATCGGTTGCTATAACACCAGGTACCCAGCAACTCTCATTTTTTTACCTAAGGAAGGAAAATCTCATTATTTATTGTTTGACCTCTGTGGGAGAATTTTCTGGAAACACCCCTGGACAATCCTGATTTAATTTTGTTTGTACCTAAAAATAAGAAATGGAAAATGATAAGCAGGCTATCACAAATCTAAATTCACAACTGAAATCTGAGCTTCTACCAAAAAGTTAAATCAGCCAAATGGCTGAATTTATCACGCCTCTGAGACAGCCAAGTAACAAGAGTTAAAGAGCAAATGTTTGTACAGACAGTAAGTATGCTTGTAAGGTGGTCTATGATGTGGTAATGCTTTAGAATAAAAGAGGTTTCCTGTTCTCTGCGGATACTTACATAAAAATGAAAACAAATTAAGCTTTTACCCATAATAAAAGTAGAGACTCATTCAAAGCATAATGATCCAGAATCCTATGATAATGACCTAACTGGCCTATGCTAAACAAGCAGCATTTACTAAAATGATTGTACCCATCACCTCCCAAATAGGAAAAACTCTGGAGTGATTCAAAGATGCTATCATTAATTGCCAAAGATAAGCCCCTGATTCAGATGGAAAGCATTAGGGGAGGTCAGAATGCACATTACTTAAAGATAATATGGTGTTATAAAACTGTTGTCTGATCATAACAAATTATCTTCTGGAGTTTAGCAAAAATGCTTTGTTATTTTACCTAAATTGTTACCTAAATAAGTTAACCTAAATTAACATAACAAAATTGGACATGATATTGAAACATCATTACCTGGGTAATTTTAAGAGTCTTGCCAAAGATGTTTCCAGTGTATATCTTACTTGCCAACAGCCTAATCCTGCCAAGACTGAAAAGAAGGTTCCAAGTCCCTTTGAATACCTTCAACCCCAATCATTCCCATGACAGGACAATAAATATCTTTTAGTTATTGTTTGCTTATTCTCAAGATGGATTGAGGCTTTTTCTTGCTGGAGGGAAAAGCTGTGATGGTAGTGAAAAAGTTATTTGATTTTTTTGTTTGTTTGCTTCTGACATGGGGAAATGTAACCCTTCACTTCAGTGACAGGGCACACATTTCCCTGGGACTCTTCTTAATGCACTTTGCAAAGCCTTAGGTTTTACTAAGAGAAATTTCATCCTCAATATTCAGAAAAAGTAGAGAAAATAAATGAAACTCTAAAACTGAACTAAGCAATGCATCCAGGTGTCTTCAACTTTTTCTGGCCTAAGGTATTTCCTAAGCTTTAATGACATTAAAATCAACTCTTTCTGGCATCCATCAGCTTTCACCTTATAAATTAATAAGAGGCCATCCCATGTATCTAGGAATTACACCTTTAATCTCTGTTGCAATACTTGCAATCCAAGTATTGCAATGGATTAATGCATATACCCAGTCTTATCTACAGCAAGTACAAGTGGCCTGCCCATAACATCACACTAAACAGAACCTAAGTAAGATTTGTTCCTCTGAAATAAGACCACCCACAAACCTTGATAAAAAGACCTTACCAGGTATTATCAACAGTAGTACCATGGTAAACTCCTAAGGCATTGTTTTTGGATCTATGTTCTCTAATTTAAAAAAAATTCAAACCATCTTACCTGGACAATTGGACATCTATTTTATTGGGAGAGCTTCAGCCAAGAATTCTTAAGAATCTTTCAAAGACAGAAAATAGAGCAAGTTTTCTAACCAAAGATCTTTCGATCAAGCTGAGGAAAGCACAAAGTAGACAGCTTCCATCTAAAATGCTGAAACAAGATTATTTATCTAATATATTTCCTATCCTACTTATCGTTCTGTATTGTTAATCTTACTTGTTATTGTACTTCAGTGAACCCTAGAAATTACTCAAAAAGGTTTATCAATGTTTTTTACACATGTTAATCATTTTCAGAAAGCTAACCTTCCATAGCCTTCCTTTATCACCAAAGAAAAGAGAATCTAATGAAATACTGAATTTGTCACTGCCCTACCTGATCCTGCTAACAAAAATTTAATGGCTGTTCAGTTGAAACATCAGAAGGCATATTTCCTTTCACAGGTCCCTTTAGGTACATGAGTTTTCCTCACATTATCAAGCCAATCTTCAGCTTTAGGGAAATTGGACCCTGACTACAAATCAACACTTCTACTGAAATCTATAATATATAGCCCTGTCAGTGGCATTGACCTCACCAGGGTCAAAAGCAAATATTGTGCTATCCTTTCTGGCTTCAGCAGTAGTCAGTCTGTTACTTTTTCTTTTTTTTCTTTTTTTTTCAAGGATTCTCCAGCCTCTTTGCAGGAACTATTTCTTCCACTCAATAAATGTGCCAGCCAGTGCCGGGGACTGGTAATCAACTCACTGCTATTATGATAATCTGTGCTTTCCTAGAATCCTACTTTTTTTATTTCAGTAGTTTTTGGGGTACAGGTGGTGTTTGCTTAAATGGATAAGTTCTTTAGTGGTGATTTTTGAGATTTTAGTGCACCTGTCACCCAAGCAGTGTACACTATACCCCCCAATGTGTAGTCTTTTATCCTTCATCCCCTTCCCAACATATATCCTCCCAATTCCCCAAAGTTCATCATATCACTCTTACGCCTTTGTGTCCTCAAAGCTTAGCTCCCACTTATAAGTGAGAACACACAATATTTGGTTATCCATTACTGTGTTATTTCACTTGTTTATTTTATTTTATGACAGAGTCTTGCATAGTCACCCAAGCTGGAGTGCAGTGGTGCGATCTTGGCTCACTGCAATCTCCACCTCCCCGGTTTAAGTGGTTCTCGTGCGTCAGCCTCCCAAGTACTTGGGACTACTGGAGTGTACCACCATGCCCAGTTAATTTTTTGGAGAGACGGGGTTTCACCATGTTGGCCAGGCTGGTCTCAAACTTCTGCCCTCAAGTGATCCACCCACCTCAGCCTCCCAAAGTGCTGGGATCACTTGGGATCAAGTGCAGGTAGATCACTTGAGGTCAGGAGTTCGCGACCAGCCTGGCCAATATGGTGAAACCCCCCGTCTCTACTAAAAATACAAAAATTAGCTGGGCATGGGGGCACGAGCCTGTAATCCTAGCTACTAGGGAGGCTGAGGCAGGAGAATCATTTGAACCCAGGAGGTGGAGGTTGCCATGAGCCAAAATCATGCCCCTACACTCCAGCCTGGGTGACAGAGTGAGACTCTGCCTTTAAAAAAAAATGCTGGATGCAATTAAGTTAATTGATGGCCTACTAAGGAATTGCAACCAATGTTTGTTGCATACTGTGCTCTCCCATGTGACATTTTAGTCATATATATACGGTTGTATAAAAATTTTGCTTTACAAAAATTTTTAGACAACATCCTGTCTACTTCATAATGCCATTCATCCTGACGGCAGATTATATGATCAAGGAATCCCAGTTCTTCTCAGTCATTTAAGGTTTAGACTGAGTCACTTCTTTCTCCCTAAGAAAATGCCAAAGTTACAAGTATTCTAAGTTTTACATACAGAACATCATAGCATCATAGGAGGGCATTTATATCCTATAATGAACTCATCTTATATGAACCATGTTGTGTCTATAGCTCCAGAGTCATCACCTCTCCTCATGGAACAGAGATTCGCATGTCCCTACCTTGTTTATTTGGGGGATGTGGAAACTACACTAGGTGTGCAGCCTCTTCCCGTGGAAGAGCCAGTTCTACTGTCCTGCTCGGTATTGGCACAGGGAAAACTCCAAGGCAGCTGTTCACACCCAAATTCCAGATAGAACACAAGTTTCTTCTGCTCTCAGATAGTCGATATTTTACTGATTTATTGCCCCAACTCTGCAGACTTTAGCCCAGGGATGGGGATAGCTTGTGCTGAAACACTCATCAAAGACTAACTCTTACTTTACCTCTCATGCCCTCTTTCCTCATCTCAGCACTAGAGATATTTTTGTTTCATTTTTAGCCATAAAATTGCCTCATACCATCATATAATCTTTCAAAAATACACTTTAGGGAACAAACTTTGAGCTGATTATTCTCAAAAACAACAGGCCTTTCACACTTAGAAACCTTTTCTTTCAAGTTCTTATCTCACCCCAGAGTTTAACATCCATCTAGAATTTAAGAGTTGAGGGTTGTCTTTTGTTTGCTGGCTTTCTGTCCTGGCCTGACTAACTTTTTCCGAAGCAATAGCTTTCTCAGCCTTACATCCTATGACAGAGAATGTATTACCTGAAACATAATATGATGGAATTTTAAAATATAGGCTCACCATTTCAGAACTACCTATAGTAAAATATTTTTAATCTCACCATATGATATGAGTCATTCTCAGTGGATTCTTCTTTTTTCATTATACATTAAGTATACCGAGCCTCATGTATAAATATATCCCTTAATTATACTATCATGTACAGTACAACTGAGCACCCCTTCATGCTCACAAGTGGGGAAAATCAGATATACCATGCCTCCTTACAGCATCTATTTTAAGGTGTATTTATATTTGTATAGGTTAGAGATTATAGACCTATCATATGCCCAGATTCATGAGGTTTTCTGTGAAAGTCTTATATAAAAGAATGATATCCTGCCTCCAAATCAGTTAAAAACTAAAGGGAGGATAAGCACATTAGTAGATTATGAGAACAAAAACAAAGAGAAAGCCATAAAAATGTACAAGTGCTATCAGTGCATTCTTTTAAAGGAGGGATGAGGACTCACATACCCTGGTTGGTATCAAAGTTTTCATGAAAGGGGTGGTCTTTGAAAGACAGAGAAGAGAGACGTTTGTGGTGCGGAGACCAGTATAGGATGACTCAGAAGGGAATATTGACTAGAATAGCAAGTAAGTAAGCAACGTGGATTGCTGCAATTTATCATTCATGTAAGTCAGCGAGCACATTGATAAGATGGGAAGAGAGAAACAGCCCAGAGGGAATCAACAATAGGAGTAGTCCATGGTGTCAACACTTGCAAGAAGATGAGCACAGGAGGAAATATTTTTGTTTAATGGAGCCATATTGACCTTTAAAAATACAATTTCTCCAGCCTGGGCAACATAGCGAGACTTTGTCTACAAATAAAATAAAATAAAACAAAATAGCAGGGTGTGGTGGCACACACCTGTAGTCTCAACTACTCAGGAGGCTGAGGTAGGAGAATCACTTGAACCCAGGAGTTCAAGACTGCAGTGAGCTATGGTTGTGCTACTGTGCTCCAGCCTGGGCAACAGAGGCAGGCCCTATCTCAAATAATAAAGATAATAAATTTAAATATTTTTTTAAAATACAATTTCTTACTATCTATATGTATCTGTGTTTCTATATGTATCTGTGTTTCTATATGCATCCCATAATATCATGTTGTAAACCTCAAATATATACATTTACTTTTTTAAAATAATAAATAAAATTCAAAATAAGAAAAAATACAATTTTAGATGATGAGTAGGCATGAAAAGCAGATTACAGCAGGATAAAGAGGGAAGGGTAAGTATACTAACATAGTAATGTTACAGGATAGTACAGAGATATTAAGAGATAGTATGAGGGAGCCTAAGGATCAGTAAATAAAAACATTTTGTCTGTTTATTTGGGTTTTGTAGTACATGGTATATAAAAGTATGTTGTCAAAAGAAATGGAACCAGCAGAGAAGGTGTTGTGGGATCTTTGGGGGTCACTTTTCAGGCTGGAAACCACTGTGGTCAGTGGCATCTTTTCCCAAGTGTTGCTAGGGCCCGCTGGGCTTGTTCTCCCCACTCAGTCTGGCAGGCTATGCTCAGCTCATGCTACCACCCTGGATCCCATACCTCCACGGGAGACTACAAGTCAGGTGTGGAACAGTGAGGGGTGTGTGAGCGTGGGGTCCAGCCACTGTGCAGTCAGACATGTCAACTGCTGCCACAGGGTGGGCAGCTCCAGGTGTTTGCATGGGCACCAGTTCTCTGTGAGGCTGCAGCTGGACTAAGCATACCACAAGCAGCTTCCCCAGCTGGCACCAGGGAACATGGTGACACCAAGACGCTTGGAGATACCAGGAACCACAGGGCCCCAAAGAGGAAGTCACAGTCCTGGCTCAGGGAGCTCCAGGTCTGGGATCTCCGAAGGGCCACAGCTCTTCTCTCCTTCTCTTCACCCACATGGTGGCTAGCAAGGGGCATGTCTCAGCCCTGTTTGTGTTATAGCTCTTTCAGCATTGCCATTCGGCAGGTCCCAAGTTCTTGTCCTATGACCAGGAAGAATGAGGTAAGCAGACAAGTGGAGAATGAGCAAGACAAAGAGGAGCTTTATTGAATAGTAGAACAGCTCAGAGGAGACCCACAGGGGGTAGCTCCCTTCTGCAGCCACAGTGTCCCTAGGAGTGTTCAGCCTACTCATCATCTAAAGTTGTATTCTTTTCTTCTTTTGAATTTTATTTTATTATTTCAAAAAAGTAGGTTGTATTGTGTCTTTTTTTTGTTTTTTTAAACAGGGTCTCACTCTGTTGCTCTGGCTGGAGTGCAGTGGTGCGATCTCAGCTCACCACAATCTGTGCCTCCTGGGTTCAAGTGATCCTCCCACATCAGCCTCCCAAGTAGCTGGGACTACAGGTGTGCACCACCACACCTGACTCATTTTTTATTTTTTGTAAAGTCTGTCTTGCCTGTGCACCACCACACCTGACTCATTTTTTATTTTTTGTAAAGTCTGTCTTGCCATGTTGCCCAGGCTGGTGTCGAACTCCTGGATTCAAGTGATCTTGCCATCTCAGCCTCCTAAATTGTTGGGATTACAAATGTGAGCTCCACACCTTGCTTGTGGACATAGTCTTGATTTCTCTTGGTAAAGACCTAGAAGTAGAACTGCTAGATCATGATGTAAGTATATGTTTACTTCATAAGGAACTGCTAAAAAGTTTTCCAAAGTGGTTATATCATGCTACACTCACACAGGAAATCTATAGAGGGCCGGGTGCTCCATGTACCAAAATTTAATATTGAGAATATTACATTAGCCATTTGGTGGGTATGTAGTTGTACCACATTTAAGTATCTCTTTTTGTGCTAATTGGCCATTCATACATTTTATTTGCAAAGTATCTGTACAAAACTCTGGCCTATATTTTATTGGGTTGATTGTGTTCATATAAGAATAGTACTATATTATATTAAGAATATTATATTATTCTTATATAACATATATATCCTTTGTCAGATATAGGTATTGTGAATATTTTCTCTCAGTATGTGCCTTATATTTCTGTATTCATAATTTGTCCGTGGTGGGTTTAAAATATCTCCACAAATTCTTTTATATTTATTCCTTTAAGAAATGGAGCCTGATCTCCTTCTCTGGAAGTTGGGCTGTACTTGGGGAAGAAAAGTGAAAGTGATGGTGTGCACCTTTGGAGAATGGATCACACTCCACCCTTCTTCTCTCTTATTAGTGTGAGCATCTCTATTCACCACCCTCCTTCTTGAGCCAAGACTTAGTGCGGGGTAATGTTACTGCAATCAGCTTCTGGATATTGATCTGGGAAATCCTTTTTCTCTGTCCAAATGAGTAAAGAGCACTAGACCTTTACTTTTCCCAAAGAGTATACCTCCCCTATCTTGTATCAGGGACTAGGTCTACCCAGATATTTGTGATAATTTAGTATATAGAGAATTTGGCCATCTCGCCAGTCTTCTCCTCTATCTCTCTCTCTAACTTTCTCTCTCTCTCTTTCTCTCCCTCTCTGTCTGTTTCTCTCTCTATCTTTCTCTCTTTCTCTTTCTTTCCATGCATTTAAATTTTTTTTATTTGAATAGCTTTAAGAGTACAAGTGGTTACCATATAATTTGGGAGTCCTAAGCTAGAGGTTGTTGTGGGGCCAATTATTTTTTACTCACAGATTGTTCATGATTATCTTCCCATGGCAAGGGCAGTGGGACAAAGTTTTTTGTGAGTTCATTATAAGAATAATGCCGAGGTCCATTCCAAGATGGCCAAATAGGAACAGCTCTGGTCTGTAGCTCCCAGCCTGACTGACGCAGAAGACGGGTGATTTCTGCACTTCCAACTGAGGTACCTGGTTCATCTCACTGGGACAGGTTGGACAGTGGGTGCAGCCCATGGAGGGCGAGCCAAAGCAGGATGGGGCATCACCTCACCCAGGAAGTGCAAGGGGTCAGGGGATTTCCCTTTCCTAGCCAAGAGAAGCTGTGACAGACTGTACCTGGAAAAACAGGACACTCCTGCCCAAATACTGCACTTTACCTATAGTCTTAGCAACCAGCAGACCAGGAGATTTGCTCCCGTGCCTGGCTTAGTGGGTCCCACACCCACGGAGCCTTGCTCACTGCTAGCGCAGCAATCTGAGATGGACCTGCGAGGCTGCAGCCAGGTGGGAGGAGGGGTGTGAACCATTGCTGAGGCTTGAGTAGGTAAATAAAGTGGCTGGGAAGCTTGAACTGGGTGGAGCCCACCACAGCTTAGCAAGGCCTACTGCCTCTGTAGACCCAACCTCTGTGGGCAGGGCATAGCTGAACAAAAGGCAGCCAAAACTTCTGCAGACTTAAACGACCCTGTCTGACAGATCTGAAAAGAGCAGTGGTTCTCCCAGCACAGCATTTGAGCTCTGAGAACAGACAGACTGCCTCCTCAAGTGGGTCCCTGACCCCCAAGTAGCCTAATTGGGAGACACCTCCCAGTAGGGGTCAACAGACACCTCATACAGGCAGATGCCCCTCTGGGATGACGCTTCCAGAGGAAGGATCAGGCTGTAATATTTGCTGTTCTGCAGCCTCCACTGGTGATACCCAGGCAAACAGGGTCTGGAGTGGACCTCCAGCAAACTCCAACAGACCTGCAGCTGAGGGACCTGACTGTTAGAGGAAAATGAACAAACAGAAAGGAATAGCATCAACATCAACAAAAAGGACATCCACACCAAAACCCCATCCGTAGGTCACCAACATCAAAAACCAAAGGTAGATAAAACCACAAAGATGGGGAGAAACCAGAGCAGAAAAGCTGAAAATTCTAAAAACCTGAGTGCCTCTTCTCCTCCAAAGGATCACAGCTCCTCACCAGCAACTGAACAAAGCTAGGCGGAGGATGACTTTGATAAGTTGACAGAAGTGGCTTCAGAAGGTCGGTAATAACAAACTTCTCTGAGCTAAAGGAGGATGTTCTAACTCATCGCAAGGAAGCTAAAAACCTTGAAAAAAGGTTAGACGAATGGCTAACTAGAATAAACAGTGTAGAGAAAACCTTAAATGACCTGATGGAGCTGAAAACCATGGCATGAGAACTTCGTTACACATACACAAGCTTCAATAGCTGATTCGATCAAGTGGAAGAAAGAGTATCAGTGATTGAAGATCAAATTAATGAAATAAAGCGAGAAGACAAGTTTAGAGAAAAAAGAGTAAAAATAAATGAACAAAACCTCCAAGAAATATGGGTCTATGTGAAAAGACCAAATCTACATTTGTTTGGTTTACCTGAAAGTGACGGGGAGAATGGAACAAAGTTAGAAAACACTCTTCAGGATATTATCCAACCTAGCAAGGCAGGCCAACATTCAAATTCAGGAAACACAGAGAATACCACAAAGATACTCCTCAAGAAGAGCAACCCCAAGGCATATAATTCTCAGATTCACCAAGGTTGAAATGAAGGAAAAAATGTTAAGGGCAGCCAGAAAGAAAGGTCGGATTACCACAAAGCAAAGCCCATCAGACTAACAGCAGATCTCTCGGCAAAAATCCTTACAAGCCAGAAGAGAGTGGGGGCCAATATTCAACATTCTTAAGAAAAAAAATTCAACCCAGAATTTCATATACCACCAAAATAAGCTTCATAAATAAAGGAAAAACAAAATCCTTTACAGACAAGCAAATGCTCAAAGATTTTGTCACCACCAGGCCTGCCCTACAAGAACTCCTGAAGGAAGCACTAAACATGGAAAAGAACAGCCAGTACCAATCACTGCAAAAACATGCCAAATTGTAAAGACTACCAATGCTATGAAGAAACTGCATCAATTAATGGGCAGAATAACCAGCTAACATCATAATGACAGGATCAAATTCATATATAACAATGTTAATCTTAAATGTAAATGGGCTAAATGCCCCAATTAAAAGACACAGACTGGCAAATTGGATAAAGAGTCAAGACCCATCGGTGTGCTGTATTAAGGAGACCCATCTCATGTGCAGAGCACACACATAGGCTCAAAATAAAGGATGAAGGAAGATCTATCAAGCAAATAGAAAGCAAAAAAAGCAGGGGTTGCAATCCTAGTCTCTGATAAAACAGACTTTAAACCAACAAAGATCAAAAGAGACAAGACCATTGCATAATGGTAAAGGGATCAAGGGATCAATGCAACAAGAAGAGCTAACTATCCTAAATATATATGCACCCAATACAGGAGCACTCAGATTCATAAAGCAAGTCCTTAGAGACCTACAAAGAGACTTAGATTCCCACACAATAATAATTGTAGACACTGTCAATATTGGACAGATCAACAAGACAGAAGGTTAACAAGGATATCCAGGACTTGAACTCAGCTCTGCACCAAGTGGACCTAATAGATATCTACAGAACTCTCCACCCCCAATCAACAGAATGTACATTCTTCTCAGCACCCCATCACACTTATTCTAAAGCTGACCACATAATTGGAAGTAAAGCACTCCTCAGCAAATGTAAAAGAACAGAAATCACAACAAACTGTCTCTCACACCACAGTGCAATAAAATTAGAACTCAGGATTAAGAAACTCACTCAAAATCACACACCTACATGGAAACTGAACAACATGCTCCTGAATGACTACTGGGTAAATAACAAAATGAAGCCAGAAATAAAGACGCTCTTTGAAACCAATAAGAAAAAAGACACACATACCAGAATCTCTGGGAAACATTTAAAGCAGTGTGTAGAGGTAAATTTATAGCACTAAATGCCCACAAGAGAAAGCAAGAAAGATCTAAATCAACACCCTAACGTCACAATTAAAAGAACTAGAGAGGCAAGAGCAAACAAATTCAAAGGCTAGCAGAAGGCAAGAAATAACTAAGATCAGAGCAGAATTGAAGGAGATAGAGACACAAAAATCCCTCCATAAAATCAATGAATCCAGAAGCTGGTATTTTGAAAAGATCAACAAAACTGAAAGACTGCTAGAAAGACTAATCAAGAAGAAAAAAGAGAAGACTCAAATAAAAAATAAGGGGATATTGCCACCAATCCCACAGAAATACAAACTATCATCAGAGAATAATATAAACACCTCTATGCAAATGAACTAGAAAATCTAGAAGAAATAGGTAACTTCCTGGAAACATACCTCCTCCCATGACTTAAGGGGGAAGAAGTTGGATCTCTGAATAGATCAATAACGGCTCTGAAATTGAGGCAATAATTAATAGCCTAGCAACCAAAAAAAGTCCAGGACCAGACTGATTCACAGCTGAATTCTACCAGAGGTACAAAGAGGAGCTGGTACCATTCCCTCTGAAACTTTTCCAATCAATAGAAAAAGAGGGAATCCTCCCTAACTCATTTTATGAGGCCAGCATCATCCTGATACCAAAGCCTGGAAGAGACACACACACAAAAAAAAGAATTTTAGACCAATATCCCTGATGAACTTTGATGCAAAAATCCTCAATAAAATACTGGCAAACCGAATCTAGCAGCACTTCAAAAAGCTTATCCACCATGATCAAGTGGGCTTCATCCCTGGGATGAAAGGCTGGTTCAACATATGCAAATCAATAAACGTAATCCATCACATAAACAGAACCAATGACAAAAACCACATGATTATCTCAATAGATGCAGAAAAGGCCTTTGACAAAATTAAAAGGCCCTTCATGCTAAAAATTCTCAATAAACTAGGTATTGATGGAACATATCTCAAAATAATAACAGCTATTCATGACAAACCCACAGCCAATATCATACTGAATGGGCAAAAACTAGAAGCATTCCCTTTGAAAACCGGCACAAGACGAGGATGCCCTCACTTACTGCTCCTATTCAAAATAGTGTTGGAAGTTCTGGCCAGGGCAATCAGGCAAGAGAAAGAAATAAAGGATGTTCAATTAGGAAAAGAGGTCGTCAAATTGTCCCTGTTTGCAGATGACATGATTATATATTTAGAAAACCCCATCGTCTCAGCCCAAGATCTCCTTAAGCTGATAAGCAACTTCAGCAGTTTCAGGATACAAAATCAATGTGCAAAAATCACAAGCATTCCTATATAGCAATAACAGACAAATAGAGAGCCAAATCATGAGTGAACTCCCATTCACAATTGCTACCAAGAGAATAAAATACCTAGGAATACAACTTACAAGGGATGTGAAGGACCTCTTCAAGGAGAACTACAAACCACTACTCAATGAAATAAAAGAGGACACAAACAAAGGGAAAAACATTCCATGCTCATGTATAGGAAGAATCAATATCGTACTGCCCAAGGTAATTTATAGATTCAATGCCATCCCCATCAAGTTACCAATGACTTTCTTCACAGAATTGGAAAAAACTACTTTAAAGTTCATATGGAACCAAAAAAGAGCCCACATTGCCAAGACAATGATAAGCCAAAAGAACAACATTGGACGTATCATGCTACCTGACTTCAAACTATACTACAAGGCTACAGTAACAAAAACAGCATGATACTGGTACCAAAATAGATCTATAGACTAATGGAACAGAACAGAGGCCTCAGAAATAATGCTACACATCTACAACCAGCTGATCTTTGACAAACCTGACCAAAACAAGAAATGTGGAAAGGATTCCCTATTTAATAAATGGTGCTAGGAAAACTGGCTAGCCATATGTAGAAAACTGAAAGTGGATCCCTTCCTTACACCTTATAAAAAATTAATTCAAGATGGATTACAGACTTAAATGTTAGACCTAAAACCATAAAAACCCTAGAAGAAAACCTAGACAATACCATTCAGGACGTAGGCATGGGCAGGGACTTCAAGTCTAAAACACCAAAAGCAATGGCAACAAAAGCCAAAATTGACAAATGGGATCTAATGAAATTAAAGAGCTTCTGCACAGCAAAAGAAACTACCATCAGGATGAACAGGCAACCTACAGAATGGGAGAAAATTTTTGCAATCTACCCATCTGACAAAGGGCCAATATCCAGAATCTACAGAGAACTTAAACAAATTTACAAGAATACAACAAACAACCCCATCAAAAAGTGGGTGAGGGATATGAAAAGACCCTTCTCAAAAGAAGACTTTTATGCAGCCAACAGAAAATGCTCACCATCACTGGTCATCAGAGAAATGCAAATCAAAACCACAATGTGATACCATCTCATGCCAGTTAGAATGACAACCATTAAAAAGTCAGGAAACAACAGATGCTGGAGAGAATGTGGAGAAATAGGAACGCTTTTACACCATTGGTGGGAGTGTAAATTCGTTCAACCATTGTGGAAGACAGTGTGGTGATTCCCCAAGGATCTAGAACTCGAAATACTGTTTGACCCAGTGATCCCATTACTGAGTATATACCCAAAGGATTATAAATCATGCGACTATAAAGACACATGCACATGTATTTTTGTTGCAGCACTATTCACAATAGCAAAGACTTGGAGCCAACCCAAATGTCCATCAATGATAGACTGGATTGAGAAAATGTGGCACATATACACCATGGAATACTATGCAGCCATAAAAAAGGATGAGTTCATGTCCTTTGCAGGGACATGGATGAAGCTGGAAATCATCATTCTTAGCAAACTATCACAAGGACAGAAAACCAAACACCACATGTTCTCACTCATAGGTGGGAATTCAACAATAAGAACACTTGGACATGGGGCGGGGAACATCACAAACCAGGGCCTGTCGGGGGGTGGGGACCTGGGGGAGGGATAACATTGGGAGAAATACCTAATGTAAATGACAAGTTGATGGGTGCAGCAAACCAACATAGCACATGCACACCTATGTAACAAACCTGCACTTTGTGCACATGTACCCTAGAACTTAAAGTATAATAAAAAAGAAAAAAAGAGTACAAGTGGTTTTTGGTTACATGAATGAATAGTATAGTGGTAAAGTCTGGGCTTCTTCCATATATATTTATTGAGTGCCTATTACATGCCAGCAAAATTCTAAGTACTTGAGATATTCATCAAAAATAAAGCAGGTAAAATCTACTCCTCAACGTTAAAATTGTAACCACATTTTATTGGAATTACCAACCTTGCAGAACATACTGCTGGTAAACTTAAAGTCTATTGATGATCTCATGATGATAGGCCTTTGTGAGCAGGAAGTAGCAGACATTCTGAATGCCTTAGTAAAACAGTTATATGCCAGAAAGACATATAACATAGGAAAGTTCAGAGTTCTTTTAACTCAATAATGTTTTGTGGAATCTGAGGCATATCAGAACATGACTTCCAAATGAAGCATAAACTGCTGCATTTGTCCCACTCCCCACTACTGCTAAGAAGAAGAGGCATATGGCTTGAAGGGCATTTATAAAGGATTTTGATTTTGAAAGTAACATAGATTGTGTGTGTGTGTGTGTGTGTGTGTTTCTCCTCCAGATAATCCATAAAGCTGCCAGCTTTGCTTGACCCTAAGCATGAGAAGTCTTTCCAGCTGGTTCAGTGTAAGCATTTTCCAAATCAGTGGCTGCATACCATATGCTAAGGATGGTGTTGATTTGCTCTTATAAATATAACACATCTGGAAGAGCCATTACAATTTGAGTCACCACCTTATTAATTTCAGGAAAATCCTTTTTTATTCTGAAAGACCAAAAACCAAGTTTAAAGACAATATGATAGGAAATACCACCTCTGTTTCTTTCAAATGTTTGGGGATAACGTGAATGTCTGTAATTTCTCCAGAAAAACTATATTGCTTTTGATTAACTCTTTTGGTATGGAAGTGTACTTTCAGATGCTTCCTTTTTGCACTTTGATCAAAATAGCAATTGCCCTTTAAGTTAATAAGCCAATGTATATATTCTGCCAATTGCCAAATATTCCAATTTAAAATCTATATTCATAAATGGCAAAAAATAACAAGGGTATGTTTGTGGAGCCATTGTGTCTCAAGCCAAAACTGTATTTATCCCATGAGCTTCATAAGCACCAATGTAATTGGTAGCACACAGTGATATTTAAGCAACAAGGCTTAGCATGAGAGCAGAGCCCAGTAATCCCTGAAAGTCTAGGTACACAGTGACTTCAATAAAGGGCCTCATCACAGTACTTGCTATGATTTGATTGTTCCCCCAGACCTCATGTTGAAATCTGATCCCCAATGCCAGAGGTAGGACCAAGTGGAAGGTATTTAGATTCTGGGGGTGGATCCCGCATGAATGACTTGGTGTCATCTTTACAGTAATGAGTGAGTTCTCACTCTATCAGTTCTCATGAGAGCTGGTTGTTAAAAAGAGCCTGGCACCTTTCCCCTCCCTTTCTTGCTTCCTGTCTTGCCATGTGATCTCTGCACCTATCCATTTCCCTTTGCTTTCTGCCATGAGTGGAAGCAGCCTGAATCCCTCACCAGAAGCAGGTGCTGGTGCCATGCTTCTTGTACAGCCTGCAGAACCATAAGCCAAATAAGCTTCTTTTCTTTATAAATTACTCAGCCTCAGGTATTACTCTGTAGCAGCAGTAAACACACTGAGACAATGCTTTTTCTCAAAAGCGTTCTTCATTAATGGGCCTCTGGAATTTGAATGAGAAACCATGCTTCTCCTGTGATAAGTCAAATCAGGCTGCTGTGTTTGCTAGATCCAGAGTATTTTAGAATCTTGATCAGCTGCCCTTCTATTTCAGTTTGAGGATACCCATTTATCCCCAGTATCTATTGCCAAAATTTTCTAAACCATTGTGGTTGCCACTCCTAACCCTGCTGCCTACTATGGTAACCATGCCTACCTTAGCTCTGATGATTGAGAGTTGCTTTTCAGCTTCTGCTATCATCATCTGCACTGAAACAAAGAATCCCATTTCAATAGAGACATTTCTTGCCCTGATCTCTAGAGAAAGGAAGGAGAAGCTTCCTCTTCTTTTAACAAGCAAGATTCTATGAAGCTTGGGTGCAGAGTGCTAAGATTAATCTAAATCCCCACCAAATGTCTTCTTTCCAATTCTCAGTCCCTCTCTTTCCCAATTAATACTCTAAATTTAATGTAAGAGACTAAAAAGACAATGAATTCAACTTACATTGTAAGATCGGACACCATATTTGATTTTTGGTCATACTGGCTCTGAAATTTCAAGAGATTATATATATATTTATATATATATATAAATATATATATAAAATATTTATATATATAAAAATATATAAAATATTTATATATAATATATATATTTTATATATATATTTTTAAGGCACTCAGAAGGTTGCTGGTTCTTTGTGCTAATTGAAGTAAGAACTTAAAATCCTAAGCTTTATGTTTTCTTTTTTTCTTTAAAGCTTTATAGAAATCTGAAAAAAAAAAAAAAAGCCACCTCTTCTCAAGTCCTGGTATTTCACATTCTTGCCATAATGGTCCACCAGAGTTGCCACTCAGCCTTCCCAAACCTTGCCTTCAATAGGCCTTTATTCCAGGGAGTCACAGGGGATAATTTAAATGAATACTTTGCCCTTGTGTGCCTTGTCTTATTTTCTATTGATAAATGAATTGTCCTCAAGTAGGTAAGAAAACTAAACTCAGTGTCTCATACTTGAGGCTTCTGTGCCTGAAATAATTTTGAAAGTAGCAACTGCACAAAACAAGGTCCGAGTGCAGAAAGCCAAAACTAAATTAGCAATTACAAAAAGAAAGGCATTCGGTTGCTTAAAAATCTTAGGAAAGGCCAGAGAAGCACACTTCGGAACAACACCGCAGAACTGGCCTGCCAAAAGAGTTTCTGCCACCATATAATCAGGAAGATTAGAATCAGGAGGCTGCTAGTGAAATTGTTGACTTCAAAAGCACACTGCTGGGCTGGACATGGTGGCTCATGCCTGTAATCCCAACACTTTGGGAGGCCAAGGTGGGTGGACTGCTTGAGCTCAGAAGTTCAGGACTAGCCTGGTCATCATGGCAAAATGTTACCTCTACAAAATATACAAAAATTATTTGGGTGTGGTGGTGCATGCTTGTAGTCCCAGCTACTCAGGAGTCTGAGGCAGGAAGATAATTGAACCCAGGAGGTCGAGGCTGCAGTGAGCTTTGATCATCCCACTGTACTCCAGCCTGGGTGACAGAAAGACACCCTGTCTCAAAACAAAACAAACAAACAAACAAACAAAAAACCCAAAAGCACACCACCTTAAGCTAGATCCAGAGAAGAGGACGTGATGCTGCAGCTGCCATAGCTGCATCTCACCACCAATAAAGCAAGTGACTGGCTGCTAAATCTCTGATGAAGAAAAACCCAAAGGTCTCAAGGATTGTGCTTCCCAGCTGAAAAGCTGAACAGCAGGCAGATGGCCTATGCCTCACTGGCCTTCAAAATCCTGTATGACTACTTCTGATAGCCAGAACTTCAAGCTAGCAACCAGAAAGAACCCTTTTGCAAGGGATCCAGGAGTACAGGAAGATGCGCCAGAAGAAGGTTGGAAGGGATGCAAGGTGTCAATCTATCATATCTACACAGAAGAATTTTTCTGTAAAGAAATAAATGTTTAAAATACATTTGCAGGACTTCTGGTTCTATTAAGAGTATAAAAAATTTTGTTCTGAACCTCCCACTTCTCTTGAATACTATACAAAGAAATAATGTGGAAATATGACAACAAAAAAAAATCCCCACAAACAACATTTTATGTAACACTAGAAAATGTATACAACTCCAAAACTGCAGACGATGAGTAAGAAGTGTGGCTCCAATCAGAGGCAGGAAATCGTGCCTCAGGACAGTGTTACATTTCTGGTGAGGGCAGATTTCAGAGATCTCTAGAAAACATTCCTTTATAGGAACAAACAGCTGGGAAATTCATCACAAAAAGATCACCTAGGTACACAGTTATCAGGCCATCTAAAGTCAAGACAAAGGAAAGAATCTTAAGAGCTGCAGGGCAAAAGCATCAGGTAACCTATGAAGGAAAATCTATCAGATTAACAGCAGATTTTTCAGCAGAAACCCTGAAAGCCAGAAGGGATTGGGGTCCTATTTTTAGCTTCCTTAAACAGAATAACTATCAGCCAATAATATTGTATCAAGTGAAATTAACCTTCGTAAATGGAGGAGACATAAAGTATTTTCATACAAACAAATGCTGAGAGAATTTGCCATTACCAAGCTAGCACTATTAGAAATGCTAAAAGGAGTCCCCAACCCTGAAACAAAACCTTGAAATGCACCCAGATAGAACCTCCTTAAACCATAAATCTCACAGGTCCTATAAAAACAATAATGCAATAAAAAAAAAGAAAAGTTATTCAGTCAACAACAAGCATGATGAATAGAATACTCAATACTAATGTTGAATGTAAATGGCCTAAACGCTGCACTTAAAAGATATGGAATGGCAGAATGGATAAAACGTATCTTCTGTCTTTAAGATACTCACCTAACACATAGGGACTCACAGAAACTTAAGGTAAAGGGGTGGAAAAAGATATTCCATATAAAAGGAAACCAAAAGCAAGCAGGAGTGGCTATTCTTATATCAGACAAAATAGACTTTAAAGTAACAAAAAAAAGACAAAGAGGGACATTGTATAATGATACAATTCATTAGGATTCAAAAGGATTAGTCCCACAAGAAAATATCACAATACTAAATATATACACAACTAACACTAGAGCTCCCACATTTATAAAACAATTACTGCTAGATATAAGAAATGAGATAGATGGCAATATAGAATAAATAATAGTGGGGGACTTCAATACTCCACTGACAGCACTAGATAGGTCATCAAGACAGAAAATCAACAAGAAACAATGGACTCTGATGGCTGGAAACATGGCCAAATAGGAACAGCTCTGGTCTGCAGCTTCTAACATCAACCCAAAAGGCAGGTGATTTCTGCATTTCCAACTGAGGTACGCAGTCTATCTCACTGGGACTGGTTAGACAGTGGGTGCAGCCCACAGAGGGTGAGCCGAAGCAGGGTAGTGCATCACCTCACCCTGGAAGCACAAGGGGTTGGGGAACTTCCTCCTCTAGCCAAGGGAAGCTGTGAGGGACTGTACCGTGAGGAACAGTGCATTCTGGCTCAGATACTATGCTTTTCCCACAGTCTTCGCAACCCACAGACCAGGAGATTCCCTCTGGTGCCTACACCACCAGGGCCCTGGGTTTCAAGCACAAAACTGGGCGGCTGTTTGAGCAGACACCGAGCTAGGTGCAGGAGTTTTTTTTTTATACCCCAGTGGTGCCTGGAATGTCAGCAAGGCAGAACCGTTCACTCCTCTGGAAAGGGGGCTGAAACCATGGAGCCAAGTGGTCTAGCTCAGTGGATCCCACCCCCATGAAGCCTAGCAAACTAAGATCCACTAGCTTGAAATTCTCACTGCCAGCACAGCAGTCTGAAGTCAACCTGGGATGATAAAGCTTGGTGGGGGAGAGGCATCAGCCATTAATGAGGCTTGAGTAGGTGGTTTTCCCCTCACAGTGTAAACAAAGCCACCAGGAAGCTCAAACTGGGCGAAGCCTACCACAGCTCAGCAAAGCCACTGTAGCCAATCTTCCTCTCTAAATTGCTCCTCTCTGGGCAGGGCATCTCTGAAAGAAAGGCAGCAACCCCAGTCAGTGGCTTATAGATAAAATTCCCTTTTCAATGGGATACAGCACCTGAGGGAAGTGGGGGCTGTAGGCGCAGCTTTAGCAGACTTAAACATTCCTGCCTACTGGCTCTGAAGAGAGCAGCAGATCTGCCAGCACAGTGCTTGAGCTCTGCTAAGGGACAGACTGCCTCCTTAAGTGGGTCCCTGACCCCTGTGCCTCCTGACTGGGAGACAGCTCCCAGCAGGGGTTGACAGACACCTCATACAGGAGAGCTCTGACTGGCATCTGGCAGGTGCCCATCTGGGACGAAGCTTCCAGAGCAAGGAACAGGCAGCAATCTTTGCTGTTCTGCAGCCTCTGCTGTTGATACCCAGGAAAACAAGGTCTGGAGTGGACCTCCAGCAAACTCCAGCAGACCTGCAGCAGAGGGGCCTGGCTGTTAGAAGGAAAACTAACAAACAGAAAGGAATAGCATCAACATCACCAAAAGGACGTCCACTCAGAGGCCCCATCCGAAGGTCACCATCATCAAAGACCAAAGGTAGATAAATCCATGAAGATGAGGAAAAACCAGTGCAAAAAGGTTGAAAATTCCAAAAACCAGAACATCACTTTTCCTCCAAAGGATCACAACTCCTCACCAGCAAGGAAAAAAAAACTGGACAGATAATGAGTTTGATGAATTGACAGAAGTAGGTTTCAGAGGGTGAGTAATAACAAACTCCTGTGACCTAAAGGAGCATGTTCTAACCCAATGCAAGGAAGCTAAGAGCTTTGGAAAAAGATTAGAGGAATTGCAAATTAGAATAACCAGTTTAGAGAAGAAAATGAGTGACTTGATGGAGCTGAAAAACACAGCATGAGAACTTCATGATGCATACACAAGTATCAATAGCCAAATCAATCAAGTAGAAGGAAGAATATCAGAGATTGAAGATCAACTTAATGTAATAAAGTGTGAAGACAAGATTAGACAAAAGAGAATAAAAAGGAATTAACAAAACTCAAAGAAATGTGGGACTATGTGAAAAGACCAAACCTGTGTTTGATTGGTGTACCTGAAAGTGATGGGGAGAAAGGAACCAAGTTGGAAAACACTCTTCAGGATATTATCCAGGAGAATTTCCCCAACCTAACAAGACAGGCCAATACTCAAATTCAGGAAATACAGAGAACACCATAAAGTTACTCCTTGAGAGGAGCAACCCCAAGACAAACAATCATCAAATTCACCAAGGTTGAAATGAAGGAAAAAATGTTAAAGGCAGCCAGAGATAAAGATAGCATTAACTACAAAGTGAAGCCCATCAAACTAACAGCAGATCTCTCTGTAGAAACCCTAAAAGCCAGAAGAGAGTGGAGGCCAATAGTCAACATTCTTAAAAAAAAAAAAAATCAAACCAGAATTCCATATCCAGCCAAATTAAGCTTCATAAGCATAGGAGAAATAAAATCCTTTACAGACAAGCAAATGCTCAGAGATTTTGTCACAAGCAGGCCTGCCTTACAAGAGCTCCTGAAGGGAGCACTAAATATAGAAAGGAAAAACCAGTATCAGCCACTGCAAAAACATACCAAATTGTAAAGACCATCAACACTATGAAGAAACTGCATCAACTAATGGGCAAAATAACCAGCTATCATCATATTAACAGGATCAAATTCACACATGACAGTATTAATCTTAAATGTGAACAAGCTAAATGCCCCAATTTAAAGACACAGACTGGCAAATTGGATAAAGAGTCAAGACCCATCAGTGTGCTGTATTCAGGAGACCCATCTATGTGCAAAGAAATACACAGGCTCAAAATAAAGGGATGGAGGAATACTTAGCAAGCAAATGGAAAGCAAAAAAGGCAGGGGTTTCAATGCTGGTCTCTGAGAAAACAGCCTTTAAACCAACAAAGATCAAAAGAGACAAAGAAGACCATTACATAATGGTAAAGGGATCAATGCCACAAGAAGAGCTAACTATCCTAAATATATATAAATCCAACACAGGAGCACCCAGATTCATAAAGCAAGTTCTTAGAGACCTGCAAAGACACTCAGACTCCCACACAATAATAGTGAGAGACTTTAACACCCCACTGTCAATATTAGACAGATCAACGAGACAGACAATTAACAGGGAAATTCAGAACTTGAATAGACATCTACAGAACTCTCCACCCCAAGTGAACAAAATGTACATTCTTCTCAGCACCGCATCACACTTATTCTAAAATTGACCACATAATTGGAAGTAAAACACTCCTCAGCAAATGCAAAAGAATGGAAATCATAACAAACAGTCTCCCAGACCACAGTGCAATCAAATTAGAACTCAGGATTAAAAAAACTCACTCAAAACCGCACAACTACATGGAAACTGAGCAACCTGCTCCTGAATGATTACTGGGTAAATAACGAAATTAAGGCAGAAATAAATAAATTCTTTGAAACCAAGGAGAACAAAGTCACAACATACCAGAATCTCTGGGACACAGCTAAAGCAGTGTTTAAAGGGAAATTTACAGCACTCAATTCTCAGAGGAGAAAGCAGGAAAGATCTAAAATTGACACCCTAACATCACAATTAAAAGAACTGGAGAAGGAAGAGCAAACAAATTCAAAAGCTACCAGGAGACAAGAAATAAATAAGACCAGAGCAGAACTGAAGGAGATAGAGACATGAAAAACCCTTCAAAAAAAATCAGTGAACCCAGGAGCTGGTTTTTTTTTTGAAAAGATTAACAAAATAGACTACTAGCCAGACTAATAAAAAAGAAAAGACAGAAGAATAAAATAGACACAACAAAAAATGATAAAGGGGATATAACCACTGATATACACAGAAATACAAACTACCCTCAGAGAATACTATAAACACCTCTAAGCAAATTAACTAGAAAATCTAGAAGAAATGGATACATTCCTGGAAACACATACTCTGCCAACACTAAACCAGGAAGAAGTCGAATCCCAGAATATACCAATAACAAGTTCTGAAATTGAGGCAGTAATTAATAGCCTACCAACCAAAAAAAGCCCAGGACCAGATGGATTCACAGCCTAATTCTACCAGAGGTACATAGAGGAGATGGTACCATTCCTTCTGAAACTATTCCAATCAATAGAAAAAGAGGGACTCCTCCCTATATCACTTTATGAGATCAGCATCATCCTGATACCAAAACCTGGCAGAGACACAACAAAAAAAAATTTCAGGCCAATATCCCTGATGAATATTGATGCAAGAATCCTCAGTAAAATACTGGCAAATCGAATTCAGCAGCACCTCAAAAAGCTTATCCACCACAATCAAGACGGCCTCATCCCTGGGATGCAAGGCTAGTTCAAAATATGCAAATCAATAAACATAATCCATCACATAAACAGAACAGATGACAAAAATCACATGATTATCTCAATAGATGCAGAAAAGGCTTTTGAAAAAAGTCAACACCTCTTCATGCTAAAAACTCTCAATAAACTAGGTATTGATGGAATGTATCTCAAAATAATAAGAGCTATTTATGACAAACCCACAGCCAATATCATACTGAATGGGCAAAAGCTGGAAGCATTCCCTTTGAAAACCAGCACAAGACAAGGATGCCCTCTATCACCACTCCTATTCAAAATAGCATTGGAAATTCTGGCCAGTGCAATCAGGCAAGAGAAAGAAATAAAGGGTATTCAAATAGGAAGAGCGGAAGTCAAATTATCTCTGGTTGCAGATGACATGATAGTATATTTAGAAAACCCCATCATCTCAGCCCAAAGTCTCCTTAAGCTGATAAGCAACTTCAGCAAATCTCAGGATACAAAATCAATGTACAAAAATCACAAGCATTCCTATACATCAATCATAGACAGAGAGCCAAATTAGGAGTGAACTCCCATTCACAATTGCTACAAAGAGAATAAAATACCTAGGAATACAACTTACAAGGGATGTGAAGGACCTCTTCAAGGAGAACTAGAAACCACTGTTCAAGGAAATAAGAGAGGAAACAAACAAATGAA
Source organism: Homo sapiens (assembly GCF_000001405.40). NCBI lineage: Eukaryota > Metazoa > Chordata > Mammalia > Primates > Hominidae > Homo > Homo sapiens. The sequence continues at coordinate 120,986,364 of NC_000004.12, read as the reverse complement.
AAAGCATTCCATGCTCATGGATAGGAAGAATAAATATTGTGAAAATGGCCATACTGCCCAAAGTAATTTATAGATTCAATGCTATCCCCACTAAGCTCTTATTGAGTTTCTTCACAGAACTAGAAAAAGCTACTTTAACTTTCATATAGAACCAAAAAAGAGCCCACATCACCAAGACAATCCTAAGCCAAAAGAACAAACCTGGAGGCATTGCGCTACCTGACTTCAAGCTATACTACAAGGCTACAGTAACCAAAACAGCATGGTACTGGTGCCAAAACAGATCTATAGACCAAGGGAACTCAGCAGAGGCCTCAGAAATAACCCCATACATCTACAACCAGCTGTTCTTTGACAAACCTGACAAAAACAAGCAATGGGGAAAGGATTCCCTATGTAATTAACGGTGTTGGGAAAACTCGCTAGCCATATGCAGAAAACTGAATCTGGGCCCCTTTTTTACACCTTATACAAAAATTAACTCAAGATGAATTAAAGACTTAAATATAAGACCTAAAACCATAAAAACCCTAGAAAAAAACACAGGCAATGCCATTCAGGACATAGGCATGGGCAAAAACTTCATGACTAAAACACCAAAGGCAGTGGCAACAAAAGCCAAAATTGACAAATGGGATCTAATTAAACTAAAGAGCTTCTGCACAGCAAAAGAAACTATCGTCAGAGTGAACAGGCAACCTACAGAATGGGAGAAAATTTTTGCTATCTATCCATCTGACAAAGGGCCAATGTCCAGAATCTACAAGGAACTTAAACAAATTTACAAGAATACAACAAACAACCCCATCAAAAAGTGGGCAAAGGATATGGACAGACACTTCTCAATAGAAGACATTTATGCACTGAACAAACATATAAAAAAAAGCTCAACATCACTAGTCATCAGAGAAATGCAAATCAAAACTTCAATGAGATACCATCTCATGCCAGTTAGAATGGTGATCACAAAAAAAGTCAGGAAACAACAGACGCTGGAGAGAATGTGGAAAATTAGGATTGCTTTTACACTGTTGGTGGGAGTGTAAATTAGTTCAACCATTGTGGAAGACAGTGTGACAATTCCTCAAGGATCTAGAACTAGAAATACCATTTGACCCAGCAATCCCATTACTGAGTATATACCCAAAGGATTAAAAATCATTCTACTACAAAGACACATGTACACGTGTGTTTATTGCAGCACTATTCACAGTAGTAAAGCCCTGGAATCAACCCAAATGCCCATCAATGACAGACTGGATAAAGAAAATGTGGCACATATACACCATGGAATACTATGCAGCCATAAAAAGGATGAGTTCATGTCCTTTGCAGGGACATGGATGAAGCTGGAAACCATCATTCTCAGCAAACTAGCACAGGAACAGGAAAACAAACACTGCACGTTCTCACTTATGAGTGAGAGTTGAACAACAAGAACACACAGACACAGGGAGGGGAAGAGCACACACTGGGGCCTTTTGGGGGATGGGGAGATAGGGTAAAGATAGCACTAGGAGAAATACCTCATGTAGATAACAGGTTGATGGATGCAACAAACCACCAGGGCACGTGTATACCTGTGCAACAAACGTGCACATTCTGCAGATGTATCCCAGAACTTAAAGTATAATAAAAATAAGTAAGTAAAATAAACAATGGACTGAAACTATATCCTAGGACAAATGGACTTAACAGATATTTACAGAGCATTCTACCCAACAACAGCAGAATATACATTCTTTTCATCAACACATGGAGCATTTTCCAAGATAGACCATATGATAGGCCACAAAACAAGTCTCAATAAATTTAAGAAAATCGAAATTATATCAAGTACTCTCAGACCACAGTGGAATAATATTGGAAATTAACTCCAAAAGGAACTCTCAAAACTATACAAATATGTGGAAATTAAATAATCTGTTCCTGAATGATCTTTGGGTCAACAATAAAATCAAGATAAAAATTTAAAAATTCTTTGAACTAAACAATAATAGTGACACAACTGATGAATAACTCTGGAACACAGCAAAAGCTTTAAGAGGAAAGTTCATAGCATTAAATGCCTCTATCAAAAAGCCTAAAAGAGCACACATAGACAATCTAAGCTCACACCTCAAGGAACTAGAGAAACAAGAACAAACCAAACCCAAACCCATCAGAAGAAAAGAAATAACCAAGATCAGAGCAGAACTAAATGAAACTGAACCAAAGAAATTCAAAAGATAAATGAAACAAAAAGCTGGTTCTTTGAAAGGATAAACAAAATTGATAAAACATTAGTGAGATTAACCAAGAAAAGAAGAGAGAAGATCCAATTAAGCTCATTTAGAAACAAACTGGGAGATACTACAACTGATACCACAGAAATACAAAAGATTATTCAACACTACTATGAACATCTTTATGTGCACGCACTAGAAAACCTAGAGGATATGGATAAATTCCTGGAAACATACAACCTTCTACATTAAACCAGGAAGAAACAGAAACTCTGAACAGACCAATAATAAGTAGTAAAATTTAAGCAGTAATAAAAAAATTGCCAACAAAATGAAGTCCAGGACCAGATGGATTCACAGCTGAATTCCATCAGACATTCAAAGAAGAATTGGTACAAATCCTACTGAAACTATTCCAAAAAATGGAGCAAAAGAGATTCCTCCCTAAAGCATTCTATGAAGCCAGTATTAACCTAATACCAAAACCAAAAAGGACATAACAAAAAAAGACCAATATCCCTGATAAACACAGCGCAAAAATCCTCAACAAAATACTAGCTAACAGAATTCAATAGCATATCCAAAAGATAATAGACCATGATCAAGTGGGTTTCATACTAAGGATGCAGGGTTGGTTTAACATATGCAAGTCAATAAATGTGAGACAGTACATAAACAGAAGTAAAAACAAAAACCATATGATCACCTCAATACATGCAGAAAAAGCATTTGACAAAATTTAGCATCTTTTTACGATTAAAACCCTCAGCAAAATTGGCATAGAAGGGACATACCTGAAGGTAATAAAAGCCATTTAAAAATAAAAAATAAAAAACAAACATACTGTAAAGGAAAATGTAGGGGGAAAAGTGGCTCAATTTTCCCACAGATGATGAAAACTCACTAAAAAATATTGTCATAAAGAATATAAAAAATTTAAACCATCTATTCTACAGAAATCTTGAAAGTTAATGGAAGATCACAAAATGCAAGTATAATAACTCAGGGAGAAGCAATTCAGTACAGATAAAGGGAGAGAATGATTACATAATTGGAGAATTTGAAGTGGACCTGGAGATCAAAGACAATTTTGAACATGCAAGAGCTCAGAAAACCACTAGAACAAAAATAAAACTTTTTAAGGTTTAGAACTACATATTTTTTTTAAAAAGCAAACATACTGAAAAACATTTATAAGTAAAGAAATAATACAAAGACCAAACATATAAATAAGTATAAATTGATTATTCTCACTTACGTTTTTATAGATTTTAAAATTGATTCACAAAACTGAATCAGAACAGTTTTTAAAAATCAGTAAAGCTGAAACAACCCCAGAAATATAAGGATGGCTCAATATTAGAAAATATATTAATAAAATATATTACATAAATTTGAGGAAAAAAATTATCTCCATATATCTTGATAAGCAATTATTCAACATTCACTCTTGATTTAAAAATAAACATTTAATTACATAGGAATTGGTAAGAAAAAATTAACAGGAATTGATGGGTACTTCCTTACTAGGAGCTACATATATTGTAATAAGATGTGTGTATATAAGACTAAATGCATTTTTTGCTAGTCAGTGAAAAGGTTGCCTAATAACATTGCTGCCATTTAATATTATACTGATGATATTAGCCAATGCAACTAAAGAAATAAATTAGATATTTAAAGTTGGAAAGCAGGAGCTAATCTATTCCTACGTATAGATGATATGATTATAAAAGTGCAAAGCCTAAGCACTTTCAACTGGAAAACTACTGCAAAGAATAAGAGAATTCCATAAGATAAGGGTGACAAGGTGTAGAACACACTATCCCCAAATATGGTGCTTTGGCATATTGATTCTTTTAAGCTGAAGGAACTTGAGAAATGCCAGGTACAGGAAGTACTCTCTGACCTTCCCCTGAAGCAGGTCATAAGACCCTCATGTGAGAGGTGCCCTTCCTCTACCCAGAGGAAAGGAGCATCCTCGTCTCCAACGACAGAGGGGCTCTGAGAGCAGTCTGAGTAAACAGACCTTGCCATTCCCTCCAGTTTCCTAACCTTCATTCAGACCCTTTGTCCCATCACATTTTTCGACAACTTTCCACTCTTGGTCAAAGCTAACATAAAAACACTCAGGCTTAACTGCTTCTTGGGATCTTCATTTCCTTATGAAGGCTCCAGTGTCATGTAAGACTTATGTTATATAAATGTATGTTTTTCTCTTATTAATCTGTATTTCATTCATCTATTTTACAGGGCTTTAGCCAGAGAACCTAGGAGGGTAAAAGGAAAAGATTCTTCCCCCACTGCCCCAGTAGGATGTAAAAATTATATCTCTAAATATACAGCTAACATTTGTAATAGCTTCAACAATGTACTACCTAGAAATAAATTGAGCAAAAATGTGTTAAAAGCTCATATGAGAAAAACTTTATGAGACTCTTGAAGGATACCAAGTAGATGTGAATAAATAGAAAAGCATATTATGCTCTTTGGTAGGAAACGTTAATATGTGATTTTTCTGATTAATTTATAAATTCCCAAGTAAATTATAAATGTGTCTGTCTTTAGAATTGGATAACTTAATTATTATCTTGACATTATATAAAAATCAAGGAAGAAGGAAAATTGAAAAAAAGTGCAATGAGAATTGGGTAGCCCCATCAGTTATTAAAATAAAGTGTAATATTTCAAAAGTAAAACAACATGGTACTAGGGCAGGAACACATGGATAGATTAATAATGCAAAATAGAAAAGTCCAGAAATAGACTCAAATATATATAGGTGTTTAGGATATGTCAAGATAGACATGGTATTGGAACAATTGTGTAGCCATCTGGCAAAAAAAAAAAAAAAAGAATCCTTTCCTCATAGGAATCTATGGAATTAATAATTCCAAACAGATTTTAACTGTAAAATATGAAACTTTAGAATTTCCTATATATTACAAGGTGAATTCCTAATCTTGCCAAAGCTTACAGTGATTCAAAACCCAAAAGTCATATTATAAAAAGAGCTCCTAAAAACTAGGATAAGCAAGCCAGTTTTTTTTTTTAATGGCAAAGTACATGAATAGACAGTTTACAAAACAAAAAATGTGCTCCATTCACTTATTAAAAATAAATGAATGAATACACATATGCAAATATGTTCAGCTTCATTCATAATAAAAGAAAAAAATTTAAATGATGCTGGGATATCATGCAACCTGATTGGCCCAAACTGGACAGTTTGATAACAATCTCTTTTGGTGATGCTATTGGAAAACAAATACACTCTTAAATTGCTGGTGAGAGTGTAAAATGTTACTACTTCTATGGAGAACATTTATCAGAATTTACCGAAATCGTATCCTTTAAACCAGTCATGCTACTTCTGGAAATGTAGAATACAAATTTACCTACAATCACAGAAAATGGCATGGTGTATAAGATCATTAATAGTAATTTGTAAAAGCAAAAGTTTAGAAACTTCCCTGGAGTACATCAATAGGATATTGGTAAAATAAACTATGGTTCAGCCACAAAATGAAACACTATGTAGTCACACCAAAAGAAAAGAAAGAGAGAAAAAAGGAAATAAGGCAGGAGTGAGGGAGAGGAAGAGAGGGAAAAAGAGAAAAGAAGTAGATCCTTTCTTTTTACTGATATGGAAAGATTTCTAAGATATATTGTTAAATGAAAAGAACAAGTTAGAGAACAGAGTTATCAGTGTGCTATTCTTTATATAAGAATAGGGCACATAAGAATATATATGTGCATAAATATTAGAAGTATATATGATAAACTAATGAGAAGGTATTAGCACCAAGGAACAATGTGAACTAAGAGGATGAGAGAGATTTTTCTATATAAATATTTTTATAGCATTCTGACTGTGAAACTTGTGAATACCTGTTTACAAAATAAGTAAAAGTGGCTAAAAGAATGGAAAGAAACCCACTAGTGTCATCCAGAAAACACCAACTTACACATATTTTCTGAATTTACTCTAGTTTCCAACTCACAAAGCAGAGGGGGAAAAGGAACTCATGGTCATCCTGTAAATGAAACCCCAGAGCTCAGGATGTAGGAAGGATTGTTGAAGTAATGAATATGCAAAACACTAATATTTCAAGATAAAACAATGAAATTGAATTAAGAATGATACCCTGAGGACCTGCCACATGTGGTATTCTGCTGTGCGCTGTAACAGAACTAGAAATTTGCTATTGGGGTGTGGGGATTCAATACACCTATTAATCCCAAAGCATGCCAAAATCAAATCTCACCTCACACATAAAGGTAGCAAAAGATTGGTAGTATCACAGGTTTGGAATAGGAATAGAAACAATAGGCTAAAAATGGAACAGTTGTCTAATCTGGGACCACTCAGGTTAAAGACATTAATGAGTCCATTTCCTAATGGATTATAGGTAGGAGTGAGTGGATCGTGGACAGCATTGAACTGGGAGACCTACTTCAAAGGGCATCTAGGAAAATTTATAAAATATCTTTACTCCTTTACCTCTGAAATATTATAAGTTAAATTTGATTAAAAACAATGAGCAATAATATCAAACTTAGAAGAAAAATAGACCTCCAAAAGAGGTGTCTCAGAAGCGCAGCACTCCATCTAAGAATGGTGGGAGAAATGGAGAAAGCTTTGTTATTTGAGGGGCTTTAACATGTCAATCACATGGACATCAGTCCCTGAAGTCTTTTGTTAACACCAACTGCTCTCCTCACTTACTTTCCTCCTCCTTAATGTCCTCCTGGTTTCTATAGCAGCATCACTTTCCTTTTCTAGTGAAGAATACATGACCCTAGGCTTTTGCTCCAATTTATCAAACCTTCAGCACCGAGCCCTCTGAGGTAAATCTTCAACCTCTCATGGACTACCATAGAAAGAAACTTGACCTTCCAGGGCAAGTCCATTGTTACTACTCTAAGAAATAGGCTAGAGTCTTTGCTGCAGTACTTTTCAGGACAGTTTCATGTTCTGCATAAAAGTCAAAACAGTATTTCATTCTTGTGTATTTCTAAGAAATGGCTAGAATTTGGATGCTAACAATGAACATGTAAAAACTAGCATTGTGCTTTAAGTATGGATGCCAGAAGCTATAATTTCTCTAGAGGGACCAGATTTTAGTATCAAGTAACTAGCATTTACTTTTATGGTTGCCTTTTGGATAGCACCTTATGTGAAAGAAGAGCAGAGAACTAGAAAATTCACATCAAAATAGATAAATTTTGAAATGATTTAAGAATTCAATTCTGGGGCCAGGCGCGATGGCTCACGCCTGTAATCCTAACACTTCGGGAGGCCAAGGTGGGTGGATCACGAGGTCAGGAGTTCGAGACCAGCCTGGCCAACATGGCGAAACCCTGTCTCTACTAAAAATACAAAAAAAAAATTAGCCGGGCATGGTGGCACATGTCTGTAGTCCCAGCTACTCGGGAGGCTGAGGCAGGAGAATCGCTTGAACCTGGGAGGCAGAGGTTGCGGTGAGCCGAGATCACGCCACTGCACTCCAGCCTGGGTGACAGAGAGAGACTCTGTCTCAGAGAAAAAAAACAAAAAACAAAAAAAAAAAAACCTTCAATTCTGGAAAGGATTTTGTTTGTTTGTTTTAACTTTGATTTTCTCAAAAGGGTTTCCACAGAATAGGATCTTCTACCAGCTGTATCTGTAGAAAAGGAGATGTGGTGCATTTTTTTTTTTTAACACTAAGGACAGTTTTTTTTTTTTTTTTTCCCATAAGTTATCAGGGTACTGGTGGTATTTGGTTACATGAGTAGTGGTGATTTGTGAGATTTTGGTGCACCCATCATCCAAGCAGTATACACTGCATCCTATTTGTAATCTTTTATCTCTCTCCCCCTCCCACCCTTCCCCGCAAGTCTCCAATGTCCATTGTATCATTCTTATGCCTTTGCATCCTCATAGCTTAGCTCCCACATATCAGTGAGAATATACGATGTTTGGTTTTCCATTCCTGGGTTACTTCACTTAGAATAATAGTCTCCAACTCCATCCAGGTCACTGCAAACGCCATTAATTAATTTAAGGACAGTTTTTTAAAAGAGAAAACAAACAAACGAAAACCTTTGGTTGCACTAGTTTGATCATCCTCGCTGTGAAAGGTTTGCAGAAGCTAAGCAAATTAGCTCCAGTTTCCTAGCCCAAAGCTATCTCTCCTTTGGAAATCCTGAGATACTCAGTCATTGCAAAGCTCTGTTCTGCTCAGCCTGGTACCAGAACATTCTTCACGTTAGATCTGCCCCAGGACTTTGGGGAAGTACTGTTGTCTCTGAGGAGGAAGAAGGACAGGACTTCACCTAGAACCTTCCAGATGTAAGCTTCTCACAAAGGCTACACACTCAGATGCCTGTAGGGGGAGTAAAGTACATAAATGTGAGAAGCAGGCCCATGTCTTAAGAGTATGAGCAAGCTGCTCAGATTGCAAAGTAAGTTGGGAGAAAGAAAGCACTCCAGGTGGAGGTGAGGAGCAGTGTGAGCAAAGATCCTGGGGCAGGAAAAATGTTGAACAAATTGAAGGTGGTGAAAGAAGGCCCATGTGTCCTAGAGCAGAGGGTAGCTAAAGATTTTCTTTTGTGGTACAATGGCAGAGTAAGTAATCGCAAAAGAGATTGAATGGCTTAAAGAGCCTGAGATATTTATTAGAAAGTTTGCTGACCCCCTCACCTAGAGAATGAAGAGGCAATAACCAGAGAAATGGTTTGTGAAATGTAACCTGAATCATGCAGGACCTTGAAAATGGGAGTTAAAGTATTTTGATTTTATGTTTTGGGCCATAGATAACCACTGAAGGGTTTTAAACTGGGAGTGCCATAACAAGGTAAATGTCTTTTAAAAGAGCATTCTGGCTTCTATGTACAAAACAGACAAGACAGAGACATAAATGGAAGTTAGGAGACCCGTTAGGAGGATATGATGGTATTGCAAAGAGATGATGGTAGTTTGGGCTTCAGTGACTTCAGTGAAATCTAGTTTAAGAAGTGTTAAGGAGATAGTGTTTAGGATACTAAAATTAGAAAAAAATGGAATAGGAGTTTCTTGAGGCCTCTACTATTCCATAATGTTTTAATGTTAAACTTATGCATTGATAGCTTTACTATTTGTGTTCATTATTATTATTTTAAACTTATAATTTATGATATATCAGTTATAATTGCCAAAGTTTAAAATCGTGACTACTGGGCAAATATATAATGATCATACATAAACATACTATTTAACTCACTAATAAATGAAGAACCAGTAAAATGTTATTGATTCAAAGAATACTTATGATATGTATCTGTATATAATCTATTTATGTATCTATCATCTCTCTCTCTATCCGTCATCTATCTGTCTATGTATTCATCTATTTGTAATTTTTTTAACATTAGGATAAAATTGTTAGATTAGATATTAAACTGGTTAATGTCTTACAAGGTGATTAGCTTTGGGGTTATCCACTCTACTAGATAAAAACTATCCACATCTCTAATATACAAAATCTGTAAGTTAACCTTCGCTCCTACAGAGTTGTAATGTGCTCCAAACAAACAAATATCAAGCCCACTGCTGCACTGAAAGAACACCCAATAATCTCTTTTGCCCATTTCAACTTTCACGTAATTTTTCTGTTAGGTACATTATGCTGTCCCATAAGTATAATAAAGGGGATTGCTCATTTCAGCATAATCTAGATTTATAATCATTTTATTTCTGTTCTGATATCTGTCATATACAGATCCAAGTGAGGGATAAACAGAAGAAGGCTTGGGCATAAGAACAGTATCAGGTGGAAAGCGAGTTTTACATATAATAATGGTTAGAACACTCCTTTCGGATTTTAAGTGTATGTTTTCCATTTCTGGGATATTCACTAAAAATTTATTTTAAATCCAAAAGTTTAAGTACTTAAACTCAAATTTGTGGTGGGAAAAATACTCTTATTCTTAAAATGGAGAGCAAAATTAATGATGCCCTACTGCAGCCAAAAGCAAGATTTAAGGACATTTTCCTTAGTTGTTTCATAGGACCTAGGCTTGCGTGGTTGGCAGCTTCATCATTTGAATGTGTCCTGCCGTGAACTGAAATGCTGACCAGAGTTTTTTGAAGAACAGCTTAACAGGATTGCAGTTTCTACCACCAACTGTACTGTGTATGTAAACTTAATGCTCTTCTCATCTAACAGTCAGACTTATGGACAGATTTTCTCTTATGTGACTAATTATAAAGCATATATAATGAACTGCTTTAGTATTCCATATTTGTTTTGAACTTTTACATTTTCTCAAAGCATACCTTTGTGGGCAGGAACTTGTATCATTATCCATCCAACCTGCCAGTGGGAAGTCCCAGCCATGAGAAGTAAGCATCATGGCTGTGATGTTCCACTAAGCAATTAGGAGAAGCTAGGAATGTATTTTCCTGGGGAGGTGAAGGAGTCAAATCATGGGGATTTAGTATTGGCTGGGAATTTGGATTCCTGAAAATGTATTTTGAATGTCAAAAATAAAAATCCTGAGATGAATAACTTTACAGAGGAATTCTAAGACTCTTTGGCTTTTTAATAGGTGTTGTTCATGACTAATGGGGTGTTCTATTGTGAACTTGGATAAGGTAACTCCCAAAGGCAGTTTCATACAATAAGGTGGGAAGGAGGCCATATCACTCTGTAGTATCAGACTTGGGAAATGGAAATGGAATTACTCCCAGTGCTAGGATTTGTCTGTCATTTACTACTAAGTAAGCTCAAAGGCCCAACTCTCTTTCTCTTCTTGGTAAAACAAATGCAAAAGGCAGAAGAAAATTAACTATTTCTTGCTAAATTCACACAACTCTAGCAAATAATCCAAATTCTCAAATTATTTATTTGGCTTGTGGCAGACACCTAAGTCATCCTCACAAGTTAATTTATTGGATGATAGTCAAAAGCCATTTTCCACTGGCCATTTATAAAAACAAAATGGTACCTCCTCACAAGAGCGTAGAAGACCAAGGAACTTGGAGCAATTCTGTACTGGTGAAGAAGTATTTATGTTGCAAAAGTAAAAGGTACAGTTTTCAATAAAAAGCATTTGCCATTATCTAAGATAGATTTAACTTCATTAAAACATAAAAAATGTTGATTAAATAAATGAGTTATTCAAAATACTTTTATTTAATGTCATGGATTTTTTTAAAGCAAAGACAGTTCTGGAATCCAATTTTATATCTTATATTTATATCAGAAACAACTTCACTTTTGTCAGCGATATCTATAAGTATAGAGAATCTTGTACACATACCTACAATTTTTAATGGTAAGGTGGACACATTTTCAGGCCACAACCACATGTGTTTACTTGATTTTAATTTTCTGGATGTGTTTATTAAGGGAAATTCTCTTTCTTTCCTGAAAATTTAAGATAATATTTATTTGTACCTTTCCAAGTTTAGGGTGAAACGACATCACCTACATTCTATTTACTCCCATTGTCTTCATCTGCAACAGACATAAACTATTACAAGAAGTGGATGGGTGATCTAAAAGACAATGGAAATTTTTCCCTCAGTGGAGAGTGAGAGAATTACCAAACTTAAGGTGCTAAAACCCACCCTGAAAGTAATTTCTTCTACTATAATAATAGTAAGGACAGTGATGATGATGGTGGTAACAGTAGTAGTAGTGGCAGCAATGATTAGGCTTAACCAAGTTTTTGGTATGCACCAAGCACAGTGTGAAGCACTTAACATTATCTCATTTACCCACAGCCTCATCTGTCTATGCATTCTGTCCACAACAGAGGTACTACTTCCATAAGCATATCCTATCAAATAAGTCCACTCTGGGGAGAATCTATAGACATACCCAAAGTGGGGTTCATTATAATAACAAAAAATCTAAAATCTCTTGTTTGATCATTAACATATAGGTTAGTTGCACTTTCTATATCATAGTACAAATATCTTTATTTTAAAATAATATTTTAAATTACTTAACAATAAAAAATTTAAATTCCTTTTAGGGTAATCAATATTCTTTATCTGGCATTTGATAAGCTAGGGGAACTGAGCAAGGCCTGTTTGTTCAGATTCATCTCTGTGTCTCTGTGTCTTCAGAGGTAAAAACATTCCTTTCCTCTTGGTACAGGGAAGACATCTCTGGAATGGCATCTTATGACCCATTCTGGGGGAAAGTCACCTAGCTTTTAAGCCTCACTTCAGGGGAGAAAGGGTGAAGAGAATTCTTTCCAGTGTCTATGACTGATTTCTGCTGTTTCCTCAAATACCAAGGTGCCATATTGTGGGGTTGTGTGTCCTGAAGCCCATCATAGGTAAAGGAATGCAGGATGAAAAGTGGAGGCAGTTAAGGAGAATTCAGTGGAATAAGAGCACTTACTATTGAACTATAGGACCTGAGACAAACCCAGGCACATAATAAAATGAGGCTCTTAAAGATGACTTGAAGTCTTTCATCTTCTTGCTACTAGGACACTGTTAGTGACTATAGGAAGATCTTCTGCTATGTCACATTATTGTCGTATATGAATATATTCCTTTCAGGGATAACTTGGATAATAATTTGGGTGATGTCTCAACCCATAGGGTGCTTTTGAAGAGGATGACTCTAGTAAAGGAAAGTAGAAAACATAATGGCCTGGCATGACTTGTAAGAGTTTCAGGAACTCTCAGTCAGGTCATAACAGAAAGAACATTAAAAAGTGAGAACTGTTGCTCTTTTGCCAAGATGACTTTACCCTGTTCTGAGACATTCGCAGCATTCTGGGTGAGTTCAAGCTTTCCTCTATTACCATGGAAAAAGAGGGGGGGAAGTGACATCAAGGAAAATAGAGGCAATGTGACCTTAAGTCCTTGGCCCTTGACAAATTTTGTAAGCAAGGTTACAGGAGGAAAATATATCTATGTGTCTCTCCTTTCTCTTTGTCATTTCCCCTATTAAATGACAATTTTAAAGTCCACACTCAAAGCACACTGGGCAGCCCTGCCAAATGATCCATTAGAACTAGTTCTGCTGTCATAATACAATTTTTCCTGTTCTTGTACTTTTGTTCTGTCACCTTTATCTCTTGAACTTTATAAGTAATGGAGAAGAATGGCACAAAGATGGTTTAGAGGCAAATAGCTGAATAGACATGTGCCTATTTGATTAAAAAACACACCATTCCAATGGAAGACACATACAATTTGTTGACATATTCCCCATGGACCCAGGGAAATGAAAAGTAGTCCTTAACACTGTGCAGCCTATAAGCTTGCTTTTCAATGTCAGTTCTTTTTACATTTATCAACCACCCCAAAGTTGTTGTGGAGGCATATATTTTCAAAGTATTTCTTTCTGTCAATATGCAGTGATTCTGTACTTCATCTGTCATCAAAAGAAATATGTCTTGGGGTCAATTTTGTATGATACTTTATCATATGAACAAGAGAACTGCAAAAGTATGAAATAATTTTTTTTTACATAAAGTACATGTTTGATCTATTTTTACAATGTACTGATAGTTATAAAAACACTCAGAATGTGTCCATCTTTGTGTCAGTATTACCTCCCTGGCAGTTAAATTGAACATGGTCTCTTACTAATTATAACCATCCTATGTAGCTATTTGTCATTTTTCCAATAAAATTTAATAAAGATTAAGTGATCCAAATACAACACTTCACATTGAATATGAGTCAATTAGCATGGATCAATTAGGAAACTTCAGTTCTACAATGGACACACTTCTGTGCTTACAGAAAAATTCAACGCAGAATATAAACTTTGTGTCCTGTTCAATAGCGTTACAAAAACACTTAAGACTGTTAAAACTCCTTCAGGAATTCATAATGAATTTGCTGTATTGTTTTACTGCCAAATTTGGGGAGTTTACTGATAGACCATAGTCTCTAGATCAAAACCTAATTTATAGGGTTTTCCAAGAGGACAATCCTAACACTGGGGAAAATAAGCCAAGGCTTCTAAAACACACTAGAGTCACTCAATCACTTGCTTAACTGTTCTACGCAGTGAATAAATTCTGTGACTTTCAAGGTCACATGGGCTCTTTTACTGACTGCTATCCTCTTGCCTGCACCTGCACTTCTGTTGTGCTTGGATGACAAAGCAGACAGCTCTAACTCAAATCATGGAGAGCTCTGTGAAGCTTGGTGTTCTCTTGTTTTCTTTTCTATCAGTTTTGTTTGGCCTCAGTGACCCAGATGTAGGCTAATGCCAAGCTTATATACTTTAATAATATTTAGTACAACTGAAAAATAACCCACCTAGGTTTGATTCTTACAGACCTATTTAGAGTCTGGATGATCTCTGATTATTGCTCATTATTCTCGAAGTTGTTCACTGGGGGACTATTATAGCCTCTGTTATAGCACTAGCTGTCAAATCTAGTTTTTAAAATGCTATCCTTTCATCCATCCATTCATCATACATGTGTTGGGCACTTCTATATTTAAGCCATTGCATGTTAGTTGTTATGGATTTTATCATAATATAGAAGATCACTAAGGCAGTATGATTCTTAGTTCCCAAATTCAGGTAAGCAAAATCAAAAATTGTATTTCTCTATTTTCTTTAAGGTCAAGCTGGGAGATAATTCAGCTTCAGTCTTCACTAGGATTCCCTGAGCAAAGCTATTCAAAGGCCCTAGACTTTCATATAAGTTCAGACATATCAGAGAGGTCCTATGGGTCACTGCTGGTTCATTTTTCTATACTAGTTACTGATGATACACACAGGGTTGTAGTGTAAAAGGATCCAACAGGATGGATCATTCTGATCCTGCTGTGCCACCCTTGGTATTGACGTTTTTTTCGGTCAAATTCTAGTGGCTCAGACTGGCCTCTCTCAGTGTACTGTGCAGCCATTCCTTCCAGAGGCTCTTTAGAGAGCAAAGCGTAGTTCCCCTGTGCCCCACAGATCACCTTTCCCGTCCCAGTCTAAAAGGATCACTTTCTCTCCTGTCCTTTTTTCCAGGATACTGTTTACTGGCTTAAGTTTTAGGAAAATGGAGCCACAAAAGGAAGCATCAAGCAGGCAAGTTGTGATTGTTGACTTATAACATGAATCATAATCCGAAAAGGAGGATAAAGAGATGCCTGAATTCCCAGAAAATGCCTGACTTTTTACTGATAAGACCATTTCTTAAATAATCTCTATGACCAGGCAAATGTCTTGCACTCAGCTGGCCTAAGCACGAGTTAGCTTCCCTGTGGCAAAGGAGATGTAATTAACCTCACTGATTTATCAATCAGGATTCACTCTCGGAGTTTGGAGTTAAGTTCACCCAAACCAAATAGCTACCATATGGAAGAAGAAGCTGAGAAGACAGACTTAATGCATTTCATTACATAGCTTAACAGACTATTTTCATCCCAGAATCTCGTAGTATTTTCTGGTACTCTGTATACAGAACATTTAAATACTGATTTCAACTTCAGTGGCTGTCCTAAAGAAGGTGCTAAATGAAGTGCCAGGGGTCAGCAAGCCAAGAAATCAAATATTCTGTCACTAACCGCTCCATTACTAACCAGGCACATTTTATTTATTTTCTATTCACTAGGGTCCTAGTATATACCTAGTTGTGTGTTGGACAAAGACAAAACAGTCCCTGCCCTCAAAGAACCGAAGATTGTGTTGTTCTCACTGCTAGCCTCACATTAAGCATATCTATTGAAAATACTTCCTGCACATCTCTTGAAATTGAAACAAAAATGTTAAAGAAGTGGGAAATTTAAAGACTGATAAGGTATTTAAAAGTTTGCATGGACGGGTATGGTAGCATGTACCTGTAGTCCCAGCTGCTTGGGAGGCTGAGGCAGAGGATTGCTGGAGGCCAGGAGTTCAAGGCTGCAGTATGCTACAATAGTGCCGGTGAATATAGCCACACATTCCAACCAGGGCAACACAGAAAGATCCTGTCTCAATAAATAAATAAATAAATAAATAAATATTTGCATGAACATCCCTATCATAATTTCTGGCACATAGGTTCTCAAATTCCTTTCTCTTCAACTCTTAAAAACCTAGCAAAATTGGCCGGGCGCGGTGGCTCACGCCTGTAATCTCAGCACTTTGGGAGGCCGAGGTGGGCGGATCACAAGGTCAGGAGATTGAAACCATCCTGCCTAACATGGTGAAACCCCATCTCTACTGAAAATACAAAAAATTAGCTGGGCATGGTGGTGGGCACCTGTAGTGCCAGCTACTTGGGAGGCTGAGGCAGGAGAATGGCATGAACCTGGGAGGCAGAGCTCGCAGTGTGAGCCGAGATTGCGCCACTGCACTCCAGCCTAGGCAACAGAGCCAGGCTCCATCAAAAAAAAAAAAAAAAAAAAAAAAAAAAACCTAGCAAAATTATAACAGCTCTCACTACTTCTTGAAAAATTCAGACGGTTCTTTCTCAGTCCTCATCTTTGATTTTTCCTAGGCATTTGGCTCTTTGGACTTCCCAGACCATCTTAAAATTTCTTTCCTTGCCTTAACTTCTAGTTCTCTCCACTGTTTAAGTTTCTTCTTTGTTTTGTTGAGTCTCACTCTTCTATCCCCTTACTGACACTGCCTCCTCTTGCCCAATACTCTGGTTTCATCCCCTACCTTAATTTTGTACCCACTTGTGTCTGAGTACATCTGTTCATCCTTTTATGAACTCTCAACTTTGATGATCTTATCTAATTGCAGAATTTTGACCAACATCTCTTAAAATAATTCCTAAATAAATATGAAATTTCTTGTCTTTTGCCTGCACTTCAGGTCCTCATTTCCTAAGTTTCAACAGGACATTTGTCCTGACAGTTTTTAATATTACCTGAACACCACTATAGCTTAAGATCTGGCTCTAACTCTTACCACTCGATAACTTTGAATAAGTCATTTCACTGTCTAGGTCTCAGTATCTCTCCACAATCAAATAAGGAAATTGGATTTAGGGATCATCCTAGATGATCTCAAAAGTTTCATGCAGGTCGAAAGACTCCATGCTAATTCATTTCCAAAACTGAATTTATCTTCCTCTCCCTCAAAAAACTTATTCTTATCCCACCCTCTAGTTTCTGTTCCATTTTATTTTTGAACTCTTGTCTTTCATATTGTCTTTCACCAATTTTTTTCTCTTCAACATGTATCTTGCCTTTTGACTCTCCTCTGCCACTTCAATTCTACTCTAATTTAGTTATTTTCCTCCAAGCCCAAACTTTTCTTATAACTGTCTTAAAACAATGATTTTTTTTTCAGGCCACTCTCTATGCAAAAATCCACAATGCTCATATTGTCTATGTTAACTTTCCTGAAAGTACACCAAATCAGGAAAAGTATGTGCATATCTCTTATAAGAGGTTCAAAAGCCTAGCCCAAGGAACTCTCTGCAAATGCAAACATTATTTCTCTTATTTTGTTTTAAGACAAAATTCATTTAAAAAGTGTTTAAGAATGAAATCTCCACTTTACTTCATGATATACCCATATAATCACCGTGATGTAAGGACAGTGTTTGGGGCAGTGTACTGAAGTGGTTGAGTGCTCAGGCTCTGTAAACAGACTAGCATTTGAATCCCATTCCACTCATCATCAGCTAGGTGACCTTGAACAGAAAATAGTAATACCCACAGTTGACACTTGAACAACATGGAGGTTAGGGGCATTAACTCTCCCATGCAGTCAAAAATCCACATATAACTCCCCCCAAACTTAACTACTAATAGCCTACTGTTGATCTGAATCCTTATCAATAACATAAACCGTTGAATTAATACATATTTTTCATGGTATATGTATCATATACTGTGTTCTTATAATAAAGTAAGCTAGGGAAAGAAAATGTTAAGAAAATTATAAGAAAGAAAAAATATATTTACTATTCATAAAGTGGAAGTAGATAATCATAAAGCTCATTATGCTCATTGTCTTCCCATCAAGTAGGCTGAGGAGGAGGAGTAAGAGGAAGTGTTGGTCTTGCTGTCTCAGGGAATGGCAGAGCTGGTAGAGGTGGAGGAGGTAGAAGGGGAGGCAGGAGAGGCAGGCACACTTCGTGTAACTTTTAATGAAAAAAATCTGCCTATAATTATACCAGTGACATTCAAATCCATGTTGTTCAAGGGTTACTTGTATAATGTAATATTCTTAGGAGATTAAACCATGAATGTAAGGAGCTCAACATACCTTCTGGCCCATCGTAGGTGTCTCATTATATGTTTTGGGTTCCACACTCAACCACTTGGGGTTAAATCTTGGTTCCAGCCTTTGCTAACCATGTGACCTTGGTCAAGTCACTTGACATTTCTGAATTCCCTCATCTGGAGATGATGAAAGTGCTTTCTCATAGGGCTACTATGAAGGGTAAGTGAACTAATCAGAGGCAGATTTACCATAAAACTAATGAAGTTTGAACTTCAGAACCTCTCATTCCACAGGAGTCTTCCAAGACTCTGGGAGGTAGGGCGGGGCTGGTATAAATCTATTCATTTGGTTATATGTTTTTTATAAAATTTTAAAAAGTAGAATGTTTTATCTGCATTGTTTCTGTGGATAAGATTGATGGTTCTAATCCAACTTGCCCTCCATCACTGTTCCCTCCGGTTGGATGAGGTTAGAATGATCCGTGGCATTTTTGAGATTCAGTAAAGGAAGCTAAGGTGGAAATCCGTTTAGTCTATGGTTATGGGGAAATTTTTACTGGCTCACACTACTTCCTACATGGTTTAGTCATCACCAGCTGTCCCTAGTGTAGAAATAATTTCAGGACTACAGCTACCTCCACCTCTACCATGACAAAACATTGCAGGACCGGCAGTCATAATGTGAGGATGTTCTATAGTGCCCAGCAGTGAAGTATGTCTATAATGATGGAGGGACTAGGTTTGAAATTCACACAACCAGAAGCCAATCTATAGGTATTATGCATTACTCCGTAATGTATAATATATAATACATAATTATATATATTATATAATATACAATTATAAGTATACCATAATTTTTTCTTTTTCATGTATATGTCATATTTCATCAAGCTCTAATATGTCATTTGAACTGCACGTTGGAAAGACATTTAGGAATGTTTCAATAAAGCAAGTGAAAATTTATGAACTTCTAATTTGGACATATATAAAGGGGATACTTCTTTTGTTATCTTTAAATTTATTTATTAAAAAGTAATTAAAATTTTGCCCACAAATTAATGAAATATGAAACAGAAGTATTGATGAGTAAGGAGATTAACATAAATTTTTCTGAAGTTTAGAAACAAGTTGTAGCAAAAAATACATAATATCATTTCAAAAACAGAAATTAAAAGGAAGAGATAAGGTTTGAACACTAGGATAAACAGGCTCTTGGATTGTTTGATAATCAAATTAATGAAGAGAAGTAAATCATGTACGCTCTGGAAAAGGATTTATATTTCTTGCTGATTGGGTGTTAAATAGTGACAGTGACAAAGGTGACAAAAAACGCAATAAACACCACTACAACCAAGAATATCTATAACAAACTGGCTAACAGTCAGTTTAATACATATGGTTACTCCCTGCATGCACACACACACACACACACACACACACACACACACACAACTTCAAATGCCCTGAAGTGAAGTTGATAAATATTTTTTAAGTAGGTCTTTCTTCAAACTTGACAAAAAATTCCAAATATTTATATGACATACCAATAATTATTTGTAATGCTAAAATTACTTCTCTAAACTGTCAGTAACTATTAAATAAAATTTACAGTTGGTCATTGTTTTGGACTAAGACCCTGCACTAGGTCCAACAGACCAGACCAAACCAGAATGGAGTCACGTGTGCTCAGTGCCACGGAATCAAACCGAACTTTAAAACTAGCCAGTTTTCAAAAAATATAGGAGATTCGCAACAATCAATAGAAAAGGGACCTCGTCTACTTAAGCTGGCATGATAAGGAAGTCCCCCTAGTAAGCTTTAACCCTTACTAGGAAAGCAACCTGAAGTAACCTAATGTTAACCAATCCACTTTTTTGTACTGTGCTATTTCCTTGTTCCTGCTCAAGATACTTTACAAAATCAACTATTCTGCCAGCTCAGAGGAGTGCCTTTCTATTTCATAGATTGGATTCTGCCTGAATCATGAATCACTAATCACAGCCAATTAGATTACTAAACTGAAAATTTGTTTAAATTTTGTTTTTTGACATAATGAAAACAAGTTTCTAGCAATCATGATAGGGAAAAGTCTAAATTATCTTTCTTTTGTCTCTGTGGAAAACAGTATCACTAAATCTTTGTCATTGGAAACAGCAATCAAAAAGAGTACAGCCAAAAAATAAGGCAACAAGATTATTACATAAGTATGTACAAAATATTGCATCTTTTTTCTGGATTTTGGGATGTTTGTAGTTTTGTTGGCTTTTTAAAATTAGTTTTGAGATATAATTTATATACTGTAAAATGCACATACCTGTTTTTTCAGCTATTTACAATTTAAAATATATTATTTCTTTTCTCATTCTAAATAAATTCTCACTTTCAAACTTAATGTTGTATTTGTAATTTTGTATTCTTTTTCCTGAAAGTACTCCCTTCCCCCATCTCAACTGGATAAGCTTTAGGCCCCACAGAACCTGGTCCCACCCCTGGCGGTTTGTGGGGAGTGCCTGGCACATAGGAAGATCTCAATCAATGTTTGCTGTGATGGCTGTCCTTCATGTTTTTAATTTCTTAGCATTGGGTGAAATTATGCACTCAAAGGTAGAGATATTCACGTTTCAGAGTGAAAACATCAAATCCAAATTCCTTGGTTCAGCTTTCAAAGCCTTCATGTTTCTGGTTCCAAACTCCCTTTTATGCAAACATTTGCTCTTGTCCTCAATGTGTATCCTTGGTTCTAGTCTGCCTATTTTTTGTTTATTTCTGAGACTTTGCCTTTGCTATGATTTAGGAAAAAATCAATTGGCATGGAAATATATTCACACACACACGTATTTCAGTGAAAAAAAGCAGTGTATAAACCTCAACTCAAGCATATCCTCAACTTCGTAAAATAGAAAAATTATGTACAGCAAATATACATTTACATAATGTTTAATTATGATTATCTCTGAATGGTGTGTGGCTTTTAAAAAAATTCTTCATATATTTCGAGTATTCTACAATAAACGTGTTCAGAAAACTATATTGAAAAATTTAGTAGTTCAGGTACATATTTTATGTAGTTTTTTTAAAGAAGAGAAAGTGCCTTCAATAAAATGTGCTCTTATTCAGACTTTTCAATGGGTCATTTTTATGAATGTGATCTTCTAATTGGAGCTTAAAGGCAGGAACCTGGCATTTCTGTGATCTACTCTGAGAAAGAGTATTAACTTATTCTGTAGCCTTAAGCTCTTCACTTAACCTTTCAGCTTACCCTTTGTGAAGAGAGGATAATAGCCATTCTGCAGAACTACAATGGCAAATTAGCTTAGGTTTGTAACGTGCTTTAAAGATGAATCCCTGCCTTAAATACCTTTGTAGTTTTCAGTATTACTTAAGGAAACAATGAGGAAGGTAATTTATTATCCTATGTGTCTATGTTTCACATGGTAAGAGGAAACAGAACTTTAGTAATGTACATGGTAAAGGCTTGGAATGGAGGCAAAATAGCTTGGTGGATGAGAGCAGGCATGTTTGAAAATAAAAGTCAGAGGAAAACAGCAGAGCGTGTGTCCTTTCCCCAGTACCCATATAGTTGATTCCTATAAAAATTCTATTTATTTATTTATTTTTGAGGTTGATTGAGGATCGAGGAACCTAGGATGAGAGGGAAGACAATATTCCATGTAATGTTATTTAAAATATGAATAGGATGGGAGAAAACACACTGGAAAATTCAGAAATAATTTTAATCAAAGCCACTTCCATGTAAAGTAGCAAACTTACAGCATAATGTCACTTTAATAAGTATCTTCCTGGTGATCAAAAAAAAATTTTCCAGGTCTGACCCAACCTAAATTTAACTTAGTTGGGTATGATGATACTCTTATAATTTCTGAGACTTAAGAAAATAATAGGCTAAACTGATACTGATTAAAGTAAAATGGTTTTGAAATAACATCTAGAAGCAAATGTTACCAACTTTTATCTTTATAAATCATTTGATCATAACAAACTAAAATATATTAGAGAAAAAAATATGTTTTTAAAATCATCAAAAGTGTAGGCAAAGAAAACAGCATTATAAAATGAGGAGGTGGTGAAGGGGTAGCATTTTCCCTCTAAGGGTGGGAGGGCCTTCTTAAATACTGACAAAAGGCTCATTTAATTGTTGAAGAAAGTAGATTATGTCTTTGATTTCTTTTGAGGAACACAAAGTTCAAAATCAGTAGTGAACATGTGGTTTGCGTTGAGTTCATGTCAATGCAATTTGTTCCAGGCCTTATATCCCCAACTGTCCTGTTGCTGTCAACACCAGACTGTGAAGGAAAAAAGAGAGTCGAGAAGCTCAACCTTTCAGAAGCAGAATGTAGTACATAGGACATTATATGACCTTGCCCATGCCCTGCAGTGATACCACGTCTTCGTCTTAATCCTTATCCTTCCTAATGTCACAAGGGGACTCTTCTAATTCTGAGCAATTGCTGTGGAAGTATAAGAACTGTCAAAGGCAATTTTAATAAAGTGGATTGTCACCTTCCAGACCCTCACCCTGAGACTTAGCCAAAAACTAGCCCAGTAGTTTCACATACTCTCACCTGCACCCAAGGAAACTTGCCCTTTACAGAGGCTTAGCGAAGGTTTGTCTTGCAACTTCTGGCTCCAATTTTGTTCTTTTGAATGTTCACCTAAACCTTCTGGGAGTTCCTTCCAGGTTTGCAATTTTCTTGACCCTGCTTTACTTGCTTGGCAATTTTAATAAACAATGAGTGAAAACATAACTCGGTGTTAAGAAACAGTATTCACATATTTGATGAACATATTATTTATAGAGCTCTTTTGGATTATGTCAGAAAAGAACCAACAGTTTTTCACAAGTCATGGACCTGTCGCTTTTGTTGTGTTGTGAAAGAAATGTACTTATCTGAGAATCCTTGCCTTTGTTTCAAGAATATGAATCAAATACTCCTTGTCAGATTTCTTATTTATACATTTATTTATTTATTTACTTTGAGACAGAGTTTCCCTCTGTTGCCTAGCTGGAGTGAACTGGTGTGATCTCAGCTCACTGCAACCTCTGTCTCCCAGGTTAAAGCGATTCTTCTGCCTCAGCCTCCCTAGTAGCTGGGATTACAGGTGCCTGCCACCACACCTGGCTAATTTTTTTTTTTTTTTTTTGTATTTTTAGTAGAGATGGGGGTTTCACCATGTTGGACGGGCTGGTCTTGAACTCCTGACCTCAGGCAATCCACCTGCCTCGGCCTCCCAAAGTGCTGGGATTACAGGTATGAGCCACTGTGCCTGGCCCCAGATTTTCTTGTCAGCATTGTTCCAGGCACTAAAATAAAAGGAAAGCATAAGTGAGGGAAAAAAGTGGGATGTCTCTTAAGACTTCTTATAGTTCTTGTTATTGAACCCCTTGTCTCTGGAGTATAGTTTTTTTGGCCATCAAGTCGATTCTATAGTGAATATTAATAACAGTAAAAAGATAAGGTAACATATACTAAAAATCTTGACCTTTTGAGATTTCTGTCTTGCTTTGAGTATTTTTTATGTGCTTTTCATAAGCAAATTAATTTGAATAGCAAGTTAAAACTGAATTCAACTCTGGAAACTCTTCACACTTTTTTTTTTCCTTATCATTAACTCCAAGTGAATATACTCCCTAAGAAATTGGTTGGAATGTTATGGAGTGTAATGGTTCATTTACCTGAATAAAATCTAGGGGGCATTAGGAGCTTTCAGCTTAACATAGTTCTCCGTTTAAGAGAAGAAAACTTGCTTTCAGCAGATCAAAGACACAATCATCAGACCCTTCTTACTTTTTAGTTCCCTTAATGTTATTATCACATCTTCATAAATGTGGTAAAAGAAAAACTTCAGTCAAATTAAGTTTAAAGGAGTTTAATTGAGTAATGAACAATTTGTGAATTGGGCAGCCCCCAGAATCACAGCAGATTCAGAGCGAGTCCAGCGCAGCCACGTGGTGGATGATATACAAAAAAAAAAGGAAATGATGTACAGAAATTAACAGTGAAGTACAGAAGCAGTTGGATTAGTTACAGCTTGGCATTTGCCTTATTTGAACACAATTTGAACACTTAGCAGTCTATGAGTGGTTGAAGTATGGCCGCTGGGATTGGCTAAGACTTGGTTATTGTTACAGGTGCATACTCCTAAGTTAGGTTGTCAATTTTGTCTGGCTATTAAGCTAGGTTACAGTTCATCCACAAGGACTCAAATACAGAGTCATTCTCAGACCATATTTAGTTTGCTTTAAGAAATGTTGTCCATTGGCAACAGATTCTGAAAGGGCAAGAGAATTGAGATTTCAGGGCTTCTTATTTAATTCTCAAGAAACATATTTTAAAGCCAAACATTAAGTATTGTGTCTTATCTACCCTGAGTACACTTGTGAACATGTTGATCACATTTTGGGAGAGGTTACACTTCTTATATTTGTCCTCTGCAAAAGAAGGGTTGGCATGTGCGCATCATAATTTTATCTACACCTAAGGAAAGCTGATCTTTCCACGGGAAAATTGCACATTGTTTTACGTTTTCCTTTATCCAAATTTACTTATGTGGGTTATTTTTACTTGTCTATATTTCCATTGAGTTCCATAATCACACTCCTCTCCACTTCCATGGGGAACTTGTAATGGACCAACCATGAGTAAAGTAATAGACTGCCTATGATTAAAGTCTTCAAGATTTTTCTCAAGTGAACAGCATGAATCATTTTTGAAGAAAATACAGTATGATTACAGTCATATATTGTTCTTTGAAATACAAATCTTGACCATTTGAGACAGGAGAGGTAGTCAATGAAATAACCATGTCTTTGGGATTCAGCAATGGTGGTGCCTATAGAGTCAACAGAAAAAGCCTCAGCATTCACACTGTAATTGAGCTCATTCAAACAAAGCGACCTTCACTAGGTACTTTCCTGTTTAGAGAGCATGTGGACTTTGATTTTACCTGCCCTCAAACTGACTCTTTGCTCATTATAATGGTATAAAAACACACCCCTGGGTGGAGATTTTAGATGCTAATGAGACATGAAACATATGAACAAGCTTGTATAGTTACTGCGCATGTGCACCCAGAGGACCACCCAGAACATGCTTACTGGTAACACCTCTTCCCACTTCCTTATGAATAATCATGTAAGAGTCCCATAAAGAGAGTCTCCCTAGTGCCAGTCTTTGCTGTCTCATCCTGATGAGTAGTCTGCCCTGAACTCTCTCTCTTTCAGGGTGTATGCCTATTCTGCACTTAACTTCCAAAATATTATTTTTCTTTTGCAATAAATTACTTATATTTCATCTCCTTTGCTGTGTGTATGTTGGTTAAATTCTTTTAAACTAAGGAAACAAGAACCAAGGTCTTAGAACAGACATCAACACATCAATAATCTACCACTGATTTGCCTTAGAGTTATGTCTTTGTGAGATAATAATGTTTTAGTAAATAAGTATAACTAACACTTATTTAACAGTTGGTATATGCTAGTCTATCTCTCTATGTTGTATATTCATCATCTCATTTACTCTCCACAACAGCCTCAATAAATACTGTAAAATTTAGGTCAAATATTTAAGCCTTCCACAAGTTAATCAGGGTTTGCTATGAAGTAAGATAATAATATGGAAACCTCAAACAATTAGCAAGCTAATTTAGACAAAACACCTATTTTATACTTTGCTGAATTACACAGTTCTAGCTAAAATAAATCATTTTTTGTATAGGTGTGTTTGTACACCTTTGTGGGTGTTTGCAGACTCTAAGTAATTATTCTGGTTCAATTTTTTTTTTTGTATAGGGATCATTTTTCTAAGTGATATAAAGTTCCTTGTATTTGTAAAGATAAATGAGAAAGTCTATGTGGGAATTTAACCAGTATTTTGCTAATATGCACTCAATAATAGCTTCTATTGTTTTGTTATGCATTCATTCATTCAATAGTTTTATTGAGTGCTTTCTATGACCCAAGTAGTGGGAGATTAAACAGTGAGCAAAACAGAGAGAAATCCCTGTATAATGTTGAATAATGTGAGAAGATTTTGCAAGATAAGACTAGACTAGAGCCAGTTTTCACAATAATAGCAACTTCTAAATAATGCTTCTTGTTTTTATTCCTTATTATTATGTTTCTCTCAGGTGCTGTAAGTGTTGTTAGATGTCTGTAATTTTAGCCAACTTGACAGTTCTTTTAAAATTTTTACTGTTTTTATGTATTCAGCTGTATTTATGGAGTGCCTACTATAATTTAGCTATTCCTCTAAAAGTAATTAAGAGGCATTTAGCACTGAACAGCACTAAACTTTGCATTAATAATTTTTAAATACAGAAAGGTTATTCATAGACACATAATTAAGGGAGAGCAAGGGGGAAATACCCAACATGTTGATACCAACTGTTTCCAACCAAAGTCAGAAAAGATGATAGCTTTTTGGCCAAGCGTGGTGGCTCACACCTGTAATCCCAGCACTTTGGGAGGCTGAGGCAGGTGGACCACCTGAGGTCAGGAGTTCGAGGCTAGCCTGACCAACATGGTGAAACCCCATCTCTACTAAAAATACAAAAATTAGTTGGGCACGGTGGCAGGCACCTGTAATTCCAGCTACTCAGGAGGCTGAGGCAGGAGAATTGCTTAAGCCCTGGAGGTGGAGGTTGCGGTGAGCAGATTGCGCAACTGCACTCCAGCCTGGGTGACAGAGTGAGACTCTGTTTCAAGCAAAAAAAAGAAAAAGAAAAGGTGACAGCGCTTCATGCACAGCACCCGTCATGGGTCGGAGAGCAGTCATACATTAGATATTTGACCATCCAAGAATTGGTAGGAGTCAAGTAGAGGAGCTCCTGGTGAGTTTGTGACACTGCCTTGTTTTGAACCATTGAGTAATGCCCCTTGGCCACATCGCTTTTTTTCTCAAAGTAGTAAAGGACAGAACAGACATCTTATAGACTCAGACAAGACACTGAGCCTAAATACTTTGATTTATGAATTAGTGGTCTGGGATGGGGAGAGGGGTGCATTAGATATGGGACAAATTTATAAAGGGTGACTAGGAGTGGAAAGGGTTGGCAGAGTGAAACCTGCTAGGTAAAGAACGTTAACGGATGGCTGGTGGTGGATGGGCATACTATCTGGTACCTAAACAGATTGTCCCACATGGGTAAAGAATGAAAGAAAGATTCGGAAACAAATGAATCCTTCATTCATTTCTGTGAGAAACATTTTTCTTTTGGTTTATAATTTTTTTAGGGTCATAAAACTGTATGCAACATTATATAAAGAAATTAAAATTCAGTTTAAAGTTTAATGGTTTGAAGATAAAGTACAATGTTTGGCCACGAGAGCAGCTATTGACTAGGCAAGAGAAAAAGAAGTATCAATTCATTTTAAAACAAAATTACTTGTGTTTTAAAATTCTGGCCAAAGATGAAGTTGGGTTTTCAACATATGGAGACATTTGAGGAAGTGTATACATGCTCCAGTAACTTACGCAAGGTAACATGGTTATAAACTTTCTTTTGGAAGGAGCATAAAAAATATTTGGGACTGTTAATCTGAACAGAAGTGCAATATTTTAAGTGATTAAGTGTTTTTTTGATAACTTTCTTAAATGTTAATAAACATACTTAATATCATGTTGTACTAATAAATCCACCTCTGGTTTTGTAGACAACAGGATGAAATTAGTGAAGAACCAAATTCCAAGTTACAGTGAGCTGTTCCTCAGAGATCTTCTATACTTTTATTTATGAATGATTGTGTAACATTTATATGAATATAAAAATACTTGTAATCAAAACATTCTTTATCATGAAAATTGATCCTCTGCAGTAGAATTAGAGTAGTGAAATAAGCTTCTTATCTTAGTAGCTGTTTTAATATTAAAGACACTTGTGTGTAAAAAAGGAAACATGGGCTAGTGAATCAAGGAAGTCTTCAAGGTTTACATTGGAAAAGAGAAATGGAGAGGGTGTTCCAGATTGGGGGATTTTGATGAGCAAAGTCAAGAAGAGTGAAAACTTAACTGTGAAAAGATGTATAGTAGGGAAAAAAAAGGAATGGAAATTTCAAATGAGTTGTTAAGAAGCAATTATAGGCCGGGCACAGTGGCTCATGCTTGTAATCCTAGCACTTTGGGAGGCCAAGGTGGGTGGATCACTTGAGGTCAGGAGTTGGAGACTTGCCTGGCCAAAATGGTGAAACCCTATCTCTACAAAAATACAAAAAATTAGCCAGGCTTTGGTAAGGTTTGCCTGTAGTTCCAGCTACTTGGGAGGCTGAGGCAGGAGAATTCCTTGAATCTGGGAGGCAGAGGTTGCAGTGAGCCGAGATGGCACCACTGCACTCCAGCCTGAGTGACAGATCAAGACTGTGTCTGAAAAAAAAAAAAAAAAGAAGCAATTATAGAGAGATTATGACTCCAATTATATTAATGCATGAATCCTTTAAATATTATTAATATTTGTATTTATAAATACTGTTTGTAATAGTTTAATTGAAGAACGATGGATTGAATGAGTACTTATCTGTCCAATAAAGATTGATAAAACAGATGAATTCATCTTTGCAATTAATTTTCTCCAACATTCTTACACTTGAATATATGGAAGCTGTATTTTCTCATGTTCTGAGAAGTTTGTTGAATGTCATCAAATGTGGAAGCCATGGACAGTTTTGGAAGGCTTGTGCTTTCCAGAGGATATAAACCTGAGTTAGTATACTGGGTGATGAGGGCTCTAAGTAGAACCTTTGGGGTAGATGTTTACCTGCAAACCCATTAAGTACTGTATTTACTGAAATTGCTTCCTAATGCCTAGAGGGAAAATGTGGAAGAACTTAGTTTTAAAGAGATAAGAACTCCTGTAAATCTGGTTTAAGTTACTTGATCTAGTGAATAATCTACTTCTAAAAGACCAGGCCAGGTATGGTGCCTCATGCCTGTAATTCCAGCACTTTGGGAGGCCAAGACTGGAGGATTATTTCAGCCGAGTAGTTCAAGACCATCCTGGATAATGTAGTGAGACTCCATCTCTACAAAAAAAAAAAAAAAAAAAAAACAAAATCGCCATTTTTTACTTATCAAGCAATACTTATTACATTGAAGTAAATGTAGAAAAACCAAAGCTATAAAAAATGATTCTCTACAGCATACCACTTCATCTGGAGATGAGCCATTTCTCCAGCTCAACAGTAAGAAATAGTTGACTTTTGTCAACTCTTCAACGGTATTTTTCCAGAAAGAAGATTTTCTGGAGAAAAGTGTTTTCTTTGTTTCTCCAAAAAGAGGTGCTGCAATTTTGTGTTTTAAAACTTTTAATAATAAAAAAAGTTTGAGGATGAGAAAACAAAGAAAAATTATTAGTAGCTTTACATATAATCAATATAATTAGCAATCACTAGATACTAATTGTCTCTTTACCAATGAAGAAGTGAATTTTGAAACCATTACACATTATACATATTGCAGTTTTAATTAGCAATGAAAATCAGCCTCAAAGTTAAGTATACCTTAACTATGAACTTAAAAAGATTTTGATGGTCATTCTTAAAAGTCTAGTTGACAATTTTCATAGGTACTTTCATTTGTATAATTTAATATTGAAATAAAACATTTATTAGAATTAAACTATTTGAATAAAAAATTTTGCAATGTGCTGGGCGCGGTGGCTCATGCCTGTAATCCCAGCACTTTGGGAGGCCAAAGCAGGCAGATCACG
Organism: Homo sapiens; assembly: GCF_000001405.40. NCBI lineage: Eukaryota > Metazoa > Chordata > Mammalia > Primates > Hominidae > Homo > Homo sapiens. Next base: position 120,956,304 of record NC_000004.12, on the reverse strand, counting down.
AGGTCAGGAGATCGAGACCACCCTGGCTAACATGGTGAAACCCCATCTCTACTAAAAATACAAAAAATTAGCCAGGCATGGTGACGGGTGCCTGTAGTCCCATCTGCTCGGGAGGCTGAGGCAGGAGAATGGTGTGAACCCAGGAGGCAGAGTTTGCAGGTAGTGGCAACAGAGTGAGACTTGGTCTCAAAAAAAAAAAAAAAAGTTTGCAATTTTACGTTTTTAGTCATTGAAATAATAGATGACTCTTATGCCATTTAAAAAATCAGTAAGTACTTGTTTGGTTAGTAAAACTCAAATGCTCAGTTATATATTTGAGCGTGTTAATGTATATTTCATTTTTTTTAACGAACTTCTTTGAATCCAGAGTGAATGACTTAAAAAAGACCTCCTGAAGGAATACCAGCACCTTGAACAACCCCGTAAGAGAGGACAGAACCCTACTTGTGTGGAGTATGGAAAGGAAGCTCCCCTCAGTTTTGTCTGTGAAAGTAAGGAGCGAGTGTTAAGATGGGGTGGGATGTGTGGTGGAATCCATCAACTACTCTTACCAGGTTTATCTACTTTCTCTGGCCCCTTAGAATTTCTGGGGTAATTTATTTTCAGAATATAATTCAGAATGCAGATTTTTTTTCCCTAAGAAAACAGTGACAATCTGTCCATACTTCCATAAGAGTTTTACACTGCTTCCTTAATTTGACATCAAAATTTGCCTGTGTCTTTACGAATGGTGAGGGCTGTAGGAACACTGGCAGACACTAGTATGAATTTTGGCTGGGTTTCTCTAGGTTTAGATCTCAATGTGGTTGTATGAAATCCACAAGCTTAGAGATGGGCTTGAGTGATTTAGAACAAACATGAAAGACAGAAATCATAGTGTTCAACAATAAGTTTATTATGAAATCTATCAATGTTATGCTTATTACATAAGAAATGTACTTCATATTTGGCTTAAATCCATTCTCAAATCTTCATCACCAGATTAACTCCACAAAGATATTGCATTTTACAAATTCCAAGAGATTAAAAGGAGGCAATCCAGACTGGAGAAAGAAATGCAATCTAACTTGACACTTGTTTTTCATAGAGAACCGGATTTTCAAAGAAATCTTTTTGGTTAAGTATCATTAGAGTTGGGCTTAAGATCAGGGCCCACATCACTAGTCACATTAATATGGCCTGAAAGAGTTAATATGTCTTTGAAATATGAATAGCCCTACTTTTTGGTAGTGCCTGATAAATGGTCTTCAGTGTGCTTTAAACTCTTTCTTATTATATTCTCATTACATTCTTTTTAGCCAAGTGATTATGGGCAACTGTCAATTATACTTAGCAATGAAAAGCTAAGGTCACACAAAATTGAAATCTACAAAGTAGACAAGCAATTCAATGTAGTTATTAATTTTGTAATATAGAATCATGGTTAAGTGTACAGATTTAAATGTAGACTGTCTTCCCCAAGTCTAGCTATGTGATTTTGGAATTTGATTTGGTTGTGTGAAAAATGAGGATAATAATAAATTTTACCTCCCTACAAGATAATTGTGAGGATTAGAAAAAACATGTTTTAGGCTGGGCATGGTGGCTCATGCCTGTAATCCCAGGTCTTAGGGAGGCAGAGGCGGGAGGTTAGCTTGACCCCAGGAGTTCAAGACTTGCCTGGGCAATATAGTGAGACTCCACTCTCCACAAAAAGGAAAAAAAAAAAAAGACAAAAAAAGAAAAAATGTATTTTAGAAGCACTTAGCTGTGTCTGGACTATAGTCAACAATCAAATCATATACATAGGTGGCATATATGTCAGTGTATGTAAGAAGGTGCTCTCCATTAAACTGTTTGTCCGAGTGATTCTTGTTTTTCTCATCCACTGACAATTATGGTAGTGCTTGGGAGCAAAGAGACTTGAACAATCTATGGTCATCATAAATTCATAATGAAAAACTAGATTTTCTTTTGAGCAGGTCAGAAAAACTATGGCTTTAGAAAATCATTAAAGTCACATAATAGTTTAATGTTATTGACAATATTAAAGTCTATGGGGTTAAAATATGGTTGGAATAATATCTCAGCTCCAAAAAACTCATTCCACAAGAGACTTGTATCATAGTTGGGTGAAAGGTTTGGGCTAACTGATGTGAATTTAATGGCCTATTCCAGCCCTTGGGTTTAGGTTATACTTTTGGCAGAATGAATGCCATGGGTTGAATTGTGTCTTCCCAAAATACATATGTATTCATGCAATGGATTCTTCTTGCCTGCTGCACAGTTATCCCAATTATCTGAGAGTATTACTGCAGTTAAAAAAGAAGTTTCATTAGTGCAAAGCTGGCCAAGTGAAAGAAGAGGAGTTTATTATTATTCAAATTGGTCTCCCAGAGAACTCAGAGGCCAGGGTTTTTATGGATAATTTGGTGGGCAAGGGGTTTAGGGAATGAGTACTGCTGATTGGTTGGGAATAAAATCATAGTGTGTGGAAAATGGTCCTCAGGTGCTGAATGTGCCTCTGGGTGGGGGCCACAGGACTGGCTGAGTCATGAGTCATGGGTCCCAGTGGGGTCTGTTGATTGCTGGAATGCAAAAGTATGAAAAGCATCTCAAAAGACCAATCTTAGGTTCTACAATAGTAATGTTATCTATAGGAACAAATGGGGAAGTGACAAATCTTGTGATCTCTGGCCACATGACTCCTGCGCAATAAGGGATTATAGAAAAGCAAGCTAGAGGACAATGGCTGATTATCATTTAGCTACATCAACTTTGTAGCAGAATTCAGGCCCCTTCTATAATCTTAACCTTGTGGACTTTCATAAGTCTTACAAAGGCAGTTTTAGTCCCCAACCAAAAATGGGATCAGTTTTAGGTAGGGACTAGTATCATCCTTAATTTAAAGTTAAACTATAAAATAAATTCCTCCCGTGGTTAGCTCAGCCTAGATCCAGGAATCAGCAAGGACAGCCAGTCTGTGAGGCTAGAGGCAAGATGGAGTCAGCCATGCTAGACTTCTTTCACTGCCATAACCTTTGCAAAGGTGGCTTCACTTATGTCGAAGTTCTTTTCTGTTTTGTTTTGTTTTCTTTGAGATGGAGTCTCGCTCTGTTGCCCAGGCTGGAGTACAGTGGCATGATCTCAGCTCACTGCAACCTCTGCCTCCTGGGTTCAAGCAATTCTCCTGCCTCAGCCTGCCGAGTAGCTGGGATTACAGGTGCCTGCCACCACGCCCAGCTAATTTTTCCATTTTTAGTAGAAATGGGGTTTCACCATGTTGGCCAGGCTGGTCTCGAACTCCTGACCTCAGGTGATCCACCCGCCTCAGCTTCCCAAAGTGCTGGGATTACAGGCATGAGCCACCACACCAGGCCCACTTATGTTGAAGTTCTAACCCCCAGTACCTCAGAACATGACCTTATTTGGAATTAAGGTTGTTACAGATGTAATTAGTTAAGATCAGGTCATAGTGGAGAATGGTGGGCCCCTAATTCAATATGACTGGCATCCTTTTAAGACAGTCATGTGAAGCCAGAGACACACAGGAAGTATGTCATGTAAAGATGAAGACAGAAATCAGGGTGATGCAGTAGAAGCTAATGAATGCCAAAGATTTCCAGCTAACCACCAGAAGCTAAGAAAGAAGCATATAACAGGTTCTTTTCACAGCTCTCAGAAGGAACCAACCATGTTGGCACATTGACCTCAGACTTTTAGCTTCCCAAGCTGTAAGACAATATATTTCTATTGTTTAAGCTCCTAGTTTGTGGTACTTCATAAGTGCATCCCTAGCAAATGAATACAATTAGTAAAAAATATAAAATTAAGAAATGAGAACCTACTGATTCCAGCAACATGTTAAAGTTATGAATTTGTTTTTCTTTTCTTTTTTTTTTTTTTTTTTGAGACAGAGTCTCTGTCACCCAGGCTGGAGTGCAGTGTCATGATCTCTGCTGAGTGCAACCTCCGCCTCCCAGGTGCAAGCATTTCTTCTGCCTCAGCCTCCCGAGTAGCTGGGACTACAGGTGCGTGCCACCACACCCGGCTAAGTGTTGTATTTTTAGTAGAGACAAGGTTTCACCATATTGGCCAGGCTGGTCTCGAAGGCATGATCCACCCGCCTCAGCCTCCCAAAGTGCTGGGATTACAGACATAAGCCACCACGCCAAGCCAAAGTTATGAATTTTTTAAATTTAAAGAGATCTTAGAGATGTACTCATCCAATTCTTTTTTTCCTGCACCTGAGGAACTGAATTATAGAGCGATCTCTGTAGTACACATAAAGTATTATTTGAATAAGACAGGTTCCCGTTACCGGTCCTTTTCTCTTAGTTGCTTTTTATTACTTGAAGAGAAAGTACCAATAACCAAACACAAGGATGACTATAAATAAAATGGACAAGATAGATGAATGTATCTGAAATTCAGGATATGCAAAGGCCACTTTTCTGGGATGATCAAGGTGGGGCTTAACAGGGAAAGTAGGGAAACTCTGTGTGTGAGAGAGAGAGTAGGGGAGGGAGGGAGAGAGAGAAAGAGAGAGATCTTGTTTGTGCTTTGTCTTAATTTTTGGGTTTGAATGAAAAGCAAAAGGAAAATTATTTTCTGAATCAAAGACCAATCAAACTCAAGGTAAAGCAATGACACTTTATAAATAATGCCTGTTCTTCCTCTTCCCTTCCCATCCCAAATTGCTAAAGATTCTATAAATATTGATTTATGCTAATTCTTTTCAGACTATTATTTTTGCTATGGTCTGAATGTTTGTGTCCCCCAACATTTATAGGTTGAAATCCTAATCCCCAAGTTGATGGGATTAGGAGGTGGGGGCTTTGGGAGGCGATTAGGTAATTAGGACAGAGCCCTCATGAATGGTATTTGTGCCATTATGAAAGAGACCGGAAAGAAACTCCTAACTCCCTCCACTGTCTGAGGACTCAGCCAGAAGGCACTCGTATCATCCAGAAAAAAGGCCCTCACCAGACACTAAATCTGTTGGAGCCTTGCTCTTATAGTTCCCAGCTTCCAGAACTGTGAGAAATAAATGTTTGTTGTTTATAAACCTCCTAGTCTATGATATTTTGTTATAGCAGCTCAGATGGACTATGACAATTGTTTTTATTGTAGTCTAAGTTCTGGGATACATGTGCAGAATGTGCAGATTTGTTACACAGGTATACATGTGCCATGGTGGTTTGCTGCACCCATCAACCCGTCATCTACATTAGGTATTTCTCCTAATGCTATCCCTCCCTTAGACCCCTACCCACTGACAGGCCCCAGTGTGTGATGTTCCCATCCCTGTGTCCATCTGTTCTCATTGTTCAACTCCCACATATGAGTGAGAATATGCGGTGTTTGGTTTTCTGTTGTTGTGTTAGTTTGCTGAGAATGATGGTTTCCAGCTTCATCCATGTCCCTGCAAAGGACGTGAACTCATCCTTTTTTATAACTGCATAGTATTTATATATGTGCCACATATTCTTTATCCAATCTATCATTGATGGGCATTTGAGTTAGTTCCAAGTCTTTGATATTGTGAACAGTGCTGCTGCAACAAACATACATGTGCCTGTGTGTTTATAGTAGAATGATTTATAATCCTTTGGGTATATACCCAGTAATGAGATTACTGGATCAAATGGTACTTCTGGTTCTAGATCCTTGAGGAATCGCCACATTGTCTTCCACAGTGGTTGAACTAATTTACACTTCCACCAACAGTGTAAAAGCATTCCTATTTCTCCATATCCTCTCCAGCATCTGTTGTTTCCTGACTTTTTAAAGATCTCCATTATAACTGGCATGAGATGGTATCTCAATGTGGTATTGATTTGAATTTCTCTAATGACTAGTGATGATGAGCTTTTTTTCATATGTTTGTTGATTGCATAAATGTCTTCTCTTGAGAAGTGTCTGTTCATATCCTTTGCCCACTTTTTGATGGAGTTATTTTTTTCTTGTAAATTTGTTTAAGTTCTTTGTAGATTCTGGATATTAGCCCTTTGTCAGATGGACAGATTGCAAAAATTTTCTCCCATTCTGTAGGTGGCCTATTCACTCTGAAGATAGTTTCTTTTGCTGTGCAGAAGCTCTTTAGTTTACTTAGATCCCATTTGTCAATTTTGGCTTTTATTGCCATTGCTTTCGGTGTTTTAGTCATGAAGTCTTTGCCCATGCCTATGTCCTGAATGGTATTGCCTAGGTTTTCTTCTAGGGTTTTTAGGGTTTTAGGTCTTACATTTAAGCCTTTAATTCATCTTGAGTTAATTCTTGCATACGGTGTAAAGAAGGGGTCCAGTTTCAGTTTTCTGCATATGTTTTCCCAACACCATTTATTAAATAGGGAATCCTTTCCCCTTTGCTTGCTTTTGTCAGGTTTGTCAAAGATCAGATGGTTGTAGATGTGTGCTGTTATTTCTGAGGCCTCTGTTCAGTTCCATTGGTCTATATATCTGTTTTGGTACCAGTACCATGCTGTTTTGGTTACTGTAGCCTTGTAGTATAGTTTGAAGTCAAGTAGCATGATGCCTCCACCTTTGTTCTTTTTGCTTAGGATTGTCTTGGCTGTGGGGGCACTTTTTTGGTTCCATATGAAATTTAAAGTAGTTTTTTTTCTAATTCTGTGAAGAAAGTCAGTGGTAGCTAGATGGGGATATCATTGAATCTATAAATTCCTTTGGGCAGTATGGCCATTTTCATGATATTGATTTTTGCTATTCATGAGCATGGAATGGTTTTCCATTGGTTTGTGTCCTCTCTTATTTCCTTGAGCCGTGGTTTATAGTTCTCCTTGAAGAGGTCCTTCACATCCCTTGTAAGTTGTATTCCTAAGTATTTTATTCTCTTTGTAGCAATTGTAAATGGGAGTTCACTCATGATTTGGTTCTCTGTCTGCTATTGGTGTATAAGAATGCTTGTGATTTTTGCACATTGATTTTGTATCCTTAGATTTTGCTGAAGTTGCTTATCAGCTTAACCAGATTTTGGACTGAGACAATGGGGTTTTCTAAATATGCAATCATGTCATCTGCAAACAGAGACAATTTGACTTTCCCTCTTCCTATTTGAATACCCTTTATTCTTTCTCTTGCCTGATTGCACTGGAAAGAACTTCCAATACTACGTTAAATAGGAGTGGTGAGAGAGGGCATCCTTGTCTTGTGCCAGTTTTCAAAGGGAATGTGTTGCAGGAAGTCAGGGACCCTGAACGGTGGGACTTGCTGAAGCCAGGGCAGAAGAACATAAATTGTGAAGATTTCATGGACATTTATCACTTCCCCAATCAATACTCATAATTTCCTATGCCTGTTTTTACTTTAATCTCTTAATCCTGTCATCTTCGTAAGCTGAGGATGTATGTCATCTCAGGATCCAGTGATGATTGCGTTATTTGCACAAATTGTTTGTAGAGCACGTATGTTTGAACAACATGAAATCTGGGCAGCTAGAAAAGGAACAGGATAACAGCAATTTTCAGGGAACAAGGGAGACAGCCATAAAGTCTGACTGCCTGCAGGGCCAGGCGGAACAGAGTCATATTTCTCTTCTTGCAAAAGTGAATAAGAGAAATATCACTAAATTCTTTTTCTCAGCAAGGAACAGTCCTGGGAAAAGAATGCACTCCCAGGGGGAAGCCTCCAAAATGGCCGCTCTGGGAGTGTCTGTCTTATGCAGTTGTGGATAAGGGATGAAATACGCCTTGGTCTCCTGCAGTGCCCCCAGGCTTGTTAGGATTGGGAAATTCCAGCCTGGTGAAATTCTAGTCAGACCGGTTCTCTGCTCTTGGACTCTGTTTCCTGTTAAGATTTTTATCTATGACAATACGTGCACAGTGGGACAGGGAACCTCATTACTAATTCTAATTTCACCCTGGCCTTGTGACCTTGCCCTGCCCATTTGCCTTGTGATATTTTATTGCCCTTGAGGCATGTGATCTCTGTGACCCACACCCTATTCGTACACCCCTCCCCTTTTGAAAATCGCTAATAAAAACTTGCTGGTTTTGCGGCTCAAGGAGCATCATGGAACCTGCCGATATGTGATCTCTCCTGGACCCTAGCTTTAAAAGTTCTCCTTTTGTACTCTTTCTCTTTATTTATCAGACTGGCCGACACTTAGGGACAATAGAAAAGCACCTACATTGAAATATTGGGGGCTGGTTCCCCCAGTAGGAATGCTTCCAGCTTTTGCCCATTCAGTATGATATTGGCTGTGGGTTTGTCATAGATAGCTCTTATTGTTTTGAGATACATTCCATCAATACCTAGTTTATTGAGAGTTTTTAGCATGAAAGGGTGTTGAATTTTGTCGAAGGCCTTTTCTGCATCTATTGAGATAATCATGTGGTTTTTGTCATTGGTTCTGTTTATGTGATGGATTACATTTATTGATTTGCCTATGTTAAACCAGTTTTGCATCCCAGGGATGAAGCCAACTTGATCATGGTGGATAAGCTTTTTGATGTGCTGCTGGATTCAGTTTGCCAATATTTTACTGAGGATTTTTGCATTGATGTTCATCAGGGATATTGGCCTGAAATTTTCTTTTTTTGTGTGTGTGTCTCTGCCAGATTTTGATATCAGGATGATGCTGGCCTCATAAAATGAGTTAGGGAGGATTCCCTCTTTTTCTATTGTTTGGAATAGTTTCAGATGGAATGGTACCAGCTCCTTTCTGTATCTCTGGTAGGGTTTGGCTGTGAATTGGTCTGGTCCTGGACTGTTTTTGGTTGGTAGGCTATTAATTACTGCCCCAATTTCACAACTTGTTATTCTTCTATTCAGGGATTCGACTTCTTCCTGGTCTAGAGTTGGGAGTGTGTATGTGTCCAGAAATTTATTCATTTCTTCTAGATTTTCTAGTTTATTTGGGTAGAGGTGTTTATAGTATTCTCTGATGGTAGTTTGTATTTCTGTGGGATCAGTGATGATATCCCCTGTATCATTTTTTACTGTGTCTATTTGATTCTTCTCTCTTTTCTTCTTTATTAATCTTGCTAGTGGTCTATCTATTTTGTTAATCTTTTCAAAAAATCCAGCTCCTGGATTCATTGATTTTTTGAAGGGGTTTTCGTGTCTCTATCTCCTTCAGTTCTGCTCTGATCTTAGTTATTTCTTGTCTTCTGCTAGCTTTTGAATTTGTTTGCTCTTGCTTCTCTAGTTCTTTTAAATGTGATGTTAAAGTGTTGACTTTAGATCTTTCCTGCTTTCTCTTGTGGGCATTTAGTGCTATAAATTTCCCTCTAAGCACTGCTTTAAATGTGTCCCACAGATTCTGGTAGGTGTGTCTTTGTTCTTATTGGTTTCAAAGAACTTATTTATTTCTGCCTTAATTTCATTATTTACCCAGCAGTCATTCAGGAGCAGTTTGTTCAGTTTTTCTGTAGTTGTGAGGTTTTGAGGGAGTTTCTTAAGTCTGAGTTCTAATTTGATTGCACTGTGGTCTGAGAGACTGTTTGTTTGATTTCCATTCTTTTGCATTTGTTGAGGAGTGTTTTACTTCCAATTACGTGGTCAATATTAGAGTAAGTGGGATGTGGTGCTGAGAAGAATGTATATTGTGTTAACTTGGGGTGGAGAGTTCTGTAGATGTCTATTAGGTCCACTTGGTCCAGAGCTGAGTTCAAGTCCTGAATACCCTTGTTAATTGTCTGTCTTGTTGATCTGTCTAATACTGACAGTGGGGTGTTAAATCTCCCACTATTATTGTGTGGGAGTCTAAGTCTCCTTGTAAGTCTCTAAGAACTTGCTTTATGAATCTGGGTGCTCCCATATTGGGTGCATATATATTTAGGATAGTTAGCTCTTCTTGTTGTATTGATCCCTTTACCATTACATAATGTCTTTCTTTGTTTCTTTTGATTTTGGTTGGTTTGAAGTCTGTTTTATCAGAGAGTAGGATTGCAACCCCTGCTTTTTTTTGCTTTCCATTTGCTTGGTAAATATTCCTCCATTCCTTTATTTTGAGCCTATGTGTTTCTTTGCACATGAGATGTGTCTCCTGAATACAGCACACTGATGGGTCTTGACTCTATCCAATTTACCAGTCTGTGTCTTTTAATTGGGGCATTTAGCTTGTTCACATTTAAGATTAATAGTGTCATGTGTGAATTTGATCCTATCATTATGATGCTAGCTGGTTATGTTGCCCGTTAATTGATGCAGTTTCTTCATAGTGTTGATGGTCTTTACAATTTGGTATGTTTTTGCAGTGGCTGGTACCAGTTGTTCCTTTCTATGTTTAGTGCTTTCATCAGGAGCTCTTGTAAGGCAGGCCTGGTGGTGACAAAATCTCTCAGCATTTGCTTGTCTGTAAAGGGTCGTATTTCTCCTTTGCTTATGAAGCTTAGTTTGGCTGGATATGAAATTCTGGGTTGAAAATTCTTTTCTTTAAGAATGTTGAATATTGGCCCCCACTCTCTTCTGGCTTGTAGGGTTTCTGCAGAGACATCTGCTGTTAGTCTGATGGGCTTCCCTTTGTGAGTAACCTGACCTTTCTCTCTGACTGCCCTTAATGTTTTTTCCTTCATTTCAACCTTGGTGAATCTGATGATCATGAGTCTTATGGTTGCTCTTCTTGAGGAGTATCTTTGTGTTAGCCTCTGTATTTCCTTAATTTGAATATTGGCCTGTCTTGCTAGGTTGGTGAAGTTCTCCTGGATAATATCCTGAAGAGTGTTTTCCAACCTGGTTCCATTCTCCCCATCACTTTCAGGTATACCAATCAAATGTAGATTTGGTCTTTTCACAGAGTCCAATATTTCTTGGATTCTTTGATCATTCCTTTTCATTCTTTTTTCGCTAATCTTGTCTTCTTGCTTTATTTTATAAGTTGATCTTCAATCTCTGATATCCTTTCTTCCACTTGATCGATTCAGCTATTGATACTCGTATATACATCATGAAGTTCTCATGCCATGTTTTTCAGCTCCATTAGGTCACTTATGTTCTTCTCTAAACTGGTTATTATAGTTAGCAATTTGTCTAACCTTTTTTCAAGGTTCTTAGCTTCCTTGCATTGGGTTAGAACATGCTCCTTTAGCTTGGAGGAGTTTGTTATTACCCACCTTCTGAAGCCTACGTCTGTCAATACATCAAACTCATTATCCAGTTTTGTTCCCTTGCTGGCAAGGAATTGTGATCCCTTGGAGGAGAAGAGTCATCCTGGTTTTTGGAATTTTCAGACTTTTTGCATTTCATCCCCATCTTCGTGGCTTTATCTATCTTTGGTCTTCGATGTTGGTGACCCTCGGATGGGGTCTCTGAGTGGACATCCTTTTTGTTGATGTTGATGTTATTCTTTTCTGTTTGTTAGTTTTCCTTCTAACAGTCAGGCCCCTCTGCTGCAGGTCTGCTGGAGTTTCCTGGAGTTCCACTCCAGACCCTGTTTGCCTGGGTATCACCAGTGGAGGCTGCAGAACAGCAAAGATTGCTGCCTGTTTTTTCCTCTGGAAGCTTCATCCCAGAGGGGCACCTGCCAGATACCAGCCGGAGCTCTCCTGCATGAGGTGTCTATTGACCCCTGCTGGGAGATGTCTCCTAATCAGGATGCCCGGGGGTCAAGGGCCCACTTGAGGAGGCAGTCTGACCCTTAGCAGAGCTCTAACGTTGTGCTGGGAGATCCGCTGCTTTCTTCAAAGCCATCAGGCAGAGATGTTTAAGTCTACTGAAGCTGCACCCAGAGTCCCCACTTCCCTCAGGTGCTCTGTCCCAGGGAGATGGGGGTTTTATATATAAGCCCCTGACTGTGGCTGCTGCCTTTTTTTTTCAGAGATGCCCTACCCAGAGAGGAGGAATCTAGAGGCAGTGTGGCCATAGTGGCCTTGTTCAGTTGCAGTGGTCTCTGCCCATTTCTAACTTGCAGGTGGGGTGGCTTTGTTTACACTGTGAGGGTAAAACTGCCTACTCAAGCCTCAGCAATGGCTGATGCCCCTCCCTGCCACCAAGCTGGAGTGTCCCAGGTCGACTTCAGACTGCTGTGCTGGCAGTGATCATTTCAAGCCAGTGGATCTTAGCTTCCTGGGCTCTGTGGGGGTGGGACCCACTGAGCCAGACCACTTGGCTCCCTGGCTTCAGCCCCCTTTCCAGGGGAGTGAACTGTTCTGTCTCACTGGAATTCCAGGCACCCCAGGGGTATGAAAAAAAAACTGCCGCTTGCTCAATGTCTGCTCAAACGGCCGCCCAGTTTTGTGCTTGAACCTGAGGGCCCTGGTGATGAGATTGAGGGTATCTCCTGGTCTATGGTTGCAAAGACTGTGAGAAAAGTGCGGTATCTGGGCTGGAGTGCACTGTTCCTTACGACACAGACCCTCAAGGCTTCCCTTGGCAAGGGGAGGGAGGGAGTTCCCTGGCCCCTTGCACTTTCCTGGTGAGGCAATGCCCCACCCTGCTTTGGCTCACCCTCCGTGGGCTGCATTCACTGTCCAACCAGTCCAATGAGATGAACTGGGTAACTCAGTTGGAAATGCAGAAATCACCCACCTTCTGCGTCAGTCTCACTGGGAGCTACAGTCTAGAGCTGTTCCTATTCAGCCATCTTGCCAGAAATCTTTCCACAATTTTTTAAAAGAAAATATGTGGATGTCTGCTGGGCCCTGTGGCTCATGCCTGTAATCCCAGCACTTTGTGGGGCTGAGGTGAGAGGATCACTTGAGGTCAGGAGTTTGAGACCAGCCTGGCCAACATGGTGAAACCCTGTCTCTACTAAAAATACAAAAATTAGCCAGGTGTGGTGGTGGGTGCCTGTAATCCCAGACATTCAGGAGTCTGAGGCACAATAATCACTTGAACCCAGGAGACAGAGGCTGCAGTAAGCCGAGATCACATCACTGCATTCCAGCTAGTGTGACAAAGTGAGACTCTATCTCAAAATATAATAAAATAAAATATGTGGGTCAATTTAAACCAACACTTTTCATCTTGCATCAATAATTGCATTTAAACATATGTTAGGTACAGTTCATAAGGCCATATATTTTTCTAGGAATATTATCTTTACTGCAGCTTGTACACTGGTAGGTACGTTGTGTTTTTAGGGTCTGTTTTATTAACCTGTGGAATTATGCACCTTAAGTACTACCATCAAACTCAAATTAAAATAGTTCATAAATAACTGAGAATAAATTTAGTCCCAAATGTTTATCTCTAAGTTACAGATGTTTTCTTTCCTCATTTTTCTGCCTTAGATGCATTAGATTTTTTTTAACTTTATAATCAAAGTTAAATAAATAAACGTTTCCATTGGGAAAATGATGGACTTTCACCAGCTGCAAACTTCACAGCATTGGTAAATTTATGTTTATTCTGTAGTAAAACAATAATGCATGGTCCTGGCCTGAATTCACAGCTAGAATTTAATCTGTTTAATAGGGCGAGTTCAGTCTGAGGTCCTTCTCTCCTTCATAAAACTGTACTCTGGCAGTTTACGATTCTAACAAACCTCCAAGAGTGAGTTACCATTTGGTACTCAAACTGGAATATCTACAGGATTATTCAGAAAGTAATATCCCAATAGGGGGCACTTTATCTTTTTACAATGAGATATTTAATTTTACTGTGCCTTGAAATATTTGTCAAAGAGGCAAAAATGTCTTTTCAAAGAACTTTGGTTCTTTTCTCCAGTTTCCTAAGGTAATTAGTATAATAGTGCTTCAGTTCCTTTGACTGGAAAACAAAGTATTTTAAAACTGTCAGATGAGTTTTAAAGAGAAATCATAACATACAGGTTAACAAATTATGCTTGAATTTAGGTTTTGGGTTCTCCTCCATCCTCTTTATCAAGTGTTTCTCAGATAGACTGAAAGTAGACTATGAACCCATAAATTAGGCATACCCTCATAAAAAGGCTTCAAACACTATTGAGCTTGCTCTATTTTTATTGAATGGAAAGAGAAGGAAACTGGCCCTCTGTGGAGCACCTAATGCTGTACTATAATCTAGTACAGTAATTTGTTCTCATTTTGCCTATTCTATCCATCTGTGATTTTATCATGTTTTGTTTTTCTATTCCTATATGGGAGGAAGTAGTGATTTCAATTACATGAATATTGTGACTCAAGAATTCTCCTTGAGTATGTGTTAGTTTTTCTGTAAGAGTAGAAGATTCCATGTAGAACTGCTGGGTCAAAGTGTATGTACATTTTTAAGTTTTAAAAGATGCTGCTCAATTTCTCCCCAAAGTGGGCCTCCCATTTTTTACTTGTATGAACGGCATGTAATAGTGTCCATTTTGCCACATCTCACCAACATTTGTGGCTTTGTTCAGCCTTTACATTTTTTTTTTTTTTGCCTGATAGGATCAAAAAAGTTTTCTCACTGTTACTTCCATTTGTCTTTCCCTGATTACTACAGAAGTTAATAATCTTTTCAATGGTCATTTATATTTTTACTTTTATTTATTACTTTTTCATTTTTGTCCATTTGTCTTTCAGGTATTTGTCTTTTCTTATGGATATGTTGTCTGTTACATATATTACAAAAATTGTTCTTAGTCCGTAGCTTGTCCTTCATCATTTTAATGATCTCTTGAACCATTCAGAATTTTATATTTTGTTGTGCTTTCCCATACCAAGTTTTTTTTTTGTTGTTTGTTTGTTTGTTTGTTTGTTTGTTTTGAGGTTGACTTTTGCTCTTGTCACCCAGGCTGGAGTGCAATGGCGTGATTTCAACTCACGGCAACCTCTCCCTTCCAGGTTCAAGCGATTCTCCTGCCTCAGGCTTCCAAGTAGCTGGGATTACAGGGGCACACAACCACACCTGGCTAATTTTTGTATTTTTTGTAGAGATGGGGTTTCGCAATGTTGGCCAGGCTGATCTTGAACTCCTGACCTCCAGTGATCTGCCTGCCTCGGCCTCCCAAAGTGCTGGATCATAAGGCAGTGCCCTGTATCAAGTTTTTACATTAAAAAAAATTTTATTCCTCAGGAAAGTTCTCTCCGCTCCATAGTTATGAACATAGTCTTCTACATTTTCTCCTAGTAATTTTAAAATTTTCATTTTTATCAACTGCAAAGTTTTATTATAGTGTGAACTACTGATTGAAATCTTTTCCTGTCCCTTGAGGTTGCCAAATACTGCAAGGGTAAAGGTGGAAACAGATCTCTGTTGAGAACAAAGTTACTGATTTTTCTAAGGTGGAGTTTAAAGAGGGCCTGCCCCTTGCCATTAGATTCCTGGTCTGACCTCAGCTACCAGTGGGGCTAACCTGCTCTGACAGCCTTTACCAATGAGATATATGAGAGAGAATTTGGAGGAGATCATGCCTGCTGGAAAGTGTTCTATATGTTTAGAAGTACAGCATTTTGTTCTCAATCTTAAACACTGGGGGCAGTGAAAGAGATATGTCCAGTGAAATTTATATTTAAGGGTGTTTTTTTGTTTGTTTTTGGTCTGAAGACTGAAGAAGAGATAGCTTCTTCCTTGCTGGTCATGAAGGGAGAAAAGTGCAGTATGTATTGCTCCAAAGGTTCAATATGGAAGGGCCACACCAACACCGTATTTTCCTGTGAGCCTTTGAATATCTGGAAGAGAACTCTAGTGGTTCCCTGTGGGCAGAGCACGGAGAACAGCAGAGGGAGACCAAGGCCATGAGACTGCCCAGGTGGCCCCTCAGCCAAGGGATGGTACACCCAACCTGGAAATCCTTTTGGCAGGTGAACCCCATATGAGTGCTACATGGAGTAAGGCTAACACTCTTGGGGTGAGAGGGGTTCATTTGTAACAGAGGCAGCCCAGGTAAAGCTGAATCAGTCCTTCTGAAAACCAACCTCAAATTACATCAGTCAGAGCACAGTTACATGAGGAGAATCTCTTATGCCTCTTTGCTGCACTTGCCACCTGGAAAGAGGCTAATATGAGCTAGTATTAAGAGTTAGAGAGAGAATTTCAAATAAAGAAAGATACGGGAGGCAAAGGAAGCAGAGCATATCCACTTCCTCACTCCCTGATGCCAGAGACACAAATCCAACAGCTAAGAGGTGGAGTTGCCAGATTCCGATTTCAGGCAGTTAGGCTTTGAAATTGAGCTCTTAATAATTATGCTAACGTGTGACCCTCAGGTATGATCTCTGCTTCACATTTCCTGCTTATACTCATTTTCAGATTAAGAATATTTCCTTTGAGTTCTAATTTGTGTATACACACTTACACATGGGCACACACACATATACACACACACATACATATCTATGATACAGTTTAATTTATAAATTAGGCACAGTAAGACACTAACAACAACTAAGAATAAAATAAAACAATTATAACAATAAGCTGGCATCACTGCTCTTGCACTTTGGGGCCATTACTAAGGAAAATAAGGGTGTTTGAACACAAGCACTTGCCACTGGATCTGATAACCAAGATGACTACTAAGTGACTGATGGGTGGGCACAATATACAGTGTGGCTCTGCTGGACAAAGGAATGATTCACATCTGGCTGGGCAGAGCAGGATGGCATCTGATTTCACCACATTAACAGAAAGGCATGCACTTGGACAGTTATAAATTGTTTACTTCTGGAATTTTTAATTTAATATCTTTGGACCTTGGTTGACTGCATGTAACAAAAACTGCAGAAAGTGAACCCACAGATGAGGAGGGGCTACTATATATATAAAGATTAATGGTTATTGACTTTTATTTGGAAAATTGGGAGCATCTATTTAGATAAAAAGTTGTTAATGCAGGGAATTAAAATGATAGGTTTTCTAATACTGAATTACCCTTGTAGCCTATTTTAAATATGTCATATTATTATACATTTTTTTCTTTTTTTGGGGCAGGGGGGAGTGTCTAGCTCTGTCACCCAGGCTGGAGCACAGTGGTGTGATCACTGCAACCTCTGCCTCCTGGGCTCAAGTAATTCTCCCACCTCAGCTTTTCGAGTCGCTGGGACTACAGGCACATGACACCATGCCCGACTAATTTTTGCATTTTTGTAGAGAAGGGGGTCTCACAAAGTTGCCCAGGCTGGTCTCCAACTTCTGCGCTCAGGCAACCGGCTTGCCTCAGCCTCCCAGATGCTGGGATTACAGGCGTGAGCCACCACACCTGGCCACACATTTTCTTTTAATAACTTGTTGGATTCCATTTGCTAACATATTAATGTATTATTTAGGATACTGTTGTATTCATGTTCAAAAGTGAAATTGAATTATATTTTTTTCTTTTATTGTTATTGTCCATTTGTGTTATCAAGATACCGAAGGCTGTGAGAATAGATGATTAGATTTACTATTTTTCTAAATTCTTATGTGTTTACATAAAAGGGGGATTACCTGCTCCCTTATCTTAAATCTGTCTTGAGTCTAACAACTTCTGTATAGATACGTTTTTAATGACCTATTGAACTTTATTGTTGTTCTATTGGGTGGTTTTCTACTACTTCCTGGACCAGTTTCGATAATTTATATCATCCTGGAGAAGTTATCCAATTATGTAGATGACATGTCCAAATTCATTGGTAGAAAATTACTGATAGTACCAACTAAAATCTCGTAACTTTGCAAACCTTTTTGAATTAGTAATGTCCCCCCTTTACTTACCTTATTACTAATAGTTTTATGTTCACATTTTAATTACATGTAATTGCCCTAAATTTGTCTATTTTATTAGATTTTTTTCAGGTACCATCTATTATTATAATCAATTGTATTCATTTTTTTTGTTTTCTGTTTTCTTACTTTATACTTTTATTATTATTGTGTTCTTCCTTATACTTTGAGTTAATTTTTGTTTTTCCCTTTCTTGCCTCCTGATTATAAGATATAGTTCATTTATTTCAATCCCTCTTTAAAATTAATAGTCAAGGCTGTATACTATTCACACTAATTATCACTTTGCATCTACCCTGCAGGTTTTGTTTTGTATTGTTTTCTCTTTTTTTGATAAGCTCTAAATATTTGATTACTATTGATTTTCAGTTTTATTGCTCTGTTCAATATGTTCAGTCTGTGTGATATAATTTCAGGTTATTGTTTTTTGTTTTAAGATTAATATACAGTCTTGCCAGTTTAGCTCTTAGGCCCTTGCAACACAAACTCTGTTTCAATACTTGTGCTTTACAAGGCTATGCTTTGGCCTTCATTTTTAAAACTCAGTCAGTGACTCTGTCTTATATAGATTGTTTTAAATAATTCAAAAGTTTATAATTATAGTAAATAATATATAACATAAAACTTACCATCTTAGCCATTTTTAAGTGTGCAGTTAAGTAGTGCTGAGTATATTTATATTGTTGTGCAACAGACCTCCAGAACCTTTTCATCTTGCAAGATTAAACTCTATACCCATTAAAAAATAACTCCACATTTTCCCCTCCCTTCAGCTGCAGATAACCACAATTGTACATTTTTTCTAGGAATTTGACTACTTTACATACCTCATGTAAGTAGAATCATACAGTATTTGTCTTTTTGTGACTGGCTTATTTCACTTAGCATAATGTCCTCAAGGTTCATCCATGTTTTACCATGTGACAGGATTTCCTTTAAGGTATGTATATACTACATTTGAGTTTACCATTCATCCTTTGACGAACATCTAGGTTGCTTCTATTTCATATAGATTATTTAAAAACCAGCTGCATGGATTGTGATTATTTCTATGTTTTGACTTTTTCTTTTATTTAGTATTTTATCTTCATTATTCTCTTTCCCTACCTATTTTTTTTCCCTTTTCTATTTCTTCATTGTATCCTAAAAATTTTAACATATGCGCCTAAACTTTTTCTCTGGCAAGTTCTAAAGTCAGCAGATCGAATGAAGCTCCCGAATATCAACATGACTTTTATGCCTCTGCTTCCCTTTACATCTTCCAAACAGACTTATACCTTGTACTTTCCATGTCAATAATGTCTAGAATTAAAGGTCAAGAGTGACATATTAAAAGATATTTGAAAATATTTGAAGTTTTGCAACCCACAATTATGTAAATTTACTTTTTTTTGGTTATCTTTGTTCATTATATCATTGCTTCAACCTAGTTTTATTTTTCTTCTTGCTCGTTTTCATCTTTTGGTTTCTTTCAGAGAGTTTTTGAGTAATAAATATTGTGAATCCATGTACATTTGAAAATGTCATTATAGGATTTTGGGTGTGCATGATAGTTTGGTTGGATATAAAATTCTAGGTTCAGTTTTCTTTTCCTTTATTGGCTATCAGTTTTAAGATTTTGCTTCATTGCTTTACTGTTTCAGTATGGCTAATCAGATAACTCACACAAATCTGCTTATCATTTTCTTGTAAGCTATGTGCTCTGTTCCTCTTTCAATATGTAACAAAGTATAAGAAGATAGTGATGGTTAGGTGCCAAAAGAATGAACAGACAACAGAAACTATGGATATATAAAAGATCACTTCCAATGATGGTAGCCAGAAATAGTTTCATGGAAAAGATGAAGCATAGATCATACTATGGAGGATGGTATCAGTTAAATAAGAAGAAAACAATAGAGAAGACATTTCACGCAATGGGTAAAATGTAAGTATGACATTGAGCCAGGTATGATGAGGGAAGAGAGAACAAATGAGTTTGATTGAATGAGGGATTCTAAAAGAATGATAGGAGTTAGGGTCAGAGGAGTAGGATGGAACTGGACCATGAACAGCTTTTTGACTTCAGAATAAGGATTTGGGAATAACCAGTAGGTATGTGGACTTACTCAAGCTGCTAGAAAAAAGGATTGTCAAGAGAATATTTTAGAACTATTAATCTATCAGTGATGCTGACAGTGCATTCAAGCAAAAAGATGCTAGAGTAGGGAAATATAAATATTGTAATAGATGTGGGGCTTTAGGGTCTAAACTATAATTAGTGCTAGCCATATGGACAGAGGCAAAACAAGAATGGAATGAATCTAAATCAAAGGCAATTGGTAAACAGGGAGTCCATATTTCAAGCACAGATGCTGGCAGAACTGTTTCTAGAGTAGGAAAATCAGAATAATTAAACATATTGTGGTTATGTCTCTAAAGGTCTAAAATAAACTTTTGACTCATGAATTTAGTAAAAAAATTAAAGTTAGTTTTTCCTCTTTAATTATCTTACCATTTATCTCTATTTTTCTTAGAAACAGTGCTAGGATCTTTTGCTTGCAGCTAAATATATTCCATGGATCAAATGCTTCTTTTATACTATACCTTAGGTAGTACTTGGAGCATTTTCCCATTTTACATTAGAACTAAATGTCATATGAAATAGTATTGGGCTAGAAAATATTTATCCTTTGGAAAAAAATGATGTTGGTATGAATAAATATTTTTGAATAAATAAAGCATTCTTTATTAGGTATATTCTTTAAAATAAGCGATAAGTCTCCAAAGTTAGATAAATTAACAACTTATTTTTAATTGAATTTTACTAATTCTAAGTTTTGTAATGTCTTCCCTTTTAAAAGTTCACAGCTACCATATAGTCATGAACATAAGAAATATTTTACCTACCCTTCCTGCTCTACAATCATTTTACATTTCATGGGTCAAATTCTCTTCTCAGATTTATTTTTATTTTTTGTAAATCCCACTGAAGATAGTGGAAATGGAGCCAGACTATCTGAGGGCAAAATTTAAAATCACATTTGCAAAGATATTGACTTTCCCCAATTCATATTTTATTGAGAGATTGGACATTGAAATTGGTTGGAATTATCTGTAATAAAGTATTTGAACTTGATGTCACTGAGACATATTGAGAAAAGAAGAAAAATAATGTTTTACTGCAAGTTGCTACTTTTCAGATTTCGACTTTCATTTCCCATGAAAAAAATGTAAAACTGGAGAATTGAACATGTTCACATTTCCCCCTACTGAGCTTGAAAGTTGAGAAGCATTGCAACTGCACGAGTAAAATATTTTTTACAGCATATAATAACAGTGGAGCTTCAGGAGATTGGCAGGAAAAGGGAAAGGAAATAGGGGGGAAAGAAGGGAGGGATGTGTGTCAAATATTGGACCCAGGAGTCCAAAACAAATTAACTAAATAATTTTAAGATTAACTCACATTGTTTCATCTCTACATTCTCATTGTGTAAAAATTATTACAAAGATTTTAAAGATTTCATTTTTTGGTGTTTTTAATGATCTTTTCTAAGTATTAGATAACATAGCATGCCCAGACAAAATTCAAACTCACGTATACAGAGTCCTACAAGGGATGCTGTCTATTGTGAGTTGCCCACTCTGAGCAACATAATTTTAGTGGCAAAACACAGAGGTCATTCAATTCTATTGACATTGAATTAGTTTTGGAGGAACTTTTTAAACACCTAATGAATGATTTGTTTGAGATGATATTACCCATGCTCTCAGTGAGAGCAATTTGCACTTGATTCCTCATAATGATTTATAAATCTCTATTTAGAATTTACTACATGGACATATGTGTCTTGTCCCATGTTTCCCCATTTCCTAACCTTAAGTACAAACCTTAAGCAATTCTGGCCCTTTGGATCCTTTTCTGTGTCTATCATGTTTAAGTCCTGTTTTTCTTTTTTTCCAAGATAAAGTCTCGCTCTGTCACCCAGGCTGGTGTGCAGTGGCATGATCTTGGCTCACTGCAAACTCCGACTCCCGAGTTCAAGCGATTCTCCTGCCTTAGCCTCCTAGGATGCTGGGATTACAGGTGCCTGCCACGACACCTGGCTAATTTTTTGTAGAGACAGGGTTTCACTATGTTGGCCAGGTTGGTCTCGAACTCCTGATCTCAAGTGATCTGCCCGCCTCAGCCTCCCTGTTTAACACACCCTTAAAATTCTCATTTCAGGTTAAGATGTCATGTCAACTTCTACCTTCTGGAAACTTGCTAAAGAATTCGTCTTTGCTTATGCACTTGCTCAAATGCAATATGTTAATGCTGAGTTTTACCAATTGATGCTTAGAAGGCCTTGCTTCTTTGCTGTGAGGTCTGCAAGATGTCTGTATTGCTACGCAGGATTACAGTGCTCTGTCTCCAGTCTGACTGCTCAATATCTGTGTTCTCCTCCTATTAGTAGGACAAATGCTATAGTGACAGAAGTGCTGCTAAAGCCTCCTTGTTAGAAGTAATTTCTCCCCACCCTGACACCCAAATTTACCTCCAATTGAGCAGTAATATGGACTGCATGAGACATTCTTTGTAACACATTAAACAGGCTCCCCTGTCTTTCTTCCCTACCCTGAAGTAGTTTCAATTATAGGAATATTTTCATGCACCCTTGTATTTACGAAATCTGATAACTAGTGTTGCTTATTCTTTGTGCTTGGTGCACAATTAGGAATTCTATATGAACTTTTCAGGAATACATTATTGTCTTAAATGTTTATTTTTGTACAGATACCATGTTTTATTTTATTTATTTTGAGATAGGTTCTTGCTCTATTGCCCAGGCTAGAGTGCAGTGGTGTGATTATGGCTCACTACAGCCTTGAACTTCTGGGCTCAAGTGAGCTCCTTGCCTTAGCTTCCCCACTAGCTGGGACTACAGTGCACTATCATACCTGGCTGTTTTTTAAAAAAAGAAAACTGTAGAGACAGGATCTCACTGTATTGCCCAGACTGGTCTCAGACTCCTTTCCTCAAGTGATCCTTCCACCTTGGCCTCCCAAAGAGCTGGGATTACAGGCATGAGCCACCATGTCTGGCCAGATACCACATAATTTGAATTAAAAAATGAAGAACTTCTTACACAGTTTTAAGTAAATTTGGAGTATAATCAAGAACTTTAAAATGACAAAATATGTTTAACACAATTTAACTACTATTAAACTTATTTTTCACATCTTTTGGAGATACAAGTGATCTATAAGCCCAGAAAAGAAAAAAAAAAACAACGTTTCCTACAAGCTCTTACTAACAATTTTTGGGAAACTGGCTATCTCTCTGAAAGCATCATTGGCCCATAGTGAGCTTCACGTAGATATTAAAGACATCATTCTTGCCCTGGAGGGATGACTGGAGGCTGCCTTGTGCCACAATACTAAGTAATAGATTCACTTCTGTATAATTAAAGCAAAACTCAGATGGCTTGGTGAAGAACATTGAAGTACAGCTATGAAACATAGTTCTAATCCATGGTAATAATAACAATAGCACCCATTTATTTTGAACAGGTTTTGTGTCTGGGGCTCTGCAAAGCAGGCATTATCATCCTCATTGCCTAGGTAGGGAAATAGCATCTCAGAGTGGCTATTAGCCTTTCCCACGGTCTCATGTTAATACATCTCAGATCTGTGATTTAAACCTCATACTCCCTGATTCCAAAATGTCTGCTGTTTCCATGGCTCCTCATCACTCCAACTGAGACTGGGAAGCACTCTTAATACATGGGAATTCCCCTTAGGAGCAGTAGAGTCTATTTTAGTAGTTGTATTTGGAAGAAGAAGTTTCAAGAAGCCATTTTTGTGGGTAGCCTATATAATTTAGCACAGACTCTGGTATGGCCTATGCAATTTTTTTTAAAAAAGTCTTTTTGTTTCCTTCTGGTCTAAGGTTCATTATGGTAAAATTTTGCAGAAAAGTTCAGAACTCATGATTTGAGAGATCAGCCCAATGCCATTTTTTTCATTACAGTTGCATAGTGTCTTTAATAAAGACAGATATATAATAACTGAACTCCTTACACAGAGAACAGCAGTGCAAAGGCTGACTAGATTCTAACTCAGGGAGAAAACATTTGACTCAATCATGTAACAGAATCTGTTATTTTTTATGTATTTGATTATTATTATTAATTTGTATCTTTTCTTCAGGGAATACCCCTGTCACACAGCCAGAAGTCTTCCAATTTGGTTTTCCATATGTTGACAAGTTTCTTATAATAAAGGATTTAAATTACCTTCAGGGCATACAGTACCAGTCACTTTCAAAATTATATATTGCTTCTTATTTCAGCCACATATACAATTTAAATACTTTATTTCATAAGTTAGGGTTGGATATAAGAACTTAAAATCTACAGACCTGTTTCAGCAATAGAAAATTTTGCTGCTGTGTAGAAATAAGTGACATTACTCTACTGTTGCCCAATTTTTTTAAAAAAAAACCTTTTAAAAACACAGAAAACCAATGTCAATAAATACTGTTTTGAACTTCTGGAAGAAATCAAGTTAAAAAATTATTGATTCATATGTAAAGACATATTAATATGGTGTCCAGTTACAATTGGAAACTACAGGGAGGAATTCTAAAATTAATGATCTTCAAACAAGGTTAATTTACCATGATTTCCCACTCAGTGTAACAGGATGGAGTTAGAAACTTACCTTTCTGATGATAAAATACTACCTGAAACTTCAAGCTGCCAAGCAAAAGAAGAAATAAACAGTTGGCAGAGAGAAGGTCTTATGTGATCCTAATTCAGTAGGGGATAATTGGTCTTTGTGGTGTGAGTGCCCCGTTTTATTGAGAGGTCACCAATCCATCAGCACTCAACTGTAATGTTTATTTGAAACATCATTTTCTAAGGAAAAAGATGACGAGTTAGTGAGTGCAGCGCACCAGCATGGCACATGTATACATATGTAACTAACCTGCACAATGTACACATGTACCCTAAAACTTAAAGTATAATTAAAAAAAAAAGATGGTTTTTACTGTTATGCTAAGTAATTAGTATTATATCATTATTATTACTTTGTCTACATAATTTCAGAGAGTTTATAGAAAATGATCACTTAAACTAATAAGAGTCCTCCTCACTCTGCCGTCTGTTTTTAAAATACTTTAGCTTTGAAGTTGCCATTTTGTTTCAATAAGTGCAAAGAAAAACAAGTGGAACAAATTGGGAGGTTCTGACAAATATTTGGTATTGCTTTTTCATTAATTACTGATGTCTTTTAATGTTATCATTTCTGTGAAGTAAAAATTTGTGGATGAGCTAGG
The DNA here is from genome assembly GCF_000001405.40 of Homo sapiens. Classification (NCBI taxonomy): domain Eukaryota; kingdom Metazoa; phylum Chordata; class Mammalia; order Primates; family Hominidae; genus Homo; species Homo sapiens. The sequence goes on along the minus strand of NC_000004.12, from coordinate 120,931,464 downwards.
CTGTGGTTATAAATAGGTCAAGCCACAAAATAGCTGCTAGAGTAAGAGAAACTTTCTGGAAAGGCAGGTCCTACCTTAGAGCCCCTCCCAGATGAAGATATGTCCCTGGAGAAACTGTCTTCTCTTAGACACAGTTGACTAGACCAAAGTTGAACTGACCACAGAGCAACCATTTTATTGTTTTTTACTGTTTATTGTTTGTACTGACAAAAACAAAGAGCTTGGCCAATCAAATTTTCTGCCAATTTGTAGAGGAAAAATGGGAGGGGGAGTCGGAGGGAAATGGGGAGAGACAGAGAAATGGAAAGTTCTACCTGTCCTAGAGCCACTGCTAAGCCCCATGGGAAGTATAACCGGAAAGTGGTCAGGACAAAGTAGGCAGGATATAGAATCAAGGGCTCAGGATGTTGAAATCAGCCAGTCCTGGGCTTGAATCATCCCTACCACTTCGTGAATATATGAAATTGACTAACAAGGTTAATAGTCTCTCTAAGATTTAGTTTCCTTGTGTGTAAAATGAGGCTTATGAAATTACTTTACAGGTGATGAAATCCAGGACGTACAACCCCAAAACGTGGCACTTGGGTATTTGAGGAAACTGCACAAACAAGGTCATTCTTTGACCTTCCTTCACCCTTCTCTCTTGAAGCAGGTCATGAAACTTAGGAGTTCTCTAATCTTCCCTGGAAAAAGATTATAAGACCCTCATTTCAGAGGTACCCTCCCTATATCTAGAGGAAAAGAACATCCTTATCTCTGAAGACACATGGACACAGAGAAGAATCTGAACGCACAGGCCTTGCTAAGTCCCCAAGTTTATCACTGTTAGCTCATACCCCTTTCGTCCAATTTTATTTCTCCACAACTGTCCACTTCTTCATCAAATCTAGCATAAAAAACACGCAAGTTTACCTGCTTCTTTGAGTCATTTCTTTATGAAGGCTCCTGTGTCACATAAAAGTTATTAAATAAACTTGTCTGTCTTTTTTAATAATTGGTCTTTTGTTATGGGGCCTCAGGGATGAGCAAGGAACAAATAATTTTTCATTCCCCAGTTTCTGGTGGCCAGAAGGAGATGGCCGGGATACCCCACTGGTTCTGGAGATTGCAGGTGAGATCCTGGGAAAAATGACAAGTGCTGGAGAGAGGTAAGAATTCTTACCAGGGTCACCTCTCTCAGATCTCTATCTGAAATGCCTAGTTGAGAGATGAAGGTAGAAATTTCTCCTCGTTCCTTCCTTTCCAAATTTAGATTAGCAGATGAATTACTTGTTTGGATAGTGAGATAATGACTCTGGTTAAATTTGGATTGGGGTACCCATTAGTTACTGATCTTTTCTCTTCAGAAACAGCTATTGCTTTCCTTTTTGTCTTGTTTTTTTTTTTCCTCTGAAAACTTGGCTTGACTTTCTGGCTGTCAGAGGTGCATGAGTTATTGGTTTTGCATTGCAGGCAGCCAACTTCAGGATGGAGGCCCCAAGAATATGGCCAGGCAGAAATGTGGATTGCATCCCTTTTTGGTTAATATACTGATTATTGATAGCTCTTGGGTGTGGGGGTGTTATATGTGTCTCTGTTTCTTTTGGCTATCTTTGAGAATGGTTCTGGATCATGGGAGGGTTATATCTTTTTGCATCTTATTTTGAGGACATCTTTGGCGTCCATGATTAAGTCATAAAAGGCTTATTGGTTTCAGTTCTGAGTCATCTGAGAGATACCTTTTGTTTATTAAAAAAAAGACAAAAAAAAGGAGTTCAATACTTCTAGAAATATTTGCTATTTGTCCCAGCTGAAACCTTACAATAGGATTTGAAAGTATGTATTTTTTAGGGCTCTATAGTCAGAAGTTGGCTCATTGGAAGCTGATATTAAAGGCACTCCCTATCTCTCTCTCTCTCTCTTTCTCTCTCTCTCTCTCTCTCACACACACACAGTTGATCCTTGAAAAACATGAGTTTGAATTGCATAGGTCCATATACATGGAATTTCTTCCACTCCTACCACCCCTGAGACAGCAAGACCAACCCCTTCTCTTCCTTCTCCTCAGCCTACCCAATGTGAAGGCAATGAAAATGAAGAGCTTTATGATGATCCACTTCCAATGGAAATATGTTTTCTCTTCCTTATGATTTTCTTAATAACATTTTCTTTTCTCCATCTTACTTTATTGTAATAATTCAATATATAACATGTATAACATACAAAGTATGTGTTAATTGTTTCTAATAAGGCTTCTGGTCAACAGTAGGCTATTAGTAATTGTGTTTTGAAGAGTCAAAAGTTATACTCAGATTTTTCACTGCATCGGCGTTGGCATCTGTAACCCCTGTGTTGTTCAAAGGTCAACTGTACATATATTTAAGGCGTTTTTGTTCTATTGGATAGCACTTATCTCATGGGAACTTCTCAGCTGACCACAACCTTCTTCCAGAATCCCTGCTGAGTATATGCTTCACCAAAGCTGTCGTATAGGCTCCACCAAAGGAAGCTTCCACTTTCTTCTTGTAGGAACTTTGGTAAGGCTGCTAGGGCTTTAAGATAGTAGATATAAAGAACCTAGTCTGCTTTCTGGCATGTACTAGACACTCAGTACCTGGAACCTTAACCTTGGTTTCTTTCACGTTTCTTTGGCTTTCTGTTAATTTTCCATACTCTGCTCCAAGAATAGCACTGCCTGTTGGGTGAGATGACTACTAATTTATCCTTCAGCTTTTCTTTTTATAATGTGTCTTAGTTCATGTTTTGTTGCTGTAACCTGGGTAATTTATAATGAAAATAATTTCATTCGGTTCACAATTCTGGAAGCTGGGAAGTTTAAGCATTGCACTGGCATCTGGTGAGGGTCCTCCCATGGTAGAAGGGTAGAAGGTGGAAGCAAGCATGTGAGACAGACAGCAAATTGGCCAAACTCACTTTTATAATAATTTACCCTCAGAAAAAGTATCCCATTACTAGGATAATGACATTAATCCATTCATGAGGGGTCTGCCCTCATGGCCCAATTAACCTCTTATTAGGCCCCACCTGCCAACACTGTTGCGTTGAAAATTAACTTTCCAACACATGAAATATTCAAACCATAGCATTCCACCCATGGCCCCCCAAATATATATACTTTTCACAGTGCAAAATACATTCATTCCATCCCAGTGGCCCCCAAAGCCTTAACTAATTCCAGCAGTAACTCAAAAATCTAAAGTCCAAAGTCTCATCTAAATCAGATATGGATGAGACTTACAGCATGATTCACCTTGAGGCAAATTCCTTCCAGATGTGGGCCTGTAAAATCTATTTCCAAAATACAATGGTGAGACAGGCATTAGACAGAAATTCTCATTCCAAAAGGGATAAATAGGCAAGAAGAAATAAGAGGTCCCAAGTAAGCCCAAAACCCAACAGAGAGCATTATGTCATAAAGCCAGAGAACAATCTCCTTTGACTCTATATCCCACATCCTGAGCACACTGATGTAGGGATTGGGCCACCATGGCCTTGGTTAGCCACAGCCCCACAGCTTTGCTGGGCTCAGCCCATGACTCAGCTCTCTTGGGTTGATGATGTATGCTGTTGGCTCTGTAGTTCTGGGGTCTTGGTGGCAGTCCCACTTCCACAGCTTCATTAGGCATTGCCCTGGTGGGGGCTCTCTTTGGCAGATCTGCCCTGTGACAAGTCTCTGTCTGGGTCTCCAAAGGCCGTATGCAACATCCTTTGAAATCTAGATGGAGAAAATCATGCCCCTACAGCTCTTGCATTCTGGACACCTGCAGACTTAACATCATGTGGATGCCACTAAGATTTGCCACTTGAATCTTCTGGAGTGACAGGTCAAGTCACACCTAGGGTGTCTGAGGAGCACTGTAATGAAATGGGTGGAGCAGAGACGTGAGGTGGCTCTGGGTGGCAAGCCCATGGAGGGCACTCAGGGCCCATTGCTCAAAACCATTCTGCCCTCCTACAGCATTGGATCTGTGTTGGCAGGGTTAGCCTGGAAGATCTCTGAAATGCTTGCAGGATCTTTTCCCATTGTCTTGATGAGTAGCACCTGGCTCCCTTTATTCATATTAACCTCTTTAACAAATGGTCACCATCCACACCCTTAGTGTTCTCTCCTGAACAGGCTTTTCAGTTTTTATCTGGCCAAGATGCAAATTTTCCAAATCTTTTCACTCTGCTTCCCTTTAAATTAGTTAATACCTTTGCTCTCATATCTCACTGCATGTAGTTAAAAGTAGCCAGACAGAAGTCTGAATGGCTCACTGCTTTGATATTTCTTCCACCATATATCCAAGTTCATCACTTTTAAGTTCTGCATTCCATAAAGTCTTAGGATATAGGCATAATTCAGCCAAGGTCTTTGCTATCTTATAACAAGAATGGTCTTTATTCCAGTTTCCAATACCTTGTTCCCCATTTTTGTCTGGAACTTGTCAGAATGACTGTTACTGTCTATATTTTTCTCAACATTTTTAGGAAGATTTAGACTTTCCTAATTCTGGGATCTTTTTCTAAGCCTTCATCAGAATTGTCCTTCATGGTCTGTTCATGGCAATATGTACCTTTTCTTGCTTGCTCCTCCAAATTCTTGTAGCCTCTACTCATTACCGAATTCCAAAGCTGCTTGCACAATTTCAAGTATTTGTAACAGAAATAACTCCACTTCTTGGTCCCAATTTTCTGTCTTAGTCTGTTCTCTTCTCCTATAACAGAATACCACAGATTGGTTAAATTATAAAGAAAAGAAATTTGGGGCCAGGCATGGTGACTCATGCTTATAATCCCAGAACTTTGGAAGGCTGAGACTGGAGGATCACTCAAAGCCAGGCGTTTGAGACCAGCCTGGGAAACAAAGTGAGACTCCATCTATACCAATGAAATAAATAAAATAAAATAAAATAAAATAAAATAAAATAAAATAAAATAAAATAAAATAAGATAATTAGCTGAGCACAGTCATATGCACCTATAGTCCCAGCTACTTGGAAGACTGAGGCTGGAGGATTGTGAAGCCAGGAGTTGGAGGCTGCAGAGAGCTATGATCATACCACTGCACTCCAGCCTGCAGACCGAGCAAGACCTAGTTTCTAGTCTTGAAAAAAAGAAAAAAATTATTTGGCTCATGGTTCTGGTGTCTGGGAAGTTCAAGAGCCTACCACTGGCATCTGGCAAGGGTTATTTCTTGGCAGAAGGACAGAAGACAGAAGCAAGCTCTAGAGACACAGAGAGGAAATGGGGTTAAGCTTGCTTTTATAACAACCCACTTTCTAGATAACTAACGCTCTCCTGTGGTAATGACATTAATTCATTCACGACGGCTCTGCCTTCATGACCAATTACCTCTTGTTAGGCCTTGCCTCCCAACACTGTTGCTTTGGGAATTAAATTTCCTACACGTTAACTTTTGAGGGACACATCCAAACTGTAGCATAATGTTACTCAATTTAGTCACAACAACCTTCAGTTTTCTTCTAGTTAAAATTTATGATTCTTTTTTGGTACCACATACAAGTGTATGGTACCTTTCCAAAACTCAAGACATTAAGAAAAATTTAGTGTTCACACTTTTTTAGGTTTCAGGGACATCTTTTCATGGTGCTGTTGCTATTGTAGAATCAATGCTGAGGATAGATGTTTTAAGAGCAAGAATCTGACACCGTTACTCTCCATTTTATTTTAACAAACTTTTTTTTTTTAATCACACCAACTAAATCTTTATTCTTTTCTGCTCTGGAAACTTGGTTTTATATTCAATTATTACAAAAGCCCTCTGGTTCTCTGATAACTGAAGACAAATATGTTTCAGGTTATTATTATTTTTTTTCTATCAATCAGGCTTTTAGTCTACCATGGTGCTTGGAATCAGTCATCAATAACCAAGGCACAATTAAAAGAGTTCGACAGTATGTATAAATACTGACAGTATGGTAAAATAATTAATTAATATACAGTCATAATTCAAGTCTTCCCTAAAAACAAGGCCCACTCAAGTACATACGTTTAAATGCAATAACTAGAGCTTGCTTTAGACATATCAATGAAAAAGATTCCTCCAAAAGCAAATCTGAAAGTAAGGAACAATGTATTTTGAATAATTTCTTGTTTGTCAAGACAGTGCAATATTTTCTAGAATAAGTAAATCAGGTGCATGGTAGTACTTTAATATCAATTTTTTTGATTTTGTTATTTATTTTTTAAAGACTGGATTTAAACTCCTGATATAAAGCAGACTTTTAATTTCCCGTTTTTCAAAGATAATATTGAAAGGTCGCTTTCTAGCTTTTAAAGTTTTAAGAAATGACTCATTGTACTATCACTGTCTTACAGGCTTCAAAATCAAATATCCGGTCAATACTGTGCATTTTGATTTGGCAAACATGTATCCTTTTTGTGTGTTGTAATGGAACTTATTATTAAGAACTTTTTATTGCTAGTTCCTATGTTTTAGTTAGTAGATCTTCAGAACACTCCATTAAATAGATAAAAAAGAACATTGCATGCTTTAATGAAATACACTGAATGTGTCAATTGTAACAAAAATATCTGACCAAGCTTCATAAAATATCTGGAAAGTTTCTCATCTTATTGATTTCAGATTTATCTTTAAAATTTTATTTATATACTTTCACCATTTTCTAATTAGTAAAGAAGCCTACATTCAGAGAGGGGCATTCTCAAGGCTGCAGCCTTGCTCCCCAGAAAGACAGCATGCAACCAAATATTTGAGAGATATGCCTAAATAAGGATCCCTAAATAAGGATTGTTTCAGACTAAAACCAAAAAACGTTTTCCTCTCCAGCGATCAAAAGCTGTGGAAATTCTCGTGCCCAAAGAGACAGTGGCAGAGCATTTGACTGAGAGCCCTGGATGGCTTAAGGGTGGCTGGAAGCCTGTGTTTGACAAAGAGCTGAATGCTCCAGGAAAATGCCAGGGCCCCACCTTCTGGACTGTGGGCCCAGTGGATCTGGTCTGGCATGGTTTCAGCCCTGGTTCTAAGGAACCCTGGAAAACCTACTTAGTCCAGTTCCTTGTGAAGCACAACAAAAAGTCAAGTAAATTCTAGGCTCACCATAGAATTTTTGAACATCTCAGATCAGCCTCAGAAGTGACTTTCATTCAAGACATATTTAATGAACACCTACTATTTTTCAAGGCCATGGAACTCCCAATTCCCCCAAAAGAGAGTTTTTGTTTTTATTGATTTATTTTCCCCTAGAGAAGTTAGAGATCTTCCATGGGAAGTCAAAGGTATCAAAACTCACAGAGTGGCTAAGTGTTCCTCTCCCTGCTGTGAAAGCTAAACTTACATTTCTTAGAAAGAGGATCATGTCATCATTTACTGTGTTCCTTAAAGTCTCCGAATATTGCCACTACATGATTTTTTTTTCCCATAATGCCTTTTGTTCTTGTTTTTTAAACCTTTTTCCAAACTTGAATCAAAATCTACATAGGGGCCGGGTGTGGTAGCTCAAGTGTGTAATCCCAGCACTTCAGGAGGCCAACGCCGCCGGAGGATCCCTTAAGCCCAGGAGTTCAAGATCAACCTGGGAGACATAGCTAGACCCTGTCAAAAAAAAAAAAAAAAAAAAATCTGCTTAGGAACTATGTTCCAAGGGTTTCCTGCAGAAACAGGAATCGTTTCCATGGTGTGTGTGTGTAGTCTGTAATTTTGTCAAACTTTTGTGTGTGCTTTTAATGGTTTATGAGAACATCAATTAAGAACATCAAATGGTTTCCGAGAAAAGACCCTAGAGTAGAAAATTACCATAAATATCAAGAGAAATGAGTAGATGACCCCAGGATCACTTTGAAGGATGAAACAGGCTTTTAAAGGTCCTGGGCACACTGCACAGCCTAACAGCTTATTAAAAACACTAAAACAAGACTTGTGACTTTATTGCATTGTTGTGACACCAGATGCTATTGTTTGGGTGTCCCCTCCTGTCTCCCACAAATCCACTTCCGTATGTCTGAAAATCCGTAATACGTCTAATGATTATCAAGCAAGGGAGGTCTCAGGAATATTGTACCTTGAGAAGTATAAGAACTTCCCAGAGGTTATGTTACCATAAAATATCTAGTTTCTAGTGCTTAAAACATTAAATTGTTTGCAACATATTTTTCCGTACGTTAATCAACATACTTTGCGATCCCTTATTAAGTTCTAGCCTCTGCAACAAACGTGAAAAAAAGCAAAGACGCATAACTCAAATGTGAGAAGCACGGAAATTTCCTAGACCGCAGGGTTCGTTCTCAGTAGTCGGCAATAAGCTGGCTTTCAGAGTCAGGAACTTGATAAAGTTGTTTTGGAGGATGCCCCAGCTGTGTGAAGGTCCATTTCGTTTTGCATCTGAAGAGAAGCAAGCGAGACTCCCCTACAGGGAGTAATGGTTCAGCGGGGCAAGGTTTGAAAACCCAGAGCTGGACAAAGGCGGGAACGCACGCCGCCGCGCCGGGGCTAGGGGTGCTGACGGCCCGCGCAGCTCGCGGGCCTCCGGGTTTGAGGCCCTGGGGTCAGCCCTGCTCCGGGCTTCGCGCCCGGGCGCGGGTCAGAGCCGCCAACTTCGGGCCAATCAGCGAGCGGCGTCCCGGCGCCCGCAGCGCCCAGGCCCGCGCCCCCCGCGCCCCCGCAGCAGGAATGGCAGGAACGGATCCGGGCCGAGCCCGACCCGGGACGAGGAGGGGCTGAGCCGCGGGGGATCCTGGAATCGGCAGGGAGGTGGGGATTCTGGGAGGAAAACTCCATTTCCTCCTTCCCTGCCGGTTTCTCCCCTCTACCCTGGCACCCCAAATTTCGATGTGCCGCCTGCCGGGCGCTAAGCGCCGGTGTTGAGAGAGGCGGCGGCCGCCGCGCCCGGGAAAATGCTGGGCATGTACGTGCCGGACAGGTTCTCCCTGAAGTCCTCCCGGGTTCAGGACGGCATGGGGCTCTACACGGCCCGCAGAGTGCGAAAGGTGGGTGACCCGGCGGCGGCCTGCGCGCCCCTGCACCTCGCGCGCCCTGTGCCTCCCGGAGTCGCCCTGCCGCAGGGCCCGGGGCGCGGCGGGCTTCACCCCGGTCGCCCCTCGCCCGGGCCGGGCCAGGCGTCCGTGGGAAGGCCGGGGACCGCGGGGCACGGCGGGGGTGGCCTTTACTCGCTGCGCCACCCGAGCAGGCAGCGCCACGTAGGTGGCGGCGGGGTGCGCTCCGCTGCCGGCCGGTCCAGGGGCGGAACTGCCACCGGCCTCCCTGCCGCAAGATGTCTTTCCTCTCTCCCGCAGGAAGTGAGCGCGGCGGGAGCCTCCCTCTTCCTCGGTTACGGGTGTGAGCTGCGTCTTTGCGTTGGCGAAGGCACGCGTGGGCGGGTGTTTTCCCCCGCGCGCACGCTGCTCCGCTGTCGCCTCTTTTCCTTTAGGATGAATTAATGTGGCTAGAAACGCCTAACTTTCCATGCGGGGATGGGAGGAGCAGCCCAGAGCGCCGCTCCACGCAGGCCGTAGAATCTCATTCATACGCCCAGGATTTCCTTCCCTCCTTCTGGAATGTATTATATGTGCCTTCAGGGAGGTGCCAACCAGATGATCTTTGAGTGTCTATACCTTTTTTCTCCGCTCTTTTTTTTTTTAATTTGTCTCCAACATCGGTTCGATCTCTCCAGCCAGAAAGTTACAGGCATGTGATGAGAGGAAGCACATTGCTCAGTTCGTACAGGAAGGGCCTGAAAGTGTTGGATGTTGAAAGCAAAGGCCTAGGAAGAGAGGCCACAGGAAAAGTCCAGCTCTTTGGATTTGATCTTATAATATTATAACTTGTTAGAGTCGTCCTAGCCGTCCTCGCCCCCTTTTCTTAGTAGATATTTTGTAAGATGGAGGTTTGGGCAAGAACAGGCTTGTTCAGGTAAGGTATGTTAACAAGAGGTTCAGAGGATGCAGTAGAGACACTAGGGTGCCTTTCATCTGCATATAACCCTCTCCCCTTTGCCTCTGACCTAAAGAGCTGGTGAAGAGTAGTAGAAAGTGCTAGTAATCCCCAAAAAGGGCTCCACTGACAACATGATCTCCAGTCATCCTTCAGGGCAAAATTGGAGAAAATAAACCACTTATTTATTTTTTCAAGTGGGAGTTGGCGAGAATGTTCAAATGTTAAAAACAGGAATAAATAATTTATCTGAATTAGAGGTGTATTGAATAGTTGCCAAATGGCCAAATGTTAAAATCAACATTTTTTGAAGGCCAAATACAACCATCACCAAATGACGTCTGTACAGAGTTGAAATTCTCCTTTTAATTCATTCTTAAAAGATGTGAAAAATTCTCAAACAGACCTTCCTTAAAGGTTTCTGGCTTAAATTTAATTACTTTAAAAATTAAACACAGATCTTAAAAATCATTTTATTTAATGTTATGAAGAGTACTGTAAACAACTCTGCAAAGATTAGAATTATTATATAATCCTTGTTGTTTCCTTATATTACCATATAGATTTTTAGAAACAGCTGGCCAACCTACTTTCTTTTGAGATTTTTATTAATTTCAGTTTATTTTTTTCATGTGTTTGATTCTTTGTAAGTATTTTATTTTTGGGCATGCAATGAAATGAACAGCTTCCAAAATCATCATATATTATTGCATCACTTTACTATTGCAATGATAAATGCTTATCTTTTCCTGGCCAGTTTAACTTTAATAAATAAAACACATACAGATTTTCATCCAGATCATATTTAGAATGCTTCGCTGTATTTCAAAGTGAATGTGCAGATGTTTGCTATGAATCCAAACTATTATCGATGTTTAGTTATGATCCCAAAATATTCAGTCACAAGGTCATGGACAGGTTTGTTGATCTCAGAAATGACCTTAAAGCAAGCTTCAGTTCCTTTTCCTTCCAAAATCTGAGGACGAAGACAAAGCTAAAGCCAAACAGCAGACTTTAGCTGAATTGTGAGGCTGCAGCTGAGTATCAAGGCATCCCTTACCTGCTTATGGAAGGCAAACAGTCCCTCAATTCTTAGGTATTTTCCAAGTAACCTTGTACTAGGCCTAATTCTGGACATAAATCAAGGGATCTGAGAAGAGAGATTTATCAGCAGCTACATTAAGAACCTTACTTAAAAGTTTTTATGCTCTCTATTCTAAACAAATTTTGGAAGATACCACTTTTAATACATGTGTTGGAAATTACAGATGTTTTGCCACACTTTTATAACACATATGCTTGTATAACACTCCTGTTTTAAAAAGTGCTTGCAATTCAAGCCATCTGTTGATTTCAAATTCAGAGAATCTAATCCAGACTGAGGTTGGGGAATCTTGCTAGAAACCCCACCCTCATTACATTCACCAGGTTGAGATGGGATTTTCTTGCTGGTGGTACCTCTTAATCCTCTAGTCCTACCCCTTTTCGTGCAGTGCTTCCTAGAGTGGTGGTGTCTTTGCAGCAGAATCACCTAATTCCCTGGCTTTACCTTAGTCCTACTAGATTTTTCCTTGGCAATTATCCTTTTTTGCTGGTCTGTTGCCTCTGATTTTTTTTCCAGTATAAAAATCTGTATAGTGACAACTCAAGAAAACGAAAAGAGTCAGTTAGAAAGCTTTTGAGAAGAAAAAGGAGACCTGAGTTCATTCATACTTTTACACATTGTGATTTGCTAATAATCAGAATAAGGAAAAATAATGAAATTGACACTTTTTGCATGCTGTGTGCCAGACCCTGTCTAATGCTTGCTGTGTTTTCTCGGGAGCACAGTTGAATGCTTCAGTGAAAATGTGGCATTTTAGGTTGCAAAGTATTATGCAGATTAAAATTAATATTAGTTACTCAAAACTCATAAATTAAGTATACATCCAATAAAAATTTAAAGTTAAGCAGACACCTTACTACATTACATTTTTTGTTTCATGACCATTTTTTTCCTAGCTTGCTTATATGATTAACCACCAGTGGGTGGTGTTTTTTGATATTGTACCTGAAACTGCAAAGTGGAAAGGTTATTTCAAGCTCTCAGATTATGTGATTTTAAGGGAAAGATTAAGGTGGAAATACACTGCTCTCAGCTTTCTTTCCCTTTGGATATTTTAGGCTGTAGGTTTTTCTTCTCTGACTTTCAGTCATTTAATCATTCATATGTGGCAGGTACTGTACTAGGCCCTGGGAATACACAGGTGAGCAAGACAGACAAGGTCTTTTTCTGCAAGGAGCTTGCTTTCTTATGTGGGGAGATAGGCAGCAAACAAGTATAAAATGGAAGATTACCAAAATGATTGAGGCAAGTGTTAAATTAATTGCAGGAAATAAACAGGATGAGGCATTAAAGAGTAAATGAGGGGTGGGTCTACTTTAGGAGGGTCAGCAGGGAAGACTTTTCAGAGGAAATGACTTCTGAGCAGAGAGCTGAAGTCGCTGAGCCAGCCAGGAGATTCTCTAGGAAGAGAAGTGCAGAGAGCCAGCCTGTTCAGTATAAAGTTCTTCCTCTTTCAAAGTGCCTGTCTCTGGGCTTTGGCCAGAGGCATGCTTCCCAGCCTGTGGGCTGGCCACTTGGCAGGCTGCAACCATTTAGGAGAAATAAAGTCCTGTCTCCGCCTCTCCTTTTCTAAAATTATATCTTGTAATTTTTTGCTGAGTTAACAGACATCATCTAATTGGCACATCCTCATTTTACAGGTGAGAACACTGAAGCCCAGAGAGTTGCAGGGAGTCTTGCAGCTCACAGTTGCCTCTCAGATTCCTATGCCTTCCACAGTGTCAACTCCCTCCTTTCCAAACCAAGGCACACACCTTGATTCTCACTGAGGGATTTGTACTAAGGTCATTTGGTGAGGTAAAATCCTAAGTAAAAAAAAAAAAAAAAAAAAATACCTGACGTAAAGGCTTAAAGGTGAGTTTGTAAAAATACAGTAAGATTTTAAAACAAAAGTCAAATTTTACAAAGTTAAAAAAAATCAAAGAAAGAAAAAAGCTGAAACAGATAAGTAAATAAAAGCCTGTAGAGGAAAAATCACCATGCATAAATGTTAATACAGGAAGAGCAGACTTTGTGGGATAAGGTGTTGTGTTGATCAGTGTAGAAGGTGACTTGTCTGAAGAAACATGGATTTGTATCCTAGGGCTAAAAATCTGCCAGCCAATGTTTGCTTACATTTCCTGGTGGCCGATGATAACTAATCTGGAAACATAATCAGAGGAAAAGTAATCATGAAGCCTGCCGTATATGCTATCTCTTCCCTGTGTTCACACATTCACACTTCTCCATAGTGACTCAAGGCAGCTTTGTATTTCCTGGTGTTATTAAACATTTTTTAAACTATGTAACTACTCTAACATTTTCTCCAAACTATATTTTTTGTGATAATGGCAGCTACAATTAATTCAATAAGTATTTATTGAACTATGGCAGTTTTTAGGCACTGTTTTAGTTACTAGTGGCAGAAAAGCGAGTGACAGAGACAACAGTCACTAGATGCTTTACACAGTTTTTAGTGAAGTCCTGCAATAAACCTGCAAGGGGGCTGTTAGTATCCCTGTTTTATAGATGAGAGAGGTGATGTTGAGGAAGGTTACATCAGTCATAAGTGGATTAATGAAAATTTGAACTCAGGTCATTCCATATACACTTTTCCTTAAAAATGTTTTTTCTCTATTCTGATAAAATGCTATATCCACAAATATACAAACACATGCACACTTTTAAAAAAAACATAAGTTTACAAAAATAAGAAAAGAGTAAACTCACTTCATCATCTCACACTTCTTTCGACGGTATCTTGTGGAAATTCCTGTATCTACCTTGGCTCTGTTTTTTTTTTTTTTTTAATGTCTGACTATAGTCTATGCTGTGGATGTGCCATAATTTTTATTTATTCAGGTCTTGTTTTACACATTCATTTAACAATCTTTATCACTCTATATGCCAAGACCTGTACTATTCACTTTGGGGTACAATAGTTAAGAAAATAGGTATTCTGGCTCTTGGGGAGCTTGCAGTCCAGTGAGGGAAGACACAAGATAACAGACCTATAAGATAAATTTTATACTATGTTAAATATTATAAGAATTATAGAAAAAAGAAAAAGAGCTAGGTATGGTTGACTTGGCAGAAAAGGTGTGTGGGTGTGTGTGTGGGATGCTATACATGTTAGATGGGTCAGTTAATCCTCACTAAACAGGAGAGATTTGGGCAATTATTTGAAGGGTGGTAGGAAATTAGCCAAACATATATCTACGGGAAGAGCATTCTAAGTGCAGAAGAGGCAGCTACAGTAAAGGACCTAAGACGGGAGTTTGCCTGTTGTGGTCCAAGCACAAGGAGGTCAGTGTGGCTGGAATGCAATGAGCAAGCAGTTGAGGAGGAGGTCAGAGGGCTAATGAAGGGATGAGTGTTAGGGGAAGATCCACTGCTTAGAGCCCTTTAGGCCACTGCAAAGCCTTTGACTTTTACTTTGCGTGAAATGAGAGGGCACTGCAGAGTTTTGAACAAAGGAGTGACATAAGTTTATCAAGCATGACTCTGGCTGTTCTGTTGAGAAAAGTTTGCCACAGGGCAAGTGTGTAAACTGGGAGAGTTAGGATTCTACTGCAGTAATCCATGTGAGAGGTGATAGCAGTTTAGACCAAGATAGTGGCTACTTTGGTAGTGTGGGGTAACAGAACATGCTGATAGGATTGGATGTGAAGTGTGAAAGAATGGGAAGGATTCAGGATGATTCCACGGATTTTAGCCTGAGGAATTGGAAGGATTGGATTGTCAGCCAACAACTGAGATGGGGAAGGTTGTGGGTGGAGGAGGTTTGAAGAGGGCAGATCACGGGTTCAGTTTAAGGCATGTTGTTTTTGAGATGTCTGTTAGACAGCAAGGGGATATGTCAAAGTGTCAGTGAGATACAATTGTATAATGCAGTTCCTCCTTCCCATTCTTTAAAATGTCACACATTTTATGTTTTATGTTATAAATCTTACAGTACGTTTTTACTCTTGTTTCTTTAGATCATCAGTGATCTTTTAGAGCAATTAAAATGAAGACAAATTGTCTTTGTTATGTACCTCTACTTTTTACCATTACATTTAGCTATTTATTTATTTATTTATTTATTTATTTATTTATTTATGAGATACAGTCTTGCTCTGTCGTCCAGGCTAAAGTGCAGAGGTGCGATCTCAGCTCACTGCAACCTTTGCCTCCCAGGTTCCAGCTATTCTCCTGCCTCAGCCTCCTGAGTAGCTGTGATTATAGGTGCCCACCACCACACCTGGCTAATTTTTGTATTTTTAATAGACAGGGTTTTACCATGTTGGTGAGGCTGATCTCGAACTCCTGACCTCAAGTGATTTGCCCACCTCGGCCTCCCAAAGTGCTGGGATTACAGGCATGAACCACCGTGCCTGGCCCATTTATTTATTTTGAACTAAGTTTCTGTCTGGTATCATATTCTGAATGCTGAAGAACTTCATTTAACATTTCTTATAACACTTGTCTTCTGGCAATGAATTTTCTCAGCCTTTATCTGCCCTTCTGCCCTGCTCTTGTTCTTCTCCCCACAGTGGACTTCGCTGTGTTATTTTTTGGTGCTGGGTGGGCTGATGGTGAGGGGTATGGGAGAAGGATCTCTGTTGTCTTGTTCCATTCGCCCTCTTATGTAGGGTTTCTCTGCCTGGGCACTGGGAGTTGGGCTTTCTCAATATGCCTGCTCCTCTTCCCTAGGAGAGCTAATCTTTTAACTTGTGTCAGTGGTTGGTCTTTTGTGGGTGAACATTTCTTGTCCCTTCCCCAGTGGTAGGAGTCCTTTGATGGTTGTGGTCTAAGTGCTTGAGCCTGTACTGTTTCTTTCCCTTCTCCCCGCAGTGGTGGATCTTTACTGGGGTCATCCTGGGGATGACATAGTTTATTGCTTTTCTTCAGTAGCTAAAGGCTTTCTTCTGATATGAGAAAAAGGTCAGGACAGGAGGTGTACACTGTCATGCCATTCTTGCAGCAGCTGCTGTTCCGCTCTTGCATGACAGCATCACTGAGGAAGTCTCTTTGTTCTCCCATCTGTTCCCAAACCTCTCTCACATGGGGAGGTCCTTGGAAAATAATGTGAACATGCCTGTGAGCATCTCTTGGGTCTGGGGCTTGCTGTAGTTCTATACCTTCATTCTGTCTCACATTCCTCCTTTAGCAAGTTGTTAAAATGTTAGTTGATTTTTTACTTGTTTGGATGGTGGATGGAGTAGGGCACTGGCCACAGGTAAGCTAGTGCTCTCCTTAAGAAAAGTTATGATTTTGCAGTTTATCATTCTCATTGTTAGGATAGTAGTGATACTCTTACTAACCTTCTTGGTGGAAACTGAACTTTTATATATTTTTTATTTCAATAGCTTTAGGGGTACAAGTGGTTTTTGGTTACATGGATGAATTGTATAGTGGTGAAGTTTGAGATTTTGGTGTACCACTCACTGAGTAATGTATATTAAATCCAATATGGAGTTTGGATAACCCTCCTAGCCTGTCTCTTCCGAGTGTCCAGTGTTCATTATACCACTCTGTATGCCTTTGTGTACCCACAGCTTAGCTCCCATTTGTAAGTGAGAATGTGTGGTATTTGGTTTTTCATTCCTGAGTTACTTCACTTAGAATAATGGCCTCCAGCTAGATCCAAGCCGCTGCCAGAGACATTATTTTGTTATTTTTTATGGCTGAATAGTATTACATTGTGTATATATACATTTTCTTTTATCCACTCATAGGCTGATGGGCACTTAGGTTGATTCCATCTCTTTATGATTGTGAATTGGGCTGTGATAAACATACATGTGCAGGTGTCTTTTTGATACAATGCAGTTGATACAAAGCATTTCCTCTGCTTGCACTCACTCCATCCTGCAGCCCTTGGAAGAAGGTGCGTGCTTCTCTTTTGCCTTCCACCATGATTCTGTTTCCTGAGGCCTCCCTAGCAATGTGGAACTGTGAGCCAATTAAACCTCTTTCCTTTATAAATTACCCAGACTTAGGGAAGTTCTTTATAGCAGTGTGAGAATAGATTAATACACTTCTCATCCCTTTAAAAAAATACTCTGGAGTTATGGTTTTATATGTGAGGTTTCCTGGATCTGTTCTCTAAATATCATATTTTTATCTGGTCATGGTTTTCACTTGAGATTTTGTTTTTGAATTTGATTCTAAATATCATATTTTTATCTGTTCGTAGTTTTCACTTGAGATTTTTTTTTGAATTTGATTCTTATCTCTTTCTTTCAATTCATTCTGTAAAGATATTTAATTGGGAAGTTAATGGTTTTTAACTCTTAAAAGTTTTTTTTTTTTTGAGTGCTGTATTTGAATCTCCTTAAATTTTCTTAGATAATTCAGGTATTCCCTTTAGTTGAGGTATTCTGTCTGCTGCAGAACACAGAGCGTGGGTCTAATTCTTCTGCCTTATCTTCCTTTTTCTAGCAGCTCTGCTCCTTTGTATGGGCTGTATCCCTTGGTTGACTCATTGGAGCTCAAGACTGTTATTGAATAGTCCTCTGTGGCGTCAGTCCTGCAGGTGGTAGAAGGCAAATGGGTCTCTCTTCAGTGGGCCTGCACTGGCAGATAGGCTGTCAGTTCCCTGTCAGTCAGCTTTCTGGTCTCCTTGTACTTTTGTGGGCATCAAGAGCAGGAAAGATTGTGGGCTGTGACCCCCTCCATCTCTGACTTTCAAATTCTTTTTGGGATTCCCTGGTTTTCAGTCCTTGTCCCTGGTTACTCTGCTGTCCTCTACTTTATTACTAAGTCTACTGGAGAGAACACCTCACACCAGATTTCTGCCAGAACCTAAGGCTTCACTTGCATCCATTTGCCCACAGATGCTAGTAGTAGTTGTTTTGCTCAAGAGAGGAAAGTAACAGGTTTGAGGGTGAAGGGGAAAGGTGTTGCATTCAGGTCACCATATACCCACAATTCTTTTTGTCGCATCTCTTCTGCATTTCCGTTTTGTATTATTTCATAAGTGATGCATTTCATAAAGAATAATTCCATTTTATTATAGGCACCACTACATTTCTTTCCCCTGACCTCTGCTATATCAACTGGAGTAAGAGAGACAACTGCAGTAATTAAACTTGAAGTTTTTGTTCTCCCTCTAACAGGAAGCTGGCAGATGGAACAAGATGTTTGTGGCCATTAGTTCAGTGGCTCAAAATGTCAGGGCAGAAGTCTTTGCAATTCTCTTGGACTCAAGGTGGCTGCTTCAGCCCCAGCTATCATGCTCATATTCCAGGTAGGGAGAAACAGGATTAGGTATACTTTCTAGTTGACTCAGCTTCATTTAAGAACTTGTGTGATAGTTCCATACAATGATTTCTACTCACAGGTTGTTTGCTCCCTTCTCTTCGAGATAAATATAGTATTTTACCTGGATACATTAGTACCCTTAACACGATCAGTGTTCTAGTACTAATGGGAATGGATATAGGGAGGCAACTAGTCTGCCTCAGACTTCCTACAGTGGGGAAGGAAGATTGGTTATTTTTCACATTGAACTTTTAAGAAACACATTTAATACACTATTGAAGGTCTAATTATATTGCAAAGGCACATCCATGCACAGTAGTTTAACATTGAAACATAATTATGTTCTAAGTGGGGACTCTAGTCTCCTTCTGTGAAAAACATCATTATTTCAAATATAAATGACTCAACTGCAGATTGATTCACTTTAATGTATTTATTTCATCTATATGTATATTTTTTATTTCTGAACTATTTCAAAGTAAATTACAGATGTTGTGACAATTCACCCCTCAATACTTTAGCATAAGGACATTCTCCTAAATAGCCATGATGCTGTTTTAGCAAATCCAACAAAAATAACAGTAATTTCCTAATGTCTTCTAATGCTAGTCCATATTTAAATTACTCCAATTGCCTAAAAATGTTTTTATAGCTATTTATTTTTGAACCAGGATCTTATCAAAGACTACATATTACATTTAGTTATGTCTATTAAATATCTCTTTAATCCCTCCCTCCCCCTTTTTAATAACAGTGACTCTCTGAAGAGATCATGTCAGTTGTAGAATATCTCACATCTGGATTTACCTGATTACATTCCCAGGGCTTTATTTAACTTGTTTCTCTATCTTCTATAATTCCTGCAGTCTGGAAGTTAGATATAAATATTTCTGGCAAAAATACATTATGGAGTGATGCTGGTTTATTTGTGCTGCATAACAGTAGGGGGCATATAATGTATCTGGCTTCCCACTGTTACTGATGCCAACATTGGGTTAAGGTAATTTTTCTGTTGTAAATGTCCTGTTTCCCCTTTGTTCTTAGCAAGTAATCTGTGAGCTGATACTGCTAAATGGATATATATTTTTTCACCATCAACCTTTTGCCTAATGGTTTTAGTATCCATGGAGAATTCTTGCCAAATCAGTAATATTATTAGGGATTTCAAAATGGTGATTCGCTAACTCAAATATTCCCCCTTTATTTATAAGTTAGCATTCTCCTGTAAAGAGGAGCTTTTCATCATCAATTTCTGCTGTCTGGTTAGCCTGAACTATGGTTAGTATTGAAAAGGCAGGATAAAATGCTTAATTCCTTTTCTTTACTAATTTTAATAATAACTTATTATCCTCTAATGATAGCAAATGAGATTTTAAAAACATTTTCTCTCACTGACAGTATGGGCTTACAAATTTGTTAATGTGTTTCAATCAGTTATCCTCTTGTCCTGTTTGAGTCTCAGATTGTTCTAAATTTGGTCTGTGGAAGCTCTTTCTATTGGAATTTAAAAGCTGGAAGAAATCTTAGAATCAACTAATCTAAATCCCTAAGTTTTGTAGATAAGGAGACTGAGGCTTAGAAGATAGTGCTTTTCCCCACAATTCTGAGAGAGATATCTGCAGTGAATCTTGTTTTTAACTTCTCACTAATAACATTCAGCAAAATGAGAGAAAATGGCCCACATTTTTGCAATCATACAGTTTTTGTTTATTAAAAGTTACTGTCTAGTCCAGTGAATAGAAGATTGAATGGATTAATTATCTGCTTTATTCAGAAACAGTTTGAATAAAAACAAAGATGCTCCATTATGGGCTGGACATTGGATCAGTCTGAGAAGTGAGTTTGACTCAGACAGTTTGGTGTGTACAGGCTGAATTTATCTTGAAGTCACATTTTATTTGACCTGCACAAAGTGTTGAGTTCTTGGAATTCATTGACAGTGTAAAAAATCAGTGATTTCACACACAAATTTGAGTTATTAGCTTCTCTAAAAATCATGTATATATCTGGCAACATTGGGTCCACATGGTGATACAGCAACATTCAGTTGGAGTGGAAAAGTTTTTAGGTGGCATGCTCTTTCCACCTTACCTCCTGGCTACTCTCTAAAATATCATTTACATGTTTATGGTTGGGTATCTGGTGTTGTGTTGCCCTACTGCCTAACTTGTAAGTGTTTGAGGTGGTGACTCTTGAGATAGAAGTGAAGAAGTCTAGGAAAGTTCTTGCAAAGAAATCACAAGTCAAAGGTAATACCAATAATGCAGGCACAAATGGACAGCAAGAAAATGGAAGAGCGGACAGTTTTCCTATCTGCTAGTGTGAAATCTTCAGCAGGTTTATTACAAAAAGTAAAACCAATGATATCAGGAAGTCAGCCAGAAATTTTTGAAGTTTTCAAGAAGAGTGTTTGAAATACAGGTTTCCTTCCTGTCATTAATTTTGAACCTCCTCCTAGGTGTTTAATTTACTAAGGCACATGTATATACTTCATTTATGATGAATCATATGAAAAACTTTCATTTTGTAGGTCAAAAATGGTCAAATATTGGCAATTTCATATAATTCCACTAAAAGAAAAAGAATTATATATGTATGGGGTATGTGCCCCAAACTTCCCTTTCATAGATGTGCTGCCCAAGCAGATCTGAAGTCCACTGAGGTAGAAGAGGCTTATACTGAAGTTAGAATCTCTGTAGGAAATGTGGTTAGTGAATAAAAATAAAATTGTAATTACAGTTTTAAGAAACTACTGTTTGTATGATAGAGACAACAGTGAACAAAGAGAGAGAGAAGGATTGGGTAGCTGGTGCTGGAATCCCTAGGGGAAGGCTTCCTAAGAGTGGGTCTACTCAGTATAAAATCTTCATCTAAAGCCAAATATAAATTAGGTTTTCAATATCTGCATTGTTTCTCACCACAGTAGTATGGATAATTGAGAGTTGGCTATTTACATTTTTATAATCTTGCAGCCATGAAAATTCAAGTTTATTTGATGAACTCTTTGTAACAGACCCGGTAAGGTACTTTGAAGAAATGTCATCAAAGATAGAAAGCTAATTTACCTCCCCTATCAGTGTTTTTAATGTCAGTGTTTTTCAAGCTGTGAATCGCAGCCCATCAATGAGTTCTGTAATTAATTTAGTGGGTCAAAACTCTTTTTTTTTTTTAAAGCATATGAAATAACACAGAGTAGAAAATATGAAGAAATTTATACAGTATCACAGGGTTTTTTTTGTCTTTTCTTTGAAGGATATTCCTGAAATATTAAGTATCTCAGTTTTATAGGTGTGTGTTTCTGTGTATGTGTGAATGTGCTAAGTTGAGATACAAAATACATTTCTTAAAGCTAAAAACCACTATTTATTATAATTTGGTGGTTTGAGTTTATGATAGAGAGTGATTGTTCTCTATTAATGGTGAAGCTTTAAAATCAGCATTCTGCTTAATCTGAATTTTCAGAGCTTTAAGTCTTTTAATAATCTTACTAGGCCTGCATCCAAGCAGGCTTCCCCCGCACCCCCCACCCCCCGATCCCATTGCATTTATTTGAGTTTCTATTCTTTCCTCTTTAGTCCTCTGAACACTGCTGAATTGATAGATTCACTTTTTTTTTTCCCCTCCAAATTTGTACTGCAAAGAGGAACTGATTGGTTTGGATAGATCAGTTACTTTGGAAAGTGTGTACTTAGATTATTATTACTTTCTGTAATAGTTGATAAAGGCTAAATACATGACAGAGTGGACCGAAAATGGAACCACATTCATTCATATTTAACCCTCACATTTATTACAGAAAACACACCTTATTTTTTGGTCTGTTTTCTAGATTGGCTTTAACATAAGCTCACAGTTTCTTCAATTCAGTAGTCAATGTATTGAGTGTGTACATTGGGCAATTGCACGGCCCAGGTCATTGCTAAATTGTAGTCAATGGAAAGCTGAGGAGGTGGCATCAGGTGGCCTCAGCAGTGGACCATGCAGCTGTCTGTCAGGGTTTTGAGTGTTGGCTTGGTGAAGTGGATGTTGCCTGAGCACTCCACTCAGAATAAACCACTGGTTCCTGATACTATGTCTAATCATCGCCACCTGATTGACCTTAATCAAGCAAGCTATTTAAATTCCGAGGCTCAATTTTCTTAGTTGTTAAATGGGGAAACTCCCACATAGGATTATTTGGAATGCAGCACATGGTAGTTCAGTAAGTGTTAACTCTTCTCCCCTGTTCTTGTGGAGCTTTTCCTACCTGCCATCAAATCCTGGTTAGGTCCCATCTGGAGGAGAGAAGTGATTACTTTGTAAAGAAAGCCTCTTTGGGGCTGTTGTGTTTAAGTGTGATGTTGAATGCCCATTTTAGCATGAGGGGACTAGTGAGGCATGAGAGGATTGTGAAGCAGAGTAGGCTTCTAGCTTCTCTGAAATTGGCTGTCTAAACTTTGTATTAATATTTCTAATGTTATGAATAGTGAGCAATCTCCCTGTTTCTTTGCTATGCCTGTGTTTAAATTACTTACAATTATAGTCTTGATTTGAGGAATCTCTGGGTATTTTCTGCCCCTAAGTTAACATTAAAGAAATGGTCTTCCTGGCTCTGCCAGTATTTATGGCTTCTCCGGACCTCTTTTCTTCATCTGTAAAATGAGGGGGCTGGGTTAACTATTAATATTTGTAATTCTTTAAGCTTTAAAATTTTACTGTTCTCAGGAGTTGGGTGTTCTGTTGTTCATTAAGTAATTTATATCCTTGAAATATTGCCTTAGTGGTTATCTTTTCTCCTTACAATGTTCATCAAAAGAGATTTTGTTGGTTTTTTTCTTGCATCACCTCCATGTGAAGGGAAGGATTCTGCTGAAAAATAGTCATAGGCAGGTTTAGAAGCATGAGTGGCTCTGTGTCTCCTCTGCACACATTTCAACAAAATGTCTGGTTGGACAAATTCAACTCATTCCCACTGTCTCTGCAGTCCCTGCTTTGGTCACTTTAGAGAGAAAAGAGTGTTACTTGCCCATTGAACATGTCCTTAAAAGTCCCGTCAGGGTAGATTGAAGGACAGCCCATTTCCAGATTCTGATTTTAACAAAGACCAGAATTCTGTATCTCAAACTAGTAACACGGGTGTTTCTCATGCATGTGGGCTTCAAAGCACACACTTCAAGAAAGCATGGTTTAAAGTGTGCCCATTTGCCTGTTTGAAAGATTGGCAGGCAAATTTAAAGTTTATTTATGAACACTCTTCCTCTGAGAATGCCAAGCCCACGTCCTTCTTGTCCAGAATATGGATGAATTTATGATTTTTATGGAAACCAGGTGATTTTCTGCCTGGTGGGCTTGTCTCTCAAGTCAGACAAAACTCAGTGCTTTTTTCAACATCGCTTGCCAGAGGCTATGAAGAGGATTGAAACATATGAAATACAATGTCCAGTGCCTTGTCAGAATTTGAAAGTAAATGATTTAACCCTTTTATGTTGCTCCTATGTTGTGGATTTAGCGTTTTAGGCTAAAAACAGATTAAGTTGGATTGTAAATAAACATTTTGTGTTGGGTAAATTAGTTAATATTTCAAAAGCATCTCTTCTTTGGGCATGAAGATTTGCAGAAAAACATTCCAGAAGAAAAAAGTCGTTTATTTTAGTATGTTGATTTATTGTACTAATCCTTGTTCAATATAATCATTGCTACTCAGGGTGAAAAGTTCGGACCCTTTGCTGGAGAGAAGAGAATGCCTGAAGACTTGGATGAAAATATGGATTACAGGTTGATGTGGGAGGTGAGGATATGACTTATTTTAATGTTAAAAATATATTTGTATTGTACCATTTAATGCATTTTTAAGGCTACATTAATTGATATTGATTCCAGTTAAGTATTTAAGTATTGAAATGTTTTAGGTTTTTTTTTTTTTTTTTGAGATGGAGATTTGCTCTTGTTGCCCAGGCTGGAGTGCAATGGTGCGATCTTGGCTCACTGCAACGTCCGCCCCCCAGGTTCAAGCGATTCTCCTGCCTTAGTCTCCCGAGTAGCTGGGATTACAGGCGCATGCCAACATGTCCAGCTAATTTTGTATTTTTAGTTGAGACGGGGTTTTGCCACATTGGCCAGGCTGGTCTTGAACTTCTGACCTCAGGTGATCTACCCGTCTCGGCCTCCCAGAGTGCTATGATTACAGGCATGAGCCACTGTGCCCAGCCAAAATGTTTTAGGTTTTAAAAAAAGTTCAGCTTTTTTTTTTTTTTTTTTAGAGAAAGTGGACTGTTGAGATATCTTACTAGACAGTTCTTTTAGAGATCTGAAGTTCTTCGTTGAAAAATAAGTTTTTCAGGTATAGTGATGTTTGACTTTCAAAATAAGCATGCCCTGAATTTAGAACTTGACTTCTGTAAATAAAATTATACTTAATTTTTTTTATTTACTAGTTGAAGTTCTAATTGTATAGAAACAAATCTCAGTTTCATGTTGTAACAAAAATCCCGCCTTAAAATGTACTTTACCTTTAAAAACACATAGTTAAGGAGTTGTAACACTAGAGACAGTCTTTTGCAGTCTAAAGTTTCACTTAAGCAGAGATCTGTATATGCCAGTATATGTCTGCACGTTATGAGAATTTTCATCCTAGTTTATGCCAATTATATTCGTTGCTGTTCTTTTCTAGGCATTAGAAAAAGGACCTAAGGTATCAAAATAGGAAAGCAGTGGTGTAGACTGTTGAAACAAAAATTTGGAAAATGCAGTCCTAGGAATTATATATGCATGTGTTACTTAATGACAGGGATTCATTCTAAGAAATGCGTCATCAAGTGAACATCATAGAGCATATTTGTACAAGCCTAGATGGTATAGCCTACTGTACTCCTAAGCTATAGGGTATAGCCTATTGCTCCTGGACGGTAAACCTGTACAGCATGTTACTGTACTGAGTAATGGAGGCAATTGGAAGACAGTGGCAAGCATTTGTGGATCCAATGTATCTATACAAGCCAGGCACAGTGGCTTGTGCCTAATTCCAGGTACTCAGGAGGCTAAGGCAGGAGGATTGCTTGAGGCCAGGAGTTGGAGCCCAGCCAGAGCGACATAGCAACCCAATGTCTTAAAAAAATATAAAAAATTATCTGGGCCTTGTGGTACGTGCCTGTAGTCCCAGCTACTCAGGAGGTTGAGGTGGGAGGATTGCCTGAGCCTAGGAGTTCAAGGCTGCAGTGAACTATGATCTTGCCACTGCACTCCAGCCTAGGCAACAGAAGGAGACCCCTTCTCTAGCAAATGAAATTGAAAAAGATCTAAATACAGAAAAAGTACAATAAAAATATAGTATTATAATCATAGGAGACCACCATTGTATGTATAGTCACTGTTGACTGAAACATTGCATTGTGACCCAAGACTATTTGATAGTTTCTATGAGAAGGGTAAGAGCTGAGATACATGTAGGAGGTAGAGATTATGCAATCAGAAAAGGTTGGAAAACTGGAGTTTTCCACACATAGAGAGTCTCTCTTGCATGTATCAGTAAGGGTCTTCAGAGAAATAGAACCAAGGAGATAGTATATATATTTGTTTATTTTAAGGTATTATGTTATTGTGGTGGTAGCAAGTCTGAAATTTATAGGGCAGGTCCTCAGGCTGGAACCTCAGGCAGAAAGGTGATGCTGTGGTCTTGAGGCAGAATAGCTTCTCCAGGATACCTTAGTTTTTGCTCTTAAGGGCTGTGACTAAATGGATGAGGGCCACACATGTTATGGAGGGTGATCTCCTTTACTTACAGTAAACTGATTGTAGATGTTAACCGCATCTACAAAATACCTTTACTCCTATATCAGTATTTGATTGTTAGATGTTAACCGCATCTACAAAATACCTTTACTGCTATATCAGCGTTTGATTAAATAATTGGGTACTATAGCCTATCCATAGTATACATAAAACTATCAGTGTATTACCTGTAAGCAAAATGCATTTTTAAGCATCACCCGTATTGTTGAAACTGCTGGGGGTGAGGAGTGGAGGTGACTGAGAAAGGATTCTGAAAGGTTTCTTCAGTGCAAGTGATAAAAAATGGAAATTCATAATATAGTCCTCACTATAATTTAAGTGGGAAATGTTATTGATATTGTCTGAATTTAGCCTGCTGTTTTGTTTACTTTTATGTACTTAAACATTTTAATGGCTTTCACTATGTTTCTACAAGGTCTTAATTTCCTCAGCAGTTAATTCTTTTACTATGAAGGTTTTTCAGAAACCATACATTTATGTGAACCAAAAAAACCTGATAACTTAGTAAGTCATAAAATGATAAAAATGCTACATTTTTAACAGGTTTTTTCTTTTTTAAAAATGTTATTTGTATAAATTTAAGGGGTACAAATTCAATTTTTAACATGTTATTAATAGTTTATGTTACTTGTTTTGTTATCTGAAAATTTTAGTGTGATGATCATATTAATGTTTTGTGTAGCTATAAGGTAGTGTTAAACAGATAATAATTTTTATTTTAAAAGGAAGACTTGCATATAGGAAACAAAGTCATTTTTGTACTATTATATAGTTGACAGTTCCACAGTACATCATCTAGTTTTGCATTATCTATTCCTGTAGTTCTTTAATGTCTTTGCATTATTATTTTGTTTTCACACTAGTTGTCTCCAGCTCTCTCACTCTGCTACCCAAGGAGCTATTGATTTTATACATTTTTATGCTCAGGTAATGGTACACTCACACGATTGCCATTCTCTGTTTCATTTTACTTCACCCTTTATGTCTGTGTTTTGAACAAGTAATATTTTTACTTGTTACACAATTCAGAAGGTACAAAAGGGAATTGATGAAAAGTCTCTGTTCCCTTCCAGCCTGTTTTTTTCACCTGAGACCTTTTGATACATTTAACCCCTTAGTTCATATACCTTCCCCCTCCCCTTCTGGTTCTTTTTCCTCTTGGTCTCGTCTTCATTTCGGATTGTCAGCCATTGTATTAGTCTGTTGTCATGCTGCTAATAAAGACATACCTGAGACTGAGTAATTTATAAAGGAAGGAGGTTTTTTTGTTTTTTTTTTTTTTTTGAGAAGGAGTCTCCCTCTGTCACCCAGGCTGGAGTGCAGTGGCACGATCTCAGCTCACTGCAACCTCCATCTCCTGGGTTCAAGAGGTTCTCCTGCCTCAGCCTCCCAAGTAGCTGGGATTACAGGTGCATGCCACCACACCTGGCTAATTTTTGTATTTTTAGTAGAGACGGGGTTCTACCATGTTGGCCAGGCTGGTCTTGAATTCCTGACCTGAAGTGATCTGCTGGCCTCGGCCTCCCAAAGTTCTAGGATTACAGATGTGAGTCACCATGCCCAGCCAGGAAGGAAGTTTAATGGTCTCACAGTTCCATATGGCTGGGGCAGCCTCACAATCATGGTGGAAGGCAAAGGAGAAGCAGAGGCATGTTTTACATGGTGGCAGGCAAGAGAGCTTGTGCAAGAGAACTCCCGTTTATAAAACCATCAGACCTTGTAAAACTTATTCACTACCACGAGAACAGTATTGGGTAAACTGCCCCAATGATTTAATTATCTCCAGCTGGCCCTGCCATTTACACATGGGGATTATTGCAGTTCATGGTGAGGTTTGGGTGGGGACACAGAGGCAAACCATATCAGCCATTCCCTGCTCTGCCCAGTTGTGCAGCTGGACAGGGGAAGGGACAGATTCTGTGGTAGGTCTTCTAGAGGGAACATTTCAAGAACAACACTTTTAGAATTGCAGAGTTATTGCTTGCTATCTTTAATCTTGTCCCTTATTATGTTGAGTGAGCAAGCTGCTTCCAAACCCTGAGTTATACCATTGAAAGTCCTTTATTTTTTTATTATTTTAGCTTTGGAGGTGCTAGGATTCAGAAAGAGCACAGATACAGGAGAATAACTGGTCCTGTTACTGGTCCTGCTTCTGCCCCTTGTGGAACTGTTTGAGTCTTTCCAAAGGGAGATAATGAGCCTTCCCTCCTCTGGTGGGTAAATTTAGATTGGTTATGGGAGTCATTTCTGCTATGCCCCATATCTATGGTGCTAACCACAATGAAGCTCTCAAATGAGTAGTCCTTCTCAAAAAAATAGTTACATATGTTGTGGTTATGGAACATGAACCAGAACCTGGTGGTAGTGTCTGGAAAATGATGTCATGTGAGAGAGCATGTGGCATAACTCCTTCTCAGTTTATACCTGTATTCTGCTTATGATGCCAGTGGTTGTGGTGGACAAGGCCAAGAGCCCCTGGGGAGCCATTTCATACCAAAGAACTTGGAGTTACCAGTCAGGATTGAGCCTCCTGGTAGGTGTGAGCCTTTGTGAGCTTGGGACAGGGTATGAAGGGATCTTAGGGTCATGGGGAGCACTAATAATATCTACTGCCACCTCTCTCTCTTTGTCCAAAGGTGCAGCTTAGAACTTACTGATGCCCACTGCTTCAGAGTGCTCACTAGTACCTCAGTTACTTTCTGTATTGGCCATCAGGTTTTGAGCTTGGTCTCTGAATAGACTGAGTGTTGTGGGTCTTTAATCCTTCTTGATCACCTCAGATTTTTACTTTTCTTTTAAAATTAAGTGCTTAAGCAGAAGAACTCTGGATTTCTTGGGCCTCAGGCATATTACAAAGCTTGAGGTTAGGAACCAGTGTTTGACTGTAAATGCTTCCCTTGGACAATTTGGTGGAATATACCCAGTTTTCTGCATTGTATTCCATTCTTCTCTTAATTAGAAGTCTTTCTGTCTACTTTTTGCCAGGTGGTTTGGAGCTTGAGATACATTTCCTTCAATTCTCTACTAATTCAGACTCATTCTATGACCTATGACCTATGTTCTATTTGCTAAACTCTCAATAATTCTTTGTTTTTACGTCTCCAAGACATCCTCTTTCTATAATATTTTCTTAGATATTTCAAACCACAATTCAAGTACGTTTTCTCCAGGCACTGGCTCTGTGCTTCCAGCATATAACTTTACATTTTGGCACCTGTGGAATGCAGCACAGTTTGTGCATTTCCTTGCTACCTGTTCTGACCATGATTTAGTTGTTCTAAAGTGGCTACTGGTGAATCCAGTAGCAGCTGGAATCCTCCAAACAGCTCTTTTCTATTGGCTCTGGGCCTTTCTTTCCATTTCAAAAGTGATTCTCTGGGATGCTTGCAACAGGTTTTGTGTAGAAACTGCCCTGATAAGTTCTCAGAAACTTGGTGTTGTCCTATATTTCCAGTGGAGTCATTCATTCTTGAACTTTACAACTGCTCCAAGATCACAAGGTCTCTGCCTCACTCTCCTCTTTTTCTCTCACTCATGCTGAGTCTGCATTTGCCTCTTAGTCTTTGAACGTTTCTGTGGATGCAGTGGGTGTTCAGTGGTGTGATCTGATGCAAGTGGAGTCATATGCTATGCCACAGTTCAGTACACTGGGTGGTCCCTCTGGAAAGACAGCTTTTACTGTGTGCAGAATCCTAAAGAACCAGATACAAACTAAAATTTCAAGTAAAATATCTTAATTCTGGGTGGCATTTTCATAGGAAAAATTTAAGCCTCTTTTACTTAAATACATTATATCATCCATAACTTATGCTAAAAAGGTATTTATCTCAACACAAGGAACATTAGGACAAAACCAAAACAAATAGAGGTTGAACTTTGCTTTTTTAAAAAGTCTGTGGCCTCGTAAGGGTTCCAGATGTAACACAATGTGGGATACCCAGAGCACTGTGAGAGCCGTGTGCGTCACCTGCAGCAGCCTGACTTAATGGCATTTAAAAAGTTTTACATGCATTTATTTTCCTACGTCTGTCTCCTGGATCATTCATGAGAAAACTCTATGTTTTACATCTGAGGTTAGTGTATTACCAGGGTAATTAGTCATTACAACCTACTAGAAAATTGCATATTACAAAATCCAGAGGATCAAATTATCATGATTTTATTTATTTTTGTGGGCAGTTTCTGATTTTGTGGACTGGATAAATAACATGTTTTCAAAATATAGCCATCATGGTGGGAACAGGGTGAGGGATAAAAGACTGTATATTGGGTACAGTCTATACTTCTTGGTTGACAGGTACACTAACATCTCAGAAGTCACCACTGTAGAATTCATCCATGTAACCAAAAACCACTTGTACCCCCAAAGCTACTGAAATAAAAACAAAAAATTTAAAAATTTAAAAAAGGATGGAAGCTTGTACATAATCTATCACTCGTTTATTTAAATACATGAGGACATATATAAAAGTGCTTAATGTACCTAAAATAGAAGTGAATGGGTAACAATAGCTGTCTCTAAGGAAAAGGAATGGGTGACAAGAAATAGAGGAGAGAGGGAGACTTTTTTATTACTATATAATCTTTTTACCTTTAAATTTTTATTGTGTATGGGCATTACCTGTTGTGTGAAACAAACTTTTTTTTAAGCAATAAATACCCCCCAAAACTCCACAAAATATAGCAATTAAAAGACATCATTATAAGATTTGCAGCTGTTTTTGTATGATTGTGAATCTCTTACAGTTATAGCAAATTATTATTTCAAAATAAGTGTACATAGCAGATGAGTTGGGGCTCCTTCTGTTATTGATGGGGTTTAAGACATCCATTTATCAGTTAAAATATATATGGATTGTTTTTGGAAACTTCTTTTCCAACCCTTGACTCCCCTCTTCACTTACACACTGGTGATGGTTCTTAGTTAATAACCTCTGTTTGTCCTTGGTTATTAATTTGAACCAATGAAGAACAGATAGGAACCAGATGAAGATAAAATATCTACTTTATTAATGAGCATGTATGATATTATGAAATCTATATTTGGTCCTCATCTACTTCCTTGACATTTAACTCCTAAAATCCTTGGAATCCCTAGAGTATAAGAGTGTTTTTTGTTTGCTAATGAGATGACTGGAGGCTGGAGTCCCCTAGATAGCCTCCAGGATGGGACTGTTTGCCAGGGGAAGCAACCACGTGGTGATTAGAGGGTTGGAACTTTCAGCCCCCTGTGTCCCCCTCACCTCTAGGGAGAGGAGGGTGGCTGAAGGTTAGGTTGATATACTAGTGACTAATATCAGTCATGCCTAGTAATGAAGCTTCCATAAAAACCCAAAAGAACTGTGTTCTGAGGGTTTCCAGATAACTGAACACATGGAGATTTCTGGAGGGTGGTGCACCCGGAGAGGGCATGGAAGCTTTGCGTCCCTTCTTTTATAGCTATTTATCTCTTCTATACCTATGCCTTTTTCTGTATCTATGCATCTCTCCCATCTGGCTGTTCACCTGTATTCTTTGGAATATCCCTTATTAATATACCTGTAAACATAAGTGAAGTGTTCTCCTGAATACTTTTAGCCTCTCTAGCAAATTAATTGAACCTGGGGAGTGTGTCATGGGAACTCCAGTCTATAGCAAGTTGGTTAAAAGTTTCAGAGGCCTGGACTTGCCACTGCCTGGTGCAGGACAGTCTTATGAGACTGAGCCTTCAACCTGTGGGATGTGACGTTATCTCCAGATAGATAATATAAGGATTGAATTAAATTAGAGGACACCCAGCTGGTGTGGTACTGAATAATCTGAATAATCCACCAGAGAGTTGCTTGCTTGGTGTGTGATGGGGGAAACCCTACCACATGTGGTAGTAGAAGTGTTCTGAGTTGACTGTGTTGTGAGAATAAAGTAGGAGATTCTGAGTTTGTTGTTTTCCTATCCCTACAGCATGCAATAATTTTCTAAGTACCTAGCTCCAGAAAAGCTGGATTGGTGACTAGGAGCCCAGGCCTTCATGCCTGGCTTCTGAAATCTTGAAGTGTGTACCACCTGTGGCAGGAATTGAGTCAGGAAAGTAGATTCAAAATCTATTGCCAATCAGCTGTGTGACGAATTATGGCCTAATTCAGACTCACTTCACAGCATAATTGGAGTGGAGGATAACAGAGAGCACTGGAGAGAGACAGGTCTCCAGCCTGTGTAGAAGGCACATCCTGAGTCAGCTGGTATGTCTGCTTACTATACAGCATGGGGATGGGCACAGGAAATTCTGGCCCCTGCTTTTTTTCTGAGGTATGGTAACCAAAGTAAGTATCAGACCCAATGACTATCAGGGTCTCAGTAATCAGCTGAAGAGAGGGAACCATGAAGGAAAGAAACCCAAAGTATATTTATTCCAATCTATTTCTCTCATGGAGGAGGAAGTAAGGAAATATGAAAAAGGAGAATAAGGATTCTTTATGAGAACATACAGAATTATGTTCTTCTCGTTTCTCATACAGAAAAAAATGATGTGCTCGTTTGGAATTCTTCACAAAACAAAAATAGGCATGGTGAGTGAAGCGGGATGGAAAGAGGAGCGCTATCAGACAGTCAGACAGTCTTCAGTCTGATTGCTGCCCCTAGGATGCAGTAGAGCCTTTATTCTTCTGGGACCTATGTTTTAGTAGCAAAGATAGAATTAAAACATCTGTAATAAATAATATAGTGAAAGGTAGTGATATATGGTATAAAGAAAGTAAAATAGGGCAAGAAAGCTTCTGTCTGATACGAACTTGAACACATCAATATTACTGCTGATAACAACTCCAAAAGACAGGTTAAATATAAAAATAATTTGTTTAACAGCTTCAAGGGGTGTTAAAGCAAGGAGTCCTAGAGTGACTAAAGCTCCAGAGAGGTGATAATTTTGGAGAGATGAACTGATAATCTGCAGTTGCTTTTCTCTTGGGGAAGTGGTCAGACTGCTGATTCTGTGTATAGGCAAGAGGCTAAAAATCTGAGCTCAGCCTGTCTAGAGGGTTACTCTTTGAGGACACAGAAATAGGTAGAGCTTTTGGAAATCTTGTCGTGTGAAGCAACAATATTGGAGACCCAAAAGGACTAAAAAATATTGCTGTCTCCTTCTCAAGACATTTGCAGAATTATGAAGCTGCGTGGCAGATTATTATAAAGTTAAGCCACATGCCTTTGAAAAGCAAGGTGTTCTGTGGTCTCATCTTGCTGAGGAGAGGCTTTCAGTGCATGCCATACTTTGAATTGGAAGCACCATAGGGCTGTGGGTAGGAATATAGTACACTGAAACAGACTGAGCCTTGCCACAACTGAAGCCCAGCTGTGAATCACCTCACTCCCTGATGCGTTTAAGGTGAACAGTTTCTGCTCTGCCTGATAGAAAACAGGGTAAATCTACTCCAGAGAAATATAATACCTGGATCCTCTAAACTTTTCAATATAAAATATCCAGCATTTTATAAAAAATGACTAGACATGAAGAGATAGGACCATATCACTAAAAATGATAAAAGCTGGACAATAGAAACTGACTTAAGGATATTTCAAATGTTGATTGGAGTTGGCAGATGTGGACTTTATAATAACCATGACTGTTATACTCTAGCACATGGAAGAAAAGATGAGACAAAAAGAGGAAGAGATGGAGAATTTTACTAACAAATTGAAATGTATAAATGGCAAATTTATACATTTAGAGCAAATTTATATTTTAGAGCAGAGAACTCAGTGTGCAAATTACATAGTAGGTATGACAAAGCAAAAGACAGAATGAATGAAAAGGAAAAGAAGTCAGTAGAAAATATTGAAAATGAATTACAGAGATTAAACTGATATGTGAGACAGTGAAAATATCTAATACATCTGTAATGTTAGGACCTTTTAGCTTAGCAGGAGAGGATGTAGAAAATGGGACAGAAGCAGTTTTGATGAGGTAATGGCTAAGAATTTTCCAGGACTTTTTAAAAACATTATCTGATGAATTGAGGAAGCTGTATGAGCCTGAAACAGTGTCAGTAGAAAGACGGTTACACCTACAGATATCTTAGTAAAACTACTTAAACCAAGACAATCCTAAAAGCAGCTAGAAAAAAAAGGAGACATTAAAAAAGAAACAGTAAGAGTGAGAGTTGATTTTTAACAGAAAAATTAAGATAGTAGACAACTGAATAATATTTTTAAGATGCAAAAAGAAAATAGCTGCCAATCTAGAATGCTTTATCCAGTAAAAATATCATTAATAAAATGACCTAGTTCTTCCCATCTCTTCCAAATGTGACCTGATTCTTTGAGTCACTTCTATGTGACTGGTTCTTTGGATTTGTCAAAGAATTAGCTTTAGTTTAAGGCTAAGGCTAACAGCATTGTTCACATCATTCATTCTTCAAATGAGGGTACTAAGACCACCTCCAGATCTTACCCAGAGGAAAACTTTGCTACTTTGGATTTACTGAAAGGAGGAAAAAAAAAAAAAAAACTATAGGAAGGCTGCGCATGGTGGCTCGCGCCTGTAATCCCAGAACTTTGGGAGGCTGAGGCAGGCAGATCATGAGGTCAGGAGATTGAGACCATCCTAGCGAACACGATGAAACCCCGTCTCTACTAAAAATACAAAAAATTAGCCGGGCGTGGTGGCGGGTGCCTGTAGTCCCAGCTACTCGGGAGGCTGAGGCAGGAGAATGGCGTGAACCTGGGAGGTGGAGGCTGCAGTGAGCCAAGATTGTGCCACTGCACTCCAGCCTGGGTGAAAGAGCGAGATTCCATCTAAAAAAAAAATTATGTGTGTGTGTGTGTGTGTGTGTGTGTGTGTGAAATATTTAAGCACAGGGATGTTGCACAAATTGAAATAGACAGACTTTACAAACAAGCCAGTGAGGAAATTTCCAAAGTAGAACAAAAATGTAACAAACTTCAAACTATTTAAAAGAGGTTGTAATTGATCTCCTGAATTTCAAATTTAGAGGTACTGTTAATCAACTATGTGCAAGTGACTTCCCTGCTTGAAATGCGAATGAAGAGATGCTGTGCTATCTCTTTAGAATGAAAGTGACAGAATTTAAAGATATTAAATGATATTATAGAATAGATTTTTATTTTGCTGAAAAACCTTATTTTAAAATAAAGTTCCTCGCAACAAATTTCATCTCAAGTAGAGTGGTGGCCCATCTTCAGTGTTGACTAAAGTTAAATGGGAATCTGAGAAGGACTTGATTAAATGATCATGTCAGAAGTAAAATAAAGCTGTCTAGAAGAGGAAGCATGAAAAATCTCAGGCCTTCTTCACTTGATTCACCAATGATTCTGATGCAGGTGCAGGTGAATTAAGAGAGCTCATCAAAGTTGCTCTTTGGGACTGGGCATGGTGGCTTATGCAAATAATTGCAGCAGTTTGAAAGGCTGAGGTGGGAGGATAGCTTGAAGCCATAATTTGTTTTTTGTAGAGACAGTGTCTTGCCACAAAGCAAGATTTTTATTTTGCTGAAAAACCTTATTTTAAAATAAAATTCTCACCAACAGATTTCATCTCAGATAGAGTGGTGGCCCATTTTTAGTGTTGACTGAAGTTAAATGGGACTCAGGGAAGAGATTGCAACAAAGCAAGACCCTGTCTCTACAAAAAATAAATTAGCCAGGCATGGTGGTACATGCCTGTTGTCCTAGCTACTCATGAGGTTGACGTGAGAGGATTGTTTGAGTCAAGGAGGTTGAGGTGTCAGTGAGCTATGATGGTGCCAGCCTGGGCTATAGAACAAGACCCTGTCTCAAAATGAAACAAAACAAAAACCTGCTATTAAAGCGCAGATTGGCTTCTTATATGATAGATAAAGAAGTGGAAGGAGAAGAAGCTGATGTTCATAATGATGATGAAGAAGACTTGAAACATATTTTGATGAAGAAGATGAGGGCAGAGGGGAAGAAGATGAAGATGGTGTTGATGTGGAAGAGGGAGGAAGGTTGAAGAGGAAGATGACTAGTGGAATACTAATAGATTCTGACCCTCTTTTTACTTTTAGAAATTTTGCATTCTTTGGGAGCCAGTTGCCATCTCCTATTTTTTCCCCTTTTGTACTCAGTTGCCTTGTTCTAATAAGGTCTCTTTCTCTCTCTCTCCCTGATCTGGTTCTTCACTTACTTTGTGGGAGACTCTTGAGCAAAATACAGTGGAAAAAACATCTCTACCCATTTCTGTTCCAAGTTTCTTGCCTTAAAAAAATGTGAATGTAGTGATGTGGAACTAACACATCAACCTGCACTGTGGGAAAGAAGAAATTTTCTCCCTTTGCTTTGCTGGAAGCTGGAGGGTGCTTATCCCCCTTGCATTAGTGCACAAAATTCTTGATTTTACTTTCTCTAAAGGATTCAGAGATTACACTTTGTCTCTTTGTGATTATGGACATTTAACATTATCATGTACATGCACTTTCTCTTGTTAAATAAAAAAGAAAAATCTTACAAAATGGAATTAAGTCAGGAAAGGATGGATTTCCGATGTTTTGGTGTTTAGTGTTACAAGGAGAGGAGAGAAAGAATGGAGCGGAAGCAGAAATGATAATGGCTTTAAGTGGGTATTTTGGTGACATGGCTTCTTCTTGTGCATGGGTAATTGAAGTTGAACTTATATTTTTAAAACAGAATTCTCTTCTAGTGATGACTTGAGCTCTACTAATTGCAAAATCATCCAAAATATATAAGATCCTTGAAATTGACATTCTCTGTTTTAATTTTGTCCCTTTTCATTTGTAAATTCTACTTTTCTTTTATGGGAAAGGAAAGAAGATTCTCAGTTTTAAACCCTGAAAATACATATATGTTTCTTTTGTTTTTACAATAAAGTTAAATGTATACACAAAAGATTTGATACTGTTTTCCTCAGAACAGATAAACTTGAGATCTTCCAAATTTCATTTATAAGTAGTGTTGTCAAACTTTAAAGGCAAATAAAGATGTTTTCAAACAAGCAAAAACTGAGACTTTATCACTAGCTGACTTGCGCCAGAAGAAATATTAAAGTAAAGGGAGCTCTTCATGGAGAAGGAAAAGGAATCCTGATGGAAACATGGAAATGCAGAAAGGAGTGAAGAGCAGTGAAGGGTAACCATATTGGTGAATAACATATTGTTGGTGTTGGACAATAATAATGTTGGTTTAAAAATATATGCAATTTATATAATAAGAACAATTTGAATGGCTGGAGGGAAGTAACTGTAATTAAAGCATTGCGGGTTTCTAGTAAGTAAATTTATTAAGTAAATTTAACTAGATTATCTAACTAAAATGATACTAAAATATGGTTTTAACTAAAAAGTTAATACAAGGGAAAAATAGGATGATAAAATCATTTTATTAATCCAAAAAGAAGGCAAGGAATGAGGAGAAAGACAACTGTGTCATATAGAAAATAGTAACATGGTAAGTATAAACCCAATTAGATCAATCATTGTGCTAAATTTAAATGGACTAAGTATTTCAATTTAAAGACTTATACTATTAATGAATTGGACCAAAGAACAAAGCAAAGCTGATGCCTCTTTAGAGACAATTTTAAAACTTAAAGACTCAGAAAGCCTGAAAATAAAAGAATGAAACAAATATATTATGCAAAGACAAATGAAATTAGGTTTAACCTTATTAATATTTGATAAAATGCACTTTAAGGAAGAAACATTACTAGAAATAAAGAGGGTCAATACATTCGAAAATAGATATGTTCCGAATGTGAATGCGAAAACTAAAATAATTAGCAGTAGAAATAGGCGAATGAATAATCCTAATGGTAGACTTAAGCACAACTTTCTCAATTGCTGATAGAATAAACAGGAACAAATAACCTGGAAAGGACATATAGATAATTCAATCAATACAATTAATACAAAAGACCTAATTGACAGATACAGAATACTGTGTCCAGTGACAGTTGGTCAAGTAACGCACATGGAACACTTACCAAATTAACTATATGCTGAGTCATAGAGTGCAAGTCAACTGCATCAAAAGATGCAGTCTTGGGGGATGGGCCAAAATGGTGGACTAGAGACAGCTCATGTGCACCATTGACAGAAAGGAAACAAAAGGGCTGGTGAATACTGACCCTGCTGGCCAGCCATCTGAGAAGCCATGTGGGGATCCATCAAGGCAGCAGGGAGACACAGAGAGTAGAGAGGAATAAAGCTGGACACCAGTCTGTCTAGGTTCAGTGCAGGAGAACCTCTCGGACATGGAAAAGGGTGAGTGAATGAGAGCCCCCTGAGGAATTCACACTTTCCATAGGGACCTCTGCAAGACTGGAAACGGGAGAATCCCCCTGGACTCCCAGCAGCCTGCCATCTTCCTTCTGGACTGAGGCAGAGAGCCGTCAGGATGTTTTTCATGGGCAACTCTTTTGAGTCCAAGGGGACTTTAATAAACCTCGGGTCCTGGAGCAGACCACCACTGGCACTGTAGCCTCAATAGAGGCTTCAGTCATGGGGCCTGGGAGCAGTAAGATTGCTCTACTCCCCCTTCACTGGATGGGGCTTAGTGCCAACTTCTGGCCCAGTGGTCCTGCTTCTGCCTGAACTTGGTGCAGCTGCAACCTTCTGCTGTCCTCGGAAGTACCCAGATGGTAGGGTGGGAGCCCCCACCCACCACTGCCACTAGTAGCCAGTCAGGCAATACGTGATAGAGCTGCCAGCTAGTCAGTGGTCCCACTTCTGTCTGAACTTAGCTGGCAGGCACAACCTTCTGTTTTCCTGAGAAACAATGAGACAGCAGGCAGGGCAGGTGACTTCACCCTCCTCCACCTCTCATAGCCAGATGAGCCACACCCATTAGAACTTCCGGCCCAGTGGTCCTGCTTCTGCCTAAATTCTATGGGCAGGTGCGCCCCTGTGAAGCACTCAGACAGCAGAGTAGGGCTGACCTGGCAAGGATATGGCCTGTCTGCCAACTGTGGTTCCTACCTGAGAGAGCCCTGTGGACCAGAACACTCAACACCAGGAACATCCAGATTCATAAAATGAGTTCTTATAGATCTACAAAGAGACTTAGATAACCACACAATAATACTGGGAGACTTCAACGCCCCACTTGACAGTATTAGATCATTGAGACAAAACTATCAGTG
Organism: Homo sapiens; assembly: GCF_000001405.40. NCBI lineage: Eukaryota > Metazoa > Chordata > Mammalia > Primates > Hominidae > Homo > Homo sapiens. The sequence continues at coordinate 120,892,365 of NC_000004.12, read as the reverse complement.
ACGTTCGGGACCTGAACTCAACACTTGATCAGATAGGGCCAACAGACATCTATGGAACTCTCCACCCAGAAATAACAGAATATACATTTTTCTCGTCTGCAGGTGGTACATACTCTAAAATTGACCACATAGGCATAAAACAATCCTCAGCAAATTAAAAAAGAAAAAAAAACCCTAAAATCATAGCAAACACACTTTCAGACCACAGTGCGATGCAAGTAGAAATTAATACAAACAAAATCACTCAAAGCCACACAACTATATGGAAATTAAACAACTTGCTCCTGAATGACTTTTGTATAAACAATGAAATTAAGGCCAAAATCAAGAAATTCTTTGAAACTAATGTGAACGAAGATACAACATACCAGAATCTTGGCGATACAGCTAAAGCAGTGTTAAGAGTGAACTTTATGGTGCTAAACATTCAAATAAAAAAGTTAGAAAGTGGCTCATGCCTGTAATCCCAGTACTTTGGGAGACCGAGGCAGGTGGATCGCTTGAGGTCAGGAGTTCGAGAACAGCCTGGCCAACATAACGAAACCCTGTGTCTACTAAAAATACAAAAATTAGCTGGGCATGGTGGTGGGTGCCTGTAATCCCAGGTATTTGGGAGGCTGAAGCAGGAGAATTACTTGAACCCAGAAGGCGGAGGTTGCGGCGAGCTGAGAACGTGTCACTCTGGGTGACACAGTGAGACTCTGTCTCAAAAAAAAAGTTAGAAAGCTCCCAAATGAACAACCTAACATCACATCTAGAAAAACTAGAGAAACAAAAGCAAACCAACCCCAAAGCTAGCAGAATACAAGAAATAACCAAAAATCAGATTTGAATGGTAGGAAACAGATGTGAAAAACCATACAGAAGATCAAAGGGTCTAGAAGCTGGTTCTCTGAAAGCATAAATGAGGTCAATGGACCACTAGTTAGACTAATAAGGAAAAAAGGAGAAGATTTAAATTAGCACAATCAGAAATGACAAAGGAGACATTACCACCAACCCCACAGAAACACAAAAAACCCTCAGAGACAATTATGAAAACCTCTATGCACACAAATTAGAAAGCCTAGAAGAAATGGATAAATTGCTGGAGACATATAATCTTCCAAGATTGAACCAGGAAGAAATGGAATCTTTGAACAGATTCAATAATGAGTTTAGAAACTGAATCAGTAATAAAAAGCCTAAAAACCAGAAAAAGCCCGAGACCAGATGGATTCACAATCAAATTCTGCCAGATGTATACAGAAGAGCTGGTGCCATTCCTACTGAAACTATTACAAAAAATTTTAGGAAATTTCATTCTGGACATAGGCCCTGTCAAAGACTTTATGATGAAGATGTGATAACCAATTGCATCAAAAACAAAAATTGACAAATGGGGCCTAGTGAAACTAAAGAGCTTCTGCACCATAAAAGAAACTATGAACAGTGTAAACAGACAGCCTGCAGAAGGGGAGAAAATATTTACTAACTACACATCTGACAAAATTCTAATATCCAGAATGTATAAGGTACTTAAACAAATTAACAAGCAAAAACCAAACAACCCCATTTAAAGGTGGACAAATGATATGAACAGATACTTTTCAAAAGAGGACATACACATAGCCAACTAGCATATGAAAAAATGCTCAACATCACTAATCATTAGAGATATGCAAATCAAAACCACAATGAGATACCATCCCACACCAGTCAGAATGGCTATTACTAAAAAGTAAACAAAAACAAAAACATGCTGGTGAGGTTGTGGGAAAAAGGGAATTCTTATACACTGCTGGTGGAAATGTAAATAAGTTCAGCCATTGTGGAAACCAGTGTGGTGATTTCTCAATGAACTAAAAACAGATGTATCATTTGACTCAGCATTCCCATTATTGGGTGTATACCCAAAGAAATTGATATGGTTTAGATATACGTTCCTACCCAAATCATGTCAATTTGTGATTTCCCAATTGGAGATAGGGCCTAGTGGGAGGTGATTGGATCATGGGGTGAGTTTCTCATGAATGGTTTAGCACCATCCCCTTAGTACTGTTCTTATGATAGTGAGTTCTCCTGAGATCTGTTCATTTAAAAGTGTGTAACAATTCCCCCTACTCTCTCTTGCTCCTGCTGTGGCCATGTGAGGTGCCTGCTCCTTTTTCACCTTCAGCCATGATTGTACATTTCCTGAGGCCTCCCCAGAAGCTAAGCAGATGCCAGCACCATGCTTTCTGTACAGCCTGTGGAACCATGAGCCAATTAAATCTCTTTTCTTTATAAATTACCCAGGCTCAGATATTTCTGTATTGCAGTGTGAGAATGGACTAATACAGGAATATAAATCATTATACCTTAAAGATGCATGCACACGTATGTTCATCACAGCACTATTCACAGTAGCAAAGTAATGGAATCAGCCTGCATGCCCATCAATGGTAGACTAGATAAAGAAAATGTACACTATGGAATACTATGCAGCCATAAAAAAGAACTAGATCATGCCTTTGTAGCAACATGGGTGGAGCTGGTGAACTAATGCAGGAACAGAAAATCAAATACCACATGTGTCACTTCTAAGTGAGATAAACACTGAGTAGACATGAGTAGACATGGAGAAAAAGAAGGGAACAACAGACATCAGGGCCTACTTGAGGAGGGAGAGGATTGAAAAACTATTGTATACTATGCTTATTTCCCAAGCCACAAAATAATCTGTATACCAAACCGTGTAACACACAGTTTATCTATATAAGAAACTTGTGTGTGCATATGTCCCTGAACCTAAAATAAAACTTAAAAAAAGATGCAATCTCCATAAAAATCCTGGAAAGTTTATTTTTATTAATTTTTTTTGCAAGGAGGGTGATGGTATGGAAATTGATTTTATAATTTATGTAAAAAGCTAAGGTGCCATCAAGGCAGCTTTGAAGTAAAAAAACAAAACTGGAGGACTTATACAACCAGATTTATAAAGGGACTTTGGAATTGTCATGAGAATAGACAAATAGAAACTGTTGTCGACAAAAATAACATTAATGATATAGTGGGAAAAGTATGTCATTTTCAAGGATTATATTAGATCAAAATTATATCCTCATGGAAAAATAGTATTTTGACCCCTAATTCACATCATATATGAAAAATCAACTTAATATTATTGTAAATGTAAACATATCAGATGAAAGCAATAAACCTTTCAAAGAAATTTTCTAAGAGAATACTTTTATGAACGTAAAGACAGGTTTCTTAAATAAGCACAATAAACACTAACCTTAAGTGGAAAAATGATAAATTGGTGAACACTAAAATTAAGAACTCTTTATCAGAAGATACTACAAAGAGAATGAAAGAGCAAGTCACAGAGGATGATAAGATATTTGTAATACATTTCTGAAAAAAGGATTTGTATCCAGAATATAGTAAGAACTATAAAAATCAATTTAAAAAAAAGAAAAATGGGCAAAATACTTGAACAAGGATGTCATACAAGAAGATGTCCAGATGGCCAATGAACATGAAAAGATATTTAACTTTATTAGTTATCTGGGAAATGCGAATCAAAAGCGCAAGATGCCACCATATGTTCACCAAAATGACTAAAATTAAAAAGACAATGTCAAATGTTTGCAAACATCATCTGAAACTCTCATATACTGCTTCTGGGTTTTTTAATTGGTCACATCACTTTGGAAATCTATCTAGTGGTATCTACTAGAGCTGAATATATGCATATGATATGATTCAGCAGTTCCACTAGACAGATATTAACTAGAACACGTTACTAAAAGATTTGTACAAGAACCTACATAGCAGCAGTATCAGGAGTTGTCTCAAGCTAGAAGTAACACAAATGTCCGTATACTAGTAAATGGACAAATACATTCTGGTTTATCATAAAATGGAATATTATAAAGATTTTATGATAATATTTCTATTATGCTTAGCAACATGGGTGAATCTCAGTAACAAAGCCTTGAGTGAAATAAGCTAGAGAAAATGGAATACATCTGTTTGATTCCCTTTAGCTAAAGTTTGAAAGCAGGTGAAGCTAATCTATAAAATTATAAATCAGGATTGTGGTTACCTCACTGTGAGGGTAGTGATTAGAAGTAGATATCTGGGGAGACTGTTTCTTGATCTGTGTGATAGCTATATGGCTGTGTTTACTTTGTGAGAATTCATTGAGATGTATGCACCAAGTTTCTGCGCCTTTCAGTAATTGTGTGACACTTCAATAAAAAGTTTAGTTAAAATAATAAGACAGAACAACAATAGGATAAAATGTCGGCCGGGCGCGGTGGCTCACGCCTGTAATCCCAGCACTTTGGGAGGCCGAGGCGGGCGGATCACGAGGTCAGGAGATCGAGACCATCCCGGCTAAAACGGTGAAACCCCGTCTCTACTAAAAATACAAAAAATTAGCCGGGCGTAGTGGCGGGCGCCTGTAGTCCCAGCTACTTGGGAGGCTGAGGCAGGAGAATGGCGTGAACCCGGGAGGCGGAGCTTGCAGTGAGCCGAGATTGCGCCACTGCACTCCAGCCTGGGCGACAGAGCGAGACTCCGTCTCAAAAAAAAAAAAAAAAAAAAAAAAGGATAAAATGTCTAGGCTGTGGGTTTCTGCTTTAGCTGGGCTGTCAAGTTGTGGTAGGACCTAAATAATAAGTGTAGCGGCCATCTGAAGAAGAACTAGGTGAAGAAACCAGATTGTAGCAGAGATGACAATGAAGTCAGATTGTTCAAAGGACAGAAACAAAGCAGCTAGGCTAATGGTTAGTGGATGAGAGACCAGTAGTGGTGTGTAGGATTAGAGAGGCAATTCTAGATTAGATAATGAGGTTTATTCTGGTGGTAGAAGGAAGTCATTTAAGGGATTTGAGCAGGAGACTGATGAGATTTGATTTATGTCTTGAGAAGGTCTTTGTGTCTGCCTCGTGGAGAACAGGTAGAGAGGCAAGAGTGGAGCAGGGAGACCACCTAGATGTCTGTTGCTGTAGTCAAGGAGTGATTTGATGGTGGCTTGGAGTTGGGCCCTAACAGTAGATTTGGTGAGAAGTGGTTGGCTTCCAGTTGTGTGTTGAAGGTAACTAACACTGATGGGGCTTGCTGATGGATTGTGTATTGAAAGAGAAGAGTCAGCCAGGCGCAGTGGCTCACGCCTGTAATCCCAGCACTTTGAGAGGCCAAGGCGGGTGGATCACGAGTTCAGGAATTCAAGACCAGCCTGGCAAACATAGTGAAACCCCGTCTCCACTAAAAATACAAAAATTAGCCAGGCGTGGTGGCGGGCGCCTGTAGTCCCAGCTACTTGGGAGGCTGAGGCAGGAAAATCGCTTGAACCCAGGAAGTGGAGGTTGCAGTGAGCCGAGATCAGGCCACTGCACTCCAGCTTGGTCAACAAAGTGAGACTTCATCTCATAAAAAAAAAAAAAAGAAAGAGAAGAGTCAAGAATGACTTTTAAGTATTTGGCTTAAGCTATATGAGTGGAAGGTGATGACATGTCTGAGATAGGGCAGTTATATAAGACTGAGACTGAGAGGGATGACAAGGTGGGGTAGACTATGTTGTAGACTTTTGAAGGAAGGGCATTGTCTTTTTATTACCTTATTATTATCTTTACTCCCCAGGTCTTTGCAGAGTATCTAGAACATAAATATAATTGAATAAAAGTTCATTTCATATTCATTATTCAACAAATCATTCATATTGAATAAATACATTGCATAAATGTATAGCTATTTTTACCATTGGCGTTCTTAAAAAATAAGTTACTTAAAGGTTAAAAAAAGGAAACAACTGATTAACTTCCTTAGTATTTTAATTCTCTGAGCCTTGCCTACTTTATAGAGATTTTTCTTTTCTTTTTCATGATGATGTTGATTTGACTGAAATATAGTCTTTAAAGGAGCAGATTGGTTGGATATTAAACTGGACATTTTGTTTACATGTTTTTCTCATTCTTTGCAGTTATTATGTGATTACAGCTGTCCTGCTGTTGGGAACTTGGTTCAGTACCAGGTTTCCAATGTGTTTTAGTTTTGGGAAAAAATGTTTTCAATTGTTTAAAATCTTTTGTTTTCTTTATTGTTTATGGAAGTCCTTTTAGGTGTTTGGAACAAATAATTCTTTTTACCAAATGTTTTTCTTTTGCAGATGATAACATTTTGTTATGGGGTCCAAATGGAACCACTTAGTGTAGACCTTGGTGGAAAAATACCACCTATGAAGCCTTATAGAATGCTGGAACTCCTAAAACAAATGTCATAGTGCATTCTTCCTGACATTAGTCCTCTAGTTAGGGAAAATGCAAAGCAATCGAATGTTTCATGTCTTCTGGAAGTTCTGTGTTTTGTGGTTGTCCTTTATCTGCCATTCATAAGATGGGTCCTACCTAAATATGCCAGCCAATTTCTGGTCATTCAGCAAAACCTGAGGTGTGATTAAAGAATGCTTGGAATTAGAAGCCAAATTGTTTGACTAAAAGAAAAAAAAACACATAACTTTTGTGTTATTGGAGTACTTCCATTCCCTTTGTGGTTCTGATCACAACTTATAGAACTGGAGGAATTTTTTTTTTTTTTCTTTCGGTGATAGGGTCTTGCTCTGTCTCCCGACTGGAGTGCAGTGGTGTGATCTCAGCTCACTGCAGCCTCTGCCTCCTGGATTCAAGCAATTCTCCTGCCTCAGCCTCGTGAGTAGCTGGGATCACAGGCATGTGCCACCATGCCTGGCTAAGTTTTGTATTTTTAGTAGAGATGGGGTTTCACCATGTTGGACAGACTGGTCTTGAACTCCTGGCCTCAAATGATCTGCCCACCTCGGCCTCTCAAAATGCTGGCATTACAGGCATGAACCACCATGCCTGGCTGGGTAGAACTAGAGGAATTTTATCAGATAGATGTAGTTGATTGCAACTCCAACTCCAACTTGTTAAATAATGAGGAAGGACATTATGTCAAATAAGAGGAAGTTCAGTAGTCAAGCAGGCTTCAGGGCTGGTGGATTAATAACTTAATGTTACCCAAGTTTTTTCCACCTCTTCACCTTTCTACCTTGGTGGAGGCTTAATCCTCAAGCTAGTGGCAGGTATCAGGTAGGTTGCAGACAAGATAGTGTCTGTAAGGAATAGGGGTACCTTTTGAAGAATCTTCTTCTCCTAGTAGATCTCCTCTAATATGCCAGAGGTGGGTAATGTGTCGTATGTCTTTTCTTTTCTTTTTTACTTTTTTTTTTTTTTTTTTTTTTGATACGGAGTCTTGCTCTGTCGCCCAGGCTGGAGTACAGTGGCGCGATCTCGGCTCACTGCAAGCTCGCCCTCCCGGGTTCAGGCCATTCTCCTGCCTCAGCCTCTCGAGTAGCCCACCATCGTGCCTGGGTAATTTTTTGTATTTTTAGTAGAGAGGGGGTTTCACCATGTTAGCCAGGATGGTCTCGATCTCCTGACCTCGTGATCCACCCGACTCGCTGGGATTACAGGCATGAGCCACCGCGCCCGGCCAGTGTTTCTTTTTTTGAACTGGGAAAGGGAAAGAGATGAAAGAGATTGCTTTTATTCCAGTCAGGCATAACCTAGAGCTGGGAAAGGTCAGCTTTTTATCAGACTTCATAGGAAAGAGTAGGTATATGAATAAATTTAATGTTCTTTGAAGGAGGAGGATGGTCAGGGTGTACACTCAGAAGTAGTGTCCCCCATGAAAATGAACACATTTGTTATTTTTCATTCAACAAATATGTCTTCGATGTTTACTCTTTCTTAGATATTTTGTACTGGGTGCTGGATTTACTTAGAAAGATAAAAAGTATCGGGCAGAGAAGGTAAAGCTTAAAGCCTGGTAAGCAGTCCAATATTTGTATCTTTCATTATTTCTATGTTATACAAATGTTTTGATTGGGGAGCATAGAAAGCATACTTAATGAAAGTGTTTTTAGTTGTAGGAACTATAAAAGAACATTTCTTTTATGCATTTTTAGGGGTTAAAGCAAGTGTTTCAAGTAGAGAGAAAGTGTAAATGAAGGTAGGAAAAGTGTAAATTAAGGGAGATACAAATATCAACCAGGTTATGTTTTCAAAAATGCTTATTTTTCATTACATATCATCACACATGATGTAAAAAATTATAGCAATACATACGACATTAATGTCCCACATTATTTTTTTTGTGTATTCACTCTTGCTGATATTTTTGTGTGCATTTCTATGTATATATGAGACCAATGGGATCCCTATATAAATCTTTTAAAGTAACTCTTATTTCAATATATGCAGTAGTAATATTGCTTCTCTGATATGTGGTCATGAAGAGATTTGTTTTTTCACTAATAGATTGGGCATAAATGCAGGGGGCATTTGTGAATTTTTCATAGCAGTTTTATTAAGATTTATACACCACAAAATTTACCCTTTTAAATGTGTAATTCATTAGTTTTCAGTATATTTATAGAGTGTGCAGTTACCCTCACTGTCTAATTTTAGAATATTTTCATCACTCCAAAAAGAAGCCCTGTACCCTTTAGCAATTATTTTTGAATATTTTATATATTTCATTAATATCTTGTGCAAAGTTTCATTTGAAGAGCTATGATTCTCTAAGTAATCTTCTAAACACATTAAGTCCTTATATTAAAATTTCAGTTAACTTCTTTTTTTTATTATACTTTAAGTTCTAGGGTACATGTGCACAATGTGCAGACTTATTACACATGTATACACGTGCCATCTTGGTGTGCTGCACCCATCAACTCATTATTTACATTAGGTATATCTCCTAATGCTATCCCTCCCCCCTCCCCCCACCCCACAACAGGCACCGGTGTGTGATGTTGCCCTTCCTGTGTCCTTGTTAACTTCTTAGAACCAGTTTCAGATAAGTATTTTGGATTCTTAGAAGGATCTCCAAGAGATGAATGTGTGTACTTTTAGAAGTAAAACCATTAGCAGTGCAGAAAATTTTTGTGTGGATTGATATCAGTTTTTAGTATTTATTGCATAAATAAAAATAAGAGTTGCATTAAACTAGTGGTAGTCAGGTTTCCTATGTTTTTAGATTTCTAATTGTATACTAGAAAAAGAAAACATTTAGCAAAATAAACGAAAATCAACTTTAAGAAAGTGCAATGTGGAGATGATTAATTGATCTTTATTGTACCTTCTAACACTATAATACTTAATAATTCTGTTTGCTTTACATTGAGAGAAAAAAATGAAGGCAGAAGGGGAAAATGTAAGTAATGTGCTTGCATTTAAACTTTTCATGTTTCCTACAATAACACTTTAAAAGAAACTAATTTAACCTTAAGCATACAAATGGCCACTGTCCACTATGGTAGCAACTGGTTACATATGGCTATTGAGCACTTGAGATCCAGCGAGTACTACAGGGGACTGAATTTTTAACTTTATTTTAGCTTTATTTAATTTTAAAAACTGAGGCAATGTAAAATATGTTTTTACCAAACAGCTTTATTCTTTGGTAGGACTACATTTTAGTTTACTGTTGCATTGTGTGAGATATAACTGTATTGTAGGGTGTGTATGAGGCACGTACGTTGTTTTGAAAATTATATCTATCACTGATTTAATTGTCAATGGAATAATTCAAATGATTTTTTGAAAATAAATTTTTTCTACACACGAATGTAACTTTGTAATGTGTTCATTTGAATATTTCATACAGACAACATGATTTCCAATAATACCTTTGTAGATTGTAGATTAGTAATAATATAGAGATTTGTTATACATGCATTATATACATGGTATTTATGTATTATAAAATGGTTATTTCAATTACTGTATTGCGTAGCTTTCTAATATAAAAATGCAAATGTGGCAAAAATTTATATAAAGAAAATATACTACTGATGCAGAATTAAGTGGAGATACAGAAGCTAGTACCAGAACAATAAAGGACAAAATGAAGATGGAAGAAGGTGGCCAGGTGCGGTGGTTCACGTCTGTAATCCCAGCACTTTGGGAGGCCGAGGCATGTGCATCACCTGAGGTCAGGAGTTCGAAACCAGCCTGGCCAACATGGTGAAACCCCGTCTCTACTGAAAATACAAAAATTAGCTGGGTGTGGTGGCAGGTGCCTGTAATCCCATCTACTCGGGAAGCTGAGACAGGAGAATCGCTTGAACCCGGGAGGCGGAGGTTGCAATGAAGCCATATGCTTCCTTCATTGGTTCAAGTCTCAGTGGCTTGCTGGACACACTCTCCTGGCACCATTGCTGTGCTTTTCTGCAGTGCAACTTTATTAGCAGCTTGTCACAGGGCCTGGCTTGCTTAGGACCCCGCTGAGCGAGGGAGAGAAGGAAGGAGGCAAGGAATCTGGGAGAATGCCCTCTGGGGCTGTGCATGTGGTCCAAGAGGCCCACAATAAATATTTTTCATATGATTTCAACAGGATCTGTAGATTTGGTCAGCTTGGTTCCTGCCTCAAGAAAGAGCCATTTTTGGTCAGAGGGATTGTAAAAGAAATTATTTCAGTTATCAAAATTTTGTTGCAGAAGTATGAGGAAAAGCCTAAAAGTGAACATTAGACAATAGAATACATGGCCTTTCCAACAATAAGGAAGATCAATTGAGTCAAAGTTTGAAAAATTGCAAGTAGGTTTTTTATTTTTTGGCTTTAGGTGAGTCATATTACATGAGACACCACCCAGTTAATACTTTCCATACAGTTATTTTCAAAGGTTTTCAAGATGTACAAAGAAATGTCAATTCATGGCCTAAATAAATGAACTTGTGGTGTAGAGTTTTAAAAAATTCTTTATATGGTTAGTTTTCTCATAGAGAATGGTGCTCTGGCTATGGTAAGTCAAAAAATCCAGACACAAAATTTTTAAAGTGTGAGACTAATGTTTCCCATACTGGTTAATTCTACTTCATGACACATAATGAAAATATTTGCATTTAGTTTTTTGAAGTAGACTCTGTGAAAAATGTCATGGATTTAATTGTTAAATTCATTCGTTTATTTGCCAGCGATTTTACTTATTGCCAATTTGTGGAACTATTAAAAGGAATAGAAGACAAGGAATTTAATGGATTTGTGCCGTTTGCCAATACTCTATGATTGAGTTGCAGAAGAGTTTTACAAGGATTTATCATACTGCTGACTCTGAAGATTTTCTTGAGAAATAAATACTTGACAAATAATCAAAGACAAAAAAATCTTTGTGTGATTTGTGTTTTCTCACCAATATCACATTGCACATAAATGAGCTAAATTGAAGCTCCAGGGAAGGGAAAAACATTTTATAACCTAGCTGGTTGTTGAAACTTTCAATACAAATCAATAATTATGTTTTTACACATAAAAAAAATTCAGTTGATTTTAATTATAGTACAGTGTTATGTAAACTTGATGTGAAAAACCAGGAGAACAATTTGATGAATGCTATGTTGATAATGGTAAGCTTAGTGTTGTTTTTCAATTTATACAATATTTCGTTGAACTTAATTTCATTAATACTTCATTGACACCCAGAGTTGATAAATTTACTTATCTTGGATTGATGCAATTTTGAAATTGATGAGCGTTTTCATCAAAGTCAAATCAATTCTAAAAAAAGACGAACCAGCTTTGTCAATGTAGATGTAAATGTATTAAAGGACAATGATTTTTTGGTACTCTATTTACATATTGGAATATTTTAAGTATCTTTGGAACAACTTGCTTTTGTGAATCTATTTTTTTAATTATGAATTTTATAAAACCTAAACTGAGATTAAATATTAATGACGAAAATGTAGTATATGAGTTGACATGTGCTGTAGGTATAAAATACAACCAGATTTCAAAGATTTTGAAGAAGGTAAAATGTCTCATTAATAATTTTTGTATTGGTTACATGGTTGAATTGATAATATTGTGAATATATTGGTTTAAATATAGGTATTAAGATTAATTTTGTATATTTCCCTTTGCTCTGTTTAATGTTACTACTATTAAAATTACATATGTGGTTTACATTATATGTCTGTTGGACAGTGCTGGCATAGAGAGTGTCAAGAGTACCCTGAGCTCCTTCTCGGGAATTAGCTCATGGCAAATTTAGAGAGAAGTATAGGTCATATTTATGGAGAAAGTGAACTTTAATATTTTAGTTTATATATTCTTTACTTGTATTGTGACATTTAGCAGTTGATTTTAGCTTCAGTTTAATTATTTGTGTGTGAGTTTTAATTAATAGACTTTGTTTTTTGAAGTATATTAACAGAAAAATTAAGTATAAATTACAGAAGAGTTCCCATGTCTACCCTCGTGTTACCCCCATTTTCCCCTATTATTAACATCTTACATTAGTGCAGTACACTTGTTACATTTGATGAACCAATATTGATACATTATTATTGAGATCTATAGTTTACATTAGAATTCACTCTTTGCGTTGTTCATTCTATGGGTTCTGACAGATGCATAATGACATATGTCCACTGCTACAGTGTCATATAGAATAGTTTCACTGCCCCCAAATTTCCTGTACTCTATTCGTCCCTCCCTCCTTCACCCCAGTGCCCAGCAGTCATTGATTTTTTTTTTAACTATCTCCATAGTTTTGCCTTTTCCAGAATCTCATAATCAATTGATCCTTGAACAACACAGGGGAGGGGCACTGAACCCTGTGCTGTTGAAAATTGATGTATAACTTTTGACTCCCCAAAAACTTAACTACTAATAGCCTACTGTTGACCAGAAGCTTAATGTAAATACTTGATTAATGCATATTTTGTATGTTATGTGTATTATGTACAGTATTCTTACAATAAAGTAAGATAGACAAAATGAAATTTCACTAAGAAAATCTTAAGAAAGAGAAAATATATTTTGTATCTAATACGTGCAAGTGGATCATCATTAAAGGTCTTCATCCTTGTCACCTCACATTTAGTAGACTGAGGAGGAAGAGTAAGAGGAGTGGTTGGTCTTGTTAACTCAGGGATTTTAGAGGTGGAGGAGGTGGAATGGGAGGCAGGCATATTTGATGTAGCTTTGAAAAAATCCACCTATAAGTGGACCTGCACAGTTCAAAATCTGTGTTATTCAAGGGTCAATCATAGTTGCAGTCATATAGTATGTAGCCCTTTCAGATTGTCTTCAATTAGAAATATGCATTAAATTTTCCCCTGTATGTCTTTTTGAGGCTTGATAGCTCACTTATTTTTATTATTGAATAATATTCCATTGTATGGATGTACCACAGTTCCTTTATCCATTCACTTATTGAGGGACATTTTGATTGCTTCTAAAGTTTAGTAATTATTAACAAAACTGCTATAATTATTTGTGGGCAGTTTTTGTGTGGTGTGGACATAAATTTTCAACTCACTTGGGTAAATGCCAAATTGCGTGATTGCTGGATCACATGGTAAGAGTATGTTTAGTTTTGTTAGAAACTGTCAAAGTGTCTTCCAAAGAGGCTGTACCATTTTGCATTCCACTCAGCAGTGAATGAGAGTTCCTGTTGCCCCATGTCCTTGTCAGCATTTGGTGTTGTCAGTGTTTTAGATTTTGGCCATTCTAATGGATGTGTAGTGGTATTTCTTTGTTGTTTTAATTTGCAATTCCCTAATGACATATGATATTCAACATGTTTTTCCTATACTTATTTGTCATTTGTTCATCTTTTGGCCAAGGGTTTGTTTAGATTTTTTTTGCTCATTTAAAAAATTGAGTTGTTTTCCTATTTTAAGAGTTCTTTGTATCTTTTGTATACCAGCAAAGATTTTTGTATCACTGTGTGGCTCATCTTTTTGTGCACTTTACAGTGTCTTTCACAGAGCACAAATTTTTAATTTTAATAAAGTCAAACTTACCAATATTTCTTTCATGGGTCTGTGCTTTTGGTGTTGTATCTAAAAAGTCATCACCAAACACAAGCTTACCTAGATATTTTCCTATGTCATTTTCCAGGAATTTTTTAGTTTTAGAAAATTTTACATTTAGATCTGTGATTCATTTTGAAAAGTTAATTTTTGTGGAAAATATAAAGTCTGTGTCTACATATGTATTTTGTGTGTGAACATTCAGTAGTTCCAACACCATTTGTTGAAAAGACTATCCTTTTCCCATTGAATTGCTTTTCCTTCTTTGTTAATCAGCTTATTTATTTATTTATTTTGATGAATATTTCTACAGAGTACTTTTTAATCAGGAGGTAAGTTCAACAAGTTTGTTTCTTAGGGAGAAAGGTCATAGGTGTAAGAATACAGAAATGAAAGTCTACAGAAATTAGATCTTCTGTAGTCCTTCTGTAGACTCCTATAGCAGTTAGTTTCTGCTCAAAAATTGTATTATTCTCTCTGAATGTTTAGTTACCATATGGACGTATAATATCTGTTTGAGATTTTGGATATATCTGAGTGATTTCACTGACTTCCAATCTGAAAACAAGGTGGTTAGTTTTTTGTTAATAATCCAAAACTAGTTGTTTATTATTTTATTCTTCTTTTATCTTTGTTGTGTGGCCAGTAAAAAGAGATTCTTACATGCCACATTTTATGAGTTCCTGGGCAGTAAACACGAAGTTGGCTGAAAGATAAGTTTGTTTGTTTGTTTATTTATTTATTTTTGAGACGGAGTCTTGCTTTGTCACCCAGGCTGGAATGCAGTGGCACAATCTTGGCTCACTGCAACCACTGCCTCCTAGGTTCAAGCAATACTGCTGCCTCAGCCTCCCAAGAAGCTGGGATCAAATGACTGTGCCACCATGCCCAGCTAATTTTTGTATTGTTAGTAGAGACGAGGTTTCACCATCTTGGCCAGGGTGGTCTTGAACTCCTGGCCTCAGATGATCCACCCGCCTCAGCCTCCCAAAGTGCTGGGATTACAGGCGTGAGCCACCGCACCCGGCCCCGTTTATTTTAATATAAATTATTCTTCTAGCAGCCTGGAGTTAAAAATTGAGTCCAGGAATGGAAAAGCAACTGAATTGTTAAATTGCACAGTTATCCCAGGAACATGATGTGGTTATCACAGCAGCTGGCCAAATAAATAACTGCTAGGCTAAATAAGTGTTACTTTGATTATTCAGTTAAAATTTCAACCTAAGTGATGTGGTACATGGAAATAGCCATGGTCAGAAATACGGGTTTTTGAGGAGGAAACTATTTGCTACTCTAAAGGTCACTTGTGTTTCAGAAACAAAGTCTTCGTTTATTCAAGGCCGTAAAAATATAGCTGAACTTACCTCATGCTCTCTTCCTTGTTAAGTTTATGATTCTGAACTCTGGCTGATTGACCCTACCTTGTCTCAGAGTTGGCACTGGAGTTATTTTTCAGCAAGTTAGTCTTTATCCTTCTCATGAGAAAAAGTTATTTTTTATTTGTAATAAAAAATATAATATGTGCTGTTTCTCAGATAAGATTTTTCTGGATAGGTTTTGATAAGACACCTATTTAGAGTTTTACAAGAGAATGTCCTATAAGAGTTTGTTTTGTTTTTAAGGATTCCTCTGGATTTGACTGCTCTCCCATGGCCCACATTGTAAATTTTTGTCAGTATTTTACTCAAGTTATATAAAACATAGTACATCCTAGTTCCTATAGCAATAGAGAATAAAGGTGGTTTTTATTTTTCTAAAATTTTGCATGCATTCCTTCATGTCCTGGGAATTCCTGAGATTTGTGGTAAATAGAATCCTTATATTTTTTCATCAAATGTATCTCTGGTAAATAAAGCTTATAAAATTTTAATTTCACCCTGGAATATATCTGATGTGGGATTCATTTCACAGTCTGAAGTGCTTTCAACTTTTTTACTTTGTAAGGTCTTTATGTTTTTAGACCTTGTTTCTCTTTAGTTGTTTGGTTATACAGTCAGTTCTGTTATAATGCAATATATGTTCCTAAAAGTCACTGTACTATGCCAAATCAAACAATAAAAATCACAAGTCTTATGGGAAAAATGGGGTTAGGGACACAATACACAAAATCTTTGTAATTGACACACAAAATAAAAGATAGGCATCTAATAAAAATGATAGCACAATTTTACATATGTTAAATGATTAAGAATGATGAATAGTACAATAAATATTTCAGTTTACTTTAAAAAAGACCTAAAGTTTTCTTGGGGAAGTCTCCAGCAAGAAGAGCTGCAGGTTGTGATTCTTTTGCAGTGGTGGAAGGAGGGTAATCTGAAAACAGATGGAAGGTCATAACTCCTGATGTGGATGTGCGTGTCTCACAATACATGTGGTGAACCAAGGAAGGTGGTAGATATTTGAGGTGTGAGTGTTTTGTGCATTTCTCTGTGGCTCATTTGTATTTCTCTGTAGCTCAGCTAGATGCAGTTTTCTTCATTCACCTAGTGTTTCTGGGAGACGAAATTGTGCATGATCAAAATCAGAAATTTTATTGTGCTCAGATTGTTCCCTAATATATCAATAGCATTGGAGCCAGTTGTCATTTTACAAACAAGCATTCTAGCAGAACAAACTCTATACACTTTTGAAATAATGATGATTTTATAGCTTTATAAAATACTGTTTAGAAGCAACGTGGCTTGAATTACTTACCCACTCCAACATGGCATCTATCCTGTAAGCAGCTTTTTTCTGTGAAAAAGAATTTTTTGGAAGCAATTTCTTATTTAAGGAATAGCTACCAAAATGCCTAGTCATTTGTATTTTGCCCCCTGTCTACTACTCTACTACTTTTTTTGTGAAATCTGTCACTAACTACACTGCTTTCTTTCACATCATACTCTCCCCATGCCCTTGGGTTAATCATATTCTCATAGTTTCCTCAGAAATCTAGCTTTGGCTTGTTTTTTCTCTATGGCCAGTTTTCTTGTGGAAACTTGGCTGATTCCCATTCTGACTTGACCTGGTCCTCAGAGACCAGAGTCAGCTTTCCTAACAGCTCTGCTTCCAGGGCATAAATGAACTGATGGTTTCAGGGTTGCCCCTGTGAGGTATTTCAAGTGCCATGACCATCTGACACTGGATTGAAGATAAACTCCCCTCCTGTACACTAATTCAACAGCTAGTGCAGACAGAGGCTGCTGGCTCCTTGGCAGTCTCAGAGTCATCCTCAGCACAGTGCTCCAGGCAAACTCCACTGATCAATTGGAATTGGCACTCAAGTTGAAATTGTTTTCCTGTCTTTGTTTTAATCTGTATTTGTGTGGTCTAGGCCCTGGCTTCTAGGGTGGCCTGAGTCAGGGCCCTGGGTTGGCTAACAAATAGATGGAAAAGATTGGCCGCATGCTTTAGGTCACCAAATTTGGCCAGGAAACTCTCTTTAAATATCCTAGCCAGTTCATCAGGGAGGGCCAGGCCAGGCCTTCTTGACATCACCACAGGTGGGGAACACTCTCCGTCCACCGCCCATCAGAAAAGTGAGCTTGTTCTCAGCTCAGTGTTGTGATCTGCTGCTGAGAGCCAGGCCAGGTGATTATGCAGCTGGCACGCAGACCACACTTAGAACAGGAGCCTCCCACCACCTCTTCCCTACAAGGTGCTACAATTGCTTCCTGAGCAGTGGCTGTAGTCCCAGGCCATAGGACACACATATACTTCCTGTCAGAGCCAGAAGCTCAGATGCTTCAGAGACATAGACAAAATCTGCAATCTGGGACCAGTTTCCTCAGTATACCCACAGTATCAGTATTGGGCAAGAAAAAGAAACTCAATTTCTTCTTCCCCCTCTTTGGCTAGATTTTTTTCACAATAGTGTTAAATAATAAAGCTAATAGTAATCAATCTTGTCCTAATCTTGATTTCAATGTCATGTTTATGTGTTTTACCACTAAGCATACTGGCTTTGATTTAAATTGGCTGTTATTTGCATTTTAAAATGATTTTTTTTTCTTAGTGAACTAAGAGTTTTTTTCAGGAATCTTGTGAAAATTGAAACCAATCACATGCAGTTAAGCTGAATGTTTCATTTGCTTTAATCTTCTCTTGTGATTCTGAAGCAGAAATCCATTTTAAATTCCACATATTTGACTTAAATCTCTATTTTATCTATTAAATAAAGACAGAAAACATTTCACCTCCACTGCTTTCTACTCCCACTTTGCATGCTCTGTTAATGTGTGATTAAAGTCATTATTATTAACTTTACATATTCATCTTCTACTTCAATAATAGAAGCTGCTGGACTTTGGAGTTCCTGATTTTGATTACTTGGACAATTGACTGTGAAATTTTCATTAATGATAGGAAGAATAAGTTTTAGTGTTCTGTAGCACTATAGAGGGACTATAATAAACAACAGTATATTGTATACTTTCAAATAGCTAGAAGGGCGCATTTTGAATATTCTAAACACAAATATCAGATAAATGTTTGAGGTGATGTATATGTTAATTACCCTGATTTAATCATTACACATTAATATATGTGTATGAAAATAGCACACCATACCCCATAAATATGTACAATTATTATGTGTCAATTAAATAAAAAAACTGGATAAACATTTAATAAAGTGTACATAATAGCCCAAAATGCATGAGGAGCTAATAAAAAAACAGCTATTTAATAGTTTCTATCTACTATCCCAGAAAAATTATATACATGGGTGCTGAAAAAATAAGTACCTTTTCTTGCAGAAACTTTCTATTATTTTTTGAGAAATCATGGCAAATAAAGGCAAATGAAGCCCCTAGTGGGGAAAAAGTAGATTTTGGAAATTATGAAGTTCTTCAGTTACAAAATTTTGGAATGAAATAACCGACATATTGTTGGAGAGTATTCAGAACACTGGTAAACATGAGAAATCTGTAGGATGTTTTTAATGGTCATGTAAACCCAGGAGAGTCCAATAGATATAATGACTTTTGATTTGAGTGAAATGTTTGACAATGACTATTGTAAATTTTTGTGGGAGGTGAAGAAATGTGGATTGTGTGATAGTAAACTTTGAAGTACTGATGGATAGTTGGCCACTTATAGCCGGAGTGTTGAATTTTAATTGAAAAGCAGGCTCTGTCTTGGCTCTTCCTGTTCAATTATTTCTATCAAAGACTCATGAAAATTGAGCACATATCTTGAGCCCACTGTCTGTACAACTAGAGTGAAGGGAGGGGATAGATACTGTTTTTTTCTCTTCTTAAAAATTGTGGTCAGGGCGTGGTGGCTCACGCCTGTAATGCTAGCACTTTGGGAGGCCGAGATGGGTAGATCACTTCAGGTTAGGAGTTCGAGACCAGCCTGGCCAACATGGTGAAATCCTGCCTCTACCAAAAAAATACAAAAATTAGCCAGATATGGTGTCACATGTCTGTAGTCCCAGCTACTTGGGAGGCTAAGTCATGAGAATTGCTTGAACCCATGATGCAGAGGTTGCAGTGAGCAGAGATTGAACCACTGTACTCCAGTTTGGGTGATGGAGTAAGACTCTGTCTCAAAAAAATAAAATAAAAAATATGGTAAAAACACATAACATAAAATTTACCATCTTAACTGTCCACTTACCACTTTAAGTGTAGAGTTCAGTAGTGTTAAGTATATTTACATTGTTATCAAGCAGATCTCCAGAACTTTTCTATCTTGCAGATCGGAAACTCTATATCCTTTAAACATCTCACCTCCCCACTACCCCCTGCCCCTGGTAATCACCATGCTACTTTCAAATTCTAGGAATTTGACTACTTTAGTTATTTATTTTTTTAGAGACAGGGTCTCACTGTGTCACCCAGGCTTTAGTACAGTGGTGCGATCATAGTTCACTGCAGCCTTAAATTCCTGTGCTCAAGCCATCCTCCCAGCTCAGTCTCCCAAGTAGCTAGGACTACAAGTGTGCACCACCACCACTGGCTAATTTTTTATCTTTTATTTTTGTTGTAGAGATTAGGGTATGTTGCCCAGACTGGTCTCAATTTCTTGGCCTCAAGTCATCCTCCTGCCTCGGCCTCTAAGGATTTGGCTACTTTAGATGCCTCATATAAGTATAATCATACAGCATTTGTCCTTTTTCATGACTGATTTATTCCATTTGGCATAATGTTTTTAAGATTCTTCTGTGCTGTAGTGTGCAATAGGATTTCCTTCCTTTTTAAGGCTGAATAGTAATCCCTCGTGTGTATATACCACATGTTGTTTATCCATTCATTCCTCAGTGGA
This sequence comes from Homo sapiens, assembly GCF_000001405.40. NCBI lineage: Eukaryota > Metazoa > Chordata > Mammalia > Primates > Hominidae > Homo > Homo sapiens. The sequence continues at coordinate 120,872,302 of NC_000004.12, read as the reverse complement.
AATTTGAGTTGCTTCTCCCTCTTGGTTATTGTGAATATGGGTCTGCAAATATCTCTGTGAGATCCCACTTTGAATTATTTTGGATTTACACCCAGAAGTGGAATTGCTGGATCATACCTCTGTACAGGTTTTTTTTTTTTTTTTTTTTTTTTGAGATGGAGTCTTGCTCTGTCGCCCAGGCTGGAATGCAGTGGCGTGATCTCAGCTCACTGCAACCTCCGCCTCCCGGGTTCAAGCAATTCTCTTTTCTCAGCCTCCTGAGTAGGTGGGATTACAGGCGTGTGCCACCACGCCTGGCTAATTTTTGAATTTTTAGTAGAGATGGGGTTTCACCATGTCGGTCAGGCTGGTCTCGAACTCCTGACCTCATGATCTGCCCACCTCGGCCTCCCAAAGTGTTGGGATAACAGGCGTGAGCCACGCACCTGGCTCTGTACTGTTTCAATAGCAGTTGCACTATTTTACAATCCTATCAACATGGCACAGAAGTTCCAATTCCTCTATATTCTCACCAATTCTTTCTTTTTTTTTTTTTTGAAACAGTAGCCACCCTAATGTATTTGAAGGATCGATAATATTTTAAGATACTTAGCATTCAAAAAGCTTTTAGTAACTAGAGTGATGGATTAAATGCATATATGATGAAATTCAGAGTAATTTTTTAAGTTTACGATGGAGGATACTAGACTTAATATTGACCTATATGCAAATATCTTACTTGATTTTATACGGACATTTTGGTTAGCAATATTATTTGGTGGCAATAACAAAAACTCAGAATGCAATAAAAGAAGTAGAGTGGTCAGATTACAGGGAGAGAATAGTGCTTTGGTACTGTGTACTGGTCAGACCATATCAGGAGGGTCGTGTCAACATCTGCCTGTTAGACACAGACCTGGAAGTTGATAAACATCTGACGTGCCACAGGGAGCCATACCCAGAAAGGGTCTGGAAGCTGTGACCTGTCAGTCAGTGAGGGAACTAGGGCTCAACCTGAGGAAGAACAGAAGCAGATAGTTGTCTTCATATGATTTAAAGTGGTGTCATGTGGAAGACGGTGAAGGCTTAGCTTTCCTGTTCGATGACAGAACAACAACAACAACAACAAAACATTATGTGGAACTAGAGAGAAGTGTGTTTCTAATCAACCTGAGGAAAAACTTTCTGGCAGGCAGAAGGGTACAACTGTGAAACCTGCTGATTCACAGCCTAGAGAGTTCCCTCTTCCCATGTGGAGAGGGAGGTGTTCAAGGATAGGCTGGATGATGGCGGGAGCATGGCTGTAAAGTATAGTCTTCTACTGGAGGGGAAATCTGGCAAGATGAATCTATATTCTGTGCACAAGAGAGTAGGAGAAGGTAGACAAAACATAGTTCCAGAGGCAAAACCTCTAACATATAGTAGGTGGTCATTCTTGCCTGCCCAGGCTCAACCCTACCTAGACTCTGAATAAATCTCCTTCTTAGGAGGAATCTGAAACTCTGTCCTGACTGCTGAGAATCCACTCAGGGGTGATGCTGAGCTACCGTCCGCTCCACACTGCCACCAAATGTCACACGGAGCCCAAGGTCTGACCCACTGCAAACCTCTCTGAACCTTGTTCTTCAGAGTTTCCTGCCTCACACTTGACTCTTTACAGCTTCACGTTTAATTCACACTCACACATGTGCCTTTCCTCTTGCTGGTCCCTTTACTTGGACTGTCAGCTCTTTTCTCATCCGTACTCACTCATTATTTTTCCTGGGCTGGCTTAGGGGCCTCTCCCTGCTATTCTCTGAATACCCAAGGCAGGTCAGGCAGGTGAGGTTTTTCCCCCACCCCCCACTAGGTGGCTGTTCCCCCACCTCCCACTAGACTGTGAGCTCTTTCCAAGCAGGTCCTAGATGTTGATCTTTATTAGTGCAAACAATGTTTATCGAATGAAATAAAATGGGGCAGAGTCTTTTGTTTGTGTGTCCTAGTGCCTAGTGTAGTGCTTAACATGTAGTTGCTTAATGATTTTTGGAGTAATAGAAGACTTAAATATTTGTATTTCTTTCACTCGAGGTCATAAAATCATCATATGGCTCTCAGAAACCTTAATGTGGTTGGGATGTGCCTGGTGAATCAGAGTTTGAGACCAGCAGGCCTCCACTTTCCTCCTCTTTCCTGCCTCTCCCTCCCTTCCTCTGTCTCCTCCGTCTTCCCTTCCTTCCTCGTCCTTTATCTCGCTGTTTCTCCCCTTCTCCTCCGAGTCCTTCTCTCTGCTTCTTCCTCCTATGTCCTCCTCTCCTATTCTTCCTCCTTCCTCTCTCCTCTACTTCCTCCTCTTTTTTTTTCTTTGTTCTTTTTTGAACTGTGCAGTCTCCTTACACAGTGCTCTCATGTAGACTTTGGCAGACTTTAAAAATTCTGTAGTTCATGCATGGGTTAATTGAGGCTGAGTATTTCACAAGATCTCAGATGCATGAGTGCTAACAGAGATTCCAGACCTCTGTGTGTTGACATGAGGTTTTTTTTCAACATGGCAAAGGAGGATCAAAGACACCTTGTTCAATTTCTACACATTTGCCTTTTTATTTACTTGTCTTTCTAGTTTTTCTGTATCTGTGCCAGTCTCCTGATGCCAACCATCTGTTGATTCTTTAATATTATAGCAACACAGGCTCTGTTTGTATTCATGGTAGTTTACAGTTTTATGTTTGCCAAGACCTTTTGTTGTTTTTATGTACTAAATTAAATGTGAGGACAACAGGCAGGCTATGAGTGTCTTTATGAGCAGCTTGATTTATTTGTATCAGATTATATAAGCTGTCAGGAGGTTACCTTTTGGTCTGTTTAGCAACCAATTGTAGGTCTAATTTATGTTTAATGTAAAAAAGTGAATTCAATGAACTTTTTAAAAGTTAGGTATTGTATTTTCTACAAGTGAAAACCACTTGCATGAATGTAACTACATTGCACAATGGAGGCTCTGCAAACACTGCTGAAAAAGTATGCATAATATTCTACCTGAGAAGTTTTGTTTTCTTTTTATATAAAGAAGATTAATGTTCATGGACTTGAATAAATTCCATTTAATGATTTGGTCTATAATTTCCTTGCCCTATGATAAATGACTACTCAGAAGTACTTTGAAGAATTTTTAGTGCAGCTTAGATAATTAATGTTTTGATGTGTATATTTGTTACATTTTAACTTTTGATTTAACAATCATGTTTTTTAAAAAAAATCTGTCAGGCCATAGAGATCGATGGAAACATATATATGTATATTCTTTTGTCTGCATTTAAGGTAGTAGTTTTATATTTTATAAATCTCAGACATTTCAAATCCCAAAGGAGGGCTATGTTGATATATTGCCCAGGACTTGCAAGTTGTTTCCAATTTGCATATTAATGAGTAGATTGTAGGTGACATGGAAAAGAATATAATATTCATAAGTATGGAAGAGACTGTAAATGCCTTATTTTTATCTATAGGCTTCATTTTTAGGTCAAAGAGAGTGTAGAATTAGTTCTCCATAAACAAAATCTGTTTTCTTAGGAGTTGTCCTGAACAGTAGTGTCAGGACATTTAATCATCTAATACTCCTTTGTGTTACCTACTATCCATGCCACCTTTTACAGACAGAACACATTAAGAAGCTTTGGTCCCAAATAAATTAACAGGTTTTTCTTTAATTCTGTGGCATTGCACTTTTCCTTGTTACCATTGCAAGAGGACCTGTCATCATTCTACTAAGTTTGTATCATCTCTCTGGAGGAAAAGGACTTTAATGGATTATCTAATCACTCATTCTAACCTCTAGGTTCATAGGCCCTTAATCTAGAAATCTGAAATCCAAGAGGCTCTGAAAACCACATTTAGAAAAAAATAACTCATTTAGAAGCAAATCCTGACTTGTACTTATGTAAAGTTGTTTGTAGCTTTTTGTTTTTATCCTACCTAGCTAGCATTACTATTTATACATTTAGTTGCAGAAATGTGAATGTGCTTGATTATGGAATGGTGTCCCAAACCCTGCAGAAAATGTTATATAAACACAGTATATATGCCATATTTTCTTTTCCAATAAGTTTTTTTAAAATCAGCTATGCAAAACCTCTGATTAAGGAATTTTGATACTATATAGGAACATTTCCACTTCTTGTTTAGGTAAAAAAGCCCAAGAACTATAGATATTTCCATAGGAGAGACCCATTAAAGGAAAGTATAATAGGGTTACAATATGTGAATAAAGCAGTAGATGTTAGAGTCAGTAAGAAACTGTTAATGAAAGTAAAATATTATGCATATTCATGATACAGAACAGCATAATACCCATATTTAAAATCTGTCTTGAAGGAGTTCATTGGCAGCGCCCAATGTTGTTCCCATTTCACTCAGTGAACACATTTGGAAGGTGAAGTTGGGTCCAGTTTGCTTGTCATTAGAGTTTAATATTAGGGTTTTTGTATGTGCTCAGGCCAAGTTTTTCTCACTTTTGTGCTAACAGCTGCCAATGAAGTGAGATATCTCTGGACAAAGAAGGTGTTTTTGTCACTTTGTAATTTTAGATGACTTATTTTAAAGGGTAGTTTGTTGCAAAATTAAAAACACTCCCTTGGGGAAAGCCCCAGATTTGTAAGCATACTTTAAAAAACTCAAACTAAAGTTACATAATACCTTTTGAGCATCAGTTTTCCCAACTGCTTCCCTTTATTGTGTTCTACATCTGTATTTTTAATGGTTTATTATGTCTTTATGAGGTGAAAAGAGCAATAGAAAAAATATTTATGGTCAATAGTTTCCTTATGTGTTAAATTCTTGATACAAGTTTGATGTCTCTATATACACTGGTGAAAGTGTACTCAGACCATTCAGTAATAAATGAAAAAAATATATAATTTAAGCCTTAAGATTTGGAGAAAACTGATGAAATGGGAAATGTAGAAACATATGTTTTGGTTTTTTAAAATTTTATTTTATAAGAGGAACTGATTTTCTCTATTTGTAATATGAGTTAGTATTAAAATTTATGAAGATCATTTAATATTCCCTATACAACATTTTTTTTTCTTATCTCACAGTTGTGTGGGTGAGAAGTCCAGGTAGGTTTTCTGCTTAAGGGTCTTAAAAGGCCAGATCAAGGTAGTGGCAGGGCTGGGTTCTTATTAGGAGGCTTTGAGGATCAATTTGCTTCCAAGCTCATTCAGGTTGCTGGCTGAATTTGGTTCCTTGAGATTGTAGGACTTAGGTCCTTATTTTATTGCTGGCTTTTGGCTAGAGACTGTTTTCAGTCCCTAGGTCTGCGAATGGCCCCTCTCAGGCCACCCTGTGAGCCCCTCAATCTCAGCAATATGTCAAATCCTTTACACATTTTAATATCTTTAACTTCTATACTTACCAGCCAGAGAAAATTCTCTGCTTTTAAATAGCTCATGTGATTAGGTTAGGCTCCCCAAAGATTATCCCTATATAACATGATCATAGGAGTGATATCATATTCACAGGTTTCTTTCATACTCAAATGGGAAGGCATTATACAAAGGTGTGAGTTATGGGAAGTCAGTCTTAGAATTCTGCTTACCAGTTGGCAAACTAGTGACCAAGGTAGTGAGTGTATTAAGGTAGTATAACATGGTGGGCTCTGGAATCACATCATCTTGGTTCAATCCCTAGCTCCAGTAACAGCTGTGAAACCTTTGGAAAGTTATTCATTTCTGTTTCTGCTTCAGTTCGCTCATCTGTTAAACGTGCTTAATATGTAGCACTTACCTCATAGAGTTGTTTTGAGGAGTAAATTATATAATATATATAAAGGTGTTTAACAAAGTGCCTGGCACATAATAAACACTCAATAACTATTAGCAGTTATACTGTTAGTATTTGTTTTTTAAAGCAGATTTCTTTTCTTTCATGTTTCACTTTTCATAGAATAAATGAGTATAAAATGCAAAGCACATGTTTGTAAAAGTAACATGATGTTGACCCAAATAGGAATCTTTCATCCTTATGGAATCTGACTCATGTGAGAATCTCTCAGATGAAAGTGTGAAGCACTGTTCCCCTGCTCCAGGCAGTGGATGTGCATTCTTAGATGGCTAGGGCCAGGTGTGTGTGCAATGAAGTGTGCAGTGAAGTGGGAGGAGGTACAGTGATCTGAGCTGAGACAGACAAGTCAGCATGTGAAGGGCCTCTTTTGTCATGCAAAGGAGTTTGGAATTCTGGCAAACAGCATTGGTATGAGGAGGTGGAAGAATTGCAAAGAGTACTCTGGCAATAGTGTGAAAGATGAATTCGAAGATAGATTTTGAGTTGATATAGAAAAAGAGTCAATTACAAAAATGCTATTGTTATTCAAATGGTGGATCATTGATTGTCATAACATGCCCCAAATCTAAGAGTTTTTCTTGACATCTTAACAAGAAAAGTTGAGGAAGCTCTGATGGGGGTGGGGGCTGGGTCAGGCTGGAGAAGTCCTGGTGGATACTCTTGGTCAGGAAGAGGCAGAGAATTAGAAGCAAGACCAGGTTTGAGTGAGATTCAATTTCTAGAGTAGATGAGAACCCCGGAGATCAGTGTATGAGGACAGTGTAAGTGATGCCCAGGAACTATAATTCACCATTCAGGTTACCCATCTCAGAGGAGTGGAACTGTGGACATGTTGAGGACCAGGGAGTGCCAGTTGGCAGAGATCTGGGCTAGCAGTCATCTGACCTCGAGCAAATCCAACCATGCATCGCTATAACCCTGTCACCAAAATGTCGGGATTGAAGAAAGAGTTTGATGAGTAGAGTGACTCCGTGGGGTGTAGAGCAGCTGGTGGTAACCCAGTCACTTAAAGGCTTGGTTGGGAAGGAGATATCAGATTATCCTACAGGAGAACAAATCACAAATGGAGTTTTAAGATTTTGTGGTACTAGAGTTGGAGCAGGATTGATATCAAGGCTGACTCAGCAATGGCAAGGACTGAATAATCTCAGTGTCTGTCCCTACTCTTCTTAAACAGGCCATATGTTTTTCTCAGAGTGAGGAGATTTGAGAGTGATTATTAAATGTCCTGAGTGGTAGAGTCCTTGAACCCAGACAGACCATTAAGCCCCATATCTCTGGAAAAGACAACATTCCTGAAGAATTTCTCCCCACTTGGAGTGTCCCAAATTCCTTTCTTGAAAGGTTCCCGTGCAGCCTCATTTTCAGTTCCTTTGGTTCAGGCACTTGATGGTGTAAGAAAATCACATCAAGGGAAGAAGCCCTGGTTTTCTTTGTAGAAAATGTCTTCTGCTGCAATATTTGTGTTCTAGGTTTGGATGGCATTTCTTGCCAGATTTTTTGTTGCCAGAGCAGTTATTGATGCGAGACACAGCTGTGTCTGTAGCAGGGAGATATTCCTATGCCAGTGATCCTACCTCCTGGCAGCATGAGCCTTTTGGCAGAATTCTAGAAAATGACCTATAGTAAGAGAGAAGTGTGTACAACATGGATGTACGGGCTCTTCTGAGTTGGTGCTTCTGTTCCCATTTAATTGTTAGGACATAAGAGCTTTAGTCAGATTCTGAGTGAGGAAACAAAATCTTTTAGGAACAAGTACAGATCAATTTCTTATTTTTATGAATAAAATGTTTACTTTTAGAGAATAATTTTTCTGAACACTCCTTAACTTAAAGGATATTCTGTAAATCACCCTTTCTGATACTGATCAATGACACTCAGAGATATCAATATCTTTCCACTCTATGATGACACTGCTAGGAGATGTAGAGTTGGGAATCCTCAGCCAACCTATCTGATGGCTGGATGTGTGGGAAGAGGATTTAGAAAGGATTTGCTGTGTTCCTCTTTGGTTGCATGTAACATCAATATTTCTTAATTTTGTGTTTTTATTGTTTTCTTGTTTACATTAAGTTTGCCTGTCCTGATTTCACCTGCCTTGGATTAAAAACATCTAGAATATTGGTCTGTCTGATTTTTAATCTTTGATACTGTGCTTTTTAGATATCAGATATCAACTTTATGTTCAAGGCCTGTAGATCGTACTTCCCATCCTTATGCTTTTCTCCTTAGCTCCTAAGATGTAGATTAATAAATTAATACAATTATTGTCATAGTATATTTAGTCCTTTCACCTTTCACAGAATTTTCCCTCCATACACAATTCATCATGCACAGTAGGGTTGTTGGTCACCCATCATCTATTCCCCTTCATCTTTCGCAGTTGAATCGAGATTTGGCAGAGTTTCCACCCTTCCTCCATGCAGCAGTGTATTATTACTGAGAAGCTAACGCCTTACAGGGGTGGCCCCTGATTAGTCTTAGCCATTGAAATTTCTGTTAGTTGGAGGATAGAATATCCTAATTCATACAGTCACCATTTATTTCCTGTTATTGCTTTGATTTTGCTGCTCCAGCCACAAAATTTGAGTCCTATTGTCCTTGACTAACTGCATCTTCCCAACCAGATTTACTTCTGTCGTTCATTATGTCTCCTCCACACAAAATGACTAAGTTACTTTACCATTCTTTCATTGTTATAATTTTCTCTACAGTGGATTCACCTCTTTGCAAAACTTACGTTCTGAAGCCAATTTATAAGGCAATAATTTCTTATAATTACTCCTGAATATTCTTCCTTATTTGATCGCTAGATGGAGTTGGTTTGTTTTTTGGCCACAAAAGGGAATGGTCTTTATTATTTCAATTTATTTTCTTTCTTTGATTTTTCTCATTTTTTTAAATGCTTTGGTTGAATTGGTATGGTTTAATTTCTGTAAGTTAAGTATTTGTATGATAAAACTTTGTTAATCTTGAAATGACCCTCTGCCTCTCCTATTTGCAAATTTGTATCCCATTTTCAGCACATGGAACTAAGTTCACCTTGTGTGTTGGAGGTTCCCAACACTGCCCCAACACTTGATTTTTTAGAAGAACTCGCAGGACTCAGCCCATTGTTGTACTCATGGCTAAGGTTTATTACAGTACGTAGTAGGTGTGTACAGCCCTATCATAAGGGAAAAGGCATAGGCAGAGTCTGGAGGAACCTGTGTGCAGTCTTCCTTATGCTGTCTCCCTCCCGTGAAGGATCACACAGAGCAAATATATATATACATATATATGTGTGTGTGTGTGTGTGTGTGTGTGTGTGTGTGTATATATATATATATATTTTTTTTTTTTTTTTTTTTAGACAGAGTCTTGCTCTGTCACCCAGGCTGGAGTGTAATAGCCCAATCTTGGCTCACTGCAGCCTGCAACTCCTGGGTTGCAGCAATTCTCATGCCTCAGCCTCCCAAGTAGCCAGTTTATAGGCATGTGCTACCATGCCCAGCTAATTTTTGTATTTTTAGTAGAGACAGGGTTTTGCCATGTTGTACAGGCTGGTCTCGAACTCCTGGGCTCAAGCGAGTCACCCTCCTTGGCCTCTCAAAGTGCGGAGATTACAGGCGTGAGCTACTGCACTTGGCCAGAGCATACTCTTTGCCCGCAAATAAAAATGCAGCCATACATGTGTGACGTTTCTGTACAAGGAAGCCCATTAAACATTCAATGCCCAAGATTTTTATTAGAAACTCATAGATGCCTTCTCCCTAGGATATACCAAAATTCCAGACTTCTGGAAGGAAGACAGGTGTTCAACATAACCCATATTGTTTACACAAGTAGTCTAGGCACAGTAAAACACCTTGATATGTTAACTATTGACAGGGAACACTCTGAGAGCCAAGTTCTCCCATGCCCACCAAAGGCCAAACTTACAGGCAGGACTTTTTGGCAGTCTCAGGCCTGCTAGGTTTATTCTAGAGACGTACCTCTCTACTGGAAGCTTTTCATAATGCACTCTTCTCTGCTCTCTTACTTTTCATCTTGGTCCATCCTCAGGACTTGGCATTGTATGTTACTTTACACCCTTCTGTACCAATTCATTTTGGAAATGAATGCAGTTCATTTGTATGTCCTTTATAGTGATCAGTACATTGCTTTGTGAGCTTTTTAAACATTGTGTTTTCTGCTTCCTCATACTGAAGGTATAAATTGAGTAAAGGAACTGTGTTCAAAAATTTCATCTGTGGCTTTTCATAGCACATTTGAAAATAACCAATAAAGAAATGTATAGTAAATGTTGTTCAGTAAATGTTTACTGACAAAGGATGTTACTTTTTAGAATTTTTCAGCACAGAACTATGATTGCTGGATGATTATGAGAATTACCTTAGTAACTGGGAAGTATTTGGTTGCCTTAGGTGCATTTTTATGCTAAGATCATTAATTGGTTTCTCTGTCAAGTTATGTACATTTTGAGGAGAATACTGTTAGATTTAAATGGGTTGGGTGGATTCAATTTTAATAGCTTTAGAAAACTATGCAGTTAGGAGAGGAATTTGGATTAGGAGATCAAGATCAAAGGAAAAGTAGATTAAAAAAATTTTTTTCTCCCTGTGGATTACATGATGTTCTTTTGTTATTTAGTGTTTCTATAACCTTTGCACAGAAGTTTTCAGATACAAAGCATCTTCTCCTTTTTTTTTGTTTTTTCTTTTTTTTTTTGAGACGGAGTCTTGCTCTTCACCTAGGCTGGAGTGCAGTGGCACGATCTTGGCTCGCTGCAGCTTTCACCTCCCTGGTTCAAGTGATTCTCCTGCCTCAGCCTCCTGAGTAGCTGGGACTACAGGCGTGCTCCACCAAGCCTGGCCAATTTTTGTATTTTTAGTAGAGACAGGGTTTCACCATGTTGGCCAGGCTGGTCTCAAATTCCTGACCTCAAGTGATATGCCCGCCTCGGCCTCCCAAAGTGCTGAGATTACAGGTGTGAGCCACCACACCCAGCCCAAAGCATCTTTTTCTAAAAACACCATCAAGACTGTGATCTCTGGATCTGGGATATTGCCATTGCTTTATGTATGACCACCAACTCTTTAAAATAATTTCATGTTTTATGATTAGAATTTTGCTACCAAAAATTGCTTATTAATATTTAATACCTTTTGTAAACTCTTTTAATATGCTGTAGGGAAAATTCTCCAAAAGCTGACTACAGGCTGGTCATGATAGCTCATGCCTATAATCCCAGCACTTTGGAAGGCTGAGGCCGGCAAATCACTTGAGGTCAGGAGTTTGAGACCATTCTGGGCAAAATGGCAAAACCCCATCTTTACCAAAAACATAAAAATTAGCCATGTGAAGTGGTACACATCTGTAATCCCAGCTACTCGGGAGGCTGAGGCTGGAGAATTGCTTGAATCCAGGAGACACAGGTTGCACTGAGCCAAGATTGCACCTCTGCACTCCAGCCTGGGCCACAGAGCGAGATTCCATGTTAACAACAACAACAAAGAGATAACTGATGACTATAAGGCTAGAAGTCTTTGCAGGTCTGAAATCTATATTAAAAATTGGGCAACGCTAAGGCTTCATAAAACTTTAACAGGATTTAAAGTCTTATGAATCGTTGCTGAGGGATCTGGTGGATGCTGCCAAACTGTCAGAAGACATGCTGGCCTTATTATTATGGTTTTCTAATACTTTGGTGAAATAACACTTTTTGCTTATGGAAGTCACTTGCTTAACAATATTGACAAAATAAAAAGTAAACAAATAAGCCACTAAGTAGCTAAGAGAAATGCTGTAACATTCGTGCATAAAAACCAGCATGTTTTACAGAAAACCCCTAAAACAATGGGTACAATAAGCTAATGTCAGTTAAACTCAACTTTATTCTTTTTTTTTTTTCCAAGAAGGGAGAAAGTGGTCACTGTTGTATTCTTCATGTGATAAAAAAGCCTATCTGTCCAGAAATGCCATTGAAATCTGAGTAGCTGAACAGGTTCGTAAAACTATAGAAAAGGACAGTTTCTGTGCTGTTTAGGCGCTTTCATAAATTTGCTGTGGAAAAGATGATGTGGTTTTCACTATGTGTTTCATTTTTTGTCAGGTATTTATTTTTTTAAAAAAAATTAGCCCAATTTAAAAAGTACTTTGAAAGGCAAAGACATGGAGTGCTTTAAAATATTTTACATTAAGTGTCTTATAAAATATTTTTGAACATTTAAAGGAAATAAAGGCAATGAGAGTTAAAGAAAAGACACACTATATGAGCTTTTAGTTAATAAAATATTTATTGAGACTGTATCAAATAACAGGCTTCCTTCTCTGAGTGGTCAGTTGTCCAGGTATAGGATTTGCTTAGCTACAGAAACCTGACCAAGTTCTTCAGTTATACTTGTCTTTGTGTCTTTGACAGTATCATGAGACCTTTCTTAATATGGATTGTTTATAAAGGTAATCTCAGCTAAATGTCAGGTGTGGCAACCAAAAATTGCTTTTGTGATTTTTAAGCTGCTTCAATAGAAAGAGTGCCTAGGTCAGAGGTCATAATCGTCCTTTCCAGGCTGGATTCTGTCCCATGTTAGGAGGGTTTTGACAAGTTTGTGTGCACCCATGAGGATAACCCGGACAGTAATGGAACTGAAAATCATGTCCAAAAAGGAAGGAGTTATTTGTTTTGTGGAAGAGAAACGTAGAGAGGGAGGGATTCTTGCCTTCAGAAATTTGAAGGGCTATAGATGGTAGAGAAATTAAAACTCTTTGAGAGGGCAGAGCTTCAGTTACTGGCAGTGGGTCACAGAGCAAGGTGTTTCAGTTTGGCATAAGAAAGTGTGTCAATACAGCTAAAATGACATCTGGGTTTGCTACTACCTTATAATATTCAGTTAGAGGCTATTTGAATATGTATTTGGATTTGAATAATAGTGTTAAGATATCCTTAACACTATCTTTGTTCCTTGAAAGTACTATGTTTGTTCCTTGAAAAAGCTGACATGGCTGGGTGTGAACACTCATGCCTGTAATCCCAGCACTTTGGGAGGTCAAGGCAGGAGGATTGTTTGAGCCCAAGAATTCGAGACCAGCCTGGGCAATATAGGGAAACCCTGTCTTTATAAAAAATAAAATAAAATTATTAGCCGGGCAAGGTGACATGCACCTGTAGTCCCAGTCCCAGCTATCTGGGAGGCTAACATGGGAGAATCATTTTTTGAGCCCAGGAAGTTGAGGCTGCAGTGAGCCATGATGGTGCTGTGCCACTGCCCTCTAGCCTGGGCAACAGAGATGCTGTTTCTAAAAAAAAAAAAAAAAAGTTGACATGGTATGTATGTTCCCAGCTGTGCCATTGAAAGCAGAATGTTTATATTTAAGGTGCCTGTAGCCGTTGTGGGCCCAGTTTCCTCATTTTACTAATACCTTATGATTGCAAAATACCCACTGGTATAAAGAACTGTCATGCATTTTATTTCATTTGATGCTCTCACAGGTTCTGTGAATTTGCAGGGCAGAAACTGTTGTCCCCATTTTAGAGGTCAAGTGATCACGGCTTAGTTCAGTGAGAGGAAACGACTCACCCAAAGTGATGTAGTCAGAGCCTTGGATGACATCTAGGTTTTTGATTCCTAGTTTAGCATCTTTACCACTCCAGAATGATTTTCTTCCACTTGAAATTTAAATATTTGTCACAAAAAGTGACTTTATTTTTCTCATCAGTACTTTTATATTAACTTTGTATGTATTATATGATGGATGTTATTTAGTAAAGAAACAGTTATCTGTAAATGCCTGTATTTCCTCTCCATCTGCTTTCCCAGGGCAGAGGAATCCATGGGTTAGGATTACCAGATAGCAATTAGCAGGTGGGAGGCAGAGGGACGGAAGGTAGAAGGGAGTTATAAGTAGATAAGCTACAATGGTGTGTGTGTGTGTGCGTGCGTGCGCGCGCACGCACGCGTTCATAAGCACACACAAGCAAATAGTAATTTTAGAGAGAATCCTTTGAACAATCAGTGGGGGAATAAAACCCATGCCCTTTTCTTGGAAACTATAAATCACTACAGTTTCCTAGCTATGATCATTGCTGATTTCTGAAAGTGTGTCTCCCTTTGGTTTAAATCTGACAAACAATGTGCCGTCAGAATTGACTACTTGAGCACACTTGCTTTTTTGTGCTCCTAAAGATATCCTGAAGTCTGGATAATTAAACACTGAAGGCAAGGCATATGGCCTTACTTTAGTTAAAAACAATTGCAGAAAGAATGCCTGTAATTTAAATACAAAAACATGGTGGCATTTTATACTCTAAAGACATCCATACTCTAAATTTTAGTGCTTAAAACTGCTTTCTTTGAAGAGCCTTGTTGAAAGACAAAAAGGGAAATATGTTTTATTTAATAAATAATACTGTAACATAACGTATTGTAATTTTTCATTAAGGATATTATTGCTGTCTTTTTTGGAACTGACTGTATTTGCTGCCATTACATTTTACCATACATTAAATCAAATTTTATCTATCAGTTACATTTTGCCACTTCTGGGGGGCAAATCTGGCTGACTGGCTTTGCTCTTGGAGCCTTGATGGAATGTATATAGTTAGTGAAAAATTCCTTAGGCATTTGAAATGATTGAAGGAAAATAATAGAGTAAGCAACATTGTAGACTCGTCTTTGAAAATTAACCATCCAAATAATAATTGAGCTTCTCTGTCTATAGTTGACCCAATTTAACAAATAAAATATTTAAGTTTAGGGAAAGAAGATTTGTATCTCTCTCCCCTGCTCCCTATTTCCACTTTCTTCTTTCATTTACACGTTAGGGTTTTCTGTAATTGAGCTGAGATTTTTTGTGGTTTCCTCTGTCTTTTTCTGGGTGGAAACACAAAATCAACTATGACATATTCAATGTTGTGAACTTTTAGGCTGAAAAAAGGTACAGATACATGGTAGCAATGACCAGCACATTATTTCTCTCAGATACTTGAAAAGTGACGTCAGTAGCATTCAACAGAGGCTAGACCCTGCCAAGTTCCCATAAGGGAATAATTTCATTAAATGTGAAGCAGCAAAGTCATACAGACATGAACAATTATATTGAAGCATAAAAGTTTTCATTTTCACAAGAAGGTATCTTTCCCTTTCCTACTTTATTTTATTTTACTTTGAGAGATAGAGTCTTGCTCTGTTTCCCAGGCTGGAGTGCAGTGGCGTGATCTCGGTTCACAGCAACTTCTGCCTCCCGGGTTCAAGTGATTCTCCTGCCTCAGCTTCCCAAATAGCTGGGACTATAGGCATGTGCCACCACACCAGCTAATTTTCGTATTTTTTAATAGAGATGGGGTTTTACTATATATTGGCCAGGCTGGTCTCAAACTCCTACCCTCAGGTGATCTGCCCACCTTGTCCTCCTGAAGTGCTGGGATTACAGGTGTGAGCCACCTTCCTGGCATGTTTCCTACTTTAGCTAACCTTTTTGTGTAACTACTGTAGGAAGCCTGTGCAAATCAAACAGGTTTTCGAACTGAGGTGGTTTTTACTACACGATGAGACTGTTGACTTCATCATTGGCCCCAGGTATGCAGAAGATGATCCTAAGTCAGATAGTAACCAAATACACTTCATTTCCAAGAAAATTCAAATAAAAGAAGATGGTATTTGGAAGACTAAGTCTTGACAGTAACATAATACACTTTGGCAGCAAAAATTAGGGAGATGCTGAAACATGGTACTAGGAGGAATTTTCAGTCTTTTTTATTCCTTAGATTTAAAAAATGTTCAATTTATTACCTCAGGGTTCAGTATCAAATTAAAATAGATAAATGGAGACTTTAATAATAGCCAGCTGTCTGGAGTTGTTTTGATTTGGTGTCTCTGGGAAGAGGAATGATGGATTAGATTACTTTTGGATGTCTCTTTCAGATGATATGTCAGCAAGGCGAACTCTGTGTTTAGGGTAGTGAGATAAAAGTCGTGTGCACAGGTAATCTACCAGCTTTGGTGGAGTGTTGAAGACTAGACTGGTGCAATGAGGAAATGGCCAGCCACTTGAAAGCTGGAGAAAACAGGCAGGCCCCAGAGAGCAAAGACTCTCTAAGAACTTAAAAGTTGTTTGGGTAAGCATATTTGGAATAAAATGGGCAGTGATTCTGTTAATGAACAAAGAAAGTTATTTCAAATATGAATATGTAGGTAATGTAGTATATTGCTGGTTGTGATAGTGTTGTTCTGAGAATAAAGATAAATCAGCACATAAATTTGTGTGTATTAAAAGTGATACATTTCAGAATAGTTTTAGTATAAAATCAAATTATGTATTTCCCTTAAGACGGAATATTGTGTGAGAAAGTGATAGACAGGAAGTGCATATGTCTAATGGACTGAAAAGGAAAATAAGTTGCTAATACTGAATAATTGAACATAGTTGGGGCTAAAGGGCCTGGGAAAAAGCTGAAATACACAAAGAACAAACAATGCCCCTGGTAAAAACTCAAATATTCTTACTATAATAAGTCACAGAGAAATATTTCTTCTGTTTCGTATCTTTGAAGAAAGAATTCCAGATGTTAAACACATCTGATATATATTGTG
Source organism: Homo sapiens (assembly GCF_000001405.40). Taxonomy (NCBI): domain Eukaryota; kingdom Metazoa; phylum Chordata; class Mammalia; order Primates; family Hominidae; genus Homo; species Homo sapiens. The sequence goes on along the minus strand of NC_000004.12, from coordinate 120,855,935 downwards.
CTTACTACTGAGTGACAAATGTATGATTAAGAAGGGCCATAAACTAATTTCTCTAAGTAGTGCTGTCCTCTCAAACTGAGATATGCCTGGGCAAACCCATTTGTGTTTCACTACACAAAGTTAGTTAGCTTGTGTGGATTTCAGTAACAGTTATAGATTTTCAGTTTCAATTCTACTGAGAAAATTTTTCTTTCAAGTATTAGGTGGCATTGCCACCTGCTGTGCTTAATTTGGCTTTTTGTCAATATAAACAGTTTTGGTGCTATTGCTGTGAGGGTACCTGAAAGGAAGGACTTTATATCCAAATATTTAAAATTATTTGTTTACTCTGCCAAAAAAATGTGAACTGACATGCCCATTGAGGCAGAGGTGTAGAGTGTACATTCTCTTTACCATATCAGTGTTGCTGGACATTTTTGGAATTTCCCAGTGGGCAGTGAGTGTTCTGAGTCGAAGTGTAAGTAGGGAGGCAGAACAATTTTCAGGCACCTCCCAAAGCAGATCTTTTCAGTGAGAGTTTGTTATTTAGTGAGAAGTGTTACAAATTCCCATACCTTCACATATAAGCATCTTAAGTATGTAAATATGAGGTATTTATAGTCCTAAATTGCTCTTTTAGAAATTACAATATGAAAAATTAAATTCGTGCTTCCCAGTGATGGTCTGGCATTCATTATTGAGGATCCTTGGGCACTTAAGAAAACAGGAATTGTTTGAGAAACATGGCAGTATGTCACATATAAGGAACAGGCAGACTGTATTCTTTCCTGGGTATTATATATGAGAATCTTTAAATATCAGTTTTTGCAGTGCCTGTAACAGATGTGTCTTTAAAATGTTTTTTGGGTAAAAATAACTGTACCTGCCCAAAGTAACTGTCTAGATGGATTCCTGGTCTGTTGGTCCCCGCATGATCTGGTGTCTGCCAATCTGTTAGATCTCAATGCCCACCACTTTCTCGGTTGCTCCTTCTGTTCCAGCCTCATAACCTTCTTATTGTTCTTTGAATGCACCTAATTCATTTCCAAACCGAAGGCCTTTCTCCTTGCCTTTCACTTGCTGTACCCTCTGCTTGGAAACAGTCTTCCCCTAGCTCTCTACTGGCCTGTTCCCTCCCTTTAGAACTCTTAAGGTCCTCTCATCAAAGGGCTTTTCCTGATGGCCTCATGGAATAGAGCCCTTCTCTTAGTACTCTATTTTCTCCTGCTCTGTTTTAGTTGTCATCATAGTACTCATCTTTACACGAAATTATATTCTACATTTGTTTACTTTTAAGTTCCATGTGCTCTGGGGCTTTGTCTTGTTCACTGAAAGATTCTTGATGCCTTCAGCCATTAAGGACCCAATAATTGTTTGTTGAATGAACAAATGATTGTTCAGATGTAGCATGAAAATACATACCTTATTGGACTGATTGTCTTTTATTTTATAAAATAAAATTTTGGAAATCTAGAATTCTTATCAAGTCTGCCAAGGTGAATTTGTAACCTGTATGTTCGTGTTACTTGGTGTTGGAGATATGGAGTGCTAATCACTCACTCCTTTCCTTTTTTTTCTGGATTCTAATGGAATAGAAACATGAAATCAGAGTTGAATGGTGATTGGTATATAAGTTTTATAAACTGGGCAAGTCCCTAGCAACTGATAATGCAGGGGTTTTGGAGAAGCTAGATTTCAAGTAACTTGGGTTCAAGAATGTCCAATGGGTTACCTGCTTTTGGAGTTACTCCCCTCCTCTCTCCAGTTGAATGTAGAGTAGGCCTGAGCAATGAGAGCGTATGGTCTGAGACAAAAATCAGAGAGCCCACCATCCTCAGCAATCCATGAGTGGGCCATGAAAGGATAAAATGGGATTGTTTCATTCATTCACAAGTAAAGAGCATAACATTTTGTTTCATTGGATGTCAGATTCCCGCTGGCTAGATGAGCAGGTTCTCCTTTTATGGAGATGATTCTGTAAGCAGGTCCAGAGAGGAATTGAAATGATTGCTCCAGTTCTACCCCTCTCAACTGGGAAATAAGCAGTATGACCCTTCTCTTTGGAGAAAAGGGGAAGGTTGCAATAATGATTATTCTCTGAACAATTGTGATTGCAATACATATACTGGAATATACTTACAAACCGAAATAATTTTGACCAGAAAACAACTATCAACGTAGGATGTTTCTGAGAGTTCATTGCAATTGTGAGTCATCTAGACATCTGCCAAATGAAATAGTAGGCTGTATTTCTACATGTGTTTAAGAGAAGAATGCATGTTAGTCCAACTTCTATTTATCACCCATCAATAAAAAAGGTATATACTTATGAAAAAACGTCATGTCCTAACCTTGATGTGTTTAAAGGCTAATATTCTGACTTCCATTGTAAACTCAGGAGCCTTTAATGTTTCAGGTTCGTGGGAGTAAGGGAGAAGTTTTGTACATTTTGGATGCTACCAACCCACGGCACTCCAACTGGCTTCGCTTCGTTCATGAGGCACCATCTCAGGAGCAGAAGAACTTGGCTGCCATTCAAGTGAGCTTATTTGCTTCTCATTTGTACTATGCACTGTGAGGGGGGATGAATTAATATATGACTGTACTCCCTGTTTTAAATTTGTTTCCCAATGACCTCCTTCAAATAACAGTAACTCATAAAAGCAGAGAAATCTCATCTAGTCAGCATATGTAGGAAAGGGCAAGCCTAGCTGTAAACTAACACCAGGGTACTTACTTTATGAGAATTCCTGAGGGAATGAATTACACAGTCTGATATTGTCCTTGGCAGATCTCGCTTTCAGGTACTTTTATTTCATTCAGTGAATATTCATTGATATTTTAATTTGTTTGATAGTTTATTTTGTTCATAGTACTATACCCTCTGTTAGTGTTTGGGAAAGGCTTTATGGAGAAGGTTTACTTGGGGATATTCCCTGTGACCAGGCTTTGAGCTTGTCGGAGGTGGTGTGTTAGTCAGGGTTTCCCAGAGAAACAGGTGCAGTGGCTCACGTCTGTGATCTCAGTATTTTGAGAGGCTAAGGTGGTAGGATCACTTGAGCCCGAGAGGTCAAGGCTGCAGTGAGCCATGAAGATGCTGTTCCACTTCAACCTGGGCAACAGAGCAAGACTATGGCTCCAAAAAAAAAAAAAGAAAGGATATATCCTTATATATCCTTTTTTTAATATAAAAAATATATAAAAATATATATATGGTTGTGTGTATATATGTATTTGTATATGTGTGTATATATGTGTGTATACATGTATATGTTTATGTATGTGTGTATATATACGTATATATAAAATAGGGGATTACCTCACAATGATTATAGGAGCTGGTAAGTTTAAAATCTACATTGCTGATGTACCAGTTTAAGTCTAATGGCCAGAAGCTGCTATAGAACCAGGAAGAGCTGATATCCCACTTGGAAACCCATCAGGCAAGAAGAGCTAGCGTTCCAGGTTGCAGGCTGTTAGGAGAATTCTCTCTTACTCTGGGGTAGGTCAGCCTTTTGTTTGATTCAGGACTCAGCATGATTGGATGAGGCCCACCCACATTATGGAGGGCAATATACTTTATTCAAGTCTCCTGATTTAAATGTTAATCTTTTCCAAAAACACCCTTACAGAAACACCCAGAATAATGTTTGACCAACTATCTGGGACCCTGTAGCCTAGTCAAGTTAACATGTAAAGTTAACCATCACTGGTGGGAACCGTGTTTTATTGAATTCCATTTCCCTGTATCCTAGCATACTGCTGGACAAAACATTAGGTTTTGATACAAACTATGAGTTGAACTTAGGTGATCCCTCAGTGGAAAATAAGGCAAGAAGAGAAAACGATATAGTTTTTAGAGGAGCCCTATAGTTAGGGCTTCTCTAAAACACATTGATCAGATGACCAAAAGAATAAGGAAACATTAAATTCTGGCAGATAATTGACTGATTACATGTGAAAGCTCATCTTCCTGGATTCTAAACTTCAGAAGAGGAAGTAAAGCTATGGTTGGCAAAAGTAAGAGGGGAAGGGAAAAGAATAAGACATGAACAGTATTTGAGAATCTACCATGTACACTGTTCAAGAAGCTTCATATACATGTGGTCATTTATTCGTAGAAATTCTGATAGTTTGACAATTTGTTGACATTACACTGATTTCATTCAATTCTCAATATAAAATCAACAGTAGCAAGAAGGAAAAGGCACAGAATTAAGTTTTAAAGTAACTAGCAAACAGTCATCTAGACTACTTAATTTCCTAATGTCATCTAAACAATTTTTTTCAGTACAAATGAGTATTAGATAATCAATGTGACTACTGTCCCTTTTTGCATGGATACATGAGAGATGACTCTTACTAAACAGCTGAGGTGACATGGAAAATAGGATCTCTGGCAGCCGGGGATATTCAAGCCACTTTTCCAATTATTCATGATGGCCATTGATCCAACCACAAGTTTAAACTGATGTTTTTTTTTTTTTTCTTTTTCAACATGTAGACATTATTTTTTTCCAAGTGTTTATATATTTTTTCATGGCTTTCTGAGGCAAACTCATCCATGAGAACATCATTTATGTCAATATTTTAATTTACGGACTCAGTTTGTTTCTTTGTAAATGTTACTATTATTAAAATTGCCTATAGAGCCATGAATTTACCTTAAGCCAACCCATTGTTTTGGTAGGTTCTCCATCATTGTGATTGTGGAGAATATTATTTATGCTAGATGGTTTTTCTTTTCAGGTGTAAATAATGATTTTAAGCCTTCTCCAAATTCCTTCAGTTTCAGAAATGTCTTCCTATTGCCTATTATTTCTGTAGAATCAGTAGGTCTCTTTCTTTGCCTAAACTTACAAAGTGTTATGTGAGTTTCATCTTATATTTACTTAGGTAATACTTGTTTAGGAGTTCCCCTTAACTGAACATCTTACTTGTAATGATCCCTTTAGTTAATGGAAAACAGTGTCAATAAGTATTTATACCTTGATCTTTCACCATTTACTCTGCTACTCTACTATGCCCTGTATGTTATCATATTGTAGGCACTTCGCTCATTTTCAGTAATCACATTGTCTAAGACTTACAGTTTTCATGTTCATTTAGTACATTCCACGCAGTACTTTTCTTCCTCTATATCAACTGTGTTTTTTCCTTGAAAGAAAATATAAATCACAAAAGATGACAGGTACTCCAAGAAATTATTAATGACTTAACAAGAGGAGTGAGGGGGGATTAGAACAGGACTTATGTAACTGGTGGGCTCTCTGAAATTTCACTCTTGAATTATAATCTAAGTATGTTCAGAAGCCACTCTGAGAGGCTTTTGGTGCAGAGCAATGACAGTGGCTTTCATTTCTTTTAACACTGTTTTGCACTTTCTTAATAGGGATGCAGTGCACTGCTACCATATTTTTTGTCATAGATTACAATAGGGATCTTTGTTAGCTCCCTTGAGGTAACATCTTTCTTATTTTGAACAGTAGCTGGAGTAGAGGATTGCTGAGGGTTCAAAATCACATCTGAGCTAAAGGCAGAGAGCATAATAGTTGGGTCACGTGGCTGAAAGAGATTTCAGCCTTCTAATTGGTTGGAATGATCTCCTAAAGATTGCATTCCAGAAACATTGAGTTGGTAAGGTCATGATGTTTCCTGCATAACATTATGAATCACTTGCATTCCAAATTGCATCTGAAGTTTGGGGTATTCAGGAAATTTTTTATTTGAGCTGTATATCCCAGGAGTGGAGTAAATGAGAAACATTTGTGACTATGTGGCTTGCTCGGTGGAAAACGTCAATACTTGGTCCAACTTTTTTGGACAAGGGATTATGAAGTTGAGGTCTGTTTTGGCAGATAATTGGAACTCCTTCTTGGAGACTTGATTATATTTCTAGTTTTGCAATTTATTTGATTTTGAAAAATTTGCTTTGCAAATGATGACTTAAGTATCTGAATTATCAAAGACGGATCTAGTAAGCAAACAGTTCTTCCCACATGCACACTTTTCAGAATAATCATTTAACTGTATGTTCAGACTTCTGAAAAGTTTCCAACTATGGCTAGAAAATTCTAAATGTGAAAGTTGTGGCTTAAAATGAACTAAAATATCCTTAAGCTCCATAGGAAGTGGGTGATTCTTATTAAATGCTAATTTTGTTGCACTAAAGGAAAAAAATGTATATGTAGCTTAAAAATATTTTTGACCTAGTTTGTGTTTTGCAGGCTCTTAAAAATTTCTGTTCTTTTGATAGAAGATGAATATTTTATGCCACTTACAGTTGAAACTATTAATTATTTGAACATTTCAGAGATGGAGTGCTACATCTCATATTCTTAAGCCCATATTTTCAGGCATGTCTTTTCTGTGACTAGTTGCCATACTTATCGATTTACATAAAAAGGTAAAAACATTTGGGTAAAAACATTTGGGTCCTGGTGCACTTCATGAGGGGTGTCAGGATGTGAGGATGGTCTAAATGAGGTGAGAAGGCACTGGGTATTGAGCCAAGATATTCTCACAGCTCTGCCCCAATTCTGCTGTCAGTTTAGAATGCTCATTACCAGCAGTTATTTTGTCACAGATTATTGAACCTCCTTTCTCTGCCTTGCCTGAGGATGGATAGTCATAAACAATTTATCCTGGGGTCTTCTCTGGCGACACGTGAAATTTAAATATGACAGAGCTGGAAAATCACATGTGGATCTCTAAAGAGAGAAGCAACTTTGTTTTCCAAGCACAGATAAGACATTCTCCATTGTCACTAAGCTACCAAGATCCATAGGAGTAACAAATAATGTTGATACAGAATTCAAATAGCAGCAGTACCAACTAAGCAACCAACAAAAATAAATACCAAAAGGATTTATTACTTATGTGCAAAATGATGGCTTTTCCAGTTCTCTATCTTTCCTATTTCTGTTTTTTCTTACCAGATTTATACAAGTGGCATTTTTAGAATTTTTTTAAGAATCTGTCACAAAATGATAAAGTACAGCTGTCTAGTGATTTTCTTCAATAATAACATAAAAATAACAGTTAAATAACTTACAGATCTATCTTTTAATAGGTTATCTTCCAGTAAGGTCTGCATTTGTATTTTATTAGGGTAACATTTTAAACTAAAGTAAAAATGCAATTGGTCCCGTGAGTTTTTAAATACCTGCTCTACTTTGGTCTTATGTGGGGAATTTTATTACTTATCAATATTATTTTCATTAATTTTGTAGCTTATTGACAGGGCAAATTTGCATTTATAGGAATATTCTTAAGTTATTTATAGTGGTAAAGTTGAAATCTGTGTTAATCCTTAAAATGATGATGATGGCAGCTAACACTTACTGAATGCTTACTGCATGCCAGTTAGCAGTTATTCACTTATTAATGTATTTATTAACTATTTACTGTGACTGTATGAGAAAGATATTATTATATAATTTTCATCTTCCTTTGTCAGATAAGGATACTGACTCTCAAGAGCATCTAAGTAACTTGCTTGAGACCACACAGCAAGTGAGTGACTGGGTTTGATTTGAATCCAGATTATATGTCTTCATTGTCCACTCTTTTAACCCCTGTGTTGTAATGCCTTAAAGTTGAGATTACTTTTTAAAAATGTAAATTCAGATCTTAAAAATCTTTCATGTTTCTGAACTTGGTATTAGATATTTTTGAAACTACTGACAATTTTCAAAGCAGGTTAATTTTAAAATATATATTTTAAGTTATTTATGTTATGTATCCCTTGATTTTTTTATGTTCCCAAACTGTCCTTAATCCATTATAAAGCATTGCACCTGCTTCTTCTTCATATACAGATCATGCCTAGGCAACATCTATTCTTGTTTCTTTTTCCTTTTGTCTCCTCTTGCCTCATTTTAGCTGCTAGCTAATGTGCTAAAAATGTGATAAAGGTAACATTTAGATCTCTTGAAATTATTATTATAATACACTGTAGTAAAATTTCAGAATCAGAGCCTGTCAGGTTGGGTGTAGAGGAAAGTTTTAATTAGGTGGGACTTTCTGTGCCTCTCGTCCTAGGAACCATAGAGGAAGTTACCTTTTCTACTTCTATTGAAGACCAATCCTGCTTCCCAGTATCCATGTCTCACCCAGCGGTAAAACAGAATCTTTTATAACCTTATCTTTGACTAATATGAAGGTTCTGTCAGTCACGTTTATTAGAGTATGACTTTTGAGTTATTTGCAGAATGACTTTCATCTAGCCTGTCTTATTGGTATGTATTTATGATTGTAGTAGTTATCCATCGTTATGTAACAAATTTACCCCAAATTTTAACAGCTTAAAATAACAAACATGCAGTATGATTTTATACAATTTGTAAGGGTCAGGAATTTAGGAGCAACTTAGCTGAGTGGTTCTGGGGTTCTGGTTCAAGGACTTTCATGAGGTTGCTGTCAAGTGGTCAGCCAGGGAAAACTTGATTGAAGTCTGTGAAGACTTGATTAGGCTGGAGATTCTGTGTCCAAGGTCTGTCACATGGCAGGAGGCTTCAGTTCTTCACCACTGAACTGGGGCTCTCTCTGGGGTTGCTCAGGACTTGACAGCCTGCTTCTCCCAGAGAGGGTGATGAGAAAGAGTGAGAGCAAAAATGAGTGAGAGAGAGAGAGAAAGAGAGAAAAAGGGGGAGCTGCAACCTTTTATAACCTAATCTTGGAAATAACGTTCCACAGCATCACTTCTGTTGAATACTATTAGTCACACAGGCCAACCTTGGCACAGTGTAGGAAGGGACTACATGATGGTCTGGATACCAGAAGTCGAGACATCCTAGAGGTTGAGACATCTGTCTTCAAGCTACAGCAGTGATCAGTGGGGAGAATATACTTTATGTAAGGATGGAATAAGGTTAGAGTAAATGGAAAAGGCAAACACTTGATACAGACTCAGAAGGAATGCAGAACCCAACCCAGTTTGGATAATATTAAGAAAGGCAGTTTCAAGCAGTAGAAAGAGCATGAACTTTGTTGTCTGAAGGACTTTAAGTAGATCCCGGGCTCTGACTTTTGCTGGCTGAGTAAGTTACTTAACTCATTCATTCAACCCATAGCTATGGAGCATCTGCTACGTACCAGGCCCAATGCTGAGCACTGGAGATACTATGACTAAAAAGATGATCTAGCTCTTGCCTTCATAGCAGTAAAAATAACCTTTAAAACTGCTCTTCTTTATGAGTTGATTGTAATAATGCTTACTTTATTGGATTTTTGTGAGGACTAAATTAAATGAGATAATATATGCAAAACACTTAGCCTCTACACACCTGGGGATGCTCTGGGTTTCATTCCAGTCCACTCCAAGAAAGTGAGTATCTCAGTAAAACACCATAACATCTTTGGTTTCACAGTGCATGTAAACGTTATATTTATACTATACTGTTGTCTATTAAGTGTGCAGTAGCATTATGTCTAAAAAATACACATATCTTTAAAGAATACTTTATTGCTAAAATGTGTTAATGATTATCTGAGCCTTCAATGAGTTAGAATCTTTTTGCTGGTGAAGTGTCTCACCCTGATGTTGATGGCTGCTGATTGATCAGGGTGGTGGTTGCTGAAGGCTAGGGTGGCTGTGGTAATTTCTTAAATAAGACAACAATGAAGTTTGCTGCATCAATTGACTTTTCCTTTCACAAAAGGTTTCTGTGTAGCATGCTTTGCTTTTTGATAGCATTTTATCCACAGTAGAACTTTAAAAATTGGAGTCAGTCTTCTCAAACCCTGCTGTTGCTTTATCAGATAAGTTTATGTCATATTTGAAATTCTTTGCTGTCATTTCAACAATGTTCACAGCATCTTCACCAGGAGTAGATTCTATCGAAGGAAACTACTTTCTTTGTTCATCTGTAAGGAGCAACTCCTCATCTATACAAGTTTTATCATGAGATTACATCAATTTAGTCACATCTTCAGGCCTCACTTCACATCTTCAGGTCTCACTTCTAAGTCTAGTTAGTTTTCTTGGTATTTCCATCACATCTGCAGTTACTTCTCCTGAAGTTTTGAACACCTCAAAGTCATCCATGAGGGTTGGAATTGACTTCTAAACTTCTGTTCATGTTGATATTTTGCTCTCATCTCATGAATCACACATGTTCTTAATGGCATTTAGAATGTCAATCCTTTCCAGAAGGTTTTCAATTTACTTTGCTCAGGTCTACCAGAGGAATCACTGTGACAGCAATAGCCTTATGAAGTGTGTTTCAGAAATAATATTTGAAAGTCGAAATTTATCCTTGATCCATGGGCTGCAGAATGGATGTTGTCTTAGCAGGAATTAAAACATTCATCTTCTTGAACACTCCATCAGAGCTCTTGGGTGACCAGGTGCCTTGTCAATGGCAGTGTTATTTTGAAAGGAATTTCTCAAATGAGCAGTAGTTTTCAGAAGTGGGCTTAAAATATTCAGTAGACTATGCAGTAAACAGATGACAGTGCCATCATCCAGGCTTGGTTATTCCATCGATAAAACATAGGCAGAGTAGATTTAGCACAATTATTAAGGGCCCTAGGATTTTCTGAATGGTAAATGAGCATTGGCTTCAATGTAAAGTCACCTGCAGCATTAGACTCTAACAAGATAGTCAGCCTGTCCTTTGAAGCTTTGAATCCAGGTGTCACTTCTCCTCTCTCGCCATGAAAATTCTAGATGGTATCTTCTTCCAATAGAACTATTTCTTGTACATTGAAAATCTGTTGTTTAGTGTAGCCAGTTTTCTTAATTATTAATATCTTAGATAGATCTTCTGGATAACTTGCTGCAGCTTCTCCATCAGCTCTTGCTGCTTCACCTTGTACTTTTGTGTTATAGAGATGGCTTCTTTCCTTAGACCTCATAATTCTGCTAGCATCCAGCCTTTCTTCTGCAGCTTCCTTGTCTCTCTCAGCCTTCACAGAATTGAATAGAATTAGGGAGTTGCTCTGGTTTGGGCTTTGGCTTAAGAGAATGTTGTGGCTGGTTTGATCTTCTATCCAGACCACTCAAACTTTCTCCATATCAGCAATAAGATTGTTTCACTTTCCTTATCATTTGTGTGTTCACTGGAGTAGCACTTTTAATTTCTTTCAAGAACTTTTCCTCTGCATTTATAACTTGGCTGTTTGGCCCAAGTGGCCTAGCTTTCAGCCTGTCTCAGCTTTTGACATGCCTTCCTCATAAGCTTAGTCATTTCTAGCTTTTGATTTAAAGTGAGAGACGTGTGACTGTTTCTTTCACTTGAATACTTACAGGCCATTGTAGGGTTATTAATTGACCTCATTTCAGTATTGTTGTGTCTCAGGGAATAGGGAGGTCTGAGGAGAGAGAGAGAGATGGGGGAAGGGCTACTGGTAGAGCAGTCAGAACACACTATCAGTTAAGCTTGCCACTATATACGTATGGTTTATGGTGGCCCCCTAAACAATTACAATAGTAACACCAAAGACCCTTGATCACAGGTTATCCTAACAGACACAATAATAATAAAAAGGTTAGAAATATTGCAAAAAGTAGCAGAGGCATGAAGTAAGCACATGGTGTTGGAGAAATGGCTCTAAGAAACTAGCTCGATGTAGAGTTGCCGTAGTCCTTCAATTTGTAAAATATGCAATGTCTATGAAGCACAATAAAGCAAAGTGCAAGTAAACAAAGTACGCCTGTAAGTGCTGATATAGTAAGCTTAAATTTTCATTATCACCACCCCTTGCCAGGTTTGTAGTTTTTGTCTTTATAATATCGTCTGTATATGAAACAAAGTAAAATCTGTTTTATTTCTTATAAAGCTTTCCCAGAGTATCTAGTATAATTCTGTGCATGTAGAAGACTTCTCAGTAATTATCCACTACTCAAGAGACAACCTGCTGTGTGGAGTGACTGAATCCTAGTGAGCCTGCCCCACAGTGGCCGCAGCGGCCTATGCACCCTGCTACTGAGCTCCTCTGTGTTTAGGTGCACGAAGCATCCTCTTAGGCCACTTGAGTAGTATTTACTGTGGATGACATTGTGCTTGCTGTGCTCTGTGGCCATTCTTCTCTTTGGAAAGATAAAGACTTTATAGACACAAGAAATGCCCTGTGGGGAAGAAGTCTTACTGTACTGTGTGCTGAGATCTTTATTAGATATAGTGGCTTGGTGACCCTAGGGATAAGATTAAAATCATTATGCCTATATGTTTGTGCCAAACCACTTTTCAGCTTTTTTAAAGAAGAAAGTTTTGTGCAGGCTGATTCTTTCTTTATTTTCTTTTCTTCTTCTTTTTTTTTTTTTTTTAAGGCCGGATCTCATTCTGTTGACCAGCGTGCAGTGGCCTGATCATGGCTCATTGCAGCCTCCATCTCCTGGGTTCAAGGGATCCTTCCAAGTAGCTGTGACCACAGGCATGTGCCAGCATGCCCATCTACTTTTTTAAATTTATTGTAGAGATGGGGTCTTGCATTGTTGCCCAGGCTGGCCTTGAACTCTTGTACTTAAGTGATCCTCCTGCCTTGGCCTCACAAAGTGCTGGGATTACAGGCATTAGCCACCATGCCTGGCCTATAGAGCACCTTTTATGTGCTCATTTATGGTAGTCTTGTGCAGGACATTGGCATTAAATTAAATTAATTAATTAATTAATCTTGAGACAGGGTCTCTCTCTGTTGCCCAGGCTGGAGTGATGCAGTGGCACAATCTCGGCTCACTGCGACCTCTGCCTCCTGGGTTCAAGCTATTCTCCTGCCTCAGCCTCCCGAGTAGCTGGGATTACAGGTGCACATCATCACGCCTGGCTGATTTTTGTATTTTTAGTAGACAGGATTTCACCAGCTACGTTGGCCAGGCTGGTCTCAAACTCCTGATCTCAAGTGATCCACCTGCCTCGGCATCCTAAAGTGCTGGGATTATAGGTGTGAGCCACCATGCCCAGCTGACTGATTGTTTCTTACAGAAATCCTCTGAATTTTGCCTGCTCTCAGATGTTTTTGCAGATTGGGTAATGCTGGATATTAGAAAGTTGTGTCCCTAGAAATTATAGCCTTATGGGGCTCATATATTCTTTCCATATTTAGTGACCTAACAAAGCCTACCTCTGTAACATTAACCAAAAGAAGGCTAGAGGGCTGAAGAATGTTTGTTCCCTCATTGATTTGGGGCTTTTGGTTGTAATAGGATTGGTGATAGTGAAAGTGTGAAGTAGAATTGAAAATAGAAATTCTGTGAAGCTGTCATGGGGGGAAAGTGGCAAATCTTACATTTCATATTTAGATTAAATTATAGTGTTTAATTTAAAAATTTTAAAATTTAAAACATTTTAAAAATAGTTAATTTGAAATATTCCCAAGACTCCTAGAATTGAAATCCAAAATACTTAATATCATGATGACACTTAGATAAACTATTTATTTATGTTGTCATCTCTATCACTAGGCTGAATTTCTCAAGAGTGGCATTTGTGTCAGTTATGTTTGTTTCCCAGTGTTCATTTCGTCTAGTGGGGGCTCAGTAAGTGCTTGTTGAACTGGCCTCCTTTGGCAGCTCTTCTGCCTCTTTCCTGATGTGGTACACCTAGTTGAATGTACCTTGTCACTTGGGAAAAGGCTTACATCTGTTTCCTTTAAAATAACAGAAAGCAAATGCTTCCACTTGAACTCTGGCCTGAAATATATGTGCATGCGAGTATTTGGTCTGGCAAAGTGTCACATTTTTACTCTGTGAGTGCTGAGTATGTACTTGTATGTGTGTACACATTTCAGTCTACTGCTAAGTAGTTTTATCTTAGCCAGACTGCCGTGCAGCCAACAGCACCTCATCGTTAATGTCAAAAGTCTTTTTACAGATATAACCACAGACAAGCAGAACCTTTAATTCAGATACTCTGTTGATTAACAACCAGAGAGTTCAGTCTGGACTCACTCAGAAAACTAGGATATAGAATAATGAAATAGCTAAGGCTACTGAGAAAAGAAGTATTTACTATGAAGTGGTAGTGTGCTTTCAAATCATACGTAACAAATGTAGTAATGAAAGATTAGTATTTGAGAATTAATCAATATTGCACTAAATATACTGGAACTGGGCTATATCATTACAAGATTTAGGAGGTATGTTAGAAATTAAAAAGAAGAATCTTAGGAATGTTTTAGTCACTAGAAAATATAATGAAACATTTGTTATATATGGAGCCAAGCAAACAACATGAAAGCTCACTTACCAGAGGAGGAAATTAAACTAACAACCATGTACGTGTGAGTGCGTGGGTGTGTGGTGTGTATTTTTGAAGTGTTAAAACTAAAATTTAGACACCCAGAATAAGCACATATACTACTTGTTGCCAGGCAAGATTTTTGGTGTATGAACATAAAGAAGGAAATGACTTTGTTTTTGTGTTTCAAAATTGGAAATATGTTTTATGGTAAGTTTTAAACTATTTTTTAATGGTTGGCATTAAAGAAGTCAATAAACAAATTACAAAGTGAAGTAAATGTAATGGATACAACACAAAACAGTAGAATTAGCCACATGTAGGTCTTTATCAATGGAAGTTGAGTAGTCTAGGGAAATTTCTATTCAAAGAAGACTGTACTACATCCAGTGCCTGAATAGACTGTCATAAAAGGTTCAGCCACTGTTGAGCAATACGAAGTAAAATGTGAAGTTCTGCATTCTATCACTGAATTCACTACTCAAAAGAAGGTATAAAAATTACCTTGTACTTTATATACTGTACTCAATGTAATTTGTATAACAAAGTTATACTGTATTAAGCCAAGTATATTTCACTCTGATAATTTTGAGAAGTCTACTATGTCACAAAATCTAGGAAAATGTTACCTTAGACCCTAATCTAATCATCCTTGATTGAGTCTTAGTCACCGTAGAAATCTCACATGATTTAAAAAACACAAGGATAGGTAGAGATTTGTTAAAGGATACAAAATTACAGCAAGATAGGAGGAATAAGTTCTAGACTTTTTCACTGGGGTCCCCAACCCCTGTGCCGTAGACCCATACCTGGCTGCACAGCTGGAGGTGAGCCATGGGTGAGCGAGAATTACTGCCTGAGCTCTGCCTCCTGTCCGAGCAGCAGTGGCATTAGTTTCTTATAGTGATGGCAGTGGAGGGCTGTCTCGAGTGGCCGCTGCCATCATGCCAGCCACTGCAGGGAGGGTATGGGGAGGAGGCAGATAGCCCCCTGCAGCCTGCCGCCCTAGGGGCCACCATGATGTGTCCGGGCTGGGTCGCCTGTCAGGCCTATCGTGGGCAGAGTCGTGACCTGTGATGGACAGAGGGGCCCCATATTGCGGTCCCAGGTTGGGCAGAGAGGGGCCCTGAGATGAAGCTGGGCCTGGAGTGGTGCTGTGCTTGCCCATGGGGGGAAGGGGCTGGGCCTGGGTCACGGAGCTGGGGCCACACTTTTGGGGCCTGAGGTGGGAATTGGGAGCAGTGCTTGCTTTGAGGACCCGGCCAGCCATGCAGTCACTGTACCCACCCTGCTGAGGGTGCTGGGTTCCTATGCCTTGGGAGGAGGCTCTGCGTGGGGCTGCCCAGGGCCATGTCCATGGGGTCCACCCTGCATTGGGGTGACTGCCAAGCCTGACATTCCCAACGGCTGGGCCTGGGGCCCGTGATCCACTCCCAGAGGAGCCCCTCCCCAGGCAGGGCCCTGAGCCAAATGACGGGGAGCCCCAGGCTGTCCCTGAGCACAGGGCCAATGGGGAGAGCTTGTGTCAATGTCACTCTTACCCCAAATGCTGGCCCCAGCCCGGCGAGAACCTGGAGCCCTGCCCCAGGGTGTGAAGGGGCACAGCCAGGACTGCATGCTCCATGGAGCCAGTGGGAGCCAGGAGCAGGTAGCAGCCGCACCCTCCCAGATGCGGCTTCAGCTACCCAAGTTGGCGCTGTGGACCCAGGCCTCCCTGTGCTGCTTGCAGGCTCTGAAATGCCTGCTCCCGCTCCCTGGCTTCTCCCAGCTGTCAGCGCCTACTCTGATCTCAGAGCAATGTGGGGCTGAGCCCGGTTGCTGTCACAGCCTGGCTGGGGGTGCATACACCTGGGGCAGTGCTGACACACCAGCTGCCTGCTGCCTCAGCTCCCCGCTGCCTCAGCTCCCCCGCTGCAGACTTGGGCACCAATGAGTGTGGGGGGGTTGGAAACCGATGCAGAGCTGAGGGCAGCTCAGTGTGGCCTGCAGGTGCCCCTTGGCACAAGCACCTGGGCTCCATGGAGGGTGGCAGGAGGCAGATAGGCTCCTGGGCAAAAGGGGGCAGGTACCCGGTGAGGCCCCACCTTCAGGCTAGGGATTGCCTGAAGGCTGGGGGCCAGGCTGACAGTCCGGTCGACCAGAATGGGAACTTGTGGTGCCTTTTCTGGGCCTGCCCATGACTGCCTGTGAACCAAAGAATGCACACTTCCTCCCCTCCGAGGCCTGTAAAAGCCTCAGGCTCAGCCAGAGCAGAGCAGATGATGGAATGACCAGCTGCAGAGAGGAGCTACCCTCTCTGCTGAGAACTGAATGCTTATTGTGATGACTTGCCTAGAGAGAGGAGTTACCTTCTCTGCTAGCAGCCTGAATGCTCATTGGTATACCCTGCCTGTGGAAAGAAAACCTGCAGGTTTCCTCTGAGCTGTTCTGTTGCTCAATGAAGTTCCTCTTCATCTTGCTTACCTTCTACTTGTTTGTATACCTCATTTTTCCTGGTCACAGGACAAGAATTTGGGACCCGCCGAATGGCGAGGCTAAAAGAGCTGTAACACAGACAAGACTGAGACCTGCTCCTTGCTTGCCACATTGCGAGTGAAGAGAAGGAGAGAAGAGCTGCAGCCTTTCAGGGATCCCAGACCTGGGAGCTCCCCAAGCCAGGGCTGTGACTCCTTCTTTGGGGTGCTGCAGTTCCTGGTGTCTCCGAGCTTCTGGATGCCACTGTGTTCCCTGGTGTCAGCTGTGGAAGCTACTTGCGGTGTGCCTGTCCCAGCTGCAGCCTGGCAGAGAGCTGGCACCTGTGCTGGCACCTGGAGCTGCCCACCCTTCTGCAGCAGCCGGCATATCTGACTGTGCATTGGCCAGACCCCACACTCACTCTCACACCCCTTGCCGCTCCATGCAGTCTCCCTTGGCAGGTGTGGAATCCAGGCCATTAGTGTGAGCTGAACACAGCCTGCCAGGTCGAGTGAGCAGAATGAGCTCAGTGGGCTGAAGCAAAAATTTGGGCAAAGGCACGACTGGCCACAGAGGTTTCCAGCCAGAAAAGCAACACCCCAAAGATCCCATAATAATAGGAGTGCAAAACCTGTTGTAAACTGTGCATGCCAGGGATCTAGGTTGTGTGTTCCTTATGAGAATCTAGCTAATGCCTGGTGATCTGAGGTGGAACAGTTTTATCCCAAAACCATCCCCAGCCCCATCCCTGTCCATGGAAAAACTGTCTTCCACAAAACCTGTTCCTGATGCCAAAAAGGTTGGGCACTGCTATTCTATACCGCTGTAGGATGACTATAGTTAACAATAATATATAGTTTCAAAAAGCTAGAAGGAAGACATTGAATGTTCCCAACACAAAGAAATGATACATGTTTGAGATGATGGATATGCTGATTATCTTGATCTGATCACTATACATGATATGTATTGTAACATCACTAGGTACCCCATGAATATGTACAATTATGTGTCAAGATAAATAAGTAATAAAATAAAAAGCTTTATCTTATTCCCCAAAAAAAGACAGCTTGAGGAAAGGAAAAAGGAAGATTACTAGCAGAGTTGTAGGCTATTGTCTATGGTACTTTACTGCATGAAGAAGGTACAGAGGCTGAATGGAAGAGGGGTTGTAAAACTGGAGTATGGGCTTTCCTTTCACATGGAGCTTTGTTTAACAGAAGTCTAGAAAGTAGATATAAGAATCATTATCATGGTTAGTTTATGTCAAAACTATACATACTGTCTTATTATACTTAATTAAATGGGTAATCATTTGACTAGTGTGTCTATGAGTTCGTAAGTTGGTACTTAATGGTTATATTATTTAATTCACCTCAGTGGACAGAGATTAAAACAGAGTCATTTTCTGGTTCCTTTTCCTGTGGTTAATTAAGTCCTTTGAGATATGGCTGTATACACTTTATGGTGGTTTACACATGTCTGTTTTATTAGTTTTGCAGACAGTAGACAGGAACAAAAAGGGGCATAGTCATTCTTGCTGTGAGTTAACCCTACACTTCTCCAAGCAGTAGAATGTAAACTCAACTAGGCTTTTGAGAACTTTCCCTCAGTGACTTAATTAATTCCATGCCCATTTCTGGACTTTGGAATATAGCATGCATCTATGTAGCTTGTTTTTTACTTTATCAAATTTAAAATGCTCATTATCGAACATTTATATTTTTATATTAAACTTTTGTAAGTATAACCTGCTTGGTTTCAAATATTTCACATGCAACATGACATTGGTTGGAATAATGTTATGTTGTATGTAAAAGTGTAAGTTGTATGTAAAAGATTAATATCACAATCCTTTGAAATACTTTGCACCTTGCTATTGAATAAAGTTGATGACTTTTAATTCTGTTGACATAATCTAGAACCCATAGGGAAACTCTATGATAATGTTTTACTTCTAGAAAGTCAGTCAATAAGTAAAAACAAAACAGAAAAAACATAAAAAACTTTTATTATCCATGCTTATGAAATGAGATTTCAAATGGAGTCACTTTGATGCATCATACAAATGTATCAAATTATTGAAATTTTGCATCAGCAGGCACCTCAGAGATTAAATATATCCTTCAGGAAATCTAGCCTTATAACAGTATCACTAGCCTTATAATAATCAGGTAGTTGTAGTATCCTGTCCTTTTAGACTTAGTATTGGACTGACAGTCAGGCATGGCAATTCCTGAGCATGTTGGTGGTAGATTGGTGGAGATGGTGCTGGAAGTCACCTCCAGAGCATGGTGAATTTGATAGGCAGGTGGGTAGAATAGCCTCAGAACATTTGACTTTCACTCTATATAAATCTTGTGGCACATAGCCCTTTATATTGGGTTTATTAATAATAATGATAAAAATAGTCATTGTGACTAATAGTAATTGGCACTATGCTTAACACTTTAGATATATTGTCTTATTTAATTCTAACAACCCCCCCTAAAGTAGTAGTAATATTCCCATTTTGCTGATGAAAAAACTGAACCCAAGTATATAGAGCTTGAAAGTGGTGGAACAAAGAGCTTTTCACCCTAGCCAGTCTAACATGCAGTTTTGGTATCTAGATTCCCCCAGTTAGAGATGATGAGCATAATAATCAATTTTTATCTAGAAGATTCAGATGAATACTTGTACATTTTACAGCAATGATAAATATGTGCTTTAAGTACCTTTTAAATATATGAGTTGTGGTGATGTTTACAGTTGATCTAACACCAAAGCTAATAAAGTATCTAACTGTAAGTCTTACAGGAGAAATCATGGGTTAAAAGTCATTTGGAATTGAGGGCACTCTCAGTGCTTAAGAGGATGTTTCTATAGAAGAATACAAGTATCCTGTTTTATACTTGATCTTAGTAAAAAGACCAAGAAGAGATGTAATAGCCTTTGTTAATGTTTGGAAATATATTAAAATTAAAAAGATATTATAAAAGATATATTTTTCTATTTTTTGGAATATTAGGAAAGATGATAATAAACAATACGTATATATTCCTGAACTTCTGACATCAACATTCACACTGCCTTACAAATGCACACTTTCTCATTCTTTTTTCCTAAAATAGAGAAATATCCCCTTCTCTTTCTTAAGAACAAATCTCCTACCTGTTTCTCTTTCTGATGAACACTTACCTTGTAGGTTATCCCTTCTCTCCATTTGATCTTTATCCTCTCCTTCCTTCAATTGTCTGTATGCTGTGTCTTCATTTTCTTACCTCCAACGTTCTCTGCCACCCACACTAACCTGGTTTCTGCTTCCCTCTGGCCTTCTGTTTGTTCTCTCTCAGGTCACTAGTTCTGCCCTCATTATGAAGCCACTTGATGCTTTTCAGATTTCCTTTTACTCTCAGACTCCAAGGCAACATTAGGTGTTGTGGACAGCTACCTCCATCTTTCAACTCACCCTTCTTTGGCTTCCTGAAACCACCTATCCTCTGAGTCACTTTTTTTTTCTTTCGCCTTTATAGCTTATATTCTTTTACTCAGCTATTAAATGTGCGAGTTCCTTTCCTTTTGTATTAGTCTGTTTTTATGCTGCTGATAAAGATGTACCAGAGACTGGGAAAAAAAAGAGGTTTAGTTGACTTACAGTTCCTCATGGCTGGGGAGGCCTCACAATCATGATGGAAGGCAAGGAGGAGCAAGTCACGTCCTACATGGATGGTGGCAGGCAAAGAGAGAGAGGTTGTGCAGGGAAACCCCCATTTTTCAAACCATCAAATCTTGTAAGACTTAGTCACTATCACAGGAACAGCACAGAAAAGACCTGCCCCTATGAGTTACCTCCCACAACATGTGGGAATTCAAAATGAGATTTGGATGGGGACACAACCAAACCATATCTCCTTTATTCTACCTCTTTCAAATATGTGTGTACATGCATGCACACAGGCATAGGCACACATGTGCATGCACACACAGACACATTTTCTCTTTACTAGGTTTCTCCTATTTGAACTCTAGACTAGGTCAGTTTTCTATTATATACTTCAGTAGTACTGTGCTGCTCTTTGTCGTCACATTCATCAAGTTATTTTTATTTCTTTGGTGGTTGATTAATGGCTATTTCCACTCTTTAGGAATACTGTAAACTCTTTAGGAATAGGTACTGTATTTTATTGCATTATGTTATACTTAGTCCTAATTGCTTCACCTTATGTGCTCAAGTCCTAAGAGCTCATAAGTGCTCAACAATTTTTTCAAATGATTTATCTTTATCAGAACTACTTTCAGATTACTTAAGTGAAAACAATCATAGAATTAAAAATTGTTGACATTGAAGGATTATGTGCAGGTGAGTCAGGAAGAAGAACTGGGAGAGCCCACATGTAATTCTAGTTCATATTTAAAGGCATGAGAGCCAGGAGAAATGATGGTGTAGTTTCAGTCCAAAGGCAGGCAGGCTTGAGACACAGAAAGACCTGAATTTGAGTCTGAGGGCATGAAAAGCCAAATTCCTTGCTTGATGATAGTTGAAATTCTCTTGCTTGGAGGAGAGTCAGCCTTTTTGTTTTATTGAGGCCTTCCACTGATTGGATGAGGCCCACCTACACTTTTTAGGGTAATCTGCTTTACTGAGTCTACTCTACTGATATAAATGTTGATTTCATCTAAAAACAACTCCACAGAAACACACAGAATAATATTTGACCAAATATCTGGACACTCCACGTCCTAGTCAAGTTGACACATTGTCTTAGTCTGTTCAGGCTGCTGTAACAAAAATAGATGATGCTGGGTAGCTTATACCCTACAGAAATTTATTCCTCACGGTTCTGGAGGTTGGGAAGTCCAAGATCAAGGTGCCTGCTGTTTCAGTTGTCTGACGAGGGCCTGCTTCCTGTTTCATAGGCAGCTGTCTTCTTGCTGTAACCTTATGTGGGGCAAGAAAGTAAGGGAGCTCTCTAGGGCCCATTTTATAAGGGCACTAATCCCATTGATGAGGGATCCATCCTCATGACCTAATCACCTCCCAAAGAGCCTCCCTCTAAATGCCATTACATGGGGAATTAGATTTCAACATATGAATTTGGGGGGACACAAATATTCAGCACATATAAAATTAACCATCACATTGATCAAATGAACATTTCTTATAGGCTGCTTTCAACTAGTTTTTTCAAATGTGCAATCCATAGGCCATGTTTAATCTATGCCTGATTTTTCAGTCCCTCCACGTGTTGAAGCTACTTTTTTAGTCTGATCGTTTACAAATTTCCTGTAATAACCAATGTTTTAGCTAGATTTGTTGCTTTTTATAGCATAAATCTACTTTTCTTAGTGCTTTCACTTTGCTAATGTTGTTTTCCCTACTTTAATGAGCCCATTCCCTACTAATATTATTTTGTTTAGGACTTATCTAGCTTTCACAGATTCAGAGTGCGTTTCAAACATCATCGTGAAACTACCTCCAAAAATTCTGTAACTACCATTCTCTGTACAACTATCTTGGTCCTTTTTACACTTTATAGTCCCCTCTTCGGGGATATGTTCCAAGATCCCCCGTGAATGCCTGAAACTGGATAGTACCAAGTCTGATTATAATTACTGGAAACACATTTCTGTTCCTGTCTTCTATCCACAAATTTAATGCCTTTTCCATCTTAACTAAGCACTTATCATGGACCGTGGCTATAATTTTTGCAGTTTGAAGTGCAACAACAAGACTAGCATAGATTCCTTCCTCAAAATGTTATGGTAGAAGATTCATTTTTAGCATAGATGTTATCAATCTCAGCATATTAATGTTTTTTTTTCTTTCCTAATTAGGTCAAGAACTTTCACCTTTTCAATTAAAGGAAGCATTTTACAACTTCTTTTGGGAATATCTGAGTTGTTAGCACCACTACTCTGGGGCTATTACTAAGTAGAATAAGGGTTACATGAACACAAGCACTGTGACAGGTGGCAGTTGGTCTGATAACCGAGAAGGCTACCAAGTGACTAATGAATGGGTAACATCTACAGAATGGATACATTGCACAAAGGGAGGACTCCTGTCCCGGGTGGGATGAAGCAGGGCAGCATTAGATTTCATCACATTGCTCAGAATGGCATCCAATTTAAAACTCATTAATCGTTTATTTCTGGAATTTGTCATTGAATATTTTTGGATCAGGGTTGACCAAGTGTAACTGAAACAGCAGAAAGCGAAAGTGCAGATAAGAAGGGGGCTACTGTACTGTTATTCAGCCTGTTTTTTCTGTTTCCCCTGAGAGCATATAAAGTCCAGGGGGAAAGGACCAGCCTTATGTGTGTGGGTATTCAATACTCTGCACATTATATACTGTAGTAAATGTATTGAATAAACTTTCAGCTATCTAATATGTTTCTGGTATGTCAAATGGGTGTATGCTTGGCACAATGCTGGTTCTCTTTCCAGGGAGCACAGTTACTTGTCTAATCTTTTTTAAAGATTTGAGTGAAACCCTCTCACCCTCTCAACTGTTGACCAACTTTTGACTTCTTAAGAATTTGTTGAGAATAGGAAATTTATTCTACAACCCCATTGTAGCTCATTCTACTTTCTGAATGACATTCTTGCCTTTACTGTCTTACTAATTCAAAAGGAAATGACAATTTTTTTCTCATATTTGATTCAATTCAGCAGATACTTTGTTGATAGCCTTCAGTGAGCAAAGTGTCACATCAGGTACTGAGGTTGCACAAAGGTGAATATGATATAGTGCCTGCCCTCAGGGGGCTCACAAGCTCATGGGGAAGTGAGGAGGCCAGGGAAAAGAGAGGTTTGTGTTTAGCTAATTCTCATGCAATACAGCGTAAATGAATATTTGGGGAATAATTTATATGTAATTTGTGATATAGTTTGGCTGTGTTCCCACCCAACTCTCATCTTGAATTGTAGTTCCCATAATCCTCATGTGCTGTGGGAGGAATCAGGTAGAGATAATTGAATCATGGGGACAGTTTCCCCTACTCTGTTCTCATGACAGTGATTTAGTTCTCACGTGATTTGATGGTTTTATAAGGGGCTTCCTCATTTGCTGGGCACTAGTTATCTCCCCTGCCCCCAGAAGAGATGCCTTCTGCCATGATTGTAAGTTTCCTGAGGCCTCCCCAGCCATGCAGAACTGTGAGTTAATTAAACCTCTTTCCTTTATAAATATCCTAGTCTCAGGTATTTCTTCATAGCAGCGTGAGAATGGACTAATAGAATTTGGGTGTATGATCCCTTCCCCATGGAGCTTCCAACCCAGTTGGGGATTCAGCTAAATAAATACAGATGAACATGGAAAAGACTCTGATAGGACCAGCACAGATGGTTAGGAAGTATGTATGGGGGGCCTGTTCCTCACACTTGCTTATATAATAATTTAGTTGACACTCTCTTTTTTGATGTGATGTGGACCAATTCATGTTAAGTTAATAAAAGTTGGCCCCAGTATGGGATCATAGACTTGATACTTCAAACATTTTATTTTACCTTAAGTTTTATAAATCTATATTTATTTACCAATTTACTGATCTATGACCAAAGCTTTCTTGGTTCTAAGTATAGGTTCTCTCATTAGCATTTGCTGTCATATTTTTTCATAACCACTCAATATCCAGTTTTACTCTTTATAAGTAGTATAAGTAGACTCTTGCAAAGCATCCTAAGTTCAGAGTCCTTCTAGAGTTGTGATTTTCCCCTTTTATAATTGTTTTGCCTCATATAATTTGGCTATTTCTTTTATAGACTTATCGTTGAGACTTTTCAAAACATTCAATTGATTTTCTTAGAAACAATTGAATTTTTCTTACTCAGCTGTCTTTATTTTATTTGAAATGTAGTTCAATTATATGATTAAAGTAACTTGTCCCCAGTGTTTTAAACAGGTGTAGGAATGAATGCGTGGGACTGTGGGAAGCATGCCTGACAGTTAGGTGGTAGGAACAGAATGTGTGGGCAAACAAGAAGACAGCAGCTTCCTAATTGAGAAGACTTCAGGTGGGGCATCATTCAGTAGATTTTGTGGTATGCAGAGTGTCAGTTAAGTTTAGGACCTAATTAAGGGGAGGTCAGTTAAAAGAGCTTCTGATGTAAATAAAGCAAATTTGCAATAAGAACATGTCCGCCCTCTAATCACTTGTTTATAAAACGGCTGCCCTCTCCTCCACAGCACTATCTGATTCAACACTTTCATGGTTTGTCAATATTGATAACTTATTTTTAAATAAAAAAGTGAAGTATATATATTTTTTTTCAAAAGCCACTGCTTCCCAAGCTCACATCACAAGAAAAAGTAG
The DNA here is from genome assembly GCF_000001405.40 of Homo sapiens. NCBI lineage: Eukaryota > Metazoa > Chordata > Mammalia > Primates > Hominidae > Homo > Homo sapiens. Next base: position 120,831,024 of record NC_000004.12, on the reverse strand, counting down.
CAACTTTTTCTGTTTATGTTCTTTTTTGTTGATTCTTTTCTCCACAATATCAGATTTGTGTCATGAGATGGTTCAAACATTACTAGCTCTGCTTGAGCCCCTCAGAGAAAGATATGTGTATACATACACATATATGTTAGTAATTTGTGATTGATATTCTTTGCTTATAGACTTGATTTTTTTGTTTAATATAGTATTCTGTTTTTAGGAATCATACTAAACTGTTTCCTCCCTGTATGGCTGATTATAAGCTATGACTAGCAAACCAGATTTTATTTGCAGTTGTTTGAAACTTCATTTTTCTTATATGACCTGATTAATGCACTCTGAACATGAATCAGTGTATCCTGCCCTGTTCTTTGTTTTGAATACATCTGTCATTTTCTGCCTCACATTATTTTCCTTGATTTCAAGTCACTTGCTTCTTATTTTCAAATAAAATAATTTTTAAGAATATTATTCTGCTTCAGTCAATTTTTGCTCAGAAGACCGCTCCAACGAACAACCCTAAACTCTTAGTGGTTTATAGCAACAGAGGTTTATTTCTTGCTGACAAAGTATAGGCTGCCAGAGGCTATGACTCTGTCCACAGCTTGGCTCCACATGGCATCTGAAGATACAACCCTTATCAGGGACATGTGTTTTCCTGGCAGAGGGGAAAGAGAGCGGCGGCCAAAATGTGATGATTTTTAAAGCTTTCACTTGGACGTGGTTCACTTTGCTTCTGTTCACATTTCATCGGTTAGTGCAAGTCACCCGGCCAAACTCATAAGGTATACCCACTCCCCAAAGGTAACTTTCTGAGTCACATAGCAAGTTGGGAAAGTCCTCTTACTGGGAAGAGAGTGAATAAACAGGAATCCTGTCTATTACAGTTATGTCTTAAAGACTTTTGGTTTTATTGTTGGATTATAGATACATTTTGTGAATTTTAATGTGGAAATGATTTTTTTCTTGATGTTTGTCAGCTTTGTATGTTGAGTGCTATAGACATATCGATACACAGGTTAAGACTGATTCAGGAGTTTAGTAAAGAAGCTTTATATGAGAGGATATTAAATATGAAATCTTTACTGTTTCATTCTGTTTTCTTTTTTGCACCTTCATCGCTTGTCTTTTATTTCTATTGATTATTGGATAGCAGTCCAGAGACTTTTTTTTTCCTCTACACTGGTATAAGTTGTTCATTTATAAGCCCTTGCATTGTTTTGAAGATAATTCCCTTTTCCATGGATTACCCATTAGTCATGTTAGCTGGATAGTGTGGATTTTCACAATTTACTACCTTTTCAATATAATGAATTGTACCTTTGCCAATTTCACAATCATGGTTTTTCTTACAGTGTCCACATGTGGATAGCAGCCTGCCAACAAGTAAACAAAAACTGAGTTAAGCGACATACAGATACAGCTGAAATACCAAATTACCCGTGGCCTCTCCTGGAGTTATATTTATTTGCACACAGTGGGGACTAGTATTTCCTTGTGAAACAAGAGACTTTTACTGTTTTGAAATAGCAGAACTGAACCTCAGATGCATGAGTTCATTAGGATAGATTTATCCTAGTGAGGCATGGCACTTGAGAAGAGACAAAGAGCAAATTATCAGAGAAGGTTGAGGTGTACACATAATGCCGGATGTGGAAGGGTCATAGAGAATTTGAAAATTAGATTTATTGCCTAGATATCTAGGAGTAAATGTTTCTGTGTAGTGATAGAAGCAGAAATAATTAGACTGGAAGGCATCTTGAGTTCATTTGGTCCTAACCATTACCACAGTACAGAAGTAGTCACATTGATAAAATCTTATCAAAGCATGGCTTATGTTACGCTATGTAATTTTGGAGAATGGGCCTCTCAACCTTACAAGGTTGTATATTCCAGCTTTTCATAGGAATCCTAGTTAAGTATTTCTCTTAATTCCATACCATGCTTTGCTTTAGTAGGGTGAGGTCTGAGAGGGAAAGCAGTAATCAGATCAGCCTCTATATGTACTTTTCCTTTTAAATTCATTAACTAGACTCCCCTAAAGATGAGTTTATTTCACTTGTGATTGAGTCTAGCTCTAGAAGGGATGAGATTATAAAGTCCAACTCTATCATTTTACAGATAAAATAAGAGTACTGATGATAAGAGGCTTCCCCAAGGTGACAGAGCCTCAGAGCGGCCAAGCCAAAGCCAGAAGATAGTCTTGATAAAGTGTTCTTCCTGTCATATACCACATATAAGGAACTACTCTAAGAATATATTAATATCAGATGTAGCTAGGTAATGGAATGTAAGCTTCTCCTGTGCCTGAGACTGAGGCCACAAAGTTAACTGTATGTTTTGAGCCCAGTGCTTGACCAAAAAAGAATAATTTTGTAAGTCACTGAAGTAAAGAGAAAGAATAAAAAATTATATGGGGCCAAATTCCCTTCAGCCCATAAATGCATTGGATTATTTTAGGCTCATTTGGAAAATATTTTATCTAGTGAAGTTAAAATTATAGTTGCATAATTTGATAACTAATTCTACTTCATTCCTGACCTGATTATTCTAGTTCTCATGATGCTAGTCCTAGCCTCAGGTTCTAGATTGGCTCTAGAATTTACTATTTGTGGGATCTTTACATTTTATTTTTCATCTCTGAGCCTCAGTTTTCCCATATGTAAAATGCAGGTGTGTTGGAGGGGCTCCTTTGGAGAAGTTCCTATTGGAGACAGACCTTGATGCTAATCATTTCCTGTCTGCCAGATATACTTTACATATTCTATATTATTTAATCCTCAAAACAATTCTTTGAAGTAGATACTATTGAACCCACTTTATAGATGAGGAAAGCTAGACTAAGACAAGTTAAGATAACCTTGCTTAAGATCTGTAACTAATAAGTTATATACTAGGATACAAATTCAAGTCTATCTGACTCCCAAGCCAGTATCTATCCAGTGTACTGGACATTTCCATTCCTATCTCCAAGGGTTCCATGAAGGTAAGATGAGACAAAGTACATGAAAAACTAGAAACTGCAAAGTGCTATATAAAAGAGGGATACTGTTATTTCTTCTAAGTGTTCTTGGCTACGTAATTAGCAGAAATTAGCAGTAGAGTCCAGTCCAAAGCATTAATAAGTCTAGGGGCATTGTATTTTCTATTTTACAATGAGGACATTGAGGCCCATAGGGATAAGAAAGATGCCCACATAGCCATGAAGTGACAGAGCACTTCCTAATCGGGTTCCAAAGCCTACCATCTGGCTGGCTTCTACAGTACTTTGCCTCAGGCCTTGATATTAGCCCTTGGCATAGGAGCTGGGATTCTGTTACCCACGGATTGATTTTCTGTGATGGAACTTCCCACCCAGTGTGCTGAGATACCTTGGGAATCTAAGAATTAGGTTACTAGTGTGAGGTGAGATACTGATGATAGTAGTTTTTTCTTATAGTGTTAAGACCATTTACATAAAGTTAACCATTCAAAATTTGTGAAAGTCCAAATGTTATTTGAATATCACTGTATTTATATGACTACTCTTCTAAACTTTCTGAATTTAGCAATGATTAATTTGATGCATAAGAAGTTTGTTGGTGCCCCTGCCTCTAGAGAATGCTCTGTAATGGCCACACCACATGGCACTACCTCTGACTTTTCTGCTGAAGCAACCTAGCCAGGTTATTGCTTTTTTTCTGGATTTGTTTATCTTTATTACAAAAGTTTTTTTGAAAACCATGACAACCATCATATTTGGAGAAGCTTTTGTGTGTGTGTTTGCCAGCAAATCTGAATTCCATATTATATGATGTTACCAAAATGACCAGTCTGATACAATCTAAGCCACTGCTATTGTTTTTCAGCTTTGTTCAAAGAAGCAAAATTCTACTCTCTTCTTTTCTTATCAGAATGCATTCGTTGTCCGAAGGAAGGGCTTTGCGAGTCGATTTGTCATCTAAAATAATTTTTTTGGTTGGGGATTATGAATGACTCACTTTGTAGATTTGTTGACTGAATTGACTAATATTCTACGGTACCTTAGTGAAGGTCCACATGAAATTATATTTATGTGTACAGAGAAGAGATAGATTTAAAGCAAAAATTCACAGTTAGTGTTTTGTTTCGAATCTGTAAGAAGAATCATTATTAAATACAGCAGCATCTTTGAATGCTTCAGGGAAAACTTCATTACCTTGGACTCATCCTTGACCCTTCCTCTCTCACACTCCATATACAGTCTGTCAGGAAATGGCATCTGCTTTCCCTTCAAAGCATGCTCAGAATGATTACTTTCCACTGCCTCCACTACTCACTGCTACAGTCCTCATCGAGTCACCACTATCTGTGACCTGGCTTAGTTTAATAGCCTCCCAGCTGTAAATAAATAAAGGAAAAGCTGAGTAAGCTTTTTATTAATATGTGTTGTTTTTCTTCTGGCACAAGTATTTTACTACCTATTATTTTAAAAATATTGAGCAAGTATTATGAGATTAGCTTGCACTTGATAATTCTTTTCCACTTGAGAAAATCATCTTTTGGGGAGGTAAAAGCAACACATATTAGAAATTCATTGATCACATGAATTAAGTGACAAAAACCACAGAAGTAAATGATGTGCCCAATTGAAGTTAAGACAGTTGATATAGAGAACTCCTAATTAAAAGTTCCTACATGAATTTAGTAGATTAGAGAAAGTTTCTTGAAGGAGGATGAAAGTGAGCTGCGCCTCAGAGCACATGGAGGAGTTATAGCAAGGGGCCAAGTGGCATCTTTGCAGTTGTACTAAGGTGGGAATTAGCTCTGTGTTTTCTGAGAAGTGTACTAGTTTGATGGAAGAAGAGGAGCAGGTACATTTGAAGGAGATTTGGGGACAAGAGAATGACATGAAAATTCAGATGATGGGAGTTCACTTGGTAAGCTGTTGGAGTCGTCTCTGGGAATATGACTGGTCCTAAATGTTGAGAATCCTGATGTGGACCTGGAGATGGTGAAGGAGGTAGACCCAGTCAATATTGTTGTTAGGAAATCTTAAGTGGAGTTAAGAATGTGATTTTGGAGAGCATGATGGGTGTAGTTAGGTATCCAACTATCCTAGTTTGCCCAGGACTCTCTCAGTTTTAGCACTGAGTAATCCCTATCCTTGGAAACCCCTCAATTGCAGGCAGACTTCATGGTTGGACACCTTGGGTATGGTTCAGACAATTGATTGGTATCTGAGGTCCAAACCAGAGCAACACTTTAACATGTTAACAGTGGAAGAGAGCATGACAACAGGAGATCCAGGGCAGAGCATTTAAGAGCTCTACTAGGCAGGCAGATTTATTTCAAAAGTAATAAATAACAATAAGTAAGAAAAACAACACATATTATTAAAAGCTTACTCAACTTTTCCTGTATTTATTTACAGCTGGGAGGCTATTAAACTAATCCAGGTCATAGATAGTGGTGACTCGATGAGGACTGTAGCAGTGAGTAGTGGAGGCAGTGGGAAGTAATCATTCTGAGCATGCTTTGAAGGGAAAGCAGATGCCATTTCCTGATAGATTGTATATGGAGTGTGAGAGAGGAAGGGTCAAGGATGAGTCCAAGGTAATGAGCTGGATGTCTTATATTTTGGCTGAGAGCATTTTGACCAAACGAATTGTAATCAAAGCAGCACGGTAAAAGCAACTTTGTGTGATAGTTTGGTTGAAACAGACTTTGGACACAAAATGAATATGTTAACCACTGGCATTCAAGTTTTTATTAAATAGTAATGATAGTAACTACCACTCATGAATGCTTTCCACATGTAGGGCATCTGGCTAGACTTTGCAAATATTACCATCTTTAATCTTCACAGCCATCCTATGAGATAGGCACTACTATTTTCTCCATTTTACAGATGAGGAAATTGGTGGTTTGGGAGATTAGGCTGTTTGCTCAGTCACATAGCTAGTCAATCTAGAGTGAGACTTTGAACCCTGAGCATCCCAAAGTCCTGCTCTCTTTGGTTGCCATATAGTACTGCTTCCTGGTATCAAGGAACAGGGTTCATTAATTATCCATTGTTATCTTTTACTACAAAAGTAATAAATAAAATAAATTAATTAATTCTAGGAAAATTATAAAATGTAGAGGAGCAGAAGATGACTATACAAAGTACTCACGATTTCCTCCATTAGAAACAGCCCTATTAACACCATTGTTTACATATTATTTTCTTTTTTGGGCATATTGATTTACATACATTTTTAAAAATTAAAATGATATTTGATAAATGTTTTAAAACCAATTGTTAGAGATTTGACTTTTTTTCAACTTATATTGTTGGGCCAGTAGGCTATGGTGACTTTTTGATATTACAAACACTGTGCAGTAGAAGTAATGAGCCAAAAAACAACATGCAAATAAAATAAAGCAAAATGAAATGAGACTAAAAAAAGACAAAAAATTCAAAACAATAGGCAAGAGATGAATAACAATTGTAAAACCATTCATTCTATAAATATGTTGTATTCAAATTATAATGCTTTGAAAACTGATGGCTGGGGAATATTTGCTTTTGAGCAGGCCTTGATGTTGAACAAGTTTCTAAGTGTTTTTAATAAAATCACCTGGAGCCAGTGACTTGAATCACAAGCAGGATCTCAGCCCTTAGGCAGAGTCACAGGAATGTGGCTCATCTTAAGTGTATATACAAGGCGTCCAGGAGGGACTGTGCTCAAGGGAATAACCTAAGACCAGAAATGATAGATATAGTAAGGAGAATTAATCTCAGTATGAGAATATTAAACCAGTGATCAAATCTGAACCACAAGGTTATTGCTAGGCTAACAGTAACATGACGACAGGAAGCTGATACTGAGTCCCAGAGCATTGGGGCAACACCCTTGTCTTAGTCCATTTGTGTTGCTATAAAGGAATACCTGACACTGGGTAATGTATTAAAAAATGTGTATTTGGCTCACAGTTTTGTAGGCTTGTACTGAAGTGTGGTGCCAGCATCTGCTTCTGGTGATGGCTTCAGGCTCCTTCTACTCATGGTGGAAGGTAAAGTGAAACAAACATGTGTAGTGGTCAAAGAGGGGATAAGGAGGGTGCCAGTCTCTTTCTAATAATCAGCTCTCTGGGGAAGTAATAGAGGAAGAACTCATTCATTATACTGAGAACGGCACTAAGCCATGTATGAGAGGTCTGTCCCCATGACCCAAACACTTCCCATCAGGCCCCACCTCTAACATTGGGGATCACATTTCAACATGAGGTTTGTGGGCACAAACACCCAAACTATAGCAACTGTAAATCCTTCCTGCCAAAGGGCATGAGATTAGGCCTGGGATGAGCCTCCAGGTGGACAAAATGGCTCCAGAAATTAGGGATCTGGCAGGCCTTGTCAATCTGAGGTTTGTAGGGAGGAGAACAACACCATGAAGAGTTGCAGGATTTGTAGGATGATCAAAAATTAGTGCAGTGTATGCAAGGAAGTGACTTAAGAGGATACTTCTTAATAGTATTGGGGTAGCAAATGAAAGGAAAGAGACTGTTGGTCTGCACAGTGGTTGGAATTATATGTACAGAGATATCCAGACATTCCCATTAAATAAATAGATTGAAGTAATACCTGTAACTATATTCCTCTTTATATCACATTTTTTGGCAAACAGAGAAAAACCATGCAGCTGGTCCTGTGGAGCCTGGAATGCTGCCATTACTTTCATTAAATTAAAGTTTTAGCTGGTATATGAAAATTTTCTTTTATTACAGAGCCTCTAAACAGACATGCCATATCCTGTGATTACAGTTTAAGTTAATGGTATCATGTTTTAAAATTAAAAATTATTATCTTTCCTTGGTGCTATCAAAACCATCACAAAATTAATCACTAATATACTAGGATGACGGTTCAATTAACTTTCATGGATATTGATCAGATAAACACTAATATTTATTATTGCATTCTGAAGTCTTTATTAGGTTAGTGGGTTACCCAAACAGTTAAAAACTCATCTAATAAAGACCTGGAAAATGCTGCTTTTGAGTTAAAGAGACCTCTTGCTTAGTGTCTATATATTTTTTGCTTGTTTGCTTTTGTTGCACTAAGAATACCAATAGTATATAAGTTAATTCAGTGATCTTAATTAGAAATAACCTTTTTAATGTTTTTGGATATATAAAATTTAAAAACTTCCAAGAGTGTTCAAAATGTTATAGGAATGTCTATACATTAAGTGTAGCACATGATTAGATTTGCTTCAGTGCTTTGAACTTTTGAATCAAGCCTTCCTTCCATAGGATTGGATGCATATGATCATAATTTCTGTCTCTTCCATGAAATTTTCTAATATATATTGTTTTAAAATTACAAAGTAGTCATGCTTATTATTCAAAAAAGCCCTCCCAAACTAAGACAATGTTGAATATAGCCCCTCTCCCATCCTCAAAATAACTGTATGTACAATTTGATGCATGTCTTTGCAATTTTTCATGAAGGTTCTAATTGTGTTTACATATATACATAAATCTATGCATGCATACACTCTCCTTCCTCCCCTCTCTCCTATTCCTTCCCCTCTCACATCTTCTCCTTTGTCTTCCTCCTCCTGCTTTTAAACATAAGTGCTATGATATTGCCAAAGAAGAGAAGGCTTTGTTCTGTGCTCTGTGCTTTATTGAATTTCATTCATTGGTGGACCTTACTTTCTTTGTCCTTTCCTGCCTTTGCCACTATGAAGGTTCAATAAATTCAGTCTCTGTTTTGCTTTTCTTTATATTCAGCAGCCTCACTAGGAACCCTCCCAGAACAAATCCTTAACTATGTAAAAGAGAGCAATTCTGGGTGCTTTCTCCTGGGGACAGCCCGCTTTACAGCTTCAGTTCTGGCTTCCCTGGTGATTGGCCCAAGGCCCAGCATGGCTTTTGTATCAGTTGATTCCAAGTGTGAAGTTTCTCTGGGGTTTCCTTGGAAAGAAGGTTCTTTGTAGCATTCCTCTTCTGTGTCTGTTATTGGTCGAGGTTTCCTCTGCATTAGTTATCTATTATTTCGACTATGTCTGATTTCTGTTTTCCAGGACTTTCTAAAATATCTTGATATGTTGATGGTGGACCTTGTTTTTTTTTTTTTTCTTTTTCTCGTGTCTGTCATTTCTGTGGGATTTAGAGACCAAAGAGGTGAGGTACACATGATGGCTCCATCAACACCTTGAACTTCCCAGATGTCTAGTATTTTTTCTATTTCGGGACCAGGTTTCAGTAAATTCTTTCAGGGGACGAACTTATTTGCACTTCCTCTGGTTTGTGTTAGAACTTGAAAGGCTTTTTTTTTTTTTAAGTTTTGTGTTAGTGTTAATAATAACGAAATCATTGATATCTCATTGCTCTCTGTCTGCATGTGTGAATGACACTGTTGCATGACAACTACATTTATAGGCCACCACAAAGTGTTGCTTGCATAAGGCCAGTTAGTGATGCAAAATTCACTTTAAAAATTGAACATAATTTCATTTGACATGTGTAAATGTCACTTTTTGTCATATGTATTTGTATTTTATTTGCCAGGTAACTGAATATTGTCACCTGCCTTTTTCAGCACCCAGATCAACTAGAAATAAAAAAAAGTAATAACTTTTCATGCACACATAGTACTCCATTAATGTATCTTAAAATTATTTCTTAATTACTATCAGAAACAAATGAATGGTTCAGCATTTAAAAAAATTTGTTTCAGGAAGGAGAAAACATTTTCTATTTGGCAGTTGAAGATATAGAAACAGACACGGAGCTTCTGATTGGCTACCTGGATAGTGACATGGAGGCTGAGGAGGAAGAACAGCAAATTATGACAGTCATCAAAGAAGGGGAAGTTGAAAATTCTAGAAGACAATCAACAGCGGGCAGAAAAGGTATTGCATCTTTAATTGGTGATCTGGGAGAAGAAAAGTTGTAGAAAAAAGTGTAGTTTAAACTGTGGTTGAATTATAGTTGCCTTGTAATATGGCATTCTCAAATAAAGTTAGTTTTTGTCAAAATTATTCTCGAGGGTATCCTGTGGTGGACTCATCTTTGTTACAGCAGGAAAAGTATTTTGGGAGTGGGTGATGGATGTACCCTATAGGACTGCCTAGGCCGCAGGCAGGGCTGCATTGCTAGGGCAGCTCCCGGCTCTCACTGCTCTCACTGGCGCATTGGGGTAATGAGTAGTGAGGATTTTTATAGTCTTGCCATAGCTCTGCCACTAATCAGTCTTGTAACGTTGGGCAAGTTGCTGACTTTCTGAGACTTTACTTTCTCATCTGCATATAGGAAAAGGTGAGAGTGGAGGTGAGGTACACAAGAGAGCCTGCTGGATCCGAAGGGGATTGATTCCTCTTGTTTGGGATCTTTTGGGAACCTGCAGCTTCTTGGCATCTCTTTCTGTTCTGATCACAGAAGCCTGGAGGATTGCTAGGTTGCCCTAGTGTGGTTACCAAAAACTTTCAGTGACCGTAGGTCAGACCTTCCTCAGTCAATACTGCAGCCACTTGCTTGTTAACTGCCAGGGAATAATCAATTATTATTGGCCTTGTTTCTATTATGTTGTGTTTTACTCCTAAGGGAAATTTAAGGGATATATGAATGATGCTATAGGTATTCACATTTTGTAATAGGCCTCGTCTTTATCCTTTCAGGCTGTTATAACAAAATACTTTAGACTAGATACTTGGTAAGCAGCAGAAATTTATTGCTTACGTTTCTGGAGCCTAGGAAGTCTATCAAGGTGCCAGCAGATTTGGTGTCTGGTGAGGGCCCGTTTCTAATTAGATAGCACCTTCTAGCTGTGTCCTCATGTGACAGAAGGGACAAGCAAGCTCTCTTGGGCTTCTTTTACAAGGGCATTAAGCCCATACATGAGGACACAGTGCTCATAACCTAATCATCTCCTAAAGGGCCCACCTCTTAATACAATTCCATTGCGGTTTCAGTTTCAACGTATGAATTTTGGGGATTCACGAACATTCAGACCATAGCAGGCTGATACTTACTATACAGTACTTTTCCATTTTGTGTAGCAAAGCCACTTCAGAAGTGATACTGGTTTCATTAGTCAAAGTGGTAGTATGCTTTTCCTGTACTTTTTCTGTTCTAACTGCATGTTATTGGCTGAGAAAGTGTGAACATTCTGTCACCATTGCCAGCTTATGCTTCTGTTTCTTTATTTTAGTTGAATTATTTAAGGGGAAGATAAGGACAGGCTTATATGCATTATGCTATTTGGAATATCATATTTTGGGTGATGGGAATTATTTCTGTGTTATTCTGTGTTTTCTTTGTTTTTGTATTTTATTTTTTCCCTGTTGTCCCCAGGGCAAGTTATTTTATCCATTATTTTAATTTAAAAATAAGTAATCTACTTACCTATTACTGCCCTGATTTCTGCTTTAGTTATTAAAATACCAGTTTTCATTATCTTTGTAAAAAGAATCAACAGAAACTTAAACAGAATTTTTTAAACACATGAACCAAGCACTTGCATTGTGGCTATTTTGGTTTTTTTAAAATTTTATTTTATTATTATTATACTTTAAGTTTTAGGGTACATGTGCACAATGTGCAGGTTTGTTACATATGTATACATGTGCCATGTGCCATGTGCCATGGCTATTTTTATTTTAGAATTCTTAGTTTTATTTAGAAAAGCAAAGAAACAAAATAAAAACAAACAGCAAAAGAAACAAGCCACCCAAATGTCTAACAATGAAGAGTTTGGTTAAATAAATTGTGGTACTTTAAGTTTAAAAATATGCCAACATTTGACTTGAGAAGATGTTAAATGGGAAAACATATAAAATTGTATATAAAGTATGATCCCAAATTTACCTCTTCTTAGACTGCGCATAAAATATGTATGCACTAAAGGCAAGTCAGGCTTGCCAGTAATATTATGACAGTTGTCTCTTCCTGATGGGATTATTGGTGTTTTTTATTTTCTGCATTTTCTAAGTCTAATTTTATTTTATAATCAGAAACAAATGTGTAATTTAAATAGCACGCTGAGAAATTTGGTCAGACCTGCACCAGTCTATATGGGACCGTGTAGCATAATTCACTCTACTAGCTTAATCAGCACTGTTTTTATGACCTTGGTCTTTTTTCACATGTATGTGAGATTCTCCTTGGTAATTCAATATAGTTTGCATCAGTTGGATTTTTCTCCTTGTGAAGGTAAAAATGAGCTAAAAATGACCAATTTCAGGAATAGCTTTTGTTTTCTAATTTAACATTTTGATCTGAAAAGTTAACATTATAGGATGAATTAAATAAGGAATTTGACTTTGTATTAATTTGGTGAAATACAAGTGATTTTGAAAATAATGTATTTCTCTCTAGTAACACTTGCTATTATTTTTTTGTGGCCAAATACTATTAATATTTATAGTGATAATAAGAATTTATTCATATGGTATCATTAAGCACAATTAATTAATTAATTTAAAATGAGAGCAAAACTGAGCATTTCTTGGCTCTGAATTTTTGTCTCATGAATATGTTTCCTTGTGAATGTGCAGATCGCCTTGGCTGTAAAGAGGACTATGCTTGTCCTCAATGTGAATCGAGTTTTACCAGTGAGGATATTCTTGCTGAGCATCTCCAGACATTGCACCAGAAACCCACAGAGGAGAAAGAATTTAAGTGCAAGAACTGTGGGAAGAAATTCCCAGTTAAGCAGGCTTTGCAAAGACAGTGCGTATATTAAAGAAATATCTTTAAAATTATAAGCTAACACAGTTTATTCCATTCAGCTTAACTCATAGTTTTTAACCTGTGTGTGTGTGTGTGCACGCGCGCACGCGCATGTTTTGTGTGTGAATGAGAGATTAAGCATTTTACATTGGTATTGTCATTAACTCATCTTTTCTTAGTATAGTATGTTGATTATTAAAATATTCAAATTATGGATTTTAACACATAAACACTGTTTATGGTAATTAGTTTTTGTCCATTTATTAATTTGCCATTATGTATCAAGCTTACTGGTTTAATCTGAAATTCAGATATGCCTACTTTAGTTACTCCTTTGAGGTAACAGACTTTTAGTTGTCTACGTTTTATATTCCTTCTGGAATCTGTTTAAAAAAAAGTTTAAGAAATGGGGAGTTCAAAGTATAAAGAATTCCTGGACATTTTGGGAAGCACTGTTTATTTGAGAGCAACTTTGGAGGAATAATTTAAAGATGCATAGGTCCCAGTTATAACAATATGATTAATTAGATGATCCCACACATAGCTCTGTACCCTTTTTTATTTTAACAATTTATATTAACAACATAAAATTATCTTTATTTAAATATTTTACAGGATCAGAAATTGTTAAAAGTGAGAAAGTAGGTATATGCATTTGTAAAGTTTTATTTTTTTACTCATTAAAGTTTGTAATTTTAATCAGATAATTGAATTTAAGTAATTTAAAAGCATATTTACATATTGGATGCAACTGTAGACTCTCATTGTGTTGAAGCCAATTACTTCCAATATGAAAGTAATGTAAATTGTCCCATCTCATCAACATATCTCTTCTCTTATGTGCTCCCATCCTGCCATTTACTTTCTTTCTCCAACCTTAGCTTCTCATTTTAACAGAATGTTACCTTACTTATGAGCAAGAAATCTTTAACATAGGCTTTAATGTTACATTTTTACATTTTTGTGTTTCATTGAACTAAAATTCTGAAATATGCTACATTTCATACTAAGACTGTATGAATATTATTATATGCATCAACTTTTGCTTATAAAAATTGAGATGAAAATTGTGCTTAAAACTTAATAAATGTTCAGAATATCAAAACTTTTATAATAGCAGGATACTACATATTTAGAAATTCTATTGTACTTCCTTAAAAAACAAGCAAGGACTATATGCTTTTAAATAAATAGATGTTAAGTTGCATTCTGGTTAGCTTTTATTGCATTTAGTATTATATATTTATACAAAAGACACTGCTGAGCAAGAGCTTATAGTTAAGGTACTGCTAAAAATTTAAAAAGGCAAAAGACAATGAAAAAAGGGATCACGAACATGACTTTATTCAGAGTTAGTGTAGTTTCATTTTTGTCTTAGAGTTCCAGTTTTTGTTTTCTTTTCTTTCTCTTTTTCCTATTTCCCTTTAGTGTTCTTCAGTGCACAGCGAAAAGCAGTCTAAAGGAGTCTTCGCGAAGTTTTCAGTGCTCTGTTTGCAATTCTTCCTTCAGTTCAGCATCGAGGTTTTGTGTCTGAGTTATGAAATGGCTGTTATATAATTGTGGGTCATTTTTTGCATGCATACTTTCATGCTTCTTAGTAATTCAGTTTCACATACCTACAGAATTTAAATGCTTTTCTTCTTACCTGCATAGGTAATGCATGGAATGACCCCGAAACTCTACTAGGGAGCATGTATTACAAAATCTTGCTGATGTTTGAGTTTTGTAGGTATGTCTTCACCATTTCTTCCTGTTCCGCTTTGCTGGTTGTCTTGTAGTTTTGAGCAGCACCAGGAGACTTGCCGGGGGGATGCCAGGTTTGTGTGCAAGGCTGACAGCTGTGGAAAGAGGCTGAAGAGCAAGGATGCCCTGAAAAGACACCAGGAAAATGTCCACACTGGTGAGGAGTCGTTGGAGGGTCGTTTCCGAAGGGGCTTCCTTTCCCCAGGCTGCAGCGATCTGTTTTTAATTCTCGCTCTTGAGGAGAGAGCTGGCTTTTCCATTGTGTTTCACACAGATGTGGAGCGCTGGCAGTGGATTTTTTTCTTTCACTGAACACTATTTCTTTCTCAGGTTGAATTTAGCAGCATTTGTTCTTTTTCCCATTCCTGAATTAATTATAACTGTAAGCCTTAGTTAAAGTCTAGTTATGTTTGGGTGGTCAGATGCATTAAGAATTAATATTTTTAAGTAACAATTTTAAATGTTTTGGCATGTGACATTTCTTTTATAAATTGTTAAAATTTATCATTATTAAGTGATGTCCTTCTGCCTTATTATTTTTACAGTAAAAATCCAACTTGTGAAAATACAGTTCTCCTAAGTTAGAGAAAATTGCTAACACATTTTGACATTGGAATTGAATATGTATGGATTAACAAAACAAATATTATTTGAATTCCATCTGATAGCTAGCTAAACAATAAAACAAATATAAAATTTGACTGTCTTTTGGGTTTATCTGCTTAGCACATGGTATACTGTCAGTAAATATATTTTGGCTTAGGGATTAAATCTATTGCAGTGAGTTGAACAGATGGCTGTATTGTCTCAGTTAACTTTTTACTTCTTGTCTTTTTACCTCCAAAGACTTCCTCCTTAAAGGAGGTTGAGATTTATGAAACCCTGTGTGTTCTTCTCTTCATATTCTTTGTTCATGTGTTTATTTTTGCCCTTGACTTCTGGGAAATGGGTGGCTATGTGTCTCTGGATGTGGGGGAAAGTGGATTTCTTTTCTCCCTTCAGTTGTTTATTCTTATATTCAGGAGAAGATGATAATCTGCACCCAGCATCTGTATCCTGTATTTGTTCATTGTCCAAAAAGTATTCACTTTAATAATAATACAGTTATAGAGGCTAGCGTGAACAACTGCTAGCTGCGACTTTGCATCATTGGTTTGGGCTGCATATTAAGTGCAACCTATGGTGAAAGCTCTGTGTGGTGGAAGTAGGGCCTTGTGAAATGCACCTCCAGCTTGGTGCCCTTCACTAGGCTTTTACAGTGTTCTGGTTTCTTTCTTTCCTTTTGAAGAATACACAGCTGACTTAGGGAAGATGGATTTTTTTCTGAATTCAGTATACTGGGGTCTTCCCTATGATTGCAAAAGGCAAGCATAACTTTTTGATAGACTTGCCTTCGTAGTTTTTTGATTTTCAATGCTGTTCTAGTTAAAATGCTATTCTTAATTTTCTTCATCTATGTCTGCAATATATTGTAATAGAACTTTCATGTCAGTTTTAAAGCTTAAGTTTGCTGAACTAAGTAAAAAACCAGATGCATACGAAACTCTGGAGACTTGCATTCTTATTACTGGGCATGTTGTCTTCAGGCTGTGCTATAAGCACAATGTCTTTGAGGCTTCTTGTAGTTGGCCTTGCATATTGTAATATTATTAATTCTGGAAATTTATGGTGATTTTGTAGGAAATAATTCATAAAAGGAAATCTTGTTTTATATATATTTTTTAATTTGTGGACCATATAAAGTGTAAAATCTTGCTGTATTTTAGCTAACGGTTACTATGCCATATGTTTTGCTGGGGTTGGTACATGATGTCATTCTCTCATTCACAGTATGTCTCTTGCTTCTCCCCTTTCCTCCATGGGCTGCACAGGCATTGGAGGAAAGAATATTCCCTATTGGAGATAGCAAGCAAAGCAGCTCTCATATACATGGTTGTAGAATCCTTTATTATAGAAAGGCAAAGGCACTCAAAGAAAGAGATCTTTGATGGCAAATGTTTTTTTGTTAAGGTGATATGAATTGAGGATGATGATTAGAGAGAAGCTGAATTTTTCAATATGGATCACATTTTTCCATAGCAACCATAACATGGGTAGGTAGGTTCTCAGACCAGCTCCTAGAAGCATACTTAGCTCACAGCGTGTTGAAAGTTGAGTACTTAAGTGATTGTGTATTCAGTACAGTTGTATTAATTTCCTCACATGGCCTACTGGTATAAGTAATGTGTTCCTAAATGTTTTTGAAAGTTTAAATCTGAAAGTCAAATATCAGATTTACCTAAATAGGAAAGTTAAGACAGTATAACATCTAGTTATGGCTTTGCAGGTGCTGTTATCCATGAGCCTAGGGGAGCTGGTAGAGTGGTGAGGCTCCTCACAGTTACTTAAGAGGGAACAGAGTGAAGGGGCTAAGCTCCTCCGTCACTTCCCATCTTTCCCTTTTGCTTAGATTCCATGGTTGCTGACAAAGAGACTTTGCATTAATGGGAGATAACATTTATCTACATTCTCAGATGAATAGTCATACATTTTTCCTGTGTGTCTTCTCAGAGGAGCTAGGATTCTTCTAGGGTGAAAAAGAGGAGAAGCCATGAAAAGGAGAGAGAAGACTGAAGATTGGGGATGAGGGTTTGATGTATACCCTTTGATACCTGCAGGCAGAGTTGTGGCAGGAGTGCAGGGGTAAAGTGAGAGTGGTGGGTGGAGAAATCTGTTTCTTTCTCTCCTCTCTCCTCCTCGGACCCATCCAGTGGGAAGGAGTAGGGCCTAGTATCAAGGAGTAGTTGCTATGAGGGCTAGGACAGGGCAATAAAGGATTATTGGTGGAAGATGGACCATCCCAACTAGTAGGACCTGGAAAAGAGGGAATATTCTTTCTGAATGGTGCCTCAGGTATGATATGTTTAGGAAATTGATGACCAAATATATGCTATCAGATATTCATTTTGCCTGGGAGAATTTTCTCCTTTAGTAGCCATGTTACTTTTCAATCACTGAGAAGCATTTTCTTGGCTATCATATTTAGCCTGCTAAAAACAGTGCATTAAATGGAATAGGCATCTTGAATAATAAGACAAAAATTCATATTTGCCATTTGAAAGTATATTTCTTTCATAAATGCAGTCCTATAATAAAACGAAATCATTTTGTAATATTGATTTTACTTGTTTTAGATTTGCTTCAAAATATAGAGAAGTGGGAGAGTGGATGGGATTGAGGTTGAGGCAGGAATGGTCATGGTGAGTCATTGTTGGGGCCAGGTGATGGATAGATGGTGATTCATTATACTATATGCTTACTTTTTGTATATTTGAAATAAACCAATTAAAAGTTGAAAACATATTTTATGGTTATTCATTGTGGTGCATTTGATATTATTATATCACATTTAATAATGTTTGATTGCCTCTTCATTTCTATAACAACTGTGAAATTTGAAATATGAAATGAGCTACTGTAAACATAATCACTACATAAGAAGACAGAATCTGGCTTTGAGTAATAGTATGAATTGCCAATATATTGTTTTATTGTACTTTATTTCTTAATGTTAACTTGATAAGCATATACTTAAAGATTTTATAAAACTCTAGTGCTGGAAAGAATAATCTATAAATTCTATCTTAAAAAACCCAGCTGATTAAATAAAATATTCTGTTGAAATGTAAAAGAATTAACACAATCACTTTATGAATTAATAAATTTAGTTTTTTCTTTTACAAACACATTTGGTTAATTTTAATTTTGCTTTGAATTCCTTGTGGATATATCACTTTCTCTTTTAATACTATACAGTATTAGTACATGGAAAAGTGAAAGGCCTGTTTTATATATGAGAAAGGTGGTATATGAAGCTGTGAAGATGTCTCAAATTTAAAAAGAAAGCATTTACACAGAATGGGAGAAAATATTTGCAAACTACCCATCTGACAAGTGATTAATAACCAGAATATATAAAGTGCTCAAACAACTCAATAGGAAAAAAATCAAATAATCTAATGAAAACATGAAGAAAATATCTGAATAGACATTTTTCAAAAGAAGACAAATGGCCAACAGGTATATGAAAAAATGTTCAGCAAAATTAATCATCAGAAAAAAATGCAAATCAAAACTACAGTGAGATATCATCTCACCCTAGTTAAAATGGCTTCTATCCAAAAGACGGAATAACGAATGCTGGAGAGGATGTGGAGAAAGGGGAATGCTTGTACACTGTTGGTGGGAATGCAAATTAGTACAGCCTCTTTGGGTAATGGTATGGTGGTTACTCAAAAGACTGAAGATAGAGCTAGCAATTCCACTGTAGATATATACCCCAGTGAAAGGAAATCAGTATATTGAAGAGATATCTGCACTCCCATGTTTATTGCAGCACTATTCACAATAGCCAATATTTGGAATCAACCTAAGTGTCCATCAATGAGAGAATGGGTAAAGGTAATTTTCTTAAGTGAAGTAAGCCAGGCACAGCTGCACAAATTTCACATGTGCTCACTTATATATGGAAGCTAAAATTAAAACTATTAAACTCATGAAGATAGAGAATAGAATGATGGTTACCAGAGGCTGGGAAGGGTAGCGGGGAGGGGGTGAATAAAATGGGATAGTTAATAGGTGTAAAAATATAGTTATAATGAATACGATCTATTATTTGATAGCACAACAGGGTGACTATAGTCAACATAACTTATTGTATATTTAAAAATAAAAGAATAGAATTGGAATGTTTCTAACACAAATGATAGATGCTTGAGGTGATAGGTACCCCAATTACCCTGATGTGATTATTACACATTGCATGCCTATATTGAAACATCACATGTACCCGAAAAATACATAACACCTATTATGTACCCATAATAATAAAAATTATGAAAAGGTATATAAGCTTCTGCATTCTCTTGGGAGCTTGGGTCTTTATTCTGAAGGCTCCCCTATATACATGTTAATTAATTTGTATGTCTTTTCTCTAATTAAAAATAATTAAAAAGATTTAAAATATAACTTACTCTTTAAGTTTAATGAATATATCTACAACACTGAATTGTTTAGAATTCTAAATTATGAAGATGAACTTACATATCACCTCGAAACACTATTTGTTTTTCCTCTTAATAGTCTCATTTAAATCATCATGGTATTTTATTTCTATTTTAGGAGATCCTAAGAAAAAGCTTATATGTTCAGTGTGCAATAAAAAGTGTTCTTCAGCATCAAGCCTACAGGAACATAGAAAGGTCAGTAAGATAAAAATTCATCACAGTTTAATATCTATCTTTAATAATTTTAATATGTTTTATAGTAAGTATAAAAGTTACCAAGTTATTTTGATGTGAAAAGATAATCTGAAAAATCAATGGCAATTATTAACTCTAACAACATTAGCAACTATTTAATATAATTTGTAATAAAATAGAATTAATGGAGTTTTAATTTTTGCTCTTGTTATGACAAGGTCCAATATATTCATACTATATTTTATTATTATAACAAAGATGTAAATGATCATTGTTAATTTCACATATTGTTTCTTTTAGCATAGCTATGAGCATGAGATATTTTCTTTACAAAAGAGAAGGAGATGGTATTCGTGAAAATAAAATTTTACTTTTGTTATGGTTTGTAAAATGAATTTTTGTTTCTGTTTATATATAGATGTATTACAAAGTAATTTGACAGGACTTAAAATTTATATGATTTTTAATCCAGTAGCTCCAACCATGTGCTGTGGGTTTAACTTATAACATGTGAGGCAGCTAAATTATTGTGTTGATATGTCTGAGGTTATATCTTGTATGTTTAGTGATTTTGATACTTAAGGAGAAATAATAGGACAAGCACCAGACCAGGAATCAGGGTAGTGGGTTTCTTTTTCTATCACTAACCTTCCATGTAACATTAGGCCTTTCTTCTCCCATTTATAAAATGGGACACTGAATTGATCAGTATTCTCTTGTTTGTTTGTTCTCTATGTACCATGAAACTACTTTTTTTTTTTGGTTTTCAGTTTTCAAGTGGCAGTCTTATTAGATTGTTTAGAGATATGGAATGCTTTATGAATTTGTGTGTCCTCCTTGTGCAGAGGCCATGCTAATCTTCTTTGTTACATTCCAATTTCGGTGCTGCTAAAATGAGCACTGAGATTACTTTTAAAGGAAAAATTTTATGCAGAATGCCAATCCAGAGGACCCTTTTATAGGTCTTTTTTCCTCCTTCCCCCTCACCCTTATGGCTTCTGAAGCAGAACCCTTATGGCTGAAGCAGTTCATCTTCTGCAGAGACAAAACAATTAAGTCTACTGGAATAGATCTCTTCTAAGCATCCTCTTTTATAATTCTATGATTTATTTTTCTGACCCATTTAAATCTTAGAGGTTGAAATTTAAGCTATTTTACCAAATAGAGCAATGGTTCCCAACCTTCTTGGTACTAGGGACCGTTTTCCTGGAAGACAAGTTTTCCAAGGACCAGGGGGTGGGGGAGGAGGTTTTAGGATGATTCAAGCACATTACATTTATTGTGTACTTTATTTCTATTAT
This sequence comes from Homo sapiens, assembly GCF_000001405.40. Taxonomy (NCBI): domain Eukaryota; kingdom Metazoa; phylum Chordata; class Mammalia; order Primates; family Hominidae; genus Homo; species Homo sapiens. The sequence continues at coordinate 120,810,068 of NC_000004.12, read as the reverse complement.
TATTACATTAAAATGTATAATGAAATATTTATAAAACTCACCATAATATAGAATCAGTGAGAGCCCTGAGCCTGTTCTCTTGTAGCTAGACAGTCCCATCTGGGGGTGATGGGAGACAGTGACAGATCATCAGGCATCAGACACTCCTATGTGATGGTAATGGAATACAGAAACTATAACTCATGCCTCCTGAGTGGTCTTTGCAGAATGTTAATAAGTTGCTAGCTCAATGCAGCCCTTCCTCCATTTCAGCCATAGTCCTTCACTATTCAGCCTTTCCGAATCCATAGTCAACTTTTATTGACTCCAATTGGAACTTTTCCTATAGTTGAGAATGTCTAATGTCTAATAGAGTTAGGTTGCAGTATTTCACCTTGCCAGTAGATGATGCTATATGACAATGCCAAATTATACTATAGTCTAGTATCTTAAATTACTATTTATTATCTCCTATAATGATAAGGTATATTATGATTCTTCTTGAAAATAATTTGGGAGTTCAAATTTTAAAATATTACCCTCCAAATTAATTTGGTACACTGTAAATTTTATAAAATCTCATAAAAATATACTTTATTTAGCATTTGGCATAATTAAATAGTATTACTTGTCATTTTCACTTTAAATATGATCTTTTTATTAAGCATTTTTTTGTTTTTTTTAAAAGTATTTTTTTATTATACTTTAAGTTCTAGGGAACATGTGCACAACGTGCAGGTTTGTTACATAGGTATACATGGGCCATGTTGTTGTGCTGCACCCATTGACTTGTCATTTACATTAGGTATATCTCCTAATGCTATCCCTCCCCCCTCCCCTCACCCCACGACAGGCCCTGGTGTGTGATGTTCCCCACCCTGTGTCCAAGTGTTCTCATTTTTCAGTTCCCACCTATGAGTGAGAACATGCAGTGTTTGGCTTTTTGTCCTTGCGATAATGAGAGGTGACAGTGTGCTGGCAGCCCTCGCAGCCTTCGCTCCATCTTGATGCCTCCTCGGCCCTTGGCGCCCGCTCTGGCCATGCTTGAGGAGCCTTTCAGCCCACTGCTGCACTGTGGGAGCCCCCTTCTGGGCTGGACAAGGCCGGAGCCGGCTCCCTCAGCTTGCCAGGAGGTGTGGAGGGAGAGGGCCAGGCGGGAACCGGGGCTGCCTGCGGCGCTTGCGGGCCAGCGTGAGTTCCAGGTGGGCGTGGGCTAGGTGGGCCCCTCACTTGAAGCAGCCGGCCAGCCCGCAAACCCTGGGCAGTGAGGGACTTAGCACCTGGGCCAGCAGCTGCTGTGCTCAATTTCTCACAGGGCCTTAGCTACCTCCCTGTAGGGGAGGGCACGGGACCTGCAGCCCACCGTGCCTGAGCCTCCCCATTGCCGTGGGCTCCTGTGCAGCCCGAGCCTCTCAGGAGGAGTGCCTCCCCCTGCTCCATGGTGCCTGGTCCCATCGACCACCCAAGGGCTGAGGAGTGTGGGCACACAGCGCGGGACTGGCAGGCAGCTCCACCTGTGACCCCAGTGTAGGATCCACTGGGTGAAGCCAGCTGGGCTCCTGAGTCTGGTGGGGACTTGGAGAACCTTTATGTCTAGCTAAGGGATTGTAAATACACCAATTGGTACTCTGTATCTAGTTCAAGGTTTATAAACACACCAATCAGCACCCTGTGTCTAGCTCAGGGTTTGTGAATGCACCAATCAACACTCTGTATCTAGCTAATGGGGACGTGGAGAACTTTTGTGTCCACACTCTGTATCTAGCTAATCTAGTGGGGAGGTGGAGAACTGTTGTCTCTAGCTCAGGGATTGTGAATGCACCAATCAGCACCCTGTCAAAACGGACCAATCAGCTCTCTGTAAAATGGACCAATCAGCAGGATGTGGGTAGGGCCAGATAAGAGAATAAAAGCAGGCTGCCCCAGCCAGCAGTGGCAACCCGCTCAGGTCCCCTTCCACACTGTGGAAGCTTTGTTCTTTTGCTCTTTGCAATAAGTCTTGCTGCTGCTCACTCTTTGGGTCCACACTGCCTTTATGAGCTGTAACACTCACTGCAAAGGTCTGCAGCTTCTCTCCTGAGGCCAGTGAGACCGTGAACCCACCGGGAGGAGCAAACAACTCCAGATGTGCCGCCTTTAAGAACTGTAACACTCACCGCGAAGGTCTGCAGCTTCACTTCTGAAGCCAGCGAGACCATGAACCCACCAGAAGGAAGAAACTCCAAACACATCTGAACCTCAGAAGGAACAAACTCCGGACACACCACCTTTAAGAACTGTAACACTCACCGTGAAAGTCTGCAGCTTCACTCCTGAAGCCAGCGAGACCATGAACCCACCAGAAGGAAGAAACTCCAAACACATCCGAACCTCAGAAGGAACAAACTCCGGACACACCGCCTTTAAGAACTGTAACACTCACTGTGAGGGTCTGCGGCTTCATTCTTGAAGTCAGTGAGACCAAGAACCCACCAATTCCGGACACATAGTTTGCTGACAGTGATGGTTTCCAGCTTCATCCATGTCCCTACAAAGGACATGAACTCATCCTTTTTTATGGGCTGTGTAGTATTCCATGGTGTATGTGTGCCACATTTTCTTAATCCAGTCTGTCATTGATGGACATTTGGGTTGGTTCCATGTCTTTGCTATTGTGAATAGTGTTGCAATAAACATACGTGTGCATGTGTCTTTATAGCAGCATGATTTATATTCCTTTGGGTATAACCCAGTAATGGTATATACCCATATATGGCTGGGTCAAATGGTATTTCTAGTTCTAGCTCCCGGAGGAATCACTACACTGTCTTCCACAATGGTTGAACTAATTTACAGTCCCACCAACAGTGTGAAAGTGTTCCTATTTCTCCACATCCTCTCCAGCACCTGTTGTTCTCTGACTTTTTAGTGATTGCCATTCTAACTGGTGTGAGATGGTATCTCATTGTGGTTGTGATTTGCATTTCTCTGATGGCCAGTGATGATGAGCATTTTTTCATGTGTCTGTTGGCTACATAAATCTCTTCTTTTGAGAAGTGTCTGTTATGTCCTTCACCCACTTTTTGATGGGGTTGTTTGTTTTTTTTCTTGTAACTTTGTTTGAATTCTTTGTAGATTCTGGATATTAGCCCTTTGTCAGATGAGTAGATTGCAAAAATTTTCTCCCATTCTGTAGGTTGCCTGTTCGCTCTGATGGTAGTTTCTTTTGCTGTGCAGAAGCTCTTTAGTTTAATTAGATCCCATTTGTCAATTTTGGCTTTTGTTGCCATTGCTTTTGGTGTTTTAGAGATGAAGTCCTTGCCCATGCCTATGTCCTGAATGGTATTGTCTAGGTTTTCTTCTAGGGTTTTTATGGTTTTAGGTCTAACATTTAAGTCTTTAATCCATCTTGAATTAATTTTTGTATAGGGTGTAAGGAAGGGATCCAGTTTCAGCTTTCTACCTATGGCTAGCCAGTTTTCCCAGCACCATTTATTAAATAGGGAATCCTTTCCCCATTTCTTGTCTTTGTCAGGTTTGTCAAAAATCAGATGGTTGTAGATGTGTGGTATTATTTCTGAGGCCTCTGTTCTGTTCCATTGGTCTATAGATCTGTTTTTGTACCAGTGCCATGCTGTTTTGGTTACTGTAGCCTTGTAGTATAGTTTGAAGTCAGGTAGGGTGATGCCTCCAGCTTTGTTCTTTTTGCTTAGCATTGTCTTGGCAATGTGGGCTTTGTTTTAGTTCCATAGGAACTTTCACGTAGTTTTTTCCAATTCTGTGAAGAAAGTCATTAGTAGCTTGATAGGGATGGCATTGAATCTAGAAATTACCTTGGGCAGTATGGCCATTTTCACAATATTGATTCTTCCTATCCGTGAGCATGGAACGTTCTTCCATTTGTTTGTGTCCTCTTTTATTTCACTGAGCAGTGGTTTGTGCTTCTCCTTGAAGAGGTCCTTCACATCCCTTGTAAGTTGGATTCCTAGGTATTTTATTCTCTTTGAAGCAATTGTGAATGGGAGTTCACTCATGATTTGGCTCTCTGTTTTTCTGTTATTGGTGTATAAGAATGCTTGTGATTTTTGCACTTTGATTTTGTATCCTGAGACTGCTGAAGTTGCTTATTAGCTTAAGGAGATTTTGGACTGAGATGATGGGGTTTTCTAGATATACAGTCATGTCATCTGCAAACGGACAATTTGACTTCCTCTTTTCCTAATTGAATACCCTTTATTTTTTTCTCCTGCCTGATTGCCCTGGCCAGAATTTCCAACACTATGTTGAATAGGAGTGGTGAGAGAGGGCATCCCTGTCTTATGCCAATTTACAAAGGGAATGCTTCCAGTTTTTGCCCACTCAGTATGATATTGGCTGTGTGTTTATCATAAGTAGCTCTTATTATTTTGAGATATGTCCCATCAGTACCTAGTTTATTGAGAGTTTTTAGCATGAAGGGCTATTGAATTTTGTCAAAGGCCTTTTCTGTATCTATTGAGATAATCATGCGGTTTTTGTCTTTGATTCTGTTTATATACTGGATTACATTTTTTGATTTGTGTATGTTGAACCAGACTTGCATCCCAGGAATGAAGCCCACTTGATCATGGTGGATAAGCTTTTTGATGTGCTGCTGGATTTGATTTGCCAGTATTTTATCGAGGATTTTTGCATCGATGTTCTTCAGGGATATTGGTCCAAAATTCTCTTTTTTTATTCTGTCTCTGCCAGGCTTTCGTATCAGGATGATGCTGGCCTCACAAAATGAGTTAGGGAGGATTCCCTCTTTTTCTATTGATTGGAATAGTTTCAGAAGAAATGGTACCAGCTCCTCCTTGTACCTCTGGTAGAATTCGGCTGTGAATCCGTCTGGTCTTGGACTTTTTTTGGTTGGTAGGCTATTAATTATTGCCTCAATTTCAGAGCCTGTTATTGGTCTATTCAGGGATTCACCTTTTTCCTGCTTTAGTCTTGGGAGGGTGTATGTGTCGAGGAATGTATCCATTTCTTCTAGATTTTCTAGTTTATTTGCGTAGAGGCGTTGATAGTATTATCTGATGGTAGTTCGTATTTCTGTGGGATTGGTGGTGATATCCCCTTTATCATTTTTGATTGCATCTATTTGATTCTTCTCTCTTTTCTTCTTTATTAGTCTTGCTAGCGGTCTATTAATTTTGTTGATCTTCTCAAAAAACCAGCTCCTGGATTCATTGATTTTTTGAAGGGTTTTTTGTGTCTCTGTTTCCTCCAGTTCTGCTCTGGTCTTAGTTATTTCTTGCCTTCTGCTAGCTTTTGGATGTGTTTGTTCTTGCTTCTCTAGTTCTTTTAATTGTGAAGTTAGGGTGTCAATTTTAGATCTTTCCTGCTTTCTCTTGTGGGCATTTAATGCTATAAATTTCCCTCTACACACTACTTTAAATGTGTCCCAGAGATTCTGGTATGTTGTGTCTTTGTTCTCTTTGGTTTCAAAGAACATCTTTATTTCTGCCTTCATTTTGTTATGTACCCAGTAATCATTCAGGAGCAGGTTGTTCAGTTTCCATGTAGTTGAGTGGTTTTGAGTGAGTTTCTTAATGCTGAGTTCTAGTTTGATTGCACTGTGATCTGATAGATAGTTTGTTATAATTTCTGTTCTTTTACATTTGCTGAGGAGTGCTTTACTTCCAACTATGTGGTCAATTTTGGAATAAGTGCAATGTGGTGCTGAGAAGAATGTATGTTCTGTTGATTTGGGGTGGAGAGTTCTGTAGATGTCTATTAGGTCTGCTTGGTGCAGAGCTGAGTTCAATTCCTGGATATCCTTTTTAACTTCTGTCTCATTGATCTGTCTAATGTTGTCAGTTGGGTGTTAAAGTCTCCAATTATTATTGTGTGGGAGTCTAAATCTCTTTGTAGGTCTCTAAGAACTTGCTTTATGAAACTGGGTGCTCCTGTATTGGGTGCATATATATTTAGGATAGTTAGCTCTTCTTGTTGAATTGATCCCTTTATCGTTATGTAATGGCTTTCTTTTTCTCTTTTGATCTTTGTTGGTTTAAAGTCTGTTTTATCAGAGACTAGGATTGCAACCCTGCCTTTTTGTTTTCCATTTGCTTGGTAGATCTTCCTCCATCCCTTTATTTTGAGCCTATTTGTGACTCTGCACGTGAGATGGGTCTCCTGAATACTGCACACTGATGGGTGTTGACTCTCTATCCAATTTGCCAGTCTGTGTCTTTTAATTGGAGCATTTAGCCCATTTACATTTAAGGTTAATATTGTTATGTGTGAATTTGATCCTATCATTATGATGTTAGCTTGCTATTTTGCTCGTTAGTTGATGCAGTTTCTTCCTAGCATCGATGGTCTTTACAATTTGGCATGTTTTTGCAGTGGCTGGTACTGGTTGTTCCTTTCCATGTTCAGTGCTTCCTTCAGGAGCTCTTGTAGGGCAGGCCTGGTGGTGACAAAATCTCAGCATTTTCTTGTCTGTAAAGTATTTTATTTCTCCTTCACCTATGAAGCTTAGTTTGGCTGGATATGAAATGCTGGGTTGAAAATTCTTTTCTTTAAAATGTTGGATATTGGCCCTCACTCTCTTCTGGCTTGTGGAGTTTCTGCCAAGAGATCCACTGTTAGTCTGATGGGCTTTCCTTTCTGGGTAACCCGACCTTTCTCTCTGGCTGCCCTTAACATTTTTTCCTTCATTTCAACTTTGGTGAATCTTACGATTATGTGTCTTGGAGTTGCTCTTCTTGAGGAGTATCTTTGTGGTGTGTCTGTATTTCCTGAATTTGAATGTTGGCCTGCCTTGCTAGGTTGGGTAAGTTCTCCTGGATAATATCCTGCAGAGTGTTTTCCGTCTTGGTCCCATTCTCCCTGTCACTTTCAGGTACAACAATCAGATGTAGATTTTGTCTTTTCATGTAGTCCCATATTTCTTGGAGGCTTCGTTCGTTTCTTTTTATTCTTTTTTCTCTAAACTTTCCTTCTCGCTTCATTTCATCCATTTGATCTTCAATCACTGATACCCTTTCTTCCAGCTGATCGAATCAGCTACCGAAGCTTGTGCATTTGTCATGTAGTTCTTGTGCCATGGTTTTCTGCTCCATCAGGTCATTTAAGGACTTCCCTACACTGCTTATTCTAGTTAGCCATTCGTCTAATCTTTTTTCAAGGTTTTTAGCTTCTCTGCGATGGGTTTGAACTTCTTCCTTTAGCTCGGAGAAGTTTGATCGTCTGAAGCCTTCTTCTCTCAACTCGTCAAAGTCATTCTCCATCCAGCTTTGTTCTGTTGCTGGCAAGGAGCTGCGTTCCTTTGGAGGGGGAGAAGCGCTCTGATTTTTAAAATTTTCAGCTTTTCTGCTCTGCTTTTTTCCCCATCTTTGTAGTTTTATCTACCTTTGGTCTTTGATGATGGTGACGTACAGATGGGGTTTTGGTGTGGATATCCTTTCTGTCTGTTAGTTTTCCTTCTAACAGTTAGGACCCTCAACTGCAGGTCTGTTGGAGTTTGCTGGAGGTCCACTCCAGACCCTCTTTGCCTGGGTATCAGCAGCAGAGGCTGCACAACAGCGAATATTGCTGAATAGCAAATGTTGCTGCCTGATCATTCCTCTGGAAGTTTCGTCTCAGAGGGGTACCTGGCCATGTGGGGTGTCAGTCTGCCCCTATTGGCGGATGCCTCCCAGTTAGGCTACTTGGGAGTCAGGCACCCACTGTCCTGCACCCACTGTACGACAAGCCTCAGTGAGATGAACCCGGTACCTCAGTTGGAAATGCAGAAATCACCCATCTTCTGCGTCGCTCACACTGGGAGCTGTGGACTGGAGCTGTTCCTATTCAGCGATCTTGGAACTGCCCTCTTTATTAAGCATTTTAAGGAATTTTGAACATGGCTTTAGCTTGAATTTTTCACTATAAATGAGATAGTCAATGCACAAATGCTTAAATATATAGTCGATGTTCCCTTTATAGTTTTGGGAATATCAGTTCAATTCAACCTTGAAAAATGTTTCATGTTGAAGCCATGAGAATTAACAAGTGAACAATATTTCACTTAAAAATGAAACAAATGAACAATGTTTCATTTAACGATTTCCATTTTATATGTGGATGAATAATTTTTATAATTTTATATATCAATAGAAATTAAACATTAAAAATGATAACAAAAGTTTTCATTTATGTATAACTCAGAAGGTATGACATCTCTTTAGAGTATCTTGTTTGTCATTATAAAATTATATATATTACAGAAACATAGAGTTTAAGAATATAAATCTGCTCTTACTATCTTTATATAAACATTACAAATCATATCATTGGTCCTCAAACATAGGTGTTTAACTGAAGCCGCTGTGGAAGTCTTTGATGATTGAAGAGGCTGCCTTTAACATGCCTCAGGCTGGAAGTTTTTCTTGTCTGCTCTGGAGCACTAGCATTCCAAACACTTGTGCAGGCAGTCATACAGATCCCACATGCTTTCTAAAGGAACTCTTTGGATTCTAGATATCCCCTCATAGATGCCATTGCATCTAAGCGGGGAGATAAGTCAGACTCTTGTGGAATGACATATTTTGGCTTCTGCCTTGTTTCTCTACTTTTTCCCTGCTTTACATAACTGAATTTAATGACTCACCAAGAGTCAGACCTGACAGAAGCAGAGGCTGGTTGGCAACCTTCAAACTGCCACGTGCTTGGGCATTGAATTAAGCCGTGGGCTGCAGGCCTGGGATCTGTCAGCCTTGCCCCTGCATCTGTTTCCCTGCCTTGAAGCCTTCTATGGCCATTTAGATCAAGAGAACCATTTATCAGGGGCCAGCCGAGTCCTCCACTCATTACTCATGTGCTGTACCAGTTCAGGGACTTTTGCCTAGATCTTTCACTCTGCACTGTTATTCCTAGTTATTCTGCAGGGACACTGTCTTGGCTTCTTGCACAAGGGCGTTTACTTCTCTGGGGTTTAGTATTGTGAGCTGGACCTTTAGTGAGGTTGAAACAAAAACATGACTTCACCACAACCATTTTTGAATATTCAACAACATTGTGTGATGCTGTTGTTCATTGGGATGATCAACATTTCTAATATAATATGATATGTAATACATTTCTTTTAGAATTGAATACATTGTTTCTGAAAACCTAGACTTTTACTTTTCATACCACCTATCCAGTTTCTCTGTGTTAGTGTCTGGGAGGGAAATAACTAATTTAATATTCAGTTTTAATATTTATATTAGCCAATTGTTTACTGAAGTTATATCCCCCCTTATTGTATTTTTTAAATACATTTTATTCTGTATATTTAAGTTATACAACATAATGTGATGAGATACACATATAGTTAAATGATTATTTTAGTGAAATAAATTAATGCATCCATTATCTCACATAGTTACCCATTTTTCCTCCTGTGGCAAGAGCAACTATAATCTACTCACTTAGCAAAAATCCAGAATATAATACGCTATTATCAATTGTAATCTTCGTGTTATACATTAGATCTTTAGAGTTATTCATCCTGCATACCTGCTACTTTGGATCCTTTGACTAGATTTCCTCATTTTAAAAGTTGTGATCCTCCTGTCATGTGAGACTTTTTTTTTTTTTTTTGAGACCGAGTCTCACTCTGTCACCCATGCTGAAATGCAATAGTATGAACACAGCTCACTGAAGCCTCGACTTCCCAGGTTCAAACAATCATCCTGCTTCAGCCTCCTTTGTAGCTGGGACCACAGACGTATGTCATCACACCTGGCTAATTTTTAAAATTTTTTGTAGGGACGAGGTCTCACTTTGTTGTCCAGGCTGATCTCGAACTCCTGGGCTCAAGCAATCCTCTTGCCTTGGCCTCCCAAAGTGCTGGGATTACAAATGTGAGCCACTGCATCTGGCTCATGTGAAACTTCTATTGTGAACTAAATGCTTTTCAGAATCCTGTAACTTCTGATCTTTTACTGTAATTAATGTTGCACTCTCTACTATGTACATTTAAGTTTAAAATATTGTTGGCTACTGTAAAGGGAATATTATTAACTGCATGCTACATATTTCCAAGTCTAAATTTGTGCATAACAGAAGAGTTACTATATATTAGGTGTAATTTTTTACAGAGTATAAATTTAATATGTACTAAATAGGACAGCTGTATTACATTTTTAAGGACTGTGAGTATTATGTCTCAAAAGATATTTTTTACTACATAACTTATGTCCACTGCATTTTCAGTGTATATAGGTTAGTGTGAACAAATTAGGGCTGAATTGTAATATATAGTTTGGGTATTGCAGTGGCAGCTGTTCACATGTTTACACTTTTGCTTGAGAGCTGTGTAATTTACTAGGCTTTGACAGTTGATTTAACTGTCTATTTAACCTTTTGCAGATTCATGAGATATTTGATTGTCAAGAATGTATGAAGAAATTTATTTCAGCTAATCAGCTAAAACGTCATATGATCACCCACTCAGGTAAACTATATACTTTTTTTGTTTATAGTGATATCATTACAAAAAAATTACATTGTCACTTTTTATAAACTCTAAGAGTGGTAATCAGGGGCCTTAGCTATGAATTCTGCTTTGGACCTTTAGTAGTCATGTGATTCTGAACAAGTTATTTAATTCTTTAGTCCTCAGTTTATTTACAGAGCAAAGGTGCTTAGAGTAAATGATATTGAAGATCTTCAGAATCACCATGTAATTTGTCACTTACTCCTCCTTGAGCCTCAGTTTCTTTATTCTTCATTTGTGAAATGGGATACTGGTGCCTACCTTTCAAATTAGCTGCAAAGATTAAATGAGATCATTTAGGTACTGTGCTAGCATAGTGTCTGACATTTAGTAGATATTCAAAAATTATAATTCTTGCATTTTTAGATACTTTTATATTCTAGCTAAGTTACTAATACATGTTAGTAAGAAATCTATAAATACATTTTGAGTATGTAAGTTTTTAAAGCGGTAGTTTCATTTAAGCAAGTCTTATGAATAGCTCTGTTTTACTAATGCAGATTAAAAAAATAAGCTCTGAAAATAGTTTTTACTTTATGGAGTCTCTAGAGTTTAAGATATCTGTAATTTGAGGCGATTGAAGTCAGAATGTTTTTGAATATGCAAGTTGTTGATACATATGAATATTTTAGTAAATTAAAATCAGATCAAAACCTGTTATCTTTTAGGTATGCTTTATTTGATACATATTATATATTTTTTATTTAGGTGTCAATGTTATATGGATATTGCATAAATACGAATTTTACATACCAGTGTAAATATCTGGTTCCTGCCGAGCATTGGAAGCTCTGCCTCCATGAGGCCTTTGTGGCCCTGGGGGAAGGCAGCTCTGTTCTTTGTCTCCATCTCTGTCAGGTCACTTTCTGTATTTGGGGCCCTGACCCTGATTTAAACTGTCACATATCAGCATGGTTTTCATCTGGAAATAGGAGTCCTTCCTTGAATGTAAACCTTTTCTTTATATCTAAGCTACTTTAAAAATTCAAAATACGTCTGTAAGAGAACAAGCTCATATTTCATTTAGGAGTAGACACATTTATGTGTCTATTATGTGGATGGTAGATGTTTTTTAGTTGTTTGACCATCCTTTAGTTTTCTTACCGTAAGAAGTAATATAAGGTAAGGGTGTTTTCTCTTTTATCCTTTACCTTTATATAGATATGAGATTGTCTCCACTCATTTTTTTAATAGAAAAACGACCCTATAATTGCGAGATTTGTAATAAGTCTTTCAAGAGGCTTGATCAAGTGGGTGCTCACAAAGTAATACACAGCGAAGACAAACCTTACAAATGCAAACTTTGTGGAAAGGGATTTGCCCACAGAAATGTTTACAAGAATCATAAGAAGGTAAAACTTATTAATATTATTATTATTTTTTATGAATTTGCTGCTGTGATTTTCAATTTTTATTTTTGATAAAGCTTTTGTACATCTGGGGCCTACTGTATATAATGCAACAACTAGAGAAGATCACTCACCTGGGCCATAACCCCTCACAGCCTCCTTCCTGTCTTCCATTCTCTTTTGAAACTGTCCTTATAAGCAGAGTGCCTAGTTTTTCTTAACACCGCTATTAGATTAATTTTATGGGGTTTACTAATTGTGAAGTCTTTATTCTCTTCCTTCTTTCCATAAACTTTGATGTTTTTATTTACGTTAGCTTTTTGAAATTCTCTTCATCCTTGGGATCCTTGTAGTATGCTCTGCTAGGTCTTCTGCCAATTTCTCTGAACATTTTTGACTTCCTTTCCCCTCAGGAGGTTATTCTGGATCCTTTGCCTGTGAACCTCTTCTGTGTTCTCTCTCCTTAAGAAATGTCAACTACATCCATGACTTCTGCTATCAACACCATACTGATGAATTCCAAATGATTTATTTTCTTTAATCCCAAGTTTCAGACTCACATTTATAACTGGGCATCTTTTCGACATAATGAATTCAGCATGCCCCAGAATGGTTTTTTCATTCTCTTTGCCCAAGATAGCTTCTCTTTTGGAGTTTCCTCTTTGTCTTAATGACAAAAGCATGTAATTATCCTAGTCTCTTTATTCAGTATTGGTCCCTTTATAAAATTAGAAGCCAAATATAAAGACTCTACCCTTTACATTATCTCATCACTTTCACAGTCATCCCTTCCTTTACCATTCCAACATCCTGATTATTTCTCCCCTGGATTCCTTTAATACTCATCTAATTAGGCTTATCACTTCCTGCTGCAATCCATCCTACAAGGCAAATCATCCCAAAGCATCACTCTGGTATATCACTCTCATACTCTAATATTAAAAGTAGATTGCCAGTGTCTACATATGTAATAGTATATACACCTTCACCTGTCATTCAGAGTTCTCTACATCATGACCTCAGCCTACTTCTCCAGCTTTTTATCCTTTTATCTGCATTAACCATACCTAAAACAACTAAATATTTGCCTGCCTTCTGTGTGACCTCTCTACCTTCTTCTTTCTCTTCAAGTTATTAATATAGTGTCCTAGTTTCTTCTGTTGATTTTGGTTTGCATTTCTTATACTTTACCTTTGCTCAAGTTCTTGTTTCAGAATGTATCATGTAGATAATACATCATGCTTGAATTGAATTCAGGAAATTGGTCCAAAGATATTCAACATCTTAGAAATGCATGTAAAAACATTTTCATGAGATACAAAATACTTGCTTATTGATTTTAGTTGATGTATTATAGCATGCTGTTAAATAACATGTATATGATCTTTTAAAAATAATTTTTCAGTTATTATACTCCATGGGGATTATAATTATTATAATATTTATGGGATACTTCCAAAGACTTCATTTTATCTCTTTTGAAATCATTTAAAAATTATGATACCAATTTCAACTTTAGTCCAAAAAGAGAAAGAAAAAGGCAGATTTACCAAAGAATAAACAGTGTTGATTATAGTGTCTTAAATCGTCTCTGCCTAATTTCTTCCTTACCATCTTTATGTTTACCTCAAGCATTGTACATTCGGGGCAGGACTGCGTTCATTACTGCTGCTTTGGAATTACGTGACTGTAAAAAATTATCTGGCTAGTTCCTGTTTAGTCTCTGGAACCCTCTTATTCCTTTCTCTGATGAAACTGATCTATCCACATTTATGAGTTTTTCACAGTTTGGCTCATGTTATATGCCATATGGGAATTTGGCACAGGATCTTTGCACCATCTCTCATACTTTAAGCCATAAATCATATAAAAGTAATAATGATGTCTTGGGAAGCATAGAAACAATGATGCTTGTAATTTCCAAACTGGAAAGCAACACTCAATCCTTCTGCACTAGACAAATGTATTTCTTACTGTGTTATGATCCTAGCATATATTTGGCATTGTTACATGAAAATACCTGAAATATTCTCCAAGAATCATGTAAAAACAGAAGATCAACCTTTTCTTCCATCACAATCATTAATGGCTAGTTGAGAAACATAGAAGTAAGGATATGCCACAGAAATTAGAAAAAAACGTTAAGAGTCAGTGTGATCTTTATCTTTTAGTATGCTCAAGGGTTATTACTTTTAATTAATTATTCTTTTGTTTTTTGAGAATATAATATATACATTTTTATTATACTTATTTGAGTTATTTTGGGTTGGTTCTTAACATTTAGACTTGCTTGAAAAATAGAATATTATTTTTCATTGTGATTATGATAGCATATACAGAAATTATTTTTATTTTTTGAAATAGAGTCTCACTCTGTCACTCAGGCTAGAGTGCAGTGGCGCAATCTTGGCTCACTGTAATCTCTGCCTCCCAGGTTCAAGTGATTCTTGTGTCTCAGCCTTCCAAGTAGCTGGGACTACAGGCATGTGCCACCATGCCTGGCTAATTTTTGTATTTTTAATAGAGACAGGGTTTCACCCTATTGGCCAGGCTGGTCTAGAACTCCTGACCTCAAGCAATCTGCCTACCTCGGCCTCCCAAAGTGCTGGGATTACAGGTGAGAGACACGGTGCCTGGCCAGCATATAGAGAAATTTTAAAGGGGTGTTTTTTTTTTTTTTTGAAAATTTAGTTACTCATTTATTTCATCATCTTGCCAGTTATATGGGTTCAATAGGTTACTTTTTCTTCTTCATTTTTTCTGACAATCATTTGATCTGAATTACAGTTGTATTTTAGGATCTAGCTAAAAAATCTCATTTATCTCAATTCAAATATACTTCGATTCTTTAAATCACAATTGAACCAGTGTTTCAGAGCCAGAGGAGACAGAAACCGTTCAATTACTCTTCACCCTCCATTGTGTTCCCTGTCATATATAATGCAAAGCAAAATTTGGGTAAGTTGTACAGTGCTTCCCTCCTCCTGCTGTAGGATACATGTTTAGATGTAGTGAACCATCTTGGATCCTAGAGCTGGCACCACTTACTTGCTGATGGAAGTGAGTATGGAGGGGTTTTGCCCTCATGAATTTACAAACAAACTCCTAGGGGACAGGTGTGTGCCTATTCAAAAAAAGAATCTTTTTTCCTGACCCTTTACTTAGCCTTCCAGGGATGAAACTTTAGAGGCTTATGAGGAAATCTAGTCACAACTTCTCCTGGAATAATTCCATTGGGCCTTAATGTCTCATCAAGTCTTTTTCAAATTCTGGGCCATGACTGCTGTGTAGGTCTTGAAATCAATTTACTGAGTGATGACTGGCCATTAAAAAATAGAATAGAAGGCTGGGTGTGGTGGCTCATGCCTGTAATCCCAGCACTTTGGGAGGATGAGGTGGGTGGATCCGCTGAGGTCCGGAGTTCAAGACCAGCCTGGCCAACATGGCAAAATGCCATCTCTACTAAAAATACAAAAAAATTAGCCGGGTGTTGTGGCGCACGCCTGTAGTCCCAGCTACTCAGGAGGCTGAGGCAGGAGAATCACTTGAACCCGGGAGGTGGAGGTTGCAGTGAGCCAAGATTGTGCTACTGCACTCCAGCCTGAGCAACAGAGCGAAACTCCGTCTTAAAAAAAAAAAAAAAGTAGAATATAAAATATAGAGTAAAGGGTCATTCAATAAGATAATACATGTATTTGTGTGTATTTGTATGTGTGTGTGTGTGTGTGTGTGTGTGTGTGTGTGTGTGTGTGTGTTAGATTTTGGAGTCAGAATTATTTATTTGGTCATAGCCAAACAATTTAAAAGGCAATACAGTTCACTCTTTGCCTGGTATAAATTTTATTAGACCTTAAAGACAGTAACAAGTTTCTAAAAATATCATGGATTAGAATCTAAAACCAAAACATATGGTGTAAGTTTAACATAGTAAAAAAAAAAGTTCTTGAAAATTTCCTGGAAAGATGTCATCTTGGAGACTGAGTGATGTTCACTCAACAGTTAGAGCACAGCCACTCTTTCCTTTAGCTTTTGCATCAGGTTACTCTTCAGTGATGCTGCAGGAGAGGTAGTACCCATTCATTTAAGGTGTTGCTATATTGTACAAAATCACCTATCTTTGTATGCTAGAAGCACGTTCACAATGAGCTGCACACATTATGAGGGACATGCAGGATTTGAATCTGACAGAAGGAACCACAGATACAGGTCATTATCTAAATACTTAGCTAATGGCAAATTGCTTGCCTTATTTTAATTGTTCTTTCTCTTAAGTGGATGATGAGATAGCAATGTACAATTTCAAACAATATTTTTTACTTATTTTTTTATTTATTGAAGCATAATGACAAGTGAAATTTGTGTATGTTTATGGTGTACAATGTAATGTTTATATGTATACACACACACACACATTGTGAAATGATTACCACCTAATTAATGTATTCATTACTCACACGTTATCTTTTTTTGTAGTGAAAATATCCAAAATCTACTCTGTTAATTTTAAGTGTTCTCACCACACAAAAAGGATAAGCATGTGAAATAATGGATATGTTAATTAGCTTGATTTAGCCATTTCACTAAACATGTCATACACCATATAGATACAATTTTTATTTGTCAATTAAAATAATTAAATACAATGAAGATCTACTTTCTTAGCAATCTTCAAGTACAATACATTATTACTAAATGTAGCCACAAGGCTATACTACAGTGGTCCCCAGCTTTCTTGATGCCAGGGACCAGTTTCATGGAAGACAGTTTTTCCATGGACCAGTGTTGGGCAGGGGATGGTTTTGGGATGATTCAAGTGCATCATATTTATTATGCACTTTATTTCTATTATTATTACATTGTAAAATATAATGAAATAATTATACAACTCACCATAATGTAGAATCAGTGGGAGCCCTCAGCTTGTTTTCCTACAACTAGATGGTCCCATCTAGGGGTGATGAGAGACAGTGACAGATCATCAGGCATTAGATTCTCATAAGGAGCATGCAACCTAGATCCCTTGTGTGTGCAGTTCACAATAGGATTCACCCTCCTGTGAGAATCTAATGCCGCCACTGATCTCACAGGAGGTGGGGCTCAGGCGGTAATGTGAGTGATGGGGAGTGGCTGTAAATACAGATGAAGCTTCACTCACTTGCCCGCCACTCACCTCCTGCTGTGTGGCCTGGTTTCTAACAGGCTACGGGCTGATATTGTGGGGTTGGATAATCCTGCTGTAGCAGGGTTGGGGACCCCCTGCTGTAGTATACATCTCTAGAACTTACTTATCCTGTGTAACTGAAACTTTGTATCCCTTGACCAACATCTTCCCATTCCTCCCTTCCCCTGCCCCTTTACCTCTACCCCTAGTTCCTGGCAACCACCGTTCTACCCTCTGCTTCTGTGTGTTCAGCCTTTTTAGATTCCACATGTAAGTGAGATCATGCAGTATTTGTCTTTCTGTGCCTGGTTTATTTCACTTATCATAATGTCCTCCATGTTCATTAATGTTGCCAAAAATGACAGGATTTCTTTCTTTTTTAAGGCTGAATAGTATTACATTGTGTCTATATACCACATTTTCTTTATCCATTCATCTGTCAATGGCTTCTTAGGTTGTTTTTATAT
The DNA here is from genome assembly GCF_000001405.40 of Homo sapiens. Classification (NCBI taxonomy): domain Eukaryota; kingdom Metazoa; phylum Chordata; class Mammalia; order Primates; family Hominidae; genus Homo; species Homo sapiens. Next base: position 120,792,641 of record NC_000004.12, on the reverse strand, counting down.
CCTGGCTTTTACGCAATGAACCTGAGAGTGTAGGTGTCTCTTTGACAAACTGATTTCACTTTCTTTGAAGATGTACCCGGAAGTGGGACTGCTGGATCATATGGTAGTCCTATTTTTAACTTTTTCAGAAACTTCCATACTGTTTTCTACAATGGATATGCTAATTTACATTTCAACCAACAGTATACAGGGGTTCCAATAGTTCTTGCTGTTTTAGTAGATATCTTATGAAAATAACTTTAAAATCGTACATGCATGTCTGGTAGTCAGTTTTGGAGCTCGAGTTGTGAACCTTCCCAACAGCTACCTTCTCCTGCCTGTCATGGTTTCAGTCTCCGCACCAGTGGAGTGACTTTCTTCAATATAGTAAAAACTGTACTCATTATTTGTACAAATTATTTGTTAATTATTACCACATGTGCCAATATATATGAAGGCCAATGATCCTAACTGGAGGATATTTTGTAGACTGAGGAAAACACAATTTTTATCTTTATTATAATGCCTTTGACATACTTTCGGTCACAGTTTGTAATGGGTTTGCACATAGAAGATTAGAGATGAGATGGTGGGTGTCTTCAGTTTAAGCTGCTATAACAAAATACCTTGGGCTGGGTGGTTTAAACAACAAACAGTTATTTCTCACAGTTCTGGAGGCTGGATAATGTAAGATCAAGGTGCTGGCAAATCTGGTATCTAGTGAGGGCCCACTTCCTGGTTTGCAGATGACTGTCTTCTTGTATCCTCACATGAGGGAGAAAGAGGGAGTGCAAGCTCTCCTATCTCTTTTGATAACGGCACTAATCCAGTTCACAAAGCGTCCACCCTTAGAACCTAATTACTTCCTAGAGGTCCCAACTCCTAATACCATCACATTGGGGGTTAAGACGCAACCTATGAATTTTGGTCGGACACAAACATTGAGTCCATAGCAGTGAGAGTTGGTGGTGGTTGGGTGGCAGAGCCAGGGGGTGAGGGTCAGAATTGGAAAAGGTGGGCATTGGAATGGAAAAGAGAGAATGAGATGTCACTCAGTGTCCTGAGGCTGAGAAGAGATTTCAAAGTATTAGATCAGACAGGAAGTTTTCAAGCGAAGTATTCTACCATAGAAGGCACCTCTTTCATATCTCTTGTAAAATCTTTAGTAACATTTGCATTTCACACTAATGTTTTTGTGTAAGAGGAAGTTCTTTTAGGTGAGTTTGGAGAAGAACAGAGTTCCAGCTGCCCATCTGGGAGATAAGTATATTTAAAAGTAACTAGTACTATGACACATATGTATCATTCAGGAACCTACTTCTTTGCCTTAACATATGATTTGCAGGGATGTTTATGTTAGTTCATATAAATCTACTCATTTTTTTTGTAACCACTGCTATTTTGAACAATAATGCAGTGAACATCCTTTTATATAAAACTTTAAAACTATGCTAAGAGTATTTTTGTGCATAGATCTCAGGTGTGGAATTTCTGGGTCAAATAGGAAGTCTACTTTATGTTTAGATCCTCCTACCCACTGCCTTCTGAAAAGCTCTACTTTCTCTTAACAGTGTATAAAATGCCATTTTACTCTTCACCAATATTTCATTTTGTTAGTCTTCTATTTTCAGTCTGAGAATTAAAAAGTGATTCTCATTACATTTTATCAGTGATGAGTAAAATTGTATGTGTGTTTTTCTGTTTTTTTGTTTGTTTGTTTTTGACAAGGTCTTGCTCTATCACCCAGGCTGGAGTGCAGTGGCACGATCTCCACTCACTGCAGCCTCCACCTCCAAGGCTCAAGCAGTCTTCCACCTCAGCCTCCCGAGTAGTGCACACCACCATGCTTGGCTAAATCTATCTATCCATCCAACTGTTTTTTTATTTATCTTGCCTGACCCAGTATTCACCAAATATTTGAAATCCTATTACCATTTTAGTATCTGTAAAAATTCTACAGATTTATGTTATGTAGAAAACTATTTGCTACTCAGGAACTGGCTTTAATATTTATAGAACGTGATTTTTTTCATAGGACTAAAATTGCTCCCTTGTTGTTTGTCTCTTTGAACTTTAGGAATCTTTACGTATTTCTGTATAGATGGTACATAAATCTCAATTTAAAAAAATTACCAATTTCTTTAGCCAGCCTGCCTAGAAAACAAGTTATCTACTAGAGGAGCTAGTATAGTTACTAAGAGTTGTTACATATGAGTTATTAATATTAGGCTGCCTATTTTTATGCAGAAAATTCTCCTGTACAATAACTGTGATGAGTGTGAAAACTGTATCTTCATGAGTGAAGCTACAGGTGTATGTTATCTGGTTATTTCTGTGAAGCCACATGGTTGTCATTTCCATCTATTTCAGGAGCTACATTGCAGAGGAGAGAATACACTTGTTCAGCACGCTCTAAGTTAGCTGTAATAAATGGTAGCTGTTGTAAAAAGGCTTAACTTTTCAGTTAATGGTCAAGTCAGCCAGCCTAGGAGGTCATGTGTTTGTTCAAAGCAGTGTTTGTGAGAAGCGTCCTTAATTAGAGACATGAGTTATGGCTCTTACCAGTGTCGTTGAGTGGAAGGTTTCCTGACTTGGAATCTTTGTTGCTACCTTCTATAACTTCATCTGAAAATCTGTGGTTATTTCTTCTCTTAGCAACTTCCCTTTGCCCTAATCAGGATTGTGGGGACTCAGTAGTTGGCTCCCTGGCATTGTGGCTTTGTACTGATGGAATTGTGGCTTTGAAGCAGTGGGAAGGTTGGACTTGGCTCTGCAAGACTATAGTTATGTAGGAACATCAACTAAATTTCATGCTTTTAACTTCTCTATGTGGAGTGAGCTACCCATTTCTCTACTGAGCTTAAAGTAACTGACTTCTTCAATATCTTTCCAGTTTCAATTTATTTTGTGAGGAGGAGTACTTTTCAAGAAGTCAGTTATAAATTTGACAGTAAAAATTTAATCCACAGACCTTGTAAACATCCAGATGACATGTATTTTATGTAGCTTTAGCTTTATTGTGTGGCCCACTGGGATGGTAATGTGCTATGACATGAAACCTGAGTCTTCAATAATAAAACTCTATAAAAATAATCGTTCTAGCAAACATACCTCTGGAATATTTTCTCCAAATTTGTTTTATCTTTAGTTGTTTCTTCTAATTTTAAGGTAGTTTTATTGGTTTGCACATACCCCAAAGAAGAAATACCATTACCAAGAAATACTTTTACCATGGAGTAATATATATTCTTGATAGTCAGTAGTATAATTTTTAATTGTAAATGGTCCTTAATTTCATTTTATTCTCATGGAATTAATATTTGATCTGTGTGGCTAGAAATGTATTAATCTGGTAATTAATGTACATTACGCCAGAAACCTTCTGAAGCATTTTCGAGACATTCTAGTAGGTGTTATAAATAGTGCAACAGATTTTATGTATTTTTTATATCTGCAAAAGAGTTGGTATATAAAAAGATATGTTTCATAGTACTTGTTCATGGACTAGTTCATTTGTTACATTGGGAGATGTTAGTGTCATCAGTGACTTGGCATACAAATGGGATGTTCTACAGAACATCATAGGGTTATTAAGGATCATTTGATCAATAAATCAGTGAAAAGCTTGGCATTCATTAGAGGTGAAAGATTGAAGGACAAGTACCTTTAAAAAAGCTTGATTTCATCTGATACTTGTAAAATATATCTTGGAGACAGAAGTTCTCTATTTGCAACATGCAAGCATCTTACTGTGCCTTACTTAAATTAGGTGGCTTCTCAATGTCTTCCAGTTGATTGAATGCATGGGTTCTCTGCCATCCCAACCCAGATGGTGACATTGGCATCCTTCTTGACAAAAGTATTTATTCACCTGGCTATGCACAGACATCTTACTACTTAAAATATGTCATTGGCTTTAGGCCAATATCTAGATGTTGTGGCTTTGGTTGAACATAGTTAAAAGGCATTATGCTGTCCCAGGTTCTTTCATAATTAAGCAACTTAAGTCATGTTCCTTAAGTCATGTTATGTCCCAAATTTGGAAAGAGAAAAAATGAATTAGGGAGGAATATAGTATTTTTAGAAGATGGGAGCAATCCTGTGTTCCAACCTGGATGCTCTAAAAACAAAATAGTTTCTACCTTTTTATGATAATGCTGTCTACTTATTGTTTTGTAGAAAATCTAAGTAGCAAAGAAAGGTATAAAGAAGAAAGCAAACATTCTGTCAAATATCACTGTCTTTCCTTTAAAAACCCTCCTCAATGTTTTGTAGAATGTCTTCCTGGACTCCATTCTGTGTGCATATATGTATGCGGCTTAAATGGTATTCTTTATATTATGTTTTGCATTCTGCTTTTGTCACCTAAAGTATGATATGCATGACTTTTCATATCTAAGAAAATAAATATAGAATTATAATATCTACTACAGTTTAGTTAACCAGGTTTATATCTTTTTATGGGCATTTAGGAATTTTCCTTTTATTTAAAAAAAAGTAGTTTTTGCAAAAATTTGTCAGTTGTATTTCTGTAAAGGGAATTGGTTAGTCAAGGGATGTGCACATTTGTCATTTTGGTACATAGAACCACATTGTTATGCAGAAAATTTTTATTCCCAATTACAGTATGTGGGATTGCCTGTTTTTACTCTTTAGTCAACACTGAATGGTATCCATCATCTTCATCTTTGGCAGTCTGATTAATCACAGATAGTATCTTTATTTTTAATTTTTCATTCCTTTATCATATTCATGGCTTTAAATATTGATACCATATGTAATCTGACATCTCCATCTTATACCTTATTATCCAGACTTGAAATATTCAAGTACCTGTAGTGCTAGACATCTCGTAATATTTATTTGAACTTGCCCCAAATTGAACCCCTGATGTTTTACTCAGACTTGTTTCTTGCTGCTCTTCTGCATATCTGTTAGTGGCTAATCCATCATTGCATTGCTCAGATCACAAATCTTGGAGTCATGCTTGCCTCCTTCTTTTTGTGTCTCATGCTTCATATCCAGGTACTTTCTCAAAACCTGTTCACTTTCAGAAGATATTTAGAACTCTACTACTTCTCTTCACATCTGTGGCTACCAACCTGGATAAGCTCTAATTATCTCTCTCCTGCTGCATTGCTGTTGCTTCTCCACTTTGTGTTTTCCCCTACATTTTGTTGTCAACACAGCCATCAAGGCATCCTGTTAAATGTCAGGTGAATTGTGTCCCTCATCTGCTCAAAATCCTGCAGAAAGTTACATCTCTCTTAGAATAAAAGACAAAATTCCTGCACTGGCCAGTCAGGCCGTACACGATTTGCTTCTCCTCCTCACTTCTCCCATTCTTCTGACTGCATCTCTCCACTTCTCTGCCCATTTCACATGGCTCCAACCACACTGGCTTCCGTGATGTTTCTTGACTAGGTCACCCGAATACCCACCCTTGCTCCTTCATATCCATCAGATCTTATCTCATAGGTCACCTTCTCAGCTAGAATTTTCTTGACCACCTATTTAAAATTGCTACCCCATTCTCTGAAATGTTTGTTATCTTCTTTCTTGCTTTATTTTTCTCCATCACATTTATCCCTTCCTAATATAGTACATACTTTTTCATTTGTTTATTGTCCTTCTCCTCTGCTAGTGTAAAAGCTTCGTGATAGCAGGGACATTGTCTTTTGGTTCATGGCTATAGGCTCAGCATCTAAAATAGGACTTGCTAGTAGAGGCATGAAACGCATAGCGTAGACCTGGCATAAAATAAAACGATGAATGAAATTTTAGGAGTGCTATTTGGAAGGGAGTCCTTTTGTCCATTTTCATCTTTTCTTATTAAGATGCCATAACTTCTTATATTAGCAACATTACACTTCTGTTTTATGTTGCAGATATTTATTTTGTCATCAAAGATTTTTGCTTTGGAGCTTTAAGTTTATTTCTGTCATTTCAATGTCTGGTTTACCTTGCTTGGAAAGCCTTTCCAGACTCAAAAGTTATTTAAAAATTTACTCGGATTTTCTTCTAGTACATTTAAAGTGTTATTCTTCATTTTAAGAAAAATACCTAAATTGATTTGCAATTTATCTTATTGTAGGAGGTGAGTGGTAGATCCAACATTACTTTTGCCCGAATATCTGGACGTTTGCCTCAAAGCCATTTACTAAACTTTCTACTCTTTTCCCACCAATTTTAAATGCCATATTTCTCCTGTACTAAATGTTCATGTATTTTATGTAATGCAAGAGACCTACTTGTTTTTCTGTTTTATTGATCTATGTATTTCCATGCTGTCATTTTAATTTCTTTGGGTAAATAGCACATTAGATTATCTGTGATTTATCCTGACTAATCTTAAATATCTGTTCTTTCATGCTTTCTCTATATCTTTCACAAATAAAACCAAACATGAAAATGTCTTTCTCACCAACATTATGCTAATAGATTATGCTTGTATGTTTAATATTATGTCTGCTAAACTAAGAAAATATATAAATTAATAGGCTATAAATAAAGTGACTTTTCTTTAAATTACTTTTTTGTTTTTGTCACATGTATTATAAAAACCCATCAGTTATGATTTGTTTTATGTAATATGAGATAATAGTTTAATTTTTGATTTTTTAGCATTTATGAGACTTATTATCATGCCATCTATAGTAGAATAAGATTTTATTTACTGATTTGTGCCGAATGGGTTTATACTGGTGTGTAATGTAAAAGAGGTGGAGTGAGCAGTGTTTGCTGTTTTGTTTTGGTTTTGTTTTTGAATTTTAGATCTAGTTAGTGGCTTTTCATTGTTTCTTGTTTGTCAGTATATTTTTGTTTCTTATGTACCTGGGTGCTTAATATTGTTTGGGAAATCTATGCTGTTTGACCTTCCCAAGTTACCGCAACTTTTTGAGCCTTAGTTTTATCATTTGTAAACTGGAGTCAGTAATAGTGTTTTATTAATCCAGTTACTGTTGTAATTAAGTGAAATGATTTATGTAAAGTGTTTAGAATAGCATTTGACACAAATTAAATATTTAATGAATGTTAATTAGGGTTAATTATAACATGAATAAGTGCTCTAGTGTAATTTAGGGGAAAAGCAGCACCTAGGACTAGAATTATTTGAACTGATTCAGTGAAGTTGAGAGAAAAGGGTGAAAACAATTTCTCTTTTAATAATTTCTTTTATCTGTGTTGCAAATGTTGTACCAGCAGAGTAAAAGCCTGGCCAGTGATAGGGGAGGCTTAGTTTTCAGAGAAAGTACGCACAGTTTCACTACAAAGTAGGCCCTGAGAAATCTCAGTGTGTATTCAGATTAGCAGTTTGAGATAATAGGAATATTTTTTTTTTACTATTTATCAAGTTAATAATTACTGTGAGCATTCAAAAGTTATTTTTCCTCTTGCAAACACAGCACATTTGTCTTTACAATTTTACGGTGGAAGAATGGCACTAGAAGAAACAGATACTGTCCACCTTCCCTTCTTTCCTCTTTCGCATCATGAATCCAAGCTCCACTCGTTCATTGTAATGACTGGTTGATTCTAGATCCTCCTGACTCAGTGTTTTTCCTCTGCAGACCCACTCTGAGGAGAGACCGTTCCAATGTGAAGAATGTAAAGCTTTGTTCCGGACCCCATTTTCTTTACAGAGACACCTGCTAATACATAACAGTAAGTCACGATTCAGGCAGTTGAGAATATAAGGAATTATCTCATACTTTGTTTTTATAACCTTTGAGAATGTAGACATCCCAGAGGTGTGCCTATAAGTATTTATATAATCTGACTGTAAACATAAGAAAGACCGAAAATTCTGCCTTTCACTTTTTTTCGCTTTATATTTGCTTTATTTTTCCACAGTAATATTAATTATTTTATGAGATATTTTATTTTCTATAATTTCTTCCCATTATTTAAAGTTTCTATATAAAAGCATTTTCCATATTCAGGAAGACATCTTTGAGTTTTGTTTTGACACATGATTTTGTTTCCTTTCAAATATAATGATTAAGAAAACGTGTCAGACTCTTTAAAATATGCAGATATCTGGCATCGTTTTATGAGCTCACAAACTTTTCAAGTTGTAAAGGATCAGAGTGCACATCTAATCGGACACCTTAATTTGAGGAGGATACAAAATATTGAGGCTCCAAAGCACCATGACATACTCAAGATTTCACAGCGCAAGGAGTAGCAAACAGGTCCCTGATAGGTGCTTTTCCTACTTACCACTGCCTGAGATTTCTTCTTTTGTCAGAGGCAATTTTTTTCTTTTGGATTAATTTTATACATACACACCATGAGGTGCGTTTCCTACTTGCTACTGTCTCAGATTTCTTCTTTTTGCAGTCACATTCTTTTTCTTTCTGATTAAGTTTCATACATACGCACCATGAAAGTCTAACGCCTACACTTAGAGCTCTTTTTACAACACCACAGAATGTCCAGTTATATCACTAAAGGATATCCCTTCATTGAGAAGAACATGTTATTGCCAAGCTGAGTTTTAAAGTGGATTCTCTGTTTAGATGCTGAAGTAGCCAGAAACTTACTACAGTACTATATCTAAAATTAATGGAAAAATTGTGTACCATGGGTAATATTTACACTTCTTACTTTTAAGTTAATTAGCTTAATCAGTAGAAAATCCTCTATACACATGAAGTTCCTACTGCTGCTTAAACTTTTAATATTCCTGAGGAAAGAAAAAAGTAATTAATTTTGACAGTTGGTTATACAGAGGCAGTATCTTGGAGAATTTTCCTCTGGTCAAGTGTTTAAAATGCCAAATAATAAAGATACTAAGATTTCTTAAAATAAGTATTGAGTGGTAATGATTCTGATGAAATGCAATCTGCTTCCTGTAAAAAAAGGCAGTGTTATGCTCTCAGGTCATTCTGCATTCAGCTTACAGGTCTAAAGAAGTTATTAGCACAACTTACCAGTTTTCTTATTAAAAAGAATTATGTGTTTAAAAATAAAATTTGTTGTGCAATTGCAGGAATTTCTATTATAGTTCATTACCAGTTTGATTTAGAAAAATAACTGTTATGAGATGAATGAATGTTAGAATAGAGATTTGGACAAGTAAACCTCATTCATACTATTGAAATATGGCTAAATTTGACTTGATGCTTGGGAAATTTTGCTTGGGAATGATGAAATTTTATTTCTAATAACAGCAAGGAATTCTTAACAGAAGTAATCTACCACCTTTGCTTTCAGTTTTTTTGTTCTCATTCACTTGAGAAATAGGATTAAAGTGACTATGTGTAGACTGTGCTGTGGAGTATGTATTTAATATGATGTTGATCAGCACATTAATCACAGGCTTTATGAAGATGCATCGTGACATTTGGCCAGGAAAATCAACTTTGATAACTGAGTGAGTAAATGAGTTATTTTAGGGAAATAAAGTTAGATATCAGTTAGTGAAAAGAATGGGAAAACCAGAAATGGCTAAAATAGGGAGGACAAAATACTACGTCTTATGCAATATGAAAATTAAAACCCATTTATTTAACTTTAAAATATGAAAGCTGTTGTTAGAAACTTACATCAGCTTTCTGGCTCAAAATGTGAAGAATAACTTGTAATGATTTTGGAAATTGTTGCTATTTCCCAATATGTTGAAAACCAAAAGGCAAGTTGCTGGCTAGCTTGTAGGTACTAAGATAGGGAAAAAATCTGATAAATTTAACACAAAGAAATCTGCAATTAAAGTATGAAAGAAGGAAGGTAAGAACTTCCTTGCTATAGCTTGATGAGATTTTGTACAGGGACCAACATTTTTATTCACTTGATAGTTTAATGAAAATGCTTTGATAGGAACAATCTTAGAGGTTTTTTTAAAAAGATCTCTTTCAGTACCTGAATCGATTTGATATTAACATTAATGTTTACAGTCTTTTATCAATTGATATTTCCTTATGCTATCACTGATTATACAACTTATACAAACAGAATGTTTAAATAAAACAGAAAGTATAAAGATAGTGTATAAGAATAATACTCTGCAACAAAAACACACAAAAAACCAAGCTCTCAGAATCCACATAGTTCATGCATTGTATGGACGTGACTTTGTTTCAGACATTAAATTTCAAAAGGACTCTAAGAGACTTTAAGTTAGAGAGGGATAATTCTATTTAGAAAGACAAAGAGAAGGTAATTTTTCTTTTCCTTTTCTCCTTCTTTTTGTCCCTCCCTCCCTTCCTTCCTTTCTTCCTTCCTTTCATGTGAAGAAATAATAGAGTCTTCATATTTCTAAATTTAGTGCTAGTTATGATGGAAGGAATTTAGAAGAGCTTGGCTAAAATTGAGATAATCTCTTATTTAGATATAGAAATTTAATTATTCTTAATTTTGCCTTGTTATCAATATGATATGGGAATCTATGTTAATATGATTGTTTTCTAAAAAGGGAAATTATATTCAAATACTAGTCTGTCTTATTTATATAGTCACATACTACATACATTTTATACCGTATTGTTATTAAACATCGTGTTCTCATTGCACACATTCATTGCTGAAATTGTATTTAAAATGGCCACTAAAACTTAGGCCCATGTGTTAAGAAGAACTATAAAAATAGCATTATATGAAAGTTAGAAAGTACCATAAGATTTCTATATATGTTTTCTGAGGTTGCTTTCCCCTCAGCCCCAGGCTGGATAATGAGAAGAAAGTGAAATACCCAGGGTGGCTAATAGTCTTGCTATCCCAATTTAATTCCTCTCTGAAAGACCCCATCCCTCAAAGCCTTGGAGACTTTTTCCAACTGCCCAAGGGCTGAATCAGGGAGCCTCCAGTCCAGGAAGCAGGGGCATTGTAACTTTCCCTCTCCCAGAATGGGAGGGCCTGAGCTCTGATGCACACCCTCTGCCCTCAGAGGCTTTCCTCCTCAGCTCTCTACCTACAATCCAATTCTGCCTATTATCTATTCACAGGAGGTTATAGGGACCGTGGTGGGATTTGAGGGAACTTTGGGAGGGGCCCAAAGGCAACTCACCTTGCTTGACAGAGGTCTTGTGTCACTGGAGTCTATTTACCTCAAATCCCAGCCCCCGCTGTAGAAGTACATACTTTTAAAAAATGTTCATGGTAACTTTGAGAATTCTGCTAATTCAGTCCCCACGTTTTCCAGTTGAGAAGACTGAAGATGTAAGATGAAAGGACTTCTGCCTAGTCACACAGTGAATTAGCAAATAATGGAACTGGAATTTGTTGTAAAAAATAAAAAGTTAACATTCTTAGAGCTACAAAGCCAACATTTTGGAGAAAGCAACTAAGTCTGGCATACATGGGAGGAAATTAATAGGACCCTGCTATTGCTTCTTAAATGTTTCTCTTTGTTTCTAAGGTGAGAGGACTTTCAAGTGCCATCACTGCGATGCTACCTTTAAGAGGAAGGATACATTAAATGTTCATGTCCAGGTGGTTCATGAAAGACACAAGAAGTATAGGTGTGAGCTATGTAATAAGGCCTTTGTTACACCTTCAGTGCTTAGAAGTCATAAGAAAGTAAGTGGAAGTCTTCTGTTAGTTTGAACAGATTACGTGTTTAAGCAGTATGGGTATATATGTTAACTAACATGTGATAATTATATATTAATCTATCAAAATATTTACTCAAAATGACAAATGCATGATTTATATCAGCTCTTCAGACAATGTTCACTTTCTTCATCTTTCAGGATAGACCTATTTTTTTCCATGAATGAGAACCTGAGTTAGATGTAGACTCTTCATAACCCATAGCTTTGCTGATAGATGGCTTCTAAAAAGTACTCAATGAGCAGGAGCTTATCAATTTTTATATATTTTTGAATTAATGTAGGCTGTTTCTTTCTAAGAAATATGAGTAGTACTTTAATAATTTTATATTTCAAAGTGAATTCTTATGTTTATTGGCAAGTTAATAGACTGAACCCTTTTGTTATTGGGATAGGCTTTGATCTTTACCTCTCTAGAGCATAGGGAAGTTTCTGGTACAGAATGGGGACTCGATAAATACTTGCTTAACTCAAAGAAAATGTTCATATAGTGATTTGGAGATTTTTTTGTGTGTGTCTTATGCTACTTGGGTCATTACCTCAAGGGAATCAAGTTTATTTTTTACGTGCTCAATAATGCGTTTTAAAGTATATATTTTAAATAGTAAAATTTGTATTGTAACAAATACACTTAAAGGTTTTAATGTTGACTTTTTTCCTTATTTTGGAGACAGAGTCTCGCTCTGTTGCCCAGGCTGTAGTGCAGTGGTGTCATCATAGCTTACTGTATCCTTGAACACCTGGGCTCAAGTGATCCTCCTGTTGAAACCTCCCGAGTAGCTGAGACTAGTCATGTCTCACCATGCCCAGATAATTTTTTAAAATTTTTGTAGAGATAGGGTCTTGCTATGTTGCCCAGGATGGTCTTGAACTCCTGGGCTCAAGCTATCCTCCTCTGAAAGTGCTGGAATTACAGGCATGAGACACTGCACTCAGGCAGTGTTAACTTTAGAAGTAACCATGAAGTATGGTAGTTTTCTGCCATTAGTGTGTGATACTGAATGAATGTGAAGAAATAACTCCTGTTTCAGTATCTATCTATCTTATCTGTCCTTAATACAACTGTTTCAAAAGGATTGAATTGAGTAACTTTCTTTTCCTGTATTTTTTTAATATTTAATTTTTATGGGTACATAGTAGATATAGTTATATACAGGAGATATTATATATATATATTGTTTGTTTGTTTGTTTGTTTGTTTGAGTCAGAGTCTCACTCTGTCACCCAGGCTGGAGTGCAGTGGTGCCATCTCGGCTCTCCGCTCTCCACAACCTGTGCCTCCTGGGTTCAAGCAATTCTTGAGCCTCAAACTCCCAAGTAGCTGGGATTATAGGTGCCTGCTACCACGCCTGGCTAATTTTTTGTATTTTTAGTAGAGACGGAGTTTCACCATGCTGGCCAGGCTGGCCTTGAACTCTTGACCTCAAATGATGTGCCCGCCTTGGGTTCCCAAAGTTCTGGGATTGTAGGCATAAGTCACTGTGCCCAGCCTGAGATATTGTATTTTGATACAGGTATTCAGTGTATAATAATCACATCTAGGGCATATGGGTTCCTGTATTTTTAATGCTGAGTAATAATGATATTATCTGGTGTTTTTAGCTCTCTGAATAAACTAGTCTTTCAACTTTCTTTGCTTTAATTACTTTTTGCATGAATTTAACACATTTTTTGTTGACTTTCAATAAATAAAGGAAAAGTATAGTGAGCTTTCAAGAGAGATTACTTTGTCTGCAATAATAGTCACACAGTATATTCATAGTGTGTTGCTCATTTTAATCTCATAAATTTATTCAGTATTCTTAAAGTGAGCTGTTTCCATGCTTTCTTGTTCATATTTAAGGTAGTTTAGTATTATACCTTTAATGTCTTTTGAAACTAGCTAACCAAAATTGGAACCTAATAATAGATATATTTTTGAGTTAAGTGAAAGGAATATTTTAATTTTTTTCATTAATATAACCCTAATATCCTTTAGTTTGGAACTTCTTCAGTTTGGAACCAATGGCAGTCATATAAATGAACAATGAAATACATAGCAGCAAAAGAAATGCTGTGATTTTATAAATAAATTACAAATAAATTAGTAATTATCTGTTTGGAATAATTCAGTGCTATAACAATAGATATGTATATATAATTTCTAAACAATAATGAAACACAAATTGGCATATTTTGCCCCTTCTGTCAGGGAATGGAAAGAAGAGAGGTCTGTTATAAGTTAAAATGTTATATATTTTACTTTAGATTGAACCATAATGTGGACCTGGGGAGTAAAGGCTCTTACTGAAATGTAAAGATAAATAACTATTTTGTATATCAGCTTGTAGTAAAAATGGAAAGTTAAGTGCTTGCCAAATACAAAATCCAGGAGATGCTTGTTTTACACAGTGTTGTTGGCTAGCATGGTAGTTGATTCGATTGTGTTTTTCAAACTCGAGTATAATATAAATTGTTTCAAGGAAAAAAAATCAAAAGACACTGATACTGACTAAGGTCTTTAGTTTATAGCTCTTTAAAAATTATAAATATGATAGTACATATCCAAATACACATTTTAATACCAAAATGCAAATTCGCTAATTAAATAATAAGGCTGCAAAGTCAATTATGTTAATGTTAACAAGTTAATATGGAAGATGAAAATGTTTTGCTATGGTGATGGTTCTTTGATGTTGTCAGGTGATGAGGTAATTGCCCCACCCCTTTTTCTCTATGACAGCCAGTGTTGTCTTCTGAGAAATGTCATTTAAAAAAACCTTTTTCTATTCTTTTTTCATTTGTCTATGTCAGTTCAAATACCACTTGTCAGTAATTTGTTCTTAACAACAAAGGCAAACACAGGCCCTGGAAGCTCTGTTTTGTGATTATAACCTAGATGATTGTAACCTAGATGATAACATTAATACTTTTATTAATTTTTAGGTTACATTGAAAAAAAATTCTAAAAGTAGTCTTAGAAAGGATGTGTACATACCTGAAGGAATTGCTTTCACCTCCCCTTTTCTCCAATCTCTTAAGTTTGAGAAACACTGGGACTTGAGAAATAGCTCTGACCCTTCATTTATTGGAATTATCTGTTTTTATGTTGGGAGCAAAACTGGTCTCCTAATGAGACTGTAGGGCCAGTTTAAAATGCTCTGTCTCCCTCCTCTTTTGGGGAGGGGTCACTCCTTTCTCTTTGAACTCTCCAGCATTTATCGAAACTTGCTTTTAACTATACTTATTCACCTTTCCTCATGTGATTGTTTATGCCTAGATTAAAGGCATGTTGAGGGCAGAAATATGCTTTCAAATTGACTGCTCAGTTACCACCTGGTGATTTTAAAGGTCAAATCAGATTTATATTCCTTTTTGCTTTGCAGTAAAACCAGTCTAGTCAAACATCATAACACAAGTAATAGATGACTTTATTAAGATTAATTCTGTCCTCAAGAGTTAAATATACACAAAGAATGTGAAAAATGCTTCAAATGAAGTGTTTCTTGGCAGCTGGGAAGGGTAGCTATAGCCCTATTTTGATTATGTGCTTTTGCTAGAATATACTGGTTTGTATAATTTAATCATTTTTAGTTGGGGCTCCATGAGGGCTTAAAAAAGTAAACTGCAGAATGATTTTGAAATTAACACTAATGCATGATTCTAAGGCACATTTTTTTGAGCCAGTGGGAATATCCATCATAAATTGTTTAAAATCTCATTGTGAAATTAAATCATTTTAATGAAATGTAATCCTACAAAATAAGGATTTACTATTGTCAGAGGCATTTAATCATCTTTACCTAATTCTTTGTATTTATCCTTAGCCTTTTTATCCCTTTCCTTTTAGACACATACAGGAGAAAAGGAGAAAATCTGTCCATATTGTGGCCAGAAATTTGCCAGCAGTGGTACACTCAGAGTTCATATCCGGAGCCACACAGGTATGGAGATTGTAATTAGACTAGTGAAAAAACCACTTAGAGAAATCACATGCTTCCAAGACAGGAAATATTGTAATAATACAAATATCTTCCAGATTAAGAATTAATCTTGGCTGTTTTCTCTCTCTTAAAGCATTGTACAACCCAGTTTTTTCATCTAGAAGAATTTGGAATGAGTATATTTTCTTAAACTAAGTAAAACATCTAAAGTGGAAATAATGTTTTTAATGTTTGGTTGTGATATAACTGTGATTAACATCTATATGATTCTAATGGATGGAATTAGAGAATAACAGTTTTACTTTTTATAGATAGTTAAGGGCATCAACTTGATTTATAATCCTTCCTGTAACCCATGTCAAATGTGGCCTTTTTACCTTGGAATGTTGCTTGAATGCTGTAGGATTTTATTGGATACCAGAGTGGGTGATGTGAATGTAATATCTGTTATGCCACAGGTTACTTCCTAAAGATCCCCTTCTTTTCTTAGCACTTCCTGTGTAATTTCTCCAATGAAAGAAAGCTGTGCCCTAGTGAAGGGTGAATGAACAACTAAATATACTTCAAAAACCTTGTCTGGATTCTACCTATCACATAGATAAGCCCTTGAAAAAGACTTGAAAGAATACTATTAATATTGATAGCCAGATGATTTTACATTAGTCTGAAAACTTTTTTCAGTACCTAGACTCTAATTACATGGATAACTATGTGACTGGATTATACAGCTGAAGCTTCCTCTTCAAGGGCCGTAGTATATGACTTTCTTTACCTTTGTATCCCCAGTACCTAGCTCAATGTCTAGCACAATAACTGTATTGTCAATGGAGAAATGTTAAAGTAGGCCAAAGAATCAATACAGTGAATATTAGATATAGGTGGAGGAAGGGACACCCTTGGAGCATAATTTTTAATTTTCTGACTAAAACTTAAAGACATATGGTCAGCTTAGTATTTGTTATCTTAGAATAGGTACTTAAATACTTTTAAATGAAACACATAACCAAGAACAGATAGCTGTGGAATAATGGGTGCTCTAAAGAAGAAAAGGAAGATTTTTCTTAATTAGAAGTCATCTAGAGAAAGTGAGGCTTTTAGGATCAAGTGTTGCAGAAGCAGAGAGCCCCAAAATGAAAAGCAGAGGGCAGCACATGGGAATGAGAAGCAGAGAACCATGTTGAGGGCAGGTGTACTTAAAATTGTGCCAACGGCCGGTGGCACCAGGTACTGATGGTACATAAGTAAGGAACTAATGAAGAGGGAACAGAAAGTTTTGAAGTTCCTGGCTAGCACTGCAGTCTAGTGGTGTAATCTTTGATGTCACTGGGCAGCCCTCTTTTATGTGTATTTGTGGCTGTATGGAGTTAGGATGGAGTAAGGGCAAGGGTGAAATCAACAGCCCTTCACTCTGATATCAGTAATTCTTAGAAGATATCTTTGTGCCATACTTAGACTTAGTTTGCTTAGCAGATATCATGCTGTATTAGTGTGCATGTACATATAATTTGTGTATGAGAGGAGGGCAAGTAGAGAATAGGAAACATGTATTATATGTACATATCAGAATAGTCAGTTTATGGTAATGCCCCAAGACATGATGTAATTGTGTTATGTTTGGTATAGTGTGTTTTTAAAAGGTAGGGACTTACATTGTTCAGAATGCATTAAGACATAGCTACCAGCACAGAAAAGATGAACCCAATCCAGTAGAACCCTTGATTATTCAAAATAATTCCATCCTTGAGGATATTGTATGCCTACATTTTATTTTACTCATAGTATGGCTAGGCAGTGGAGAAGAATAAAGCACTTACACTAGTAATTGCTTCTAAAATTTTAATTAGTATTATCCTCCATAAAATTACAATAATAAGAGGATTTTTAGAGTTCCAAGAATTCTCTCTGATAAAATTATTAAATATATGTCAT
This sequence comes from Homo sapiens, assembly GCF_000001405.40. Taxonomy (NCBI): domain Eukaryota; kingdom Metazoa; phylum Chordata; class Mammalia; order Primates; family Hominidae; genus Homo; species Homo sapiens. The sequence continues at coordinate 120,775,258 of NC_000004.12, read as the reverse complement.
GGTTTTTGTTGTCTTATGTTCTATATTATGTATAATTTAAAGTGTATTCTACACTCCAAATCACTTTATGTATCATTTGGTTATTTATTGTATACACGAGTCTGGGCCAAATTGTTGTACAGATTCTGGCCTATTAAATTTGGCTTCTGATCAAGAGAACTGGTTATCTAAATTCAGACAGCAGTGGTAAGGCACAATGAACTAACACATACAATTTGATTGATAGATAAAGAAATTATATATATATGTGTTTGTGTATATATATATACACATATACATATACACACACATATATACATATACATATACACACACATATATACATATACATATATATACATATACATATACATATATATATATATATATAGAAAGAGAGAGAGAGAGAGACAGAGAAGGAGAAAGTGGTGTATGTGTTTGTGTGTCCACACAGAAACTCTAATTCTAATTGTCTATCTAGTTATTTACTTCTAACCAGATTTTTCTGTTTAAAATAAAACTTACCATACTTTCTCATTTTACAGTTCTTCTTTGGGTTATTTTGATGTCAAGCCTATGCCCTCAGTGACCACTGTCTAGCAGTGTGGCTGGGGTTGTGTTGGAAGTGGTTGGTGGCTGGCATCTGGGCCTCCATAACGGCCCTGGCACAAATTTGTTTTCCTGCATGGACAAATGATGCTTTCGCTTCCCTTTTATTTGCTTTGTCCTGTCCCTCAAATGATAAGCATCCATTTGCCCTCCCAGGCTACAGCCTGGTTCAGTAATCACATGGTTTTATGCAGTTATTTCACTAGTATGATAGCGGAGCTCCGAATGTTTTGATTCTGTAAATTCAGTGTTTTCTTCTCCCTGTGTTACTTTTCCTTATGAAGTCACCTGGTTTTATTCAGCTGTTTTTCAGTGCTAGGTGTAGCAATTTATGGGTGTGCTATCACATGAGCAAGGTGACAGTCACGACCTATTCGTCAAGAAGTATTTAGTTGTACATTATTTAGGGAGGACACAATGAAGTGGCGAGGACCATGAGTGAAGGCAGGGTGGGGACAGTCAGAAGAGGACAGCTCCTCTGTGGAGCAGTGTTCTTTGGATCACTGATGCTCATGTTGTGGCCTCATCACTCCATACCATTCTTAAAAATAATCGAGGATTCTGGAAAGCTTTTATTTATGTGGGTTATATCTATAACTATTTGCCATATTAGAAATTAAAGCTGTTTACCATATTAGAAAATTTAAAAATGTTTACTTGTTAATTTACTAAAAGTAACAATATTACCCATTACATGTTAGCATACATATTTTTATAGAAAATACCTGCATTTGCTAAACTAGAAATCATTTAGTGTGAAAAGAGAAGTTGTTTTACATTTCTGAAAGTCTGTGGTTTAAGAGGAGACAGCTGGATTCTCGTATCTGTTTCTTCACTCATCCTGCTGCAATATGTTCTTTTGATTGCAGAATTTGAAGAAAATCTGGCCTCACAGATATGTAGTTAGAAGGGGAAAGTATTTTAATAGTTGTTAAATAATTTTGGGTGTTATTACAGTGGATGATATTACCTTGGACATTATTACTACACTAAAACTCAAAAAGGGCTAGTGTTTTTAAAGGCTTATTGTTGTGTGGAACCTAAAATTATCTCAGTGAGCTTTGCCTATTCTGTGACAGTAAAATCAGTTGGACTGTGTTGCACTTCGAATGATCTTTTACCCATGCGTGATTCTGTAACATCATCATGTTACAGGTAACTTGGAAAATATTGGCTCACTAAGTTATGCAGATCTTTTATGTTTACTTTACTTAGAGGAAGAACGTTTTATCTTATTCAGGGGATGATATGTTAATATCATAGCTGATCTCATTAAATAGCCTAAATATTCAGAAGCCTTCAAGCACTTGGGAGCATTCTAAATTTTGTTTGACTGCTATAATTCCTATATTTCCTAACAATTCCTATCATTTCCTTTTTTCTTTATTTTTTTCAATGACAGGCTCACTTCTTTTATATGCAAAGAACAAATGTTCACAAAATGTTTAATAACCATAATTTGTCTGTCAGTCATTTTGTTTCATATAAAAATGATGTTTCATGAAAAAAACTGCCAGGTCAGCTTGCAACTCAATCACACAAGTGCTTTTCCTTGAGACAACTTTCATACATCAGCATGCGTTACAAGTGCTTTCAGCTTAATTTCCAAATATTAAAAAGATTATACACAAAGGTTAGAACTTAATAAAATTAATATGTTTTACTTTATCACAGATGTTCTCAAGTGAAACTGCCATTTATATGTACCATGATTTTGTGGCTGTGAAGGCTACAGTGACTAGTATTACAAATTGAAGTCACTAGCAGTTACCAGTTTTACTCACCATTACTTTTATACCATTAGTGTAAATGTCAACATGGTGAAAAAGACAAATAATGTAATAGTAATATTATGAAAGTAGTTTTGACCTTGCAGACGTTGTAAAGAGTCTTGGTGATTCCCAGGAGTACTCAGGCCATATTTAGGGAACAAATACTCTTGAAGGGCCCCCTGGCCAATGATAAATACCTAGGGAAAAGCAATTCATGTGAAATATGTGTTGGCTCATGTAAATAAGAGCCCGGCTGACAGAGGCCATTCTGTTTAACTGGGGCCATTTCCGTCTTGATTTCTCAGACTGGTATTGCTTCCAACTATTGCTGCAGCATTCTTCATAGTAAATTTTCAAGCTTTTGCCACTGCTGCTGCCGCCGCTGCAACGTTAATGTCCATTGGCATTGCCTTTGCTGCAAAAGTCAGTTGATGAGTAGGTCTGCCAGCTTTGACTCTACTTTTGCATAGGAACTGTTCACTGTTGGGCTGATATTATGTTTATGACTGTAAATAGGAAAACATTAAGGCTTTCTAAATTTGGGCTTACTTGTAGATATAGTCTAGAACTCAACTCCAAAACTTGCCTGCAGATAGCAAAAGATAGAAATTTGATAAAAGATCATCCTATCAGTAAGGTTTTTGCTGATATTTGAAATTTTGTAGTCAGGGTTCAGGGGACTCTGAGTTCTCATGAGATTAAATAACTTTTCCCGCCTAGAGAGTTGCCGTGATTAGTAGAAACAGGTCTCAGGGTGTTTCCTGTTATACCCTCCTCTGCCATAGGAGTCAGTCTTGCATAATGGAAAGAGCAGGGGCTTTGGGACAGCTGGCTTGAGTTCAAACCCTAGCCCCCTGCCACTAGCTAGTCATATACTTTTGAGCTAATTTCTTCATGTCTCTAAGTCCCATTTTACATTGTACATTTTTGTGAAGAATAAATGAAATCATGTATGTAAAATACTCAGTGCTAGTTCATAGTAGATGGCCAGTTCATTGTCATAAGTATAATTTCTAAAATTCTTCTATAATATCACTCCTTGTTAAGAGTACTTTTCCAAAGTTAAATGAATTGTGTTTATTAATATACCGTGGCAAGCCTTTACTGAATGACATAACCTCCTATATTATTTTCTACTTTTCTTCTTACGTTTATTTACAGGACATCATATTGAGAATTTTCATGTTCAATACCTTTCCCTTTTATTTCTTCCAGCTTTATCAAGATCTTAAATTGTTGAACGTGTTGAAATTTTCATAACTTAGTTTCGTAGATATAATCTTGGTTGACTATTGATAAGGAATTAATATCATGGTGTTTGGCATACTTAAAATCATGGAATTTTCTTAATATATTAATTTGGGGAAAATGCATTTTAGATGGCTATGTTTCTGATTAACTAAGACTTTTTTTAAAAGAAGGCTAAGCATTCTTTTTAATACATGTTTAAATGATAACTCAGTTGAAAAAATATTTTTGGTGGTATTTAAAATTCTGAACTGTGTATGTCCCACCAATTTTTTCCTTGAAATTAAATCATAGTAACCTCCAAAATACGCTTAATAAATTGTTCTCCTTGCCATATAAAACTTATCCTAGGCTTTTAATATTTACACTGCCTTATTTATTAGGCATAAATCCAAAGTATGCTTGATTCCTAAGTCTGAAGAGAGGTTGCGGGCAATAATGTTTGTTTTATAAAAAGAACATTGTTATGTCCCTTGAAAAACTGTTTATAATGGCAAAAAATTGGAAAAGATCCTACATATTTAACATTAAAAGAACTCATAATTCATGGTATATCCATAAATTGGAATATTATATAGGTAACAAAAGTGATATGGATATATACTAAATAACATGAAAAGAAATGAGAAAGATGTTACAAAAACAGAAGGATATATTTTTGTAAGAATAAAGCATTTGTATTTAAATAATTGAAAAGTTATCTACTAAATTATTAACTGCTTTTATTTCTATATGTTATAAATATGTTTGGTTTTAATTTTCTTTATGATTTTCTGTTTTCTAATTTTTATAATAATTTCTCTTGAATAATACAAATATTTAGTGTGTATATCATGATTGTGCAGGTAACTGTTATTATAAGATTTGTGCTAAAATACTTAGGTGTGAAACTTCTCTGCATCTTATTCTCAAATGGACCAGGAAGAAGTGCATATAAAAATACATGTTAAAAAAGAGAAATTATCTAATTTTTTTTTCTGAGACATAGTCTTGCTCTGTCCAGGCTGGACACAACCTTTTTGTCCAATCATATTTTAAAACAGCTGTCCATACTTTCTTGAACCTAAGCATACAATTGAACTGTTTCCCCTGCATCTGTGGATCTTCATTCTGAAGGCTCCCATGTCACGTAAAACTATGATCAAATAAATTTGTTTGCCTTTTCTCCCATTAAAAAAAAAAAAAAGAGAAATGAGAAGGAGAAAGCAAATTTGGTGAAATGTTAATAAATATTAAACCTAAGTGAGTTTATACAGTGTCCACTGTACTATTCTTCCAACATTTCCTCATGTTTGAAATTTTCATATTTAAAAATAAATAGGGGTCGGGTGCGGTGGCTCACGCCTGTAATCTCAGCACTTTGGGAGGTTGAGGTGGGCAGATCACCTGAGGTCAGGAGTTTGAGACCAGCCTGGCCAACATGGCGAAACCCCGTCTCTACTAAAAATACAAAAATTAGCCTTGGTGATGGGTGCCTGTAATCCCAGCTACTTGGGAGGCTGAGGTGGGAGAATCACTTGGACCTGGAAGGCGGAGGTTGCAGTGAACCAAGATCACGCCACTGCACTCCAACCTGGGCGACAGAACGAGACTCCACCTCAAAAAATAAACAAACAAACAAACAAACAAATAAATAAATAAATAGGGATATTTTATTCCAATGAGAGCAACCGTGTAGATGCAGCTGCCACTTAAGTGGACCAGAGAATTGTTACTTTAACATCTAGCTTCATAGCTTAAGTCTTGTGCACATCTCCACCAGAGCCTGATTCTTTCAACAGGAAGACTTCTATTCCCTAAATATAAACAGACGTTTTGTTGTTTTGTTTTTGTTTTCTTTCAGTTATACTGCTTAGAGAAGCAGTCTTCTGAAGAAGCTGAATGTCATTATTTCATGCTTCATCCTTCTTAAGGATGCTAGATTTATCTCCTTGAAAAAGGAATCCCACAAAATTTGCTGTTCTCATGGGTTTTTCAGACATTTTCTTTGAAATGCATTGGAAAGTATTTGTAAGCCTTAGAAAAGAAGGTTTAAACAATTGATAAAAAGGCTCACTGGGTCATTTTATTATCCTACTTAAAACCTTTCAGTGGCTTCCCCTTGCCTTGTACAAAATGAATGCCCTAGACTTTTCTCATGAGACTTATCAACTACCGACCCCTCACTGTTTACATTCCAGGCTGCTTACTGGCCTTCTTTCGCTTTTCTCCAGTCTCCAATTACGTGTTACTTTCTCCTTGACGTGTTCCCTGACCTGTCCCCTACCCCTGCCTTGTTAGGTCAGCATATCCATGCTCCTTTACCCTCCTCAGCACTGCCCACTTCTGATTGCCTGCACCTGTGGCCATCTTCAGTAGTCTGTGGGTCCTCAGTTTTCTTAGGGCCATGCCCATAACTGATACCTTACTTTTTACCATTCAGCACACTGCCTGGCTTAGAAAGAGAACTTGTGAATGCTTATTCAATAGATAAAATAACTTACAAGTGGGTTGCATTACCTGTATGATAGTAAAAAGGATGCATGGGTTCAGAGTGAGAAGTTCCAGATTTGAATACAAATTTAGTTGACCATAAAATTATTTTTTCACATACTACATACAAAAATCCGTAACATTCACTTTGAGAAGTGCTGGCATTAAAGAAGAAAATGCTACACTTCCCAATCTATGAGCTGGACCCACCCATATTTGCTTCCCTTTCCATTTTTTATCCTGTTGCTTTGTCATGTAATTGGTGGGAAAACAAACTGTATAACAAATGATCATTAATAACATGGTTCAAGATCTAACTCACTAGTGCCTATAAACTTACAGTGCTTAAATGAGGGAATAAAGAACAACATGTGGTCAACCAGCACCAAACTTACTGTTTGATTTCAGCTTGGAGTTTCCTAGTTTTTAAAGTTTCTCATTAGAAAGAACGTAGAGGAAATTGGTCCTGACAAATGCTCTATCTGTTTTGTTTGACAAGGGTGAGTCTGTGCTATTGGAGCTGGAATAATTACAAACAATTATGTAGTACATTATAGTCTTTTGCAGTTGTGTAGCAAATCTCATCTAGTAGAGATCTGGGGGCTCTCATTGTTTATTATATATAAATACCTATTTTCAGCTATATTACACTGTACTTTGCTTATCAGTTTCCCATGACTAGATTCTAAGCTGAAGGACAGGGCAGATCAGACTCACCTCTTTAATCTTTAAATTTGTTGAAAGAGGAACGTTCTCTCAAATATAGTATCTAAATTAATCCTTTCACGGCCATTGAAAGGATTCAGCCATTTCTAGGACCATTCTCATTTTCTAGATGAGGAAGCACGGATTCAGAGAAGCAAATGACCTATTCACTATCAAAATAATAAAACACAGGTCTTTTGACTTCAAATTCTGTTTTAAGTTATCTCTTTTTTTTCTATATAGCTATTATAATTACCACAAGAATTACAGAAATTCTGTAAGTCCCCCAGTATAAAAGATGAGGAAATAAAAGTCTTATATCATTTTAGTACTGTGAAAGTTTTATGCTTTAGAGCCAAATGATGTTTTTATTTATTGATTGATCTTTTCACATTGTTTTAGTCTGTTCTCACCCTGCTATTAAAGATATACCCAAGACTGGGTAACTTATAGAGGAAAGAGGTTTAACGGACTCACAGTTCCACATGGTTGGGGAGGCCTCACAATCATGGCAGAAGGCAAAGGAGGAGCAAAGTCACATTTTACATGGCGGCAGGCAACAGAGCATGTGCAGGGGAACTCCCCTTTATAAAGCCATCAGATTTTGTGACACTCGCTCACTATCACAAGAACAGCACAGCAAAGATCACCCTGTGATTCAATTATTTCCCACCGGGTCCCTCCCATGACACATGGGAATTATGGGAGCTACAATTTGTGATTTGGGTGGGGACACAGCCAGACCATATCACACATTCACTTGTTCATTTTCTGCTAGTCAGCTTTATAGTGGGCAGTAACATACAGAGGAAATAATGATTAAGTTATATTTACTAAATTTCCCTTTTTTTATTTCTAGGAAATGGTTACTAATTGGCAGTTGGACCTTTGAATATACTGCAATGTGATGAGATTTTTATGGAGTTAGTCTTTTAATCCCATACCAAGTATGCCTGAAGGTGTCAGTTTAACTTTGTTTTTATAGTATTCAAACTGTCCATCAACAATTTCGGAAATCAAATTTCTTTTTTATGATATCAAATAACACTCAGTTTTATGAAGAGGAAATAAGACTCCAGTTTATGGTTTTTCCTTCCAATTTGCCAGTTGGCGTTTTTCAACATTTCCTGTCCAGTACAGTGACAGTATTCTTTTATGGAACATTAAAGGCAGTCTCCTTCATACATATTATTTTTTTTTTAAAACAAGTGTTTTTGTTAATTGGCTCATGACTAACGGTCATTCTACAAGACAGTGATAAATTAGCTATTGGATTATTACCTGTTAGTCGTGGGAGGAATTTTAGTATTTATGTTTTTATTTTTTGTTGATAGTGCCTAAAATTAAAAACATCCTTCAATTCCTTCATTTTATGATTGATTTTATCCTTCACTACCTTAAATAACCAACTGGTTGTATCCTTGCTTCCCCTTCGTTCCGCTCTGCATCCTCCTTCTTCCCCCTTGTTCGCATTACCACCATTCTGTAGTCTGACAAGACTTTGTTTTTTCCATTAACCTTGAAAATGTTATTTTTTATAAATCTTGTATCCACCTTCTAAAGTCCATTCATTCTGCACAGTTTGGTAATTAGAATGAGAATGTGGCAAGTGTGCACAAGGCATCTGCTTTTTTAGAATAAAAAATAATATTCTTGACTTTAGAATAGAAAGGGTTTCAGAAATCTAGTTCAAGCCTCTTATTTGAAATAATGCCAAGCAAAGTGCAATGATTTGCCTAAGGTCATAAAACTTGTATGTGGTTCAGCTAGAACTAAACCGAGGCTTAAACTTTTTCCAATATATCACATTGCTGATATTTTTATTTCTTATTCTTTGACATACCCCCTGACCCCTGCTGTTACTCTTGAACATACCATAGAACTACATACACTCCTTTCATCATGTTTGACAATATTTTCTTGTTGATATATCAACCAATTGAAGATAACTTTAACATAGAAACTATAGTTTGTTACCTATGGTCAACTGAGAACTTAACTCCAGCTATGGAGAAACTTTGCTACCGTAAAATTAGTATTTGTAATACATTGTTATTTAATGCCACCTTTATATCCAGAGTATTGATTCTGGAGTCAGATTATGGGCTTCAAACTCCATTCTATTTATTTCCTTCTTGAATGAACATTAATGAGTTGGCTAATTTCCTTGAAGCTTGGTTTCCTCATCTCTGATAAATGGAATAATAATAGTCCCAGCTGGGTGTGGTGGCTCATGCCTGTAATCCCAGCACTTTGGGAGGCCGAGGCAGGGGATCACCTGAGGTCAGGTGTTCGAAACCAGTCTGGCCAACGTGGTGAAACCCTATCTCTACTAAAAATACAAAAATTAGCTGGGCGTGGTGGTGCACACCTGCAATCCCAGCTACTCATGAGGCTGAGGCAGGAGAATCGCTTGAACCCAGGTGGTGGAGGTTGCAGTGAGCTGAGATCGTGCCATTGCACTCCAGCCTGGGCGATAGAGTGAAACTCTGTCTAAAAAAAAAAAAAAAGAAAGAAAAAAAAAAGTCCCAACTGCATAGTGTTGTTTTGAGGAACAAATGAAGATATAAATAACTTTGCACAGTGCCTGCACAATGTAAGCATGTGATACTGTGAGCTATTGCTGCTAACATTGCTGATGTGTTTGTTTCTGTATTTAGTCACAGGTATTCATACTCCCTTGATACACTGTTTGACCCTCTATTCCCAGTGTCATTATGCTTATCTTTTCATAAACTTTAGCTACAGAATATAGATCATCTATAGAATGTAGATGAGGATTTGCTGTCAAACAGGGCTGGTTTAGGGTGAGTGAATGTGCATGTACAGTGTGTTGCTGTCATCTTCATTGAAGGGGAATGTTCAGGATTGTGCCTGGCGGGCAGCTCTGTAATTTATCATCCGGCTTCCTATGCTGAAACAACAGAGATGGCACTCTGTGGGTCAGCTGAAATAGTAGAGCACAGTCTCCTGTTGGTTTATAGCTTCTTAGGGTCAGTGAGAGCTGAGGTTAATTCAGCAAGGGAATCCACGGACTGTGACATGAATTCCATCAGTTGTTCATAAATTATGGAAGAAATTCTAGGAACTGCTTTTGGGTTTTTAAAGCTCTGGGCCAGAAGGTTAATTACTTGCCTACAGTTCCAACCAGCTTTCTGTGTTAATAGATACCGACTGTGTAGGCCCTTCTGTTCTAGGCTTGCTTACACATTGTTATTTGAATATAGTAATAAATCACTGTCTTAGGAAACATGTAATTTTTTGGATAAATACCTGTGATCAGCTTAGATATAAAAAATCAGTATATTATTATTTGATCGTATTTGGATTTTAGCCACTGTTTTTCTTTTTCCTTGAATGCTTTTTTAAAGGAAATAATTTATTCTTTTTAGAATATTTGTCCAACATTATAAAAACAATAGCTTTAAATAATTATAAGTAATTATAGAGCAATAATAAAATTATTAAAAAATTAGATGATTACTGAATTATAAACACAAACGAAAATGTAAACATTTTAAAACAACATTTTAGCACATTTTTAATAAGAATTAGATGACCTCCATATGTTGAGAGAGAACTTATTTTGCTATATTTATTTTCTGTCTCATTACTAACATTAAACCAAATCAAATATTCTCTTACCTGCAGATAATCTAAGAGTTAACAGAAACGTTGAGTAGAATTGACATAGAAATAAATGATTTCCTTAGCATCACACTTCAAAAGCTTCAGGTTTTCCCCAAGAAATGTTTGAATGGAATTTTCTTATAAGCAAAGTCTTGAACTGCATGTTTTTAGATGTCTCAGTGTTATGTTGACACTTTAAATAATTTCAGATCCACAACCACATCAATGGAATGTACCCTTTCTTCCACTGTTTTTTTTTTCTATACTCAGCTCCTACTCAGTTGATTTTGGGTTAATGACAAGTATATCTAACAACTTAAGAGACAGACATTCATTTTGGCTTTCATTAGTAATATGATTATCTATTTTTTCTTTCTTCAAAAATATCAGAGGCCCTAATTTTCTAATGTAAAAATTATAGTGCTATGTCAAAGTTTGTCATAGGTTGGATTAAGGGGCACAGAGTGAAAAGTGAGAGAGTGACATTTGTCCTGGAATATAATGCTATGAACAATAACCAAATGAATTAATAATATCATCACAGAGACTAATAAGATAGATCATTTAAAATATACTGTCATTTACGTAGTTCATATTTTTATCATTTCTTCTTTTTTTTATATACTGGAGTCCTCAAAAATGGATATGGCCTAGGCCACAGTTTACATCAACTGTTTGAACAGCTTTATCTATTGGTAAATTATTAGATAATAGCATACCTCTATTAAACTTGCATCACCAACATTTTTCCTTTGGAAAATAAAAGGAGATTTGATTTCCCCTAATTTGTGCTTTCTTCTGCTGTTGCTACCATTTTTCCACCAAGAATAACTCTCTGTGTTGTTTTTCTGCAAATCGGCACTATGCTTCTAGGCTGGGGAAGGTTTTATATCTTCTCTAGCTGTTTTTTTTTTTTAATCTTCTCTAGTTTTATGGGAGAGACAATAATTTTATGGGTTTCTTGCTACTCAACGTTATATACTCTTGATACTTCCTTGCTGGCACTATTTATAGGAAACTCCTCTTTGTGCAGGCACCTAAGGTTTAACTGCTTAGTTACTCCATGACCACGGTTCACCAACTATACTCATAAATATTGGGTTAAATAAAACTTTGGTAGAAATTCCTAAAAATAGAAAACTACTGGGTGAAATGATTAATAATTTTCTCACCAAATTCTGACTCCCTAACAACAAAACCACATCAATGATAAAGAACATTTCTTCCTTGACTTAAATTGTTCCCTACCATAGCAGTGTGGAACACTCATGGAAGAGTTTTTGTTTGTGGATGGGAACCTTGAAAACTTGGCCAGTGTCTGGATTGTTCAGATCTTTCTGCTGTTTGTGGAACAGTCCCCTTGCTTTTGCCAGCACTCACATCAAGACCCTTTATTGTCTGTCGTCTTGCTCCCTTAGACAAGTCACATGTAATGAGGGTAATTTATGCTCCTGGTTGGCTGAAGCAAGAGCATCCTGAGTAGGGAATCTTTTACTTTTGCTTCATTAACTCACCTCTTTTCATTCTGCATCTCGTATTCTTTTTTAAAAAAATTTGCATCAGTAAAATTCACTTTTTGTTTCACCCTCAGTAAATCCACCCAATCTGGCTTTTTATGATTTCCGACTGAAAAGTTCGTGAGCACGTGGCTGTCCTGTTTTTTTCCTTCTTCCCAATGAACCTCATGTCCTTTGAGTTGGCATCTCTTCAGAAATGAGGGAGGGATACTGTAACTGTAAGATTCTTAAGGAAAATAAAGCATCGTTTAAAGAAATAGATTTTGAAAACCAGACTCCATTTGTTTTGAATCAGATGATAAAATTGTTTTGATAAGTAAGGGTTCTCTTATTTGATTTTTACATTTTATTGCCCACTTTCTTACAACTGTAAACTCTGTTAAGCTTTTAAAAGTAGAGGATCTCTAAAATATTCAAGGAGTAATGTCAAGTTCAGGTTTTTGTTGTCCTTCTTTCAAAGATGGTGTCCTTGGGTTTAACTTGTTTAGGTTAAGTGAGATTCCTCAGAATTTGATTAATGGGAACATTCCAAGAGTAACAAGGTGGGGTTCCGTGAGGTCGGTGGGGTTTCATGGCTCTTTTTGCTGCGGGGAAAAAAAGTATTTCAATTACAGAAAGATGCCAAGAATGAACTTGAGCTACTCCTATTTGTCAGTGTAGCATTTCACTTCTCTCTATGGTGTACTTCTAATTTATTAGAAACTCCATAAATTGAAGGGATTGGAAGGGTGAGATTGGAAAAGTAATTGGGTGGTGCTTTCACAATTACATTTTTGGTTTAATTTTCACCTAGAATGATTCAGTTTGCTGTTTTGTAACCATTTCCTAGTCTACAAAAGCAAAATAAGCCAGTCCCCTGATATTCATGGAAAAAAATGTAAAGTTCTTCTAAAGAATTCCCATATAATACATATATTTTAAAGTTCAACCATGTGGAACGATATCAGGTATTTTTCATGAAACATACACTTTTGAGGTTTGCTTTTTCACTTGAAAGTGTTGCCATCTCTAAAACTGATTTTTGTTAGAAAACTCAAAGTAAGAAGTAAAGCTATGCTTCCAAAATCTTTAAACATTATTTAATTTGGATTCATTGAAAATAAATGAGTTTGACTTTATTCCATTTTAAATTACATTTTCTGTGTGTACATCTTTTCATATTTTCAAGGAATTATGAGTTCTTTGAAATCTACGTTGGTTTTTGAAATATATTAAATGACAAGTTAACGTTATTAAAATGCTTATTGAAAATGGTCTTTTTATATTAATCCAGATAATTAAATATATGTATATTACATATTAAGCTTTGCTGCTTGTTTATAAAATGTTCAAAGCATAGGGCACATTGGCTGTACACTTTTTTAAAAAATTGTGGTAATATATACATGACACATAATTTATCATCTTCAAAATTTTGCATTTTTTAATCTTCAAGTTTGATCATGGTCATTATTAACATATTAATTCAGTGTATTTAGTAGCATGAACAAAAATTTGATTTCTGTGCCTCTGCTAGAGTGGTCAGGTTCACTTCTTAAATTAGATCCATGTTCTAATTTAAGATTATCAAGATTAAAGTGATTTGCAAGGTTTTTCTTTATTAATTTCATGTATTGTAAACATAGATTTTTTCGAAAGGATTTGTGTCAAGATGTTGAATATTGAGGTGGTTACATAGTAGTAGATGGATATTCAGTGATGTGGCTTTAGGATCGTTTTATCAGTAAGATTCATGTTATCCTAAACTGCCTTCACAAATTTTCTTAAGATGCTCTTTTAATACCAGTATGTTAATCCTTTGGTGAGGGCTAGAATTCTTCTGACGTCTTTAATTAAAATTATATTCCATCTATATGGAACATCTATATGGTAACATACATAAATTTTAATCTGAAAGGCATATATTAAACTAGGATTTGATTTTTTTCCTATTGTTATTAGCCATACTTGCTAGTGGGTGGTTGTCATCATAACACATTTTCTTTGTCAAAGGCTCAAGGTAGCTTGTTGGGGCCAGGCTGGGCTCAAGTCAAGTAAGGTGTTCCATGTGGCATCCAGATGTTCCCTTTCATTACTACTGGCTGCCTTTGGAAAGCTAGCTCCAATTTTCTGGAGCTGTTTTCTGAATATTCCCCACACACATTTCAAATAGTGTAGCTTTTAAGCTACTTCCATCTCGGGTGTTCCAGCAGTGAGAATTTGGATACACTTACTTCAAGCCGAGTAAGTTAAAGTACCTCCAATTCAGAGATGAAGAGCTACAAGAAGTCTGCCTGAATAATGTTAAATTGGCATTAAGGAACTGCATTTATTCAGTTATTTTGCCTTTGCTAATGACTTTAGCTAAGTCCTTCACCTGCCCACTTCTCCAGCCCAGGGATCTTTCTTAAACCTATATCCTTGTTTTGTATAATTTATCAGCATCTGAAATTATCTTATATATTTTCTTTAACTTTTTCTTGTCTTTCTCATCACACTAGTAAAATTGAAGAGACAGTGATTTTGTGAAACTATTTGCAACTGCATTCTCAAAGCCCAGGACAGTAACTAGAAGATGGTATGTGCTAAAAAAAAAAAAGTCTATTTAATGAATGAATACATTAGCTTCATGGAGTATCCACTTTGTGGCACCTTTAAAAATCAACCAAAATCAACTTTTTATAGTTACCATCATGCTTCTGTTTGTTCCTTGATGTGTTGTTCAAAGAAAACACTGTGGCTTTCAGTGTTATTCAGTGTCAACACATAATTTAAAGAAAGAGATCTATTTTCCTTTAGTTAAATGAAAAATATTTTATTCTGTGTATATATGTAAATATTATTATTTATGCTGCTGTGTTCACTAAATCTATTTTATTAATCTAATACCTAAATCTCATAGGATGGTATGACATATTTACCAATATAGTATTTCCCTTCTAAATGTTGCAAGTGACTACCTGTATGTAGTTCTCAAGACACAGCTTATTATTATGATAGTGTTTGGATTCACTTGGGAACTGCTTTAAGACATAACACACATTCCTAACCTGCCCCCTACTTTTTCTTGATGAGCGTTGATAACCAAAAGAATGCTGGAATCTACCAGCCAGAAAGATCTGGTTAATGTAAACTGTTATTGTCAGAAGCAGAGTTATTGTCATTAACTTTAGAAAGTCTAACCCAATTTACACAAAATGCTAGCCATATTACTAATTTATGTGATGGCATGAGGTTAAGAGTGGGTTCAAACTCGGCCTCCACTATATGAGAAGCTATGTCATCTTGAGAAAATTACTTATCCTTTCTGTGCCTTACTTTCCTCATTTGTAAACTAGGGATATGAATACTTAGATTATAATATTGTTGCAAGAATTAAAATTGCTAATGTGTGTTAAGCATTCTGAACTGTAGAACAGAACCTTATAGTAGACTCTATACATTTTAGCTATTGTTATTATTTCCATTTAGATTTGTTTTTAGCTACTTTTTTGGCTAATTTTCAGATTAATTAATTTACATGTTAGTTAGAATTTGAATACTGTGACTAGCCTAAGCAAAATAAAGATAGTGTCTAAATATACCTGAGCTATTAAAACATAGTCGTTATTTGAAGTTGGATCACATTGTACATCAGAGCCCATGTACTGACTGTGACCTGTGTTCTTAGAGTTGACTAAAACTGAAGATAAGTTTTTGTTCTCCACAGGATCATTTTATGTGTAGGTGAAAATATTTCCTAGAAACATTCTTCACAGTAATTTGAAATAATGAAGGCAAATATCATATGCATAATGTGAAGAAAACCTAAGAATAACAATTTATCTTTAATATGCAAATTAGGAAAATGACTTTAGTAGTTATTAACCTGTTGACTGTACAGGTAACCTTCAGGTTCCGATTGTGTGGGACAGCAGATAGCTTTGTCCTCGGAGTCCAAAAGAGAGGCAGGATTGCCCTAAACATCCTCCAACCAAGAGGGTAGAAATTTAATGTAGAGTCTAAGCTGATTTGCAAACTACACATTATAGTTTTCAAATAAATTGCTTATAAAAGCCATTTACATGGTGATGCACTTTAAAGCTGGAGTACATTCTAGGATAGAATGAAGGAATGGAGTTGAACTTACCCAAGTTTCCCAGATATGTCAGCTCAGTGTTGGCGGGTGGCATGGGGTAGAAATACCAATCATCTAGACTAGAGGTGCTCTGAGTGATTTACGTAGACCTCATGGGCAACATGTGTAGATATCAGTGATAAGAGTAACTGCCACCGTTAAGAGTAGGATGACTGGGTCGGGCGTGGTGGCTCACGCCTGTAATCCCAGCACTTTGGGTGGTTGAGGTGGGTGGATGACGAGGTCAGGAGATCAAGACCATCCTGGCTAACAAGGTGAAACCCCATCTCTACTAAAAATACAAAAAATTAGCCAGGCGTGGTGGCGGGCACCTGTAGTCCCAGCTACTTAGGAGGCTGAGGTAGGAGAATGGTGTGAACCCGGGAGGCAGGGCTTGCAGTGAGTCGAGATCGCGCCACTGCACTCCAGCCTGGGCAACAGAGCGAGACTCCATCTCAAAAAAAAAAAAAAGAGTAGGATGACTGTTAATTTGTTAGGGCTGTTGTAACAAGGTGTCGCAAACTGAGTGGCTTAAACTATAAAACTGTGTCACCTCTCAGTTCTGGAGGCTGTAAGTCTGAGATCAAGGCACTTGCATGGCCATGCTCCCTGTGAAGGCGCTAGGGAAGGATCTGCTCCAGGCCTCTCTCCTGGCTTCTGATAGTTCTTGGCTTGTGGCGGCATAATTCCAGTCTTCACATGGCATTCTCCCTGTGTGTCTCTGTCTTCACAAGGCCATCTTTTTATGAGGACATCAATCATATTTGATTAGGGGCCCACACTACTCCAGTAACGTTTGCAACAACCCAGTTCCCAAGTAAGGCCACATTATGAGGTACTGGGGTTTAGGATTTAAACATACGAATTTGGTATGGGAGGGCACAATTCCATTCATAACAAGTGACCATGTATCTATTGTCCCAATTGAGACACTTGTGAGAGTGAAAGGGAGTAATATTGTATTAGGGTTCTCCAGAGAAAAAAGAACCAATAGCATATTTATAGATATATTATATATGAGGAGCTTGATTATGGGAATTGGCTTACACAGTTATGGAGGCCAAGAAGTTCCATGATATGCCATTTGCAAGAGACCAAGGAAAGCCAGAGGTGTAATATAGCCTGAGTTTGAAGTTCTGCAAACCAGGTGAGCCAATGATGTAAGTCAGTCCAAGAGCAAAGGCCTGAAAACCAGGAGCAGGGGTTTGTTGATGTAGGTACTGGAGTATGAAGGCCAGAGAACTGGGAGCTTCCATATCCAAGGGCAGAAGATGGATGTCATCTCAGATCAAGGAGAGAGATGGAGGGAGGGAGGAAGGGAGAGAGACAGAAGAAGAAGAAGAAGGAGAAGAGAAGAGAAAGAAGAAGAAGGAGGAGGAGGAAGAGGAGGAGAGAAAGAGAGAGAATTAATTAATTCACTGTTCCTCCATCTTTTTGTTCTATCTGGGAGAAGAAGAAGAAGAAAGAAGAGAAAGATGAGTGAGAAGAAAAGAAAAGAGAAGAGAAAGAAGAAGGAGGAGGAGGAGGAGAGAAAGAGAGGGAATTAATTAATTCACTTTTCCTCCATCTTTTTGTTCTATCCGGGTCCTCAATGGATTGGATGATGCCTGCCCACATTGGGTGAGGGTGGATCTTCTTTACACAGCCTACTAATTCAAATGCTCATCTCTTCTGGACACACCCTCACAGACCCAGAAATAATGTTTTACCAGCTACCTGGCCACATCCCTTAACCTAGTCAAGTTGACATGTAAAATTAACCAGCTATTACTATATTATTCTAGGATAACAGGCATAAACTGAGACTACTTTAGACGAATCTGGATACATCGTCACTGTACTCATAGGATAGGTATAATTTATCCAGTTTTTCAAAGGTTCAATGGCATTGGATGACCTTGTCAGAGTTACAGCTGGATGGAGGATGAACAGTATTCAAACTCAGGACAATCACATTCCAAAAAATGTATGAAAAAAGCTATGTCTTAAAAGAAGTTAGCCTTTTTAAGTCTATGGACAGAATTCCTATATTATAACAGTAGGTAAAATTGGAAATGGATTTATTATGTTCCCTTCTTTAAAATTCCTCACTAGTCTTTAACTATGTATTTCTTTCTTTGCTTGATGGATTTTGGCTGTTATGAAAGGAAATAGTAACCTGGTATATTATATTAGGATTAACATATAATTATTTACCTGATAACTGCAAATCTTTTGTTTTTGTTTGCTGGACTCTGTTGGTATTTGGAGAACAAAACCAGACGTAAAGCTATGTGATACAAAGAGAATAGCTATGAATATTGAATTATCTTAGGCTTGCTAGAAAAATAATTTTACGTAAGTGTAAAATAACATGTTACTATTCTTATCATGCTTTATCCCTAATATAGATTTGATATGTTGATGGATTTCATTGTTAATAAATAAGAAGGAAACATTTTAGCCTTGTTTATTATCTATCACTAAAGTAAAATAAACTTTGAAAATCTAAAAAATGACTTTTTATACTTTATGAAGAAGAAAATGAAAAAATTATCTGGAATTGTGTGATGCAGGAGCTACCACCATTTAGCAGTCACATTCTGCTATGTTTTCTTCCTGTCCTTTTCCTTTGTGGTTCAAGGTTAAATGATTAAGATCTCAGTAAATGATAGCTCCTGCTGTACTCCTACTATTGCTGCTGATGCTGTTACTGCTATTACTATAATGTTCTTTTTTATCATCATCCTGAAATAGAAAAATTCTAGATATATCAGAGAAGCAAAATCATTATGACTTAGAGTCTGGATGGAGGGAGAAGTGAGTAAAAAAGTGTGGGGTTATCTTGGATGGCTCCCAAGTTTTTAATTTGCTAACTAGGTGAATGTGGTACAACTAATCAGGACAGGATTTATAGCATGCATAAGACCAAAGGATAAATACCGCAAATTCAAAACAATGCACACTGATTTAAGCTGTTTGTGAGATACCCAAAGGAGGGTACCTGTTAGACATATGTGTACATGGAGATTGGGGCTCAATAGAGATCTGGAATTCTGATAAGCATGTGTTATCAACTCAGGGTTAAAATAAGATGATCTTTTCCTAGATGTTGCCAAGCCTTTGTCCTACTGACTTGGAAAAGCCACACCTTCCCAGAGTCACGATGATCCTAAGGTCAATAATTCTAGGTCAGCTTACCTAGTGCAAAGGTTGATTTTGTCTCAGAGAAGTTGGTAAGTCTGGATAGCTCATTTAAGGGACCTGTTCCTGTTTGTGTTGTGATTGTTGTTTTTAGTTTATTGCTACTTTGGGTGTTTGTCACCATTTTACAGTGCCTGGTCCAAAGGGAGAATCCTGGGTGCTTCTCCCCAAGGAGGAGAGGCTGGAAAATGTCGCTTGGCAGGGGACACCGCTGCAGGTGCTTCCGTATGATGTCTCTGCTGGAAACAAAGTTGGGGAGAACAGTGCAAGGCCATTGTGCAATGGGGCCAGCCTTGAGATCCAGGAATGTAACTGACAATTTCATGAAGCAGTGTCAGGGACAGGGGAGAGGTCAAGGAAGGCCTTGTTGAAAAGTAGTCACTGGATCAAGCAACAAGGGGCATTGTTGACCCCATGAGAGAGTTGACTGGGATAATGCACATGATATCCAGATTGAATTAAGATCAGAACCAAATGGAACATGAGAGAGTAGAGGAAGAACATACACTGCTAGTCAGAAGGCCTGGCTCTGAAGGGAAGACAAAAGTTTTACATTAGCTGAAGGAAAATATTTTATTATATTGATCTTTGATTGCAGCCAGGGTCTAGCATCCTGCTGTGTAAGTACATTGTTAAATGAAAGAATAAATCAATTAGTGATTTTGAGCTACTGTCCATCCTAAATGATTTGGCTTTGACAAGAGGGCATCTTCAGATCCCTTTTGGAGATTAAATTTTGTCACAGTTTTGTCATTTCACAGTAGAATTTTTTTTGAAATGTGCTGTGTATATGTGTGCTTGTCTTGAAAAACATTTTGGCTGTTTTCAAAATTATAGCCTCTAGGTGAGAGATATTTGATTATATCAGAAAGTATGGATTAATTATTATTTAGTTTAACTACCAATGGTCCTTTTGAACATATACCAATTTTATGAAATTCTTTTGAAACTCACAGCCTTAACTGAGTCAAATTCATTTATATGAAACAAAAAAATTAAACAGAACAAGGTGTCAATGAATCAGTTAAATAATTCCCCTTTAAAGAGTAGTACAGTGATAGAGCAAATTGATTAACATAAAATATTTTTAACAAATTCTTAAAATGAGGAGATTTAATTTGGTCTCAAGTATTAAAAGGAATATGCAGCAAATATGCTACTGGCAAATGTTTATTTTTGAGTATCGGAAGTGCTCTGGGCTCAGTGCCCTCTCCACAGGAGGGGAGGCCACAGTCCACTGCTGTCCTGCACGACCCATGCTTGGATCTGCCCTGCTGTGCCTGGAGCCACTTCTTGAAGTAGCACAGGGCATATGCGGTGGCCAGGATCTGAGTGTGTGAGAAGTGATAGCACAGGACTGGTTCTGCTACTTCATGTTTTTCTGACATGGAGGCTTCCTTTATTTGTAGGTGAGCGTCCCTATCAATGTCCTTACTGTGAAAAAGGATTCAGTAAAAATGATGGACTGAAGATGCACATTCGTACTCACACCAGGGTAAGATTATATTCTGTTTCATTAATATTGATCATGAAAACCATACTTATTTTAAAAGAAATATATTTAACTTTATATTACAAAATAAAGGCAATACACTGGAAGTTGTATATCTATATTTATGACAGATATTTCAGGATAATTTTTTTTAAAGATAAAACAATGAAAGAAAAGAAGAAAAAAAACACAAATTGAAACCTCAAAAAGGTTTTTATTCTTTGAATCAGGACTCAATTTTCAGGAGTTATAAATGATGAACTTCAAGATAAATAGATTTTAAAATTTTAATACTACAATATTTAAAGGTTTTTCTTGCAGAATATTCACCAGTAATAGGAACATTTTTTAATAGAGTCTGCAAGTTTGTCAGCATTTGGCCATTAAGTAATACTGATGAGCAAGTATATTTGCAAGAAAGACATTGCAGATAAATTACCAGGACAGGTGGAAAATAAGGAAGTGTAGCTCAGTGCTTCACAGGGCATGCCTAGTGCTGTGGCTTATTCTTCCCAGGGTGCCCTTTGTTCCTTTGCTGTCAACACTCTCACTGGACTATTGTCATTCTGTTATCTATGCCTTTTCCAGACTCAAGCATCTGTTTCACATGCTTTTAAAAAAATGTAAGCAGCTTACTCACCATCACCCACCATTTCATAGCTCACTATTCGATTTAAGCACAATTAGACACTTTAAATGAACTTTCCACATGGAAATTTTATATTGTTTTAAATAGCTATTGTTGATTTTGCTCTATACAACTTTTCACTGCATTATCTTTCACAGTTTCTTTTCAGTTTGGCCTTTTAAAGTGCGTATGGTCTGTATGTAAATGATGTATTTTTTTTTTCAAATTTTAAGAGACTTATCTAATCCCCTTTAGAACAATTCTAATTTAAACCTCTCCTGGATTTTACTTTTTACCTTAGCTATAAAATAAAAATTTTAGAGAAAACACATAATAATAATATTCTTCCCGGTATAATAATACTGTAGCCTTCCACTTCAGTTCTGCAGCACGTAAAAGCTATCCTCTGTGGTCCCCTTAAGAAAATACTCTTTTTGTCTTTGTGGTGAAGAGAGGGAGCTTCTCCACTTATTAAAGCAAATCTATAGCAGGTTTCTCACTCTAGTTTGTAGTATCATATTCATTCATATTATATGAATATTAGGAATTGGAGTACTTCCTAGATATAAAAGTACTTCATAAACCATAAAGGATTAGACAGATATTCCTGTTTATAATAGTATGATTTAAATGTACAATATCCAAAATATTTCACAATGAGTATTATGAAAGAGGTTTAAATTAGCTTGAGATTAGGAGGTTATTTTACATGTGAGCAGTTGTCACAGATGTATCAATAATGTATTTATTTAAAAGATGCCGACAAAAAGGCAAAGGGGCCCTGGTTCCTCTTAATAGAAACTAGTGATATTGACAGAAATTTACATATGATGTTGTTTTACTTGATTACTGAAGATAGACATGATTACAACACAGAAGAAGCTGTTTAAATCACTGCAGGAAAAAATATCTTTTGGGTTTTCTCAAGAAGGTGAGACATTTCCAATTCAATTAATTTGTTTTTTACTTCATTTTAATATAAAGTTATTAATGAGAATAATACAGATAGTTAAGATGAATAAAAATAAACACAAAAATCACTAATTACATGCCAGTACTCTTTTAGGCCTTCACATTTATTAATTCAGTTAAGCTTCACAACAACTCTATGAGGTAGCTGTTATTATGATTTATTTTTGTAAAACAAGAAACTGAGGCACAAACAAGTAAGTGGCAGAGTTGAGATTTGAACCTAGGGAGACTGGCTACAAAGACCATTTGCATTTTTTTGCCTATTATTTAATTGAATATTTTCTCATTCCACTGTCTCATATATTTTCTGGTATATTTCCACACTAAGCAAATTACAGTAATGACCCCAAATTTAAAAGTCCCATATTCTTTTGAATTTCTGAACCTCGATTTAAGGATCCCAACACTGTCTCCAAAGTATTCAGCTGCAGATGGTCCCTTGTCAGAAGTTTTCTGACATTAACTGCACAAAAAGAAAACAAATTCTAGGCTTTGACTAAGGGAACTCAAGAGAGTTTATAGACCAGAAGCACCCAGGATTTTAGGCAGGATCCCCCACAATGAGTAATGAGTAGAAGATCCAAGGAACAGGGTAAATATGTGTAAGCCTTTTGGGTTTTACCTCAAACTCTTTTTTAATTTTCCTTTTTCATGCATTTTTAAAATATTTTACCCAGACAGTTTTATTTTGAAAATCCTGTTTCCTAAGCATTGAATAAATACAGATAATCTTTGCATATTAGTTCAAATTTTCAAAAGCCTACTAAGGTTATCAGCTAGTACAATCAAACTATTATTAAAACTCAAAAGAGATTTAAAAAATGTGCTAGAGGAACAACCTCTGCAAGGTCATATTTTCCCAGTATTATTTGCATTTTGTAAGACTCCATTCAAAAAAGATACTATTACATTTGGGCCATAACACATTTCAGTTTCAATTTTGCATTCACATTACATGAGCATTTAGATAGCTCTAATTCCCAGACATTTTTGGTCCTATTTTAAAAGTTTTTAATTCCATTTTAACAACAACAGAAAAAAAATAAGCTATCTAATTCAGTAAGGTACATCTTTAGGAAGTTTTGGTAAGACAACCCAAGATGCTGTGTCAGGCCTATACCCCCAGGTTTACATTCTATGGTGACTGCACGAATGCTTTCCAAAAGGAACACAAAGCCATTTACTCTCTGGTTATTGCCTATAGGGTGCAGTAAGAGCCCCAGATGTGGGAGATAATTTTGCCAAAATCCAATTAATCATTGACCTTTCATGGAGAGACCAGGGTTTGAGGTGAAGGCTGGTGGATTTTATTTCCTTCAGTATATTCTCTTTATATTTGGTTTTCAGCTTCTACTGTGTTGTACCTAGTTGTGTTTTTCATTGTATTTTTGCAGCTTAGATCTGTAGTCTGCTATCTTTAGTTAAATTTCAGAAAATTCTTGGCCATTTTTTTTTCAACTTTGTTTTGTCCCTTTCTTTCTGTCTTCTTATGGGACACCAGTTACACATGTTAGACTATTTGATACTGTTCCAGAGCTCTTGAGTGCCGTATTCAATTTTTGTTTCATTTGCATTTTTAAAAAAATCTCGGTGTTTTTCTCTGTTTCTAATTTCTATTGATATTTTCAATTTCATTGATTTTTCTACCTCTGTTGTGCTCAGTCTGCCTATTGAAGGAGTGCATTTTTGATATTATGTTTTTCATCTCTAGCATTTTCACTTGGATTTTTAAAAATAGTTTCCATAAGGCCTGGCACAGTGGCTCATTCCTGTATTTCCAGCACTTTGGGAGGCTGAGGTGCGAGGATTGCTTGAGGCCAGGAGTTCAAGGCTGCAGTGAGCTATGACTGTGCCACTGCACTTCAGCCTAAATGACAGGGTAAGACCCTGTAAGACTCAGTTCAAAACAGATACTATTACACTTGGGCCATAACACATTTCAGTTTCAAATTTGCATTTAAAAATAAATAAATAGATAGATAAGAAAATAAATAGTTTCTGTATTTCTGTTGAAATTGCCCATTTTTTCATCTGTGTGGCCCACCTTTTTCACTAGATTCTTTGACATATTAATTGTAATTATTTTAAATTCTTTCTTTGGTATTTCCACCATCAGGGCCATCTGTGAATCTCATTGTTTTGACTATTCTATCTCTTGATAATGAGTGGGAAGGTTGCAGGAGTTTGCTTTTCAAGTGTAACATAATTTTTGATTGAATGTCTGTTTTGTGTGCGCGTGTGTGTGTGTGTGTGTGTGTGTGTGTGTGTAAAAGAAACTAAGTCTCTAAGTCTAGGAGACTAAAGTAAATACTGCTTATGCCTGGAAATAGGTATACTTCTTCTGCTAGGCCGTTAATGTGATTGAGGGCTTGAGTCAGTTTGGTCAATGGCTAAGCTAGGTTTGGGGTTTGTTGTTGCTGTAAGCTTCTCCAGGGGGTGGGCTGCTGCTGCTGTGTTCTTCATGCGAGGCCTGGACGCTCAGCAGGCTTTTCTTAAGGATCCTTCCTCACCATCAGGTTTTGGCAGATCCTGTGTACCTTTGCCACAGAACATGTTTCTCTCTCTCTGCCTTTGTCCCGCCACTGGCAGTAGCCCGCTGGTGCTTGTTACTAGGCACAAGACTTAAGTAGGCCAGAGGGCTTTCCTGGGGCCCCTGCTCTAGCATTAGTTGGGCAGGTGCTCTGCACTTGAGTCTCAGGGTTGTGGGTTTATCAGCATTTCTGCCTCTACCCTAGTGTTAGGTGGCCCCTGCTTCTGACACCACTCAGGGTCAGCGGCAGTGTCCTAACCACTAGCTACATGTGGCTATCAAAATTTAAATTTTAATTAAATCCAATTAAATGCAATTAAAAATTTACTTTTTCAGTCATATTAGCCACTTTCAGGTGCTCTATAGGCACATGTGTCTGGTGACTACTGTATTCTGTAGCACAGATACAGGACATTATGGTCACCACAGAAAGCTCTGTTGGACAGCACAGGCCTAGAGGGTGGATGGTTTCCTGGCCCTACTGGCTGTGGCAGGTGAGCTCCACCTCATATCTTTAGAGTAGAAGGTTTGGGGCATGAGAAAGAGGTTTCTGCCCCTCTTCCCGCAGCAGCAGACCTCTCCTGTGGATCACTGGGGTTCTTGGGCAAGAGCAGGTTTTCTGCCCCTCCCCTTGGTGTCAGTGCAGGATACGTAGTCAGGTTCTGTCTCTCTCCAGAGGCCACGGGTCATTGCCTGGAACAGAACACCTGCGAGTTTCATGTTCCACCCCCAGCAGCTGGTAGCTTTTGCCTCCTGTCAAAGCAGAGTGACATATGGGACGTGGCAGGTGTCTCCCTCCTCACTCAGAGGCAGAAGGCTTTTGTTTCCTGTGTGAGGCAGGTCTGTGGCCTGGGTGGTTTTTGCTGCTCCCTGGCAGCCACTGCTCATCACCTTGTATTCATGCAGCACAGGGACAGAAAGCAGATGGGTTCCTTCAAGTACTCCTACTCCACCCTCGGACCTTGTCTGTGCCACCTGGGGGCTCTCTAAGGTATCCTGCCCTGCCTCTAATCTTTCTTACGAACCCTGATGGAGCCAGTGGAAAACAGATGAGTGGCTGTGGACTTTCCATGTGCCAGGGCCCCCAGGTTTCTAACCTAAATGCTAGTCCACAATCCTTAAGGAATTAACCATCACTTGTTTTCTTCCTACCCATTTTGTGACGGGTTCTCTCTTGCTCTGACAAAGGTGAGACTATTCTGTGTTCCATTTTTTTTTTTTGACATTTAGTTCATCTGATTGTTTTGTGACCTTGGCTCACAAAATGTTTCATGACCTTAAGCTTAAAAGAATGACTGTAAATTTTTCAGCTTTTTGTCATTATTAAGTTGGGGGTGATGTTCTTTGTGGCTTTCCACATCCTATGAATAGTGATTTATTTTTAACTGTGTAGGGTTTTTGAGGATAACTTTTCCCACTTAATTCTAGATTAATTTCCTGCCCAGGAGCTGATAAAAGTGGAACTTCTTATATTCCATGTCCAGTTAGCTCCCCCATTCAGTCAGGGAAGCACCCCTATTTAGAGGCCCTATGTGAACTTAGGCCGTTTTGCTATGGTTTCTCTAAAGGGGTTCTGTTTCCTAGGATGCAGTCAGACCCTGGCGGCCTCAGGCAAGCCTCAGCAAACTCACCCTCAGGGCACTGGCATTTGGAGCCATTTCTCATCCCTTTCTAGATCTACCTTTTCCTGTCCCATTCATGGTCTTTGTTCTTTGCTTGTGTGGTGGAGGAGAGAGCTATTTGGAGGGAGCAGGTCCTCTTTTGGGGAATTTTTTTTTTTTTTGAGAGAGAGGGTCTTGCTCTGCTGCCCAGACTGGAGTGTAGTGGTGCAATCATAGTGTACTGCAACCTTGAACTCCTGGGTTCAGTGGTCCTGTAGTCTCAGCCTCCTGAGTAGCTGAGACTACAGGCATGCACCACAATGCCTGGCTGTTTTTAAATTTTTGTGGAGACAGGATCTTGCTATCTTGCCCAGCCTGATCTTGAGCTCCTAGGCTTAGGTGATCTTTTGGTCTCAGCCTCCCAAAGTGTTGGGATTGTAGGTGAGAAATACCACACCTGGCCAAGATTATCTTAGTTTTCACATTGTAGCTTTAAACCAAGATTTGGTTTAAAGATTTGAATTTTTCCAAGGCCTTGGGCCTTGGGGGTACCCCAGGTATGCTGCCAGACCTTTCCCTTCTTATCTCTGTTGTCTTTGTCTCAAAGGTCTGCTTTACCACTCCAAACTACACTGAGGTAGAGAAATGCCAGTTGCTGAACTCTTTGTGTCCAGTGCCTCAAACCCATTTTAGTCTTAGGAACTATGGATCATCTGGAAATTATAGAACTTATGTTTTTATTGCATTAGACACATTGAGCCAAAACAGTCACTCATTGAGTTAGGACACAAGCTCATAAATACCCATTTTATAAACATTAGGTTCAAAAGAAATTGTTGTTTGTAACTGTTTACGATAGAAAACTTCACGTCTCGTATAACCCCTTTTGATTTCAACATGGAAGGCACCTGGGCCAATTAGAAAGTTATTTCAGAAACTCTGCCTTTTGAACACATTTCAAAAACCCAATTAACTTATACAGGTTTCAAGTTTCTAAGATCGCAGTTCTCTCCAGCCTTGTTTGCAGAAACAGCCAAATTAGTTCTTACAAAATTAAAATGGAATTGCCAGTGGTTACAAGTAACAGCAAGTCTGTTATATTGTTTTATATTTTATTAATTTTCTTTCATGAACTTTCTTATCCCTGATCCTCAGATTGTTCAGATGTAGGTCTGGGTTTAACAGACCTGTGCCTTTTGCACTTTGCCTTGACACCATGCAGTGAGACTGTGAGTCTCTGAGTCCAAACGAGGGTGGGTATCTCAGAGTTCCTAGGTATCAGACGCTTTTGAATTTATCTAGAGGGTTTGGGTGGTCTATTGATGTAGGATTTGAAAATTATCCCCCCAAAAATTTATTTATTTATTTTTTAATTTTTTATTTTTTTATTATTATACTTAAAGTTTTAGGGTACATGTGCACATTGTGCAAGTTAGTTACATATGTATACATGTGCCATGCTGGTGTGCTGCACCCACTAACTCGTCATCTAGCATTAGGTATATCTCCCAATGCTATCCCTCCCCCCTCCCCCCACCCCACAACAGTCCCCAGAGTGTGATGTTCCCCTTCCTGTGTCCATGTGATCTCATTGTTCAATTCCCACCTATCAGTGAGAATATGTGGTGTTTGGTTTTTTGTTCTTGCGATAGTTTACTGAGAATGATGGTTTCCAATTTCATCCATGTCCCTACAAAGGACATGAACTCATCATTTTTTATGGCTGCATAGTATTCTATGGTGTATATGTGCCACATTTTCTTAATCCAATCTATCATTGTTGGACATTTGGGTTGGTTCCAAGTCTTTGCTATTGTGAATAATGCTGCAATAAACATACGTGTGCATGTGTCTTTATAGCAGCATGATTTATAGCCCTTTGGGTATATACCCAGTAATGGGATGGCAGGGTCAAATGGTATTTCTAGTTCTAGATCCCTGAGGAATCGCCACACTGACTTCCACAATGGTTGAAGTAGTTTACAGTCCCACCAACAGTGTAAAAGTGTTCCTATTTCTCCACATCCTCTCCAGCACCTGTTGTTTCCTGACTTTTTAATGATTGCCATTGTAACTGGTGTGAGATGGTATCTCATTGTGGTTTTGATTTGCATTTCTCTGATGGCCGGTGATGATGAGCATTTTTTCATGTGTTTTTTGGCTGCATAAATGTCTTCTTTTGAGAAGTGTCTGTTCATGTCCTTCGCCCACTTTTTGATGGGGTTGTTTGTTTTTTTCTTGTAAATTTGTTGGAGTTCATTGTAGATTCTGGATATTAGCCCTTTGTCAGATGAGTAGGTTGCGAAAATTTTCTCCCATTTTGTAGGTTGCCTGTTCACTCTGATGGTAGTTTCTTTTGCTGTGCAGAAGCTCTTTAGTTTAATTAGATCCCATTTGTCCATTTTGGCTTTTGTTGCCATTGCTTTTGGTGTTTTAGACATGAAGTCCTTGCCCATGCCTATGTCCTGAATGGTAATGCCTAGGTTTTCTTCTAGGGTTTTTATGGTTTTAGGTCTAACATTTAAGTCTTTAATCCATCTGGAATTAATTTTTGTATAAGGTGTAAGGAAGGGATCCAGTTTCAGCTTTCTACATATGGCTAGCCAGTTTTCCCAGCACCATTTATTAAATAGGGAATCCTTTCCCCATTTCTTGTTTTTGTCAGGTTTGTCAAAGATCAGATAGTTGTAGATATGCGACGTTATTTCTGAGGGCTCTGTTCTGTTCCATTGATCTATATCTCTGTTTTGGTACCAGTACCATGCTGTTTTGGTTACTGTAGCCTTGTAGTATAGTTTGAAGTCAGGTAGTGTGATGCCTCCAGCTTTGTTCTTTTGGCTTAGGATTGACTTGGAAATGCGGGCTCTTTTTTGGTTCCATATGAACTTTAAAGTAGTTTTTTCCAATTCTGTGAAGAAAGGCATTGGTAGCTTGATGGGGATGACATTGAATCTGTAAATTACCTTGGGCAGTATGGCCATTTTCACGATATTGATTCTTCCTACCCATGAGCATGGAATGTTCTTCCATTTGTTTGTATCCTCTTTTATTTCCTTGAGCAGCGGTTTGTAGTTCTCCTTGAAGAGGTCCTTCACATCCCTTGTAAGTTGGATTCCTAGGTATTTTATTCTCTTTGAAGCAATTGTGAATGGGAGTTCACTCATGATTTGGCTCTCTGTTTGTCTGTTGTTGGTGTATAGGAATGCTTGTGATTTTTGCACATTGATTTTGTATCCTGAGACTTTGCTGAAGTTGCTTATCAGCTTAAGGAGATTTTGGGCTGAGACGATGGGGTTTTCTAGATATACAATCATCTCATCTGCAAACAGGGACAATTTGACTTCCTCTTTTCCTAATTGAATACCCTTTATTTCCTTCTCCTGCCTAACTGCCCTGGCCAGAACTTCCAACACTATGTTGAATAGGAGTGGTGAGAGAGGGCATCCCTGTCTTGTGCCAGTTTTCAAAGGGAATGCTTCCAGTTTTTGCCCATTCAGTATGATATTGGCTGTGGGTTTGTCATAGATAGCTCTTATTATTTTGAAATATGTCCCATCAATACCTAATTTATTGAGAGTTTTTAGCATGAAGGGTTGTTGAATTTTGTCAAAGGCCTTTTCTGCATCTATTGAGATAATCATGTGGTTTTTGTCTTTGGCTCTGTTTATATGCTGGATTACATTTATTGATTTGCGTATATTGAACCAGCCTTGCATCCCAGGGATGAAGCCCACTTGATCATGGTGGATAAGCTTTTTGATGTGCTGCTGGATTCGGTTTGCCAGTATTTTATTGAGGATTTTTGCATCAGTGTTAATCAAGGATATTGGTCTAAAATTCTCTTTTTTGGTTGTGTCTCTGCCTGGCTTTGGTATCAGAATGATGCTGGCCTTATAAAATGAGTTAGGGAGGATTCCCTCTTTTTCTATTGATTGGAATAGTTTCAGAAGGAATGGTACCAGTTCCTCCTTGTACCTCTGGTAGAATTCGGCTGTGAATCCATCTGGTCCTGGACTCTTTTTGGTTGGTAAGCTATTGATTCTTGCCACAATTTCAGATCCTGTTATTGGTCTATTCAGAGATTCAACTTCTTCCTGGTTTAGTCTTGGGAGAGTGTATGTGTCAAGGAATTTATCCATTTCTTCTAGATTTTCTAGTTTATTTGCGTAGAGGTGTTTGTAGTATTCTCTGATGGTAGTTTGTATTTCTGTGGGATCCGTGGTAATATCCCCTTTATCATTTTTTCTTGCGTCTATTTGATTCTTCTCTCTTTTTTTCTTTATTAGTCTTGCTAGCGGTCTATCAATTTTGTTGATCCTTTCAAAAAACCAGCTCCTGGATTCATTAATTTTTTGAAGGGTTTTTTGTGTCTCTATTTCCTTCAGTTCTGCTCTGATTTTAGTTATTTGTTGCCTCCTGCTAGCTTTTGAGTGTGTTTGCTCTTGCTTTTCTAGTTCTTTTAATTGTGATGTTAGGGTGTCAATTTTGGATCTTTCCTCCTTTCTCTTGTGGGCATTTAGTGCTATAAATTTCTCTCTACACACTGCTTTGAATGTGTCCCAGAGATTCTGGTAAGTTGTGTCTTTGTTCTCATTGGTTTCAAAGAACATCTTTATTTCTGCCTTCATTTCGTTATGTACCCAGTAGTCATTCAGGAGCACGTTGTTCAGTTTCCATGTAGTTGAGCGGTTTTGAGTGAGATTCTTAATCCTGCGTTCTAGTTTGATTGCACTGTGGTCTGAGAGATAGTTTGTTATAATTTCTCTTCTTTTACATTTGCTGAGGAGAGCTTTACTTCCAAGTATGTGGTCAATTTTGGAATAGGTGTGGTGTGGTGCTGAAAAAAATGTATATTCTGTTGATTTGGGGTGAAGAGTTCTGTAGATGTCTGTTAGGTCCGCTTGGTGCAGAGCTGAGTTCAATTCCTGGGTATCCTTGTTAACTTTCTGTCTCGTTGATCTGTCTAATGTTGACAGTGGGGTGTTAAAGTCTCCCATTATTAATGTGTGGGAGTCTAAGTCTCTTTGTAGGTCACTCAGGACTTGCTTTATGAATCTGGGTGCTCCTGTATTGGGTGCATATATATTTAGGATAGTTAGCTCTTCTTGTTGAATTGATCCCTTTACCATTATGTCATGGCCTTCTTTGTCTGTTTTGATCTTTGTTGGTTTAAAGTCTGTTTTATCAGAGACTAGGATTGCAACCCCTGCCTTTTTTTGTTTTCCATTTGCTTGGTAGATCTTCCTCCATCCTTTTATTTTGAGCCTATGTGTGTCTCTGCACGTGAGATGGGTTTCCTGAATACAGCACACTGATGGGTCTTGACTCTTTATCCAATTTGCCAGTCTGTGTCTTTTAATTGGAGCATTTAGTCCATTTACATTTAAAGTTAATAGTGTTATGTGTGAATTTGATCCTGTCATTATGATGTTAGCTGGTTATTTTGCTCGTTAGTTGATGCAGTTTCTTCCTAGTCTCAATGGTCTTTACATTTTGGCATGATTTTGCAGCGGCTGGTACCGGTTGTTCCTTTCCTTGTTTAGTGCTTCCTTCAGGAGCTCTTTTAGGGCAGGCCTAGTGGTGACAAAATCTCTCAGCATTTCCTTGTCTGTAAAGTATTTTATTTCTCCTTCACTTATGAAGCTTAGTTTGGCTGGATATGAAATTCTGGGTTGAAAATTCTTTTCTTTAAGAATGTTGAATATCGGCCCCCACTCTCTTCTGGCTTGTAGGGTTTCTGCCGAGAGATCCGCTATTAGTCTGATGGGCTTCCCTTTGAAGGTAACCCGACCTTTCTCTCTGGCTGCCCTTAACATTTTTGCCTTCATTTCAACTTTGGTGAATCTGACAATTATGTGTCTTGGAGTTGCTCTTCTCGAGGAGTATCTTTGTGGCATTCTCTGTATTTCCTGAACCTGAACGTTGGCCTGCCTTGCTAGATTGGGGAAATTCTCCTGGATAATATCCTGCAGAGTGTTTTCCAACTTGGTTCCATTCTCCCCATCACTTTCAGGTACACCAATCAGACGTAGATTTGGTCTTTTCACATAGTCCCATATTTCTTGGAGGCTTTGCTCGTTTCTTTTTATTCTTTTTTCTCTAAACTTTCCTTCTCGCTTCATTTCATTCATTTCACCTTCCATTGCTGATACCCTTTCTTCCAGTTGATCGCTTCGGCTCCTGAGGCTTTTGCATTCTTCACGTAGTTCTCAAGCCTTGGTTTTCAGCTCCATCAGCTCCTTTAAGCACTTCTCTGTATTGGTTATTCTAGTTATACATTCTTCTAAATTTTTTTCAAAGTTTTCAACTTCTTTGCCTTTGGTTTGAATGTCCTCCTGTAGCTCAGAGTAATTTGATCATCTGAAGCCTTCTTCTCTCAACTCGTCAAAGTCATTCTCCGTCCAGCTTTGTTCCATTGCTGGTGAGGAGCTGCATTCCTTTGGAGGAGGAGAGGCGCTCTGCTTTTTAGAGTTTCCAGTTTTTCTGTTCTGTTTTTTCCCCATCTTTGTGGTTTTATCTACCTTTGGTCTTTGATGATGGTGATGTACAGATGGGTTTTTGGTGTGGATGTCCTTTCTGTTTGTTAGTTTTCCTTCTAACAGACAAGACCCTCAGCTTCAGGTCTGTTGGAGTACCCTGCAGTGTGAGGTGTTAGTGTGCCCCTGCTGGAGGGTGCCTCCCAGTTAGGCTGCTCGGGGGGTCAGGGGTCAGGGACCCACTTGAGGAGGCAGTCTGCCTGTTCTCAGATCTCCAGCTGCGTACTGGGAGAACCACTGCTCTCTTCAAAGCTGTCAGACAGGGACATTTAAGTCTGCAGAGGTTACTGCTATCTTTTTGTTTGTCTGTGCCCTGCCCCTAGAGGTGGAGCCTACAGAGGCAGGCAGGCCTCCTTGAGCTGTGGTGGGCTCCACCCAGTTTGAGCTGGCTGGCTGCTTTGTTTACCTAAGCAAGCCTGGGCAATGGTGGGCACCCCTCCCCCAGCCTCGCTGCTGCCTTGCAGTTTGATCTCAGACTGCTGTGCTAGCAATCAGCGAGACTCCGTGGGGTAGGACCCTCTGAGCCAGGTGCATGATATAATCTCGTGGTGTGCCGTTTTTTTAAGCCTGTCGGAAAAGCGCAGTATTCGGGTGGGAGTGACCCTATTTTCCAGGTGCTGTCCGTCACCCCTTTCTTTGATTAGGAAAGGGAACTCCCTGACCCTTTGTGCTTCCCGAGTGAGGCAATGCCTGGCCCTGCTTCGGCTCGTGCACAGTGCGCGCACCCACTGACCTGCGCTCACTGTCTGGCACTCCCTAGTGAGATGAACCCGGTACCTCAGATGGAAATGCAGTAATCACCCGTCTTCTGCGTGGTTCAGGCTGGGAGCTGTAGACCAGAGCTGTTCCTATTCGGCCATCTTGGCTCCTCCCCCCTGATAACCAAAAATTTTGACCAATACATCAAGCTGATGAACCATGTGAGTGAGTGTAAGCATGATGTTGAAGGAAAAAGAAAAAGGTTCATTCTATTTGAATTAAGATGTTAAGGCAGGAGGAGTGAGGGCTGCTGTAT
This sequence comes from Homo sapiens, assembly GCF_000001405.40. NCBI lineage: Eukaryota > Metazoa > Chordata > Mammalia > Primates > Hominidae > Homo > Homo sapiens. The sequence continues at coordinate 120,741,273 of NC_000004.12, read as the reverse complement.
GCTAAAGGGAGCAAAAGGCAAGAATAATTTTCCTAGCTCCAGAAGCATCGTATAGAGGATATGCAGCGTTGGTTGAGAACAGAAAGGAGTCTTTTAAGGGTGAGAATCATCTTGAAATCCTCATGGACACATTAGGAGGCATGCATAAAAAGCTTAGGAAACAGATGCAAAAGCAAGTTGGTTGAATCGGATTGGGAGGGCTGGTGGATTCCAGGACTAGAGATAGAGGATGATATTTGAGTTGTGTTTGAAGGAGTATGGTAGAGGGCAGGCCAGAAAAAAATGTGACTGCATAAGCAAAGTGCACACCTACAGATACAGTAAGGGTGGCCTGTCCACTGTAACTGAGTTTGAGGATACATGTTGAAGGATGACTTATGTTGAGACAGGCTGAGATTGAGCAGTTGGTATGAATTGTGAAAACATTTTATTGTGTGTGTTTGGTTTGGTTTTGAGTAGAGGAGTGACATTATCAGTTCTATCTCTTAGAAAGGTTGCTCTGAATCATTCTCCAGCAAGAATTGAAGGAAGTAGCACTTGAGTCAGGGAGGCCCATTCAGGAGACACGATGGAGCCAGGTGAGCAGGAATAGGGACCCACATGAGATGGCCATGGGATCTGAGAGTCAGGCACATATATGAGGGACACCTTTGAGATAAGTATTGACAAAGTTTGGACAAGGTTTAGACATACTCAGTATAGGTGGTGAAGAATAGGGAGGAGTCACAGATGAATCTAGGACGCCTACCAGGGGCATTTTGGGATATTGTGATTTTCCACATAGAGACAGGAAGAGCAGCTTGTGGGTTTAGAGAGGAAGGAGGGGAGGAGCGGATACTGGATTCACAATTATCTGGGTTAAGTGCCTGAGGAGTGCTAATAGCTATTTCTGTTTTTATGTCTGGATAAGAAGAAGAGATGTACAAATTTAATAACTTTTAAGAATAGTTTATTATGAATATGGAGAAAATTTAACATTTTTAGAATTTCTAAACTTCATCAGCTTTTGTCCTATAGGAACAAGAGAATATGCCTCATTGTCACTGTTTGAAAATATCGTTAATTCGATTTTGGAATTAGTGAATCTTTTATTGTTTCTAGAACCCATATATTTCTTGGGGAATTTTATATGCCTTGCCAAGGAATCATTTAAGATAAATGACTTCAAAATACCGTTGTATTTTATTTGGCTCCAAATATATACCTGCATGAAATTGAGCATTCTTATTCTATCACAATAAGGCATTTTCTTTTGTAAAAGGGAAAATCAGACCACTTGAAAAATCACTTTCCTTTCAGAGACCGACAGCATCATTACCCCCTTTCTTTTTCTTCATTTCTCCTTTGTGAAAATTCTTTCTGATGGTCATCAACCCACTTGGCAGAGTGCCCTCTATTCTTAATCTCTGTGTAACTTCTGCCCATGAGCCAGTCAGCTATCTTAAATATCACCAGAAAAGAAAGTTTTAAATTTCCCAGTTAGGAATACTTTTTTGGCATACCAAATGATGCTCCTGAAATAAGGACTTTGGGTCCAGGCATGCTAGATCATGGTTCTCTGGATTTTGATAGGCTTTGAGAGTAAAAGGTGAAATTTTAAAGTAAGCTTGATTTCATTCTCTTGACAAATTTTTTGGGTTGGTTAATTATCCCATAGGAAAATAGACAAAAGTCTTTGTGGAACAAAATTCTGTTTTACTATAGTTAAGGTTACAAGAGTAGAGTTACATTGATGTGAGGGATTGAACTGACTAGAGGCATTGGCTGTGATTTTTCTACAGTTTTTTAAATGGTATCTGCATTCTCATTCTATATGTCTTTGCCTAACTTGAACTTTTTGTGGGGAGGGGAAGCTGGTACTACCCATCTAGAACATAATGTGCATTAGTTGGAATAATGGTGTAGTAAGGTAGTCTCCAAGGTGGTGCTGGTAATCTCTTTCCTCCCTGTATGCACCTGCTGCTCTTTACATTAAGAAGTACAGTCCAGTTTCCTTTCCTTGAATCTAAGCTGGGCACAATGACTTGCTTGGATAATAGAATACAGCAGAAGTGATGTTCTAGGATATCCGAGGCTGGAACAGAATAAGCTTTGAACTTTTGTCTGTATCTCTTGGGACCAATCACCATGTTGTGAGGACCTCAAGTAATGTGGAGAGGCCAGATAGGCATGCCACATAATAGCTAACGTGTACTGCCAGCCATCTGAGTAAGCCATTTTGGCTTTCTAGCTTAGTTGAGCCTTCAGATAACTTCAGCTGCAGCCAACTGACTGCAACTGCAAGAAAGACTCCAAGTGAAAACTGTTGCAGAACCCAGTCAATCCACAAAACCATGAAAAATAATGTTATTTTATATCATTAAACAAAATAATTAAAATAAACAAATATTAAACCATAAACAATAATAATGTATTAAGTTTTGGATGGTTTATTATGTAGTAATAGATAACTAGAACAAGTACTAAATATTACATAATGCTGAATAAGTACAATTTTAATTGTGTAATATTCTTCTATATTTTAAATGATAAACATTTATGGACAGAGCTCTAAAGTGAGCACTTACTAAATGTTCCCAAAGAGAAGTTAGCTGTTGTATCTCAATATCACCATTTACCAATGGGAGTTGTATTTTGTTTTTGGAAAATACACATCTTACAATTCAGTTTAAAAAAATATACTATCAGTTGTTTAGAAAGGCTTATAGTATTCTAAAAAAGATTTGGGAGACCCAGGAAAGTGTGAACTTAAAGGCTCTCATTATACTTACATACTATTTAATCTGTAGTTTCAAAATCTGATGGCAAATTTGCTTACATAACACTGAAATTTATATAAATAAGTTAAATTAAGAGCTTTCCTTTTAAGTAATTGGCCTTATAATTGGTGTCATATTAGGATGGCTAAAGTGAATAGGTTCATCACCATTATACGATTTTCTCCTTAGTACTTTATAGAACATTGAATGACAACGGTAGAGTCTGAAACTGAGTTATCTAGCAGTACTACTGTAATCAGAATGATACTTATTTGGGGGCATCAGGAAGGTAATTCTTGCTGTTGAGGCTGATGGTCTGGCAAACTCAAGCGTGGGTGATCTCTGCTTAAGATTAGGAGGTTGGTTGGGACGTTCCCTATTTGGGACTTTCTTTGTTAATGCTCTCTGACTAAAGCTGTTTTAAATACACAAACCTCTGTTTTTGAATTTAGAAAACTTATTTTTATAATTTGTTTATATGTTTCTCCTTTTTAGGTTGTGACTTTCATGTAGACAGGAATTGTAGCTCACATCTCTTTTTCCTTAGCAGCTGTGTGCCTGGCATCTAGTGAGTTATTAGGTTTGTTGAAGGAATGAAGTGAAATTATGTCAGAAGCGAATTATTAAATTTACCAAATTAACTGAGCAAATATATAGCTAGATAAGATATATGAATCCATTCATTTATTTATTCAACAAACATTGATTAAATGACTACACTGTGCTAAGAGCTGGGACTATAGCAGTACACAAATCAGACATTGTCTCTACCTTCAGTGGAGCTGGGAGTCACTCATAAGTTTAATTCTTTTCTAATCAGCAATTCCTTCTCACTAAAGACTTGACAAGAAGGTATGAGAAGGCAAGAGTGCGTGCATTCATCAGATGTTTGTGATGTGCCCAACTGTGTGCCAGCAGCTGTAGTGTCACAGGCCCTGCTTGTGTCTGTCAGGAAAGACGGACACTAAGGACATTATTTTAAGTAACACATAATCCCAAGTATGCCAAGTGATGGCGTGGGAAAGTACTGGGTCCCAAGTATATAACTGGTACCAGGCCTACTCCGAGGTCCTGGAGTCTTTGGCATGGCTCTCTCTTAGCTCTCAGTTGCCCTTCCTTGTTGCTGTGGTTGTCTTCTTCAGTTGCATGTGCTTCTCTGCATTTCCACATTTTACCATATGGGAGGCAGTTCTATCTGTCTAGGCAGGAATAAGCAACTGTACACCTATTACTCTGAACTTGATGCTCTGCATTGATGTACACTGGGCCCGGCCTTCCCTGGTTGCCTGTCTGGACCATTCTTGTCATCTGGCTCTGAAGAGTTTGTTTTTAGAGGTATACTTGCCACAGAAGGAAGCCAGAGATCTGTGATCCTCTGATGAAGCCACTCTCACCCTAGTTATCTGCCTGACACGCCTGACAGATGAAGCTCAGGTGGGCAGACACCTCAGGCCACAGCATGGACTATGTACAATTCTTCAAGCTCAAGCCTTAACTCTCCTACTTATTGCTGTTGTAGGACAGCATACTGGGATGGAAATGAATGAAAATGGTGTTATTAGGGGTTAAGATTAAAACCCACCTCATTTGTGAAAAGGAAGTAGACTTTTGCAAATTATAGTATTTTATTTTTAATAAGAGATCACTTTACAACTAGTCACTATCTGTGTGCCATTAATATGTCACTGTGCCAGAGATTGTGCTCATTGATCTAAAGACTGTGTTTCTTGGATACCTGGATAGGAAAATTCACTAATTCTGCAAATGTTTAGTAAGCCAACTATATGCCAGCACTCTGCTAGGTGTTAGGGATACATGATCGAATATATAGTACAAGATGCCTGAGAGTGTCCGATAACTTCATATGGGTGGGTCGTGGAGTAAAATAGAAGGTGTACTAAAAAAGAGGCGTCTGGGATGCACAGAGGGCAGATGATAAAAGGTCGTCTCTGAATGCTGGATAAACATGTTTGGGCTTTACGCTCAGGGCTCTTGAGGAGCTTTTGAAGGTCAGTGATCTCAGAGTGTTGGCATTTTCAGCCCTGCTAATTACTTTGTCTCTCGCTGGTTACTGGCCACTACCAGCATCATCAATCATCGATTAGTTCTGTTTGATCCAGCAAGCCCACTAGTGGGTGCCTGTCCAAATGAAAAGAAATCATTATATCAAAAAGATACCTGCTCTCGTGTTTGTTGCAGCACTATTCACAATAGCAAAGATGTGGAATCAACCTGAGTATCCATCAACAGATGATTGGATAAAGAAAATGTGATACACACACACACACACACACACACACACACACACACACACAAAAGGATAGTATTCAAGCATAGAAAGAATGAAATCATGATTTCTGCAACAAAATGGATGGAATTGGAGGCCATTATCTTAAGTGGAACAAGCCAGACACAGAAGGCCAGACATCACATGTTCTCACTTATAAATGGGTGCTAAAAAAATGGACATACAGAATGGAATGATAGACAGTGGAGACTCAGAGGGTGAGGAGTGAGAGGAGTAAGGATGAGGAGAAATTACTTCATGGGTATAATGTATATTATTTGGGGGATGGACAACCTAAAAGCCCTGACTTAATTACTACACAATCTAGGCTTGTAACAAAATTGCACTCGTACCCCATACATTTATATATTTAAAAAGTATTAGACATCTCTTTTCTTGAGCCTGAGCCTGGGTTCTCCTCAGCCTGCTGACAATTTTTTGTTATCCTGTCCAGGTGATTTTGGGCAGAGATAAGGGAGTGTCTCAAGACGATGCCCCCAGTCATCGTCTTGAGAATCAGTAGAGCCCTTTCCAGTGGGCTTTTCCTAGTCTCCATTTGGTCTCCCTCTTTCTCCCACTGCTTTAGAGCAAGGAATAAAACATCTGTGGTTAAAATCAAAAGACTGTATCTCCCATCCAGCCTCCAGACCTGGCAGGAGAAATCTCAGCATTTTAAGTGAACAGCTTTTTTTTTTATGCCCCAGTAGGGTACAGTAGCACAAAGGCCAGTGTCCTGTAAGTGCCTCCTTTTCTGTCTATCACATAACTCTCAGGGACTGTTACCACAGCTGGAATCAGTGTTTTAACTGAGGTATTGGAGACACTTATGAGCTCATTATCATTTGAACATATGAATAATGTAAAATTTAGACAGAGTTTCATTTGAAAGGATTATTTAAGGAACTTTTAGTTTACAGATTGATTTATATTGCTGTTATTCTGAACAGTAGGAATAAAATCAGTTCCCTGTAGTGTAAGTTGGATGACACCATGGTGACACAGGGCCTTTCTTGATTATCTCACATAATGTCAAAAATTAAAAGCAAAAGAATTGATCTTAGGGAATTCCATGACAGTTTCTATTTAACTTCACTTAACAATGACTTCAAACAGTTGTTACATGTATAGAGAACTCCTGATTAAAGGGACTTTCTTTGACCAATGTGTTATGTTTCTAATTGTAACTCTTTAAGAACATGCATTTGGTCTCAGATGGCCAACTAACTGTTACAGAGTCAGCTTCTGTGCTATGTGCCGTGTACTGAAGGAACAGTTAAGAAAAGGCTGCAGCCCTTGCAGAGTCTGGGGGAGAAGACAACGAGATAAAGCATGGCAAAGACCACGCTGAAAGTATCCCAGGGTGCTGTATGTGCACATAGGAAGATCACTTACCTCAGCATAGGAGGAGGGCTAGGCAAGGAAAGGTGTCGGAAGAAACAGAGGAGCGTTTAGTCTGCAGAAGTAGAAAATACACTGGAGACATCTATGTGGAATGGAAAAAAAAGTGGCTAAGCCCCAGAATATTGTCCAAAAGGAAACCAGGAAGGAGCAGCCAAAGAGGCTGAAGGAGAACCAGGAGAAAACAGGGAGGTGGCACTGAAGCCAAGGGAAGGGAAGCGTTTCAGCATTTCTGGGAAAAATCACATGCTCTGTCTGAATCTTGCAGTTTTATGATACATATAACCATATTCCAGATTCTGAGAAATCCAGCAATAAAGGCATTTCTTATAGTTTGTTTAGGCTAGTGTTTGCCAGGCTAGTTTGAACGTAGTGAGTAAGGGTGTGTGTGTGTGTGTGTGTGTGTGTATTTGTGTGTGTGTGTGTGTGTGTGTGTGTTCCACTAACATCTCACTGGAGCTAGTCTTTTACAAAACACAATTCAAGAATCTCTGGTCTAATGCATCCCATGTATGGCTGCATCAATACTTATAAAGATTGCTTTGATCAACTGTCTCAGTTGCTAAAAAAAAAACAAACAAACAAAGCCCTCCCCCATCCCCTACAGCGGCTCCTCTCTGCCTGCAGAATGGAGCCCAGGTGGCTTAGCCTGGGTGCCCTGTGCCAGGCTGGCTGTGCTGCCTGCCGTCTGCCCCGCCCGTGCCCCCTTCCTCCTGGACACTCTGGGCCTCAGCCAGTTTGGACCATGTGTCCTTCTCCTAAGGATGACCATGCTTGCCTAGGTCCACTTCAATACTTTTTGAGGCTACAAATAAAGCAGTCCCTCTCCTGGTCAGGTCTCACTTTTTATACATTCTTCCCTGCCACCTCTGCCATCGGCATACTTTACTGGTACATTAATTATATTAGCCCAGTTTTTTTGTTTTTTTTTTTTTTTACTTTTGTGTCATTGTTTTTCTTCTGTTTCTTTTTTTCTTAGAGCTTAGTTCACGTATTCATTCAGTCTTTCCACAATATAACTGCATGTTGTATGATTTTATCCTCATCCTCATTGGTATTTATATATCTTTTTTGTAAAAATGGAGACTTTCTAAATAGATCTTTATTAACATTATTAACATCGAAAGGACAGTGTGTTTAAAACCTGGTCTCAGCCACCTGGAGTTCTCTGCATACCCAGAAGGGGAGTGGGAAGCTGGCATTGTTGCATTAGATATTCTTACAGTGAAAGAGAACCATGTGTGATGGCAACATTGGAACATGGAAAACAAAGCATCTGGCTCTGCCCCAGGGAGACCAGGTAGGGTCCACTGAGGAAGTCTGAATTGGATCAGAAAGTATGAGTCTGAGTTTTCTAGGAAAAGGAACAAGATTGGGGGTAGGGCATTGCAAACCAACTGAGTGTCGTGTGCAAGGATGTGAAGCTGTGATTTGTGGGTGGGTGAGAAGCCCACTGTAGGAGAGAGCCCAAGGTGTGCGTTGTTGAGAACTGGAGCATGAGGTGGGGGTCAGGCAGGCATGGCAAGACTGTGAGGAGTCCCAGGTGCTGGGACAGGAAGATAGGATTGATTGTGTTGATAACAGTAAGTCAGAACAGGCTTTCATTTGTTTCCCAGTGAGAGAATGGAGTAATAAAATGAACAATAAGACTAGGTGTTCCCTCTTTACTGAAACACAAACCTATGAAATAAAGAAAATATTCAGTCCAAGCAGCTCTGTCTATCCCTTGAACTTACCTATTTTTCTTTCATATCTTTTTTCTTTTATATCACACAAATGGTCTTGTAGGTTGAGACTAGTAAAACTATAACAATTGCTAAGGCTGTAGGTATTTGCTATTACTAGCTAGAACAAAATACAATGCACAACATTTCTAAAATGTCTTCATTATTTGTGACCTATTTTGAGTGCAGTCTAGAGTCACAGAATATCCCAGCTGCAAAGCATATAAGAGGTCAGTTGATCCAACCCCTTTATTTAAAAATGAGGGAATTTAAGTCAAAATATCGTAAAGACTGGGTATAGCTAGTTATAGCAGGAATATTTCTCTCTCTGCAAGCACTTCGATGACATTATCTTTCCTCAAATTCATTTGGTCATGAAATTAAAGGGAAACTGAATAACAGGTTAGGTTAGAGAGCAGGAGTATTATACCATTTTTTAGTTTTTATAGTTTTTTATTTTTAGTAATATGTTATATAAAATTATTACCTGTTTAAAAAATTTTATTGTGAAGTAACCTGTTGTATTGTCCTGAGGTAACAACCTCAGAGATCAGTTATTTTCAAGCAATACATCTGATTTCAAGAGATAAGTTACAATGAATATAAAATTTACTTGTTAGGAATTTATATTGTTATTACTATTGGAATTTGTCTATCTTTTCTGTAAAATTGGAGATCTTGTAAGTGGATCTTTATTAATGTGAAAAGGACAAAGTTTCTGAAAGTGCATAAAACAAATAATATTATCTGATTACTTAATATTAGATGTTAAGAAGTATATTTTAGAATGAGTAACTTTTTATTGATCATTATATACTATGTACTGAGTTAAGTACTTATATTCTAATCAAGAAATCTTCCTAATGATCATATGAACTGTGTATAATATATTCAGTCTTAAGAATAAAACAATAGATAATAGACCCTGCAAATTCTCCCTTTTTTATGTTCAGCTACCAGTCTTTTAGATGACCTCCATATGGTAAAGACTGCAGGAGCTCCTCTTAAGCCACCCAAATGCCTACCCTTATCCTGAGATGGTTCAACATTAATTTGAACACCTCATCAGACACACAGTTCCTTAACTATCTTAGCTATAGGAACCATTACAACTTCTGTCACCTACTCACAGAATTATACCCTTAATATTTTCAACCAGCTTGGTGTCAGAAATTCCTTGCCTTGCTAATCACAGAGACCCAGCCATGTCTCTTAAACATGAAGGGGTTTATTTATAAGTGTGCAGAAGTAGGCATTCCAGGGATAGTTTGACACTTCCACAAAGTCATCCAGGCATGTGGCTTCCATTGTCAAGGTTCCAGTGTGACTCAAGATGGATTTTGCCACTCTGGCCATCACATCCTCATTCCAGGCAACAGGAAGGAGGAGGCAAGAGAAGGTAACAGGATACGCCCCTGCTGATTACACTTCCACTAAGGAGCTTTCTGGAAGTCCTACCCACCAACTTCCACATGACCACACTTGGCGGTGAGGAATTCCGGAATTATCATCTTTTCTTAAGCTTGTTGCCACACTAAATAGAATTACTTTCTGTTACTAAAAACAAGGGAATAAATATAAAGCAGATTTTTCTCCAGTCTCATTTGCCAGCCCAAAATTATACCATTCTTTTTCTAGACTTTTGTTAGTTTTATTGCTTTAACTGACATCTCCTTCTCTGCTGTACTGCCTGGCCTCTTACCCATAAGTAAATTTTTGTAAAAAAAAAAAAAAAAAAGAAGACCTCTGTTTAATTGAAATTGCCTCCTCCATCATTTTCTGACCATCTCATCTCATAGCCGGGTGAGGGACCCCTTCTCTGTGCTATCATCACTTGTTGTACATTGCACTGCACTGAGCTCTTTTGGTGTCACTTTCTCCCTCAAATTACACCTGTAAAAATCTCTTGCTCATGGTGGGCGGAACTTCAGGGTCTAGCTGACTGCCTAGCACACGGTGGGAAATTGTTAGGTTGTTTGCTGAACTGACTGTAAAGTGTCATAGTCAATATTCAAGTGTAAATAGCAGGGCTTTAGGTGAGTACTGTTTTAGTCCCTGTCTCTTTATTTCTCACAGCTGCTGCAAGGGAAACTCTTAAGGGCTTTTGTATCTTATCTGCACCTCTTTTTTTAAGGGCCTGGGCAGAGTGGTGTCAGAGAACAACTTCGTCTCTCTGGCTTGGGCAGCCCCATTTGTAACAATAATACAGTAGAGTTGTTTCAGGAATGTCTACTAAACTCCTTTATGAACTTGGTATATCCACAAAGAGTGTGTGTACAGCAGATTGCAGATTTAGCTAAAATAAACCTCTATAAATATTTAGCATTGAAGCTGATTGTTGCTTCACCACCACTGTATTATCTTTAGACTTTAATAATATACTTCAGGATTTAAAAGAAAGTACATGCTGTCTGAAATATATATATAAAGAGAGTTTTTCTTTGTTTTAAAGATAGGCAATATGCAATTAATTTTTAAAAGAAATGAGGCCATTATTCTTAGAAAAGTAATACAGTATTTCCAAACTATTTTCTTTCTGGAACAGAAATTTATGTTCATCTTGTTCTCTATTCAGAGAATTTTAATTACTAAGGTATCACAGGTATCTTGGGATAAAGACTTATCTGTATGAAGATCCCATTAATGGATTTCAAGAACTATGCTATGTTGAGATTCCTAAATAATTTTATTTCTACATAAAGTTACCCAGTTATATTTACATGATTCATGTGCCTTTTTCAATTTTGGGTAACATTATATTTATATGCATATTGCAACGGTGAAGAGAAGAAAGGTTAATATAATACGTAAAATATCCTTATTGTGTTCATATTATGTGCCAACCATTAAGATAAGCAAAATGCTATGACATAGATATAATATTCCATGTTACAGAAGAGGGAAGTGAGGCTTAGAGAGCTTAAGTAGCTTGTCCAAATTCCAGGTAGTCATTACTACAATGACTATTAATAGGCAGCCCAAGACTGGAAATTAGCTTATCTTAAAAACCGTATTCTTCATTCCTAGATATGCAGCCATCAAGATGTTCTAAAGTATTATGTTCCGTATTGAATGAACTAATCTTTTAGAAAAATCATAAGAAAACTGGTATCAATTTCCCATTGAGTTCAATAACAACTTGTTGCTGCTACAGTATCTCTTGGGTCTACCGGACTCCCTCAGTACATGGTCCTCAGGATTCCTGTTCTGATGTTTCTTGCTGGGACCACACCAAGATGACTGGCATGGGGACACCCCACGCAGGAAATCATTTAGTGGTGCCACTAGGACCTCAACACCATTTTCCCTTCACTTATACCTTAGAAGCTATTTTCTTTGAAATATTTTTAAAACTTTGAAAGCCACCAGGAAGAGATATTTCATGTCCCTTGTAATACATTATAATAAGGGAAATTTCAATGTAGAGAGACTTACTGTCCACATTTTTACCTAAATTCCTTGTATTGTAGTTTCTTTTTATCGTAGGAAATCAAAACAGCATTTTCAATATGAGTCTTTCATATCCTTGAAGATGGCTATTTTTGATACCATAATTTTTCAGGGAGATACGTCTAGGCCAATGATGACTCACAGTAGGTCACATGGCAAGTTTATATCAAGATTGGTGTTTAGGCTGTGTGAATTATTGCTTTGAAGGACCTATGGGGCCTCTCAGTCATGCTGCCTTCATCTCATGGATGTTGTGGGGTTTAAAAAAATGCTTGATTTCAGTATTTCTAGGTATTATAATAAAACATATTCTTAAAATCATGAAGGAAATAGAGTCTTAAGGGTAAAGGTCATTCATTAAAATAGAGTTATGGATCTTTCCTTTTGCTCCATAAAAAAGCTGTTATTCTTTGATTTCTTTATTTTTACTCTAATGGAGGCAGTTATATGTTCTAAGAACATGGTATCATTTTCAGTTTGACCAAAACCATGCTGATGCTGAAGTAAAAACCTGCTTATCCTGAGAAACATCAAGGCTCTGGCTCTCTCTTTCTTCACTTCCTGCTTGAGACTTCATCTCTATACACTGTGTCAACCATAATTCATTAGAGGGAAAGCCGTCTCCTGCGGGGTCCTAGATTCATATCTTTCTAGGCAGGCTTCAGTTTCCTAGCTTCTGAGGAATATTTAATTGTGCTACTTGTAAAATTATATTCTTTACCTTCAGTTTTTGTCTCTCCTTTAGTTCTGCTTTCAATTGTAAATTACATTTCTTTATCACACATTTGGATATTTTTCAGACAAATCATATTTCTTGTGTGTATTTTCTATTTGGTGTACCTCTCCATTATGGAAGCTCTGTAGTGTGGATGTTACCCTTTCTTGTAACCTCAGTTCTTTTCTAGAGCATTTTAAAATATGAATATTAAAAGGCCAATACCATGCTTCTAACGCAACACTAGGCGACGTATGTAAGGGGCAGGGGGCGGGGTAGATGTTGCTTGGTGGGAAAGTGGAGGGTAATAATTGGTACAAAACAAATTAGTACACCAGGTTCCATGATGTCATATCCTTGCAAAATGAAAGCAAACATTCACCTAAAGAAAAAATTGACGAGTCTTTTTATGAATATTGTATATTCTTAAGTGTAAATGTTCTCTGAAATAATAATTGTCTGGAATCAAATCAGAAAAAAATATATATATGTATATATACACACACACATACATACATCATTTAGTTTCCTATGTCATTATGTGTTCAAGATTATAAATGGAAATAATAGGAAACAGAAGTGGGAACAATTTCCCAAATACATTTTCATCACCAAATGCTATTTATTTATACTGTAATGACATATCAGACAGATGGATTATTAAGGTTTTTCCTGTCTTTTATAAATCTCTGATTTACAGTGATTATGATGGTGCTGATTGCTTGTGGCCTTGATACTAGATTCTAACAGATGAATAGGGTAGACAACTGATCTGAGATTTGTTGTCTAGAAAACCTGAAGCAGGAGGAAAGGGCAAGAGGGTCTGGGGACTGGCAATGAGACCGGAAGCCTTTCACCCCGGGGTCAGCAGTTGGGCCAGGCTAAGCTGTGAGTGATATAAACCACTCATCTAAGGACCAGCTGTGATCATGACAGAAAACTGACAGTGATCTGATGTTCTTCACTGGTACTTTCTCTCTCTCTCTTTTTTTTTTTTTTCTTACTGAGATGGAGTCTCACTCTGTCACCCAGGTTGGAGTGCAGTGGCGTGATCTTGGCTCACTGCAACCTCCACCTCCCGGGTTCAAGCGATTCCCCTGCCTCAGCCTCCTAAGTAGCTGGGATTACAGACGTGAGCCACTGTCCAGCTAATTTTTTTGTATTTTTAGTACAGTCGGGGTTTCACCGTGTTGGCCAGGCTAGTCTCGAACTCCTGAACTCAAGTGATCCACCCGCCTCAGCCGCCCAAAGTGTTGGGATTACATGCGTGAGCCACCGTGCCTGGCCCTTCACTGGTACTTTCAAAATGCAAAATACTTTTCTGCTTCAGCAAAAAGTGGTAGACATTTGGAGATGCTTGTTAAGCTTTAGTACCACTCTTGAGGCCCACTGAGTGCCTGGTGATCCAGTCTTGCAGCACTGGACTTGACCCAAGTCTCAAATATTCTGGAGTTTTCATGCCAGACACAGACTGGATCGTAATCCAAAAACTCAGCACATCAGTGGGGCAGTTCTAGAGGCTTTCCCAGGACTAGTGTCAATCTGCATTACACTGAATTCCATTTAAGTCAAACCTTTTTCATTACCTTATGAATCATATCTATATGTTTCATTTCATACACACACACACACACACATATATACATACATCTTTCTTGGATGCTGCTGTAGGTTGCTCTTTCAGCTACTCCTTCTATTCGGTGAATGAATGTACTCCAGTCAAATGTTCACTGTGCCAGTGTAAGTTAAAATGAACATTTTACTGGAATGTGGTGTGCCTGACTGCTTTGGATCTATTACATATATTTGGCTTTGTAGAGGCAACAGAGTGAAGGGACTAAAATTAACATGTGTTTTCAGACATGTAAGCAGTCTCCCATGTCATTGCCAAAAAAATGACATTCCACCTAGAATATAGTCTTTAACATGCGGGACAGTTTATCACCAAGAAATATATGACTCAATGGCTGAATTTTAAATTTTTTTAAATACTGAATTATGTTTCTACTCCCCACTGGCAGAGCATGAGTTGAGTTTTCCACATCTGTCCCATTAGGAGCCATTGCCAATGCTGTGGCTGCTGCATGCTAAGTGTCTGTTCCTTTTCTTGCAATACTAGGCTCAAAGCCCCAGAGGCTTCTATCACTCTCCATCCCACCCCCATTTGTGTCTTCAAGTGCCCAGTGTATCTTCTTTCATCCCTGCCTGGAGAGAGGCCCTTTGGAGATTGTTTGTGGACATTCTTTGAGGGGAGAGAAATGTGTACTCACTGAATTCTCTCTGAGCATTCAGGCTTAGTTTCTTTATGTACAAAATAAGAATTATGTTAATCGAATCTTCTTCTGGGTGTGTTATTTATGTTGACTTGACATAGAGGATACCTGGCTATTAGTAGAAAAACAACTGCAACTGCAATTGTAAAAGGAGAGAGAACAAAGTACTGGGAGATTGTGCTGGCAGTTCTTTTCTTACAGGTTAACATTCTCTGAAGGCACCAGTGTGTCTAAACCAAATAACCAATGTAAAGAATTACAGCAAAACAAAATCATCTAAGCATGCAAAGGAATGATTCAGCACTGAGATCCGTGAGTCCATGAGGCTCTCTATGTCTTTGGATATAATTAAAACAAGGAAATTACCTCAATTCAGCCTTGTTTTACCTAATATATTCTGAGAATGGGTTGGATGATTTCTTAGTAACCTAGACAGCTTATAAGTAGCTCTCTCTGTAAAAATATTTTTTCTTAAAATAACAAAATATCATCCTCTTGAGGGAGAAAGCATTTTGTTTGGCCTGAGGCAAAACTTGGCACTTCAGTCCAAAGCACTGCCCTTCTCCCTCCCTAGCCCAACCCTCCATCCCTGCCCCTGTAGCACTCTACCTTGTGCCCACTCGGGTGAGCAGCCACTCTTCGCAGTGGGGCAGTGTGTGATGGGAAAGGGCTAGCTAGAGGTCTTGACAGTACTTTTCCTTGGTAACTAAGCTTGTTCTGCCAGTGGGATGCTAGACTGTGACTATTTAGATACGAGATGAGAGATCAGGGCATAGGAAGAAGGGGAGATTGTGTTAGCAGAATTCTTCTTATCTAGTACGTTGCCCTGTGACAGCTGGGTGGATTTACAGGCTGACACATACAGTGTGTCTCCTAGATAGTATCTAAATGGACCATTACAATGAGCTGTGATTCCTGAATTCAGATGATGCTGTTTAATATAGAAACGGAGTTGGCATTTTCTTGTTCTTAACATGAGCTTTCTGGTTTGCACCAAATGGAGGGGTTACCCAGGGTGTAGGATTTTCAGGGCTAAAACCAGGCTAGTCCTGGGCAAAAAGGGATGGTTCATCACTCTTTCCATGGTTTTTGAAATAAGTTAATGGGTGTTCTTTCTCAAGGAACACACTGAACTGAAAACAGCCAAAAGCTAGTAGGTAAAAAGTCACCAAGGCCTATTAGGAAAAAAAGTGAAATGTGATCTGTTTCTGGTTACTACTGATGACAGTAGGGTCATTTTATTTTGGAGGTAGGAGTGGTGTTTTGCAGAGGTGTGAAGTATATATCTGCCTGATGAAGTCTGTGTAGCATCATCAGATATTACAAAAGTTTTCACAAACACCCATTTGTGAAAGAAGATTGAACTCAAATTTGCTTACAGAAAAAAAAAAAACAACTGTATATCAGATGAAAAGTGTAAATAGTAAAGATGCTAATTTTCTAAGTAAAAAAAAAAAACTTCTGCAGTTACCTTTGGAATTTTAAAATGTTAATGGTGTTCAAGTTTAGAATAAACATTTCTCGTTTATTACAGTAATACTGTTGTCATCTTTTTCTTTGTTTTAATCTTTTAGGCTGAATGACTTTTTGTCAGAATATTTTATGACTTTTGAGCAAACTAAAATCTAGCAAGATCTCTGCCAGGACAACTATAGAATCCTCACCTGTGCAAATAAGCTGTTTTTTCAGCATTTTTAAGTTTGACTGGGGCAGGTTTATGCTACTACCTCCTTGCATCTGTGCGGTGTTGACTCAGAGATGTAATTTATATTGATATGATTTCCTCTGACTTCTGCCCGCTCCTTGATGGTTTTGTTTCACCTGTTGACATAAACTTGGCTGAAATGAATGCTCTGTTAGTCATGGGTGAATTAGCTGCATGTGTGATAGCACCTTTCTGCTGTGTTCTTATTATTTTCAAAATTGTGTAATGGGATAAGTATGTTTTTTTTAGAATTAGATATCCCTTTTCTAAGGCTTTACATGTACATAATTCCTTTCTCCTGCACACCTCTGAATAAACTTTATGGTTTTATTCAAAGATGGATTACACTTGCCACCATCACATATGTCAGAAAGCATGCTTGTTATTTTTGGAAGTGACCAAATTGAATTAGTTCAGTTCTATGTGGACTGGCTGGATCTGCTTCTTAAATGTAAGAGTCTGTGACTATGTTGAATTCTCATTTCACTTCATTCTCTGTACTCCTATATTATCTGCCTAAATCGACAAGGATACTTTGTATTTGCTGCATACCATACTTCAAATTGTGTAGTAACAAAAGCTGAAGGTGATGGACAAGTGCACCTCAACTTGATCTACTCCACCCGCCAGGATTTTCTTTACTAATCCATTGTACTCTTCTTGAGGATAAGGACCCCATTTTAAACCTTTTTGTGTTTCCCTTGGTTTCTAACACAGTGTCTTGCCTAATACCGCATGGAGACTTTTGCTGATGAAATTACTCTCAATGACATCATCTAATCATGGGAATTATCTTGATTGCTGTCAGATCCTTTGTAAATAGAGCTTGGAACACTTAAATTAATTGGTATGTAAGCTTACAGTACTGGTTCAAATATAGGAAAAGACCTTTTTAGAGGAAGTATTTAATATTTTTCTTCCTAAATTTACCTTTGGTGATGGATTACTGGGTCTGAGACTATACACTTGTCAGGAATGTTCCATTGGTAAAGGAAACTCCCAGCAACATGCAAAAAAAAAAAAAAAAAAAAAAAAAAAATTCAAGCTATCTTAAATTTGTAAGACTTACTTTGATTTTCATTAGCAATTTTTTAAGATAAAACAACGAGGATGATACATGACAAGAGAAAAAGACAGTTACATCAGAAACCTGCTCTCCCAACTCTGACAATTTATTATTCTCTTAGTTGACTTCCATTCTGAATGTTATTTGAAACTCAACATTTTTGCCTTGGACACTATATATATCAGTCGGCATAAGTGTGTGTATATATATGTTTTTATATTTTCTGTATATCTTCTATATTTTTTATCATATTTACTTCCCTTATATTTCTTTCTCTTTCATTTGTACTTCCTTATATTTTCTTTACAATTTGCATTGATTTTTCGAAGTTTGCATCATAATTTTTTAAGATGGTGAGCATAACTTTTTTCTTGTAACAAAATTTTCCTTTTCATATGATTATTCTTCTTTTGTAAGATTAAAATAAAATCTAAACACTTAGTCATTATGCAGGGAAAGAAGTAATTTCCCATTAGATACTTTAAATAATAACACTCTTTCACTTAACCAGCATTCCTTTTCTTTCAAGGATTACAAAGGACATTCTTTACAATGCACAAGTACGTTGTTCTCAGAATTCTTATCAGCAGATTTTTTTCGGCTTCCTTTGTAACTCTTGTTATGTGTGTAAGAAAAATGTTGCTGTGTAAAAGAACTCATTCCCATTTTTAGAGTCAGGATTCTTAGACTGTGTTGTGTATTTTCATTTTTAATAGCCAGTCACTGACTTTGAATTTTTCGTTCATTGTCAGTGCTATGCTTCAATGTAAGCTGGAAGTATTCTGTGTCACTAGGATAGGGCCATTAGAATATGGTGTAATGATTGGGAAGATGTAGGCAGTAGGATGATTTTTATCCCAAACTAACCAAAAGCCCAACTGAAAGGGCCTTAAAAGATGAGGATTTATATTAAGTCACATGACAAGAATTTCAGAGGAAGGGCCATCCATGGTTGGTTAATAGCTCAACAGGGTCGTTAGTGGCCCCAGCTTTTCTCATGTCTCCTGCTGTCCTCAGCCAGCTCCTCGCGTGCTCAGCACATGGCTGCAGCAGCTCCAGCAGCCTCTCCTTATGTGGTCTGTATCAACAGGCAGAAGAGGCCTTTTCCAGAATCTCCCATAGACTTACCTTCTCTTCTCAGTAATCGCAGCCAGGTCGCATGCTCTAAGCTAAACCCATCACTGCACGGGAAGTGGAATTGCTGTCATTGGTTTAGCCCATCAGTCCCCAAATGCGTCTGCAAATCAGAATCACCAGGGAATATTTCAAAACTGCCAAAGCCCAGGCCATACCTCAGACCATGAAATCACAATCTCTGGGGGTAGGCATCAGCATTTTTTGAAGCTCTTCGGGTGATAACAATGTGTAGGAAGTGTGGAGCCAAGGCTTAGCCTGATCAAGGGTCACTCTTTTGGCTGGGCTGGGAAGGGTCCTCCTCCAGGGTGCTTAACCAAGCAGAAGGCAACACCCAAATAGAATCAGGGTTCTGCTAGCAGTGATATAGACTAGGGAAGAGGCTCAGGTAGGAAGCAGAGTCACCCAAGACACAGGCCTGGGATTACAAGTGCCTTATTTTTTGTTCTGCTCTCTCTGATTGTGTAACTGTCAGGGTCATGACTACGCTAAATGTCACGCCCAGGGTCAGGTTCTGATCCGTGCTGAGGTTCGAGGGAGTGGGTGGATGAGCAGAAAGAACACTCGGGGGATCGTAGGCAGGTGAAAGATGATTTTATTCAGCAGCAGCTCTCATCAACAGCTTTCTCACACTGTCCACCCTGTCTTGGCTGCTTAGTCCGGCAGCCCCCATACACATCTGCGTAGCCGGCTCTCCCTTGCCTTCAGGGGCAGTGGCTTAACTCTTTCTCTCTTTGGCCACAAGCAAGCCGAACGTGTCCTGGCTCCCCTCTGTCCCTCTGCAAAGACGGACAACTCTGTCTCTCTCTTTCTCTGGGCACCCGCGTGCCCACCATGTCAAGCCATGTTGAGCTGAGCCTGTCAACAGGGCAATTATACCTTTTACAGATAATAGTGGCTTAGAGCCAAGTGATGGCCTTCCCATGTTACGGCTACATGGCTGTGATAACAAGTGGAGTTCTACACCTGCGCTGTAGACTCGCTGAGTCACTCTGGATGTTTACCTCGACCTATCCTTTACCAAAGCACAGCCATTGCCTTACAATAACCTTGATCACGTTTTTAAACAAATGTTTCTTCATTGTAAAGTGAGAATAACCATAGCAAATTTGCAGCATTGCTTAACAACTTAATGGGAAAACAGTCTCTAAATTTCTTAGCACTTTGCCAGCCAGCAGAAAGTAGGCAGTTTGTGAACATAGGCAGCAGTGTCGGGGTGGTAGAGTATAATAGTAGTAGTAGAAAGAGTAGGAGTTCTTACTGATGCTGTTTTTGTCATTGTTATTATCATTACAATGCTTATGGTAGAGGATGGTGAACTAGATCAGAAGTTCTCACTTCTGGTTGCGCATTAGAGGCACCTTGGGAGCTTTTAAAAAGCTAGTGCCTGTCCCTACCCAAACTAGTTAAATCAGGGTGAGGGTGGGCCCTAGGCATCAATGTTTTTAAAAAGATCCCTAGGTGGTTTAAATGTGCAGGCAGGGTTGAAGTCCACTGGACTAGAAATTAGGAGAATATTAGGGAAAAGTTTAGTTTCATCAGTTTTGTCTCACGATTCCAAATGGACTAGTTTGAGTCACCCTGCAGCCCCAGGAAAACAAGGCTTTTGAGCTGGTTTGGATGATTCTTTGCATGCTTTATGCCAGATAAGCTCTTTTAACACCTCTATGCAAGTGACAGGACTTTCTGGCTGCCCAGCCATTTCATTTATACACACTATTCTGTGGGCCTCAGAGTGGATTAATTAAAAGGGACCAGGTGCCTCCTTGTTTCTATTTAAAGACTGTATGCAACACTTTAATATAAAAATTGTATCCTATTCACTGTGCTTGTTTTTAGTGTTCTATGTGTTGCTTGTGCAATTCATTTTCCTAATTTATAGAAGTGTGTTTTTCATTAGCTACAATGCAAAACCAATTATGGATGTGTTATATAGAAACCTGCTTTAAATATTCTCCTAGCTTCCTAAGAGTTATAATTTTTAGATGCATTGTTTACTAGGCCATGGGTATGTTTTGTCATATGTTGAAAGATCACACTGGCTATAAAAATAAGACGGTGAATAAAAAGCCACAAAAGCTATAAACATCTGTAAAAGAAGTTTTCTAAGCAAGGCTGCTTGTTAGAGGGAAACTCAATGCATTTTGATTGTATGCAGCTGGTGGCACATGCACTTTCAGAAAGGGGCCCATTAAGAGGAACTGTTAGATATATGGCATGCCGTACTGTGGGCTGTAGCTCTGTTCCCTCAGCTGTGTGTAATAGAAACCCATGGGGCCACACTTGCAAACCCTCCTCTAAATTTCACCCACGATTCTGTTGCGAATTTGGTTTATAGAAGCAAGTAGTCATCTTTTGGTCTCAAAGCCCATCATGCTAAACGAAGATTACTAATCTTACCTGACTCCTAGAAAAGTGGAGGACTCCGAAAATCACAGCATGGGTTTCACAGCCTCTGCCATGGTGAGGAGCACACATCAGTCTGACCTCTGATCAGTGGTCAGGACCACCACAGGCCCCTGTCTGTAGCTCTCTTTTATTCTTGGAGGATCTGTTGTGGGATTGCCATATGAAGTACAGATGTTGGCCCAGTTATACACATACCCTATCATATAAGAGTACAAGAAGCCCTTTACTCCAGACACATGTGAACAGCTTGGCTATGCTGGGGTTGGGGAGAGAAGGGCCAGGTTTTGGGAATCTACTGCTCACCAGTCTGCGTTTTTGTGGCTCACAGTGAGGCCAGTCCCTGGAGCGCTGGGTTGTCTCAAAGCAGGCATACAAGACAGTTTCTGACTTCTGAGATGGTTCAATGTTTACATGATCCATCTTCCTGATATCAAAAATAGTTCCCCTAGATAGAGAAAGACAAAACCCCTGATGCAGAAGGATAATGGCGATATTTTTAAGTTTTAGAATAGCATGAAAGCAGCTTTTAGAAAAACAAATTTAACTTTTTAGGAGAAAAATGTGAAATCTACAGAAGCAGAGAATAGGATAATGAATCCCCAAGTAGCCCCAGCCCAGTTCAACAAGTATTAATTTTTTTTTCCATTTATAACTTCCTCACTACCCTAGCCATAAAACTTGAATTTTTATATGTAAAATTAAAATTATATCTAATTCAAGGTGTAAGTGTAATTATGACGTAGACATCTTTATATAAGGTCTATTGTAGAATTTGTTCATCTAGATTATGATAAAATTGAATTATGGGCATCCTAAGATCAAAGATATTTTCATTCTAGACCAGTGCTTTTCAAAAGTGTGGCTCGCAGACCAGTGGCAGCCCACAAACTCTTTATTTCTGGTCTATGATAAATAAAGAAACCGTGAAGAAGTGTTTAGAACTCTTACAGCATTTTGGCATTGCTGTGACATTCAAGTACATGATAATTTTTCTAGTAATTCGTTTTTAATATATTTTATAAAAGCATCACTCTGCAACAGACTGGGAAAAAGTCTTTAATTACAGATAGTTTGAGAAGCACTGTCTATAGTGTTTCTGTGGTTTGCCCCCCAGGGGACGTTTGGCAATGTCGGGAGATATTTTGGGTTGTCACAACTGGGTGGAAGATGGAGTGGGGAAGGGTGTACTACTGACATCTAGTGGGTGCACAGGACAGTCCTCACACCAAAGAATTATCTGGCCCTTTTGCTGAGATCCAGAAACCTTGCTCTGGACCAGAGTGGGGAGTTTAAGTACTCTGTGCCTTGTCTAAGGAAAGTTTGGCAAATAGTTTCTTAGTACAGGCTAGAAAGTAAGTCAACAACTGACTGTCTGTAATCTTCCTCACAGTTGAGGCTCCATATTCCACAGTGGAAATTAGTGAGACATTTTGCAGAAGAGAAAGTTTGAGGGTTAAGTGAACCTGCCCCACATCTTTTAAAAATATAACACAAGCCTTTTTTGTTTACAAGTCAGTGTCATCTATGCCACAGTTTGTAATGTGTCTGACAGATCAGCCACTATGGTAGCAGCTGAGAAGATGGGAAACTAGGA
Organism: Homo sapiens; assembly: GCF_000001405.40. NCBI lineage: Eukaryota > Metazoa > Chordata > Mammalia > Primates > Hominidae > Homo > Homo sapiens. The sequence goes on along the minus strand of NC_000004.12, from coordinate 120,718,759 downwards.
ATTTATAAAATTTAGTTTATGTAGAAATTTCATATTTAAGAAATTCACACCAAATCTGTGCCTCATGGATTTTTTTAAATAAAACACTATTTTGCTTTCAGCTGAACCTTTGTTTTTAACATTTTTGTTAAGGCAAACTTCTCTAAAATCAATGATATACAATTAAAGGCATTAAAATGTTCCACTTTTGCAGAAAGGTCTAAGTGTAAATTGATGATGTGGTGTTCTCAAGGTCTCTCCTTAGTGAGAGTCCCTTATGAATTTTTTAGATTTTCTTTTAAATTTAGAAATAGGAAATAATTATCTGATGAAATATGTCATTTTTGTGAGTTTTAATAGAGTAAACATTAATGGCTATAAAATAATCTAATCTAGAAAAAGTAGCCAAACAAAATTAATTTGGAACAAAAGGTATGCGTACCCTTTAAGTCCTAAAATGTCTTTCTGTGTGTGTGAGAGAGAGACAAAGACTGTCTTCCACATCTGATTCCTCTTTGATAAGCTTCTCTAAATTTTATATGAAATCCAGGTTGGTCACATGGAAATTATTTCATTAAGTGCATACACTGTGGCTTTATTACAGCTTTGAGCAAGACAAATAGAGAAAAGGTGTATCCCTAGTGCATTCACAGAAGATATAACCACAGAGGAGCTAGTGTTTCACTCGCAAGTTGAACCTTCTCCTAAGCAAACTCATGATTATATATGTTCAGAAGACCACAGGCTCTGACAGTCCTCGCCATGCTCACTAGTCTTCCTGTTTTCTTTCATTGCCTACAAGTTTCCCTTTCTCAATTTCAGTAGAGTCAGCTATCACGGTCATGAAAGAGAACTATTAAGCATCATTCTATGATTTTGTGACACCTTTACCTTGGCCTCTGACTATAAGAGAAAGAGCTCACTGATTTTATTTTCCATTTTATTTGATTGTGGTCTAATGTAAACCATAGACAGCAACCACAGGAAATCTTTGGATTATGTACCTACTGTATGTGGATCATCCACCTGTGATCCATTCTGGGATGGATCCATCCAGGGATCCGAGGTTGACCCATCCTTATCCTTGGTAGCCTGTCTGATGGGGTCATACCTCTAATCTTTTAGTCAGGAATTCTTAGCTCAACTAAAAGAAAGCTTCTAATCAATTTCTATTTCTAAAGACTTCATGTTCAGAGTCCTCCAAAGTATATCTAAAATTTAACTTTGTTTCTGTAGAACCCTCTCAGATGATGTTGAGATTTATTAATTCAGTTTATCTTATCAAAAAAATGTAACATTTGAAGATACTGTTCTTTTATATAGGTGGGCATTAACTACACAAAATACGACTTTTTATTACCTAGATTACAAGGTGCAGCACATAGAGCTGTGTAAATCCTACCTTTTGAATGAAATCTGCCAAGTATTGTTTGATTAAAGCTAGACTGATGAGACTCCTGATTAATTCTGCCTCTAATAGATTACACAGTTTAACTGACAAATACATTGCCTCCATTTAGTAATGATTCCCAAGTTGTGATGACAAAGGACAAGCTATTTGTCAGTTAAACTATGTAATCATTCAGAAACAGAATTAATCAAGAACCTAATCATTCTTTCTCTACTGAAATTCAGCTAATGAGTTAAAGTGTATAATTTATACTACATATTCCACTCAGGAAGGCTCTAGAGGCAATGAAGTTTTTTTTTTTTTTTTTCACAATGTTCAAAGAAAGGAGCAGGAACAGAAGTCAGTGCCTCTCCAATCTTATCCCCTGTACCACTCAGCCTGTTCTTCTAACTGTGTTGACCATGTTCTGATTGGTATTTCTTTGGCATGGCTTATTAGGGGTAATGAAAAGAAATTAGTAAGGGAGGGTCTATGTGAGGGTTTACTCTCTGAGAAAGAAAATGCGTTTATTTTCTTCTATTTTGGTTTATTTGGTTCTCTTAACTTTAGAGGTGAGTGGCCTATGACCTCTTGGCTCTGCCTCTAGTATAAGAGCCATTTACTAGAGCAAGAATTCTCTAAGACTTGCTTTGATGACATTCACTATAAATTGGAATCCTTTTCCATGGTAGGCATTAGAAGTTCCTTCAAGGAGCACTATAGACAGTCTGACTAGTATCTGCCATGAATTATATATCTTCTTGTGATATCTTCAGGAATAGTGCAGGCTCTGTGTAAGATCTGGGATGAAGAAGAGAGGCATTTGAAGGACAAACACAGCTGCCTGTTGATATACTTAGTTATGACAGAGAGCCTTTCTTGCCAGACTAACATAGAAGTATGCTCGTGGGGCCTTCATGTGCTTCTCTTAGGGCAAAACCCCAAAGACTCCCTGGCTTTAAATGGTTCTAGGTAGAGAAGAGGGAGTCCAGGCAGATTGAAAACTACTTAATCAAATGGATTTCTCTTCAAACTTCTTTAATTGGAAGAACCTTTCTAACACTACACATTTTATCCTTTACTTTTCTGCCAACATGCATATATAAATACATGGTTGTTGTACTTGTAGTATATTGTGAAGGAGAAAATAAGGAAAGGTAATATAATTTCAACGACATTTGTAAGTGAAGTATATTAAATTAATCAGCAATAGCATGTATAAACATGTGAAAAATATCAGTATGTGAGTGGATAATGTGTGTGTGTAAGTATATAAGACATTATTCAGCTAAAGCAATGATTAATACGTGTTTGCATTTTTAAACCTCTTGTGATAACTGCAAAGCCCTCATGCCTCACCAGAATCTCAGTATACTAGCAGGGAGTCAGTCTTTTAAGCATCTGTATGAGCAATGTCTAGGATACTCACCCAGATAGTGTCTCCTAAGAGGAAATTTGGGAAGGAGTAAAAGGGTTGTTCTTAATCTTTGGTGCCCAGGTCTTGATTTTCATTGCCTTTTCTTCCCTGATACCTCTTCTTGCTCTTAGGGTGGCATTTTGACAGTTCTGTCTTAGGATGTTCTCTGCAAAACCCTCACCTGTCATTGGCAGCTGCCATGGTGCCATGCCCATCATGTCTTCACAACTTCTGGTCTTACAAGTAAAGTGTAGGGATTAAGCTTTTTGTTTCTTCTCATATACTTCATAATAATGTCTTTGTATGTTTTTTTAAAATAAAAGTTTAAGTAGAATATTTGGATATAATACAAGCCTTAATAAGAAATCCCAGCAACTTCAAACAAATTCTGATCCAAATACTTAAAACTACCTTTTCATTTTCAAGTTTTTGAAAAACTGTGGAATATTTGAAGAAATATTTGAAGTTGTGAAAAGACATTATGTTTATTCAGACTAGAGGGGAAAGCACATTATATTTTTTGGACTGCAAAGAAAATTGAACATTTTTCCTGATGACTGGGGAAGACTCATTAAACATATTTTTTTACATCTTTAAAATTACACACATAGTTACTTTCATTTCTGGCAACATGGTAGATACTCCATATCCCGGAAAAAAGGCCCTATAAGGAGCACTTATTAATGCTGGATAAAACAAAGCAAACAGAAAACATCTGAACTTGTAAAAAAAGTAATGATAGCCCTCAGGATTCAATGAACAAAAATGGAGCTGAAAGTGAGTGATAAGTTCAAGTTGAGGATGCAGCACCTGTAGGGTAATCTCAAGACTTGATTTTTCATGGTGTCAGGGAAAATGAGACAAACTGTATGTTCAGATTATAGGGCAAGATGGAATCCCATACCACTTTTATTCTTGGACTCTAGAAATGCTATGCTCAAAATAAAATTGGGGACTAGACATAATCTGCCTTTGGTAAAGGTTGGTACTTGAGACATTTAACTGTTTTGGAGTAATTGCTGGCTAGGGAAAGCTTTCTTCTTAGAGTTTATAACCGCAATCCTTCCCTCAAGTGTGGAGTTCAGACTTACAATATCTGCCTCACCAGAAAACCCTAAGGCAATAAATCAACTTAAAACAGTCTTTGATTGATAGCATCCCAGAGTGCCTGGCAGCAGCAAACACAAATGCTGTCTGGAGGGACTTACCCTCAACCTAGGGGTCACAGGATTTTAACAGATAAAGACCACCAAACGTGTCCTCACTATTTCAAATCCCAGACACCCAAGGAAACAAAAGCCACGAGCAGGAGACAGGAGAAACCACAAAAAAGAGAACTAGACTTCCAGACATCTTAAGATAATGCTTTATCAGATAAAGTAAATTATATAAATGCCTAGAATATTTTCAAATAGGCATAAACAACATGCGTTGCTTATGAGAAAAATGAGATTGTATCAAAAATGGAATTGGGAAATAAGCAAATAAAACTTCTAAAGGTTAAAAATATGATAACAGAAATTAAAAGCCCTAGGGTCCCATTAAACAGCAAGCTGAAAAGAGAATTGATCAACTGATTTTTAAAATCAATTGACTTTAAGAAATTAGAGTACAACAGAAAGAGATGGAAATGTTAAAGAGATATTAAGAAATATGAAGAGTAAAATTAGTCTATTATATATCTCATTGGATTTGTAGACTTTCATTCAACAACAAATGAGAAAAGTAGTCATATTCAGTCAAAAACAATTTGCCACCAACAGATCCTTGGAAAATCAGATACATAAAAAAGCCTGAAAAGTAAAGAAATTGTTAATCATGTGTAAAGCTAAATCACGTTGATTATATAAAATGATAATGATTTCATATTAGGCATTGCAATGGACTGAATATTTGCATTCTCCCCAAATTCTTATGTGAAATCCTAACCATCAGTGTGATGGTATTAGAGAGTGGGACCTTTGGGAGCTGATAGGGTCATGAGGGTATAGCTGTCATGAATGGGATTAGTGCGCTTATAAGGAACTGAAGAGACCAGAGTACTTTCCTTCCACCATGTGAGGACAGGGAATTCACAACCCAGAAAAGGGCCCTCATGTGAACCTGACTAGGCTGACACCCTGACCTTAGACTTCTAACCTCCAGAATGGTGAGAAATAAATGTCTGTTGTTTATAGTGACCCAGTGTATGGTATTTTATTACGGCAGCTCAAAATGACTAAGACAAGCATTAAAAATCAAGATATAAATAAAATACTGCTCTAAGTGTAAGAGGATCGTTCTACAGTACCTGTATTATTCAGTAGGAGATAAAACATATGGATAAACTTTAGTTTTAAACATACAAAGTAAAATATTTTAAGGATAACCATTAAAAGGAAAGAAATAGAGATAATAACTTTTAAAGTAGTACCAGGGGAAAGGATCAATCTAAAACATGTAATAAAATATATGGGAAAAACTTGTAAAACAAATAGGATAATAGTAGTGCACAAAATAAATGTTGGAAATATAGTCAAGTATATCAGTAATCACAAATTTGTAAAGAGGCAAAACTTGCCATCTTAGATAGAAGTAATCTTTGGATCACAAAAAAGCTTGGGTTAAAAAAATCTAGTCATATGCTGTTTATAAAAGTCACTGCCCATGCATAAGGATATAGGCTGTTTGAAAGCAAAAAGATGAGTATAGCAGGCAAATACTAATTTTAAAAAGCTTTTATAGCTATATGGCAGTCATATTAATTTCAAGGTAAAAAAGAATTATTACAGATAGAAAAGGTCATGTCAAAATGATAAAAGGTTCTATTTTCCAATAGCATAATAGTTTAAAATTTGTATATACTTACATACCTAATGAAAGTCTCAAAACATCTAAAATAAAGTGATAGAATCACAAGGATACAGTGAATATTGGAGTATAAAATGGTTTATTAGCTTGGTTTATTAACTTTGCAGAGTTATTTGTTTATTCATAGAAAAGTTGAAGATTCAGTCCCACATCTAGGTACACATGCCTTAGAGAATTGCTTTCACCTATATTCAAGTGTACAAGATTTTTTCAGAGGAACATTATTTATAAGAGTGAACAACTGGGAATAACTTAGCTATCCATCACTGGAGAATGTATATAAATAAATTGTGGTATACAGCTATTTAATGTCATATGCCCAACATTGAAAATTAGTAAATATGAGCTACATATGTTCACAAAAATGAAAGCGAGGACTAGAAACTTGTGAGGATAATGTTGAACAATGATAAAGTACATCTCAACAGAACACACACAAAAAGTGGATACGGAATGATAGTATTTACATACTTTCAAATGGCAAAATAATACTCTATCTTAAGGTTCCATTCATACATAGGTAGTAACAATGTAGAGAAAGGCAAGGGAATGGTACTTAACATATCTGAGGGAGCTGTCATCCCTGAGGAGATGGGAGAGTGCTGCAGGTGGTGGGGGAGGAGGCAATTGAGAGCGGCACCTGTATTGAAAAGGTTGGACTTCTTAGGCTAGTTGGTGGGCAGATGTATGTCTCTCTGGTTATTTACATACTGTTTTTTATAGGTCTGCAAAAAAAGTTATAGATTTTTTGATACTAGAGAGAAAATATAAATACAGCTTGTTAACAAGAAACATGCATACACTATCTCAATTCAAAAATGTTTTTGTTTTCTTTTTGAGAGGGAGTTTTGCTCTTGTCGCCCAGGCTGGAGTGCATTGGAGTCATCTTGGCTCACTGCAACCTCCGCCTCCTGGGTTCAAGCGATTCTCCTGCCTCAGCCTCCCGAGTAGCTGGAATTACAGGTGCCCGCCACCATGCCCAGCTAACTTTTGTATTTTTAGTAGAGACGGGGTTTCACCATGTTGGCCAGGCTGGTCTCAAACTGCTGACCTCAGATAATTCGTCCGCCTTGGCCTCCCAAAGTGCTAGGATTACAGGCATGAGCCACCATGCCCAGCCCAAGAATGTTTATAGCAATATTTTTGAAGATATATTTGATTAAAAAAATGGATCTCACTGCAAATTTACCTAAATCTGAACGAAACTTTTTGATGATGCACTAAGTAGTAACTTGCAAGCTGTTGGAATGGAATAATATTAATTAATTTATTTCACAATTAATCCGGGCTAAAAAGATGGTGATAAAAAGATGGTGATAAAACTTAGATGACTAAGTTCCTGGTATCAAAGAAGGCTAAGGAATTCTAAATTATTTTTTCTCTTCATTTTGAGGTACTTCTTTGCCTTAAGTTTTCTTTATTGTTTTTATAATAAAAATGCCTCATTTAAAAATGTAATTTAGATTTTATAAAAGAACATCCTACTGGAAAAAGATGAGGTAATAGAAATGAAAACACAGGTGCAGTGGCTCACACCTGTAATCTCAGCACTTTGGGAGGCCAAAGCAGGTGGATAATTTGAGGTCAGGAGTTTGAGACCAGCCTGGTCAACATGGTGAAACCCCATCTCTACTAAAAATACAAAAAAAAAAAAAAAAATAGCTGGGTATGGCAGCAGGTGCCTGTAGTACCAGCTACTCAGGAGGCTGAGGCAGGAGAATTGCTTGAACTAGGGAGGCAGAGGTTGCAGTGAGCCAAGGTCGTGCCACTGCACTCCAGCCTAGGTGACAGAGGGAGACTCCATCACAACAACAAAAAGGAAATACATAAATCACAGTTGATTCATTTTTAAACTTATCCCCCAAAATCTGTAGAAAATTTAGTTCTAAAGTTTTTATTTCTAGGAATTCCTCTTAGAAAGTAAACAATTTGTACCCTCTAGATCAAGGGTTCTCAAACTTTCTTCATTCATGATGCCCTGAGTATCTCAGTAGATTTTTATGGTACCCATAAACCAAAAGAAATGACCTAGAAGTGTTAAGCAGTTACATCACAGCAACCATCCAGCATCCAGCATTGCAAAGACAGGACATCATTGGAGGAAATGTAGCACAATCCAATGTTGAAACTGAACTGCCTTGAGCTAGTCATTTTCAGTGTCTGACAGATGTGGGTTATTCCTATTTCTCCTGAAAATATAAAATTGCTCATAGCACCTGTATTAGTTTGTTCTCACACCACTATGAAGAAATACCTGAGACTGGGTGATTTATACAGGAAAGAGGTTTAATTGACACTACAGTTCTGCATGGCTGGGGAGAGCTCAGGAAACTTACAGTCATGGTGGAAGGGGGAAGCTCACTCATCCTTCTTCACATGGCGGCAGGAGAGAGAAGCATGGAGCAAAGTGGGAAAAGCCCCTTATAAAACCATCAGATCTTGTGAGAATTCACTCACTATCATGAGAACAGCATGGGGGTAACCAGCCCCATGATTCAATTACCTCCCATCAGGTCCTTCCCATGACATATGGGGATTATGGGAACTACAATTCAAGATGAAATTTGGGTGGGGCACAGCCAAACCATATCAGCATACCTGTAAATTTGCTGCAGTATTCTGTGGATCCCATAACACACACCTGAATATGGAGGACTCTGCATTCATTCATTCACTGGCAATTTTGGTGGTCTCTTTTTGTTGACTGCAGGAGAAGCCGTACAAGTGCTCAGAGTGCAGCAAGGCCTTCAGCCAGAAGCGAGGCCTGGATGAGCACAAGAGGACGCACACTGGAGAAAAGCCTTTTCAGTGTGATGTGAGTTTGGATTTTTTTCCCCCATAGTGTCTTCCAATAACAGAAAGTAGGGGTGTGTGTGTGTGTGTATGTGTGTGTGTGTGTGTGTCTGTGTGTGTGTGTTGCATTGCTGGAATGTGCCTATGCCTGTTAATGTCTTATGCTATTTATAGCTTGTTCTTGCATAATACATGTAACTGCATTGTAATCATTTTATTCATCTGGTTTACTGGCAGCAAATAAATTCTGATTTTCTTTTAGACATGCTTGTACCCTGTTTTAATACCGTTGAGTTGTTCTTCCAAGGTGTAAAAGCATGATGATTTGAGGCAGCTTTCATGTGTCTGGCCAAATCTTTACTGATTAATGACAGTTAAACCAGAGATTTGACTGGTCATACATATTATTTACTTGGTTAAAGCCAAGCATGTACAAAATTCCAAAATGCATATAAACTCCTTTGTGTTAAATAATGCTGTTACTAAGTGTCTAGGTTTTCTGCTTATGACATTTGGATTGAAATGGAATTATTTGACATAGCATACATTATTTCTGAAAGGAAAAAAATACTACTGTTGACAGTAAAATTAATCTGAATATTGATCAATTTAGGGGAAAAAAAACCACTGTTCTTTTGTGCGGGATTGGCAGTTGACAGAGAATTGACACAGATGTTAGGGAATCAATGTAAGAAAAAACATTAAAGCTGTGCTGTGTGATATGGCACAGTGCAGAATTCTGCTTAAATATTGAGGGAAATTCCAGAACTTAGATCCATCATCATGTCCCAATGGATACAGCATAGGGTAAGCAGTCCATATGAAAGGAAACTCACAAACACAAGATGTTTTCCTTGTCCTTCCATGAAACTTCAGTGGTAAGGTTAAGACAACAATGTACTCCCAGTGGGCATACTCATAAAAATACCTTTATTAACAGTACACTTCTTTTAAGGAAAGAAACAGTTGTAGAGGAAGAAATGCACACATATAAAGCTCTATACTGAACAGAGCTACAGCCCTAGTTCAGTGATTTCAATTAGTTTAAGTCATTGCTGCTTTTATTGGAAGGATTTTCATAAAGGCAAAACCTATTTAGATGGTTTAATTGTACTGTGACACAAGTAGCTGATATACAGCCCAGAAATTAAATGCTAGCTGCATATGGACATCTTTCTACCATGACATTTAACTCATCCTTTTATCTATGCTGAATGCTTTTGTTGGATATTTCCTTAGGTGAATTGAACCATCATGTTATGTTTTTTGAAACTATGATGTTACAAGCTGACTTTTTTCTATCTGCTTCCGTCCCATTTATTTCTATGATGTGTTTAAAATTCTGAAATCTTCATTTGCAGCCCATACTAATCTGCTGTGTAGAGATCCATATTTCTAAGTGCCTCCTAAACATTTCTGAAATGCAGACTGCTCAGTATAGAACTGTCTTTGCTCCAAAATCTTGTCCTCTTAACCTACTCATTGTGGATAGAAGTCACTGTTTCCCACCCCACTCCAATCTCTCTCCCTCTTAAAGAGCTCTCAGATTCATTAATTCCTCTTAGTTTTCATTTCTACTTGTAACACATAGCTCAGACCTTTACTGTTTCATCTACATGCAGTCTCCAGTGTGTGTGTTCTCTACCCTGTCACCCTACCAAGGTGCTGCATTTTTTTAAATTGAGGTGAAATTCACATGATATAAAATTGATCATTTTAATGTGAGCAGTTCAGTGACGTTTAGTATATTGACTGTGTTGTACAAGCACCACCTCTCTAACTCCAAAATATTTTCATTGCCACAAAATAAAACTCCATACCCAATAAACATTTACACCTCACTCCCCTCATCCCTTAACAGCTACCAATCTGCTTTCACTTCTATAGACTTACCTATTCTAGATATTTCATATAAATGAAATATGCAATATGTGACCTTTTGTGACTGGCTTCTTTCATTAAGCATAATGTTCTCAAGGTTTATCCACATTTTCTCATGTATCAGTAGGTCATTCCTTTTTATGGCTGAATGATATTCCATTATATTTTTATATCACAATTTGTTTATCCATTCATCTGTTGTTGGACACTTCTTTCTACCTTATGACTATTGTGAATAGTGCTGTGGTGAACATGGGCATACAAGTATTTGAGTACCTGTTTTCAATTATTTGGGGTATATACCTAGCATTGAATTGCTGAGGCATATGGTAATTCTGTTTAACTTTTTCGGGAACTGACATACTGTTTTCCTTAGGAGCGACACCATTTTACATTTCCATCAGCAATGCACAAGGATTCCAATTTCTCCCCATTCTTGCCAACACTTTTTTTTTATTTAATTATCCATCTTGGTGGGTGTGAAGTATCTGACCATGGTTTTGATTTACATTCCCCAAAGAACAAATGATGGTGAGCATCTTTCCATATACTTCCTGACCATTTCTACATCTTTTCTGGAGAAATGTTTCTTCAAGTCCTTTGCCCATTTTGAAATAGTATTGTCTTTTTAAGAGGTTTTAAATATTGGATATTAGGCTCTTATCAGATATATGACATGCAAATATTTTTTTCATTCTGTAGGTTTTCTTTTCACTTTGTTGAAAATATCTTGAGATGCATAAGGCCTTTTAATGTTGATGAAGTGCCCTTTATGCATTTTTTTCTCTATTTGATCATGTTTTTGGTGTTATATCTAAGAATTCATTGCCAAATCCAAGGTCATGGGATTTGTCCTTCTGTTGTTTTTTTTTGTTTGTTTTTGTTTTTTTTCTCTAAGAGTCTTATAGTTTTAGCTCTTATATATGGTATAAGGAAAGGGTCTATTCTTTGCATTCTTTTTCAGTCTTTCACTATTGAATATAGTGGGTTTTTCATAAATGCCCTTTATTTTGTTGAGAAATCTCCCTTTTTACCTAGCTTTCTGAGGGATTTTTTTAATCAAGAGAGGATGTTGGAGTTTTTCAGATACCTTTTCTGCATCAATTGAGATGACTATGTTTTTTTTTTCCCTTTGTTCTGTTCGTATGATGTATTACTTTGTTTGATTTTCCTATTCGAACCACTGTTGCAGTCCTGAGATAAATCTCCATTGGTCATGATTTAGAACCCTTTTAATATGCTCTGAGATTCAGTTAGTATTTTGCTTGCTTGTTTGTTTGTTTTAGGATTTTTGCATCTGAATTTATAAGAGATTTTGGTCTGTAGTTTTCTTTTTTCATAACATATTTGTCTGACTTTATTATTAAGTTAATGCTAGCCTTACAGAATGAGTTGGGGAATGTTTCCTCCTCTTCTGTCTTTTTGAAAGACGTACAGAATTGGTATTAATTCTTCTTTAAATGTTTGGTAGCATTTATCAGTGAAGCCACCTGATCCTGGACTTTTCCTTGTTGGTATGCTTTTTATTTGATTCAACCTCTTTATTGGTCTTTTTAATTTTTCTATTTCTTCATGGGTCAGTTTTGGTAATTGCTGTGTGTTTCTAGAAGTTTGTTCATTTAATCATGGTTACCAGTTTGTTGGCAAATTGGGTAACCATGATAAAATGGGCATATATATATATATATATAAAATTTATATAATGGACATATATATATAATTTATATATATATATATAAAACCAGTTTTGCCCAAATGACACGTTACTCATCAATACTACTTTAACCTCTTAGGCACAGTCATTCGAGGCTGTGCAAATGGCCCAGCATGCCTATAGCAATAACTTTGAAATCTTTCTTTCTCCTGCCCAGGTCTCTCTTTTGAACCCTAGGCAGATATTTTCAACTGCCTATAGGACATCTCTCTTGTACTCCAAACTGAAATCATGATCTCCCAGATTTCTTAATCTCTCAACATGATCCTTTTGATTTCCCATATCTCTGAGGACTGTACCATCCCCAAATAACCCAAATCACATATCTGAGCCTCATGTTGGACACCTCTTTTCCCCTAAGTCATGAATGATAGCCATTATTCTAGTTAAGGTCCTCATATGGGAAATACACAGAGATCCATGGTTTGCATATATTCTCTCTGATCTCCACTAAAACTCAGGAATATATAGGTGTTATTTGCATATATATGAAGAAGTCGAGGTTCACTGAGGTTGAGTGACTTGCCTGCAGTTCACAGCAGTCAAGATTCTAGAGTTTAAGGTTTCAGTGAGCCAAGATCGTGCCACTGCACGCCATCTTGGGCGAGGGAGCAAGACTTTGTCTCCAAAAAGAAAAAAAAAAAAAAAAAGATCTAGGATCAAAACCCAGATCTTTCTGAGCAGTTTACCATGCAGCTTTCACTCACACCCTGTAATTCCTGCCTTTGCATCTACCTGTTTTTCAAACATACCACCATCTCTAAATTCTCATTGTCACCTTTATTTCTCTAATTCTCTCACACCCTACATCTAATCCAGTAGCATATCCAATTGGTTCTACGTTAAAATAAGTTCAGAGTCTGAACGTTTCTCATAACTCCACAGCTTTATCTCAGTCTCCTGGAATATTGCAATATCTTTTTAACTGCTCTCTCTCCTTCTGTCTTTGCTCCCAACAGTCTCATGCAGAGTAATCTTTGTAGAACCTGAGTCAGATTATATATTTGTAAAATGAATATAGTATTCATTTGCTCAAACCTTCCCATGACTGTGCATCTCATTTAGAGTGAAAACCAGTTTTATCATGGTCTGAAAGACCTCAGGTGACCTGCAGCCCTCACCCTCCCACTCTGCTCTCTTTGACTCCATCAGCACCCTCCACCTCACTCTGGTCACATGGCCTCTTTAGTCTTTTTTGGACACATTGAACCTACCCTGAATCTACATCTTGGCCTTTGCATCTGCTGTTGCCTCTGCCTAGAACACTTTTCTTCCGGTTCCTTCATGGCCTGCTCATGTGCTTCTTTCAGATCTCAGCTCAAATTACTTTCTCTCTTATCTCCATTACTTCCTTAGCTCTCATTCTATATTATTTGTCTTCATGGCACTTATATCCACCAAAAATTTGTTTAATTATTTATCATTTATTATAAGCTCAATGACACAAGGTTTTGTCTTTATCATTTATTGTTGGATCCTCAAGCCTAGAACAGTGCCTGGCATGTGGGAAGCATTCAATATTTTGAATGGATAAAGAAATTAATTGATAACTACTGCTTTTGTTCATGTTTAAATCATTTCTGGTCTGGAGTGGAACAATAGTACTGGCCTCCTTGGCTCCAGTTTCATACTCTCTTGCTTGCTAACTGAATTATACTTTAGTTTCAGTCTCTATTTAGAATCCTTTAGTGAATTCCCACCACTTACAAAACATACGTCCACTTTCTTGAAATGATTACCATGATTTCCAGGATTTGTTTCCAGCTTTCAACTCTAAATTATTTTCAATTTATTTCTCTAGTGACATCTAATCTTTAGCTTTTGTGAATTCTTTTCACTTCCCCAGCTGAGCCATGTTCTTCACGCTCACAGTACCTGTAACTATCTTCTTCCCCCTCCCTGTCATATCATTCCCCCGCTTAGGACATGATAAACCGCGATGCATCCTTCCAGATCCAGGCCTTCTGCCAATTTTCCCTTAAAGCCTGCCTTCTTCTCTCCAAGCCATGGACTGCACGCTCCTCTGTTCCTCTCTTTGTACTATGCTTGTGACTTTACAAATGTTTCCACTTAGAACGTGGACTCCACAAGGGCTAGACAGTGTGTTCTTTGTCATTTTGTTCCTAGCAGAAGTGGTAGGCACATTGTATGTGATAAGTATGTGTTAACTGAAGATACTTATCTAGAATTTAGGTGCTTTCTGTTAAATATCTTATTTCACTTTATTTTAAAACAAAATCAGTTTACCTCCAGTCTAGAGTAAGAATAAATATTTTCCTAATGCACTCCTAAGTTGGAGTAGGGTGAAAGTTTGGATACGAATCACAGATGGAAAGAAAAGGAAGCATCCGTGTTGTACTACTTGAACTAGTTTTTGCTCTCCCCTGTTTGTAAAATGAAAGTTCTTGAATTTGGCTGATTTATACAGAGCATCATTTGGAGTCTTTTACTGACTGCATTCAGGTTCATGAAAACAGCTTTTAATGTCTGGGTAGTCAGTTTTACAACTGTGACATCAGGTACTCTCTCCTGATATTTAATCCTGTACTCTGGCTCTCATTCAGCAAGCTGTTGGAGTGTTCCCATCTCATCCCTAGTGTGGAGCTTCTAGGACTTCCTTAATTCAGACCCATTATCAATGATTTCAGCATCTTGCTCAACTTCCTTTCCGTTTTTTCCAGCTTGCCATTGCTCTCATTTTCCCATGGTAACTGTGTAAATGGACTTGCACTTTGTATCCCTCCCACCACAGTGGCAAGCTGAACTGTCTGAGAACCTTTCTTACATTTTCACAGTGGTTTTTATATATATTTTTAATGGTGTCAGCCAGGCAAATGGAAAAAGTAGGGTGAGCTCACATATCTCTGTTTGAAATGAGATATTTTAGTAATAGTTGGCCCTTGGGAGGGAGGATAGACTCTGAACCCAGACTGTCTGGGTTTAAATTCTGGAAACACCACCTAGTTCTTTGAACCTGGGAAACCTAGGTAACCTTTTGTGTGTTCATTTTCTTCTGTAAAATGGGTTTAATAGTAATACTAATATCTACTTAAAAGCATGACTGTGAGGATTGAGCAAGTTAATATTTAGAAATTGCTAAGAGTGGCTCCTGGAACATGGTGAAAGTTGTAAGATAGTTAAGCCTAGGCCCTGTGCTGGACACTGGGATGAAATAGTAGAAGATGCCATGTCCTGCCCTCATAGAACTCACATTCTTGTAGAGTATAGCATTAAACAAATACATGAGACCAGGCATGGTGACTCATGCCTATCATCCCAGCACTTTGGGAGGCCGAGGCAGGAGGATCGTTTAAGCCCAGGAGTTCAAGACCAATCTGGGCAACATAGCAAGACTCCATGTTTACAAAAAACAAAAATAAAAAATTAGCTGGCATGGCGGCACACACTTGTAGTCTCAGCTATTCAGAAGGCTGAGGTGGGAGGATTGCTTGAGCCTAGGAATTCAAGGCTGCAGTGAGCTATGATCAGACCACTGCACTCCAGCCTGGGTGACAGAGAGACACCGTGTCTCCAGAGAAAAACAAAAACAAAACAAAAAACAAAATACATGAATTAACATGCAATTACAATTCATGATAAAGACTGGGAAAGAGAAGGAAGAAAAAAGCCATGAGGCTATAAGTAACCTAAAAGATGAGAAGAATCAGCCATAGGGAAAAGAGCATTTCAGGAGAGCAACAGCATGAATTGAGGCTGGGAATGGGCATGGGGGAAAGAGAAGGCTGGTGGAGATGGAGCACAGTGAGAGAAAGAGAGGGATGCAGGGTGAAGTAAAAAAGAGAATTGGAGGCTTTGCAGCCAAGTTAGGAAATGTATTGTGAATCTAATTTTAATAAGAAGCCATTGAAGAATTTGGTATCAGTTGTTTATGGTGACATTGGGTTTGGAGAAGGGGCGAGAGAAATAGAACATGGGAATAAATGTTAAATCGATCTTCTTTATGATTATGAATTTGAATATATACTTATAAAAACAATTTAGCATTTCTTTCACTTGAAAATACTCTCCATTGATACTTTCTTCAATTTCTCCAGGATTATTCTGCAGTCTTTGGGGGTACTTATATTGTCCATAGAGATTTAATCAATCAATCATTGAATCTATCAACCATTATTTCTTCCTTTAATTCAAGAAATTTTTATGTAGTGGCTACTCTTGCCCTCATGTTCCTTAGTTTAGCAAGGAGACAGACATAAAAAAATAACGCAAATCATGAATGACACTTGAGGAAAGTGTTGTTAAGGAAAAGTAAAGGCCGCTATGAGAGCATTTAACAGAGACCAACCATCACCTGGCAGATGTGTCACGTGGGCTTCCTAAGGATGAGTAGGAGTAAGCTGGGTAAAGAGAAGCGAGAAAGTTCTGAGGCAGGAAGCCCAATGGTTTCTTCAAGAACCTAGAGGAGGCCTGTTTAGTTTGGCTAGAGCTCAGTGATTACCTTACAAGTAGCAAAACACCATGGAACAATTTTAGGTAATATTGTGACATTTGTGTTTTCAAAAAGTCATTTCAACTGTTATGTGAAGCATGGACTGGAGAGGATGAGGAGGAATGCAGAGAGATTCAGAAAGTATTTAGCAGTGGGTTACTTTTGGCTTGTATGAGCGTGTCCTGCACATTAGAAGGCATTACTTGCATGCTTGCCCCTATGCAAAATGCAAGTAATATTCCCCATTTGTTGAGACAGTGAGATACCCCCCACAATTCCAAACATTTCCTGCAGAGAGGGGAAGTTGTACCACCTCTATTTGAGGATGATGAAGCTGGCTATTGCAATAATCTAGGCTTTAGTTTTCAGAGTGAAGAGATGTATATTGCAGCAGGCATACATGACATCCATTGGAATATGGGAAGAAAAAATTACCTCTTTGATTCCCATTTTTTTTTCAATTTCTATTTTAGATTCAGAGAGTACATCTGCAGGTTTGTTGTACATGGGTATATTGCATGATACTGAGGTTTTAGGTGTGAATGATCCCATCAGCCAGGTACTGAGCATAGTACCCAGTAGTTTTTCAACCCTTATCTCCTCCCCTCCTTCTCTGCTCTACTAGTCCCCAGTCGCTATTGTTACCACCTTTATGTTAATGTTTAGCTCCCACTTATAAGAGAATATGCAGTATTTGGTTTTCTGTTCCTGTATTAATTCACTTAGGATAGTGGCCCCCAGCTGCATCCATGTTGCTACAAAGGACATGATTTCATTCTTTTTTTATAGCTGCATAGTATTCCATGGTGTATATGCACCACATTTTCTTTATCCAGTCCACTGTTCATGGCACCTAGGTTGATTCCATGTCTCTGCTATTGTGAATAGTTCTTCAATGAACATGCAAGTGCATATGTCTTTTTGGTAAAATGATTTGTTTTCTTTTGCATATATACCCAGTAATGAATGGGATTACTAGATCGAATGGTAGTTCTGTTTTAAGTTCTTTTAGAAATCTCCAGACTGTTTTTCACAGTGGTTGAACTAATTTACATTCCCTCCAACAGTGTATAAGCATTCCCTTTTCTCTGCAGCCTCACCAGCATCTGTTGTTTTTTTTTTACCTCTTTTTTTTTTGTTTGTTTTTTGTTTTTGTTTGTTGCAACAGAGTCTTGCTCTGTCGCCCAGGCTGGAGTTCAGTGGCACAATCTTGGCTCACTGCAACCTCCGCCTCCCAGGTTCAAGCAATTCTCCTGTCTCAGCCTCCCGACTAGCTGGGACTACAGGCACCCGCCACCGCACCCAGCTAATTTTTGTATTTGTAGTAGAGACAGGGTTTCTCCATATTGGTCAGGCTGGTCTCGATCTCCTAACGTCAGGTGATCCGCCCACCTTGGCCTTCCAAAGTGCTGGGATTATAGATGTGAGCCACCATGCCTGGCTGACTTGTTAACAATAGCCATTCTGACTAGTGTGAGATAATATCGCATTGTGGTTTTGATATGCATTTATCTGATGATCAGTGATTATGAGCATTTTTTCATGTTTGTATCCACTTATATGTCTTCTTTTGAGAAGTGTCTGTGAATGTCTCTTGCAATAATATATAAATACAGTAGTGCATATATATGTTTTATTTAAAAATACAGATATTAGTTGCATTTTTTAATGGGGCTGTTTTTTGCTTATTCAATTGTTTAATTTCCTTACAGATTCTGGACATTAGAACTGTTGGATACAGTTTGTGAATATTTTCTCATTCTGTCAGTTGTCTGTTTATTTTATTGATTGTTTTGCTATGCAGAGCTCTTTAGTTTTATTAGGTTTCACTTGTGAATTTTTTGTTTTGTTGCAACTGCTTTTGAGAATTTAGTCGTAAATTATTTCCCAAGACTTCTGTCCAGAATGGTGTTTCCTAGGTTTTCTTCTAGGATTTTTATAGTTTGAGCTCTTACATTTAAATCTTTAATTCATCTTAAAGTTAATTTTTGTATATGTTGAAAGGTAGGAATCCAGTGTCATTTGTCTGCATATGGCTAGCCAATATCCCAGTGCTTATTGAATAGGTGTTTATTGAGTAGGGAGCCCTTTTCCTGTTGCTTATTTTTGTCAACCTTGTCAAAGATCAGATGGCTGTAGGTGTGTGACTTTATTTTTGGCTTCTGTACTCTGTTGCATTGGTGTATGTGTCTGATTTTGTACTAGCATCCTGCTGTTTTGGTTACTGTAGCCTTATAGTATAGTTTGAAATTGGGTAATGTGATGCCTCCAGCTTTGTTCTTTTTGCTTAGGATTGCTTTGGCTATTTGGGCTTTTTATTTATTTATTTATTTATTTATTTTGGTTCTATATAAATTTTAGAATAGTTTTTTCTAGTTCTGTGGAAAATGATATTGGTTGTTTGATATTTGATAGTAATGGCATTGAGTCTGTAGATTGCTTTGAGCAGTATGGCCATTTTAATGATATTGATTCTTCCAATCTCTAAGCATGAAATATTTTCCCATTTCTTTGTATCATCTGTGATTTCTTTTAGCAGTGTCTGTAGTTCTACTTGTAGAGATCTTTCACCACCTTGGTTAGATGTATTCCTAAGTACTTTTTGTATGTGGCTATTTTAAAAACAGGAACACAGTTAAACTTTATTATCATTAAACAGATGATTTGACTTTGGTGCCCTGGCTTGGGCACTGCTGGCTGGTCTCTTATGAGGTGCAGTATCACATGTGATCAAAGGGAAGAACGCCAATTCCATGTTGGTGCTGGTTGGCTGACAGTCCCAAGGCACTTGTTTGCTTTCAGGGCACTGTTAGGATTGCAGTTTGTGTCTCTTGGGCTAACAGAGATAAGAATTATATTATCTGTTTTTAAATAAAGTAATGCTTACAAAATGAACAAGTTGCTAAAAGAAGCCTGTACAGAAATGCAGATTGAAAATAATAATGATACAAACACAAGATAACAAAAAGAAAGCAGAGTTAATACTACTAGTCAGTAGCAATTTGAGATAAAATATAATGACATCATCATATGTGATGAGAAGTAAGCCAAAAATGGAAATTATTAAGGAGACATCTGAAATATATATATATATATATATATATATATATATATATATATATATTTATATTTCCTATAATTGCCTATACATTTGTTAAAGATGACTTTGGCCCTAAATATGTATCCCATCTTAAAATCTTGTCTAGTGAAAATATAAAGCCATAAATATTAATTTAGCATTAAAATATTTATTTTGTCTTTATCCTCAAAATTTTGTCTGTCTTTAATATAATATATAAATACAGTAGTACATGTGTATGTTTTATTTAAAAATACAGATACTACAGTTGCATGCTGAAACATTTTCTTAGTGAAAGAGAAGCACTGGTCTGAGTAAACAGTGTCTCTGACTAAGGTGGTGGCAGTGGAGATGGAGACGATTAGATGTCTTCATGTCTTTGAGAAAAATGTGCAAAGAAGAACCGGTGGAACTTTGTAATTGATTAGATCAGATGAGGAAGAGTGAGACATTGGGTGAAGGTTGACTGCCACATTTACAGTCAAACCAGGTGGAGGGTCGGACCATTTTTTGAGACTTAGGTTTGAAAGACAAGAATTCTGAGTTCAGTTTTAGACATAGTAAGTTTGGAGTACCAGTGAACTATCCAAGTGGTCAGTTAAGTACTCCACTGTTGAGATCAGAAGGGGGACTGGACTAAAAATATTACTTGCTAGTGATCTCCATATATGTGGTAACAAAAGGTATGAATACGATTAAGATCACCAGAGGAGAAAATACCTAGTGAATGGAGAAGAAAGCCAAGGATTGGGCACTGAAATCCTGACTGACTTAGTTAGGATGGAGGAAGGGCCTATTCCGGAAAATAAAGGGGAATAAAAGGCCAGATAATTAGAAGGAAAACAAGGAGAGTAGATCATTATAGAAACTAAAGGAATGACAGGGGAAAGGCATGTCAAATGATGCTAAGAATTCATGTTAAATGAGGGCTCAAAAGTGCCAGGATTTGGCAATGTAGAGATTATCCATAACATTTCAGAGAGCTGTTTGGAGAGTTAAGAAGTCCAAGGCAGAAGTCTGATGTGAGTGGACTTGCTGCTTAAGTGAACATGGAACCATCACCCAACTAACTGCATTTTTTCATTCCAAAATAATATTTGCTTTCTGGTTATAAAAATGTACTTTTTAATTAGAGAAGAATGAGGAAATATGGAGACAAAAGAAGACAAATAAAATGATTCCCAATTTTCCAACCAATGTCAGCTAATATTAATATTAATCTATTGACATTTTCTTTTTTTTTATTTTATTTTATTTGTATACTTATTAATACAGATAGTTATAATTTTTATTTGAGTATTGTCGACTAAGTTGCCTTGATCTTATTATTCTGCTTTCTTTTCTCTATGTTTCTTCTTGCCTTTAAGTATTTTTGAAATTACAATCTCGGCTGGATGTGGTAGCTCACATCTGTTTTCCCAGCACTTTCGGAGACTGAGGCAGAAGGATCCCTTGAGCCCAATAGTATGAGATCAGCCTGAGCAACATGGTAAAATCTCATAGGTAAAAAATACAAAAAAAAAAAAAAAAAAAAAATAGTTAGCTGGGCATGGTGGCATCTGGCCTGTAGTCCCAGCTTCTCCAGAGGCTAAAATGTGAGTCGAGGGAGGTCGAGGCTGCAGTGAACCAAGATTAATGCCACTGCACTCCAGCATGGGTGACAGCGACATCTTGACTCAAAAAAAAAAAAGATTAATATTTTTAACAGCTGAAAAATATTTCTAAATCTGATTATATCAAAATGAATATGCTTATTAATTTTAATTGGCCAAATAAGTCATTTGTAATTTTCACTTTTATATATGATTCTGTATGAGCATCATGTATATAAATCTTTGACTAGGAGACAGTCATACAAGTGATACTCCTGGTTCTTCAAAGGCTTGCTCTCTCTCTGTCTATCCAAGATTCTTCTGAGGAAGTACTACTTAGTACCCATTACACTCTATCAGCCTCATTTTGTACACTTTCATGCACATTCTAATCCCTCTCTTAAAATAGTGTTTGTGTATGTGTTATTTTTTGTAAATGTATTTCTCAAGTACAGTATGCGTGTGTTTGCATTTTGCTTTTTACCCTAATTGAGTCTTATCTTTTAATAAGGGTACTTAATACTTTTATATTGATTATTATAATTTATATACTTTGTAGTCTGTCATCATATGCTATGCTGTTGCATGTTTCCTGGGTCTTTACCCTTTTCCTCTGATTTTTGCAACATGGACTTGGCTTTGTTTTGCAGTTGCCTCAAAGGTATTGAGTTACAAACCTTATGCTTACAAGCTATTCCAAAAGAAAATGTCATTTCCTGAGATAAATTGGCTGCATTTTATTGTTTTGGGAAATTATTTGTTTGCAAAGTCACTTGTATATTCCAGGGGACTGCCACTCTTTAGAACAGTGGTGTTTTCTTTCTATTCCACTTGTGCTGGCCTTGCCTCCCTCTCATTAACATTTGTCTATTCTTTCCAATCTGCTGAGGAAGATGAAAGAGAAAAAAAAAATGTACACTGACATTTATTGAGTGTCTGCAGTATAGCCCTTATTTACACAGAGTATTTTATTTAATCTTAATAATCCTGCAAGGTAAATACATTGTCATTTTACAGGTGAGGAAACTAAATTTAAAAGGCATACTTGGTCATTTAATTTCCTTAGTAAATAGTAGAGTCAGAATTCCAGGTGGTTCTTCAACAAATACTTATTGAGTGCTTACTTTACAGAAATTGTTGTACCCTTTAGGGGACATAAGGGAATAAAGTATATGAAGATCCCTGCTCTCATGGAGCTGAGACTCTAGTGAGTAGAGAGAGACACTAAACAAGAGAGTAGGTAAATTACAGTGGGACAGAAAGTGACAGGTACTGTGTAAAAAGTAAATTTGAACAGAGTAAAGGGAATCCAGAAAGGATGACAGATTTCAGTTTTAAATTGGGAGGTCAGAGCAGGCTTCCTTGGAAAGTGATCAGACTCTAAAGCTTATTTTCTTTATACCACACTATGCTGCTACTTCTGTGTCAAAATTCATTATTATTGGATTACCCCCTTCTTACCCAATTAGGGCCCTGAGCCTTTCTGAGTTTCTTATTGCTGTGAATGTAAATCTTCTTTCCTCCGTAAAGAAAGAGGGCAAGGATTTTTTGTTTTGTTTTGTTTCAGTGTAAGGTTTTCCCAAGCCTAACCTCAATTAAAACTCCAGCTTTCTTTACAGTATTTTTACAAGCCATTTCCTCTCTCATTATATTTTTCATGGTGTTTTCACATTATTTAACATGTCTTATTTCACAACGGATATGATTTTGAAGAGTTTCATGTCAGTGGAATTTTTCTGAATAACATCAAACTTTAAACTCCATTTTTTTTGGTAACTTGGACAGTTGTGCCTTGCATTTTCTGTGTTAATATTTTTAGTTATGGGGCTGTTTAATGCATGTTGAGCCAGGTGGGAATGTGGCAGAGCTCATATGAAATAAACTTGTTACCTTCCTTAGTTAAACAAAGTGTATATAATAAGAAATAGAAAAAAGAAATAGTGTGTAATAAATTTCTGCTTATGATACTTAAAACAGCATTAGCTTTTTATTTCACAAGTGGTACTAAACTGAAGGGATCACTGCTGAGAAATGTCTTATGCCATTTATGTTATAGAGAGAGATGCCATCTAGACCGTAAAGCATTTTGCTTAAATAGTTTAATATGAAATGGCAAATACATTCCATTAGGATAAGAAAGGTATTGTTGCCAGGGAGTTGTTTCACTGGAAATGTTTAAATCCAGCAGCTGGGAAAAGGGAAGGGTGACTCGGGTACAAAGGACACCGATTAAATGCAGTAACTTATTAATTTTCTTTGCCAATAGTGTGAGTGTTAAATTTTGTTTATAAATTTTGTTTATTTCAGTATAATATGGTTGGTCTTTGGGTCTTTTCTAGGTTTGTGATTTGGCTTTTAGCCTGAAGAAAATGCTGATTCGACACAAGATGACTCATAATCCCAATCGTCCCCTGGCAGAATGCCAGTTTTGCCATAAGAAGTTTACAAGGAATGACTACCTCAAAGTGCACATGGACAATATCCATGGTGTAGCTGACAGCTAATAGGGGCTGTAAAGGAATTAAACTATTCAGAAGGGCTCCTAATATGAATCCCAGATTTTTATCACCTGATCAGCATAACAGAAGTAGCCAAAAGTGACTTACTGGTCTCATAGTTCTTATTTGCCTACATTTAGAGTCTGTAGATGCATATGCAACCAAAAAAAAGTCTTACTTTTAACAAGAAATGGTATAAATGGAAAAAAAATACAACTCCATAGCCTTGCAAAATGCAACTTGTGCTCTGTCTTATAAAAATGGAGAAAGGAGTCATGGCTCTCTTTCTTGGCCATCCCTCTGTAATGAAGTTTATAATATACTTCCCTAATAGGCCTTTTTATTTTATTGTTATTCTTTGTGTGTCTGTGTGTCTGTGTGTCTGTATGTGTCTGTGTGTGTGCACTCACTTGCAAATGCCAGTTGTTGCAGCTGGTTTTACCAATTTAAATAGAAATAAATCAAGATATCCAACTATTTCTTTGCAGATGAGGATAAGAATAAGTTATCAAAGTCTCAAGTTTGATAGGAAAATAAATAGTTGCTATTTTATAAGACAAACCAAGAGCTGAGCTTATCTAATAGCTCTGTGCAACAAATGAGTTTAAAATAGATATTTGATAACTAAAACATCTATTAAAATATTGCTCATTTTAGAGGATTCTTAGGAAACATTATTTATTCTCATCATTCAGATGCAGACATTCATGGTCTGGAATACTTTTATAAGTTCTACACAAAAATGACCATCACATTTAAATATTCAGCAGGCTACCCCTCTTGAATTTAGACCATTTAGCTTTAGAAATTAACAGTATACCAATATATATAATTAAAAATAGAAACCAAATAGATTCTCTGTATTTGGCAACAGAGTGGCAGAACAATAGTGGCATCTCCACATTTGTTAGGATGAACATAGCCCTTTCCCCTCTCCTTCCATAAAAGTGCACAGAACATGTTAGTGCAGATACAGTCCTCAGAACATTAACATTCCATTTTGCAAAAGACATTTTCCAGAATCTTGGCAGTAGGTAATTCTGAAACACTTTTGAATTACCTTCAATCATCCCATATAATTAGGAATCCAGAATACAAAGTACAAACTTGGCAATTGTTATGATTGAAACTGTCACTGATGCTTAAGGGAAATTGAAGCAAGAAGCATAATTTCTTCCTTTAGGTTATATTTCAGCAAAATACTTGACAGCAACATACAATGAACAGCTTGTTTGGAGAGATGATATGATACAATGTAATAGTGATGTCAAAATAACCTGGAGGAATATCCAAAAACCAGAAAAACGTTAAAATGAAGCCCAACTCATGAACCTCTCTAACTGAAGCCCAGTCAAAAGAAAGGAAGTATAGTTTTAAGGAAGTTATTTGGTTCTAATGAGTTAAGGAGAAAGGTTATCTGAGACACAGTTCTTTGACTTCAGGAATCTCATTTTAGAATTATATTCATGCCCAGTTCCAGTTTTAAAAAGAAACATAAAGATTCAATGTAGACATTTGAATGTTGTAAAATACTAAATTTGAAACTCAGAAGAGATAACTTTTAAAAACATAAATCCTAAAATTATAGTTTAGAAGATATTTAAGTATAGTTATATGTAGTATTTTGAATCTGAAATTATAGACTGTATTTTATAAAAATAAATTTTGGTCTTGTTTCTCACTATATCATTTGTTTCAACAATATATTTTTAGATCTAAAGTGTTTTCATTTTAATATGATAGTGTGTTTAATATCATTTGAATATAAAAAGACAGCTGTAAAATTTGATAGTGTGTATTATTTAAGCACATCCTGTATATTTCTTTGAATGCTGCTTTCTCTATATGGGATGCTTTATATCCCGATTATGTGATGAATGTAAAACTTGAAAGGAGTCCAAATTCCAATTTTGTGTAATCTCAGTGAGTCACAGTTCACATGGCTGCTGGGGAAATTACCCTGAAAACTGTGGTGTCGCTATGCTGTGGAGTAAACAGACAGGCAAGAGGTGCTGGGCTTTATCCTGCTGAAGGTTTATAGACATGGAAATCTTTAGAAAATGGTGTAGAAGGACCTACACCAGAGAGTGGTACACCACTCTCTCCTTTCAGAGGACTGAAACCAAAACAAGTCCTTAGTAGACTATTTGTATGCTGTAAATTTTTATCCAAAAGACAAGTATTCATGGGTAGTTTCAGATATATTAGCATTTGCTTGCTAAAACTTTTAAATTACTTAGTAATAACCAAAAAAAGACACTATTTTAGGCATGATTGATCAATTGAAAGCATAGATAATCATAAGGAAAAGTCTTACAGACAAGCTGAAGTACAGGTACCTACTTTGAAATGTCTTCTGTTTCCTGCTGTGAAAGATTTTGGCTGGGGTATTTTCTTGAGAAAAGACCAGACCCTTAGGTGCCTATAAAGTCTAAGTAATTGAGACTTAGAAATTGGCTAAGTAAATTTAAGAGACGTTCAATAATGTAGGTGGGTTCAGATACCCTTTTATAATAACTGTCTTCTTAGTATATTAACACTCAAGATGTTTGTGTATCTTTAATTTGCCTTTGTTTCACAATAACTGGCTTTTGTTTTCCTTTTCATGGTGTGTTGTTGGCTATATAGAGGCATTTATTGGTAAATTATAATCAGCAGTTGCACCATGGAAGTATTCTTGGTGATAAATTCTTGGGGTTACATAGTATAGTTAACATGTTATTTTCAAGAAACATGAGTGTGTGTGTCTGTGTGTGTGTGTCTGAAGAGTATCACTTATATGCAGTGCATATACATGTAAGTGCATTACTTTGCTCAAATATCTTCTGACCTATTACAGTCAACTCATGCATGAGTGTGAACATGTATTACAGAAGGTCTTACAGCCTTAGTTTCTGTTTTAGATTTTATGTGCTGCTTCCTTTCTCAAACAAAAGCATGAAAGGAAAGAGGATAAGTACTAGAAATATTCATTTTTTTCCTTCACAAATCTAAATGTTGCTTATGAAAACTCATCTTAGAGTAATGAATATGTGGAAGTGGGTAGGTAGGAGGAAATGTGCCTCTTTAAAATCCTAAAATTTTACCATTGATATTGACATTTGTTTGCGTGTATATAAATGGAGCATGTGTAAATATAGAATTCCAATAGCATTTTTTATTTTATTATAAATCTATAATAAATATATATAAATCACTACCAGACTTGGTGTTAGCATTTTATTTTACTATAGAACTATGGTACCATTCTATGGTAAAATCCAAATGAATTGCTTTAAAGTTGTTTTTGATGAATGAAAGAAATGTAATTGCCATTACCTCCAGACCTCATGCTTTTATACTTTATACATCCAAGTGTTTCTCAATCTGCAAAGTACCTCTGAAGTTGAGCCAAGTTGGTCTCAGGGCTATAAGAGATATTTTCCTTGCCTCTCTTCTCATTCCTGGTTATACAAAGAACAATGTGAAAAGGATCATCACTAAGAATGAATGAAACCTGGTAACTAAGAATGAATGAAACCTGATTAGTAGCATCTTAAGTAAAAATAACTTGATGCTCACAAATATAATTTAAGGGTAATAAAAGTTATGGCAAATGTTTCAGGTATTCCTTTTATTTTAAATTTATGTTTATCATTTTGATGTTGCCCCAATCTTGTGAGATTTTCTTGATACAAAAAATAATCATCTGAGTAGTGGATTTAGAAATTATGCATTCATTTAACTTTGATTTTTCAGAATCAGCTGAGGCACTAGTTCTTTGGAGCTGACTCATAGCCTTAGCTAGCTTGGGCTTAAAACTGTATTATCACTCTACACATTGTTAATTTGTTGTATGACAGAATAAAAAATTAACTCTGGAGCCTTCATTGTGGGCATGTTAAAATATTCTAGATATTCTAGGCCCAGGAAATAGTCTGGAATGTAACAACTACTTATATACTAAAATAGTGCTGCAGATGCAATGTCCAAATTCCTCTTCTTCCTTTTTTAAAAAAATTCTTAACACAATACTGAAACAAATGTTCATATTTAGTTAGAAAATATATAGTATTTAATTTCCTGAAATTAAAACATATATTTAGTTACCTAAATATTTGATTAGCATGTTTAGCTTCCTAATAATGCAAACTTTTAGCCAATTAGAATAAGGTCTTAGTCCTTGAACCCATGCCACCTTAGCATACTACATGGTAGGAGGAAACTAATCTAAGATGTTAAATTATATCAATAATGCATATGTTTAAAATTAAGAAAGCATATAGGACCACTGAAGCTTGATCATCTAAATCAATGCAAAACAGTTCAAACAAAATATCACTGCTCCTGACAAGGGAAACTGTAGACCTACTAGGAATTAGCTACACTTAAAAAATTCAAAAAATATCAATTTATCTCTTTAAAATAGTATAAAAATGAAGAGAGTCCCAGCTCACAATGGATACGTGAATCACTCCATTACTATTTTTTGATTTTGTCTTCTTACAGACTATCTAATAATGCTTTCTTTCCTTAATTTTATCTGATATCTTTTTCTTTAATGTTTGACTGGCATATCTTTTTTCATTTTTCTACTGAAAACTTTTCTGTGATTATATGAAAATTTTACATTTTTTAAATGAACTGATGTTAAGATTTCTTATTTTTTATCCTGTCTGACAGCACTGAATTGAGTGCTTTTCAGTCCGCGATGATGGCTTTGTCCTGCCTTTCTCACTGTCTCATCTTGCCTCATTTGGATGGTGGCCTGAGCTTGTATTGGAGGCCCTTCTCAAAGAGAAATCTGGTGCTTCATACGTAGCATATGAAATTTATCTGGACACATGTATAGTAATACATTTAAAGCTGAATGAGTTCATTATTGGAATTAGTGTTAAAACAATATATTATCTATTCATTCCTTAGTATCTGATAAATACATAAAAACATGAAGTACATTGACCCCAACTCTATACTTTTTATTTTCTAAAGTAATTATTAGCATCTGAAGAACCAAAATTGCCTTTAATGGATGAAAACTGGTTGGAAACTAAATGTTAATGACATGTGAGCAAACTATATAGTTCTCATTCTGTGTAGGCATATAAAGAGTATGGAGATGGGGAGCAATGTGACATTTAATTGATTATAACACTTTTATTTAAATTGGCAAACTGATGGGTCCTTTTGTGGATTACTACATGTAGTAATTAAGAATTTTGAGGCTGGACACGGTGGCTCATGCCTGTATTCCCAGCACTTTGGGAGGCCAAGTTAGGCAGATCACTTGAGCCCAGGAGTTCGACAACAGCCTGTGCAACATGGCGAAACCCCATCTCTACCAAAAATACAAAAATTAGCTGGGTGTGGTGGCACGCACCTGTAATCTTGCCTGTAATCTCAGCTACTCAGCTGAAGCAGGAGGATTGCTTGAACCCTGGAGGCGGAAGTAGCAGTGAGCCAAGATTGCACCACTGCACTCCAGCCTGGGCAACAGAGCGAAACCCTGTCTCAAGAAAAAAGAAAAAAAAAAAAAAGAATTTTGAAAATCTAACTAGTGGAAATCAATCATTACTTTTGACTTGTCTAGTTTTATTACTGAAATGTAGGAAATCTTCTCTAGACCTTACTTCTAATCAAAAGGCTCACCACATAAGTAAAATAATTGTTTGCTGCTCATCTTCCACCTGACAAACACAGTGCATAGCTTTATCCAGAAAAAAAAAAGAATATAAAGCAGGGTCAAGTACAACTGTATCACTTTCATTCTTTCCTTCTCTCCTCGCATAAAATCCATCTCTTATGTTGTTTCAGCTGCAGTATAACTGGTGTAGTCTCCAGTTCTACCCTTTTAAGAGTGACAAGCTGGTTTTGTTCCTGGACTCAAATTATGATATTTAGGATATTAAATTGTTTCCTTTCTGCTCTGACTAAAATATGAAATTGGGGTCTACAAATTTAGCTGGTTAAGATACTATTAGACTAAGTATGTGAGTTGAGCCAGTTGGCTTTATCCTGATAAAAACTATTCCACAGTTTTCTAAGCTACAGATCTGACCCGAGTTGCATCAGTGCAGTAAAGGGCAGATGACTTGTTGTTTACCACAGATCTAGATAAAGGGGGTATATGGATGGCACAGAGTCACTAGAATGAAACGAGGAATACAAAATATATGTTCTATAAGCCAAAACAATCCTGAGAAAGAACAAAGCTGGAAGCTTCACACATCCTGATTTCAAAACGTATTACAAAATTACTGTCATCAAAACAGTATTTATGCCAGTTTTTACTGGCATAAAAACAGATATGTACAGGCCAATGGAACAGAATAGACAGCATAGAAGTAAACCTTCATGTATACAGCTAAATGATCTTTAACAAGAGAGCTAAGACTACACAGTGGGAAAAGATAGTCTCTTCAATAAATGGTATTAGGAAAACTAGATATCCACATGTAAAAAAAGAAGTTGGAGCCTTACACCATATACAAAAATTAACTCAAAATGGATTGAAGATCTAAATGTAAAACCCAAAACTTTAAAACTAGAAAGAAATATGGGGGAAAATGCTTTATGGCATCATATCTGGCAATGATTTCTTGGATAGGACACCAAAAGCAAAGACAACAAAAGCAAAAATAGACAAATGGAACTACATCAAACTTAAAAACTTCTGCACAACAAATGAAATAATCAGAGTGAGAAGCAACCTATGCAATGGGAGAAAACATTTGCAAACCATGTATCTGTTAACAAGTTAATATCCAAAATATGTTAAAAATTCCTACAACTCAACAACAATAAAAAACAACCCAATTGAAAAATGGACAAAGGACTTGAGTAGACATTTATCCAAAGAAGATAAATGGCCAAAAAAAAAAGCATACAAAAACATGTTCAACATTACTAATCACCAGTGAAATGCAAATCAAAACCACTATGAAGTGTCACCTCACACCAATTAGAATGGCCACTTCAAGAAAAAGAAAATATAACAACCATTGATGAGGATGTAAAGAAATGGAAAGCACTGTGCACTATAGGTGGGAATGTAAAATGGTACAGCCACTATGGGAAACAATATGGACATTTCTGAAAAAAATAAAAAGACCGTATGATCCAGCAAACCCACTTCTTGTTACTAATCTGTATTAGTCCATTTTGTGCTGCTATATCATAATACCTAAGACTTGATAATTTATAATGGATGAAAATGTATTGCTCACAGTTCTGGATGTCGGGAAGTCCAAGATCAAAGTGCAAGCACTGGCAAGGATGTTATTGTTGTGTCATTCCATAGCGGAAGGTGAAAGGGCACAAGAGAAAAGGGGATTGAACTCATCCTTTTATAAGGAAACTATTCTCACAATAGTGGCATTAATTCACTCATAAGGGCAGAGCGCTCATGACCTAATCACCTTCTAAAAGTCCCACCTCTTAATACTGTTACAATGGCAACTAAATTTCAACATGAATTTGAGAGGGGACAAAGATTCAAACCGTAGTATTATCCCAAAGAATTGAGAACTGGATTTCAAAGAGATATTTGAACACATTGTAGCATTATTCACAGTATCAAGAGGTAGATGTAGCCTAAATGTTCATCAGTGGATGAATGGATAAAGAAAATTTCATGTACACCTACAATGGAATAATATTTAGCATTACAAAAGAAAGAAATAATTTCATATGCTACAACATGGAAACTTGAGGACATTATGCTAAATGAAATAAGCCAGTTAGAAAAAGACAAATACTGCATCATTTCACTTAAATGAGGTATCTAAAGTAGCCAAACTAATAGAAAATAGAATGTAACAACCAGGGAAGGCAAAGAAGGGAAAATAAGAGTTGTTAAATGGGTATAGGGTTTCAGTTTTGTGAGATGAAAAAGTTCTAGAGGTCTGTTACACAGCAATATGCAATAGTTAACACTACCGTGCTGTATACTATACACTTAAAAATTGTTAAGATGAAAAAAGAAAATGTATGTCCTATAGATAGGGTTACAATAATACTCTTCTAAAAATAAGTACGTTTAAATTAAAATTTCAGATAAAAATACTGCAATTTAAGAATTAAAACATCCTTCCTAAGGCATATATGTTATATGTAGAGTTGAGATTTAACCTTCATCTCCTGAGTTTTGTCTCTCTTCTTACTGGAGGTCATATTACAAATATACAATTTCAATTCTGAGTTTGAATTTTATCTCTAAATGGATAAAGATGTGACCTTCTTTCAGTACTCCTTTGAAGGAGTGATTTGTAACTTAAGTATAGAAACATATGATTATATATAATATAAATTTTTGTATCTGATGATTAAATTAAAACTAATGTTCAATTAGACCAAGTTTAGCTAAGTCAGAAAAGTAAGTAAAACATATTTTGGGGAAGGGGAAGGGAATGGTCAATTATTACCAACTTTGAATTTGAGATGAGTGTTAATATAGATATTTAATAGATAAAATCTTTAAAAGCTTATTTAAACACCAAATTAATGACATTTTCACATTTCTTATATATTACCTTCTTCTTTGAAAATTACACCTTTAGCTAGTTTCCTGGATTGTCTATTGCAAATGCACAAATGTCTGAGGAGTAAAAATACACATATGTAATTGAAATGAATAGTATATAAACTTCATGTTATAAATCAGATATAAGATTATCAGTTAGAAGCACGAAATATCCTGAACAGTTTTGCTTTAACTGAGGAAATACTTTAACAAAGGTACAATGTAACACATCAATTTTAAAATTTAGTTACAAAATATATTTTAGTTGATACTCAAAGCTATATAAGTCCACAATTCTCTCTATTCCTAGGAGAGAGAAAGGAAAGAAGAATGAAAGGAGTATTAGGCCGTTCTTGCATTGTCATAAATACCTGAGCCTGGGTCTCAGGTATTACCTATAAAGAAACAAATGTTTAATTGGCTCACAGTTATGCAGGATATACAGGAAGCATGGTATTAGCATCTGTCAGGCTTCTGGGGAGGCCTCAGGGACCTTTTCTCAAGGCAAAGGCAAAGCAGGAGAATGCATATCACATGGCCAGAGCGGGAGCAAGAGAGAGAAGTGGGGTGGGTGGGGAGATACTACAGACTTCTAAACAACCAGATCTCACAAGAACTCACTATTGCAAGGAGAACACTAAGGGGATGGTGCCAAACCATTCATGAGAAATCCACCCCATGATGCAATCAACTCCCACAGGACTCCACCTCCAACATAGGGGATTACAATTCAACATGAGATTTAGAGAGGATACATATCCAAACTATATGAAAAGGAATAAAGGACAAAAAGAAAAGGAGGGAAGAAAGACCATAAATTTGAAAAGATGATAAATCTGTAACATCATTTACTTAACTGAATGATGTCAATTTTTTTAAACAAAACAGATTTAATAGTATCTACTTGTTGAGTTTGTTTTGAGAAATAAATCAGAAAAAGCATAACACTATCTGCAATGGATGCCTGACACAGTTCGAGTTCAAGAAGTGGTATTGCCTTAGCTCCTCCAAATATTTCACCTATATATGCTGCTTAGAAACCTCCCACCACTCCGCAGCATTCCAGCTTACACCCTGAAGCAAAATAGTCATGAGCCAAATTGATAACATTTTAATTTGTATATCATGACATAACTATAGTGATAGAAGCATTTCATTTGGGAATATTTTTGAAAGTCCTTAAGCACTGTACTTACCAATTTAACACATAATACTTTATTAATGATACCTATTCTTTTAACTAAAACATCAAAAGAAGATATTTTATCAGTACCTAGACTATCAGGTATTTTTTATTATGTTTGAACTATATCCAGCTCTTATCTTAAAACTTAATCTAATCAATAACTTTGATTTTATAAACCTTCAGCTACCTACCTCCTTATTAACAAAATTAAATAATAGTATTCAAATATTCAAAAGAGGGAATAACCTTACTATATTAATCACATTTTAAGTGATATAGCTCATATCAAAATGAAATTTGCCATAAGTAATAAAAACTGGCTATTAAAATAATGTAATTACATCAAAAACCACAAATTAATTCAAGTGTTTACATATGAATCTGAATACATCTTTCCTTTTTTAGACACATTAAAAGAAAAGGAAGAAATACTCTGAGAAGATTAAGAAACCGAAATTTGTCATTTATGCATTATGGCTAACTTCAGCTGATATTTTGGGGGAAGAAAAAGGTAAAATGACATCCTATGAGATGAAAAACAAGTTTACATCTTTGAAAAATAATATTAATGTAATATTCAATGTAATATTCTTTGAGAATATTACATTAATTTTTTTATGTAATTCATGTATTTATGTAATTTTTATTCATGTAATTATTCATGTAATTATTCTTTGAGATAATTTTTGAATACTGGTTCTCTGAGCAAAAGAACAGTAGTGAAATATTATAAAATTAAAGGCATTTTATAATACAGGATCATGTTGGTCAGACATGAGTACTATTGCAAATTAGATAAGCCCCAAAAGGAGAGCATTAATTAGAAGTGCCCCAATGTGATTGATAAAGGGAGCCTGAGCAGCCAGAAATGATAAAGAACACAAATCTTGAAGATCTGAGTGTCTTTTGGCCTTCATGGTATCTGAATAGTAGGGTATGTTAACATCTCTGAAAAAAAGCCTGATTTTCATATTCTCTTTAGTCTTGCTATCGTTAGAGACTCCAGGAGAAGTGGATTTGTTTTCTTAATCAAATTAGGTATGTTCATGGAACTGGTCCAAATATGACCTTCTTTCTTGCTGACAAGGAAGTGCTTATCTGACGGGGTGTGTTTCATCAATTAAAATATTTCTCATCTTATTTGGATGCTTTGTAGTCCCTGATATAAGGGGATATGCTTGGATATGAATGTTAAATGTTGAGGCTCACTGTATATCAAGCTTTTGTTGTTTATAATTGTTGTTGTGACGTGTTTTCAGAAGGAATTGTCCCGACCAAAATGTCTGACATTAACTGATCTTTCTCCACAGAACATCCTGTGGTAAATTATTACATTAATGACTCCCAGTAAATCATGGCTCCTGGCACATGAGTAAGCAGAAGCAAGGCAGTAGAATAACCTCTCACTCAACCTACAGAACCATGAAAAATAATTCATTACTGTTGTTTTAAACGCCCAAATTATGTGGGGGTGGTTGTTACAAAGTAATAGATAAATACAGAAATTAGTATATAGAAAAGCGTTTCTACTTTAACAAAATCCTATAATATATGCCATTGTCTTTGGGACCAGGCAATGGGCATAAGCTGGAAAAAAATAGCAAGTGAGCTTCTGATAGAGATTGGAGGAATGGCAAATACATTTTAGTGAATGCTGAAAAAGTGTTGAGGCTGCTATTGGAGGTTTGAAAAATAGCGACCCATGTTTTTTCATTATGAAGCAGTTTGTCTCTGTAGTAAAATTAAAGTTAGAAAATATGTACCTAATGAATATGTAGACCTAGCTAAAGAGCCTCCCACAAAGAATGAAGAAACTGCAATTGACTTCTTTTAGCTGTATATGATAAGGTATAGGAAAAGAAAGATTAACCAAGGAAGGAATGTTCAATTTGCAAACAGAATTTAGAAGAAATATAGATGAACCAAGTCATGCTGGGTTGAGGAAAATAGAATGGTTTTACATTTCCAGTCTCTTTAGCCAACAGATTCTCAAAGTAGGAAAAGCCTCAGGGCAAAATCAAATCAGGGATGTTATTCATAAAAGCTTTTATAAAGATGTCAGGAAGATTGAAGGCAATGGCCTAGTAGACCCCCAGTTCAAATAGACAAAAAGATTTCTAAGGATATTAAGAGTGTTGTTCCCGACATTTCCTGCTAACTAGAGAGGTCTGTTGTAAAAGAATTATAGAAATGGTATTTGGGGTGTGGAATAAACCTCAATCATAAAAGTGCCCAAAGAGCATCAGATTAAAAGGGACTGAGTCAGTAAAGAATGAAAAAGCAGCTGGACCCCACCCAACATTCTGTGAGCAGGAAGAAGACTGGGAAAACTCTCCCACTATTTGAAGCTATTCAAACAGACCATTTCCTATGAAAAAAGAAGACCCTCTCTAAGGACGGAACCAAGAAGAGCAATGAAGAAGGGAGCAACTCCTGTGGAACGAGACTGGGCCCTCATTCCTTGGCTTTGAATGGGAACATGTTTTTAAACGTGTCCAGCTGGATTTCAAAACTTCCATGTGCCTATTATGTGCCTCTCATTTCTCCTTTATTTGTCATCTGCATATAGGAAAAGTTTTATTTCCTTGTAGGACTCTTCAGGTTATCTATTTTATCTTGGGTGGGTTTCAGTAGTTTGTGGTTTTCTAGTCATTGGTCAATTGAACAATTTCATCTAAGCTGTCAAGTTAGTGTATAGAGTTGTTAGTTGGTAATGATAGCTCCTTCATTCCTGATACTGGTTTACTGTGTCTTTTTTTTCGTGGTCAATCTTATTAGAGAGTTATTAATTTTATTGATTTTTCAGAGAAACAGCTTCTGATTTTATTGATTTTCTATATAGATTTTCTGAATTTTATTTTATTAATTTCTGTTCTTATATTTACTATTTTCTTTCTTCTACTTACTTAGAACTAATTTTGCTCTTCTTTGTCTAGTTTCTTATGGTAGGAGCTTAAATTGCTGATTTGAGACTTTTTTCTTATATAAGCATTTAACGTTGTCAGTTTCACTCTGAATTACTGTCATACCATCCCACAAATTTTGATATGTTGTATTTTTATTCAGTTCAAAATATTTCTTGCTTTTCTTTTAGACTTACTCTTTGGTCTATGAAATATGTAGAAATTTATTGCTTGATTTCCAAGTACTTGATGATGTTCTTAGTATCTTTCTGTTGTTAATTTTTTGTTTGATTCTATTATGGCCAGATAATATACTTTGTATTACTTAAATGTTTAAAAATTTATAGTATGTGTTTTATGACCCAGGATATGATCTGATTTGAAGAATGTTTTGTGTTCATCATAATATGATGAAGAATATGGATGAAGTATTCTATAAATATCAGCTAGACCCTTTGATTGTTGGTGCTGTTTAATTCTTCATAGCCTTGCCAATCTTCCTGTCTCCTAGTTTAATCTATTCCTGAAATAGGAGTATTGACATTTCTGATTATTATGGTGAATATGTCTTTCTTCTTTTCGTTCTGGCAATTTTTGCTTTATGTATTTCAAAGTTCTGCTTCAGAGTGCATACTCATTTAGAAATGTTGTTATGTGAATTGACACTTTTTATTGTCATGTAATATCCCTCTTTATCTCTGGTAATTCCCTTTGTTCTGAAATCTACTTTATATAATACTAAATTAACCATTTCATTTATGTTTGTTACCACTGCTTTATATTCCTTTCTTTCCTCTTTCCTGCCTTCTTTCAGGTTATTTGAATATTTTTATTATTCCATTTTATTTTGTCTATTGTGTATTTTTATATGTCTCTCTGTGTAATTTTTTAGTGGTTGCTCTGAAATTCCTATAAACCTACTTACGTTTTCACAATCCACTTAAAATCAGTATTTTACTACTTCAAAAGGAATGTAGAGATCTTACCCCATATCGGTTCCTTTACTCTTCCCTCTTTATGTTATAGTTGTTTGACATATTAAATCTACCTATATTGAAAACTCCATCAGGCAGTGTTAATTTTTTGCTTTCAACTGTCAAACATATGTTAAATAACTCAAGTGGAGAAGAATAGTGTGTTATGTTTACCTAGATTTTTGCCACTCTGTTTCCCTCCTTCATTCTTAAAGTTCTAGGTTTCCTTCTCATGTCACTTCCCTTCTCTGAATAACTTTCTTTAGCAAAAGTTTCAGAGCAGATCTGCTGGTAACAAGTTTTCTCGGTTTATCTTCATCTGCAAATGTGTTTACCATTCCTGAAGGATATTTTTAATGGATATGGAATTCCAGGTTGACAGTTCTTTTCTTTCATCACTTTAAAATACTGGTTCAGGTCTCTGTGGTTTCCGATGGGAAATATGTACTCTTTTGTGTCGTTTTCCCCTTAGAGGTAATGTTACTTCCTGTTGACTGATTTCTAGATTTTTCTTTGTCTTTAGTTATAAGTAATTTGATTATTGTGTGCCTGGGTGTGGATTTTTTTAAGTTTGAGGTTTGCCATGATCCTCTTTTTAAAAAAGTTTCAATAGTTTTTTTGGGGGTACGGTGGTTTTTGGTTACATGAGTAAGTTCTTTAGTGGTATTTTCTGAGATTTTGGTACACCTGTCACCCAAGCAGTGTACACTGTACCCAATATGTAGTCTTTAATCCCTCCTCCTTCCAGCCTTCCCCACTGTGTCCCCAAAGTCAATTGTATCATTCTTATGCCTTTGCATCTTCATAGCTTAGCTCCCACATGTAAGTAAGAATATGCTATATTTGGTTTTATATTCTTGAGTTATTTCACTTAGAATAATGTCCTCCAGCTCCATCCAAGTTGCTGCAAAGGACATTATTTTGTTCCTTTTTATGGCTGAGTAGTATTCCATGACGTTATATAGGCCATGTTTTCTTTATCCATTCACTGGCTGATGAACACTTAGGTTGGTTCCATATTTTTACAACTGCGAATTGTGCTGCTATAAACATTCATGTGCATGTGCTTTTTCCTTTTTTACCCCATAAGTTATTGGGGTACAAGTGGTATTATGTTACGTAAGTTCTTCAACAGTCATTTGTGAGATTTTGGTGCACCCATCACCCAAGCAGTATACACTGCACCCCATTTGAAGTCTTTTATCCCTCGTTCCCCTCCCGCCCTCCCCCCAAGTCCCTAAAGTCCATCATATCATTCTTATGTCTTTGCGTCCTCATAGCTTAGTTCCCACATATCAGTGAGAACATATGATGTTTGGTTTCTCATTCCTGTTACTTCACTTGCTATAATAGTCTCCAGTCCATCCAGGTCTCTGCAAATGCAGTTAATTCTTTTCTTTTTATGGCTGAGTAGTATTCCATCATATGCATATACCACAGTTTCTTTATCAACTCCTTGATTGATGGGCATTTGGGTTGGTTCCATGATTTTGCAATTGTGAATTGTGCTGCTATAAACATGCATGTGCAAGTATATTTTTCATATAAAGACTTCTTTTCCTCTGGGTAGATACCCAGTATCTACTGGATCCAGTATCTGCTTGATCAAATGGTAGTTCTACTTGTAGTTATTTAAGGAATCTCCACACTGTTTTCCATAGTGGCTGTACTAGTTTACATTCCCACCAGCAGTGTAGAAGTGTTCTCTGATCGCCACATCCACACCAACATCTACTGTTTTTTGATTTTTCGATTATGGACATTCTTGCAGGATTAAGGTGGTGTTGCATTGTGGTTTTGATTTGCATTTCCCTGATCGTTAGTGATGTTGAGCATTTTTTTCATATGTTTTTGGCCATTTGTATGCCTTCTTTTGAGAATTCTTTATTCATGTCCTTAGCCCACTTTTTAATGTTTTTTTTTCTTACTGATTTGTTTGAGTTCGTTGTGGATTCTAGATATTAGTCCTTTGTCAGATATACAGATTGTGAAGATATTTTCCCTCCTTGTGGGTTGTCTGTTTACTCTGCTGACTGTTCTTTACACCATGCAAAAGCTCTTTAATTTAATTAAGTCCCAACTATTTATCTTTGTTTTTATTGCATTTGCTTTTGGGTTCTTTGTCATGAAATCCTTGCCTATGCCAATGTCTAGAAGGGTTTTTCCAATGTTATCTTCCAGAATTTTTATAACTTGGGGTCTTAGATTGAAGTTCTTAATCCATCTTGAGTTGATTTTTGTATAAGGTGAAAGATGAAGGTCCAGTTTCATTCTCCTACATGTGGCTAGCCAGTTATCCCAGCACCATTTGCTGAAAAGGGTGTCCTTTCCCCACTTTATGTTTTTGTTTGAATTGTTGAAGATCAGATGGCTGTAAGTACTTGGCTTTATTTCTGGGTTCTCTGTTCTATTCCAATGGTATATGTGCCTGTTTTTATACCAGTACCATGCTGTTTTGGTGACTGTGCCTTATAGTACAGTATGAAATCAGGTTGTATGATGCCTCCAGATTTGTTCTTTGTGCTTAGTCTTGTTTTGGCTATCCATGGGCTCTTTTTTGGTTCCATACGAATTTTAAAATTGCTTTTTCTAATTCTGTGAAGAATGATGGTGGCATTTTGATGGAGATTGCATTGAATTTGTAGATTGCATTTAGCAGTATGGTCATTTTCACAATATTGATTCTACCCATCCATGAGCATGGGATGTGATTCCATTTGTTTGTGTCATCTATGATTTCTTTTCAGCAGTGTTTTGCAGTTTTCCTTGTAGAGGTCTTTCTCCTCCTTGGTTTGGTATATTCCTTTTTTTTTTTTTTTTTTGGAGCTGTTGTAAAGGAGGTTGAGTTTTTATTTGATTCTCTGCTTGGTCTCTGTTGGTGTATAGAAGAGCTACTGACTTTTGTACATTCATCTTGTATCTGGAAACTTTGCTAAATTCTTTTATCAGTTCTAGTAGCTTTCTGGAGGAGTCTTTAGGGGTTTCAAGGTAAACCATCATATCATCAGCAAACAGTGACAGTTTGACTTCCTCTTTACCGATTTGAATGCCCTTTATTTCTTTCTCTCTTCTGATTGTTCTGGCTAGGACTTCCAGTACTATGTTGAAGAGGAGTTGTGAGAGTGGGCATCCTTGTCTTGTTCCAGTTCTCAGAGGGAATGCTGTCAACTTTTCCCATTCAATATTATGTTGGCTGTGGGCTTGTCATAGATAGGTGTTATTACATTGAGGTATGTCCCTAGTATGCTGATTTTGCTGAGAGTTTGTTTTAATCATAAAATGATGCTGGATTTTGTTAAATGCTTTTTCTGCATCTATTGAGATGATAATGTGATTTTTGTTTTTAATTGTTTATTGACTCACATATGTTTAACCATCCCTGCTTTCCTGGTATGAAACCCACTTGATCATGGTGGATTATCTTTTTGATATGTTGTTGGATTCAGTTAGTGTTGGATTCAGTTAGCTAGTATTTTGTTAATGATTTCAGCATCTATGCTCATCAAGAATATTGGTCTATAGTTTTCTTTTTTGGTCATGTCCCTTCCTGGTTTTGGTATTAGGGTGATGCTGACTTCATAGAATGAATTATGGAGTGTTCTTTCTTTCTCTATCTTGTGAGATACTGTCAGAAGGATGGTACCAATTCTTCTTTGAACATCTCGTAGAATTCTGCTATAAATCCGTCTGGTCCTGGACTTTTTTTTTTTTTTTTTGCTGGTAATTTTTAACTTACCATTTCAATCTTGCTGCTTGTTATTGGTCTGTTCAGGGTATCTAATTCTTCCTGATTTAAGCTAGAAGGGTTATATTTTTCCAGGAATTTATCCATCTCATCTAGGTTTTCTAGTTTTTGTGTGTAAAGGTATTCATAGCAGCCTTGAATGATCTTTTGTATTTCAGTGGTGTCAGTTGTAATATCTCCTGTTTCGTTTCTTAATAAGGTTATTTGGACTTTCTCTCTTCTTTTCTTGGTTAATCTTGCTAATGGCTTATCAATTTTATTTATCTTTTCAAAGAACCAGCCTTTTGTTTCATTTATCTTTTTTGTTGTTTGTTGTTGTTTCAACTTCATTTAGTTCTGCTCTGATCTTGGTTATTTCCTTTCTTCTGCTGGATTTGGTTTTGGTTTGTTCTTGTTTCTCTAGTTCCTTGAGATGTGACCTTAGGATGTTGGTTTGTGCTCTTTCAGTCTTTTTGATGTAGGCATTTAGGGATATGAACTTTCCTCTTAGTACCACCTTTCCTGTATCCCAGAGGTTTTGATAGGTTGTGTCATTATTGTCATTCAGTTCAAAGAACTTTAAAATTTCCATCTTGATTTCGTTTTTGACCCAGTGATCATTCAGGAGCAGGTTATTTAATTTCCATGTATTTGCATAGTTTTGAAGGTTTCTTTTTGAGTTGATTACCAGTTTTATTCCACTGAGAGAGTGCTCGATATAATTTCAATTTTCTTAAATTTATTGAGGCTCATTTTATGGCCTATCATATGGTCTGTCTTGGAGAAAGTTCCAAGCACTGTTGTGTAGAACATGTATTCTGTGGTTGTTGAATGAAATGTTCTGTATATATCTGTTAAGTCCATTTGTTCCAAGGTATAGTTTGAATTGTTTCTTTGTGGATTTTCTGTCTTGATGACCTGTCTAGTGCTGTCAGTGGAGTGTTGAAGTCCCCCACTATTATTATGTTGCTGTCTATCTCTTTCCTTAGGTCTATTAGTAATTGGTTTATAAATTTAGGAGATCTAGTGTTAGGTGCATATATGTTTAGGATTGTGATATTTTCCCGTTGGACAAGGCCGTCTATCATTATGTAATCTCCTTCTTTGTCTCTTTTAACTGCTGTTGTCTTAAAGTTTTTTGTGTCTGATAAAAGAATAGCTACTCCTGCTCGCTTTTGGTGTCCATTTGCATGAAATGTCTTTTTCCACCTCTTTACTTTGAGTGTATGTGAGTCCTTATGTGTTAGGAGAGCCTCCTAAAGGCAGCAGATAGTTGGTTAATGAGTTCTTATCCATTCTGCAGTTCTGTATATTTTAAGTGGAGCATATAGGCCATTTATATTCAATGTTAGTATTGAGATGTGAGGTACTGTTGCATTCATTGTGCTGTTTGTTGCCTGGGTACCTTGTTTTTTGTTTTTTGTGTTTTTTTACTTGTATTTTTATTTTATAGGTCCTGTGATTTATGCTTTAAAGAGGTTCTGTTTTGATGTGTTTACAGGATTTGTTTCAAGATTTAGAGCTCCTTTTAGCAGTTCTTGTAGTTGTGGCTTGGTAGTGGCGAATTCTCTCAGCATTTGTTTGAAAAAGACTATCTCTCATTAATTTATGAAGCTTAGTTTTGCTGGATACAAAATTTGGGGCTGACAATTATTTTGTTTAAAGAGGCTAAACATAGGACCCC
The DNA here is from genome assembly GCF_000001405.40 of Homo sapiens. Classification (NCBI taxonomy): domain Eukaryota; kingdom Metazoa; phylum Chordata; class Mammalia; order Primates; family Hominidae; genus Homo; species Homo sapiens. The sequence goes on along the minus strand of NC_000004.12, from coordinate 120,676,145 downwards.
AATCCCTTCTGGCTTATACAGTTTCTCCTGAGAAATCCGCTGTTAATCTGATAGGATTTCCTTTATAGGTTGCCTGATGCTTTTGTAACATAGCTCTTAAGACTCTTTCCTTCATCTTGACTTTAAAAAGCCTGATGACTACGTGCCTTGGTGATGATCTTTTTTGATGAATTTCCCAGAAGTTCTTTGAGCTTCTTGTATTTGGATGTCTAGATCTATATAGCAAGGCCAGGGAAGTTTTCCTTATTTTTTTCCTTAAATAAATTTTCCAAACTTTTAGACATCTCTTCTCCCTCAGGAACACCAATTATTCTTAGGTTTGGCCATTTTACATAATCCCATATTTCTTGGAGACTTTGTTCATTTTTTAAAATTCTTTTTTCTTTGTCTGATTTGGGCTAATTCAAAAGCCTTGTCTTTGAGCTCTGAAGTTCCTTCTTTTACTTGCTCTAGTCTATTGCTGAAACTTTCCACTGCATTTTGTATTTCCCCAAGTGTGTCTTTCATTTCCAGAAGTTCTGATTATTTTTTCTTTGTGATATCTGTTTCTCTGGAAAAATTTTCATTCATATCCTGGATTTTTTTTAAATTTCTTTAATTTGGTTTTCACCTTTCTCTGGTATCTCCTTGAGTAGCTTAATAATCAACCTCCTGAATTCTTTATCTGACATTTCAGAGATTTCTTCTTGTTTTGGATCCATTGCTAGGGAGCTAGCGTGATCTTTTGGGGCTGTTATAGAACCCTGTTTTGTCATACTTTTCTGGTTCCTTCTCATTTGGGTTGACTGTTTCTTCAAATTGTTCTTGGATTTATTTTTGGTTGGGCTGTGTTTTTGTTTTTAAATTTCTTTTTTCCATCTTAAAGATTGAACTTTAATGTTTATAGTTTATTTTAGCCTAACTTGATTCTTGGTGCTTTTAGGGTGAAGACTCTGTATGAGTTCCTTAGTTATAGACAGTCTTTGTGCAATGGGGCTTTCCCTTATGCTGGTTATAGTAGTTATGTGTGTGGTCTGTGGGTAAGTTAACTGTCTCCTATGGGTTTGGAATAGCAGGGATCCCTTGAAGTGTCTCATTCTCTCATAGTGTACACTTATTTATTTATTTAATTCTTCCCCAGTATTTTATTTACTGAGTTGATGATTCAGGCCTCAGACCAATAGGGAAGGTATCCCTGGGTAGGCACTGGTCGTAGCTAGGGCAGCTGGGGAGATATAACACCCAATGGTGGGCAGAGGTCCCAGCCTTGATGAAAGTGGCTGGGGGAGCTCTCAATTAGATGAAATTTTATGATGGTAAGAGTGGGATATACTTCAGCTCCTCTTCCAGGCCAGCAGGAAAGCTATCCATCTCACACCCTCACTCTTGTCCCAGTGTTCTGGCTATTCAGATGAGACAGGCACCTCTTTTCATCTGTAGGAATGTTGATGTTCCAAGTAGGGAGGACTTGTGACTCTGCCTCTCATGCAGGCCTAAATCTGAGGAGTGCTCCTCATGGTGGACTGCAATCACCCTGAATTGTTCCAGGAAGGCTGTCTGTAGGTTGCTTCCACACTGTGTTCCCATGGAAGAAGCCTCAACTGTGTCTGCAGTGGTGTGCCAGAGGGAATAAGGACTGCTTCTCCAAGGCTCTTCATGATCACAGAAGCTGCCTGCCTGTTAGGGTAGAGGTGTAGACTTTCTCTACTGCTCCCAGCACTGCAATTATGTCTCTTCTATAAGAAACTTCCCACCAGCAGAAAGATCTGGGACTCAAGACTTGCTGTTTAGATTCCTTTGTCCCATGGAGTGATCCCTTGATGTGGTGCTCTCCCCCTTCCCCTAAGAATGGGGAAGGACTGCAGAGCTGGACTGCAGTGATTGTTATTGCCCTTCTGGGTCTAGTCACTCAGTGGGGCTACCAGGCTCTGGGCAGGTGCTGGGGAATGTCTGCAAAGGATCCAGTGATGTGACCTGTCTTCAAGTCTCCCAACGGTGGATACCAGCACCTGGTCTGATGGAAACGGCAGGGGAGTAATGTAACTTTGTGAAATTCCTTGGTTTTAATTAGGTTTAATGTGCTGGCTTCCTCAAATGCTGGTTATGCTAATAGTAAACTTGTCATGCGGACAGATTCAGGGTGTCTAGTTAGCCAGGATGTTGCAGGCAGTGGTGTTGGAAGCCGTTTTCCCCTTCCTGGGTGCAGTGTTATTCAGCCAAAAGGTGATGTAATGGCCTGTGTTGGTTGGCCTCCAGGCAGGAGGTGGCACTTGCAAGAGAGCACCAGCTGTGGTGTCAGCTGTGGGATTTGAGCTTGCCTTAAATTGGCCAAAGGAAGTATTCTGGTTTCTCAATTAATGGGCGGAGCCATAAAGGTCCCAAAAGTTTACATCCTTTGTGTTAGGTGGGTCTGGGCTCAGACTCTTCTTGGGTGGGGCCTGCTGCAGCCACTGTGGGGGATGGGAGGTAGTTCTCAGGCTGCTGAGGTAATGTATCAAAGGGGAGTATAACTGTCTCTGCTGTGCAGAAGAGTTCACAAGGGGAGTGGGGAGTAGCCAGCAGCAGCAGACCTCACCCAGCTCCTGTGCAGTTGGTGAGGCTGGTCTTGATCTCACAGTGTCCCACTAGCAACACCAGGTTTAGATCCAGGCAGCCTGTGCACAGAACTCAGACCTACCCCAGGCCATAAGCCTCCCTGCAGAGATAGCAAGCACAGCTTTCTGGCCATGTCCCTCCCTGTCTGCTGGTATGGCCAGGCACCCAGCAGAGCTACACAGGCCAGGCACCCAGCTCCAGTCTGTAGCACACTTCCTGCTCACCCCCAGATTCTGTTCAAGGGAGTTCATCCCCACTCAAAATTATCTCACAGAATTCAGTCAGGAATTTCTTTTAACCTGCACAACTCCTTGAGTTTGTTGGCTGCCTTCCCCAAGGGCCCCTGTGAGATAATCAAGGCTGGTTTTCCTGAGCTCAGGCTGGAAACTGGAAATGCCTACAAAGACACTTCCTGCTGCTGCTTTTACTTTTATATTTCACACCACTCCCTAAATCCATTCCAACTCTGGGTAAAGTTAAGGTCTTCTCCAGTGATCTAGATTTGCAGATTTCCTAGTGCGGATGTGTGTTTGGAGGCAAGCTCACTCCCTCTCACACTCTGGTAACTTACAATTTGTTGCCTGTCTCACACAATAGGCCGCAGCCTGCTGCTTCTTTCAAAGGATCTGTGAATTCTTTTGGTTTTCCTGGTAAATTCCTGTGGCGGTTCTTGGGAGAAAAAAGTTCACAGTGTGAATCTCTACCCACAATTCTGTCCTTCCAAGTAGGAGAGACATGCTAACACTGCCTCCTATCTGACATCTTGGAAAAAAAAAAAGCCATTATTCTTTAATGTGTAGATTTATGTCTTTCATCAAATTGGGGGAATTATAGCCATTAGCATTTTATCTTTCTTCTTTCCTTGACTGACTCCGCTGACACAAATGTTAGTCCTATTGTTGTTTTCCTATACGTTCCTGTATCTCTATTAATATTTTTGTAAATCTTTATTCTCTCTGATATTCAAATTGAGTACTTTTTATTGATCTATTTTCAAGCTCACTGATTTTCTTCCTCATCATCTTTCTGCCATTCTGCTATTGAGACCATTCAGTCGTTTTTTTTTTTTTCTGTTATTGTGTTTTCAGTTCTAAAATTTTCCTTGAATTTTCTTTATGTATTTTTTTTTTGCAGAAAATTTGTTTTTCCATTGGCTCCAAGTGTTCATGATTGCTTGCTGTAAGATAATTCCAATATCTGTGTCATGTTAGCATTGGCAATGGTTCATTTTCTTTTCCTATGTGAATTGAGACTTTTCTGGTTCTTTGCTTTGTAATTTTGGATCATATCCTGGAAATTTGGAGTATTATGTTATGATTCTCTGAATTTTGTTTAAGTCCTGAGGGGAATGTTGATATTTTTTGTTTTAGCAGGCAGTTGAATCTGCCGGATTCAGGTCACAAGTTCCAATCTGCCTTCTGTAGGCTGTGGTTTCAGTGCCAATTCAGTTTTCAAATCCTTTGCAGTTTGTTTGAGTCTGCACTACATATGTGCTGCCCAGTCGTCTTGGATCTGGGTGGTGGTGTATCACATCTAAGGATGCATAGGGGTAGACTTAAGAATTCATTAGTAACTCTATAAGGCTGCTTTTCTCAGTTCTTCTTTCTCAACAATCTTTCTAGTACTTTCTTGTTCCCTAGGAGTCCTTATTTTGGACCTCCAGCTAGAAATCCAGGGCTTTGGTTACCCTGCCCTGTTGTGTACTTGCACAACTTCATCTCAATCCACAGTCAAGGAGTAGGATGGAAGACAAAAGCAGCGAGTGCTAAAGCAGCGCTACTGAGCAGGGAGGTATTTCAGCTCCCTCAGGATTTTGGCTCCTGTAGGCCTCCATTTCTTGCTTTTGCATCACCATGGGATTCCTTAGGGGTTAGAGTGTTCGAGAATAAAAGAAGAAAGGAAAAAAGGGGATTTCCTTGCTCTGAATGTATTACATTCCTTTCCTTGCTTTTTGCACCAGAAAACTAGAGGGCTTCTCTTTATTTGTCCTTTAGTGCCCACTTCTAGGTTGCTGGGGGATACCAGAAGGGGGGAAAAAAGTATAATATTTACCACTGGTTTGTTTGAACTTGAATTCTGACCTCCTTTTCTAATCTATCTGCTATTAGTTACTTTTCAGATTCCTAGAATAGCCATTCCATTCTGCCAGATTTGAGAGCTATATTCAGTGGGAGAGACACTTCCACCCAATTCTTTCCCAGAACCAGAACCCCATTCTTCCTTTTCTTGAAGAGTAATGTCTATTGCGGTTATGTTTCTGTGTCTTGCCATTTTCTATTGGGTTAATGGGGGCAGATAACTTGCCTTCTTATTCATATCTCTGGATAAAGAGGAGCTTCAGGCTGGGCGTGGTGGCTTACACCTGCAATCCTAGCACTTAGGGAGGCTGAGGCAGGCAGATCACGAGGTCAAGAGATTGAGACCATCCTGGCCAACATGGTGAAACCCCGTCTCTACTAAAACCCCAAAAATTAGCCTGGCATGGTGGTGCACACCTGTAGTCCCAGCTACTCAGGAGGCTGAGGCAGGACAATTGCTTGAACCCAGGAGACAGAGATTGCAGTGAGCCAAGATAGTGCTACTGCACTCCAGCCTAGCGACAGAGTGAGACTCCATCAAAAAAAAAAAAAAAAAAAAAAAAAAAAAAGGAGCTTCACTCTGAGGAGCATCAATTGCACCTGGACCTGATGCAGATCATGAAATTATGGATTCTAAGCTTTATGCAACTATTGGATGAGACTTTGGAGCTCTTGATAAAAGATAAATGTATTTTGAATATATAAGGAGCATGAATCACTAAGGGCTGTTGCAGCCATGAAAATGTACCACTCAGAGCTGCTGTGGAGACCACAGTTGAGTGACAGCTGAAGCTACTGGCCTGTCTGGATCCACTACTGCTTTCATGTGAGTCCATGCTTCCTATTCCAGCTGCAGGATTACTAATGGAGTCCCATGCCAGTGAGTCTTGAGATGCCTAAGATGGGCAACTTTGGCTCAAAGCCCCCCATTGGCCTGGATGAACCTTTGTTAGAACTGCCCTGCAATCTGAGATTCCTCCTTCTTCCCACTTCCTCCAAGGTGTCAGAGCTGGATCACATCTGAAGGCTCTCCATGCCTTCTCTGGTTCACTCCCCTCCATTTTTCACAGCATTTCCCCTAATACACCTATGGCCTATCTGATCCCACCTTGGAAACTCCTTATTGGAGGACAAAAAAAAAAATACAGAGTCCAAGGACAAACTGTGGTAGATTGCCACATTAATGGCCCCAATGTATTGTGCCTCTCAATATTCACTCTCTTATGTTGTTCCCCTCTGCATTGATCAGGGTTTTTGAGGGAAACACAGTAACAGGACATATATAAAGCAATTTATTTTAAGGAATTGAATTGGTTTATGCAATTGTAGGGACTGGCAAGGCTAGAAACTCAGACAGGATTTGACACTACAGTCTCGAGGCAGAATTTCTTCTCTGTGAGACCTGTTTCTGCTCTTAAGATCTTCAGCTGATTGGATGAGGGACATACACATTATCAAAAGTAATCTCCTTTACTTAAAGCCAACTGATTGTAGATGGTAACTGCATCTACAAAATGCCTTCATAACACCTAGATTTGTGTTTAATTAAATAATTGAGAACTATAGCCTCACCAAGTTGACACATAAAACCGTCACACCCACATTGACTTTGATATGGGCCATGTGACTTGCTTTGGCCCATGGATTAGTAACAGACATTTGGTAACCACTTGCGCATTAGGGCTTGCCTTCTTGGAACACTCCCTCCATCATATGAAGGAGGGTAGCCTTCTTGAAGATTAAAGACGACATGCAGAGAGAGACCCTGCTTTCCCAGCTGAGTCCAACCCCTAGCCAACTCATCAGCTGATTGTGGTCACATGGTTGAGTCCACACAAGTTCTACAAAAGAACCACTCCACAGTAACCACAAAATTATGAGAAATAATAAATCCTTATTATGATAACATTTTCAAACATTATGTTTTTGGGTAGTGTGTTATACAACAATAGATAACCAATATAATACTCTTGACAATGTTGATAAAAACACTAATATAAAATAAGAAAAAATCTTATACATTTTCCAAAATGCTTATTGTTAGATGAATACAAATTTAAGAATTTATCCTATTTAAGATTTACAAAGGTGAATCTGCAGTTTGAGTGCCTTCTGGCCGTATGTCATCTAGTTGGTCATGTGAGCATGTATATGTATGCAGGCTTTATACAGAAATGTCCTAAGAGAGTTTTAAGTAACTCTAACCATTTCTTAGGTTCTTATCCCTGGAAAACTTATAGTGGTCTCAATATGAATTTCACTCACTGTATTTTAAACACAGAACCAAGAGTTTAAAAGTGTCTTTTTAAACAACTCACAAAATCCAGGCTGAAGAGGTTGGCCCAAATTATTTTTAATGTCCTTTCCATGTGCCATATGACAGTAGATTTTACAACTTTTGAGAATTTGGGTAAGGAGAATTTGCCATGCACAGTTTAAAAGGAGAAATCTTTAACTGTTTCTCACTAAGAAAGTTCAAATTACTAAACTCAAAATTTCTGGTAATCTGACATTTAGTTAGTAAAGAGAAAGGGCTGCTTTTGGAGTCATTGGCTTCTAACACTGAGATTTCAAAGAAAGCATAATATAATGAATTCTAGAGCAATTCGCATTATTGGAACTCATCTTGCCTGTGAGTTGAGCAAATATAGCTGTTTGTAACCCCATTTTCAGAGGACAGTCTTCAGCACATACATTTTCAAGATGTCCCACTGAACCATTAACTTGAATATACACGTACTACAAACTTCTATGATATTTTATTTGATAAGTTTTATTGCTTTTAAATAATCATTTAGTCAACGTGGACTAATCTAAAAGATATTTGCAAGTATGATTAGAAGTTTTGGGGATATTCTGCACTTGTGAGAAGTCAAGAAATCCTAAATAGTCTGTCAGCCCTAGAGATTTTGGCCTGTTGCAGTAAAACTATGGCATGTGGTGTTTCAATTGCTTCCCATTTGGAGATGGCGTTTTATTGCAAAAATAGATCACACTCTTTAGGGCTTGTCCTCTGCTTACCTCTACATGCCAACAAAGTTGGCTGTAGTCAAATGAAATGGAAGTCAAACTAGTCCATTTTACTCGGGCTACCATATTAATTCTTCGAGTGTGACTTAAACATATCTGTTCAGACACAAGTGCAAATGAGCATAAGTATAATATTATTGATCATATAGCTATCCCATGTTAGCAATGGAAAAGATGAGTATCAGGGCTTGTCCAAAGTATAATAGTTTAAAAGGCCTTGACATTTTGCATTGTGATTTCTATCTTTGGATGCGATTGGATATAGCAAAGTTAACCTCAGTGGGAATGGTTGGGGCTGGATCAACCGACTAAAGTAGGGAGGCCAGTAATGGGACAGCAGGACAGAGGAATGGTGCAAAAACGTTTCCAATAGTTAGGTTATGCCATTCTGAGAGTCTGCAGATAGATGCTTAGTCCACTTGTGTTGTAGGGCAGGTTGGGAGCAGCATAAGTAGCTTTAATGTCACTGCAGATGGACAGAAGCCAGTATGGGAGTCCAGAAGCAACTGGAAGACCTTTGACTTCATGGAACTGTGCTGCCAAAGAGCATATCACCAGATGCCAAATGAAAGTTCACGGATGAAATATCAACAGCTAAGGTGGCAAAGACTGATTGGAGATAAAACAGATGGTATCCTGCTGAAACAACAAGTGACCAAGAGTTTAGTACTTCAAATTCAACAGCTGTCAAAATCAGGCTTGAGTCTCTGTGACCATCTCTGGCCTAGACTATGACAGATATCACAACCTCTGGGATGTGCTTTATCCTAAGAACCTGCACATATGGAGACCACAGGGTGTGAGCTGTTTAGAAAATGCTACAGTCAAATCCTGCAGATATTGCTGTTGCTGCAACTGACACCTTCCAGGGATGATGCTTTTAATGCCTGGACTCTCAGAGCATGCCATCTATCTGCTACTCATCATTTTTTGTCTGTTTCTTTATTTTTCAATTTTCAGTCAACGTCCATAGTGTAAATTCTCCAAATGGCTTAATCCTCAACCATATTTGTGTCTCTTAATGCTCTGAACCTTCTTGTCCTAGTGTAGCCCATGCCACTCACCATCAGCCCGTCCCAGGCCTTGTAGTCTACTAGCATAACTCTTCCCCTACACCTTCTGATTGGCCTCTCTGTAGTCAGAAAGCTCTCCTACCACTTCCCATTTTTCTGAGTCTGTGCTTTACATTTCGCTTGGCTAACAGATGTCTTAAATGTCTCTCATATCTCACAAACCTCAGAGTCAGGAGGAAGGATTGATGCCAAGAAACTTAAGGTTGTTTTAATTTAAAAATCAATTAATATAATTCACTATACTAACAATGTAAAAAACCCAAAAAGTATATGATAATCTCAATAGACATAGAAAAAGCACTTGAAGAATACAACATCAATTTCTGATAAAAATTTTGTCAAGCCAGGAATAGAAAGGGATTTTCTCTACCCAATAAAACTGTTAGCAAGAATCTATAGCTAACTTAATAGTTCACAGTGAAAAACAGAATGCTTTTATCTTGAGATCAGAAATAAAATGATAAACTGGAGGTTTATAAAAAGATAAACTGGAGGTTCTGGTCATGCAGACAGCATGATTGTCTGTGAAAAATCCGACAGAATCTACAAAAAACAACTTGCCAGTAACTGAGTTTAGTAAGGTTGTAGGACATGATATTATAATACAAAAATCTATTGTATCTCCATACAATAAAAATAATCAGAAATTGAAATAAAACAAAATTACTTAAAACAACATCAAAAGGATAAAATATCCTTTGGGATAAACTTAATAAAAGATATGCAAGAACTGAAAATTTTAAAACATTGCTGAGAAAAAATTTAAAAGACCTAAATAAATGAAGAAATATGCTCATTCATGGGTTGGAAAACAGTATTGCTAAAATGTCCATTCTTCTCAAAAAATTAATCTATAGATTCAATGCAATCCAGACAAAAATGTCAGCAGGCTTTAAAATTTTTTTTAAGAAACTGACAAGTTAATTCTAAAACTTATATAGAAACACAAATCATCAAGAATAGCCAAAACAATACTGAAGAAGAATAAATGGAGGACTAACACTACCTGGTTGTGTAGTATGGACATATTATACAAATAGATCAAAACAGAACAAAATACAAAGTCCAGGAATAGATCCGCGTATATAGGGACAATTGATTTTTTTTGAAGGTAGAAAGGAAATTCAGTGGGGAGAAGATTGCCTTTTCTCCAGATTGTGCTGGAACGGCTGGATATCCATGTAGAATCATGTGAATGGGACAGTTCAAATTCAGACTGATCCAGGTGTGCTGTATTGGCAGCTGACAGGCCATGAGCAGCATTGCCATCTTTAAAGTGATTTGAGAAATGGTGAGCAACTCTTGGAAAACTTCCAAACCAAGCGTAAAATGAAACAAAGAACAATCATTTCTCAAAATGGTAGTTATGATTCTGAAAAATTCAGTATATATTAAAATACTGAAAAATTATTGATGTTTATGATTGAGATAAAATTAGGTTGTAAGCTTGGGTAATTGAATAGTGGCTGGCACATAATGTACATCCAATAAAGATTTTTTTGAATGAATTGAATAAGGATTGTTTTCTGACTTTAGCCTCTTACCATGCCTTCCACTTTTAACTTAAAACTTTTTCAAAGGCTATGAAAGGTAATAGTAAAGTGTTTCAAATCTCACTTACTTATTCAGTGATATAGGTTAGTCTGGGAAATTCAACTAAATATCAAGAGCTCTCAGCCTTATTTTTTTCTGTAATCTATAAGTGGTAGGGTAAGTGATTGCTGATCCTGAGCCATAGCTCTGGGTAGATCAATCCCTGTGGGAAAACCTGCCCTTTACCCTGGAGGGAGACACTATTTTTCTCTTCCACTTAAATATAGCACATTTAAAAACAACAGGAAACTTCTTAATACTCATAATACTAAGAGATATAGCCTTATTAAATTTCATTTATTAGTTTTTATTGTAATTAACTTACTTATATGTCGTGCAGAGTTTGGCCTCAGTCTCTTCCTGCTCTAAGCCCATGATCAGTTGCAATTTGCTCAGCTGCCTAAGGCAGAAAGTTAGTGAGAATCATTTAAAAACCTCAGTGTGTTTCAAATAAAATCTCCCTTGAATATCAACTGTATCAACTCACATATTAACAATGATTATTTTGATTCCTTTATTCCAGGACCTGAGAAATCTTTGAGGGCTAATTTCACTGTTTCTTTGATGTTTTGCTAAAAATATCAAATTCCAACAAACAAAATGCACAAAAATCCTGGGAAATATGTCTTATCCTTGGATAGTCCATTTGTTGCAGCTTATGAGGGCACCACCAATTCTGGAAATACCATAAGCACCTAGCGAAACTCAGAGCCTGTGCATACCATCAAGTCATCCATCTGGAGGCTCAGGGCTTGGGATGCAAGTGCCCTGGATACACGTTAGCAACAGTAAACATTGATATAGGGCTGCAAAGCATGGCATCTTTATTTTTTTTTTTAAATAAACCTTCCATTTTCCAAAAAGGATTTAGGTGGATTAGAAAGGATTTTATTTGTGAACATGTTTGATGGGGGTTAGTTAAGAGTATTAAATGACCGGAAACCTCAAAAAGCCTGGGATAGACAATTATTTTCCATGTATAATCTGCTGGATAATGCAGGGTTATTTTCTTGCTTCAAAAATAAATAAATAAAACAGGTTTCATTCTGCTCAGAGGCTTCATATTAACTTTTCACTCCCACTAATGTTTTTACATTATTTGGTCAATCATTTATCAATTTCTACTGGAGTTAAAGCAATCTGAACACTTCTGATTCTAGTGGGTACAGGACTCAATGTGTAAATTGATTAGCTAGCAGAAGGTCTTTGTATTTTATACATTACTGAAGAAAATAGAACTTAATAAGCTCTCTCTTTTGAATACTTCAAAGCTACCTTTTTGCTAAATCATTGTTTTTGCCATTCATTTATGTATCATTATTTCCATCATCTTCAGTGTTTCCCTCCAATCCATTGTGAGACATTTTTCCTAGCTTTGACAGGATATAAGTGGAACTTGTTGGTGAACATTGGACAAAACAGATGGGAAACAAAGAAGTTTGTGACATAAGACATGCAGAAATTTGGATGTCTCCAATTAATCATGGTTCACAGCTGACAAAAAAAAAGTGACAATAATTGATGTCATTCTTTGAGAAACAATCTGGAACTTTAGCACCCTGGGAAATCTTGTTCATTTTTGCTCAGCTACTACTGAATTAATGCATGCTATAAATTGCTTCTCAGAGGGGTGCTTCATAAAGGGTTTCTGGGACAAATCATGTACCATGAAACATTCCAGAAACCATTCATTTTCTGGTTTCTCACCATGCAGTGTTGTGTCACCTAATGTAACAAGTGCAGTCCCCCTAGATACAAGATGAGAGTGCTAATTTATCTGCAGTGCATTTTGTCAATGTAGATGGGCTCCATAACTCAACTAGATTCCTAGGAGGTTTATTTTTTAGCTTGAGATGTCCGAACTAGTTGTCTGATTTGGTGAAATGCAATGATGTATGCATGCCCTTCACTGGCTCTGCGGCTGCAGGACACGCAGCTCCCACTATTTCACATGTAACCTTAGCCTTCATTGTCCTCCCTCTCAAAAGATGATATAACCACTGTCCAGCCATTTCTCTTCTTATAAAAGGTGTGATCCTACACATATGTGGCACAATTCCAAGTTCTACACCTGATTAAAGAAGCTCTCTGAGTAATACAACACAACATGTATTTTCAGAAACAAGCACAAAGTTAAGAAACAGGATTCACCCACTGGGATTCCAAGAAGAAAATATAATTTATATCAATAGTTCATTTTGAACTGTGAAAGAGAATGAGACTTGTTAATTTTCAGTACAGTGATTGGCACTAATCCCCTTACTCAGGTGATGAGAAGGTCATGTGTCACATTAAGTTGAGGTGAGAGTTCCAGAGTTCCAAAGCATGCAGAGATTGGCTGTGGCATCCTCACTCAGTTGGTTTGAGCATATTGCCAGGCATTGTAGGTAAGCTGATAGATGAATTATTATCTAGTTTGGATTACCATACCTCATAAAATAAACACATGCATTACACCATTGGTGGGAGTGTAAATTAGTTCAACCATTGTGGAAAACAGTTTGGCAATTCCTCAAAGACCTAGAGACAGAAATATCATTTGACCCAGCAATCCCATTATTGGGTATATACCCAAAGGAATGTAAATCATTCTGTTATAAAGACACAAGCATGTGTATGTTCACTGCAGCACTATTCACAATAGCAAAGATGTAGAAACAACCTAAATGTCCATCAATGATAGGCTGGATAAAAAAATGTGGTACATATACACCATAGAATACTATGTAGCCATTAAAAAGAACGAGATCATGTCCTTTTCAGGGACCTGGATGGAGCTGGAGGCCATCATCCTTAGCAAACTAACACAGGAACAGAAAACCAAATAGTGCATGTTCTCACTTATAAGTTGTAGCTAAATGATGAGAACACATGGACACATAGAGGGGAACAATGCACACTGGGGCAGGGGATGGGAGGAGGAGGAAAAATACCTAATAGGTACTAGGCATAATACCTGACTAATGAAATAGTTTGTACAACAAACCCCCTTGACCCATATTTACCTATGTAACAAACCAGCTCATCCTGTACATGTTCCCCCAAACTTAAAATAAAAATTAAAAAATAAAAATCAACCTCTACAGGGAAATCATGATTAACAATAATACCAGAAATGCAACCAAAAGCAACCAACAAAGGAAAGAACAATGCTGAATTTATTCCTACTGCCATCTCTTTGTCAATGACATTGCAAGATAACAATAATCAAATCTTTTGAGAAAATGGCCACAGCAGTTTGAAATGATCAAGAAGACAACTTGAAAGCAGGATTTATACGCAGCATTATTAACTATAGTTAGTAAATTAGAACCTTAATATTGTACTTCAAATTTAACTCCTTTTTTCAAAATTCAGTTTTATATGTTTTATAGTATATGTAACATTAATATAGTAGGGTATATATGTATCTAGTGAGTGCATGAATATTTATTGAGGATACATGTTCAAAAATGTAAGAGATTCAGGATGCACTCAAATACAGACTTTTTCATATCTGAAATACATAAAATATAGTCAAGTAGAAAGCATTGGTAAGATTCTAAGTATACACATTGTAAGCTACGTGAATAGCTCTACAATCTGAATTGTATTTTTTAGTAACAATTTAGACCTAATTTTAATAAATTATGAGATTTTTCTTTTTTTTTCAATCTTAGAAACCTAGGATGCCATGTGAGAATTACAGTCATATTGAACAAAGGCAATCAGGTAGAGGATCTTAACATTAACTTAATAACTTGTCGAAGATTAAAGACTCCATTTTCCATGCAGAAGTGTCATACTGTCTTCAAATCAAAATTGAACCAAAAACTACAATCACAGAGTATTGAAACCAAGGCTGTGTTAATTTGAATTTGGGTGGAATAAGGTACATTGCAGAGTGGTGCACATTGGGCCCAACTATCGCCTTAACACTAGGAAATGGCAATACTATCACCTGCAAATATGATATAAAATGAAGGTGAGGAATGGCTGTACCCTCTATCTCCTGAGCACTTTCTTTTTTTTTTTTTTGAGACGGAGTCTCACTCTGTCGCCCAGCCTGGAGTGCAGTGGCGGGATCTCGGCTCACTGCAAGCTCCGCCTCCCGGGTTCACGCCATTCTCCTGCCTCAGCCTCCCAAGTAGCTGGGACTACAGGCACCCGCCACTACGCCCGGCTAATTTTTTGTATTTTTAGTAGAGACGGGGTTTCACCGTTTTAGCCGGGATGGTCTCGATCTCCTGACCTCGTGATCCGCCCGCCTCGGCCTCCCAAAGTGCTGGGATTACAGGCGTAAGCCACCGCGCCTGGCCCTCCTGAGCACTTTCTATGTGCTAAATCTCATTTTACTTCCACATCAGACAATGAAGCAACCATTATTATGCCCGTTATACAGGTGAGAAAACTGAGGTTGAAAGAGTTAGGTAGATTTCACAAGTCACCAAGCTGAAAAATGTCAGTTCTGATACTGGAATCTGTATTAGAAATTTGATTCCAATGGAAGCAGAATCAGGTGTAAAATTTGGAGAAACAAATATATTGAAGATAGAACTTGAGTATTTTGGAAATTACTCTTTGGTGATATTATACAGAGGGATTCAGGTGTTGTATAGAGATTGAAAATAGGTATCTTTCACTGTCCTTACTCTAAAATACCACGATTGTGTTTATTATTACTACCACTCATAACACTATACGAAATTGTTTTTTAAGACAAGCAGTAAAAGCCTAAGACTTAAAATTATAACAGGATTTGCTAACGCACAATTTGAAGGGGCATTTATGTGCTCTGTAATTTTACAAAAAGTTCAATTGTTTTATTTTCTTTGAAGTCCAAGGGCTAGTTATTGTTACGATAATTGGTAATAATTGCACGTATAAAGATAAAATTTTAAAGGAAATAAATGTAGTTCTCAGTTACGTTTTTATAAGTAGGTTATGCAGAAGTAGGCACTTTTTTTCAAGTGATGAAGATTCAACTGTCACATTACAAATTATTAAACAATATTTTTGCACACATATTTGTACATAAGAGTATAGATATATTATTATACATAAACACATAGATTGACAGGTAGATTAAGAAACAGCACACACACACACATTCAGACATGTAACATATACATACACCGTTATAAAATGATAAGGGCTGAAAACTACCTGTCAAAAACTTTGACAGGTCTGAGATTTTACCCTACTTGCAAGGTACCAAGTTAGCCTGCGAGTTTCATAAATGTGAGTAGAAGACCTGAGACTCCTGTGTCCAAGACAAAAGTTTATTACTCACAGCAATAACAATAGCCAGAATATCATCATTTTTGTACTAATGCCTGAGCCCCAAGGCATACGGGACATAGTGAAGAAGCCAGGTGGCACCTATGCAAGAACTAGGTTGTTTTATTAAAGAGGAATTCTGACCCTAGAGAACCCAAATCTTTTATAATGGGCAGTAAGGCTGCCTGCCTTAGCTCTGCAGGGAGACATTATTTTTATTATACTGGATAGTAATCAAACCTGCCCATTACTCTGGAGGGAGACATTATTTCTTTCTTTCCACACTGTTTGCTAAACCAACATTCTTGAAATGATACTCCAGAACAAAGGGAGTCAGTGCCTCTGTAAGATGTGCAGAAACGCAAAAGCTTTGTCTTCCGACACCACCAAATACATTGATTGTCAGCATTTAGCTTGAAAAGGGGCACATGGCACAGTGCTTGTGAAAATCATCTGGCCTTTGATCCCCTAATGGCCAAACAAAACATGAAGACATGTCTGATGTATGGACTTTTCCACATCACATTTCCTGGAAAGCATGTGTTTCCTATTTAGGAGTCACCCTGACACATTTGGCTCTGGAGAGCATTGAGACTGGACTTGTATCTACGTTACTCGCTCCCTAGGCACTGTTCTGCCAACCTGACTTCTGGGCCCCTGCAGAAGGCTGAGTAATGGAGCATTAAATACCGACAATCTGGCTATGAGGAGGGCTTAATCTGTTTAAGCCCCACAGAGATCTGGGCAAGCATCAAAATAAGCACGCCAAATGCGACTTTAGTTGACTCTTAGGCAGGAAAAGCCTAAAACCCCAGTGAGAGCACATGAGGATCAGGACTATTTGTCTTATAAGCAGCGTATTAAGATATCTTCCTCTAAGGCAGCAATATGGAAGAATTCAATGCCAGACTTCCCATCAGGCTGCCATGTATTCAACTCAGGGCACCAGCAAACAGGAGAACTAAATGGAAATAGAGTGTTAAAAGCCCACCTTCAATGAATTTATCCAGGACTTTATAAACAGAGATCTACAATAGAGGTATTTTTAATTTCAGCTTACATGGTAATTTTGTGATGTTTTAAAAAGCACTATTTTATTTTGAATTACATATTTGGGTGGAGGCATAATTATTTTTTCAATTCTTATGGCCTCTGTGGAGTCCAGTGGAAAGAGCATAAATTCTGACTGTCCAGGGTTTGAATACTGATTGTAGGCCAGTTACCTATCCTTTCTGAACCTCAGTCTTCCCATCTGTTGGTACAGATAATTATTTATATCATGCAGGACTGTTGTAAGGATTTAAAGAGAAAACACATTTATATACTCAGTGTAGAGTACAGCACATAGAAAACATTTACTATAGCCTTGTGGGGTGGCTCAACACCCGAAGTCTGTCTTTTGTTTGAATTTGGGCCACTAATTCTGTGGCACTCTAGGATTTTATGTCATGGGCCGTGCCAGATAAATACTCAAAAGTGGCCACTTCAGACTACGCTCAGAGGAAACAATAGTTGATAAAAACCACCAGACTCACTTCCTCTCCTGAAACTGTAAACTTCTGTTCTGGTGCCGTGTTTATGTTGTAATCTTCTGTGCACGGAGTTGCGGGGAGGAGAAGTCATTTAAGAAGAGCCATAGCAGCCCCGTAGGTAGGAGATGCACATAGAGAGAAATGTACTGATGAGCCCAGATCTGTGAGGGATCTCTTGGTGTCAGATGGACCCCATCAGCAGCAAATATGTGTGCATGTGTCTGATGAGCAAAAGTGCTTTAATGTGGATATAATTACCATATGCTCCATGGATGAAATAATGTTTCTAGCCCACATTATCTGCCCACATTTACAGTACACACAGTGTTAGGTAATGCAATTTATCTCAACAGCACAGGCCCTTTTTTTTGCAAGCCCAGAGCCTGTTCTGGCTCTTCACTGGGTGAATAGAGTTTGTAGACACTTCTTACATGGTCCCATATAGCCTTCAACTTAAATTTAAAAATGGCTTTGTTTGCATAATTACTATTCTTTGCATTATATTTTAAATCCCCATGTGCGAAAAAAAATGTGTTTAAATGCAACTTACTGGACATGTTTTCTAAAGATGCGTTAATAAGACAAATGTGATTTAAATGTGTCAGTGAAGGCTTAGTTGGAACATGATTCTGACTGACATAAGTATAATGCCCTACATTTGTTGTGTGGCATGAAAATGTATTCTATACTTTTATTCTGAATATTTTGACATTTGATTCATTTTTGCCATATTATGAATGTAAAATATTTGAAGAAATGACTGATAAATATCATGATCATACAATATTGATATTTCTTCAATTTTATAATATTGATTTTCTTCAATAGTCATCTGTAAAGATATATTCAAAATGTTTATTGTCAAATTATTAGCCCATTCTTCCCCTAAAACTGATATAGCTGAATCAAAATAAGAAATGTTTTTTTCTATTTTCTTAATTCTATAGCCATACGTGTTACAATGCCTTGCACTAAGTCTATGTTCAAAAGATGAACTAATGAATGATCACCCAGAATAATGGTTGATGTTCTACTACTATCTACTCTATCGACTGTACTATGCTACATATAACACATCATGGTATGGGATATTTCTCTGTAACTTCTTGCAGTTTTTGTTGATGGTAGTATAACTGAATCTTCTTGATACCCCTGCATTCTGCCTCATCTTCTTCTTTTCCTCCTGTTTCCTTATTTACTTATTTTTTGTTCATTCTCCCTTCACTCCCCAGCATCACTCCCTCTCTCTCACTTTCTTCTTTCTCCCTCTTTCTCTGTCTTCATTCCTCATTTCTGCCCTCTTTCATCTCTCCTCTTTACTTTTTCATGACTTCTTTCAGGGCAAATGAACATAGTTGATGAGGGTCAAAGAACTCATATTTTTTTACTGATAGAAACTACAAATTTTGATCATCTGTGGTTTTATACTATCCATGTGTCTATTAATTCCCATTATCCTAAGTATTAAAAAGTTGCCTCAACAAAATATGGACTTAAATCTTGCTTAGGACAAATAAAGAAAACAGGTTGAAAAGTTAAGCATTTGAATTTTTGTGTGACAGTAGAGAATCTGATAAATAATAAAACTCATTGATATGAAACCAGATATGAACCTCTACAAGGCCTAAAGTCATGAAGGAATATCCTTGGGCCTAAATTTTACAATTTAACGTGATTGTTGAACACTATCTATGTTTACCCTATTGAAGACAGAACTTGACAAACCATTTCCTGAACATGGAAACAGACTTGCTTAGGTAATAATATTAATGTAATTTTATCTTTATTGAGTAAAAGCATAAACATTATCACTAGTCTCTTCCCCATATTCCTGAGCTCCATGAGGTAGAATATTCAGCAGTACTAATACCAAGTTAGAACCATCTATAAAGAATGGCAAGTTGTCCCCTTTCTTCACTCTGTTGCCCAGGCTGGAGTGCAGTGGCAGGATCTCAGCTCACTGCAACCTCCGCCTCCCGGGTTCAAGTGATTCTCCTGCCTTAGCCTCCTGAGTAGCTGAGATTACAGGTGCGTGCCAACACGCCCAGCTAATTTTTGTATTTTTAGTAAATACGGGGTTTCACCATGTTGGTCAGGCTGGTCTCAAACTCCTGACCTCTGGTGATCCTCCCACCTCGGCCTCCCAAAGTGCTGGGATTACAGGCATCAGCCACTGTGCCCGACCTCACATTTTCTTTCATAAACAACTTAACGTAGTTCATTTGGTGACAATATTCTGATTCTGGTATAGATTGTTCTTACATAGTTATGAGTGTCCTTAAGGCAAGAGACCTTCAAATCAGTAAATACTTCTAAAAACATTTTTGTAGCTGGAGAGGTTAGAAAAGTGACACTGGCAGCAAGATGGTGGACTGAAATTTCAGGCGTGCATTCCCCCACAGAGACACAGAGATAACAACACTATATGGACCAGACTACCTTTCTGAGAACTCCAGTGACCAATTGAGAAGCTACCACACCCAGGCCAACACAGCGCCAATAAGGGAGTCCAGAGAAAGGGGCACTGCCACTTCTATCTTGATGTCTTGGGCTAAGGGAAACTCAGCCACTATATTGTCAGGACACTCAAGCAGACCTGTGGAGGGGTTTAGGTGGAAAGGAACTGAGACCCTCTACCAATAGACATGTGACTGGGACATCTTGAAAGGACATCCTCCAACCCAGTTAAGCCTTCAAGTGACTTCAGCCCTGACTGATATCTGATTGCAAACTCAGGAGAGTTCTTAAGCCAGAACCATACAGCCAAGTTGCTCTCGAATTTCTGACCCACAGAAACCATGAGAGATAATACAATTATTTATCCAAGCTACTAAATTATAGGGTAATTTGTTATACAGCATGAGATAACAGTTGTGGCTCCACCCTTATTATCTAATCACCTCCCAGATACTCCACCTTCAAATGCCATCACATTGGGTATTCAATTTCAATGTCTGAATTCAGGAGGGGAACAAACATTCAGCCAATAGCACCGTATAATCAGCACAGGCAATGTGCTTAATATAAAAACATTAAGAAAAAAAGAGATTTTCTGTGTTTTGTGATTCACTCATTGATTTAACAAAATATGTTAAGTGAAAGTGTACATAAATACCACAATAAAAGTTAAGATGAATATTTTATAATGCTTTATAAAATAAATATATAGCTTAGTAAAACTTTTATATTTCCTTACAAATTGCCTCCACATATTTATTTTCACTAATTCTCATCACATTTAAAAAAGAATTGTATTAATTGCTTAATCTGATTATGGTCTAACAGTTGTTCAAAACCAATTCATTTTATTTTGTGTTTGTATTTATGCGAACAAAAGTCTTAGGATAGTGGGTTTAAGATACACATTCAGCAAATAGGATCTTACTTCCAATTTGAAGAGTAAAGTTTCCTTACTTCCTTTTTTTTCTTTCTTTTTTCTTTTTTTTGACTTCTTAGAATCTTCTAGTTTTGATTGCTCCTGAACACCACTATAAATCATCATTAATGTCATCTTCCCTAACAAGTGTTTGTTCTGATTTTGCCACAAAAGACTTTGCAAAAAACACAAATGGTTTTAGTTGTTCAAAGTATGTGTCCTCTTTAACCATGAGCTCTAACTACTTTCTTGAATTAATAATATTGTTATTACTGACAGAATATTTCTTAAAATGATATCTTAAATATTTCTTAAAATGATATTAATGTTCCTAATTTATCTTTACTTTTGAGTGATGTGGAGTAATTTAACTGAAAATTGGAATTTTTATGCAGAATGACAATAAGATACTCAAATATATCTGTATTTGCCATAGAGCAACATGAAAGTTAAAATACCAACTGCTTAGTGAATCATTGTTCTCAAAAAGATTCATGATGGCTATGTAGTCTTTAAGAGAATACTTTAAAATATGGGTTACAAATAGCTTTTTATAATTTGTAAAACATAAAATAGTAATCAAGTAACAGCTGAATACTAAAATATACCACATAGAAAAATAAAGAAAATTAAATGAAGCAATGTCTCATATACTTAGCGTTTTTGGGAAAACCATACAAGTTAATTTTTCAGGGTGAGTATGTGTATGTTTTGAAGTAATAAAATTAAAAATGTAACTCTTTTGGTTTGTTTTTCTTTATCTCTTAAACATTATATGCTAAAATCATTGTCAGATTTTTATTATATTCTTATATAAAATAATTCTATCTCCTCCCAAGGTCAATCCTCTGTTGACAGTGTGACTACTTAAGGTAACTATAGACTTGTGATCACTACTTCCAATTTGCTATGGTGTGAGAAATTAAATTTCCAGTGTCAATGGAATTAAGTATAAACTATGAAATCAATATGTTTTGATTATGGTCTGAAGGCTCATGTGAGGGGGCTGGAGCATAAGGTAGAATTTGGTTATGATACCATTGGATATATTAAAATATATAAATCATTTGGTTTATATTCATTGAGTATACAATTTTAGCACCCTGAACTTCTATCTTCCCTTCTACTGACTCAGAGATATCTCCTGACGTGCCTTCTCTTTTTTCTTGGTACTTTTCTGAGCTTTCTAAATCTGAGTTTTAGACAACCAGTTGTGTATGAATGTATTTATGTGTATGTGTCACACATGCATACATAATGTGGTGAGCAGTTGAATGTGTTTATGTATGTGCATACATAGTGATTGTTGAGAATGGTAGTTTGTAATCCATTAAAATATTTAAATTTACCATTTTAATCCAACTTCTCCCATCAAGCTCTTGAAATATTTTATTATTTGTCAGAAAAGTCATCATATGGCACTAACCTATGCATTCTAAGATTTAATGAATTGTTTTGGAGGAAGTTGAAATCCAGTGTTCTGAATCTTAAATATTATAGAAGCTTTAAACAATTTGTCTTAGTTGGAGAAGGCTGGGCATATTTAAGGATATTATGTACCCTGTATTACTTCTTAAGAAACAGACTTTCTGAATAATAGCTATAACACTTGACTCTGTTATATATCACGGTAAGACTAAGTAATTGAAGATGAAGGAACCTGACCCTGGAAATAACAGAGACAAATTAGACAGAACACATTGATTTCTGATGTAACAGACAGCCACCTGATGGAACTGTTTTTACTTATAGAAAGTGAAGCCACAGTACTTCATTTTACAGAGGTACTTTTTAATGGCCCAACTATTAAATGAATAAATTTTTTAAATTAAAAGCAAATGTTACTAATCATTTGAAGTCCTGATATCCCAGTGTGCAGAGTTGCTTCTAAAACGCATAACATATCCAGCCTTCTGATCAATGTATGTTGAGTCTGCACATTTAGGAAAAAAAAGAATGCAAAGTGGCAGAACTAAGAGTATCCGCTAACCTCAGAAGAGTAGACAGATTATTAAGTACCTGACATATTTTCTTATCTTTCTCATAAATGTAGTTGTAAAACATCAGTACATTCTTTTAAGTGACAATTTCCTGTATTTAAGATAGGTGGTCTGATTTTTCAAGAGAAGCCAGAAATCCAGATTTTATAAATATTCTTATATTTTAAAATAGTCATCATAAATTTAACAGTTTTGCAGCATTTCTTGGGCCAAACAAAGTACATCTATGAGTTGGATATGGCCTGTGACCTGTTGGTTTATTACTCTTATTTTAAGGACTTCAAGCCAAAATGAATAACTAAGGCATAAGCACTCTCCTTGTAGTCACCTAAGCTTCCATATAATAATAAGAGGCTACTTTAAATGTTTTTGAAATTATATCCAGAGACATCAGGGGACACAGCCTAGTGCTTTATAGCTCAGACTGTGCAGTAATTTAGTCCAGGATGTGATACAGGCTTTGCCAATGAGCTGTGTGAACCAGTGCAGGTCTCTTAGAAAGTTCAGACTTCTTAAGGGATTTCTCGGAGGAATAAATAAGATAATATATGAAGTATCAGCACCTGGCACACCATAAATGCTCAAAATGTATTGTGATTTTAGTTATTGAAATAATTACAAACAAAAATGGCTAATATGTTAAAAGTCTTGCAGAAGAAAACATTCTAACTTAACAAGTTAGACCTTTTATTTTTAATTAATGTGTCAATATTGAGAACAAGCTATTTTCTATTCTCTTTCTTCTCACTTGTAGTTTGTTTTCTGATGCATAGACTGGGGCTAGTTTAGAAACTGTTGTAAACTTTTAGATATAAAGTTCCAGCTGACATGATACTTGACATGATGTAAGCTGATGGAGTAGTGTGATTCAGGATGCTTAAATGGTATAATGAGTTAAGTGAGAAAATGACTAACATGTTGCCATCAGGCATCTCAAGCAGCAAGAGCAATGTGTAAATATGTTTAACTGTGAACGGACAATCAAGGAACGAAAAACAGATCTACTCTTCTGTTCCACTGTTGAAAGTTACAGAACATTATTTCTCATCTCAAACTAAATTCCATGCACATCGAATGGTATTTTGAAAATAATGGAATGTTCTTCCATTTGTTTGTATCCTCTTTTATTTCATTGAGCAGTGGTTTGTAGTTCTCCTTGAAGAGGTCCTTCACATCCCTTGTAAGTTGGATTCCTAGGTATTTTATTCTCTTTGAAGCAATTGTGAATGGGAGTTCACTCATGATTTGGCTCTCTGTTTGTCTGTTGTTGGTGTATAAGAATGCTTGTGATTTTTGTACATTGATTTTGTATCCTGAGACTTTGCTGAAGTTGCTTATCAGCTTAAGGAGATTTTGGGCTGAGACGATGGGGTTTTCTAGATATACAATCATCTCATCTGCAAACAGGGACAATTTGACTTCCTCTTTTCCTAATTGAATATCCTTTATTTCCTTCTCCTGCCTGATTGCCCTGGCCAGAACTTCCAACACTATGTTGAATAGGAGTGGTGAGAGAGGGCATCCCTGTCTTGTGCCAGTTTTCAAAGGGAATGCTTCCAGTTTTTGCCCATTCAGTATGATATTGGCTGTGGGTTTGTCGTAGATAGGTCTTATTATTTTGAGATTCGTCCTATCAATACGTAATTTATTGAGAGTTTTTAGCATGAAGCGTTGTTGAATTTTGTCAAAGGCCTTTTCTGCATCTATTGAGATAATCGTGTGGTTTTTGTCTTGGGTTCTGTTTATATGCTGGATTACATTTATCGATTTGCATATGTTGAACCAGCCTTGCATCCCAGGGATGAAGCCCACTTGATCATGGTGGATAAGCTTTTTGATGTGCTGCTGGATTCGGTTTGCCAGTATTTTATTGAGGATTTTTGCATCAGTGTTAATCAAGGATATTGGTCTAAAATTCTCTTTTTTGGTTGTGTCTCTGCCAGGCTTTGGTATCAGGATGATGCTGGCCTCATAAAACGAGTTAGGGAGAATTCCCTCTTTTTCTATTGATTGGAATAGTTTCAGAAGGAATGGTACCAGCTCCTCCTTGTACCTCTGGTAGAAGTCGGCTGTGAATCCATCTGGTCCTGGACTTTTTTTGGTTGGTAAGCTATTGATTATTGCCACAATTTCAGGTAAGCTATTGATTATTGCCACAATTTCAGAGCCTGTTATTGATCTGTTCAGAGATTCAGCTTCTTCCTTGTTTAGTCTTGGGAGGGTGTATGTGTCGAGGAATTTATCCATTTCTTCTAGGTTTTCTAGTTTATTTGTGTAGAGGTGTTTGTAGTATTCTCTGATGGTAGTTTGTATTTCTGTGGGATCGGTGGTGATATCCCCTTTATCATTTTGTATTGCGTCTATTTGATTCTTCTCTCTTTTCTTCTTTATTAGTCTTGCTAGCGGTCTATCGATTTTGTTGATATTTTCAAAAAACCAGCTCCTGGATTCATTAATTTTTGAAGGGTTTTTTGTGTCTCTGTTTCCTTCAGTTCTGCTCTGATTTTCGTTATTTCCTGCCTTCTGCTAGCTTTTGAATGTGTTTGCTCTTGCTTTTCTAGTTCTTTTAATTGTGATGTTAGGGTGTCAATTTTGGATCTTTCCTGCTTTCTCTTGTGGGCATTTAGTGCTATAAATTTCCCTCTACACACTGCTTTGAATGTGTCCCAGTGATTCTGATAAGTTGTGTCTTTGTTCTCATTGGTTTCAAAGAACATCTTTATTTCTGCCTTCATTTTGTTATGTACCCAGTAGTCATTCAGGAGCAGGTTGTTCAGTTTCCATGCAGTTGAGCAGTTTTGAGTGAGTTTCTTAATCCTGAGTTCTAGTTTGATTGCACTGTGGTCTGAGAGACAGTTTGTTATAATTTCTGTTCTTTTACATTTGCTGAGGAGTGCTTTACTTCCAACTACGTGGTCAATTTTGGAGTAGGTGTGGTGTGGTGCTGAAAAAAATGTATATTCTGTTGATTTGGGGTGGAGAGTTCTGTGGATGTCTATTAGGTCCACTTGCTGCAGAGCTGAGTTCAATTCCTGGGTATCCTTGTTAACTTTCTGTCTCATTGATCTGTCTAATGTTGACAGCTTGGCTTTTTGTAGATACAAGTGTTCTCCAATTTGATCTGCTGAAAATACAACAACAAAATTCAAGATAATGAAAAATCGGAATGGCTATGTTAAATACTTCATGTCATTTTTAGAAGGTAAAAAAAAATCACTTGACTAATTGACTGGTAGGGACAAGGAAGCTGAACTAAGATGAGATAACACTATGCGATCCAGATAGTAATGCTGGGCACTAACAATCAATGGATGGAAAATTACCCTGAAAATATTTGCCGCTTTCTTTCAATCTGCCTGGCTGAGAAATGTAGGTTGAATCTGCCCTACTTTGTTTAATTTTTTCTTTTTGGGCTTCAAATTTTGAAAAACACATTTTCTCCTTTATACGAGGGGGAAGTTTTTAAAAGTGCTAACCTTTGTCAGGTTTATACAGTAGAAAATAAGTGTAGTAATAGTAATGATTCTACATTCATTTTATAACTTGATATACTTGGAAAAATACTTCTTTTTCTCTCTGTAGAAAAGCTTCTTTATCTTTATATTTAACCTCTCAATTCTCAATGTTTTTTAATTTTTTTCCGTAGCCCTGCAAACCCTGGCACCAATTGTGACCGTCATCTTGCTTAAGTCAGTTAGTTGCTGCCTCTGAACTTGCATTTCTTCATATGAATATATTAGTGAATTGAACTAAGCATGGTTAGCTCTAGGATTCTCCTTTATTTTTGAAAAGTCATAAAAATCAAGACCAGTATCTTTAAAGTGGCCAGTTAACAGTTTCAGATTACAAAGTTGGCAGCACTTTGTAATCATTATGTAAAGCACCATTTGAATGGTGCTGTATAAGTGAACCAAGTTCACTAGATAATAGTCCCGGATTATTCTATGAATTTCACTTTGCATCAAAACAAGGAGAGAGTACACATTCGTATAGCAAAACTCCCACTGCTAAACTAAAGCCTAAAATGAGGAAACATTATATTTGGACCCTGAAGAAAATTAAAAGATATAACCACAATCCTAGATAGCACACACTTTTTTAGGGAGATGTCATTTCCATTTCTAATGATTTTTTAAATCATTTTATACCCACCATAATATTTAATATTTATAATGTTATACATTGCTACATTAATGTAGCATCAATTTTATGAAATCTTTTTATATTACTGAAGAATCTATAGCTGAATTATGAATGTCTGAAATAATTTCAGAATTTCAGGCTTTTTTTTTTAGCACACAAGAGATTATTTATCATTATGTATATGTGTAAGTACATTACAATCATATTATTAGTACTGATTGAATTCAAGGCATTGAGGACATTTCTTAAGGTCTGGTTAGACCAGCATGATCCACTTTAAATGGGAGTGGGAAACCCAGAATTGAGCTGGATCAGGTGCAGAAAACAGATATAAGCTTTCTGCCTTGGCTCGTTGCTGTGACTTCAGTAGTCCCCCTACAACCAACTGAAGGAGGAGGGAAAAACCCAAGCTTAGTTGACAGCTGGATATATGGAGGCAAGTGAAAAATACAGTGCTACTGCTTTATATCCCTAGTCAAGAAAAGACTGGGGTAAGAGAGGTCCCCTAAATGATAGTGCTTTGGGCAGTGTGGCTGATAAACCACTTTGTTTTGTCAGAGAAGTGGCTAGATATATACATATATACCAACTCATACACAGTTCCAAAGTGGTTTAGCTGGTTTGTTTGGTCAAAGGCCTGGAAGAGGCAACATTGGAATAGTAGAGATAAGGAGGTCTGAGGGAGAGGCATGTGGACCCATGGATCTATGGAAGTGTGACACAAAGTGTAATGATGTTTATTTTGTATATTTGTGTCCACTGCAGAAGAGCTACTAATAATCAATGAGACAGGATTATTCTGTCACCAGATGTCAGCCAACACTGAGAGAGGTGGTGCTTGCACACTTATGCTTGCACAGAGGACTTATGAACGAGTAGTCAGGGTGAAAGAGACAGAACTTATCAATAGGCCCAACAGCCTGGGGCTCCCTTTCATCATGGTTGATCTAGCTACTGCTGCTGCTGAGCATAAAACCTGCCAACAGCAGAAACCAACATTGCGGGGAGGAGCCAAGATGGCCGAATAGGAACAGCTCCGGTCTACAGCTCCCAGCGTGAGCGACGCAGAAGACGGTGATTTCTGCATTTCCATCTGAGGTACCGGGTTCATCTCACTAGGGAGTGCCAGACAGTGGGCGCAGGTCAGTGGGTGCACGCACCGTGCGCGAGCTGAAGCAGGGCGAGGCATTGCCTCACTTGGGAAGCGCAAGGGGTCAGGGAGTTCCCTTTCCGAGTGAAAGAAAGGGGTGACAGACGGCACCTGGAAAATCGGGTCACTCCCACCCGAATACTGCGCTTTTCCGATGGGCTTAAAAAACGGCGCACGACGAGATTACATCCCACACCTGGCTCGGAGGGTCCTACGCCCACGGAGTCTCGCTGATTGCTAGCACAGCAGTCTGAGATCAAACTGCAAGGCAGCAGCGACTGGGGGAGGGGCGCCCGACATTGCCCAGGCTTGCTTAGGTAAACAAAGCAGCCGGGAAGCTCCAACAGGGTGGAGCCCACCACAGCTCAAGGAGGCCTGCCTGCCTCTGTAGGCTCCACCTCTGGGGGCAGGGCATAGACAAACAAAAAGACAGCAGTAACCTCTGCAGACTTAAATGTCCCTGTCTGACAGCTTTGAAGAGAGCAGTGGTTCTCCCAGCACGCAGCTGGAGATCTGAGAATGGGCAGACTGCCTCCTCAAGTGGGTCCCTGACCCCTGACCCCCGAGCAGCCTAACTGGGAGGCACCCCCCCAGCAGGGGCACACTGATACCTCACATGGCAGGGTATTCCAACAGACCTGCAGCTGAGGGTCCTGTCTGTTAGAAGGAAAACTAACAAACAGAAAGGACATCCACACCAAAAACCCATCTGTACATCACCATCATCAAAGACCAAAAGTAGATAAAACCACAAAGATGGGGAAAAAACAGAACAGAAAAACTGGAAACTCTAAAAAGCAGAGCGCCTCTCCTCCTCCAAAGGAACGCAGTTCCTCACCAGCAACGGAACAAAGCTGGATGGAGAATGACTTTGACGAGCTGAGAGAAGAAGGCTTCAGACGATCAAATTACTCTGAGCTACAGGAGGACATTCAAACCAAAGGCAAAGAAGTGGAAAACTTTGAAAAAAAATTTAGAAGAATGTATAACTAGAATAACCAATACAGAGAAGTGCTTAAAGGAGCTGATGGAGCTGAAAACCAAGGCTTGAGAACTACGTGAAGAATGCAGAAGCCTCAGGAGCCGATGTGATCAACTGGAAGAAAGAGTATCAGCGATGGAAGATGAAATGAATGAAATGAAGCGAGAAGGAAAGTTTAGAGAAAAAAGAATAAAAAGAAATGAGCAAAGCCTCCAAGAAATATGGGACTATGTGAAAAGACCAAATCTACGTCTGATTGGTGTACCTGAAAGTGATGGGGAGAATGGAACCAAGTTGGAAAACACGCTGCAGGATATTATCCAGGAGAACTTCCCCAATCTAGCAAGGCAGGCCGATGTTCAGATTCAGGAAATACAGAGAATGCCACAAAGATACTCCTCGAGAAGAGCAACTCCAAGACACATAATTGTCAGATTCACCAAAGTTGAAATGAAGGCAAAAATGTTAAGGGCAGCCAGAGAGAAAGGTTGGGTTACCCTCAAAGGGAAGCCCATCAGACTAACAGCGGATCTCTTGGCAGAAACCCTACAAGCCAGAAGAGAGTGGGGGCCAATATTCAACATTCTTAAAGAAAAGAATTTTCAACCCAGAATTTCATATCCAGCCAAACTAAGCTTCATAAGCAAAGGAGAAATAAAATACTTTACAGACAAGCAAATGCTGAGAGATTTTGTCACCACCAGGCCTGCCCTAAAAGAGCTCCTGAAGGAAGCACTAAACATGGAAAGGAACAACCGGTACCAGCTGCTGCAAAATCATGCCAAAATGTAAAGACCATCAAGACTAGGAAGAAACTGCATCAACTAATGAGCAAAATAACCAGCTAACATCATAATGACAGGATCAAATTCACACATAACAATATTAACCTTAAATGTAAATGGACTAAATGCTCCAATTAAAAGACACAGACTGGCAAATTGGATAAAGAGTCAAGACCCATCAGTGTGCTGTATTCAGGAAACCCATCTCACGTGCAGAGACACACATAGGCTCAAAATAAAAGGAAGGAGGAAGATCTACCAAGCAAATGGAAAACAAAAAAGGCAGGGGTTGCAATCCTAGTCTGTGATAAAACAGACTTTAAACCAACAAAGATCAAAAGAGACAAAGAAGGCCATTACATAATGGTGAAGGGATCAATTCAACAAGAAGAGCTAACTATCCTAAATATGTATGCACCCAATACAGGAGCACCAAGATTCATAAAACAAGTCCTGAGTGACCTACAAAGAGACTTAGACTCCCACACATTAATAATGGGAGACTTTAACACCCCACTGTCAACATTAGACAGATCAACGAGACAGAAAGTCAACAAGGATACCCAGGAATTGAACTCAGCTCTGCACCAAGCAGACCTAGTAGACATCTACAGAACTCTCCACCCCAAATCAACAGAATATACATGTTTTTCAGCACCACACCACACCTATTCCAAAATTGACCACATAGTTGGAAGTAAAGCTCTCCTCAGCAAATGTAAAAGAACAGAAATTATAACAAACTATCTCTCAGACCACAGTGCAATCAAACTAGAACTCAGGATTAAGAATCTCACTCAAAACCGCTCAACTACATGGAAACTGAACAACGTGCTCCTGAATGACTACTGGGTACATAACGAAATGAAGGCAGAAATAAAGATGTTCTTTGAAACCAATGAGAACAAAGACACAACTTACCAGAATCTCTGGGACACATTCAAAGCAGTGTGTAGAGGGAAATTTATAGCACTAAACGAATCCAGCATCACATCAAAAAGCTTATCCACCGTGATCAAGTGGGCTTCATCCCTGGGATGCAAGGCTGGTTCAATATACACAAATCAATAAATGTAATCCAGCATACAAACAGAGCCAAAGACAAAAACCACATGATTCTCTCAACAGATGCAGAAAAAACCTTTGACAAAATTCAACAACCCTTCATGCTAAAAACTCTCAATAAATTATGTATTGATGGGATGTATTTCAAAATAATAAGAGCTATCTATGACAAACCCACAGCCAATATCATACTGAATGGGCAAAAACTGGAAGCATTCCCTTTGAAAACTGGCACAAGACAGGGATGCCCTCTCTCACCACTCCTATTCAACATAGTGTTGGAAGTTCTGGCCAGGGCAGTTAGGCAGGAGAAGGAAATAAAGGGTATTCAATTAGGAAAAGAGGAAGTCAAATTGTCCCTGTTTGTAGACGACATGATTATATATCTATAAAACCCCATTGTCTCAGCCCAAAATCTCCTTAAGCTGATAAGCAACTTCAGCAAAGTCTCAGGATACAAAATCAATGTACAAAAATCACAAGCATTCTTATACACCAACAACAGACAAACAGAGAGCCAAATCATGAGTGAACTCCCATTCACAATTGCTACAAAGAGAATAAAATACCTAGGAATCCAACTTACAAGGGATGTGAAGGACCTCTTCAAGGAGAACTACAAACCACTGCTCAATGAAATAAAAGAGGATACAAACAAATGGAAGAACATTCCATGCTCATGGGTAGGAAGAATCAATATCGTGAAAATGGCCATACTGCCCAAGGTAATTTACAGATTCAATGCCATCCCCATCAAGCTACAAATGCCTTTCTTCACAGAATTGGAAAAAACTACTTTAAAGTTCATATGGAACCAAAAAAGAGCCCGCATCGCCAAGTCAATCCTAAGACAAAAGAACAAAGCTGGAGGCATCACACTACCTGACTTCAAACTATACTACAAGGCTACAGTAACCAAAACAGCATGGCACTGGTACCAAAATAGAGATATAGATCAATGGAACAGAACAGAGCCCTCAGAAATAACGCCACATATCTACAACTATCTGATCTTTGACAAAACTGAGAAAAACAAGCAATGGGGAAAGGATTCCCTATTTAATAAATGGTGCTGGGAAAACTGGCTAGCCATATGTAGAAAGCTGAAACTGGATCCCTTCCTTACACCTTATACAAAAATCAATTCAAGATGGATTAAAGAGTTAAATATTAGACCTAAAACCATAAAAACCCTAGAAGAAAACCTAGGCATTACCATTGAGGACATAGGCATGGGCAAGGACTTCATGTCTAAAACACCAAAAGCAATGGCAACAAAAGACAAAATTGGCAAATGGGATCTAACTAAACTAAAGAGCTTCTGCACAGCAAAAGAAACTACCATCAGAGTGAACAGGCAACCTACAAAATGGGAGAAAATTTTCGCAACCTACTCATCTGACAAAGGGCTAATATCCAGAATCTACAATGAACTCAAACAAATTTACAAGAAAAAAACAAACAACCCCATCAAAAAGTGGGCAAAGGACATGAACAGACACTTCCCAAAAGAAGACATTTATGCAGCCAAAAAACACATGAAAAAATGCTCATCATCACTGGCCATCAGAGAAATGCAAATCAAAATCACAATGAGATACCATCTCACACCAATTAGAATGGCAATCATTAAAAAGTCAGGAAACAACAGGTGCTGGAGAGGATGTAGAGAAATAGGAACACTTTTACACTGTTGGTGGGGCTGTAAACTACTTCAACCATTGTGGAAGTCAGTGTGGCGATTCCTCAGGGATCTAGAACTAGAAATACCATTTGACCCAGCCATCCCATTACTGGGTATATACCCAAAGGACTATAAATCATGCTGCTATAAAGACACATGCACACATATGTTTATTGCAGCATTATTCACAATAGCAAAAACTTGGAACCAACCCAAATGTCCAACAATGATAGACTGAATTAAGAAAATGTGGCACATATACAACATGGAATACTATGCAGCCATAAAAAATGATGAGTTCATGTCCTTTGTAGGGACATGGATGAAATTGGAAATCATCATTCTCAGTAAACTATCGCAAGAACAAAAAACCAAACACTGCATATTCTCACTCATAGGTGGGAATTGAACAATGAGATCACATGGACACAGGTAGGGGAATATCACACTCTGGGGACGGTTGTGGGGTGGGGGTAGGGGGGAGGGATAGCATTGGGAGATATACCTAATGCTAGATGACGAGTTAGTGGGTGCAGCACACCAGCATGGCACATGTATACATATGTAACTAACCTGCACAATGTGCACATGTACCCTAAAACTTAAAGTATAATAATAAAAATAATAATAATCATAAAAAAAAAGGAAAAAAAAAAGAAACCAACATTGCGCCTCTGATATAGTATCATTGTTCAGGGAGATTAGCTACTTGGTGACAAGTTGATTATATAAGACCCTTTCCACTCTGGAATGGGCAATTATTCACCCTAACTTGGATTTATACATATTCCACATGTGGGTTTGCCTTTTCTAGCCACCACACCTCATCTGGGAACTAACAATTAAGGGCTCACAGAGTGTCTGACCTACTAACATGGCATCCCATATAACATTGTCTTCAATCAAAGGAGGTGAGGCGTTGGGTACAGGCAATTTGGTCCCCTATGCACTGCACTGATCAGAAGCTATCAGCTTGAAGGAGCTTGAGCACAACCTCTTGAAAGTATAGCTGAGGTAAACTTTGAGATGACAGCCTTCAGGAATTAGGTTCTCTCCTTTAGGATGCAGTATACTCCTTAAACCGTGACCATTATATGATCTTATGTTTCCATAAGATAGAACACAGTAGTGCAGGAACCAAGAAGTGAAGGTAGAAGTGGACCCCTCACCACCTCTCTCAGTGACTAATTCGAGGGATTTGCACTTCTTATGTCCACAACTAAAAACCTTGGCTTCCTGAAGGGTCACACTTACATGGGGAACATAATGGAGATCATCCTTTAAACTCAAAGCTACAGTTGTCATCCGATCACACTAGGGTCTTCACACTGGTGGGCCAACAGGCAAAGAAAGGAGTTACCAATGTTAGCAAGAGAGTTTTGCCCCTTCATTTTGACTAGGTAGGACTGCTGCTGCATAATGAGAGCAAGGAGGAATGTGTTTGTCACTTAAGTATTCTACAGAGTCATCTTTTGTTTTTGCCTTGCAGTTTAAACTGAAAAGGCACAAGTAGGGCAACTATGGCCTAATAAGGACACAGTGGCCTAACCCTCAGACCCCACACAGATGAGGGTTGGGTTTACTCCACTAGATAAACCACCTAATCCAGAAGAGGTGCTAGTTACAAGGCAGAGGAAATGAGAGTGAGTGGTGGTGATGGAGAGGGAGATGATGAATAACAGTTATAACTTCCACACCAAATGCAGGAGCAGTAGCAGCAGCAGCAGCAGCCGCAGCAGAAACTGTAGTTTGAACTTGTGATGAACCAGAATCCTGTGAAGCTACACCTATATGGATAGACACAAGCATATCTGAGTGGTGCAAGGGTGA
Organism: Homo sapiens; assembly: GCF_000001405.40. NCBI lineage: Eukaryota > Metazoa > Chordata > Mammalia > Primates > Hominidae > Homo > Homo sapiens. Next base: position 120,641,991 of record NC_000004.12, on the reverse strand, counting down.
GCTGTGTTGCATACTTTTGCTGTCTTGCCCAGTCAGTTGCCCTTTATTGGGCCAAGGAATGCACCCTCAATTGCATTCAGTGTTGGCAGGCAAAGATCACAGTTTTCTCCTTTGCCAGAGAATTGTCCTCTGCAGAAAGGCAGCAGATTTCCCTGGGAAGTTATATGCCCCCTCCCCACTGTAGGGAAGCCTGAAGCCAATAAGAAGTTTACATGGTGGTAACTAAGGTCAGCCACCTTGACTGAGGTAGGGGCAAATATGAGAGCAAGTTATGCTCCAGAGCTCCGCATGGGATCAGACTGCAGGTAGATTCCACCTGAGAACACGTATTATTTACTTTGTTGCCCTGCCTTATCCTGTTTCTCTCATTGCCTTTTGCTTGAGAGCATCATCTCAATAAATCATATGTACACAAGTACTTATCTAGAGCTTTAATTCATATCTGGATTAGAGAGAGAAAATCAAGCATGATACCAAGAGCTCTGGTTTGGGCAGCTGTGTGGTTACTTTATTACTCTGACAAAGATTAGAAGAATAGATACAGAATGGAACAGAAGTCAAAGCTTAGTCTTGGAACATGTTAAGTTTTATATACTTTTGAATTGTTGAGCAGCTTAATATATGGATCTAGAGTTCTAGAAGAAATGCCGGGGCTAGAGAAAAATAAATTTGGAAGTCATTGTAATATAAATGGTATGTAGAAACAACCTCCTTGTAAGAAGTGTATATAGAGCAGAGAAATTTCATTATGTGAAAGTTAGAAATTAGGTAGAGAAGGAGGTTTTTAAAAAGTCTGAGATAGAGCAGCCAGAGAGGTAGGAAGACAGCTAAAAGGATGTGTTGTCATGCAAGCCAAGTGAGAAACACTGTTTGATAAAAGGGGCATTTTCAACACTGTTATGCTGTTGACTTGTTACATTAAGTATAATAAGTACAGAATAGTGGGCCTTAACTTTTGCAACAAAGAGATTTTTGATGGCCTTTAAAGAGAAATTCCAGTGACATAGTGGGATAGAAATGAGATTTCAGTGGATTTAAGAGTGTATGGGAGGTGTGCCTGGGGGCGTCATGTTGACAGTTCTGTAGGGAAATTTAGTTGTGGAGAGGGGCAGAAGAAAAGGGTTGTAACTGAGATGATTTGTGTGGTCAAGTGAGGCAATTTTTAGGAGTGGAAATACTACGTTGATAATAGCTAAAAACCATGTATTTTCTCCTATACACTTCACATATAAGAATATTTATTCTCCACAATGATGCTATGTTATATTGTAATAATATCCACACTTATAAGTGAGGGAGCTTAGCCTAGCAAATGGTGAATCTAGGACCTGAAGCTGGGCAGTCTGACTCCAGAGATCAATCTGTAATCATCATGTTATTCTCAAATATTAGTGAATGTCTGTATATTGATGGAGATGACTGAGTAGAGAGGGAGAGATGGATGATGGAAGAAATATATCAGATGATCAAAAAGGCAATGTGTGTATGAATGTAGAGATGAGCTCTACAGCACACCTTATAAGAGTGTTATAGAAGAAATGGCCTATTCTCAAATGGAGCAAAGAGGATAAGTGCATTTATAAACACAGGCTATAGTTTTGGAGATGGGAAATGAGGGTCTGATGCATTTCATTTTCTCAGATTATATTCTGAGATTACAGGTAAGAGAAGGATGGATAAGCCTTTTTATGGAAATAAGAGAAGACAAGAAAGATTTTAACTAGTTTCCTCAAAGGATGGGAAAATAGCAGGTTTGCCAAATAGTGCTAAGAATAAATTGGAAGTTTGTGATCATGGATTTGGAATAAAATGGGTCTGACTGACTGCGCCCTTTCTATAGCTATATTTAGCTACTGACATAGAAAGTGTTGATGGTTGATGATTTTCAGAGCTAGTGTATTGGCAAGCTAGTGCTATGGAGGGAGAGATGGGCAGGAAAGTAGTAGGTGTTTACGATGGATTGATTACAGCAAGTGACCATAGACAGTATTCTTCACAAGAATGGAAGTGAAGACAAGAGGCAGTTGATACACAATGGAAAAAAAATGAAGAGATCAATAGGCTAGAGGTTAGACTGCCTTAAAGAATGGTCATAATCAGGTTATCTGAACAGCTAACCATGAAACAGGTTGTGACCAGACAATGGGAAAATGGATTGAATTTTTTTTTTTTTTCTGAGGCAGACTCACACTCTGTCACCCAGGCTAGAGTGCAGTGGCAAGATCTCAGCTCACTGCAGCCTCTGCCTCCTAGGTTCAAGAGATTTTCCTTCCTCAGCCTCTGAGTTGCTGGGATTATGGGCATGCCCCACCAAGTCCAGCTAAGTTTTTTTGTATTTTTAGTAGAGATGGGGTTTCACCATGTTGGCCAGGCTGGCCTCAATCTCCTGGCCTCAAGTGATCCACCTACCTTGGCCTCCCAAAGTACTGGGATAACAGGCATGAGCTACCGCACCTGGCCTGAAATATTTTTTAAATGAAGCAGTGAGAAGTTATGGTCTAGGGTGTGACCATGGGAGTTGGGGCCTGAGGTGAAATGAGAGGAAAAGGATAGTGGGTCTCAGAAAGACTAGAAACTGAGAGAACACAGCAAAGGAGGAGCAAGGAACCAACGGTGCTAGTGTTTCTCATCTGGGCTCACTTTTATGCTGCTTTATGGTGATAGAAGGAGCAGTCCTCCAGAAGCTTCCATACTGCTCACTCTATTTGGGAAGCCCAGACCTTGATTTCTAGAATAAACTGCCCATACTCCTTCATATTATCAGGATGGATCCCATTACACGTCACAGACATGTTTATCTAAGGTAAGAGGACAGCATTTTCTCAGACTCTTCCATGCACCACTGGCAGTCCTAACTCCCACTTTGGAAATCTCAGTCTGATTAACTAAGTTCTAACCTGATAATTGGAATGTTCTCTTCTTGGAGTATTCCTTCTTGCAGTGCTGTCACTCTTGGAGCTCTATTGCCATGGTGCAAGGACGCCCGGACTAACCTGCATGGAGAGACCACATAAATAAATCATGTGAAGTACTTTAGCTGACAGCCCAACTGGAGTCTCATCTGACAGGTGGCATCAGTCTGAAATGGGAGGGGACTCTTCCACATGATTCCAGCCATCGAGTCTCCCCACCCTTCTAATCTTACCAAATGTGTCCCAGATGTTGTGGAGCAGAGAGAAGCCAACTTTGATATATCCTGTCTAAACTGCTGCCCACAGAATCTAGTAACCAATGAAATGGTAATTTTACTGCACTGTTTGGGGTAGTTTGTTTCTTTGTACAAAGCAATACTTATTATTTCATAGAAAATAAACTCAGAGGCCAGGCACAATGGCTCACACCTGTAATCCCAGCACTTTGGGAGGCAGAGGCAGGTGGATCACAAGGTCAGGAGTTCAAGATCAGTCTGGCCAATATGGTGAAACCCCGTCTCTACTAAAAATACAAAAATTAGCCGGGCATGGTGGTGGATGCCTGTAATACCAGCTACTCGGGAGGCTGAGGCAGGAGAATCACTTGAACCCAGGAGGCGGAGGTTGCAGGGAGCCGAGATCACACCACTGCACTCCAGTCTGGGTGACAGAGCAAGACTCCATCTCAAAAAAAAAAAAAAAAAAAAAAGAAAGAAAGAAAGAAAGGAAAGGAAAGAAACTCAGAAAGTCAAACCAGATTATTTTTTCTCAATCAACTATTTTTCCATCCACATAACAGAATAATTCAAAACCACAGGGAAATGAAATAATACATTGTTGAAAATTTGTGTAAATACAATGCCTCATTCATCTTCCCATTGAATGGTGTAGAATTGAATACTTACAGCATTAAATATTGGATGCTGTAAAAAATGTAGATGTAGGTAAACACTTTGCAGGTAATATTGTTAAAATTGTAACTTTAGTTAAACACTTTGCAGTTAATATTTTATGGTCATTATATGTGTACAAAAACAATTACATCAGCTAGATTTATGGCAATCTGAACATACTGAGAACACACGATTTATTTGTTTCCCTTTCCTTATTACATTCCAGACAGACAAAAGTCACATTTTTCTCAAACAGCTGTTTATCACCATCACTATTGAAGTTTTTAAAAAATTAAAAATTGTTAGAGATAGAAGAGTGTCAATGTTAAAATTGTGTTTTCTCTTTTGAGGCACATATACTAAAATCTTTTTCTCCTAGTATCATGTTAGTGTGGAAAGAAATTTTTCCAAGTTTCCTTATGAGCTTTGGAAGGGAGAAATAAGAAACTATTGGTGTACTCTTGATGATTTCTTATTTGGGTTACCTCAGGCCACTTCTAAACATTTCCAAAAAGCTTGGCATAAACTTTCTATAAACAATACACATTAATGTTAATTTGATATCAGAAACATTAATATATTAAAATATTATATTTTATAATACCATTTGTTGCAGTGATTAGCTTCTCTCAGCCTCAGGAAAAAAACAAATGGTGATACCAATAATATGTTGTATTTAATACATGAATCTTGTCAGGATTAAATCATAGGACAAAATGAGGATGTATTTGTAAAGTATATGCTAAGGCTGTCATTATTATTCTTGTGATTTAATTATTCTAGATATATGCATTTTTATGTACTCCCTCATATTAATGAAGATAATCAGATCTTATGTTTCTTATGTAATATTGCTTTATTCACAATTTTCTTTGTTTGTTTAAAAACCACATTGGGCATAGGTGCAAGAGTAACAGAAAATCTAAGACAAGAAATAAGTTAAAAAATATTATATGTCAGCAAAGAAATAAGTATTGCTTCAGCATTTTTATAAGTACATAAATATTTACTTTTTTAAATCATCCCTAAGCCACTGTAACATATTACACTTCTGTAATATTTTACACAAATTCACTCATCAATTGTGAAAAGAGACGAACCACCACTGAAGAAACATGAAACAATGTTGTCTTCATTGTAAAAAATGCAGGTACTGAGAGATCACCAATACTAGAGAACAGATGGGTGGATAGCAAAAGTCTGAACATTCTGAACAAAATTTTCTCTTGGCTAAATATAATGCTCCTTTTTAGAGAATGAGAGAAAAGTGTATTCTTAAGAAATAATATACGAAAAGATTTTTAGTGGCTAAGAATAGTTAACTGGCTTTCCATTTATGAAGCGAGTGTATTGAATTAGATATCAGGTTACTTAATATACATATATATACACAAAAATGCATATATTATGATTTATATTACTGTCTTAGTTCAGGCTGATGTAACAAAATGTCACAAACTGAGTGGTTTAAAGAACAGAAGTTTATTTCTCATAGTTCTGGAGGCTGGAAGTCCAAAATCAGGGTGGGATATATGGTTAGGATCCGGTGAGAGCCCATTCCTCGTTAGAGAGCAAGCAAGTTATTTTTATCGTATTAAAGCCTTGATGACAAAGAAGTGGTGGGAGTGTGTTTTATTTCAGTTTTTGTTTTCTGGTTTCAGACTAGCTTTAAATACCAAAGGTTGCATAATTTTTTTCTACAGTGGAGATTAGCACTGTACTTCTACTGTTTTCAGAGACCACAGAGGAAAGCATCATTACCTAATTATTCACATGCCGCTGAAGATGGAAACTTGTTAGCTTGAGATCTGGCCTCTCTCTGTCCTGGCATCCAGAACCCCCTACACTCACACACAACCTGTTTGTTAGTTTTCGGTCAGTGTACGAGTCACCAGTCTTTAGAGTCATGTTGTTGCTGAAGGAAATGGCAGAGTGGTTGGAAAAGTCTATCAAAGTTTCCATGACTTCATCTAAAGATTCTAGTAAATCTACTCCACTAAGGTGATTAAACATGTAACGCTAGATAGAGTGAGTTGCTGGGAGGTTTCTAGAGTCTGGCATTATTTTTTAATAACAGGTCTTCGTTAGCAAAGTTTCCAATCCACTATCAAAATTTTACTCTCTTTTATCCACTGGTCTAACTCCTAGTCATTGCAATGGGACCCCCACCTATGGATTCATTATCATCTACCACTGAGTATCAGAGCTAAGCAGAAAAACTGAACTCATTCTCTATTAGAGACATGCAACTATATTGTAGTCATTCTTAACAGCTTTCACGGTTAGTTAAAAAAGGGGGAACGCTAACAAGATGTTCAGCAAAAACCCATCTTGTAAACACAGACATCTTCAATTTCCTCTTTGCTATGAGTTCTTGGGGTTTTTCTTAATGTAAAGAGCAATTTAAAAATATTTCTGGGCAGAGGAAAATACCTTAAAATTTACACTCAATGCAGTAAAACTTCAATGCATTCAATTAAAGCTTGTAATATAATAATGATAACAACAGACAGAATTTAAAGAGCACCTCATATGGATAATCAAGTTATTGAGAACATACATGTATTATCTCTGGGATGAAGATTGCCGTGTCCTTAGATTCTGTGTATAAATAGACCTTGTATATGTATATGTGTCTGCTTTTTTCTAACTGGGAGATATATCAATTATCTATCTATAAGAGTACATAAATATGTTTACATTTTGAAAATAATTATGAAGCAAACATCTAAATAATTACTATCCAGAACAAGAAAGAGAACATTTCTATTGCCCAAATAAAACATTACTTCTGCCATTGCCTTACTGATATTTCTTCACTAATAAACACCACCTAGAGTTTAATGATGATAAATAAATCCTTTGCTTTTTTAAAAAATCTGTGCTTAACATTTTCCCCAAGTGCTTATTTTGCCCACTTTTAAACTTTATACTAATGGAATCATACTGCAGGTTTTATTTTGCATCTACTCTTCTCTCAACATTATATTTGTGAGATCGATCCATGTTATTACATGAAGCTAATGATCATTTTTTATTGCTAAGTTATATTCCATTATAGGACTGTGCCATATTCTATTACCCATTTGACTGTTGATGAAATTTGAGTTGTTTCCAGTCTGGGCTCTTTTGAATAATAATGCTGTGAACATGCATCTGTAGGAATATATGTAAGTGTTTGTCAGCATTTTCAAATTTTAACATCAGAATCACTTGGAGAGCTCATTTCCCTACAAATTGCTGGGTACTTTCCCCCATAGTTTCTGATTCAGTAGGTCTGAGGAGGGGTATGGGGATCTGCATTTCTAAGTTCACAGGTGATGTTGATAGTCCTGGGGGCGACATTAGAATCTCTGATCCAGGGTTCATAATAAAGCATGGAACTTCTAGGTCAGAAGGTAGGAGTATCTTCAGTCGTATGAAATAATCCCAAACAGTTATCCAAAGCAGTTAGATCAGTGTCTGTTCCATCAGCAGAAAATGTGAAATCCCATTGCATTGATTTGTCGGCCTTATTTTTGCTAATATGGTGGGTGTGTAATAGTATTTTGTTGTGGTTTTAATTTTTTTTCTGTTAATGAGGTTAAGCACATTTTAGTATATTTATTGGTCACTTAGATTTATATTTTGTAAGATGCCTGTTCAGTTTTTTTCCTGTTTATCATTGTGTTATCTGTCTTTTCCTTAACGTTTGGAAGAACTTATTTATTTTGAATATTAGTCTTTTTTATATACAGTTATTACAAGTAGATTCTCTCCCTCTGTGGTTAGTCTTTTTATTCACTTTATAATATACTTCAATAACTTGAAGATTCAAATTTTAATGTCTTAACTGTATCCATGTTTTTCTCTATGGTTAATGTTTCTTTGTGCCTTGTTTAAGAAATCTTTCTCTCTTCTAGGTTGGGAGGATATTCCCCTATATTATCTTCTGAATCTTTATAATTTTGCTTGAAATTACCTATAAGTGGTCTTATGTTTTTCATTTTCTTTTCATCTAGATAACCAATTATTGGGTATCATTTATTGGAAAATATGTCTTTTGCTCATAGATCTGTAATACCAACTCTATTGTATAACAAAGGCCTATATACATGTGGATTTCTGGGATCTCCATTTACTCAATTGGTCTATTTTTCTATCCCTCTACAAATACCACAGATTACTCATCACTATAGTTCATGAGTTGGCAAACATTTTTCTGTAAAGGACTAGATAGTAAATATTTTAGGCTAGATGGACTTTACAGGCCAAATAAAACCTCTGTCTTCTTTTTCTTTAACAACTCTTTAAAAATGTAAAAAAATATTCCTAGCACAAGGGCTATACTATAAACTGAAACAAGCTGTGGGCCAGAGTTGGCCTGAAGCCATAGTTTAATGAACACTACTGAAGCTTTATTTAAAATTTTTATATTTGTATCAGCCATTGCAAAAATCACATTTAAAAAACCTGTGAGCTAAAATAATAAGCATTTATGTTTCCCATTAATCTCTAAATCAGAAAGGAGGTTTTACTGTGGGTTGAGTAGGCAATTTTGCTGGTTTTGTTGATGTCTGTCAAATGTTTGGGTGTCAGTTAATATTAGGTTGTTTTGAATGGCTTCAGGTGACACACTTATTCTCAGACTCCTACAAGCTAACCTGAACTTGTTCATGGGGAAGCTGCGTGTCTCCAAGAAAGAGTGGAAGCATGCAAAGCCTCTTGAGTTCTGGGCTCAGACTGGCACATTGTCACTTTCACTGCATTCTACTCAACAAAGCAAGTCACAAATCCAGCCCTGATTCAAGGGGTGAGAACATAGACTCTACTTCTTGATGACAGTATCTGTAATACCATATTGCAAAGAGTGAGGATATAGAGTAGACTGAAATTAATTTACCGACAAATGAAACAGGGAAAATTCTCCTATTTTGTTTTTTATTTTATTAAGCAATTTGAACTGAGTCTTGAAGTATGAATAAGAATTTGTTATGCAGAAAAAAATATTTGAATGGATAGAAAAGTACTTCCAAGGCATCCAGTTGTGAAAGGACTTATATTCAAGGAATGACAAGGAGTTCTATAGGTTGTGTCAAGAGTTCAAAATGAATGAATGAGCATTGGGGCCAAAAATGAATTTGGAAAGGAGTTTAAGCTTGATTTTCGGGGGGCTTTCATCCTAAAAGCAATAATCCATTTCAAGGCTTTCTTTTAATGGCTTAATTAAATAATGTAATCAAATTTGTGTTTTAGAAAGTTCTCCAGAAGGAGGCAAGATGGTAGATAAGTCAACTTGTTGTATTTTTTAGGAATGTCAGGTGAGAAACAATGGGAGTCTGAACTAAAGTAATAGCAGCAGCAATGAGAGTAATGGGACATTAAAAAGATATTTTGAAGTTTAAATGAATAAGAAATTATGAATTGTAAGACAAAGAAGATAAAAGGGAAGAAAAACACATAATAAACGTTAAGTTTTCTTACTCAGGTGCTGCTAGTGATAAAGTTATTCACCAAGATAGGGGACATAAGTGAGAAAGAAAGGGAAAAAATAGTAACAAGTTCAGTTTTTAATACATTAAGGTTGAGCATAACAGTAGGTGTTTGGGTATAAGAAGTTTGGGAGATAGTCTGCTGACTGAACATAAAACTTGCTTGACATGATATCACTCTGATAAATGGACTGGAGGAATTTACTAAGAACAATTCTGCACAATAGCAACATAATCACATTATGGTGGCATATTTCAATGTATCCTTCTACTATACAGACCTTATATTTTAGCATTATTTTTGTAATTGGAATGTCCATGTAAAATATTATAGAGTAAGAGCCGTGTTTCTCAAATTTTAGTGTCTCTGTGTGAGCTAGAGCTCTTGACAAAATGCAGATTCAAATTTAGTTAGTCTGTGGTGGAGTGAAATTCTCTATTTTTAATAAGTTACCAGATGATGGTGACACTGCAGATCTGTGGACCACACTTTGAGTAGCAAGTTTATAAAGCACATTAGTTCATTATGTTTTGAATAAAGTGACATTAACTGTTGTTCAGAACAGACAGTAGCTGACGAAGTTTGAAGAAACCACACAAATAAAAAGCCTCTTTCAAAATGTCTTATATTTTAATAACATCCAGGTTGTACATCTTACCAAAGAGATGAGCAAAGAAATAAATCCTGAGCAGTCTTAACCTTTGCTCCCTGTCTAAAAGCCAAAAGTAAAGAGCGTGAATTCCCTGAGACAGGCCAAGGTGTATGTGTCCACATGTGTTAGGTGCCTTTGACCCAACAGCTGTCACTAAGTATATCCAATGCTCAGAAAACAGCAGGGTAAGTCGTTGAATAGTCAACAAGGCTAAAAGTCAAAGAGTAGATACAGAAATTGATGTAGAGTGATTTCTGCCACTGGAACTTAAACTGGCTGTATATTCCTTCTCTCTAATCAGAAGCAGCTTCCCTTCCCAGCTGTACCAGATATTCTGTTTATTCGCTTTGTGCAAGTGTTCTTCAGTGAAAACTTCATTTCCCAGCATATCTTCAGGGATCTCCATTAGACTGGTAACAGATTATCACCATCTGTTGGCAATTATTTCCCCTATGTAAGAGCCTGATCTGAGAGACATGTCCTCTTTCACCAGCAGAGTAACAACTTGAGAGAACTAGGTTGGTCTCTAGAGAAGCAGCTGGATGTAGATAACCAATATTAAAACAGCCTGATGGCTTCTAGTTCTGTGCTACACATATTTTTTTTTTTGCAAGTTGGGAACTATCTCATTTGTGTTTTTTAGAATCCAAAATATATTCAAGAACAAAAGAAACCAAACCCATTATTTTACAAAAGAATAACAACCACCTCATTTATCGTGTTCCGTTTTAATGAGATTAGATTTTTAAAATAATACATTTACCACTTTATTAAATATATAATTAAAGGAAATTCACAACACTCAAATATAAATTCCCTGTAAATATAAAATTAATTCTTAAACCAGCAAAAGACAGTTTGGAGACATATACATTAATGGTAACATTTGGAATATGATTGCAGATTAATTAAGAAATCTTATAAACAACTACACTAGAACCATTATCCATATCACTCAATTCAAACTGTATATTCATTGAGTTTCCAGTTGTTTTTCTGTTCTAGGCATGGAGGATATTCTATACATGAAAAAAATGATAAAAATTATCTATCCTTATTAGCTTCTCTTTTAATTATGGGAGACAAATTATCAGATAAAATATATAATATATTGGTGATAAATGCTATGAAAAAAATAAGGGATATGTTTCAAGAAGTACAGATGGGGAGGCGGGGAGGGAAAACTTTTTATTTTAAATGGGGTAAAGTGTGTTTCTGGACATCCATCCTTTACCCAAATTTTAGAATTATTGAAGAATAATTTTAAAAGCATCATTTAGGATATATAAAGGATAATTTCAGATAGTGATGGTAGCATCCTGTTTTTCAGTGCAAGAATGAAAAGAAATAGAACTTTTCAGTCCCTAGAACAATGCCAGTGTGCACACTGTCTTAAGCTACACCCAACATATCGGGGAGATGTCCAAGGTACTGAGCTTAAGGCAATTCCATAAGGGGCAGCCTCCAGTTGCTCCTTGTCACTCATTGAGACTGCATAAGTCACTCAGCTTCATCCTCTGTGTGGAGTGGAAGTCTACATAAATATCAGATAAACATTTTTTGCAAACCTTTTATATTTCTAAGCTTTTAAAAAACTCTACCTTTAATAATAATTATTTTCTTTCAATTGTTGACCTTTCTTCATTGAAAATGTGATAACATCTTTTTCTCTAAAAGTATTTTCTTTGTGAAGTTAAATCTCAACTTAAAGTAGAAGGCATTCACAGTGAGATAAATCTGGGTTGAAATTCTGACAATATCATTTAGCAGATAGGTGACTTGGAAGATGACTTACTGTATCTGAGATTCTGTCAAATGAGGTTCATAATGCACACTTCTTAGGATGTGAGGATTTAATTAGATAATGTATGTAAAGTATCTCTTGTTGCACCTGGGCTACAATAATTGTTTAAAAAATGTTAGTTTTTTCCCTCTTCTCTACTGTTGAGAGGTAATTCTCTATTGGTCACTCATATTTCTGCACACCTTGTAAGCACAGGCAATGACAGCTCTTATTCCGGATTATCTTTTCAAGGATGTTTGTATAGTTTTCAGTATTGGAAGTTATAGCATTTCCTTCCAGAGCAAAGGGCAGTCATGCACACTGTCTAGTGTAACTGATAGAATTATTTTCCCTCAGGGGACAAGGTTGAGCAGGCTTGCTTGCAGCCCATCATAAAATATTAGCATTTCCTAAGCTTCAGATTCCAGCAGGTGTCATCTGGCTCTTATTCTGCTGCCTTTTGGGAATTGAAGCTCAGGAAACTGATGCATAAAATTATGGCTACTGCTATTATTGTGATAAACCCTCCTTTGTCTCTGACCCACGACTGTCATGTCTTCTTCCAGCATTCATGTAGCTGTGGCAAGCTAATTGGTTATCTTCCAAGTAAGGTAAATCTCTTGACAGACCCTTTACAGCGCTTGACATCTACACTTCTCTACTACATAGGTTCAATGTCATATACAGCAAAATTTTAACTTCATAATTTAAGCCATTTTACTTGTTTTCTTCCATCATATTGAGGTGTAATCAACAAATAAAAATTGCATATATTTAAAGCATAAAAGGATTTTTTGTTTTTTGAAAATAAATTTGATTGTGGGTGTTTAAAGTATACAACATGACGTGATGGGATAAAAATAGAGTTAAAAAGTTACTACAGTGAAGCAAATTAACATATTCTTCACATTCATCATCTCACATAAGTATTCATATTATTTTTTTGTGGCAAGAACATCTAAGATCTACTCATTTAGCATAAATCTCATATACAGTATAATTTTTTTAACCTATAGTCCTCATGTTTTACATTAGATCTATAAACTTTTTCATCCTCAATGTCTGCTACTTTGTATCTTCTGGCCCCCATCACCCCATTTCCTCCCCCTCCCACCTCTAATAACCACTATTTTTTTATCTGTTTCTGTATATTTGAAGTTTTCTTTTTTAGATTTTACATATAAGTGAGATCATGCAATATTTTTCTTTCTATGTCTGCGTATTTCACTTGGCATAATGTCCTCTAGGCTTATCCACATTGTAGCAAATGGCAAGATGTCTTTCTTTTTTTAGGGCTGAATAATATTCCATTGTATATATGTACCAGTTTCTTTATCCATTCTGTTAAGGGCACTTAGGTTTTTTCTATATCTTGGCTGTTGCAATGAACATGGGAGTGCAGATATCTTTACGAGACAATGATTTCATTTCCTTTGCGTAAGTGTCCAGAAGAGGGGTTGCTGGGGCATTTGGTAGTTCTATTTTTTTGGAAACTTCCATACTGTTTTCCATAATGGCTATACCAATCTATATTCTCACTAACAGTGTGCAAGAGTTTCCTTTTCTCCACACCCTCGCCGACATTTGTTATCTTTTGATAATAACTATCTTAATGGGTGTGAGGTGGTATCTCATTGTGGCTTTGATTTGCATTTCTCTGATGATCAATAATGGTAAGCACCTTTGCATATACCTGTTTGACATTTTTAATATCTCCTTCGGAGAAATGTCAGCTGAAGACATTGACCCACTTTTAAATGGAGCTATTTGTTTTTTTTTCCACCATTGAGTTGTATGAGTTCTTTTTACATTTTGGATAAATTTTGTCTCTTATCATACATATGGTTTGCAAATATTTTTTCCCAATCCACAGCCTGTCATTTTTAAATTGTTTTCTTTCCTGTGCAGAAGCTTATTAGTTTGATGTAGTCTCATTTATCTAATTTTTGCTACTGTGGTATGAGCTTTTGGTATGGTATCCCAAAATTCATTGCCAAGGCCAGCATCCAGGAGCTTTTCCCCTATGATCTCTTTTAGGAGTCTTATAGTATCTGGTCTTATATTTAAGTCTTATATCCATGTTTAGTTGGAATTTTTGTGTATGGTGTAAGATAAGGGTCTAATTTCATTTATTTGCATGGAACCCATATTTCGCAGCACTCTTTATTGAAGAGAGTATCTTCTCTATTGTGTCCTCTTAGTGCCTTTGTCAAAAATTAGTTGACCATGTATGTTTGAATTCATTTCTGGACTTTCTATTCAGTTCCACTGGTCTCTATATCTGTTTTGAGGCCAGCACCAAACTGTTTTCATTACCATAGCTTTGTAATATAACTTTAAGTCAAGAAGTATGATGCCCCCAACTTTGTCTTTCTTTCTTAGAATTGTTTTGGCTATTGAGATCTTTTATGGTTCCATAGGAAAGTTAGGATTGCTTTTCCTATTTCTTCGAAGAATGCCATTGGGATTTTGGTAAGAATTATGTTGAATATGTATATTGCTTTCGGTGGTATGGCCATTTTAACAATATTAATTCTTCCAATCTGTGAGCATTGAATATCTTTCCATTTATTTGTGTCTGCTTCAATTTTCTCATCAATGTATTATAGTTTTCAGTGTACAGATCTTTTATCTCCTTTGTTAAATTTATTCTTGGGTCTTATTTTTTTTTGAAGCTATTGTGAATGGAATGAGTTTCTTGATTTCTTTTTTAGTTAGGTTATTATTTTTTGTGTAAAAATGCTTCTGACTTTTGTATGTTGATTTTGTATCCTGCAACTTTTCTGAATTTATTTATTAGTTCTAACAGTTTTTTTCGGGATGTGTGTGGAATCTTTGCATTTTTTTTTTTTTTTTTTTTTTTTTTTTTTTTTTTTTTGACAGTGTCTTGCTCTGTCACCCAGGCTGGAGTGCAGTGCGCGATCTCGGCTGTCTTTGCGGTTTTTTTACATATAGAGTCAAGTTGTCTTCACACAGAGAAAATTATATTTCTTCCTTTCTATTGTGATGCCTTTTATTTCTTCACTTAAATACTCTTCCTATTATTTCCAGTATGATGCTGAATGGAAGTGGCAAGAGTAGGCATCCTTCCCTTGTACTGGATCTCAATAGGAAAGCTTTCAGTTTCTCCCGGTTGATGATGTTTGCTGTGGTTTAGTTTGTTCGTTTGTTTTTTGTTTTGTTTTGTTGTTGTTGTTTTTAGAAATTGCTTTATTTAGAAGAATTTCCCTTCTATACCTAAACTATTGAGTGTTGTTATCTAGAAAAAATGTTGGACTTTGTTGAATACTTTTTCTGCATCAATTAAGATGATCATGTGGTTTTTGTCTTTCATTCTGTTAATGTAATGGATCACATTGATGTATTTGCATATGTAAAACCAATCTTACATACCAGCAATAAATCCACTTAGTCTTGATGTATGTACACCTTGTGAAATGATTACAGCCATCAAGGTCATTAACATATACATCATCTTACATAGTTAACATTTGTGTGTGGTGAGAATATTTAAGATCTACATTCTTGGAAAATTTCAAGCATACAGTATATTATAATAACTACAGTCATTATGGTATACATTCAGTTTCCAGAACTTTTTCATCTTATAACTGAAAGTGTGTACCCTTTAACTAGTATTTCCCCATTTCTTCTACTCTTTGACACTTGATAACCACTCTTCTGTTCTCTGTTTCTATGAATTCTACTTTTTAAGTTTCCACATATAAGTAAGATCATGTGGTGTTTGTCTTTTTGTTCTTGGCATATTTCACTTAACACAGTGTCCTCTAGGTTCAATAATATTGTCCCATATTGTCCTCTTTAAAATATATGTATATACACACACATACACATATATGCCTCCACATACACACACACACACGTTTTCTTTATTCATTCACTCATAAGAGAACATTTAGATTGTTCATTTTTTGGCTTTTGTAAATATTGCTGCAGTGAACATGTGGGTGCAGATATCATTTTTAGAGAGTATTTTTGTTTCCCTTGGACACATACCCAGAAATGGGACTGCGGGATCACATGGTGCTTTTAATTTTTTAAATTAAAATATTTTAAAAATGTGATTCCATATGAATTTAACCCCTTATAAGATATATAGTTAGCAAAAATTTTCTCTCATTCTGTAGGTTGCCTTTTTACTTTGCTAATTGTTTTCTTTGCTGGACAGAAACTTCTTAATGTAATGTAGCCTCACATGTTTATTTTTGCCTTTATTACCTGTGCTTTTGGGGTCATACCCCAAAAATTATCACCAAGACCAACATCAAGGAGCTTCTCTCCTATATTTTCTTCTATGAGTTTTATAGTTTTAGGTCTTACATTTAAGTCTTTAATTTGATTGATTTTTGTGTATGGTATAAAATAAAGATCCAGTTTATTTATTTTTTTTTTGCAATTGGATATCCAGTTTTCCAACACCATTAATTAAAGGTACTATCCTTTCCCCATTGTATATTCTTGGCATCTTTGTGGAATATTAGTTGACCATATATGTACAGATTAATTTCTGGACTTTCCATTATATTCCAATGCTCTGTGTGTTTGTTTTTGTGCTGGTACAATACTGTTTACTAGTGAAGCTTTGTAATATAATTTGAAATTAGGAGGTGTGATGCCTCCAGATTTGTTCTTGCTCAAGACTGCTTTAACTATTCAAGGTCTTTTGTCATTCCATATGAATTTTAGGATTGCTTTTTCCTATGCTGGCAAAAAATGCTATTGAAATTTTGATAGGGATTGCATCGAATTTATAGATCACTTCAGATAGTATGGATATTTTGACAATATTATTTTTTGATCCATGAACACAAAGTGCCTTTCCATTTATTTGTGTCTTCTTCATTTTTTTCATTAATGTTTTATAGGTTTCAGTGTACAGATGTTTCATCTCCTCATTGTTTGCTCTTAAAGCTTAACTGTTGTAATGGGAATCAGAGAATTTGAATGCTTCAAATTTAAAATTTAAAAGTTAATCTTCAGTTTTAAAATGGTATATTTCCTGCAGACCCTTATGTGGTCTCTTCTAACTTCCCTCTAAAAGAAATACAAAGACGGGCGGGGCGTGGTGGCTCATGCCTGTAATCCCAGCACTTTGGGAGGCCAAGGTGGGCAGATCACCCGAGGTTGGGAGTTCAAGACCAGCATGACCAACATGGAGAAACACCATCTCTACTAAAAATACAAAATTAGCCGGGCATGGTGGTGCATGCCTGTAATCCCAGCTACTCAGGAAGCTGAGGCAGGAGAATTGCTTGAACCCAGAAGGTGGAGGTTGCAGTGAGCCGAGATCGTGCCATTGCACTCCAGCCTGGGCAACAAGAGCGAAACTCCATCTCAAAAAAAATAAAATAAAATAAAGAAAGAAGTATAAAGACACAGATAATAATGAAAACACTCATGATAAACATTAGAACTAATAACTAGCCCATAGCAAGAATCTGAAAATGTTCATTAAAAACAAATTTAATGAAAGTAGATTGCAGAGGGTAATGCAGAGCCCATATTTCCAGAAAACAGAGAATTTGACATAGTTTTTGAAAACCCTATCATAGTCTCAATGTCCGTCTCCTGGCTCAGAAATACCGAAATTATACCAATCGGAAAAATGACAAACACCCTTTTAAGGTGTGGGCACTGCTTTCTTGAGGTTGCCAGAGTGCTGCTTCCCTCATCCCACCCCCGGGCTTCACATCTGTGTCTTTCTTCCTACATTCAGTAAGACTGCTGGACAAGAGGCTCAACTAGGAGTCAGGGAGGGGGATGAGCAATGAGGCTGAGGGGGCTAGAAGAGATCATCCTTTAGGTACTGGATCAAGGAAGTGTTCTTTTAGGAGTATAATCTGGACATTTTATGCTATTAGATACTGGTCTCTATTTTGTGTCCAACAATGAGGCAGTAAAGGGAAGTAGCAGATTTTGACTCAGGGCAGCAGAGTTGTAGTAGTTGAAAAGATGAGAGTTGCTGGTGGTCTAGCTAGGAGCTATGCATATTAACCTGCAGAAGGGAGACAGTGTTTCTCTGAACATTCAGAGCAAAGTCATATTTCTAAAAACACTGAAATATGAGAACAGGAAACAATCTTACAGAGCTGTTTGGTATTCTTAGTAGGATAACAGAGGTATGAAACAGAAAGCCATGCAAGAAATTGAAATATAAAAATGTAAGCTTTATGAGGGCAATAATTGTTTCATTACTGCTCTATTTCCATAGGCTTGCTTAACAAAAACTGATGAATGAATGAATAAGATAAGGAGATAGCTGGATGAGATAAAGTAATATTTCTGGGAAACTAAATGTAGAAATAACAGAAATGAAATCTGCAGTAGGAAAAGACTAAGAACTGGAATAAGTATTGAATTTAAAAAATAAACAAAATCGGCCAGGCATGGGGGCTCACAACTGTAATCCCAGCACTTTGGGGGGCCAAGGTGGGCAGATCACAAGGTCAGGAATTCAAGACCATCCTGGCCAATATGATGAAACCCCATCTCTACTAAAAATATAAAAATTAGCTGGACATGGTGGCGGGCACCTGTAGTCCCAGCTACTCGGGAGGCTGAGGCAAGAGAATCGCTTGAACCTGGGAGGTAGAGGTTGCAATGAGCTGAGATAGCACCACTGCACTCCAGCCTGGGTGACAGAGCGAGACTCCGTCTCAAAAATAAAATAAAATAAAATAAACAAAATCACAAAACACACAAAAATAGGCAAATGAACAAAGTTATTTAAAATATGTGTTGAAATATCTTTGTTACACTTAAAGATATACCTATAATAATTTAATATATAATATAGATAATTTAATTCCAGGAAAAGGTGAGCCAGAGATATTATGATCAACATACAAAAATTAGAAAATAAGCAAAGGAACATTGTTTATGAAGTAAGGAACAATCTATCTAGTAAGAGACAAACATACAGAGTATTAATTCTTACACAATATGATAATTGCCAGCTTAATATGATAGAGAAATTTGGGTGACACCTCACGAGGAAGTAGCACATAAACTCTCTTGAAGCATGAACAGGATTTTTCAATGGGAAGGGCATTCCAAAGAATTTTTAAGGATGTAGGGTATTTAGGAAATAGTAAATAGTTTGGTATGGCATGAGTAGAAGAAGTGAGGAAAAAAAACTGCAGAAAATTCATCTAGAAGAAAGAGAAATAGCAAGTTTTCCCTTTTAAGTACAAATATTTATGTATATATGTAATTAACTTTCTTGAACACTTGTGGGGATTAATCATTTTGCTTTCAGGAAATGTAATGTGATATAGCTTTCATTGTTGTCTTGAATCTGTATACAAATATTTTGTCATTTATTTTTACATTTTAGTTCCCTAAATAAATTTAAGCAGGGACCTCTCTTAACACTTCTTGCAAAGCACAATGAAAAAAATCCTGAGTATTGGAGCTGGAGAGATCTGGCATCCAATCCACATTTGCCAGATGTTGACTTTGATCAAGGCAATGTACTTATGTAAAGCATGCTGTGTGACAGCCTGTGATTATGATGGCTCTTAAAATCATTTGATTTGGAAGAGATAGCCTTATTCTATGACTTACAAATTTTGACTTAGGCCCATATAATCCTGCATTGGGCCTGGAGCACAGAGTAAGTGCTATTTCCATTCATTTCTCTCTGTGGCATGTGTTCAACACAGTTAACTACAGGTCCTTTTTAATATTAATAGTAGGGTCTCTGGAAATATTCTTTAGGTTAAATTAATGTGACTGGGGAAAGGAGCCTTATGTCATGGTTAAGAAGGCAGACTCTGGCACCAGAATGCCTGGATTTGCATCTTGGCTCTCCCACTGATGAGCCATATGACCATGTGGCTTTCTTTCTCTGTTTCTCCATCAGTATAATGGAGAAATAATGACTTATCTTACAAGGTGGTCATATATTAAAAGAGTTAATATATGTAAAGCACTTGGAAGGGTGGCTGGTACAGAGTGAGCACTTAATAAATGCTGGCTAATATCATCATTGGAAACTAGGCCAGGCATGGTGGCTCACACCTGTAATCCCAGCACTTTGGGAGACCGAGGCAGGCGGATCACAAGGTCAAGAGATGGAGACCATCTTGGCCAACATGGTGAAACCCCGTCTCTACTAAAAATACAAAAATTAGCTGGGCATGGTGGCGTGCGTGCCTTTAGTCCCAGCTACTCGGGAGGCTGAGGCAGGAGGATTACTTGAATCAGGGAGGCGGAGGTTGCAGTGAGCCAAGATTGCACCACTGCACTCCAGCCTGGCGACAGAGCAAGACTCCATCTAAAAAAACAGACAGAAATGGTGGCTCCTCAGATGCATTTTACGTTTAAGTTCCTTGTACTTTTTAATGTGTTTTGTAGACAAAAGGAGAGATAAAAAAAATTGTTGTGCATGATTACCAGCAGAAGTGTGTCTTCCTTATTAGTTACCAGAAAGGTCTATATTATCTTACTGTGATTAGGTATAAACCCAAATTTCTTTCTTTCTTTTTTTTTGAGTCGAAGTCTTGCTCTGTTGCTCAGGCTGGAGTGCAGTGGCACAATCTCGGCTTACTGCAGCCTCTGTCCCCCGGGTTCCAGCAATTCTCCTGCCTCAGCCTCCTGGGTAGCTGGGATTACAGGTGCATGCCACCACGCCTGGCTAATTTTTGTATTTTTAGTAGAGATGAGGTTTTGCCATGTTGGCCAGGCTGGTCTTGAACTCCTGACCTCAGGTCATACGCCCGCCTCGGCCTCCCAAAGTGCTGGGATTACAGGCATGAGCCATCGCATCCGGCCTAAACCCAAATTTCTAAAGTCAGAATAGAATAAGATCTTCTAATTCACATGTGAATTTGGAAGCCATCTTAATTATATGTCACATCCATACTTGAGGAACTGTTGATACCTCAGTTTCCTTATCTGAAAAATAGGCATAATATTACCTACTTCTACTTTTGATATTAAATCTGTGATAGCACATTCAAAATGATGACCTTAATGCCTAGCATAATAAATAATCAGCTCTTATTATTATTATTGATCATTTTCAAATGAACTTTTTAACATTTGTGAATAACTGTGGGAATATGGCTGTTGAATCCAACAGCCAAAACTTGTTTTCCTGTTGTAATCTAATCTAACACCAATGAAATCAAGTACACTTCTTCCATCCTTTGATAAGGCCAGGTTATAAAATATTTATGTATATTGATAACAGGAGAAAAATATTTGTTTTGATCTTCTCCTCCTAATATGCTTTTTGAAACAAGAGAAGCGACAGGTCCTATATTCAATTTGACATTGTCTGATAGTTACTTAAAACAGTACTTTCATTCTTTCTGTTTCTCACATTCAACTGATTGCTTACTTCATTTTTCCTGTCAGTGTGCTCAGCTGGATAAGGAATTGATTCTTAACTTGATGTTATTGTAATTTCCAGGTATAAAGCTTTTGCATTTTATATTACAAATTAGACTAATAGCTGTTTTCTTCTTATAGTCCCATCTTTTAGTCTATTTCTTTTCCCAGGTTTATGTTATTTACTCTATATGGTAAATATTTTATACTATGGTATATAATTTGGGAATTATAATTGGGAATATAATTTGCTTTAATCTAAAATATTTTATATTATTTGATTTTGACTATTTAAGATGCACACATCTCGGCTCACTGCAAGCTCCACCTCCCGGGTTCATGCCATTCTCCTGCCTCAGCCTCCCAAGTAGCTGGGACTACACACCTGGCTAATTTTTTTGTACTTTTAGTAGAGACGGGGTTTCACCGTGTTAGCCAGGATGGTCTCAATCTCCTGACCTCGTGATCCACCCATCTTGGCCTCCCAAAGTGCTGGGATTACAGGCGTGAGCCACCGCACCCAGCCAAGGAGCTTATTTTATAACACACTTTTCCATCAAAAATCCAGACTTGTCACTTACGAAGTAGCACTATTAATATGTGCATAGGCATTATGTTTTTAAGTCAAGTTCTATATGTCCAAGTTAGTTCTCATATTAAAAGTTCTTTTAGAATAAATTTATAGCACAAAACAAGCATGTATACCATGACTAAAATATCTGATTCCAACTCCAGAAAAGCATTGACAGTTCTCATTGTCAGTATTTATTTTGTATGTTATACAATCTCTCAATGGTAGGACACATAAACATCTTGAAACTTTTACTCAGACTTATTATTCATATACAAAAGATCTTGTTTAGAAAGTTAGGAAAGTATATACCCCTTTCTGTTTTTGTAATTTAGCTTTATTTAAGTGTTTTGAACATATGTCTAAAGTAATCACATGTAGAATAAGAATAAATTTGGAAAATGAAGGTAAAATATGCCTTTCTCTCTTTGTAAATAATGAACAAACAGTAGTGCTGTTACCATGAAGATCTAAAAAAAATGTTAAGTTTACTACATCTTATGGTAAAACAAGTGACTGCAGGGAAGGAAAGGTGAATGTTCCCAAGGTGGAAGCTCCACTTGTCTCAGAGAGGGAATACATTGTGACTATGGCTGTGGGGAAGACATAAGCTGGCTTAGAAAATTAAGAGCTACTTACTTAGTGTTTTAAATACTCAATTTCTTCAAAGTGAAAAAGTTTCAATACAATGGGAAGTCAACATTGCTTTTATAGACATTATTAAAACATAATCCCAAACTCGAAGAAAGTTTTATGTAAATGATTGTTTGAACCTCTAAAAATTTAAAATTCAACTTGATTTATTTTTATTAGATGAGATCCTGGCTAGGTTCCACTTCATAAGGCTTATTATACTGAGTTTATTTTTACAACTAATTATCCTCACCTACATAAACTTCCTAGATTTTGGAATACTTAATTGACTGGTCAAGTGTCTTTGCTATCCAGATGACAGTTACCTATCATGGATCTTCAAAGGGACCCAAAATTTGGACCAGATGCCATCTTCTCAAGGGTACAGGAGGAACTGAAGCATTAAATTGTGATGGTATTGGCCAACATATGTAGCTCATCACTGCGAACAAGTGCTCAGCCTACGTTTGGGGTGGTGTACTGTCATTGTGACCCATAACTGTTGGAAGAGTTCCAGAAATAACACAAGGGATTATGCATTAATATAGAGCAGGTGGCAGGTAAGCACTCCCGATAGGTTAAATGAGTGAAGGAATGAATGTGGAAGTTGAATGAATTATAGGTTGACATAATTTGGATATGTAGACAAATTCCTAGCCCAGAAAAAGAGTACTTGTGTTTAGAGTCTCATTGTGCAGAGGCTGGTCTGAAACTGATACAAAGAAATTGGATTTAAAGTGCTCTAAGCAATTAAATGTCTTATACGATTTGCCGTTTTTATCACAAATTCATAGTTCCAGGATGACCTTTATTTTTTTCTACATAAAGGGAAATAATAGTAATTTTATATCTTAAAGAGAAGAGCAAAATTTTTAATATTTGCCTTTTAAAAATAAAATGATAGGGCAGCTCCAGGAGATCCACATGGGCAGGTGAAGCTCCTATACCTCCAATCTGAATCATCGGAATAACAAGAAAATCTCACATCTCTTTAGATTTCACAGGCTCAAGCAAATGTGAAATATTTGACATTTTCACCTTAGCATTTTCACACATAGAAAAGACACCTTCCAAGGGTAAGTAGCAAATTTTCTTTTCCTGTTGAAAGCTAGTTTTGCAACTCAAAGAGCAAAAAAGGAAAAATGTTGCTTTAGAATTTTCTGAAATGCTGCAACTCACATGCGGGAAACTCTCCTTCCACTGAGTGTCTGCACATGGCCCCATATCAGAATCTTAGTTGTTGAATTGCTGAAAATTTAGAACTCATCCTTTTTAACCAGTCTACCATGTACGTGAAAATCAGAAAAGGTGTAAAAGTTTTACATTGACAGCATTAAATTCTTTCAGTCTTAGTTACACATTTTGTTGTCACTTAAGTTTTAATTGGCTAAAATTAGGCTTCTTAATTTTCAATAAAACTCAGTAATTTTAATTGTGCAGCAGCTACTTCATTCATGCTGGTTGTGGCTGCTACGAAATGAAAGACAAGGTGGTTTTTGCATATATGTTTCATTATTTTTTGAAAATAAATTCAGGGATAATACGAGGCTGAGATTTGTGGTCTATAAGATGTTGAAGATAAAAAAAAATTTGCTGCATTTCTAAGGAATAATGGGGTCCAATGGGAGCAAAGAAGGCATTTAGGGAAGCAGTGAAGAAAAGCGAGAAAATTCTAGAATGCCATTGACACGAGGGAGAGGAGTACATATTTAAAACTTTAGTCAACAGGAAATGATTATAAAGATTTAGGAAAGGGCACGATATAATTAGGGTTTTGTTATCAGGGAGGGTATTTTGGCAACAGTGTGTAGAATAAAATGCAAAGAAGAAAAACAAGGACTTGGAAATGTGGTGCTTTGCAAGGATGAGCATCAGGCACTGGTTTCAGACAGACCTGTGTTTGAAACACAAGCCAAGTGAGCATGCATTGCAACCTCTTATTTCCAATCACATTATGCTCCTTCAGAGGTACTGTAGTGGCTGGGTGATACCTGCTCCTCTGAGATCTGTCCTCCAGCTCCACAGGGTCCCCCATCTCAGCTCCTGGGGTTCCCAGCCCCCAGGTGTCATCCTCTTTTCAAAGGCCTGATCATCAACTCTATGAGCCCCTACTTCAAACTCCCAGGGTCTATATTCTCAATCTCCACCATTTTATTCCCTTAGTCCTAGTGGAACTGTTTCTTGTAGTTATCTTTTTTGAGTTTTAGTACCTTTTGGCTTTTTTTTTTAGGACTTCAGAGCATGTGTGAGCCAATCTCTATATTATCTCTATATTACAGCCTTGTATTGCAATACCCATTATAGTTTCTGTTTTCCTGGCTGGACTTTGACAGCATGAGGGTGAGCAGGTGTATTATCTGTGTAGACAACATGGCAGGAACATCAAAGGATAAAAAAGTATGGGGCATGGTCAGGGAAGGCAAGTAATAGGATGTGATTAGACAGCATAGCTGAGCATGAGATGTCCTGAAAGTTCAGTGAGAGGATAATTAGGGTGAGATTTTATTGCCATATTAAGTGTCTCATTGTATATTAATAGAAGAAAAACTGATTTCTGTAACTTCTATCATCCATCCCAGTAATTTCCTCAGTGATACACTGATATAGTCTGATTCTTAAAATGTGACAGTTTTAAAAATATATGGAGATCCTTAAGCTTCTGTCAGGTTGTGTGGCCTGTAGGAACATTCAGAGAGATGTCTAGTAGGCAGATGGATATATGGTTCAGAGCTTCACAAGGGCAATCTAGACTAGAGATATGTATTTTGAAATCATCAGTATACAAAGGACAATTAAATTTAAGGGGGTAATTGAAGCCACCCAGAAAGCAGGCAGAGAGAGAGAAGAGAACACTTATGGCAAAACTTGAGAAGAATCAATAATTTCCATTATTTCTCAGTAGGGTTGCTGTGCTTTAAACAAGCCAATCTGATTTCTGTTTCTCACGTCATTTACAAATTCCTGCCTATATCCCTGGAATCAGTTACCTGCTATTTTCCAGCAGTACTTGCTGAGAAGACAACATAGGATAGTATAACAGGCCTGGGCTTCATTTCATACGGTCTTGAGAGTTTGAGCTCTGCTTATATTTTTATTTTTTATTTTTAGAGATGAGGTCTCACTCTGTCACCCAGACTGGAGTACATTTGTGTGATTATAGCTCACAGCAGTCTCCAACTCCTGGCCTCAAGCAATTCTCCCACCTCAGCCTCTAGAGTAGCTAGAATTATAGGCATGCACCACCATGTCCAGCTATTTTGTTGTTGTTGTATTTGTCCAGCTATTTTGTTGTTGTTTTTTGTATCTTTGTTTTTGTGTCTGTGTGTTTTGTTGTTGTTTTGCTTCTTAATGGTTAGGGATACTCTAACTTCTAGGATGCTCTGTTTTCTCCTCCATAATATAAATAATGATAGTACTTTCTTCTCAGGGTTGTTGTACACATTGAGTCATACATAAACAAATTGTTGGAGAGCTGCTAAACATCAGTTTCCGCTAAATAGTCACTGTAGGTATAAAGAGGAATAAGTGCTCACAGTCCCATGGGACAGACAGACTCATTATCTGATGAATAAAATGCCTTGTACAAAGTGGAACAATATAGAATGCTTCAGGTATGGGGCAGGGAAGAACTGATAAAAGAGATTGTCTCTGTATAAGCTGGATCTTGAAGAAAATGTGGGAGTTAATGGAATGAAAATATCATAGGATAGTATTTGGAATTTAATGCCAGATGTTTAGTAAAGAAGCTTTTTTATTCCCCTTTGACTATCTTCTAACCCTGGCTTAAAATTTAACTACTTCAGAAAGATTTCCTAAGCTACTTGGCTTCCTCTGCACTTCCCTTTAGTTCTTTATTCTCTTCAGCATGCATATATTATTCATTTTTGTCCATATTTTATTTTTAAGTAGAAAGAAAACTTATTTGGGAAAATGATTTTTAGTGTTCTTTTGGAGTCTGACAGTGTTCAATACATAGTAAACCCCTTATAAATCCTTAAATTAATTTTGTCACATAAATAGCAGTCTAAGTACATTAATGAAAAAGATATTTACAATCTTTTTGATATTTAATGAATATCCAATTTTCCCTTACATAGATCATAGATCAAAACTAGGTGATGGCAACATGAAGATCATTGAGAATATGGAGAATATGGCAACAGCAGCCTTCACAGCATGGTAGGACATGGATGTCTGAGTGCAGTGGCTGGAGGAAGGATTTTTGAGATGAGAAAGTAATGACAAACTCTGTAGACAACTCTCTCTGTGGGTTTTGCTGTGAAGGTAGTATACGAATATGGTGGTACTTAATGGGAAATATAAGGGCTGAGGATGTTATTATTTTTTAAATAGTGAGAGGATTCTAGAACATGTTTGCATATTCATTGAAATGTCCATTTAGAAAAGGGATGTTGATGACATAGAAGGAATCCCTGAGACCTTTAGGAAACATCTTTTCCCTCTTCTGGTAAATTGCAAAATCTGAAATTGAAGGCCACCAAAGTTATTTTTAGGTTAAAAATTATCCTGTAGTTCCATAACTCTTTATTCTTTTGTTTTGGGATTATTATCCTACAACGGATATAATTATATAACTGTTGTAACATTACATTTAAATATAATTATATTTCTAATCATACATGAAGTAAACATATAATAGGATGTTACTCTGATTTTATATTGAATGTATCTGTCTCAAATCACTAAAAATAAGACTTTGTATTGTTCAATGAAATCTCTAGTACATATAAAACATGATAGACTTTTTAGTATAGGTTACTCAAGAACTTTGAATGCAGAGGAAATATTTTCACAAAGATATACCTGATAAACCAGGCAGGGTTCTTGTTACATCCTCCTGAAAGAGACTTATGTTAAGATCTGATATCTACAAGAATCACTCACAGCATGGATTAGGAAGTGTACCCCACTTTTCAGGAAAGAATTTTCATAACCTGTGAAAAGGAGAGGGGGCAAGTGTCTTGACTTTAGTTAAGTGAGCCATTTTTGTTTCCTCTGAGGAAGAGTAGGCTGGCTGTGGCGTCTCTCACTCCATTGACATCTAGTGTTTTGTCTGCAGACTTTTCTGTCTGGGTGACTCCACTTCCTCCACCACCATACATCACAGGAGCCTGAGAACTCAATGTGTACATTGGAGACCAAAAGCAGATTTGCTTGATCCTTGAAAGAGGGAGAAGAGTTTTGTTTGTCTGATCCCTTTGGCCACCCTCTGTTCTGTTTTGGAAACACTGATTGTTGCAGAATGTTCTCAAAACCACACTCACCTTCACCCCTGAGTTATGCTTCACAAAAGAGACTGGTACAAAGCAACATTTAAAATGTTTTCACGTGATCAGTGGTTTCAATTTGGAATCTGGGGCTGGTTTATGGAAGAGATGAGAAGGAAATTTTTTCCTGTCCTGGGGATTTTGTATGTTTTTTCTGTCTCTTAGATTTTTCCCTTTAAAATGTGGTTGTGAAAAGCAGATGTTTAGTAAAGCTGAAAGTCTTGGAATATTCATCAATGCATCGCAACTCAATACCTTAGGGTAGACACTGTCTGTAGTAGCAAAACAGATCTTTTTTCTATGTCTACCATGAAATGATAGCCATTGAAATGATGCAAAATATGACCTCTATATTTAGTCTGTATTCAAATCCATTTATTGTTTAAAGAAACCATGCAATGCCAATTAAAATAGTTTTTTTCTTTAACAAATCAACTGCATATTTATTTTGCTGACTAAAGAGAATTAGATAAAAACATCAAAAATTAAATTTCTGCCCTAAGTATCATAAAATGAATACCAAGGTCCTCCTAAAAGCTTAATGAGATCTCAACCTGGCCTCTAATAGCAGTGTCCGATGTCTGACATGTTGGCAATGTATAGTGAAATGTTATTATGACTGTTATTATGGTGTAGTACCACAGAGAGCTAGAAGTGCCCAGGACATCAATTGTATTCTATTGTTGTAAGGTGTCCTTAAACCTCATGTAAAGAGTTGCAGACATTCAAAGTTTGGATACTTACCTAGAAGAAACATTCAAAATATGGAGTGTTTGCTCAAATCATTGTTCTAGTGAAAATAGCATGTTGAAACCACTTTGATTCTCTGACATTTGTCTGTGTAAGGCATGTAATTCATTACACTGATTTTATATTGAAGAAATAAATTTGAAACAAACATTTTATTCCAGCAGAGGCTGATGTTCATAACTGTTTTCCTGAATACTAGGTAGCTAATCAGTCGTTGATATATTAACAAGTTATTCATGATTTTCTAGCTTCCACTATGAAGTAAATTAAAAGAGGCGGATTGGCAGGGGTGTCATGACATTGTAATGATACAGTGCTGATGATAACTCTATTGGGGAAATACAGTAGCTGTCTTTGCTTTCACCAAAATAATAAATAAGCAAACTTCCATCTTATATACAATCTTTTCTTAGTTTGTTACTTTCTGAAAATTGCTTTGAAAGTTTATTAGAACTGTGTAAAATACAGCATGCCATTTCCTAAGAATAGCACACAATGTGGAGACACTTTATCGAAAAGTAAAATGTTTATTTCACTGGCTAGATTTGGTAGCATTCTCCTACAGTGGCAACTCAGTCTTTCTTGAGTAACCCAGCCTCCCCACCCTTATTTAATCTTAAGTTTGTGAATTGAGCATTGTGGTTATCTACTGCTGAATGTGTATTTGAGAGCTATTTCTTATTTCTAATTTTGGGGATATTATGTAGGCTTTTGTGTAATGCATATAATAACAAAGACTGTGCTTCCTCCCAGAATGTGTTCACTGGATGTCTTGTCACCCGATTTTACTAATCAACCAAATGTATTGTTCTACAGAGCTAGCCCCTTTAAGTCATAATTGCCCTATATTGAATTATCAAAATACAATTTCAGGCTAAATTAGCAATAATCCTTTTGGAAGCCTATGTATGCCAGAGAAAAATGAGGGCCATGTGTCTTCCATGCTATAGGCTGAGGAATCTTTCAGCTGTGTGGACAGCAAGGAAAGGGAGAGGCTGCAGCAAGTGGAAGGAGAGGCAAATACAGCTACAGAGGCAAAGGGAATAGGCCACAAAGGCAAAGGGTTAATGAGCTGTGTGGGTCTGATTTTATTGCATGATCAATATGAACCTTTTTCTAGATGTCAGGCTTTTGAGTATCTGATTAAAACTGTGACTAATCCTTTAAGTAAACGCAAATATACACAAACACAAAATTGTTGTGTAAAATTTCTAGCAATTCTTAGGTCTCTGGAAGCCGCAGGTTAGGAACTCACACTGGGACCAATGGGGAGGGAGTTCAAAGCAGAAAAAAAGATGGAGATCAGCATATTAACCTACTAGGAATCTCTCAGAGAAGAAGATAATAAGTTCATAATAAGAGGAAGATGCAAAGGGGTTCACATAAGGCAAACTAATGGCATTGAAGCAATCACGGAAAGATTGAAAGTGAAATAGAACTGCAGAGAAATTATCTGGAAGGTTTGTTATTTTATGGGAATTAAACAGATGAGAAAATTGTTCAGGAAAACTGGAACTTTTTCGGAACTCACTCTAAAGGAGATACGATTTTGACGGATCTTGAGTTCTTGGCAGACTCTAAAAAGGTTATCTGGGTTGCTTGAGTTGCTGACTACATCAGAATCAGAAGGGATGTGGTTGCTCTTGGTAAGATAGAGTTTAGGAAAGTTAAAAATTTCATATCATTATGAATTTGAGATCTACTAAGAAAGCAAAAGCAGGGTACTGGAGTTGAGTTTAACAGGGAAGTGTATTTGGGTCATGGAAGAAAATGTGCAATTTTAAGTGTCCCTCAGCAATTCAGTGTAATGGGAACCATGGTGGGTGAAGGGTGGAGTCCTCAATTAAACCGAGGGCAGGACACTGCATGGTTAGAACAGCATGTGGTTATGCCCTGATGCTGGTTTGGTGACATGAGAATCAAGAGACTCAAGTCCCAATGTTGGATTTACCACGAGCTTGTGAATTTGAGAAAGTTATTTTACTACTCTGGACCTGTTTTTTTCCTGCTCAGAAAAGGACCACAGGAGGCCTAAATAATCTCGAAGATTCCTTCCAACTCTAGACATCTATGATACTGCAGAGAATGGAAATGAATAGAAAAAGAGCCTCAATACATCAACAATGTTTTACTTATTTTCAAAAAAGATTCCTCACTTTGATGCTGACTCAGATGCTGTGGATGTGTGATTAAGAATTTTAATTTCGTTAATATCATCAGTTTCCTGAAGTAGAAGAATGACAATTCTCCCAGGGAAATCTTGATGATTGAGTGTTTCCACTAGCAGTTGAGAGTCAGTATGTTAGTTAACATTTAAAAAAGCAAATACTTCATTTATTTACTCTGTGTGCTTTGTGGAAACTTACCACTGCCAGCTTCAGCCACAGAACATTCTATAAGAAACAGTGTGGTTTCCAGATGAGGGCAAGTGGATAGTGTTTTCCAAGGCTGCTTCAGGGAGCATCTGAGGCATTTCAGAACATTTTGCATCTTGGCACAGTGAACCTGCTATGAATTCTCTGTGCCTGGCTGTCTGTCTCCTACCCCAATCATTACCTTCTTATCTGGGGGGACAAGCACAACTGGGAACACGTGTGGAATGAAAGAGCTTGTTCCAGTGGTCTCAGCAATGCCTCATGTCTTCTGTTCAGTAGATTCTTGCAGAATGAAGCTGGAAGGGCCACTTAGAGGATCTGATTCTAACCTCTGCGTTAAGGAAAAATCCAGCTCCTTTTATTCCTTAACTGGAATCTAGGGTCTCATAGTGCCACTTATTTTTTTGTAAAGTGGAGTGAAGATTGTACCAATAAGAAATAAAGAATACTTATTTCGTGCATATTTAAAGCTGACATGTACTTTACATATTGTATTTAAACCTACAACTTGCTATGTGCAAACCTATTGGTCCATAGTTCTTGCCTAAAATTTCCAAGATAATTTCCCTATAGCATTTTAAATAAGAAATAATTATTTGACAATGACTGCGGTGGTGGGGGAAGACGCATTTGACAACAGTTGTGGTGGTAGGGAGAGGACACATCACATCTGAGACCTTTATTTCAATTGGTGGTTAAAATGTGGGATAAAATACTAAAAGCAATATGAATTTAGATTGAAAAAAGAGATGTGAGCTCATTCTGCTCTCCACTGGACAGGTACCATTCATGGCAATTCCCATCCTGGGTGTTTTGAATGTTTGGAGGAATTAATGTACAGAATTATTTAATAATATCTGGCATGATGGCTCATGCCTGTAATCCCAGCACTTTGGAAAGCCCAGGTGGGAGAATTGTTTAGCTCAGGCATTCAAGACCACTCTGGGCTGTACATAGTGAGACCCTGTCTCTACCAAAAAAAAATAAAAATTAATTGGACATGAAGGTGTGCCCCTGTGGTTTCAGATACTCAGGAGGGTGAAGTGGGAGGATCGCTTGAGCCCAGGCATTCAAGGCTACAGTGAGCCAAGATTGCACCACTGCACTCCAGCCTGTCTCTAAAAAGAAATAAATTTAAAAATCACAATATGTGTTACTCAAAATGTATAATAATTATTGCTTGTAGTTCAACTGAATAAAGTACAAAACTAACTAAAACATTTCTTATTTCTGATTTCAACAAATCCACAACCCACATCTTTATGGTGTTCAGATTCAGTCACCTTCTGTTACAAGGGCTCATGGTTCAAGATGTGGACAAACAGTTTGCTCAGGCCTGAACAGTCTCAAGAACGAGAGAGGATGTTTGGAGTTCCACTTCCCATCCAGACAGCACTGGAAGCAGGATCCCATGGCAGAAATGCCCATATGATCTTCAGTAAATGTATATGTGTCTTCATTTATTTTATTTTTTAAATTATACTTTAACTTCTGGGATACATGTGCAGAAAGTGCAAGTTTGTTACATAGGTATACAAGTGCCATGGCAGTTTGCTGGACCAACCAACCCGTCATCTACATTAGGTATTTTTCCTAATGCTAGTGTCTTTTTTTTTTAATGATATGTGGGTCCTCTAAAGTATTAAGACAAAGGAAGAAGCCTCTTTTGCTTGTGCCTAAATCAGACTGATGGACAACACTCAGATTTACTTGAAAAATATAGCATATTTTGAAGAGGAGAGATTTATAATGTCAGTGAATGCTATAACAGAGGAAAGAAATGTGATTTATCATGTGACTTAATATATGTATTTCTAAGTCCTAGAATATTATCCATTAGCATTATCATATTTATAGCAAAGTATATTTTTCTTCCTTTATCTAAAGTACCGAGTGCATTTAATTATTTATTTTCAAGTTGATATTTTCCTTAGTGACAGTTTTCATTGTTAATATTTATCAAAATAAAAAATATTTTTTATATATTTTTCTATTTTTTACTATTCACATCATAACTATATTTTTCCTAAAATAAATTTATTAGAAAAATACTTCCTTACATCAATACTACTCCTGCTTCCCAATATAGAATATTACTCAATTACACTCACAAAGCAACAGCTCCTTTTCAAGGTAGTTCAATTTTTTCAGCTTTTTAGAACAGTTAGTAAATATGACATTATGAGTAATACTCCTCTAATTTTAAAATGAAAAATTAGGTGTTATAAATTACTAACCTCTTTAGTTATTTTATTAAGTTCAGTAGCAAAATTACATGAATGGAAACTACAATTCAGTAGGTGTTCTGAAGCTGTTTTTCCTGGATTAATACTGCAATATAATTATAATAAAACAGCTTTCAACAGATTGTGGAGGTGTCTTAAGTATCATATAATGAGAGCACCACTGTTAATTTAATATATTGGATAGCAAACAGTTTGTGAGATGATAGTTGTGATTTCAATATAAGTTAATTTAGTGTTTTATTGTGTTTCTGCTAGGAGGGAAAGCATTCATTCAGATGCAAAAGTTACTTCTTATCATTGAAGGATTTTGTGGTAAAGGAGAATTGCTGTATTACGTCTGTTACTTTGGTAGTGGATGTTGCTTCTTTTAGAGGTAATAAAGTATATCAGTATCTAGAAATTATATTTATAGAATGAAATCAACCTACCAATTCTTTCTCTCTGCCCAGTCTCTTATGACATTGAATCTGTATAAATTATAAGCTATAAACTTTCAAAATTGGTGGTGAGTTAAAATTTTATTTTCTGTTTTATAATATCTTTGAAAATTTCTTCATACAAATTAAAACAAAAATGTTAAGTCAATGAATTTCTTTTATTGTATGTCATTTTGTAGTTTTGGGTTTTACATGGAATCTCAAAATGTTTTAAACTTAAAATTACCATTCTTTTACTAAAGAATAAGAAAGAAAACTTTTGAACTGCCAGTCTTAAAAAATGAGATATTTTTGTATTTGTTCAATACGATTTTAAAAATATTTGTTGACAAATTAAAAAAAGTTCTCTTGGTTGTATTTTGGGAGAAAGTAAATAATTCAGTATAAACCAATTAATGAACCTGTAGAACATCATGTCAAGTGAAGTAAGCCAGGCACAAAAATACAAACAGCCGTGATTTCGGTTGTGTTTGGGATCTCAAAAAAGATAAACTCTTAGAAACAAAGAGTTGAATGGTGGTTACCAGAAACTTAAAGATAGCTTAAAGAATGGAGGACTGTATAGGTGTTAGTCAAAACATACAAAATTTCAGTTACACAGAAAGAGTAAGTTTGAAAGATCCATTTTCCAACATGGTGACTGTAGTTAATTAACAATGTACTGTATGTTTGAAAATTGCTGAGAGAGTAGATTTTAAGTGTTCTTATCACAAAAAGTAAGCGTATGAGGTAATGTGTATGTTAATTAACTTGATCTAGCTATTCCGCTGTGCATACATAAATCAAAACATCACATTGTATACCGTAAGTATATGTAATTTTTATTTGTCAATTAAAAGACGAATTCTGTTCTTGTTCATAAAGGAGTAACAGAAACTAGATCTTTCTTTTTTACCTGAAGTCAACCAGAAAAGTAGATCACATGAACAAATAATTTTCAGAGTTTGGATATTCATCCCCAAGAGAAGAGAAACAAATGCTGTGAGCCCTACAATTGCCCCCTGATTACTGCCTAGAGAGAGTTTCTAAGCTGCAGTGAAGGGTGGGGGACCAAAACAGAGTTCAGTAGTCTCAATGCTTTGAGAAGACAGAGTTGGGGAGGCTAAGTCAGTTAGACTAGCAGTGGCAAATATCAGGAAGAAAGGTGCTAGACCCAGAGAGCTCAAAAAATTTGCAGAGCTCAGTTTTTTGACCCAGTGCTGATGTGTACAGAGGTGATTATGTAGGAAGAAACTTCCTGAGATGGAATAGAATTACATGAAAGAAGAGGTGGAGTAATCCCCAGAGTTTAGATGATTCTCTGCTTGGAATACTTTGCAAATAAGGTTTTTCAATATACGTAAAAAAGGATAACACATCATGACCTCATGGGTTTATCCCAGGCAAGCAAGGTTGATTAATTTAAAAATCAGTCACTATAATTCACCATATTAAAAAAATAAAGATCATTTCTATAGATGAAGAAAAAGCATTTGACATATTTGAACATCCATTCATCATTTTTTTTAAAAAACAGCAAAAATCCTTTTAGCAAACTAGGAATAGAGGGGGGCATTCTCCTCCTTATGAAGAGCATATACAAAAAACTCTATGGCTACCATCATAATTAACATTTTGCTTCTTCTTTAAGAAAACAAGAATGTCTACTTTTACCACTTTGATTTAACATCGTACTTGAGGTTTAACTATTGCAATAAGGCAAGAAAAAGAAATAAAGGGCATTCAGATTGGCAAAGGAGAGTAACACTACCTTTATTTGCACATGACATGATCACCTCTCTACAATCCAATGACATCTACAAAAATGTTCCCAGAATTAATAAGTAAGTTAAAAAATGTTGCAGTATACAAAACTGATGTAAAACAATCAGTTGTATTTCAACCTACTAGAAACAAAAAGTCAGAATTTGATATAAAAATGCCATTTATAATAGCATCAAAATATAAAATAAATAGGTTTATATCTGACAAAGATGTGCATGTTCTGAATGCAGAAAACTGGAAAACATTGCTGAGAGAAGGTCTTCTTAAATAAGACCTAATAAAATGAATGAAGACCTATACTAGATTCATGAATTGGAAGACTTAATATTTTAATATGTAAATCATCTCTAATTTGATCTATCTGTGTTTTTTCTTTAATATTTAGTGTCCCTGAACTTCTTTTATATACTGCATATAACCCATAATAAAGTTATTCATCTCATGTTTCAAGCATTCTTTCTTCTAAACAAAATTTATCTGACATATGAATCCTTCTATGTGTTTATGAATGTTAAAAACTTATTTTCCATATTTCAAGATGATAACTCACTAATATATCAAACTAATCATTATTAGTGTTAAATGGCGTGAGAATGTTGTTGCCATACTACCTCAGATAGGTTCATGCTATTTTTCCCAATCAAAAACTTACAGAGTAGTTGAAAGTACAGTTCAAAAAACATTTTCTCCCAAAACATATGAAAATAAATTGTCAACTGATGTTCCATCCACCCTGATATAGCAGTGTTTTTCTACAGATCCAAAATAAAACCATCAAAATCAGTAAATTAGCATTCCAGCATTTCCCCATTCTAGAATTGCCAGTTGTCTCAATAATACCTTATAATAAAAAGATCTGGGTCGTAATTATGGCATGACTTTGTTATCATGTCTCTAATCTTCTTAGTTTGGAACTCTTCTTCAGTCTTTTTTTCCTTTTGATGATATTTTGAAGATTACTAGGCCAGTAATTTTGGAGTCTGTTCCTCAGTGTGGATTTGTCTGATATTTATTCATAATTAGATTCAGGTTATGCATGTTTGTCAGTAATATCACAGAAGTGATGTTACTTTTTCTTCATTGCATTCTAATAGTTAGGACACAATTTTATTTTTTCTTGTTATTGACATGTAGTAGTTGTACATATTTTGGGAGTATATTGTGTTATTTTGAGACCTGTATGAAATGTGTATTGAGCAAATCAGGGTAATTGAGATATCCATCACCTCAAACATTTATCTTTTCTTTGTGCTGGGAATATTATAATTCTCTTCTAGCTATTTTGAAATATACAAAAATTATTGTTAACCATAATTTCCCTACTGTACTATCAAATACCAGAACCTATCCCTTCTATCTAATTGTACTTTTATACCCCTAAACCAACTTTTCTTTATTCCTTCTTCTCTCCTTCCCTTCCCAGCCTTTGACAACCACTATTGTACTCTCTACCTGCATGAGATCCACTGTTTTAGCTCCAACATATGAGTTAGAACATGCAATATTTGTCTTTCTGTTCCTGGTTTATGTCACTTAATGTAAGGACCTCCAGTTCCATCTACATTGCTGTAAATGTCAGGATTTCATTCTTTTTTTATGGCTGAATAGTATTCTATTGTGTGTGTGTGTGTGTGTGTGTGTGTGTGTGTGTTTTCACATTTTCTTTACCCATTCATCCTTTGATGGATACTGCGGTTGATTCCCCATCTTAGCTATTGTGAATAGTGCTGCAATAAAAACGGGATTGTAGATATCTTTTCAATGTACTGATTTACTTTCTTTTGGATATATACCTAGTAGTGGGATTGCTAGATAATATGGTAGCTCTATTTTTGCTTTTATAAGGAACCTCCATACTGTTTTCCATAATGAGTGTACTACTTTACATTCCCACAAACAGTGTACAAGCATTCTCCTTTTTCTGCCTTTGCCAGCATTTGTTGTTGTTTTTTTTTTTTTTTTTTTTTTGTCTTTTGATAGTAGCCATTCTAACTGGGATAAGATGCTATCTCTTTGTGGTTTTGATTTGCATTTGCCTAATGATTAGTGATCGTAAGCATTTTTTCTTATACCTGTCTTCTTTTGAGAAATGTCTATTCAGATCTTTTGGCCATTTTTAAATAAGATTTTTTTTTTTTTGCTATGAGTTGTTTGAGTGCTTTATATATTATGGTTATTAATCTCATGTCAGATGGATAGCTTGAAAATACTTTCTCCCATTCTGCAGGTTGTCTCTTCACTTTGTTAATTCTTTTCCTTGCTGTGAAGAAGCTTTTTAGCTTAATGTATTGCCTATGTTTTTGAGGTCTTACCCAAAATATCTTTGCCCTGTAGCATTTCCCCAGTGTTTTCTTTTAGTAGTTTCATAGTTTCAGGTCTTACATTTAAGTCTTTAATCATTTTTATTTTTGTATATGGTGAAAGGTGTGGGGATCTAGTTTCATTCTTCTGCATATGAATATCCAGTTTTCCCAGCACCATTTATTAAAGACACTGTCTTTCCCCAAAGTATGTTCTTGGCAACTTTGTCAAAAAAGAGTTGTCTGATAATTTTAATTTGTCTCATTAATGGTGATTTGTTTTTCATAACCAAGAGTTCTATAAGAAAATTAAGCCCTAATACTCTGGGGGTGGGCTTAACAAACTTTATCTGTAAATGAGAGGATATTGCATACCTTAGGCCACTGTAACACACACACAAAAAGGCCAGAGCTAATATGTAAGCAAATGGTGGTGCTGGCTGTATTTCTATAAATATTTATGGACACTGACATTTGAATTTCATATAATTTTATGTGTCACAAAATATTCCTCTTTTTAAAATTTTTTTCCAACGACTTAAAATGTATAATGTCATACTTAGCTTATGATATATACAAAAAGAGATACTAGGCTGGATTTGGCCTATAGGTTGCATTTTGCTTAGCCTTGCCCTGAGGCATTTATTTGTATGTAATAAATTCACTTTTTTTTTTTTGAGATGGAGTCTTGCTCTGTTGCCAGGCCTTCTCCTCATAGAGAAGACTTATTTTTATGGCCCTGACATTCTGCACTGGGACACGCCATCTATAGTTGCTTCTTCAATCAGCTTGAGCTTTGAATCTCTGTGCCAAGCTCCTTCTCTCTGCAAGTGTGCACACTTTCCTTGGCTTCTGTTACCCAATATTGAAACACTCCCCTGTATGAAAGGCCTTCTTACCCCACTTAGGCTCCAACATCGTAAGTCAGGCTGGCCCTAGGTGTGGATTCTGTTTTGCACACTGCTTGAGTTCTAACACCCCAGGCCAGGCTGCTCCCACACATGAATGCTCCCTTCACTATACTTTGGACTTGACACCCTGCATGATCAGTGTTCCTATGGGGATGCTTGCCTTACTCTGCTTGGGATCTAATACTCCATATGCTGCTGGTCCATGGGACCACTATATTGCTTCTGCTGAGGCAGTGACACCTTGCTCCAAGCCACTGCGGCCCCACACACTGCCAGAACAATGATCTACTGTGGTAGGTAGAATAATGGCTTTCCAAAGATGTCCACATCCTATTCTTTGAAAGTGTTTAATGTGTTAGGGAATATGGCACAGGCGAATTAAGGCTGCACATAGAATTAAAGCTGTTAATCAGGAAATCTTGATATGGAGAAATTATTCTAGATTATTCTGGCAAATCCAATCTAATGACAAGATCCTTATGAGTGGCAGAGGGAGGCAAAATAAGGAGAATTAAAGAGATGTCAGCTTGAGAAAGACTTGGCCCAATGTTTCTGTGTTTGAAGATGGAAGGAAGCCATGAATCAAGAAGTGCAGGGAACTTCTAGAAGCAGAAAAAGGTGAAGAAATAGATTTTCCTTTAGAGACGGCTAATGCAGCCTTGTCAACACCTTGATTTTAGGTCAGCAAGTGCCATTTTGGAATCCTAAATTCCAGAAATCTCAGATAATACATTTGTGTCATTTTAAGTTTCTTAGGCTTTGATACTCAATGTCATGTCCCCCTTCTGTGTGGCCCTCTTCTTCATTCCACCTGGGCTCTGACATCCAATCTGCTCTGTTCACATATGTGAGTACCTAGATTTGTAGTAATTTGTTATGGCAGCAATAGAAAACTAATACTTAGTTGTTCTGTCACACCTAGCAGCTTGAGGACATAATTGCTCAGAAAGGGAAAGGAAGAAAAAGAAGAAAGAAAATGCATGTTTTTATCTTTTGGAGATAATATCATAACCAAAATGAATAATCTTAATTGTAGAAATTTTAATCAATGGAAGAATGACTTCAGAGCCATTTCAAGGATAAAGGGGGCCTTGCAGCACTTCTGAAATCATACTTCTTAAGTAACTAGTACTTTTGTTAGTGCATAGGATGCGCATGAAGCACATCACAGCCCGAACTGGAACAGTGTCACAGTCAGAATCTCTCTTACACAGGCAGAATATACATCTTAAGGCATGTTGAGGCAGAGAAAAAGCCTTCAAATATAGAAGAATTGTCAGTTACACAGCATCATTCAATTTGTCAAGTGTTTCTGTTTAGCTCATTTAATCCTCACAATGAACTTTCTCTATTTTATTTTATGATAAGTTAAGGAGGCTCAGGAATATTAAGAAATTTGTCCAAGGGCTTTTGAATTACTAAAACTGGAGAACTTTAGTATCCTGACCCTGAGATCCGGGCTCTTCTTCTCTATTGTGACATCCTAAATCCTCTGATGACATTTTGCCTATCTGTCTCTTGCAGATTCATTTCCTATTTTCTGTAACTCTTATTTGATTTATTTGTATACTTAATTTATTTGTTTATACCTTTACTTGAAATTTGCACTCATCTACATTACGGGCCATGAACACAGTGCCAAGAAAACTTAGAAAGCACAAACATGGATCCTGACAGGAATTAGTATTTTTCTTCAGCTAAAAGCACTCTGCCTGTTACTCAGGTGTGTTCTCTTTTCCAGTGCTCAGGAGGGAATATGTTGTACATTATATCCTTAAATTCTGCTAAAGGGAAAGAGCTATAATTTTGCAATGGAATTGCATGGCCACCCTGTGGCTTTTCCATTAAAAAACAATTCAAAACAATTTAATTCAGTTTAACTGCAGTTGAGCATCGTAATAATTGTAATAAAGAAAGTAATAAGGATACCCGTTGTTTTTGCATAATCTCAATAGCCCCCTCCAGAATTTCAGAAAACATATTTAAAATTAGCAATTTGCTTTCAAGTTTTCTTTTTGGAGAAAGTTATATGTACTCTAAAACATGTCTCCAAGATTGCGAAAAATATATTTTAATTGATAAGGAATTACTAATTGGGAAGAAACATATTCCCAATATTCCAGAATGTGTAAAGCTTTTTTTCTAATAGTTAACAGAGCTAAACTGGGAAAATTTTTATAATAGGAACATTTTAATAATAGGAACCATCTATTCTTTGAGAATTAAACTAAAATCAGATGATGATTCAATTAATACAGAATCAGAACAAACAGTATAAGATAACTGTTAAGAATAATTCAGAAAGATGTGAATATCCAAGCGAGCCATCTTTTTCAGTTATAGAGACATATTTCCCACGGGCTCCGCATACTGCTAATGTATGCTGAGAAAACTAGAGCCAGAAAGTCCCTATACACATGAATAAATTCTTATACTTTTAATCTTTCTTTTTCTACAAAGTCAGAATACTATCACAAAGTATTATTTTTTTCACTTTTTATTATGACAATTTTCAACAAAACAGCAACATTTTTAAAAAATTACAGTAAACACTAGAATATCTACCACCAAGATTATACCATTAACATGCAATGCTATGGGGTTTTTTTTTTTCAACTTTTATTTTAGGTGCAGGAATATAAGTGCAGTTTGTTATACAAGTAAATTTCATGTTGTGGGGGTTTGGTGTACAGATTAATTCATCATACAGGTAATAAGCATAGTATCCAACAGGTAGTTTTGCAATCCTCACCTTTCTCCCACCCTCCATCCTTAAGTAGGTCCCTGTGTCTGTTGTTCCCTTCTTTGTGTCCACGTGTACTTGATGTTTAGCTCCCATTTATAAGTGAGAACATGCAATATTTGGTTTTCTGTTCCTGTGTTAGTTTGCTTAAGATCATGGCCTACAGCTCCACCCCTATTTCTGCAAATGATATGATCTTGTTCTCTTTTATGTCTGCATAGTATTCCATGGTGTAAATATACCACACATTCTTTATGCAGTCTACTGTTGATAGGCATTTAGGTTGATTTCATATGTTTGCTATTGTGAACAGTGCTGCAATGAACGTACACATGCATGTGTCTTTATGGTAGAATGATTTATATCCCCTTGGATATATACTCAATAATCGGATTGCTGGGTTGTGTAGTCATTCTGTTTTAACTTCTTTCAGAAATTGCCAAACTGTTACCCACAATGCTGAGCTAATTTAGATCCCCACCAGCAGTGTATAAGTGTTCCCTTTTCTTCACAACCTCACCAGCATCTGTTTTTTTTTTTTTTTTTTACTTTTTAATAATAGCCATTCTGACTGGGATGATATCTCATTGGGGTCTTGATTTGCATTTTTTGAATGATTAGTGATGTTGAACATTGTTTCATTTGATGGCTGGTCACATATACCTCTTCTTTTGAGAAGTGTCTGTTCATGTCCTTTGCCCATTTTTGAGTAGCGTTGTTTGGTTTTTGCTTGTTGATTCTTCTAAGTTCCTTATAGATTTTGGATATTAGACGTTTGTTGAATGCATAGTTTGCAAATATTTTCTCTAATTCTCTAGGGTGTCTGTTTACTTTGTCGATAGTTTCTTTTGCTGTGCAGAACCTCTTTAGTTTAATTAGGTCTCATTTGTTAAATTTTGTTTCTGTTGCAATTGCTTTTGTCCTCTTTGTCATGAAGTATTTGCCCAGTCCTATGTCCAGAATGGTGTTTCCTAGGTTTGCTTCAAGGTCATTAAAGTTTTAGGTTTTACATTTAAGTCTTTCACTGATCTTGAGTTGATTTTTGTATATGGTGTAAGGGAGGGGTCCAGTTTCAGTCTTCTGCATATAGCTAGCCAGTTACCCCAACACTATTTATTGAATAGAGAATCCCTTTTCCATTGCTTGTTTTTGTCAACTTTGTTGAAGATCGGAGGATTGTAGGTGTGTGATATTATTTCTGAGCTCTCTATTCTTTCCATTGGTCTACGTGCCTATTTTTGTACCAGTACCATGTTGTTTTGATTACTGTAGCCTTGTAGTATGGTTTGAAGTTGGGTAATGTGATGCCTTCAGCTTTGTTATTCTTACTTAAGATTGCCTTGGCTATTTGAGCTCTTTTTTTGTTCCATATGAATTTTGAAACAGTTTTTTTTCTAATTCTGTGAAAAATGTCATTGGTAGTTCAATAGAAAGAGCATTGAATTTATAATTGCTTTGGGCAGTATGGCCATTTCAACAATATTGATTCTTTCTATCCATGAGCATGGAATGTTTTTCCATTTGCTTGTCTCATTTCTGATTTATTTGAGCAGCGTTTTGTAATTCTCCTTGTAGAGGTCTTTCTCTTCCCTGGTTAGCTGTATTCCTAGGTATTTTATTCTTTTTGTGGCTATTGTGAATAGGACTATGTTTTTTTTTTTTATCTCAATCTTTGCCATCATGTATTAAAATCTCATGCAGTATTTTTTAGGTCTAGAATAAAGATGTATTACAACAACAAAAGATCAGAATTTTCCAAATTCAGATCACTGAAATTACCTAGGATGCTTTTTGTAAGTAAAAATTTCTGATCCATTTCTTGATAATCATAAACTCCAACAGTAGATCCCTGGGTGGACTTCTTTTTTTTAAATATCTTCCTCAGGATGACTCTTTATATATATATATATATTTTTTTTATTATACTTTAAGTTCTAGGGTACATGTGCACAACATATAGGTTTGTTACATATGTATACATGTGCCATGTTGGTGTGCTGCACCCATCAACTCATCATTTACATTAGGTATATCTCCCAACGCTATCCTTCCCCCATGTCCCCACCCCACAACAGGCCCCGGTGTGTGATGTTCCCCTTCCTGTGTCCAAGTGTTCTCATTGTTCAGTTCCCACCTATGAGTGAGAACATGCGGTGTTTGGTTTTTGTCCTTGCGATAGTTTGCTTAGAATGATGGTTTCCAGCTTCATCCATGTCCCTACAGAGGACATGAACTCATTATTTTTTATGGCTGCATAGTATTCCATGGTGTATATGTGCCACATTTTCTTAATCCAGTCTATCATTGTTGGACATTTGGGTTAGTTCCAAGTCTTTGCTATTGTGAGTAGTGCCGCAATAAACATACATGTGCATGTGTCTTTATAGCAGCATGATTATAATCCTTTGGGTAGAGACCCAGTAATGGGATGGCTAGGTCAAACGGTATTTCTAGTTCTAGATCCCTGAGGAATCACCACACTGTCTTCCACAAGGGTTGAACTAGTTTACAGTCCCACCAACAGTGTAAAAGTGTTCCTATTTCTCCACATCCTCTCCAGCACCTGTTGTTTCCTGACTTTTTAATGATCGCCATTCTAACTGGTGTGAGATGTTATCTCATTGTGGTTTTGATTTGCATTTCTCTGATGGCCAGTGATGATGAGCATTTTTTCGTGTGTCTGTTGGCTGCATAAGTGTCTTCTTTTGAGAAGAGTGTGTTCATATCCTTTGCCCACTTTTTGATGGGGTTGTTTTTTTTTCTTGTAAATTTGTTTGAGTTCATTGTAGATTCTGGATATTAGCCCTTTGTCAGATGAGTAGATTGCAAAAATTTTCTCCCATTCTGTAGGTTGCCTGTTCACTCTGATGGTAGTTTCTTTTGCTGTGCAGAAGCTCTTTAGTTTAATTAGATCCCATTTGTCAATTTTGGCTTTGTTGCCATTGCTTTTGGTGTTTTAGACATGAAGTCCTTTCCCATGCCTATGTTCTGAATGGTATTGCCTAAGTTTTCTTCTAGGGTTTTTATGGTTTTAGGTCTAACATTTAAGTCTTTAATTCATCTTGAATTAATTTTTGTATAAGGTGTAAGGAAGGGATCCAGTTTCAGCTTTCTACATATGGCTAGCCAGTTTTCCCAGCACCATTTGTTAAACAGGGAATCCTTTCCCCATTTCTTGTTTTTGTCAGGTTTGTCAAAGATCAGATAGTTGTAGA
Source organism: Homo sapiens (assembly GCF_000001405.40). Classification (NCBI taxonomy): domain Eukaryota; kingdom Metazoa; phylum Chordata; class Mammalia; order Primates; family Hominidae; genus Homo; species Homo sapiens. The sequence goes on along the minus strand of NC_000004.12, from coordinate 120,597,689 downwards.
TGTGTAGTGTTAGTTCTGAGGGCTCTGTGCTGTTCCATTGGTCTATATCTCTGTTTTGGACTATGTTCTTAATTTGGCTCTTAGCTTGGATATTGTTGGTCTATAGGAGTGCTGCTGAATATTGTACATTGATTTCATATCCTGAGACTTTGCTGAAGTTCTTTATCAGATCAAGAAGCTCTTGCGCAGAAACTATAGGGTTTTCTGGGTATAGAATTATAGCGTTTGTAAACAGGGATAGTTTGACTTTCTCTCTTCCTATTTGGCTGCCTTTTATTTCTTTCCCTTGCCCGATTGCTCTGACCAGGGCTTCCAATATTATGTTGAATGGTAGTGTTGAGAGAAGGAATCCTTGTTTTTTTTTCAGTTTTCAAGGGTAATGCTTCCAGCCTTTGCCCAGTCAGTATGATATTGGCTGTGGGTTTGTCATAGGTAGTTATTATTTTAAGTATGTTTTTCCAATGTCAGGTTCTTTTAAGGATTTTTTTTAACATGAATGGATGTTGAATTTTATTGAAAGCCTTTTCTGCATCTATTGAGGTGATCATGTGGTTTTTGCTTTTAGTTCTGTTTATGTGGATGAATTACATGTATTGACTTGCACTTGTTGAACTAACTTTGCATCTCAGGTATAAAGCCTACTTGATCCCGCTAGCTAAGCTTTTTGAGTGCTGCTGGGTTCAGTTTGCTAATATATTGTGGAGGACTTTTGCATCTGTGTTAATCAAGGATATTGGCCTGAGACTTTCTTTTGTTGTTGTTGTTGTTGTTGTTGTGTCTCTGTCAGGTTTTGGTATCAGAATGATGCTGATCTCAAAATGAGTTAGAGTGGAATCTTTCCTCCTCAATTATTTGGAAAACTCTCAGTAGAAATGGTACCAACTCTTCTTTATATATTTGGTTGAATTTGACTGTGAATATGTCTTGTCCTGAGATTTTCCAGGTTGGCAGGCTTTTTATCACTGATTCAATTTTGTAACTAATTATGGGGTTGTTCAGGGATTCAATTTCTTCTTGGTTCAGTCTTGGGTTGTTATATGTGTTCAGGAATTTATCCTTTTCTTCTAGATTTTCTAGCTTGTGTGCATAGAGTTGTTCATAGTAGTCTCAAGATCTTTTTGTATTTCTGTGGGTTCACTGGTAACATCCCCTTTGCCATTTCTGAATGTGTTTACTTGGATTTCTCTTTTTCCTTTATTAGTCTACCTAACAGTGTATTTCTTATCTGGATCTAAAAGTTCACAGAAGGGCCTAACAGAAGGGTGAGGATTCAAGAGGAATGCGACAAAACTTGAAAACAGAAAAATCTTAGAAGGACTAATTACTCTTGGGTAGTGAAACTGAGAATATCCTGTCAAACTCAAGCAAAAAAATGGCTTCTACACCTTCTTATATTACATACGGCGTATAGGATTTGCAAGGAAAACAACATCTTCTGAATGCAAGTTCGCTGAAAGTAATTCACAACCACGACTAACAAACCACCATAATAGGGAGTTTAGCCATAGAACGAATAAGGAAAATTTGCATTTCCCAAACTAAATATAATGTAATAATCTGATACATAAATTGTCTGCTCAAAATCCTCAAGGTCTTAATGAAAGAAAGGGTAATTGTTGATAGGTCATGTAGATTAAAAATTTGTAATGATATCAAGGTAAACAACCAATAGAGAGTATGCATTCTTCTCAAGTATGAATGAAACATTTATAAAATGATCATATAATAGGTCATAAAGGGAGTGTCAAACAATCTAAAATATTCAATAAATGAAAGATCAAATTCTGTGGTCACATTACAAGTAAATTTTACAAATCTCAATTTTACATTAAAGATCTTTACTCTAAATGCCATATGCTTGTTTATTTAGTTGCCCACTCAGCATATCCATTTGACTGATTCATAGACATCTCAAACACAGTATAGCTAAAAGTGAACCTCTGACTTCCCACTAGCAGACTTGCTCTACCTATTGTTTCCCTATCTTTATGGTTTTAGGCCAAAAGACTTGAAATAATTTTTTTCTCCTCTTTCTCTTAAACCTGTCTCCAATCGTGAGGAAATCCTGAGGACACTACCCTTAAAAGTACATCCCAGATAAAACTAGTTCTCACCACCTACTCTGCAGTTGCCCTAGTGTAAGCCACTATCTTCTCTACATTAGCCTTATAATAGGTCTTCTCTTGGCCCACTGTAGTCTATTCTCAACACTGCAGCCAACACAATCCCTTACATGGTAAGTTGGATCATGTCACTGCTTGTCGTAACCCTGCCATGCCTTTCTCTCAAAAGGAAAGCTTTACAGTGGCATATCCAGCTCTACGTGGTCTTTTGCTCCATCACCTTTGCACTCTCCCATCCTACTACTCTACCTGCTTCTTACTCTACTGCAGCCTCTTTGCTGGTCCTTAGAATGCATCAGGCATATGGTAGTCTTAGGAACTGTGCTTTAGCTTGACCCTCTGCCTAGAACTTTCTTAACTCTAGAACCCCTGTGGTAAATCACCTCACTGTCTTCAAGTCTTTTCTAAAATTTCTCTCTCTTGAGACTCCATTAAAAACCTATTTAATCTTGTAACCTCCCCCACACTCCCAGGCCTTGTGACGCTCCTGATCCCACCTACCTGATTGAATTAATCTTTTAAAATAACTTTTGTCATTTGCTGTTGTAGCATACACTTGACATATTTATCATACATTTATAGGTAATTCTGTGTCTCCCTCAATAGGAATGAGGGCAGAGATCTTTTATTGGTTTATGCATTGAGAAATTCCTAAGGGGTCAGATAGTGCCTGGCACATAGTAGGTGTTCTGTATAAGTTTGCTGAATATCACAACTTGTGAGATGCCACTAAAACAATACTCAACAAACTAATTATGTCCTAAATGCTTATTGTAGGGAAGAAAAAAGGCAGGAAATAAATAATCTAAGTTGTAACTCAGTGATTTCCAGCTCATATGCTGACCTAATTTTCTTGGTCATCTTTGCATGACTATTTTCTAGGCACCTAAAAGTCAACATAGCTAAAAAAAAATTATTATCTTCAAACCCTTCTGTATTCTGCATATTGTGAATGGTGCCAATATCCACAGAGTTATCTGTGCTGGAGACCTGTAGAAATACTTTTTTTTTTTTTTTTTTTTTTTGGAGACAGGGTCTCTCACTCTGTTATTCAAGTTGGAGTACAGTGACACGGTCATAGCTCACTGCAGCTTCAAACCCCTGGGCTCAAGCAATTCTCTCATGTCAGCCTCCTGAGAGTAGCTAGGATTATAAGTGCACATCACCATGCTCTGCTAATTTTTAAATTTTATTTTTGGAGAGACAGAGTCTCACTGTGTTTCCCAGACTGTATTCTTATACTTCCATGTCCAAGATCCAAGGTTTACCCACAGCATTTCTCACCTGTTTTGCTTACTGCTTTCCTAAGTGATCTTTTTGCCTCCAACTCAACTCTTCCCCACAATCCATTCTCCACACGATAGTTGATACGGGCTGAATTTGTCTCCTCAAATTCCCTGTCATATATGTTGAAGTCCTAAATTCCAGTACCTCAGAATGTAACCTTATTTGGAGATAGGGTCTTTATAGAGGTAATCAAGTTAAAATGAGGTTATTAGCATAGACTTCAATTCAATATGATTGATAACTTTATAAAAAGAGAAAATTTGGATACAGAGAAAATGTAGAGGGAAGAAGATATGAAGAGACCTAGGCAAAAGAGCCATCTACAAGGCAAGGAGAGAGGACTGGAATAGATGCTTCCTGATATGGTTTGGATTTGTGTCCGTGCCCAAATCTCATGTTGAATTGTAATCCCCAATGTTGGAGGAGGGGCTGGTGGGAGGTGATTGGATCATGGGGGTGTATTTCCCCCTTGCTCTTCTCATGTTAGTGAGTGAGTTCTCAGAAGATCTGGCTGTTTGAAAGTGTGTAGCACCCGCCCCTGCTCTCTCTTCCTCTTGCTTTGGCCATGTGAGATGCACCAGCTTCCCTTTAGCCTTCCGCCAGGATTGCAAGTTTCCTGAGGCCTTCCCAGTCATGCTTCCTGTACAGCCTGTGGGAACGTCAGCCAATTAAACCTCTTCTCTTTATAAATTACCCAGTCTGAGGTAGTTATTTATAGCAATGTGAGAACAGACTAACACATTTCCTTCGGCCCTCAGAAGGAACCAACTCTGCTGAGACCCTCATTTCAGACTTCTGGGCTCCAGAACTGTGAGATCATGAATTTCTGTTGTCTAAGCCACTCAGTCCATGGTATTTTGTCATGGCAGCCCTAGGAAATTAATGCGGTAGTCAAATCAATAATTATTTCAAAAATACACTTGAAAATCTTCAAATTATTTAATAACTTACTGTTGTTACAAAAATATAAATCCTTATCTGTAATATGACTTTCAGTGTATCATATCTCTTTCAGCCTCCATCATTTTTCCTCCTGTGTTTCTCTCTATCCTTTTGCTGAAAGGATGAAAAAATATAGATATCTATCATTCTTCCACATAGAAGCTTTACACTTTATTAATTACAATGTCAAACTAAATTAGTATCTGGGAATTGTATCCACTCATTTAAAGGATAATTTTTTTTTTGCATTCATAAAGATTTCCTCCTTTTGTAATGTGATCACAAGACCCCTTAAAGCAACATATCCTCAAAGGTTTGTTTACAGATGATAAAGTACTTTATAGAAGGGCCTAAAACCTGAATTGTAAGACACTACTGATTAAGTATCAATTGGAAATTAAGAATAAGCAACCATGTAATTATGAGAAGTAATAATCAGATGTGTGTCCATGAAAAGATTTTAAACCGATATAAGCTAAAACACTGAAATAATGTACCAACTAGTTTAAAATGAGACACCTGCCAACCCATCCACAGTATCCCTGTATATACCCCTGAGAAAAGAGCTCTTAGTTTCTTCTGTAAACACTCTGCCTAAAGCCTTTGCACATGTTGCATCTTCTACCTGTAATAGAACAGTCTTTTCTTTATTCTCCACCCTCCATGGGGCAACTAGATATTCTTAATTTTCTTTCAGGCTTACATTAGCTTCTTCCTGTGGATACCTATGTGGAATACCACTGAGGTCTGGTTAGATATCAGTCATTCTTTAGACAAATGTTGACTGAAGGTCTACTAAGTGTCAGGCCTATGACAGAGGCTGAGGATACAGTGATGAAGTTTGGAATGGCTCCTGCTTTGGAGAGCTTATAGGCTAGTGGTAGAATCAGGTGACAAAGTGAGTAAACCAAATAGAGGGAATATTCAGTGACTGTGATCAGTGCTGCCTGTAACAACCAATAAGGATGTTACAATATAACCTAAGATTTGAAGGACTAGAAGGATGAGAAAATGCAAGCAATTAAAAATGTTAAAGGGAGAATATTCTAAGCAAGTGAAAAATGTAAGATTCAGAATAAAAGTGGTATTTAAGGCCATAGCATTAGGTGAGATTACCTATGAAGGAAATATATATGAACAAGGATGGAGGAGGAAAGATGTTGGGCGGTGGGGAGGTATGAGAGAGAAAGAAGAAGGAGGAGGAGGAGGAGAAAAGAGAAGAAGGAGAGAAAAGCATGTCTAAGGCTAAACCCTGAGGAAAACCAATATTTAGAGGTTGGAGAGGGAAGGGAGAACGAGCAAGTGTTCTTATTTGACATAAAGTGTCTTCTGAAGTAGGTGAAAATTTGAGACTGTGGTTCTACAGAAAAGTAGACATTTCAAAAGAGAATGAGTGGCTTACTATGGCACATACAACTGAAAATTTGTGTAAGATACAGGTGGAAAATTACCTGTTAAATTTGGTAACAGGAGGTCATTAGTTACCCTGACAAATGCACTTTTTTATGAAGTGATGAGGTGAAAATAATACAAGTTGTTTGAAGAGTGAGCAAGAGAGAAAGAAATAAAGACAACACTTAAAAAAGTTTGGCTATGAAGAGGAGCAGATAAAAATGTTTTGTGGTATGGGTCTCTCCTAAATGCCTGCATATTACCCTATAATTTATCCATTGTGATCCAGAGTACGCTATGTGGTAAATGCCTGTATCCATTTGTTCATTCACTCACTCACTCATTCACTCATTCAACAAAAATATATTGGCCAGACACTATTCTACACACTGAGTGTCCAGTTAAACTGTGAACCTGGATTTATGCCTAGCAGTTTCACAGATGCATCTCAAGTTCTCAGCATAGTACCTCTCATGTAGTGATGCTCAGTAGGTTTTCTTGGCTTGGCAGTTGGAATTTTGAACAGAACTACCCAGCCACTGGGGATCATTGTGTTCAGCATGGTGTCAATGGTGTGCTCAGGAAAGTCAGTTTCCTGCTGCTGAGACCCCTCAGGAAGGTCTGCTTCCTATTCCTCTTCAGGTTAGGTTGTTCAACATTCCCTCCAATTCGCTGAGATAATCCCATAACTTCCCTTTTGATCTAAATTGGCCCAAATCAGATTGTCTTATTTAAAACCAAAGGACCTCGACTAATGCAATTTCCCCCATTATCATTGTGAAACTACTTAGGCTTTCTCCACCTGGGGTTCATAATAGTCTACAAAGGACTAGATCAGGAAAGAGAGCCATAGGACTTAAGAAGCCTTCTCAAGGTTACCAAATTAGTGAGGGGCCAGGCCAGGATTCACCTAGGCAGTCTAGTCACAGACTCCTGTTTTTTTAACCACTAGCTCTTCTGAGAAAAGAGCTCTTAGTTTCTTCTGCAAAACCAAAGAGCTGATGTGGTATATGCAACATGTGTCTTCGAGCTCACTCCAAAGAACCATTCTTGAAAGTTGGTTCCTGAGAGAACAATATGAAGACCAAACTTTAGCCATGAGGGCTTGACCAGGCGTAGTTTACAGTATTTGGAAGTGAATTCTTGAAATAATCCTTCTGAGTATTTGTTCTATATTAGTGCTTTTAATAAACATTGAGTAATGATCTGTTCTAAGTTGTATTCAATGTCAGAAGCCTGGAACGTGACCCTTTTCTTATTGCTAGCTAAACATACAGTCATATGCCTTCAAAGACATTTATGCAGGAGCTTTATTTTGAGGAGAAAGTGAAAAAAAAATCTAAGCGAATGCCTGTAGACAACTCAAAGAGTCTCCTTTGAAAGGTGTTTTGAATCTGCTTTTGTGAACAAATGAATGGGCTTAAATTCTATTCCATGCAGCATGGCTGCAAAACCGAAGCACATCTGCAGGTGGTGTTGAACTCAGAGGTTGGTCATATCTATTCTGAGATCTCAAATCTACACCCAAAGCTCTGACCATATATTCTCCAAAGCTATGTTGGAAATACTCCATACCAATTCACTATTAAGAAATGGAAAAAAAATTCAGAATGCTGATACTTTGGGATTAATATTGCTTTTATGTACAGTAAGCTAAAAGGCAATAAACCCAGGCAATATCTGTGATTTGACAAAACATGTTTTGAAGCAGGTCACCTTGCTTGCTGTGATAGTGTAAATGAAATATTTGTCTACTTATTATAGAAACAAAATAGTTAGTATCCATGTTGTAATAGCAGTAGAGAAAGTAGGGAGGTGGAGCTTGCACTATGAATTGGTGGGAAAGGACACTCAGGAAGAAAGGAATATCCCACTTTGCCTTTTTTCTCTCTGTGCCCTACATCTGACTCATAAGGCTTCTTCTAATGCTTTTCCTCCTAATTTTAACAATCACCATTTCACATAGTACTGCGAAATTTTGTTGACTCAGCACAAGTTCTGCAAATATTTTCAGAAGAAGCAACTGCCCATCTTCCCCCACTCCCATGCTTTCGTGTAACAGTAGCTTTGCATTTTATGAGGCTTGGATACAACACATTTTAAATACATTCCAAGCCAATTCAAATTTGATTCTACTTGTAAGTATCTTCTGGGATGGTGATGAAAAAAAAATTCAAAAAAATCATGGAAATGGAGGCCGTTTTTACATGGAAGATATTTTCTACAAGTTACCTTGCAGTTTTTTTCTTTTTTCTTCCGTGTGTGTTTTTCTTTTTTTCTCTGCCTGGTATTGGTGCTCATAGTGAAAAAGTAACAAGCACAGAAGGAAATGTTAATGTGGTTTTAGAACTTGTGTTCCACAGAAACTTTAGGGTAAACAGAACTTTATTCTTACTGAGAAAAATCTATAGAACATATTTTGATTGGATAGCAGTTTTGATCATAAACACAAGTACAGATTTTAGATCAGAGGAAGATATTGGTAAAAAGCAATCAGTAGAATACATCCCACCTTCTCAGAGAACTCGAACAGAGATATCTTGTCCAGCTCTTGTTCATCTGGTATTTAAGTACATTTCCCTATAAACTGTGGGTGCCTTAGCACTGGCATGATAGTGAGTACAACTGCCCATGGAAGACTGCTGATTCGCTCATTTTTTACATACCTGCTTAAAGAACCTACAGGGAGAGAGGGGGATTTCTTTGCTTCAGTGAGTCACAAGAAAGCATGACTACACTTTAAAGCTTAAAAGAGAGACACAAAAGGTAAGAATACAGGTTATTGTAGAAGTAAAATTTCAAATATCTTTATGGAGAACTATAGATGATACTGTTCTCATGAGGCACCAACTGAGTTTCATAAACAGAAATGTGTGCAATAGCTCTAAAATGGTTACATTAGCTCACATCCTCCCAGAACTCCAATTCTAGTTGGAATTGCCCCTAAGACCAATTTTTCTATTTTCATATTGTATCCTCCATTCCAAAAAGGTTTCTACAATTTTCTATTGCCAAGCAAGGTGTTTTTCACTCCCTTTTCCACAGATGTGAGATAATATCAGATGGAAGGAAAAATGAAACCAAGTGGTCTCTAGAAGTGGTTATGATTTTTATAAGCATGTGAAATACAATATATATTTAACACAGCACTATTTTTTGAACTTGCTTTTCAGCATAAGCTCACATAGGAGTTCAGGGTTGGATGATGTCATTTTGCTAGAGGGGAAAGTGACAAATGTGTTCATTGACACAAAGGTGCAAATGATAAAAAATAATTAGACGGACTTACTTTAATTCTGTCTTTTAAAAGATATGTATTAACATAAATGTGGGAAGAAAATAAAATATGCTGGATTATTTTACTCAAGAACATATCTTAGGATTCATTTTGAAGTAGATGAAGCTCTTTCCAGTTAGGAAAAAAATGAAGAAGAAAAGTAAGAGACATTTTGACTAGATCATGTGCTAAGCGTTCAACTGTGTTTTCATAGTCGTTCAAAGGCAAACCTATAATGTTAGAACAGATGAAATTGGAAATCATCATTCTCAGTAAACTATCGCAAGAACAAAAAACCAAACACCGCATATTCTCACTCATAGGTGGGAATTGAACATTGAGATCACATGGACACAGGAAAGGGAATATCATACTCTGGGGACTGTGGTGGGGTGGGGGGAGGGGGAGGGATAGCATTGGGAGATATACCTAATGCTAGATGACGAGTTAGTGGGTGCAGCGCACCAGCATGGCACATGTGTACATATGTAACTAACCTGCACAAGGTGCACATGTACCCTAAAACTTAAAGTATAATAAATAAATAAATTAATTAATTAATTAAAAAAAAAGAAAATATCAGCAATCTACATTGGCATTGGTGATTTACAAAGATAGTCTCTGTACCATGCAGTCAAAACATTCTGTGGTGTGTGATTGCAGAAGATATTTTGGAAGACTGAAGTTCCTCAGCTTAATGGTGACCTTGTAAGGGGTTGGAGCTTGGAAATTTCATACAAATACTATTGAGATGAGAGCAAAATGCTGTATCTATAGAATTAATCCATTGGTGCTCATCAAGTGAATATTACTGATGTGATGCCATTCTGCCTAATGGTTGTATCCTCAGGCTAATAATGGTTATATTTAAGTTGAACTTTCCTACTCAGATTACATTTTGAAAATGCCTTGGGACTTAAGTGGTTTTCACAACTATCACAACACTTGATCAATAGAAAACAAAGCATAAATCCAAACCATCTATTTAGAAATAAGTGAGCTTCTATTCACAGCTTAGCTGCTCATCTCAATATGTGTCACTATCCTATCCTACAAATGGTGTAGGACTTTCTATTTATTTTCTATCAACTTCAATCCATTTGTGAACTTGATTTGTTGCCTTTACTCCTTGGGAATGTTCTCCAAACTTCCTATGAATTCAGGAAACCTGATATGAATTTCTGTATAGGCTATGAAATTGCCTCATAAAATACTCCAGATGGAAACAAAGGAGTTGGGTTTTAAAGGAGGAGTGAAGCAAGAAGTGAGTTGGAATATTATAGTATTCTTCCATAAGAAGTAGATCTTATGGTTCTTTACATACTTTTGTGCATGTGTGACACATTTTTATAGTGTGCTCATAGTACCCGTATACAGAACTTGATTGCAACAGGGCACAAAAGGCAACTTACAAGGTATCCCTTTCTGGACATACCATGATACATATTCTGGTTCACTTTGACTTGGAGCTAAAATCGAATGTGCCTGTAATCTGGCTACAGTTATTTAGAATTTTCCTTTTATACTAAAATAACAACAAATAAGTTTGGATTTTTGACCAGTTTCATACGTAAATCTTCCCTTCAGATCACTGATTGAAAAGCATAGACCAAAATTTATGAAGTAAATATGAAAAACAAAAGCAAAAATGAAATAAACAAAAAAGAGATGAGGCATTCTGTAACATTTATGTATTTTAGTTATGATTTTTAGTTTTTGTGGGTACATAGTAGGTATATATATTTATTAGATGTTTGATACAGCCATGCAACATATAATAATCACATCATGGAAAAATGGGGTATCCATCTCCTCAAGCATTTATCTGTTTTGTTACAAACAACCCAATTATACTTTTTTAGTTGTTTTAAAATGTACAATAAAATCATTATTGACTATGGTTACCCTGTAGTGCTATCAAATACTAGGCCTTATTCATTCATTTTTTTAATATATATTATATTTTTTGTGCCCATTAATCATCCCCACATCCCCACCACTACCCTCTCCAGGCTCTGGTAACCATCCTTCTACTCTCTATCTCCATGGGTTCAACTGTTTTGATTTTTAGATTCCACAAATAAGTGAGAACATTCAATGTTTGCTTTTCTGTGCCTGGCTTATTTCACTTAGCATAATGATGTCCAGTTTCATCCATGTTGTTGCAAATGACTGAATCTCATTTTTTTATGGCTGAATAGTACTCCATTGTGTGTCGGTATCCAATTTTCTTTTTTTTTTTTTTTTTTTTTTTGAGACGGAGTCTCGCTCTGTCACCCAGGTCGGACTGCGGACTGCAGTGGCGCAATCTCGGCTCACTGCAAGCTCCGCTTCCCGGGTTCACGCCATTCTCCTGCCTCAGCCTCCCGAGTAGCTGGGACTACAGGCGCCCGCCACCGCGCCCGGCTAATTTTTTGTATTTTTAGTAGAGACGGGGTTTCACCTTGTTAGCCAGGATGGTCTCGATCTCCTGACCTCATGATCCACCCGCCTCGGCCTCCCAAAGTGCTGGGATTACAGGCGTGAGCCACCGCGCCCGGCCGGTATCCAATTTTCTTTATTGATTGATCTGTTGATGGACACTGAGGTTGCTTCCAAATCTTGGCTATTGCCAACAGAGGTGCAACAAGCATGGGAGTGCAGATATTTATTCAATGTATTAATCTTCTTTCTTTTGGGTATATCCCCAGCAGTGGGATTGCTGGATTGTACGGCAGCATTATTTTTAGTCTTTTGAGGAATCTCCAAACTGTTTTCCGTAGTGGTTGTATTAATTTACATTCCCACTAAAAGGGTATGCAGATTCCCTTTTCTGCACATCCTCGCCAGCATTTGTTATTGTCTGCCATTTGGATATAAGCCATTTTAACTGGGTTGAGATGATATTGTAGTTTGGATTTGCACTTCTCTGATAATCAATGTTGTTGAGCACCTTTTCATATGTCTGTCTGCCATTTGTGTGTCTTCTTTTGAAGACTGTATATTCAAATCTTTTGCCCATTTTTTGATCAGATTATTAGAATTTTTCCTATAGAGTTGTTTGAGCCCCTTATATATTCTGGTTATTAATCCCTCATCAGATGGGTAGTTTGCAAATATTTCCTCCCATTCTGTGGGTTATCTCTTCACTTTGTTGATTGTTTCCTTTGCTGTGCAGAATCTTTTTTAACTTGATGTGATCCCTTTTGTCCATTTTTAACTAGATTGCTTGTGCTTGTTGGGTATTACTCAAGAAATCTTTTCCCAGACTGATGACTTGGAGAGTTTCCCCTAAGTTTTCTTGTAGTATTTCATAGTTCGAGGTCTTATATTTAAGTTTTTAACCCATTTTTAATTGTTTTTTTATATAGCAAGAAATAGGCATCTAGTTTCATTCTTCTGCATATGGATATTCAGTTTTCCCAGCACCATTTATTGAAGAGACTATTTCTCCTCAATGTATGTCCTTGGCACCTTTGTCAAAAATAAGTTTCCTGTAAGTGTGTGGTTGTGTGGATTTGCTTCTGGGTTCTCTATTCTGTTCCATTGCTCTAGGTGTGTTTTTTATTTTATTTTTTTATTGTTGTTGTTTTGCCAGTATCATGTTGTTTTGGTTACTGTAGCTCTGTAGTATAATTTGAAGTCAGGTACTGTGATTGCTCCAGTTTTATTCTCTTTGCTGAGGATGGCTTTCGTATTCTAGGTCTTTTGTGGTTCAATATAAATTTCAGGTTTGTTTTTTCTATTTCTCTGAAGAAAGCCACTGGTATTTTGATAGAAATTACATTGAATTTGTAGATTGTTTTGGGTAGTATGGACATCTTAACAATATTGATCCTTCCAATCCATGAACATGGAATATCTTTGCCTTTTTTGTTTGCCCTCTTCTATTTATTTCATCAGTGTCTTATAGTTTTCATTATAGAGATCTTTCACTTTTTTTGGTTATGTTAATTCCTAGATATTTAGTTTTATTTGTGACTATTGTAAATGGGATTACTTTTGTATTAGTCTGTTCTCACACTGCTATAAAGACATACCCGAGACTGGGTAATTTATAAAGGAAAGAAGTTTTATTGACTCACAGTTCTGCAGGGCTGGAGAAGCCTGAGAAAACTTACAATCGTGGTGGAAGGGGAAGCAAACATGTCATTCTTCACATGATAGTAGGAAGAAGAATGAGATCCGAGTGAAGGGGAAGCCCCTTATAAAATCATCAGATCTCATTAGAACTTACTCACTATTACGAGAATAGCATGGGGGAAATCACCCCCATGATTCAATTACCTCCCAATGGGTCCCTCCCATGACACATGGGGATTATGGGAATGACAATTCAGGATGAGATTTGGTGGGGACACAGCCAAACCACATCATCTCACCCCTGGGCCCTCCCAAATTGCATGTTCTTGCATTTCAAAACATAATCATGCCTTTCCAACAGTCTCCCAAAATTTCAACTCATTCCAACATTAACCCAAAAAACGAAGTGTAAGGTCTCATCTGAGACAAGGCAAGTCCCTTCTGTGGGTGAGCATCAGCTGAGTTTGGTCCAGTTTTGTTTTCTGATGTAACAAGGGTAGCACTGAGTCCAATGCCTACAATTTGCTGAGTTCTCCCTCTCCCTATCTCCCAGAAATGCTCTCCACACCATGCCACTGCTACCGGGGGTTGGGAGAGGGGTGATGTCAGTGATTCAAGACTATTTTTCCTATATCTTCAGTGCCTCTTTCAGTGATATGAAGTTAAAACTAGGTCCTGTAAGTGCTCTCCTCATTTTTGGTATATATGAAGATGTGTGTGTGTGTGTGTGTGTGTGTGCATGTCTGTGTGTGTGTGTAGATAGTTGTTAAACTGGTGTTCCTGATGATTAGTAGAGCCTTTTATTCTGCCATCTTACACCACCTGGAGTCTCCACTCTGTAACTTTTAAATCCACCTCACTTTATGTGTCTAAATCCAAAGCCTGTGATGTTTATATCCTTAAAATATTTGGAACCCATTATTTTCTGTTAATTTTTGTTGTCACTATTTGATTTAAGTTATCATCATTTCTTGTTTGGAACACCGCAAATTAGTTTAGACTTTCTTTCCCTGAATCCTAGTCCTCTCTCCACTGCCACCAGAAGGATCCCTGCAGAAATGTATATCTCAGTAATTATCCCACCACTCAAAGCCATCAATTTTTTTTTTATTTTGTAATAAAATCATTCTTTGGCTTGGCACTGAAGACCATTTGTGAGTTGTTCCTAGTCAACCTGCATATCATCAGATCTTGCCAATCTCTCTTCTCACCCCAACCTCCAACTGATCCAAAATGCTTGTTATTCATTGGGCATATCATATTCACCATTGTTCTGGAGGCTTTCTAACTATGAGTAGATTTCTTTTCCCCAAAAGACAATTCTAGTGAAAAGACCCTTGTATGTGATGTTTATCTTCTTATTCCAAATATCATGTCATCTCAAGTCTTTTTCTGACTCTTCAGTTTGCACCTTCTTGGTCTCCCAGGGAGAATTAAACAACTTGCTATAGTGGAGAGAACAAGGGATCTGAAGTCAGACAAATTTGGCTTGGAATACTCACCCCACCATTATCTAGCTATGTGATCTTCATCAAGGTCCAAGATTTCTATGATCTCAATTTCTATTACTCCCAGGATGGTTGTCAAAATTAAAAGAGATTTTAGGTGAAAATGTTCAAACAATGCCTACAATATGATAGGAATTCGATTCACCTTTCTTTTACCTGTCACCTCTGTTTTGTGATAATTTGTATATCCCTATAATATATTTGTTATGTTGAATTGCATTCCTGGAATACAACATCCTTCAAGGCCAGGATTATTTAGTATTTATCTACATAAACCCAATACCTCATGCAACGTCCACATAGAGTAGGTATTCAAAGCGCATGGGATGAATAAATCATAATCTGTTGCTCAAATTTGTGCATTAAGATATTAATTATTATGTCCTTGTGCCTATAAAAACATGTATGAAAAGTTCAATGTTTTATTAAAAATTATTTCATGGTTGGGTGCGGTGGCTCACACCTGTAATCCCAGCACTTTTGGAGGCCAAGGTGGGCGGATCACTTGAAGGCAGGAGTTTGAGACGAGCCTGGCCAACATGTTGAAACCCTGTTTCTACTAAAAATACAAAAATTAGCCTGAGATGGTGGCACAAGACTGTAATCTGAACTACTTGGGAGGCTGGGGCAGGAAAATCGCTTGAACCCAGGAGGTGGAGGCTGCAGTGAGCTGAGATCGTGCCACTGCACTCCATCCTGGGTGACACAGTGAGACTCCATCTCAAAAAAAAAACAAAAAAAACAAAAAAAAACAAAAAAAAAACCAACTATTTTATGTGTGTTGGGGAGGAAATAGAGATTTAAAAGGTGATAGAAAACCTTAGTATCAGAATTGAGAATTAAGAATATATATTACAAACCACTTATACCCAAATTAATATCCCTTCATGACGTCTGTAAAGTCAGGTGGCCAATAAGAACAAGCCTATCCCTTGTTCTCAATCTCATTTTCTGGTAAGAGAGTAAAAATAGAAAACAAAGCAGACTCCACTGATAAGGGTTCAAATGTATTATTGAAATAAATGTGTGATTGATAGAAAAAGCTTGTGACTATTTAATCTACCAAAGTTCATCAAATTTAAGATGCACAATTGTAAAACCATACATATAAGGTGCTCAACCAAAACAAATATTGCTTGGGAAAAAGGAAAGGCTATTTTATACTAAGTATTGCTAAAATGGAAGACACAAACCATATAATATACTTTTAATGAGTTTACGGGTAGTAACTAAACAAAAAGTCAAGAATCAGGACTAGGGTTTATTCAGCTATTCATTAAAAACATCAATCAATCAATATTTATTGAGTATCAACTATATTCAGGCAATGATAGAGTTGGAAAAGAAATGTTTGAAGAAGGAATGGGCATTCCTTTCACAGAGCTATGTTCTAAGGTGGAGATAAACAATAAGCTAGCAAGCAAATAAATGAACACAATAACTGAAGGTTGTAAAAAGTATTTTATGAGACAAAATTGCTATGTTAGATATAAAGTGGAAAGAATTTACTTTATAGTGAGCATCTCTGAGAAGTTGACTTTTAAGCTGATACCTGAAGAAACCAGCCATGATAATTGTCCTGGTGACAGGGTAAGTTTTTCATATCTTAGATATAGCACAGACTGAGCCTTCAAATTGAGAAAGACTGTAATGTTCTAGTGATGGCCACAGGCTAGTGTACTTGGAGAATAATGACCAAGGGGCAGGATGGGACCAGATGAAGTTAGAGAGTTGTGTAGGGGCCAGTTATGCGGGACCTGGTAGATTATGGCAAGAAGACAGGTTTTATTTTAGGTACAATGAAAAGAAATGGAATGTTTTAATCAGAGGAGTAATATATTTAATTTTTGTTTCAAAGAGATCACTCTGACTCCATGGGGGATGAGCAAGGAAGGAAGCAGGAGATCAGGCATAAATGAAGGATTGGACAGAAAAGTGTGATAGGGAGACGCAGAAGAGCCAATGGATTCAAGATACTCTTGGAGGTAACAGCCAATAGTTGCTGCTGAGAGAGATATAGGAATGGGAGATTGGCTTGAGCTACAGAATGGACAGTGAGACCATTTACTGAGGCAGAGAAGTCAGGAAGAGCAACTGTGTTGGAGGTAGAGAATGGAACAGGAGAGTTCTGTTTTGGCCATGTTAAGATTGAGAAGTTTATGAATTGTCTAATTTGATATACAAGAAATAAGGACCTGACAGAGGTGGGTCTGAACAAAAAGCAAAAATTCCAATATCAGGCCGTAGAGGAGCCATCAAAGGACTCTTAGAAGCAGAAAGTCATGAAGAGTGTCACTGCAGAATCCAAAAAAGGTGACTAGTTCAATAAGAAAGAAATGTAAGTGAGAGAAAGCCAGACCTCTACTCAGTACTAGTGTTAATTATATTCTTCTGACCTGTAAACAACTCGTGTTGTATAAAAAAGGGAACTGAGGAACTTTTTGAATGTTCAGTGCTATGTATGACCAGCATGCAGAAGGAGAGATGATTGGCGATATCACTTCCTTTAAGAAAAAAAAAAAAACTCTCTAAGAGGAGTAAGAGTCAAATCCTTCCAGAAAATTCTTAATAGATTAGAGAAAATGTCCTTGTTAATCACTGCAACATTAAGACTGTTGAGTTAAACTACATAAATAGTAATACTAATAATAGAGATCTTTTCACCTATTGATTTTGTTAAAGTATTAGAGATTCAGTTTTTGGTCAGATGTCTAGGGGTGAATCTAAGTTACCCAACAAGTCATTTCAAATATCACAGTCTTGCTGACAGACAGGGTTTAAGCATTTCTAATAAAAAGCTGCCAGAGCTCACTTCTGAAACTACTAAACCTTTTGCTAAACGTTTACTTCTGGCAGTACTTGTGCTTTTGTGAGCCTGGGGCTAAATTTCTGGAACATGAGATGCAAAGGCAGCAGAAAGACAAACAGCATCAAACTATATGACACTTCAGAACTCACTGTGATGATTCTCAAATCACACTTTTGGTGATAATTAAGCTGAGGCACACTGGCAAAGTGACTTGCCCGAGGTCTTATAGACAATTTCAAGCCAAGGTAGACCCAGTTATTTCTGATTCCTAGTCTTGAACTATGAACACCCCATCAGTTTAATTATTAAAATACAATTGCTACCATATGGAAGAAAAACCTAGAGGACTCAGAGATCCTCTGCCTAAATCATTAACTCTGAATAATTATTTCTTTTGGTCAGGCAACCAGAAAGGAGGGAACACCTTTTTAAAAAAAAATGATTTGGTTTTAAAAATTAACCTGTCTCTTCACAAGTTGTTAAAATTGACATAGCTCTTTCTAATAGACAAGACATTTTCTTCAGACAAGAGGTGGTAAAATTGTTGTCAGTGTACTTGGCAACTCTTCCTAAGACTATGTAAAAGTTTTCCAAAAGGCAAAAAGTATTGAAATCAAAGAGTTGCTTCAATCCACTGGGTCAAGATGGTTATTTCACTGCAGAGTATTTGTGGTATAAGAGCAATAAAATTTACAATGAAAAGCTTTAATTTTGATTCAAATAAAAAATTTTGAATAGGTCAATTTTCTCCCCTGGGGTAGAGGACACCTGGTTATTGTAAGGTTATTGAAGACACCCTCAAAAGGCTGAGCTGTGAAAGAAGCAATCAATTTTTTTCCCTGTCAATTTTGGGACAGTTGTGCATAGTAATGTAGATTTCATTACACAACCAGGCTTGGATATACCCAGCAAGTCCAAGGAATTCCATGATTCTAGGTGGATGGACAAAGTTTCCAGGATATCACTAGTGAGACCAAATTTAAGCTAGAGCCCCAGATGTCAGCTGCTTCTGCTTTCCACAGTCATTTACAAGAAAACACAGAATAAGCTTCGATTTCTTAAGCTCTTGGATGACTACTGATGGGGCTAATTAACACAATTATTATAGGAAACGAGAGGGGAAATTTTAGGCCCAGATTGTGTAGGGCTCAGAGTGTCTTGCTAAGTTGTCACACTAAGATGTCTCCGTAGGTAATGGAGGAACACGGGAAGCTTTCAAGCAGAGAGTAACATAATCAAATTATGTATAGGAAAGCCCATCTAGTAGTGACATTCCAGCTAAGTAAAAACAGGGAAATGCTAGGTCAGATAACTGAACCTTGGATGTGAAAGCACATCTGACCTCAAAGACGACTAGACCTGGGGACACTAGTGTGTTCAATTCCTGCCACCTCCCTTCTCTTCCTCCCTTCATGTAAGAGCTCTATGTCTTCCTACAGTAGACAGTAAGATGCGGGAGAATAGGGCAGTGGAACATGTTTGCTGAATGTTCTGGTCTCACATTTTCACAGCTTCACAATCAAAAAGGAAAAAAACCTTCTTCCTGTACTTTCGTTTTGAAAACTTGTGGGAAGGAATCCCATTGTCTTGGTATGTGAGGTTGGTCACCGTCAATGTATCACTCTGGACAGAGAGTCAGTGCTTGCCTGACCTATCTATTAAAGCTGAAGAGTAAAAGATGACAGGCAAACAGGAACTTTCCTCAGAAACAGTCAATCCTCTTGCCAGAATAACGAAAGAAGAAATCATTGGTATCTGTTGTAGCTACCATTTGAACTTGTATGTGAAAGAGGGTTGGGAAAGCCAAAAATCATTTATGCTTAGTTCCTAAGTGACAAAGAGGCTGAAAGTACCTCTAAGCAAGGTGCATTATGGGAGGGAAAAAAAGGGAAGAAAAAGATAAAGTGAGATGATAAATATAAAATGAAAAATGTTGAATGTGACTGCTAAACTGAATAGAAAGGAAATAGCAATGAGGATCTGGAATTCAGAGAAGTTGGTAGAGTGAGAGATTTGGAGGAAAGAAAGATAAAGTTTAAGTTATGAAAGTAGATGAAATCACTTCAGCAGAAAATGTGAGAAAAGACATGGGCTTATATTAAAGTGTTTATAGAAGAAGAAGTTTTGTGACTACAGCAAAACACCACAAAAGGCAAATGAAAAAGTTAATTCAGTGTCAGAAAACTTGCTTCAACTGATTAATGCAGCAGAAGCTGCAGAGAATTAGAAATATATAAAAATAATACAAATTTAGTATTTAGCCTTTAGTTACTAGAAAGGCTATTGTGATTCAACAGAGCCATTGTAGCAGGCAAGGTGAGTTGAAAGCTAGATTGCTTTTGTTTAAGAAAAGGCTGAGAAATGAAGAAGAGTGAGTTTAATGTATTCTTTCCAGATATTTATCATAATTTACATAGTCTTATATTTTGGGGTGATAAATAACTTGACTTTAAATCTCAAATATTACCAAGTTCTTCCAAAAAATGAAAGAAATAATAAGAACAGGTCTAGTCTGCAACAATAGAAAGTTTTAATTCTACAGTAAGTAGTTGAACAATACTAGGGTACATATCACAAGTAAATAATATGGACAAGAAAAATCTACTTGCAGATTTAAACTGACAGGCTTATTATTTATATTAAAGAATTTATCAGATAATTATAACTTTTTTCTTTTCTTTTTTGTGGACACTTCATTTAATTTTAGATTCTGGGTGCATGTGCTGGTTTGTTATTTGGGTATACTGCATAATGCTAAGGTTTATACTTCTAGTGAACCCATCACCCACATAGTGAACATTGTGGTCAATAGGTAGTTTTTCAATGCTCACTCCCTCCCCAGATTCCTCCCATTTGAGTCCCGAGTGTCTATTATTTCCATATTTATGTCCATGTGTACCTATTGTTTAGCTCCCACTTGTAAATGAGAATATGAGTTATTTGATTTTCTGTTTCTGAATTATTTCCCTTAGGATAGTGGCCTCCAGCTCCATCCACATTGTTGTGAAGGACATTATTTCATTATTTTTATGGCTGCGTAGTATTCCATGGTGTATATACCATATATTCTTAAGCTATTCAATCATTGGTGGACACTTAGGTTGATTCCATGACTTTGCCATTGTAAGTAATGGAATAGTATCACAATAGTATTGTGATAAACATGTGAGTGCAGGTGTCTTGATGACATGATGTCATTTCCTTTGGGTGGATACCTAGTAGCAGGATTGCTGGACCAAATGGCAGTTCTAATTTTAGTTCTGTAAGAACTCTTTACTGTTTTCCATAGGGATTGAACTAATTTACATTCCCACCAACAGTGTATAAACATTTCCTTTTCTCTGCATCTTCCCCAACATCTGCTTTTTTTTTCTTTTCACTTTTTAATAATAGCCATTCTGACTGGCATAAGTTGGTCTCCCATTATGATTTTAATTTGCATTTCACTGATGATTAGTAATGTTGAGCATTGTTTTCATATGTTTGTTGGCCACTTGTATGTCTTCTTTTGAGAAGGGTCTGTCCATGTTCTTTGCCCACATTTTAATAGGGTTATTTTTTTTTGTTGGTTTGTTGAGTTCCTTGGAGATTTTGGATATCAGTCCTTTCTCAGATGCATAGTGTGCAAAAATTTTTTTCTCATTCTGTAAGTTGTCTGTGTAGAATGTTGATTTTGTTTTCTTAAGTCCATTTTGTCTACTTTTGTTTTTGTTGCATTTGCTTATGAGGTCTTGGTAATAAATTATTACCCTAGGCCACTGTTCAGAAGAGTTTTTCCTAGGTCTTCTTTTAGGATTTTTATAATTTCAGGTCTTACAATTAAGTCTTTAATCTATCTTGAGTTAATATTTATATATAGAGTGGGACAGATGTCCAGTTTCATTCTTCTGCATGTGAGTAGCGAGTTTTCTCAGCACTATTTTTTGAATAGGGTGTTCTTTTCACATTGTTTATTTGTGTCAATTTTGTTGAAGATCAGTTGGTTGTAGGTAAATGGCTTTGCTTCTGGGTTCCTATTCTGTTCCAGTGATCTATGTGTTTATTTTTATATCAGTACTATGCTGTTTTGGTTACAGTAGCCTTGTAGTATAGTTTGAAGTCAGATAATGTGATGACTCTAGCTTTGTTTGGGTTATTCAGGGTCTTTTTTGGCTCCACATGAATTTTTGAATTATTTATTCTAATTCTGTGAAAAGTGATTTTGGTAATTTGATAGAAACAGCATTCAGTCTGTAGATTACTATGGGCAGTGTAGTCATTTTAATGATATTGATTCTTCCTATCCATGAGCATGGAATATTTTTTCATTTGTTTGTGTCATCTACAATTTATTTCATCAGTGTTTTTTAGTTTTTCTTGTAGAGATCTTTCACATCCTTAGTTGAATGTATTTGTAGGTATTTTATTTTTGTGTGTGGCTATTGTAAATTGGATTGAGCTTCTGATTTGGTTCTCAGCTTGAATGTTGGTGTATTGAAATGCAACTGATTTTTGAGCATTAATTTTGTATCCTGAAACTTTACTGAGGTCATTTATCAGGTCTAGGAATTTTTTTGGAGAAATCTTTAGAGTTTTCTAGGTATAAGATCATGTCATCAGTGAACAGAGGTACTTTGACTACCTCTTGTCCAATTTGGACACCTTTCCTTCTTTGGCCTGATTGCTGTGGCCAGGACTTCCAGTACTATGTTGAATAAGAGTGGTGAGAGTAAACATTCTCATCTTGTTCGAGTTCTTAGGGGAAAATGCTCTTAATTTTCCCCATTAAACATAGTGCTGGCTGTGGGCTTAGGAACTATACTGCCCACAGTAATCTACAGATTCAATGTAACTCTTATCAAATTACCAAATGACTTTTCACAGAATTAGAATTATATGTATCTTTATATTTTGAGGTATGTTTGATGCCTCATTTGTTGAGAGGTTTTATCATGAAGGGATCTTGAATTTTATGGAATGCTTTTTCTGCAACTGTTGAGATGATAATATAGTTTTTGTTTGTAATTCTGTTTCACATTTATAGATTCATATATATTGAACCATCCTTACATCCCTGGAATAAAACTAACTTGATTGTGATGAATTCTTTTTGATGTGCTGCAGAATTTGGTTTGCTAGTAGTTTGTTAAGGATTTTTGTGTCTATGTTCATCAGGTGATTTTGCCTGTAGTTTTCCTTTTTGGTTGCTGTGTCCTGGCCAGATTTTGGTATGAGGATGATACTGATTTCATAGAATGTGATAAGGAGGAATAACTCTTCCTGGATTTTCTGAATAATTTTAGTAGTTTGGTACCAGATTTTCTTTTTGTGTGGTAGACTATGGGTATGAATGCATCTGGTCCTGGGCTTTTTATGGTTGGTAGATTATTTTTTGTTACTCATTCAATTTCAATTTTTTTCTGGTTTAATCTTGGGAGGTTGTATGTTTTCAGTAATGTATCCATTTCCTATAGGTTTTCTAGTTTATGCACATAGAGGTGTTCATAGTAGTCTATGACTACTCTATAGTCGTCTAGAGACTAAGATGATCTTTTGTATTTTTGTGGTATCGGTTGTATCACCTTATCATTTCTGATTGTGTTTAGTTGAATCTTCTGGTCTTTTTTGTTGTTGTTTTTAATTAAGAACCAACATTTTGTTTTGTTGATCATTTGTATAATTTATTTGCTCTTAATTTTGTTTAGTTCTGTTCTGATCTTTTAAAATTCTTTTCTTCTGCTAGCTTTTAGTTGGATTTTTCTTGTTTTTGTAGTTCCTTGAAGTGCAATATTAGCTGGTTAATTTGAGATCTTTTTATTTTTTGATGTACTAATTTAGCACTACAAATTTTTCTCTTTACACTGCTTTGGAGATTTTGGTATGTTATGTCTCTATTTTCATTGATTTCAATTTTTTTTTATTTCTGCCTAAATTTCTTTGTTTACCCCAAAGTTTCTCAGGGGCAAGTTGTTTAGTTTCCATGTACTTGTGTGGTTTTGAGAATTCCTGTTTGTTTTGATTTCTAATTTTATTACACTTTGGTTCAAAAAGATACTTGATATGATTTTGATTTTTTTGAGTTTATTGAAACTTTCTTTATGACCAAGGATATGGTCAATTTTAGAGAGTGCTTTTTGCACAGATGAGAAAAATGTATATTCTTCAGTTGGTTAGAATGTTCTGTAGATATCTATTAGGTCAATTTGTTCAAGAGTTCAGTTTAAGTCCAGAGTTTCTTTTTTATCTTAAGAGTATGATCACGGTATATGTTGTATATGGTCATTTGGCTTTTGTTTCATTATTTCTGCATCAATGATCTGTATAGTGCTATCATTGGAGAGTTGAAGTCCCCAACTATTACTAGGGGCTATTATATGGCTGTCTATCTCTTTTCTTAAGTCTAGTCATACTTTTTGTTATAAATGTAGGTGTTTCAGTGATGGGTGCATATATATTTAATATAGATAAATATTCTTGTTGAATTGAACTGTCTATCCTTATATACTACCTGATATGGTTTGGCTCTGTGTCCCCACCCACATCTAATTTTATAGTCCCCATAATTCCTGTGTGTTGTGGGAAGGACCTGGTGGGAGATGATTGAATTATAGGGGTGGGTATTTCCCATGCTGTTCTCATGATAGTGAAGGGGTCTCATGATATCTGATGGTTTTAAAAACAGGAGTTGCCCTGCACAAGCTCTCTTTGCCTGCCACCATCCATGTAAGATGTGACTTACTTCTCCTTGCCTTCCACCAAGAATGTGAGGCTTCCCCACCCACATGGAACTGTAAGTCCAATTAAACTTCTTTCTTGTGTTAAATGCCCAGTCTCAGGTATGACTTTATCAGCAGCATGAAAACAGACTGATACAGTAAATTGGTACCAGAAGTGCAGTGCTACTGAAAAGATACATGAAAATGTGGAAGTGACTTTGGAACTGGGTAATAAGCAGAGGTTGGAACAGTTTGGAGGTCTCAGAAGAAGAAAGAAAAATGTGGGAAGGTTTGGAACTCCCTAGAAACTTGTTGAATGGCTTTGACCAAAATGCTGATAATGATATGGACAATGAAATCTAGGCTGAGGTGGTTTCAGATGGAGATGAGGAACTTGTTGGGAACTGGAGCAAAGGTGACTCTTGTTATGTTTTAGCAAAGGGACTGGTGGTATTTTGCCCCTGCCCTAGAGATTTGTGGAACTTTGAACTAGAGAGAGATGATTTAGGGTATCTGCCAGAAGAAATTTCTAAGCAACAAAGAATTCAAGAGGTGACTTTGGTGCTACTAAAGGCATTCAGTTTTAAAAGGGAAACAGAGCATAAAAGTTCAGAAAATTTGCAGTCTGACCATTTCATAGAAAAGAAAATCCCATTTTCTGAGGAGAAATTCAAGCCAGCTACAGAAATTTGCATAAGTAAAGAGGAACCAAATGTTAATCACCAAGGCAATGGGGAAAATGTCTCCAGGGTGTGTCAGAGGCCTTCACAGCAGCCCCTCCCATCACAGGCCTGGAGGTATTGGAGGAAAAAATAGCTTTGTGGGCCAGGCCCAGGGTCCCTCTGCTGTCTGCAACCTAGAGACTTGATGGCCTGCATTCCAGTTGCTCCAGCTGTGAATAAAAGGGGCCAAGGTACAGGTTGGGTTGTTGCTTCAGAGGGTGTAAGCCCCAAGCCTTGGCAGCTTCCACCTGGTATTGAGCCTGTGGGTGCACAGAAGTCAAGGATTGAGGTTTGGGCACCTCTGGCTAGATTTCAGAAGATGTATGGAAATGCCTGGATGCCCAGAAAAAAGTTTGCTGCAGAAGCAGGGCCCTTATGGAGGACCTCTGTTAGGGCAGTGCAGAAGGGAAATCTGGGGTCAGAGCCCCCACACAGACTCCCTACTGGGCACCACCTAGTGGAGCTGTGAGAAGAGGGCCACAGTCCTCCAGACCCCAGAAGATAGACCCATATTCAGCTTGCACTGTGCATCTGGAAAAGCCACAGACACTCAACACCAGCCCATGAAAGCAGTCAGAAGGGGGGCTATGCCCTGCAAAGCCACAGGGGTGGAGCTGCCCAAAACCATGCAAACCCACCTCTTACTTTAGTATGACTTGGATGTGAGACATGGAGTCAAAGGAGATCATTTTGGAGCTTCAAGATTTGATTGCCCTGCTGGATTTTGGACTTGCGTGGGGCCTGTAGCTCCTTTGTTTTGGCCAATTTCTCCCATTTGGAATGGCTGTATTTACCCAATACCTGTACCCCCATTGTATGTAGGAAGTAACTAACTTGCTTTTGATTTTACCAGCTCATAGGCGGAAGGAACTTGCTTTGTCTCAGATGAGACTTTGGACTTGGACTTTTGGGTTAATGCTGAAATGAGACTCTGGGGGACTGTTAGGAATGCATGATTGGTTTTGAAATGGGAAGACATGAGATTCTGGAGGGGCCAGGGCAGAATGATATGGTTTGGTTCTGTGTCCTCACCCACATCTCATCTTTTAGCTCCCATAATTCCCATGTGTTGTGGGAGGGACCTGATGAGAGATGATTGATTTATGGGAGCAGGTGTTTCCTGTGCTATTCTCATGATAGCGAATGGGTTGAGGCCAGGTGTAGTGGCTCATGCCTGTAATCCCAGCACTTTGGGAGGCCAATGTGGGTGGATCACAAGGTCAGGAGTTCGAGACCAGCCTGACCAACATAGTGAAACCTTGTCTCCACTAAAAATACAAAAAAAAAAAATAGCTGGGAATGGTGGTGTGGTCCTGTAATCCTGGCTACTCAGGAGGCTGAGGCAGGAGAATTCCTTGAACCTGGGAGGCAGAGGTTGCAGTGAGCTGAGATTGTGCCACTGCACTCCAGCCTAGATGACAGAGTGAGACTCTGCCTCAAAAAAATAAATAATAATAATAATAAAAGATAGTGAATGGGTTTCTCAAGTCTGATGGTTTAAAAATGGGAATTGCCCTGCACAAGGTGTCTTTGCCTGCTGCCATCCACATAAGCTGTGACTTGCTTCTCCTTGCTTTCCACCATGATTGTGCGGCTTCTCTAGTCACGTAGAACTGTAAGTCCAGTTAAACCTTTTTCTTTTATAAATTGCTCAGTCTTAGGTATGTCTTTATTAGCAGTGTGAAAATGGACCAATACACTGCCCTTAATTGTCTTTTTATTCACTGTTACTGGTTTAAAATCTGTTTTATCTGATAAAAGAATAGCAATCCCTGCTCTGTGTTGTTTTCCATTTGCATGATGTATCTTTCTTCACCCCTTTACATTGAGCTTGAGGGTGTCATTACAGATTAGGTGGGTCTCTTGTAGCAGTAGATGATTGGGTCTCTCTTTGTTTTTTTTTTCTTTTTATCCAGTTTGCCAATCTAGATATTTTAAGTGCAGCATTTAGACTATATACATTCAAAGGTAATATTGATATGTGAGGCTTTGATTCTGTCATAGTTTGTTAGGTAGTTACTTTGAATCACCCAATGTCTGCCTTAATATTCACATGGAACTCTCCCTGTGTGCTTGTCTGTCTCCAAATTTCCCCTTTTATAAGGACATGAGTCATATTGAATTAAGAGCCCACCTTACTCAAGCACGACCTCATCTAAACTATTATTATATATAAATATGTCTGCAATTACCCTATTTCCAAATAAGGTCACATTCTAAAGTACTCAGGATTAGGACTGCAACAAACAGATGTTGTGGAGACACAATTCAACACATAAGACTTTGAGACTTTGCTTCCAATATGGAATTGATATCCCAAAACCCATATGAGGTGCCTTCTCTCTGAGACTTTTAGCCTGAATCTACTAATGTGAAGGAGGAGGGTTAGTTGCTACGGTAGATGCTATTTTGCTAATGTTCCATAGAAGTGAAGGCAGTGAGGTTGAGAGTTGAGGGGCTCAGTGGGGAGGATACTGTTGTGGCTGCTCCAGGGATTGCATTTGAATTTTGTCTGGGTTCTTGATGACCTAGATTCCCTTGGTTCCTTCCAATTCTCTTAGCTTTATTTGCCCACATGTCTCCAAATTCTTGAGTTGTTTAATAACTTTCCAGTGAAAGTCCTGTTTGGCTCCAGTTAGCCAGAGTTGGTTTCTGTTGTGTATAAGCAATAAACTTGTCAAGTACACATACTTCATGATATTTTATATCTTTTC
Source organism: Homo sapiens (assembly GCF_000001405.40). Lineage (NCBI taxonomy): Eukaryota > Metazoa > Chordata > Mammalia > Primates > Hominidae > Homo > Homo sapiens. The sequence goes on along the minus strand of NC_000004.12, from coordinate 120,570,158 downwards.
AGTTCATCCTATATTAAAAAGTAAGAAAATAATTCAATTGCATAAATCAGGAAATTCTTTAATTAGACCTTTAAAGTTAAACAGCCATTACAATGAACAAATTCCATGTTACTGGAAATAATATGGTTTTGTTTCTAATTGAGTTTAAGGTAACTAACTTCAGTCTGAGCAAATGAGAACTATGGTATGATTAAATTATATATATCATTGAATTCAACTCCAACTGAAGTCATTATCAGGTAACTTCAGGTATAATTACTGTTTTTTCTTCTTATAATTTAAAAAATACTTTCAAGTTTTTTTTGCTTAAAAGTATTTGTCTTCTCATCAATTACTAATTTAAATCCAAGATCCCACATTAAAGTGCAAATACTCAGTATTTTCTTTTATTCAAAAATTTTTATTATAAACAGCAGTTTTATTTTGAAAGATTGAAATGATTGTAAAGCTAACTCGAATAGCTAGGTTATGCAAGAAAGGACTCTTGAACATTCCCTTTTTGATGTCTTCTAAGATTTGGATCCCATTTATTTGTGCTTTGTTCTTGTTTTAGGCCTCTAACTTCAGACTTCAGTTAAGCAGAAACATGGCTTACAGTATTTTAAATTTGTTTCTTCATATTAATAAAAAAGTTATAGAATGTGATAACTAAAAATAAAAAAGAACACATGAAATTTCTACAGTATTTGAAAATAGCATATCTTATTATTTATCTACTATATAATTTTCAGAGATAACTCTAAGTTAATTCAGGCTTATAAGACACATTTACAATTATAATGCAGTTATTCAAAAATTAACTATATTTATGTTAAAACATCTTTTTCTCCCATACAGAAAAGTCATTATTGAAGAATTATGCTACTATTCCTTGCTGAGATGGATGAGGGAAGGAAAAACATAATCTTATTAACTTTTAAAATTATATTTCATTTATGAGGTAAGGAATTTATGAAATGAAACACTAAGCATCATATTTCAGGTAAATTTTGTGATATAAATCAGTTGTATTTATAGATTCAAAGCTAAGCTTGAAAAAAGTCTCAGAAGCTAAGGGGCTGATGACCCTATAAACTGTAAAATGTGTTAACACCAATAAATTCTGGTCCCTCAGTTCAAAGGGCATTTGATTATACGCTGCACTGTCAGTGCTACTCACATCGGAGCTCATCTTGGAATGATAAACAAGGCAGGCCTGTAATGTATACCAGAGAATGACAAGATGCACCTGTCCCTACAAGTTTTGAGACAAAACAGTAGGCACTTGCAGACAGCTGTGTCATCTATGAGAAAGTCTACTCATAGGCTCACCAACAGGCAAGAAGAAACACCCCCAGCCAGTTTAGACTACAACATCACAATGTTTGCATTGGTATATCTTTTATTTCTCTGAGATTATTTTGAATAGAAAACTATGTTGGCTAAAATCTATTAGTAAAATTCCTTTGTATGTAATAAAGGGCTGTTGATCTCTGGTGGCTTTCATTTCTATGCACAACATTTTAAAGTATTTTAATAAGTATTACGTAAATCAATGTTAATAAATGTTCAATTGGCAGAAGAACATGAATTATTATATAATTACCTTTAAATAATTTGCCTTATGGTTTTTCATCAGTATGATTTTTAAACATTCTGAGGGTTTGATTTACATCTCTTTAAGAGGGAAAAATTTTTTGCCTTAATAGAAATTTTTCCAGTCCTGAATGTTTTACTTTGGTCATTTATGCCTAATCACGCATCTCTCACAAAGAACCACCCCAACAAAACAGATAGTTATTTAAAACTTATTACAAGATGATTAATTGAAATACTTTATGGTCAGTTCTTATGTTTAACAGCTGGTACTTGTGCTGGCTTGTTATCAAAGGAATATTTATTGAGCATTTGGTATTACTTATTATTTGGAACATATATAGGAAATTATTCCTGCTTTCTTGTTATGTATATTCTGAAGAAAATCTGTGTAACCTCCTTTGCAGAATATGGTGTTTTGTTTGTTTATTCATATATATTTTATTCTAAAAAATAATTTGAAACAGATTTGACATTCTTGGGGCATTGATTTCTATTTTTTGGTCTGTTTTTTTGTGATTTTGAGAAAATTACAACTAAGACAGAAATTTCTTATTTTAGTCTGAAAAAATGTATCTTGACAATTTTTTTAAGTTAGAAATTTCAGGTTCCATGACCCCATTATATTTTGATAGACATTATTATTTCATTTTAGAGCTTGCAATTTTCATTGAAATTTTCCATTTTGAAATGACGATGGAAAAAACCCATATAACTTACTAATTCATTATTAGGTTTATTACAGGGTCAACTATTCAATACTTTGTGTTTGCATATTTTGTAAAACATAGTATTGAGCTGGATTTTAAATATTTTTGCTATGCTAATTTCTAAAGGAAGGATTTTGAGTCATGAGATGAATTTAATAAATTGCAATTGTTTGGAGAAAGTCTGTGAATCAATTTAATAACTTAATAGTTTTAAAAGTTTTCAATAAAGTTGAAGAAAATCAGTATTTTCTTTAATGCACACTTGAATGTAAGGCACACTTAATATCAAATGTTGTCTTATGCTCAAATAAAATTAAACAAACAGGAAAATTATGAGAATTAGTTTTCCTTTTATATTGGTGTTGACAAATCTAAATAATTACTTACTGCAATCTGTTCTATCTTGATTAACACTGTGGTAGACTATAATTAAAGTAAAATATGTTACAATTTCTACAAATATATTTTATTCTATATCGTGTATTTCTCATAGGAATGCATCTCAATGGACAGTGTTATATTCCCATACCTATAATTAAAGAATAAGATATTGATCTGATAAATGGTTACTCAGCAAATGCAATGTTGCTGAGTTATTATGATTATTTCATGGAGTATTAGTCTATTTTTATTTTATTATACTTTAGATACTTAGAATATTCATAGTGTTCTTGGTATGTGGGAAGATAATGCCGACAACTCATACAGTTTAGAGACTGGCTTTACCCTGTACTGGATAACAAAACTTATTAGCAGTAACCAGTCATGTGTTTTTTTTCCTAGAGAAGAGTAAACAGATCAGAACAACCAAACTAGAAACTTAAGACCCTTTCAGTTTTATGAATCTTTTTTTGCTTTCCCAACAATTTTTACTGCAAAGCTCTTGTTTGATGTTGGTATAAATTTAATTTTTAAATATGTTTTTGTTCCTTGTCAACATCTTTTCACCTGTCAGACCATTTTATGTTCCTTTGGTAGATTTTGTAGGAGAGCAGTTGTCATCTATGGAAAATTACCAACAATATTAACAATGCCAGGTGAGAGTAATTACAAATGAATGTGTCAAATACATGTTGGACATGTGGTATCAGCGTGTGCATGAATTACATTCCTGTCCTCTCACAAAGATCGATTTTCTCTGTTTCCTGTAAATGGTGCATTCACTGGATATTGCTTCTGCTGCATGCAATGCTTGCCACATTTTTGGCATTCAATGAATATTGAAATAATAATAAAAGAGTAGGCTTTTTTTCTTTTTGAATATAGTGACACAACGGATGTTTTCAAACACGCTTTCATAACATATTTAAAAAATATACTTGTGGGTAGAACTTAAAATGGCTATTTTGAATATCAACAACAAATACTTTATATTTTTTAATATTTTGAAAACTAGGATTTCTGTCTGCCACCAAAATAAATGACTCCCTCTTTCTGCTTGGTCCTTGCATTGTTAACAATCACTTCCCCTGCCACCGAAGGGTTCATAATGCTTGCAATACACACCTGTGGTCTACACATGAATTTCTCATCATGTTCAGTCATAATAGGTGTAAAAAACCTAATTTTGGGTAATTTGTCATTGGAGAAAGTGAAAATAGTTTGTGTTAATAAAAGAAACTATGAGATACTTCCCACGTGTTCTGCAGACCATGGAATTGTATGAAACTCTTGTAAAAGCAACATGAGTGTATCCAGATATAGTTCAATGGGGCAGTAAGACCATAGCCATCAATTATTTGAAGAAAGCCTGTCTGGAGACAGTCATGCCAAGCACCTGAATCCACTTTAATGGTGGAAGTGGACACATATGCTTAGGGAGTTCAAATCCTTTATGAGTAACACTCACTTATGATATATAGACAGAATGCAAAACTATGGATTTTTTTCCTTTAGCAATGTGATTATTCTGAAGTACATGCCTTAAATATCCTTTTGAATGTAGTAACATTGTGATTGTTATCTAGAAATGCCTAGAAGCCAATCTTTGTTATGGTACCGAAGACAATAATTGGTCCTTTCAAAGAATCTGGCAAGTATATTTGTTTCCTTGTTAAAAAAATTAGGAACTTTAATTGATTCATACTAATATTGAAATAGTATTTCTCTTGACAAACTTGGTTGGAAGATTCTCATCACCTTTGGGCAGACTCATTCACAGGAGCACCTGTATTGTCAAAATTATATCTCATTCCCATAAAAAAGATGATGGAGTAAATGATATTTGATGGTAGAGCAATATGATTTAAAGCTTATTACTAGACTCAGGTTGGACATACTTATTCATTTCAAAATGAAGAACACATATACATTTACTAAAAATCCAAACATTCTTAGGTTCAGAACATCTTCGGACATAAGCATATTCATACTATCCCGTGCATGCTTTCCTTTCTTTCACTCTGTAACAACCATTTTAAAATGTGGTGAAATATGCAGATGGCTAAGAGAGCCACAAGATACATTATAATGGATAAAGAATGTAATTACATCAGAAATAAATGTACTTTTTCTGAAAATAGAGATGGTAATTAAATAAGAGAAAACACCTTTTATTCTGATTTTTGCTAAATTAATCACATGTATTTTCACAGCATATATAGACATATATAATATGACATGTACACACATAGTATATAGGTAATTTATAATTAGATTTTTGTATATCTATCCTTATGAATTAAATAATTAAATCTCAAAATTTCAAGTGTTGAATATACTAATCATAAAGCATTAGGAATAAAATTAAACATTTAATCTCAAATGATGTTATCAAAAGAAATATGGAAAGCACAATTTTTAAAGTATGCTCCTCTCATCTAGAAACCAGTTTCCTAAAACTCTTAAGTCTCATATAACCCACCATAATCTTGAGAGTCTCATAATTTAATTTAATATTCTTTGTTATTTCCAAATAAAATTTCCTAACCAGATAATTTTGATTTTTGTTTTGTTTTGTTTTCCATTATTTCAGCTTTGGCAATGAAACAACTCAGTGACAACCTGAGAAACACAGAAATCAGACCTGTGAGAATTGTGGAATCTAATATAGTTTCACTGCAGGAGATTTCAATGTGTAAATCCTAAATGCAAGAAAAAGGGCCCTAAAGGTTAACATTTACATACTTTTTTTTAATTTTAAAAATTCCAGGTTCCCATCAAAATTTATAAATTCCTGGGCAGCACCATAGTGTACACATGGGGACAAATAAAGTAAAGCCAAAAGAGCAAAATAAACATGAAATATGTACAACTTGTGCAATTATGAATACTTTAAAAAATCTCCTCGGGTTTTTTACAAACCTGTAGTCGAAAGTTTTCTCTCTCATCAAATCCCTCGAAGCACCTCAAAGAAAACAACTCTTGGAATTTGAAATTCACTTCTAAACCTTGTGGCAAGTCTGGAGCACTCTGGCTTCATGCACATGCTGTGTCTACTTCTGTGCTAGTTAATGCCTTCCTTGGGGAACCACTCTGTCAGACACCTTTCCATGTAGCTGGAATTCAGCAGTATTTATCTTTTCCCTCTTCTTTTTTCACTTCTCAAGTCTTAAAACTGACATCTGAGGAAATTGTGAGATATGTAAGAAAGGAAGAAAAAAAGAAATAAAACCATGATCATATATTAACTAAAAAGCAGGAATAAAACAGCATGCAAGTATGTGATTTTTAGCACAAAAAAATTAAGGAAACAAAAGGAAATTGAGCATTATTAATATCTACTCCAACTGAATATCAGGCATGAATAAGTGTAACATTTAGGACCACTAAACTGTAAAATTATTACCAACAGGATATGGTAGGATCCTATTTTTCAAGTCATTCAAAACCAAAAAAGAATTATAGGGTATATGTGGGTGAGAAAGCAGGCCAAAGGTTTATTAGCTCCATCTTCTGTATCTCATATGATGCTGTGAACTTCAGTTAAAAAAAATAGATCAGAAAGATTGAAAAGTGTTCAAATTACTAGTCTCCTAAAATAGAGGTGTAGAGATATCTTTTGCAGTGCTAGGTAATTCTTTCTCTTCAATTGCTACTCTAAGTAATTACCTACATAGAACAAACTACATTTAAGAAAAGAGATTGATAATTTTCATCGATTCCTTAAATTTCCTTTTTTTCCACTTTGAATTTGAAACAAGGTAACAAGATCTATAAATCACTTTAATGTCTATATTTATGGCTGGCAATACAGAGGCCATGTGGGACAGGGCAGGGGGCCAGAGCTTCAATGTTTAACACTCACAGTGATTCATGAAGGAATGTTTCAACTTTGATGTAACTCAGGGATTTAGGGACAAGCAAACCTCTACAGGAAGGGCTCCAAGCAGATCAATGTGGCACCAAGGTTATGATGCTAAAGATTGAAATAGTGGCAGTGAAAGTTTGGATTTGAAAAACATAGGGGAAGTTAGAGAAATAAAAGCATAGTAGGCTGAGATTTACAAAGGCTGTGCTAGAATGGCTTTGCTTGTAGTCAATGGGGTGAATAAGTAAATGATCCTCAATTGTTTGATTTACTTTTACTAAAGGCTGTATGATATCATGATTGAGTGCTTCTGTATGAAAACCAGAGGCCCTTAAAAATGGAGCAATTTTGTGGGCTTGTAAATGGGGCAGACACTTTGAAGAACAGTTTGGCAGTTCCTCAAAATGTGAAACATAGTATTACTATATGATTCAACAATTCACTCTTGGATATATTCCCCCAAGATAATTGAACATAAGTACCCACAAAAACCTGTACATTAATATTCATAGCAACATTATTCATAATAGCCAAAAAGCAAAAACATCTCAAATGTCTATCAAATAAAGAATGGAAAAACAAAATGTGGTATATATATATATATATATTCATACAATGGAGTATTATTCAACCATAAAGATGAATTAAGTATTCGTACATGCTACAGCATCGATTAAAACATGAGACTTGAAAACATGCTAAGTGAAAGAACCTAGCCACAAAAGGCCATATATTATATGATTCCATTTACATAAAATACTCAGGCCAAGTAATTTCATAGACACAGAAAGTAGATTAGTGGTTGCCAGGCACTAGAGAGAGAGGGGAGAGGGGTGCAACTACTAAAGGGTGTTGGCTTTCTTCTTTGAAACCATGAAAATATTCTGAAAACAGGTGATGATAATGGCACAGCTCTGTGAATATACTATGTATCACTGAATTAAATGTTTGAAAAGCACAATATGTACACATGTCAATGGGAGAAGAAGGTCTTGAAGTATGACAGTGGAAAGTTGCCTGTATTAGAACTTTGCACTTAGTTCTTTTATTTTAAAAACAAAAGATTGCAATGATAAATTGTAAATATACCTTTACTTCCAATGTTCCATAATTCTGTGTTATGATTGCCGCACCAAAAATCTGGTGATATTTCTAAGAAATGCATGCATGCTATAGTAAATGTGAGTAGCTAGAAAAAGAATTGCCTGTAAAGGAAAATATGAATGCCATGAGAACATAATATGCCAAGTAAAAGAATTATTATAAACTCATTGTGTAAATATTCCTAGTTTAACTAATAAAAATGCTATGACAGTTATCACTATGAAGCATGTGATAAGGTCAATGAATTTAAGCTGAAAAAGAGTTTTGAGAAAATTAAAAGATATGCTGTATAATGTTTATGATGGAACTCAATAATCCAAAAAAAGTGATTATTGAAGCAAAGGTTTTGGGTAAAATAGTAATTTTTTAGAGCAAGGATTTTTAATATAAAAGAGAGGAAACAATCCTGGTGTTTGTTGGAAGTAAGGCTCAGAATTGCAAAGAAAATGAGCATTGAAACAAAGGATTTCTCAGCAAGGCAAATTTACTTCTGCAGAAGGGTACTACTCACAAGCCTGGGTGCCAGGAGAGCACACCAAACAAAGGAGGGAAGGGGTTTTTATTCTTAACGCAGCTACTCCCTCCCAGTGTCCTGCTTCCACTGGCCGGAGTTAGACTCCACAATCTAAGCTGAACCTGATTGGCTAACTTAAAAGGTGCAGGAATGTGGTTACACTGGTAAGAAGGGCAGTTTCTGCAGGAAGAGCCATTGCAACAGGAGGGGTAATTTACAGAGTGGGTAACAGATGTGGGCTCTGTAAACAAGGACTGGTGGGAAAGTTGTTTACTTAAACCAAGACAGGGAGGCACAAAGGATAAGGAAGTCAGTTTAGCCTTGGAAGTGGGGAACAAAGAACAAGGATACTGAACAAGCTAAACCTTTGGAGAGGAACTTCTTTTGCATCTGACAATTTTTTATCCTAAATTGGGACCCAGAAGTGCTGCAAGAGGTAACTGTAGGTGAACTAGTAGGAATACTGCTTAGTGTACAACAGTGTTAACATTCTACTAATGCAAGAAGGAATCTAAAGGAATTTAGTTTGTGATTATGTAATTTTGAAAATGAAAACTAACAGAAAATGTGGGCAATAGTTGGGGAAAGAAAGTAAAACTGAAAAAATAAAAGTATAGAGAGAAAGTCTAAAATCAATCCGAAATGATTCAGAGAAAGTCTAAGAAAAATGATCAAAAGGGCCAAGGTACCTGGAAAATAACCAAATATATTCAATTGAGAGAGCAAAAATGCCAACATGAGAAAAAAGGCAGCTTTTATAAAATATAAGAAGGTAATAAAATCAAGATATACAAGAATGCTTACCAAAAGTGCCAAATATGATACAAGGTTGGAAAGAGTTGTATCAAAACTAGCCAAATAAAATCAAAGAACTACTTTTGAAGAAAACTCTAGAACTAAGAAAAAAATATGTTCACTAGGGGGAAACATGGACATTTTGGGAATTACTTAGTTGTCAGAGTGCAAAAGCATGCTCTTGGGTTAAAAGGGGTTTGGGGGTCCTTTTTTGAGATTGTAGCCAATGTTTGTAGATATTATAAGCCATAAACATGAGCATGCACACACACGCACACACGCACACACACACACACACAGTAGTTTAAAAAAAATGTAATGCTGTCAAGTTTTTCTATTGGTTTGCTTGTCTATTCCTATGCCAACAAATCACTATATTAATTACTATAGGTTTGCCATATTTTGATAGTGGTTAACGCAAATTTTCCTAGATTATTCTTCCGTCACCCCAGAAAGTTATTTCATGACCCATTTCAGGCAATTCTCAACCTCTGTTTTGATTTCTATCACCATGGAAGAATCTTGTTTGTCTTTTAACTTCATGTAAATGGAACCACACGGTGTATATAATTTTATACCTAGCTTTCATCACATATCATAATGGTTATAAAGATTCATATATATTGCTGTTCCTATTTTTCATTTGCTTTTATTGCTAAGATTCATCTGTTCTATGCCTATAACACCATTTGTTTATTAATTCTCCTCTGGGGACATTTGGGTGACTTTTAGATTGGAATCCTTATGAAAATATCCTCTATGTCCATTTTTGTATAAGTTAATTTTTATGGACTGATATTTTCACTTTTCTTGGGCAAATAACTAGAGGATAATTTATTGCTTATAGGGAATATGTATATTTATCTTCATAAAAATTGCCAAATGTTTTTCTAAACTGGTTATGTCATTTTACCTTTTGACCAGAAATGTATTCGAGTTCCAGTTACTTTACATGCTCATTAACATTTAGTTTTACCAGTCTTTACAATTTTCACCATTTTTGGGGTGGTGAAGTGGTAAGTTGCTATGGTTTTAGTTGTATATCCTTGATAACTAATGAGGTTCAGCTACTTTTCAAGTGGTTGCTGGACATTTGTATATCTTTTATAGTAAAGTTTCTGTTTAAATATTTGCCCATAATTTTAAAGGTTATTGTCTTTACATTCTAGATTTACAGATGCATTTTATTAGTTTCAGGTACAAGCCTTTTAACAAATGTGTGTGCTATAAGGATTATATCCCAGTTTATGACTCTATTTTTCATTTACAAAGCAGTAACTTTAATGAGCACATTATGACTTTGATGATTAAATTCAATTTAAAATTTTGAACCAAAAATCTAATTTTTGCTTTTATAGTTATTACTTGAGGGTTGCCTTAAAAATCTTTGACTACCTCAAATTTATAAAAATGTTCTCCTATATTTTCTTCTATAAATGCTATAATTTTAGTTTTTATGTTTAGATCTGCAATGACCTCAAATTAGCTTTTTGATACTGGTATAAGGTAGAGATCCATGTTCACTTGTTAAATATATTTATCCAATTGTTCCAGCACAATTTTCTGCAAAGATTTTTCTTTCCCCATTGTATTGCCTTTGTCTTTGTTGAATGGATTGCTTAGAACTGGATCTATATCTGGGCTCTCTCTTCTGTTCCATTGATATTATGTCTATTCCTGTATCAATACCATTGTCTGAATTACTGTAGCTTTATGGTAAATCTTAAAATAAGATAGTATAGAATCTTCAACAATGTTTTCCTTTATCAAGAATTCTTTGTCTATACTAGTTTCTTTGCATTTGTATGTAAATTTTAGTATCAGCTGTTCATTTTATAAAAAATTTTTGGAATTTTTATTGGAATTGCATTGAATATGTAGACCAGTTTGAATAAAATTGAATTCAAACAGTATTGACCTTCCAATCTATAAACATGGTATATGGCATTATTTACTTGTGTCTCATTTGAGTTCTCTCAAAAATGTTTTGTAAATTTAAGTGAAGAGTTTTAGAATATTTTGTTATATGTATTCCTAAGTGTCATTACAAAACATATAAATTTAAGGGACTGTTCAGATTTTTCAGAAACATGTCATATACAACATTGTGTTTTTTCTACCTAAACAAACATGATTTCCAGTAGTCTTTCTTTTTGCGATATTTTCAGCTGTGCTGAATTCTCTTGTCAACCTGGCAGTATCACTACACTTTTCTGAAACTAGGAACTCTATATTCTAGAATCATATTCCCTGAATGAATCTTCATAGGATTTGCAAATGAGGAAAATTCACACACAATTTGGAAGATAAAAGTAAAACATAAATCGTTCTTAGCAATTTTGGCTGCCAGTCATGGAAGCTTTGCAGGGCTCTTTACAAGGATCTTCTTAGCAACACTAGCATCCAGATGTAGCACCATCATAGATCTCTGATAAGCTGGTACTTCATAGTCATAATGGATGCAGAAATTTCTTGGACTCTTTCATGAGCTGCTGCTTTCTCTAGCTACTGTTTCAAGCTAATGCCATTTATGGTTGTTTTTATTTTTCTTGTTTTAAAGACAAAATCCCACTCTGCCTCCAAGGCTGAAATGTAATGACATGATCATAGCTCACTGCGGCCTTGAACTCCTGGGTTCAAGGAATTCTCCCGCCTCAGCCTCCTAAGTAGTTGAGACCACAGGTACCCACCACTATGCATGGTTAATTAATTTTTTTTTTTTAAGAACAAGGTCTTGCTATGTTGCCCAAGCTGGTCTCAAACTCCTAGCTTCAAGTGATCCTCCCGTCTCAGCCTCTCAAAGCACTAGGATTACAGACCAGAGCAACTGTGACTGGCCTGTGGTTGTTTTTCTAACTTTCTGAATGCAGTCTGCTGCAGGTTACATTCACATTACATTCACATGAATGTAAACATTAATTCCTATATTAAATTGCTTATTTCTGGAATACTTAATTAGCTGTTTTCTTGGCAGAACCCAACTAAGAGTAACCACTGATGATAAAATCTGAGATTCATTATTTAATTAGAGGTTAATAAGTGAAGCAATTCTACTTCTATTATTCCTTTTCATATGTTAAATAGAAAACTTCTGTTAAGAGGATTTTTTCCTCATTATCTCTTTGGTTACCCTGAGATATTATTTGTGGAGAAAGGCAGGATACTTGATTCTTTCCCTTTACTTACTATTTCCTATTTATCAGTTACTCTTTTATTTACCAGTTTTCTAAATTGTGAGCTGGTTTCCTAGGATCTTAGAATGCACACGGAGAAACTAGAAATTGACTGATTATTTTTTATTGAATTTTGGGAAATCATTTCCTGTCTTTTCTCAATCTGGTGAATTTTTCATTTCAGATATTTTATTGTTATGCCCTGGAATTTTTAATTTTAATTTTTTTAGTTTTTATTTCTGCTGTTTATGATTTCACATCTGTTTATGACAATTTTTAAAAAGTCCTTGAACATATTTATAATTCAGTAGTGCCCCTTATTTGTGGTTTCACTTTCCCCAGTTTCAGTTACCTGTGTTAAACCTCAGTCCAAAAATATTAAATGGAAAACTCTAGAAATAGACTAATTATAAGTTTTAAGTTGTGTGCTGTTCTGAGTAGAGTGATGCAATCTCCTGCTGCCCTGTCCTGTCTTCCCCAGAATGTGAATCATTCCCTTGTCCAGCAGACCCACACTGTTTGTGTCGCCTGCCTGTTGGTCATTGAGTAGCTAACAGAACTACTTGAGTTGACTACAGAGTCGTGCCATGATCATCATTACCTGTTTTCAGAACATTTTCATGATCTCAAAAAGGAAACTCAGTATCCTTTAGTAGTCACATCCCATTCCCCATTCTCTCTAGTGCCTAACAGATATGAAGAAGCTATCAGATCAACTGTCCCAGTAGAACAGTGTTTGTTCAATACTGGCTCCAATATGTAAGAGTAGAGATGCTGAAAATTCAGATGTGCAATGGAGAAACCTTAAAGTGTTTCCTTTAAGTGAAAATGTGAAAGTTCTTCACTTAATAAGGAAAGAAAAAAAATTGTATGCTGAGGTTGCTAAGATCTATGGTAAGAATGAATTTTTTATCCATGAAACTGAAGAAGGAAAAAGAAATTCTTGCTAATTTTGCTGCTGCACCTCAAACTGCAAAAGTTACAGCCATAGTGTGAAAAGTGCTAACATAGGGTGTGGTATTATCTGTGGTTTCAGGCATCAACTGGAGATCTTGAAAAGTATGCCCACAGATAAGGGAGCCTACTATAGTCTTTTTATGCCAATTCCAATATCTGGATCATGTTGTATTTGTTCTATTGCCTGTAAGTTTTAGTGTCATTATAAACTCAAGGATTTAAACGTAAGTGTGCATCTATTCATTGTAGTCATCATTATCATTGATGCTTATATTATTTCATGTTCAGATAGTGGGTGCTTCTTCAAGTTGCCTCCTGGATCTTATGAACATTACCATTGTGGGGGATATAAATGCATCTTTGCTTTCCAGTATGACAAGATCCTCTAGATTGATTTCACATGTTCCCTGCCTGCAACCAGAAAGCAGCCATTTCTCCGAAAAGCTCTGGTTCTTTTCAGTGAGTGATGATACATAGAAACCAAAGTTATACTCCCAAGGTGCTTCCTCCTTCTGTTTTGTTTTGTTTAATGCTTCTCTAACTTTTCAGTGGGTAGACCTAAAGGATAAGTGGGATTTTGGATAAATATTCATAACTTTTTAATAAATCTTACAGTTTACATTCTGGATTATAGGATTTTAGTTAACCTCAGACATCTTACATCTATATCTTCTCTCATTAGAAAAATACCAGTTTTCAATGTCACACATGGTTCTCATTTTCTTTATCCTATGGTGAAAGACAAACAATGGCCTCAGAATAAAAATAGAGTCTTATGAAAAATATAAAGCAATCTAGGATTATTTTTGGACCTCATTTTGTTCTTAAGCTATGTTCCATCATGGACGTACAGTCATATCATTGCATTTTAAAGTCACTTAGTATAATTCTGGTTCAAAGCTGACATAAATATATTAATTAGAAAATAATATAATTATTTTCCAAATATTCTTAGACAGTGTTCTGACATGATTAACTTAATTTTCACAGGTAAAAATCTTTTGTTTTGCAAGAAGATTCTAACTCATTGCACTAGAATATATCTTCATTTCTTTGAGACAGATTGGTTCCCCAATATATTATAAAAATGTTTGTATGAACATCCATATTCCAACCACTTAGATTCTGAGATTCTGTAACTGACATTTTGTTATATCTGCTTTATTACATATCTATCACTCTAGCTACCCTTCTATCCACTAATCAATTCATCTTTCTATGTCAAAGTACACAGAGCTAATATAGGGTTAAATACTTCAACTTATCTAGCATTAACTATCTTGTTCAGTATTTGCTTGTATCTATTTTTAAAAAGGAAAGATCGCATATAATGCAAGATAATTCACAGAACTAAAGTGTCTGATTTTCTGAATTTTGACAAATGAAAAGACCTGTGCACCTCCAGTCATTACCAGGATATGGAAGAGTGTTTATGTACAAAAGCACAACTATTTTAAAAACAACTTCTCACTTTTTGAATTGTACAGTGTCTGTGGGGATTCTCGAATCCAAGTTCATAAAATAAATATCCAGAAGGCAAAACTTACACTTAATGTTTGGGTAAATATTTCCATGCATTGTCTGATTATTTTATGTTAATTTAAAATAGGCTTATTTTTTATATTCTTGTCTTCTGAGCTGTATTGTGCCATTTTCAGTGTGGAAGGCACTTGGAGAATAAACAGAAATTATTAACACGTAGAAATTTGGTTGTGTGATGAATATGTCTACCTCTGACTGTCTTTTAAACTGAAGAGCTGAATTTAATACTAGAACGTAAGCAGCCTGAGCTACCCAGGGGTTGTGTTGACATAATTCCTGGGAGCTCTTTGCAGCTGTTTCACCTTGTGAGGGGTCACAGCAGGGGTAAAAATAGAAAAAGCATGCTCTGTTTTTGCATTTTAGCCAAAGGACAGAGGGCACTCTCAAAAAAAGATTTAGAAAACTGTTGACAATTATTCATATTAATACCATTTTCAAACAAGCACTTTAAAAACAAAAATTGGGATAAAATTACATAAGTTCTTTGAGAACCAAGAAAAAATACAGGAACACCATATATTCCTTTATGGGGCTATGCCTAGGTATGTAGGTAATTATAGATTATAAGCATTGCCATTATGACCGTGAAGAAAAAGATTTATTTGGTCGATGTATATTTATTTTTCTGCCATATTTATTTGATGATTATAAGATGTTACACGACCTGTAAGAAGGACAGTTGTTCCCCCTTTAACCTGACCACCACCCTATGCCATAGGAAAGCTTTATAGTAGACCAAAGACAATTTCACTGGAAAAGAGTTAAATTGAACATATAAAGGAAAATCTTATTCAAGAAAACCACCACAACAAACCTTTCAATATATATATAACACGGTAAATGAAATCCAATTGTCCATTGAAGAATGATGAAAAACATAGCAACTTATTTATTTAGTTACTGTTGGGAATAGAAACATGGGCAGCATGTTTCTTCTGTTGGGCGTCTTTGAAGTAGAGCCTGACACAGGGATTTGGGTACATGCCACTTATTGAGGAAATGGTTTTAGAAAAAAAGGGAACAAGGGATGCAGGGCAGGCCAAGGGAAGAAGCTAAGTAAAGGTGTCGTCTCAATTGGAGTCTAGCAACAGCTTAATCCCTTGCAGACCTCTGGAGGATGAATTATATCCCAGAATTGATTCCACCTCAAGAAAAGTGGGAACCAACTTGTATAACCCATGTCCATTGGTCATTAGCTGGCGGCAGGTTGCATCAGCATTTTGGGAAATGAAGTGTCCCTGGTGAGGTGGCTACTGTTTAGCCAAGGGAAATTCCACCAAAAAGGGGGCAGCTACGGTCAGTGAACAGCTGACACTCACAGGCATGGAGGCTATGCCCCAGCTGGTAAGGTGACAGGCCACAAAGGGAGTCTACAGCAGCATGGACAAAATAGAATTATTATAAAAGGATTATTTTTACAATCTTCCATTTTCTAAAATCACATCTTTGTCATTATTTAGGAACAATTTGCTATAGATCTTGGGTTTTGATAGTATGATCTCTTGAGTTTCAAATGACTCATCAGTATGTCAAAGTGAGGTTCAAAATGAATAAATCCAAATGTAGAAGTCTGGCTGGAAAATTGTGAATTGTGGTGACACCTATTTATTTACGTGTTGCTGGTATCTAATCACTTAAAAAATATAATCTGAATCAGAATATTATTTATCCCATTGATTAATTTCATAATAAAGTGTAAAAATCTGAAGAAATGTGGTATACAATCACGAATTCTTTATTATTATAAAGATATAGGTTTAGTTGATATTTAAATTTGGGAATTGTGTTTAATCTAAAAAGATCAGAAGCAAAATATTGTAGGCCAAAGATCATCTACCATTCTTTTCTTCCTTTGAAATTTACAGTAAAAAAGGTGATATATTCAGAAACATATTTATATTGTATGATACGTATATAGGGAGTGAGATTAGGAGGATTCAAAGAAATGTTCACAGAGTGGATGGCATTTGAGCTGAGGCTGGAAGGGTGACATTCTAGGGAGAGGGACATGCATGTGCAAAGCCCCCTGCATGAGGTGGTTGGCAGGAACCCTGTGGGAGCAAGTGTCTTTCAGTGTGGGTGGTGAGCAAAATTTTAGGGGAGGATAAAGGTAGGCATGTTGTTAGAAATTAGAGCACAAGGTCCTTGTAGTCCATCAAACAGAGTTTAATATATTCTAAAGATCACGAAAAAAGCAAATTTTTCAAATTTTAAACTGAGGAGAGATACAATCATACCTGTGTGTTAGATTGGGGTGTATTTGCTTTGTTTGGATTATCTCTTTGCTTTGCTTGGATGATCTTTAGCAAAATATCTTTGGTATGAAGTATAATTGGTCCAGCCAATTATCTTATTTTACTTCCTAAAAAGATTAAATATATATATATGTCTTTAATATATATAATGTATTATATATATATATATTTTGTTTTGTTTTGTTTTGTTTTTGAGATGGAATCTCACTCTGTCGCCCAGGCTGGAGTGCAGTGGCACGATCTCGGCTCACTGCAAGCTCTGCCTCCCAGGTTCATGCCATTCTCCTGCCTCAGCCTCCCAAGTAGCTGGGACTACAGGTGCCCACCACCGCACCCAGCTAATTTTTTGTATTTTTAGTAGAGACAGGGTTTCACCGTGTTAGCCAGGATGGTCTCGATCTCCTGACCTTGTGATCTGCCCACCTTAGCCTCCCAAAGTGCTGGGATTACAGGCGTGAGCCACCGTGCCCGGCCTAAAGATGTATTTTACAAAGCTCCATACACATCACTCCTTATTGTTTTACTTCTAACAGGAAGAAAAAGCATGATTACCAGGAAAGAGAAATAGCTAATGTTGTTTTCAAAGTAGACATGGATATCACACCCTCGAAGTACATCAGCATTTTTTCAATGTTATGGACATAGAATCATAAACTTGATTTAAGTTGGGCTTGGCAAATATTTTTAAATGGAATACAACTGAAGAAAATATTATCAAAAAGCATAATCTGAATACGGCCAAGTATTCCTTTAGAAAATAGGCTTTTCAGTTATGTAGAAAGTTATGTGTGCATGAGAGTGTGCTGTGTTAGAATATAAATTGTATTTTATGTGATGGATCATGATAAAAAGTTTGGAAGTCTTTGGTTCAGAGAAGGGGTGTTGTGAGTGACATGGCAGCCAGCTCTGTATGAAGCTCAAAGTTCTTTCTTACCAATTTTTAATTTTCCTCTTTAAGTCTTTAGACGTTCTAGGGACACATTACAACATTTTCTCTTTCCATACTGAAGGAAGAGTAAAATATTTTCTCTTGTTATTTATTTTGTGGTAAAGGTGAAGGGAATCCCAGTTCCTCTAGAGTTCAGCTTTGTACCTTGTATAGGTGTCCTGATCTTCGTATTTGTAAAATGGGGATAATATAATGGGAGCATAAAGTACCTATAATTCTTTGAAAAAGAAACTTTAAGCCTGGGTGCAGTGGCTCATGCCTGTAATCCCAGCAGTTTGGGAGGCTGAGGTGGGCGGATCACGAGGTCAGGAGATTGAGACCATCTTGGCTAACACGGTGAAACCCCGTCTCTACTAGAAATACAAAAAATTAGCCGGGCATGGTAGCAGGTGCCTGTAGTCCCAGCTACTTGGGAGGCTGAGGCAGAAGAATGGCGTGAACCCAGGAGGCTGAGCTTGCAGTGAGCCGAGATCGTGCCACTGCACTCCAGCCTGGGCGACAGAGTGAGACTCCATCTCAACAACAACAACAACAACAGAAAGAAAAGAAAGAAAAGAAAAGAAAGAAAGAAAAAGAAAGAAAGAAAGAAAGAAAGAAAGAGAGAAAAGAGAGAAAGGAAGGAAGGAAGGAAAGACGGAAGGAAATTTAAATTAGGTACTTAGCACAGTGTCTGTCACATGGTGAGTAATAAATATTAGCTAATATGATGATTTTGCTATTTTACCTGAAATGATCACTTTCCACATTTAAATAAGATCGATAATCTACTTGGCTTCCCTTGATGAATAAGGAAAAAAAACTTGGTAGATTAAAAGTCTCTAAAACTTCAATCTCTAATAAGATAGATTATGAATATGTAGGTATAGTAACTATGTAGGACTTTCACTACAGTCATTTCATGTTACAGTTTTTCAAAGAATGATCTAAAATTGTAGCTAAAATCAATAGGTAACAAGCTGAAATCTAGAGTATACAGTTGGTCTTTTTACTTTTTGCCAGTATTGAAACTAATGCCAAATCATGTGAGTCCTGTTGAGAGGTGACAGCGTGCTGGCAGTCCTTACAGCCCTCGCTCGCTCTGGGCGCCTCCTCTGCCTGGGCTCCCACTTTGGCGGCACTTGAGGAGCCCTTCGGCCCCCCCACTGCACTGTGAGAGCCCCTTTCTGGGCTGGCCAAGGCTGGAGCCCACTCCCTCAGCTTGCAGGGAGGTGTGGAGGGAGAGGCACGAGCGGGAACCGGGGCTGCGTGCCGCGCTTGCGGGCCAGCTGGAGTTCCGGGTGGGCGTGGGCTTGGTGGGCCCCGCACTGCAAGCAGCCAGCCAGCCCTGCTGGCCCCGGGCAATGGGAGACTTAGCACCCGGGCCAGTGGCTGCGGAGGGTGTACTGAGTCCCCCAGCAGCGCTGGCCCACCTGCGCTGTGCTCGATTTCTCGCAGGGCCTTAGCTGCCTTCCCGCGGGGCAGGGCTGGGGACCTGCAGCCCGCCATGCCTGAGCCTCCCACCCACTCCATGGGCTCCTGTGCGGCCCGAGCCTCCCCGACGAGTGCCACCCCCTGCTCCACTGTGCCTAGTCCCATCGACCACCCAAGGGCTGAGGAACGTGAGCGCAGGGCGCAGGACTGGCAGGCAGCTCCACCTGCAACCCCAGTGCGGGATCCACTAGGTGAAGCCAGCTGGGCTCCTGAGTCTGGTGGGGATGTGGAGAGTCTTTATATCTAGCTCAGGGATTGTAAATACACCAATCAGCACCCTGTCTTTAGCTCAAGGTTTGTGAATGCACCAATCGACACTCTGTATCTAGCTGCTCTGGTGGGGCCTTCGAGAACCTGTGTGTGGAAACTCTGTATCTAACTAATCTGATGGGGACGTGGAGAACCTTTGTATCTAGCTCAGGGATTGTAAACGCACCAATCAGCGCCCTGACAAAACAGGCCACTTAGCTCTACCAATCAGCAGGATGTGGGTGGGGCCAGATAAGAGAATAAAAGCAGGCTGCGGGAGCCAGCATTGGCAACCCTCTTGGGTCCCCGTACGCACTGTGGAAGCTTTGTTCTTTTGCTCCTTGCAATAAATCTTGCTACTGCTCACTCTTTGGGTCCACGCTGCTTTTATGAGCTGTAACACTCACCGCAAAGATCTGCAGCTTCACTCCTGAGCCCAGTGAGACCACGAGCCCACCGGGAGGAACGAACAACTCCAGACGCGCTGCCTTAGGAGCCGTAACACTCACCGCGAGGGTCCGCCGCTTCATTCTTGAAGTCAGTGAGACCAAGAACCCACCAATTCTGGACGCACTGTCATATTTGCTACCAAGGCCCCTAGTTGTGTGAAAATTTTCATTATTTGTGGAAACAACTCCTCAGCAGCATCCACGTATTTATTTGCTTCATCTGTGCATAGAATCTTTATGTCTGGGAAACCTTTCACCTGGATCATTTCACACGATGGAAACTATTGATTTTTAATCAGCAACAAGTGGCACTAGAGATATGTCATTACTGTATACTTCTAGGTATCCCCAGCAGTTCAGTTACGATATCTGTGGAGATTTAATAAAACAAAGTCTGGCCTTGTACCAGTACACCAATATCTTTGGTGAGGTGATAAACCTTGGTCCGCCTATTTCATGTACTGTCATCAAAACAAGACAGCTCATCTCAAATTATGCTTTATAAAATAAATGGTGAATTTGTGTACAGAAAGAAAGGGAAATAAAAGCAGGGAGTGAATTGTAAAAATTGATCTGTACAATACTTTTTTTAACATAAGATGCTTTAAAAAAAGTTTGGCTGTTTAGTTTCACACATTACTTTTGGCTTCACTATTTTCCATTTTTATTTGTGTTTGAAGTCCAGTAGACAGGGAGGACTGTCTTTGTAAAGCACCTAGCACAAATTGCCAACACTCTGTGAATGACCTGCTGCTGACCTCTGTAAGAAAAGCTGAACTAGCAACCAAATGCACATGCAAGAAGATGTTTGCAGCCCATCTGGGGGAGAAAAGGGTGCTTAGTTGCTTTTTTCCCTCTGTTTTCTGCAACAGATTACAATGTACTCCTACTTAAAAAGAAAGAAATACACCATGAACAAAAAGCTTGCCCATCTGTTAGCATTTCCCTTCTACTAATGCCTTTTGTGATTAACTGTGTGGGAAGAACAAAGGCCTGAGATGTACTGCCCTGACTGGTAGCAGAAATGAGGGCATTTGCTGCTCAAGCAATTTTTTTGGAAAAATCAGTACATAAGACTTTACTGTAACAGGTAGCCACTGAGTTTCATTCATGAAAAGGACATGGCTTCTTCTTAGGATGTAAGTGGGCATATGCACATTAATGGAGAGAGGCTGAATAGTTAATGCATTATAACAAAGGGGTAAATGTGTCTGCTGACTCTATGCTGAGGAAAAAAAAGAAAAAAAAATGGTGTAAGAATTATGACCAAGCTTTGCAACAAGGAGTTGCTCAAAACTCAATAACTTGCTGGCTTAAATTCCCCACACACATACAAGATTGGAAATTTAAGATACATGGTGGGGGGAGAGAGAGAGAGAGAGATTTACTATCTGACATAACTTTAAGTACATTTTAAAAGTTACAAAACGTGAAGTATGATTTTCACATGTTTAACAGACAATGTCTCTACTATATTTCAAAAATCATGAAAATCAACCAAATTTCAAATGGAAATAGTTCATTTAACAGGTTCCATGACAAACTATTATGCTGAACAACTGAGGAACAAACGGAAACATCAGAATGTAGCAGGCACTGTGTTAGAGATCTGTCTTCTGGGACTGAATGGAGAAATGTATTTATTATTCATATGAATATTCATGAGTTCTCTGACCAGCACAATTTAAGGGGGCTCAAGGATCATGCCCCTCACCGAATCTGGATCTTTCTCAACTAGAAAGGAATCATAAGAAATACCCCTAGTATATATGGGGGGCCACTCAGTTGCTAATTAGAGGAGATATAGAACCAAGGAGTTTGTGACCTCAAATGTTTTGTTTATTCTTTTGATAGTTTTCTGGAAGATCAGGCCGAATTCTCCCCTGGGTTCTTCTTGCCTTAATGGAAAAAGGTTGCTGAAATTCAAGGGGTTCTAGGTTTCTCTGTAAAGGGTAAAGGAGTTTCTAGGGATTCTCTAGGAAAGATTTGCAAAAAGATGTGTGTTCTCCCTTATGGACACTATCAAGACTTCATTGAATGAAAAATTAAGTATTGGAATGTAAGAAAACTGTCATCTATCGCCGGGCGCAGTGGCTCATGCCTGTAATTCCAACACTTTGGAAGGCCGAGGCGGGTGGATCATGAGGTCAAAAGATCGAGACCATGCTGGCCAACATGGTGAAACCTCATCTCTACTAAAATACAAAAATGGCTGGGCATGGTGGTGCGCAGCTGTAATCCCAGCTACTCAGGAGGCTGAGTCAGGAGAATGGCTTGAACCCAGGAGGCGGAGATTGCAGTGAGCCGAGATTGCGCCACTGCACTCCAGCCTGGAGACAGAATGAGACTCCGTCTCAGAAAAGAAAAAAGAAAACTGTCATCTATCCTAGCCAAAGAAAATGGGTTGGGATTAACTTAATTCTAGTTATGTGATAGAATGTGCTGGTATGAGGTTAAGGCATCTTAGAACTCTCTATTTGAATCAAATGGAAAAAACAAACAAAAAAGTTTGTATTCATCCTCTTTCCATCCATGGGAATGCCCCTCAGATGGGCTTAGAAGAAGAGAAATTGGAATGATTGCCCTAGTTCTTGATCTTTGCCTCCATTCTCCATTCCCTTAAAAGGACCAGATACCTAGGGCTAGAATGGGATTAGTGAATTGGATGAGGAAGGAAAAGAGGCAGAAGTCTATTGTTGCCAGCCAGCACTGAAAAATGATCTAAAGTACCCAAATCCCTCAACAACATATGCTGATCTGAAGCTGGCTACTGGCTCCATCAATACTAGTAAAACATTTAAATGATCCCTTGGTCTTAATTTTCTGTTTTTCTTTTGTTCAATGTTACATTAAGGTACACTTTTAAAAGATTTTGTCTGTATAAAAGATAAACAGTCAAAGCACATGGCAGTTTTTTCTCAAAGCCCCATACTTACTCATAGATAATATAATCTCTTTTCCATTGTCCTCACAGATTCTATAGTAACCAGAATATCACTGCAGGTGGGCTCTTTGATGTAGACTTGTAGATGTCTATTAAATTATCTTAAGTAGTTATACTTAGTCCAGCAATTATTACTCTAGTGCCTACTAGGTTCCAAGGTCTTTGCTTGGGATGGGCAGACAAAGTCATATAAGATGAAGACTGTCCTCAACCAAGTGGTAGTTTGGTGGAGGGATTTGTTAGTTTATCTGAGAAGTATTTTAGTGTCATAAGTGTTATGATAGAAGTATGGAAATTTAGAGAACTGATATCTAAAAATTATGAATCTAAAAGAATTAAAGATAAATACCAATTGAGTAAAAATTGAGTTTTAAAGTAAAGAAATTCTTATGTAACAAGTCTCTAGTTTCTCTAGTATGTAAAGGCTATGTCATCAATAGCATTGTCTTCAAATACAAAAGCTGCTCTTGTTTGTGCTTTGACTGAATAACTGGAAGTGTCCCAAATGGTTGCCTATATCATAAAAAACTTATGATAATTTCATTGGCAGTATAGGAAAGTTGGCAGACAAAAAAAAAAAGGACAAAAATGAGAAAAATATACAATGGAAGAAATAGTCATTGGCATTCATTTTTGGTCTGAGTGATATTTTATAATTCCTTTCCTCAGATCACCACAATGGAAGTATATTTTTCCCCTAAAATAAAGAATGAAAAACTGAAAGAAAATGACTGGATTTGAGTAGCTTTTACAATATTAAGGATCAAAATAGTGTTCGCTGGATACTCTTTCTTTTGATTATTCTGAAATTTCCAGAGTACACATTAAGGAAATATTTTTCCTGAGAACTTATTTTACCTTAAGTGACAACTTGTTAAAAGTTAATATTAAATAGTGCATCAGGCTGAATTCTGTGTGTGTGTGTGTGTGTGTGTGTGTGTGTGTGTGTGTGTGTGTATATATATATATATATATATATTTTTTTTTAAGACGGAGTCTCTCTCTGCTGCCCAGGCTGGAGTACAGTGGCAGGATCTCGGCTCACTGAAACCTCTGCCTCCCGACCTCTGCCTCCCAGCTTCAAGTGATTCTCCTGCCTCAGCCTCCTGAGTAGCTGGGATTACAGGCATGCATCACCATGCCTGGCTAATTTTTACATTTTTAGTAGATATGGGGTTTCACCTTATTGACCACGCTGGTCTCAAACTCTTGACCTCAGGTGATCCACACACCTCAGCCTCCCAAAGTGCTGAGATTACAAGCATGAGCCACTGCATCTGGTCTGAATTATCTTTAATAATTATATGTGAAAAGAGATACAGTACTAGTTACACATGCATCTTGTCTTGTACAGAAAATGATTATCTTGCTCACAACTACTGCATGACTTAAATTTATTAAGAGTAATCTCTATTTCTGATACAGATTAATAACAACTTTTCCATTCTAAGATCTTCTATCTCATCAGAGATATCCAACCACCAGTATTAATTCTGGCAGGCATTAAAAATTTGGTGTGGATTTGGCTTTGCAAGGATTAAAAAAAAAGTGAGATGTCATGGGAGAAGCCCATAACTTCAATCTTGTAACGGTTTGCATCATGTTACCAGGCAATTATTTACACATCAGTCAGAGGTGAGCAGAGTTTACTCATAGCAACTACTTCAAATCATGACATCTAACTAGGATGCCTTGATGAGATGCTGAAAAGATAATTATAAAAGTCATTCGGGGGGAAACGATTTTAGTGCTTAAGTAATCCTTTGGTGTTTATTCAAAATTAGTTAGATTTTAGATAGGTGCTATTGGCTGTGAAGCTCAAAGCACTTAACAAGTGAGAATTAATATTTGCTGCCAATATATCTTACTAACATCATTTTCACTTTGTTCTGCTTTTCTATTAATCAATTCTTTAATACAATTTCTTCAAAAACAAGAAGTCAAAATTTATCTAAAATAATTGAGGCAGAATAGGGTCTGGAGGCAGGGAACCTAAGGCCATTTCACCCCGACTTCCTAGGACTAAATTGAAAGGAAAACCTTAAATTTCCACGCCTAAGTAACAAAAGGACCAGAGGCTTCTATTCCCTTTGACCTTTTCTGTTGGCAGATGGCAAATTGGCTGTCTGCAATGAATCAGACCAACTGCTGGTGGAGTCTTCCTTTGCAACTTTGTAACTTCACTCTAGCCTCTGAATGGTTGCTGTCCATAACCAATCAGACTGATAGCAGGTCAATTCTTCGTTTGCATAGAAGTGTAACTTTGTAACTTCACCCTAGCAAAAAGCAACCAATCAGATATTTGCACAGGAGTGTGACCTTTGTAACTTCAGCCTCTGGTTGGCTACTTTCTGCAACCAATCAGACTGATTGTGGGCTACCACTTTATTTACATGAGGTGATCATGAAATAGCCAATGGGAAACTGTTAGGGGGTATTTGGATCCACGCAGATTCTGTATCTGGGCCCCTGAGCAGCTGCTCGGATCCCCTCCCACACTGGAGTGTACTTTCATTTTCAATAAATCCCTGCTTTTGTTCTTTTGTTGCTTCATTCTTTCTTTGCTTTGTTGGGCTTTTTGTCCAATTCTTTGGTCAAAACGCCAAGAACCTGGGCAACTTGCAGTCACGACCCTCTACTAGTGACATATTGATTTATAAAATTAAATCTAAGTTTAATCTCTAGATCAATTATTGACTAGGTGCAATATTGTTCTTTACTACTATTATTCCATTAAGGTTGCAGAAGCATCCTTACTATCAGAAATGTTTGCATTTTAGTAGACAAAATAAAATCATACATAAAAATCATTAAAACAATTTTGATGTTCTTTATGAATTCTATTATATGCATATGAATATACTATAGACCAGACACTGAAAAATATATACTATACAAATGTAAATTTTTCCATGTCTGGAATTTTCCATGTACTGTAAAGAATGATTTTGTTTTTGCAAGCATATCTGCTTATACAACCTGTTATTTCTACCACTTATCTTAGTTGTTATTATTTTTAGTGAAAATCACATGCTTAATTCTAAGTATTTCCAATGAGTAATTTCTAAGTATTTCCAATGAGAAAGTGCCTAATGAACAAATGGCAGATACTGACTTTCAAGGTTTTGTAGGAACATGTTCTTAGAGTTAAAGGCTGTGATTGTGTATCAAACTCTCTGGAAACAAACAATACAGTATTCCAGTTTCAAGATCTTTCACAAGTGAAAGAAATAATTGATAAATATTATCTAATATTGGAATTCAGGAATGTTCCTGAGAGTGTATGGATGGAAGGTTAAATTCACTGAATTAGGGCATTTTTTTCCCCGTGAAACACAGGTGATAACCACATATTTTCAGTGCATAAAAATTATTCTAATTTTTACAGATAGCTATTAATTTATTTCTTGCCAGAATTTCCTGAGAACATTTTTGTGGGTTGGGTTTTACTGGTGTACTATATACAATAAGAATTTATTTAATCTATGCGTATTTTTGACCAGAATGCTCTAGAGTGTGACATAGGATAGGTCTTCTCAATAAACTTCAATACTAAAGGATATTCATAAGTGAATATTCATATATTTAAATAATATAGTTATAAACATGAGAACAACAGTAGCTGTAATGGGCCATATTTAAGCAATTGCACTTGTATTGCTGCATTTCAGCCTAGGTGAGTGAGACCAAACTCATAGCAAGATTTTAATTTTACAGTTAATACCTAATCACAAGATCCCAGTTATCCCACACCAAATTGTAAATAGTTGTATCATTTTTTATATCCCAAGGATAATTTGGTTTTACTTAAGCATCACTATTGCCTTGAAATGGCATTGTCAAGTGGGGAAATAAATGTGAATATTACATTTATAAATAAATGTGAATATTATCATCACTAGCCTCCTGACTTAATTTTAATTCTATTTTCTTTTAAAAAGACTTTTTTAAAAAAGCATAAATTAGAAATATGAGAAGTAGAATGGCTTCATGCAAGATACACTGGAATAAGATCCCAGAGATCTTATTCTGGCCTCAAAGCTTTGGATAAGTCATTCAGCCTTTCTGGGTCTCAGTTTTCCCATCTGGAAAATATGGGGGTTAATCTCTATGGTCACTTCTAACTCTACTAGTCAGTGAGTTTCTGAAATTCACCCAGGAAGGAGTAACCCTAGTCAGAGTTCATGCAGTCCCTGGGCTTGTGTTTGCTTTGCTTCTTATTCCCGAGTTATCCTGACGGCTATTTCTCATTGGTCCAGTACGCCACTGTTATCTGACAAAATAGGAATATGTTTCTGATTTTGGTTACATCTGAAAGGAATTTTTCCTGGAAGAAAGATTATGTCTAAACCCCACAAAACATTATGACTCTCTCTGTGTTCCAGATCTCATGTTATTGTATTTATATGTGAAAAGTTAAGATTTTTATTTTGACATGAGAAAAATCCCTTGACATCACAAGGAAAAAAAAAACATCCCCAAGCCAACAAAAGTCAGCCAAGTAAGAAAAAATGTATATTAAAAAATATATAGTGGACATAGAAATCATACTGAAATCTAGTTATAGAACAGCCTCCATCTCTAGATTTATATTTAGTCAGCAGCTATTTTAAACAAGAAAGTAAAATTTTAAGACTCATGCCAGTTTTATTCTACATGTCACTTAGAACCAAAAAGCAAAACCAAGGCATGTTTGTGGTGTGATGTGTTAGATGTTCAACCTCACTCCAGAATTTGTACAATCTCACATTTTGGAAAATGAAATGTGGTGATTTAACTTTTCTCTTCATTTCAGGATTATACATAAAACTAAGAGAGAAATTTAGACTAAAGAAGTTAACACTAAAGGAAAGGATCATGTAATTTAAAGTCAGGTTTCCTCGGGGAAAATAAACTTTTTCCATCATGTTCTGACATATATTTGTGACGTTTATATGATTTTAGTTTATTCATAACTCCACTAAATTTACATTATTCACTGTGTACTGTAGGGCATAATTAAATTGGCATTTGCTGGTACAGAGAAAATTAGCATATGAGTGAAATAAACAATGGAAGTGTGAGGCCAGATAATTCCGGTGGTTACCAATTTATGTCTTCAGCTCAACACCAAAGCCCAGGTTTCAACTCTTAGCAAGCATGCAGGTGAATGTGAGGAGGTTTGCTGTATTCTAAAATGTCAGATAATGCATATATTTCTGAAAAAATATTTTTAAAAGAAATAAATAAGCAATATAGAAAATCTCTGCTTGATGTCCACAAAATGATCAAGGAAAACTAGATAACTGGTCTTAAGATTAACAAACTATAAGAAGACCAGGAGATGATGAAGTAAAAAATATAAGGGAACAGGACAAAAGAAGAAATTATTGAAATAACACAAAAATGAATCAAGATTTTAAAGACCACATTATGCCATTTATTGTTTAAACAATCTTCTAATGATAGTTAACATTTTACTTAGTGAGTGTTTCATAAATGTTTTACAAGCATTATTGCATTAAATAATTAAAATGACCTGATATGACACATACTATTATGATCTCCATTTTACAGAGGAGGAAGCAGAGATAATATGATTAATAATTTTATCCAAGATTATACAATTAGTAGAATGTGAACTAAAAGTCAGATTCAACACTTATTCTTGGGAAAAAAGAGGTAGAACAATAAAATATTCTTATTGTCTTCAAATCAAAGGGTCGTCTCTTAATAGAATAAATAATAACTATCTAAAAACAACAACCAAAAATGGCAAATAGGTATATACAAAAATGCTCAACATCACTGATCATCAGAGAAATGCAAATCAAAACTACAATAAGACATCTTATTCCAGTTAAACGGCTTTTATCCAAAAGACAGAAAATAAATGCTGGCGAGGATGTGGAGAAAATGGAACCCTCATACACTGTTGGTGTGAATGTAAATTAGTACAACCACAGTTTTGAGCTTCCTCAAAAAACTAAGAAATAGAACTACCATATGATCCAGCAATCCCACTGCTAGTTGTATACCCAAAAGAAAGGAAATTAGTATGCTAAAGAGATATCTGCACTTCCATGTTTATTGCAGTGCTATTCGCAGTCAAGATTTGGGAGCAACCTAAGTGTCCATCAGCAGATGAACAGATAAAGAAAATGTGGCACATATACATAATAGAGTACTATTCAGCCATTAAAAGAATAAGATTCTGTCATTTGCAACAACATTGATGGAGTTGGAGGTTATTATGTTAGGTGAAATAAGCGAGGCACAGAAAAACAAACATCACATGTTTTCACTTATTTGTAGGAGCTAAAATTTTTTTTAAAATTGAACTCATGGAGATAGAGAGTAGACTAATGGTTATCAGAGCCTGGGAAGTTTAGCGGTGGAAGAGAGGAGACATGGGGATGACTAATGGACACAAAAATGTAGTTAGATAGAACGATGACGATCTGGTATTTGATAGCACAACACAGGGAGACTACGGTCAAAAACAATTTATTGGACATTTTAAAATAACTAAAAGAGTATAAGTAGATTGTAACACAAAGAAAGGATAAATGCTAGGTAGTGAACACCCCATTTACTCTGATGTTATTCTTAAGCATTGTGTGACTGTATCAATATATTTCATCTGTCCCATAAATATGTACACCTACTATGTACCAACAAAAATTAAAAATAACTTAAAAAAAAAGAAAATCATGGACTGGGAGAAAATATTGCAAAACACATATCTGATAAAAGGCTTGATCCAAAATATACAAAGAACTCTAAGTATGTAATAAGTAACCGTTAAACTTATTCCCAAAAAATGGGCAAAAGATATGAACAGATACCTCAGCAAAGAAGACACTGCATATAAACATATGAAAAGATGCTGAACACTATTTGTCTTTTAAGAATTACTAATTAAACAGCAATGAGATACCACTACTCATCTAACTGATTGACTAAAAGTCAACAACCCCCATCCCAAAAACCTGACTTTGCCAACTGCTGGTGAAGATGCGGTTTAATAGGAGCTCTCCTTTATTGCTGGAGGGAATCCAAAATGCTTATAGTCATGTTGGAAAACAGTTCGGCAGTTTTTTTGCAAAGCTAAACTAATGTTACCATAGTATCTAGCAATCGTGTCTCTAGACATTTACTCAACTGATTTGAAAACATATTTCCACAAAAAAACCTGCACAAGACTGTTTATCCCATCTTTATCCAAACAGCGAAAAACTAGAAGCAAACAAGATGACCTTCAATAAGTGAATGGATAAACAATCTGTAGTACATCTATACCATAGACTGTTATTGAGCAATAAAAAGAAATGAGCTAATAACTTATGAAAATACTGGGATAAATCTTAAATGCATATTGTTAAATAAAAAGCCAGTCTCAAAAGGCAAGATATTTAAATATTGTATGATTCCAATGCTATGACATACTGGAAAAGGCACAACTGTACAGACAATAAAAGGATCCGTCATTGTTAGGGATTCAGGGGAAGGAGAAAAGAGTCCAATGGATAGAGCACAAGGGATTTTTATTTTTTAGCTCAGTGAAACTATTTTGTATGATAGTGTAATGATGACGTGACGCTATGAGTTTGTCAAAACACATTGAACTTTACAGAACAAATGAAACTGAATATATGCAAATTTTTAAAAATCATTTAGGAGATCAGTTGAATATAGAGAACAACTTCACTGAAGGAAGCGGGAAAAAAGTTGACGCAAGTAACTGGAAATGAGCAGAGTCTGTAAGACTAAAGGCATAAGAAACTGCACATGAGCTTTGTATTTTAATTCAGCAGCCCTCAACCTTTTTGGCACCAAGAACCAGTTTTGGGGAAGACAGTTTTTCCATGGATGGGGGGAGATGGGGATGGTTTCAGGATGAAACTGTTCTACCTCAGGTCATCATGCATTAGATTCTCATAAGAGTGCACAACCTATATTCCCCACATGCACAGTTCACAATAGGGTTTGCACTCCTATGAGAATCTGATGCCGCGCTGATGTGACAGAAGGCAGAGCTCAGGTGGTAATGCTTGCTTACTTGCTGCTCACCTCCTGCTGTGTGGCCCAGTTCCCCACAGACCACAGACCAGTACTGGTCTGCAGCCTGGGAGTTGCCAACCTCTGTTCTAATTGATAAAATTGTTTGTCATGGGGCACAAATTAACAGTACTGATACTGCTATCCATATGTATTGTGACTGACCAATTAAGTAAACATTAGAAAAAGATTAGGATGATTCCCATAGTAATGAATTAGATTTAGAGACATGGATGTAAAGTTATAAAGTCATGTTGAGTTTAATATAGATATAGATAGTAATATATAGAAATATTTGTAGCTATATGTACACACAGGGGTTAGTAAACATGCACATATTTCCTTGCGCTGTCAGCTCAGAAGGCCTAGAAACAGTGACACCTCAGTAGCCAGAAGTGCACCTACTGCCTGGATCTTGCTTTCTAATAGCATTCTCCAAGAAAAATAATCATAACTCTTTGGAGAAACACTTCATTCTAGGACTGGGGCAGGAAATCTACAATATGAGCCTGGAGCATTTTTTTTTTTTTTTTTTTTTACAGAGTTTCGCTCAGGCTGGAGTGCAATGGTGCTATCTTGGCTCACAGCAATCTCTGCCTCCTGGGTTCATGCGATTCTCCTGCCTCAGCCTTCTGAGTAGCTGGGATTACAGGCATGCACCACCACACCCAACTAATTTTGTATTTTTAGTAGAGATGGGGTTTCTCCATGTTGGTCAGGCTGGTCTCAAACTCCTGACCTCAGGTGATCCACCCGCCTTGTCCTCCCAAAGTGCTGGGATTACAAGTGTGAGCCACCACACCCGGACTCCTAGATTATCTTATAGTGCCAGAAAATATGTAAATTCTCCAAAAACAAAAAAAATGGAAGCTCTAATAATGATGTGAATGTGTCAGAGAGACAGGAGCCAACTAAAAGAGCTCCCGGTGAACAATCCTTAGAACAAAATGAAGTACCACTGGATTATAGCTCAAAGTGTAAAATAAATATCCATGAGTCCATACTGATATAAATAAATGATTAAATAAAAACAATACGTAACAAGAGAATAGACAAATATTCCATGTAGAATTCCAGATAATTTAGATATTCTGCTCTCAAAGAGGTGACACATAATTCTTCACTCAAGTGTGAGCTACATATGGTAACTTTCTTCAAAGTGTACAGTATGGAAAAGGAGAAATAAACAGGTAGTTCATGTAGCTTTATTATGGATAAACCTGAAAACCACTATCTTAACCAGGTGTTCAAGTTTAACATCAGCAGTGATAACTCATATTGGTAGTATAGATACTTGAAATTATGTGGTGAAACTGGTATTTGTGGTCCTCCTCCCAAAAACACATAATCTCAGCTCATAATGAAAAAAGCATGAGACATATCCCAGTCAAGGGACATTCTTCAGAATGCCTGACAAGTATTTCTGAAAACTGTCAAGACCATCAAAATAAAAGAAGGTCTGAGAAACTTTTACAGCCAAGAAGAACCTAAGGAGACGTTAGGTTCTATATTACACACAGAGTTACTGTATGGTACATGATTCCAGCCCTAGCTATATACCCAAGAAAATTAAAAACATACTTTCACACAAAAATTTGTACATGAATCTTCCTAGAAGTTTAATTATTATAGTCAGAAAGTTTAAACAACCTATATGTCCATCGATTGGTGAATAGACCAACAAAATATGGTATCTCCATACGATGGAATATTATTCGGTTTTCAAAATGAATAAAGTGCTGAGATATTAGTTAAATTCTCATAAGGAGTGGACAGCCTATATTCCCCACATGCACAGTAGGGCTTGCACTCCTATGAGAATCTGACGCCGTGCTGATCTGACAGGAGCTACACTACAACATAAATAAATAAAGTACACTACAAATAAGCTACACTGCAACATAAATAAACCTTGAAAACTATGCCAAGTGAAAGAAGCCAAACACGAAAGGACAAATGTTGCATGATTTCATTTACATAAAAGGTTCAAAATAGGCAAAACCATAGAGAAAGTAGACTGGTGGTTGACAGGGACTGCGGTATGGGGGAAATGGGGCACGACAGTTGATAGTAAGGGTTTTGTTTTGTTTTTGTTTTTTTGCAGAAGGGCGGGGTGCAATGGGTATTCTTATACATAGATAGGATCTTCTTTGACTGCCTTTTGTATGTATCACTTTATGGTGAATCCTTTTAATCTCTTCATTTCTGGAACTTCTCCATTTTCTTCCTTTCCTTCTTCTATATTCTTTGTGATGTTATCATATCTATTGGCTTTTGTTCCTTCTAATTTTTTTTCTGAAGTGATTTTTCCTTTGCTTCTTATTCTTTCCTGAGATCTGCTAGCACTATTTTATATATTTTTGGTTATCCAATTTTTCCTGTGTTTTTGTAATTCAGCAACATACTATTCTTTAATAGCTCTATTGGTTCCCCAAGTCGTCTTAATTACTTTTAGCTATATTTAAAATACTGGATTATAGCTTTTATCTGTGTTGTAGGCATATCAAGACATAGCTTTGTTTGTAGGAACGTTTTCTTGCTCATTATAATTTGCAATCATGTTAGCAATTTTTGAGATTGCTGGCTTTCAGGGCCTTTGGAAAGCACTTTGTCTATTTCCCATTCTACTCCTTTATTTTATACCATATGATTACTGTTGTGCTTGGTGGTTTGGTCCAGCCAGACTTTTTGATATGTGGGATACTTCAGCACTTCATTTGGCTGAAGATGTTTTAACATATATATATATTTTTCTTTTTTGTTAACCTAGTTTCTCTGTTTTATTTGATTATTTTGGGGATTGAAAAATGTATACTAAAGCAATACGATGGAGAAAAGGTAGTCTTTTCAACAAATGATGCTGTGACAACTGGACATCTACATACAAAAAGATTAAGTCTAGACAAATGACCTTACACTCTTCATAAAACCTAATCAAAATGAATTACAGACCTAAATATAAGATGCAAATCACAAAACTCCTAGAATATAACACAGGAGAAAATCTACATGACCTTCAGTTTGGTGATGGCTTTTTAGATGTAACACCAAATGCACAATCTACTTTGAAGAAATGAATAAGCTGGACTTCATTAAAATTAAAAATGTCTGCTTTCTGAAAGAAATTATCAAAAGAATGAGAAGATGAGCCATAGACAGGGAGAAAATATTTGCAAAAGACACATCAGTTAAAGGACTATTATCCAAAATATACAAAGAATACTTAAAACTCATCAATAAGAAGATAATGAACTCAATTAAAAAATGGGCTAAAGGCCTCAACAGACAACTCATCAAAGATGACAAATCACCAT
This sequence comes from Homo sapiens, assembly GCF_000001405.40. Taxonomy (NCBI): domain Eukaryota; kingdom Metazoa; phylum Chordata; class Mammalia; order Primates; family Hominidae; genus Homo; species Homo sapiens. The sequence continues at coordinate 120,535,869 of NC_000004.12, read as the reverse complement.
TGAAAAATGCTTCACATCATATGTCATAAGGGAAACGCAAATCAAAACAATGAGATACCACCACACACCTACTAGAATGGCCAAAACCTAGAACACCAACAACAACATATGCTGGCAAGGATGGGGAGGAACAGAAAATCTCATTCATCACTGGTGGGAATGGAAAATGTTACACCTACTTGAGAAGACAGTTTGGCAGTTTCTTACAAAAATAAACATACTCTTACCTTATGATCCAGCAATCATACTCATTGGTATTTATTCAAAAGAGTTCAAAATTTAGCAGTTTACACAAAAACCTGCACATGGATGTTTATAGCAGCTTAATTCATAATTGCCAAATCTTGAAAGCAATCAAGATATATATTTTGTTAGTGAATGGATAAACAAACTGTAGTACATCCAGACAATGGGATGTTATTCAGTGCTGAAAAAGAAGTGAGCTATCAAGCTGTAGGAAACATGGAAGAAACTTAAATGTATACTGCTAAGTGAAAGAAACCAAACTGAAAGGTATACAAACTATATTTCCAATTCTATAACATTCTGGAAAATGCAAAACTATAGAAACAGTAAAAATATCAGTGGTTGCTAGGGGTTGGGGAGAGAAAGTGGTAAATAGCACAAGTACAGGTGATTTTTAGAGCAGTAAAATTACTCTGTACGACACTAAAATAGTGGATACGTTGTCATTACACATTTATTCAGACTCCTAGAATGTACAACACCAAGACTGAACCTTAATGTAAATGATGGACTCTGGATGATAATGATATATTAATAACGTAGGTTCATCAGTTGTAACAATTGTACCACTCTGGTGGGAAATGTTCATAATGGGAGAGGCTATGCATGTGTAAGGGAAGAAAGTAGATGTGAAATTCCTGTACTTTCTGTTCAATTTTTCTGTTAATCTAAAACCACTTTTAAAAATAAAATCCATTGTATTAGGGTTTTCCACAGGAACAGAACCAATAGGATATATATAGACATATAAGAGGGGATTTATTATGGAAATTGGCTTATGTGATTATGGAGACCCATGATGTATCATATGCAAACTGGAGAAAAAACAAAAGCCCACAGTGTAATTCAGTCTTAGTCCAAAGGCCTTGAGAACCAGAAGAGCCAATGGTGTGACTCTCAGTTTAAGGCTGAAGGCTGGAGAATCCGGAGCACTCCAGTGTCCAATGGCAAAGAAGATGAATCTCCCAGATTCAGAAGAGAGAGTGAATTCACTCTTCCTCCACTTTCTGTTCTATCCGGGCGCTCAGTGGATTAGATGGTTCCTGTCCACATCAGATTGTCCACATCTTTATTCAGTCTATTGATTCAAATGCTAATGTCTTCCTAAAGCACCCTCACAGACACACCTAGAAATAATGCTTTCCCAGGGTATCCTTTAATCTAGACACATAAAAGTAACCATCACATCTATTTTTAAAAATCCGTGCTGCTGACACTGATGTCATTGTGCCTATCTCTCCAAATTTTTACTTTTTAAAAATGATCATACCATCAGCCTACATATCTGTACCTGAATCAGATGTCAGAAAATAATTAAGGTCATTTGATCCAGGTAGGAACACAAATGAATCTGCTCAGCAAACAAGGGGTTCATATATTTGTTTTAGCATGTGATAAAACATAAGAATGCTCTTCCTTTTATTTGCAGAATATTTTTAAGATGTTGACTTTAAACCAACAAAGATCAAAAGAGACAAAGAAGGCCATTACATAATGGTAAAGGGATCAATTCAACAAGAAGAGCTAACTATCCTAAATATATATGCACCAAATACAGAGCACCCAGATTCATAAAGCAAGTCCTTACAGACCTACAAAGAGACTCAGACTTCCACACAATAATAATAGGAGACTTTAACACCCCACTGTCAACATTAGACAGATCAACAAGACAGAAAGTTAACAAGGATATCCAGGAATTGAACTCAGCTCTGCACCAAGTGGACCTAATAGACATCCACAGAACTCTCCACCGCAAATCAACAGAATATACATTCTTCTCAGCACCACATCGCACTTACTCCAAAATTGACCACATAGTTGGAAGTAAAGCACTCCTCAGCAAATGTAAAAGAACAGAAATTATAACAAACTGTCTCACAGATCACAGTGCCATCAAACTAGAACTCAGGATTAAGAAACTCACTCAAAACCACTCAACTACAAGGAAACTGAACAACCTGCTCCTGAATGACTACTGGGTACATAACTAAATGAAGGCAGAAATAAAGATGTTCTTTGAAACCAATGAGAACAAAGACACAACATACCAGAATCTCTGGAACATATTTAAAGCAGTGTGTAGAGGGAAATTTATAGCACTAAATGCCCACAACAGAAAGCAGGAAAGATCTAAAATTGACACCCTAACACCACAATTAAAAGAACTAGAGAAGCAAGAGCAAACACATTCAAAAGCTAGCAGAAGGCAAGAAATAACTAAGATCAGAGCAGAACTGAAGGACATAGAGACACAAAAAACCCTTCAAAAACCAGTGAATCCAGGAGCTGGTTTTTTGAAAAGATCAAAAAAATTGATAGATCGCTAGCAAGACTAATAAAGAAGAAAAGAGAGAAGAATCAAATAGACGCAATAAAAAATGAAAAAGGGGATATCACCACCGATCCCACAGAAACACAAACTACCATCAGAGAATACTATAACACCTCTACACAAATAAACTAGAAAATCTGGAAGACATGGATACATTCCTGGACACATACACCCTCCCAAGACTAAACCAGGAAGAAGCTGAATCCCTGAATAGACCAGTAACAGATTCTGAAATTGAGGCAATAATTAATAGCTTACCAACCAAAAAAAATCCAGTACCAGACGGATTCACAGCCGGATTCTATCAGAGGTACAAAGAGGAAGCTGGTACCATTCCTTCTTAAACTATTCCAATCAATACAAAAAGAAGGAGTCCTCCCTAACTCATTTTATGAGGCCAGCATTAGGCTGATACCAAAGCCTAGCAGAGACACAACAAAAAAAGAGAATTTTAGACCAATATCCCTCATGAACATCGATGCAGAAATCCTCAGTAAAATACTGGCAAACCGAATCCAGCAGCACATCAAAAAGATTATCCACCACAATCAAGCTGGCTTCATCCCCAGGATGCAAGGCTGGTTCAACATACGCAAATCAATAAACGTATTCCATCATATAAACAGAACCAAAGACAAAAACCACATGATTATCTCAATAGATTCAGAAAAGGCCTTCAACAAAATTCAACAGCCCTTCATGCTAAAAACTTTCAACAAACTGGGTTTTGATGGGACGTATCTCAAAACAGTAAGAGCTATTTATGACAAACCCACAGCCAATATTATACTCAATGGGCAAAAACTGGAAGCATTTCCTTTGAAAACTGGCACAAGACAGGGATGCCTTCTCTCACCACTCCTATTCAACATAGTGTTGGAAGTTCTGGCCAGGACAATCAGGCAGGAGAAAGAAATAAAGGGTATTCCATTAGGAAAAGAGGAAGTCAAATTGTCCCTGTTTGCAGACAACATGATTATATATTTAGAAAACTCCATCGTCTCAGCCCAAAATCTCCTTAAGCTGATAAGCAACTTCAGCAAACTCTCAGGATACAAAATCAATGTGCAAAGATCACAAGCATTCCTATACACCAATAACAGACAGAGAGCCAAATCATGAGTGAACTCCCATTCACAATTGCTTCAAAGAGAATAAAATACCTAGGAATCCAACTTACAAGGGATGTGAAGGACCTATTCAAGGAGAACTACAAACTACTGCTCAACAAAATAAAAGAGGACACAAACAAATGGAAGAACATTCCATGCTCACACATAGGAAAAATCAATATTGTGGAAATGGCCATACTGCCCCAGGTAATTTCTAGATTCAATGCCATCCCCATCAAGCTACCAATGACTTTCTTCACAGAATTGGAAAAAACTACTTTAAAGTTCATATGGAACCAAAAAAGAGCCCACATTGCCAAGTCAATCCTAAGCCAAAAGAACAAAGCTGGAGGCATCATGCTACCTGACTTCAAACTATACTACAAGGATACAGTAACCAAAACAGCATGATACTTGTACCAAAACAGAGATATAGACCAATGGAACAGAACAGACAGAGCCCTCAGAAATAATACCACACATCTACAACCATCTGATCTTTGACAAACCTGACAAAAACAAGAAATGGGGAACGGATTCCCTATTTAATAAATGGTGCTGGGAAAACTGGCTAGCCATATGTACAAAGCTGAAACTGGATCCCTTCCTTACACCTTATGCAAAAATTAATTCAAGATGGATTAAAGACTTAAATGTTAGACCTAAAGCCATAAAAACCCTAGAAGAAAACCTAGGCATTACCATTTAGGACATAGGCATGGGCAAGGACTTCATGTCTAAAACACCAAAAGCAATGGCAAAAAAGCCAAAATTGACAAATGGGATCTAATTAAACTAAAGAGCTTCTGCACAGCAAAAGAAACTACCATCAGAGTGAACAGGCAACCTACAGAATAGGAGAAAATTTTTACAATCTGCCCGTCTGACAAAGGGCTAATATCCAGAATCTACAAGGAACTTAAACAAATGTACAAGAAAAAATCAAACAACCCCATCAAAAATGGACAAAGGATATGAACAGACACTTCTCAAAATAAGACATTTATGCAGCCAACAGACACATTAAAAATGCTCATCATCACTGGCCATCAGAGAAATGCAAATCAAAACCACAATGAGATATCATCTCACACCAGTTAGAATGGCAATCATTAAAAAGTCAGGAAACAACAGGTGCTGGAGAGGATGTGGAGAAATAGGAACATTTTTACACTGTTGGTGGGGCTGTAAACTAGTTCACCCATTGTGGAAGTCAGTGTGGCAATTCCTCGAGGATCTAGAACTAGAAATGCCATTTGACCCAGCTATCCCATTACTGGGTATATACCCAAAGGATTATAAATCATGCTGCTATAAAGACACATGCACACGTATGTTTATTGCGACACTATTCACAATAGCAAAGACTTGGAACCAACCCAAATGTCCAACAATGATAGACTAGATTAAGAAAATGTGGCCCGTATACACCATGGAATACTATGCAGCCATAAAAAAGGATGAGTTCATGTCCTTTGTAGGGACATGGATGAAGCTGGAAACCATCATTCTCAGCAAACTATCGCGAGGACTGAAAACCAAACACTGCATGTTCTCACTCATAGGTGGGAATTGAACAATGGGAACACTTGGACATAGGGGAACATCACACACCGGGGCCTTTTGTGGGGTGTGGGGAGGGGGCAGGGATAGCATTAGGAGATATACCTAATGTAAATGACGAGTTAATGGGTGCAGCACATCAACATGGCACATGTATACATATGTAACAAACCTGCACGTTGTGCACATGTACCCTAGAACTTAAAGTATATATTTAAAAAAGATGTTTCAATGTCAATTTCAGGGAGAGAAGGGCACTAGAAGGGGAATAGATTAATACATATTTTTAAAATGCATCTATATACCTATTAATTATTTAATAAGGCACTTACAAGACAAACTGTTTCAACATCATTACCAAAAACAAAGAGTAAACATAGAGGACAAGGCTTCATTATGTACTTATTTACACCTTAGGATTGTGTATGTGCACACACACCCACATGTGTTTCCTTCCAAAGAGAAGATACTAGAGAAGGGAATGTTCTAACTCTGAAAATAGTACATTTAAGTGTGTGAAGTTTCAGAGATTGTTAGCATCACAGACTTTGTGGTTTCTCACCTTTAAGAGGTAGCACTACTAGCTACTACCCTGGCATCCCCAGCTTTGACCTAGGCATACACAGTTATCATTATTGGTATGAAAAGGAATTTGGTCTCTGAGTGACTTCACTTGCAGGAAGACATGGTGACAAATGCTGTGTGACTCACCATGTTCCATAGGTTATTTTACTTCTGAATGGGTGTGTTGGAAAATTACAGGTGATTTGGGAAAAAAAGTCCAAGGAGAATGTGTTATTTCTGCTGGACCACTCCAATTTATTCAGCTTCTGTTCAGCACAAAATCTCACTAGAATTATATAATATTCATTATTTCTTCATATGTCACAAAACTCCATTTCAATTATATTAAATGATCAAAGCCTATATGTTAATAAAAGTACAAGTTAATAAAAAAGAAACAAGGAAGTAGATGATATCAATCTACTGCAGATCAAACAAATTAACTCGTGTTTTGATGGAGAACTTCATTTTATTTGTGATTAGTCTGTTGGAGATGTATTTAATAACTGAAATCAAATTCAAATATTGTAAAACATTTTCTCAATAAAGAATTACTAAGGGACACTGAGGTACAAGCTAGAGTAAGGAAATGAGAGGGAAAGAGCTGTGAGCCCCATCTCTGAGAATGTTAGTTACCTTAAAATAAATGGAGTATGCCAATTAGAAAATTTAATTAAGACCTCCGTGTCCTCCCACTAAAGTTCATTTCTTCTTTATTCTTTAAGACAATGATCTCATTTTAGATTTTGTGTGTGTGTGCTAGACCTTTAGATACAGTGATGGCTTACACTTGGTTTTCAGCCATTTTGCTGAGTAAACTTAGTAACAATCCTGGCTGTGGTAGGCAGAATAATGGCTCTGTGAAAATACCAGTACCTTAATACCAGACACCTGTTATGTTACATGCAAAAATGACTTTGAGATGGGGAGATTAAGGTTAAGGACCTTGTATGGAGATTAAGGTTAAGAACTTTGTATTGTACCTTATCCAAGTGGGTACAATGTAGTCACATGAGTCCTTAAAATTTGGAGAACACGCCCCATCTGAGGAGAACCAGAGATGGCAGTGTGAGATGGACTCAACTGCTATTGGTGGCCCTAAGGATGCGGGAAGGGGGTTATGAGCTCAGGGATGCAGCTTGCCACAGGAAGCTGGAAAAGGAAAGGAAATGGGTTTCCCCCTATAGCTTTCAGAAAGGAATAGATCCCTGCTGACACCTTGGTTGTAGCTCATTGATACCTGTGTCAGACTTCTAACCTACAGAACTATAAAAAGTAAATAAGTGTTATTTTAATCCACTAAATTTGTGGTAATTTGTTATGTCAGCAATAGAAACCTAATACAGTGGCTAGCATTGTTTGAGTACTTACTATGTACCAGACATAATGCTTAGTCATTTACTTGCCTTATTTATTTCTTACAACCCTATTTTACATATGAGGAAATTGAGATTTAGAGAGGTTGGGTAACTTGCCCAAGACTACACAGAAAGAAGTGGTAGAGTAACAATTTATATCCATAATGTCTGTTTCAGAGTCTGACTCTTAACTACTCTGCTACCTAGACTTTCAACTCTATGCAAAGGAGTTATATGTAAATAGAGTGTTTCCTGGAGACTTAATGCCTATTGAATTGAATTCTCTCTGAAAATAATTAAAAAACAAACAGTACAATATTGTTTTGTCCTAGGTTTGCCCTCATTCAGAGTAGATTTGAAAACATGTATTTTTTCATTAAGTGAAAGAGTAATGGAAAACTGTCAGGTACTAAAAGATCAATGACCCATTGCAAGAAAAGATAGGTCTAGAAATTTGGAAGGTTGTTTTCTCACAGAAAACAATTAGAAATAGTGAATTAAAATGTTTAAAAAATCTTCTTAAATATATATAAATAAAAGTGGAATCTATAGACTTAATTAGGACACCAAATCTGCTTCATTTTGAGCATTTTTTATGAAGATGGACAACCTAAGCTTTGGCTTGGATGAGCTTGTAAGAGCATGTGGGGTTCTGAAAACAGAATTCAAAGTCTCAGACTTGCCTATCCCAATTTAATATCTCACATAAAGCTGGGACCCCAAGTGCTATATCCTCAAGGTTGGGGAGAAGCAGAAGTAACACTACTTCCCAACTCCCTGGGCATTACAAGGAAAAGTTGCTATGGCATTGGGAAGAGGAGGAGGTAGAAAACAAAGCTCCTCTAAGAAGCTGAAACTACAAGTCCAAGGTGACCCTGGCATAGATTTTTTTAAAAAGTAATTTAATGGAAAAGCTATGCTATTAGGTTGAGATGGCTGCAGTACCTTGGGTTTTTTTTTTTTTTTTTTTTTTTTTTTTTGGTTAACATTCCAAACATGTATAACCAATGAACATGGCCTAGGGTTTTCTTTTTATTGGTATTCACTTCAGTAACTTGAATCCACAGATATAAGCAGTATACAACCAGAAAGTTACAAGCAAACACAAATTATACATGCAAATTTCTGTTCACAAAGGTCACATGTGCAGTTACATGAATTAGAAACATGCATCTAGGATTATGAGATGTCTGTTCATGTGTTAAGTGTTACAGCAAAAAGAAAAATACACATATGGTTAAGTTAATGAATAGTTTTTGTTTTATCAGAATGGCAACGGACAGAAGTACCTTTTAGAGACTGACTTCCTAAGCTACTTAAGACGACTTGTACCTTGGGTTTTTATTTAAACAAACTGAAGCCCAATGTAAACAGCAAAACAAAACTTAAGCTAACCCAATCAAGAACTGGCAGCTATCCTTTAACTAGGGACTTTCTACCAGATCATACTGAAATAATGTAAATATTTATCTGTAGCCAATCAAATAACTACTTTTCTTCCATGTTCAGCCTATAAAAGCCCCTTGCTCCACTGCTAACACAGAGCTCCCTAAACCTCTTTTGGTTTTGAGTGCTGCCTGATCCATGAATTATTTGATGCTCAAATCAACTTTGTTAAATGTATTTTGTTCATCTCTGTAGTACTCTATTAATCCATTTCCAAACCGATATAAAGAACTGCCTGAGATTGGGTAATTTATAAAGGAAAGAGGTTTAATTGACTCACAGTTCTGCATGACTGAGGAGACCTCAGGAAACTTACAATGATAGCAGAGGGAAAGCAAACACGTCCTTCTTTACAAGGTGGCAGGAGAGAGAAGTGCAGAGTGAAAGGGGAAGAATTTTTTATAAAACCATCAGATCTCATGAGAACTCACTCACTATCACAAGAACAGCATGGGGGACTGCCCTCATAATCCAGGCACCTGCCATGAGGACCTTCCTCTAACACATGGAGATTACAATTCAGATTATAATTCAAGATGAGATTTGGGTGGGGACACAAAGCCAGACCATATCAAGTACCAAACTGTCAAATCAGGAACTTGGTTTAAATAGTCTTGAACTAGGGCCCTGGCAGAAACAATCACAAATTCTCCTTGGAGGAATTTAACATCTCAGCTTCTCCTGAAGTCTCCTTCATCTCAGTTAATGGTACTTCTATTCTTCCAGTTACTCAAATCAAATACCTTGGTGTCATCCTTGACAGTTCTCTGTTTCTCAAACCTTATCCAGTCTGTTAGCAAAACCTATTCACCTTTAGAATGCTCATTATCTTTTCTCTGTTGTCATATTGCAGTAGTCCTCTAAATGGTCTCCTTGCTTCAGTTTTTGTCTCCCTAGAAACATTTTCAATGCAGCAGTCAGAGTGAGCCTGTTCAAATGTAAATTACATAATTCTTATGCTGCAAACAGTTTAAATAATTCTTACCTCATTCAGAGGAAAGCCAAAGTCTTTGTAATGACCTCCAGAGTCCAAGACTTCTGCTCCTTTGGCTTTTCTGCCCTCATTTCCTGCTCCTCTCCTATGTGTTCAGTATAGCAGATGCTGTCAGTGCCCTGCCCATTGCCTCTCTTGCTTATGTTTTTAGTGCATGCAGGGCCAATTTCAAATGCCATGCCCAATGACTGACAAGAATGTGTATATATATATATATGAATTTATACATATATACACGTATGTATGTATATATGTATGTGTGTGTGTGTGTGTGTGTGTGTGTGTGTGTGTGTGTAAGCTTCATAGTCTCTGTTTTACTCTGTGTTCCAGAGGTCTCTCTCCTTGGGATTAAGTTCCCTCACTCATAGTATTAGTTGGCTTGAAAACACACATTTTACTTACTCCCTTCTCTTCTATGCCTCACTTCATATCTCCCTACCTTATCTCTTTACTCTCAAATGATCAACATAAACTTGAATGCTTATCTCAGATAAACATCCAATCAACTTACTATACTATTCCTTGCAGTTTCTTTAACACTTCAGGTATGTTCCAGCCTCAAGGCTGTTGTATTTGCTGTCCCTGCTCACATGTCTGGAGTGCTATTGCCCTAGAAATGACACAAGGCCATTTGCTTCGTATCATTCAACAAGGCCTTCCCTGGACATCCTGTTACCCATTCAAGCAATACTCTTCTTTTTTCCCCAAATTAATTATTTTATTCATTAACACACATCACAATTTAATTAACAAATTAATTCTGTCTGTGTGTGTGTGTGGGCGCACGTGCGTGTGAGAGCAAGAGAGAGAGAGAATTTACTTGTTTATTGACTTTTCTCCCACTGGAATATAAACTCTCTGAGCAAAGGGATTTATGTTTATTTGGTTCACTACTGTATCCCAATAATTACCTGCCACATAGCACTAAAAAATATTTGTTTTATTTAGTGCTTACTATGCATAAATGTGCGTAAAAGAAAACCAGTAATATTCCTAGAATAATAAACAGCTCAGTGGAAAAAATACTCTAGCATTAAAAAAAACCCACAAAAATACCATTAGTGGGAAACAGCAGAAACAAAAGATGGCAGAACAAAGATTTCAGTTTGAAATAATCACAGAGATTATATTTATTTGCTATGTTTAATAAAAAACATGAACTGAGAAGTGTTTGAAGCAGGAAGCCATAAAGGTAATTCAGTAGTTGTGAAATTAATTTCTCCATATTAAAATTACAATAAATTATAAAAATACAATAAATGTGTTTATCAGCATTTTAAACTCAGTTGAAGAGAAAATTAATGCATTATAAGTCAAAAGACATTATCTACAATCCAGCACAGAGAGCAAGAGATGAAATATATGAAAAGAAATTAAAAGACCCAAAGAATAGAATGAGAATGTCTAGCATACATCTAACAAGAACTTCAGAGTACAAGCAAGAGAAAATTTAGAAACTTGTTTGGAGGAATGATGGAGTAGCTGGTAGCAAACTCATGATGTTCACAAATAGAAATCTGGACAAAATAAAAGAAGCAACTGTTTTCAGGTATTAGACAACAGGCCTCATGAGAAATATGCATGGTCACCTTATAATCACCCCAGCTTTCAGTATGGAGTCACTTTCTGGACCATGGTTCATGAAGTGGGAGCCTGAGCTGAGCTGTTAAGTAGGAAACTGCTCAGAAAAGGAATTTTAAAAATTAGCATAGGGGTCCCCTGAAGTCTTTGGCTAATACTCAGTTTTGCATTACACAGTGCAAGTCCGCAGGAAGCCTTGCAGAGAGCAGCTTCCAGAGAGCTGATTTGTGAGGTTGCATAATGTTGAGAGATTGAGGAGTTCCGAACAGCCAGAGTGAAGAGCAAAGTGACCTTGAGGAGCACCCCAAGCATTCAATCAAGACATCTGAAAGGCCATGCCTCAGAAAGAGGGCTACCCTATTCCCAGATTAAGAGCTCATTTAAATATGGCCTAACAAAGCTTAAAATCAAGTCTTGAAATGATCAAGCTAATTCCCCAGTATTTAATTACTGGCCAGAAAAAAAAAAAATGCAATACGTTAGTGATGAGGTTCTTGGATCCTGGGTTCTTTTTTTATTCAATTGGGATTTTAATGTTTGATTTTTATGTGTGTGCAAGTTTAGTTGTTTGTGTTTACTTTAATGTCAATATTTTTATATAAGTTGTGCCTATACAGTTTTTCTATTGTCATTGTGTCACTATGTATGAAATTTATCTCTCATAAGAGGTTTGAAATACCAAAGAGATTCTGAATTATTTGATTTATAGGTTTGCTATTTAAAGATTGGTTTGTAATGCTGCATTATCAAGGTTATTAAGAATTAGACAAAATTAGTGTGACACATTCCTAGCGCACAGTGTGTGCAATGTGATGCTATCTTTACCTATCAAAGTAATAAATAATCAGATGCAGAAGTAGTTAAATGTATAATAATAATAATACCTAATGCTAGCAAAGATGAGATGAGCATTTTATATACTTTTCATAGAAGCACGAGTTGACACAATCATTCTGCAAATATATTTGGTCATATATGTTTAAGATATTTAAATATTTTTATCATTTGACCCAATTACTTCAAGGAAATGAAAAGTAATATATCTTTCCGAGATGTTAATTATAGTATTTTTATAGTGATGAAAATGTGAAGCAATCAAAATAGCCAGCATAAAGTTAAATAATGTATGGTATGAATTGAAATCACATTTTATCTGAAGTTTAGTTTCTAATGACAACAAATAGGAATTCTGGAATATTCAAAATTACTTTTGAAAAATATATCTTCTATGGAATAGATTTCTGCACCATTGCTCATTAATTCCAATGCAGTCTCCTTCTTCCTACAATGTTGTAACAGTTTGTTACCTTCCATTTTAGTTTTTCTTTTCTTCCTTTTTCAGTGCTTTGTAAACCATAATGATATTTTATTTTATTTTTATTTAATTTTTAATTATTGTGTGTACATAGTAGGTGTATGTATTTATGCATTACATGAGATATTTTGATATAGGTATACAACATGAAATAATCACAGCAGGAGAAATGGGGTATTTATTACCTCAAGCATTAGTCCTTTGTGTTTCAAACAATCTAATTATACTCTCTTAGTTATTTTAAAATGTACTAATTCATATTATTTTTAGTACGCTCAACCTGTTGTGCTAGCAAATACTAGGTCTTATTCATTCTTTTTATTTTTGTATCCATGAACCATCCACACTCTCCTCAACCCCACCACCACCACTACCCTTCCCAGCCTCTGGTAACCATCCTTCTACTCTCTGTCTACATTAGTTCAATTGTTTTCATTTTTGGTTCCCACAAATAAGTGAGAACATGTAATGTTTGCTTTTCTGTGCCTGGCGTATTCCACTTGACATAATGATCTCCAGTTCCATCCATGCTGTTGCAAATGACTGGTTCTCATTCTTCTTATGGCTGCATAGTACTCCATTGTGTATATGTAGCACATTTTCTTTATCCATTTATCTACTGGTGGACACTTGGGTTTTTCCTAAATCTTGGCTATTGTGAATAGTGCTGCAATAAATATAGGAGTGCAGATATCTCTTCTACATACTGATTTGCTTTATTTTGGTATATACCTAGGAGTGGAATTGCTGCATAATATGGTAGCTCTATTTTTAGCTTTTTGAGGAACCTCCAAACTATTTTCCATAGTGGTTGCCCTAATTTACATTCCCAACAAGAGTGTACTGGAGTTTCTCCTTTTCTCCATATCCTTGCCAGTGTTTGTTATTGCCTGTCTTTTGGATATAAGCCATTTTAACTGGTGTGAGATAATATCTCATTTTAGTTTTAATTTGCATTTCTTTGGTGTTGAACACTTTTTCATATACCTGTTAGCCATTTGCATGTCTTCTTTTGAGAAATGTCTATTCAGGTCTTTTCCCATTTTTTAATCAGATTATTAGTTTTTTTCCTATGAAGTTGTTTGAGCTCCTTATATGGAGCTCAACTTGTATTCTGGTTATGGATCTTTTGTCAGATGGGTACTTTGAAAATACTTTCTCCCTTCTTTGTGAGATGCCTCTTCACTTCGTTGATTTGTTCCTTTGCTGTGCAGAAGCTTTTAAACTTGATTGGAGCTCATTTGTCTATTTTTGGTTTGGTTGCATGTGTGTATTGCAGTATTGCTCAAGAAATTTTTGCCCAGACCAATGTCCTGGAAAGTTTTCCCAATGTTTTCTTGTGGTAGTTTCAAAGTTTGAAATCTTAGATTTAAGTTTTTAATCCATTTTCATTTTACTTTTGTATAAGGCAAAATATAGGGGTTGAGTTTCATTCTTCTGCATACGGCTATTCAGTTTTCCCAGCACCATTTATTGAAAAGACTATCCTTTTCCCCAGTGTGCATTCTTAGCACCTTTGTTGAAAATGAGCTCACTGTAGATGTTTAGATTTATCTGTGGGTTCTCCAATCTGTTCCACCAGTCTGTGTGTCTGTTATGCCAGTACCATGCCACTTTGGTTACTACAGCTCTGTGGTATAATTTGAAGTCAGGTAATATGATTCCTCCAGTTTTGTTTTTTGCTCAGGACAGCTTTGGCTGTTTGGGGTCTTTTGCGGTTGCATATAAAATTTAGGATAGTTTATATCTATTTCTGTGAAGAACATCATTGGTATTTTGATAGGGATTGCATTGAATCTAGATTGCTTTGGGTAGTGTGGATACTTTAACAATATTAATTTTTGAATCCATGAACATGGAATATCTTTCCATCTTTCTGTGTCATCTTCAATTCCTTGTGTCAGTGTTTTATAATTTTTATTGTAGAGATCTTTCACTACTTTTGTTCATTCCTAGGATTTTTCTTGTAGCTACTGTAAATGGAATTACATCCGTGATTTCTTTTTCAGATTGTTCACTGTTGGCATATAAAAATACTAATGACTTTTTGTATGTTGATTTTTGTTATGCACACACCTAATTGAAAAGACTACTCAAACAGGCTAGGTGGGAGCAGCAAGGCTGTTTATTCACTCAGGTGCGAGCAGGCTGAGTTCCAGAAAGGAGTCAGTGAAGGGTGGTGGAAGTGGAACTGGTTTTATAGGTTTGGGGTAGGTAATGGGAAGTTACAGTTAGGGGCAGTTTTTTCGGGCAGGGGAAGAATGTCACAAGGTGCATAGTCATGAGGTGGGGGGATGCCACAAGACAGGATATCACAAGGTTGATTGATTAGTTAGGGTAGGGCAGAAACATATCACAGTGGTGGAATGTTGCAAGATTGGTTAATCAGTTAAGGCAGGAACTAGATGTTTCTTCTTTAGTGGTTCTCCTGTTGCTGCAGGCTTTGCGACTCCAGGAGGCCTGCATGTGTGTGTCACAGGGGTCACAATGGCTCAACCATGGTGTAGCCCATTCAGAGGAACTTACAACTTTGCTAAATTTCTTTATCAGTTCTAATAGTTTTTTGGTGTGGTCTTTATGTATTTCCAAATACAAGATTAGACCATCTGCAGAGAAGGATAATTTGACTGTTTCCTTTCCCATTTGAAAGCCTTTTATTTCTTTCTCTTGTCTGATTTTTCTAGCTTCCAGTACTATGCTGAATGACAGTGGTGACAGTGGGTATACTTGTTGTGTTCCAGAACTCTGAGAAAAGGTTTTCAGATTTTTCCCCATTCAGCATGATACTAGCTATGGGTATATTTTATATGACTTTTATTATGTTGTATGTTCCTTCTATACCAAGTTTTTGAGGCTTTTTATCTTGAAAGTATGTTGAATTTTATCAAATAATTTTTCAGCATCAATTGACATGATCATATGGATTTTGTCTTTCATTGGGTTGCTATGATATATCACTGTGTATGATTTGCATATCTTGAACCATCCTTGAATCTCTGAGTTGAATCCCACTTGGACATGATAAAAGATCTTTCCAATGTATTGCTAGTATTTTGTTGAGGAAATTTGCATCAATATTTATCAGGAATATTGGCCTGTAGTTTTGTATTTTTGATGCACCTTTATCTGATTTTGGTATCAGGATAATGAATGAGTTTGAAAGTATTCCTTCCTCCTCTATTTTTCAGAATAGTTTGAGAAGGATTGGTCTTATGATTTCTTTAAATGTTTGGTTAGATTCAGCAGTGAAACCATAAGTCCTGGGCTTTTCTTTACTTGGAGTCTTTTTATTACATCTTCTATGCTGTTTCTTGTCATGGATCTGTACAAGTTTCAGATTTCTACATGATTCAATCTTGTATGTGTCTAGGAATGTTTCCATTTCTTCTGGATTTTTCAATTTACTGGCATGTATTAGCTCATAGTAGCCATTAATGATCCTTTGAATTTCTGCAGTATTAGTTGTAATGTCTTCTTTTACTCTCTGATTTTATTTATTTGGATCTCCTCTCTTTTATTCTTCATCTGGTTAAAAGTTTGTCAATTTGTTTAACTTTTGAAAGAATCAACTTTCTGTTTCATTGACTTTTTATATTGTTTTCTTTGTTACAATTTCATTTATTTCTGCTCTTATCCTTATTATTTCTTTTTTTCTACTTATTTTGGGTTTGGTTTGCTCTTGCTTCTCTAGTTGTTTTAATCCATTTTCATTTTATTTTGTATAAGGCAAGATAGGTATTACCAAAGAAACATAAGACACCGCTGGAATAGAGGGACAGAAATACTGGACAGTAAGCATGGCATCAAACATGGGCATTGGCTTTGTGTATAAGACAGGAAATCAGTTACAAACTGGAGGGATAAGATGGAGAGTTTTTCTTTAGCACACAGTACATGAATTTTTATCAAGGACATCTTATAAAAAATAATGATGATTTTCTGCTAGAGTGTTGATCTAGTTTCTATTTTTTTTTTAATTTCCTTAAAATCACAATTATTCCTGGAATCTAAGTGAAAAACAAGTGTCAATGTGGAGTCAAGTGACTCCATTTGGAGATGAGGGAAAATGCAATGTCTCGGGGGATGTGCAGGCCTGGCATCATTCAATCATTTCCATTGCTGGTACTTAATTTAGAAAACTATGGTCATTATAATTACTCCCAAATATAAAAGTGATCTGTACATATCACAAAAGACTGCCAGAAACATTTCCTATACTAGTCTCTGGTGTTATTGATTTTATTAAATTTGCTAAACTTAAAATAGACATTTTTAATTGGCTCACAAAGACAGTATGAGTTGCCACCATTTTTATACCTTGTAGTAGGTCCACAGTATGTGTACTTATTAATTCTTTTGTATATGAATCAGGGAGGAATGGTCTCTGTTGTGTTTAGTAGTATTTCCAATATAAGCTAGAAAAGTTGATCATAAATAGATATGTTTTTACTTTCCATGTAAGACTTAGAATATGTCTTATTGTTGCTAGTTTTCTCTCTTAAGAAAGAAAGGTGCTTTAGAGTTGCAGAGTAACCAGTTAGAGAACTTTCATGGCCTGGACAGAACCAAGACAAAAGAAAATGAGAGGAGCACACTCTCCTTTTTAACTTTACCACAGAAATACAAATGGCAATGTTGTCGCTAAACAACATTCTTGCCATGCTAAAATCATAGAACTTTGATTTAGAAGACAAATAGCTAACCATAAAATTCAGGAGGAATGAGTTTCATTTGTTTGGAAAGCAATAAAATTTGACTACATAAACTTAGACTGAGTCCTATTTAACATTCTGCATCACTTTACTGCACAGCAATAGCAATATTTCCCAAATAAAGTTGAAACTCACCTATGGAGCCTCAATTACGTGGCTGAGGCAATTTTCTGATCCTTAATTTCTTTTAAAATGTAATATTCCTCAAACTAAGAAAATCTCAGATCTATGGTATTATAAAAATGAAAGAAAAACAAAGTCACCTTTTTTTTTAAACTTCATTTGGAATTGCTATAAGAATACTTTGGCTGAAACATTTTCTAGTTATCTAAATAGATGGGCAAGTATGTGAATATGAGGGGAAAGGGTATGAAGAATGAAAGTAAATTTCCATCGCCCCTGTTATCACATGTAAGCAGAATTCTCATTGGCCCTCATGTAAGCAGAATTCTCATTGGCCCTCGTGAAATACGTAAGCAGAAAGGATCTGCTTTCCTTCACATTTGTGTTGTCCCTTCTGAGTCACAGCTTTTGGCAGCAAAAAAGGAAGGAAGGGAAGAGGTCACACTGCTCCAGAGGTGTTTCTGCTTCCACTTCTGTCCCTCACACCCATTCTTTCCTTTTGGATTCTTGGTCTCTGCTCCCAAGAATATAAATTTCATAACCATTCCAAACACAAACCCTATTCTTTAGTTCAGTCAGGTTTATAGTGGAAGAAAATAAATGAGAGGTTTATTTTCTTGCTCAAAATTCATTGACTTAACTGTGACAGAAGCACTAGGGTGTGTAGAGAAATGAAAGAAAAAGAGAGTGTTGGAATGTGGAAGTAGTATATGATATTTAAGAATAAACAAAATAAGATAAAACTGGAAAATTTTGTATTTTGAAGTCCTTTAAGGAGTTTTAAAATTTTCTTTTCCTTCTATATTACATTACATTTCCTTCTATATTCCTTCTAAAGGTAGAAATGGAACAAATATTTTTATAAATAATGGAAATTCGTACTTTAATTTTTCTGTTTTTCCCAAACTATAACTAGTTGTACAGGCTATTTTTCTAATTATAAGATAATTCCTGTCCAGGATATATTAATTGGAGAATATTTGTGCTATTACAAGGGCAGAAAAAAAAACCAAATTACTTATAATGTCACTACCAGGATGTTACCCTTGCTAGTATTTTCTTATATATTTTGTTTCCAGATGCTCTTCTTTGTCTTTGTACTTTACTAGTAATAAGTTCATATTAGAAAAGATCTTTTGTAACCTATTTCCATGTGATGACATATGATGGTCATCTTTTAATTCCCTAACTAGAGAGTTGTATCAACATTTTAAAAGGCTTTGTGATATTATACAATATGAATGTTCTAAAAATTATTTAAGCATTCACTTGCTGATGAGTTTTTATATGGTTTCTTAATTTTAGTTACTATAAATTAGTAGCCACATCATCATATTGTAAACTGCCTGGATAAATATGAATAAACATATTTATCTGTAACCACATAATAAAACAGTGAAAATTATGCATTATGCCAGCAACCACAATTGTTAGTTATATGAGACTGTTAGTCCCACAATTCATAGGCAGTTAATGCCATTCATTAATGTAGTCACCTATTCATCTCGGTAAATATTTATTGAATATTAGATATAATGGGCATGTTGCTTAGTACTGAGAATATATGGATAACAAAACAGTGATAGTCTTGGTGTTAAGATGCTTACATTCTACTGGGTGGAGACAATCAATAAACGTGCGTAAACAAAAGATTTAGAGATTTAATTGGTACTTTGAATGGATTGAACTGGGCAACATGATAGATTTTAATTAGAGAGGTTTACTTAGCTAGGACAGATAGGGTTAAATTCTTTGAGACTGGTGTTTAGTTGATGCTTGAATAACAAAAAAGAACAAACCATTCAAAGAACCAGACAGGATGAAAGGAGAAAATAGCAAGTGAAAAGGCCCTGAGTATTAAAAAGTTTGGTAATTGAGGAACAAGAGGATTCAAGCCAAGCTAAAATATAATAATTTGTGGAATGGCATGAGGTTGGAGAAGACAGCCTTCCTGATTTTCAGAGATTTCTTGATGATGCTATCATAATGGATTTTATTAGGAGTAAAATAGCATTTTAGGTATTAAAATACTATTTTAGGCAGGCCGTGAATCAATATGAGTTAAGTTTTCAAAGGGTCATTCTGGCTACTCTGTGGGAAATAGATTCTGGGGAGAGGAATAGAAGCTGAGAGGTGATTTAAAAGGACATTTCAACAGTATAGGAAAGAACATCAAGATACTTTGGATAAGGGGTAGGCAGAGTATGTAGAGGCACATGGGCATTTTGAGATATGTTTTGATGATAGAATTGAAATTACTGATGGACTGGATATGAAATATGAGGAAAAGAAAAAATAATTATTCATATATTACTATTACCTTTTACTTCAGCAGTTGAATTCATGGTGGAGTAATTTATTGAGAAGAGAGAACCTAGAGAGAAAACATATTTTGAGGGTATATTTAATTGTGACGATATAGTTGAGATTAAATGGACAAATTAAAATATGGCTTTGGAGCCCAGAAGATTTAAATTTGGATGGCATTTAAAGTCAAACTGGATGAGATTTCCTAGGAGAAGAATATAGGGCTAGAAGAAACCTCAGGAACAACCGTGGGGCATTTCAAAATTTAGAAATGAGATTGAGAAGGAAGAGACAACAAAGAAAATGGAGAAAGAGTAGTAAGCGGCAGAAGATTCCCCACAGAGTGGAGTCTCTAGGAAGGTAAGAGAGGAATTTCCAGGAGAAAGGGTGTGATAAACAAGGACAGCTGAATCTGAGTGGAATGAAGACAGGCATATGTTCATGGATTTGGAAACAAAAGCATGAAAAATACCTGACTGTAGTCGAAGAGTGAATGAGAAACCTCTTTTTCTGGCATTGGAGTGAAATAAACATAAGGTACGCTCATTCTGGGATAGCACATATGAAAATGATGTAAAATACATTTGAATATAAGATGACACCACATTAATGCATGGCTGAGTGATGGGAAATAAAGGGACTTCCTAGAGATCAGATACTATAAGAAGCTATACTACGCAGTCACTCTGGGGGATTTGCCGTACCTTAGAGCTTAAGAGTTCAAAATGAGCGATTTTATACATTTCTCTTTTATTGCTTTGTGGAATGTGACTCAAAAAACAAACATTTTTTCCTCAGGTACTATGATGTGTCCTTTCTGTAGTTGCAGGCCCCCGGGCTTTGGTAAGATCTCTTACCACATCGGATTCTCACTTCCATGGATCCAGATACATTTAGGGAAGGACTATTCCTCTCTAATAATATGCAGATTTTTAAAAAATATATGATTTTTAAAAATTATTTTTATTAGACTTTAAGTTCTGGGTTACACGTGCAGGTTTGTTACATAGGTATACATGTGCCATGGTGGTTTGCTGCAGCCATCAACCCGCCACCTACATTGGGTATTTCCCCTAATGCTGTCCCTTCCATTCCCCCACAACTCCTGACATGCCTCAGTGTGTGATGTTCCCCTTCCTGTGCCCATATGTTCTCATTGTTCAACTCCCACTTATGAGTGAGAACATCTGGTGTTTGGTTTTCTGTTCCTATGCTAGTTTGCTGAGAAAGATGGTTTTCAGTTTCATCAACGTCCCTGCAAAGGACATGAACTCATTCTTTTTTATGGCTGCATAGTATTCTACGGTGTATATGTGCCATATTTCCTTTATCCAGCCTATCTTTGATGGGCATTTGGGTTGGTTCCAAGTCTTTGCTATTGTGAATAGTGCTGCAATAAACATACGTGTGCATGTGTCTTTATAGTGGAATGATTTATAACCCTTTAGGTGTATACCCAGTAATGGAATTTCTGGGTCAAATGGTATTTCTAGTTCTAGATACTTGAGGAATCTCCACACTATCTTCCACAATGGTTGAACTAATTTACACTCCCACCAATGGTGTAAAAGTGTTCTTATTTCTTCACATCCTCTCCAGCACCTGTTGTTTCCTGACTTTTTAATTATCGCCATTCTAACTGGTGTGAGATGGTATCTCATTGTGTTTTTGATTTGCATTTCTCTAATGACCAGTGATGATGAGCTTTTTTTTCATATGTTTGTTGGCCGCATAAATGTCTTCTTTTGAAAAGTATCTGTTCATATACTTTGCCCACATTTTGATGGGATTGTTTTTTTCTTGTAAATTTGTTTAAGTTCCTTGTAGATTCTGGATATTAGCCCTTTGTCAGATGGGTAGATTGCAAAAATTTACTCCTATTCTGTATGTTGTCTGTTCACTTTGATGATAGTTTCTTTTGTTGTACAGAAGCTCTTTAGTTAAATTAGATTTCATTTGCCAATTTTGACTTTTGTTGCAATTGCTTTTGGTGTTTTAGTCATGAAGTCTTTGCCCATGCCTATGTCCTGAATGATATTGCCTAGGTTTTCTTTTAACGTTTTCATGGTTTTAGGTCTTACGTTTAAGTCTTTAATCCATCTTGAGGTAATTTTTGTATAAGGTGTAAGGAAGGGGTCCAGTTTCAGTTCTCTGCATACAGCTAGCCAGTTTTCCCAACACTATTTATTACATAGGGAATCCTTTCCCCATTGCTTTTGTCAGGTTTGTCAAAGCTCAGGTGGTTGTAGATATGTGGTGGTATGTCTGAGGCCTCTGTTCTGTTCCATTGGTCAATATATCTGCTTTGGTACCAGTACCATACTGTTTTGGTTACTGTAGCCTTGTAGTATAGTTTCAGGTAGAGTGATGCCTCCAGCTTTATTCTTTTTGCTTAGGATTGTCTTTGCTATATGGGTTCTTTTTTGGTTCCTTATGAAATTTAAAGTAGTTTTTTTCTAATTCTGTGAAGAAAGTGAACAGTAGCTTGATGGGAATAGCATTGAATCTATAAATTACTTTGGGCAGTATGGCAATTTTCATGATATTGATTCTTCCTATCCATGAGCATGGAATGTTTTTCCATTTGTTTGTGTCCTCTCTTATTTCCTTGAGCAGTGGTTTGTAGTTATCCTTGAAGAGGTCCTTCATATCCCTTGTAAGTTGTATTCCTAGGTATTTTATTCTCTTTGTAGCAATTGTGAATGGGAGTTTACTCATGATTTGGCTCACTGTCTGTCTACTCTTGGTGTATAGGAGTGTTTGTGATTTTTGCACATTGATTTCGTATCCTGAGACTTTGCTGAAGTTGCTTATCAGCTTAAGGAGTTTGGGGGTTGAGACAATGGGGTTTTCTAAATATACAATCATGTCATCTGCAAACAGAGATAATTTGACTTCCTCTCTTCCTATTTGAATACATTTTATTTCTTTCTCTTGCCTTGTTGCCCTGGCCACAACTAGCAATACTATGTTGATTAGGAGTGGTGAGAGACGGCATCCTTGTCTTGAGCTGGTTTTCAAAGGGAATGTTTCCAGCTTTTGCCCATGCAGTATTATATTCAGTATGGCTGTGGGTTTGTCACAAATAGCTCTTATTATTTTGAGATACATTCTATCAATACCTAGTTTATTGAGAGTCTTTATCATGAAGGGGTGTTGAATTTTATCAAAGGCCTTTATGGCACCTATTGAGATAATCATGTGGTTTTTGTCATTGGTTCTGTTTATGTATTGGAATACATTTATTGATTTGTGTACGCTGAACCAGCCTTGCATCCCAGGGATGAAGTCGACTTGCTCATGGTGGATAAGCTTTTTAATGTGTTGCTGGATTTGATTTTTCAGTATTTTATTGAGGATTTTTGCATTGATGTTCATCATGGATATTGGCCAGAAATAGTCTTTTTGTTGTGTGTCTGCCAGGTTTTTGTATGAAGATGATGCTAGCTTCATAAAATTACTTAGGGAGGAGTCCATCTTTTTCTATTGTTTGGAATAATTGTAGAGGGAATGATACCAGCTCCTCTTTGTACCTCTGGTAGAATTTGGCTGTGAATCCATCTGGTCCTGGGCTTTTTTTTGGTTGGTAGGCTATTAATTACTGCCTCAATTTCAGAATTTGTTATTGGTCTGTTCAGGGATTTGACTTCTTCCTGGTTTAGTCTTGGGAGGGTGTATGTGCCCAGGAATGTATCCGTGTCTTCTAGATTTTCTAGTTTATTTGTGTAGAGATGTTTATAGTATTCTCTGATTGTAGTTTGTATTTCTATGAGCTCAGTGGTGACCTCCGCTTTATAATTTTTATTGTGTCTATTTGATTCTTCTCTCTTTTCTTCTTTATTAGTCTCACTAGTGGTTTATCTATTTTGTTAATCTTTTCAAAAAATCCAGCTCCTGGATTCATTGATTTTTTGAAGGAGTTTTCGTGTCTCTATCTCCTTCAGTTTTGCTCTGATCTTAGTTACTTCTTGTCTTCTGCTAGCTTTTGAATTTGTTTGCTCTTGCTTCTCTAGTTCTTTTAATTATGATGTTAGGGTGTTGATTTTGGATCTTTCCCACTTTCTCCTGTGGGTATTTAGTGCTATAAATTTCCCTCCAAACACTGCTTTAGCTGTGTCCCAGAGATTCCAGTACATTGTGTCTTTATTCTCAATGGTTTCAAAGAACTTATGTATTTTTGCCTCAATTTCATTATTCATCCAGTAGTCTCTCAGGAGCAGTTTGTTCCGTTTCCATGTAGTTTGCAGTTTTGAGTGAGTTTCTTAATCCTGAGTTCTAATTTGATTGCACTGTCTTCTGAGAGGCTGCTTGTTATGATATGTTCTTTTGCATTTGCTGAGGAGTGTTTTACTTCAAATTATGTGCTCTATTTTAGAATAAGTGCTATGTGGTGCTGAGAAGAGTGTATATTCTTTTGATTTGGGGTGGAGAGTTCTGTAGATGTCTATTAGGTCCACTTGGTCCAGAGCTGAGTTGAAGTCCTGAATATCCTTGTTAATTTTGGTCTTGTTGATCTGTCTAATATTGACAGTGGGGTGTTAAAGTCTCCCACTATTATTGTGTGGGAATCTAAGTCTCTTTGTAGGTCTCTAAGAACTTGCTTTATGAATCTGGGTGCTCCTGTATTGGGTGCATGTATATTTAGTATAGTTAGCTCTTCTCGTTGTGTTGATGCCTTTACCATTGTGTAATGCCCTTCTTTGTCTTTTTTTATTTTTGTGGGTTTAAAGTCTGTTTTATCAGAGACTAGTATTGCAACCCCTGCTTTTATTTGCTTTCCATTTGTTTGGTAAATCTTGCTCCATCCCTGTATTTTGAGCCTATATGTATCTTTGCACATGAGATGGGTCTCCTGAATACAGCACACTGATGAGCCTTGACTCTTTATCCAATATGTCAGTCTGTGTCTTTTAATTGGGACATTTAGCCCATTTACATTTAAGGTTAATATTGTTATGTGTGAATTTGATCTTCTCATGATGATGCTAGCTGGTTATTTTGTCCATTAGTTGATGCAGTTTCTTCATAGCGTTGATGGTCTTTACATTTGGTGTGTTTTCGCAGTGGCTGGTACTGTTTTTTCCTTTCCATATTTACTGCTTCCTTCAGGAACTCTTGTAAGGTAGGCCTGGTGCTGAAAAAAAAAAAATCCCTCAGCATTTCCTTGTCTGTAAAAGATTTTATTTCTCCTTCACTTATAAAGCTTAGTTTGGCTGGATATGAAATTCTGAGTTGAAAATTCTTTTCTTTAAGAATGTTGAATATTGGCCGCCACTCTCTTCTGCCTTGTAGGGTTTCTGCAGAGAGATCCACTGTTAGTCTGATGGATTCCCCTTTGTGGGTAACCTGACCTTTCTCTCTGGCTGCCCTTGACATATTTTCCTTCATTTCAACCTTGGTGAATCTGACGATCATGTGTCTTGGGGTCGCCCTTCTCAAGGAGTATCTTTGTGGTGTTCTCTGTATTTCCTGAATTTGAATGTTGGGCTGTCTTGCTTGGTTGGGGAAGTTATCCTGGATGATATCTTGAAGTGCGTTTTCCAACTTAGTTTCATTCTCCCTGTGACTTTCAGGTACACCAATCCAATGTAGGTTTGGTCTTCTCACACAGTCCCATATTTCTTGGAGGCTTTATTTGTTCCTTTTTATTCTTTTTTCTCTATTCTTGTCTTCATGCTTTATTTCATTAAGTTGATCTTCAGTCTCTGCCTTTCTTCTGCTTGATCGATTTGGCAATTGGTATTGTGTATGCTTTACGAAGTTCTCATGCTGTGTTTTTCAGCTCCATCAGATCATTTATGTTCTTCTCTAATCTGGTTATTCTAGTTAGCAATTCCTTTAATCTTTTACCAAGGTTCTTAGCTTCCTTGCATTGGGTTAGAACGTGCTCCTTTAGCTCGAAGGAATTTGTTATTACCTGCCTTCTGAAGCCTACTTCTGTCAATTCATCAAATTCATTCTCCGTCCAGTTTTGTTCCATTGCTGGCGAGGAGTTGTGATCCTTTGGAGAAGAAGAGGCATTGTGGTTTTTGGAATTTTCAGCCTTTTTGCCCTGGTTTTCCCTCCTCTTTATGGATTTATCTACCTGTGGTCTTTGCTGTTCATGACTTTTGGGTGCAGTTTTTGTGTGGTCATTTCTTTTGTTGATGTGGATGTTATTGCTTTCTGTTTGTTAGTTTTCCTTCTATCAGGCCACTCTTTTGCAGGGCTGCTGGAGTTTGCTGGAAGTCCACTCCAGACCCTGTTTGCCTGGGTTTCTCCAGCAGAGGCAGCAGAACAGCAAAGACTGCTGCCTCCTCATTCCTCTGGAAGCTTCGTCCCAGAGGGGCACACCTGAGATGCCAGCTGGAGCTCTCCTTCATGAGGTGTCTATTGAACCCTGCTGGGAGGTGTTTCCCTGTTAGAAGGCATGGGGGTCAGGGGCCCACTTGGGGAGGCAGTCTGTCCCTTAGCAGAGCTTGAGTGCTGTGCTGGGTGATCAGCTACTCTCTTCAGAATCAGCAGGCAGGAACATTTTAGTCTGCTGAAGCTGTGCCCACAGCCACCCCTTCCCCAGGTGCTCTGTCTGAGGGAGATGGGAGTTCGATCTATAAGCCCCTGACTGGGGCTGCTGCCTTTCTTTCTGAGATGGCCTGCCCAGAGAGGAGGAATCTAGAGAGGCGATCTGGCTACAGCAGCTTTGCTGAGCTGTGGTGGGCTCCACTCAGTTTGAACTTCCTGGTGGCTTTGTTTATGCTGTGAGGGGAAAATCACCTACTTAAGCCTCAGTAACGGTGGACGCCCCTCCCCCCACCAAGCTCGTGCATCCCAGGTCAACTTCAGACTGCTGTGCTGGCAGCAAGAGTTTCAAGCCAGTGGATCCTAGCTATCTAGGTGCCAGTGAATCTGGTGGGATTCACTGAGCAGGACCACTTGGCTCCCTGGCTTCAGCTCCCTTTCCAGGGGAGTGAATGGTTCTGTCTCCCTGGCATTCCAGACACCACTGTGGCATGAAAAATAACTCTTGCAGCTAGCTCAGTGTCTGCCCAAATGGCCGCCCAGTTTTGTGCTTGAAACCCAGTGCCCTGGTGTTATAGGCACCCAAGAGAATCTCCTTGTCTGCGGGTTTTGAAGACTGTGGGGAAAGCATAGTATCTGTGCCGGAGTGCACCGTCCCTCAGGGCACAGTCCCTCAAAGCTTCCCTTGGCTAGGGGAGGGAGTTCCCTGACCCCTTGCACTTCCCGGGTGAGGCGATGCCCCACCCTGCTTCTGCTTTCCCTCTGCGGGCTACACCCACTGTCTAACCAGTCCCAGTGAGGTGAACCAGGTACCTCAGTTGGAGATGCAGAAATCACCCGCCTTCTGCATTGGTCTCGCTGCGAGCTGCAGACTGGAACTATCCCTATTCAGCCATCTTGCCTAGGAATGAAAAATATCCATGCAGAGTTTTTGAACTGGATAATCATAAGGAAATTTGTGCAATTTGGAGAATATTAACGTAAATAGAAGTAGTTCAGAGGGTATAAATAAAAGTCTACTGCAGTTATTGAGAATGAAAAATGTATTTGATAAATACATTGATCAGCAAAATGTAATCAGCAAAAATGTAAAAATTTAAAATAATTAGTAAGCCAAATCTATGAATGTATATAAGAGATAACATTGATATTGCCTTGGTGCTTATTTCAGGTAGACAAAATTGCTTAAACTAGAATAATAATACAATTCACTTCAAGAATATATTAAAGGGAACACTTACATGATCATCTCAATAGATGCACAAAACAACATTAGTTAAAATGCAACTTAAAACTCCCTGAGTTTTAGCCAGGCACATGGGCTGCCAGCTAGAGATTGTATTCTCCAGCATTCCTTGCAGCTACCAGTGGCCATGTGACTAAGTTCTTGCCAGGGAACTATAAGCAGAAGTGATGTGAATATTCTCTAGGTAATGGACTGGGCTTTGATTTCTTCTCTTCTCTCTTTTTTCCCCTCTTAGCTTCTGTTTTAGCCAGACCAACCATATGCTTAGACTCATTCTCAGCTCATCCCCAAATCAGAGCCACAAGTTAAAGCCACTCATGGTATACCGCTTAATTTTCTGTCTTACAATGCTATTAGAGGTGTTCTTTATCCATGCTAATATATTCTAGGCTTCCTGAAACAGAGTTTTACTCATTCATCTTTATATTCATTTAGAACCTTACAAAAAAATTGAAGGCACAGAAAGTATTTTTAAATATACATTTAATCGCCATCAATTTTGTTTGCTTGTTCCTGCTGCTAGCTAAATGTGATGTTATTTAATTGAAGCAAATTCTTATCAAGCTACGAAATTAAGGTATAATTTTGAAAATTTGAGTCCGTTTAAACCCTCATGTTACACTTAATTGAAGATATTTAATAAACATTTGTCTTCCCAGTGGAAGAAAAATAGCCTGAAGCTCTTGGAAGCAGAAGCTACAATGTCAGGAGCATAGAGGGATTTTTTGCTTAATTTTCCTGAACTCAATTCTTACATTCTTATAACACACACCAGGCATATAAGTCCTTTATTTCTTGGCCTTCCTAGACTAAATTATAAAGAAGTCTGGTTTCAGTTTAGGATATGTTTTTATAAATGTTCTGGAATTTGTATGTAAAAAAGATGAGGTACTTCTCTATTTCTAGAATCAATTAAGCAACAATTATTTATGGAAAAATTACTAATAACAATGGGACAGTCAATAAATTTTTTTGAAGCAGTCTATGACTGATTACTCATCTGAAAAAAGATTTTGAATTAGATGATTGCTAAGGTTCTCCCAGCAATTAAAGTCCATATAATCTGTTTCAAACACTTCTTTGTCATTGAAAAGTATTTATTTAAAAAGTGTAAGAGTTGGTATTTTAAAACATATTTACCACTAGAAACCATTTAGACTAGAGGTCCTTAACAAAGCAAAGGGGTGTGAGTGAGCAGGAACTTTGAGGGGACTTCACTGTTTGGTAATGTGTATGTCCTGCCAGAGTTGGGGGGGCAGGAATGAGCTTGGTGGAGAAGAATAGATCAAAATCTGGCTGTGCAGCGCCTCGCAGTACTGAACAAAAAATAGTCATAGAATAAAAATGCACTTAAAAATAAACAATAGAATATACAGCAACAAATATTTACTGAACACCTACAATATATCATGCTCTTGAGCTACATCAGTCAACAAAACAAAGATCCCAGCTCTGGTGGAGCTCCATTCTGGTTGGATGGTACTTTTACCTTTTGTGGGGGCCTCAATCACATGAGCCCCATGAGAAAGGTGAAGAAGTAACAGGTATATGCAGTGAAGAAATTGACCCTATAATTCATGATAGCAGTTAGTGACAGGAGCGGCCCATGTAATAAAAATGACAACTGTTTTTGTTGAAGGACAAGAATTTAGATAAAAGGTCATTTGAAATAGCATGTAACAGTGTTGTGTGAGTGTGTAGAAACTTGCCAAGTATGAAAGCATTCATAACAGGAAAGCTCATCATCAACACTGAGGTGTGATTTCAGGAAAATAGCAAGTTGGCAGCAGAGTCTGATGACTAGCATTTCAGGTAATGATATCATTTTCTCCTTCATCCTACTAATTAGTAGCCCCCTTAAGGCACTGCTTAAGCTTCAGAAGCAGATGGGCCAACTACAGTTTGGGTCCAGGCCTCATCTATCTCATTTCCTATATACCAGAGACAGCATGGAAGAGTCTGACATGGTATATTTACTTTGTAGTAAAGCAATTTTTTAAAACACGAAAATCTATGAAAACCTAATGAGTTCCTCAGCCCATGGTGAGCCTCACCCACCCATGCTTTATTTCAATTTGCTTCCTACACAGAACGTGGATACTGGCTTTACATCCATGAAACCAAATAATAATAATAAGGTTATAAGTGAAGAAAGGGGGAGAGGTAGAGCTCGCTCCCCTGCATGTTCCTCAATATTTGTCAGTGCCACCACTAACTGATTCAGAATCATCCTCTACATTGCCCTCTCTCTGTCTTCTTTGTTGGAGGAGGGTCCTTCCACATGGATTAAGAGAGTATCATGTAGCCAAAATTGTTTCATTCCAAAGGCACAAAGGATGTATATAAGATAAATATAGTTTATTTTTCTGTAAACCAGACTTCAAAGATTTTAGCCTTTAAGTATATTGGTATATTTAGTTTGTACTAAAGTAATTTTTTTAAAACAGGAAATTCTCTAAATACATTGAATACATTGAGAATTTCAATACCTCTTAGCTCAAACATTCTTAATGGTTTCACAAAACCCATTTACAAAAAAAAAACCCACACAATTTTTCTTAATATGTTGCTGGAATCATCTTACAAGCATCAGTGTTCAGTTTCTTTTCTTTCTTGAAGTATTCCCCTTAGGTTGCTTGTGATCCAGAGGAGAATTAATTATTAAGCAATGTGTTAATGTTAAAAGTGCATGCGTGTGTGTGTGTGTGTGTGTGTGTGTGTGTGTGTGTGTGTATTTGTTGTGGTGCATGGCAGAAAGAGGTACGAAGCAAGGAGGTCCTAATCTGTCTCCAGGAGAGAAGAATGCATTACTCCTTCTTCTTCTTTTTTGAAAAACTTTTCCCTTTCCAGAAAGCCCTGGCATGGAAATCCTATGAGATTTCTCAATTCTATTTAGCTTTGGGCCTTTTCTGCTCTAGAATTGCCAGATATTGTTGTCTGACAAATCTTTGAACCTGAACTGAGCCAGAAAATTAGGGCCTTGGAAACAAGGTCCAAATGAAGGAACCGATTCAATAAAGTCTGGCTGTGAGTCGAAGTGGCACAATCACAGCAACCTTGTAAGGGCCAGGTAGGTGATTTTTGCCAATGTATAAAATCCTCTTGAACTGAAAGCTCAAAATAGCAAAATTTAAACCCATATTTTAATTTAAAATAACCCAAATAATTTTATAAATAAAGTATGAATAACAACAACAATAATGTCTTATGTTTATATAGCACCTGGCATCTTTCAAATGTATTTATATATCCATTTTTATGTGCTATTCGACAGGCTGTACATCAAGGCTTTATGCCATGTGGTATTTTCCCTGATTTGGGCTAATATAATCTATGTTCATAGCACACCAAGGACATGCCTGATTCCTCTTGTTTTTATGCAAGAAGGATCAGAAATTAGATGGAATTTTCATATATTCAGGACAAAAGATTGTATAGTGAAGTGGAAATCAATGCAACCAGAAGAGTAAGGAGTTGTGCCTCCCTAGGTCAATGATGCACCTATGAGGTCAGGCCAAGATCAACCTTGATGGGGCCACACAGCTGTTGCTTAGGAAGCCTAGATGCTGCCCACAAAAACTACAGATACTGTTGACAAGTTGTGCAGTCATGCAGTTTGTGTAACCAACAACCCTAAACGTACTCACATCTGCAAGTGGCCAGATCTGGGATACATGGGAGATGACTGTGGATTGAGATTATCTGAGCATGCTCAGCTCTTTCTCCCAAATTTATCAAATGAAAAAATCATTCTTCCTCTCTCAGGGAGAAATGAACTAGCAGGCAGGGAGAAATTGAATGGATCCATTTTATACATTTTCTTCCTGGAACGATATTGGAAATTTTCTCCCCTTTATGGAAATAGAAGAATTGGGAATACATAAGCTACATTGCTTTAGCAACTATATTTATTTGGTAACTGCACATATGTGTTTAATTTAGTTGAGCTGTTTTTTCTATATGATTGTTAATTCCTACTAATCAATTTCAATAATTATGTTTGAATTTATGTTCTGCAAAGCATAGCAAGGACCCATATTCAGTTACTAATATTATAAAATGTTATTTGCAATCAAGCCATAGATTAGCTAGGTGATACAGTAGAGTAGATAGACATTCAATATAATCTGACCCACCATTTTATTCTGTCCAGAAATTTCACCAAGAAAATCTATTCTTTTATTTTTTTCCTTTTAACACTGGCATTTTGCCTAGGAAATTTACTTTAATATGCTAATGCTCTTTGTAAACCTTTGAAGAGCGCTTCAGTGTACAGTGTTTCCCAATTTATCTCATCAATAGCTCAGCTTACAAAATTGGGATTAAATTTCAGATAACAAATTATTTTTCTTCAAAATAGAACTAGGAGCCAAACTCCATTTTATAAATTTGCAAACTATTCTTTAATCCTATGGATGTTATGTAATATTTAATTTTTTCAAAACAAACTATAGAGAGAGTAGGTTAAAACCCATTTATAACATTGTTGTTGGGAATACAGTTAACATTTTTCAGTTTTTCAAAGTTGTAGCAAGTGCTATATTCCTGTATGGTTTACAAAATAACATGATATGTTATAATTAGAAAGTATGTAGAAAAATGGAAAACAAACTGAGCCAAATTTTTGGAACAGCCTTTGATACGGTTTGGATTTGTGTCCTCACCCAAATCTCATATCAAATTATAATCCCCAATGTTGGAGGAGGTGCATGGTGGAAGGTGATTGGATCATGGAGGCAGATTTCCACTTGCTATTTCTGTGATAGTGTAAGTTTTCATGAGATCTAGTTGTTTAAAACTGTGTGGCACTCCCTGCTTCACTCTCTTCCTCCTTCTCTGGCCATGTAAGATGTGGCTGCTTCCCCTTCACCTTCCGCCATGACAGTAAGTTTCCTGAGGCATCTCCAGGCATGCTTCCCTGCACTGCCCTAGTAGAAGTTCTTTTCCTCTTTCTCTGGCCTTGTAAGATGTGCCAGCTTCCCCTTCCACCTTTTGCCATGATTGTAAGTTTCCTGAAGCATTCCCCAGCCACGCTTCCTGTACAGCCTGTGGAACCATGAGTAAATTAAATCTCTTTTCTTTATAAATTATCCAGTCTCGTGTAGTTCTTTATAGCAATGTGGAAATGGAATAATACAAAAAATTGGTTCCTGGAAGAGGGGCATTGCTATAAAGATACCTAAAAATGTGGAAGCAGCTTCAGAACTGGGTAACGGGCAGAGGTTGAAACAGCGTGGAGAGCTCAGAAGAAGACAGGAAGATGAGGGAAAGTTTGGAACTTCCTAGAGACTTGTTAAATTGCTATGACCAAAATGCTGATAGTGACATGAACAATGAAGTCCAGGCTGAGGTGGTCTCAGATGGAGATGAGGAATTTCCTGGGAACTGAGGTAAATGTCACTCTTGCTGTGCTTTAGCAAAGATACTGGCAACATTGTGCTCCTGCCCTATGGATCTGTGGAGTGTTGAATGTGAGAATGATGATTTAGGGTATCTGGTGGAAGAAATTTCTAAGCAGCAAAGTATTCAAGACCTGGCCTGGCTGCTTCTAGCAATATATTGTCATTTGTGTGAGCAAAGAGATGATTTGAAACTGGACCTTAAATGGGAAGCAGAGCATAAAACTTCGAAAATTTTCAGCATGACCATGTAGTAAAAAAAGAAAAAACATTTTCTGGGGAGGAATTCAAGCCCACTGCAGAAATTTGCATAGGTAAAGAGGAGTCAAATTTTAATAACTAAGACAATGGGGAAAATGCCTCAAAAGGCATTTCAGAGACCTTTGTGGCAGCCCCTCCCATTACAGGCC
This sequence comes from Homo sapiens, assembly GCF_000001405.40. Classification (NCBI taxonomy): domain Eukaryota; kingdom Metazoa; phylum Chordata; class Mammalia; order Primates; family Hominidae; genus Homo; species Homo sapiens. The sequence goes on along the minus strand of NC_000004.12, from coordinate 120,502,660 downwards.
CAGAGGCATAGGAGGGAAGAATGCTTTTGTGGGCAGGGCCCAGGGTCCTGCTGCTCTGTGCAACCTAGGGTCACCATTCCCTGTTCCTCAGCTGCTCAAACTCTACCTGTGACTAAAAGGGACCCAGATATGCCTCAGGCCACTGCTCCAGAGGGTGCAAGCTGGAATCCGCCAAGGCTTCCATGTGGTGTTAAACCTGCAGGTGTGCACAGGGCAAGAGTTGAAGCTTGGGAGCATCTGCTTAGATTTCAGAGTATGTATGGAAAAGCAGAAGTCTGCTACAGCAGTGGAGCCCTCATGGAGAACCTCTTCTAGGGCAGTGCAGAGGGGAAGCATGCGGTTGGAGCCTGACACAGAATCCCCATTGGGGTACTGCCTAGTAGGGCTGTGAGAAGAGTGCCACAATCCTCCAGACCACAGAATGGTAGATACACTGACAGCTTGCAACCATGCTCCTGAAAAAGCCACAGATACTGAATACTAGACAATGAAGACAGTCATAGGAGCTGTGCCCCACATGGCCTTGGGGGCAGAGCTGCCCAAGGAGTTGGGAGCCTGCTCCTTTCATCAGTGTTGCCTGAATGTGAGACATGGAGTCAAAGGGGATTATTTTGAAGCTTTGAGATTTAATGACTGCCCTGCTAGGTTTTGGATTTGCATAGGGCCTGTAGCTCCTTTGTTTTGGCTGCTTTCTCCCTTTTGGAAAAGGACTATTTAACCAATGCCTATATTGCAATTGCATCTTGGACATAACTAACTTTTTTATTTTTACAGGCTTATAGACATAAGGAATTTGCATTTCCTCAGATGAGACTTTGGACTGTGGACTTTTGAGTTAATGCCAGAATGAGGTAAGACTTTGGGGGACTGTTGGGAAGACATGATTATATTTTGAAATGTGAGAAAGACAGGAGATTTGGGAGGGACAAGGGGCAGAATGATATAGTTTGATTTGTGTTCCCACCCAAATCTCATGTTGAATTATAATCCCCAGTGTTGGGGGAGGGATATTGCAGGAGGTAATTTGATCATGGGGGCAGATTTCTCCTTTGCTGTTCTCATGATAGTGAGTTAGTTCTCATGAGATCTGGTTGTTTAATAGTGTGTAGCACCTCCCCCTTCATCTCTCTCTCCTTCCTACTATAGCCACGTAATAGCGTGTAGCACCTTCCTACTATAGCCATGTTTAATAGTGTGTAGCACCTCCCCCTTCATCTCTCTCTTCTTCCTACTATAACCATGTAAAATGTGCCTGCTTCCCTTTGCCTTCCGCCACGATTATAAATTTTCCAAGGCATCCCCAGCCATGCTTCCTGTACAGCCTACAGAGCTACAGGTCAATTAAACCTCTTTTCTTTATAAATTACCCAGTCTCAGGTAGTTCTTTATAGCAATGCAAAAATGGACTAATACAACTTCAGACATTTTTTCTAATTAAAATTATGTTTCCCCAAATAAGTAAATGCAACCATTTATTAAAATAATACCATGATGTGATGTCTATTTTCTATATTCTATTCAACCACTTGTATTTTAGATGTATTACTTTCATTGCTCTAAGAAGCAAAATTTATTGAATGTTCTTAGGTTAACTTCACTTTCTTTCTTTCTCTGTTTATTCACAGATGTTCATTTTATTCACAGATGATAATAATAAAAAAGGGAATTTTTGAATTATTATACACTATAAATGTTCTTGAGAAATTACATTTGACTGTCAATTTTTTTTGCCTTTCTGTGATAGTGGATTTTAGATATGAGAGGTATAGCTGAAAAAGACTGGTTTCAAATATACTCACTTTGACACTGGATGAAGCCTGAAGCCTAATCTCAAAGAAGCTATAAACCTGGCTATTGTGAAGTTTTGGGAGTTGAGGCCAAGGACATTTAAAAGAAGTCAGCCAGGTGATATTGCCTATAGACACAATTAACAACATGCTTGCAGTTAAATAACAACTATTATTTATTGAGAAGGTACAGAATAACACATATTATTCTATCATTTTATATATGTTTAACCATTTGATCTGCATAGTAACACTTTGAGGTATTTTCTAATATTAATTAAACTAATTTTATAGAGAGGGAAATGGCAATTCCAAGAGGTAAAGTAACTTGCCCTAGGCTAATTTAGTATGTGGTGAAGCCAGTATTCAAACACAAGCAGTGCACAAAATTATTTTAAGAAATGAAAGAAAGAAAGAAAGGAAATAAGGAAAGAAAGAAGGAAAAGAAAGAAAGAGAAAGAAAAGAAAGAAGAAAGAAAGAAAGAAAGAAAGAAAGAAAGAAAGAAAAGAAAAGAAAGAGAAAAAAAAAGTATAAAGAAAGAGAAAACTATAGACAAATAGTTTGGAAAGAAAAAAAACTCTATTTATAGACAGCATGATCCTATATGTGAAACTCCCAAGGAATTCACAAAAATACTACTAGAACAAGTAAGTGGACTCAGCAAGGTTGCAGGATACAAGATCAATATACAAAAAACTACTTTTTATCATATTCTAATAGCAAAAAATCTAAATACAAAATTGAGAAAAATTTTATTCATAATAGCATCACAAAGAATTTAGAAATAAATTTAATAAAACAATTGCAACACTTATACACCGAAAACTACAATACATTGCTGAGGGAAATTTTTTAAAAATCTGAAGTGATTGAGAAACAAAAAATATTCAAGGATTGGAGTATTCAATACTGCTAAGATGTTAATTCCACTAAAATTAATTTATAAATTCAAATAAATCTCTATTGAAAAGCTACATTGTGTGTGTGTGTGTGTGTGTGTGTGTGTGTTTCAAAACAAGCAAGCTGCCCTGATATATCTGAAAATATAAACAATAGCCAAAATAATTTTGAAAAAGGAGATCAAATTTAGAGGACTTACAATATTCAATTCCAAATTTATCATATAGACACAGCAATTAATCCAATGTAGCCTTGGCACAAAGATAGGCACATAGATCAATGGAACATAGCGGAAAGTCCAAAATAATCGTGTGTATTTACTATCAACTGGTTTTCAACAAATGTACCAAGATAATTCAATGGGTAAAAGACTAAGTTTCTTGTAAAGAAATTATTTTGTTTTGTAGATATCCAATAGGTTCAGCTGCATCTGTAGAAAAAGATTATTATTTTCTCTAGGCCTAAACTTATTTCAAATTTTTAAAGAAAGAAAGCACAAACATTACTTAAGATTTTGCAGACATTGTCTCTCCTGCACTATAAATATTTGAGGCTAGGCAGTGTGGAGCATGTTCATATCTCAATATACTCTCTGGCCATATGCCTTCATTTCTTAATGCTATGCTAGAGAGTTGTCATAGTGACATTAAGCAGAGAGCTATGGCATCTTGTTTATCACAGCTATTATAGTAAAGATAAAGGGATATTAATGTTGAAGGGAGAGGGGATCTAACGCACAAATGAGAGAAATGTCACTAGGCAGGAACAAGTGAAGTTCACCTGCTGTAATGGGAGGAAAGGTGGTGTGAATTGCGAAAGATGTAGGAACATCAGGAGATATGATGCTGGGAAGGATTAGGTTATTTTTTTGATCTTTTTATTCAGTGAAAGAAGATGCCAAGTCATCAGCTATAAGTGTGTTAATGACTTGGAAAAAAAATGAAGAAGAACATGCAAATGTGTCTTTCTAGAGAATGGAAGAGGCAGTTGACTATGGAAATGTAGAAAGATTGCTGGGCCTTGATGTATTACTTAAGGCTTGCTGTCATAAATTTAAAGCATGCCCAATCAGCACAGTTGTATAGAAATATAATGCTGCTGAAGCAGATGGGATTTGTGTAATCAGGCCTGCGATTTTGCCACTCCTCTGTGACAGAGAGAAAAGGGAACAAGGGAATAGATGGTGTGTGCAAGAAGGTCATTAATAATAATGGGTTGTGGAACTTAAGCTCAATAACAGAGGAAATGAGAAGGAGGTGGACATTAAAAAATTGTTAAATTAGGCAATATAACATAACATTCATAGCTTGAAAAATACTCTCAGTATAATCATTCATAAGTTCTGGAAAAAATAAAAGAAACATTTAAAAAATATAAAACTATGATCACAGGGAGTATAGACAATCAGTAGAAGCCAAAACCAAAAAGTGAGCACAGACTAGAACAGTAAGAAAGCATGTATTCATCTGTTCTCACACTGCTAATAAAGACACACCCGATACTGGGTAATTTATAAAGGAAGGGGGTTTAATTGACTCACAGTTCAGCATGGCTGGGGAAGACTCAGGAAACTTACAGTCATGGCGGATGGGGAAGCAAACATGTCTTTCTTCATCTGGCAGCAAGAAGGAGAAGAATGAGTGCCCCGGGCAAGGAGAAACCCCTTATAAAACCATCAGCTCTCATGAGAACTAACCCATTATCACAAGAAGGGAAGGGGGAAACCGCCCCCATGTTTCAATTATCTCCACCCGGTCCCTCCCACAACAAGTGGGGATTATGGGAACTACAATTCAAGACGCGATTTGGGTGGGGACATAGCAAACCGTATCAGGCATGAAGCCAGAATATACTACTGGGACATCTGTGGGTATGTATCCACATCTGCAGATCTGTGGATAACCCAGGGCCTCATGTTTCTGCAGTCATATCTGGGAAAGAAAGACAAGGCATGGTGAGGAGCTGAAACCAAGACTACCACATGAAATTGAATCCTTCAAGTGATTTTTATCCCCAGTGAAAAGGTCAAGAGGAAAAATCAAAAACAAAAAAATCTGATCTCTGCGTGAATTGAAAAAAAAGGAATTCATTACTTAAGGTCAGTTAAATGATCATTCAAGATCAAAAGCAACATGGAGACATTTTCTGATTAGCAAAATATAGATGTTTTCTATTTACTTCAAAAATAAACCCAGAGAAAAATATGAAATGTTAAAAGGAATAGTGATAAATTAAATGGAATATAAATAAACAAAGATTGCTGTGAAATAATATCCAGTGGGAGAGGGGCATTAAAACATGACAAAATTAAATGTTAAAACAATAGGTACAACTGAAGGAAGGAATTTAGAATTAAAGTGTTTTTAATTTTTTAGAAAAGGTTAAAGACATTGATTATATTTCAACTTTAGTAAATTAAACATGCATGGAAGAAAAAGGGCAAAGAGAAAGTGCAAAAAGAGGCTAGAAGTAATTCCAAATATGTCACTAATAACATTATGTATATGGACCAAATTTGGTAAAATTCAGATACATAGAAAAAAACAAATACAGCTATATATTATTTCTAAAACATGAACCTAGGATAAAGATACAGATAATTTAAAAGTAGAAGGATTGAACAAACATACATATGCCATGTGAATATTTACTAAAAAAAGCTGTAGGGACTACATTAATGTCAGACAATGTAACCATTAAAGTGAAAAGAATTATTAGATTAAAGGAGATTACTATATAATGTTGAAAGATTCAATTCACTAAGAGAAGGTAAAATGTTTAAACTTGTATGCATCTAATTATATAGCACCAATTATATATATAAAATCAAAATTTGGAAAAAGCCTCAGAGAAATTGTAAAACCTAAACACACTTCTCTCAATAATTAATAGATAATTTAGATAAACAATTGGTAAAGATGTATGTTTGAAAAATCCAACTGACAACTTCAATTTAATGTACTTGAGTAATTCATTATTCCAGTAGCTGGGAAAAACACATTTTTAAGTTTACACGGACAGTTTGCATAATTTAATGTTACACCAGGACATAAATAAATTTTATTGTCATAGAGACCACATATCTGAATACTGGGCTAGTATTACTGTAGAAACTGACCGTAAAAGATTACATTTTAAAAAGACACAATTAAATTTTAGAGCACACTAAGTCAGTCGTTGGTCAAATAAGAAATTATAATGGAAACAGGAATAAATGAGAAGTGATCAATTACAAAAATACTTTGAATCAAAACTTGCGAGGGGCAGGTAAAGAAATACTTAGTAGTAGAGTTTTTACCTCACATATCACCTTACATGTAAAGGGACTTTATATGAATGAACAAAGCAATCAACTTAAGATGTTAGCAAAGTAACAAAAGATTAAACCAAATAAAGTAGAAAAATAATATAAAGAGAAAAGAATATACAAATAAATTGTTTCTTTTACATGACTGATTACATAAATACCTTTTGTGACATTCATCAAGAAAAGTCTTAGAAGGTACAATTTTAAGAATAAAAAATAGGATGTTAGATGAAGCAACATCTTAGAAGTGCGGGACAATTATGTCTAACTTTAAATAATGATTTTAAGTAAATTGGTAAAATTTAGTCATTGTGGAAACTTACCTAGGGAAAAGATACAACTCATCAAAACTGACTCAAAAAAAAAAAACTAGACAACTGTTATAGTCCTATTACCAATAAATAAATGGAATCAATAGATAGTAATCTATTCAATTACAAATGATCATCCCCAGAAAGTTTTAGAGTTCTACAAAACTTCTACTGAATAGATAATTGGAATCTTATACATCTATTGCAGGTATTAGAAAAAGAGAAAGCTCCCTCAACAAATTTTATAAACTTAGTCTAGCTTACTATCAAAACCAGAAATAAATAATGAGAGAAAGAAAAATTACAACTCAATATCATTCACAAGCATAAAACAAATGTACTAAACACAATGTTAGCAAATCAAATTCAATACCATATAAACAAATATACAGTGTAGAGCACATTGTTTTATTCACAATAAATGTAAGAATGATTTAAAATAATATAACATATTAATGTAGTTCAATAACAGATGAAAGGAGAAGACTGTAAGCCTACCCCAGTAGATATAGAATCAGCATTTCTTAAAAGTAAAAATTATTACTTTATTTAATTTGAAGGACTTGAGAGAAATCCTTCAAGGTACACTAGTTTTACAAATAATGCAAGGCAGATGCCACTTGAAAGTTGTGGTTGTGACAAATAGGTTAAACTTCTGAACTTTACATGTATAGAATTAAAATACAGGATGAGAAGTGCTCAAAGGTTACAAAGGATAAAGGTAATTAACGATTATAAAGTTCTTACACTGTTTGTGAAATAGTACAATATTATTTGAAGAAAGCCTATGATAAGTTAAACATGTATATTGTAGTCATAGAACAACATTTACAAAGTAACATAAAGAGATATTGTTAAAAGCAATATGAGATAAAAAATTGAATACTGAAAATTATAAGTCATCTAAATGATCCCAGGAAAGAAAGAAAAAAATGAGGACCAAAAGTATTTTTAAAATAAACATAGACTGAAACACACGATAATAATACTACCTTAAATGTAAATGTATTAACACTTAAAAGACAGATATTTCTAGGCTTCATGAAACACAAAATATTTAAGATATAGACTGTGGCAGACAGATTTTAAAGAAGCCCTGTGATTCCTGCCCCTGGTGTTTGCATCATGTGTGGTTATTCATACTTCTAAATAACCCATGGGGTGAAGATAAATAAATGGAACATATTTTCACTAAATGATAATTAAATAATGAAAAGATTTTTAAAATGTGAGATATGGCTAAAGCAGTGTTTGTTAAAAGTTATAATTTCAAATACCGATGTTATAAAGAAAGTTTTTTCAAAGATAAGATAATGCAATTGTTTAATCTCAAGGTTGATTTTAAAAAGGAGAGACAGATTAGTGGTATCTACTTTATTTATTTATTTTTATTATTATTATACTTTAAGTTTTAGGGTACATGTGCACAATGTGCAGGTTAGTTACATATGTATACATGTGACATGCTGGTGTGTTGCACCCATTAACTCGTCATTTAGCATTAGGTATATCTCCTAATGCTATCCCTCCCCCCTCCCCCACCCCACAACAGTCCCCAGAGTGTGATGTTCCCCTTCCTGTGTCCATGTGTTCTCATTGTTCAATTCCCACCTATGAGTGAGAATATGCGGTGTTTGGTTTTTTGTTCTTGCGATAGTTTACTGAGAATGATGATTTCCAATTTCATCCATGTCCCTACAAAGGACATGAACTCATCATTTTTTATGGCTGCATGTATTCCATGGTGTATATGTGCCACATTTTCTTAATTCAGTCTATCATTGTTGGTTCCAATTTGTGTTGGTTCCAAGTCTTTGCTATTGTGAATAGTGCCGCAATAAACAAACGTGTGCATGTATCTTTATAGCAGCATGATTTATAGTCCTTTGGGTATATACCCAGTAATGGGATGGCTGGGTCAAATGGTATTTCTAGTTCTAGATCCCTGAGGAATCGCCACACTGACTTCCACAATGGTTGAACTAGTTTACAGTCCCACCTACTTTAAAAAGGAGAGATAAATTAAGAAATTATATATATATGTACACATATATGAACGGTAAGGAAATATTATTTAAAAATTTATACTAATGAATTTTGCAACATATTTGAAATGGAAAAATCATATTGTGTCCAGAATTGGTTCCTTCCAGTGGGTTTTTGGTCTTACTGACTTCAAGAATGAAGCCGCGGACCTTCGCGGTGAGTGTTACAGCTCTTAAAGATGGTGTGTCCGGAGTTTGTTCCTTCAGATGTGTGTGGAGTTTCTTCCTTCCAGTGGGTTTGTGGTCTCACTGACTTCAAGAATGAAGCTGCGGGCCTTCACAGCCAGTGTTACAGATCTTAGAGGTGATGTGGACCCGAAGAGTGAGCAGCAACAAGACTTATTGTGAAAAATGACAGAACAAAGCTTCCACAGAGTGGAAGGGGACCTCTGTGGGTTGCTGCTGCTGGCTGGGGTGCCCAGCATTTATTCCCTTATTTGACCCTGCCCACATCCTGCTGATTGGCCCATTTTACAGAGTGCTGATTGGTCCATTTTACAGAGTGCTGATTGGTGTGTTTACAACCCTTTAGCTAGACCCAGAGCGCTGATTGGTGCATTGTTACAGAGTGCTGATTGGTGCATTTACAATCCTTTAGCTAGACACAGAGCACTGATTGGTGCGTTTTTACAGATCACCGATTGGTGTGTTTACAATCCTCTAGCTAGACAGAAAATTTCTCCAAGTCCCTACTCAACCCAGGAAGTCCAGCTGGCTTAATCTCTCAATATGAAAGGCAGAAATTACTAGAACTAAAACACAAAGAATTAGAAAATGTGAATAGTCCTATACAGCCAGCCCTCTGTATCTGTGGGTTTCACATCTATGGTTTCAAGTAACTGTGCATCAAAAATATTTGGGGAAAAAATTTCACAAAGTTATAAAAAGTAACACTTGAATTTGCTGTGCATCAAGTACTATGCTGAATCCACGTGAATAAAGTGATGCTTAAGCATTGTATCAGGTATTATAAATAATCTGTAGATGATTCAAAATATATAGGAGGATGTGCATAGGTTACATGCAAATAATAGGCCATTATATGTAAGGGACTTGAGCATATGCAGATTTTGGTATCCATGAGGTTGGGAGGGTAGAGCCTGAAACCAGTCCTTCACAGATACTGAGGGACAACTGTATATTGTAAATAAATTAAATTTGTCATTAAAGATTTCTCTCAAGAAAACTCCAGGTCTAAATGATTTCACTGGTAAGTTCTATCATACTTTTGAGAAACAAACACTGTCAGTTTGAAGAAACTCTTTCAGGGAACAGAAGAAGGTATACTTTCCACTCATTTTATATTCAAGCCTTAACATACAAAAACAGACAAAGTCATTGCAAATAAAAGTTCTTACACTGTTTGTGAAAAAGTATAATATTATTTGAAGAAAGTTTGTGATAAGTTAAAGATGTATATTGTAATCATAGAACAACATTTACAAAGTAACATAAAGAGATATTGTTAAAATCAATATGAGATATAAAATCTCTCAGTGTAAGAACTTTATACCTTGTGAATGTATGTACAAAAATCCTTAATAAAATATTAGCAAATCAAATCCAGTAATACATAAAAGACAATATGAATAAGTAGAGTTTGTCCTAGAAATGTAAGGTCTGGTGTTTAAATACCGTTCATTGAAATCCACCACCTCAACAGAATAAAGAACAATCATGTCGTCATTTCAATAGAAGACCTTGGATAGGTTGTGGTTGCAAAATATGTCAAAATAAAAGCATGTGCAGCCTCTCAGAGTTTTAGGAGAATGAGTGTGAATCAAAGCAAAAGAATGGTTTTCAGTCCCTCAGGTTCTCAAATTTAGAACCAGCTTTCAAGTTTTGGAAATAAACCCTCAGTTTTAGAACTAAAGTAGCAGAGAAAATGAGAATTTGGGCTTGAGGAACTCACGCAAGAAGTAATGAGGATGACAATGTGGCAAATCTCTGTGGACAGAAGACTGAAGATGGATGTATAATCCAAATGCCAAATGATACTTCCAGTATTCTGATGTATTGTGAGGCTGAGAAACTCAGCCACAGCACCAGCAAAAGTTGGAGTGGAACCTTGATTTTATTGAGATAAACACTCATTTTCCTTAGCAGAAATAAAAAAAGAGATTTATAGTTATGACAGATACATCCAGGGAAAAAAATATAGTAACAAAAACAATTGTTTAACAGCAGGTACCTTCAAGAAAGAAATTGAAGTTAGGTTCTATGGAGCCAGAGAGAAGGAAGGACAGGAGGGCATATACAAGCAGTGGGATTCATAGAGCCAGAAGACAACAATCTTCCTGATAAACTTGTTACATCCTTCAAACCAACAAAGCACTCAAACTCTCTGTTACTCTTAAGTAAGATTTTAAGCAATGGAAACTAGAAACAGACTTCTTTTCATTTACTTCCTCTGAAGATGTGATTCTGAAGGAAGAGCAAGAAGTTGGTTTTTGTCTCATTTTCATGAAACATTTTCAATTGAGTAAAATTAACTCAAAAGGATGTCAAGCAACTCTGACCTAAATGAATATGTTGTACGCTTGACATGTAACACTGAATTCCACTAGTCCTCACACCACTCTCAATTTAAAAAGACAATAGCTGACTGTTTCTTGGAGTGATGGCAAATTCCACTTGGACACCTGTGGGCCAGATGTGTGTAGCTGCACACGCACCCTGCTATTCTGCCTGCAACATTTACCACAAACTCAAACTACTTTTTTTCTTTGGCTGAATTGAGAAGTAGAGCCATCAGAAAGCACCACAATTCAAACATTTTTTCTCATACTCTTTTATCTCGTCATTCATATGCTTTTAGTTTTCTTTTTAATTCTATTTTTAAATAACAGCTCTTATACCAAAATCCACCAGTTGCTTTTTTCCTTGTTTAAAAAATATTAAGAATTTGAGATTAATTGTAGCATTTAAAACTTGCTTTTATTTTTGAAATGTAGACGGTGACAAATGGAGGTATAATATGCTTTACTTTTCTTTTGGGTCAACCATAGGCAAAAGAACAAATAGAGTTTTGAAACTCTGATGAACTAACTACAAATCTATTGAAAGCATTAGACCGTGTCTAGTTTTAAACATTATTTAATAGAAATGATAGGGTTTTCATATTAAATGAAGGGTTGTTCTTTCTTACAGGTCTGTGCTCCAAGCTGGAAGGGACAGTTATTCAGCAGATGGACATTAAAAGAGGAAGGATCAAAGGGTGACATCATTGGAACTCAAGGTCTAGTAATGGAGAGCCAGGTGGACACCAGAAGGATAAAATTAATACGATATTTTACTGCTACCAACAGGCAAGAAGACCAGAGCAAACACAGCTACATATGCAGAAACCCTCTATCAGCTGGCAGTAATTTGCCTGGATTAGCCCAAATGGCTTGCTTAAATCCATCTCATATAATATTACCATGCAGATTCATGGTCATCCTTGTACCAAATCAATGTGCTAAGCTTTAAAATGAGCTGTGAATCACATGTCTAAGGTATTTAGGCAGTACTGCTCAGTACATTCTTTATAGGTAATGAAGAACTAATTTTAGCTTTATATAATTTCTTGGGCTTCATTTTAAATATAAAATATTAAATTTGGCCAGGCGTGGTGGCTCACGCCTGTAATCCCAGCACTTTGGGAGGTTGAGGTGGGCGGATTACCTGAGGTCAGAAGTTCAAGACCAGCCTATCCAACATGGTGAAACCTCGTCTCTACTAAAATACAAAAATTAGTCAGACATGGTGGTCTGTAATGTAATTAGTCAGACATGGTGGTCTGTAATGTAATTAGTCAGACATGGTGTAATGTAATTAGTCAGACATGGTGGGACGCCTGTAATCCCAGCTTACTTGGGAGGCTGAGGCAGGAGAATTGCTTGAACCCGGGAGGCAGAATTTGCAGTGAGCTGAGTTCGTGCCATTGCATTCCAGTCTGAGTGACAAGAGTGAAACTCTGTCACACACACACACACACAAACAAATTAAATTTATTAAAAGCACACACTATAGAACAATTAAAGGCACTAGCCTAAGTGCTTTGAATGTATGATGTCACTTAACATTCACAATAGTCTTACATGGTGGGTACTAATGTTATGTCCATTTTGAAGATAACGGATAAAAATTACTGAGACGTTACATAAGTTTTTAAGGTGGTCCAGCTAAAAAACTGTAACATTGAAACTGGGTTGTTTTACTCTGGAATATCTGAAACCATGCTTGGAGGATTTGGATTGGTATTGTAGTTCAAATAACTTTGCATAAAATTTGTCTTATTTGCAGGTAGTAAGTTTTGCTTCTTATTGATCATTATTTACAAATCTCATCAAAGTTATATTTGGCCCAAGTAAAGTAGACTGTTTTCTTGCTCTTTAGATGATTTTTCCCCGTTTACTCTAGAATAAGATCAATATTATCCTGCTGGATTTAAGTTCATACTATTGTGATTCTAAGGATATACTAAACTACTCAGCAAAGTTCACCAAATCACTTCATTTTTGAAGAATAAGAGTTAAAGAAATCTGTACATGTGTGCTATAGTTTGCCTGTGTCCCCACCCAAATCTCATCTTGAATTGTAGCTCCCATTAATTCCCATGTATTGTGGGAGGGACCTGGTGGGAGATAATTGAATCATGGGGGCAGTTTCCCCTATACTGTTCTTGTGGTAGTGAATAAATCTCATGAGATCTGATGGTTTTATAAGGGGTTTCCCCTTATGTGTGGCTCTCATTCTCTCTTGCCTGCCACCATGTAAGACGTCCCTTGCTCTCCTGCCATGATTGTGAGGTCTCCCTAGCCACGTGGAACTGTGAGTCCATTAAACCTCTTTTTCTTTATAAATTACCCAGTCTTGGGTATGTCTTTATGAGCAGCATGAAAACAGACTAATACAATATGTGTTCATGATTCATTCCTTGTCAGAACAATATAGGCAGATGGACTTAATGGAAGTACATTCTGAAATATTAGTAAGAATAACAAATTAGAATTTCCCAATAATTTTATCCAATTCCTGAACTATATGACTATCTCATTGTTTTATAAGTTTAAGTAGAGTCTTTTCTGCAACAAATGAAAGTATTAAATAAAAATATTTTCAGATGAGCAGTCATTCCCTAATTGTATTATTTTGTAATACTTGTAAATCTAACATAAAATATGTGATAAATAAAGCAGATATATCTTGAATGTCAGAACTAAAAATGGAAAAAAGGTATAATACATAACCTGATATTTTTCCTTTTAGGATTGTGTTATTCTTCCCCACATAGAATCCACAGCTGATGGTAATCTGCTACAACTTTAATCTATTATTGGTCCTCAAGGGTAATTAGACTTCTAGAACAGGGCTCCTCAAGCTTTAGCAGGCATCAGATGCTGGGCACAACCCCCAGGGTTTCTGATTTAGTAGTACTGGGGTGAGGCCTGATCATTTATATTTCTAACAAGTTCACAGGTGATGCAGATACTGCTGGTTTGGGGACTAATATGGTTTGAATCTATGTCCCCACCCAAGTTACATGTTCATTTGTAATCCCCAATGTTGGAGGAGGGAGATGACTGGATCCTGGGGGCGGATTTCTCATGACTAGTTTAGCACCATCATCCTGGGTACTGTCCTCCTAATAAATCGTGAGTCCTCATGAGATCTGGTCATTTAAAATTGTGTAACAACAAAAGCCACTGGATTCGAGTCTTTCTTTCTTGCTTGCTTGCTTGCTTGCTTTCTTCCTTTCCTTTCCTTTCTTTCTTTCTCCCGTCTATGATCTATGGGAAACTTACCTGACTTGGGTCTTCTCTTTCCTCTGATGCTTCCCATTGTTTTTGTTAGATCCCTTTCAGTATTTTTTTTAATTCCTTTCACCCCTTCCCCAAACCTCCTTGACTAGTCTCTTTTTGTGCTTGGTTTAGGAGACAGGTTGTCATTAATTTAGCCCAGTCTTTTCTCCTGCTGGCAGAATATTCAGTAGGGGATGGGGAAAACCTTCACAGCAACCAAATCTCAGGATAAAATAGTCACAATCAGACCTTGCCAAATACAAATTTATTTTATCATAGTTACTCCAAATTATCGTGCAAGAAGAGTTTAAGGGCTTCTTCTATTATTTTAGTCTGTTTGTGCCAGGGGATTCTCCTTGGAATAAAACTAGAATAGGCTTTGAACATGGACAGCTTCTATGAGTGACAGTTCTAAAGTGGTACTGTCTGCTAAATAGGTATGCCTCTGAGTTTAAAAAAAAAGAGGAAAATTTTTGTCTTCCAGTTTTACTCTTATAGGAACACCCAATGAGAGGCTGGTCATATAAAAGCATTGGTTTTCTTTTGCTAGGAGATCTTTATCTTCAATCCTGCCATTACCTTCACCACACTGTTATTTGCCTCCTTGCTGACAAAAGGGCACAGGAGCTTTTCCAACCCTGCTCTTTTAAGTTCCCTGAGTAAAGGCATGCTGGTCGTCTTTCAGATTCTCAAAAGAATCTGCTCTATCAAAGGCCTTTGGACATGCCTTGGTGACAGGGCCTTTGGACATGCTGACACCTCTGCCTTGGAAAATTCTCTGTTGTACACTTTCATATAGTTAAGTTACGTTCATTTTATTTTCATCTCAATTTGCACACGCTCAGGGAAGCAATCCTCAATTGCCAAAACTTAGTCAAGTGTGCTCCTTTACTTTTTTGTTTTTTGTTTTTTTTTGTTTTTATGAAACAGGGTCTCACTCTGTCACCCCCAGGCTGGAGTGCAGTGGCACGATCTCAGCTCACTGCAACCTAGACCTCCTGAGCTCAAGTGATTCTCCCACCTCAGTCCCCTAAGTAGCTGGGACTACAGATGCGCGCCACCACACTCAGCTAATTTTTGTATATTTTGTAGAGATGTGTAGAGATGGGGTTTCACCCTGTTGCCCAGGCTGGTCTTGAACTCCTGGACTCAAGTGATCAGCCTGCCTCAGCCTCCCACCATGCCCAGACAGCTCTTTTACTCTTTCTTTGTTCCTTGTACTCTTCTTTTATTGCACATACCACAATTTAAAATTGTATGTTCAATGATAACTTATTTTTTGGTTCCTCCCATTAACCTGTAAAGTCCAGAAAAGCAGGACTCCTGTCTGTTTTCTTCCCATTATTGAAGCCTTAGAGCCTAATAAAGTGCCTAACAAATAATTAACACTCAGCAAATGCTGCTTTGACTGAGGGCATTATGGTGTTATCCAAGTACCTCTTAGGATAGGTAGCATGGAAATAGCGATGCATTATAACATTGCATATTCTCCCAAGTTTATGCAATCTCTTAAACCATGCCAATACACATATTGGAAATCTGGGGCAAGTATAAACGTTTAGGACTCTATTTTCACTAACAAATACACCACATATCACAAAGGATAGCCAAGAAAACTCCTCTGATGAGGAGAACAATTATGCTTTTGTACTTGCTTTCTCTAGAGCATCTCTCTTAGGCATATATTATCCTTTTAAGATTTGTGTGAGGGCCGGGCGCGGTGGCTCACGCCTGTAATCCCAGCACTTTGGGAGGCCGAGGCGGGCGGATCACGAGGTCAGGAGATCGAGACCATCCTGGCTAACAAGGTGAAACCCCGTCTCTACTAAAAATACAAAAAATTAGCCGGGCGTAGTGGCGGGCGCCTGTAGTCCCAGCTACTTGGGAGGCTGAGGCAGGAGAATGGCGTGAACCCGGGAGGCGGAGCTTGCAGTGAGCCGAGATCCCGCCACTGCACTCCAGCCTGGGCGACAGAGCGAGACTCCGTCTCAAAAAAAAAAAAAAAAAAAAAAAAAAAAAAGATTTGTGTGAATTATATTTTTCCTATTACTCTTTTCCCTCCTGTTTGAGTTACTGGATTTGAGCTGTAGATGTAAGTTCTTTCTTTGTTTCCATTCCTATATTGGTATATTTATCACCACCAAGAGTTTCTAGTTGATTTTTCCAAGTTTCTCTGTTATAAGTTTTATCCTGTTGTTTGTCTTTCACTGGCATTTCCATTGATAATTTACTTTTCTTCTTTGATATTTAACAAGCATTTATCCTTCAACTTTTAAGTTTCTCAAGAATTTACTTCCTTGAGGAGCACAAAGCAATGTGTAACATTTCAGGAGCTTGAGAAATTTATTTTAAATTTGGTAAAAAACCCAACAGTAAGGTTAGGTCACACTGGGGAGCAAGACTTTTTAGATCAAACAAATATACCAATGTTTCCAAGCTGCAAGGAATAATTGCTCAACCTTATAAAATATTCTCTCTGGCCTTCAATGGCCTACATTTATTATATTTATATTGGTCAGAATTTAAGGCAAGTAATGTCTTAATTTTACTCTTCTTCATCTTATGTAATGATTTCCCTAGAAGGTTCCCAATTAATGGCTTCACTTTTTAAAGTATTTAGAAAGAAAGCGTCAAAGGATGAAATTGTCCTGGAAAACATCATAGTTACAGAAATGTCTTCATAATCACTGAAAATATAGAATGGCTGGAAAATCTAACCTGCAATTATTTTATGGTATTAAAAAACTTTATCTTTTTTTTTATAAAATGAATAATCATTATGGAGGAAAAAATGTCTCCTTGGCTTCATCGGGTTACCCAACTTCCAACTGGGCATCTAATGCTGCTGGTGATAAAACCTCCTGCTTTAAGTGAATACAGGAATGCCTGAGGTTTGATAGTGGGTATGCTTTCTAAAATAACATTTATGAATACTTAATTTCATTAAATGTAGTCCTTTATCTCTTCTTCTGTATTTTGTTAAACTTAACCAATGTAAAGAAAAAATTAAAAATTCTATTATTATCATTACATTGATACCGAAATAACTGGATGTCTGAAACATTTGATGAGTGTCTATTAAAACATCCCAAAGTCACTGGTCTGATTAAAAATTAATCTCAATGTATCAAATTTCAATCTTTGACATGAACCTTGAGTGATGGTTCACAATAATGCATACTGATAAACTTATTGCATTTTTTCTTTAAAATAATATACACTAAAGTATTGGTTTTCTTAGAGAATTTTCTCTTAATTAATTTGTTAATTTGCATTCCCATGTTCCATTTTCAAATAAAAATAAATTTTATACCACTTTTTTACCTGAGTTTATTCTTGGTAACCTGATATGGTAAACAATATCATTTGTGCATCATGGAAATTTGCACTTACAGTGTAGTGAAAGAATTCTCATCCCAATGTGATGGTTCTATTTTCATAGAATTTACCATACTTCTATGGTAAGTTCAAAAGAAAATGGTGCCTTTGATATCAGCAAATATTGTAGAAGAGATAAAAATGATTCAAAATCCATATATGCTTTTTCCCCTCTCTTGCTAGACTGAGAAAAATAAACCATGGAGTGCTGGACTGATAGTAATCTTGAACACTTACAGGTATTGTGGTTACATGAGATAACTCAGAAAGCAAGGCAAATTTCTAGAATAAGCAGAGCTCCCAATATGTAAAAACTGGAGTAGATAATCATTATATCACAACATCATTTCCCCTTGCTAGACTAGTCATAACTTCATCTTCTTTCTTATCCATACCCTCCACTATAAATCTCTTGACTTTAATTATGTTCCACAAATGTTAATGCTCTGAACGAGACTACCTAGAGACAAGAAACTCCATTCACAATCATACTGAACAATTGGACAAGTACAACATGCCCAAGTGAAATAGCCTCATACAAATAACATTAGAGTCATTCCATTTACCCGATCTCTACTATCAGTGGGGTCCTGTGAAGGGTGAGCAATGTTGTCTTTTGGTGTGAATTCCAACCATAGAAGAATTAAACCCTTCGGACCATATAAAAATATAATAAAGACCCTTCTGACCAAATAAAAATACAATATCTATTATGCATCTTGATTTTTTTCATTATTAAACTATCAATAATGGGGAATTCCTGTGCTGAAGTCACTGGTGTAGTGATGTTTTGACCACATTTTTCCTGAATACCCACTCCTTTGTCCAGATCCCTGGCTGACCAGTTGGTACTATGTGATAACTTTCTTTCCAGTTAACTTGGTTAAGGAAGGAAGGAATATCCAATTCAAGGGGAATTACCTCTAGGCTGAGACAATTAGATTTTCTTTTTCTTAAATATGTGTACTCAGAATCAAAGATTAAAATAAATTGGTGATTTACTAAGCCAAATCAGCTTGCAAACCAAAATTGTGGGGGATCCAACACTAAGAACCTTCTGTGAAAAACAACAGGAGGCAAGAATGAGAAAGAAATAAAACACAGAAAAGGGTAGAGATGAGTGATCCTTCAGTTGCAAAGACAAAGAGATAGAGATTTTTTGTGTCTAATGACTTTCCAAGCCCAATTAAACCAAGTACTTCCTGAAATTTGGTTCTTCTGTATCTTTTTAATGAAGTTAATGTTCCTTGCAGTTGAATTACTTTCCGTTATTTGTAAAGAAAACAATTCCCTAATATAACCCCTTGAAGTTCCCCCTTCACTCTTCAAAGCAATAATTTGAAATGAAGGCACATCAGTATGTAAACCCCTTGAAAGATGGAAATTTTGCAGAGTGTACAGCTTGGCTTCACATATAATTTGGAAGTTAATCAAATCTGTATAAAGTTAATATTTGATGCTGCATTTAAGTATGCATTTTCCTTATCATGAAGTTCTAAAAAATGAGCATGTTCAAGGGTAGAAAGAAAAAGAGTCAGTGAGATCATAGAAATAACTATATTCATTCATCATTAGCAATATATTGACTACTACTATGGGTTGTGGGAGTAGAGTGATGAGTAACTCAGTCTATGCTCAGAAAGTACTCACAGTCTAGCAGGAGTGACAAGAACAAGGCAGAGTAGAAAGTGCCACAAGAAATCAGAAAACAGAGACATGTTTGATATTCAGTATTTT
This sequence comes from Homo sapiens, assembly GCF_000001405.40. Classification (NCBI taxonomy): domain Eukaryota; kingdom Metazoa; phylum Chordata; class Mammalia; order Primates; family Hominidae; genus Homo; species Homo sapiens. The sequence continues at coordinate 120,483,408 of NC_000004.12, read as the reverse complement.
TTGCTAAATCACAATCCACGAATATAGGTAAAACTGCAAATGCTTACACAAGAGTTTCAGAGAACTCCAATTAGGAGAACCACGGCAAAAAGAGCTTGAAAGACAAGTTTTTGGCCCCCATTTCTCATCTCTGTAGATTTTAATTACAAGTAATTATTACAAAAATAATATCTATCCTCTTTTAGTTTATTCTGCATGCCAAGTAGTCCATGCTACATTAAGCACTTTACATGCATTATTTCATTTAATCCTTATTACAGCCTTTTAAGGAATTGGTTTTAATTGAACGTTTTCTTTAAAATTGTATATATTTATGGGGTACAACATGGTATTTTCATATACATATACATAGTGAAATGATTAGTACCATCAAGCAAATCAACATATTCATCTCCTCACATAGTTACATTTTTTTGTGTGTGTGGTGAGATCACCTGGAATCTACTCTTAGCAAATTTCCAGTATACAATACAGTGTTATTAACTATGGTCATCATGCTGTATATTATATCTTTAGATGTATTCATCTGATAGAACTGCAACTTTGTACTCTTTGACCTACATCTCTCCATTCCCCTAACACCTCACTCCGATAATGACCACTCTACTCTCTGTTTCCATGTTTTTGACTTTTTTTAGATACCATGTGTAAGGAGATCATGCAGTATTTCTCTTTTCTTTCAGTGCCTGTTTTATTTATCTTAGCATAATGTCCTCCAGATTCATCTATGTTGTTATAAATGGAATAATTTTCATTTTTAAGGCTGAATAATAATATTCTGTTGTATACATATATACCACAATTCTTTCATCCATTCATCCATCAGTGGACACTAAGGTTGTTTCTACATTTCGGCTATTGTGAATAATGCTACACGTGGGAGAGCAGATATCTGTTTGGTACTTATTTACTTTCCTTTGGGTATATATCCAAAAGAGGGATTGTTTTTAAAGAGAAGTCATAATTTGTAACTCACAGATGAGGAAACCAAGGTTGAAACTATTTGCCCAATAGTACATGACTCGTGAGCTTCAGAGACAGCTGATAGAGGCAGTTCCTACAGTCTTTATCTTCCTGTTAAAATTGATGCTGCGTAGTGGAAAAGAAAAGAAAAGGAAACTGTGGAGACACCACTGTGAGAACTGGAAAGGACAGCACTTCTTTGAATGCAAAGCCCCAAGTGGACGATACTTTTCAGCTTGTTCAGGAGAGATGCTGTTCAATGACTGAGTTATTACAGTTTACAAAAGAAGTGTTTTTTATATGAATGTTGGCTTAAATGTGGGCAAATATGAAATAATTATCCAATGATATTGCTCAATATCTTAAGTGGAGTCAGAGATGTCCTGTTTTCAGAAAACGATGGTTAATAGAATGACATAGTGGAAAAATCAATGGGCTTGACGTCAGTCAGTGGCTCTTAACAGTTACTTGAGTATGGAGAAGTTACTTAATGTATTTTGGCCTATTTTCATCATGTGCAAAATAAAACAGAGTAATTGATCTAAAAGATAACTTAGTTCCAAAGGCAGATGGAACTCCATGACAACTCCTGGCAAAGCAGACCACAGAGCTGCTCTGGCATTCTATTCCACATGCCTCAGTGAAGCTCCTAGCGTGTATGAAGACCACATACTGAAAAAAGCTAAGAAGAAAGGAGTAAGAAATAAACACAAAAATATGAAGCAGTGTGTTCATAGTGGAAGAATTCCTAAAGCCTTTTTACATAGGCAGATTTTAATCCTCCAGTTTTTTTTTTTCTCCAGATGTTCCTAAATTTCTTGTTTGAGCAAGAGTGGTTTATGTGAGTGAGTTGTTAATGGGTGCTGTCAGTTTGGAAGCACGTTAATTCTGGAGCAATTTATGGACAAGGCAGAGGGGAAATGGGGTACTCAGTGCTTGACTATGAAGATTTATATAATAATATATTTTTCTGGAATTTTGACCTTGATTGGTGTTAGTGAGAAAGCCTGTTTCCTGATTTCCTTATACCTAACTGGTCTGAAGTTTCTATCTTGTATACATATAGCCCTCACAACAAACCTGGTGTACTTCTCTATGACATATTGCTCAACCATTTGTCTCTGCACTAGAGTGTGAGTCCTGAGGAAAGAAGCTACACCTTATTCATTTTTATCTCCCTCACATGCTGATAACTAAACCAATCATGGGCAAGAAGAAAGCAATAACTGTGATTGGCTAAAACTAATCATAATTTGCAGACTGGAGCAATGGAGGTGTCGAGTGTCTACTGAAAAACATGGCCCCTAAATTCATGATCAAAATCTATATTACATAAGCAAAGAAGATAGTTGAGGACTTCTGTACTATAGACAGCCAACAGCAACTAACCAAGTGAGAAAATGAAATATGAAGCTTTTGTCTCACTGAGTCTGATGAAGTATTGAGGTAATTCTAAACTTCAAAGGTCTAATAATTTTATTTAGGTGATTAAAAGCTTAACGGGCCATTCATTTGGACTGAGAATATCTTGGCAGTCTCTGTCAATCACATTTGGACCATCACAGGAACTGCCAAGATATTCTCTCTTTTAAGTACATCGTATTTTATGATTTGGCAACCAACTTATCAGCTAGTATATTGCTTTTTAAGTCCCGATTATGGATATATTTTTGGCTGTGACCCAGAGAATGTTATAATCTTGGCCCTAACCATACTTGAGCCAGAATCTCCATGTGGCTCATATCGATTAATGAAATATCAATACAGGAAGTTTAGAGGGACTGGAAGTATGTTCTTGCCAAGTAAGAACAGGCATTATTCTATTTTCTCTTGTAATCCAGCCTCCCAAGAGAAATAGTCAATTGATCATAATATAAAAAATATACTGTTAGTTATACATGTCTCCAACTCAAATAAAAGTATTTATTAACTGACAGTGATTCAGGAAGATTTGATTGGAAGTAGCTTCAAAAGATGTTAGGTAGACTATGCCTAATTTGGGAGTGGAGATGTTTCATGGTGAATTATTTTTTCAAAAGCTATTCACTCAAGGATAATATTAACTAATCAGGCTTCACAGAATTCCACTTAATACAAAAACCTATAGGTAAATTAAAAATAATTTTAAACATTTTATACATCTGATATGATAGATCTTAATAATTTTTTTTTTCAGATAGGCTCTTGTTCTGTCACCCAGGCTGGAGTGCAGTGGCATGATCATGGTTTACTGCAACCTCGACCTGCTGGGCTCAAGCAATTCTCCCACCTCAGCCTCCCGAGTAGCTGGGACTAAAGGCACGTGGTCTTGCCCCATATCACCTAACTTTTAAACTTTTTGTAAAGGTGGAGTCTCCCTATGTAGCCTGGGCTGGTTTTGAACTCCTGGGCTCAAGTGATCCTCCCACCTCAGCTTCCCAAAGTGCTGGGATAACAGGCATGAGCCACCATGCCCAGCAAGAATTTCAATTGTTTAACTTCCTATAAAAAACTCATTTATAAGTGGGAGCTAAATGATGAGAACACATGGACACATAATGGGGAACAACACACACTGAGGCTTATTGGAAGGTGGAAGGTAGGAGGAGAGAGAGGATGAGGAAAAATAATTAATGGGTACTAGACTTAATAGCTGGATGATGAAATAATCTGTACAACAAATCTCCATGACACAAGTTTACCTATATAACAAACCTGCACATGTACCCCTGAACTTAAAATAAAAGTTAAAAAAATTAAAATTCTTCTGGCTTAGTATCTTATCAAATAGACATCTTTAAATTAAGTGTGGCCTAGTATTAACTATCACATAATACAGATAAAGGAACACATATACAAAGTGAAAAAAAGAAATGTAAGATTGATCTCTCAGTCACTAAGGAAAATTTGGTGAGGTCTACTTCCAAACCTTTATTCTTCTCTCTCCTTTCTTTCACATTTTTTCTTTTTTTTTTTAATTATTATACTTTAAGTTCTAGGGTACCTGTGCACAACTGGCAGGTTTGTTACATATGTATACATGTGCCATGTTGCTGTGCTGCACCCATTAACTCGTCACTTATATTAGGTATATCTCCTAATGCTATCCCTCCCCTCTTCCCCCACCACACAACAGGCCCTGGTGTGTGATGTTCTCCTTCCTGTGTCCAAGTGTTCTCATTATTCAATTCCCACCTATGAGTGAGAACATGCGGTGTTTGGTTTTTTGTTGTTGTGATAGTTTGCTGAGAATGATGGTTTCCAGCTTCATCTGTGTCTCTACAAAAGACATGAACTCATCCTTTTTTATGGCTGCATAGTATTCCATGGTGTATTTGTGCCACATTTTCTTAATCCAGTCTATCATTGTTGGACATTTGGGTTGGTTCCAAGTCTTTGGTATTGTGAATAATGCCGCAATAAACATACATGTGCATGTGCCTTTATAACAGCATGATTTATAATCCTTTGGGTATATACCCAGTAATGGGTTGGCTGGGTCAAACGGTATTTCTAGTTCTAGATCCTTGAGGAATCGCCACACTGTCTTCCACAATGGTTAAACTAGTTTACAGTCCCACCAACAGTACAAAAGTGTTCCTATTTCTCCACATCCTCTCCAGCACCTGTTGTTTCCTGACTTTTTAATGATTGCCATTCTAACTGGTGTGAGATGATATCTCATTGTGGTTTTGATTTGCATTTCTCTGATGGCCAGTGATGATGAGCATTTTTTCATATGTCTTTTGGCTGCATAAATGTCTTCTTTTGAGAAGTGTCTGTTCATATCCTTTGCCCACTTGTTGATGAGGTTGTTTGTTTTTTTCTTGTAAATTTGTTTGAGTTATTTGTAGATTCTGGATATTAGCCTTTCTCAGATGAGTAGATTGCAAAAATTTTCTCCCATTCTGTAGGTTGCCTGTTCACTCTGATGGTAGTTTCTTTTGCTGTGCAGAAGCTCCTTAGTTTAATTAGATCCCATTTGTCAATTTTAGCTTTTGTTGCCATTGCTTTTTGTATTTTAGACCTGAAGTCCTTGCCCATGCCTATGTCCTGAATGGTATTGCCTGGGTTTTCTTCTAGGGTTTTTATGGTTATAGGTCTAACATTTAAGTCTTTAATCCAATTTGAATTAATTTTTGTAGGTGTAAGGAAGGGATCCAGTTTCAGCTTTCTACATATGGCTAGCCAGTTTTCCCAGCACCATTTATTAAATAGGGAATCCTTTCCCCATTGCTTGTTTTTCTCAGGTTTGTCAAAGATCAGATGGTTGTAGATGTGTGGTATTATTTCTGAGGGCTCTGTTCTGCTCCATTTGTCTATATCTCTATTTTGGTACCAGTACCATGCTGTTTTGGTTACTGTAGCCTTGTAGTATAGTTTGAAGTCAGGTAGTGTGATGCCTGCAGCTTTGTTCTTTTTGCTTAGGATTGACTTGGAAATGAGGGCTCTTTTTTGGTTCCATATGAACTTTAAAGTAGTTTTTTCCAATTCTGTGAAGAAAGTCATTGGTAGCTTGATGGGGATGGCACTGAATCTATAAATTACCTTGGGCAGTATGGCCATTTTCACGATATTGATTCTTCCTATCCAACAGCATGGAATGTTCTTCCATTTGTTTGTGTCCTCTTTTATTTCATTGAGCAGTGGTTTGTAGTTCTCCTTGAAGAGGTCCTTCACATCCCTTGTAAGTTGGATTCCTAGGTATTTTATTCTCTTTGAAGCAATTGTGAATGGGAGTTCACTCATGATTTGGCTCTCTGTTTGTCTGTTATTGGTGTATAAGAATGCTTGTGATTTTTGCACTTTGATTTTGTATCCTGAGACTTTGCTGAAGTTGCTTATCAGCTTAAGGAGATTTTGGGCTGAGACGATGGGGTTTTCTAGATATACAATCATGTCATCTGCAAACAGGGACAATTTGACTTCCTCTTTTCCTAATGGAATACCCTTTATTTCTTTCTCCTGCCTGATTGTCCTGGCCAGAACTTCCAACACTATGTTGAATAGGAGTGGTGAGAGAGGGCATCCCTGTCTTGTGCCAGTTTTCAAAGGAAATGCTTCCAGTTTTTGCCCATTCAGTATGATATTGGCTGTGGGTTTGTCATAAATAGCTCTTACTATTTTGAGATATGTCCCATCAAAACCTAGTTTGTTGAGAGTTTTTAGCATGAAGCGTTGTTGAATTTTGTCAAAGGCCTTTTCTGCATCTATTGAGATAATCATGTGGTTTTTGTCTGGTTCTGTTTATATGATGGATTACGTTTATTGATTTGCCTATGTTGAACCAGCCTTGCATCCCAGGGATGAAGCCCACTTGATCACGATGGATAAGCTTTTTGATGTGCTGCTGGATTTGGTTTGCCAGTATTTTATTGAAGATTTTTGCATGTATGTTCATGAGGGATAGTGGTCTAAAATTCTGTTTTTTTGTTGTGTCTCTGTCAGGCTTTGGTATCAGGATGAAGCTGGCCTCATAAAATGAGTTAGGGAGGATTCTCTCTTTTTCTATTGATTGGAATAGTTTCAGAAGGAATGGTACCAGTTCCTCCTTGTACCTCTGGTAGAATTCGGCTGTGAATCCGTCTGGTCCTGGACTTTTTTTGTTTGGTAGGATATTAATTATTGCCTCAATTTCAGAGCTTGTTATTGGTCTATTCAGGGATTCAAGTTCTTCCTGGTTTAGCCTTGGGAGGGTGTATGTGTCAAGGAATTTATCCATTTCTTCTAGATTTTCTAGTTTATTTGTGTAGAGATGTTGATAGTATTCTCTGATGGTAGTTTGTATTTCTGTGGGATCAGTAGTGATATCCCCTTTATCATTTTTTATTGTGTCTATTTGATTCTTCTCTTTTCTTCTTTATTAGTCTTGCTAGCAGTCTATCAATTTTGTTGATCTTTTCAAAAAACCAGCTCCTGGATTCATTTAAAGGCACTCCTTGTTTTCTCTTCCCACAGCCTGCAGCAATTGATTAGTCATATGTATGTGTGTGTATATATATATATGTGTATATATTTATAAGTTTATTAAACCTATGTATATAAATAAGTTTATTAATTTTTTTCAGTGCAAAATAGAGGGTTCCAATGTAATTTGTTAGAGTTGCCTAATGATAGATGTGAACCTTTGTTTATATTTCTTCCTTCTTCTATCTGTCTTCCTTCTCCCCTTTCTTTTTTTTTCTTTCTTTAAGATACTGGTGTTTTGAGGTGGATAGACTTGGTTTGAATCCTAGTTCTGCCAATAACTGCTTTTTTATCTTTGGGGTAGTTGGTTTGCCTTCCCACACATTACTTTCCTTATCTGCAAATGGCAATGATATTATCTAATGCAAAGAGCTGCTCTGAAACTTAAAAACTATATATCCAGTGGGTAGCACAAATAAAGTAATTTTAAATGGCACTCTACAATTCATCAGATGCCTTTTCTAGTATATAGTCAAGCCTGAGATGAGCAAACTTCATCAGTTGGCCTAATAACTCAATATGAATACAATATTTAAATAATATTCTCAGCAAAGGGCATTTCAACCACTAAATTAGAGATGCCTTTTCACCTTCTATATAGAAGGATGTTGGATTAAATGATTTTTGAGGTCTCTTTCAGCTCAGAATTCTAAGGTTTTTAATTTCACCAGGTGTTTGTTGAGCGCTGCAAGCAAAAAGCCTCTTAGCCAGATATAACAGAAAATACAAATATACAAACAGAAAACACAAATATAATGATACAGTTCTTGTCCCTCAACAAGTATAGATTTGTGAAACCCCATAAGAAATAAAGCATGTATACTTGTTTTCAACCCTTATTTGTGCTGCTTTCTGAAAATTTAATCCGATCTTTTTTGGTAAATTGTCATTGTGGCATCTCTTAGTCCTACTATTTTCCTTTGTTGCATCCCCCATTTTCAAAATTATGCTTTCAATTTTATGTTTATTTTTGAAGACTTTTTAAAAAAGCAATGACTATATAAATTGCAAATAAAATCCAGAAACTTTAAAAAAGCTTATTTCTTCACTAATCACCCTGTATTCTGAATACAATGACAAACACAACACCTGATGAAGTTGTATATTCTTGTTTTCCAAAAGACAATCAAGATGGCTAAATAGTGGAAAGGAGAGCTTTACTGGGAATATCAGTTTGCAACTCAGGAAGAGAAAGTCTGTAGCATGGTTGGAAGGTCCTCTCTCTTTGAAGAGGGAAAGACAGATTGGGTTTTATTCCTCACAGGGCTTGTATCATATATGTCCAGCAAGTTTGGAGGAAAAGCTATACATATTTATGAGGGAAGCAAAGAGCATGTGCAATGGGCAAACATATATAACATACATCCCATGTTCTCTTGGGTTGGGATTTTAGCATTAAAATGAGGTGGAATTGGCTCTTTATGTCAAAAGGTGGTAGGACAGAAATACAGTTTGTGGGGAGCCTCTATAAGCTATTTGGAACTAGCTTAAGATCTACAATTGCTTATCAGAAAAGAACGTTTGTAAGTCCGGACCTCTGTCCAATCAGAGTTGTAGTGGTCTGGGTTGTAAATCGGAGCTGATACTTTCTATTGTTAGGGAGTTTAGCCATGGGAATTTAGATATTTGTCATGCCAGCCAGGCCCTGTACCCTCAACCTGTAGGTAGCTTTATTTCCTTAACCTGTAGGTCCAACTTAATTGATAAAAAGGCATCTATTTTTGTCTCTCAGATCACAGTCTCTGGTCTTCAGTCTTAGTCCCTGGTCTTCTGCCCAGATAAGGAATGTATGTTCCTCTATTTATAATTAGGAATCTCATTTAGTAAAGGCATATTGATTAATGGTTCTTTATAGCAACCATCTCTTTGACCAAAGTGATGAATGCCTTGGCCATTTTACAGTTCTCATTATTGCAAAAACAAATGCAGTGACATGTGCAGAAAGAATCACCGGCCATGAAAAACAGATACAGGAATAGTTCTGCAAAGGACTTGTGTTGCTGGTCTTCACGATGAGCCTAAGCAGCTCATTAGATTCACCATTATGAGTGCTATGGAAGGAAATGGTTGTGGTAAACTTGCTTTCCCCGAAGTTTACCTACTTTGAGGATCTACAACCATGTGAAAATGATTGGTTTTTACAAATTAGTTGTTTTAAAAAATAATGACATACTTTAAAGTAGAATTAAGTAAAACTATTAATGGAACAGTTCATGTTGAGGTTCCTGATTGCATTTTGTGGTGTTAGAGAAGGAGTGTAGGAAAAGCAATCTGGATATCCAGGGTTCTTCCTCCAGGTCTTTCACTACTTGGGAGTGTAAATTGTGAGAAATCCCTGAAGCACCTCTGCTTCCTCATCAGGATAATTGTAAGATTATATGGATCAATAGTTCTTCACCTGAAGTCCAAGGACCCCCAAAGCGCCTATGAATAAATTTCAGAGAAACTGTAGATTTAGGTAGGCAAACATTACATTTTCATTTTCAATCATCCCTGGCTAAAATTTAACATTACTTTTAATTACGGATGTGGGCAACAAGTACATATTATTAGTGGTAGCACTACCATAACTTTGTTCCCAATAGAAACCATAGATATTTTTATATCCTAATTTAGTTGTTACAGATATTTTTAAATACAGTTTTGCTCATTACTACTCTGAATTCAAGCAGCTGTTAGATCTACTACTAAATCTTGCTATTTAATATAGCCATAAATAAGCTTATATATTATTATGTCAAAAGGTTGTTTCTGAAAATATTTTAAAAACAATTTCAGTCTAATTAAGACTTTTTGGTAAGCCTCTAAATTCTATTTTATGGGTTTGATAACATTATCTAAGAGGGGGTTGAACCATAAGCTTCTTCAGACTACCAAAGCATGTGGGCATAAAAGAAGTGAAAAGTCTTCTCATTAAATAAACTCTAAAGTTTTTTTTTTATTTCTGAAGGTCAAGATTATAGTTCTATAAGATTTACTCTAAATTCACTAAGTAGAAATTATACCCAACTAAAAAATAAGAATTGTACAACTGTTAAAGACCCATTTCTCAATATATATAAATATAAAGACAACTTTTTAAAGGACTGAGCTAAACATCCCTCAAAAATGGCATTAATTAGGCCATGCCATGCAGATTTCTGCAGGTTTGATAAATGTAATTTGGATTATATAATTAAGTTCCTATCTCTTGACTATAATTAGTTTCAAATATTAGTTCATGAGTAAACTGAGCATTTGTCCAAATTTTGTCTTTATTTGAATTTCTTGTTCTAAGCATGTAGGGAATGTGATTGAATGAGTGAATTACTAAAGAATGAATTATATTCACATTTTTCAAATAATGAAGTTGGAAACAGGAAGAGTGATTGGCAAAACAAATAAAATTTAAAATTCTGACTTTGGTCTAATTCTACCATCAACAATGGCTACTATTAGATTTATACTAACTCATTATTCCTTCCCAGAAGGAACAATAATCTATCTTCAAAGCCTCAGGGGATGGAAGAGCATGTTCAACAGGTTTTGATGTAAAGAAAAGGGCATGCTTTCTAAGAATGTCTGTTTTATAATAGTCATGGTTGTCACCATAAATATGATTAATTGGCTTTTTGTCAGCAACAAGACTTTTAATTCTGAGACAGTGGCAAAATGAATAATGAAAAGACTTCATCATTTCATATAGCTGCAATTTTGAAGAATGCAAATTTTATGATGCAAGTAGGAAGTTGGCTGAATTATGTGCAAACTGCAATTTGATCAATATTGTTTTTTCATAATAACTACTCTTAATGTGTCAGCCGTATTTCTCTTCTTGCAGTAAAATCATATTTCTTTGAAGTGACAGTGAATTATTTTTTCCTGTCTGTATGCACTTCAATACAGTGGTGTTGAATGATTAAAATGAAAGCCTACATATTTCAACATGCACATTTTTCTTTTCTTATTTCTTCAGACTTATCATTGGAACCAATTAATTTTGGTCACAAAGATCTTGGTCTTACCTAGTCATTTCTAGCACATTTGATGTAGTTTACTTTGGTTAAGACCTTTTAGATTCAAATATGAAAACAAGGACCAAGGGATTTTTTTTAAATGACGTACACTTGTGAAGATGCACTTTATTAACAATAAAGGATTCTTATTCCACAGGGGATTCTAAGTCACACTCTGTAGGTCTGGAAAAAAGGATTTAACCACATGATTCTAGATTTCACCGACATAATAAATCCTTCTCTATAATTTTACATCTGTTTATATACATTTTGGGTTTGGAGTTTAAGTATAATTTTACAGATAAAGTTTTTATATATTTAGTATTTTAATGTATGTGCAACATTTTTTCTAATCTGGAAAGCATGATGTCAAAAATATAACTGGCCACCTTATAGGGTAAAATGAACTGAACACATTCTGTTTCTTTCAATTCATTAAACATTCTATAATAGTTTTTTTTTTTTTTTTTTGAGACGAAGTTTCAAAAAAGTTTCACTCCCCTCAGGCTGGAGTGCAATGGCACAATCTCGGCTCACTGCAACCCCTGCCTCCCGGATTCAAGCAATTCTCCTGCCTCAGCCTCCCATGTAGCTGGGATTACAGGCGCCTGCCAACACGCCCAGCTGATTTTTGTATTTGTAGTAGAGACGGGGTTTCACCATGTTGGCCAGGCTCGTCTCCAACTCCTGACCTCAGGTGATCCACCCGCCTCAGCCTCCCAAAGTGTTAGGATTACAGGCGTGAGCCACTGCGCCCGGCCTGATAGTTTTCAATAAAGAAAATATTCAGAGTAAAAGCTAGTTACTCTGAATAAGAGTAAGGCAGTTACTCTTAAAACTGCAGGAATTCATTCATTCATGCCTTTTAAATTATTTCCCTTTCTTTTTTCACAAAAACTTTTATGTATTGAATATGTATAAAGGAGTATTGAGAGGGGGTGAAGTAAAAGAAGTGCAGAGTTTGAAGAGATTAAGTTGAATTGTGCTTTTATTTTTAAAATGAGGCAAGGATAGATATTTGATTTTATAAACTTTTGGTCCCTTAAGTTAAAAAGTGAATACAATTATAAACTTACAATTTTGCATTGATCTCATTATAAATGGAATTTTAAAAGCTGAGAGATTGCATATATGAAGCTATTTGTGTTTTTCTCCAGTTACAGGAGTGTTTACTACAGTCATTGCTTTGTTTTGTAGATTAAACTCTATAGTGTATTTGGAATTAAACACATGTATCTTAGAACAGGTTATATATGTGAAAATATAAAACACAGATGATCATTGGATTAGGTAATTGCCATTGACAAAGCTATATTCACAGGTAAATACCAGACAACAAAGCCAACTAAAGACAAGGAAAAGCACTTTTCTAGTTTAACTGGTTAGAGTCAAACTAGAATTTTTACAGAAACCTTAACTGCATGCAGTGAGCTTTAATGTAACTATTTTTAAGAAACAAAAAGATTTTCTCAAAACAAGTACATATTAAAATTATGTTCTATTTCTAGATAAAAAATTATAAAGTCTTTGCCATTTGTATTTATTTAAAAATAATTTAGGGCCATATATTATGCTTTATTATCTGACATGGACATTTAAAAGCTTAATATGTTTCATAGTATGTTATACTTTAGACTAAAAAGAGCCGTAGGCTTAAAAGCTCTTTCTCTGTACTTACACACACACACACACACACACACACACACACACACAAAATGTATGCCTATACATATATGTATATATAATATTCATATTTGAACCTATACATATATAAGTAAAATTAATATAATATTGAGGACTTCTTACATGTACGGTACCATATTATCATGTTAGGCACTTTGGGAGATACAAAAACGGAAAAAAGACTGTTTCTACATTCAAAAGATTTTGCCCACTAGGTGTGGAAGACATAATGCACAAATATTAGGCATAAAGTGATAAATATAAAAAAGTCCTGAGGTAACCTCTTTATTGTTCAGAGAAGAGAGGGCCACTGTCATCTGGGAATCTGAGGAGACCTTATAAATAAAGGGGGTGATGTTGGAAGTTGAAATATATCTTATGCTATATGGAGATGAAAGCATTCACAGTGAATGAAACAGTTTGAACAAAATCCAGGAAAATGTGCATGACATAAAAAGAAGTAACAGATATGCTTTTGGGGAGGTGCAAATATATAAAATATATAAAAGTATGTAGTATGAAATGAATTTAGAAACATAACTTGCAGACAGAGTCTCAAATGCCAGGTCTAGAGTTTAGACTCTACTGTGTACAATAGGTACATGAAAGTCTCCGAACAAGAAAGTAGTCTGATGGAATGTGGGTTTTGCAGAAGCATTTTCAATGCTTTATTATGCAGCATGTTAAATCTCTATAAGTCCTTCTTGGAAAACTTTCTCTACACCAAGTTCACAAAGATATTCTCTAATATTATTTTAAGAAGCTGTCTTTGTCTGTTTCATGATGCTATAAGAGATTACCTAAGATTAGGTAATTTATAAAGAACAGAGATTTATTTCTCACATTTCTGGAGTCTGAGAAGTTCAAGATTAAGGCACTGGCATCTGGTGGGGGCTTCTCTCTGCTTCCAAGATGGAGCCTGGAGCACGGCATTCACCTGCCAGAGGGGAGGAATACTATGTCCTCACATGGCAGAAGGCAGAAGGGCAATAAGAGACCTAACTCCCTCAGTCAAACCCTTTTACAAAGACAACTAATCATGAGGGCCGGGCCTTCATAATTCAATTACTTCCCAAATGACACACCTCCCAATCCTCTTGCTTTGAGGATTTAGTTTCCAAGACATAAAATTTGGGGGACACACTCAGACTATAACAGAAGTTTTATAGTTTTATCATTCCCTTTAGATCTTCAATCTACCTGGAATTGGTTTTTTGGAGGATATAAGATAGAATTCAGGTTTCCTTTATTTCCCCAAATGAGGAGATACGTTATTCTTTGTAATTTTCTGGTTCGTGGAGGAAGCTTCACTATATGATCAAAATATTAAATAATGCCGATTAGTAATCGAAAATGAAAAGTAAAGTAACATTTATTTTTGCCCAGTTAGCAACGACTTTTTCAAACTGTTAGCATTTAATATTGATAATTATAATATCAGTCTTAGAAATGAAACAGTGTTTTCAAGTCTTGACATTGGAGTTGTCTTTTGAGACATCATTTTTGTACTATGTATTAAATACTCAAAATATTTACAACCTTTTTATAATTCAATTTCTAGCAATCTACAAAAAATAGAAAATTTAAAAAGTAAAACAAACTAGAAAAGAAGACTAGGGATTACTGGGTTAGGGATTTTAAATTTTAAATAGGATACTTAGGATGTCCTCACTAATAAAGGTGATGTTTCATCAGACACTGGAGGGAGGTAAAGAGTTGGCCATGTGCACATGTCTGGGAGGAGAACATTCCAGGCATTGGGGTGAGGGAGTCCAAAGGATCTGAGCAGGACCACAGAGTTCACATTTGAGGAGCAGCAATATGGTCAGTGTGGAGGGGGAAAGAAAAGTGAAGTGAGATCAGAGAAATGGCTGGGCCTCCATCTAGGGGCCCTTTCTCAGACTGTAAAAGTCTTGGAGTAAATCCAACTAAGACAGAATCTATTGGAGGGATTTGATTAGAGAATTGACATAATCTCAAATATGATTTACAAAATTTACTGTGGCTTTTATGTTTTGAATAGAAGGTAGGAACATAAGAGATACCAGTCAGATGGCAATTTGACAATCCAGGACAAAGATGATGGTTTTTCAGACCAGAGAGATTGATAAAAAAGGGCCAGATTCCAGACGAATTTAGAAAGAGTTAACAGGATCTGCTGACAGATTGGATATGGATAAAAGAGAGGAGTCAAAATAGTTCTAATGCTTTTAGCTTAAACATCAGAAGCATATATTTGCTATTAAATGAGATATGTAAGACTGTAGGGGAAGAAGAGTTTGAGGGTAAGAACAGAAGCTTGAATTTGCTGTAAATTTGATGTGTTCACATGGAATAGACAGAAAGAAGTAAGATTCTGATGTTCAGTACAAAGGTCTGCATTGGAGATACACAGTTAGACATCAGAATAGAGATAGTATTTAAAACCATGAGATCACCAGGAGAGTGAGAGTAATCAGAGAACAGAGTTAACCTTAACTCTCACGTTAAAAACTTGAGTATCTAATAAGTAGCTAATAAAAGAGATGAGAAAGAACTTGACAGGTTGTTATAAAGAAAACTAAGAAAATTTGGGAATCTGAAAAACAAGAAAATAAACTACATCAAGGAGGAGAAACATATGAAAATTATAATACAATAACTATGCCATATCTTTATGTAACAATTAAAATCATAGCTTTGGGAAATTACTAAATTATGTGGAAAAATACTCCTTATCTATTAAGATAGATAACAAAATACAAATTATGATCCCTGTTTTGAAAAATCAATTAGTAGGGTGAAGCACGTATTTGAATAGAAAAAATTGACCAATTATACCACAATATTAATAATGTTTATCTCTGGGTGGCAGAAGTGTAATTTCATTTTTTTCTATATTTTGCATATTTCCCCGAAAATATTAAACAAGATGAATTACTTTTATACCTATGATTAAATGAAATGGGGTTATTTTTAACATTTGAAGTGGACCCTACAGTTCCTTTGCATCCAAGTTTTATTTTGAAACATTTCAAACTATAGAAAAGATAAAGAACAGTACAATGAAGTTAACTCTCCACCCAAACTATCAATTGTTGCCACATTTTCATTTTGTATATGTATACACACACACACACACACACACACACACACACACACACACTTCTTTTGGCTGAACCATTTGAAAGGAAGTTGCAAATACCACAGCACTTCACTTCTAACTATTACCATCTATCTCCTAAGAATGAGGACATTCTTCTGCAAAATCACACTTGACCCACTAACATTGCTGCAATATTACCTAGTAATAACTAAAATTCAGATTTCCTGAAGAGGCCCCCAACTGACTTTCATAGGTTTTTTTTTTTTTTGAATGATTCAAACTATGATCACACATTGCCATATTGCTTTTAGTTTCTATGTTTGTATGTCTATTTTGTTTCCTTTGATCCAGAGAAGTTCTACTTTTTTTCCTTTCTGTTTATTTGGTCTTTCATGACATTGAGAGGTTTTGGAGTCCAGGCCAATTGTTTTGCAGAATGGTCTGATTGTTTCCTTATGACTAGATTCTGGTTACATGACAGGAAAAATACATAAGTGATGATGTCTCCTTCTCAGAACATCACATCTGTAGACACAGAATATCAGTTTGTCTCATTATTAGTGATGGTAATTCTAATCACTTGATTAAGGTGGCATTGCCAGATTTTCCCATTGTAGAGGTTCCTTTTTAGCTTTCATAATTAATAAGTAATTTGTGGAGTGATCCTTTGAGACACTGTGAATAACCAGTTAATAAGTTTTCAGTCACTGGTTTTAGCATCTACTCAAAGTTTATTGCAAAATGGCAATTTTCTATTGTTCTTTGTGCTTCAATATATTAATGTCAAAGACAGTGTCCCCCTTCAGTGCTACTTATTTCTTTTCTTCTCTCTTCTTCCTCCATCCTTCTCTCATTTTCTTCCTCCTTCCCTCCCTTTCCTCCTTTCTTCCCACAGGTTGGTGGCAGAATTCGTTTCCCTGGGATTGTAGAACTGTGGTCCCGTTCTCTTGTTGGCTAATGGCTAGGAGCTACTGTCAGCTCCAGGCTGCCTGCAGTTTTTTCTTGCCAAATGGCAGTCTCCACAAACCCTCTCACAGCAGGACAGCTTACTTCTTCAAGCCATTAAGGAAGAAAAGTTTCTTTCTGGTAGGCTAAGATAGAGCGTTATATGATGTAACATAAAACCTAATTAGGGGAATGGCATATCATGACCTTTGTCATGCAACCTAACCTTATCAAGGGAGTGCATTCCATTCCCCTTGACAAATTCCAGGGGTTAAAAGCAAGTCATGGGTTCTGCTCATTCACAAGGGGGAGGAGATTATACAGAGCATGAAGGTGGGGGCTATTAGGGCTTGTCCTCCATGTACAGGGCTTTCATTAATTTTTACAATTATGTAATTTTTGTTAATTTCTTTTCTAAGCAGAATGATCATTTACATTTTCATGTATATGGTCATTATAAATGTTTTCTTGTTAATTTCTACTTTTTTTGCACTGTAAATAGAAAAAGTTTTTATTCTTTTTATTTTGTGAAGTGTATTGATACTCGGGAGAAAGGTAGAGTCTCTGATATTAGGGCTTAAAATCATGATATAGCCTTAAGACCTACCTTCATTAGTATGTTGTTTAATTATTCCATGTTCACATTTTTGTGGTCTAATTGACCTGTTTTGGACTGATGGTGATATTTTAAGATGTCTTATTAAGTGTGTATTTATGCCTATGTAAGTCTTCCTTTATGAAGTTACTTCCTACACAATGTGACTCATAAATATGCAAAATTGTCATGTCTTCATTGTGGATTTCAGCATTAAAAGTATTCTCTTTTTCATATTTTATTCTTCAGCTGTGAACCCTGATTATTTAGATTGTCTGATATCTGGATCATAAGCTGTGTTTCCGTTTGCCTGGTCACACCTTTGCCTGTCTAGTTTTAGACTTTCTGAGTTACTTTAAGTATGAGATTTATATACAGTATGGAATTGTGACTTGCTTTGTGACTCATGTGAAATTTTTTTTACAGATGAGTTAAGCCCATTTACATTTATTGATATGACCGGCTAATTTGGTCTCAACTCTATCATTTTATCATATTATATTATTTTATGTTATATTTACTGTGACTCTTTCTCTATGTGACCTATTTTCTTTGTGGTTCATATGGTTATCTCTCTCTCTCTCTTTCTCTCTCTCTGAGAGCATGTAACATTTTTCTCACCTTTCTTTTGCATTTACAATTAACTGTATCTAATAATCATCAATAGCCCCTTTGCCAGATTTCCCCAGTCAACTTTTAGTGGCATAAAATTTGTCTTCTAGTAATTTTATCAGGACGGGCTCATGAATACAGTTTTCTTTGAGTTCTTGCATGTTTAAAACTGTTTAATTTCTGTAGTCTTGACACTGGCAGGATAGTTAGACAGGATGCAAAATCTTAGGCTAATTCTTTTCTTTTCTTTAAATTATACTTTAAGTTCTGGGATACATGTGCAGAACGTGCAGGTTTGTTACATAGGTATACATGTGCCACGGTGGTTTGCTGCACCCATCAACCCATCATCTACATTAGGTATTTCTCCTAATCCTATCCCTTCCCTTGCCCCTCATCCCCTGACAGGCCCCAGTGTGTAATATTCCCCTCCTTGTGCCCATTTGTTCTCATTGTTCAACTCCCACTTATAAGTGAGAACATGTGGTGTTTGGTTTTCTGTTCCTGTGTTAGTTTGCTGAGAATGATGATTTCCAGCATCATCCTTGTCCCTGCAAAGGACATGAACTGCTTCTTTTTTATGGCTGCATAGTATTCCATGGTGTATATGTGCCACATTTTCTTTATCCAGTCTAACATTGATGGGCATTTGGGTTGGTTCTAAGTCTTTGCTATTGTGAATAGTGCTGCAATAAACATACATGTGCATATGTCTTTAGAGTAGAATGATTTATAATCCTTTGGGTATATACCCAGTAATGGGATTAATGGGTGAAATGGTATTTCTAGTTCTAGATCCTTGAGGAATTGCCACACTGTCTTCCACAATGATTGAACTAATTTACACTCCCACCAACACTGTAAAACCATTCCTAATTCTCCACATCCTCTTCAGCATCTGTTGTTTCCTGACTTTTTAATGATCACCATTCTAACTGGCATGAGATGCTATCTCATTGTGGTTTTGATTTGCATTTCTGTAATGACCAGTGATGATGAGCTCTTTTTCATATGTTTGTTGGCCACATAACTGTCTTCTTTTGAAAACTATCTGTTCATATCCTTCACCCAATTTGGATGGGCTTGTTTGTTTTTCTCTTGTAAATTTGTTTAAGTTCTTTGTAGATTTTGGATATTAGCCCTTTGTCAGATGAATAGATTGCAAAAATTTTCTCCCATTCTGTAGGTTGCCTGTTCACTCTAATGTTAGTTTTTTTGCTGTGCAGAACCTCTTTTTGCATCGATGTTCATCAGGGATATTGGCCTGAAATTATATTTTTTTGTTGTGTCTCTGCCAGGTTTTGGTATCAGGATGATGCTGGCCTCATAAAATTAGTTAGAGAGGAGTCCCTCTTTTTCTATTGTTTCGAATAGTTTCAGAAGTAATGGTACCAGCTCCTCTTTGTACCTCTGGTAGAATTTGGCTGTGAATCCATCTGGTTCTGGGCTTTTTTTGGTTGGTAGGCTATTAATTACTGCCTCAATTTCAGAACTTGTTATTGGTCTACTCAGGGATTCGACTTCTTCCTGGCTTAGTCTTGGGAGGGTGTATGTGTCCAGGAACATATCCATGTCTTCTAGATTTTCTAGTCTATTTGTGTAGCGATGTTTATAGTATTCTCTGATTGTAGTTTGTATTTCTGTGGGATCAGTGGTGATCTCCCCTTTATCATTTTTTATTGTGTCTTTTTTATTCTTCTCTCTTTTCTTCTTTATTAGTCTGGCTAGCAGTCTATGTATTTTGTTAACTTTCTCAAAAAACCAGCTCCTGGATTCATTGATTTTTTGAAGGGTTTTTCATGTCTCTATCTCCTTCAGTTCTGCTCTGATCTTAGTTAATTCTTGTCTTCTTCAGCTTTCGAATTTGTTTGCCCTTGTTTCTCTAGTTCTTTTAATTGTGATGTTAAGGTGTTGATTTTAGATCTTTCCCACTTTCTCCTGTGGGCATTTAGTGCTATAAATTTCCCTCTAAACACTGCTTTAGCTGTGTTCCAGAGATTCTATTACATGGTGTCTTTGTTCTCATTGGTTTCAAAGAACTTAATTATTTCTGCCTTAATTTTGTTATTTACCCAATAGTCATTCAGGAGCAGTTTGTTCAGTTTCCATGTATTTGTGAGGTTTTGAGTGAGTTTCTTAACCCTGAGTTCTAATTTGATTGCACTGTGATCTCAGAGACTGTTTGTTATGATTTCTCTTCTTCTGCATTTGCTGAGGAGTGTTTTACTTCCGATTATATGCTCGATTTGTTCTGTCTTGTTGATCTGTTTAGTATTGATAGTGCGGTATTAAAAGTCTCCCACTATTACTGTGTGGGAGTCTAACTCTCTTTGTAGGTCTCGAAGAATTTGCTTTATAAATCTGGGTGCTCCTGTACTTATATATTTAGGATAGTTGGCTGTTCTTGTTTCATTGATCTCTTTACCATCATGTAATGCCCTTCTTTGTCTTTTTTGATCTTTATTGGTTTAAAGTCTGTTTCATCAGAGACTAGGATTGCAACTCCTGCCTTTTTTTTTTTTTTTTTTTTTTTTGCTTTCCATTTCCTTGGTAGATCTTCCTCCATCCCTGTATTTTGAGCCCATGTGTGTTTGCATGTGAGATGAGTCTCCTGAATACAGCACACCAATGAGTCTTGACTCTATCCAAATTGCCAGTTTGTGTCTTTTAAATGAGGCATTTACCCAATTTACATTTAAGGTTAATATTGTTATGTGTGAGTTTGATCCTGTCATTATGATGCTAGCTGGTTATTTTGCCCATTAGTTGATGCAGTTTCTTCATAGTGTCGATGCTCTTTACATTTTGGTTTGTTTTTGCAGTGGCTGCTACTGGATCTTCCTTTCCATATTTAGTGCTTCCTTCAGGAGCTCTTGTAAGACAGGCCTGGTGGTGACAAAGTCCCTAAGCATTTGCTTGTCTGTAAAGGATTTTATTTCTCCTTCACTTATGAAACTTAGTTTGGCTGGATACGAAATGCTGGGTTGAAAATTCTTTGCTTGAAGGATGTTGAATATTGGCCCCCACTGTCTTCTGCCTTGTAGGGTTTCTGCAGCGAGATCCACTGTTAGTTTTATGGGCTTCCCTTTGTGGGTAACCTGACCTTTCTCTCTGGCTGTCCTTAACATTTTTTCCTTCATTTCAACGTTGGTGAATCTGATGATCATGTGTCTTGGGGTTGCTCTTCTCGAGGAGTATTTTTGTGGTGTTCTCTGTATTTCCTGAATTTGAATGTTGGCTTGTCTTGTTAGGTTGGGGAAGTTCTAGTGGATAATATCCTGAAAGTGTTTTCCAACTTGGTTCCATTCTCCCCGTCACTTTCAGGTACACAAATCAAATGTAGGTTTGGTCTTTTCACATAGTCCCATATTTCTCGGAGGCTTTGTTTTTTCCTTTTCATTCTTTTTTCTCTAATCTTGTCTTCACACTTTATTTCATTAAGTCGATCTTCAATCTCTGATATTCTTTCTTCTGCTTGATTGATTCAGCTATTGATACTTGTGTATGCTTCATGAAGTTCTCATGCTGTGTTTTTCAGCTCCTTCAGGTCATTTATGTTCTTTTCTATACTGGTTATTCTAGTTAGCAGTTTCTGCTGTGTTTTTCAGCTCCATCAGGTCATTTATATTCTCTTCTATACTGGTTATTCTAGTTAGCAATTTCTCTAACCTTTTTTCAAGGTTCTTAACTTCCTAGCATTGGGTTAGAAGATGCTCCTTTAGCTCGGAGGAGTTTGTTATTACCCACCTTCTGAAGCCTACTTCTGTCAATTCATCAAACTCATTCCCCACCCAGTTTTGTTCCCTTTCTGGAAAGGAGTTGTGATCCTTTGGAGAACAGGCATTCTGGTTTTTGGAATTTTCAGCCTTTTTGCACTGAGTTTTTCTCATCTTTGTGGATTTATCTACCTTTGGTCTTTGCTGTTGGTGACCTTTGATGGAGTTTTTGCATGGTTCTCTTTTTTGCTGATGTTGATGCTATTGCTTCTGTTTGTTAGTTTTTCTTCTAACAGTCAGGCCCCTCTGCTGCAGGTCTGCCAGAGTTTGATGGGGGTTCACTCCAGACTCTGTTTGCCTGAGTATCACCAGCAGAGGCTGCAGAACAGCAAATATTGCTGCCTGCTCCTTCCTCTGGAAGCTTTGTCCCACAGGAGCACCCACCAGATGCCAGCCAGAGCTCTCCTGTATGAGGTGTCTGTTGACCCCTGCTGGGAGGTGTCCTCCATCATCAGGAGGCATGGGGGTCAGAGACCCACTTGAGGAGGCAGTCTGTCCCTTAAAAGAGCTCAAGCACTGTGCTGGGAGATCTACTGCTGTCTTCTGAGCCAGCAAGCAGGAACGTTTAAGTCTGCTGAAGCTGTGCCCACAGCCGCCCCTTCTCCCAGGTACTCTGTCCCAGGGAGATGGGAGTTTGATCTATAAGCCCCTGACTAGGGCTGCTGCCTTTCTTTCAGAGAAGCCCTGCCCAGAGAGGAGGAATCTAGAGAGGCAGTCTGGCTACGGTGGCTTTGCGGCACTGTGCTGGGCTCCATCCAGTCTGAACTTCCTCTTGGCTTTGTCTACACTGTGAGGGGAAAATCAACTACTCAAGCCTCAGTAATAGAGGATGCCTCTCCCCTATCAAGCTCAAGGATCCCAGGTTGACTTCAGACTGCTGTGGTGGCAGCAATAATTTCAAGCCAGCGGGTCTTAGCTTGCTGGGCTCCATGGGGGTGGGATCTGCTGAGCAAGACCTCTTGGCTCCCTGGCTTCATCCCCCTTTCCAGGGGAGTAAACAGTTCTGTCTCGCTGGCATTCCAGCCACCATTAGGGTACCAAACAAACAAATAAACAAACACAAAATTCCTGGAGGTAGCACAGTGTCTGCCCAAATGGCTACCCAGTTTTGTGCTTGAAACCCAGGGCCCTTGTGATGTAAGCACCCGAGGGAATCTCCTGGTCTGTAGGTTGCGAATATTGTGGGAAAAACATAGTATCTGGTCTGGATAGCACCGTCCCTCACAGCATGGTTCCCCACAGCTTCCCTTGGTTAGGAGAGGGAGTTCCCCGACCCCTTGCACTTCCTGGGTGAGGCAACGCCCCACCTTGCTTCTGCTTGCTCTCCGTGGGCTGCACCCACTGTCTAACCAGTCCCAGTGAGATGAGCTGGGTACCTCAGTTGGAAATGAGATACCACCCACCTTCTGCATTGGTCTTGCTTGGAGCTGCAGACAGGAGCTGTTCCTATTTAGCCATCTTGGCTGGGAACTCCAATTATTTCCTTTATTTTTATTTATTTTTTTTAATGCTGCTCCACTGTACTCTTGATTTGTATGTTATTATTGAGACATCTTATGCTAATGTGATTTTATTTTCATTAGTAAGTCATTTGATCTTTTTGTCTGGAGTTTCTGCTTATTTTCCCCATCTTTAAATTTTCTAATTGACTATTTCTGGTCAATTTTTCTAAGTACGTGATTGAACCTTTAAATGTCCAGGTTCATACTTTCACTTATTTTGGATTTTTTAAAAAAACTATAGTTTTAAATGTTACATTTTATCTTTATGTTTTTCTTTCTGAGGCATTGTTACTATATAAGGGTTTGCTCT
This sequence comes from Homo sapiens, assembly GCF_000001405.40. Classification (NCBI taxonomy): domain Eukaryota; kingdom Metazoa; phylum Chordata; class Mammalia; order Primates; family Hominidae; genus Homo; species Homo sapiens. The sequence continues at coordinate 120,459,996 of NC_000004.12, read as the reverse complement.
TCTCTGCCCGTCTTCTATATTAAACAGTCTTCCTGATTGTTTTTAACTTTTCCTTTATTTTATTGTCATTATCTTATCTGTTTTCATGCCTTTCTTTAATAATACTGTTTATGTTTTTTAATAAAGTCTATTCTCCCCTGAGCATTTCATAATTCAATTAATATTTTTTAGATCAAACCCATAGATGGATTTATATACTCTCCTCGATGACTTCTATGGCTTTTGGTGGCTACTTGGAGAGATTTGAATTTAAAGGGTATTTGATAACTTCTAGATTCTAACAAATTTTCCTCATTTTTTTATGAACACAATTTTCTGAGTGTAACTTTTTGAATGATCTATCTACATAATCAGTGTGCATTTGTTTATTGAAAAATGTTCTAAAACATTTTGTGTGCTTTTATTTTATATATCTCATCTGGTACCCACATCTCATCTGGTACCCTTGTAACAGTTATTAAAACTACCCTTGTCTAATGCTTTACCATGTAGTCACGTTTTGTTTTGTCATCATAAATGAAAAACATAAGCAAAAGCTGGTGAGGAAAAAAGAAAACCCCGAGGACAAACACCAATAACAAAGAAGAGACTTTCTAAATCAACCTAGAACTTGGCAGTCTCCATAATGGGCCAACTTCTGACTTGTTTCTTGTTGCCTCAGGGCTCTACTGAACCTCAAAGTTCTTTGTTTTTTAGCTGTGTTACCTGTTATGTTCACTCTCCTTGAGGAGGCAGCTACCCTTTCTGCAATGAAGTAAAATTCTAACTCCTAAAATTTGAAAAATTATTAGTCATTTCTCAGAATAGTAATGAATGTATAAGAGTTTTAGGTGGAAACCTATGCTCTCCATTTTCCATTGAGTGCATTTATTTATTCCACTTTTTAGACATACAAAATATCAAAAAGACTGTATTTAATACAACCAAACCACCTGAAAGTACTGCCAACTATGAAAGGATAATGTTGTACACGTCAAGTACACAGGCATCAACTACTCAAATTATTTCATTACTCTTACGCTGACTATTGAAATTGTCATTTAAAAAAATTCAACTTTTTAAATTCAATGCTTTGTCAATTCTGCGATGTAGCAAATACTAACTCCATCATTAATTGGCAACTTTCTGAAAATTGAGAATTGCTGATGTATTTATTAAAGTACTTTTTAAATGTATTAGTCTTAGTACTGCTCACAAAAACGTGTCTGAAAAAGCATTCTATAAAAATAACAACATGCAGTGGTGTATCTGGCAGCCAACATTAGTGAATGTTTGGTTACTCTGAATCACTTATGAATATCATGATGCTCTGAAGTTTGCATATTCAGACCTCAAATAAATTTTCCTCATGTTTTTTATTAATTTTATGAGTGACATGTTGGGAGATTTGCCTTAATATAGGCATATGTAGGGTTCCAAGAATAAAGAATGTGGGGGTGCAGACTGCATATTTATATTGGGCTTTGTTCATAGGGACATTATTAGTGTATTTGGAAAAGGCCTTTTTGTTATTTATATAACATTGACTATAAAAACAATTATCTGTCTCTTTATGCTTTTGCTTTGTTTTTCCTTATTGGCAAGGATTCTAGCTATTTAGGGGATTTTAAATGACACAACATTAGAAATAAGTGGGTGCTGAAATGTTATGCAGTTGCTAGATACATTTAATTATGTAAGGTTTTACTTGCATGTGTCTATGCAATTAACTGAAGCACCACTAACCTGTATTGGGTGCTCACTATGTACCAGTCACTAAATATTTCCGTATTTTAATTAATGTAATCTTCAAAACACAAGTCAGGCATTATTTTTAGGCTACTATACACATGAGGAAACTGAGGCACAAAGTTTAAATCAGTTGCCAAATTATGTACACAGTACAGATAGGATTGAACCTATCATGTCTGGCTCCAGAATCTGCATGCTTAGGAACCACATTCTACCACCACTCCTGGAGACCAGAAAAATTATTCACATGCACATATAGGTCTAAAACTCTATCAGACAAAATGATTTGGAGCTTTGTTTCTTGCAGCAAATATTTATAAAATCCAACTGTGTTTAAGTCCTATGGATATTGGGGCAAACATTGTTTCCTCTTGATTTGTGTTCACTCTGGTTGGACAGATAAGGAATGCATATCATATTTAAAGCCCATGCAATAGATAAATGTGTCTTTGTGTCTACCTGATTTGCCTTCTTGTATCTCATTCCAGATTGTGGTGGAAGTTCATCTGACTGAATTAAAATTTGCAGTGACCCCTCTGAGATGAAACTCCTCAACTTGGGTCAGATAATTAGGATAACTACATAATTTATCATATATACTAGAATATATTTGTAAGTGAAATGAAGTATTAAATTTACAATTTTTGAAAAATTGTTTTATCAAAAATTCATTTTGCTCTATTGGTAGGCTTATAATATAGCTCTGTTCAGAAATAATTTTCAAAATAAGTTTCTAAAATTAAAATAGCATGTATCCATGTACACTGCATGCAGCATTTTTTTATAGTTTAATGTTCCTAAGTGAATCTGATTCAGTATATTGCTGAAGAATTGCAGAATTGTTTTTCTAATAGTTTTATTTTTGTCATAAAAATGCCTTCAAAATTCTTCGAAGTGGTACATTATGGCCAATAAATTTAAAATCAGTAACAATTTAATTGCCCTTTTTTCTGTAAACCATATTCTAATTGAGAAAATATCTCCTCTAAAGGTATTAGTATCAGAGAAAACCCTGCTAAATGAAAGCTAATAGTAATTTTATTATATATTTGTATACATACACACACACACACACACACACATATGTATATATTTGTTCCACTGCAAGTGTCTTTCCTTAGGAGATACTTTTACAAGACAAAACTCCTTAGTTTTGTTGTCTCCATTCATTACTCATTTATAACCATAATTGCTGCAGTATTTTAGATCTTCTTAATTTTATTTTATTCTGTACAGAATAGAAATTTATCTAGTTAAAAATTAAAGCTCCATCAAAATATTCTTTCAAGTTAAAATATTCCAAAGCACAATTATAGAATTTCAAAATTAAATCTAATACATCAAGTGAACTCATAATTTGTTCAGTTGGTCTCTTGTTTTGGTGATGAACATTTTTAAAGTTTCTGTTTTCAAGTATTTTTTTTTTAGTAATTGCAATTTAATGCAAGATTTGAAAGGTAAACTTTTAATACTGCATTTGGTAAATGTTTTGATTAAAAATTTCTAACTGGCTTGAAAAAAGGCAAATGAAATCTAGAGGATACATTCACAAAAAACAAAAGATGAATATCACAATAAAACACTTAGGTAGATTTACAAAATAGTTCTTCAAAAGCTTACACATTTCTAAACCACAAATGATAAGCAACAAAGAAAAAAAGCATATACTGCCATACTGATGCATTATAATTAACTCAACTTCAAATTTGTCTTACAAATTCTGTTATTCAGTTAACTGTGTGTATATGCAAATCTTTATAAATTTTATCAACCAGCGTTTTAATTTTGATTAGTAGGATATCGACTTTAGTGGATGCAACCATGAATTATGACTGTACCACAACCAATCTCAAGTGCATCCCTGCTCCACTGGTTTCCTAATGTAGTAGAACATTGTTTTTCCCGTGATAATGTACTCCATTCAAATATAAATGTATATTCTCACAGCAAAAGGACATTAAGCACGTTAATTGAATTATTAGTTATGTCGGAACTTTTAGTTTAACAGACTAATCTTTCAAAATTTTATTTTCATTTTAAGAATTGAACTAAACACAGTTAAGTATAATTAGTTGAGTACAATTAGTTAACTAAATTAATTACAATTTTACTTAACTAATTTTCTAACTGAAGCATCTGAAGATGCTGATAGAAAACTGATATTTATGTTTGTCACATTAGAAAATATTGACAGTTATTGTTTAACATTTCATACATGCACAGGAAAACTTCGAATAAAAAAATAAGTGAAATTAACTTAGAAAAACTATCATTTGATCAAATTATTTGATCCATAATTTTAGAAAAGTGCTCAGTGAATGATATATAACTTGATCTGATCATGTTGCATGGAAACATTCTTTGGAAACAGTGTTTTAGAAATAACTACTAACTTTTGCAGTAGGTATTGAGAGTTTTTAAGCAGATGTATAGCTTTTGGTTTTTACACGGCCAATGATATTGGGATGGTTCCCTGATAGACATTAAATATTCATAATTTTTTTGTGTGAGCTATGTGTTCATAATCAAGCTTTTTGAAAATAGAAATTCAGTAATTTTTATTAAATGTGTCCCCCTTTTTTCAGATTGCTGCTGAGATATTTCATGACTCACACCCCAAAAAAGCAACTAAATACTAGTGAATAAATATTTGCAGATTACATTATAAATAAATGATAACTCCATCCTACTGTGTGCTCAGACTGCTTTGTTTGCTATAAGGAAGTACATTCAGCCTCCATTTCTCCTCCTTATTTCACCACCCCATTATCCTTATTTTCCACATTTCTCACTCACCTATGGTTGGCAGCATGGCACTTCTGCATCTAATGGCACAGCTGTATGCTACTCCCTTAAATACTTCTCCCAGAAATTAGTTTATTTGATCAGCAACTGCTTTATATCCTCTTCTTAGAAGTGTTCCTTATACTTATGTTGCATTTGAAAAGTGTTGGAAAATGAGAGATTCATTTATGATCAACTTAAAGATTTAACCATGTGTTAAGAGATAACTGTTTCCTGGTAAACAAGAGCTAGAAGAAGTTGGGTGGATAATATGGAAGCCCAAACTCATCACGGCTCATTTTAATGCAGTTTTAATAATAATACTTTGTTAAAAAATTTAGAAATCTGGGGCAAATGCTAAACTGATAGTACATTGTGACAACAGGCATAAACTAGAACTTTCCCCAGGCAAAACAGGACTTTGGTCACCTGACACACCTAGTGGAATCACAGTGCACTCATTAATTCTAAGAGCAGAGGGCTGTACAAAGGGGTATTTGTACTAGAGGAGAAGGTTGGTCATGGCAGACACCCTACTAGACTTGTCCAGAAACAAAGCACTCTCAGAGTTCAGTTCAGAGTAGGATGAACATCATAGTGGAGAATAGGCATAGAGTAGAAAGATGGGCTCTAAATAGCCAGAAAAGCTGGGGTGAACATTTTAGGCCAGCAGAAATTTGGCTTTAATATAGTGGAGAGAAACACTACATGTTATGTCCAAATTTTAACTTTTGTCTTCCCAACTAGCAAGAATGAATCAAGTTTCCCTTTGTTTATCTTCTACAATCTTGTGTTCAGTTACTGTCAGTGTTAAAGATAAATTTTTATTTTAACTGTGGAGATTATCTTCTTCATTGTTATGGTCTTGTTCCTGCTCATAAAACTTTGTTGTTTTTAATTGATTATTTTCATGTGACATTGACTTAGAACATAAATAAATATTGAAGGGCATCACCTCTCATTTCCATAGCAACAAATTAAAAGTAAATACTAGTCATTTAAGCATTTCTTTCTTTGATGCATGGGCACATATTAACACAACATCTCTCTGATCTTCCCTGGGTAGAGTAAGAATCAAGAATAAATGTCCTTGTCTACAGAACAACTGGAAAATCTGCTTGATTGGAGCACTAAGTAGGTTTGTGAAAGGAGTGAAGTGAGGTTATAAATTTGGTTGGAGCCAGATTTTGAAGGAGTTTAGTTTGTCAGTAGTAAGTAAACATTGGAGGATTTCGAGCTTGGGAGTAACATGAGAGAATGATATTCACAGAAAATTTACCCAGCAGTCATTTGCAGTACACAATTAGAAAAGTGAGAAAGGGATGTCTGGGAAGGTCCATCATTCTGCATGTATCTAGGTGAGGCAAAGGACAAGCAAGTCACTTCAGTAAATAATTTAACAAATACACTGGACTCCCCCAAATATTTATTTCTTACTTTTGAAAAAGTTCTCCAAACCCTAGACTTGAGTGTGACTTTACAGTTTAAAACTCCATGACTTTTAATTTTTTTCATATTTATTACCAAAAATATGATAAAATCAAACAACATAAAGTCCTCTTACTGGAAATTTTTGGTGACTTTTTTTTTTTACTTACATGGTTAGGAAACATGTTTGGTGGGGGGAAATGCTGTTTCTAAAAGAAATTATTATTTCCATGTCCAAGAAGATAATCAGTGCCTAAATATTTTAATGCATATAATTATTTAAGCTGTTAAAAGGCTCGTCTAGAAGGACCCAAGGTTAAATCTTATTTATCTATGCCTCATCAGCTCCCACATAGTGCCTGAAACACAGAAGGCATACAATAAATAGTGTATACTGAATGAATGAAATAAATATGCCCATCTTGTGATGTCTCCAAATATCATTGATTTGGCAATTTAACAACCTATACCACACTCTGTAAATATGCGTACAGATGTATACAGTGTTACCCACAGACTTTAGGTATGGGGTTCGGCTACAAGTTTCTATTGACTTCTAAGGCTTTATGAATTTATAATTCAAATTAACTATAATAATAGTACATCATACAGGGCTTATATGGATCCACTATATACTATATTTTTTTAACCATGAAACATGATTTTTAGAAAAGTTCACAAAAATACTTGAAGGAATAATTTCTGCTTTATATCATGATATTCTATTCTTTTGGGAACACTAAATGTTTTCCACAAGATACAAGGTTTTTTAAAAAAAGAAATAGTGGCTTTTTGCACGTCAGAATGATTCAAATATTACTGAAATGAAACAGGACAAAAATGTGTCATTCTTTTTATGTTATGTTAATTTCACTTCGATTAAAGAATGCATGGTAGTTTAGCAACCAGGAGCCCTGTTATAGAGAACACAACTGTATTTTGACTGCTTCAAGAGCATCAATGAGACACATATGCATCCAAATAATGCTAAAATTAAAACTGGCATAGAGGGAAAACTAATTTAAAAAGCACAAAGAATTTGTTTAGTCCAACTCTGTTCAATTTTTCCATATGAAGAGACACAGGTCTGTTGTTTCTCCACTTTGAACAACTCACCACAACGGCTTTGCATAATTAAATTGCTATATGGCTATTTTTTACTCTGACTTTCCTCTAAAATAAAATGGATGGTTTTTGTTTGAAGTGACCCAGATGCATGTTACTTGTGCTTATTCAGCTATACACATTCACATATGACTGCACTTAATGATGATGCCAGTTTGCTGAGTTTCTTCCAGAAAAGATGGTTTGCCAAATTACTGTTGTTAAACAGACTTTACAATCAAACACTCAGTTCTGCCTCTGCATATTAGAGTCTCCAAGCCCAGCTTTAGTACTAACCTCATTAGAAACTACCATACTAAAGGTCTTTCATATCTCTGTTCATCACACACTTCTAGGGATAAAGAAAGTGTTCCAAGCTGACTTCTTATGTTCAAAGGATATGATGCTTTAATGTCCTAGGCAGCATTTTCTTGTCTCATGGGAAAGTTTTTCTTCCTTTCTTCTTCCAGATTCTTTTCCTTCTCCTCCTATTCCACCCCTTCCTCCTTCTTTTCCCTCTCCTCCACGTTCCCCTCCTTCACCTCTCCTCTTCCTTCTTCTTCTTTTACAACTTTTAAGAAATATTTTCACCTGTGTTTGGTACAGTGGGGGCACACCAGTGCATGGTTAACACTTCTCAACACAGCCCTGGAGAGATCCTGCAGAATGCAAGTCAAATCCTATCATTCCTTTGCCTGAAAACCTTAGAGGCCCTTTCTTACTCTGAGGAAAGGCATGGTTTATGAAGCAGTCTAAAAGAATGCTCTTTCCCTAGAGACTGATGATCCACTCTTTCATGTCCTTCAGTTCTTTCTTTAATATTGCCTTTTTAGTAGGATCTCCCCTGACAATGTTATTTAGAAATGCAGCCCTAGCAATGGTTCCTCATTTCTTTCCCCATGTAAATTTCTCTCTAACTCTAACCATAATTTCATCTGCTATATGCATATTTCAGTTATTTCATTTGTCTTTCTCCCTGAATTTGAGTGTAATTTCCACAAGTATACAGTAAATATTTGAATTAATAGGTACATTAATATTCACCCCAAAACAATAGAAAGAGTATAAAAATATTTTTCACACTTTAATACTATCATGTAAAGTATATATACCCTGATGTTGTGTTTGATACAACACCCCTCCCCCAACACACACACACACACACACACACACACACACACACTCACTCACATACACAATTTATCCACTTTGGGCCATTTAAGAGATGCACCAATTTTGCCTTTCATATTATGTTTCTTATGTGCTGACCTTAGAATTTAATCTCACATTAAATTGTCTCCACTACAGTATGTTTCAACACGTAACAATCATTAAAAGAATGAAACAATTTAAACCCTTTTAATGTAAAAATTATAATGTATGGTACTCAATTTAAGTGCACTAATTTAAGAATCAGTAGTATTCATAAGAATAGGAAGCAGTCATCATATGGATAGTGTATCAGAATTATAAGTATCTATGTATGTGTATATATGAAGATATGTGTGCAAAATTGGGTCAAATTTAGTAAAAGTAACATTATCCACAGCTTATACAAAAGAAATTGATTTTTTCATTTCCTGTGTCTCTTTGAGGGTAACTAAAGTTAATTCTTGAATTTTTAATAAGAAAACTATAATGACAGGATCTATAATTCCCTTCCTTCTCTTTTACACAAACCTTATCAAGTCTCATGGCTTCAATTATCACCTCTATTTGTGTAATTCCCCAATCTATTTCTTTAATCTTGACCGCTATCATGAACTCCAGTATCACATTTCTAATTGCCTACAGGGCATTTCCATCTGGGAACCAGTGTATCACTGCATACTGAACAGAATCCATGCTTACCCCACACCTATCTCCTCCTCCATTTACTAAAAAAGAAAGACACGAAGAAAGAAAGAAAGGTGTGTCCTGATTTACCTTACATGTATTTTAGGCTGAAACATCTCTCTCCTTTACAAATACTTTTAAATTTCAACAAAATTTTCCTGAGTAATTATTCCTCTAGCTCTTATTCCCCTCCAACATTCATTTGTACATATTCTCATCTTTATCTTCTCTGCCTATATTGTTATAATCATTCATAACTATTTTGCTTTTCTTCTTCACTTAATTACCACCAAAAGTTGAGTCCAATTTATTTTTTAAAAAGACATGACTTTAATCATGCCAATTTTGTGACAAGAATTTAAACAAATATATTCTTGGAAAAACTCTTGATTCTATGGGAAAAATTAAAAATGTTCCAAACTAATCGCTTTCTAGGATTAAACAAAAACTGTTTTTCAGGCCCGGATGTTATTGGTACTGTTCCCTGAATATATCTAGTTATTGTACTTCCTGTTTTGCATTGCTTCTTTTATAAACTGCTTGGTTCCTACCCAACCTTCCAGGTTGTACTGAAATTTTATTTCTGCTGTGAAGTCTTCCCTGATCATCCTGACCCATGATAATATCACTCTCTCAGGATACCTGGGTCTAGTTCTGACACTGTCATTGGCTATGTGACCTTCAACGTAGCATTCTGCATATCTGCGGAAGAGAGAGAGTTGGGTTACACAGTCTCTTATTTTTTACCATACAAAATTAGACAAATTTACTATATATTTTGTTTATTTAATTCTTTTGCATTTGACTATTTCTTGACCATTTCTATTTGCTATTTAATGATTAAATTTTCCCAAATTGTAAGTTCACTAGCCATAGAGATAACATAATTACAATTCTATCTTAGCACCGCAGTTATACATGCAGAATTAAGACAAATTTTTAAAAAGTTTTGAATTAGTAAAATTTCAGAATGTCAGCTGCCATACTTGATAAGCCTCAATAACATTATTTGATCATTAATTAAGCTACTGGTTCCATGATACTGAATCTACTGGGAGCCAGATCTCTGAAGCTTTTAACAGTTATGACTTCTGAGGCCCACATACTCGGGAAAAACTTTGCGGAATTACAGGGAAAGTTCAGCCAGGACAGAAAAGAGTAGTATTGGAAATGAAGTGGTTACTTTTTCCCTTATAACTTATTTTCTCAACATGACTAACCTACATATTCAACAGTTTGTGCATGCTCTCTCTCTCCCTTTTGTCAATTTCTTCATTCCCCTGCCTCTCATTCCTTCCTTTATTTACCTTTTCTGATTGCTACTTTTATGCACAGCTGTTTCTTTAAACTGGACTTATTATAAGCTGTAAGTAGACTCATACTAGCCAGTATTTTGAGAAACCTATTTCTTCTACAGAATGCTAGAACAGATAGATGCTTATGAGCGTTGTGGAATTACTGTAGTTTTAAGAAGTTTATTCACTTAAATGTTCCTTTACTGAGCATGTACTATACACAGGGCAAGGTTCTAACAGCACAAATATAATGATGATTCAACCTTGTCCTCAAGGACCCTACCTGGTAGAGGAGTCCTCAGATCTATAGATCTATAGTCATTAGCTCTACAACAAGCATTATATCTATGTAAGCAGAGGCAAAATATCATGAGGTTTCAAAGGAGACAACGATTATAAACAAATGGGAACATTTTAAAAAGCCTTTATGAAAGACTGGTAGAATTTTGATGGGGCAAGGGAGTGGAAAGGATGTTAGAATTGGGAGGAAAAGCTCGGAGGAAAGGCAAGAGGAGGTTGACGTGACATATTGTAGGGAGTGTTGGATCTAGAATAGGCTGGAAATGCGATATAATTTACAAAGACATTTTTAGCAGGGGTCGCATCCTCAGTCATACTTTTGGTACTATTCACTTTCTCTAGGTTCTAAATCATTTTGTGATTGATGTTCACACCATGGTCTCACAGGTTATTTGCAGGAATTTATACTGTTTCCCTCTATGCCCCAGCAAAATCATTCTTTCTAGTATAAGCTACTTTTTCGGCTTGGTTGGAGTTCTCACTAAGTGTAAAGGAATTTCTGAGTTCACAAGCTAATGCTGTTTCGTGGGTTCTCTTTTTAAATTTTAAATAGTTTTATTTAAAAATAAAGTGCATATAGTGAAGAAAACACAGAATAAGTTGAGGTTTTTTTCTTCACCCCCATGTGATTGCTACTGTCTTATCCCTATTTGCATCGACATGCTCTGTATGTCAGTTGGGGTGCGGGGAAAGAAACTTATTTAAAGTTAATATGCTTTAAAAGACAATAAGAGCCTCAGAGATAGGGGAAAAGAATACTTTTTCTGTGTAAAGTATGATCCAATGTGTTCACAATTGTGTTAAAAAAAGACACAATGATATGCATAAAATTGTCTTTGCAATCTCAGTTCTTAAAAAGAGAATGAAGTTAAAGAATGATGTGTTGTTCTTAGTGCATTTATATAGCTGTATCTTAATTTTTGGAATGTCTCGTGAAGATTCATAAAACAGCTTCAGTGACATCATCGAAAGCTGCCCCTTTACAATTTTTCTGATCCTTTCCACATTGCCTCTAAAATCTATGATGAAAAGTTCTTCCTCTTTTTAGGGAATTTTGTTCATAGAATGCTATCTGGACACACATGGAAAAAAAATAGATGAGAAAGTCCCCCATTCTTTTTTTTTTTTAAAAAAACTGCAATTTGATAATCCTTTACTTTTCTCTCTACCTGCTTCCTCATTAGTCAAGTGAAATGATAATACTTCTGCACTTTGGAAGTTTGTAGAAAGACTCGAAATCAGAATTTTTCTGTCTTAAAATGTATAGAAGGAGATAGTTATATTAATTATCTTTGAAACATAGTGATAATGAACATAATCTCCCCATCACCAATACAGGAAGTCTCAAATGAGAATTAGACAGTGTATATTTCAAATTTAAACAATTAAATGGACTCTTAACCTTTCTGATTTCATCTAAAAATCCTGCTTCCCATTGTGTTCTTAATTTGATCCCATTGCTTATGACATTTTTGGCTTCAAGTGTGGTTTTACAGTTTGGATGAGCTGCTAAACTTGGCACTGAATACGTTACAAAAATAAAGAGGAATTTCTCCCTAGGATCAAGGGAGTTTGAAAGAGTATGAATATATTATGCTAATATATGTGTGTAAATTTGTGAAAGGAAATATTTAACATTTATTTTTTTCAATGTGTTTCTATGGAAAGTAGTGGAAACATCTCATCTTATACATTTGTTTTGTAAATGTGGAGAAACACTGACTCAACAACAGCTGATATATAAAATGGGAACATAAGCAGAAGAACGAAGCAAAGGTTTCACACTGAGCTTCATATCTATCCACCGAGCTGGCATTCTTCAGCTAATATTCCATTTTAGAAAGCATGCAGAGGAAGATGCATTTTCTCCTTTGAGTCATGAAGGCAGAAGTCTTATCGGCCACTACATGCTGCTTTACTCCTACTTAAATTGTAAGAAGTTTTCCATCATGTCCTGTTTAATTGTCTATAGATAGACTGAATGCCCAAATAACACATACTGCAGAGTATAAGCCTCATGGTAAACGTGTGTGCAAATTGCAGAATCACAGGATTGTTCTCTGTGTGGAATCCCTGTGATGGGTATAGATATGTTCTATAAACTCAAATATAATGATTACCTGAAGGAAGTTGATTCCTTTTCTCCAATGAAAAGATTTAAAAAATTTCTTTGATAATTTAAGCAAATAAAACTTTAGGGGAATAAATAGTGAAAAATGGTTAAAATAAAATAGAAACTTTTGGGGGTATACTTATATAATAAAAATATTATATACTAATTTACTCAACTACCTCTCTCCATAGATAGATAATTTGATAGACCCACACATTATATAGAATATGAAATAACACTAATTTACTAAAGTTGCTTGTTTCCCCCAACTTCCACTCCATTATACATTTTTGGGATCTGGCTAAGGAAAAGTTGAGTTGGCGTATTTGGGTTCTGTTGGATGGGCTTATGTGGTTTGCAGTTACCTCTTTGTGTGGTTGTTATTTCTGTCAAGATATTACAAGCTAGTAAATGGTAGAATTAAAATTTAAGTCTGTGTGTTTCAAGATGTAAACCTTAACCTTATACTATACGACCTTTCATACCTTTGGTGCTCAATCCCCAGGGTTGAAAATTTTTTTTATTTATTTATTCATTTATTTATTTTTAATTGAAAAATAGCAATTTTATGTTTGTGGGATATAATGTGAAGTTTTGGTCTTTGTATACATTGTAGAGATTCAATCAAGCTAGCATGTCCATCACCTTACCAATTTATCATTTTTGTGTGTGTGGTGAGAATGTTAAAAATGTATCCTTTTAGCAATTTTGAAATACATAATACATTATTATTAACTGTGGTCATCATGCATGATAATAGATGACTAAAACTTATTCCTCCACTATTACTGAAACTTTGTACCTTTTGATCAACATCTGTCTTTCCCCATTCCTACTATATAGATACAGCATCCTACATCCCTGCTATAGATACAGTTCATAACATAACGTAACAATCTTTATGTTAGCCACATAGTAACCAGAAAGAAAAAAATTACAGCAGATACACAAATGAGAAAGAGAAAAGAACAAAACAAACAAAACTTAGCAACACAGAAAACCACCAAACCACAGAGGATAAAACAAGAGAGGAAAAAATGACAAATAAAAAAAAGGATCTACAAAACCACCAAAAAACAATTAACAAAAAGGTAGGAGTGAGCCCTAACTGATCAATAATAACCTTGTGGGTAAATGGATTAAATTATCTCATTAAAAGACAGAATGGCTAAAAAAGCAAACAAATTAAAAAACAAAACAAACAAACAAACAAAAAAACAAGACCCAACTATATGACTCACCTTACTGCTTACTGTTAAAGACAAACATAAACTGAAAGTGAAGGGATGAAAAAAGTTATTCCATGCAAACAGAAACCAAAAGCAAACAGGGGTAGCAACATATGCCTGATAAAATTGACTTTAAGTAAACAATTGTAAAAAGAGACAAAGAAGATTATTATATAATCATAAAGGATCAATTCAACACGAGAATATAATAATTATAAGTGTATATGCACCCAAACGGGAGCACCCATTATATAAAGCAAATATTAATAGAGCTAAAGAGAGAGAGGTAGACTGCAATACAATGATAGAATGGAACTTCACCCCACGTTCAACAATGGACAGATCATCTAGACAGAAATTCAAAGAAACACTGGAGGCTGGGAGCAGTGGCTCACACCTGTAATCCCAGCACTTTGGGAGGCCAAGGCGGACTGATCACAAGGTCAGGAGTTTGAGACCAGCGTGACCAACATGGTGAAACCTCATCTCTACTAAAAATACAAAAATTAGCTGGGTGTAGTGGCACGGGCCTGTAATCCCAGCTACTCAGGAGGCTGAGGCAGGAGAATTGCTTGAACCCAGGACGTGGAGGTTGCAGTGAGCCGAGATCATGCCACCACACTCCAGCCTGGGTGTCAGAGCAAGACTCTGTTTCCAAAGAAAAAGAAAAAAGAAAAAAAAAAGAAAAAAGAAAATAAACATTGGACTTAAACTGCACTTTATACCAAATGGACCTAACAGACATCTACAGAACATTTCATCCAGCAGCTGCAGAATACACATTCATCTCAACTACACATTGGACATTCTCCAGAACAGAGAGAATGTCAGGCTACATAACAAGTCTTAACAAATTTAAGAAGATAGAGAATTATATCAAGTATTTTTTTAGACTACAATGGCATAAAACTAGAAATCAAAAAGAAAAGCTTTGGAAACCTTACACATACATGGAAATTAAAAAACATGCTCCCAAATCTATTAATGGGCCAATGAATAAATTTAAAGAGAAATTTAAAAATTCTTTAAGATGAATGAGAATGGAGACACATCGTACCAAAAACTATGGAACACAGCTCTAAGAGGGAAGTTCATAGCAATAAATGCCTGTATCAAAAAAGAAAGATTTCTAACAAACAACCTAACCATGCACCTCAAGAAAATTTAAAAAATAAATAAATCCAAAATTGGTAGAAGAAAGGCAATAATAAAGCTCAGAGCAAATATAAATGAAATGGAGACTGAAAAAAAATTTAAAAGATCAACAAAATGAATAATTGGGTTTTAAAAATTGAACAAAATTAACAAACCTTTAGCTAGACTAAGAAAAAAGAGAAAAGGCTCAAATAAATGAGATTAAAAAAAGATATACAACTGATATCACAGAAACTTATATATATATACACATATATATCTGTATCAAATGCCTATGCTATATATACATATATAGATATGTAGATATGTACATATACATTTATGTGTTTATTTATTTATATATTTATTTATATATGTATATATGTATATATACACATATATATCTATATCAAATGCCTATGCTAGATATATATTTATACATATGTACATATATGTATATATATTTATATATAGCATAGGCATTTATATATGTAGGCATTTATATATAGTATAGGCATTATATATAGCACAGGCATTTGATTTTTTTAAAGGCAGATATTCTATCCTTAGCCCTGTGCCAGCATTTGACACTACTTTTCACCTCCATCTCTGGCTCTAAAACTTTATTGAGCTTTACTGAGCTTGCTGCTCATTGTTGCCCTGGCTGTGCACTACACTCTGTAAATTCGACTGCCTGCCTTTGCTAGACAAGATCTTTGCTCGTGCTCTTCTCTCAGTCTTAAATGGGTTTCACTACTCACGTTGGTACTGGTCTTTGCTAATCACTTCAGATTTGCCAAAAAGTACTGATATCAACAAAGACAACCTAAAACTCTGAAAACAAGTTTAAAAGACTCATCTATTAAAAGAGTTTTAAAGATTAGTTACAATACTTGAAAACTTGAAATGCTCCCAACTCTTAACACCTCCCATATGACAGAACTTTGAAAGAAGTATTCCCAATTATGACAGCAATCCTAAATATTTACCTGTGACTGACAATAAAGAGTTGTGATGGTGTAAGAAACTTTACTAAACTATCAGTAATTAAACATAGTTTTTGATGAATTGCGCTATTGTAAAAATGAATTCTTTTATACTCTTCACAAAAAAAGAATGAAAAATAATTGTCATGTGAAGAGGTAAAGGGTATGCAGGCAAAAAAATTAGAAAAAATATTAGAAAACACTGTTAGGTAATTAAGTAAAAATTGATGTTAGTTTTCTGAATGTGTCAGCTTTTAAAAATGTGTAATTAGTAGTAAGATATTTTATCATTCTAAAGAAAAATTTACTCTGTACCTGTTTACATTAATAATGTTACATATTCTGTTTCTCAAAGAGAGTTTTCAAAATTGCAATAGATTCTGACTCTGCAAAATTTAGATCAGTCCTTAGATAGGTGCTGTTTTATCCACACTGCAGAGAGAAAGAGATAAATAGAGGAATACTATGTAAATCACTTTTCCAAGGTTACGCAGCTAGGAAGAGGCTGAGCAGGGACATATTTAAACCAACCACTATGACTCTAGATTCTGAGCTATTAACCAGGAATCCAAGACTTGTCAATTTTGGCTGTACATTCAGATCTCTAGGGCAGCTTAAAAATACCAATGCCTGGGCCCCATCCCTGACCAATGAAATCATAATCTCTTGGGATCTGAACCTTGGTATTTTGTTAAAGCTCCCTAGATGATTCTAATGTTTAGCCAAGTGTGAGACTCACTGCATTAAACCCATCTTATCAACAAAAGGTTTTGGCTTTTGTGATGGAACTTTAAACATTTTTAAGGCAGTTATGCTATATGAGCAATCTGACTGCAGGAAGCTGTGCCAACAAAATTTTCAAGGAATTTGTAATATCTTCCCTGGTTTGCGTCCCTATGGCCCTCTAATCCTCACAGCTGGCATTACTTAGTGTCCATATGCAAGCGCAGTTCCATCCAGGTTATGGGACCAACATTGTTCTCAGAAGCCTAAAGAAACAGAAATCTTTGTCGTTAGTCACATAGCATCCATTATCTGTAGCCAATCCACTTTTCAACTTCTTCCCTAGTAGTCTGTAATCACATTTAGTAATTATTTAGTTTTACACTTGCTTCCACTTGACCAACTTACCACAATTGTTGCTTACTATTTACTTTTTCGATATTACCTTTAATATTCATCAAATTATTTCATATATCATCTTTATGTCATTTTATTTCCTGGATTCTTTATACAAATACGCAAGTGTATATCTCACAAAATAGTTTATCTTCAGTGTATGTGTTGTTTCTGTTGAATTATCTTGGAAATCAAAGATTAGAGTTCATTTTAAATTGGAAAGTAAAGATGAATATTTTAAATATGTGATGAAAAGCTAGTAAAAATATTGGAAAATGATTAGGAAGAAATATGTCTTAACTTACAAAATATATATTTTTTTCATTTACAGGTACAAGGGATTGCTCCTTGCTAGGTACATTTTTCCCTCTCTACTCTTTGCCACAGTCAGCGCTATGCTAACCATCTTTTTTGCTTTAGATGTGTAGACGCGATTATGTTATACTATTTACAATATCCTACATAAAAAAGGAGGTGAAAAATTAAAAAAAAGAAAAAGGTTTCAACCTTTTTTTTTCTTCTCAGTAGTATTGAAAAACATGAATGCACAATCTTCTTTGTGTCCTTATCAACAGCATAATGCGGAACACACATTAGGATTTCAAAAGATGTAGCTGAACTTGCCACAGTGGTCTGTGATCTTTTCTGTCACCTGGCCCAGGCAGAGAAACTTCTTGCTTCATGTCAGGAGCACATGTGGCATCACTGGAGACATTCATGATAATTCTAGGGTGTGAATTGATATTTGCCAGGGCATCATATTACTGCTGAGCTAGTACCTATTTACTTCTCTTTGCTTTTCTACTTGGTTTTGATCTCTATTTGATACATTTCTTTCATTCTTTCATATTTCATATACACACAACACTGGGTCATTAGTCTTAAAAACCATGTACTTGAAATTCTTGCCAACTTTGATACAGGTATACCACTAATGTGCTTCAGCACTCAGAGTACAACAAACAAAGAGGGAAAGAAAACTCAGGAGCGTTATGCTTATTGAGCTCCTTGTCTTTGGAAGAAAACACCAGGAGGGGGGATAGAAGATTTACTTGCAATACCAGACACATGACAAGTATTTATTTTATTGATTATGAATTATATTATAGCTGGCCTTGTTGGTAACCAATTGAATTAACATTAAAGAGAGAAAAGTTGATGGCAAGTATGACTTTCAGGGCGAGATATTTACTTTGTTCTAACTCTAAAGAATACTACAAAAAGTATAAGTGTGAAAGAATAGTTATTTGGCCATGTTATTTTGTGTAATTCGTTTGGTCAACTGAGTGATATGAGCTGTGTGACATTTATTAGCATCACTTTAATGAAATCAGAGGAAAATTTCTATCTTTTGTTTACTCTTTTTCTTGACATTTAATATAACCTTAATAAAATATAACATTAAAATGTTATTTTAGTTTTCATTATTCCTGGAGTCCCAGAAGAACAGATAACTAAAAGAATGAAAGAAATGTATCAAATAGAGATCAAAACCAAGTAGAAAAGCAAAGAGAAGTAAATAGGTACTAGCTCAGCAGTAATATGATGCCCTGGCAAATATCAATTCACACCCTAGAATTATCATGAATGTCTCCAGTGATGCCACATGTGCTCCTGACATGAAGCAAGAAGTTTCTCTGCCTGGGCCAGATGACAGGAAAGATCACAGACCACTGTGGCAAGTTCAGCTACATCTTTTGAAATCCTAATATGTGTTCAGCATAATGCTGTTGATAAGGACACAAAGTACCTCTGGAGAAGTGGGCTGGTTCTCAGGGCAGAGCAGGCTGGTGAGGCGGTTACTGATCATGGAACAGAGGATGATTCAAAAGAGAGATTCTGACATTAAAAGCCAATATGTAGTCTAACCAGCTTCTTTGCAACTGGCTAGAAAGGGGAACAGGATTCAGTTAGAAGGCAAAATGTCAGAGAAAGCATGAAAACCAACCAGAGGACAAGTATGAAAGCAGAAGGATGAACATGGGGTACGTGCAGATTCCTGGGGCCCCTTGGGTCCAACTGTGTCAGGAACCTGCCTATTCAGCTGTGAAACAGAACACTGAAGGGAGCCCAGTGAGCTTGAACTTCATGTCTGTGGAACTGCTTCTTCTTATCACAGCATTTTCTAGATTAGAAAACGGCAATTCAGGGAGGTTTGTTTATTGGTCAGATCACACGGCTAGTTAATGGGAATTCTAGTATTCTAACTTAAGTCTCCAGATTTTCTCCTCAGATTTCTCTGTGATTTGCACATGTCTGTTGTCTCAGTCTTAAGTCTTACTCTTCTTATGCCCCCACACTGACCTCAGACTTATTCTAAAAACCAGGACTGATCACAGTAATTCATAATTTAAAACAATTTATGGTTTCCCATAATGAAGTTTAAATTTCTTCACATAGCCCACAAAGTCTTCTGATGATCTGGCTTTTGGTACCTGTGCAGCCTCCCTTCCTATGCATGCCCCAGCTTGTCCTCTGTGATCAAGGTCTCCATCTCTTTCATCTCTAGTACAGCACCCTGCTTGTTAATAAGGTCATGAAAAATATGTGGCTATATCTACTACTGCACTTGTGGTATTGAAGATAGACATTACTTGGATGATATTCACTCATCTGAATATTATCTTTCCTTTACATCACAACCTCCAAGCACTTTGTGTAGATTATCAAAGCCTCACAAAATCCTATGAAGGTGCATAGACATCCAACAAATAACTACTTAAATGAGTAAATAAAGAAGCGTAAACTTTATGTTCATTTTTTCTATGTATAATATTGTCTCATCGGAGAACATTCATCCTCAAAACTAAGGACTTCAAGTGAGAGTTAATCTGTCAGTAATAAATACATTTTCATCTGGAGGGTTGTACCCCAAATACTCTACTTTGAACATAATTCCTGTAAGATGCATTTTTCTCAAGGCAGATTATCAGCTGCTTATATTTTCCCAGGACAAAAGTGCTCTTAAGAGCCTATCTTAATTGAGCAATTGATTAATTAGCACTTTTCTACTTTCACCAGGGAGTGAGAATTTAGAGGGTATTACTGTGCTAATAAGCTCACACCTTTCCTATTTTAAACTGTTTTCAATTTTGGGAATACAAATCCCTAAGACAAGAAAAATAAATTTGAAATCTTTTCATCCATGCAAAATGCAAAGTAGGTCACCCCACCTGTTTCTACTTGACTAGCACATTTGCTGAGGAGCAAGACATTTTCCTCTCATGTTTCTGTTTCAAATCTACCACGTGTTTGTTGGGGGAATTTAATATCATAATATATAAAGTAGCAAAGAGCACCAAGTCACAGACAGATTAAAAAAGGGTTAAAAGTTCTATCTTAGTCCATTTTGCGCTGCTATGACAGAACACCTGAGATTCTAATTTATAATGAACAGGAAATTACTGGCTCACAGTTCTGCAAGCTGGCAAGTCTAAAGTGTAAGGTAAGGCACTTGCAGTTTTGGTGTCTAGAGAGGCTGTTCCCCTCTTCCGAGAAGGCACCTTGCACATGAATTCCCACATGGCAGAAAGTAGAAAGGTAAGAGAGTCCAGTCCTGAAAGCCCTTCTCTGCCCTCATGTCCTAGGCACCTCCCATTAAAACCTACTTCCCCACACTGTTGCATTGGGTCTTAAGTTTCCAACACATGAATTTGGGGGGGCACATATAAGCTAAAGCAAGGCCCCAGTCTCTTTTCCTTGTTTGATAATTCTCTTTTAACCTTCCTTATT
This sequence comes from Homo sapiens, assembly GCF_000001405.40. NCBI lineage: Eukaryota > Metazoa > Chordata > Mammalia > Primates > Hominidae > Homo > Homo sapiens. The sequence continues at coordinate 120,439,205 of NC_000004.12, read as the reverse complement.
TGACAATTCTCAAATGTATGTATGCTCATTAATAAACAATAACCAATTGTTGTAATCTCTATTATGATTTTTAAAAATTTGTTCTAGATATCACTCTTCAAGATAACCACTCTCTAGGAGAGCCCTGACTAGGGGAATGTTATGTTCAGGTGTGTGAGTCAGATGAGACATTATGAGGATGTGAACCCAAAATGTAAAAAACAGAAGAAATTTGTTATTCACAGGCACCAGAGAGGTAATGGGTGTTTATGGGAGACTGAGGGGAAGTCTAGAAGTGACAGAGAGCTCAACCAGCAGGTGGGAAGAGAGACAGACAGGACCTGTGGGACTATGCCCTTATTAAAGTCCATGGGTGTTATCCCTTAGACCTCCCTGCAGGTTTGTGGATTGTATATATTTAGTATACAAACAAATAAATATATATAAATGATATATAAAGAAAACACACATGAAGGGGGAACTTTTTACATGACTCTTATGTTGACCATTGGGTTTTATTGTGGTCAGCAATTGTGGAGTGTGCTGGGTTTGGGGTGTGGGATGAGGAACAAATGGTATATCGCAAACAACCACACAGGGAGGTAAAGTTTTAACTAAGTCAGAGGTGATGGGGTACAATTGGGTTTCAAACATCTGTCAAGCTTAAAAATGGATGCCAAAAGCAGCAATTATATAAACAAATTTATAGCACCAATTAAAGTATATGTGGTGAAAAGTTGCATGTTCATAGATAGCCAGTACACTTAAGAAAACTTTAGTGGAGATAACTTTTTTTGCAAAATTAGTCTTCCGAAACTTGACAAAAAACATACAGAATGATAGAGAATTTATCTAAGAGCACCAATGCTTCTCAGAAGAACAGCTCTGCCATGGAATAGGTTTTCTTTAATGGGTTTGTAATGAGCTGCAGGTGGTGGTCTAGGGCTATGCTGAATTATGAGGTTATTAACGATAATGGAGGGAAAAGCAAGTCATCAGCAATAGAGTTTAATATGCCTTTGACTTTAATGAAATTTTCCATATCTATAAAAAATAGAATTCTCTACATTTTAAATATAGAAAAGGTAAAATTGTGTTAAATACATTTAGTATACAAACTAAATACAGATAAATGATATATAACTGTAATAGGTAAATACATAGGGTATAAAATTGTACTGCAAAGCTGACATTTCATCTATGTTTATAAAACTCATTTTAAAGAGGTAAAAATAACATTCCCTAAAATGTTCCCTTAAAAGAACTATTTACAAGTCACAAAGTCTTCATTTAATACCTTACTTTGTGTTTTAAAGTTATTCAATTTAGTTAACTTAAAGTTATTATATTTATTATTGACTGACATATATATGTATATTACTTTCTTAGACTTCATTTTTTTCTCATAAATGAGTGGTTAGATACAATTGTCTACTAAAAAATTAATATTTTGCCCTCATGTTATGCATTACTTCTTTGTGTTTACTCTGTAATATTGTAAGTGAAACTTGGGAATAAGAGAAGACTCCTCCCATAATTCTATGACATTAAGTAACAAACTAGCCACAAAAGGACTTATATCAGAAATCTGTGGCAGGCATCTTAAATGACAGAGTACCATCCAGGTCAAAAGCTGGAAAAGCAGGGTGAGAAAATCTAATTATGGTATGTGTATCTGAAACAAAGATGTTATATATGTAAAGATACAGTGTGTTTACTGCTGTACATGGTGCACAGAAAAAAACAGACAGTCATGGATCTAGAGTATATCATTTTAACCCAGCATTTTCAAGGGGAATATGTGCTAAATGCAGACAACTGAAGAGAACCATGTTCCATTTGAAAGTAGAAGTCTCAAAACGACACTTGTAATTTCATGCCCATCAATAGACCATTTCATGGTTCTTGTGATTCCTTTCTCAACAAGGAACCATCAGAGGAAGCAATTGCTTTCCCATGTTTATTTCCCAAAGGAGCTGACTAAAATGGAAGTTTCTGTGCCTAGGACTTTGGCATTTATTAGAGTCTATTAATTACCTTATACATTTATGTGTTTATAAACATATATGTTGTGAATTTTAAAAGTGGCTTTCTGGTTTATCTATCAGACTCATCTGGACTTGGTTAACATAAAGCAATCTTCTGAATCTACTCAACTCTGGGTGATCAAGGCACTCAAAATATGAGTTTGAAATGCTCTAGAAGTAATTATGTATCGTGGTCAATTCAAAACTCTTGTGTCATCCTGTAAAAAGCTGCCTGAGCAGCAGTCAACTCCCTAGATGATATCTTTATCTCGTCTTATTCTAGATGGAATACTCAAAATAAAATAACAAAGATAAATTCCATCAGTCATAATGTTTTAGAAAAATCTTTCCACTCTTCTTTGAAAAGAAATTCAAAATTAGGTAAAATTCAGTATAGCAAAAATTATACTTAGAAGCAGTGACTATAGCCTTCCCTACTGGAACCTGACCACAAAGTTGTATTAACACGCCCTGGCACCAGTTCTTATATCATGCTTCCTTTCTTATTAGTTCTTAAAGCAATGATCATGGAGACATTAACAAGGAAACTTTGCAAAATACACTATTTCTTTCCTATAATGAATGGGCATATTTTGAATTAATGGACCTTGAGTGAACTTATCAATAGAGCAGTCTAGTGGCTCCTAAAGAGGAAACATTTTGCTACCAGGTGACATTTGGTAACATCCGGAGGCATTTTTGGCTGTCACAGCTGGAATAAAGCATGCTATTAGCATCTCGTTGGTAGAGGCCAGAGATGCCGCTAAATATCCTATGTGCAGGACAGCACCCACAGAAAAGAATTATCTTGTCTAAAATATCAGCCAGTTTCAGTAGCTTATGCCTGTAATCCCAGTACTTTGAGGGGCCGAGGTGGGTGAATCACCTGAGGTCAGGAGTTGGAGACCAGCCTGGCCAACGTGGTGAAACCTCGTCTCTATTAAAAGTAAAAAAATTAGCCGGGCATGGTGGTGCATGCCTGTAATCCCAGCTACTTGGCATGCTGAGGCAGGAGAATCACCTAAACTCGGGAGGCAGTGGTTGCAGTGAGCCGACATCATGCCACCGCACTTCAGCCTGAGCAACAGAGTGAGACTTTGTCTTAAAAAAAAAAAATATATATATATATATATATATTTATATACGCACATAAATATATATACACATATATATATACACATTATATATATCACTAAAGCTGAGAAACTGTGGCTTAGATCATTGAATTATTTTAAATACAGTGGTAATTGTTTAAAGATATGGAAATTAAATCAAAATAAGCTTATAGAACTATTTTTTCTTACTGCAGTGACTAAATACAATATGAGATGGTTTGAATCAATTTTATGAGTAGTTTTTTATAGTTATTCACTTAACATGTTTTTATTGTTGCTATATTTTTATGTGTCAATTAATAAAAACTTCAAAATGAAAGATTTCATGAAGCATTAAAAACTAGTCAGACAGCTGAGAAATGTTCACACATAAATGTTAGATCTGGTTGATTATTCTGTAAATCTCATTTTCATGCCCCTTTTCACCAGTGGAGCCAATGAATTTTCTTGATGTTACTCAAATATCTTCTCCCTTCTTTGTATAACTATTCCTGTTAATTAGACAGTGATTCCCAACCTGATTATGACATTATTTTGCTTCTTTTGTTAGTTACTATATTCAAGTGTCTAGTAATTAACAAGAAAGCTTTTAAAAAAAGGCAGAACTCTTACACAGGAAGCCATCCTCAGGCGAGTTACAGTGTATAAACAGTCCAGCCGACTGCACCGTGTAATGGAGCAGTCTGTATTATCCCATGTCATGCCGATAATAGCTCAGCTCCATATTCATGAGTTTCAAGCTATTCATGTAGAAGATCCATGCCCCTTCCATTCAGAGAACATTGTAAGATTCAGTGAGCAAAATGATTACTGAGCACACTGTAGAATATGTGTATACTAACAGCTCAATTGTGCCATGCCCATAGACAAAAGTTAGTCTTCTCTGTTTTATTCGTTTGTCCATTTATTCAACAAGTAAATGGAAGTGCTATTTATTTATTGAGCATCTCCACAAAAGCAGTCACTTTCATAGACATTTTCTTTTTTAATTCGCATATCACCCTGAGAGATATTTGTATTGATGTTTTATTGTAAACTAGGGCTTTAAGCTCAGGGATTTATAAATGTCCTCAAGGCTTAAAGCTAGGAGACGATTATACAACATTTTTTCTCCCAGATGTACTCTCCATATTTCTCTGCCTTGTCCTCTCCCCTGAGGATCTGAATTCTACAGATCCCATCACCCAGATTCTTTTTCCCTCTGGTTTCTGGTTGAGTTCAGCCAATGGAATGCACCAGCAGATCAGAGGGTGGGAAGAGAAACTGTGTGGGATATTTATTCCCTCTGCTCTCTCCCTGCCTAGTAATGCTTCTGGTCATTGTTGTGCTTCTCAACAATTACAGGTCCTGTTTGGGGTCCCTTTCCCAGGAGCCCAAGTTCTCTCAGGGTTCTGGTAGTACCATTCACTTCCTCTCATCTCCTTTTCTGCTCTAAGGATAAAAATGATTTCCTGGCTGTTTTTGGTTTCTGGTGCCTCAGAGTCCTCTGGTTCCCTTGATTCTGATCATACATTTATGAATCTCCTCCTCATTAAAAACTTTTTAGTGTCTGCTGTAACCATGCCAGATAGAGCAGTAATGTCATGATTGAAACCCAGGTCTCTCTGACTTCAACACCTGAGCTCTGTCTATTCCACCATGATGTTTACTTGTGCCAATGTGTAAAGATGGATTGGGAGAGTGAGTATAACCCTTGCTCTCAAGTGGCTTCCAGTTTCTCTAAGCAGACCCACACTAAGCTACTACAAAGTAAACTATCGTAAGGACAAAAAACCAAACACCGCATATTCTCACTCGTAGGTCGGAACTGAACAATGAGAACACATGGACACAGGAAGGGGAACATCACACTCTGGGGACTGTCATGGGGTGGGGGGAGGGGGGAGGGATAGCATTGGGAGATATACCTAATGCTAGATGATGTGTTAGTGGGTGCAGCGCACCAGCATGTCACATGTATACATATGTAACTAACCTGCACATTGTGCACATGTACCCTAAAACTTAAAGTATAATAATCATAATAAATAAATAAATAAATAAAAAGAATATAGTAAATGCTACAATAAAGGAATAAGGAAATAAACCAAAAATATCCTGTATTCCTGAAAAGGAAGAGTGGTAAATGTTACACATTGGTCTTCAAATATTGAATATTAAAATTTTACCCAGCAGTCGGTCCTGAGAAACTACCAAGACTCACTTCCTTTCCTTATAGAAGGAAACTGAGACTCCCTAAGGATGTATAGGAACTGGGTAAGTTCCACAAAGTGTATTAGTGGCCAAGCTGGGACTGGTATCCAGCTCTCTTAATTGCTAGCCAAGTGTTCATTCCTCTCTACTAAATAATTCATATAGGCTCCTAAAAGAGCACCAAGAGAGCATCTCAGACATCAAGTGATATTCTATACACACTCTGCATATATTAATCAACCAACAGTAATTTCTCTACTTGAAGAATATCAGAATGCAAAAATGAAAATATAGCCATATATCCCACCTCTCAAGAAACTCCTACAAAATAAAGAATACATAAGTATAATATGTGCAGAATTAAATCAATCTAGCCAGAGCCCTAAAAATTGTAAACTCTTCCCAAGAAACTTTTTTCCAACTTAATCTGAATATTGACTGTTTTGAGATTTCTTTTCCTCATTTAAAAACAGTTAGAGCTAACACATCTGCGTGATAGCAGAAAGAGATGCTATCAAATGCTCAGTGTGTCAGCATTTGTAATCTGCTTTTGGCCAGTGGGAGGTGAAGTGGTTTATTTCAAGTTGAGAACTTAGGTGAAAACCCTTTATGTTTGTTTTATTCAAAATAGCTTTCACACAGATACAAAGCCATCAAAGCACCAAGCAGTCCATTGCTGCTATATAATGTTGTTTATTTTTTATGTAGAGTAGTTCTAATGTTAGGATTTAAATGTTTTAATGCTGCTTAGTTCTTATGTATTCAAAAATTTCAGATAATATCAAATCATTTATTATAGATTTATTTAAATTTAGATCATTTTAATAACTAACAAACGACAAAGTCTACTACAAGGGGAGTTTGAACAAGCCCTGTGGTCTAAGTCAGAAGGAGTTTCTTTGCTAATTTTGTGCATACTAGCCTAGCCAGGGAGCAAAGTGAGAAAGCAGGATGGAGGAAGTTACTATTCCATTGGTTTATTTTTCATTTTAAATTTGTAAGTAAATCCAACCAAACAGATGTAGTTTTCGGCTTCTCCTTTTACACGGAAGTAATTTGTCATCGGAACAGAATTCAGGTGATCCAGAAATTCTCAGATGTGTCACATTATTTTTTTTTCTTCCTATCCTTTCCTCTAAACTAAAACTTATGTCTTTACACAAGTGCATAGGACATTTTTCTCAAAGACTATTTTCCACTGATGGTTTCCAGCCACACTAGAGGCCTAAGTGCCAAACTTTCTTAGGAAATGCTGCCCTTATGACATTTTTTGGCAGGGAGCTGAAAGGCAGGCAGTAGACAGCATACAGAAAATTTTGTTCTTCCATTATTTCTCTTATGATTCTAAATGGACCGAGACTTAAGATAAAAATCCAAACAATGTCCAGCATAGTTTTGCATTCATATTCTTCATAAGCATCCTGGTTCATAGGCTTCTCCCAGCAGAAAATATCAATCAGTGATGAATCAATTCACTCTGATAAGATGGATAAGTCCCTAATAGGTGCCAGAGCTTGTGTAACTCACTGCACATAAAGAAACAAAAGTGCCACTTGGCTTGAGAAGAGTCTAAAAGGAGAGAGAGACAAATGTCCTAAAAATTAATAGGGAGAGAGAGAATGATAATAATGATGACAACCAAATATACAAAAAGTGTTTGTGTGTTGTACAACATGCTAAGAGCATTATGTGCACTACCTCATTTAATCATTGCTGTCTGAATTTTTCAGATAAGGAAGTTAAGGTTTAAGAAAGATTATTCAACTCACCCAATAAAATAATGGCATGAAAGAGTACAGCCAGAATTCAAATCTAGGAAAGCTTGATTATGTTCCCCAAACAAAGATACCCTTCAAATACTACTGCCATTCAATCCTCCCAATCGAAGTAACAGTGATAAGACACTGTCATCCAATCCATAGACATATTTTATATTTCATCACATACTCTAACAATGCCTCTTTTTTCCTTTCACAAATTTTTCCAATTCAAAAACTTAATCCCTAAAATCTGTGTCCTTAAACTATGGATGGACAAGTTGAGTCAAAGTAAAAATAGGTTTTTTTTTTGCCTTGTTATATAATTTGAGGGCTAAGGTATTTAAAAGATACTTAGAGTTTTAAAGAGATATCTGTACACCCATGTTCATGGCAATACTATTCACAGTAGACAAAAGATGAAAGCATCCCAAGTGCCCATCAACAGATGGATGGATAAGCTACACATGGCATATACATACAATGGAATGTTAGCCTTAAAAAGGAAGGAAATTCTAACACATCAAATTGCTTATTATAGAGTAATTTAAATTAAGATCATTTTAATAACTAACAAGCAACAGAAAATGTCTACCATAAGGGAAGTTTGAACAAGCCCTGTGGTCTAAATCATAAAGGTTCATCAATAGATGAACTTTGAGAACATTATACTAAGTGAAATAACCCAGTCACACACAGACAAATACTGTCTGACTCCATTTATGTGAAGTATACATAGTAGTCAAACTCACAGAAACAGAAAGTAGAATGGTGGTTGGCAGGGGAGATGGGGATGGAGAAAGGGGAAGTTGTTTAATGGATATAGAGTTTCAATTTTGCAAAATTAAAAAGTTCTGGAGATTGGTTGCCCAACAATGTCACTATCCTTAACTCTACTGAAAATGGTTAAAATGGGAAATTTCATTATATGTAATTTGCCTCAATTAAAAAGAAAAAAAGTCAAAAAATACTTAGAAATTAGGTCTAAAAAAAGATTAAAGGAAGATGAATCCCTCTGGTAAGGACAATAAACGATGAACCAATTTGATCTTTTCCAATATTGCATAAAGATGGCATTACTGATACCTGTGACATGAGAATATTACCCCTACAGTGATTTATTAAAAGTCTGGTTGTAGGGATGCACAAGATTAATACTTATAATTGGGCTCTTCCTTATTGCGTTGATAAGACACAAACAATACAGACCCAGACATGTAACCAATAGGAATAAAATCAGAAATATACCCACCAATTATATGCATTACATATATCTTCTCATTCTATTATCTTCTCATTCTATAATCTTCTCATTCAGTATAAGTTCTAAAATAAATATAATTTAAGTTACAGGTAAGGGAGTAAAAACTTATGAGCTATATGTTCAAAAGAAGTGAAACTGATGGAAATGGTTCATGCACCTAAATCAGCCTGCTGTACCACACCACTCTTTCCATATAGAACTTTTCCAAGTTACAGTAATATTTACTGTAGAGGAAACTATTAGACTTATATACATTTGTCTAAACAAACTGAGTCCTCTGTGTTGATCTCCTCTTCTCTTATCACTCTCTCCTCTGAGTAAACCATAGGAGTAAGGTCCACAGTGAGAGAGAAAGAGAGCAAACTTTAATAATAGACTGCCTTTGTTATGCTGATGCCTGAAGCAGAATATGTTTCTACCTATTCCCCAGTACTTTTAGTGAGGTGAATTTTTGAAAGAGGTGAGACAATGAGGAAATTAACCTATATGGCTTAGTGCTTGCATTGACTCTGACTAAGGTCGTTGGAAGAACAGCAGGTAAGTGCTGTAACTAGACGTTCTCTTTAGCACACACACCCATGAGAATGTTGCCTAATCTTTCTTCTGTGACGTAAATCCTTCTCACCTTCTTCCTAGCCTTTCCACCAAATGGAGCTAATCAATTACTCTAATTACTCCAATTATGCTTCCTTTGATTTGCATGTATTATTTTCATGATAATCTCATTAGTATAAAAGTGAGCATCTTATTTGCAGTATAACCAAAAATGGTGCAAGTATATTTTCACTGTTAATGAGCTGTCAATTCTATTTGGTTCAATTTTTACTACGTTTTCAGCTCATTTCATTTTTGTGACTGCAAAAATGTAAACATTCCACAGCTTCCACCTTCTTATTTGGCCTATTTATTCTCAAGATTTTATTTACTTGTATGTCTTCCTGAAATCAATGACTTCTCATACTCTATTTCCACTAAGAAATCTTGATAATGTATACTCCTTCAATATAAAGCATCACTCTTCTAATCAGGACTGTCCACTCAGCTTATCAAACAATTTTTGACTTACAGATAGATGTACAGTCTTGAGAACTGCACAGAACTTGAAGACAGTAGACATCCTGAACATTATTACCTGCTACAGGCATTACAAATGCTAAATAGAGTGAATAAGGAGAGGGGTAATAAAGAGTTTCCCAAAAGCCCATGACATGGTCTTTTAGCCAAATTATCCTTTTTAGAGTGCTTTACTACCTAACATTTCTTCTTACACAAATCATCTACAATTAACACTGCCCCAAGCTATTTTCCTGTAAGTTTATACATTCCCAAACAGTGATCCATTTGGTATACCAGCTACATTTACGGATGCATAAGCAAGTAATTGAAAACCCACAGTACTTTAGGCCAGGTTGTTTCTTTGAACAAAAAAAAAATCAAGACCATGAACAGAAAATAATATATATTTGTTCATATAGAGGCAGTATTAAAATAGTTAAATATAAATTATCATTCCATAATTTTGTCAAAGGATACATCTATCTTGGTTCTGATAATATTTAAAGTCCCAAATTCCAAATTCCCCATGTCATTTAGGATTTCCTTTGAAGATAGAATATGTTTTTAAGAATTGTTTTACAAAAAAGACTCAAATTTATGATATGAAAAAAATATTTGTATTATCTTAAAGAAACAAGCTTGTTCAAGGCTCTGAATGCAAATCTGCTCTTAGTCCCTTACCATGTAACCCAGAGGGACATAAATAGCAGTGCTGTATTTCATTTTCAGGCCCAGTCATGGCTCAGCCTCCTTAAGGTAATGCTCTGGACGTTGACAGGAGGCTTTAAATCTTTGGTGGGCTTATGAACTGCAACAGGGAACTTTTCATGATGTCCGGGATCCTAGAAGTGAGACGCCAGTGGCTAATCCCTGAGTCACTGGGCTCCTTTAACCTGCTCTCTCCACACTTTTTTCCATATTTCATCTTCTCTGAGCTGTTTGCTTTATGATTTTGGTTAAGTGTGAGGAAATCGGTGTGGCAGATGGAAGGAACTCAAGCTGTTCTGTACCAAATCCTAAATTTCTACCAATATTTATTTTGTTTGCCATAGTAAAATCCCCGACATGCCGTTTTTTAGTGTGTCGAGTAAGCCTTATTGCCTGCCAGTTTAATAGCAGATGCAATATTCCCTTACAGAAGACAAAGAAAGGGCCTCCATGTTTGGTTTTTAATGTTAAGAACAACATAGTTTATGGCATACAGCAAACCGAAACATAAAGTACTTTAAACATAATGCCTACTACAAAGGCCAGAGGCTTGCTTGGGCCTCCATGGTTAGAGACATGGCTGAGACCCTTACACTGACGGCAACTGTGAGTGATGTAAGGGGCACTGATCTTGGAGCCAGAGATTCTCAACTCCAGTTCTGACTCTGCCAGCCTGTTACCCCAAGTTACCAATAGCTTCTCACAACCTGAGTTGCTGCAATAGTAAAGTCAAAATAAGGCAGAACTCAAGGGATTTAATTAGAAATAAGTAAGATTATGAATAAAAATATGTTTGTAGGCTAAAGAGCATCTTATTGTGGGTTATGATCCTTCTGTTACAAGGTTGTAATATTTTTTGGCCAATTTTGTTTACTTAACATTAGTAAATTATGTCATTGCTATCATATTGATTTTTAACTTTTTAACAGATTTTTTTTGTGTCTGACTTGATGCCAAAAATGCAACTGGGAACTCAAATATTTAGTCAATAATCTGGATTGCATAGCACATACACATATCATTACTTATACACAAAATAGCTACACTTCTGACAGATTTTTCAATTGCTGTTTGGCATTACGGAGAACCAGATTAAGAAGCTCTTTGTAAACTGTACCTTGTAACCTCAGCAATCTAGGAGCTAAGTTATTAGACATCAAAATTATGTGCAGTTTTATGCCAGAGTCCTTTCTAAAAAGCTAAGCACAAACGGTTCAGAGTCTTTGTCCAAATAGCCATGATTGTCTCTCTATACATGTATTTATATATAGATATACTACTAAGATAGAGAGAACTACAACTATAAATATAATGAGATAATATGTACTGTAAAAATATGAACACATACACATATGTACTGAATATAGATGATTACATATACATATGCATTGTATATATATATATATAAATATAGATACATATATATTGTGTGTACACACACATACACACACACATCTGCATGAGACCAATGCCAGGTCTCTATTCCAGAACAATTGTGTTAGAATATATAGGGTAGAGCTGCTGCACTAGTGCATATTAAAATCTCCCCAGGTGATTTTCACAAGCACTAGGAACCACTGCTCCACATACATATCTGAAGTCCTCTATGCATCTTGTATTCAGTATGTACTTATATTATGCTGGCCCATATGTTTCCATCTAGACTCAAAGGACAATACCAATGGCAACGTTAAAAGTCTTCATCTGCTGTGACTAAGTCATTGAACTCCTTGACTTCCACCTTGATTGTGAGGCCTCTCCAGCCACATGGAACTTTAAGTCCATAAAACCCTTTTTTCTGTATAAATTAGTCCATTTCAGCAGTGTGAAAATGGACTAATACAGTAGGTCTGGGTGGGACCTGAGATTCTGTATTTTTAACCAACTACCAGGTAATGCCAGTATTTCAGGCTGTGGACAGCTTTTGAGTGGCAAGGCTGCCAAAAAAGAAGAAGTAAATCAGAATTTATAACTTTCTGGAAAAAAATTCTTGACTACACAGGCTTTCTAAAACAAAACATTTAAGAAATAATATACAGAGTATGAACCAGAAACTTAAAAAGCAGAGACAACGTAGCATCTGGCTTTTGAACAATGACCCTGTTTGCTTAATGGCACTCCAAAGTATTTTCATGTTCTTCTGTTGCCCTAACTACACTTCAGTAATTAGTAAATGTTACAGGCATGCTGAGATTTGCTGCCTGGTCCAGTAGTCAATCATTCAAGCATCTATAAGAAAAAACAAGCATGTTAATGCGTTTTAATGCATTTCTGTGATTTGTAGTTTCATAAATGTTGTTCTAACCATATTCCTCACAGTTAGCAAAACAGGAATGCAGTAATTCTTTTATTTCAACATATAGTTCATCATTAATCTTGAGATTCTATTATAAAAGACTGCACCCCATGAAATTAATCAATATGCTCCACGTTTTTATTCTGCTTCTTTTTTCCCTGTGTCATTGCTAAATTCAAGAAACTGAAATACCAGTTTCCATAACACTCTGAAATTCTTTACTTTGACAGAACATGCAAAGTTAGGTTTTGCAGAGTTTTCTTTTATTCAAGTCAGAAAGACCCAACTATACTGGACCTCTTCCCTTCTACCGCTTTGAAGGAGACTAATTTTATGGAACAGAAGATGTGGCATGAGAGGACTATTTAATTCCCAGCTCTTTTATTTAGGGGTCTAGTCTGGCCTGAGTTAGTCACTGAAATGTCTCTGGGCCTCAGTTTTCTTATATAAAATGAGATGATTAATATTAACAGTACCAACGTTATTTATTATTACTATTATAACTATAGGATGTGAGCTAATACATACGTTTGAGTCAGAAAACTTTTTAAGTGAAGTTATGGATCCTCATATGAGACACATATGTGGATCATTTCTCCTTTCTTTCTCTAACTTACATGTGGCTTGGCAGCTGGGACTCTAGGTTGGATACATGGATAAAAGTTTATAATTATTTCAGCCTCTGCCAACCAGTTTTACTCTTTGCATTTAGTTCACAAGACAGAACATCTCAGAAAGGCAGGAGTGATGTTATTTACCATGTGGTGACAGTGCTCAGCACAACACCTGGCATGTGGGAAGCCCCATGAATGCCAATTAAATACATAAATAAAAATCATTTGTCTATTATACATTTAGTTTCTTCTAAGTTTAAAAGGTGCAAAACTCTGATCAGTAATTTGGAATTGAAACAGTACTTTTTAGTTTGAAATCGGCATGATGACGATAAACATGTTAACACATATTCAATCACAAATTCATTTTGGTCTTCTTGTTAAAGTGGGAATCAGCATTCATTAGCAGCTCTAAATCTTTTAAAATATAAAGGCAATGGAAACATTACCTAGCTAATGCTGTGATGTTTACTCAGGAAAGAATAGCATCTCACTCTGCCCTCCTTGCCCCCTCTCTTCTGGCCCATACTCCATCCACCTGCAACATATAACCCATCACTACCTTCCAGACCTCTGAAGCTTATGTAGCCCCAGAAAGGGTCCAGGTATGTGGGGTCATGGCTCACACAGACTCCCTTGCACTCCAAAACTACCGGAAAGATCAGAACTTCTGAGGTGGCATGAGAAGATGATGAAGGCTTAGAGTCCCAGACACTAAAAATAAATACCTAAAACTGTCAGTCTAGAACTTGGAGAGGTCTAGTATGTGACTATGAGAAAGAACAGAGGTTCTGGAAAAGAAAACTTGCGTAAATAAAGGATCTTTTGCAACACAAACTCTCCTGATCTCGGTCTTTCTACAATACCTCTGGCCTCAATTATTTCTGAATTAAGAATTAAGAAAGGAAAAGAAACCTTGTTTATGCTTGATGTTCTTTCTCCCTCATTTGTTTATTGGTTTTACTGATTTTAGAAAAGTTTCTTTCTATAAACATTTATCCTTAGGAATCTAATTAAATCACAAGTTAAAGAATTAAAAAGACTCAGCAGTGTATGGGACAATGAAATATTATCTATGAGTCAAGATATAATGTATCTTCATACATTCTATATATTGCTCTGACCAGTCTGAAATGTAAAAAGAAGGCTTTGAAAGAGATCAACTGGCAAAAGTACTCAAAATAATTTTGCCATCAGATAAAGTTAAATACTGTTAAAACTTAATAGTTTTAACTGTAAAATGGGGCCAATTCTGATCCCAGGATAAGCTAGGTATCTTTGGAAACTCCGTTTATTATTCCAGGTAAGTGAAGTGTTTTATTCCCCTGTCTCCTCCAGGGCATATTCTGGAGCGCTTGTAAAAATGGCTTATATCTGATCATTCTCTTGAAAATAGAAGTAAATAGAAATTTTGGACTGCATACCTTATTAACTACCAAAAATTATGAAATAATTTGGCAAATTCCATGAAATGATGGTCAATGAGAGTGGACTGATTTAACGTGATAGACCTTGAATACACAGAGACTTTAGTTATATTTTAAGAGTCAAAAAGGCTCTTTTCCTAAATGGTTCTTTATGAATGTTCTCAAACTAAACTCCCTTTCTCAATACTCTGTGTGGATCTTTTCTAAAAAAGATAAAACAAACAAGCCATGAAAAACCAGCAGACATTTCTGTACACTGTCTAGTCAAATACATGAGTTTCAGTCACATTGCTATAATAATCTCATTTTCTCTTTGTATTAAGCACTCGTAAAAGACAAGCTAAGAAAAGCTAACTGGGAATATTGATGAGTAGGAAATATGCCTAGAGGTCTGGGTCTCTGGGGTGATATCTGATAACCAGAATACTTAAGCAACATACAGTGAAGTCATCAGCATGCAGAAAATTGAGAGCTACCTGGGAAAACTCTACTTGGGACAAGGGGCAAAACAGAGGGTTTCATTCAAGAGAACAGACTCTTATTGGTTATTATAAAAACTACCAACAAAAGCACTTGATATAACATCATGTAAGAAATATTTTGGGATTCACCTTCATAGATCTATCATTTATTCATTAATATTCTTGGCTGAAATAAAGAGATAATTAATATTTTTGAGATAAAAAGGGGGTAAAGTATGTGAATAAAAAGCTGGCCTTTGTTGCAGTATTAATGGAAACCACCTACTAGCATCAGACAGTATCACCAGAGAATGAGACAAAGTTACTGAGAGAGGTATCATGATGACACATTTATGGCAATGACAGTTGGGATTTCGTAAAACTTCTAGCCTTATAAGCTTTTTATGGACCTAAGCTTGGTCATATTTATCCTATTTTATTTGAGGGGTTGATTAAATGCTAAAGAAATCAAAATAGCCACAAGGAGCTCATAGTTTCTAAATAGTTTAGGTGACATTCTCATCATCTCATCATCTGTTCAAACAAAAACTTATTTTGACAACATCACAGTGGATATTTTATGTACCTCAGATTCCTTGAAATTTTCCCTTTTAGATACAGAATGTCAAGTAGAATTATAAACCTGCAATTTGTACCCTAATCTTTAAAATGAGTATAAGCGTGTCCAACTGTAATTGGAAAAACCTAAGCAAGCAATAACACCAAGCTTCAACTTCTAAAGTGATTTTGTAGAAACAGTATGGATTCTTCAAATTCTCCTGATTTCTTTTTAACAATTCAAGTTGGCTTTTTCTTCATATATCTTTTGTTCTGAGCATGAGTTTGGAGTCAAACTACTTCAGCTCTAAACATGACTCCACTGACTATTTACTATGTGATTTGTTTGACTTTATTGTGCCTCAGTTTCCACATCTGCAAAATGGGAATAGTATTGGTATCTGTTGGGAGACAATTGTCTAGAAGTCTCTCACTTTTCTGCATATGTTTTGAAGAGAGGCACTGACTATCTCTGTTGTGGATCATATTTTTAAGGACATATGAATTGATAAGAGCCTTGGAAAACAGAGATAGTGTGTCTCTCCCAAGAAATAACGCTTATTACCCATGATAGAAGTTTTGATTTCCTTACACTCAGAATTCCCATCCTGTAATTCTATCCATTGTATGAACAAATATAACCTGATTTTTTCACTTTATTCTATAGGAAGTGGAGCTGAGAGAACTGATACAAGAAAATGCAGACACTTTGGAAACTGCTACTACTGTGTGCATTAAAACTATCCTCTGTCTCTGATTCAGGAGTCTCATGAATGTATTCTGCTAACATACATGAAGCTTCAGTAGACTAATTTGTTGGCCCAAAAGTAGGGTAAAATCTCAGACCTTCCACAGTTCTTGCAGTATCTGTCTCATAATGTTATCTTGAGGATTAAGATAAATAAAACACATAAAGTACTTACAACAATATCTGGCATATAAAACTCCAAGATTATATTAGCCAGTATGATTAACCACTTATAACTGGTCATAAACTGTTTCAAGATGTAAAGCTTTTGGGCTATTGGAGAATTCCAATTTCGGTGGTGTTGAGTGATGAAAGATACAGACTAAAGAATCGTTAAGGTGTCTCATGATAGTATGTATTTTCTTTCTGATTGCCCAAGCGGTGGTTTATACAATTAAGAATTTTTGACCATCTTGGATAGTCACTTTAAATATCCAAATTTTTATTATATATCAAATTATGTAAACAATTGTTGGAGAGTATCATGTTCTGCAAATGATTTGTCGTATCTCTATTTGTTTCTGCTGAAACCATTGCCTACTATTGATGGTCAGCATCATACTGGTGCCACTGCTTTCTTTATCACTGCAGCTCATCTCACTGTCCTGTGAAAATTGGCTTTGGTTGGTTGTTTTATCAAAGTGCCATAAAGCAAAGAATGGTGATTAGTGTTTACTTCTTTATTATGAAGTGTGTTATATAAACACATTCAAAGAGATCTTTCCTCAGAAAGATTATTTAAATAATCTCACATGGCTCCTATCCAGCCTCAACCTGACTATTAGAATCAGTGGCAAAAACACATGCCTTTGGGGTTCTGTAAAATTAATCAAGTGATCTTATCAGATAAATCGATTTCACTGAGTTTCTGTTGCATTCTAAGCCATCAGTTGAAGCATATATAAGTTAGACATGGCCTATGTATACACAGTTTTGCCAATTGCATAAAGAATTCAATGGATCACATAACTTAATTTTGGAGAATCCAATGAATGGAGTTGATGCTGGCTGATAGGGTCTAGGGCTAGATAGAATTTATGGAAACTTTTCTACAGCTATTACCTAGGGAGGGTAAAAAGTATGAGATTACTTCCCCCACATGTATTTTCCTTACTCTTATGTTTTAATGCTGCCTTAATATTTATTTTATTTGTTCTGTATAAAAGAGAAATGGAAAAACATTTGACACATGGTATACTCTTCCCTAGGTTTTATGCACCTTTAGGATAGCTCACGTGCCCATACATTGTTTAGAGTTTAGAACTCAATGAAGGAAACAGGAAGCAGCCACAAAAGTGTTAATTCCTCTGCAGAACAAATCAATTGTTTGCAAATCATTTAAAAACATGGAAATATTTTTTAAAATATCATCTTCCTGACCATCTATGAGTCTGCCTATCCTACAGAGTATTCCAGTGTGCATTCCAGGGATCCCTAAGTATTTAAAATACCAGAGTTTGTGAGCCACTTCTTTTGGGAATTCTCTCCCCAAGGGTAAATGGAGGTCTGCATTTATCTGCATGTCCAGCATGCTTCATGATGCAGTGCCTTGTCATTTTCTTAGGTGGCAAAGGTGTCTTTTGACTGGTAGTTTCTCTGAACTCAAAGACGTTATCTTTTTATTGCTATTGTGGATGATTGTTTCACAGTGTTGCTTCCACTTAGAGTTGCCACATAAAATATAGGATGGCCCGTTATGAATTTCAGCTAAACAATGAATAATTTCATTTAATGTAAGTATGTCCCAAATATTGCACAGGACATACTTATGTAACAGAATTTTTGGTTGTTTATCTGAAATTGTTGGTTGTTTAACTGGCCATCCTATATTTTTATTTGCTTAATCTAGCAACCCTCCATGGGAAGATTTTAGGGAAAGTGACACTTTATCTGGACCAATAAATATAAGCAACAGATTTAGAGAGAGTATTTTAAGAGAAGAAAAAGGCAAGAATGTCTGTATATGAGAAATCAGATATGAATATGCATTTTCTAAGTGTAAAAACAGAATTCAAAAGTACTGAATTCTCTATCTCTTATAAGTCCATGTCCATCTAAATGGAAAAAAATTCTACCTTATTATTTAGTAGGATTACCAAGCTCCCTTGAAGATGGTCTATGGAGGTAGAGCCGAGTGTCAAAATGTGAGAGAGCAGAATATTCACTGGATTTTCATAAGATAATTAATCTGCATCTTCAGAATGAGAAAACAAATCCACCATTTTCTTATCAGATCTAATCCAACTTTCTCCCTGCCTCATATCTTAAAAAGAAATATCAATATTCTGCTGTAGTTAAGAAAATAGTTTTTAATCAGGTAGAGTAGGAATTTAAATTCTATCTTCAACATTTATTAGTCAGGTGAATTTAGTCAAATACTTACCGCAAGTTCCCCTTTCTTGCCTGGAAAATAGAGTAAATAATATTAACTTCTATGGATAGTTCTGAGAATAAATTGGCACGTACATAAAAGCATCTAGTATAGTTAGTACCTAAAATATAGTAGGAGGTCAAATAAATGGTAGGAATAGTCTCTGGCCCTACCTAATAGATATTACATTTCCCCAAGATTATTCTGGATTTCTTTATATATATTTTTTATTATACTTTAAGTTCTAGGGTACATGTGCACAATGTGCAGGTTTGTTACATATGTATACATGTGCCATGTTGGCTTGCTGCACCCACTGACTCGTCATTTACATTAGGTATATCTCCTAATGCTTCCTCTACCCCCTTCCCCCACCCCACAACAGGCCCCGGTGTGTGATGTTCCCCTTCCTGTGTCCAAGTATTCTCATTGTCAAATTTCCACCTATGAGTGAGAACATGCGGTGTTTGGTTTTTTGTTCTTGCGATAGTTTGCTGAGAATGATGGTTTCCAGCTTCATCCATGTCCCTACAAAGGACATTAACTCATCATTTTTTATGGCTGGATAGTATTCCATGGTGTATATGTGCCACATTTTCTTAATCCAGTCTATCATTGATGGACATTTGGGTTGGTTCCAAGTCTTTTCTATTGTGAATAGTGCCGCAATAAACATACATGTGCATGTGCCTTTATAGCAGCATGATTTATAATCCTTTGGGTATATACCCAGTAATGGGATGGCTGGGTCAAATGGTATTTCTAGTTCTAGATCCTTAAGGAATGGCCACACTGTCTTCCACAAGGGTTGAACTAGTTTACAGTCCCACCAATAGTGTAAAAGTGATCCTATTTTTCCATATCCTCTCCAGCACCTGTTGTTTCTTGACTTTTTAATGATCACCATTCTAACTGGTGTGAGATGGTATCTCATTGTGGTTTTGATTTGTATTTTAGAAAACCCCGTCATCTCAGCCCAAAATCTCCTTAAGCTGATAAGCAACTTCAGCAAAGTCTTAGGATACAAAATCAATGTGCAAAAATCACAAGCATTCTTATACACCAATAACAGAAAAATGGATTTCTTTATATTTTTAAAGTTGCTTTTTTCTTATAAATTCAACCAAAACAGTATTTTACCCATTTTTGCTTTTAGTCTTAATCAGAAATTCTAAAGTAATATTTCTGAATAAGAGTATGATTCCAAATATTGACCAACAACTGTCATAGAAGAAGTGACCTATCAGATTACACACAGAGGTAATTAGATTGGTTGCCAGCAGTAATCACACGATACAGGTATGCCTCCACTGGCTAAATCACAGCCATATTCCTAGAACAGAGAAGGCAAAATATCAGATACTAAATTTTCATAAAAGATGGTAAGATCCTAACTAAAGCCCTTACATAAAAAAATGTATTTCCTGATAGTGATTAGAGTTGAAATGAAATTTTAATCTCAATAAAAAGTCTGATACCAACAGAGGCCTAATGTATGATGATATAGAAATTTAGAAAGTTAGGAATAATAGCAGAAAGAATGATAGTACTCTGTTGAATATCCACTATTGCCATGCAGTCCGCTGAACATTACATTCACTTACTAATTTAAATCTATCAATAGCTGTTTTCTGTCTATTCTATCTTATTAACATGATTCTATTTTGAGATTAGATTCATCTCTATGTTACCAATAAGACTGACAGAATTATTTAACTTGCCCGGGTCACACACAGTTGCTAGTGAAAGATTCAGCTGTTTAAATTTATTTCTAACAATCTCCAAAAGCCATGTTCTTACACACTATGCTGTGCTGCCTTTCATTGCAATGTTATAAAGCAAAAATAAAAGGTCACATTTCAATCAAAATGATGTAAACAACAAAAAATAGTATTAACCTGTTTGATTAACACCACCAGAATGATGCAAAGGTACTGTTTCAAATGATTTTTATTTAATGGATATTGCCAATCCAACAATAAAGCTTCAGAAAACATTTTTTGGGGAAAAAAATCCCAAGCAGAAATATTAGAATGGTTTTGATTCTTTTCCAAAACACAGTACAAATAAGCATGTGTCTGTTTAATCAGATGTAAAGAGAAAGAAAAACATTGTAAACTAAGCACACTTTGCACCTGGATATTCCTGTGTCAGTAGCCATATTATCTCTGGGATACATTTTCTTTGCACCAGCCTTTTTCAAGTGCTGTACAATTCTTTTGGTTACTGTTACTATTTTTATCCCTATTCAAGGGTATATGTGCCTGCTTTTGGATTCCAGTTGTATTAGTCAGTTTTCTTATTGGAGAAGAGTCCCTTATAAAACCATCAGATCTCATGAGAACTCACTCATTATCATGGCAACAACATGGGGGAACTGTCCCCATGATTCAACCACCTCTACTTGGTCTCTCTCTTGACATGAAGAGTTTATAGGGATTATAATCCAAGATGAGATTCAGGTGGGGACCCAAAGCCTAACTGCATTATTCTGCACCTGGCCCCTCTCAAATCTTATGTCCCTTTCACATTTCAAAATCAATCATGGCTTCCCAACAGTTCCCCAAAGTCTTAATTCATTCCAGCATTCACCCAAAAGTCTAAGTCCAAAGTCTCATCTGAGACAAGGCAAGTCCCTTCCACCTATGAGCCTGTAAGATCAAAAGGAAGAAAGTTATTTCCTAGGTACAATGGGGGTACAAGGATTGGGTAAGTACATCCACTCCAAATGAGAGAAATTGGTCGAAACAAAGGAGTTACAGGCCCTACGTAAATCCAAAACACAGGGAGGCAGTTAAATATCAAAGCTCTAAAACGATCTCCTTTGACTCCATATCTCACATCCAGGTCACATTGATGCAAGAGGTGGGTTCCCATGATCTTGGGCAGCTTCACCCCTGTGGCTTTGCAGGTTACATCCCACCTTGTGGCTGCTTTCATGGGCTGTCATTGAGTGTCTGCAGCTTTTCCAGGTGCATAGTGCAAGAAGTTGATGGATATACCATTCTGGGGTCTGGAGAATGGTGGCCCTCTTCTCACAGCTCCACTAAGCAGTGCCCAAGTGGGGACTGTATCGGGGGGCTCTGACCCCACATTTCCCTTCCACACTGCCCCAGCAGAGGTTCTCCATGAAGGCTCCAGCCCTGCAGCAAACTTCTGCCTGAACATCCAGTCATTTCTGTACATCCTCTGAAATATAGGTGGATGTTCCCAAACCTTAGTTCTTGACTTCTGTGCATCCACAGACCCAACATCACGTGTAAGCTTCCAAGGCTTGGGGTTTGCAGCCTCTGAAGCAATGGTCTGAGCTGTATGTTGGCCCCTTTTAGCCATAGCTGGGATGCAGGGCAGCAAGTTCCAAGATTGCACAAAGTAGCAAGGCCCTTGGCCCAGCCCAAGAAACCATTTTCTCCCCCTGGGCCTCAAGGCCTGTGATGGGAGGGGCTGCCATGAGGACCTCTGACATGAGCTGGAGACATTTTCCTCATTGTCTTGGTGATTAACATTTGGCCAATGGTTACTTATGCAAGAAGCAGGTTGGAATTTCTCCTCAGAAAATGGATTTCTCTTTTCTATTACATTGTAAGGCTGCAAATTTTCTGAACTTTTATGCTCTGATTTCCATTTAAACATAAGTTCCAATTCCAAACCATCTCCTTGTGAATGCATAAAACTGAATGCTTTTAAGAGCACCCATATCACATCTTGAACACATTGCTGCTTAGAAATTTTTTCTGCCAGATACCCTAAATCATCTCTTTCAAGTTCAATGTTCCATAGATCTGTACGGCAACAGCAAAATATCACCAGTCTCTTTGCTAAAGCATAGCAGGAGTCATGCTTATTCCAGTTTCCAACAAGTTCCTCATTTCCATCTGAAAACACCTCAGCCTGTACTTCATTGTTCATATGACTATCAGTATTTTGGTCAAAGCCATTCAACAAGTCTCTAGGAAGTTCCAAACGTTCCCACATCTTCCTGTCTTCTTCTGAGCCCTCCAAACAGTTCCAACCTCTGCCTGTTAAACAGTTTCAAGGTCACTTCCACATTTCGGGGTATCATTAGAGCAGCATCCCACTCCCTGTGATACAAATTTACTATATTAATCTGTTTTCATACTGCTAAAACGAACTGCCTGAGACTGGGTAATTTATAAAGGAAAGAGGTTTAATAGACTCACAGTTCAGCATGGCTGGGGAGGCCTCAGAAAACTTACAATCATGGTGGAGGGAGAAGGGGAAGCAAGATGCTTTCTTCACAAGGCAGCAGGAAGGAGAAGTGCCAAGCATAGGGAGAAGAGCTCCTTATAAAACCATCAGATCTCATGAGAACTCACTATCATGAGAACAGCATGAGGGAAACCATCCCCATTATTTAATTACCTTAACCTTTGGTATCTCCCTGACACATGGGGATTATGGGGATTATAATTCAGATGAGATATGGGTGGGTGGGGATACCAAGCCTAACCCTATCACTTGTTTTATCTGTATTTAAAAGTGTGTACACAACCATGATTTCAACTAGCTGAATCAGCATATTGATTGAGTTTGTTACTTTACAGATTCCATTGACTCAGTCTTGTGAGAAATTCAAGTGTCACCTCAACCAAATCTCTATCACCAGCCAGGATTGTATATTACCCAACTCTTATAGGGCAGCCAGGGAAGAGAACCAGAAATATCCAGGAGAACATGGATATTCTGTCTGCAGAGTTTAAGGACTGGTGGTTTGCACATTGTGTTCAGAGGGTCCCTTGAGACAAAAGTGTCATCATGCAGGCAAGAGAGGGGCACTGAATAAAGGGACTTTATATCCTTTAGTTTACTCCAACCACAGAAGCTCCACATTTTGACTGTTATGTATAGTTGGCTTCTACATAATAAAATTTTTGTGGAGAAAGTTTTATGGCTAAAAATATTTGAAAACTACAAAATTTTTAGAGATGTACAAAAGAAAGATTTGACAGAGACTGCTAGTTGCCCACTCAAAATCCATTTACTCCTTATCTTAATTAACAAAATTTATATATTGTTCAGAGCAGCAGCAAAGTACTTAACTAAAATGTTATTCCCCAGCCTTCATTTCAGCCCCTTATCCTCCTTCTTTTTTCCCTCAATACAGATATGATTGCTGGTGCTGGTGTGTCTATCCTGTAACTCATAAGGCATTTTAAGAATGGAAACCAAGTTCTATGGATAGCAGAGTTAAAAAATAGGGAGTCTGGGGACTATAATGACAGTGTACATCAATTATACTTGCCCTGGATTGCCTCTCTGTACTATTTCTCACATGAGAAAAAAGGAAAAACCTAATTTACATGGGCCACTGTTTTAAAATCTATTTGCGCCAGAAATAATTAGTAATTAATGCAAGAAGTAATAGCGATCTTTTCACTTTTATTTATTCATGTATATGTGTGTGTAAGTAAAGCTGACTCTGAAACAATATTAATGTGAGCTGAAAACAGAGAAACTAAACCATGGTTGGTATTTACTAAACATATGAAATTACTGAAATGTAATTTGCAGGTTCTGTTTAGATTCCTAAGGTTTTTAAATAATTAGAAAAATAGTTACATGGTCTTTAGTAAGAAATAGTGTACTTTCTAATATGTAAATTCATAATATTGTTGTTTTAGCTCTTTCCTTTTGCCAGATCCGACACCCTCTGCCAACTTTTCTGTTATCTCTCTCATTGATTCCTCTTCTCCCCTATTAAGAGCTATTAAGATCTTTTCTTTAGTAAAGGAGGTATTTGTATTGGGAAGAGTTTGGGATGAGGAAGAGATATAAAATAGGCCCTCAGATGTCTATATATTCTCCATTTCATTTTTTTGAAATCCTTCATAAAATCTACAAAAACCGATTTTTAAATTTTTAATAAAATGAGCATATAGTAAATTCATAGACATAAGTACAATTAAAATAATTAGACAAATTAAAACATAAAATAAACAGAAATAAATAATAATACAAAATAACAAGTATAGCAACAATCATACTTTTATGAACATTGCCTTTTAATAGTTTGCTAGGCACTATTTAGAATAAAACTGATATATACTTCTCTGTAACCCTACATAAGTGTATATGCATATGAATAGATCTACAATCAGTTGTGTTTTTTCACTAAAACAGGTGCACTTGTACATTATATATTTGAATAACACATTACTTGAAATAATTTATAAGCGAGTAGGAGTAAATTTTTTAAAAACCTAGCTGAGGTAAGTAAATCTATTAGGAAGACATTCTTCATAGGTGATATATTTTTGACAATACAGTTTCTGCAGTTTGAGAAAATGATCTTTTCAATTAAACATGTAACTAGTCAAATCAGCAAAACTGACAAAAGCAGTGGGATAGCAGACATTGTAAATAGATTAACCACAAATTTAACATGTTAAGGAGAGCTTTCATATTTCATTGTGGGAAAAGATTGGCTTAAGATACCTGTTTTTTTTTTCCTTATTTTGAAACCAGTGAAAAGAACAGCACTCATTCAATTTGAAGGCAAGGATGGTGTGACTAAGCATTAATTCTCACTTAAATCTGCTGAAGAGTTGTTAACACCATGTTTTCATGTAACACTTTATGTGATTTTCCTAAAAACAGTGGACCTCAAACTATTATCTGAGAAAATCTGGAATTAGGCAAGGTTAGAATAACTACTTTGACTATAGGATTGAAAATTTATTTTTGTATGATTATTTGAAAGAAAACATATCAATAGGTAGAACTTTCTTAATTTAATTTTTATCATAAGTTTTTCCCTTCTACTTCTGCTTAATTATCAGTGAGTATTATCACACTACAAATAAACTAAAAAATTAATCAATAATTATATCTAATAAGCTGAAAGTGTAATTAAAATATTTATACAAGATTATTTGTAAGATGTGGAAGACAACATATATTATTCATTCTCTGTAACTTTGTTGGTACCCATTAACCATCCCCACCTTCTCTCCAGTCCCCCGTTAATCTTTTCAACCTCTGGCAACAATCCTTCTACTCTCTATGTCCATGACTTTAATTGCTTCGATTTTTAGATCCCACAAATAAGTGGGATGCAATGTTTGTCTTTCTGTGCCTAGCTTATTTTACTTAACATAATGATCTCCAGTTCTATCCACGTTGTTGCAGCTGGCTAGATCTCATTCTTTTCATGGCTGAATAGTAGTGCGTTGTGTATATGAACCACATTTTCTTTATTCATTCATTTGTTGATGAATACGTAAGTTGCTTTCAAATCTTATCTATTGTAAAGATTTGTTTACAGTGCTGCAACAAACACAAGAGTGCAGCTATCTCTTTGATATACGGATTTCCTTTCTTTTGGGTATATACCCAGCAGTGGGATTGCTGGATCACATAGTAGCTCAATTTTTAGTTTTTTGAGGAATCTCCAATCTCTTCTCCATAGTGGTTGTACTAATTTACATTGCCATTAATGGTGTACAAGGGTTCTCTTTTCTCCACATCCTTGCTAGCATTTGTTATTGCTTGTCTGTATTAGTTCATTTTCATGCTGCTATAAAGACATACCTGAGACTGGGTAATTTATTTAAAAAAGAAATTTAATTGACACACAGTGCCGCAGGGCTGGCAAAGTCTCAGGAAACTTACAATCATGGTGGAAGGCAAAGGAGAAGAAAGGACCTTCTTCATATGGTGGCAGGAGAAAGAAGAGTGGGTAGTGAAGGGGGAAGAGTTCCTTATAAAACCATCAGATTTCATGAGACCTCACTTATTATCGCAAGAACAGCATGGGGGAAACCCCACCATGATCCAATTACCTCCACCTGGTTTCTCTTTTGACACATGGGGATTATGGGGATAATAATTCAAGATGAGATTTGGGTTGGGACACAAAGTGTAACCATATCATGGTCTTTTGGGCGTAAGCCATTTTAACTGGGGTGCAATGATACCTGATTATAGTTTTGATTTGCATTTCTCTGGTGACCAATGATGTTGAGCATCTTTTCATATGCCTGCTTGCCATTTGTATGTCTTCTTTTGAGAAATGTTTATTTAAATCTTTGGCTCATTTTTTTAATCAGATTATTAGACTTTTTCCTATAGAGTTGTTTGAGCTCCTTAAATATTCTGGTCATTAATACCTTGTCAGATGGGGTAGTTTGCAAATATTTTCTCCCATTCTGCAGGTTGTCTCTTCACTTTGTTGACTGTATCCTTTGCTGTGAAGAAGCTTTATAACTAGATGTGACCTCATTTGTCCATTTTTGCTTTGGTTGTCTGTACTTGTGAGGTACTGCTCAAGAAGTTTTTGCCCAGGCCAATGTCCTGGAGATTTCCCCTCAATGTTTTCTTGTAGCAGTTTCATAGTTTGAGGTCTTAGGTTTTAATCTATAAATCATTTTGATTTTTGTATATGATGAGAGATAGGTTTCATTGCTGGTTTCATTCTTCTGCATATGGATATCCAGTTTTCCAAACATCATTTATTGAAAAGACTCTGTTTTCCCCAGTGTATGTTCTTAGCACCTTTGTCAAAAATGAGTTCACTGTAGGTGTGTGAATTTGTTTCTGGGTTCTCTATTCTGTCCCATTGGTCTATGTATCTGTTTTTATTCCAGTACCATGCCATTCATTTTGCTTACTATAGCTCTGTAAGATAATTTGAAACCAGGTAATGTGATTTCTCCAGTTTTGTTCTTTTTGCTTAGGATATCTTTGGCTATTCTGGGTCTATTGTGATTCCATATAAATTTTAGGATAGCTTTCTTTTCTACTTCTTGAAGAATGTCATTGGTATTTTGATAGGGATTGCATTGAATTTGTACATTGCTTTGGGTAGCATGGATATTTTAAAAATATTGATTCTTCCAATCCATGAACATATTTTATTTTATTTTTTTGCTGTTGTCTTCAATTTCTTTCATCAGTGTTTTACAATTTTCAGTATAGAGATCTTTCATTTCTTTGGTTAATTCCTAGGTATTTAATTTTATGTGTGGCTATTTTAAATGGGATTACTTTTTTCTCACATTGTTCACTGTTGGAATGTAGAAATGCTACTGATTTTTGCATGTTGACTTTGTATCCTGCAACTTTACTTAATTTGTTTATCAGTTTTAATAGTTTCTTGTAGGGTCTCTAGGTTTTTCCAAATATAAGATCATATTATCTGCAAACAAGGATAATCTTATGTCTTCCTTTCCAATTTGGATGCCCTAGATACGTTGATGTTATAGTGGTGAGCATAGCTGCCTTCCAGTTTGGATGCCCTTTGTATCTTTCTATTGTCTGATTGTTCTAGCCAAGACTTCCAGGACTATGTTGAATAACAGTTGTGACAATGGACATCCTTATTGTGTTCCACATCTTAGAGAAAAGACTTTCAGCATTTCCCCATTCAATATGTTACTACCTGTGGGTGTCATATATGGCTTTTATTATGTTGTGGTATGTTCCTTCTTTCCGCAGTTTTTTGAGGGTGTTTACCATGAAGGGATGTTGAATTTTATCAAATGCTTTCTCAACATCAATTGAAATGTCCATATGGTGTTTTTATGCTTTATTCTGTTGACATGATCTACTACATATTTTGATTTGCATATGATTGAACCATCCTTGCATCCTTGGGGTAAATCCCACTTGGTTATGAATGGTCTTTCTAATGTATTGTTAAATTTGGTTTGCTGGTATTTTGTTGAGGATTTTTGCATCAATATTTTTCAGAGATATTTGCCTATAGTTTTCATTTTTTGATGTGTCTTTGTCTTGTTTTGGTATCAGGGTATTACTGGCCTTGTAGAATGCATTTGGAGGTACTCCCTTCTCCTCTATTTTTTGGAATAGTTTGAGTAGGATTGGTATTAATTCTTTAAATGTTTTGTGGAATTCATTAGTGAAACAGTCAGGTCCTGCCTTTTCTTTACTGGGAGATTTTCATTATGGCTTCAATCTGGTTACTTGTTATTGGTTTGTTCGGGTTCTGCATTTGTTCCCAGTTCAATTTTGGTAGGTTGTATGTATCTATGAATTTGTCTATTTCTTCTAGATATTCCATTTCATTGGCATTTACTTGCTCATAGTAGCCACTAATGATCATTTGAGTTTCTGCAGTATTAGTCACAGTGTCTCCTTTTTCATTTCCAATGTTATTATTTGCATCTTCTCTCTTTTTTTTTTAGTCTGGCTAACAGTTTTTCAACTTTGTTTAGCTTCAAAAAACAACTATTTTTTTCATTTATCTTTTGTATTTTTTATTTCAATTTCATTTATTTCTGCTCTGATTTTTATTATTTCTTTTCTTCTACTAATTTTGGGTTTGGTTTGTTCTTGATTTTCTAGTTCTTTTTTTTTTCATTGTTTGAAGACTGATTTTTTTTTTTTGAGTTTTTACACAAGCCTCTTTTGTATTCAATGTTGTTTATAGATACATCATTAGATTGTTCATTTGAAGTTTTTCCTCTTTTCTGATGTAGGCACTTATAGCTATAAACTTCCCTCTTAGTATTGCTTTTTCTGTATCCCATAGGTTTTGGTATAATGTATTTTCATTATCATTTGCTTCAAGAAATTTTTCAATTTACCTGTTAAATTCTTCATTGACTCACTGGTCATCCAGGAGAATATTGTTTAATTTCCATGTATTTATGTAGTTTCCAGAATTTCTCTTGTAAATAATTTCTAGTTTTATTCCAATGTGTTCACAGAAGATGCTTGATATTATTTTAATGTTTTTGAATATTTTTAGACTTGCTTTATGACATAACATATGGTCTATCCTTGAGAATATTCTTTGTGCTCTGGAAAATAATGTGTATTCTTCTGCTATTGGATAAAGTGTTTTATGTATATCTATTAGATATACACATTTGGTCTATACTTGAGATTAAGTTTGATATTTCTTTGCAGATTTCCTGTCTGGAAGATTCATCCAGTGCTAAAAGGGGGATGTTGAAGTCCAGCTATTATTGCATTGGGACCTATCTATCTCTTTAGCTCTAATAATATTTGCTTTATATATCTGGGTGCTCAAGCGTTGGGTGCATATGTATTTAAAATTGTTACATACTTTTGCTGAACTGACCAGTTTATCATTATATAGTGACATTTTTTGGCTCTTCCTATAGTTTTTGTCTTGAAATCGATCTAGTCTGATCTAAGTATGGTGACTCCTGTTCTTTTTCAGTTTCCATTGGCATGGAATATCTTTTTCCATCCCTTTATTTTCAGTCTGTGTGTGACTTTATAGGTGAAGTGTTTTTCTTCTAGGCAACATATCAGTGGGTCTTTTTTGTTTTTGTCTATTCAGCCAGTCTATGTCTTTTGATTGGGTAATTTAGCCCATTTACATCCAATGTTATTATTTATCAGTAAGGACTTAACTTTTATCATTATAAATTTGTTTTCTGTTTGTTTCATGGTCTTATCTTTCTGCTTTCTACTAGTGAAGGTGATTTTCTCTGGTTATACAATTTAGTATCTTGTTTTTATTTTTTGTGTATTGATTGTATGTTTTTTCATTTGAGATTAGCATGAGGCTTGAAAATACTATTTTATAACACATTGTTTTAACCTCATAACAACTTAACACTATTCACATAAACAAACAAAAAGAAAACTAATAAGAACTGTACACCTTAACTTTGTCTGCCCTCTTTTTAATCTTTTGTTGTTTCTATTTGTATTTTATTGTACTTACTCTGTCTTGAAAAGTTGTAGTTATTATTTTTGATTGGTTCATCATTTAGTCTTCCTATTTAGGATAATACACATCACAGTTACAGTGTTATAATAATCTGTTTTTCTGTGTACTTACTATTACCAGTGAGTTTTGTACCTTCAGGTGATTACTTATCACTCATTAACATCTTTTTCTTTCTGACTGAAGTATTCCCTTTAGCATTTCTTACAGGACAGGGCTGGTGTTGATGAAACAGCCTTTGTCTGTATTTCTTCTTCATATTTTCAGAAGATATCCTACTCTAGGGTAAAAAGGCTTTTTTCCTTCATCACTTTTTGTCATGTCACTCTCTCCTGGCCTGTGAGATTTCCACTGAAAAGTCTGCTGCCAGATGTACTGAAGCTCCATTGTATTTGTTTATTTTATCTTGCTCCTTTTAGAATTCTTACTTTATCCTTGACCTTTGGGAATTTGATTATTAAATGACTTGAAGTAGTCTTCTTTGGGTTAAATCTGCTTGGTGTTCTATAATCTTATTGTACTTAGATATTGATATATTTCTCTAAGTTTGGGAAGTTCTCTGTTATTATCTCTTTGAATATATTTCTACCTCTATCTCTTTCTCTACCTTCTTTTAAAGGACAATAACTCTTGAATTTGCCCATTTGAGGCTATTTTCTAGGTTCTGTAGGTGTGCTTCATTGTTTTTTATTCTTTTGTCTCCTCTGACTGTGTATTTTTAAATACCCTGTCTTCAGGTCACTAATTCATTTTTCTGCTTGATCCATTCTGCTGCTAAAGAACTCCGATGCATTCTTCAGTGGGCTAACTGCATTTTTCAGCTCCAGAATTTCTGCTTGATTCTTTTAAATTATTTCAAATTCTTTGTTAAATTTATCTGATAGAATTTTGAATTTCTTCTCTGTGTTATCTTGAATTGCTTTAAGTTTCCTCATTAGAGCTATTTTGAATTCTCTGTTTGAAAAGTCACATATCTCTGTTTCTCCAGGATTGGTCCCTGGTACCTTATTTAGTTAATTTGGTGAGGTCATGTTTTTCTGGATGGTGTTGATGCTTGCAGATGTTCTTCAGTGTCTGGGCACTGAATGGTTAGGTATTTATTGTAGTCTTTACTGTTTGGGCTTATTTGTGCTCTTTCCTGGGAAATCTTTTCAGATATTTGAAAGGACTTGGGTGTTGTGATATTAATATAAGCTGTATCTGCCCAGTAACTCTGTGTTTCTTGTAGACTCGTAGATGTACTGCTTTGATGGTCTTGGACCAGATCTGTGAGAATTCTCTGGATTACCTGGAGGACTCTTGTTCTCTTCCCTAACTTCTTTTCAAACATAATCTCTCTCTCTCTCTCTCTCTCTCTCTCTCTCTCTGTTCTGAACCACCTAAAACTTGGGGAAGAGTGACACAAGCACCCCTGTGGCCACCACTACTGTGACTGTGCTGGGTCAGACTTGAAGCTAGCACAGCACTGGGTCTCAACCACGGCCTGCTGTGATTACTCTCTGGCTGCTGCCTATGTTCACTCAAGGCCATAGGTCTCTACAATCAGCAGGTGTCAAAGGTAGCCAGGCCTGTGTCCTTCCCTTTAGGGCAGTGAGGTCTCTCAGGCCCCAGGTGTGTCCAGAAGTGCTGTCCAGGAGTCAGGGTCTAGAGTCAGAAACCTTATGAGTCTACCAGGTGTTCTATTATATTGAGACTTAGCTTGCCCTCATGCCATAAGATGCAGTCCTTCCCACTCTTCTCTCCCTTTCCAAAGGCAGAGGAGTCTGACCCTGTGGCCACTGCCACCCCAGGCCACAAGGAGTATTGCCAGACTACCACAGATTTTTACTTTAAGGTCAAGGTCTCTTAAGTCAGCTTGTGGTGAATGCTGCTTTGCCTGAGACTCACCCATCAGGGCAATGGGCTCCCCTCTGGCCCAGGGCAGGTTCAGAAATACTGTCCAAGAGTCAATATCTGGAATCATGGACCCCCAAGAGCCCAGTTGGCGCTCTACCCCACTGTGGCAGTGTTGGTACCTAATGTTCAAGACAAAGTTCCCTTTACTTTTCCCTCTGCTTTTCTTAAGCGGAAGAAGTTTTACCCAGTAGCCACCACAGCAGGTAATGTGCTGAGTCTCATGGAAAGCCAATAAGTCTTCAAGGTTCACCCAAGGGCCTCAATGTAGTACCTGGGTATCACTGCTGGTTATTCAGGGACCAAGGGCTCTTCAATTAGCAGGTAATGAATGCCGTCAGGACTGGATCCTTTTCTTCTGGTCCAGGGTATGTCTAGAAATGTTATCTGTGAGCTGGTGCCTGAAATAGCGGCCTCATGACTCTGACCAGGGCTTTATCCTGCTGTGGCTGAGCTGGTATCCTAAATACAAGAAAAAGTTCTCCCCACTCTTCCCTCTCCTTTCCTCAAGCAGAAGGAAGGGTTCTCTTTTGGAGCCTTCAGCTGTGCAGCCTGGGGTTGGGGGAGGGGTGATGCCAGCACTCCCTTAGCTGTCCCAGGTGGTGTCTCAGTGTGTAACATACCCCCCTCAGTCCACTGTCTCTGGGCCTAAGCTTAGCACTAGGACTTGCCTAAGGGTTGCAGTCCTTATGGCCTAGACTACCTTTCAAGTTTACTTGGAGACACAGAGTGATGTGGCCCTTGGTGGCGAGGTTTGCAGGAATTCAAGTTCGGACCACTGGCATCTGCAGTTCCCTTCTGGCTAGGGCTGGTTTAAATGCTCGCTCCTTGGGCAGGCATCAGCTAGTTTGGTCTGGGTTTCCTTTCTGCTCTAGAGCTGCTGTTTGGCATGGGGAAAGAGAGGTGGGTTGGCATTGGTGATTCAGGGCTGTGTTTTCTATCTTTAGTGCCTCTTTCAGTGATATGAAGTTAAAACCAGGTACTGTGTGTGCTCGCCTGATTTTTGGTTCTTATGAAGGTGTTTTTATTTTCTGTGTAGGTTAACTTGGTGTTAACGGCAGGGGGTTGGGTATGAGGGGAAAGATTGATGCAGCCTTCTAATCTACCATCTCGCTTTGCTTCCCTTTCACATGATATGATTTAATAATAAGACTCCTGGCCAGGCATGGAGGCTCAGGCCTATAATCCCAGCACTTAGGGAGACCAAGGCAGGAAGATTGCTTGAAGACAAGAGTTTGAAACCAGCCTGGGCAACAAAGTGAGACCCTATCTCTACAAAGTAAATAAATAAATAAAGTGACTTTTAAGCTCTTTTCAGAAGTCTTATCCTGAAACAACATTTTGAAAAGTATCTCTGGAGATGATCACTTAAAATTCAAATTTCAGGGCCAGGCCTGGTGGCTCACGCCTGTAATCCCAGCACTTTGGGAGACTGAGGCAGAGGGATCATGAAGTCAGGAGTTCGAGACCAGCCTGACCAACATGGTGAAACCCCGTCTCTACTGAAAATACAAAAATTAGCCAGGCGTGGTGGTTCATGCCTGTAATCCCAGCTACTCTGGAGGCTGAGGCAGGAGAATCGCTTGAACCCGGGAGGCAGAGGTTGTTGTGAGCTGAGATGGTGCCACTGCACTCCAGCCTGGGTGACAGAGTGAGACTCCATCTCAAAAAAAACTTCAAATTTCATCTACTCTCTTTGACTCATCTTTTTACTTGTATTCATCATTAATTTCTAGGAGTGATTAATTCCTTATTTTATTCTACAAAACTGTAAGTAAATAGGTTGCACGGGATTGGAACATTGGTTAGATGATGCTGATGGACATTTCTTGAACTCTGTCTCCAGCGCTTCACTCATGTCACCATCAGCTGGCATGAGGATTCACAAAACAGCCTCCTAAATGGTCTCTCTAGCCCACAGTTTCTTCCCAAAAATCTCTATGCACACACTGCAGCCAGAAGATTTTCAACACACAGATCTGATCGATCTCTCTCTCTTTCTCTCTCACCCACACACACTTTGTTTCTAAAGTTTATTTAATCTCCATGGCTCTTTTGTAAGAAGGTAAGACCCTTGCAGAGACTTCATAGTCTCTCCTTTCCCTCACTATATACCAGATATTGTCGGACTCCCTCAGTGGACACCAGCCACACTTTCTAGTTCCAGAAAGGTCTAGTCCCTCCTTGTCACGGTGCCTATGAATATGCTAATTACTCCGCCTGGAGTACTTTGTACCTGCTGATTGACTTGATATCATTAATTCGCAAATCTCTGCAAAACTATTGTTTCCTTAAGAAAGACTTCCCTGATTTGCCTGACTACATCAAATCTCCTTTTTACATAATCTTATGATTTTGAATAGTATTCATGTAATACTTTTGTATTTGTTTATGCAATATTAGATGAATAGATTTCTTGTCCTGTAGGCTCTTAAGTTCCAGGAGGTCAGGAACCATGTCAGCTTTTGTTCATCATTGCCTTCCCAGTACTTTTCTCATAGCAGCTCTTCCATATACAGTTGTTGAAGGAATCATATTACAGGCACTAAAAATTTGATTTGGTATAAGCAATAAACTTTTTAAATATTCTTCTAGCAACACAAATAATAAATAAAAACACAAATAATCATTGTTTTCTGAACTAAATTATTTTGATGGTCTTGCTTTGAGTTTGAATGAATTATTAATTTTTATTGCCATTCTCAGCCCAACATGTAACCCAAACATCTATTAAACACTGAGAATCACTAGTTCTTTTTTTTTTTTTTTTTGAGATGGAGATTCACTCTTGTTGTCCAGGCTGGAGTGCAATGGCGCCATCTCGGCCCACTGCAACCTCTGCCTGTTGTGTTCAAGCGATTCTCCTGCTTCAGCTTCCCGAGTAGCTGGGATTACAGGTGCCACCACGCCTGGCTGATTTTATATTTTTAGTAGAGACAGGGTTTTTCCATGTTTGTCAGGCTGGTTTCAAACTCCTGACCTCAGGGGATCCGCCTGCCTTGGCCTCCCAAAGTGCTGGGATTACAGGCGTGAGCCACCGCACCCGGCTGAATTACTAGTTCTTATTGAACCATATAATCTTAAAAGTGCATTGCCAGAATAAAAGTACATTTCCCTGATGTTAATTTGCATTGTGGAATATACACACACATGCTCACACATACGAACACCACATACACAAACACACACACACAATGGCAGAATATCACTTAATATTGAAGAAATTTTACTAATGGAATTATCAGGCACCCTGTGGATAAGAACAATCTTAATGTTTTTAATATTTAGTCTTAGTTTTAGAAAATACTAATTTTAAAAACTCCTTTTGCTCCCGAAAAGACCCACTGCATTTTGTTCCCGTGGTCTCGATCCTTTCTTATCTTTATTTCTATTTTGTCCTTCTTCCTGTGGACCTGGCATTTGTTTTGTGTTTCTACCCCTGATTTCTTGAGTTATCACTTCATTTATTTTAGTTATTTCTGGAACAAAAATGCAAACATTTTAGGCAATATGTGTTTTCCAGTTCATGTCCCCTCCCCCCACCTCCAGTGTAACTCTCTGGTACTCTCACTGTTATTTTCTAGCTAGCCTTCAACTTCCATGACATCTTTTCATACCCTTTTGAACCCAGGGGTTCTTTTGCAACATGTTTTTCTTCTTTAGAAAAATGTTTAAATAGTTGTGGTATTACTGTTATTTTCCTTGTGAAAACATATATTATGCTAATTCCTAATTTTACTGTATTAACTTCTCAGGGAATGTGGCCTATGCTAATACTAATATGAAAATTTGTTGACTTTTTAATGATGTACTAAATGAAACTTTTAAAAAATTATAGCTATATTGTGGGTATTTGAAAAGAAGCCATATTCTTTGTTGAGAATCTATTGAATCATTCTTTTATGTCATTTGCTGTCCTCTAATTTATTTTGCAATTTTAGTTAGTTGATAATTGACCCACACTGATGTTTTATATTGTCATTGTGTTCTTGGCAATTGTCCTTCTATTTTAATCTGTTTTTTATAATGGATTATGATCTATACTATTTAGTAGGTGGCAGTATTAACTCTATCTTATTTTGAACAGGACACTTTGTGACATAAAATTCCTCTTTGTTTCAGATAAACTTCTTTTCCTCTAGTTTTTCTTTATTGAGTGTTAACATTATCACCTTAGTTTTTTGCAGTTATTTTATACAGTAATGTTCAACACTTTATACTCAGTCTTTCTGTGTCATTTTAGTTTAATTATATGTACTATAAAGATTGTATTTGGATGTGGGTGGCGTAGAGTAATTTCTGATGTTTCCTTTATTTACCTACCCTCACAGCAAGAAGAATATCTTGTAGGAATGGTTAATGCACGGTGACAAGCAGGTTAGCCAGGGCCCCTTCTCTTTGGAATCCACTTGCCTGCATCGAGCGTATACTCTCTTCTGCTCTTAGCCATGCTATCAGTGGCGAGGCTAAGGTTCTTCCACAGCAACAGAAGCCTGCAATCCTCCTGCACTGCCTGGTAATTAAACACTCCTAATTCAGGGACTCAGTGTTTGGAAGCTATTGTTGCTTCCAAACAATAAATTATTATAAGATTAAAAAGGAAGAAGTTCTAATATAAGTTTGGGAATCACTTGTGGTACAGATTAAGAATGAGATCATGAAGCAAAAATATGATGTGTATACATTGATCAAATTGCCTTCTACAGGAGAAATGAGTCCTACTGGTCGCCCGCTTTGTCTCTTCTTTTGCTAACCCCAGTCAGTGTCAATGTTAAACTGCAAACTGTGTAGTAATATAGCCAAGTTGCCTGGTCCCTGAAGTTGCCTCTCTGCTTGAAAGGAAATCCCAGAAATGAACCAGGGCTAGGAATATGTAGATGCTCTTTCCTCTTCTGGTTGTGTAGAAGTATAATGCATGCAGGCAGCCTGCTGCTTGGCCATCTCTCCTTCCTTTCTTGTTTGTTCTCACCACAGAGCGCTGGACCCACCACAGAGCAGGGTGTGGGACAGGGAGTCAACCTTGCTGGCACATAAGAGACATCCAACAGACAGTTGCTTCCCGCCCTTATTCCTCCCCCAGCCTTTCCCTCCTGTAACAATGATATAGTCACTTCCTCCCACATCACATCTTCCTCATAGACAACTGAACTTCTTGATGAACATGCATTTATTCAGTATGTTGCCTACTTGCCCCAGGAACAACATGTGGAAATGCAGGGATTTGTTTGCTACACATGATGACATTTTAGACATTTTGTAATGTCAGCCAACAATTCAGCAAAGTTTTTAGTAAGCAGGCTTTGACAGGTGAGCTTCCCCAGGTTAAGGCTGGGAAGCTTATGAACACCACATAGCTTTACTTTCTTTTGAAACATTGGTTTGCTGGAGCTCCAGCAGTACTTTAAAGGGATCTAAATCTCTTACAGCTGCGAAACACTCTTATTCTCTGTAGATCTGCAGACCTCCCCAAGGAATGGTGCAGCTATGAACAGCCAGCTGTAAGAGTAAACATAAATCTCTTTGGAGGCATATATACTGTCATATTTTGCTAAGGCTTAGAAAGACTGAACAATTTTAATCATTTATCTCCATTTATCAAAATACTCCAGCCCAACAAACTCCAAACCAAGTTCAGCTGTGAGCCTGCCTTGCTGTAGAAGACTTACCATGGAGTATGTTGGTGTCTTTGTGATAAACCCGTGCATTTGTAAAAGAGCTCCTTGGTCATATAAAAGCTTGTATTAGTTTTTGGCCATTTAAACAAACAAATAATCAAAAGCTACTTTGTAGCTGACATTTTAGTGTATATATGAATGTATTATATATGTGCATGTGTGTATACATATATGTATATATGCACACATACACACATATATATGTTCACACCCATATACATATATGTAATCTCAAATATCACATGAAGTGCTTAGCCAAAAAGTCACCAGTATTTCCCTTATCACCTTATTTTTAGCTATTTATAAGAATATAAAAATCTGAACTATGAAAGCAAAGATGTCTTCAATAATGTCTTTCTCGTTTTTTATACTATTATTAAATGTAGAGAACAACATATTTCTAATTTTAAAATAATATTTAAAGCATAAGTAAATAATATTCTCTCTCACTCAAACATTGTGGAAACTAGTAAAAATAAGTATTTAATTTTAAAAAATGAATCTTAAAAATAAATATGTCATTCAGAAGTGGTTAGTGGTTTTTTTGTGTGTGTATTTTCTGTTTATTTGTCACTATAATTGAAGTTATAAGGTTTTTACCTGTATTCAGAGACCAGAGAAGAAGGAGAAACATGGAGCTCCTTCCTTTGGTGTGATCCCTAGACTGAACTTGGGAGAAGGGAGTGTGTCGATGAGCCGGCCTTGCTCCCTATACCACAGTTCCCAGCTTGAGTCAGGCTGCGGGAAGAAGACAGGCACCCCCATCAAACAGGCCCAGCGCACCTCCTTCTTGCTTTAAGTGTGCCTGAGTCAGAGGTAAAGAGATTGCCTCTAGCATGAATTATTTTGTGAAACATCTCATTGATCTTAGATGCTAGGAAGAAACATTCATGCATGTATTTAGAGCATGTATAAAAGTGGTGCTCTGGTGGGCATCACTCATAGCTTTAAACAGCAGATTTCTCTTGGTAAATGCTGCACAGCTGTAAAACTTACTCAGAAAAGCAGTATGTTGTGTTCTTTGAGGAAACTCAAATATGCTATGTGTTTGGAAGTATATATAAGACAGGAAAGGAGAGAATAGCAATATTTTTTTATTTTAAAAATTATCTATGGAAATAAAATGACAGAAAATGTTTCTTCTCGAAAGCAGAGACATTCATGGCTAATGAAGAATAGATGTACTGCATGGAATGAACATGGAGAGATAAGAAAAGTTAGGAACAGATGTGCCCGC
Organism: Homo sapiens; assembly: GCF_000001405.40. NCBI lineage: Eukaryota > Metazoa > Chordata > Mammalia > Primates > Hominidae > Homo > Homo sapiens. The sequence goes on along the minus strand of NC_000004.12, from coordinate 120,400,140 downwards.
TGGAAGGATGAGGATTTTTCACTACTAATCCCCATGATAAAGTAGATTAATAGAGTGGTTGTGGCTAGGTCACAGGAAGGCCATTGAATGATCAGAAAGTTGCCTGTGTATGCTTTTTTTCATTGCCAAGTTGCCCTGAAGTCCCAGATCAGGATGGTGTTCTATGGTGTACTTCAGAAAAAAAAAAATGACTCTTACTTAATAGCAGAATTCAGGGTGAGCTCTTCCCAAATCACCCTGGGATAAAGCCAGAATTAGGTTTCTTAGAGTTAAATATTTGGGGTCAGACAACTATTTAGTTATTACCAAATTTTTATATTGTGTTTACATAGAATTGTTTCTGACTCAGTTACAACATTTTTAGCATAATAAGCTAATACTAGTACTTAAATGCCTTAAAATATAGTTCTATTTTTTCCAAGAAAAAACTTACTTGAAAACCCATTTTCCATACCTCTATAGTAGTACACCATGCATACAGAAAACTGAATAGCTCTCTCTAGAAGATAGATCCAAGCAAAATGCCTAAAATTATAGTGTCTCTGCCTGCAGATCTGTCTGGGTAGAAGTTAATGATAGGAAATAAATACACTCATTATTGCGAGTTTTTATGACCAAACACATATATCACCATTTGTGACATGACAAAGAACATGTACTTTGGAGTCAGATATACAATCGACTTCCAGATTCCCCTGTTACTATCTGAATAAACTAGCACTGCTTACATAAATCCTCTAGGCCTCAATTTTCTCATTTTTCCAATGGGATTAATAATATCTTCAGAATATTGTAAGAATGAATGATTTTATATTTTAAGTATTTATATTAGTGGTCAATTAAAATAATAGTTTGAAATAATACCATCATGTTCATTTTTCAAGAACCATGTCAATTTAGACACAACAATTCACAAACCATTCATTCATTCACTGATATGTTTAACACACATTGTTGAATATCACTAGGCATTAGGGATAAAAATATGAATAGGACATGATGATTTCAAAGTTCTTCATAAAATATACAGAATTTTCTAAGGAAATTTGTGATTTTTTTAAATGAACGTGTTATATTTTTAAAACATTTTTTCTCTACAGGACAGGTACGTGCTAAGAGGATAAAATATGGGGCCACTCTGGCCAAGGCTAAAACATTTCATTCTTATTGATTCAACATAAGGAAGAACTGGAAATGTTAACTATTACTTAGAAGTAAAACAAAAGATATTTAAAGTTTCTTCCACTCTAAATTCTGTGTTAAAGTGGAAAAAAACGGGATTAATCGAAGTGAAGATGAGAAAGTGTCCGTCAAGCTGACAAAAATGAAAAACCAAATATGTGGTGTTGTGGAGGGTGTGATGGGATGTACACAATCTCACTTAGTAACTTCTGTGTGTATCTAAGTCTGAGATTAACTGTGGTTGACCAAAGATTAAAAACTAAACTAAACTAAAAGTTTCTGAGCAGTAACTTATTCTGCCTGTAAGATAACTACTAAATCCCCAAGTGAAAAGTGTAATACATGGATAGAAAATTCCAAAAAATTTCTGTGGATTTTTTACATCTATTTTTCTGAGTTTCTAACCTTGACGGCATTAAAGATTTAAGAAGTAATAGAATCACAGCTTAAGGAGATACAACTGTTAATATAGAGTCAGCTGCAATATATAATACATATGTGAAGAGAGGCTTCCAAAGCAAAACACTGAATTGCCTCTCTTTCTAAGACCAATGCCTTTCCTGTACTGTGGAGTCTCCCCAGGCTCCTCATATTATCAATTTTTCTTTCTCTATTTGACATTAATTTGTTCCTTATAGTAAATAATAAGCTTAATCAAATATCTTGATCTGAAGTTAATACATAAATAAGAACCCATATAATGCTCCAGATACTGTGTTTCTCCTCCTATGTTCCCAACCAAATTTCTTCTACTAATTATCTCCATGCACTATTTTCTCAACTCTCACTCACTTCCCAGTAATACCAATCAGACTTCTCTTTTTATCTCTCCTGAAGGGCTATGCAACTAGGTCATCAGTAATATTCATGGATTTAAATTCTATTTCCATTTTCCATCATCATTTTTTCACCTCTTTATAGTCTTTATTACTCAGAACACTTTTGTCATTTTCTTTTCCTGCTCTCTTTCTCCATCTTCTTTACTGGCCTTTTCTTCTTTATTCAGTCAGTAAATGTTGGATGTCCTCAAGATTCAAGCCAAGATTCTCTTCATGTGTCCCTTTCTATTCAGTCCTTGGGCAATCTCATCAACTCCCATAGACTCAATCACTGTCTGTACACCTAACACTCCCACACAAATCTATCTCTAGTCCAATCCTCTCCCCTGAGCTCCAGACTCTTCCTTTCATACAATTACCTACTTAACAATAGATTTCATCCTATATTCCATATTTGAGTCATTGGATTAGTATCCATCTAATTCCATAAAGTAAAATTCCAGTCATCAACATTGATATCTCCTTCTCCCTCACTTCCCATATCCAGTCTTTCACCTTGTTTTGTCAATTTGCTTTCTAAATATGAATCAAATACATTCACTATGAATTGGTGTCCACATCTGCCATTCTAAACTTTCCCCAAAGTAGTTTGCATTGCAGCAGGAGTAAGCTTTTTGAAATACCATTCTCATATGTCGAATGCCCCAAGACATCAGCTTAAAATTCATAATGGACTTCTTGTTGCTTTTAGAATAAAGAACAAAACCCTTAACATGGCCCAGAAGCCACTGCATGATCTGGTTTCCATGCATCTCTCTAGACATACATCATAACACTCTGCATGCTTCTTTCTGAGCAACTCTCACTCAGCCCTCTTTCAGCTTCTCAAAAAGCCATGGTCTGTTCTGCCACAGGGCCTTGTACACACTGGAAGAACATCTGTGTAAGTCCTAAATTCTTTTCATTATTTGCTCTTGCAAAACATTACTTTGCATCAGAGTGATCATTTTCTTTGTAAATACATATTTAGTAATGAGGTTATTTGATTACGATCTCTCTGCAAACAAGAAATTATGAAGAAGAAGAAGAAGAGAATAAGAAGGAGAAGAGAAACTGTTTGATCCAGTAATTCCACTTACAGTAGTTTATCCTAGCACATAATTAGGAATGTATACCTCAGAATATCACTAAATATTCTAGCACATAACTAGGAATGTATACCTCAGAATATCACTAAAATTTAATTGAATTGTTTGTAAAAATGTTGAAAAACTAGGGATAATATATTTTTCCAATGTGTATTATTTTTAAAATTATATATATAATCTAAATTTAGAATATATAATTATTAAACAAAAATGTGACTATACTTTGTGATCAATCACCTATTTTTATTTGTTTTATTTATTATTTATTTATTTATTTTTTGACACAGAGTCTCATTCTGTCACCCAGGCAGGAGTGCAGTGGCGTGATATTGGCTCACTGCAACCTCCGTCTCCCAGGTTCAAGCAATTCTCCTGCCTCCGCTTCACGAATAGCTGGAGTTACAGGCACCAGCCACTACCCCCGGCCAATTTTGGTAGTTTTAGTAGAGACAGGGTTTTACCATGTTGGCCTGGCTGGTCTCAAACTCCTGACCTCAAGTGATCTGCCCACCTCGGCCTCCCAAAGTGCTGGGATTACAGGAGTGAGCCATCATACCTGGCACTGTTTTTAAGTTTAACAATACAATGTGAAGACATTTTCATGTAAATAAATACAATATTATTTTAAACAGCCAGGCCCAGGGCCCTCCTACTGTGTGCAGCATAGGGACTTGGACCCCTGGGTCCCAGCCGCTCCAGCCATGGCTAAATGGGGTCAAGTTACAGCTCAGGCCATGGCTTCAGAGTGTGCAAGCCCTAAGCCTTGGCAGCTACCACATGGTGTGAGACTGCCAGTGCACAGAAGTCAAGAATCGAGATTTGGGATCCTCTGCCTAGATTTCAGAGGATGTATGGAAATGCCTGAATGTCCAGGCAGACGTTTCATGCAGGGGCATGGAGAACCAGTGCAGTGCAGAAGGGAAATGTGGGATTGAAGCTCCCACACAGAGTCCCCACAGGGTCACTGCCTAATGGAGCCGTGAGAGGAGGGCCAAAGTCCTCCAGACCCAAGAATGGTAGATCCACTGACAGCTTGCACTGTGCACCTGCAAAAGCCACAGGCACTCAACACCAGCCTTTGAAAGCAGCCAGAAGCCGGGGCTGTACCCTGCAAAGCCACAGGGGTGGAGCTGCCCAAGGCTGCTGAACACCTCTTGAGTTAGCATGACCTGGATGTGAGACAAGGAGTCAAAGGAGATCATTTTGGAACTTTAAGGTTTAATGATTGTCCCATCAGATTTCGGACTTGTATGGGGCCTGTAGCCTCTTAGTTTTGGCCAATTTCTCCCATTTGAAATGGGTGTATTTACCCAATGCCTGTATCCCCGTTGTATCTAGGAAGTAACGAACTTGCTTTTGATTTTATAAGCTCATAAGCAGAAGGAACTTGCCTTGTCTCAAATGAGATTTTGGACTTGGAGTTTTGTGTTAATGCTGGAATGAGTTAAGACTTTTGAGGACTGTTGGTAGGGCATGATTGTATTTTGAAATGTGAGGACCTGAGATTTGGGAGGGGTCAGGGGCAGAATAATATGGTTTGGCTCTGTCCCCCCACCACCAAATCTCATCTTGAACTGTAGTTCCCATAATCCCCACATGTTGTGGGAGAGACCCAAGGGTGGTTATCTCCATGCTGTTCTAGTGATAGTGAGTGAGTTCTCAAGAGATCTGATAGTTTTATGAGGAAATTTTCCTCCTTTTGCTAGGCACTTCTCCTTGTTTCTGCCATCTGAAGAAGAACGTGTTTTCTTCTCTTTCTGCCATGATTGTAAGGTTCCTGAGGCCTCCCCAGCAATGTGGAACTGTCAGGCAATTAAACCTTTTTCCTTTATAAATTACTCAGTCTTGGGCATTTCTTCATAGCAGCATCAGAACAGAGTAATAGAAGAACCAGGGATGTAACTCATGTGGGTGCATGCGGACGGTGCAAGGATGAATAACATAATCCCTTCCCTCGTGAGTCCTTTGAATAATTTGTTGTCTTTATAAAACTAGACATAATTAAACACATAATTGCTCTTAATGAAAGGAGTTGATCAGGGCACAGTGGCTTGCGCCTGTAATCCCAGCACTTTGGGAGGCCGAGGCGGGTGGATTACTTGAGGTCAGGAGTTTGAAACCAGCCTGGCCAACACGGTGAAAACCCATCTCTACTAAAATACAAAAATTAGTCAGGGGTGGTGGCGCACACTGGTAGTCCCAGCTACTCAGGAGGCTGAGGCACAAGAATCGCTTGAACCCGGGAGGTGGAGATTGCAGTGAGCCAAGATCATACCACTGCACTCCAGCACTCCAGCTTGGGCATCCAAGCGAGACTCTGTCTCAAAAACAAAACAAAAAAAGAGTTGGCATTTCTTCTGTTTCAGTGTAATGTGTTGAAATGTCTTTTATATATTCAATTTAAATTGATTCTTGATTTCTTCTATGAACTACTAGCATTTAAAGGAAATTCAAAATCTGCTTCAGGGTGCACCACAGTACCTCAGTTTCTCTGGATTTTGAGACGCTTCTAATCATGTATCAGGTGTGTCACATCTTAAAATTTCTTTGTAAGTTAAACCAATCATTTGGATCATATGTATCTGTAATAGAGTAATTCAAAAAGGTATGGTTTTCCTTCCTTCTATGTGAAAGTTGATATAAAAGAGCAAGCATTATGTCATTCGATTGACAAATCGGTTCATGTCAAACATGGATAGCAGTATAGTTCAAAGCAATATTTAAAGTAAAGTTTATACTTATGGGTAACATAGTCTTGCATTCTAATTTCATATTGGTATTTCTTTTTTTTAAACATATTTTCAGTTTTTCTTTAACGATGCTTTTCTAAAAACAACACCAATCCAATCTTTTATGCTCGGGTCAATATCAAATGCTACAAAATCTTCTAAATATTTCAACCTGATTTTCATTTCCCAAAGTAGAACAATATTTCTTTCCAAATCTGTAACTATACAGAGGTGCTGACTAACATTTTAGTCATACACAGCAAAAGTAGCACTTAGTAATATTTTCAGAAAAAAGAAATAATGTGGTGGGTGTATAAAGAATGTATCTTCTTTATACAACCCTTGCATGGAGGCTGTAAGGAATGAGACAAAGAGTAGATACAGTTAAACAGGTGCAGAGAAATAGGCCTAGGTAACACAGGCCAGCACCATGCTCAGGGGAACGGCAGGAGTCCACAAAGTGCTGTGAGGACTGAGCCTCAGGGAGGGTGGCCATTGATAAAGACACTCTCATATATCAGAAGACTGGTGAGAGGTGAGGCGAAGGTTTATTTCAAAGAACAGCAGTGCTTGGCATAGAGTAGGCATGAAAATAATATCTACTGAATGAATGAACAAGCGAAAGCTGCAGCTGTGCTCAGTGTCGGGATGCAGGGCGGGACTTCCATTGCCACACCAATCAGGGAATGCAGATAAATTCCTTCAAGTCTTATCTGTGTATTAAGGGTCTACAGAGAAAACTGCATACCTGTTAGAAGGAGACCGCCAGGATTTGATAGAAGTGTGTCCAAATGGTCTTCGGCCTTGGGATAAAAAAATAACCGTAAAGATGCAGAGGCAAATGGGGTGTGGGTGCCCGAATGAATAACATCAGAATGTAATCACCAGAGCTTAGAGCAAGGCTGCCATTGATGAATCACTCAATAAAGCTGTGTTGATGATTCTCAAGACCAGGGACACCTGAGGCTGTGTGATTATTTGAGGAAGTTCTAATACATTTCCCTGTAAGCAAGTCAAGTCCTTTTAATGTCTACGGGACCCTACATTTACTCATGTTCTTCCTGTCTTTCTCTATTCCTTTCTTTTTGTTTTCTGCATTGACCCTACTTCCCTCACCTCAATCCTCCCTTTAACAACATCAAATTATATTTCTTTAACACTTTGGGATGCTGTGCTAGGCAATGGTGAATCAGAAGGGAATAGGACACAGTTCTTGTCATTACCAGAGTTGGGGATGAGGGAGAGGTTAAGTGTGGACCTAGGTTCCACCACTACAACTGGCTTCCTTCTCTAAGTTTGAATGTGATTCCCTAACTCCCTACAATGTCCGAATGTCTTGGCGATAATGGCAGCTGTAGCAAGCATAGGACCACAGCCACTGCTTATGCGATTGTGCAGATTCCCCAACCAGTGGAGCATCCTAGCATGGGGAATGCCCAGAGGAAGAGGTACACTTTTTTACTCTGTTCAACAGCTCATGTTGCTTCCCGAGCTTTGTGTCCGTGGGGTCATCTCACCAAAAGGGGATGCCTTTGTGAAAAATTTACCCATAGAAGGTAGCTTTTCTAACTGACTAGAGAATGCCTCTAGTCATTGTGCTAGAGGCAGTCTCAGATGGTCTTGACTGCTAGAATCTTGGAGGAATATGAGATCTCCTGAAACCACAGATGTGGAGGTTTCAGCGCTGTAAAAATTGGACCACATAACATACTTGCTCCCCTGTAGCCCACATTCTAATCGTGGGAGACAGACAATAGCCAAGGAAAAAAATGAGTCAAATAACTTCAGGTAGTACTTACTACCGTGAAAAAAAGCAAGAAGAGTAAGGGAATAGAAGTGCTGGATGCAGGGGTTGCCATTTGAGGTGTCCAGGGGTTTCCGGACTGTGGATGATGAACAGCAGTGAGCAAAGAGAAGCTCTACAGAAGCAGCTTTCAAGGCAGAGGAAAACTCTGTGGTGAGACCCACTCAAGTTATGAATAAAAGTCCATTATTCTGTTTATTTGGGCACAGTGATGAGTCACAAATTCATCAATTAATAAAAAAAAGAAAGGCCGGGCGCGGTGGCTCACACCTGTAATCCCAGCACTTTGGGAGGCCAAGGCGGGCGGATCACGAGGTCAGGAGATCGAGACCATGGTGAAATCCCGTCTCTACTAAAAAAAAATACAAAAAATTAGCCAGGCACAGTGGCGGCCACCTGTAGTCCCAGGTACTGGGGAGGCTGAGGCAGGAGAATGGCGTGAACCCAGGAGGTGGAGCTTGCAGTGAGCCGAGATCACACCACTGCACTCCAGCCTGGGCGACAGAGCAAGACTCTGTCTCAAAATAAATAAATAAATAAATTAATTAATTAAATTAAAATAAAATAAAAAAATAAAGAGGTAACCTCAGATTGCTGTGTTCTGAGGGGACCCAATACTACCACACAAAACTGTTCTTTCAACCTCTACCTTACCCCTAAGTCAGACCTCCGAGAGCTATTCCCAAGTGTTTCAAGATAAATGATTAAGCCTGAGGAAGGTTCTAGTGTATTTTGTATTGAATCCCATACATTGTCATATATTTACATTGCATTTGCATAATTAAAAGGATAGTTAATGAAACAGCTTCCTCCGGTAGACAATCTGGTAAGCTCAGGAGGTTGTCCAGTGCAGGTAGTGGATGGATAACAGAGAGCAGAAGTAGTCAAATCACTGGCTTCTTTGTTTTTCTTTTAAACATAACTGGTCATTCTTTGTATCTTTCTTTTGGGTAACAAAAAAGAAAAAAATAAGCTAGCATCACCTTTTCCTATTTTGTAGGCTGTCTAATAGATATAACCTAAAACTATGTATGAAATTGAAATTTTATACTTATTTTTGACAATATTTTGCTGAGGTTTAATGAAGGTATTCATAATAGATAATAATTAGATATATCTTCCCTAAATGTCATGTCATTTCAGAAAAGAAGGAAATGAATTTAAAGATACTTCTATATCTAGGTATGTTGTATAAACATTTAGGGAAGTCAGTTATATAATGTGTGAATTCAGCAAACAATAGAAAAAGAAAAATAAGGATCTAAGTGGCATTTTTATTGGGAATAATATTAGAAAGAAATTTGCTTAAGCAGAAGTCAACAGAAACTCTGATTTTTCAAAATCCATCCAACATACAGATTTATCTGTTTCCCAGCTTTAAGCATTCTTGGGATATTGCTGCAGGAATACTGGTGATCACACACTTACAGAAATAATAAGGCTCTGAGTTGAAGAATGTAATATATATGCAAATACATATGTCTCTTTCCTTGGTAAACAAATATGCTGGATAGTAAATACACCATATTTATTATTTATTTAGCATACTTCTACATTTCCAGTACAACCTGACATTTCATCTCTTTATTTCCTTGTGTTGAAGATTTTATATATTTCATTAATTGAATCAACCATGGGAAAAGCAAATATGTCTCTACCTTTACTTTGAAAAATGGCAGGGAAATATTAGCATATGATAACTGCCAAATTAACTTACTTTTAAATAAAGTAGCCATGCCTTGATCATTCTGACCACTGAAAGAGTTATTTGTATTTGAATTATTAGATCTCCCTCCACTTTTATGTACAAAGAGAGCCAGCTTTATAATTAGATGTGACTATTGAGAATATCAACACCATCATGAGGCTGGAATAAAAAGTATTTATAGTATCTGTTCAGAATTTGCAGGAAGCAATTGGGTAGCAAGTGTCAAAAACCACAGCTCAGTGTGGATTCAACAAACAGGGGAGTCATATGTTCCCTTATCTCTTATCTGGAAAGTCCTATGGTAGAATGGCTTTCAGCTTTGATCCAGTGGCTCAACAGTAGAATATTGTGGTTTTTATTACTATCAGTTAGAGAATTTGAAATAAAGAGCAAGCTGTAGTTGAGGTCCAATAGTCATTTCCTCATAATATCAATATTTTATATATTCTTTTTATCTACTTAGACGTTTATAATTTGTTGGATACAGGCTTCAGGCTTTGTGTTTGAACATATCAACATTGATTTCTTTTGACCTTTAAATTAATCAACCTAAAACATTAGAAAAGATTTGAAATAGCAACTCAACAAATATTAAATGCCAATCATCTTTCCGGAATTTTAAAATTAATATTTAAATATCATATGTCTTACTGAAATCAGAAACACTTTAAAATTTTCTTTTCTTTTATTTTTACTTTTTTATTGTTCCATTTCAAGTGTTTGCTTTCTCAGTATATACCATTCCAACCTATTTCACCTGCAGGACTCATGTGCTCGCATGAGGCAACAATGATATTACTCCATCTACTTAATCTGCACAGTTGCTTACAAACTTTTAGAGACAAATGTAAATGCATGTGCCACTACACATAAGAACTGGGTGAGACAAAGACATGCATATAAATTGGTGTTAAAAAGACTTTGGTGAAATGCATACTGGGGAAGAATAAACTCATTTATTAATAAAAAACAATCTATGTTATCATTCTGATTCAATTAATACTATTATTAAGCTTTTAATACTTTTTGCTGGTTTCATTCTATTTGTACTCTGTTTGAATTCATCTAGTACACCATCACTAATTCGTGTTTTTAAAGCCAAAATGATTATTTCAGTGTAATATTTAAGGGAGTTCAAGAAATATTGAAGGGTTTTGCCATTGGCTGTGATAAACTTCAAATTATTTAGTACAATATTTAAATCATGCAATATAATACCTGGGACTAAGTATTTAGTAAATATTTATTTCCATTCTTCCTCTTCTGTAATCTAGTTTTAATAAATGTTCTCCCTTCTTTCCTTCATTCCTCCCTCTTTTGTTCTCTCTTCCTCTTTTTCATGAGTCTTTCATTAGTTAATGCCTTATAGCAGTGCCCAATGTTTAATTACCTTCAGCAGTAGTTTTTACCCGTGGCTGCACATTAGAATCACTAGTAAAGCCTTTAAAACATTCTGAAGATTCTGATTTCATTGACGTGGAATGAGAGCTGCTCATTGGTATTTCTTAAAATTTCCTAGGATATTCTAATGGGTTCAGAATCAGGAGACAAACAAGTAAACACCCTCTATGACATAGTCATAGGAGAGCAATAAGGAAAAAGTCAGTAGGCATTGGGGTGAGCACACTACCCCAATCTCAGGATGTATGGTAGGGTAACACTTCCTAGGAGAAATGATCCTTGAGATGGGCAGATCCTTGAACAGCTGGCAGAGGCAGGGAGAAGGAGGAGAAGGAAGAGCTTTTATTGAAAGAAGAAAGGATATATGGAAACATGCAGTTAGGAATTACCCTAGCTAGGTGAACACATTGGAACCTAATGGAAAAAGAGACTAAAAAAGTAAGTAGAGGCTGAACTTGGTGTGCCAAGCTAAGTGTTAAAATTTTATCTTATGAGATTTAACAGAAGATTAACAAGATATGATAGACATTTTGAAAATATCACCCTGAGAAAATTATGATGGTTGAATTGAAGGGCACCTAGAATGACATCAAGGAGGCCAGTCAGAATGTTCTTGCAGTAATCCATGGAAAAAATAAAGAAATAGGGATGAGAAGAAGGATAGGACACATGGTTTCAAAAAAGGGCAAGAAATTGGAAGTTGTCAACTATGTCTTCACCATTTATGTCTTGAGCAATTAGTAAGATGGTGGATCCATTCAGTGGATAGAAAATATGGCCTGAGAACAGACTTTGGAAAGAAGCTGGTGATATCCATTTGTACAAATTGTATTTCAGATGTCTGTAGGATACCCAAGTGGAAAGATAGGTTTAGCAAGCAGTGGATTTATAGATCTCGATCTCCAGAAAATTCTTAGCTAAAAAGAATACAGACTATTATATTTAGGAGATTAATCAATTTCTCTTTCTTGGGGAAGAGCATGCAGACAGAAATGGAAAGAGAATCAAAGGCAGAGACCAATGTAACACCAACATTTAGTTGCTTACACTCACACATGTGCGTTTCTCTTTCTGTGTCACTGGGAAGTGAGTGTCTAGCCAGAGATTACATTTCCTATGCACTTAGGAGTGGCTGCATGACTAGTTTTCATCCACGGAATGTGAGTAGAAGTTATGTGTGCCAGGTCTATATCAAGGCTTTTAAGAAGTCTATGCCTCTTTTTGTAGGTGCTTTTCCCCCCTTATTCTACCTATTTCAAACAATTATAAGGTCCTAAAGGATAGCAGAGTGATAAGTGAAAGGTGCCTTGGTCTCTGCATAACCACAGAGTGGAAAGCAACTAAGAACACCAGCTTTGTATTGTGATATGAGAGCAAGAAACAAACTTTTCTCTGCTAAGCCACTGAAATTCCTTGGCGTTACGTTGCTCATCACATCTAATCTCCTCTTTCTACCCTTTTCATCCAATCCTCCTTTAAAGCCTAGTTCAATTTCTTCCCTTATGTAAATTCAACCTGGGTAACCCTCAGTGATGGTTCCTTGGTCACTTGTTTCACAAATAATAATGCTTTTTGACATTTATTATAATTTTAGTGGGATTTTCATGTATTTTGGTTTATCTTTTTACCTATGATAGATAGGCTTGTATTCAGTATATTTATTGTATTTTTAAAAGGATTAAAACATTTTTATTTTCTCCATAAGAAAATATAATTTCTAAACTAAACTTCAAAATAAACTAGCAAGTGGGAGAATTTTGAATTTTAATGTTGATTGAACAATTATGTAAAAGTTACTTTCTTGGCAAGGAAACTAAGTCTGTCTGTGTTTGTGATTTGAATAATAAGAATTATATTCTACAGAACAATAAACTATGAAACCAATTAGACTTCTGTGTTTCTTAATCAGCCATCCCAACATTTACCTTCACATTTAAAGTAATCATAAAATCCAGCAAACAAGTGACAAACTATGGCATTCAGTTTTTTATTTATAAACATTAACTGAATTAGCAAATCATTTACATTTCTTTGTATCATATATTTTTCATGGGCTTATTGTCATACTTTTTGGCTAACTAATTTCATTCTCTCATAATAAGATGATTATGAAATTTGCCATCATATGCAACATTAATTTTATCTTTCAAAGCCAATCAAACATATGTTTTGATTGTTAGATTTCTCAGTTCTGGGTTATTGGTGTGATTTGGGGTGGAAGACAGAGAATTCTATCCCTTTGGACGTAGAAGTAGACGTTTCTATGCTGGGTCTCCCCACATCCTATAAACTATCATCTCTGAACACTCTTAGCCTGTAGCCCAACCAGTGTTTCATTCCCAAGTTTGCAGCTAAAATAAATGACTCTACATCTTTATTTCCCATCTATCAACTGTATGGTAGACCACAGAGTTAATTTGTTATTCTGCTGTTTAGGGGTGAGGGGAATATTATAAATGGTTTAATTAGATTTCTTTTTTAGAAGGAATCATTTCTGCAAATGTGAAGCTTTGGAAATGATGCCTAAGGGACAGAATTAGGAAAGGAAAATATTTTTCTAGTAAAGGCATGAAAGTGTTATGGCCATAGCCCAAGGACGATGAGACAGGAAGAGTGTGGGTGATTTAAGACCACACTACCGCAAAGACTTTTATTCCATCATAACCATTTTGGTAAAAAAGAATAACAGGCCAGAAGATATATTTAGAACACTTTGCTGCTTCTATTGCAGTGTTAAAACTTTATTTGTCTTTGTTATTTGTCATACAGAAGTCTGTACTTCAAAAGAAAAATAGCATGACTTCAAATGGATCTTCCAGAACATATATTCTCCCCAGAAGAGCTCCAGGATGTTTGTAATCAGGGTGTAGCATTGCTGGGCCTCCTTGTGCTGCTACCTTAGTGTGGAAAGTGAAGGCAAGAAGTGAAGCAGAGGCAACCATGGTCTTTCTAGTTTCTACATCCACAGCATCTGAAATCTACTGTTATGTTAACTAGAAATAATGACTACAGCTAAGTAGTTTCAAACTGAGAAAATGCATTGATAGATAAATGCTTTATATTGATAGTTTTTATAGCTTTTAAAAATTAATAGTTTCTGAATTTTTGTAATATAAAACAATTTGAACATGCAAGTACCTAAAAGTGCCACCTAGATGATGATATGATATTTTAATAGCTTATGACTGTGAACCACAATTGCCGCATTTGGTTTACTGAAAATCAGTTGTCTATCTTCTAAGTGTCAATGGAGAATAGGATTTCCATGATGCAAAGCATACAGATCTCTCTTTTAAGATGAACCTCTAGGCTTAGATTTGAATAAAGTTCATAGTAATAGAAATTTTAAGTTTTTCCTAATAGAAGTGAGGAAGCATTGGAAATAGGTTGTTAAAATGAGTGATTAAAATGAGTTTAATGCTGGTCATTAAATAGCATTTAAAACCACATTGTAAGTGACTGATTAGTAATTATAGTCTATTTCATTCTAGTTGCTGTGAAAACTTAATATCCTTTAATCATCCAATAAGAAAATATATTGTTAACTTATATCAGTGTCTCTGAAACTTTCAGAATTCATAGACCACTCAATGGATGATGATGTACACAGAGACCACAAATTTTAAATAAAATAAAACTAGGTCTGTATTAGTCTGTTTTCATGCCGCTAATGAAGACACACCTGAGACTGGGCAATTTACAAGAGAAAAAGGTTTAATGGACTTACAGTTCCACCTGGCTGGGGAGGCCTCACAATCATGGTGGAAGGTGAAAGACATGTCTCACATGGCATGACGGCAGACAACAGGAGTGACAGCCAAATGAAAGGAGTTTTTCCTTATAAAACCATCAGATCTTGTGAGACTTATTCACTACCACGAGAACAGTATGGGGGAAACTGCTGCCATTGATCCAATTATCTCCCACTGGGTCCCTCCCACAACATGTGGGAATTATGGAAGCTACAATTCAAGATGAGATTTGGGTGGGGACACAGTCCCAAACCATGTCATTCCATCCTTGGCCCCTCCCAAATCTCATGTTCTCATATTTCAAAACCAATCATGCCTTTCTAACAGTCCCCCAAAGTCTTAACTCACTTCAGTATTAACTCAAAAGTCCACAGTCCAAAGTCTCATCTGAGACAAGGCAAGTTTCTTCTGCCTATGAGCCTGTAAAATCAAAAGCAAGTTAGTTACTCTCTAAATGCAATGGGTATACAGGCATTGGGTAAATACAGCCATTCCAAATGGGATAAATTGGCCAAAACAAAGGGACCACAGGCTCCATGCAAGTCTGAAATCCAATAGAGCAGCCATTAAACCTTAAAATCCCAAAATGATCTCCTTTGACTTCATATTTCACATCCAGGTCACAATAATGCAAGAGGTGGGCTCCCACAGCCTTGGGAAGCTTCACCCCTGTGGCTTTGCAGGGTATAGCCTCTCTCCTGGCTACTATCACTGGCTGGCATTGAGTGTCTGTGGCTTTTCCAGGTGCATGGTGCAAGTTGTCAGTGGATCTACCAGTCTGGGGTCTGGAGAACAGTGGCTGTCTTCTCATAGCTCCACTAGGTGGTGTGCCAGTAGGAACTCTGTGTGGGGGCTCTGATCCCACATTTCCCTTCCACACTATCCTAGCAGAGGTTCTCCATGAGGGCCCTGCCCCTTTAGCAAACTTCTGCCTGGGCTCCAGGTGTTCCCATATGTCCTCTGAAATCTAGGCGGAGGTTTCCAAAGGTCACTTCCTAACTTCTGGGCACCCGCAGGCTCAACATCACGTGGAAGCTGCCACGGCTTGGGGCTTGCACCCTCTTAAGCCATGCTCTGAGCTCTATGTTGACTCTTTTCAGCCATGGCTGAAGCAGCTGGGACACAGGGCACCAAGTCCCTAGGCTGCACACAGCATGGGGACCCTAGGCCTGGCCCATGACAGCATCTTTTCCTCCTAGGCCTCCAGGCCTGTGATGGGAGGGTCTGCTGTGAAGTCCTCTGACATGCCCTGGAGACATTTTCCCCATTATCTTGGAGATTAACATTTGGCCCCTAGTTACTTATGCAAATTTCTGCAGCCAACTTGGATTTCTCCTCAGAAAATGGGATTTTCTTTTCTATCACATCTTCAGGCTGCAAATTTTCTGAACTTTTATGCTGTTTCCCTTATAAAACTGAATGCCTTTAACAATACCCAAGTCACATCTTGATTGCCTTGCTCCTTAGAAATTTATTCCACTGGATACCCTAAATCATCTCTCTCAAGTACAAAATGCCACAGATCTCAAGGGCAGGGGCAAAATGCCACCAGTTTCTTTGCTGAAACATAACAAGTGTCACCTTTGCTCCAGTTCCCAACAAGTTCCCCATTTCCATCTGAGACCACCTCAGTCTGGACTTCATTGTCCATATCACTATCAGCATTTGGGTCAAAGATATTCAACAAGTCTCTAGGAAGTTAAAAACTTTCCCACATTTTCCTGTCTTCTTCTGAGCCCTCCAACCTGTTCCATCCTCTGCCTGTTACGCAGTTCCAAAGCTACTTTCACATTTTTGGTTATCTACAGCAGCACCCCACTCTACCAGTACCAATTTACTGTTTTAGTCTGTTTTCACACTGTTGATAAAGATATACCTGAGACTGAACAATTTACAAAAGAAAAAGTTTAGAGGACTTATGGTTCCACATGGCTGGGGAGGCCTCACAATCATGGTGGAAGGTGAAAGGAATGTCTTACATGGCAGCAGACAAGAGAAGAGTGAGAGCCAAATGAAAGGGGTTTTCCCTTATAAAACCATCAGATCTCATGAGACTGTTTCACTACCATGAGAACAGTATGGGGGAAACTGTCACCATGATTCAAGTACCTCCCACTGGGTCTCTCCTACAACATGTGGGAATTATGGGAGATAATTCAAGGTGATATTTGAGTGGGGACACAGTGCCAAACCATATCAAGTTCTATCATAGCTTTTAATGTAAGAATTAAACATTTCAAAAGTAAAAGTAGTAGCTCTTTTAAGTCATGAGAGTGGTTAGAAACCTTTCATCAAGACATTTGTTTCAGACTTAGTAATGTACTTTGGACCAAAAATCAAGTTTCATATACTATCTAAGCATCAAAAAAGTGGTTTTTAAATTCCTCTTTACTTCTACTAAGTTAGAAAATTCAAAGCCAAAATGATAGGTCAGGAATGAAAATAAGCATCGGGTGAGAGGGTATTAGGCATAATGTTTGAGATTGGAGACCAGTATCAAGGGGATGCTGATTGCATCCTGGTTCTGCCACTATTGGGCTGTGTGACCTTAAGACAGTTTCCTGACCCCTCTGTGTTTGTCTCTTCAGCTTTACAGCGAGGAAAATAGTGCCTGATTCTTAGGGTTTTGGTGAAAATTAAAGCAATTAATGTAAACAAAGGTGTCAAAAGTGTGCCCACCAACACATAGTAGGTGTACAGGAAATTTATTAGCTCTTGTTTTTTGTTGATTCTGTTAGATCAGGACCAATTAGCCTGGGCACAACAAGGTGGACACACCAGTGGTTTTTAACCCATGTTCATTCCAGTTGATCACAGCTCACTGCAGCCTCAACCTCCTGGGCCCAAGCAATCCTCCTGCCTCTGTCTCCTGAATAGCTAGGACTATAAGCGTGCATTACCACACCCAGCTAATTTTTTATTTTTTATTTTGTAGAAATGGGGATCCCACTATGTTGCCCAAACTTGTCCTGAACTCCTGGGCTCAAGTGATCTTCCCTCGTCGACCTCTGAAAATATTGGGATTACAGGCATGAGCCATCACATCTGGCCTGAATATTTTGAAAATCATCCTTGGCAAATTCCTATATATTCACATGGAGCACGGATATAAGTATTATGGAACGATTCCTCATTGAGTACTGTTCTTTGACACTCCAATGACGCTAGATATATAAGCACTTAAATGCCGGAGATTTGTCAGTTTTTAAATCATAGAAGGCACTACAT
This sequence comes from Homo sapiens, assembly GCF_000001405.40. Classification (NCBI taxonomy): domain Eukaryota; kingdom Metazoa; phylum Chordata; class Mammalia; order Primates; family Hominidae; genus Homo; species Homo sapiens. The sequence continues at coordinate 120,382,409 of NC_000004.12, read as the reverse complement.
GATTTACTGGTTTAATAAATTCTTCTTTGCCAAGTAATTATTCATGTTCATTTGATAAATTTAAATGTAGTTAAATATATATATTTAATTAAATTGAATGTATATATATTTGAATATGTGTACATATATTCAAAGAACTTTTTTCTCTAACAAGTGAATAAAATCATTTATTCAGAGAAAATTTTACTCTAACCAGTTGCTCTAGAGTCTGCCTTTTAAAGAATTACAAAATATTATTCTGAGCATTAAAACTCAAGATATTTTATTCCTGAGTGTTGGGTTCAGGCCATTTGTGATAGTAAAAGTTCCCTTATCTACATAACTAAATGAGTAAGCCATTTGAAATTAAAAATTTACAGGTATCTTTCCTGGAATTAAGATAGTAAGAAATGTTTTTCTTTGTCCCCATGTTTTTAAAGTTTATTTCTCTTTTTAAAAAATGTATTAGTAATACTATTTTTGATTGACAATTCATAATTGTATACATTTAAGGGGTACAATGTAATGCTTTGATATATGTATACAATGTAGAATGGTTAAATCAAGTTAACTAGCATATCTATCACCTCACTTACATATCATTTTTTCTGGTAAGACATTTGAAATTTACTTTTTTAGTTATTTGGAAATACACCTGCTGTGCAATAGATCTCAAAAGCTATTTCTCCTGTCTGTTGGAAAATTTTCGCCCTTTAATCAACAACTCCTTATTCCCTACCCCCCACTCCCAGCCTCTGATAACCATCATTCTACTCTCTATTTCTATGAGTCCAACTTTATTAGAATGCACATATAAGTAAGATCATGCAATATTTGTCTTTCTGTGTCTGGCTTAGTTCACTTAACCTAACATCCCCCAGATTTATCCATACTTTTGCAAATGGCAGGATCTCCCTGCCCCCTTTTTAAGCTGAATGTATTCCATTGTGTACACATATCACATATTTTAAGAAAAAATTTTTAAATTTAAATTTATATTCATCTATTAATTGAAAAACTCCTAGGCACAATAGAAGGATATTTCTGTGTTAGAGATCTATTAATATAATTCAGCATATAAATATCTTATTATTAATAATAGCTAACTTGTACTGAGCACTCACCGTAAGCACAATATATGTATTAGTAAATTTAATTCTCACAGTAACTCAATAGGTCCTATATTATCGTCATTTTACAGAGCCACAGAAAAAGTGACTTGCTCACAACTATTAGCAGAGCCCGTATTAAAACTCAGGAAAATGTCTCCAGAGATAACACTCTTGAATAGAACAATAATAACCTCTTAAAACATAAAACTTATGATTATTTTCAAGACTCCTTTTTTTTTGAGATGGAGTCTCGTTCTGTTGCCAGGCTGGAGTGCAGTGGCACCATCTCGGCTTACTGCAACCTCTGCCTCCTGGATTCAAGCGATTCTCCTGTCTCAGCCTCCCAAGTAGCTGGGATTACAGGCACATGCTACACGCCCACCTAATTTTTGTAGTTTTAGTAGAGAGGGAGTTTCACCATGCTGACAGGACGGTCTTTATCTCTTGACCTCATGATTTGCCAGCCTTGGCCTCCCAAAGTGCTGGGATTAGAGGCGTGAGCCACCGTACCCAGCCTCAAGGCCCATTCTTAATGAAAACTCAATGAATGGATGGAAAACTTAATGAATGGATGGATACATTGTAATTGTTATATATACATATGTGTGTGTGTGTGTGTGACTGTGTAAAATATGGTACACAAAGGAGAGACTATTAAGTCAGGAAAAAGCTAAGTTACTATTTGTAATGAGTAAAACTGAAAAGTTAATCATTATGTGCAGATGATATGTTTATTTACTTAGAAAGAAAACAAAATAAAAGACTTTTTTAAAGATCTATTCAGGTGGGTAGGCAAGATTCCAAGATGACCCCAAGATTCCCACCCTTTGGTGTACACCTCTTGTGCAATCCTTTCCTCTTGAGAGTGAGGGAATGTGTGAGTATGATAGAAAATCACTCATGTAATTAGATCACTAATGTGTTGACTTTGTGTTAATCAAAAGGGAGATTATCCTGGGTGGGCTAAACTTAAATCAGAGGAGCCTTTAGGAGAAGGAGATGCATCAGAGGAAGGTACCTCTGCTGGCTTAGAAGTAAGCAAAGTTTCAGGTGAGCCATGTTGTGAACTGCATATGGGGGCCACATAGCAAGCAATGGACTTGTATATTGCCCTTCCCCCTACCTTTTACATGTTGCTTCCAGTAGGGAGGATAGGAAGGTCCCACAGCAGAGACAAAAAAGTGTTCTCATTTATGAAAGAAATGATCATCCCTCATCTGGAACTACTTAAGATAAACTGAAGAGAATACAACGTGACCACATCAATGGAGACAAAAGGCAACATGGTTGGAAGGGCTCACTGGCATTATGGAGCAACACTTAGGAAGCCTTGTAGTATGATCAGTCTCTGGGATACTGATAGTTTACCAACAAGGTTAAAGTCATCATGGTTCAGATTGAATCAGCACACCTACACCATTCTTGTGGCCAAATTTCACACAATCCCAAGACAGAGATACCATGCAGGCCAGTAGGAGCCCTCCTAGAATTGAACTGATCGTGAAAAAGCATACCCAATTCTTTGTTTCCCAAACTGAAGAACCTTGAAAAAATAATAAACTTATTAATAACAATCTCATCTTCTGCTATTTTTAGAGACTTTGAGTACACTGTAATACAATATCGAAATTTGAACACCTTCATGTGGATAATTTTTGAAAGTGTGAATAGATATATTGATAGCTTTTCTTTTAGAATAACATAATAAGAGTAACAGTGAGAAAAATATTTGAAAAGGAATAAAATTAATCAAAACTACATCTTTTCACTGGTGTGGCATAATTGCCATGCTCTTTGAAATGGCCAGCTTACTAACAAGAAGTAAAGACAAGATTTTGGCTTTGCCGAATTATAAGTCCTTGACCTTCTGAAATCTAAAATCCTGGCTAAAGAATTTGAAGGGAGTCTTCTTTAAGTAACTTCCTAGGGTTTCTGAGGCAATACAAAAATAACTTTAATAGTTAGGCAGGAAAAGGCATACTACATATACACATTGCTCTTCTCTGATTGGCTCTAACATGGATGGACTGGAGATTGCAAATCTAACCTCTCAATTTAAAGTAAATTAATGAAAGATTCATGTTTCAGCCAAGCAAATCATTGTATGAAACTAATTGGTAACAGATGTCAGCAAACAAACAACAAAAAAGTATAACTAGATTCAACAAGAATCTAGCCATGCAAATGACAGCCCAATTAGATTCAGATCCCAATAGGTGCATGTGGAAAGCATTTATGTGCAATGTGATGCATCTCCACTCAGCATCTTCTTCTGCCTCCTTCCTTTGATTGACTCAGGATGAATATTGGAAACGGAGAAGGCTCCGTGTTGAGACTGATTACTGGGAACATGGTTAACACATTTCTTCCTTTTTAACCAGAAATTTTATGGAACTTACTGTCTCAAAAAGGCTAAAATACTTGCAGTATTCAATTTGGATTCATGGAAGATATCAGTGGTTTCTAGGTAAGTCAGAGACACTTAAATATCATCTTCCAAATTTTATAAAACATATTTGAATGAGATCAAGTCTTCTCAGCTAAGGATTTTTTCTTCCATCAGTAAAATTTGAGGCAAATAGGAAACCACTACTTTGGACCAAAACATAACAAACATGTAGTATCATGTCCTAGCTTAAGTAAGCAGTGAACAAATAAAATCAGTTTTCTTACCCTCTAATGCCACCTTAAAGGTATGTCTGGAATACACAGGTAATGCCAATATATACTCCTACAAATTCTGCATGAGAGTCCTAGTTGTTCTATATTTTGCCGACATTTGATGTTGTCTGTTTGGGTTTTTTGTTTGTTTGTTTTCTTGTTTTTGTTTCTTTAGTTTTAGCTTTTCTGGTGGGCATGAGGTGATATCTTACTGTGGTTTTAATTTGCATTTCCCTTGAAGTATAATGATATTGTGTATTCTTTTCATGAAATAGTTTTTTGTTTTTTTGTAATTTGTTATTTACATGTTTGTCTACTTTCTTCTTACTAAGTTATGAATTGCTAGAGGGTAGAAGCTTAATTCTTGCTTATTCTTTTTTGAGAAAAAACTTTATCTTCCTATAAAACCTATTCTTCTCATCTTTCTTAGCTATGCTTCTCTTTACCTCTCATAGTCTTCCTTTTCCAGGATCCTGTGGTAGGCGGTAAGAGAACTGCCTAGGCTGGATGCAGAATTACCATCTGTAACTCCTAGGATAACTTTTCTTCTCTAATCTATTACTTCCAGATTATACCTAACAAACAACAAATAATCAACAGAACAATAAAATACATTGACAAGCCTTGTGATGTTTATTTATTTAAACAATGTAAAAATATTGAATTTTATGATTGGCTTTTTTTAATTCTCAGAAATTAGTTTATCTGAAACTGAAACAAATCATTATGCTGCCTGTATGGGCTTTTTCACTTTTTCATTGTTATAGGTATTAGTATTATAAGTTATCTCAATATGCTTGGAGCAAAAATCTCAAGTTTAACATAAAGCCATGTATAATGAAATTAGCTCTTCAAGTCTTGATACCTTTATGACAACAGGCAAGAAATAGAGGCAGTGTAATCTTACTTACAAGAGAGTAAGATGTTTTAAAATGTTGCTTCTGCACTAAGACATTCAAATAAAAATATCTTCTAAATAATTTGTGTAAAATAATTGATATTTTTATGCTAAAATGTTTTATCAGAGTCACTTTTCCACTAGGCTTTTGTGTGCACCAAATGAATTGCTAGGCTATTAAAAAGATTATATCTCTCTATTTGTCCTAAGTGTTGTGAGGTTCAGAGCTGGTGAAGAACTGATTTCTGAAAGCAAACAGAAATGCTAAACAATGTTGGTAAATCACCCAGACCAGAGGAAGCAAAACAATCACCAAGATGTCCTGCTGGAATATTGCTAATGCCACCTCACATTTTATTTTTGCCCTTTAACTCCTTTATTTTTGCTTTACAATTCTGCATTATTGACATACTTTCAAATGTAAACCACATCATAGTATGTTAATAAAGCTTAATTCTTCAATCATTCATTTAATAATTCTTCCTTCATTCTAAAAGTTGTAAAAAAAATCCATCAGCTTTGATAGTAGGGAAATTTGATGGTGGGCATACGATAGCTCACCAGTAGTTTATCTGTTAGTAACTTACTATGAAAAAAAAATACAAACAAAAGAAGGGAAGGAAAGAAGCAGCTGGTACCTGTGGTTTAGGATCACTAGGTTAAGGGTATCCCTTCTTACCACATTAATCCTCATGGAAATCTTGATGTCATGATTATATCTCAGTTTTCCCTAGGAGGTTTAAGCAAGATTAAGAAACTTGCTCAAGGCTTAAGACCTAGTTAGTGTTGAAGGATTCAAAACCACGTCATGTCACCCTGAAGCTACCAAGCTTTCTACTATATGGCTTTAGCAGCCAAAGAGCCATCAACTTTTCTCTGGTTACCTGAACATATTTAGTGACATCTAATTCTTTTCTCCCTATAATCCTACTAAAAAGAAATTCAATTCCAAAATAACTTAGAGCTAGTTTTATGATACTAGGCACGCAAAAGACTATAGGTTTACCAAGCAGTTTATTCTATAGTCATTAAAAAAGGCCTTTGTTCTGTACGTTGCCTCAGTTATGTGGATCAGGTCACAAGGAGACATGGTAGATGAAAACTGAAAAGTGCTCTCCGATCCTGGCAGTATTTATTTTTATTTATTTGCACTTCATCCCTCCATCAGACAGTACCTTTTCAAATAAGTAAAGGCCATGAAAAACTTTTCTAAGACATGTTTTCCCTTTCCTTCCACCACATAAGCAATTGTAGATACTCAAAGGTATTATTGATAAGGCATTTGTTTAAAAAAAATCATCCCAATGGACTTTTTCAATTTTTTTGTGTATACAATATGCAATACTATTATTAACTGTGGAAAGTTGATCAAATATCTGGTATCAAAAATACACATTAGATTATTAAAATATAAGAACATGATAAATAACATTATAAATTATAAATTCTTAGTGGAATCACAGATCTTTAGGTTATGTACATAAAGAAGTCTTAGTTATTATTTTAGCCTTAATTTCTTCAATGGAGAGATAAAATGACTAAGTCAATTTTTATCAGTTTTGGAAAAAGTTACCCTTTTAAAAATAGACTATAAAAGGTTTATACAAACATCTAGTGAGCTAAAATTAATTAAGCTTTCATTTAATCTTAATTAATTTTAAATTACAGAAAAGTTGCGGAGCTGATGGAAATTTTATTGCTGTAGTTTACAAAGATTAGTAGGATGATCTAGGGGCAAATACTGGAAAATTTCTCTCAGTGCATATTTTCTCTTCTTCCTATGGTAATAGAACTCCTTAATTTTAGCAATTCATGCCCACCTCAAACAATGTCTGTATTTTTAAAAATTTCCCTACAGTTAAGTGCAATTCTATATTTTGCTAATGGGTTCTAAGTGGACATGAAATGTCCAACTTCTGAATTGTATCCTTAAAGAAAGGAGACATGCTCTCTACTACTCCTTTAACTATCTGCTGGTGGAACACAGAGGTGATGGCAGAGGTTGTAGTAGCCATAAAGTATATGAAATAAAAATAATTTGTTGGCCAGGCGCAGTGGCTCATGCCTGTAATCCCAGCACTTTGGGAGGTCGATGCGGGTGAATCACAAGGTCAAGAGATCGAGACCATCCTGGCCAGCATGGTGAAACCCCATCTCTACTAAAAATACAAAACTTAGCCAGGCGTGGTGGCAGGTGCCTGTAATCCCAGCTACTAGGGAGGCTGAGGCAGGAGCATCACTTGAACCCAGGAGGTGGAGGTTGCAGTAGGCCGAGATTGCGCTAGTGCACTCCAGCCTGGTGATAGAGCAAGACTCTGTCTCAAACAAAACAAAAAAAATAGGTTGTTGAGGAAGGCAAGCAGAACAACATGTAAGAAGATCCTAGATGATTAAGTAGCTATCACATCTTCCCTGGACTATATATCCAGATGTTTGGAGTAGAGAGAAATATATTTTTGAGAGAGAAATATATTTGCACCTCGTTTAAGCCACTATTTCACTACTGTCTGTATTCTGAATAATAAAACCTTTATATTCCTCTTCTTATGTAGCAGTTGTTTCTTCACACCTCACAATTACCCCCATGAAACCCAGAAAGCTGGTAATTTTTTTTTTTGTGAAAAAGACTGGGGAACTGTTTAACCCCCGTCATGTCCCCCAACTAACTGGTAGATTATTTAGCCTTGTTGACATATGAGTCAAGCATTCATAAATATATGTTAGAGGCTAGAAAAACAACAACAATCGTTTAAACATTCCAATCTTAGCCTCAGTTTTTCTGGCTTCATTGAGTTTTCAACGTAAAAAATAACATTTAATCAAACTTTCAGCTAATAAATTGTATTTTTATTCAAAATTCTGATATCCAAGTCATACAGCTAAGTGTAGAAAAAGAAAATAGAAGTCAGGTTTTCTTTGCTCTTTATTAAAAGAATTGGCATACATTCCTTTTTTTTTCTTTCTTTCTTTTGTAAAACTACATGTCTTTCAAAATCAATGTCTATTGGGAATACATTTTAAATCAATGCCAGGTTTGCCCTTTTGTCTACCAAAAAGACTACAGCAGTAATGACATCACATCCCTGCTCCTGAAAAACTGCTTCAAATTCAGTAGTAAATGTTAGAAACTCATTTGCTATCCTTTGTTTATAAAAGCAGAAGTGACAGAATTATTCTTGCAAATTGCTTTGATAAATGTTATTCCTTTGGGATTAAACATTCCTGAACTCTTTTCTGCTTTACTGATCTCTTTCATGCAATCCCTTTGATAAAGCCTAGTTTCAGTTGTGTATTGGATTTCTTTCCACTGTTTAGAGATTCTGGTTAAATTGTCTGTTCACTCTCCAAATATGCTCCACTCTTTCGGGCTTTGCCTCTCCTTCTCTAAAGGATAATAACTATTAATGTAGACGAAGAACACAGCATTATTGTAAAATCACATGGAGAATACATAATAATGTATCTCAGATTTTATTATTTTATAATTTACTCATATAAATAATTCTTCCTTTTCAGATGAATTTTCTTTAACAATAAATATTGATTATGGCTATGTTTTAAAAGAAACTTAACAGTTTACATGTTTATGATCCTGGGTTTTGGTTGAATATTTAAAACACAATAAACTATATTATTTCTTCTGGTTTCTGGTAGAGGGCAAGGCATGAGCCAGAATACTGAGATGATTCTGGACATAACCTTTTAGTCCTCAGTATGATGAGTATTAAACATGTATTCCTCTATCTCTTAGCCTTTCTTTGCTCAATTAGTTCATGACTCATTTTTAAAAAATCAAGTACATTCTATGCTTCATTTTAAACATGAACATAGAAACCTCTATACATTTTAATTTGGATTTTAAAGTACCCCATTCAGATTTCTGAGGTGGCTTGAAATAATGTAACTGTTACATTTTTATTATTTCAACTAATTGAAACTTTATCGATCAAGACTAATGCATCTATTTCATTGTACCAACAGAGCAAGTTGGATGATTTGGCCCATGGCCAATAGGTAGAGTGGAAGAACCATGAAGACACACTATTTGTCCAACTTAGTCTATTGTTTCTGGGCCTCTGAGTTAAGAAATAAAATATACATGGAGAAATATACAAGAGGGAAGAAAGTAAAGAAACACCAGTTTTCTCGGGAGGCTGAGGCAGGAGAATGGCGTGAACCCGGGAGGCGGAGCTTGCAGTGAGCGGAGATCACCGCCACCGCACTCCAGACTGGGCGACAGAGCGAGACTCCGTCCCCCGCCACCCCCCCAAAAAAAAGAAACACCACTTTTCTAAATTACTAAATAGCAGAATTTGCATTATGCTTGATAAGTCTCAGTAAAATGGGACCTTATTTGAACATGAATTAAGAAAATGTTGCAAGAATATGTCAAAATTTTTAAAAGACCATGATTTAACCTCCAAATCCAAGAGACAAGCTCAAAGCAAATCGAGGACACAGATTGCCCCAGGTGGGAGGGAACAAACACTTACTTTCCTGAATGCTTATAATGCAGAGGATTTTTTTCTGCCCACTATGTTCTCACAATTTGGCTATGTGAACCCAGCATTTATATTGACCCGTTCCTTGCTTCCCCTCCGCTTTCTGCCATGATCGTATAAGTTTCCTGAGGCACCCCCAGCCATGCAGAACTGTGAGCCAATAAACTCTCTTTTCTTCATAATTACCCAGTCTCAGGTATGTCTTTATAGTAGTGTGAAAATGAACAAATATAGTTGGGATAGTATAATTATTTAATAAGGTTTTTGAGAAAGAGGTTGAAAGTTGATTGTTTTAGTGACATGCTACAATGTGCCTCCATTGTTGGAAGTGAGACATTCAAAATTAGTCATTCTTATTTTTCTCTAGCAAGTAAAAAAAAAGTGAAGACATGTTGGTGTAAAAATAATTATAATATTCACAATAAAGTGATATTAATTATTATACCCCAAGATGTAATAGATGGTATAATATAACAAGATGTTATAAAATCTTCCTGATGACTGACATATTTAATGTGGCCTATAGCTATAAAATAATGCCATGAGTAAAACTTTTTGGAAAGCATTAAAAGGTAGGGGAATTCATGTGTTGATTATGAAACAGTTTTCTAATAACCCGATGGATACAGAAAACTGTGAAGTGTGACAATGATAATTTATGTATAATACGTTGACTCAGAAAAAACCTAACTCTGAAACTCTACACGAACTTGAAGACATTTTCTATGAGGATTATGTCAAAAATCATGAGTGTTAAACAGCAATAGCAAGAACTTGAAATTTCTGATAATCAGTCAAGAGAAATTAGTCAAGGCAACATAATTTAAAGATAATCATAAGTAGGAATGAAGTGTTATTTTCTCCATGACCTAGAAACAAAAGAACAAAGCACAGTAGAAAATGCCAAATACACTAAGGTCAATAAGGCAAAAATAAAAGCCAGGAGAAAAAAACAATGATGATTTGTTACCTTGACATCAGTGGCAAGGCTCCTGTAGAATTCACCTTCAAGGTCAAGGAGTCAATCAAGCATAGTAGGTAGAAATTTTGAGAATTTTAAGGATTTGGTATGATGCAAAAGAAGTAGCTTAATGATCTCTTTCATCCCATTGATAATGTTTTGGCTCATAGTACATCACTTATTCAATAAATATTCATTGAGAATTATGTACCAAGCAAATTCCAGCCCTCACGAACCTTGCATTTTAGTTTGGGGGAAATTGTTTATGGACAAATCAGGAAATTAATAATCTAATTTTAAGTGGTAAGGAGCACACTTGGATTTAGGTCATATTGAAAAGTTAAAATGAGTAGTTCCTAATAATGGATTCGTTGTAAGGTTTGCAGGAGAGGAGTCAAGAATAACTTAAACATACATGCACAAACCTATATCCAAATTAATCTGCCTAGATTGGAGGTTTTTGTAAGTATGCTGGCTCTGAGAGTAGTGATCAAAGAGAGATTTTGAATAGGTTTTGAGTAGTTGCTGCAAACGACTTATTTGAAAATCATCTATTATTCACTTGAATGTACAAGTAACTCGATAAAAAATAACCACACATATAATTTTAAGTTCAGCAATATTATGTCACTGTCAAATATAAACACTGCTGAATAGAGTCACACAAGCATATGTGACCCATGGGCTCCTCCAAAACCAGAGAATGAATGAGTAAATGTAGCAGCTTAGTTACTGATCCCTGCTTCCAGGTCTTCATGAACAATTTCTACTCGGGCCATAGACTCCCTAAAGAACAAATATATAATTTGCATGCTTGGAGCAGTGGTAGACTGCAGGTCCCTGGTGTTACATGTAGTTTTTGGAAGAGAACCATGAATCTATGTGTACCAAGCATTATCTGTAGACTAAATGAATTAATAATTATTGCACAAATTTGTACTCTGAAAATATATGGAAATCCATTGTAATTAAAGGAACATTTATTTCAATGCATTACTTAATAATTAGTAGCTCTCTGCCATGTATTACTCAAAGAGCACATACCACAAACAGCAACATCTGGACGTTTTGTTAGGATGTTTGAGTCCCTTGGTAATTTACTAAAATTATATCTAAAAAATCATTTCAGAAATCTCCTCTCTCTCTTTATGTTTTCATCAGAAAATAGATAGAGCTACTGGCCTATTCAAGAACTATAATCAAGAACTGTTGATTCAAGAACTAAAAGCAAGTTTTAGCTTGAATATATCAAACGTTTTTAATATTTTAATATTTTTAGTATTGGCAAAAACTAACAAATATCAGCTAAAAACAAAGCAATAAGTAGGAAGTATACAAATATAAAATAGGCTAAGATGAGAGATGAACATTATTACCTAGATATAAAATGCAGATTCTGAAAGTAGTCAGACCTACGTATGAATAGAAATTACCAACTTGTGTAAACTCTGGCAAGTTACTTAAGCCCTCTGTGCCTTCATTTCTTTATCTTAAAATAGTTATAATAATACTTCTTTGTTGTAATGTTTCAAGGATTAAAATAGATCTGCGTATGTGGTTTTTATCAGAATGACATAGAACAAGTCTCAATAAATAGAATTTTTAAATTGAAAAGAAGTTATTAGAAAGACAACGTGTTAAGAATAATGATCTACAGCAAAACGGATGTTTGGAAAGAATAAAGGTTTAAAGGACAAAGTGAGAAGTAAGTAATACAAAATGATATACTAATTTTGTATAAGTATATACAATAGTATAAGTAGACTTGATGATTTAACAATTAGAAAAGGTCAAAGAAAAATGTTAACAAGGCAGCAGTGTATATTTAAGAATTTAATCAATTTTTGCTAAGACAAACAGGATTATTTGAGCAGGATTTGTCAAAAAAAAAAATCAGTAGACCTCTAATTTAGGAGCCTTTCCAATAAAATCCCAGGATTTCTGGCCAGATGTCTTCCAGGAAAGGTAAGGGCATGCAGCAAAACCTTCAGCGTCTTGCTTTTTACTTCATACTCTGGGTTGCCTGTGTGTTTAAGTAATGAAGGCCAAGGCCTAAATCAAACACCTGCTAGACAGCATTTATTCCCCACCCTGGCAGTCCCACACCATCCGATTCACTGATGGCTAGCAATTCCTTCATAAGCCAACACGCGGGTGATATCAAACACAATATTGTGTTTGCTGCTGAGTCTCATTATTTTTCTGGTTTGATCTTCCCTGCTTTTTTTTTCTATGTCAATTTGCAAATCATCTTGCCAGGTTTAGAGCATTTGATATTCTGTGAACTGTGTTCCACTATTTTCAAACCCTTGGAAACACATTTAATAGAAACTTCACATCTAATTTCAGCTTTAACATTTAAAATGCTTTTACTTCAGAGACCACTGACTCTTGCATTTCTCTTTCTATCTCCTTACATTTTAATCTGAGTATGGAGAATAATAACGAAATGGAGACTTCCCAAACTTCGGTCTGCATTTAATAAGGACACATGGTTGACATAAGATAATTCTTAGATTAAACACATACACACACACACACAAACACACACGCACACGCACACGTTCCAACTGAATTTCCTAGCACCAAGGACAATCTGGTTTTAAATTTTTATTTCAGTTTGTCTATGTCCCAGACCTGCAGATACTTTAAACTTTAGGTATAGAAAGAGTCAAGCTCTCAATAAAGCAAAGAATGGCCTCACTGTGGTTTTACTCAAAATCTAAGTCTCCTCAGTTCTTCAGGAAAAATATCACATGTTGACTATGGAAAGACTAAATGGCAAGTCTCTTGTCAAAGGGCAGATTGATGTGATATGAACTGGGAGAGAGGGAAACATTAGCTAAATTGTAAACCTCCTGAGACAAAAGAATTGAATAAAACTCAAATAGACTTTGAAGTTTATGCATTATTTAAGGATTTTTTTTGCATGAGCTTGTCTCCCTCTTTTATCCAAAATATCTATATATTTTCCCACAGAGAGATAAGAAAAAAATACACTTTGTCTTTCTGAAAGTATTGGTTCCTAAGCCCCTAACTGATATAAAGTACCTCTATAAGATGTCTTTTTTTGTTGTTTAACAAAATAGAGGCCTCACCATTGGAAGTGTGGAGAGCTCTACTACCCATTGCCAGAGTCCCCTAAAATTACTTTCAATTGTAAAGTATATCAGTTTAAGAAACTAGAAAAATATCTAGAACCCCTCTTTCTCCACTAGAGCAACTTTCTCCAAAGGAGCATATACATTTCTTACTTTAAATGCAGATTGTCAGTAGATGTTTGTAAAACAGTTGCTAAAATTCAAACAGGCTTCTTTTTTTGCAAATATTTTCAGAATCTTTGTTAAGCTAACGTGCAGGGGAGTAGATCTAGAGAAAGGTGTGTAATATGTACAGATGGTTTCCGACTTAAGGTAGTCAGACTACGATGATGCAAAAATGACAGGCATGCAGCAGGAAGTGTACTTCCAATTTTGAATTTTCATCTTTTCCCAGGCTAGCAATATGTGGTACGATACCCTCTCGTGGTCCCAGGCAGCTGCAGAGAGCCACAGCTCCCAATCAGCCACGTGATCAGGAGGTTAAATAACCCATACTTGGTATCTTCCTGCAGAACAATATGCCTGCTAAACCGTCAACAAGTGTTGATGCCCAGTGCCTTCTATACCAACTATTCTCAAGTCTCATCAGAAGAGAGATTGAGGACTCGGCCTCTGCAGCTTTCCAAGCAACCAGCAATTAATTTTGGTTAAATGCTTCACATCATTCAGTCGCAGTGAGCTTTCAACTGTGTATGTTAATGGTGAGAGCCCACACAACCATCCTGTTGGTCACTTTCAGTACAGTATTCAATATGTTACATGAGATATTCAACAGTTTGTTATAAAATAGGCTTTATGTTAGATGAGTTTGCCCAACTGTAGGCTACTGTAAGTGTCCTGAACATGTTTAAGGTAGGATAGGCTAAGCTATGATGTTTGATAGGTTAGGTGTATTAACTGCAGTATCATCTTATAATATGTGCAATTTACCATGGGTTTATTGGAACATAGCCCCATTGTAAGCTGAGGTGCTTACAATGTTGGCTTTCCCAGGCTTATATGCTTATAGAAGACATTTCTCTTTTCCTTGCCATTTGAGTCACTTATCTCTCAGAATGTTGATCTCAACACCTCAAGACAGGGAAGGGTCAATGTGTGTGAAGCAAAGGCATAGTTAAAATAAAAGAGTAGTGAAAAGACTAGAAAAGGCTGGTGAAAGAAATAAAGGCTGGAAGAGAAAGAAGAAACTTCCCAAAGGTCTAAAATAAAGGCACCAGGAAATCAGGGCCATTTCTTTATTAAAATTATTAAACTTACAGTGCGAGGCAAATACCTGTTTCTTGTGCTGAGAATGTCCCTGCTACCATTGGCTAGATTCATCCTTTTACTACTTGTAGCAAGATGATATTGAGATACGCTGATTAATCATGCTTTTTGTGCCGCAATGTTGTTGTTGTTGCCCTTCTTCTTCTTCATCTTCTTCTTCCTCTTCCTCTTCCTTCTCTTCCTCTTCCTCCTCCTCCTCCTCCTCTTCTTCCTCTTCCTCTTCTTCTTCTTCTTCTTCTTCTTCTTCTTCTTCTTCTTCAAGCTATATGAGCCTTTCCCATTCAAAATAGAGCAAAAAATCTTATTATCTCAGCTGATGGTTGACATATCAGAACTAGTCAGGAAAAAGATTAAAATACTTGGCTTTCTAGTTTTAATAAAATACTTGGAAGGATTTGCACCATCTGAGCTGATTTTCCTTTCTCAAAGATACTAGACAGATTGGGGATAGAGGGATGAATCAGAGGGGAAGTGAGAGGTTTAAATGATGGAGAGTTCTCCAAAAGGGCCTAGTGTTCAATTTTTCTCTAGCTTCCAAGCCAATAGAATATCTTATAGGTTTGAGGATATAAAAGAAGAAAGATTCTAGGTGCCCTCTCTTTCCTGGATAATCTTCAGGAAAGCTACAAGCTCCCCAAACTGTCCCAGGCATCATAGGATGCAGGGGCAATTGTATGGAAATGGCTACAGATGTGTTTAGAAAAATGTTTCTAAGATAATCTATGTTTCTTGGAGTTAAGAGAGATGAGGTCGAGATGTAGCCAAGTTAGAGAAACCATGAGGTAAGACTGAGAAGGAAGCACCTGCTTGCATCAGAACTGAGAACAGATGGATGGGAGCTCAGCTGTTGACATGTGGCTGGATGACTATAGCTGGAGTCTAAGAGGGGATGTCCCTTCCCCTCACTCACCCTTGTGATTTGGTATTATTTTACCTATTTGCAGGAGAGAGAACCAAGGAATGCAGAGATTATACATCCTGGTAAAGTTCACATAGATAATAAATTGCAGAGCTGAAACTCAAACCCCATGCTTCTAAATCCAGATTGGAAGCTCCTTCCATTACTTCACAACAAATGGGAACATATTTGGCTTATGGAAGAAAATGAATCACTTATTTTAAAAACTGTTTTCTTTGAAATCTCATCCAGAAATTTAGCAGTTGGAAATTAAAGTCTTAATTTCAGAGATGAAGGGACAGAGAGAAAAGTCACAGTTTTGGCCACAGGAATAGGAGAACGTAGTGAAAGAAAATATTGGAAATGGCAAACATAAGGGGTATTAAGGACAGGATCTTGTGCGAATGTCCACATGTAGGCAGCCTCAGGGAAAAGAGCCAAACTAGAAAGAGAAAAGGGGGAAGAATTTGAGGGTGAACCTACAGTCAAAGTTTCAGGAAGAAGGTGTCTCCTACTTTCAGCTATAAAGTTAATTAAGAGTGAATTACGATTGTCCTCTAGGCCTAATGTCAGAAGGACAAACATTAAATTTTGAGCAGTTAACTCAAAGGAAAACAAATCATTTTCTCACTAAGCGTTTCTTTGCTCCTAGTGTCCAATTCCTATAAGCTCAGTTATAGATTTTTCCAGTAGTCCACAAATGAGTTGGAGTAGCAAATTAGGAGGAGTAGGAAATATTCCATAATAAAAATATAAAACATAGGCATAAATAATATGTGAAATCATGTCTACAGTAGGAATGCAGAAAACTATCCAAAAGGAGATAAAAACCTAAAAAGAAAATAGTAGTGTTTCATAAGGGTACATAAACAACTTTATATACTCCAAAAGTTCTGAATCCATTACCTAGAAAACAACATTTAAACATCAAAAACATTCCTAGTGCTGTTCCAGAATCTTTGCAAAAAACTTCTAATTAATGAACTCTGGCAAAGAAGTCAGGAAAGTATGAAATTTCTTTGTGAATAAATATTCATCAAAAGTGTTGGTTACTTGATGGAATAAGTTAATGTAACGGGAACATTTATTTATGTGGAACAGTTTGATACTGAAGTAATTATTCATTTCCTCAGCACGTCAGGCAATAAGGATTCTTCTTTAGGTGATAATAGTGTAAATAAACATATTTGACAATGTATCAGGACAGTTTAGTGGCTTAGGGCTTGGTGTCTGGAGCCAGATAGCTTGGGTTAGATGCTTTTAACTATAGGGCTTTGTGCAAATTTCCCAACATTTCTCTGCCTCAGTTTACTCTTCACTAAAACAGGAATACTAAGCATATTATTTTGTTGGAATTCGTGGAAAGTATTTAAAACTGTACCTGGGACACAGCAAGACCACATGCTATATCCCTTTGTTATAATTACACATACTTTTTTACATATAATTACACATAATATGATTCTATTAATTATAGTTTTGTGATATCATCAGGAAATATAAAGAGTAAAATAACCACAAATGAATTTAATGAAAATATCCAGAAATTATTTCCCTTTACTACGGTTTGTTTTGTAGATTATCTTTCCATTTGCTTTAGTATGACCACTTTTACATAAACTTAAGAAAAATAATCCTGAATATTATAATTAGAGAAAAAAGAAAGGCTAGACTATTCTAAAGACCATACTTGGTGATTTTAGATAAATATCTCTTATACTTCTCTTTCAAATTTGAATGCCTCCCTTAGGAAGACCAAATGAATACAGACATTTACTTTTTTTTTGCACATTTACCATGTAACTGTGGGAACTCCTGGACATATGTACAAAACTTTACAACATACATTTGAGTTGTCTTAAACATAAGTAAAATAATCCTATTGTAGACTGAGATGGAGACAGATGGAAAGCACAACTAATGTAAGAAGGTATGAATGACAGAGCTCCCATCTGGGGAGAGAGATTGCCAGGCCTGCAGAAAATGGACCCAACAGTCATTTTTAACATCATACATATTTCCTTCTGGAAGCAATACACCAATCTGCAAATAATCTTATACTCTTTTTCAGTTGTTGGAATTTAAACAACTTCGGTTTTCTAACTTGACGAAGATTGCTTACTGGTTATTGGAAGATTTTTATTTTCTTTCCTTCTGACTCTCCTTCCTGAAAATGCATGCCGGTGTTAGATATAGATATACACACAGGTCTGGATATATACATTCATGAATTGATTATTTTTTGGTTTTGCTAGCATTATCTTTTAATTTAATTCTAGCTTATATAAGTTTTGAAAATATTCTCTTCAAAGTTTCAAAATGGAAATGGTCCTCCAAATAATCAAATAGAAAAGTATCAATAATAGTTTAGTATTAGCCTATAACCTCTGAAATTTAGCTAAAACACATATTTTGACTTTTCTAAAATTAAGCAACAGTAGTTTTCTTCTCTATGAATTTTATGTATGTTTGCCTTTGGATGTAAAACTTTAAATCTAAAAGGTAACTAATGATTTCCTATCCTTTTCTTTGTATTGTATCTCTCAGCTGATACAACTTTCAGGTAATCTGAGATTCACTTTTCTTTCAAGGGCATTTCTTCTATACTAAGGACATTCTTGAAAGAGGCGCCTTAGGTAGTCACATAGGCTAGTGACCCTTGGAACTGACACTTTCTGGAGGCAGTATACTTTTCCAGTTAAAAGCAGGGGTTTTGGAATAAGACTGACCTGGTTTTGAATATCAGCTGGGCCACATATTAACCCAGTTGGCACTGGAAAGATATTTTACTCTCATAAATTTCAGAAATGTTCAAAATGTAAAAAAATTAAGGATAATGATGCCTTCTGTAAATAACTCTCCTATGGGTTAAATGATATTCATTCATTCTTTCTTCAAATATCTACTGAGCGCTTACCTATTAAATGTTAGAGGTTGTCCCAGAGGATAGAACTCATATCCTTGGTGAGAGAAGTGGGGATCAATAACTATATACACAAATTAAAAATAAGAAACTCTCAGTGATAAGTGTCATGAAGAAAACTGTTTACTGTGGTAGAGATTGGATAACTTGAAATGAGGTGCTCAAGAAAGCCTCCTGAGAAGGTGATATCTGGGTTCAGATCTAAGAAGCAAAAGGAGCAAGTCAAAAAGAAAACTTGAGTAGGAACTTTCGGAGCACGGGAAACAGTACATGCAAAAGCTTGAGATGGGAACAAAATTGGTATTTTCAGGGAACAGAATGAAGTCCAGGATATCAGGCATTCAGTGATCAAGAAAGAGTAGTGATATGGAGGTTACACGAGACATATAAATTAAGCACTGGTGCTGTGAGTCACACAAACCTGAGTTCAAATCCTATTTGTACCACTTGCCAGATCTGAGACTGAGCAAAGAATTTGAACTACTGGAGACTTGATTTTCCTCATCTGTATATTTATATACTATCGAGTTGTTTTTATAAATTTCTTTAATGTACAGAACATATAAAAGTGCCTGATAAATGGCTGCAGTCATAATAATAATAATTATTGTTTTATTACCATTGCCAATGTAGCCAGTTCATTTACCACTAAAGGCATAGATGTATGATCCAAACACAATTCTATGTGAAGTAACTATTTCAGTATGTGCCTGGGTAACACAATATTTCAAGTCCGTTTAGGATGAAAGGTTTCTAAAAAAAAAAAAAAAAAAAAAAAAAATCCTTTCTCCAGTCTTTCTACAGTTCCAAGAGCTTTGTGCTTTAAAGCATTATTTTTTACCACACAGGCCTAGCAAGATTAGATGATGATTGGTGAAGGGCAAAGTGATTTATAAAGTCATTTTCATTTTTCATTGGTTTTTCTTTCCAATCACATGTGAGGAAATGTCATTGGGAATGTCAGCTGGGAATAAACTAAAATATTTCAGTTACTTGTGGGTTCACTTACTTATTGTCTGTATCCTGTACTTTGACATTTGATCAAAAGCCACATAAATCTTGGTTTGTTTCCTCCAAACCAAGTTTATTCTTCTGTATCCTGAATTTGATCCTTCTCCTTCATATTGTGTTTCTTTATCACTTCTGTCATTGCTGGTTCTTCTAATGATCCATGTTCCTCCACAGCTGTATTTCCACTGGAATCATTCTCACTTTCAATCCTTTTCTGAACCCCTTATTAGTCTCTCAACATTTGGTTCCTCAATTTATAGGTACATTGAAGATATTTCATAAAAAACTCGTAGTGGCCATGTTTTTTGAAAGGTACCAGTTATCATTATTATAAGACTTGGAATATAAAGAAGAACCATTAGAAATGTAAATGATAAAGCAAGAGCTGATGTCCAAATCATAGCTATTTTCATTACGTTTGAAAAAGTCAAGTATGTGGTTATGTCTAAATATGTGGAATACCACCACAATTAGATAAAGCATATGAAAGGGTGGCTTAATTGCTCATTTTTTATTCTGACATATTTTATTATAGCATGGATATTGTTGGATTGCACTTTATGATTTATTAAGCAAAGGAACTTTTGTGCGACATAAGGAAACATCAGCTGAGCTTCAACTTTTTAAACTGGCAGGCTATGATTTTTTGTTTTAAAATGGTGTTTTTTAGAATGTACCTAAAACCCGTTTGAATTGTAGAAATATTTGTCTATAATGAAGAAAAACAGAAAGAAGAAAATTCAAACCATCCCTAGGCTTGGGTACCTTTCCACGCATATATTCTCTGGAGGTGACCAGGCATGTTGTGAGCCATTCAAGAAAGTCTAACTGTGCGAATTTGCTCAGGCTGCCATAAGAAAATGACACAGCCTGGGTAGCTTTAAGAATAAAAATTTGTTTTCTCAGACTTCTAGAGGCTGGAAGTCCAAGATCAAGGTGCCAGCAGATTTGCTTTCTGCCAAGGCCTCTGTCCTTGGCTTGCAGGTGGCTGCCTGTTTGCTGTGCTCTGACAAGGTCTTTCCTCTGTTTGTGTATGCATCCCTGGTGTCTCCCTGTGTGTCCAAGTTTCTTCTTCAGAACAGCAGTCAGATTGGATTAAGTCCTACCCTAACAGCCTCATTTTAATTCAATCATCTCATTAAAGGCCCTATGTCCAAGTAAAGTCATTAGCTGAGGCACTAGGGGTTCAGGCTTCAACATATGGATTTTTGAGAGACAGAATTCATCTCATAACATTCATTGACTTCCCACTTTTTGCTTCTAGGGTAATCAGGCCCTTAGGGATTGGCTACTAACAAAACAGAATATCAAAATGCTCATTGTTTAATTATGATGACAACTAGGGATGTCACTCAGATTACAAATTCTATAATTGACATTACAGTAAATGATCCATGCACTTTAACTCCTCAGAAATATGCATAGCAAATACTGGTTAATCCCACCATTTGTTTAATATGTTTCCTTTACATTTGTATATATATATATAGTTGTCTGACTCTCAGACAACAATTAGTTTCTCTTTGTTCTGTTTGCACAGTATAGCACAGACTAGGAAGGGTGAGGGGGTGTAAAGGGGGTGAATGGTGAGAAATTACTTAATGGATACAATATGTGTTATTTGGGTAATGTATACACTAAAAGCCTTGACTTCACACTATGCAATCTATGCTTGTAACAAAATTATACTTGTACCCCATAAATTTATACAAATAATAACAAGGTCCATTACTTAGAATTTGCTCTCCTGCTTGTTCACACATGCAAATAAAGTCTGAATGTTTCCCATGACATTAACTATTATATTATCATTGATTAATCTATCGGTTAAAATTACTCTGTCAAAGAATGTAGCATATTTTATAGTTGGATACACACTACACAAACTACATTATACAAGGATAGCACCAATTTATACTTCCAGTAGCAGTGTTACAAAGCTGATTCCCCACACTTACTATTTATGAGTAGTTAGGTGAAATATTATTACTTAAAAAATATTTTCTGGCCGGGCACGGTGGCTCACACCTGTAATCCCAGCACTTTGGGAGGCCGAGGCAGGAGGATCATGAGGTCAGGAGATGGAGACCATCCTGGCTAACAGGGTGAAACCCCGTCTCTACTAAAAAATACAAAATATTAGCCAGGCATGGTGGCGGGCACCTGTAGTCCCAGCTACTCGGGAGGCTGAGGCAGGAGAATGGCGTGAACCCGGGAGGTGGAGCTTGCAGTGAGCCACGATCACAATACTGCACTCCAGCCTGGGCGACAGAGCGAGACTCCATCTCAAAAAAAAAAGAAAAAAGAAAAAAATAGTTTCCATTTTGGCATGTGAAGAACTGGCACCTCATTATTTTAATACACATTTCAGTAACTACTTAGGTAACTTGATTTTATGTATGTTTCATGTACTAGTTTTTGAATTGCCTAGTCATGTCTTTTGTTCATTTTGCCATTGAATTATTCGCCTTTTTACTGATTTATATGAGCTCTTTGTATATCCATTATATGAACCGTTTGCCCTAAATTATTTTAAATATACCTATTTTTGAATGTGATATTTTATTTTGAGCCAAAAGATTTATTTTTGTGTATTCAAAAATCAATAGTTTTCCTTTAAAAAATTCTCAGATTCTTCCTTTCTAACCAGAAATCAGATCACTCTTCATAGACATTTTGCACTGTCTTTTCAAACAAAATCCCCTTTATTTTCTCAATTAATAGTATATTCTGCACAAAGTCTAAAATTTCTCTAAATTAAACACCTGAAAACTTACCAACTAGTTGGTTGTAATCAGAGGCCATGTGGTGTGGTATAAGAAGCTATGACCCTGGGCAAAATTACTTGTCTTCACAGCAACTTATTTTCTTCAAAATGAGGATAATAATGTCTATCTCACAGGGCTGATGTGAGGATAAAACTATATAACATGTGAAAACACCTAGGTGGTATTCAATAAATGTTAGTGACTTTCACTCTCCTAGACCTGTTTTTGTTGAACGTCAATATTATTTGCATTTTATTGGTGAGCTTACTGTGCTTGCTTTACCTGTATCTTCAACATGATGCAGCCCACTCTGTGAAGCATTGTAAAATTTTTCATACACGAATATACTAACATCATAATATAATTATTTGTATACTCATACTATACCTTTAATGCTTAGAAAGCATAGTTAACATTAGTTACCATTACATTTTCTGCTAGCTATGTATCTCTCTATAGGATATGCCCATATTGCCAAGGGGGTTGAATACTAATTTCCCCAAATTACTTCAGCAACATAAGAAATATTATCAGATGTCAAAATAAATATTTCATTTTCATTTCTGTGAAAACATCAATTTTTAAATTAGGCTATTTTCAGTAATGAGTTACATTTTTCAGTAAATTGTGACAGTAATACAATTGGAAAAAACTTAAATAATAAAAGGGATTTATTACTTTTTGAAGTGAGGATATCTAAGGATGTTGGCTAGCCTCAGGACTCAATAATTTAGCCAGAAAGAAATGCCTTGCTCTTCCTCACTGTCTCCCCACAACTCCACCACTGACCAGTTGTTTGTCTCTATCCATGTTCCAGGGAATAGACTCTCCTGACTTAAGGTCACTTTTGTTCATCATTGAATCAGGTGGAGTGAATACCATTTCACCATCAGCCACTCAGAAATGTATCAGAAAAGAATCTAACTGGTCTCAATCACTATGTGGGCTTTATGCTTAACCTGACATCCATCACTGTGTATTTGCAGATTCAGAAATTATAACTGGCCCAGCCGGGAACATTTGATCAATCCCATGACCAGCAGGAAGGGCACTGTGATGGGAGCACTATCAAGACTGCAAAATCAAGGAAGAAATACTTCCCCAAAGTAAATGGAATGTGTTGTTATAGAGAAGGTGAATGGAAAAACCTGCTTTGTAGGACCAAAATGGCTGCTGCTTCAACAGAGTGTTTATTTTATCAAATCGAATCAGTATTTTTAGAAGATGATAAAACTTGTTACAAGAAAAATTTAATCCCCATGATTTTATCTATGTATCCAGCTATGCTGACTTTATGCTATTTTTAGTCACATAACACTCAGCATAAGCTATAGGATTATCATTCAAAGTGTATACCCAGATTTGATGGTCCCATACAAAGGCATAAAAAAGGACAGTTATCACAATTGAAATATATTTGGCACAAAGGTTAATATTAGGAGTATAGACCTTAACTCTCACTGTCTCAAACAATTTTACTTTAGCTCCTGGAGTTTCTTTTTATTCTTTTTTTTCAGTGTTTATAAGTATCTTGCAAATTTCAGAGTGAATGATCCATTTGTATGTTATGTTGATGGCCTAAATTACTAATAATTGCATTCATAATTATCTTTACTTTAGTATGGCATTCTGAGCCTCATGAATACAAAAACATCCAACCATGAAAAGAGACCTTTAGTGGCATGCAATAGAATCTAATTTCTTCCCACCAAAGGGCAACTTAGCAATATTGACCATCTAAGAGGCCAAATCAAACAAGATAATGAGGGATAATTCTCTTTTCCCTTTCTGGTTTACCATTCCAGATTTGGACAATATGGACAACAGAACAATGCCACCATAATTATTATTTGGCTTTCAGAGCTGCTACACAAATGAATAATCTTTTTCAATGTTGCTTCCAAAAAAAGTTCGAACATTGTTATATAACCACATTTTCCCCTGCCTTGGCTATTTTGGTCTTGTTAAAATGTTGTTTTTAATCAAATAGCCCATACACGATTAGCTGCAGTATTGTAAAATAAATGAATCACAGCTGCACTGACAAATACATAAGCAGGAACAGAGAATGATAAATGCAGAAACAATCCTATCTGTAGTTGAAAGTATCCTGACAGCAATAATTATAGAATGCAACAGACCAAGTTTGCCCATCACACTTTAATTTGACTCCAGTCAAAATTGCTGACAAAAATGGAAAGAACAATTTTATATCTTCAATTACATTGACTTTAGGTACCTGCTTCTGGATACTCGAAGCACAAGAAATATCTAATATATGAGAGGTTACCACATTTGAACATGGTTGTAGGTGGTGGAGTTCCTAAATAAAATTTTAAGAAACACAAGAGATCTGGAGAACAAAGGTAATTTAGAATTCTGGGTAACTGGTGCTAACACCTAAATGTGCAAGTTAGGTTTCTCTTTGCCCTAAGGTGTAAATAAGTTTATATGTGTGTGTGCTTTTCTTGTTGATTTCATATTGTCTCTCTCTTTTTTAAGACCATATTGCTTTCTAACATTCAGAGAGAGAGAAAGAGAGAGAGAGAGAGACAGAGAGGTATTCCTAGTTACTCCAGCAGGAATATACTCAATTCATCCCCATATGTACCATGTATAACTAAGTATAATTTGCTACATCAAAATGGAGCCTAATTATAAGGTTAAAAGACAACAGGATGAAAGTAAATGTGAGGCTGTTGAGATAAGAAAAATCTTCAATAAGAACAAAAGTAACAGATTTTTAAAGCTACAATGAAGAAAATAGCAAGCAGAATTGATAATTTGAAAACCTGACTCAATAATGTGAATGATAATTGATCTATTCCCTCTGAACTTGAAAAGAAAAAGGTACCCTCCTATACAAAAGCAAATAAGAGAACAGATGAAAATTTAGAGGATAGGAAATAGAGGCCCCACATGCAGTGATCCTAAGAAAGGTACAAGATCACATGCAGTAACTACAAATAAGTTCTCAAGTAAATGCGTAATTATTTAGTATGGACTTAAGTCAAAACACCTAGGTTCAAACTCTGGCTCTGCTTCTTCCAAGCTGGGGCACCTGGAGCAAGTTACTGGCCCTTTCTGTGGCTCAACTTTCTGATTTCTAAAATGCATATAATTATAATACCTTCCATGTGAGGGCATGATGTTTTACTTACAACAATCTGACATGCAGAGAACCCTCAATAAATGTTAGCAATTATTACAGTAAAACTCAAAATATATTTGTGTTACTCATTCCTGCTTTCTCACTGCCTAGTATGCACTGTTGAGGAAGCGAAAAATCAAAGAC
Organism: Homo sapiens; assembly: GCF_000001405.40. Lineage (NCBI taxonomy): Eukaryota > Metazoa > Chordata > Mammalia > Primates > Hominidae > Homo > Homo sapiens. Next base: position 120,357,034 of record NC_000004.12, on the reverse strand, counting down.
AGAATAGAAGAAAACATTTCCAGGCTTATTTAAAAAAAACAAACAAATCCTGTACACACAGAATAAAAGAGCTCTTTATTTTTTAAGCAAAAATTTTTTTAAAAAAGAGATACTCAAAACTAGACATACTTTGCCTTGATTTTGAAATCGCATATATAAAGAATAATCTCTACAGTTATAAATCCATTCAAGGCAGAATACTTAAAACTCACATATTTAGATCTTTCTTTCACATTAGACAATTTATATAATTACTCTCTCATCTGCTTTTTAAAACTTGCTATATCCTAGAAGCTATTCCGTGTCATTGGATGCTTAAATACCTCATTTTTAAAAACATCCATAATAGAATTTGCCATGGTTTATTTAAACATTCCCATTCATTACCCTTACAAGGGTGAAAACATTTTAGTTTTTTAAATGAAGACTTGATTATGATCTGTGTTCTTAGAATACAATTTAAAATTGTACTTCTTTTCTTTTGTCTTTATTACATACTGTTCAACTATTTGTACTTGTTATTGATCAATGTTGGAGAATGGTTTGGAATTTGGGCATAGCATTCTTAGTCATTAAAAAAGAATTAGTTTAATCACTCCAAGATGTATGTCATTTTGTTTGCAAATTTGCATTGCACTTGTCAATGTCATCCAAAAATTGGGAGGCCATATGGCCCTCACTTGAACGTTATAACAATTATTTAAGAAAAGGGCACCTTTTGTAAAACACACACACACTCTCTGTCACACACACACACACACACACACACACACACACACAAAAGGACTAAGGCTTTAACAAATTGAAGCAGAGAAAGTTGAGTCTTTTGAGTGAGAAAGAATAGTGATGAGATTGTGCATGCATTAAGAAAAAAAATAGAATTCAGAAACAGCTAATATCTCATGATGAGCTGTCAGTGTATATCTTGACATCTTTTTTCAATTGCTCTTTTCTGCTAAAATCTAGGAATTCTAGGATTTGTTCCAGTGGAAAATATTTTTCTCTTACTGGACAATCTACAAATTGTTATCAGGATTTGTACTAGTAGACTGATTTATGGACCTGCCTTTTAAAAATCTTTATTGGCACATACAATACTTTTTGAAATTTTACTATATACAAAAGTTTAAAAATTCTAAATATAACTGTATTAGTAATAGCATATAGTTATTGAATGCATACTATGTGTTCAGAGCTGTATTAAGTTCTTTACTTGCTGTCAGTGTCTCTCCTCTCAACAAACAGAGAAAGACAAGAGACCCAAATAAAATTGTCTCCCAACAGTTTCAAAGAGTATTATCCAGGCTCTTAATAATTTCATTCCTGATCATAATGCTTTTTGCACTCTTGAAACATTGCTATGTATATAGTCAGTGTACTTCTCCTTCAACCTTATGCTTTAAGGCATTAAGGTATACAGGAAGGTGCATGGGAATTGTTACATGACAGATGTGAGTTCTAATCTCAATCTATCAATAGGTTTAGAGAGATATCTGAATTGATTTTCATATATTTTTAATAATGGCTATTTTTACTTGTAGAATTTGGGATAAGCCTAATTTTTTATTTTAGTTTTCTGCATCACTGGCATGTTTAAAGAATAAGCATATATTATCCTAGCAAAGCAACAAACTGTTGTTTAAACACATACATTAGTCCAAATTTTAAATAGCAATTTATCTACCTTTCTAAAATCTCTTTTATTTACGTAGTAATTCACCTAACAGTTTGATAATCATTGCTTTGGTCAGGAACTGAGATGTAACCCAACATGGCTTCAAATGAACAAAATGACTTCTGAATAACATCAAATCAATTGCCTAGGAAATATCGTGGTGCCAAAATTCTATTACTGTTACTTGTAATAATTAAGTTACATTACTGGTGGGAACAAAATGCTAAGCCTTTAAAAATGATAATCAATAGCTATGTGAAACTGTATACTAGTCCCAAATAAAATGTTTGATTTCAAACTATTTCAAAACTATTTCAAACTATTTCAAAAGGTAAGTTTTTAGATAAAAAAATACTATGTTTTACATGCTTTTCTACTGGTTTGAGTTCTTTTTTTGAAATTATTTAAACGGTCTCCAGTTATATCTTCAGTCACCAGCCTCATGATTTTCCTGCAATTTTAGATGGAATGTGCTTATACCATGCCATATAGGGATAAATTGCTGAAAATATAAATTTCAAAGACTTAGAAAATCCCTGGCCTCTCAGACAGAATATGGTACTATAGTGCATTGGCTAAAGAATTGCATTATTTCAAAAGAGTCAACAGGATACTATTGCAAAAAAAGAAAAAAAAAAAGATAGTGCACAGTGATAAATGAGACCAAAATTACCAGGATACCCTGCAGATGTATTTTGGTTTGACTGCAAAAACTAGGTAAGTGTAGTGACCACAACATTCCTCACAAAGCAATGCATTCATCTTAAGAAATACTTCTCTACCATAATAGATTTGATACCCACAGTATCTTTTGGCAAATATGTTTACTTTGGTGAAGTACACTGGTATGTAAGTCAAAAAGCACATATAATTTTCAGTAGGAGCAGAATGACACATATAATTTTCAGTAGGAGCAGAATGAATATGAAACACCAAGAATTTAAAGTATTTTCTGAAACGTGACAAGCTTTATAATTCATTCATTCAAGAAATAGTTGTCAAGATTCAAGGGCCAACAGTGGGTCAGGAGTTTGACAGATACTGGGAATTCAAGTGGTAAAATAATGAACAGTGTCCCTGCCATTATAAGCACACAGTCTGTTCTTTATTATGGATAAAGCATAGAAAATGAGGGATACTAGCATTTATTTTACCATAACAGTAAAAATAATGGGGAAATATAATTTGATTCTGTATTGGAAAACAAATTTGGTTGACAACACGGCCCTTTACTGAGAAAAAAATAAAGCTAAGTAGAAGATGAGATAACTTATTTTCAGGTTTGCAACCTTAAATGATTTTCCTATAACATTTTAAAAAGTATGATTCAGGTGACTAAAATGAAAGTAATCATAGGAAAAAATAGTCTTCATCTTGAAAATTATTGAAAAATTTTGAATAAGATTAGGAAGAGTTTTAGAACATGCCATTCCAAAATATGCCACTTTGGTATATTGATAATTTTGAGCTGAATGCACTTGAGAAACAGACATAGGAAGGGATCTGTGATCTTCTCCTTTCTACATAAAAGCAGATCATAAAATTTCCCAGGGGAAATGTCCCTTCCCTATAGCAGGAAGAGAACATTCTCATCACTAGAGACTGGGAGTCCACACAAAAGAGACCTGTTCAAACAAACCTACTAAAATAACCCTTAACTTCCATCAGTCTCTCCCATATATTTCCTAATCTCTTTCCCACAATTTATTGCCCCCAGCCCAACCTCCTTTGTCTTGTCACATCCCCACAATTTATCATTCTTTGTGCAAAACGTATGTAAGTATTTGGGCCTGACGGTTTCTTCGGATCTTCATTTTCTTTCTGAAGTCTCCCACGCACACGTAAAAACTTTACATAAATACATTTGTATGCTTTTCTCCTGTTAATCTGTTACATATTGGTTTAGTTCTTAGATCAGCCACAGAACCTAAGAAGGCAGAAGGAAGTCTTTCCTCCCCAACAATTACTGTATTTTAGTCCTCCCTTTTAACCTTATGACTTACTAATGAGCACAAGGTTTAAATAAAACAGACTCATTTCACTAATATTAGTTTTACATTCTGCTATGAAAAGACGGAGAAAGTACAAGGAGTTTATATAACTTTAGGAATTCTGCTGATGTTTTGAAGACAATATAAAACATATTTAATAATATTAAAGAGACACCAACATGGGTAAAATAAAACTTTGCTCAGCCTTTGGCAACCTCCAGACTGGTATAGACTGTTAAGCATTATTAATGTCCCAGAAAAATTATTTCCCAGGTAATCCTTCAGGGCACCAAGGAGAATTTTTATGTAAATTAGATAAACCATGTCATATTGTCTATAATTTAAGAGTGGTCCACTCTAAAAGTCAATTGAGAAAATGACTGTCTGTAAGTAATTCATGGTGCTTAGCTCATCTTTATAGTGTCACCACTCTGAAAATATGGCCCTGAATAATCATGCTGTAGTCTAGCCAGTATGTATTGTTGAGAGGATTCTTATGAACCAAATTCCTGTTGCCTTCACTTTCTGTGGAAAGGAGACATCTCAGGCAGAGAGTGAGAGGACCTCACTCATTGCACCTTTACTCCACTTCTCCATCCCGCCTGTGAACTCTTTCCTCCCACCCACCAATACTCTACAAAATTACATTTCTGGTTCAGATGAGCCACAGAAATATTACTTAAGAACATGTATTTTGTATATCTAAATAACACTTACCATGATAAGGCTTTATTCTCTATTCAATTATACTTTGATTTTTTTAAAAAAGATTCAAATAGTCTTACATCTCTTTCTTAGTCTGCCTCTATGTTTAGGTAAGATCTAAGAGAACAAAGACTTTGTCTATTTATGTACTAGTGTACACACACACACACACACACACACACTGAAAGCCACATAAGATAATAATAACAAGAATATTACCGAAAATAAAATGACATAAAGTAAAATTATCTGAGAGAGTTCATCAAACTAAGATATTTATCAAGGCAGTAATCCAGATTTCAGAAAGGCTGATTGGTTGCTGACACTGAGACCAATAGTGCAGCATTGTGGCTATTACTTCACACATCACAAGTACATCCAACTGGATGAGAAAAAAAGATGAATAAAGCACACTAAGGATCTGTATCTGTTTTAACATATACTAAATGTATGAACAGGGGCAAGAGTTTTAATTTCTCTAACCCTGCTTCACTATTTGAAAAAATGAGATTATAATATTTCTTATTTACATGTCTACAGTGAACATTATATTAAACAACATAGGTAAAAATGCTTAGCATAGTACCTGTGACTATTCATTAAATATTAATTCACTTAACATTCACTATATTCATTATTATCCATGATTATAAATTTACATACCTTTCAATTACTAGAGTTCCAATAGTTACTAGTTTTGTGTATTATGTTTACTCATTTAAGTGATCAAAAAATGGGTAGAGGTAGCAGAAAAAAAGGCTTTTTAAAAGCTATCATAGATATCAGATATGTCATTCTTATAAACAATTTATTTGCTGTCTATTCTACAGACTTCCACTGGGTGAAATGATCTACTTCTATGTTTTCAACTGCCACTGCAATTGTTGTTCAAAGGTCATCTTCAGAACCATTTAACTTCAAATCCTATCAAAGCTAGCTTTTTAATCTTTATCAACCATGCTCACTCCTCTTAATCTCTGACACTATACCACCACTTCAGTTCAAGTCCTGATCCTCTGTACGCGAGACTGCAATAACCTTCTAACACTCTCCCCTGCCTCCATCCATCGCTCTAAAGTAATCCTTTGAAATTTCAAAAGTGATTATTAAACTTCATCAAAGATTCCCCATCACCTTCAGGATAAAATCTGAAGTCCTTAGAATGGCAAACAAAACCCTTCAACATTTAGGTTCTTTTCTATCTCCAGCTTCAGCTCCTGCTTCTTTCTTCCCACACCAAGCTACTTCCACTGCCTGGAATGCCCCAGCTCCCATTTTTTTTTTAATCTAGCTAATTTCTAACTGGCCATTAAACTTGGCTTAGATGCGTTCACCTTCAGACAGCTTTCCTTAGACTTTCTCCCTATGCGTGCACCTGGCTCCCAGTGCTTGCCCTAATTATACTTACCACTTTGTACGGGATGATAATTTTGCCTGTCTTTATCCCAAATTAAGCCTGAATTCCCTGATGGCAGGAAAAGTGACTTGAATCCCTGTATGCAAATCTATATCTAACCAAATCATGGTTAGATATCTAAACCAAATTATGGATAATTCCCAGCACTCCATGCATGCAGAAATGGCCATGTAGAAGGTGTAGTAGGCTAGGTAGACTTAAATAAATGACACAATAACGTTATTGAAATCTGCTTTTGTGTCTCTTTTATCTCTTTTATCTTCATATCTGTGCTCCCCATCTTCTCCCAAAATATACTCCAGACTAGAAGTCTATATGGGCTAAAGACAATATAAGAGAGCAAGCTTCACTATGAAGATTGTGTTTGCCAAACTCACTCTCATTAACAGCTGCTGACTTGAGGAATGTGTTGCAAAATATAAACTAGTTATTTTCCACTCTCCTAATATGGGCCTTGTCCATTAGCAAATATGATCATTTGTACTCATATTGAAGATAGTTAAATTCATAGATATGATGTATATCTAATATATATTTTTATATATTAGACATTTATTTAAATATATTAGATATTTCTAATATATATAAATTAGAAAAAACCTTCAGATTATTGAAATTAGAGTTGCCTCAATTTAACAATTGAGTTTTCTAAAGAATTACTTTGTTCTTAGGTTTATATGCAGTTTTAGAGTGACACTAAATAATGCTAGAGACAAAGTGTCCTTAACCTTGAAGGTCTCATGAGATACTTTATTTGTGGAACAATTTTTACCTTGGCTGACACATGGATGTCAGGCTTTGGATAGGGTCAGCAATTTAGACTGAGCATCATGACTTCAGAACATCAAGTTAGTTTTCTTCTTTACTGAATCATAATGATTAAAACACGTAGGATCACAATAAAATGTAACTGATTAGGAGATATTTTCAGAAGTGCTTTCCTTTACCACTTAAGTACAAGGTGTGCATTAATTTAGGTCATGGGCTTAATCAGAATGTGTATTAGCAAAATATGTACTACAAACAAATTAAACTAATTTATTTAAAGCTTAACATCCCTCAAAACACACAATTCCTGAGCAACGAAATGAAATCATATTGCTTACTGGATTTGCAATGAAATGAAATCATATTGCTTGCCAGATTTGTGTATTCCTTCTGTGAATATTTGATACTGTTGACTTATTGGTTTTGTAAACCATGGAGCCCTCTGTCAGTGAGCTATCATCCCAGCAGGCTCAGTTCTGAGGGCATCCATTAACTTTGCTGACACTGTGAGGATTCTCAAACATTAGTATTCTAATGAGACACTGTGTTTCTCCATCTATATTAAGAGCATCTCTACACTAAACCTGCTGCTTCTATATCTAAGCCAAATCATGGATTAAAGAAAAATTGACCTGAAAACAGAAGTATGCTTTTTGTCAACGTTTTTAAAACTTAGCATCTATAATATTCAATGTCACTTACAATGGAGGTTAAGTGATCAGTCATCGATGAGGGACCACAATACAAGTCTATTCTATTTACAAATGAGTACATTCTGATATAATAGATGTCTATTTTGCTTGCTTATTTGAAGAGAAAGAAATATGTAGCTCTACTTGATCTTAGGACTTTTGAACCACAAGGTTTTAATGGTAAAATAATGAAACATTCTTGACTCCCAGCTCAGGGAAAGGTGAGCCATGCTGTTCTGTGAATACCAAACCTTGGGCAGATTTCTACCAAGAGGATCAAATTGCTTTTCTTTCTTTGAAGGAGTGCATATTGTTCATGAAGAGCTGCGAAACTAAGGGGGTGGGGCGGGGGGAACTGAAGAGGAAACATTAAATATTGTGGGGAGGAAAAGATGTGGCATAATATATACTTTACAAATCAGTTCAAAATTTGGCTCCAAAGATCTAAAGTAATTAAAAGGCTCTGAAAAAAATAGTCATATTTTTCCTGCCAAAAGTTACTTAATACCACCTCTTTATTTAATGTACCACTCTCCCCCACTGGTTTGCTAAAAATTGGTACTCATCTATGTCATTTGTAGAAATTGGTTCAGCATTTAAAAATACCAATATTCATCATATTCCTTGCAAATGTACATATTCAAATTTGCAGTTCATCTTATTCTTGTGAAAGTTTGACGGAATTGACATAATTATACACAGAACAACAGTGTTAAAACAATTTACATACCTTAAGATCTGATATTTGTGGCTAGCCTGAAATAATTATGAGATTTTGGAATAAAATAATAATGAACTTTTGGGATGTAAGAAGAGAATCTCATGTTAGGCTGGGCTTATAAACAAGTGCAGAAGTTTTTGGAACCCTGCAATATAAGAAGCAGAACTATAATCCATCTGGCATGCCTCTTCAGTTCTCATCCTGAGCTTCCAGACTGTGCTTAGAAACTCTAGCTATAATTTTGGGGTTCCTCCTCTAGATATTTGGTTAATTAGGAACATTATTTGGAGAAATGTCTTCTGACTCACACACAATGTTTCCTCCTTTGTCATTAGGGCTGACATCATGGAGGAGAGTTAACTGTGCCAAATGTGTGCTGCTTTCAGAGGCTGCTGCTTCTCCATCGTTGGGGATCCTAGAATAAATTCTGTTACACAAATTTTTAAAACTGCATCAAATTTTTTGCAGCAAAAGGGAAAATATCCAGTTAACGTTTATGCTTAAGTATTCAAACATATCTGCATCTATTTGTATAGATATTAATGCATTCATTAAACATTGATCGAGTGCCCAGCACACTCAAATACACCCACTTAGGAACTGTGTATAAGGCATGTGACCTGCCCCTGGAGACTTTGTGGTGTCAGATCAGGAGATAACCATGCTCAAACTAAACCCAACAATGTGATACAGGCACCAGAATTCTGGTAATGCCTATGTACATTTATGCTGTTGAAAAATTCCACAGTAGAAAAATTCAGAAAACAAATGTTTCCTTTGATAAATCTAGAAAGTCTAAATTCTAGTTTCAAATACGTTTTCTATAGTAACCACAATATATCAATAATATCTACAACTGGTGGGTCTGAGCTAACAAAGCTCAATTTGAAACTCAGAAAAAAATGTTACTTATAATGTGTATTATTTTATTTCCAAAGCCTTTACTACATAAACAATCTTAAAGTTCACAATATCAACTTCAAAGTTGAATAATAAATTGTAACTATATATTGAGAAAAGAAAGAGTTTTAGTTTAGCCAAAAAAATGTAGAGACAGAGACAGAATGATACAGAATGCACACTCACACACACAATAGGCATTTTGAATAGCATACCACAAAATAATTTCATTCATATTTTGAATAGTTGGAAAAATAATGGTAATTTTAAATTAAAAAGCTACAGATATTTTAAAGTTTTATATGTGGCTTTTAAAATGAAATATTAAATGATTAAAATGGATTTCTCCTATTTCATGCTGCAACTGTGATTATATGTAAATTTCTTTCCAATTAGAGAAAATGAGTGAAAAGCTATAAAAATGGCTCCACATTGGTTTACGAAATGAGTCTGGATTTTATCCAGTGCAGACCATTTGATTATATATGCAGACACTTATCTTTCTATGTTTGAATAATGCATAGGAATTATAAGATGTTTATTTTGAGATATCAAAATGAACAGTGACTATGCTCAGGAAACAAAGCATTTTGTTTATTAATTAATTAATTTATTTTAAATGTCTCTGTCTCCTAGCAGCCCCTTGCAGGAAAGTTTCAGATCTCCAAAGAGACTCCTGATGTATATCTGCCATTATATTTTAACAAATTTGACTTTGAATGATCATTCACATTAAATTGCTTCAGAAACTGTTCTGGATGTAGGTCAGTTAAAGACTTCTGAATGCTTAAATATTTAAAACTTAAAATTTAAAATTAAAACAAACAAAATAATCAAAAACTAAAGGCAAATTGTAACCTGGGAAATAGGTGAATAAAGTATGACCAAAAAACTGACACCCATAATACATAAAATGTGACAACAAATCTAATGTGCTACTATTGTATCAATAGATATAAAGATAATGGAAATAAGCAGACTCTACCAAAAAATAATAAAAATTATAAAAAAATGACTAAGAAATGTATGGGAAAAATTTCATCTTCACTAGAATCAGAAGAGAATGTATGTCCCTAGCAACTAATAAAGGTCAAAGAATAAGGATCATATCTAGTTTACCAGAAAGATTTAATACAGATTTATGTACTTTAAGATTTGATATTTGTGGCAAGCTTGAAAAAATTATGAGATTTTGGAATAAAATAATAATAAGCTTTTGGGATGTAAGAAGAGAATATTATGTTAGGCTGGAGTTATAAACAGGAGTACAGAGGTTAGAGCAACAGAAATTAGATTAAAAATCATTCTCATGTCGTGTAGCTCCTCAGGTATTAATAACTTTGTATCACAAAGTATTTAAATATAATTTGGGATAAGATTAGCAAAGTGCCATTTTTTACTAACAAGAAAATTATTTCGACTATTTGTACAACTAGTAAGATACTTTAAAAATCTAAGTCTATCATTTAATGATAGATTTCTATACTTTTCAAGGTGCTCAATAACTTTTTCTACCACAGGAGTTTCAGGATTCAATATTTAGATGACAAGCAACAAAAAGTCTATTCAGTGACATGCCCAAGTGAGGCTTGAGCCCAACTCATCTGATTCTGCACATGCCTGTGAGGCAAGGACAGGGAGGGAAGTTGTGGGCCGGGGATTTGTTACAAAATTTCTGAGCACATTTTCTTTAGAACCATTTTCATATGAAAATGCTCTGAAATAGTTTCTATTCCTCCTAAAATATTTATCTTAATCGTCTTAGTGCCAGAGCTGGCACATAGCAAGCACCCAGAGATGGCAGTATTCACTTTCCATCTCAAAGAATTAAAGCATTTAAATAAAATTGTCACTTCGTTCAGTGAAAAACGTATAGACTTAAGAAACATCATTGTAGAGCAATATTGTGGATGCTGCAATACTCCTCACTGTTGAAATAGGAAAAACAAAAAGAAAAACGGAAACAAAAAACAATCTTTTTCCAACATTTAAAAATAGTTCATTACAGGCCAGGTGTGGTGGCTCAAGCCTGTAATCCCAGCATTTTGGGAGGCCGAGGCAGGTGGATCACCTGAGGTAAGGAGTTCAAGACCAGCCTGACCAACATGGTGAAACCCCGTCTCTACTAAAAATACAAAACTTAGCTGGGCACAATAGCAGGTGCTGCAATCCCAGCTACTAGGGAGGCTGAGGCAGGAGAATCACTTGAACCCGGGAGGAGGAGGTTGCAATGAGCCAAGATCATACCACTGCACTCCAGCCTGGGTGACAGAGTAAGACCTTGACTAAAAAAAGAAGAAAAAAATTCATTACAAAATTTAAAAAGGATTGGATTATTAAAGTTGTCACTGGCACATCTAGTTTTCAGCTTGTTTATTTATATAGTAATCTTAAAGCATTACTCTGGTACAGAACTAAAAAGTTAAATAGAAGACATTTTAGATACCCTGTTTAGATGAAAGAATTATCTGAAAGGTGATGCTTTGTTTAACTCTTCAGGAATTCAGGCAGGAAGATTCTGAGTGATATTTGTCTCAGGAAAGAGTTGCAGAGGGAATCAAATGTGTTATTTGAACAATTTATTTACAGTAAGTAGACAGTGTTGGAGCTGACCCCAAGTCAACTGTTTCTGAGATGTACCTCCCACCTTTCCCGTGTTAATCCCTCACAGCTCCATTTCCCAGGCTGCTCCTTGCCCCCTGCTTCCCACGGTCCTCACAGCCACGCTTCATGTCTCAGATTTGTCCCTCTTCTAGATGCAAACTTTTAATTCCAACTTCTTTAGTCCCTGCTTCATGATTATTTCAACACACACACACACACACACACACACACACACACACACACACACACACACACACACGACTAGAACAAATCTTGCCTCATGTGAAAACAGCATAATGCATTACCTATTTTAGGGAACACATGAATATTTTAACCTCTGCCCACACCTAATGCAAAAAAAACGCTTCTAATACTGAAAACTCAGGCACTGGGTGAAGTCTCTGGTAGAAATAAGTACATGAAAAGCTTTGGGTGTGTGTAATTCTCAGTGAAGAAGGCTGAGCCTGAAAAGTAAGCCAAGTAAGCCAAACCTAAAAGTAATAAAGTAATAAAGAAATTTAAACCACATAATTGCCACAGTGTCTTGAAATAAGATGATCAGTTTTGCCTTCTCACTTTCATACCATCCCCACTCTCAGATGCCATGTCAGTGCTTCTCCAATACCAATGTACCAGGGGATCTGGTAAAATGAGGCTCTGGTTCTGTAGATATAGGTGCTGTCTAAGACTCTACACTTTCGTTTTGTTTTAACTTTTTATATAAATGCTTAGGATACAGATTGACATTCTTTTGTAAATGACGGTTTTACTTTTCCCGAAATAGGACATATATGTACTGCTAAAACAGAATGAAAAGTCTTAATTCATTGGAATTCCTGTACAAGGTGCCGAAGCTCCACCCAGCAGCTTCTTTCAGCTATTTTATTATAGGAATAGTGTTCGGTGGGGCAAGAAATACACTGGTCCTAACTGATTTTCAATCCCCTTTCTCCAGTGGGATAAAACACTTTCACAAAGAGCTGCCCTATGTAGAACCCCCAGTTTTCTAGCTTGCAACAAAGTGACTAGGGACAAATAGGAAAAAAAAGTAAGAAAACTAACACTGAAGCAATCATACTTCTCATGTCTCTGAATAGAGAAGTATGGGGAACCTTTAACCATAGGAACTTAAAAATATCCAAGTTAATTACATAGTTCATTCACTATTAGGTAGATTTTTTCGCTTAAGGCTTTAACCCCTTTCCAAACCAACAATTGTCTTAATCCAGCTATGCTTACTAATAAGTGAAATGCATGAACATCCCAGACGTACACTTCACTGAGCCTCTGCATTAGGTACCCGGCAGTGAAGAAGTGTGCTTTCCCAACAAGTCAGCACTGAAGACTGAGAATGAAAACTGCAACTAAAGAAGGATACTCTCTTACCCTGGAAATATATTATCTGCACTTTCCCTACCCTCACATTAGAATACAGATATCCTCCCAACTTTTCATCTCCTATGTTATCTTTCCCTAGGAGATCTATTGTTTGATCTTTTACTACAAGGGTAGAATATATGTTAAGATCACCAAAATTCAATTTTACATGTGGTACAAGGAAAATGGAATGCTATAAAATTAAACCTCATCATCCTGGTAGGGATGCTGGTGCTTTTATACAGAGTCTTTACTGTCGATAAGTGATGCTATCTCCCAAGGAACAGCTCTACAGAAAGTTTTTGGGTCAGTGTTTCCCCCAGCTTATTTCTGCAATGGAGAAAGGCAATTTCATACCAAAAAACCAAACAAACAAACCTGGAAAAGCTACAGATGTTAACTCATACTTTAATACCAACAACATAGATATCTAAGGAGAAAAGATGTAAGAAAAATAGTTCATGCACAGCCCAATGGAGACCAAATGCTACAAATGGAAATTTTAAAGCTCACTGAGTAAAATTTTCTGGATCCAAACAAGTACTACAATACTTTTAAGTCCTCAACTCACAGAATTAAGAGCCCTTAAACTGTTAACTTTGTCCTGTCTTCCTATTTAGAAAAATATCCCCCTCGAATCTATGCAAAAGTAACTGACACACCTGCAGTATGTGACATGAGAGATGTTCTCAACTCTTTTAAAAAGCGAAAGTCACTTTTTATAACCAAAAATGAAAAAGATGCTATAGAGAGAAATAAAATTTCACAAAAGTACAAAAGCAGAGACTGGCTGAAATCTGTAACTTTGTAAATAAGAATAACCCACTCTATAATTAACTCCTCCACAGTCAACAATCTGCTACACATTCCTTGATGAGGAATGACCCTAGTTTACCACAGTGAAACCTGCCACAACTGCAAGGCCAGAGTTCTGTCCCTTTTCTGGTTCTGTGTGGACAGGATAATGCCACCTACTCCAAGGCAGTTAGAGAGACAGATGTGCTCAGGGGAGTTTCGCTCACCAACCTGCTAACTCAGCAGGAGTAAGTTCACCCAAATGAGCTCTGGTCTCCAATGTGTATCTGCGCATAATTTTATGAAGTATCTAAGTATCATTAACTAGTTAATAAAAAAGAATGGAAAACTCTAGACCAAGTAAACTGAGAACTAAAAAAGTGAGGAGGGATACCAATTACATTAACAACACTTTCTTTAAAAAATAGAATCGCTTTTTTTTAAAATCAATTACAGTGGTGAGACATGATTTTCTTTTCAGGTGCCCCACAATGGCACACAGCTTTACCCGGCAAATCCTGCCAACTTCCAAGTCCCAGGATACTGACCAGAATACTGCACGTGGGGTAGCATTACCTTCCAACGGTGTGGAGAAGGGCACATATCACTACTGGGTAGTGAGAGAGTTGACAGAGACTCTAGGCTTCACAATGCCAGACATAGTTGCAGAGCTTTCCTTGTTCTATTAGAAAAGTTCATGAGGAAGCTGTGAATAGGATCAGTCCAGAGAAGTGAAACTCTTATTTTCACTGTCAAAACTTCAGAAACCCTCCCTGTAGGTTTGCCTCTGGAGCACACTGCACGTGAACACTTCCGCGGGGCGAACATTCAGCTGTTTCAGGGTCACATTCCCCTTTCCTGTGGTCTGTCCATAAAGCCCAAATATCTCACCGAGTTTTTCTGCACTGATTGTATCTGTTCTGTCAATTTTGTTACCCAAGATAAGGATTGGCATAGTGGATATTGTTTCATCAGCCATTAAAGAATTAAGCTCAACTTTGGATTCTATAAGGCAAGAATGATCTGCACAGTCCACCAGAAAGATAACCCCATTCATTGCTGGGAGACAATTTTTCCAAACTCGACATGCTTGTTCATGCTGACCAAGGTCAAAAGTTGTAAAAGTCATTCCAACAATTGTTAGCTCTTTTGATGTCAGATGTAGTGTTGGAATATGTTGGCCCAATCTGTCATCTTTGATCATGTGAAGAAGAATGGTTTTGTCTGTATTGTTTAAACCTACGAATAAAAGTTTTCCAGATTTCTTGTTGAGTCCTAGGAATTGGGGCACACTGCTGAAGCCACTGCAGATCCACTCAAAGATGAAAGACATTATAAATATTTATTACACCCCAAGGGGCTCCTCCAGCAAAATGGCAGGTGGCTCGGACCCTCACTCAGAGCATACAATCCAGCTACTTGCTGGATGTATGGGTTCTACATTTTTAACTAGCTCCCAAGTGATAAGATACTGCTGGCCTCTGGACCACATTTTGAGTGGCAAGATACCATGAGACAACCGAATGTTTTATGTTTGGGGATTAGACACTTGGGGCTTATCTAAATCAATGTAACAGGCGGTGATAGGTGCTTCATCCTCTAAGAATCAAGAAGAAAATATGTCATATGAAAGATTTTTTAAACCTATTGCTAATTTTTTTTCTATTTTATCCCTCTTCCCCAAAATATTTCATCATAACTAGATAAACTCCTCATTTGGAGTAGAAGGCTCTCCATGGCTAGCCAAACAATCACTAACTGCTAACTTCATTCTCATCATATAAAAAACTGTGCTCATTCGCTAAAACATTCATTTTTTAAAATAATTCAGTATTTTTTTATCTAAACAGTATAGTTCAGTATAGTCCAGGTCTCTGCCTGGACTTTGCTAACCCTGACTTGCCTTTTCTGCTCCTTCTGAAAAACTGCCTTTGAGTATTAGATCATTTGCAGTCACCATATGTCATATGATCTAGTGTAGCATAAATTAATCACCTAACATTAAGGGTGATTCTTTTATCACAATTCCCAAAAATTAGCAGAAATTTTTAGAGGAAAAATTATACCATTGCAAAAAGTAAAACCTGTTATTATCTTGTTCATTAACAACTTCAAAGCCGCTAAGCTCTTGGCTGTCAATTAGGCTTTCTTTCTGTACGTTGAAAAATATCTTCTCAAGATTGTATATAGAATTGTGGTTAACAGGGACTGATCTGCCCTCACCTTGCCTTGGGTGACATCAGTCGTCCGTGGCTGCAGCCACTGACATCATGCAGTTGGGTGAATGCAAAGGAGCACCTGCTTCACTGTGGAGTCACTGGGGCCAAGTCCTTGATGCCAATTCTGGCACCAAAGCCAAGGGCATTCAGAAACCACACCCCACACCCTTTATCAACTTTCCCATGAAATTCTTAGGAAATCTCAAAAGCAAATGTAAATTTTCAACAATGTTAGAAGCTAGGACTGTTGATCAAAGATATGCCAGATTTCAGGAGGAATTTTTAAGCACAAAGTACAGATGAAGCCTTGAGGCAGAGTAGCAGGACAAGAGATATTGGGAAAATGACATGTCTGTCTTCAACACTGCCCCACACACATGGACACTCCACAAGCAGAAGGAGGCAGCTATCACTCAATTCAAGAAAACAGATTTATTAGGTAGCCAGAGACATATTTTTCCCACCCCATGACTTAAACCCTAATAGTCCTCTGAGAATATGGCAAGCCATATCAGTTGCATGCCTAACAGCAATTTCCTTCTCTCACCATGATAAATGTTAAAAATGTGAATCACCCTCTTTCCCAGGCTCTCTTGCAGCTAAGGTAATCATGTGAATCTGATTTGACCAAGGGGAAAGCTTTCTACGTGGGAATGGGGGCAGCATTACCTCTCCACTACTCTCTCCTTTCTGTCTTTGTAAACAACTCTGTGAAGCTGAAAGCAACCTGCTGAGGATGCTGAGCAAAAGAAAAAGAGATTGAGCTGCTGATCAATCTCTTCTCCCTCTAAGTGCTCTCTGGGTTTTGTGTTTATTCGAGCTGAAAGAAGTGATAGTGACATAAAATAGCTTGAAAGAGTAAGAGAGGGATTATGATACTGTACCCCTAATATAGCTTGAAAGAGTGAGTGATGATAGGACTTATGCACACTTGATCTACTTCTGCTTATAGACAAAAGGATTCCAGCAATATGGTTCCTAGAAAATCACCCTCGTCTGCTTTCAAACCAATTAATCCTGAGTCAACAATTTTGGCGCTTCTAAGCAGTGCTAGACAACTGTGATGCTAAACTGTGTGGGGCTCCAGATGTAGGTGAAAATCATGGATTTTATTTTGGCTCTATTGGGGTGGAAAAACCTAAGGTTAGCATCAATAACCCCAGGCCAAAGGCCAGAGAGTGGTGGATTCTGAAAGGAGATTTCTGGACACCTTAAGTAGGTAGTTTTTGGTTCTGCATGAGTGTACCTCTTCAATCTGCCCCACAAGAGGCCAAAGGATTTGTGCCTTGGAGATCTATAAAATCTCAAGAAGCCACTTAAAGAAGCCCAGGGGAGCCCAGTAAAAAATATGAAGAATAAGGCAATGAATAAAAATGCACAACTACTAAAACGATTGCTGAAGGAGACAGATGACATTTTGATTATAAAAATAATAAAAAATAGAACACTTATGAAGGTTTTAGTGAAGCTCTAAAGAGACATCCTGGGGTAAAAATAATAATTTCCTAAATAAATAATTCAGTAGTAAAGTGAGGAAGAGTGATCTGTATAGGGAACTAAATTAGTAGGCTTGGAGATCAAGTGCAAATGTATTTTAAAATGAATATAATTTTAGACACAAATCATGAAGGAAAGCATAGAAGATTTAAGAAATGATAGAAGTGCTACCAGGTAAAAAGGGAACAGATTAGGGAAAGAAAATAGCAACAACAAAAAAGCTTACCTAGGCTTATGAAAGACCTGAGCCTACAGGTGGAAAGTGTGTTAGAGTTCAAGACTGATAAGAAGACATGCATACCCAGTGTATCCCGGTACAATGCCTGAGCTCCTGGGTTTATGAGAAAACTTAAATGTTGCTAAGGTTTGGATGTGATTACCCCCACCCCCTGCCAAAACTCACGTTGAAATCTGATTCTCACTTTGGTAGCATTAGGAGGTGTGGCCTAATGGGAGATGTTTGGATGATGGGGGCACTGCCTTCATGAATGCCCTCTCCAGTGAGTAAGTGAGTTCTCTTGTGGGAATTGGTTAGACTCTCCTGTGTGCCTTTTTGCATGTGCCCACTTCCCCTTGCACTTTCTACCATGAGTTAAAGCAGCATAAGACACTCACCAGATGGGCTGCTCAATCTTGGACTTCACAGCCTCCAGAATTGTGAGCCAAATTTGAGCCAGAATTGTGAGCCAAATAAATTATTATCTTTATAAATAACAATAAATTATTATATTTATAAATGACCCAGTGTCAGGTATTCTGTTATAGCAACACAAAATCAACTAAGACAAGTGTTAAAAAATATTTTCCCCCAAAAGAAGAAGAATTACATTTCTCATCCACATAACTAGAAACTTTAAGACAGTAGATGAAGACTACTAATAACCAAGAGGGAAGACTGTACCTAAGGAATCCTGTCTTTAATTAAAACATCATGCACATTACAAGGAACAGGACGACATCAATGATGGCAAGTATTTTAAAAAGATGTTGGCAATGTATCTCAACTGAGTGCAACACTGGAGAAAGAATTAATTAAACAATAAATGAAACTGAGCAGAATCCTCAAGATTGAGAAAAGGGAAAGGATACAGTGAGATTGAAACTGGGTTTCTGCTAATCCATACAGCACATTTGAGTGTGGAAATAAAGACCACCAGAGTCAGCACAAGTGAAGACTATTTATTCAGCACGTCCTACAGCAAGGGGGTCAACTACCATCACTTGTGTTTGACAGAAGCTCAAAAGCAGGCAGAGGAGTGGGAGAACTTTATGGTGGAGAAAAGAAAAAGGGAAAGGTTCAGGTATGCCCTGATTGGAGGCTGTTGGAATGGGAAGCTGTAGGCAGGCTAATTAGAAGTGCTGCATCCTATATAATTGGTTAGGGAAGCATATTTGTATTTCCTTGGTTGACCTTAAGTTGACAGTGGGACAGAGAGGAATTAGAAAAGCTTTCAGCTGTTCACGAAGTCCTGGCCATTTTGGGCCAACTGCTAGAGGGGCTATGGTTTGGTTTCCTGAACTGGTTGTTGCAGATAGCATGTCATGGTAATTGAAAGAAGTCGGGCACAAAAAGACACAATTATATGATTTAATTTATATGAAATATCCACAGCAGGTAAATCCACAGATAAAGAATGCAAATTAGTATTTCCCAGAACCTGAGTGGGGGAAGAGGGTAGAGATAGGAATGAGGGTTGATTGCTTAATGGGTACAAGGATTCTTTTTGGGATGACGAAAATGTTTCAGAACTGGATAGAAGTGGTGATTACACATCATTGTGAATGTACTAAATGCCACTGAATTTCCACCTTAAAATGATTATCTTATGTGATTTTTACCCTGGGGAAAGAAAAAGTTTCATAGATAATATTCCAATCACCAGGAAATTGAGGAACATTCTCCTAACACTCATATCAAAAGGAAAATTACAATCTATTGAAATGCGATAGAAATTAAATTACTTCATTATTAGATGGAAAAAAGACATAAATTAAGAAATTAAGTACATAGTACCTAAATAACTTACGTAGAAAAGTACAATATAAACCAAAGAAATGAGGAAGGCAGTAATTAATGAAGATAAAGGATGAAATTAAATAGAAGACAAAAGCTGGTTTGATGGAAAGACAAAACAGATCAAATGTTTGAGATCTTTGTTAAAGACAATATAAATATACATGATTTGAAATGATAAAGGAGATGTGTCACATACTTGGAAGAGGTTTCAAGCAATCCCTCTTCTGGGTATATACCCAAAGGAAATGAAATCACCACCTGATAAAGATGTTTATGCCCTCACACCCATTGAAGCATTATTCTCAATAGCCAAGATACAGATATGGAAACAACGTAAGTGATTGTTGACAGGTGAATGGATATAGAAAATGTGATATACATCCACTATATATGTGTGTGTGAGCATGTATGTGTATGAGTGTGTGTGTGTATATTTATATAGACATTATTCACCCTTTTAAAACAGAGATTGTGCCATTTTTGACAACATGGATGAACCTGGAGGACATTATGCTAAGTGAAATAAGCCAGACACAGAAAGGAAAAACACTGCGCGATTTCACTTACATGTGGAATTTAAAACAAACTAATAAACAAACTCTAATACATAGAAATAGACAGTAGAAAGGTGGTTACCAGCAACAGGGGCATAAGGGTGGAGAATGGGGAAATGTAGGTAAAAGGGCATAAACTTGCAGTTATGTAGGATGAGTAAGTCCAGAGAGCTAATGTGCAGCATGAGGACTGTAGCTAACAATATTGCATGATATACTGGAAATTTGCTAAGAGTAGATTTGTAAGTACTTTTACCACAAAAAAAAAATAACTATGTGAATTGATAAATATATTGTTTGACTGTAGTAATCATTTCACTATGTAATGTGTATATCAAAACATGTTGTTCACCTTAAATATATATATAATTTTGGAATGCTATTTTAATACTATAAAAATAATTTTTAAAAAGAGTGCTACTTCAACAACTAACAAAAAGAGAAAGATAGAAACAGATCATTGTCTAGGAATGATTATTTTCTAGCATAATAACTCAAGGCAAAATACAAAACTTAATAGACTAGTTAAAGAGAAAAGATTCTTTGGTTTGCTCATTTAACACATGTTTATTCAGCACCTATGCTATTACAAGCATTGTTGTAGAGAGTAAAAGAGACAAAAATTTGGAAAAATCATAGAAGATCTAACATTGACAAAAAAAAAATCCAAGATTAATTGAGTCTGACTTTAAGGGAATGATATTGATAACGTTTAGATTAGTACAGCCCTAGAAAAATTATCCCTAATTTATTTAGCCAAGCAAAAATAAATTTTGTTAAATATCAATAGAGATGTTACAAAATAAGTAATTCAGTTCTCAAATAAGCTAAATATCAATCTTTCTTGCGATTACATACGCAAAAAATTCTACATAAAATATTAACCAACAAAATTCAGTTCTGCAGAAAAGAATAATGTGTTTTCCTCCCTAAAATAATAAATGCAGATTCATTGAAATTACCTAGGAATCTTTTCAATGTAATTGTATTCAAAAATGAGTGAGGCATGATATGAAACAGCTGATGGAAGCACAATTTCATACAGAAATAAAAATGATTTTTATGGATACGGGTATAAGACTGAATACAAATCTCAGCACAATTGTAAAAGGGAAATTTTAATAAGAATTGGTGTTGAAAGCACAAAAGAGGAGTAAAATGTTCTCATTTTCTCATCTAACTTAGGGAAATTGAGAGACTTTCATTAATTGATGATACTAATATTTTGAGAATTTAAGTTGATATATGATATTAAAACATACTGAGGTAAGCACTGCACTTGGAAAATAAAGGTATAACTTATACTATATTGCTTTTAAAAGGAGGGGGGAAGAAAATATAACAATTTGCCCTGCCAGTGATTGAACTCACGATCTGGGGTCCGGTCTGTCAAGAAGTAGCAACCCGAGTCAGCCTCTTGACTTCGGAACAGGGGTGGAGACTGCCTGATATAAACCTCTCATGTCTGAGAATATAGAAGAAGAAAATAAAAATGTAAGATCAGAAATGAAAAATGTAGGAAATGTAAAACAATAGAACAGGTAAATACAACAGTGGACTTTGAAAGAATAAAGTATGTCTGTTTAATCATTAAAAGAGACACAAAAAAACTTGAAATGAGAAAAGAGATAAAATAATCTATAAGAAGAATAAAAAATGTGATATATTTCATGCTACTATGAAAATTTAATTCTTTTCATAATCCTTTCAGTTAGATATTCTTATTTTGAGTAACTTGTCTAGGGTCACACAACAAATGAACACCAGAGCCTGGAATCAATGTTGGCTTGGATGGCCATAGAGTTATATTCTAAGCAGCTTTGACAGTTTTTCTTTATTTTGTGAGATGTTAAAAGTGTGATATAAAAATGGAGATGGGATTCTATAGTAAATGAGTTTGGGGAACATCGTATATTCTATTCGCCTTTTAGAGACTGATATTGTTGAGTAGCAGATTAAAGGTTCAGTGTCATAAAATAAAGAAAGTTATGCAATTTTGCAAAACTTTATTTCCAGGAACTTTCAGTTATGCTGTACTTTATAAGAGGAACATCATTACAAAATGATTGTCATAGAATAATGGAAATATATTTTCAAATACTCAGCTATTTAAAAAGACATGGTTCTCAAGAGTCTTATGGGCAATTTCCTTCAAACTTCCAAGTAACATAATATTCATATAAATAAACCATTCCAGAGCATAGGAAGAATTTAAATGAACCGTCTCAGCGAACTTAGCCAAGCTTTTTAATCAAAAACTGACAAAGACTGTTCTATAAAAGAAAACTATAGGCAAATCTTGCTTATAAATAAACAGATAAAAATTTAAATCAAATACCAGCTAACTTAATCCAACAGTGTATAAAATAGATTATACCATCAGTAAATCCACATGTTAAAAAATTACTACTAGGAAAATTTGATAATCTATATCATCATATTAATAGAACAAATGCCAAAGAGTTTTGATAAAATTTCATACCACACCTTTAAAAAAATCTTTTAGTAGCATAAAAATAGGTATGTATTTCTTCAAAATGATAAGAATATATATATATGAAACCAAAGCCAACAGTAAATTTAATTATAAACTTCAAACAGAGTCTATTTAATTCAGGGTTCAAGAATTCCTAAGGCAATTATCGCAATTCAATATCATTCTGATCTATTAAACAAAATTAGAAGAGCAATTTTAATTTTATTTAATTAGAACAAAAGAATAATGCTATTAGAATATATAAACAAATATTTTATTTTTATGTAGGTAAAAGTTGGAAAGAACTTAAGTGTCCATCAAATAAAGATCAGTTTGGTGAATTACAGCACAATCTCACAGCCATTAAAAATAAATTTTTTGAATACTAAAACTCTTCTTGATATTCTTGAAATTTCTTGATAACATATTGTAATGCAAAAATGTTAGTTATGAATTCACTCATTGAACAGATATGTGCCAAGCCCTGTTTTACATAATGGAGATAGAAGAGTTAAAAAAAAAAATCTGTCCTCAGGGAGCTTATGTTCTAGTGAGGAAATGCAGAAACACAAATAAAAAAGGTAAATGTATCTTTCTATTTATTTTCATATTCATTTAACCTCTCAAAGAATAATATGTCTAAATATCTAAAATATTATGGTCAGTTTGATCTTGATTTTCATAATTAATTCTTTACTATAGAAATATATAAAAGATCAGAAGCTTAAACATCAAAATATAAAGTGTGGTTATCTCTGAACATTATAATTATAAATGATTTCATAGTTGACATGTCTTTCCTGTTTTTCAAAAATAAGTTCTACAATGAATGTGTATCCCTGCAGAAATATAAAATTTAAAGTCCAACAGAGGTCATCACAATTTTTCATTCTTTTTTTATTTATTTATAAATTCTGTGTTATTTATAACACAGAATGCTAATAATCAAATGGCCTGTATTAGACCAAAATGGCAATAAAGACCAATTGTAGTGTGATTTATCTGTATTATGTTGTGAGGAAAGCCATAGCAAAGTTAAATTTGAAAACTGCGCTGCTCTGCAATTAAAATAAATTATATGTAATCAAAAACAGTAAAGATTAAGATCAACTGCTAGTTACAATGGTATCCAAACCATACCCTGCCCCCAAACACCATGTTATAATTTGCTAAGCTGAAAGAACAAACATATATTATTTGTAGAGCCAGACATATGATTATCTGGATAAAAGTATGTGCACCAACCCTGTAAGGTATAATCCAATACATTGCTACATAGCTGAAAAGCCAAATTCAACTCATTCTTATCTCTCTGACTCCTGTTTATGAGTAAATTTCATTAAGAATTTTGTGTAACTATAACCTTGGAAAGAATATATGATGCTTTTATTACTCATTTGCAACATACAGAGTTCTATCCAAGTGCAGCTGTTCTGTTATATATTCTAATATTTTGAAATGTTACAGAGAATAACAACAGCAGTGTTTCATAAGAAAGATGGAAATTTATGTGCCCTGTGCCACCGTAAAATACAGTGATTATGTGGTAAATGAAAAAAGAAGAGTGGGTTGGCACCTGTAGGGAGAGCAAAAATTCAATAATATTTTCTAATGGTTCCTTCTATCAGGAAAATAAAGGAAATTATCTTGACAAATCATATGAAAGAAGTTGTATTCCCTGAGAGCAGAGGCAGACCGGCTAACTGTTGAACATTTCTCAGGTTTAGATTTGTGCTTTACATGGAATTAATTCCTTCTTTCCTCGCTCCCTCCCTATTTCCATTCCTCTCTTCAGCATTGATTTACTGAGCACATACTATGACAGACAAACACTTACTGAGCACTCACAATGGCAAACAGGTTCCACATACAAAGATTAAAAGAGCATTGCCCTTGCCTTCAAGTAATTCACTTTCTAGTTGGGAAGCTAGTATTGGAAAAAAATATTTCAATAATTATACATTTAAAAATGTGTGTGGCTATTAAATAGAAAAAAGAAGGTAGGAATTAACAATATCTGGGGGTCAGGGAAAGTTTGATACAGAGGTTGCTACCAGACTGTGATTTTTCACTATTCTGACCTTTGAAAGAGCACAGATCAATCAATGCCTTTTTTTTGACAGGACAGACATGGCATATATGAACATGCAGCACTGTGTTTTTGTCTTTTTTTGTGTCTTTATCTGATGGCATGGTTCCTGGGCACTTCCTCATCTGGGAAGTCCTCCTCCAGCTTCACCCAAATCAATGTATGTAAATATCCATTCAGTATTAACTGTCTAACATGCTGGTCATTGTTCTGGGCCCCAGGGAGCAATATGTTCTCAGGCACTTTCCATTCCAGTGAGAAGGGCAATAAAAGAATAAATTAAAGAAGCTAAAATGAGAGTGACTTCAGTGTGGGAGAAATGACATTAGATCAAGGAGCCTGGAATGTCTCTTAGAGTAGGAGTTGGCAAACGCTGGCCTGCCACCTGTTTTTGTGAATAGAATTCACTTGAAACCCAGCCACACTCATTTATTTACTTATTGTCTCCTGATGAGTTCATGCTGTAATGGCAGATTGGGTAGTTGTGGTGGAAGCTATATGACTCACAAAGCCTAACATTTTTACTATATGGCCTTTATCAAAAAAGCTTGCTGACTACATTTGAAAGGAGAGAAATGGATGTTACATCTGAAGCCCAAGTGAAAAGAACAAGTGTATTAGTCATCTATGACTGCATGAGAGATTACCTCAAGACTTAGTGGCGTGAAACAACAGAACATTTGTATTTTATTGTTTCTATGGGTCAGGACCCAGGTGTGGCTTAGCCAGGTCCACTGGCTTGAGGTCTCCCACAAGAAGGCAAGCAACATATCAGCCAGTCAGGCTGCCATCCTCTCCAGGCTCAGTGAGAAAAGGGAATGTGTTCAGACTCCCTCACAGGCTGTTGACAGGTGTCAGGGCCTCCCTGCCTATCAGCTAGAGACGTCATTTCCTTGCCACCTGGGCTACTCACAACAGAGCAGCGGGCTTCCCTCAGACTTAAGGACTGGAAGGTGTGGGAGTGAAAAGTAGATAGAACCCCAAACAGAAGTCACCTACTCTCAAAAGGGACTTCTCACCAATTTTGCCACATTCTATTCACTAGAAGTTGAGTTAATAGGTGTAGCTCATGCACAAGAGGAGGAGTTACACATAGACGAGGACACCAGAAATGAGGACCATGCGAAGCCCTACTAAAGGCTGATGACCACAAAAGGTCATTCGAGGAGGAAGAGCTTGGTTCAGGTGGCAGAAGTAAGTCTTCCGGGAACATTAAAGCAAGTGTCACTGGATCCTGTGGAAAGGAAGGCAGATATCAGGGAGATAGGTCTGAGAGGTTAGACCTCGATTATGTGGGTATGAATAAATCATGGAAAAGAGAGCGGACTTTATTCCAAGTGTAATAGAAGGCCATAGAAGGCTTTAATCTGGACAGGTAACATGCTTAGATTTATGTCTTTAAATATTTATTTGATTGAGTAAAATAAACTTTACTAACTAAGCCAATATATTTCATTTCACTTGCCATGAGAATCCCTGGAAATGTGGATACTGAGCATGTTGGCTACTGGAAGATCCTTTAACTTAACTAATAATGATGGATCAAGTACACATAAGCGGTTGAAAGGTAGCTTGGTCAATATGGGTATGACTATGCAATTGTTTCAAATTAACCAGATTTTCGCGAGATAAAACTGGAATTTGAAATTTTATCTAAGTTGTATTTCATGATTAATTCAAATTTATTTTACAAAAGCTCTATTGTGGCTGGCACTATCCATTACTGTAAATATACACTAGTATGTTGTCATCCATTTTTTGATAAAATGCTTCTTAACTACATCATATTCTTTCCTGACTCCAAACATTCCTTTTCCTCATCTATACTAGAATAAAAAGAGACACTTGATAGAGCCTACCAAATAAATATTCAAAAATTGGTTAATTCTAATTTATATGGGAAGGTAGTCCACTTAATTTTTATACAACTTTATTGCAGTATAATATCAATACCATACAATCCTCCACTTCATTTCAAATTTATTTTCTACATATTAGTGACAATATTAAGACACTTTTTCCAGGGTAAATAGAATTGTGCAGAAAAAACAATAGAGAAGATGTATTTTGAAAATTCAACTGAAAGTTTCTAATGATCAGTTTTGAATCACAAGAAATATTCACTTCTTCCATGAGTTATTTTTCTGTTCACCTCTGTAATACCTACAATTCTCTAAAAAGCATATTACTGTTTGCCTGTTGCTCACTCAACTGAGCAAATATTTTCTGCACAGTACAAAAGCTGTGGGAATGTAGGTATGTTTAACTTAATGTTCACTCAGATGTGGTCACTCAACACTATGCATTGAGCAATATGTGGCTAATGCAAGTCCACTGTCCCTTTTCTAGCTCATACTCTTATAACCTGTTTACACCAATTTTTGAACCCCTATGGAGCCTCCAGTCTATTGAATTATTACCTTTTCACTGTCCTCAGCTTCCTTGTTACTTTACCTTAATTCTTTAGTCCCTCCTTATAGTCACTTCCCACCCTCAATGTTCTTGCCCCAATCTTCATCGTCTCTCAAACTCTCCTGGTTGAATCCAACTTTCAGACTTTTCTCCATCTGCACTATAGCAGGTGGATATGACTGCAGAAAAATGCATTTCTTTGCTAACATCTCCCTTGAACTTCATGACAACAACCATCACAGCTACCCAGCAGTCCTTCCATTTTTCATTGTCCCATTGTCTCTCCCATTCTCTCAAAGGATTAGTTTACCCGTTCCCTTTTCTCCTCCAACAGGCAAAACACCCTCCCTGCCCACCAATCTCAGCTGATTAGCTTGCATTTTTATTTTATTGCATAAATAGGTGCAAAGAAAAGAGAGCATCCATATCCACCACCAAATCACCCCTCCTCTTAAGGTCAGTCCTTCCATTTGTGCATTGTACCCCATATGATCTTTTCTATTCATGGCCTTTGCTTTTACAATCATCTGTTCACTCTATTGCATCATCAATTTCATCCACTTCTTAGACAATTCCCTTTAACAACTTCCCTTGTCCCAGCATCCCCTTCTAGTATTTTTCTGTTCTTTACAGCAAAATTCATCAAAAAGTTTTGTACTCTGCTTCATCCACTATTCTCCACCTAGTTCCTTTGAATCTATTCTATCGCTTTACAAAAAAATGCTCTTTTCTCAGTCACCCACGACCATTATATTTTCAAATTCTATAATCAGTGCTCAGTCTTTTTCTCTTTGAGTCCTTCAAAAGCATTTGTGTCTGTTGATCAATCCTTCCTTCATGGAGTGTATTTGAATTGGCCTCTGAATCTTCATGTTCTAATGGTTTTCCTTCTATTTCTCTGGTGACTCTTTTATTAGTCTTCTTTGAGAATATTCTGATTTTTACATGTTGTAAAGACACAAAGTTCAGTCCTCAATGCTCTTTTCTGTCTATATTCCCCTTAGCTGAATTCCTTCATTCCACTGGTTTTAAATACTGAGTCTATGTGGATGGCTCCAAAACTTGTATCCTGTTCTTGACCTATCTTAAATTCCAGCATCCAGTGATATCCCATTTCCATGTGGTATTTTCACTGACCTCTTAATAGACATCCCAAATGCGACATGTTCAAAACTGAAATATTGATTTGCTCCCTCTAAACGTGACACCACAGTGCTTGCTATCCTCATTAATGGAATCTCATTTACTTATTTGTTATAGTCAAAACACCCGGAGTCTCCCTTGACACCCGTTCTTTCTTTTCCACAGATCTATCAGCAAATCCTGACAGCTTGGCCTTCAGAACCTTTCTCACATTCAGCAACTTCTTAACAACTCTACCACTACCACCCTTGTCCAAACTGCCAACTTCACTCACCCAAACTATTGCAAACTGACATCCCTGCACACACTCTGTCACCCCTACAATAGAGCTTGGGAATAAAAGCACAGATTTTGAAAGTGCATTGCAAGGATTTACATCCTAAATCAGCCACTTACCTGTCGTATGACCCTGGGCAAGTTATTTAGTGTCTTAGTGCTCAGTTTCCTCACCTGTAAAATGATGAAGATAGTGTATCTAACTCATAGAGCTGTTGTGAGAACTTCATTACACAATGTAAGTAAGGCATTTTGAATTCAGTGTGGCAAATAGTAAGCAATACATAAATGTCAGCCATTATTCTTATCATTTTTATTATTAATCTACTCTCTATATAGCTAAAGAATTATTCCTTAAAAATCAAATTATGCCAATCTCTTTGTAATACTCAAATAATGTCCCCTTATATGTAGAATAAAATGTAGAATTCCTCCAGGCCTGTGTTGTCTGTCTGCCTGTCTCTCTCACATTTCACCCCCTCCAACCTTCCCCCTCACTTTATCCCTGCACCCAATCTCCTTGCTTTTGCTTGAACATCCCAATAATTCATTCCCTTTGGGATTAGAAACTTCCTCTCTAGCTATTAGAATATTAGAATGACTTGCTACCCTTCTTCTAGCTCTTGACTTAATTCTTCTTTTTTTTTTTTTTTTTTTTTTTTTTGAGACGGAGTGTCGCTTTGTCGCCCAGGCTGGAGTGCAATGGCATGGTCTCGGCTCACTACAACCTCTGCCTCCTGGGTTCAAGCAATTCTCCTGCCTCAGCCTCCCAAGAAGCTGGGATTACAGGTGCTCGCCACCACGCCCGGCTAATTTTTGTATTTTTAGTAGAAACGGGGTTTCACCATGACACCATGATGGCCAGGCTTGTCTCGAACTCCTGACCTTGTGATCCACCCGCCTCGGCCTCCCAAAGTGCTGGGATTACAGATGTGAGCCACCGCACCCCGCTGACTTAACTATTATTCTTATCATTTTTATTATTAGTCTATTCTCTACATAGCTATAAGAATTACTCCTTAAAAATCAAATTATGCCAATTATCTGTTCAAAATACTCAAATAATGTCCCCTTATATATAGAATAAAATTCAGAATTCCTCCAGGCCTGTATGAGTTGTCTGTCTGCCTGTCTCTCTCACATTTCACCTCCTCCAACCTTCCCCCTTACTCTCTCTCTGTACCCAATCTCCTTGCTTCTGCTTGAACATTCCAAGCATTCATTCCCTTTGGGATTAGAGACTTCCTCTCCAGCTGTTAAATGACTTGCTACCCTACTTCTTCCAGCTCTTGACTCAGAGTCACCTTCTCTACATTACCATCCCTTGCCACACTATCTCCAATGACCACACAAGTTCCTATTTCCATTCCTAGTTGTTTTTCTTGTAAGGACTTATTGTTATCTAATTTACCATAAGTTTCAGTAGTTTACCTCATTTATTGTCTGTCACCTCTTCTGGATTGTAAGTTCCAAAGACACAGAGATGTTTGTTTGTGTGTTGTTCTCTGCTATTTTCCCAGTCCCAAAAACAGTGCTTAACACATAGTAGATGCTAAAAAAATATTGTTTGAATTACTGACTATAACTGTGTGAGAAACAAAAAACTTGTATCTTATTAAAATAAGTATTCATTAACAAATAGTGGCCCTTGAGTATTACAAAAGTAATAGCAGAAAAAGCATAAAAGATTTAGAAGAAATATTTAAGAAAATCAGGGCTCTCCCTGGGAGACATAGAGGCTAAAAAATTTGGATAAACCATTTTAGTGTTAATACATGAGTAATAGAATTCTTGAAAGAGATAAGGGAAAAAATATTGGAGAGAAAATTATTAGAAAAAAGATTAACAAAATGAAAAACATATATACTTCTAGTTTTAAAAAGCTTACCAAAGACTCAATAAAGCAGAGGTAAAAATACATTACATCAAAGCCTATCACTGTGAAATGTTAGAATACTGAAAATATGAAGTGCATCCTAAAAGCTTCAGAAGAAGAAAAAAAAATCAAGTCACAGACAAGTGATTAGAAATCAGATGTCTCAACAGCAGTAATACTATAGAAACTCGAAAGCAATAAAGAAAATTCTGAAAGAAAATAAGTTTCATCCTATGATTCTATGTTCAGTGAAACCATCAATCTAATGTGAAAGGAGAAGTACTTATACCACATGCAAGTTCTCAAAAAAAGAGACCACTAAATTCCTTCCTTCTTTTTTCTTCTCTTCTCTTTTCTTTCTTTTCTTTTGCTTGCTTGCTTTTTTCTTTCTTTCTTTTCTTTCTTTCTTTTCTTTCTTTCTTTCTTTCTTTCTTTTCTTTCTTTCCTTCCTTCTCTTTCTTTCTTTCTTTCTTTCTTCTTTCTTTCCTTCCTTCCTTCCTTCTTTCTTTCTTCTTTTTTTTTTTTTGAAACAGAGTCTTGCTCTGTTGTCCAGGCTGGAGTGCAGTGGCATGATCTCAGCTCACTGCAATCTCCGCCTCCTAGGTTCACATGATTCTCCCTGCCTCAGCCTCCCAAGTAGCTGGGATTATAGGCGTGTGCCACCACTTCCAGCTAATTTTTTGTATTTTTAGTAGAGGCAGGGTTTCGCCATATTAGCCAGGCTGGTCCCGAACTCCTGACCTCGGGCAATCTGCCCACCTCAGCCTCCCAAAGTGCTGAGATTACAGGCATGAGTCACCGTGCCAAGCCAAATCCATTTGTTGGGACATCCATTTCTTAGGACATTTCTGGAGGTGTGCACCACTAAAACGATAGTAAATCAAAGGAGAAGAAAATATGAAATCCTGGAAACAAGAAAGCCACTATAGTAAAAAGGACAGAGAATAATATTTCGGGGGAAATAAAGGGAGATCAAAGAATCACCAGTGGAGAATCTGAGAAGGAAGATGGAGGGCTCAAGGGGAGAGACCAGGAAGCCGAATTAAGCAAGATACCTGATGTGTTTGAAATTATTGAGAGAAAGATTACATGAATGGCAGAAAGTCTCAGGACGAATTAGTGATGAGCACCTAGGAAATGAAGCCAATGAACATATAACACAATTAATATAGGGAAAGTAAAAACTTTGCTCAAAATCAGAATTGAAAGCAGCAGTAGTTAATAGTTTAGCATATTCATAATAACGTAAAAATGATTTATCCTATCAAAATTTATGTTATAACTCTATTAGGTTGATTGGAGGAAAAGAGACTGTGTTTGTGTGAGTGTGTGTGCACATATGTGTGTGTATGCGAGTATGTGAGTCAATATGCATGTGAGTGTGCAGTTTTGTGTCTGTCTGACCAGGAGGTTGGATGGTGTGAAAGGAAGCCAAAGTCACATCTTTTGCTGTGGAAATTTAAGATGAAAAATCAAGAAACACTTAAATGTTTTTATAAATAAAGTTAAATACTAAATATGTAATCAACTAAATAGCTAAAAGTTGAAAATAATTCACTTTGAGAAGTAGGTATGTGTTTTATATATTTGGGGGAATAGTAGATAGAAGATAGCTCTTCTTTTAAAAATAAAACTTGTTGAATTATTTGACTTTTCCAACTTACTTGTATCACTTGGAAAATGATATAAATTAAATAATATAAAGAACTCACACTTTGGAAAATATGTATGGATTGCGGGGTTTACTTTCCAGATGAAACACATCATGCTAACTTTCCAAACCATCCTCGATGATCCTAACCCTATTACCTTTCATATAACTCCAACAAACTATTGTTTTGTCCTACATTCACTAGTAAGTATAACTCAATATCTCATCTACCCCACCCACAAAAAGTATCTCCGTAGTGCAGAGAGTGGATTAAGTAACAAAGCATTTTCACATATACCATCTCACTTTACTTTTTGTATAAACCTAGTGAAGTAGGCCAGGACATTATCACCATTTTACAAACGTGCAAACTGAAGATCAGAAAGGTTAGCAACAAGCTGTGTTCAGATCCCATTGTTGATGCTTTGCCTTATGTTCATTCAGCTGTATCATGTGTCATGTCCAGTTCTTTTTCCCCATGGTACATGATACACATAAAGAGCTATTGTAGCCAATGAACCACACACAGTTCCACTGTGTTTTGGAGGCCCAATATATAATTTGTCTGGTATTCCACCTGGACTAAGATCTGAAGCTAATCTGGCTTTAGGCCTATATAGCAATATCCACACATGAACTGTTAATAATTTGGCGGTTTCTCTCATAATTATATAAAATATTTTTCTTTCTTTTTTTCCCATAATAAATACCTTACATTTCTAAAGAGGCAACGACCTCTCACTGAGGCTGAGGATACGACCACTCACAACATTTTCATCAACTTTTACCCTTTTTAAGGTTCCAGAGTCTTCTTTTTCAAAGAATCCATACAAATTTTAATTCATACTACTAATACATAAAAATTCATGTTTGATAGAATACTGGAATTCAGTCCACCATGGAGTGACTTATTGACATTTGAATAAGAAACTGATGAATGACAAGAAATCTATTTAAATTATAAAGTTATCCACCATAAAATATAGGATGGTCTGATAATTTCCTTGATATATGATGACATAGTTTGAAGGTAGATATTTCTTTAATGTCTGGAAACGTTCCAATGCCAAAGACAGAATAAAACGTCTTCATATATAGTCTCAAATTCTAGGTATGACATATGTCTTTATTTTGTAAGTAATACATTATTGAAAGTGATGAAATAGAAAAATAAAATGATGCTGGGTTGTTTTGTAATCCAGTCTCTACACAAATTCATTTGTTGTAGTAGCAACCTAATGAAGTAACAGCTACAGCTATTAAAAATGTAATGTTAATTCAAAATATTCAATAAGATTGATGAATGACACAAAGGCATCACAGATTAAAGCACATCTTCCAATTGCAGATAACTTTTTCTGGGGAAATATTTTGTACTAGAAAAGACACTGGGTCAAAATGTACACTATTCATGACAGAAACCTATGTTTCTTGTGGAACCAGTTTGTAACATTGATGCTTTGCTGTCCTTTAGAATTGAGGTCCCTCAACATAAACCTTGGAAACAAATGTGTATCTTGCTGCAATATGGCAAAAAAAGGTTAGCAAGCTTTGTAATGTTTACATTTCATTTAGACGTATATCTAAGAGTATAGCAGTGTTTTGAATTGTTTCTTTATTATGCAAGATCACCCCTTATGCTTCATCAATTAAATTTATCTTGTATCATGAATTCTTTTTTTAACCCACTCAACTGAAAAATAAAACAATTACTAATGCTTAAAGTTAATAAAAAACAAAATAATCTATGGTTTTCATTTACACGGATATCTTTACCATTTTCCAGGTAAGAGAAAATGGTCCTAATATCCTCTCATTTTTCCCCCTAGAACATTATTTTTAGAGGATTCCAGTGACCAGCAGTGGAGAATATAACCCTCATTTTCTTCCCCAAGGAGAAAAGTCCCATAAAATATTTTTTAATTCTCTAAAACTATTAGCTTAGAATTCAAAAACTCAAAAGACATATTTACCAACTACTAACTGGAAAATATCTTCTGAGTCATAAGCTCGGCAGTGTCTTTTGTGAAATTTTTATATTTAACAAATTCTTCATGTTCCTTATGATTATAGAATTACAAAGTGCAAATAAAATTTCTAAACTCCAGAAAAAATAGTTCCAGCCTATACCAGTTACATCTGAATGTGCACCTGTGCCCCTCTGAGTGAGCAAAGAGAGTGTGGGATTCTTCCTACCATTATTCCTGATTAGACCATGAATAAGATTGTTGATTGAAAGCCTAGCCCTGTGATCTTATTCTTGGGTGTCCTGGCTTCAAAATATGAGCTGGAACAACTGCAGTCTTGCAAACACTTTCTAACAGGCAGTGATGAGCTCCTGGCCAGAGTCCTGCACACCAAGAAGACTTGAAGGAAGCTGACTGGGAACTGATGGAGAAGAAAGCAAAAAGAAGTACATTGTAGGAAGCACAGAATTCATAAAAAGGAGAGATAGAGATGGAAGAGGGAGCATTCTCAGTTGCTCTTCCAAAGGTCTTCAAATTCAGCCTGTTCTGGATTCTTATGGAGATCTTACAGAGATTTATAATAACATCCTCCCATTTTTTTTTCTTAAACACTTTGAGTTCATTTTCTACTTTTTATAAGTAAAAGAAGCTTGACTAAGACATATGATAAGGTGGTGGTTACTATGTTTCCCAGCAGGGCAAGGTGTTAGTGGTGTGACCCCAGACAGATCATTTAATCTCTCTGAGCCTCAGTTTCCACATAAGTAAAATGAAAAAAACAATCTGCCATTCATGCAATTTTATTATAAAGATTTTTAAAATTGTATATAAATCTATCAGGTTTCTAATGCAGAATAAAGACACAATAAATGATGTCTACTTTATCACTATGCAATCAGGTTGTATATCCTTCATTTAGCCTATGTAAACCTTTTTATTTTTTACATTTAATCAAATATAAGTTACTAAAAATGTGAAGCTTTCTTATCAAAGGTAATAAGCTATAGTTTCCTTACGCCACTTTTTATAGCCTGCAAGTTTATAAACAATGAAACATATAAGACATGAAAAATACATTTGTTTTTCCTGTGCTGATTTTTCAAAGAAAATACAAATTGGTGACTAAAATGGGTCCATTCTTGCCTTGCATTTTGTTATATATATGTTCACTCCAGTCCAGACACAAGTTTTCTTGGTAGTATCTGGCTATTATTTAGTATCATAAAATTATCTTCAAAAAGACTGACCATTTCTACCATTTTAGAGGATTAAAAGAAGTGCTCAGAGCATATATTAACTACAGGATGCCTTTTCGTAAACACCTACACAGTACCAGATCCATCCCTAAACTACACCATAAGCCAAATACTCATTTATTCATTGAAGTGTCAGCAACACTTTCTTATAAAGACAATAGCTAAATACTTTCTGCATATTTCCTTAGATAAGAATATAGCCATTTCACATAAAGCTTCCATTTTTGTGTGAATACAGAAAATTCATCCAGAATTTGCAAAACAGACATTTAACAGTACAATTAATTCTTTATTTTTCACTTCACAATGGGAAAACAGCTGAGGATCCTTAACTGAAACAATGAGAAGATACACATAGTCCAGAAAACTCTTTCAAGAATAGTAACCCTTAAATGCCTTCCAGTAGGAGGGATTTAGAGAAAAGAAAATGGATCAATAAACTTTCAGTAAACAAATTTCCGGGCAGTCTTTTCTAAACCTAACTCATCAACACATAAAGTCAACAGATCTTTTTTCTTTAAAAAATTCAATGTCATCACAAGAAATATTAAACTTTCTTTATTCATCTTACCCGGTGATATTTTAGTTATTAGACCTTGTGCAGGTTCTTTGTTCTGTGCTAGAACTTCAATCATTTCTGTGCTTATACATTATGATAGTTTACAATGATGATGACCTGAAGCCAAACTAATTCCATCTTGTTCAATGCTTGCTTATTTTAATGTAAATGAAATGTTCAATGCTAACTTGTAAAGCTTTGTTTGTGAATTTAGAAATCCTATAAAATTTACCTTTTCTCCCTCAGTAGCTTTTTGTTTAACAAGACAAATCAGTTCAATTATCTGCTGTTTACAAAAAGAGGAATAAATGCAGTCTAAAAACAAGTCAGAACGTAAAAAAAACAGAAACAAAAACAAAAAACCGTAATTATGTGCAACCCCATTTCACATCACCCACCTGAGATCATCAAGCCACAGGAATTTTTTTTATTGGTTTTGGGATTTTTGTGGAATCATATTTTTTAAATAACACATATGTTATGAGAAAAATCTTTCCTATCAAACAAAATTAAGCAAAGTTATTTCAACACTAGTTATTATCCATGATTTATAAGAATTTTAATTTATTAATACATTATATATGTTTGTTTTATACGTAAAACATGTAAAAGTTCTAAAAAATCATGCCTGCTCTTCCAGGAGCAATGATAAATGTAAATAAATTGCCATTCTTTAATGCTATGATAATAGCTTTAAGGGAGAGTAGAATAAATGCATCATTTTTAGCCCCTCAACCCTTTAGGTAACTGTAGCACTTACCCAATTCTCTCCAATGTAAATTAAAACAAAACTCCAGATTTGCTATTGTGCTACCATATGCAACTTCAAAACAGCTATCAGAAACCAAAGCAATGGAAACCTAAGACATTAACAAAGATTTCCCCATACTTGCTCTTGTTTTATTCAGAAATAAATAGTTGAACAATCTATTTCACTCCACTTAAGTGAGGTATAAAAGCTAAACACATTGTTTTTGTTAGTTTGTAATTCCAAGCAAGAGAGGTTTCATGAAATTCAAAATATACACACAGGTATTACAAAAGCAAGCATACAAGAAGTCAGAAATATAAAGCAATTTGGTGTATAAAATCACTTTATTAAGTTGATAAATTAAACTATGAGTTCATAGTGTTTGTCTTACAAAGAAACCAAGAAACATTTTAAAGGAATCTCCAAGAAAAGTTTTCTACATTTTTATAACATTAAACACTCTCTTTGCTTGGCTGGAAAGAACAATTCAAATTTGAGTAGATCCATTAAATACACAATTATGTCTTTGGTATGTCATATAATCTATATATTTTCAAATACACTTTGATAACATATATGATGACTTTTTCTTATAAGTTTTCAGTAAATACCATTCAAGTCTGCATTTAAGCAGAGGGCATGGGGGCAATTTAGTTAACTGACTTGGAAGAGAGTGAAAGAAAATAACATGAATATGCCCCAAAACTTAATGTGGGTGGAGACTATGGCCATGATATAATTACTTATGGGGGAAATGAAATGGAAATAAGAATTTAAGAGAAGTGGGAAACTATAAATACTTTCTACTTTAAGAGTTATTCCTCAAATTTCTTACCAAAATTGTTATTAAGAAAATTCTTGTCTTGATGTCTGTTTACATGTGTGTTCAACATTTAACCACTTAACCATTATGGCTTTTAAGCAACAAAGTTTAGTAGTCCCTTTGATTTGCTTCAGTATAATGAACACCCTTACTTGGGTTTTAAATTTTGTTTAGATAAAAACGAGGCATGTTAGGATTGAGGATCTTATCTTAACTTCCCAAATCCCTTAATACTCCAAAGCTGCAATGAAAACAGCACTGAGAAAGGGCAATCTGTAAGCCTTTTCTTTCAATCTTAGCTTGAAAGGGGCCTTTCCACAGGACAGTTTTAGGAACAAGCCATAAAAATAAACCCTGCAATATATTATTTAATTTTAAGTGACCATCCCCACTGAGCAAAATGAGTAGTAAAAATAAACATTTGCTCAGTCCCCAGAGTTATGGGTTGAGGTGACATACTCTGTGTCTTAAGGAAGGCCTGGGTTATTTTGGATGGTTCTAAGAAAAAGTTAAGTCTATGAAACATGAATCTTTGCTATCCATTGAAGGTTGTGTTGTTCTGTCCTCAGTTGTATAAATAAAACTCCATCAGTGACTTCTTTTCCTCTTTGAGTCAATGAGAAACAGCTCATAATGGCTGCTTAACCTCACACAGGAAAAAGACTAAATGCAAGTAGCATGAAGTCCTTTTTATCTGGGAGAAAAGCAGTTATCTTTGGTTTCTCTTACTTTTTCACCAGCCTAGCTATTTTAAGTGATTTTCAGGATAGGCCATGAAGAAACATGGTCAGACTATTTTAAAATTTAACCATTTTTTTTTATTTTGCATCTTGGGTAAAACAAGGTGAAAACTTAATGGGATTAGAAACAATCTCTGTGTTTTGGAAATAGTGACCACATCCTGACTGTAGATTTATTTCATGGAGACTTCCTTTCACTCTCCCGTCCCAGTTTAATTATGACCAGGAACAGTTAATCAGTTTGTTTACAAACATAGAAAGGAGGATGTGAGGGCCAATTACAGAAATTAACAATGAAAACAAAATTTTTCTTCCCTGATCAAAGAGACCAAGAGATAAATCCACACTGAGATGAGCAGAGGTCGTTTTCCCTAGGCATTCCCAGCATTTGCAATAAATGGCAAACTCCACCAGGCGCTCAGGCGCTTTGCTGAATGTGACAGGCCTAATCAGATACTATACAGGCCAGACACACGTGAACAATTAACACTTTCCACAGGTCTCTAACCTGCAACCTTTCATTCTGTCTTGATTAACACCCAGTACTCTGATCCACGGACTTTGATAAACAAATCCAAGTAAGATACTTCTAAAGGATGGAAAGGGGTTCAGAAAGTGGCTGCTCACACTAAAGTTTGCCAAAAACTGAGGGATATGCTGGACTCTGTAAAATAACTATATAGTATAAACTAATTATGCATCAGTATGCTACATGTTAAGAATTCCATCTCCTGCCAGATATGTTACATTAGCATACTTACAATAGAATACTGTATTAATAGTGTTTGACATCTTCACTGAGTTCACTTTCAGCTCTATTATTACTTCAAACAGCTCCTCCAAAAACATTCACTGGTTAACTGCAGAATTATGAGTAGTTTGAAGGAGAAAAAAAGAATAGTAAAAAGCTATTTATATTTTTATTGAATTGCTTTTTGAAGAATGATCCTGGATTAATTATAGCATTATAAAAGACGCTACAATTTTAAACACCCTTTTCTGTATTCAGTAACATGTAGCATTAAATTTACAAGACTCTTTCATGAATTACAAATCTGACACAATGAAAATGCTCTAATTTTTGATAGGCTGGTGGTGAAGTGCTTGCGCAATTTCACACCTCATTGAGTTAGCAGAAAAAGCCTAAAATGTATTCATCCAGAGCTTCCTTCAAATGTCTCTAGAGTGTTTCCTGATAGGTGCCATATTTTAAGGATGGGGCCATGTGATTTAATAGAAAAACATCAGCTTTGGCAAAAGGCAAGCTTGGACTTGAATACTTCTTAATTGTGTGACCTAGGACAGGCTGCTTATTCTTTTCTAGTCTTATATTTTCTCATCCACAAAAACAAGGATGATAATATTTTGCAATGATGATTAAGAATTAAAAAGATAACTGTTCCTAGTCTTGTATCTAATTCAAATATAAAAACTGCACTGAGAAAATATTTCCACATTCTCATTTCAGTTACAATAAATTAAATAATTCATTAAGCATATTTTTTTCAGAAATATTTCTTAAACTGACCACCTTTTTAAGCAAGGCACAGGAAAGTAGTGAAAACAATGTCTGCTCTATCAGACAGCCTTTCATGTAACCATTTAAAACTCAGCACAGGCACTTAGAAGATCATGTGCTTTTTTAGGAGTCCCTGCAGAATTGCTACTAGTCACCAAACACTTGGAGACATAAGCAAAACAAGCCACCCATGAATTTAACCACATTATATTTTTTTATGAAGGGACTTGAAATTTTATTCCAGAGCAGTATTTAGGCCTTTTCTGCCTTACCAATTTGTTTAAAAAATAAAGAATAAATAAGCTTTCCAAATGATTAGTAAAGATTCCTTCATGAGAATGTTTTATGGAAAGTTTTTCTTCAAGATTCAAATGATTTTTCTACTTTTAAATGTATATTAAGAAAACTAATTGATTTGAATTGTATTTAAGGAAAATAAATCATACCTACACACACACACTCACATCTGGATTGAAATTATTTTCCCTGTACCTTCTGAATACAAACTTGCCTTTTGATTGAGGCCAACTAAAGAAACTTCAATTTTAAGGAATTCTTACATAAGAGTTCTAAACTATTGCACATAGGGAAAAAGGAAATGGTGATTGCATTCTTATATAATTTGAAACCCGAATTTAAGGTATGCTTATTAGGAATTAAATTTTGTAACATATTTGCAAATAAATGCCAGAATATTTACATGTAATATATCTGTATTATATATTGCCAATAATAGCATCATTAGAGTAACAAATAATTCTGGAGTGAAATAGGGCAAATTTTCTCAAAGTGCAAGTTAAAGTAGAATTCTAAAGTCAAAATATAAAGGAAAATTAAAGTCTGTGTTCTCCAACAAAAATATCTTACAAGATTGTCATCAATGCTTATCCTCAACTCTCTGGCCCCATTTTTGCTCTCTCTTGAATCCCAAATCTTGGCAAGGCTTTCAATGCTTAACAGCCGTGCTTAATTGCCAAAGATTTATTGAGTGCTTAGTACCAACTTGGCACCTGTTTTTTCTTTTCTAGAAATTACATATAAAATATATTTAAGCCACTAATATGTATCACACAAATGCATGCATGACCCATAAAATAACTGTCAAATGAAAATCTTTTATATCCTGCAAACTCAGATTTCATCTAATTATAGTTGATGGATAAGGCACATAGAAATTAATTCTTTCTCTAGAGGTCCTTGAAAATGTCTGAAAAACAAAATTTTTAAGTATTGTTTTGAATTAAATTTAATCTAATATTTCAAAAATTTAGTAAGAGCAAATATTCTATTGTTTTCTTTTTACTACTTTATTTCATTTAACTACAAGAAAGAAGAAACAACTAGATCAGAAACCAGAAATTTCAGTTGAGTGCTATTTATAAAGATTAAAAGAAAATTGGCCCACTTTTTCTTTTCCCGATTCTCATTTGAGGGTTGCTTTTCAGTGTAGTTAGGGGAAAGGAAAATAACATAAATATTTCATTACAGAGAGGATAGGAGGAAATCAAATGTAATATATAAAAATGAAACAAAAATAAAATAATGAGAAGCCAGTGAGAGTAACATATGGATGAACAAGAAGCCAGTGAGAGGAACAAATGAAAATGTGAGACTTTGGAATGTTGCCCTCTTTTCCCCAAAAATATAGAATGAAAAGAGAAAAAGAAAATGTGGATGCATCACAGCACCCACCAGCCTGTGCCTCCTAGCCAGTTGCAACTGACTAATGCCAGTTGCAATTGACTAATGCAAGTTGAAATGCAATTATTTTTCTTGAAATTGGAAAACTTAACTGTCATTACTTTTAAAAAGAAGTTGAAAACTTTAACATTAAAAACAGCTCCTCTAATAACAAGGAATACATTCATGGAATATCTTACTAGTTCACTTGTTTTGTGAGTAAAGTTATTTTTTCTACTAAAATATATTGATAAACAGTGATAACTAAGAAATTATTACAACATATAATGCTCAAGTTGGAAAAAATTATGTTTCCCAAGATTCCAGGGACTGTGTGTCAAAAATTTAAAAAATTTGGAAAAAAAAGGCATTCTTCTTATTTAAATGTGTAATCTTGATAAGGTAAAAGTAATATTGAAAAGCCTTTAAAGAAAAGTCATTTTAATTTGTTGGTTTTTAGGCAGCCCCTGATTATTGTTGCTTTTCTGGAAAGAAAACACAATTGGACAAGCATGTGAAATTACAACAAAATTTTAAATTATGTTTCTATTTTAAAAGCAGCAAATGAAGTTTTAAATGGTTGCACTAGACATTATACCCATTAGAAACCACAAAAAGATCGGTTACCTCTGACAGTTACTGCATTCACTCATGCAGTATAGTCAAAAGAGAACATCACCCAAACTTTAAAAACATTCCAGTTTAATGATGTAAGGAGTAGAAACCTAAAATATGTTGAAATGCTCTTTCATGTATACTTCTACAAAACCCAAAACTACTGAACTGCAAAACTGAGATAAACCAAGTAGTTGGGTTTGCTATATTGGTTTCAAAATGAAGAACAGAAATTTTAAACTTCATCAAAATGGTAATCCCTGGTTTACCCCCCTCCCGAAAGTCTTGAGTTATACTAGCTAGTTATACTAGCTATCGTTATACTAGCTAGTTATACTAGCCAAAGATACTAGCAGCCTTTATTCCTGGAATTCAACAACAACCTAAATCATATACTTTTTCTCTTTTTAAGGTTATACTCAAGTTGACCATCAATAAATATTTTTCTTTCTTAAATTCATCCTTTAGTTACTAATTTTTCTTATTTTTAATTACCATGTTTTAACATATTTCCTGATAGGTTAAGTTGGGATTCCTCTTCTGGCTATTTCATAAGCGTTGTTTGTCTATGTGCATGAATTTTGGGGAAGGCAGAGGCACTCAAGCTTGAGTGGCGTCTACAACTAGTATTGAGGTATAGTAGGATCATTGGAGATCATCTTGCATGAGAGACTGAAAACCTGCAGGAGAGAATTTTTCCTAAGAGAAAAGAAGAAAGGCAGACAAATCAGGCCCAATAATAAGGCTTCAGGAATCAGAGAGGGGAGACAGATTTCACTTAGTGTTACATGGTGGCAAGGACTCTGTTCATATGAAGTCATGTTTGAGTCTTTTGGTGATGGGCGTAAGTTGTAGGCTAAAGAGCAAGTCATTTAATTAAGAAAAAACAACCCCGTCTGTACTGAAAATACAAAAATTAGCTGGGCGTGGAGGCGGTCGCCCGTAGTCCCTACTCGGGAGGCTGAGGCAGGAGAATGGCTTGAACCTGGGAGGCGGCAGGGCTTGCAGTGAGCCGCGATTGCGCCACTGCACTCCAGCCTGGGCGACAGAGCAAGACTCTGTCTCAAAAAAAAAAAAAAAAAGAAAAGAAAAAAAGAAAAGAAAAAACAAAAGCATTGAGGCAAGCTGCACAGTACTGATGTGATTTACATAGCATGAAAGAGGGGACAGGAAAGCATTCACAAATGTACTTGGTTCCAGGG
This sequence comes from Homo sapiens, assembly GCF_000001405.40. Lineage (NCBI taxonomy): Eukaryota > Metazoa > Chordata > Mammalia > Primates > Hominidae > Homo > Homo sapiens. Next base: position 120,314,067 of record NC_000004.12, on the reverse strand, counting down.
CATCAAGAACATGAGAAAACACAGAACATCAGTAATAGTCTGTGAGTGAAGAGTGCATTTTTTACTGGGGGTAATGCTAAGGAAATGTTGGGTCAAAGATCTTGATGCCTATTGGCAAGGTTAGGTACCTTTGGGTATACCTGTGACTTGGGGGAGTTCTGTTGCACGCTATCACAGATACCATTGGTTTCTCCATGGAAGTCTATGTAAAGGCAAGAAGATGATAATGTAAGGTGACAGCCAATGGAGCTTACTCATGTGCGTATAAGACATTTTCAAGGACATCTCAGGAATAATTGAGGAGGTAAGAGGCCTTTTGGTCTATAATTCCTACAAAAAAATTTAAAAAGACAGAGAGGTTGCTTGAGCAATAATTTATTTATAGGATTTCATTCTAAACCTGGGCCTCTTGGGAAACAATGCCATTCTGTATTATATGTACTTAATCGCCCCCGAAGCAAATGTGCCAAAACATGAACAATTGGTGAATCTAGGCAAAGGGTGTGAAGATATTCATGGTGCTCTTCTTTCAACTTTTCTGTGCATTTGAAAATTTCTAAAATAAAGAGTTCAAAGAAAAAAGAAATGCATTTTGAACATTCCTAAATGTCAGTTTTGATATTTAATAATTATTTATAAAACATAATAAATTTATGTTGTTTTGACCCCTTGTGTGCTAATAATAAATATGACAATTCATTCAAGAAAAATGTTAATACTTAAGACCTATGCTCAAAGTAAATTTCTTGGAAATTCAAACTTCAAGGTAGCACATACTGTGTTTTGAGATAATGAAATATAAGAAAATCAATAAAGGACCTTCAAGATTGAAAAGAAAAGTAAAAGGAAAATATAAGTTTAAAAATTAGAAAGAAACAGTGTAGAATTTTCAACTACCGATGACAGTAGGTATCTAATTGCTATGGCTTTTGGTACTATGGTATGTCAGCTCCAATCCAATTAACTATTATTTGCCTGTGGTTCTTATTTCTAAAATCTTAGGAAGCCACTTGCAATAGTACATGAAATTTTCCTCTTTGCCCTCAGGTTAAATATATGTGTCTTTAAGATTTTAAGGTTTTTTACCACTAAGCATATCAAACCAGCCTTGTCATTTCAGTTTTCTTGTATTTCCTAATTTCCCTTTGTGTTTTCTCTCTTTATTGGGAATTTTTAGTCCTTGAATCATTTTTAATTTGAATGACTGTTGTTATTGTTACAAATTTTAATAACTCCAGTAAAATCTGAAAGAACTAAACTAAAACGGTGAGCAGTTTATGAAATAAGAACCTTTTAAAAATTTTGTTTTTAGTTGCTTTATAATATTTGTACACATTTATGGGATAGAGTGTTATGTATCAACACAGGTACAGTAATAACTTTTTGTAATTTCTTTGTGGGTTCTGAAAGCTTAGACATTGTCATTTAAAGGGAACACTTTTAGCTTTGTTAGCTGACAACCAAAATCACGTAGACTTATCTCAGTTGCAGAGCTTGCAACAGGTCTGAATTGGATTGACTCCAGTGTGATAGAAAGGGATTTTATTTTTACCCAAGACACTTGTTTTGCTCCCTCCATCCATGTTTCAGGGGATGGAGTGCTAAGGGGAGGGTTGTCTCTGGGAAAGACACTGCTAACCTAAAAGATGTTAAAGTTATACCAAGAGAAGTGGTCAATACCAAAACGTGAAGACCTGTGTTTTTCATTGGGGTCTAGCTTTTAGATGGGGTCTGGCCAACCTGAAGGAAGTAAATCCTTCATCAGAGATAGATCTGAGTAGCACCCCCTGGACAGAAACAGGAACAACTATCAAAGTCACAAGAACCAGACATTACTAAGGGAAAAAAAGATGAGAGCTACAAACAGAGAAGTGGGAAGGACAAAACAAAACATGGAGAATAAAGGGAGAAAAAACCGACAGCAAGAGAAGGGATTTCCAGAAGCTCATAGGAATTGGTATCTATATATACAGAAATTTGATTCAATGGAAAATGGAGGCAGGGAGTAAGAAAAAATATAGCTATTAATATAAACATTTATGTATTTGTATGTATGTATATGAAATTCTAAATTTTTAAATCATCTTTTCTGTTTCACAATATATAAATATTTTGTTATTTCTCTCTTTGGTAACAGATGTTCCCCTGCATACCCTCTTAGATGTTGTGGCATAAATTAATGTCAGTATCAATATTATTGATTTGCTATATTTACTATTCTTAAAAGAAGCATCTTTTATGAAAAATGAAACCCAATCAATTTGGCTTAAATGAGTTATGACACCAAAGTAACTTTGATTTCCCCAGAAAATGTAGATAGAATATATTCTACCATACTAAATATTAACCAACTAATTTACGGTATTTGTAATACCCTATGCATTTATAAAAGTTGTAGAAAACTGATACAGTTTGGCTGTGTCCACCATCCAAATGTCATCTTGAATTGTATCTCCCATAATTCCCACATGTTGTGAGACAGACCCAGTGAGAGATAAGTGAATCATGGTGGTGTTACCCCCCTATTGGTCTCATGGTAGTGAATAAGTCTCACAAGATCTGATGGTTTTATAAGGGGAAACTCCTTTTGCTTAGCTCTCATTCTTCTCATCTGCCACCATGTGAGATGTGCCTTTCACCTTCTGCCATGATTGTGAGGCCACCCCAGCGACATGGAACTGTGAGTCCACTAAACCTCTTTCTTTTGTAAATTGCCCAGTCTTGGGTATGTCTTTATCAGCAGAATGAAAACGGACTAATACAGTAAATTGGTACCAGTAGAGTAGGGCACTGGTGAAAATATATCTGACAATGTGGAAGGAACTTTGGAACTGGGTAACAGGTAGGAGTTGAAACAGTTATGATAGCTCAGAAGAAGACAGAAAAATGTGGGAAAGTTTGGAACTTCCTGGAGACTTGTTGAATGGTTTTGCCCAAAATGCTGACAGTGTTATGGACAATAAAGTCCAGGCTGAGGTGGTCTCAAACGGAAATGAGAAAATTGTTAGGAACTGGAGCAAATGTAACTCTTGTTATGTTTTACAAAGAGACTGGTGGCATTTTTCCCCTGCCCTAGATATTTGTGGAACTTTGAACTTGAGAGAGATGATTTAGGGTATCCGGTGGAAGAAATGTCTAAGCAGCAAAGCATTCAAGAGGTAACTTGGTTGCTGTTAAAGGCATTCAGTGTTATAAGGAAAGGAGAGCATAAAAATTTGGAAAATTTGCATCCTGACAATGCAATAGAAAAGAAAATCCCATTTTCTGAGGAGAAATTCAAGATGGCTGCAAAAATTTGCATTAGTGATGAGGATCCAAATGTTAATCCCCAAGACAATGGGAAAAATGTCTCCAGGACATGTCAGAGGTCTTCACTGCAGCCCCACCCATAACAAGCCCTGAGGCCTAGGGGAAAAATGGTCACCTGTGCTGTGTGCAACCTAGGGTCTTGGTGCCCTGCATCCCAGCTGCTCCAGCCATTGCTGAAAGGTGCCAACATAGAGCTCAGGCTTTGGCTTCAGAGGATGCAAGCCCAAAGCCTTAGCAGCTTCCATGTGGTATTGAGCCTGCGAGTGCACAGAAGTCAAAAATTGGGGTTTGGGAAACTCTGCCTAGATTTCCGAGGATGTATGGAAATGCCTGGATGCCCCAGCAGAAGTTTGCTGCAGAGGTGGGGCCCTCATGGAGAACCTCTACTAGGGCAGTGTGGAAGGGAAATGTGTGATCAGAGCTCCCCCACAGAGTCCTTACTGGGGCACTGCCTAGTCGAGCTGTGAGAAGAGGGCCACTGTCCTCCAGACCCTAGAACAGTAGATCCACCAATAGCTTACACCATGCACCTGGAAAAGCCACAGACACTCAATCCCAGCAATGAAAGCAGTCAGGAGGGAGGCTGTACCCTGCAAAGCCACAGGGACAGAGCTGCCCAAGACCATGGGAACCCATCTCTTGCATCAGCATGACCCGGATGTGAGACATAGAATCAAAAGAGATTGTTTTGGAGCTTCAAGATTTGACTTCCCTGATGGATTTTGGACTTGCATGGGGCGTGTAACCCCTATGTTTTGGCCAATGTCTCCCATTTGGAATGGCTGTATTTACCCAATGCCTGTAACCCTATTGTAGCTAGGAAATAACTAACTGGGTTTTGATTTTACAGGCTCACAGGTGGAAGGGACTTGCCTTGTCTCAGATGAGACTTTGGACTGTGGACTTTTGAGTTAATGCTGAAATGAGTTGAGACTTTGCAGGACTGTTGGGAAGGTGTGGTTGGTTTTGAAATGTGAGGACATGAGATTTGGGAGGGGCCAGGGCGGAATGATATAGTTGGGCTGTGTCCCTACCAAAATCTCATCTTGTATTTTATCTCCCATAATTCCCACGTCTTGTGGGAGGGAACTGGTGAGAGGTAATTGAATCATGGTGGCAGTTTCCCCCATACTGTTCTCGTGGTAGTGAATAAGTCTCACAAAATCTGATGGTTTTGTAAGGGAAAACCCCTTTCACTTGGCTCTCACTCTTCTCTTGTCTGCTGCCACGTAAGATGTGCCTTTGATCTTCCACCATGATTGTGAGGTCTCCTCAGCCACGTGGACCTGTAAGTTCATTAAACCTCTTTCTTTTGTAAATTACCCAGTCTTGTCTATGTCTTTATCAGCAGCATGAAAACGGACTAATACAAAAAGTCATTTGAATATTCATTTTTCATTTGTAACAGTTCAGTATATTTTTTCAAAACTTATTCTAAAGAGGTGTTTGTTTTCACATAAAGTGTTTAGTAATTGGATCAATTTATTTCATAAGATCTTTAAATCAGAACTGTCAAAAATATAATTTCTGTTTGGAAATAAAAGCAAAAAAAAAGAAATATTCCAATTGCAAATACATGAAAATCTCCACATTTCCTTACCCTATGTTCCCTACGTTTGGATGTTCTTCTTAGATCTAGTTGATTCCTTCTCTAGTACCCTTCTCAGAATTTGTTTCATAAGTGTTCTGAAAGAACTGGTCATCTTTTTAGCATTTTAGGCACAAACGAAAATAATAATAACAAAAAGAATAAGAATAGTAGCTAACATTTGCTGAATTCTGACTTTGGACCAGGCACAAGGCTAAGCTCCATGCATGTGTTATATCATTTAATCTTCATGGCCCTATTAGTTCAATGCCATTATTACCTCTGTTTTGCCATTGAAGAATAAGGTACAGAGAGGTTAAGTAACTTTCCCAGGGTCGCAGTTTGTAAATGGTTCAGTTGAAATTTGACTCTAAACTATCTGAATCCAGAATTTCTACTTTGGACCACTCTGTAGTTTAGAAAAGAAAACAATTTTTATTGGTTTTATGAAATTAATTTAAAAGGTATAATGATTCATATGTTGCTCTACTACATTATCAACAACAGTACTGAAAACATTCAGAAATAGTTTGTAATCAAAGTGAATTTACTTTCTAGTTCTGCACTTGTCACTACAAATGCATTCATTGTGAGCAAAAACATGTTACAAGGACTTAGAAAACATTGCTATTTTGGCCAATACCTGTTTAACTGAGTTTCCAGAATAGCTGAGGCTCTCTTTTTCCCAGTGGATCATATGATTCATTGCTGCCCACAGAACATTAACTCCTAGTTACCTGTGCCCATTAGCTACCACCAGTTGTATGTTCACCAAGAATTGCTTATCTTCAATCGTTTGTGAGTTTTTTATTATAATTACTAAATTTAATTAAATGTTATATGAAATGATAACAATGAAAATATGAAATTGTTTCCATAAAAATTAAGTTACAATCTTTAGAAAGACTCAATCAACTTGAGTTCTTAAATGAAGAAAAATGCAACTGAATTAAATATGAGTAGTACAGTTATAAAGTAATGGGGAAAATAAACAGTGACAGAATTGCTGCACAACTTTCTTACTCCACTGTTTAAAGGTGTATTTTTGGAAAGAAGACAAATTCAATCTGTTCCATCTGGTCCTACAACATTTAATTATGTTGTAATAAATGAGATGTTCATTTTATACATATGTATATATATAGAGAGAGAGAGAGAGTATCATTTTTAAGAATAATTCTCAATTTATCCATCTTTTTCAGCTTCCTCCAAACTATTGGGGCCTTATTGTTTCAGTTTGCAGTACATTTTGAGTTAAAATCTACTTGGTACAATAGTGTCTTAAAATTCTTACTATTTGTATTAGAACAAAGATGATAGAAAAAAAGAATTTTCAAAATACTATTTATTTTGGATAGACTATAGGGAATTTAGTGGAAACATTTAACCAGTATCAGTGAATAATCAACTAAAAGCTCCTGGGATCTTGACTTACCTACCTAACACTGACCTTGTCCCATAAAATAGTAAGATACGGCTGGGCACGGTGGCTCACGCCTGTAATCCCAGCACTTTGGGAGGCGGAGGTGGGCGTATCATGAGGTCAGGAGATTGAGACTATCCTGGCTAACATGGTGAAATCCCGTCTCTACTAAAAACACAAAAAAATTAGCCGGGCGTGGTGGCGGGTGCCTGTAGTCCCAGCTACTCGGGAGGCTGAAGCAGGAGAATGGTGTGAACCAGGGAGGCGGAGCTTGCAGTGAGCCGAGATCGTGCCACTGCACTCCGGCCTGGGCAACAGAGCAAGACTCTGTCTCAAAAAAAAAAAAAAAAAAAAAAAAAAAAATAGTAAGATACACACAACTCTCTTTCATCAAGTAAAAAGGAAAGAAATCTTCTTAAGGTGTTCCAAAGTCTTTTGATACAAACATCTTCCCTGGAATAGGATGTGAAAACTGAGCATGCTGAATACACATGAATGCACACATGAAATACACATGAATACACATGAATACGGACTGTTACACTGAGGTTGGCCCACTACAGAGGCCTGCGTGGTAATGAAACCTGTGAGCTAAGCAAGGGCTGTGTGCCAGGACTGATGGAAATTGCACTGCAACTTTAATTTTTTACTAACCATTGTCTGTTAACAGAATTACATGTTTATAAAAGCAAAGGGTAAAAATATTTTTATAGTCATGACTCTGCTAACCATTGACACTTTTTCATCCAACAATTAGTCTCACTCCCCAAAAGCACTTACACAGCCATACCTGGACCTTCCTTGACATTCAAGCACTTGCAGAAACTCTGCCACTCTGCCTAAGTCTATATATCTTTCATAACCTCTTTATGTCACTCTTTCCTCAGTTTGCAAATATTTTTATGGGTACATTTTTCTTCCTTCACTCTGACTTGAGCTCTCCATTACTGGTTTCTCTATTTAAAATTCATGATACTTTGCCTTAAAGAAAGGCTATTGACTACAGATACGTTTGAATTGAAGGACTAGGAGAAATAAAATGTTGGTGGCAGATATTTAGGAGATGATGAGTATTTCATTGTGCCTAATGTGACAGGTGCATGGAAAGGGTAGGCTGGAAAGAGAATTTGGGGGCTAAGTTACAGGAGAATATTAAAACAAATTCTACTCTAATAAGAAGTTTGTCTAATTGCATAAACTTTGAAAATACCAGAAATTGTAATAGCATCAAAAATTATGCTTCTGATAAAAACAAATAAGTCATTTTTCATAGCCAAGAACTAAAAATTAACAATAAAAGTGAATATAAAAACATTTGGCTCTTAGGCAAATTTAATTTAGGTCAAGTTTCAAGATAAATAACATGAATTTATTTGATTCGCAAATTATAAGACTGTCTTTTTCTTCGTATTTTTTGTTGCTTCTCACATTTTAAAACAGTGCTTTATTCTCAATACCTGGACCTCTTCTTTGTTTTGTTTTGTTTTCTTCCCTGCAAAATGTGGGGTCTGGACATTGTTCTTCGATAGAAAACTCTCTATGATAAATGAGTGATTCATGGATCTAATAAAATAAGTTCCTAGAGTTAGTAATATGATTTAGTCTTATTTCACTGCAATCTGAAAAGGATCATCTTTTGATTTCCACAAAATCTTATGACTAGTGGATGTATGACCAATGGTGTTTGTGACAGAGGAGAGGTATAAGCATCTATTGGACCTCTAAGGACCAGTTTCTTAGGGACAGAATTTGGAGATCAATCAATTAAGGCAATCTACAATCTGTCACAATCTGTTCATCCTAGTTCTCAGGTTAATGGTGTGTAATTTATTTATTTGGTATTCATATGCCAAACTACTATTTTAAAATCTTGATTGGCTGTTGATTTTATTATTGATGTTTTTACTTTTGATTTCTCAACCAATCCCTGTTTCATTTGGCTTCCTAGTCTCTGTTTCATTTGGTTTCATCATTCTGTTTTACCCACCAGAATATGGCCAAAGGAGATAGGAAAACAGGGTAGAAATTTGTTCATCACACGGGCCAGACACGGTGGCCCACACCTGTAGACCCAGCATTTTGGGAGGCTGAGGTGGGTGGATCACTTGAGGTCAGGAGTTCAAGACCAACCTGGCCAACGTGGTGAAACCCCATCTCTACTAAAAATACAAAAAAAAAAAAAAAAAATTAGCGAGGTGTGGTGGCATGTGCCTGTGTTCCCAGCTACTCAGGAAGCTGAGGCAGGAGAATCACTTGAACCCGGGAGGCGGAGATTGCAGTGAGATGGTGTCGTGCCATTGCATTCCAGCCTGGGCAACAGAGCGAAACTCAGTCTCAAAAGAAGTCTGTTCATCACACACAAGTACAGCTCTCTTCTGGCTCCTGGCCTTCAATTTTGCATAATCACCAATTTCTTTGTAGAGCTCAAGTCAAATGCTACTTCTTCAGAGAAACTTTCCCTGACCTGCTCATCTAAGTAACAGGACCCATCCCAACTGTAATCACTCAAGCTCCTTATCCTACTTGGTTTTTCTTCACAGCATTATCTTCACTTAAATAATAGTTTCTATTTACTCATTTAATTACAATAATGAGAGCTAATTACTGAGCTCCCAGAATGAGCCAGGGACTATTAACAAGTGTTTTATGTGTATTAAATCATTTGATTCTTATATACCCCTGTGAAGTAGAAACTGATGTCTTCCTCTTTTAAAAAACAGAAACAAGCAAAGGAGGCTGAGTAATTTGTCTGAGCTTATACGGGCAGTGCTGGCTCACTCCGGAAAGGCTGGCTCCCCACTAGAGTTACCCAACCACTATAAAGATAGGAATTTGGCTTATTTTTTCCACTGATATGTTTCCTTTGCTCAAAACTGTACCTAGCACAGAGTGGTTATTCAATCAATACTGTATTTGTAGAATGAATGAATGAATTAGAGGGTGAAGGTGTGAGTATAAAGGAATTAGGAAACAAGTTAATTCTATACAGCATGTTAAACCTGCATCAGCAGATTCCAGAAAATTCAAATTAGCAAAGACAGCCAGGGGCAGGAGGTGGTTAATTTGTTTAACGTAACAAGGGAATTGACTTTTTTCTGAACTTTTAAAATCATTTTATCTATCTTGGTCTGTAAGAATTTTCATGTTGAGCTTTCTTTCCTTAGCAGCTAATATCTCTGATCTTTAGTGAGCCTTTTTTATAAAACGAGCATCCCAAGGTCACAGTTTGAATTTTTTTCAGTGTTGCCTTTATTTATTTTTAATCATAGAGGGAGGAAAGCCTCCATCAAAATTCTGTCTGTCATAGAAGGTAATATTATTACTGTGTCAGAAAGGTCTAAGTAAATGTTTGATTAAAATGCCAGAAGAGGTGCTGTTGGTAAAAACTGCTAAACCATAGCATGCTGTGTTAAGAGACACTATTCTTAGGAGGAGGTATGATTTCTATTTAAAGTTATAGGTGATGGTTTATGTGCACAATTTGGAGGACAAGATAAAGGACAAAGCAAGAAAGTGTTGGAATAAAATGAGGCTGCATAAATTGAAGTTGTAAAACTGGCTTAAAGGGAAAGGGGAAGTTAAAAATGAAAGTTTCTGCTTCAATTTTCCATTATGTAGGCCAGAGTTTGTTGGTTGGTGTTTAAATGAAGCCCGTAGATATGACACATTTTGAATTACAATTCTTAAAGCAGTGACTCTCAGATTTTTTCAAATAATACTGTATCATTGGGGGGACTTATCTTTGAAAGAGTAATAGAATTTATGGCTTACACTGATTTCAGGCTTTGGAAATGTCACTTTTATCGTAAAACTTTTGTAAAACAATGTCCTATGTGGAATGAAAATTAGTCAATTTACGAAAATCAAAGGTATTCAGATTGAAGTCAGAGTGGGGCACAAAAGACTCTATCTGGTCACTTCTTCTTCCTATATAGCCTTTGCACAAGTTCAAGCCACCATATATATGGGCACCAGTGCACTAGTAGGATAGACTTAGCACTTTTCAACATGATAGCATTTATGAAGAAAAAATGATTACAGGCCAGGCGCGGTGGCTCACGCCTGTAATCCCAGCACTTTGGGAGGCCGAGGTGGGTAGATCACCTGAAGTCAGGAGCTCGAGACCAGCCTGGCCAATGTGGCGAAACCCCATCTCTACTAAAAATGCAAAAATTAGTTGGGCGTGGTGGCGGGCACCTGTAATCCCAGGTACTCGGGAGGCTGAGGTAGGAGAATTGCTTGAACCCAGGAGACAGAGATTGCAGTGAGCCAAGATCATGTCATGGCACTCCAGCCTGAGTGACAAGAGCGAGACTCCCTCTCCAAAGAAAAAAAAAAAAGAAGAAAAAATGATTACAACTTAACAGCACAAACATCTTTCAATTTTTATATATCCTTTATCTATCCTTTGAGCAAAAAGCTGACTTCTGTGAAGTATATCTAAGATATAATTGTTTTTCTTATCACTGGCCACAAAAAGCTTCATAAAACCCCCAAAAACTTTATTTCTTTAGCTTTACTGAGGTGTGATTGATGAATACAAAATGTATATACTGAAGATGCACAATGTGATAATTTGATATATTTATACACTGTGAAATGGCCACTACAATCAAGCTAATTAACATATCCATCACCTCACATAGTTACCCTTTGTGTGTGTGTGTTTGTGTGTATGATGAGAATATTTAAGATTTACTTTCTAAGCAAATTAAAATATACAATACATTATTATTAACTTTAAGTATAATGCTGTACATTAGGATTTCAAAACATATTCATTTTATAATTCAAAGTGTATATATACCCTTTGACCAAAATCATCCAAATTTCCCTATCCCTCAGACCCTGGAATCAACATTCACTTTCTGTTTTTATGAGTTTGACTTTTTTAGATTTCACAGATATGTGAGATCATGCAGAGTTTGTTTTTCTGTGTCTGGCTTATCAATAGGTTCATCCATGTTGTCATAAATGACAGGATTTTTTTCTTTTTTGAAGGATAAATAATATTCCACTGCATATATATACCACATTTACCAACAAATGTATTCATTCATCTGTTGTCAAGACACTTGGGTAGTTTTTGATATCTTGGCTATTGTGAGTAATGCTGCAATGAACATGGAAGTGCAGGTAGCTCTATGAGGTGCTGATTTCATGTTCTTTGGGTATATACTCAGCAGAGGCATTGCCAAGTAATATGGTAGGGCTATTTTGAATTTTTTGAGGAAACTTCATACTATTTATTATAATGGCTGTTCTAATTTGCATTCCCACCAACAATGTACAAGGGTTCCCATTTTTCCACTTTCTCACCAACACTGGTTACTTCAGCACCTTTTTATATGCCTGTTAGTCATTTGTGTGTCTTCAAAAATGTCTATTCAGGTCCTTGGCCTATTTTTAATTTCTTTTTGCTATTAGTTGTGTAAGTTCCTTACATATTTGTATATTAATCCATTATTAAATATGTGTGTTGCAAATATCTTTTCTCATTCCACAGTTTGCCTTTTCATTTTGTTCATTTTTTCTTTGCTATGCAGACATTTTTCAATTTATGCAGTCCTACTTGTTTATTTTTGCTTTCATTGCCTATGTTTTTGGTGTCATATTCAAAAATTTATTACCAAGAGGATTGGCAAGGAGCTTTTCCCATATGTTTTCTTCTAGCGGTTTACATTTAAGTCTTTAATCCATTTGAAGTTGCTTTTGGTGTGTAGTGTAAGATAAGGATCAAATTTCATCCTTTTGCATGTGGATATCCGGTTTTTCCATCACAATTTATTGAAAAGACTATCCTCACTGTGCATTCTTGGTTCCTTTGTCTAGAATTAAGTGGCCATATATCTGTGTGTTTATTTGTGGGCCCTCTATTTATTCTATTCCATTTGTCCATGTGTCTGTTTGTAAGCCAGTACCACACGGTTTTGATTACTATAACATTTTAATATAATTTGAAATCAGAATTATGATGTCTCCAGTTTTGTCATTGTTGCTCACGACTGCTTTAACTATTCAGTTTCTTTAGTGGTTTCATATGAATGTTAGAATTGTTTTTTCTATTTCTGTGAAAAATGCCATTGGAATTTTGATAGAGATTGCATTGAATCTGTAGATAGCCTTGGGTATTATAAAATTTTTAATATTATTTTTCCAGTCCAGGAACATGCAATACTTTTCCATTTATTTGTGTCTTATTCACCTCATCAATATTTGATATTTCATCAATGTTTGATAGTTTTTAATGTATAGATGTTTCACCTATTGGTTAAAATTATTCCTATATTATTCTTTTTTGATGTTGTAAATGGGATCATTTCCTTAATTTTTTTTCAAATTGTTTATTGGTAGCATATAGATTTTTGTATGTTGATTTTTCTCTTGCAAGTTTACTGAACGCATTTATTAGTTCTAATAGCTTTTTAGTGGAGTCTTTAGGGTTTTCTATATACAAAATCATGTCATCTGCAAACAGAGATGATTTCACTTCTTCCTTCCTATTTGGAAGCTTTTCACTTATTTTTCTTGTTGGACTTGCAGTACTGTGCAAGTACTTGCCAGAAATGGCAAGAATGGGCATTCTTGTATTATTTCTGATCTAAAACGAAAAAGTTTCAGCTACTCACTATTAAGCATAATGTTCATTGTGAGTGTGCCATACATTGCCTTTATTATGTTAAGGTACATTCTTTCTAGATCTAATAAAGCTGAGAGTTTTTATTATGAAAGGGTGTTGGATTTTGTCCAATGTTTTTCCTGCATCTATTGAGAAGATTATACTTTTTCTATCCTTCATTTTGTTAATGTGGTGTATTATACTTAGTGATTTGCATATTTTGAACTATCTTTGCATTGCAAGGATAAATCCCACTTGATTATGGTGCATGATCCTTTAAATGTGCTACTGAATTCACTTTGCTGGTACTTTGTTCAGGATTTTTGCATCTATGCTCACCAGGCATATTGCTCTCTATATTTTTTTCTCTTGTCCTTGTCTTGCTTTGGTATCAGGGTAGTGCTGACTTCATAAAATGATTTTGGAAATGTTCCCTCCTCATTAATGTTTTGGAAGGCTTTGACAAAAAGTACTGTTAATTATTCTTTAAATGTTTGGTATAATTCACCAGTGAAGTCATCAGATCCTGGGATTTTCTTTGCTGGGAGACTTTTGATTACTGATTCAATATATTTATTATTGTCTGTTTAGATTTTCTGGTTTCTTCATGATTCAGTCCTAGTAAGTTGTTTGTTTCTAGGAATTTATTCATTTATATTTTTAGATGAGGAAATTGAAGCTCAGAGAGTATAAGATACTTGCCTCAGATTTCTATCTGTCCAGTATCTGACTAGGTAATTCTAGAATATAGATTGTTATATTCAAAATCCTGTATACTTAACCTAGGATTAACCTTAGGATAACAATAACCTAGGATACTTAGCTGAAAGAAAAATAACTTTAATAATATATAACATACTATAATAGCAAAATCATCAATGATCCATAAAATTAACAGAAGAAAGGATTAGAAAGTCAATATAATGTGTATTTATTACTTCAACATATTTTATTGAGCATCAAACATGTATGATCATTAATCAAAGTGCTGGTAATCTACAGTGAAAGAAGTCAATAAAAGGACCCTTACAAATCTTGCATTCTAATGGGAAAATAGTAACTAACATATATGTCAACTGAAGACTAAAAATAGAAGAAATAGTGCTCATATGTATTTGTGTGTGCACACATGTATGTATCTAATATGAATAGAAATGAACAGGTGCTGAGGAAAAAATATAACAGCATATAATGTACAGTATTAAATGGACCTTAAAAAGAAATAGAGACTTACCATCACAACCATAAATCTACTGAGAATCACAATGACAGGGCATGGAGCCAAGAAACGTACACTGTTAACAGGTTGCCCCAAATGATCATTTGACAACCACTCTACTAGGTAAACATTCTAGGTAAACCACTCTACTAGGTAAACAGTCTAAGTATGAAATCAAATAGCTATAAAGTTTAATAACGCTCAAGTTCCACATTAGAGGATTAAACATAAGAAGTCACAAATTCTCCAAGATAGGTCTAGGTACTTAGTACATGCATCACTTCAGGTAAGTAATGTAACCACCTGTATTAGTCTGTTCTCACACTGCTAATAAAGACATACCCAAGACTGGGTAATTTATAAAGGAAAGAGATTAAATTGGTTCACAGTTCCACATGGCTGGGGAGGCCTCACAGTCATGGCAGAAGGTGAAGGAAGAGCAAAGGGACATCTTACATGGTGGTAGGCAAAGAGAAAACTTGTGCAGGGGAACTTCCATTTATAAAATCATCAGATCTTGTGAGACTTATTCATGAGAACAGCATGGGAAAGACCTGCCCCCATGATTCAATTACCTCCCACCTAGTCCCTCCCATAACACATGGGAATTATGGGAGCTACAATTCAAGAGGAGATTTGGGTGGGGACACGGCCAAACCATATCACCACTTTAAGATCCAGTTTCCTCATCTATAAAATAAAGATGACATAACAAGAAGAAGAAAAAGGAGAAAGAGGAAGGAGAAGAAAGGGGGAAAAGAGAAGAAATGTGAAGATAAAGACAGAGTGAGCAAAAAAGTAAAATGCTGTAAAAATGATTACATGTGGCTAGGCATGGTGGCTCATGCCTGTAATCCCAGGACTTTGGGAGGCCAAAGCAGGCAGATCATGAGGTCAGGAGATTGAGACCATCCTGACCAACATGGTTAAGCCCTGTCTCTACTAAAAATACAAAAATTAGCTGGGTGTGGTGGGGCGTGCCTGTAATCCCAACTACTCAGGAGGCTGAGGCAGGAGAATTGCTTAAACTTGGGAGGCAGAGATTACAGTGAGCCGAGATTGCGCCACTACACTCCAGCCTGGGTGACAGAGCGAGACTCTGTCTCAAAAAAAAAAAAGAAAAGAAAAGAAAAGAAAAAAGATTACATGTGCTTTAATATAAAAAAGGCATAATCAACTTAGATGAAAATACAGGAATCATCCATTAAATCAACAAAATATAAATTAAGTTAGGTATGCATATTGACTAGAGGTCTTGTTAGGTTGGTTAGTGCTTTGGTGTAATCAATCTGTTGAAGAATGAATCCAACATCAACCAAAGAATGTCTTTTACATTGGCTTTCTAATAAAGAAAAATGAAAAAACATGCAGTTTAACAGCTTTTATTCACCCTTCATAAGTTCATTTTTTTCAGAAAGAATTTATAATGTCCTTGACATTTGATATGTAATAATCACATTTATGGCTCTCATTTTATAATGGCATTTCATAATACTGAAATAAATTGCTTTCCTAAATAGAATCCATCATATTTTAAACTAAAAATATTATTCGCTTTAGATTATAATTAATTTACATACTATAATTTATATGCATAGAGTGAACTATTAGCCCCAATTCTTTATTTTCTTGTAATTAGACTATACTGCCATATACTTGATATAGTTTTATGATGGGAAGGGTGTATTTCTCTATACTTTTTCTCTACCTTGGCCAGAGGCTTGAAATATGATGGAGTGCTTGGGTTATCCTGTTACACTTCTGCCATTGTCTAGAAGAACCTGCCCTGTGTAACCTACTGGCCCTACGTCAATGAGAAAAGTGGGGCAGACATGAAACTAACCAAATCAAACCCAGCCATGCCTGACCTAGAATTAGCAGGCCCCAAATGCTTTGCAGACATGTGAGTGAGAAATGGGTGCATATTATTGTATGTCACAGATATTTTGTTTGTTAGTCAGCATTGTTTTGGCAATAGCTAGCTCTCAGATATGATGTAGTTTTTTCCTGCAGTATGATGTAAACTTATCCTGATTTTCTCACCGTAATTTCTTTTACATGTCTTCTATTATTGTTTTATCAACTAGTTAGAAAACTCCAAAAGAAAAGGGCTAGTTTTGAAAATATATTTGTAGTATCTTTCAGTGTGTAGCAAAGAGCAAATTAATGTTATTCATGGGCTCTTTATTTTGTGGTTCAATAGTGCACAGGTTTTACTCAACATTTAAAGCAATCTAAAATAACTGTCTGGGTTTTTTCCTACCCCATCCCACTCCCACTCCTCCATGTGTAAGCAAAAAGTATTATTTTTCTACCCTCACTTCCTCTTTTATTCCCTGAAAATAAGAAGGAAAAAAAAGTTGTTTGTTCCAAATTACATACTACTTGCTGACCTTCTAATTTAAACAATGGTTGAGTTTTAGGTTAGATAAATATGTTTAAGAGCCAAAATAAAATCCATCATTGGCATGGAACTAATGTCTGACTGGGTTGGGTTCCATTGCTGTACAAACTTAAGTTAGGATTCAAAAACTGTCGTTTGTGGTGAGAATGGTATTCTACAATAGGCCATCGTTTTTTCGTTTTTGATATTCAGCTCTTTACTTTATGACCTATTTCCTCAGAAATTTGGGACAGACTGATTTGGAGTGGCATGAGCAAGAGGGAGTGAGAGGAAACAATTTAGAAAGCATATGAAAACGAGATATGGCAAAACAAACACAGAGAACATCAAGTAAATTTCTCACCCTCATCTTGTTCATTTTGTCCTTAGTAATAACAAAGGAATCCATGAGATTGTGTCAAGTTTACAGATTTTAATCTCAAATCTCAAATGTTTTAATATCCTCTTCCTATGTTTGCTAAATCAAATTTCCAGAGTTTGTTCATGTATTTACAAATTCGAAGATAAAGTTAATAGTACAAATTAAAAATATTGCCTGGCTAGTAAAAGCCCTGGTTATGAGAAACAACAATAACTTGGAAGTCCATTCTAGACTCAGATTAAGCAATTACTTGCTGGAGATTTAGTAAAGTGAGGACACAAATTTTACCGTAAAGGACATGGGGAAAAAAATAAGAGCTGACCATTTCAGGACAAATGCTTTTTTCTATGACTGCCTATATGCTGAGGACTGGCGATGAAAATCCTTCATGTTGTCCTGTAAGAATGCTAGTTTACTATGATCTGATTGGTCAAATAATACCAGAAGCTATTGTGTCTATGATCCAATTAGGCCCTTCCTAAAAGATATTCTATATGTACAACTGGAAGACTTCTAGAGCCCTTTGGAAGAGAGGAGAATCTATTTAAGAAGCCCAGTCTTGACCACATTCCCATTAGTCTTTATCTAAATTTGAATATCTGGACCACTAAAAACTACTCCAAACTGATTTTCTTTATGGAAAGAGGGTAAGTAGGACTATTTTGGTGTTAAAATATTTGAAAAAGTTTACAGAGCACTCACTAAGTCCAGGTACTATACCAGGCTCTGGGGACAGAGCAGGGTTCAGAGTAAACAAGCACTGCCTTTGCTCTCATGAGAACTCACAGTGTAGTAGGAGAGATTAGAAAGTTAAGAGATGTCACATAAGTTGTTATTGAGTGAAGAGATCCCTGAAAGACACAGAGTGAAGGAAATATTGGGCCTGGGGCATATCTTCTTGGGGGTTCAGCATCCTCAAATGTTGAATTGCCAAATTGCTAATTGGGGTGATTTCCATAATGCCTGATAGTGAGATTTTTTTTTTTACATATCTGAAAAAATCATTACAGTATGTTTCACCTTCTCTTTCATTATTTGTTGTTTCATTTATCACATATAAAGTTAAAGAATGTAACACTAGACTTTGTACCTTGGAGTAACCAGTGTTGGGTGTGACTTACATCTTTTCCAAAATTGATGTTTGTATCTTACAAAGTCTACAGGTGCTGGCCAGGCTAGTCTCAGTCTCTTTGAAAACTGAATTTTTATGTCTTTTATTACTGGCCAAAAGTATGTTATTTGTTTGAAATAGTGTGTGCATAAAAACATGCTAACTTAATCCCAGGACACCAATAACTTAAGCAACAACCTTTAAAACCGTAGTCAGTTGTTGTTTCTAAAACAACTGAATTATTTTTCCTAGCCATAGTGTTGGTGAGGATTGATTTTATTTTCTCATGTCTTTTGAAGCTCTCATGAGGGAGAGAAATGTTTTGAAATGTTATCTGGTGATTGTTTATTCCTGGTAATTCTTGCTGCCCCAAAGTCCTTCACCTACTGTGTGAGGCATCCTTAGCTTCAGAGGAGGGCAGAGGCCAGTCAACAGCAGAGGTGATAAAGTTCAGATTTTGACTTCTAAAGCTATCACTTAATACTTTCTTCAGAGACGACAATTGTAAGAATAAGCTTGTAATTCAGTCTTTTTAGAAAAGGAAAAAATCTTATAAATAAAAAAATGAAAGTTTTTTAAACAGCAACAAGCAAAGATTGCAACCAAGGAGCACAGGGTTTTTACCCTAAGCCACAGAGTAGGAAGGATGCAATAGATGACCCAGGGACAGTTCCCACTTAACAGAAAGGAGAATACCCTCTAAGCTGGACCAAAAAAATCCCTAAAGGAGGTGACGTGAACACACAGCCTGCTCCTTGTGCATATGCACGCACACGAGCGCACGCGCACGTGCGCGCGCACACACACACACACACACACCACTTCACTCAGGGCCTGAAATCCCTAGAATAAAGGGGAGCCCTTTTCAGAAGCCACAGGATTGACAGAACAGAGCAAGGTCAGCTGGAGAATATAGCTGAGTCTTAGAAGATCAAGCAACACCAGCAGTGATCCAGAAGGGTTCACAACCAGCTGGGTGATATTACCAAGCTTTCCCAGGGTGATCCCTGTGAACTATATTAATCCAGGAAAAAATAATACAAGTTATATGAGACAAAGACTCTTCAAAAGTGGACACCCTAAAACTATGGTGATGCCCCAAGAGCAGATTACACCAGATCTTTGGGAGCTAGTATGGGATAAATATCCTTTCCCAGCCGGAAAATTATGTCAGCCCAGTCCACACTGAGATCAGGCCTTGAAAGAAGGGCAGGTGAAGGAGAAAAGGAAAAATGTTGAAGTTGACTCAATATTTAGCCACAAGAGACTAACTTTATTAGTCAAAAGTGACTGAGATGCCTTGAAATGGCAAGATTAGATCCTCCCTCCATCATCTGCAGAAGGCTGAATTCACTTATTAAAAATAATTGAACTTCTGTGTATATGAGTTGCAGCGGATACACTTAAGCCTATCACGCTTAAGGCAGTCATTGCATTTTGCTGTACCTCAGTTCAAGCATGAATATTATTAGGAACAATGAAAGGTCTACTTATAAGGTGCATTCATTAACTTATTCTCAAAACTGTATGTTCCACCAAGATAGGGGTTTCAGTCTATATTGTTTATGGATACATCCCTATTATCTAGACAGTGCCCCACATATACTGGATGCTCAATACTTTTAACAAACAAAATACAATTGATTGTTCATTAGTTATCTGACAAAAAGTCCTTGAAGAATTTAAAGAGCTGATTTTCAAGCTTTTTAAATACTGGTACCCTTTACTTACTCTTTAGTTTAATATTAATAACAAGTTTGATCAAAAATGATAAATTAGGAAATGGCTGTTTTTCATTACTATAAATCATTGTGACCTGTCCAAAATAAAACATTAAAGAGCAAATTTTCTGGGTACATTTAAAGTATGATCTCTTTTCATGCAAATCTCCAAGATCATGCCTACTATTATCCATAACCTGCACCAGGAGAACTTCACCTGAGGCTCTACTACTACTCAGTACCCCAACTAAAAAAAAATGTTTAAGGCCTTATCATAAAAAACCTGGTAGCTAACATCCTTGAAATTAACATTTTGGAGCTCAAATAGACATTTAATGGTCAAACACATGTAACACTATAAGTAAATAAGTCTAATTTTCAAAGGTATAAAATTTCTAATTAAAAAAGCCTTGACCTTGCCTCTTCTTTGCCTTATGGTTGTGTAAAGTTTCATTTTCATCATCATGCCAATTTCCTACCTTCTCTTCCTACTCCCACTGAGATTTTCTTAAGTCTTTTCATGTATTATGAATAAATTCAATACAGTTGTCTGGGATTTATTCCAACTAAAGAACAATGAAACTTTAGCTTTTGATTTTTATATTCATAAGTTGTTTTTGGAAAGGGACCATTTGAGAAACACTAGTAGTAATTGCCTGCTATGCGGAGTTGTGAAGGATCAGTACCCACAATTGCAATTCTCTTGAAAGCAAAGCTCCAGGAGCCCACAAAATGCTTTCGGTCTAGTGCCAAACCTAAAATTCGTTCTCTGGAATGAACTATTCCTTCCACTGGAAAAGACAGATACCAAACTGAGCAGCCTTCTCTATGTTTGTTTTGGGAATGGCTTAGTCATTGGGCCCTAAGTAAAATAATTCCTTTTGGCGGGGTTAGGGTTGGGGGAAATGTTGATATTAACTTACACAACAAAAATGTTTTAAAATGCAGGTTATGGTGAAATAACAAATGATCTCAAAATCTCAGTTGCTAGAAAAAGGGTTTATTTCTTGCTCATGGAACTTGTTACACAGATGGACTGCATTTTCTGTCCTTGTGGTCTTCATTCCAAAATCCAGGCTGATAAAGCAGCCTCTGTCTACATTTTTCTGATGATCATGGCACAGGGAAAAGAATAAATCGTGAACCACATATTGGCTCTTAAACTTTATGCTCAGAAGTAACACACATTACTTCAGCCCATTTTCATTGGCCAAAGAGAAACGTGTGGCCAAGTCTGATGTCAGTGGGTCATGGAAATATAATCTTCCCCTGGGGAGGATCATCAAATATCAGAGAACAATAATACAACTTGCCACGGAATCTTCCTATACCACTGGATGTTAATTAACACTAATTAATATTGGATATTTATTAACAAACAAATATAACCTTTAATTTCATACTTTTATACTTACTAGTGATAATATTTAATATCTATTTTGTGTTTGTTACCTGCCAGAATCAATGATAGGCATTTTACATGTGTTATTTCATTTAAATTTAACAGGTTAGTATATAATTACTCCCATTTTAAAGATGAAGCTAGTGGACAGAGAAGTGGTTTGCATCGCATAGATAATAAGTGATGAGGTAGAGGTGACTCAAGTCCTTTGTAAATTGCCTTACACACACTAACAATAACAATGTGTCAGTTTATAAATGTACTTGAACTTGTGCTCAAAACTACTATCATTTTCCCTTTTTCTTTATAAATTTGGGTTATCTCAGAGTACAACAAGAGCTCTTTTGAATAACATACCCATCTAGGGCCCATAAGAGAGCAGCACACCTGAGAATAAAGAAGAAGACGATGAAGCAGCTGTTTCCATAATCTCAGCATAACTGTATTGCCAAACTGTACTGACCACCCATAGAAAATATGAACAGCTCCAGGGCAATTAAAAGTTTAGATTCCAACAATGAAGAATCATTCCTGATATGTAAGGTCGGACCCTTTAAAACTGAGCAGAATAAATATTATTATTGCTAACATTTTTAATGTATTCATTTGACTTTGGGGAAGAATGAATAGATGCAAAAGATGGTCTATCTTAATAGTCTCCTGAATTAATACATTAATTTGATTCAGTCTATCAGAAACCTATTAGCAACTACTAAAAACAACCATGGGCCAGGTGTGGTGGCTCACGCCTGTAATCCCAGCACTTTGGGAGGCCGAGGCGGGCGGATCATGAGGTCAGGATTTCGAGACCAGCCTGACCAACACGGTGAAACCCCATCTCTACTAAAAATACAAAAATTAGCTGGGCGTGGTGGTGCATGCCTGTAATCCCAGCTACGTGGGAGGCTGAGGCAGGAGAATCACTTGAACCCAGGGGGCAGACGTAGCAGTGAGCCAAGATCACACCACTGCACTCCAGCCTGGGCGACAGAGCAAGACTCCGTCAAAAAAAAAGAGAGAGAAACCAAAATTGGCAATCGAAATTGTCTTTGACATTTTGAAGAGCCCCCAGGAAGTATATGACTGGTGCTGCCATCTGTGTCCTCACAGTGACGCAGTGGTAGCATCCTGTGTACGCATGTGGAGCTAATACCATGGATTACTACAGAACAGATGACTCAGTCTGAAAACGGGGTAACTGGTCCTGAAATGCTTCCCGTCAATAAGTCAACAGGAGATTGCTTGGCTTTCATGTCATACTGGGTTTGAGTTTGCATGGGAAAGCTTAAGGAAACCTAAGCTCTTTCTACTTTTTTTTGTAGGATTTATTCTGAATGTGGAAAACAAGTCTAGAAGACTCTCCCACTGACTGTTACCTTTGTCCCAGACCATCTCAAACTTTTGTGCTTTCATTTTATTAAAAAAGGGAGATGCTCCCTGCAATCTCTGGGACCTTTTTGAGATATTTGAAGCAGAATATAAAGAGTGGTTCCTCTTCCTATCTTAGTCTTCCTTGTGGTTAGAATGCTTCACTTGTATGACAGATTTTTTATTATTATTATGTGCTCTGATAGTTTTAAATGTGAACTTGTGCACAAATGTGCAGATTCAATGATCTTGTTACAAATGTAAATTACATACATAAACAACATAATAAACAAATAAATAATAGAATACATATCTTTATAGTCACCAAGCCTGTTTATTGAAAATGGAGGTATCAGTGTGCCTTAGTTGCTAAAATTTGTAATGCTTGCTGAGTCTGTTCAAGCCCTGTTTTATCATCCAGTTTCTCATATGCTATCCTCCAATCTTTCACATGTTCTCTGTTGATCTTTGTTGTTAACCACTGACCTTCACGTATTCAATCCTACTGTGACCAGTGGACAGGAACACACCCAGTACTCCAGATCTAGAGAGTATTTTACTAATCTTACCTGCCGTAATTCAGTCTAAAGCAGATTAAAAGTTCTTTCCCTATCCTAAAGAATGCGTTTATGTACATTCCTGATTTCCAATCACTAAGTGCAGATGAGTACACACAGTCTTTATTCATATAAAATAACTAAAGGACAAAGTCATCTAAGATGATCATTCAAAAGTAGGAGTTGTCTAAATTAATAGGAAATACATTGACTATAATTGCTGAGCTTTTAACAATTCTGACATATATTGCTGACAAATACAAGATTCATTTTCCAAAACCAATCTTCTCTGTAAAGATTGGCAAAATTTTAAAAAATACTTGAACTGTTTTAATTGTTTATTTTCTAGAGAAAGATATAATTATCAATAAAAATGGCTCCATATAAATAGAATGTAAAATTCTTCTTTTGAATATTTTGAATGCTTAAGTTAACATTATTATAGAATGTGAATTGAGTCTTTGGTATTACAACATGGTTATTATTATGAACACATATCTTTTTACACAACAAACTAGGCCAAAGTGGAAGAAATTTCATAACAGTGAAAATATTCTGAGCCAATATTTATTTTTTAATTTTCTCATGCATTATATCCACTCAAAAACCTAGTTTTAATCAACATTAAATCTATATTTGTGTGGCTGGGTGTCATTGACTGAAATCAAGATACAAAATGATTTTTGACTGCCTTCTTTTTATTAAAATTAAAAAATGTCAACAATGTTTTCAAGGGAAATACGATAAGTTGAAAATATTTTAGGTATGAATATTCCTGTAAATTTTACATGCTTATGTAGTGCAAGACTAATATTTTAGGGACTTTGAGTCTGGGAACAAACTCAGGTCAGGGAATTGGATGAGGAACTATGATTCTTCATAGTCATAAGTGGATTATAAAATTACCAAAGTTGTAAGTGGATTATAAAATTTAAAACACCTCAGATTTCAAATATTTTGTTCCATTTTAGGCTACAGCTCAGAAACTATGATCATTATTTTTATAACAGAAATACAGAGTATTTTTTAAAGGGAGAGAAAAGAGATTGATTATAGATGTTAGTTACAGGTGTAATTTATTATGAGTAGAATGAAATGTCATTAAAAGATGAACTTTGTATGTAAAATTCTATGGATTTCAACAGGTCACAGGAAATCTCATTGTGCTCCTTTGTCCTTCAAAACACAAAGCCAACTCTACTATAATATTATTTTTCTTAGGATGAAACTTGGGGTTCACAATTATCTCAGGATTAAGGATGAATTTATTTAAGAAATTATCTGATGATCCTAACCAATCTTAGTAGATCTAGTTTGGTTCTTATTGACCTAGATTACCTCGTACTCCCTAAATAAGTCAACTTTAAGAGACATCCAGTAGACTTTCTAATTTTTTAAAAAATGTTAGAATCATTACCTTATGCAAATCACATAGACATGAGAAGTTTAAGAAAGAGGAGGAATGTTCCTGATGTATCTAAAAATCGGTCTTTTTTAAACTAAATCTCTTAGCACTCATCCTATGTAGATGAGTCCAGGAAATACATCAATAACTACTAAATTACAATTTCCCACAGTGAAGATATCTGAGGAGCACTAAAAACAACTGAACCAGAAAAGCCTAAATGACCTGCAGCAACCTCAGAAAGCAGAAGACAGACTTGTGTGGACAGTATGCACACTCACTAATAGCAAGATGACAAATAATAGATTACTTTTTCATAAAAATTTGTGACATTAGTAGTCATGCATCAGGACTTGATTATTGCAGTGCCTTTTCTTTATACAACCCATCATCTCTAATATTTTTAGGGACTTTGAATTCGGGAACAAACTCGGGTCAGGGAATTGGATGAGGAACTATGATTCTTCATTATTGCGACTTACTCGGGTTTCTATTTCCCACAATTAGAGTTTCATTTTTGGAAATATATGTCAGATAAGATTCAGCAGGCTGCTCACGTAGATGTATGTGAGTCCTAGGGAGACTGCGATTCTCGAGGGTCAAATGATTCCAATGAATGCTTTGGCCCTACTGCTCATTATGGCATCTATATGCATTTTGCACCTGGTGCTTAAGTCCTGAAATATAATTCCATATCCCTGGAATTCCATCATCCCATTGAAATTAGGCAGCCCATTTCAATCATGAGGTCTTCCACTGTCATCTCCAGCTTTCAGAGGGCAGCCACAATAGAACTTCCCAAGGGAATTCATACTTCTCTCACCAATATATTTATTTCTTAATGCTTTGGTGATGAAGTATTTTTGGAAACTTCCTGGGGTGTAGAGTGATGTGGGTGGATTTATGGATAACATATAATAAACTCTGAATGTTCTACTTCCTCTAGGTGTAAGTCACAATAGATTATTATACAATAACCATTCCATAATCTCAGTAGTTTAAAACATTATAGGTTTCTGTTTCACTCACACCACTTGTCCACTGCAGGTCAGGAAGGGGTTTCCACTACTGGAGTCTTTCAATAAACCAAGCTGATGAAACAGCCACCATCCTAGATATTGCCTGTCACTGTATCAGAGGGAAGCAATGCTCTGTGAGTGCAGTGTTAACGATTAAATGCCCTGGCATTTAATAATGTGTGTCAGGTACTATTACAGCTCATTGAACTGAAGTAGTCACATACCCCCCACTAACTAAAAAGGGAGCCTGGAATTCTGCAGTGCTCCCAGGAGAAGATGAAATATTTGTCAACAAACAGTGGCTACCACACTTTCTGTTATGCCAGACAAGCCCAGCACCCCATTTTAATTTAATGAAGGCCACCATAAATATTTCTATTATGCAATCAATTAGATTTTCAATGCCAGTCTCAGATGCTCACACTCACAAACTGAATCCACACCTTTGGTAAGTATACCCATATACATACATTAGTCCCACACTCGTAAGTTTCTGCCTTCTTCATCAGTTCTCTTAGAATTCTTTAACATATCCATTTCTCAAATTTCTATCAAGGTAAATTAGCAAGATATTAAAATTCCTTTTGGTGTGAAGCTATATCTTATGTCTCCAACTTTGTAATTGTTCTTCTGGGACATGTTGGATTCTGACTCTAATATGGGTCTGATGACAATGAGAGGTGCAGATGAAGAGAATTAACATCACTTTGTATGTGACTATCTCAGGTAAAGACCTTGCAGTATCTTCAAGTAAAACGGTACTAGCTTTGTTTGTGAGAAAGGACTACTGATGGCAAAGAAGCTCATTGGAACTTGATCATTTCTACAACACAGATTCATCCAAATCTACCAATTATCCCTACCTCATTCTTAAAGTCACACTTTATCCTAATT
Source organism: Homo sapiens (assembly GCF_000001405.40). NCBI lineage: Eukaryota > Metazoa > Chordata > Mammalia > Primates > Hominidae > Homo > Homo sapiens. Next base: position 120,287,667 of record NC_000004.12, on the reverse strand, counting down.
AGTGCCCCAAGTTTCACATAAGAGATCTGGTGAATCTGTGAATTCAACCTGTGTGGGAGTAAAGTAAGTTGCAAGATTAGACTCTGTCATGTTTTTAATTATATCAACTCTGGGTATGCAAGATAAGAGATTCGTAGAGTGGTTGTAGAAGGTCTCAGGCCCTCAGATCATACCATGAGATCAAAACTTAAATTCCGGAGCACTTTATTATCTTTCTTTAGTTCCTCATTACTTTTGGAAGTGGCCAAATTACCCACAGCGCAGGTAGGTGTTCCTTAGTCCCATCATAGTGGTTTATGACAGCAGCTACATTATCTGCCAGTCACTTGCCTTAAACATCCCATTTCTTCCAGGTAGCCTCAGGTAATCATTAAGAGATAGTTCTTAATTGACCATGTTTCATTTTCTACTGGCAATGAGATCATTATTACCTTTAAGCCCAACCTGGCAAGATAATAACTCCAGGCTCCAATCCTTGTGAGTCTATTTTATAGGACTAAGTTCCAGTGCAAGAACTAGAAATCACCCTAGGTATTTCACCCAAAAAAAAAATGAATTGGGTACTTAAAATTTTACTGGAATTAAAGAAAGAGTGAATGTCATGGGACTGCCACCAGGCGGCAAGCCCATGCCATGCAAGTGCTATCCAAATAGAAAACTGTTTAGCTCTTCATTACTTTTGAAACAGTCTGAGGTTAGGAAATATCTGGAAACTAGCACTGTTACCACAGCTACCCATTCCACCAGAGAGTAGCACATGCAGCCTGGTCTGGCCTCTGAAAAACTGGCATCTGTGAGAGCCTGTCCATCAACTGTTACCATCACAGAAAGAAGAGCCTCCATCTCACGTCTACCTTACAAATTCCAGGCAGGCACATTTCTTTGGAAGGTACTTAATCCTAAGTGGAAAGACTACATAAAAATACAGATTTTCTATTGTTATTTCCAAATTGATTTATAGCAAATATAATTCCCATAAAAATCTACTTTTTTTCTGAAACTCAAGAAATTGATTCTAAAGTTCTTTTGTATAAGCAAACATGTGAGAATATCTATGGGGAAATAAAGAATAATGAAAGGAACTTAGGGGCTCAGAAATAAAAATACATTATAAATTTTTATCAGCACATAGTATGGTGATATAACATTTGTGAGATAGATCAATGGAAAAGAACAATAATCCAGAAGGAAAGCAGTGTACATAATAATGTAGTAGAGAATGATAATGGCCTCAGAAATCAAAGAGAAAATAAATAGTTGCTCAACAAGTACTATCAAAATAAATTTTAGCTATTTGTAAAAAGAATAAAAAAGCAAGTTTGAGACATTATTTCATAACATTTCTTAGACCCCATATTCTTTAAATAACTATATGTAAAATCATAAGCCAATAGAAACTGAAAATTATATTGTTAAATACAATTTTTGTGAATGAACTGCCCAAGAATAAAAAGCTCTCCTATTGCTTGATTATTAGCCAAGACCTACCCTATCTGACCTCACCCATCACCATGTGGCTTCCCTAGAGATGGTGGCAGGTGAGGGAAATTATAGAGAATAAACACCTTTGTATTAAAATATTTGGGAAGGCCGTTGCCATTTTCCAAGGATCATCCCTAACTAGCTTTGAGAAAACACTAGTTGTCGTTAAAAAAAAAAGTTAAGCATTCTTAATAAAGGTTCTAAAATTAAAACCAAAGCTACTCCTTTAAAATCAAAATCAAAACAAATAAAATATGATTATCTAGGGAAAGAAGGATTTGTAGAGGGAAGATCAAGTGCAGAGATCTTAGACGGATTTGGGTTTGCAAGTGTTCAAGAAACTATAATAAGTAAATAATGCATATTTATTTAATAAATAAATGAGGTTTTCCCAAAACAATGAGTTTGTCTTAGAGTAACATTAAGCCAATGATATAAAGTTTGAATGGACACATTTTCTTGAGTAAAGTTGCTTTAAAACAAACAACAAAAAAAACCTCTATAAACAAAGTAAAAAACAAAGTAATTATTTTCTATTTTGCTTTGCTTGAACTTTTGGTCTCTAAGTTCTTTCGAAACTGAGATCAAACCCTAATTTGTTCTGCTTTATATTGATGCACCTTCTATACCCTGGACTCCTTCCACATCTGCCACCCGTCTCCCACTATTTCTCAACAAGAGTCCTCCACTCCGGCCAAACAGGTCTATTTATTATTTGCCAAGCACACCATCTTTATTTCCATCCCAAATCCTTTGTTCTTATCGTTTCTCTGAACTGGAATGCCCTCCCTGCTTCTCTCCATGCTCTGCTTGTCATCAAAATCCTATCCACTCTTCAGAATCTAGTTCCGTAACCCAGTCCCAGAAGACTTCACCCTTCCTCTCCACAGCATTACCTCATGAAGCTCTAAATATCTTTTTCCTCAGTCTTCTTACTAATTACCTTATTGCTATTATTTCAGTTCCATTTTAGGTTGACCAATAAGTTTTCATAACTTATTTTGAATTTCAAATTTACAGAAAAGTTCCAAGTAAAGTATAATGAACTTTCATATTTACTTCACTCAAGTTCCCTAATTGTAAGTCTCTCACCAAATTTGCACTCTCTCTCCTATATTAAAAATTATGTACTAAATATGAATTATTAGACATGTTATTTTTCCAAACCATTTTAGAGTAAGTTACAGAAAAAAACAGGGATACTAAAACCAGGCTCTACCTAACTAGAATATAATCATTCATATCCGGATATCAACATTGACGCAACACTAATGTCAGTCTACAGATGCTGTGATCACATTCAACTTTCTCAGTTGTCCTCCAAATACATCTTTTTTACTTTCTAGTCCTGGATCTAATCCTGGATCTCCCATTGCATTAGTAGTCATGTCTCTTTAGTTTCCTTCAATCTGAAACAGTTCCTCTATTTTTTCCTGTTTTTCATGACATTGAGAGTTTTAAACAGTATAATCTGTTTCTGATGAATGGGCTTCACCTATTTCTATCTGATATTTCCTCACATGCAGAGTTAGGTCATACATACATCACAGAAACAATGCTGTGCTCTTCTGATGACTTCACAGCAGGAGCCACACAATCAAGTTTGTGCTAGATTTCTCCACCAAAAAGTCAACATTTTTTATTTGTAATCAATAAATATTTTATATGAAGATAAATTATTTCTATATTTAAATATATTTATATGTAAAATATGTGCAAAATATTATTTCAATGTGTAACCAATTTAAAAGTTATTAATGAGCTATTTTGAATTTTATTTCATACTAAGTCTTCAAAATCTGGTGTGGATTTTACGCTGACAGCACATCTCCGTTGGGTCTAGCCCCATTTCAAATGCTCAGGAGTCACTTGTTGCTAGTGGCTACCATATTTGACAGGGCAGCTCTAAAGCATAAACAACGCTTCCTTGGAAAAATTAGCTTTCAGAGTGTTTTCAAATGAATTTTAGAAAACTATTTAGAATCTATAAATAGGTATTTACCCATTTATTAAACCATAGAATTGAACGGGACAAGAAAAGTGAAGCCTCTGACAAAAAAAAAAAAAAGTAGGCAAAATTTTCCTCAGACCAAATGGAGAAATCAATTATGATCACCTAAAGTGCCCATTATCCTGTATTAATACTTTTTGTTAATACCCTAAAACCCATCAACAGATAAATAGATAAGCAAGTTGTGGCCTATATGTACAACATCCCACCTCTCTACCAACCCCACTTCTGATTTAAGAAAGCAGAAAATACCCAGTATTAGAAAATATGATTTTAATGATTTGTTCTTACACCAGTAGTTGTAATTTCCTGGAGGTATGTGTAATACAAACTATGTAGTTCAGTGCTTCTCACAGGTATTCTTTCTGCTGGACCATTTCCCTTAGTATACCCAGGTCCCATTTTCTCTATTCTTGCATTTCTATCCGAGTCTTTTCTTTCCCTGTATATTTCTCTTTCCTAAGAATACTTAATTTAAGTATAGACTGCAATAATAGTTTATTTCTCCAGATGATACTCCAAATTGGTACCTAATACACAGAAATAACTATAATGGAAGTAATCCAGAAAATGTCAAATGCATGACTCGTTGTACCAACATTAAAAAGGAAGGTAAATGACAGCTGAATTTATACTCACTTCTCACCCAAACAATTGCTTATAAAAATTGCAGGGATAGTTTACTGAGAATGATGATTTCCAATTTCATCCATGTCCCTACAAAGGACATGAACTCATCACTTTTTATGGCTGCATAATATTCCATGGTGTATATGTGTTGTGGGGTGGGGGGAGGGGGGAGGGATAGCATTGGGAGATATACCTAATGCTAGATGATGAGTCAGTGGGTGCAGCGCACCAGCGTGGCACACGTATACATATGTAACTAACCTGCACAATGTGCACATGTATCCTAAAACTTAAAGTATAATAATAAAAGAAAAAAAAATTGCAGGGAATGGCAGGTATGTATGCAGTGGCCATTTTTTGATGGGTTGTTCAGCAGCTCTCCTCTTGAGCACCTGTTTTCTTGTAGAGCCATTTCCATGGGCACCAACTGGGCCTGACTGACCTCCTAGCCCCAGGCCTAGAGGTGGGCATGATATGCAGCTCCAGCAAATCATCCTATCTTTGGACCGTAGCAACTGACCTAGTGCTTTTCTTCTGGAATCATCAAGGGGACACTTCCTTTTTTTGCCACTGTGGCATGTAAGGACAATGTGAAGTATGTTATTTGTAGCACAGTCTCCTGCTGCATAGAAAGAAAGTCATCTTAAGAAGAAGGAAATAAAACTAAAACACAAGAAAAAGTGTCAACAGAAAGAGGGAGAAATGTCCTGATTGCATTATTTAAGCTCCTGGAACCAGGTATGCATGGCACTTACTTGAGTTAAAGTTCTGTCACTTATAGTAGGGGTCCCCAAACCTGGAGCTGTGGACAAGTATGGGTCTTTGGCCTGTTAGGAACAGGGCCGCACAGCAGGAGGTGAGCAGTGGGCAAGCAAGCATTAAAGCCTGAGCTCCTCTTGTCAGATCGGCGTGGCATTAGATTCTCACAAGAGGACAAACCCTATTTTGAATGCTGCACATGTGAGGGATCTAGGTTGCACACTCCTTATGAGAATCTAACTAATGCCTGATAATCTGAGGTGGAACAGTTTCATCTACCTGCTCCATGCCATGGCCCACCCCCGTGGAAAAATCATCTTCCATAAAACTGGTCCCTGGTGGCAAAACAATTGGGGACCACTGACTTATAGGATCATTGACTTAAATATAAAATAAAGCACAAAAACCATCAACTTCTAGAAGAAAACGTAGGAAAAACTTTGTAATCTTCAATCAAAGATTTTTTAGCTAGAACACCAAAGGCACAATACACAAAAATAATTCATAAATTGGACTACATCAAAATTAAGATCATCTGCTATTTGAAATACAGTATTAAGAGAATGAATGAGAAAACACAGACAAGGAGAAAATATGTGCAAATCTCATATATAATAGAATTGTACCCTGAATATATTAAAAATACTATTAAAATGTAATAATGAGAAAGCAAGAAAAACAACAAAAGAGGCAAAATAAATTGAACATCTACTTTACCAAAGGTGTACAGATAGCATGTAAGCACATAAAAAGATGTTAAACAGTATCGGGCATTATGGAACCACAATAAGATACTATGGTATACATATTAAATTGTCTAAAATTTAAAAAGACAGCTCATACAAAGTGTTGGCAAGAATGTGGAATTCTCATATACTGTTGATGGGAATATAAAATGGTACAACAATTTTGGCAAACATTTTGACAGTCTATTAAACTAGACTGACACCTATTAACCTAATATTTACTCAAAGTAATAAAAACATCTGTACATTAATGTTCATCAGAAGTGTTTATTTGTGTAAGTACTAAACTGGGAGCAAACCCAAAAACCATCAACAGGCAAATGGATAAACAAGTTGTGGCCTACTTTACAATACAGTACTACTCAGTAATAAAAATAATGTCCAATTGATGCCTGAAATATAGTAGAATCTCAAAATAATCATGCTACATAAAAGATGCCACAGCCCCCAAAAAAGGGTTCATACTACCCTTCATTTATATAAATGTCTAAACAGTGCAAACTAATCTACAGTGATAGCAGGCAGATTAGTGATTGCCAGGGAGAGTGGTAAGGTAGGAAAGTACAGGAAGGTTGGGTTTACAAAATGGCAAGGGGAAATTTTTGTGAGTGCTAAATATGTTCATCATTTTTATATTGGTGATGAGTTTTTCAGTACATACAAAGAATAACATTCACACAACGGAATTTAAGAAAGTATTTTCATTTCAGTCTTTTTTTTTTTTTTTTTTTTTTTTTTTAAGACAGAGTCTTGCTCTGTCGCCCAGGCTGGAGTGCAGCAGCGCGATCTGGGCTCATTACAAGCTCCGCCTCCCAAGTTCATGCCATTCTCCTGCCTCAGCCTCCCGAGTAGCTGGGACTACAGGCGCCCGCCACCACGCCTGGCTAATTTTTTTGTATTTTTAGTAGAGATGGGGTTTCACTGTGTTAGCCAGAATGGTCTCAATCTCCTGACCTCGTGATCCGCCCACCTCGGCCTCCCAAAGTGCTGGGATTGCAGGCGTGAGCCACCGCGCCTGGCCTATTTCAGTCCTAAATAACCAGAATTGACATCTGTTGGCTGAAATTTGAGAGATGGAAGAGAGGAAGGAGACCTCCTCCTCCAATGAATAATACTAAAATTCAGCAGTTCCATTTCCATCTCTGCAGTGATGTTGCATGTGAGTGAGCTACTCTATTTGCTTGGGCAGCTCTCCTCTTGAGCCCATTTTCTTTTAGATGTGCTCAATAAGAAACATCTTGTATTTGCTTTTCCTTCTTCTCTAAATCTTACACATCTCAGTGGATGATAGGAAACAGTGAAGCAATCATTTTTCTTTTTCTTTTTTTTTTTTTTTTTTTGAGATGGGGTCTCACTGTGTCGCCCAGGCTGGAGTGCAGTGGCGAGATATCGACTCACTGAAAGCTCCGCCTCCTGGGTTCACACCATTCTCCTGCCTCAGCCTCCCGAGTAGCCGGGACTACAGGCGCCCGCCACCACGCCTGGCTAATTTTTTGTATTTTTAGTGGAGACGGGGTTTCATCGTGTTAGCCAGGATGGTCTCGATCTCCTGACCTCGCGATCTGCCCGCCTCAGCCTCCCAAAGTGCTAGGATTACAGGTGTGAGCAACCGCACCCGGCGAAGCAATCATTTTAAAGTTCTGAGGAAAGATTATTTCCAGCCTAAAAATGTATGTCTAATTATCATTAATCTGGATTCCCTAAAAACGGAGTCTGAGGCAAAAGTTAAAGGCCCGAGATTTATGGGAGGTCTTAACTGAGAGGAGCAGAAGTAAGGTGTTTTCACTCTGTCTGGAATGCTCTCCCCTGAGATACAAACATGGTTCAATCTTTCATTTATTTTTGATCTCTGCTCAAATTTTCTAGACCTTCTGAGATTTTTCTATAGAAAATAACACTCCAACATCACTAACTTCCTTACCATACTTTTTCTTTATATACATGTATGTGTATGTGTGCAGATAGATATGTTGACATACAACTACATATATATGATACATGAATAACATGTTGTTGTTGTTATTTATCTATATACCTCTAACCCCAAAATAAAAGCTCTTTTTAGATAAGAACCTAGTTTGCATTCATTTTGTCCTACTTAATCTCGTTATCTTCAGTTCCTAGAATAGTGCATGGTACACAGTAGGAACTCAATAAACAACAATAACAAAAAAGCCTTTTGAATGAAATCATCGTTACAATTCACGTATGAGGTAAAATATATTCATTTTCAGATATTCAAGATCTTAAAAAATGCATCTTACATGCACACTATCTGTGGAAGCAGCAATCAAAAATGGAGCAGAACAAAGTAACAGCTTCACACTGTCCAGAGAGTAACCAAATCAGAGGAGGAAGAAGCCAGGCTGTAGGAGAGACATCTCCAAGGCGAGAAAACACTTAACTGAAAGATAGTTTAAAATTTTATAAACAAATGGGAAAACTATTTTGGGGCAAATGTAAGATAAGTAGTAGTATTTGAACAAAACTGAGCAAATAGGTACAAAGAAAATTAAACTGATATAGAGTGAAATAATTATTGAACTCAAGGAAGAAAGTTGTATTTTTAAAAGGCAATACAATCATAGCATGTAACCTGGGTCTGTAATGAATAATAGCTAATTAATCACAGTATTTGCTGACTACAGGCTTAGGTAAAGATTATGCTACAAGTTCTGAACTGCTGGAGAGGTGAGGAAGAGCAATTGACAGGAAAGTGGTTCCCAAGTACATGTCCATTGTCAAAGGGCAATTTCTAGAGCCTATAAGTCAGAGACTGTAGTATCTGGTTTAGAGTTACGAAGGAATTAAAAACGGAAAGTGCTGGCCTCAGAGGACTAGGATTCGACTTTACAAAAGTAAACTGCACATTTATTACCTTGATAAAAATAGTAATTTTCTAGAGAAAATAATCTTAAGAATTAAATTGTGGGAAGGGGCCTAGAGTAGTCGATGCTGTGAAACGGGATGTTCTAGAACCAAGTTTAACAGAATCTCTGTGGGGCATAAACGTCCCAACAAAATCTGCTTTCACAGGAATGCCAACTAGCAAAGAAGAAAATGCAGCTTCCACCATCACTAAAGAAAAAGTTTCTTTGTTTATATATATACTATTCCATGTATCTAAAAAGTTGAGATAAGGGATCAATTGCATCATAATGTTTAAAAGAAATTTCTAATTCTTTCATCCTGAATGTACCTGCTTAGCATAATGCCATAATTTTCTATATAATACATTTCAGCCTATTTTCTACAAATATTATTCTGGGCATCTCTTGTTATAAATTTTATGAACATAGTGGAGGATGATGAAAATACTTATTTATTGAATTTTACAGAATTTCAGATATCTTTACCTATGGTATTAAACCAAGTATTTCTAAATCAAATTTTAATCTCTAAGAAATCTATTTAGAAAGTTTAATACATTATGATGAAAAGATAATCCTGGAATATATGGCTTTGCACATTATGCAGATTCTGCAAATATTTGTTAAATTGAATTAAAATCTCCACTAAAATTTCCCATTTTCCTAAATGCAATTTCAATGGTTTCCTAAGGCTACAAGAACTCAAAGTCACACACACACACACACACGCACAATATTGATATAATCAGGGGAGGTGTGATCTCAGGCAAAACTGAAACTATTTTTGAAAAGTTTTCCAATTCTTTTCAGTGGAGACATTTTGAATATTTTACTTTTTGTAATTTGTTTTTTGCTTCCATCTTTGCTATATAAAGAAAAAGTAACGTACAAGCAATTGTTGAGCTCTTCAAAGAAGCTTTGAATAGAGACTCTGGAAACTATTCTTGCTCTTTCTTTTCAGGTGTAGATGTCTTTGAAAAATCTCAAATTAAAGAAATACAGAAATAGAAATATTCTATTAAATGGGATACATAGTATTGTCTTTATAATAATTATCTTTGCTTTTGTTGTTATTGTTATAGTTAATAATTCATTGCAGATTACTTCCACTATATTTTATTTCTTAGTTAAGAAATCTTGTTTATTTGTTTTACATTATTGTCAGCCCAATTCTATTTGGAACTGTAATATGGGCATTAACAGGGCTTTGTTAGGGCTTTAGATACTCCAGGAATAAATGGATGTATATCAATGCATTCACAAGTTTTAATATCGTAGAAATAGTGTTCAAAACTGTGCTTTTGCCTAAACTTGTCTGGCCTTCAACATGGTTCAAATCCAGTTAAATTCTTATTTCATCTAAACAGCTGCTATCTCCTTTTTTGTACAACTTTGCCTCAACTATAATAAGGCAGCAATCTAAATTTGCCTAACAATTGGACTCTATCCACAGAACTTGAAGTGTGTTCTAGCCAAATGCAGATTAAATTGGCTAAGTAATAATGCTCTTCAAATTGCTGTAGCCTATTCCAACAACAAAATGTAACTCCTAGGAAACAACTAACAAGCAAACAAGATGTTCTTCAAGTTATAGGCTCTATATGTTACACTGAAACACAGTATGATGCCTTTAAAACATCTACAGAGGGAAAGTGGGATCAACAAAAGCCCAGCTGTGACCTCACTATTTGGTAATTGTGCTTACAGCTGACTCCTTTACTTAACTCCTAATTGTGCACATTTTTGGCAGGAATAGCACTAATCACTGATCAAGCCTACCTTTTAAAAAGTGAACAGTAGAAGGCTTTGCCACCAGTGATCATTTCAGTAAACTGTAACTCTAGTCACTGGCTGGAACTTACACTGTAGAATGCAAGCGCTCAGAATTAACATCATCATACTATTGAATTCAAAAGAAATCCAGAATATCAGGGCATCCAGAGAAGATAGAGAAGGTCCTCTGAATGTGACTCATCACTCACATTTTGCTTTGATTTGATTACTATTTACTGTATTACATGTGGAGAATATAAGAAAAATATTTCTTTCCCTCGTTTTTAATGCTAACCCTAAAATGGTAAGGCTCTTTCAGGTTGAAATCACCAGGCTCAGACTGGCTCAACGGAAGGTCAAGAGGTAGTGAAGTCACCTGTAATGGTAAACACGCAAACACTTCCAAGCTGAACAAGTCTGGACTCAGTTCTTGTAGTTCCCAAATTCACAACTCTCTTGGGACAGGTTGATTCAGCTACAAAGAATGAGAAATTCCACCCCAGAGAATTATTTTATAAAAAGTTATTCACATCTAATAATCTCAAGAGATAGAAACACAGCAATGTCGAAAATTACCTATTAATTATTAATCCTTGGAGAAAAAATTAGACAATTGTTTTTGAAAACATGAAAAACTTCATATAATAAAAATTAAGACTCTCACATGTGATTCCATTTCTGTTCATTAATTACGGAGAAGTTAATAATTGCTAAATTGCCAGCAGTAAAAAATAAATCATTCATTACAGGAAAAGTACAGAGTTTTTACAAAAAATAATCAAGAATATTCTATTGGCTTTGGAGCTTCTGACATGTAAGACTTTTACCACTAAATATATGAAGCTCATCAACTGGCTTAACTTTCTATGTAATTTAAGCTTGATTTTCATTCAAATAGTACAATAGTTAATATTTTATTTCATATTTTAAAACTCATTGATTAGTCATTTAGTAATTTTTTTTCTGACAACTCCATCTCACTTTTAGAAATAAACTCTTTGAGGAAATAATAAGCTTGACTTCAAATTTTCAACACTGAGTAATTTTGAAAGCATGCCGATACAGAAAAAAATCATATGGATAGACTCTAATATGGCCAGAGATGTTAGCCAAAAGCATGGCACTCAAAAAGAAAGGGAAAAAAAAAAAGCAAAAGAGAGGAATGCTTATCTTTATAGGGGACTATATGTGCCCTTTAAAAAGTGTTTATTTAAAAATTATAATATTTACAAGGTAGTTATTTACATTTGCTTAAAGCATAAGTCTCCTTAGTAGACTAAATCACATATATTTTGTAGTGATTAGAGAACATTTTGGTCACTCTGGCAGTGAAATATATCTTGGAAACCTTAAAAAAGTAAAACAAAGTAAACCTAAATGTGTCACACCAATATTCAGGCCATATCAGTTCATAATAATCGCATCAAAGCTGAGGGTCCTCTGTGGTCAGTATTTGCCAAGTCCTCTTGGTCATCTAAGTTATTGTTTACAGTGCTTTCGCTTTGCCACTTCTCCATTCAAAACCCTGTAACTTTTCTTCAATCTCCTCTAAGTAAAACACTAATATCATAGCCTGGCATTATGGTGCTCAGTAATCTGGCCCTACTTGAATTCTACACTAGTTCCATAACTAGAACCCTTTCTAGCTCTACAATATTCACATGCTGACATCATTGCCAGAATTATTTGTAAGGAAAATACCCTCTTTCTCTCCCATGTTCCCTGGGAGCATATTAATTAAGTAAGAAAAAAAGTTTGAGAATGGCAGCCTCTGCTTCTCTCCTTCATACTCTCACTCCTTTCTGAAGATGCAAAATGACTTATCTAATTGGAAACCTTGGAATTTGCATACCTGCAAGGAGCATGAAGTATCCTGTCTTTTCTTGCTGAGAGTAAATTAACGAAAGAGGCTCTGCTTCCATACACCAGACAGGGTGCAGTTTTAACAAGGGGCAAGTTCAATTTGTAGGTGAATTATTAGGATGCCCCTTTGGTTGCTTTTTCTAAGCCAAACACTTTTACCTAGCCCTTGCACTAATACTGTAAATGTGGTTCTCTCTCTGACTCCTCTATTTCCTAACCAATTTGTACTTTTTAATGGAGTGAGGGATGTGCTTTAACATTGCTCCTTAAATTCCAACATTAGGCTGTACAAATCTTACAATTGGATCAAGTTTGTTACTTGCTAATCATCACTAAAGACACATGACCCTTCACTGTCTTAGTCATGTCATTCCCTCTGCCTAGAACAGCCTCCTGTTTCCCATGGCTACCTGATTAAACCAGACCTCAGGATCTTCCTCTACCATTTTTCTCCCAATGAATGGCGTGAGCATCCAACTAGTTGTCATTGCCAGAAATCCAGATACTGTCTTTGACCCCTCTCCATTCTTTCCCACTTTAACAACCCATCATCAGGCTTGCCAATATCATCCTACAAATCTCCCTTGAGTGTTTTTTGCATATCTTCATCACCACCACCACCACCCAAATAGAACCCAGTGACCCTCCTTCGTGGACCACTGCCATAAGCCCTTAAGTCTGTCTTCCTGCTTCCACCTTGCCTCTTGCTTCGAAACTCTCAACCTTTCAGCCAAAGTGATCTTCTCTAAACGCAAATCTGATCATGCACCACATCATGTTGGCCTGCCCAACAGCACACACTTTTAAAACATTCCATGTCTTCTAGTTGCACATAGAATAAAGATTTACTATTTTTTTTCTTTTTGAAACAGGGTCACACTCTGTCACCCAGGTTGAAGTAGAGTGGCACCATCATAGCTCACTGCAACCTTGAACTCCTAGGCTTGAAGCGATCTTCCTGCTTCAGGCTCCTGAGTAGCTAGGACTACAAAGTGTGTGCCCCCACACCCAGCTAATGAATAAAGATATACTTTTTTTTAAAAAGGCAAAATTTAATTTTTTGTTCAGGCTGTTTGTTCCTGTGTTCCCTGGCTTTCTCCAGGCCAATTACCCTGGTTTTCTTACAGTTGCTGGTTTCAGTCATCTTTGCTCTTCACAGGATTTTGTACTTGTGTTTCCCCAGACCTGAAATATTTTTCCTGTTTCTCTCCATGTGCTTAACTTTCTAAACCTCTGTTCACTTGCCGCTTCTCTGAAAATTATTTATGGCTTTCTTGACTAAGAAAATATTTTCAATTTTTCCTCATGGATCTAAATTCCTCTGCTTTGTGGGATTTGTCCCATTTGTGATTTTGCATTGCATTTTTATCTGATTATTTGTAAAATATCAGTATACGTCACCAAACATAAGCCCCATGAGGACAGAGGCTGGAACTGATTTTGCTCACGTAGCACAGTCCTGGCACACAGTAATTGTTCAATAAATATTGGTTAAGTGTATATATAAATGCATAGATGGATAGACAACCTCCCAAAGTAGTTGCAGTATTAAATTAAAGCCCCCTCTGGCCTACTAATTGATTCTTTTGGGAGCAGCAAAACTGGCCAGCCAAGGCTCTTCTTTAGGACTGTGGTGTAATTGCATCTGCTTTGTTGTAATGTCTCTTGGGGAGAAATATCCCTGACTGAGAGTGATCAAGGAAGGGAGTACAATTGTTGTCAGAGGAATCCTGTAGGTAAAGAAATAGAGCTGTGGAAAAGAAAACGATGTTCAAACAAAGGTAAATAAATTGATTGCACTACCATGTTAAAAAAATAAATGCTTACATGCCAATATCCAATTGATTTACTTAATTAAAAAATTGACTGAAAATATAGTAGTGAATAGAGTAAAAGGTCTCTCTATCTTCACAGAGCTTACATTGCAGGCTTGGGAAAATAAAAACAAAGAGTAAACAATCCTTCACCTATTGCTGTTGGTATAAATTGGTACTACAATTCTGGTAGAGGTTTTGCCAATACCTACTCAAGCTGAAGAGATATATTTATACATACATACATATATATATATACATATACATATACACACACATATGTATATATATATATGTCTGTGTGTGTGTGTATATATATATATATCCTTTAATTATCTTTGTGGTTATAAATCTACAAAATTGCACAAATTTTTCCTTAAAAAACATGCACAAGAATGTGTAGAGAAGCATTGAAAAATATAGCAAAAATCAGCAAAATGTTCATAGACAGTTGAATAAATAAATTGTAGTGTATGCATAGAATAGAACATTTTAGAGTAATGAGCATGGGCAAACCAAACTACAGCCAACACCAGAGATGAGTCTCACAAACAATGTTGAGCCAAAGAAGCCGGGCAAAAATGAGAACAGACTGTATGAGTCCATTTATGTAAAGTTCAAAAACAGGCAAAACTTATCTTTGGCATAAAAAGCCAGGATATAAATTATCTTGGGGAATTGGTGATTGAAAGGAAGAGCGAAGGTTTCCAGGTTGTTCATACTCTTCAGTCACTGTATTTCATGGGTATATTCATTTTGTAAAAATTAAGTAAGCATTTCTTTTATAATTTAGGTACTTTCCAGTATATGTATTAAATATAATTGAAAACTTATTTTTTTATTTTCAATTTACCTCTTGTATTTCCTTCTCAGTCATTTTTTGTCATTTCTACTTTTCTGGAAAAATTGTCATTTCACATAAATTCTCCAATTTAATGGCATAAAATTATATTTACAATGTTATCTTATTATGTTTAAAACTTGACTGTATCTATAAATATTCCCTGTTGTTTTTCCTCATATTTGGACTTTCTATTTCTTTCTTGCTCTTAAAATAACTTTTCTACTTTATTAATCTTTTCAAAGAACAACACTGATTTCATTGGCCCTATTATTATCCCCAAGTAACAGGTGGGTCATAAAGAAGTTAAGTAACTTGCCTGAGGTTACACAGGTAGTCTGACCCTGCTCTCCCCACCATTGAACAAACTACCTCACACAGGAAATACACGTGCAATACGACTTCTAAAGATACATAAAATCACATACACATACACATACACATACACACACACACACACACACACACACACACACACACACAATTTGCCTAAACTCTGAATTTATACTGGGTTTACCTGCAGAAAGGACACTAGAATTGACTGGGAGTGCAGAAGGTCACATGAAAATTAGCATTCTCTGTGATATTTTTCTTGTTTGTTTTGTAGAGATGGGAGCTCACTATGTAGCCCAGGCTGGTCTTGAACTCCTGGGCTCAAGCAATCCTCCTGCTTTGGCTTCCCAAAGCACTGCTTCTATAACGTTTAAAAACACTTATAAACAAAATAAATTCACGTAATTTTGTTATCCATGGATTGAATTAAATTAAAAATGAGAACAGATATAAAAGATACAAAGATCAAACCATCCCTTCCTGATCTTTCTCTTGCTGTTCATGTTAGCTCATCACTTCCAAGGCAACCCAGCCTGCAGAGCTAGACTTTCTCACGCTGCCAACTTTATACATTCTTACCCTGAAGCCATTTTACCTCTGCTGAACCACATCCCTGATGTCAGAGAAGGACTTTGCTTTATATTTGTGTATATAAAGAGCCTATGTGGTTCACTTTCTGAATATTTCTTCCTTAATGATTAAAATAATCTTGGTGTCTGGGAGCCAGGCACAGCAATGTGGGGTGAGGGTAGAAGGCAGAAACTTGCAACGCATGAGCTCCGTCAGCTATTTCAACATATCTTTGCTCCCCAGCTAAATATAATAGAAAGTTTCTTAAAGGCTTGATCTTATGCACCATTGATTCCAAACAACTAATTTCTTGCCTTATACATACTGCAAACTTATTCACAGTTCATAATAAATTATCCATCGGAAAGTGTTCTAAACAAAACGTGTTCTCTTTGTAGAACTAGTAGTGAACCTGAATGCTTACAAAAAAAATGTTTATTTAGGATTACCAGCATAATGATGTTTTCTAATATTTGTTAAGTACTTTTAGATGTTTAGCACCATGCTGGGGAAATACTATAAAAACTTTCTTATAATTAACCTCCTACTCAAAAGGTTATACATGATCCAAACTTTTTCCTTTTCCTGCCAACACTGAGGAATGTCATACAAAGAAGTCTTGAGGTGAGTAGAAGTGATAAAGACAAAAAATTTAAAAGAAAGGGAAAAAGTTTTCTGCAAACTTGTTGCCACACATTAGTCTTACATGAATTTATCCATTAATTATGTTAATGCTGAATGGACCACATTACCTAAAGTTGTACAAGTGATTGCCCCAAAACTTAACTTCCCCAAGAAACTGGAATAAACAAAAGCTAACTCTCTTTGAAGGAAGTCACATCTATCTTAGACCTTGATGAACCTTGAAAATAATTTTCTCTAGGCAATGACTAGCAAGCAGCAGAAGATAACATGCTCACAAAGAAGTAAGACAATGTGAAAGACGCCAGAAGAGAAAAATAACAGAAACAAATCTGCAAAGACATCAAATATTAGACTTATCAGACAAAAATATTAAAAACAACTATGCTTTTATGCAATGTACCCATGTAACAAACCTGCACAGGTACCCTGAATCTATAATAAAAAATTAAAATAAAAAACTATGCTTACCAGGTTCAAAAAAATAAATAGCAAATGGAAGTATCTGCTGAGGAGAAGAAAGTGCAAAAAAGATTTAAAAAATAACTAAATGTTGGAATTAATAATACCATGACTAAAATTAAAAACTTGTTAGCCACATTTGAACATGTATCCACAACAAGAATTGGCAAACTGGAAGACATATCAGAAGAAATTACCACATATGCAACAAAGGTCAGTCTCAGAAAACTTAAGTGGTAAGTCCTCAAGACATTCAAAATTTAAAAATAAAAAGCATAGTATTGATCATATATAACCACTTCCAAAGAATAGAAGAAGTGAAAACACTGCACAACTCAATTTCTGAGGACAAAACAAGAACTTTAGGACAATCTCATTTATGAACACAGATATAACAATTCTAAACCAATTACTAATAAACTGAATTTTGCTATATATATAAAATGAATAAAACCATGAATCACTTTATCTCAGGACTACAGAATAAGTTGAACATTGTAAAATCTACGAATATATATAAAATAAACATAGAAAAAGAGGTTGGTTAAAAAAAACTTTTGCCAAACTGAAAATAAAAGGGAACTTTCTGAATATATGATGTGTCTAAAATAAGCTACAGCAAATGTACATGATGAATTATTGAAAGCTCCTTTTTGATATCATGAACATGTTAATGATGCTGCTATCAACCCTTTTATTAAACTTTGAATATGTTATCCTATCCAACAGGGTAAAATGAGAAATTAGGCATACAATGGGACTGGCAAAGCAGAATTATTCAATAAATTCATACTTGGACAATGGGTTCTGCACTGGGAGATTGGATACCTACAAAGCAACTCACACAAAGCTCTTTTCAGATAGACTAAGGATTTAAAACTTTTAAAACAGAATATAGGAGAAGATTGTTTTAACTATGGGGTAAAGAAAATTTCTTAAACATGGCACAATATAAAAATCATACATAAAAATATCTGTAAATTTGACTAGATTAACTTTAAATACTTTTGATTATCAAAAACTTATAGAAATATGTTTCAATAAAGATGGTGGAAAGTCAAGTGATAGCTGAGAGAAAATATTTAGAAAACACATATTACTTATAAAAGATATGTATTTAGAAAATGTATATTACAGAATGTGTATGAATCAAAATGAAAAATAAAAACATTAAAAATAGGACAAATTACAAGTCTTAAAACACAAACGACCAATAAGTTTGTTAAGATGTTAACTTCATTCATAACTATGGAAATGCTAGTTAAAACTATAAATGATCTATCTTTCTAATTCACCATTTTGTCAAAGAGTTATGTCTAATACTTTTAAGAGTTGGTAAAGACATGGAGCACTTGGAATTCACAAATAGCCACTAGCAACAGAACTGATTTATAAGTTGATGTATATTCATATTATGCAGCAGTGAAAATAGACAAGTATGGCTATTTAAAGCAATATGGAAAAATATTTAAAAATAATTATGAATGAAAAAAAATACCAAGCCACCAATGAAAACTTGTAGTAGGATTTCATTTACATAAAGGCAAAGACAGGTAATGCTGAAAAGTATATTGTTTAGAAATACAATTGGATGATATAAATTATAACACAAAGTTCAGATAGTAGTTACTTTGGGGTGGGAGATTAGTAGGAGACTTTAGAGGTATTCATTTCACAGGAATGTGAGAGGATTTTATGAGCCCAGACTGAAAGTTTCATGAGAGCAGAGACTAATATTTTCTCTTCTCCATTTTATTTCCTGAGCCTAGAAAAATGTATGGCACATTGTAGTTGATCAACACACATTTATTGGTTAAGTGAATGAATAAATGCCCTTTGTAAACTGTAAAGCTATGGAAATCATGACTTTTTTATTATTTACTGTAGTTTATTTGATATAATCAAATAGAAGGTAATTAGTTTTAACATTGAGGGAACATTATTGAAAGTTTTATGTTAACCCAGAACACTTTGGCAAAATAAATTAAATTTTTAGTTTCTACATTTCTGACAATTGAAATTACATTTCAATTGCCAAATAAGGATGAAACAAATATGAAATCTGACTTCAGGTGAGCATAATTTGAGAAGCAACGGCAAAAAAAAAGATAAAAATTTCATTTGGTCAGATCTGCAAGTTCTACTATATAAAGTTTTCTTTAGAAAATACTTCACAAGTTGGAAGTTTGTGAAATGTGGTTAACGTGTAAGTAATTGAACGTGTTTGTGAACTCAAATGCCCCATCTACCAATGTGTCTCCAATTAGAAAAAGGCATCAGATGAATTAAATGTTAATTATATTTGAAGTGTGGAATAAAGCCATAGTAATCCATTGTACATTTGCCAGTTTTCTGATTTTTTGGCTCCATTACCCAATTGTCCTGCTGAAATGTTTGTATATTGTATGTGAAAAATATGTATTTGCATGTCCATTAGGCAAAGTCATATAATCCACACTATATATTGCTCCCTGCTGTGTTTAATGGAATCTATCCAATGAGTGAGCAAAGTCTTCAAGTTACAAACAATATTCAAAGAAGACTTTTATCTCAACCAGACACTATGTTTTGGTCATGTTACTCACCCAGAATATTTTTATATACATATAATTTGAGACAGATCACCAATAAGAGAGATTTGTTCAGAAGAAGAATTGCATGTTTTGAAGGTCAAGTTTATTTTATTTAGTTTTTTTTCCACCTATTGACTTGTCATATCTCTGGAATTATGTCCAACTAAACTTGAAAATATTGTAAAATGCCATGAAAGTAATATATTGAGGAAATGTGGTTTATTCTGGGAATGGGCAGTCTACACATATTAATAGGCTTTCTTTGCACCCACCTCGGCAACTAATTCTGAATAGATGTCCTTGATGTATTTAAGAGACAAGGTGATAAAAGATTAGAGAGCTGTTTTCTTTCAGAAGCTGGCTCATCTAAGAAAGCACCAGTATTTGAAGAAAGTTCTCTTTTCAAAGTTTGAGTTTCCATCTGTATATACACAGAACAGTGTATTATGCTAAAACATTTGGTTTCTAAAATGGCAGCCAAAGTTGTTGTCTGTCTGAATCTATTTTGGACCATTGTATATTCAATATGACATAAAAAATAGACCTTTTATGTTGTAAGTAATCTAAAATTGGTGTATCCAAACAAATTTTACAAATAACTGTAGAGTTCAGCAAACTGTGTATATAATGACACTAATATCTCTACTTTTTGATATCCAAATTCTTTCTTGGAAGAGACGGTTTCTTGAAAAATGCCTCCACAAATTCAGGCTTATTTTATCATATGGTAAAATAAAATAAAGAAATGGGTAATTTGCCATACTACATGAATGCTGGCACTGGATAAAATGTCAAATATTTTGATCAAAATTATTTAGACAGTAGATTTAACTAACTTCTTGATTTTTAACTATAATGATAGACACACTTTCACAAAGATTTCATAAATGAAACCTATTAATATCATGTTTTAGTTATTAGTAATATATATGATATCAAATATCAATATTGAGTGGATATTCATTAATAATTTGGTGCTTTCAAATATGCAGATGTCTGGTTTTAATCAGATGAAATCTGGGGATAGTTGACTAAATTTGTTTCCTTTTTTCTATGCCCTGTTCAAAATCTTCCAGCCTATCTCAACATTGACTGAGGATGGGTAAAGAAATCAACTTTTTTTCAAATCTCATAGGCCTATTAAATTGTTTAATAAAAAGGTTTTCTGTCTTTCATTTTATTTACAGAGATTTAGGTCTAGTCTAATCTGTTCAACCTGTTAATCATTGTCAGGTGCCAGATTCTAATTTGTTCTCAATATGCCTGTTTGACTTTTCATTCCATATTCTTTGAGTTAAATTTCGATTACTTATTTGAATGTTATTTAATACAGCTCCTACATTTAAAATAAAACCAGCAGGTAAAATGAATTCTGGCTTAGTATAAAGAAGTTGTTACCAAATTAGTGTTACACATACAGATGGATGTGGCTCAACAACGATTTAGACAAAAGAAACAATGACTTGAACTGACATGTATGGCTGTGACTCAGCCTCTAACGAGCTTGTGAATAAATCCAGATTTCAGCACATTGATCCAGTTGCTTTCAGTACCTCTAGAAGGCGGTATATCAAGAATCCCCACGCTACTGTTTGAGAAAACAGATTCTGCTGCTACCTAAGAAATCAACTGGAAGGCATTTTTATAACCTTACACCACATAAGGAAAAGTTGAAAAGCAAACTACATCACTTGGAGAAAGATGATCTAGAATATCACTTTTAATATTTGACTATTTAAATTTTTGGTAAAATACTATCAGCCTGAAGAAGAGGAAAAATATCTTAAAAAAAAAAAAGCAAAATCTCACACACAAAAAATCTAACATCCACTAATGCATACATATTCATCTTTGTGTTGGGAAAATCTAAAGTAGAACATTTTGGTGGACTTCCTACAGCCTATTTTAACAATATAGGTATGCTGGTTACACTATTTAGATTTAATTTGAGTGAAACATATCCACACCATAAAAATATTGCTTTGTACTATTAGAGTGATAAATGTAAATGGCATCCCTAGTCCTTAAACCAACATAGATGGCAATCCAATCTCCTAGTTCCCCTAAACTGTGCCCTCATTAAGGCTCAAAGATGGAGTGAAAGGGAGCAATCCTGGAGCAAGGGAAACAAGAGGGAGAGACAGGATGGTTAGCTCTAAGGCTCAGGGATTGCCTGGAGGCCCCCGATATGAGGATGTCAACAATGACGCTTACTGGGTAATTACAGACATAAAAAAGTGAAAACACCATGACTTGAATTTGGGGATAAGGAGTCTCTGGGATCAAAAATAGTTGTGCCAAAAGGAATGAGTCAGAAGGACATGTATCTAAGGCAGTGGTTCCCAACCTTTTTGGCACCAAGAAATGATTTCCTGGAAGACTATTTTTCCAAGGATGGTGGGTAGGGGGCTGGGGGTGGTTTCTGGATTAAACTCTTCCACCTCAAATCATCAGGCATTAGACTCTCATAAAGAACTTGCATCCTGGATCCCTCGCATGCACAGTTCACAATAGGGTGCTTGCTCCTATGAGAATTTATGGCCCCACTGATCTGACAGGAGACAGAGCTCAGGTGGTAATGCTGCTTGCCTGCCACTAACCTCCTGCTATGCAGCCCAGTTCCTAATAGGCCACAGGTACCAGTCTGCTGCCCAGGAGTTGAGAACCCTGGTGGAAGGATTATTAAAAGGAATGTTTAGAAACACATTAATGTAAGTTCCAAATGTTATTAAAGTAGCAACATCCTTTTCGGTAATGTCAGCTTCCCCAAACTGTCCATGCCCTGAGAATCTGAGCTAGTGCCTAACACATGGTAGGCAATGAATTCTTAATTTTAAAAAATTTGCAGTGATTTCATGCATTTCATTGAAATCTGTTTCATGTATACATCTCATCTAGAGGCAGTACCCAGTACCTCTTTCCCTTAGTCTCTTCTGGGGTTCCCTGTTTCCTAACACCAAACTTAATTTGAACTCCAGCTATTTTGAAAACCCCCAGATGTTAATAAAAAGAGAGCAGAAATGAAGCCAAGTTACCCCAAAGAGTCCACATCCGATATACAGAACAAATGAACCCAAAACTCCACAAGCCAAACAACAGTGGGTTTTAAATTCAACCTAAATTCCAAGGTAGCAGGCAAAACTATTTGCAAAAATTAATCAAGAAACAATGAGAACCCCTAAATCTGTTACTCCAGGGGAAATAGTGAAATTCTCATTGTGGCATTTTTAAGAAAGGATAAGTACATCAAATATGACAAAATATACCTACCCAATCATAATGAAATACCTTTGAAATATGAATGACTTTATTCTTATTCTCAAGTGTTTAATATATTTAGACAACGATTTAAGGGAAAACTACTCATAGCTACCATGTAGAAGTCAAGACAGCCTGGGTGGGGGTGGAGATAGTATGTATTAATAATGAAAATTGAAGCTCCAAGGTTGTAAAATAATTTCTCCTGGTCACACAGCTACTGACCCAAATAAAGCTCAAATGTGTTTGTCTAACTCTAAAATTATGCTTTTCCCAAGGTGGACAACGTTGAAGTGACAGTTAAATCTGGCTCTCAGAGTTAGTGGTTGGGAATACATCAAGAGAAGTACTGTCATCCTTCGCTTTGTATTCTCTAACATAAACATTAACTTCTCTGATATATCAATATTCACATTTCTAACATAGCCATCTTATAATTAAGTCTACTTAAAACACCGTTAAATTGGAAATTTAAATGGTCACAAAATTACTTGTCATGAAAGCATGCATCTTTCTCAAGTTTCAGTTCCACATTACACTTCCTATCCATTCAAAATTTTTTTAAGAAATTGACATAGTCAAATAAATTTATCATATCGAACGTTTTATTTATAGTTAAAAATATTTGTATTTCAGTTCCCTGTTATATTTACTTATGATCAAATCTGAATTCCCAAACACAGTAAAAACTAAAGTATTTTTTCAGAGGTCCAAGGGACTTAAGCTTACTAGTATCCAATGCTCCCTGGTAAAACTAACAGACAAATAAAAACTCATCTTTTATCAATAATATTTTCATAGTTTTATGCCTAAGCACCTAAGCATCAGGGACAGGACTCTGAATGATATTCAATGCATATTTAAATCGACATGGTAGAAAATGTTCATCAGAGTCAAACAATTGATGGGTAGGGCAACATAATGCTCAATAAAACCATTCAGGGTATGTTTGCCAAACAAGAAGGTCTTGTAAGACCATGTGCTGCTAATGTAAAATGTTGCCTTTCTCTAACTTTAGTCTTTATTCTCAACCTTGCAACTGCCACACACTCACATACACAGAATAAGGAAAATCAACTCCTCCTTCTGGAAGGAAACGTTTCTTCTTTTATTTTATGACGTCTGCTCCTTATTGCTGTGACGGTGCGGTTGAAGCACACCCCTTCTTCACTAGATTACAAGGGTGAATTTGAATAGACAGACACTGGAGGGGACCAGCCCAGCACACTCTCTTGAATTGTCCCTTAGCTTTTCAGGCAGTTCCAGTGCCTTTGAAAAGAGTGGGAATAAAGTGACTGCTGATTAAGCAGAGGGTTTGACATGGGAATAGGTTTGTCAATTGTTTGAAAGTCACACTGCCTAGACTACAACTTTTAAAATGTAAATGCATGACACAAATACTGCCCAACAAAATAGGATGGATTTGATTGAGAAGGCCACAAAGGACAGCCAAAGCTCTATTCCAGCAATAAAGAAAAATATATATCTGGTGTCAGAGAAAGATAATGAAGTACTTGATAGATGTTATCTTCAATTTAATAATCCAAAATTATTTTTAGTTTTAGTTTCTATAACAGTTATTTCTTAAGCATTTTCAATTTCCAGAAAAATTTTTCAGATGCCTGCTTTGTCAGAATGGACTCCCTGAATAATTTTAAATAGGATAGCATAAAACACTGCTTAACAAAAATCAACTTTTCTGGTAATACATCAGTTTAATTTCCAGGCCAAAAAATAGTTAAATTTTACAAAATTCCATGCTGATCAATTTTATCAGAAGCTTCTTCCATCCAACTTAGAGAGCTCTCACAAAGATGTAGCTTTCATGTTGTGTAGGATAGGGAAGGATTGGGGGCTACACAATTGTTTCACTGATCAAGGTTGATTTTGGTCACTATTTTGTCACTAATAATGGAGAAACAAATAAGAGCCTTGATGTTAGATACATTAAAAAATACTCATTTCTTCAATCCCCAAAAATATTAATCAAAAAAGGCATCAAAATGAAGGTAATTAACACAATCATAATTTATATTTTAAAATTAAAATACTTCTAGGAATAAAAAAGGAAAGGAAAAGAAAGAAAAATATAAAAATAAATGAAAGAAAAGGGCAAGTATTATTCATAATCACTAATGTATGGAATCACCTAAGTGACACCAACAGATGAGTGGACAAAGAAAATGTAGGATATGTACACAATGGAACACTATTACAGCCCCTGAATCATTCTGTCCCTGTATCCATACATGTTATATCTGTTTTTTTATTTTTAACTTTTGCAGGCACATGGTAGGTGTATATATTTATGAGGTACATGAGATACTTTGACACAGGCATGCAAGCAATGCATAGTAATCATATAATGGTAAATGAAGCATCCATTACAAATTTGTAATACAAATTTGTCCTTTGTATTACAAACAATCCTAGTGTACTCTTTTAGTTATTTCTAAATGTACAACTTAATTATTAATGACTATAGTTCCCCTACTGTGCTATCAAATACTAGGTCTTATTATTTCTAACCATTTTTTAAAATCCAGTAACCATAATTCCTCCCCACCCCCACTACCCTTCCTCCTCACCCCCACTACCCTTCCCAGCCTCTGGTACATGCTATGTCTGCTTTAGAAGCAAATTAAATGACAAATACAATTCGTTTCTTTAAAATACTTACACAAGCATGAACATGCACACTTTTTTCACATTGCATGCCTCACTAACAAAACCTTCAAACTTCTGCTTTAGACATTTCTGTTTTTCAAAATTCCATCATGGCAGGAAAAATAGATTTTTCTCTTTTTTTTATTTTTTGGTTTTATTTTTTTGAGACGGAGTCTCGCTCTGCGCCCAGGCTGGAGTGCAGTGGCACGATCTGGGCTCACTGCAAGCTCCGCCTCCCGGGTTCACGCCATTCTCCTGCCTCAGCCTCCCGAGTAGCTGGGACTACAGGCGCCCGCCACGGCGCCCGGCTAATTTTTTTGTATTTTTAGTAGAGACGGGGTTTCACCGTCGTCTCGATCTCCTGACCTCGTGATCTACCCGCCTCGGCCTCCCAAAGCGCTGGGATTACAGGCGTAAGCCACGGCGCCCGGCCTTTTCTTTTTTTCTTTTTTTTTTTTTACTCTTCCCACGCTATGTCTGTATAGCAGCACTTCCTCCCTCTCTTATATTTCTTGCAGGAAGCTCAGATCCCTTGTTGTCTAGGTGCCCTGCACAAACTACTCGCCCACCCAAAGCCATAACTGATCTCAACAAAAGATGCCTTCTACATCAATGAACCCAAACTCTGAGAAGGCATTTAAATAATCTTCTGTTATTTGCCCATGCCCTTTAGTCTTATCTCTCTCTTCAGCCAACTTCTAGATAGAATTATTCAAATACAAAGCTCTCAACAAAAGGAATGGCTTTTCCACATCCGCCTTCCGACCATGTTACAAAAGTTTGCAAGCAGACTTTACCACTTCCAAATCAGTTGTAAAATATAACTGCGAAGATTATGGCCAGAGACCGGGCGTGGTAGCTCACGCCTGTAATCCCAGCATTTTGAGAGGACAAGGCGGTGGATCACTTAAGGTCAGGAGTTCAAGACCAGACTGGCCAACCCAGTGAAAATCCACCTCTACTAGAAATATGAAAATTATCCAGGTGTGCTGGCGGGCGCCTGTAATCCCAGCTACTCAGGAGGCTGAGCACAAGAATCGCTTGAACCTGGGAGGTGGAGGTTGGAGTGAGCTGAGATTGCGCAACTGCACTCCAGCCTGGGCAACAGAGTGAAACTCCATGTCAAAAAAAAAAAAAAAAAAAAAAAAGATTATGGCCAGAGACTCATCATTTAAATAAGTATTTTATTTGCTTGAAAAACTCAGATCAATAAAGACATCTAAAGCAAAATGGACTCAAATGTGTCTTCCCTACATCTCTTACCTTAATAAATACGTTATTCTCTTCTCAGTTTTGATTCTTCAGGGTATTGAATCATATATTGAAGAATGTAGCTGCTATACTGAAAAACCCTGAAGTCACAGAGGCTTAACAAAGTAGTATACTTCCTGCTCACATCACCATCCCCCTTTTTTTTTTTTTTTTCTGATTCAGAGGACTTCATGGTGATCTGTCAGGCAACAGATCTCTCTTCATCTTCTGGCTGCCTCCTCTTTCTTCAGCCAGTGAATAAAATAGAGATTGAGAGAAGACACATTTGCTTCTTATCCACACATCACTTCCACTCATCATTCTACATTGGAGAATTATTCACGTGCCCCCTTGCCTCCAGATTCAAGGTGGGGAGAGCTGAGAAAAGTAAGTCCCTGGCTGGACAGCCACTTCTCAGCAATAAAACTATGCAATAGAATAAATGTATTAATCTTTGGTGGAAAGCTAGCATCTTTCCTACAAAATAATCATATGCAGCAATAGTAAAATGCTTGTGGTAAAAAAAAATGGTTCATTTTGGCCAGGCACCGTGGTTCACGCCTGTAATCCCGGCACTTTTGGAGGCCGAGGCAGGTGGATCACCTGAGGTCGGGAGTTCAAGACCAGCCTGACCAACAGTGAGAAACCCCATCTCTACTAAAAATACAAAATTAGGCGGGCGTGGTGGCACATACCTGTAATCCCAGCTACTCGGGAGGCTGAGGCAGGAGAATGGCTTGAACCAGGGAGGTGGAGGTTGTGGTGAGCCGAGATTGCACCATTGCACTCTAGCCTGGGCAACAAGAGCGAAAACTCAAAAACATAAATAAATAAAATAAAAATTTAAAAATGGTTCATTTTGTTGATATCTATTGAGCTCATGGATTATATTTGACTAAAAGCTGACAACAGAATAAAAAGAACATTGTTTGAAATAAGAATGTTAATAAGCTATTCTAATGATATAAGTAAAAATATTGTGACCTTATAGTCTTGTCTATAGTTGTATAACATTGAGTGCTACTTTTCACTAAAAATTGTATTTCATGTAAGTATTCAATTTTCATCATCCTCTTTCACTGTTTCAATGCCTTTTTTACCTCTTATCAGTGGAAAACAGGCCAGCTGTTGCCAGGAAAACATGTGGTGATACTGCTGCTTTAATGATGATGAAGAACACTTGTTTGGGTGAATTTTTTTTTTTTTTTTTTTTTTTTTTTTTTTGATAGAGAGTCTCACTCTTCCACCCAGTTTGGAGTGCAGTAGTGCGATCTCGGCTCACTGCAACCTCCGCCTCCTGGGTTCAAGCAATTCTCCTGCCTCAGCCTCTTGAGTAGCTGGGATTACATGCATGCACCACCACCCCTGGCTAATTTTTGTATTTTTAGTAGAGACAGGGTTTCACCATGTTAGCCAGGCTGATCTCAAACTCCTGACCCTAGGTGATCTGCCCGCCTCAACCTCCCAAAGTGCTGGGATTACAGGTATGAGCCATTGTGCCTGGCTGAGTGATTCTTATATCCCAAACACTGTTTTTTTTTGTTTGTTTGTTTTTTTACTTTTACTTTAGGTACAAGGGGTACATGTGCAGGTTGGTTACATTGGTAAATTGTGTGTTGCTGAGGTTTGATATATGAATGATCTGCCACCCAGGTGGTGAGCACAGTACCTGATGGCTAGTTTTTCAAACCTTGCCCAGCTTCCTCCTTCCCCTTCTAGTAGTTCCCAGTGTCTATTGCTCCCATCTTTGCAGACACTGTTGTTTGTATATTACATACAAACTCTTTTAATCCTGCTACAATCCCATAAGGTAGAAATTGTTACATTCACCCTCTTAGCAAATGAGAAAACTGAAATTTAAATTACCAGTATAATGTAATCCACAAGTGGCAGAGCAGACATTTGAAATCAAGGAGTTTGGCTCCAGAGCCCAAGCTTTTAAACAATATGCCATATACTCTATTTTAAATAAACTGCTCTTTTCCCCAAAGAGCCCCAGCTCCATCAGAACACATGAGAACAGAATCTGCAAGAATTTTTACACCTATGGTATCTACACCTCCTCAAAGATCCCTAATCTTTCTCTGTGTGTCAAAAACTATTTTAATGAAACTTCACTTTCTTTCCATTCTTGATAATAAATTGATGAGTGTATGGAACCAAAAAGGTTGTCATTATAGGTTTGTATCCAAGAAAGAAATAGGTTTTGTAGAAGAGTAAGTAATGTTCTTAGGCTATAAAGAAGGTCTGTTTGCTAGAACTTAAAATGGGAGGGAATATGATTTCTAGGCATCTCCATTAGCAACTTCTAATTTTCATAAAGTACAATGGAAAGCAGTTTCAGTGGAATTTTACCATGATATCCATCATAGCAAAATTCTTCTCAACATAGGACTAGAAGGAAGGTTCCTTAACCTGATAGAGTATCTACAAAATCATACAATAAACATTAGACTTAATGGTAAATTATTTAAATGGTGAATTATGGCCATTTCTGTTCAACATTTAGCTGAGTTCCTAGCTAGTACAAGAAAACAAGTAAAAGAAATAATACTCATGTGAATGAAAAAAGAGAACTAAATCTGTAATTATTAGCTAAGTTTTTAAAATGATTTTTTATGTAGAAACGTCAAAAAGTATTCAGAAAACAGTAACAAAAAAGTAAGCTTAGCAAGATTTTTGAATATGACAACAAATTAAATTATATTTATACATACCTATCATTTAAAAATAGAAAATGGATTATTTTTAAAGATAATACTTCAAATAACATTAAAAAACATACAGCTAATAAAATGTATGCCAGTTTTACTCTGAAAATTAAAAAACATGAAGACATTAAAGATGACCTAATAAAATGAAAGAAGAAATCATGTTCTTAGATTAAAAGTTCCAATAATGTAAATTTTTCAGTTATGCTCCAAATGATATATAAATTTAATGCAATCTCAAATCCCATTAGTCTGTTTGGAAATTGACAAGTTGATGTTAAAATTTAAATCCAAATGCAAAAGTTACCCATTTAAAGCAATCTGTGGAAGAAAATATCTGGAGGATTTACATTATCAAATATCAAGTCCCATTATAAGCTGTATTAGTTAAAAAGTGATTTGTGACAAGAATAGATGAATAAACCAATAGAGAAGAACAGGGAGTTCTGAAGGAGACCCACATATACAAGAAAAGGTGGATTTATACTGTATCATAACTAAACTGGAATTACGTTTCTTAACATTCCCTTTCCTGTGTATTTCCTTATCGATGTGGACAACAAGAGACATTTGGCATGAGATTTGGAGCCTGGAGGTGAAGCAGCAGGCACATTTTTAAAAACATATTCCCAAAGTCTGTACAGAGTACAGGTGCTGTTGTAGCTCATTCACACTGTCACTTACCTGGTGGCTCGCTTATTGGTTCAGGGCAGCAGCTGGACCTGCAGCTGCAGCAGTTCCTCCTTCGGTTTCCCTGAGCCCTGGACTAGACGTGTTAGCTCCATAGGAAGCACATCCACTTTTGCAGATCCATCACTGCAGGTGGGGTTTTGGAAGTAATGAGACTCACCTGAGTTTCAGTTTATCTGTTCAGGTTTTATCTCATCCTCATAGGGTCCAGTTGACAATACTTTCCCTACTTTATAACCATATTTCCTTTCTGTTTGGCTATCTGGAACCAGACACAGAAGCAATAACCTCATATAGGCTGTTCAACCAGCCTCCACAATTGCACATGGGCAAATCCATTTAATAAACCTTTATGTATTTGCTTATCTTCTACTGATGGTGCTTCTCTGATTGAATCCTGATTGATATCCCTTGATTTATGACAATAACAATACTGTTGTACAGAGGAAATTTTTTTCAATAACCTGTACTAGGTCATGTAAATACCCTTCTTGGGAAAAAAATTTTTTTGACTATTACAAGTCAACTCCAGAGGGGTTCTAGATTTAAATTTGTGTGCGCACGCACACACACACGCGTGTGCACACACACATATATATACGTATATACATATTTTAGTATATATATACATATATTAGTGTATATATACGTATATATATGTGTATATATACGTATATATACACATATATATGAGTATATATATATAACATAACAATTGATTAATTGGGCTACTTTAAAACTGAATACTTCAGTTCATCAAAATACACTGTAAAGAGAGTCTAAAGGCAAATCATGTAGTAAGAGAAGATGATTGCAATCTATACATCAAAGGATTTGTATTCAGAATTTATAATGAAGTCCCACACAGCAATTTAAAAAGGCAACACTGTACTTACTGAAAATATGAGCAAAAAATTAAATAAGCTCTTCAAAGAATATTCAAGGGGAGGAGCCAAGATGGCTGAATAGGAACAGCTCCGGTCTATAGTTCCCAGCATGAGCGACGCAGAAGACAGTGATTTCTGCATTTCCATCTGAGGTACCGGGTTCATCTCACTAGGGAGTGCCAGACAGTGGGCGCAGGTCAGTGGGTGCGTGCACCGTGCGCGAGCAGAAGCAGGGCGAGGCATTGCCTCACTTGGGAAGTGCAAGGGGTCAGGGAGTTCCCTTTCCGAGTCAAAGAAAGGGGTGACGGACGGCACCTGGAAAATCGGGTCACTCCCACCCGAATACTGCGCTTTTCTGATGGGCTTAAAAAACGGCGCACCACGAGATTATATCCCACACCTGGCTTGGAGGGTCCTAAGCCCACGGAGTCTCGCTGACTGCTAGCACAGCAGTCTGAGATCAAACTGCAAGGCGGCAGCGAGGCTGGGAGAGGGGCGCCAGCCATTGCCCAGGCTTGCTTAGGTAAACAAAGCCGCAGGGAAGCTCGAACTGGGCGGAGCCCACCACAGCACAAGGAGGCCTGCCTGCCTCTGTAGGCTCCACCTCTGGGGGCAGGGCACAGACAAACAAAAAGACAGCAGTAACCTCTGCAGACTTAAATGTCCATGTCTGACAGCTTTGAAGAGAGCAGTGGTTCTCCCAGCACGCAGCTGGAGATCTGAGAACGGGCAGACTGCCTCCTCAAGTGGGTCCATGACCCCTGACCCCTGACCCCTGACCCCTGAGCAACCTAACTGGGAGGCACCCCCCAGCAGGGGCACACTGACACCTCACACGGCAGGGTACTCCAACAGACCTGCAGCTGAGGGTCCTGTCTGTTAGAAGGAAAACTAACAAACAGAAAGGACATCCACACCAAAAACCCATCTGTAAATCACCATCATCAAAGACCAAAAGTAGATAAAACCACAAAGATGGGGAAAAAACAGAACAGAAAAACTGGAAACTCTAAAAAGCAGAGCACGTCTCCTCCTCCAAAGGAACACAGTTCCTCACCAGCAATGGAACAAAGCTGGATGGAGAATGACTTTGAAGAGCTGGGAGAAAAAGGCTTCAGACGATCAAATTACTCTGAGCTACGGGAGGACATTCAAACCAAAGGCAAAGAAGTTGAAAACTTTGAAAAAAATTTAGAAGAATGTATAACTAGAATAACCAATACACAGAAGTGCTTAAAGGAGCTGATGGAGCTGAAAACCAAGGCTCGAGAACTACATGAAGAATGCAGAAGCCTCAGGAGCCGATGCCATCAACTGGAAGAAAGGGTATCAGCAATGGAAGATGAAATGAATGAAATGAAGCGAGAAGGGAAGTTTAGAGAAAAAAGAATAAAAAGAAATGAGCAAAGCCTCCAAGAAATATGGGACTATGTGAAAAGACCAAATCTACGTCTGATTGGTGTACCTGAAAGTGATGTGGAGAATGGAACCAAGTTGGAAAACACTCTGCAGGATATTATCCAGGAGAACTTCCCCAATCTAGCAAGGCAGGCCAACGTTCAGATTCAGGAAATACAGAGAACGCCACAAAGATACTCCTCGAGAAGAGCAACTCCAAGACACATAATTGTCAGATTCACCAAAGTTGAAATGAAGGAAAAAAATGTTAAGGGCAGCCAGAGAGAAAGGTTGGGTTACCCTCAAAGGGAAGCCCATCAGACTGACAGCGGATCTCTCGGCAGAAACCCTACAAGCCAGAAGAGAGTGGGGGCCAATATTCAACATTCTTAAAGAAAAGAATTTTCAACCCAGAATTTCATATCCAGCCAAACTAAGCGTCATAAGTGAAGGAGAAATAAAATACTTTACAGACAAGCAAATGCTGAGAGATTTTGTCACCACCAGGCCTGCCCTAAAAGAGCTCCTGAAGGAAGCGCTAAACATGGAAAGGAACAACCGGTACCAACAGCTGCAAAGTCATGCCAAAATGTAAACACCATCAAGACTAGGAAGAAACTGCATCAACTAACGAGCAAAATAACCAGCTAACATCATAATGACAGGATCAAATTCACACATAACAATATTAACTTTAAATGTAAATGGACTAAATGCTCCAATTAAAAGACACAGACTGGCAAACTGGATAAAGAGTCAAGACCCATCAGTGTGCTGTATTCAGGAAACCCATCTCACGTGAAGATACACACATAGGCTCAAAATAAAAGGATGGAGGAAGATCTACCAAGCAAATGGAAAACGAAAAAAGGCAGGGGTTGCAATCCGAGTCTCTGATAAAACAGACTTTAAATCAACAAAGATCAAAAGAGACAAAGAAGGCCATTACATAATGGTAAGGGATCAATTCAACAAGAAGAGCTAACTATCCTAAATATATATGCACCCAATACAGGAGCACCCAGATTCATAAAGCAAGTCCTGAGTGACCTACAAAGAGACTTAGACTCCCACACATTAATAATGGGAGACTTTAACACCCCACTGTCAACATTAGACAGATCAATCAGACAGAAAGTCAACAAGGATACCCAGGAATTGAACTCAGCTCTGCACCAAGCGGACGTAATAGACATCTACAGAACTCTCCACCCCAAATCAACAGAATATACATGTTTTTCAGCACCACACCACACCTATTCCAAAATTGACCACATACTTGGAAGTAAAGCTCTCCTCAGCAAATGTAAAAGAACAGAAATTATAACAAACTATCTCTCAGACCACAGTGCAATCAAACTAGAACTCAGGATTAAGAATCTCACTCAAAACCGCTCAACTACATGGAAACTGAACAACCTGCTCCTGAATGACTACTGGGTACATAATGAAATGAAGGCAGAAATAAAGATGTTCTTTGAAACCAATGAGAACAAAGACACAACATACCAGAATATCTGGGACGCATTCAAAGCAGTGTGTAGAGGGAAATTTATAGCACTAAATGCCCACAAGAGAAAGCAGGAAAGATCCAAAATTGACACCCTAACATCACAATTAAAAGAACTAGAAAAGCAAGAGCAAACACATTCAAAAGCTAGCAGAAGCCAAGAAATAACTAAAATCAGAGCAGAACTGAAGGAAATAGAGACACAAAAAACCCTTCAAAAAATTAATGAATCCAGGAGCTGGTTTTTTGAAAGGATCAACAAAATAGATAGACCACTAGCAAGACTAATAAAGAAAAAAAGAGAGAAGAATCAAATAGACGCAATAAAAAATGATAAAGGGGATATCACCACCAATCCCACAGAAATACAAACTACCATCAGAGAATACTACAAACACCTCTATGCAAATAAACTAGAAAATCTAGAAGAAATGGATAAATTCCTCGACACATACACCCTCCCAAGACTAAACCAGGAAGAAGTTGAATCTCTGAATAGACCAATAACAGGATCTGAAATTGTGGCAATAATCAATAGCTTACCAACCAAAAAGAGTCCAGGACCAGATGGATTCACAGCCGAATTCTACCAGAGGTACAAGGAGGAACTGGTACCATTCCTTCTGAAACTATTCCAATCAATAGAAAAAGAGGGAATCCTCCCTGACTCAATTTATGAGGCCAGCATCATTCTGATGCCAAAGCCAGGCAGAGACACAACAAAAAAAGAGAATTTTAGACAAATATCCTTGATGAACATTGATGCAAAAATCCTCAATAAAATACTGGCAAACCGAATCCAGCAGCACATCAAAAAGCTTATCCACCATGATCAAGTGGGCTTCATCCCTGGGATGCAAGGCTGGTTCAATATATGCAAATCAATAAATGTAATCCAGCATATAAACAGAGCCAAAGACAAAAACCACATGATTATCTCAATAGATGCAGAAAAAGCCTTTGACAAAATTCAACAACGCTTCATGCTAAAAACTCTCAATAAATTAGGTATTATGGGACATATTTCAAAATAATAAGAGCTATCTATGACAAACCCACAGCCAATATCATACTGAATGGGCAAAAACTGGAAGCATTCCCTTTGAAAACTGGCACAAGACAGGGATGCCCTCTCTCACCACTCCTATTCAACATAGTGTTGGAAGTTCTGGCCAGGGCAATTAGGCAGGAGAAGGAAATAAAGGGTATTCAATTAGGAAAAGAGGAAGTCAAATTGTCCCTGTTTGTAGACGACATGATTGTATATCTAGAAAACCCCATCATCTCAGCCCAAAATCTCCTTAAGCTGATAAGCAACTTCAGCAAAGTCTCAGGATACAAAATCAATGTACAAAAATCACAGGCATTCTTATACACCAACAACAGACAAACAGAGAGCCAAATTATGAATGAACTCCCATTCACAATTGCTTCAAAGAGAATGAAATACCTAGGAATCCAACTTACAAGGGATGTGAAGGACCTCTTCAAGGAGAACTACAAACCACTGCTCAAGGAAATAAAAGAGGATACAAACAAATGGAAGAACATTCCATGCTCATGGGTAGGAAGAATCAATATCGCGAAAATGGCCATACTGCCCAAGGTAATTTACAGATTCAATGCCATCCCCATCAAGCTACCAATGCCTTTCTTCACAGAATTGGAAAAAACTACTTTAAAGTTCATATGGAACCAAAAAAGAGCCCGCATCACCAAGTCAATCCTAAGCCAAAAGAACAAAGCTGGAGGCATCACAGTACCTGACTTCAAACTATACTACAAGGCTACAGTAATCAAAACAGCATGGTACTGGTACCAAAACAGAGATATAGATCAATGGAACAGAACAGAGCCCTCAGAAATAACGCCGCATATCTACAACTATGTGATCTTTGACAAACCTGAGAAAAACAAGCAATGGGGAAAGGATTCCCTATTTAATAAATGGTGCTGGGAAAACTGGCTAGCCATATGTAGAAAGCTGAAACTGGATCCCTTCCTTACACCTTATACAAAAATCAATTCAAGATGGATTAAAGACTTAAACGTTAGACCTAAAACCATAAAAACCCTGGAAGAAAACCTAGGCATTACCATTCAGGACATAGGCATGGGCAAGGACTTCATGTCTAAAACACCAAAATCCATGGCAACAAAAGCCAAAATGGACAAATGGGATCTAATTAAACTCAAGGGCTTCTGCCCAGCAAAAGAAACTACCATCAGAGTGAACAGGCAACCTACAAAATGGGAGAAAATTTTCGCAACCTACTTATCTGACAAAGGGCTAATATCCAGAATCTACAAAGAACTCAAACAAATTTACAAGAAAAAAACAAACAACCCCATCAAAAAGTGGGTGAAGGACATGAACAGACACTTCCCAAAAGAAGACATTTATGCAGCCAAAAAACACATGAAAAAATGCTCATCATCACTGGCCATCAGAGAAATGCAAATCAAAACCACAATGAGATACCATCTCACACCAGTTAGAATGGCAATCATTAAAAAGTCAGGAAACAACAGGTGCTGGAGAGGATGTGGAGAAATAGGAACACTTTTTACACTGTTGGTGGGACTGTAAACTAGTTCAACCATTGTGGAAGTCAGTGTGGCGATTCCTCAGGGATCTAGAACTGGAAATACCATTTGACCCAGCCATCCCATTACTGGGTATATACCCAAAGGATTATAAATCATGCTGCTATAAAGACACATGCACACGTATGTTTATTGCGGCATTATTCACGATAGCAAAGACTTGGAACCAACCCAAATGTCCAACAATGATAGACTGGATTAAGAAAATGTGGCACATATACACCATGGAATACTATGCAGCCATAAAAAATGATGAGTTCATGTCCTTTGTAGGGACATGGATGAAGTTGGAAAACATAATTCTCAGTAAACTATCACAAGAACAAAAAACCAAACACCACATATTCTCACTCATAGGTGGGAATTGAACAATGAGATCACATGGACACAGGAAGGGGAATATCACACTCTGGGGACTGTTGTGGGGTGGGGGGAGGGGGGAGGGATAGCATTTGGAGATATACCTAATGCTAGATGACGAGTTAGTGGGTGCAGTGCACCAGCATGGCACATGTATACATATGTAACTAACCTGCACAATGTGCACATGTACCCTAAAACTTAAAGTATAATTAAAAAAAAAAGAAAAAAAAAAGAATATTCAAATGTCCAATAAGTATATGAAAAAGTGCTCAACTTTTTAAAAAAGACCGCTGAAAAATGAGAATTCAAACCACAAAGAAACCCTTGCACATTTACCAAATTATCAAAACTGAAAAAGTCAAACAAAATCAAATGTTGGCAAAGATATGGAGTAACTAGAACTCTCATTGATTGCT
This sequence comes from Homo sapiens, assembly GCF_000001405.40. Lineage (NCBI taxonomy): Eukaryota > Metazoa > Chordata > Mammalia > Primates > Hominidae > Homo > Homo sapiens. The sequence continues at coordinate 120,250,540 of NC_000004.12, read as the reverse complement.
GGTGAGATTTAAACTGGTTTAACCATTTTGGAAAACTGATAAAATCTAAATATATGCATTCCTTATGATTCAGTAATTCCACTTCTAAGTATATATTTGACAGAAATGCATAGACAAATGAACCAAATGACATGTATAAGAAGGTTCATAGCAGTGCCATTTATAGTGGCTAAAAAACTGGAAACAACCATTTATCAAAGTAGAATACATAATAATTTCTAGTATATGCATGTGTGAAATTATATACAGCAATGAAATTAAATGAACTACACGTCCACATAACAAAATGAACTAACACACATGAACTGATTAAAAGATGTTAGCTAAAACAGAGCATAGATATTCCTCCAACTTATGATTGGGTTACATCCTGATAAACCCATCATAAGTTGGAAATATCACAAGTTGAAACTGCAGTTAATACGCCTAACCTACTGAACATCATAGCTTAGCTTAGCCTACTTTAAACATGCTCAGAACACTTAGAGTAGCCTACAGTTGGGCAAAAGCATACAATACAAAGCCTATTTTATAACAGACTGTTGAATATCTCATGTAATATATTAAATAACATACTGAAAGTGAAAAACAGGATAGTAGTGTGGGTTCTCACCATTAACGTACACAGCCGAAAGCTCACTGTGCCTGAAGAATGTTTGAAGCATGGAACTAAAATTAATTTCTGGATGATGAGAAAGCTGCAGAGACAGTGTCATCAATCTCTCTTCTGAGGAGTCTCAAGAACAGCTGGTAGAAGGCACTGGAGCATCCTACGCTTGATAGTTTAGCAGGTGTGATGTTCTTTGAGAGGAAGTCAAGTATCTATTTACCCTAATCATGTGGCAGACTTGGAACTGCAGCTCATTGCCACTGCTCAGTATTGCAAAGGAATATTGTACCACATATCACTAGTCTGAGAAAATATCAAAATTCAAAAGTCAAGTACAGCTTCTACTGAATGTATATCACTTTTGCACCAACATAAAGTAGAAAAGCCATAAGTCAAACCATGGTAAGTCAGGGACTGTGTGTACATATTTTATGATTCCATTTACATAAAGTTCACAAAGAGAAAACTAAGGGACTTATTACTGGAAGAGGACATAAGGAAGCTTCTGGGGGGGCTGATACTCTATTTCATTATCTGATTACTGGTTACATGCATGTATTCAATTTGTAAAAATGTATCAAGGTGTTCACTTAGGATCTATGCACTTTTCTGTATGTATACTGTACCTAAATTAAAAGTTATATTTTAAAATGATATCATTTATTGAACATAATTTAGATCATTGTTTTGTCTAATTTAGATCATTGTTTTGTCTAAGGACAGACATTTAGCACTGACAGAGGCAGGATAACTACAGCAGTCTGAGTCCACTGTCCATACTCTCAAAACACTACGGTATTCTTATATCTTAGTTTGCTTGCACTGCTACTACAAAATACCATAAACTGAATAGCTTACAAACAGCAGATATTTATTTCTCACAGTTCAAGAAGCTGGGAAGTCCCAGATCAAGGCACCAGCCAATTTGGAATCTGGTTAGGGTCTGTTTCCTGATTCATGGACAGCTGTCTTCTGACTGCATCCTCACATGGTGGAAGAGGTGAGGGTCTCTGTGGGACCTGTTATATAAGGGCACTAATCCCATTCATAACAGTTCTGCCCCTGTTATGCCGCTGAACACCATGACCTAATCACCACCAAAATGCTTCACCCCCTAATCCATCCCCTTGGGGTTTGGGATTTCAACATATGAAGTTTGAGGAGACACAAACATTCAGACCATAGCACCTATGAATTCCCATATTATTAATAAGCAAAGGATTTTTTTCACTGGGTAGGGATACTCAATATTCATTATAAGATGTAATTTCTTTGGAAATATCTGCACCAGTTTCCAAGAAATCAATGTAAAATAGAACTTAGAGTAATATTTGATCTCAAGTTAGGAACCCCAGCTTTAATATTTAATAGAGTTAAATATAGAATTACTGTTTAGAGCAACATGACAGTAATAACAGAAAATACTACGAAGAAACAAAATACACATTTAGACCACAAAAATTTGAAGGAGGCTTCTAGGACATTGTCACAAGTTTCCTATTCTTTGAGAGTTATCCAAGTAACAAATATGTCTTACACACTCTATGATGGAAACCTATAGGGATTTAATTCTAAATGCCTGGTAAAGCTGTAAGCTAAGTGATTGTACACCAGATTAGCATTCCAAGAGATTGTGGAAGTTAATGTAATAATTAAGAATACCAAGAGTGTTTTAGATTAAAAAAGATGACAGCTACTAATGTGTTGAAAGGTTTATTTGAGGATTTTAGAAGGTTTTGAGCCAAGCCTATTTTTTGAGAGTGTGTCTAAAGACTTCCATTCCTCCAGAATACTGCTGAATTTTTTAAAAGCATAACCATCACTCAACTGAAAAATAAATTTGTCAGCATAAAACAACTTTTATTTCCTTCATTCATCCAATCATTTATTCAGCCATCCCTCAACCCCCTTCTCAGTGCCAGGTATTCCATTAAAAACTGGACACAAAAGGATAAATAAAACATAATCCTTGCCTTAAAGCACCTTCCAATCTGAGAAGATTCGTAATCTGATGTAATATCAAGATTACAGCCGAAAATCCCAAACTGCTGAACACCGCAATCTAAGTTATAATTTCTTGAGAGTCATATTGCCACAGTAGCTAACATTTATTGAGTGCTTATTGTGTCTTCCTATAGAGTGAACCAAATACTCATTATCACAAAGCTAGTAATTCCAGCCTCTGTGTGTGTGTGTGTGTGTGTGTGTGTGTGTGTGTGTGTACAGAGTCCTCATTCTAGACTGTCACACAAAATTAACCCTGAGATCCATGGAAACATGGAATAGGGTGGCTAAAGAAATGATACTGTCAATGTAACTGCTGGAGATCCTAACACAGGAGTGTATCTCAGTGTGAAAATTACACTGTAGTTTTCACTATGAAGAAATGTGCTTTCTGTGAAATGGATATTTCTCCTTCATATTCTCATTCAGTTCTTAGAGGACTATTCTACCTGTGTACATATTGTCTAGATATATATAATACATCAGTTCTAAGGGTGAAATGACTAACTTATTTCAATGTTACCTTTAAAAAGAAAATGTTTCTTCCATCGTATCCTGGCTTGTGCAATGAAACTGCCTCCTGTTTCCAGCACTTGGAACTGTGGGTGTGCACAATGGTTTCCTGTCAGCCCCAGGTCATGGACGTGGGGAAAGGAGATTGTTCCCCTTCTCCTCTGGCCCACCCACCCCCATTCTGGGCCCTCGGGTGCTCCGTTTACAAGGTTGAATACCCAACAACAGAACCTTGTTACCACAGATGCAGACCTTCACAAGGGGGCATGGGTCACATTAGCTCTTTTGTTCTGCCTATTTTCTAAAACATGCAGTCTCTTTCAATTTCCACATCTTTCTCCTTGGCTTGCCCTCCCTCTTCCTTCTGCAAATCCACCCTTTTCTGCCTTGATGCACTTCCCCTATTATGTTGCTTTCCTTGCAAAACAAAACTTAGCAAGGAGGCACATAGTAAAAATTCAAATGGTTATTTGAGATGGTTGTGATGTTGTGTGAGGCAGATGGAAAATTAGCAACTGCATCCTGCTAACAAGGACACAGATATCTCTTCCAGTGTCCTAACAGACACAGTAGATCTTGCTAAGATCTCTGGGTACTGGAAAGACTGCTGCAGAGAAACACCGGCAAGATTTTTCACAACCCCATGGGATGCCTACCCTCATGAAGAATTGGGGTACACACCATTGGCACTATGTGGAGATGTTAGTACAGCAGCGTCTGCCTCCTCCACGTTCTCCATACTGCTGCCTCTGGATGCATGGGTGGGATCAGTGAGAGTTAAGTTAATGGATGTTGGTGCTATCAGTAGCCATAGTAGACTTTAAACATGGCTTGTTTCCTACCCAGGATTTTCTCACCTCCCTTTGACTCACCTATATTCAACACAGTCTTTTCTGATAGTAACAATGGTATCTATGCTTCCTGGGTATAGACATTTATGCACCCCACCCTGAACTCAATGACATTAACAGCAATCGCCACTGGCCCACCCTGTGAAATCCCCAAATCACACTTCAGGAAAGGCCTCCAGCAAATAGAGAAGAACTAAACATGCTCTAAAAATATATCAGAAAGGTGAAACTATGATTAAATAAAACTATGATGTCATATGTATTTGTATGCACTAGCATTTCCTGCTAAAGTCAAAATTCCTGAGGAGCAGAACATTATATAAATAGGAAAATAGGTCCATTTAACACAGCAGCTGAAGACAGGCCAGGCTACGAGATACAGAAAAGGGAGTAAATGCCTAAAACATGTGATCAGACAGCACAATTACTTCTGTTATTCATCCAGCATCTACTCTTGCATAGCTACTGAATGTTCCCCATAATTCCAATCTCCTTAGTGAAACATAAAGACAAATGAAATTAATTATTAGATGAAAAAGAAGAGATTTTAATAAGCTATTTTATTATTGTTTCTTTGCATTATTAGTTGCTTGGTATTCAGTGATTTTCCTAATTAAAAGAATTAAATTAACAAAAATCTTCCCAATCTTGTACTAATTATTTTAAAGAAAGAAAGGAAGAATGTGAAACATTTTAAACATTCTTTTAAAAATATAGAATGCACTCCAAATAAAAGTCTCCCTTTGTTATTTTCTCCCATCCCCAAATTCATGTTCCAAATGTCATTTTACAACTTGGCACATTTACATTTAAAGTAAATATTTGAAACCATGTTTAAAAGTCATTGTAATATGTTGCAGGAAGTCAAGGACCCCGAATGGAGGGACTGGCTGGAGCCGCCGCAGAGGAACATAAATTGTGAAGATTTCATGGACATTTATCCGTTCCCAAATAATACTTTTATAATTTCTTACGACTGTCTTTACTTTAGTTTCTTAATCCTGTTATCTTCGTAAGCTGAGGATGTACATCAGCTCAGGACCACTATGATAATTGTGTTAACTGTACAAATTGATTGTAAAACATGTGTGTTTGAACAATATGAAATCAGTGCACCTTGAAAAACAACAGAATAACAGCGACTTTTAGGGAACAAGGGAAGACAACCGTAAGGTCTGACTGCCTGTGGGGTTGGGCAAAAAGAGTCATATCTTTCTTCTTGCAGAAAGCCTATAAACGGACGTGCAAGTAGGAGAGATATCACTAAATTCTTTTCCTAGCAAGGAATATTACTATTAATACCCTGGGAAAGGAATGCATTCCTGGGGAGAGGTCTATAAATGGCCATTCTGGGAGTGTCTGTCTTATTTGGTTGAGATAAGGACTGAGATATGCCCTGGTCTCCTGCAGTACCCTCAGGCTTATTAGGGTGGGGAAAAGCTCCACCCTGGTAAATTTGTGGTCAGACCGGGTCCTGCTCTTGAACCCTGTTTTCTGTTGTTTAAGATGTTTATTAAGACAATACATGCATGGCTGAACATAGACCCTTATCAGTAGTTCTGCTTTGCCTTTGTCCTATTCCCTCAGAAGCATGTGACCTTTGTTCTGTTTTTTGCCCTTTGAAGCATGTGATCTTTGTACCTACTCCCTGTTTTACACCCCTTCCCCTTTTGAAACCCTTAATAAAAAACTTGCCAGTTTGAGCCTCAGGTGGGCATCACAGACCTACCGATATGTGATGTCACCCCTGGCAGCCCAGCTATAAAATTCCTCTCTTTGTACTCTTTCTCTTTATTTCTCAGCCGGCTGACACTTATGGAAAAACAGAAAGAACCTACATTGAAATGTTGGGGGCAGATTCCCCCGATATAGGAGCACAACATTATATAAATAGGAAAATAGGTCCAGTTAACATAGCAGCTGAAGACAGGCTGGGCTACGACATACAGAAAAGGGAGTAAATGCCTAAAACATGTGATCAGACAGCACAATTACTTCTGTTATTCATCCAGCATCTACTCTTGCATAGCTACTGAATGTTCCCCATAATTCCAATCTCCTTAGTGAAACATAAAGACAAATGAAGCTAATTATTAGATGAAAAAGAAGAGATTTTAATAAGCTATTTTATTATTGTTTCTTTGCATTATTAGTTGCTTGGTATTCAGTGATTTTCCTACTTAAAAGAATTAAACTAATAAAAATCTTCCCAATCTTGTACTAATTATTTTAAAGAAAGGAAGAATGTGAAACATTTTAAACATTCTTTTAAAAATATAGAATGCACTCCAAATAAAAGTCTGCCTTTGTTATTTTCTCCCATCCCCAAATTCATGTTCCAAATGTCATTTTACAACTTGGCACATTTACATTTAAAGTAAATATTTGAAACTATGTTTAAAAGTCATTGTAATAGGCATCAGCAAGTGGTCTTTATTAAGACAATTTGAAAGAAACGCCTCATAACGTTCTCTTGTTCATATAATACTTTCAGAGTTTGTATTAAACAACTGAATGCAGAATATACTGACAGGGAGAAAGCCCCTAAGTTGTTACAATATACAGATTGATTGTGGCATTTGTAATAGAAGTTGAGCTATTAAGGAGCAGAGGCTTTTTATAATCAATTAGTTTCCTTCAAATGGCAAACTTCATGTGTATACTTTTGTTTTTCACATAGAGCAAATAATAATTTCCCATATTTCTGAGCTGATCTTGAATATATATGCAAAGTTTACATATTATAATGAGACAAATTTCCTGCTAAATCAGGTTTCTCTTCCCACTTTTTGATGTTGGGTTGCTTTGATTGGATAAAAAAAAATCAGGAGCTGTCAATCTGTTTTCTTTTCAAGTCTTTTCTGTTCCTTTTGAAATTAGTTACAGCCTGCTTTTTGTAGCATTGTAACCAGTCTGACCTAATTTAATTACCATGACTTGCGTGGTTTAAAGATAAATACTTTTATTCAGTTTGTCTACTCTGTGTATGTTTCCCTCCCTTTCATACAATCCTCTATATTTTAGCATTCAAAACCCTTGTTATTTCTCTCTTTATTGGGCTAACACAGAGCTGGTTTTTTTTGGTGGTGTCTATATTCAGAAGTTTTCTTTGATGCTACATTTGCTTTCTCCCTTTTCTGTATCTGTTTGTGTGCTGAGAATTGTGGGCCTCTGTGGGATCCAGACTAAACATTCTTTGACTTGAACCACAGAGCATCACTACTGTACGTGTCTCTGTGCAGACCCAACTACTCTAATTTAGAAATAGAAGGGGAAAAAGGAGACTGAAAGAAACACAGCAGAGCCTTGGGGCTTAGAAACACTGTATTTAAAAATTCCAGTCCACAGAATGTACTACCAGGCCCAGGAAAAGATTAGACATTCACTTCAGCTATTTAAAATGGAAAACCTATTTCTGTTATTCCAGATTCACTGTGAGTCTTGTAAAGGGAATGCATACCATTTTACTGCTGCTTTCTTCCTGAGAAAAGAAGGCATGCAGAAAGATTTTCACAGTAAAAAGATTGTGCTCTCTGGCTATTGAGCTATATGCTCTAATAAAATGAACATCATCATAGCAAGGGTAGTGAATAACCAGCATTAAGATCTCACGAGGGAGTGTTTAGATTGATTGGAGTTAATCTATTAGCCTCCTTGAGCTCACTTGATATGTACCATCTGAGGGAGCCCTTTATTTTTCACAGAAAAGAACATATGCTGAATACTTATGGGGAATAAAACAAAGTGTAAAATCAGATCTGAGTCCTGAACAGATTGTGTCTTGCTACAGGTGTTGTATAGCCCTTTGCCTGCCCCTACAGACCCTCCTCTTAAAAAAGGTTCTCACAGCACGGTGCCTTTGCAAATTGTCCCACAGAAAATGTGAATGGGGTCTATTCTGCCACATGCAATGCCATCTGAAATGGCACAAAAACCTGCTGTTCCACAAAACAGACCATTCTGTTTTTTAAAAAGTAGGAGAAAAAGAAATTCAAGAATGCTGTTTCCCTTCACAAACTTTGGTTTGCTTGGGCACATGAAAAGAGATTTTTATCTTGCAAATGAAGTAAAAAATAAATAATTACAAAGACATCATTAAAAGTTCCATTTGAACTGTACAAATAATATTGTACCTTAAACAAACAGAAGGAGGCTTTTTATAAATGCCAAAAGCCAAAGCCCTACAGATTCTACAGATTAGGGTGAAACAGTTTCATTACCTCTATTCTTACAATGCGTCAAAATTGCCAAGAAAACTGTTTTCTGCCACATTGGTCTTAAGATAGTGACAAATCCCTTTAAACTAATCATTAGCCAGAGAATACTGAGCATAAATGTAATGAAACAATGTCAAGAATCCTGCCACAAGAGGTCACAGTTTATACTAAATTAATTAGTGTGCTCATGTTACATTTAATTTGGAGAAGCAGATATCTCTGCTTCTTAACAATCATTCATGGCTAATACTGAATACTTTTTTCTTCAACCATCTATGTGCTATAGCTCTTTTGTTCACTAGAGCCAAGTAAAATGTAGAGAACTTGATTTCTGAGTTAATAACTCTGATGTTAATCACAGAAAGTACTGCAGGAGCCTGGTGCCAACCAAAGATAGCCAATGTTACCACCAAAGCAGGAGCAAGTTTTTGATGCTATAAATCCTTGAATATGTAAGGAACAGAGACTATATGAAATTCAAAAAATTACTGAAACAAGCTTGTATTTTAATAGTAGCTACATAAATTTTATTATATGAAGTTTGAACTGTACACAGTTTGAGAAAAAAGTATGTGATTTGCAATGATGACTACTATGTTCCAATTTAATGATATAATTTAGCCAAAATTTAACTATTAATACATCACTTTTTATTCATTTATTCTTCCAGTTTATGGTCAACTGCAGAAGTTCTATCTACTCGCTTATTTTAAGATAACATATAAGCAAGTTAGCATTAGTACTACAAAAAATGAAAAACAAATAGAATTCAAGATTAAGATAACAACATCTTGATATTGTTAGAACATATAAAAATAAGCTATAACTATCTCAACAAGAGAGATGGGCATGGTGGCTCGTGCCTGTAATCCCAGCACTTTGGGAGGCTGAGGCGGGCGGATCACTGAAGGTCACGAGTTCAAGACCAGCCTGGCCAACATGGTGAAACCCCATCTCTATTAAAAATACAAAAATTAGCCAGCCATGGTGGTGGGTGCCTCCAATCCCAGCTACTCAGGAGGCTGAGGCACCAGAATCATTGAACCTAGGAGGCAGAGGTTGCAGTGAGCTGAGATCGCACCACTGCACACCAGCCTGGGTGACACAGTGGGACTCTGTCTCAAAAAAACAAAAAGAAAGAAAAATTTCTCTGGAAATTTATGTGAAATACTACATATTTAGAATTAGGAGAATTCTAAAATAAATATGTTAAGAAAAATTTTGAACTACTGAATATAAAACATAATTTAAAGCCAGCACAATGAAGGTGTATTGATTTGGAGATAAGTGTACCAAAAAGTGGAACAAAATAAAGAGATCCAAAATAGAATTTTATATATATAGAAAATTTGGCTTATAAAAATTGGTAAAATTTCAAGCAGTAGAAAAAAATAGATTATTCAATAAATAGTGTTGTGATAGCTGGCTAATCTTTGGGAGAAAAATAAATTGAATCCCTACTTCACTCTCTTAAACAACATTAATTCCAGAAGGATAAAGAACTTACAGGCTAAAGAAAAAAAGACAGTAACCCTTAAAACACAGGGAGAAAATATGCATTTAAAAAATATAATATTGTCTTAGGGAAACTCTTTTTAAGCAAGACTAAAAAACAAAAACAATGAGTAATAATATTGATAAAGTTGACCATGTAATTGTGAAGTATGCCATAAACTTAAACCACATATTTAAAAGTTTTGGAGTAAATGTTAGCAAAATAAATGGCAGAAAAGAGAGATTTTATATTCGAAACATACATGAAAAAATTAGATGCACTATATTATTGAATTAATGTCTAAAATGTGCACGTGCTGTTATCTTAGTTTTGCAGGTAAGGATACTGAAGCTCAGAAAGCCACATGTCTCAACAGACACAATTAAAGGGTAGCAGAGCAGGGATGTGTTTTTTTCTGACTCAAATACTTCCCATAAATAAAGAAATGTTAAAGTCTGATACTTTGCTTCTCAATGTGAGCTCCAAGGAGCAGCAGCACCGGCCTCGCACAGAAACTTAACTAGAAATGCAGACCCTGGCCGGGAGTGGTGGCTCATGCCTGTAATCCCAGAACTTTGGGAGGCCGACGGGGGCAGATCTTGAGGCCAGGAGTTTGAGACCCGCCTGGCCAACATAGTGAAACCCTGTCTCTACTAAAAATACAAAAATTAGTCGGGTATGGTGGCGCATGCTTGTAGTCCCAGCTACTCGGGAAGTTGAGGCAGGAGAACCTCTTAAACCCAGGAGGTGGAGGTTGTGGTGAGCCGAGATCACGTCACTGTACTCTAGCCTGGGCAACAGAGTGAGACTCTGTCTCAAAAATAAAATAAAATAAAATAAAAATGCAGAACCTAAGCCCTCATTGATTCTTATGCATATTAAATTGTGGTAGGCAATAATCTAATACAAACCTGAAAATATGTTCAACCTATAACAATAAAGTACTTAAAATAATTAATTAAAACAACTCTGAAAAATTATTTTTCACTGGTATAGATGAAAAAGATTGTGATAGTCAACAGTTGTTAAGCTAGTAAATTATATTAATATTGTTATCGTTGCAAGCCAAATGTTTGCTATTCCTTTTCCTCTGGCACCTGCACTTCAATAAGTCTGTAGGCAGATGGGATGGGGGATTGGGGTATTCTTCTCATTGGCCCAAGAGCTAAAAACAACTTTCCCTCTCCCTTATGAATATGAACTTTTCACCACAAGAGAATTTTGATAAAGCATGAGAATATCAATTTTAAATGGAGACTCTTAGCACATAAAAAGAACTTGGGGATATTAATGAAATCAAGAGTGTCTATTCAATTAAATATTTAGTAATGCCAGAGCACTACTGCTCTCAAGATGAGCAGGAGTATCACATGTGATAAATAGGAAAGTGCCTCCCACAAGCACTTAATAATAATATTAGTCAATAACTGGTTACTTTCCATGGGCCAGGCTTCTTGCTCAGCATTTTACTCACAATATTTCATTTGATGGGCACATGGACCCCATGAGGTACATATTATTATTAACTGAACTTCACAAATGAGAAAACTGAGAACAATAGGGGTTATGGGACTTGCTGAAATTCACACAGCTATTAACTATCACAGGAAGGATTCAAACCTAGAAAATTAGACTCCAGAGTTTTATGGTGAACCATGATTCCATACTGCCTCCCTTGCTGTTCACATTTCTGGGCCAATACCCGAAAGAGCTCAATAATACATTTTGAGATAAATCCAGTCTATTGGGCCAAAGGCTTTTTTTAACTACCAAAAAATTATAATATTATGGAAACTGAGATAGTTTAGTAAAAGTCAAATTGGTATTTGGGACAGTTGCATCTAGCTCTGAGTCAGTTACATATTAATCTAATACTGCCAATACATTTTATGCCACTTGAAATTATTTATACTATGCACAACAAGGTCCTAGGCAGAGTAAACAGATATAATCCAATCTTGAAGTAAAAAGTGAAATAGGGTTTCTCCTCAGTCACCCCTTGAATCATTCAGAAGTCCATATTGAGCACATTGAAAGGCATGCATTAGCAAGTCATGATTTTCCGGAAAAACATCAGAGCTGGACCCAGCTCAGTGACCAGATGCCTCTGTACTACTGCTACTGAAGGTACTACCTCTCTTCATTTTCCTCAGCCCTGCTGTATCTACTCTTCCCTGAAGCTTCTCCCTACTGCTTTCAACCCAGTTATGTTTTTCCACTTGCCTGATTTGTGCTCCTCAGAAGCTCAACTGCCATAATAAGATTGAAAAAGAGGGTGGGTCCACCCAGCAGTTCCTGACCTTGTCCTCTTCCCTTCTGTGTTACACAACTGTTTATTGGCTCCAAGCTGATCTCCAGCAGCCTTTCTGGACTCTGTCTTACTCATTTATCCCAGCAAAGATATTCTGCCCGACGTCACAGCCACATCGCACCTACTGGAAGCCAGGGTGGTCCACGTGGAGCCTGAGCATCCAGTAAATGTGGATGAACTTGTTTTAACATTTGTTCACTCTTGAAAAGGACAAACATTGTAAAGGGAAGGGAAAGGAATCTCAGAATATTTAGGTGTATCAGCAGAGGAAACTGATATTTCAAACAGGAGCCAAAAGTGACAAGGAAGTAATAGTATATGTATGTTGGAATAACCAGGATTGACAGGTCCAAATGAAACCAAGGCATAAAGTCGTGTCAGTGGCTTCATAGGCCTAAGCCATGAGTTTTATCAGAAGTTATTAAAGCAGGGAGACTGGATTTCTTCAGGTTTCCAAATAGAAAGTTGAAGAAAAGTTGTTAAGATTGGCTAAAAAAAAAAAAAAGGGCTTGAATGGTGGCTCATGCCTGTAATCCCAGCACTTTGTGAGGAGTTCAAGACCAGCCTGAGCAACATGGAGAAACCGTCTTTACAGGAGAAAAAAAAAAACCCACGAAAAAACAGCCAGGCCTGGTGATACATGCCTGTAGTCCCAGCTACTCAGTAGGCTGAGGTAGGAGGATTACTTGAACCCGGGAGCAGAGGTTGCAGTGAGCTCACATTGCGCCACTGCACTCCAGCCTGGGCGACAGAAAAAAATCTGGCCTACAAAAAGGAAGATCCAGAAACAAGAGGAGTGGGGGGATGCAAATTAGTTTTTCACTGTAATTTGAAGTAAGGCTACTTTGCCTCTCATTCAGCCAGTTGGATGACTTATGTATCAGCATTAGTTGATGAAACAAAGTATAAAGTTTTATGGCTTATAGATACATCATGCACAGAATTAGAGAAGCGCTTTTGAATAAATAAATAAATAGCCTGAATGTGGGTCACAAGTTTACCTCTCTTATTTTTTAATTTTTGTTAACCTAAAATTATTCTGGTACTTAACTTTCTTTTTCTATTTTAGATTAATACTCCCTTTTATATTATTTTATCATTGTTTGTAAACATTCTTTTGAAAAGACCAATGTCTCAGAAAGTTAACATTTGGTTTAGATGCCTCTCTTTTAAAATAATTGGTGTTATTGGCTTTCATATGGACAGAATTTTCCATTTCTCATGAAGTGAATATCCATAGACAAGTCTATTCTTGAAAATCCTAACTATCTTTTCTATGGATCTCTTAAAGAATATTTTCCAGAAGTTTATGTTATATATTAGATTATTCTCAATATTTTTCTTCATAATTGTCCTTTAGACTACTGAATTCAATCCAAGAACTGCCATAATATGAAGGATAAATTTTACTACAATACGCTGAGGCTGGGCTTGGCCAAGGTGTGTTGTTCTCTAATGATGAGTCAGCACATCACCATGAATTTAGCAGAGTAACGCAATACCCCTTTATTATCTCACAATTATGTAGATCAGAAGTCTGGCCATAGTGAGACTGGGTTCCCTGCTCAGGGTACCCCAAGGCTGAAATCGGGATGTCCGCTGGGCTTTATTCTCTTCAGGAACTTGGAGTCCTCTTTCCTGCTTACCTGATTCTGTCAGAATTCCGTGTCTTGAAGTCATACGATTGAGGTCCTCATTTCCTTTCTGGCTGTCAGGCGGAGAATGCTATTAATTCTTTCAGGCTCCAGCAGTTCCTGGCTACGTGGCTTCCTCCATCTTCAAAGTTAGCGGTAGGACACTGAATCTTTCTGGAGCTTGAAATCTTTTTTACAAGAAAGAATCCCCTCTCTTTTTAAGGGCTCACCTGATTAGGTGAGACCCAAAGATACTCTCTATTTAAAATCAACTGCTTAATATAGCATAACATAACCACTGTATCCACACATCACTTCAAACTCAAGGGCCCAAGATATACAAGGGAGTGGGGTCATTGGAGATCATCTTAGAATTCTGACGACCATGCAAGGCATTCAAGGTATAGGGAAAATTACCAAGAACTGCCCAAGTGAAGCATATTTGAAATATTTCTGAAGCTCTGCTAGGAGATAGGGAGGGATTCTCTCTCATACAATGTTACCACCTTGAAAGAAAGAACTGAGTCTGTATGGCTCAGTGCTGCTATTGTAGTGTCTGGCATAATAGGGAGTCAATAATAGCTATTGAATAACTAGATGATGAATGAACGAATAAATAAGAAATACTCTTGTGGTAGAACATGAACTTCAGAGAATAAACCAGGACACAATTATTGACACATCAATATCAAGACCAACTATTTATCATAATGATAGAAACCAGGACTGGAAATCTATAACAACTTAGATGACCAGAAGTTCAGCTGAAGGAGAAATCAAGGGGCAACCTTTAGTATTCTGGATAAATTGGTGATGCAAAGGGAAAAATCGTATTACTATATGTATCTACAACCTTTACATACAAAATTACATTTTGAGTTGAATGACATTTGGATTGAGTTAATTCCTTTGTATTTCAATTTATTCCTCTACAAAGCCATGATTCAATTATTAAATAAATATCTATCTAGTTACGTTCTGTGTTACAGGCTAAGCATTTTAGCCATAGCAATGTATAAGAAAAATTTGCCTGTGAAGTCTAGTTACAGATGTTCAAACATTTAACTCCAGAAAATGTAATCATTGTTTGAGGCATTGGAGCATGTGTTATAATTTGGAAAGAAAATAAACATGCTAAATAAATTTAAACTTTTTTTTGTCTTTAAGGTTATTAAACAATTTGAACTTTGAAAAGTAAAAATCTGTAACTCATTCACACTTACTCTATTCATAAAAGGAGAATCTAACTTTTAGGCAATATAATTCCGTTTTTAATCTTCTTACATGTAAAAAATTTGATGACAGGATTGATATAAGAATAAGTAGTGAAAAGGAGCTATGTTTTATCTTATGAGGTTTATCAAGATAATTATACATCAAGGCATATATAAACTTTAAAAAGATTCCTTTTTCAATAACACCAAATGATCCAAAACAGTATTAACATTTAATGAAAGATGAAGATGAGGTTCCTTTTTAAATTATTATATTAATTACAATAAAGAGAAAAATCCCAACTTTTCTAAAATATATCCAAGATCTTTTCATCTATAAAGAACTTATAAATCTACAAGTCAAATCATCTTCACAAGCTTAAGCTGATAGTGTTGTAAACTGTTTTAATTACATTAATTAAAATTTGTACCATTTAAAATTAATTGATACAATTTAGCTTGTACTGCTCTGTAAAGTGCAAACGCTAATGAGACATAGGTTTCCCATCACCACCTTTAATTGAAAAAAAGAATGAGATAAAACTTTTGAAGTATAAAATGGTACATTTTGAAATTGTTAACAAAGAAAATTATTCCTGTTAAATCTAATATAATACATATTTTTAGAACAGAAAAAACAACAACTGTGAAACCTAAAATAAAAAGCAGTAAAAAAGTGTTTTGTGAGTCTACGTGAAATATTTGGTTACATTAAAATAGAAAGACAATGGCTGCTGGAAGAGCTGCAGTTGGTCTTTGATGACTAATTTCTCCAGCTAATTTGGAAAATAATATTCCTGAATTCATTCTTTCTGTTCCCTGTCTTCATCATTCTCTTCTTAACTGCACACCTACACTTCCTTACTGCACACCTACTCTTCTCCATCTAATAAAACAGCCAAATATCTCCTCTGATCCTATATATATAGCCAGCAGACAAATACAAAACATGGTTTATATTCTCATATAAAATAATATGGTCTGGCTAAAGTTGATGTTTAATTAAAACAATTTTAAGAGGTAAATTCAAATTAGTACTAAAACAATACATGTTTATTGCAGTAGTACTTGAACATAAAATACCTAAACCCAAAAATTATCCATATTTATACCTATCCACCACCCAGAAATAACACTGAAAACACTGTACATAACTCACATACACACACATATATACACATATGAATCTTTAGATGGATGTATTTCGAATACACACACATATACTCAAACATCTTTTGAAACTGGGTTATAACATACATGCTATTTTGAAATCTGCTTTTTTTCTTAAAAATGTAATATGAAAATGTTTCACCACCAATATTATTATTGTACTTAACAATGGATAGAGGTGTTTTTGTTTGTTTGTTTGTTTTTTGTTTTTTGTTTTTTTTTTAACAATGGCTAACCAGGGTTAATGAGGGTTTAGGTAAGCTGGCACTCTCATTAAAATTGTAAATTGGTCCAACTCTTCTGGAGTGAAGTTGGCAATGTATTTCAAGAGCTTTAAATATAATTTAACCATTATAAAATTTGAATGCCTTTCACTTCACATTGGGATGTGTACAAATTTCCATTACTAGAGTATTTGTTATAATCCACTTTATAATTTCCAAAAATAGCAGAAGACCAAAATGTGTAACAAGAGGTATCTGCTTTAAAAAATACAACATATTCATTGCACATAAAAGTATTTTACCTTAAAATTATGTGGATCATGGAGAATGTGAAAATGCTTCAAAGTTTAATTCACATATGGGCCTCCATAATTTTCACACAGGTTTGTAAAATATTACAATCTAAGTACACAGTCTTATCCACAGTAATACAGAATGGACAAGGGGAGCTTTCATTTAAGTATAGTCCTTTTATTCAGAATGCTAGAAGATGCAAACTATTGTGTAGTGAGAGAAAGCAAATTAGTTGTTACCAGAGATGGTGGAGGTAGCGGAGCAGTGGGAGGAGGGAGTTACAAAAAAGAAATTTTTGAGGTGATGAATATGTATTTGTCTTAATTGTGGTTCCACAGGTCACCTATGTCAAAATATATCAAACTGTACAATTTAATACGTGCAGTTTATTGTCTGTCAATTATATGGTTTGGATCCGTGTCCCCAGCCGAGTCTCATATTGAATTGTGATCCCAAGTGTTGGAGGTGGGGCCTGGTGGGAGGTGACTGAATCACGAAGGTGGACATCCCCCTTGCTCTTCTTCTGATAGAGTTCTCAAAAGATCTGGTTGTTTAAAAGTGTGTAGCATCTCTTCCCACCCCCCTCTTTCTCTTGCTGGCCATATGAAGACATGCCTTGCTTCCCCTTTGCCTTCTGCCATGGTTGTAAGTTTCCTGAGGCCTCCACAGTCATGCTTCCTGTATAGCCTGTGGAACTGTGAGTCAATTAAACTTTTTTTCTTCATACATTACCCAGTCTCAGGTAGTTCTTTACAGCAGTGTGAGAACTGACTAACAGAGTCAAGTTTGCCTCGATAAAGCCATTAAAAAATTAAAAAGACTCATAGTACCAGGTGTTTGTGAGGAAGTGGCGCACCTGGAAATCTTGTGTATTTTTGGTGGAATGGTTAATACAGCTGCAATGGAAAGTAACCTTGCAATATCTTATAAAGTTAAACACACACTTGTCATATGACCCAGCAATCCTACTTCTAAACATTTACTTGAGAGAGATAAAAGGCATATGTCAACAAAAATGTCTCTACTGATTACCAATTTTGAATTTTTTAATTAAAAAAAATATATATTTTTGAGACGGGAGTCTCACTCTGTTGCCCAGGCTGGAGTGCGGTTGCAAAATCTCGGCTTACAGCAACCTCCGCCTCCCAGGTTCAAGAGATTCTGGTGCCTCAGCCTTCTGAGTAGCTGGAATTACAGGCACATGCCACCACAACCGGCTAATGTTTTCTATTTTTAGTAGAGACAAGTTTTCACCATGTTGGTTAGGCTGTTCTTGAACTCCTGACCTCCAGTGATCCACCCACTTCAGACTCCCAAAATGCTAGGATTACACATGTAAACCACCGTGCCTGGTCCAAATTTAAAAAATATTTTTAATCCTCCTCTTATTGATTCCTCAGTCACTACATACTTCTGCCCACTCACTTCTTTCAGCACTCTTTTCTTCATCGTTCCTGAACTACGTTCTCTTTGTTTTCTTCCTACATATTTGGCACTTCCTTCTCCTTTGCCTTTGGTATCTCATCCTCCTTATTCCAGCCATTAAATGTTGCCATCTTGGCTTATTTTTACTTGCCATCTCTTCCCACACTATGCTCTTTCTGTAGGCTAATTTCATCCATTTCCATAGTTTCACTAATTTAATACTCCACAATTAACTCTCTCCTAAATTCCAGGCTTTTATCTTTGGCCACATATAAAACATTCCATGTGCATTCCTCAGAGGTTCTGCAGTCAGTATATCCTACGCTGAAGCATGCTCTTATCCTCACAAACCTTCTTATAGTATTCAATATCTAAGTAAACAGCCACATCATCCAACCAATTGCTCAACCCCCAACCTGGAAATCAAAGATGAATGACACCTCCCAATCCATCACCTCTCACATCAAAGAAATTACCAAATTCAGGCAACTCACATGCTAATCACTTCTAAATTTCATTAACTTCTCTAACTACATTACCTTTGTTCTAATCAATTTATCTTCACCTTTACCCTGGATTTCTGTAGTAACTGGCCTCCCAAAATTTATTCTAGTCCCTGACCAACCTGTTCTCTATGTTAAGCTACCTCTTTCAAAATGTAAATCTGATCTTATCACATCCCTAATTCTTCTCCCACTTCACAGCCCAATTATAACCTTTTTAAAATTATTATTATGTTGCTCTTAGAATAATGGCCCTTATCTTTGGCATGGTCTGTGGGGAGCTATTACATGATCTGGTCTTTGCTAACCTCTCTAGCTTTATTCCCAATCTCTTTTCACCTTCCTCTCTCCTCTCCAACCACCCTGGCCATCTTTCTGGCTTTCCTCCCTCCAAGGGATGTTGTACTTCCCTCTCCATCTAGGATTCTCTTCCTGCTCCCTTCTATCACTGGTTAACTCCTGCTCAATCCCTGATCTCAGGGGAAGTATCATTTCTTTTACTTCCATATACTAGGTCAAGTTTGTCTGTGATATTCTCTTCCAGAATTCACTTATTTTCTTTGAACTTTTCACATTTTAATTTATACATTCATTAATTTCTTTTGTTGCATAATATAAGCTTCCCATCTAAAGTGTAACTTGCAGAAACAATGTTTTAATTCAACTTTGTTTCTACATGGATAAATTTCACATACAGGTAATATTTCTCATGAAGCTATGTCTCTGGAAAACAGACGTCATCATGACTTTCTTTAAGTATTAATACTACAGTGATTTAAAAAAATATTTAAACGTCCTGATGGATAATTATTTTTAATACAAAATGTGTTTGCGAGTGTTTGTTTTATGTGGATCAAAAATTCACAAAAAGCTTTCCTCGAAGTAGGTGTCATTATCAAAGCACTTGAAGACTAGATTCCAGATTGTTATTTTCCTGTTTTATTTTTTAAAGATGGCCTGTTGTCCTTTGATCTTGCTCTGACACCTGCACCAACCTACTTCTCTCTTCTTAAGGGGTCCCTGTAGGATCCGAGATCATGTGGATAAAATTAAAATGGAGATCATGTGATTGAAACTATTCTTCACAACTTCTCCCAAAACACACAGACAAATATTCACATAAACATTTGGATTCGATTTTCAAAGGGTCTAATTTGGCTTTCAAATTTCATATCTCCACTGGATAAATTTTCTCACACCAACTGCGAAATAGAAAGTGCTTAAAATTAGTAGTTTTGTGTTGAAAAATTCCCTTTCACTGACATTCTAATATTTCTCTACTTCTTTAATACATTTCAAAAAAACTACTTTTTTCATTTTATTCCAAGTTGCTTTTCTGAAAGGCTGTGTTGCCCACCAATATGAAGTGATCACATGAATATTATTGTTTAATATTTCCCCTGCAAAATGTGAACAAACAAAGATAGGGAGTAGGGTATTCTTTGGGGATTCAGCTAAGAATTGTGGAATTACCCTTCATCTGTTTCCTTCTTAGTAATATGTTTTTTGTTCTCAGTAAAGGCCAAAAGACAAAAAGAAGAAGAATTACATTGCATTTTGGACAGTATTTTAAAACAATATTAATTTGTAGAATTTACATAACTATTGCAACAGATGTAAATGAACAAAAATTGAGTCACTTTATTGTAAAATATAAACTTTAATCCCTACTTCCAGGGAGAAGTCCAAAAAAAAAGCTATTTTTCCATAGTATATAACTTAAAACAATTATATGGGCTTCAAAAAACATAATTGTTCTATTTCAAATTATTTTTCATGAAAAAAGTAACTTGAGAAAAAGGATAAAATTTTTTCAACATGTATCTCTGCTTCTAGAATCAACAGTCTTACAGTTCTAATAGACATTCTGATGATGAGGTACCCTGACTCAACCATTTAATGTTAACTAAGTACTTCAACAATAACTCTGTAATAAATGGTCTCTGAAGACAGGATAAGAAATTGTAAAAATTAATTCTATGTCCCTCCTCACTCTTCCCTCCTAGCTTCAAAATAAGGTTAATATCTTCTTGAACAGTTTCCAAAATGACTCAATTAAACATTCCCCAGATATCTACCTTTTGCTTACTTTTTATCAGGGCAATATCTCTGACACAGCTCTGCCAAGTCGGAAATTTGGGGTTAATTTAGAATATCTCTTGTTTTTTTTACAGCTTGAAGAAAAGATAAAGGTCAGCAGCCGCTTAAGGAGAAGAACAGAAGTCACAAGTTAGAAATAAACAAAGGAAGTTCCTTTGCAGTACAGCTATTTAAAACATATGCCAATAAAATGTTCAAAGGATTTCTACAGAGCTCCGAAGATAAACATATTTTTTTTGTCTCGAAAAAGTTCACTTACCTGAAGCTTTAAACTAAAATATGTAACATGGCTCTGTAGAAAAAAAATATTAAAGACAGTGATTTGGCATTTTATTCATTTACTAGGGCTTTTAGTGCACTTGACCATGAAGGTTTACATCCCAACTCCACCTTCTATTAGCTGTGGGGCTTGGGGCAAATCCTTTAATATTCTCTTGTCCCAGTTACCTTATTTGAAAAAGGAAAATAATTATCATAACTTATGGAAGTGTTAAATGAATTAAAACACACAAAATACTAAAATAGTGTCAGCCATGCAGTAAATCCTCATTAAATGCCTGTTATCCTTACCAATTTTATTATTATCATCATCATCATTTTAATGATGGTGGGTCATTGAAAAGTGTATTAGCCAGAGTTTCCCAGAGAAATCGACCCAATAGGATGTGTGTGTATATATAGAGAGAGATTTGTTTTAATGAATTGGCTCATATGATTATGGAGACTGGCAAATTCAAAATTTGTAGTTCAAGTCTGAAGGCTATCAGCTACAGACTCAGAAAAGAACAGATGTTGCAGTTCAAGTCCAGAGCCCATCTGCTGCAGAATTTCTTCTTCATCAGTGGGGGTCAGTCTTTTGTTCTATTCAGGCCTTTGACTGATTAGATGAGGCCCACTCACATTATGGAGGGCAATTTTGCTATTTTCTAACACTAAATTTTAAACTATTATGAAAATATTGTCTTGACTCCTATTAATCTTAATTTTGAAATTTCTTCTTTAAACCTAAATGATGTTTCTGATAGACCATTATACAACTAAGACAAATAAATCCATTTATTCATTCAGGAATTATTTATTACAGGGCTACTATATACCAGGCTTTGTTCTAGGCATTTGGGACACAAAAGTGAACAACAATAACTAAAAAGAAGACACCAATAAATCTTTGCTTAATGGAGCTTGCACTGTGGTAGAGGAAGACAATAAGCAGGAAATATGAAAACTAATTTAGTTTTGTAATGTTAGAAGGTGTTGTGTGCTATAGCGAGAAGTAGAAGGTGACCTAGAAGACCTGAAGTGCTAGGTCTGGCAGGACCTGGCAGTATAAAACAGGATGGTCAGATAGGTCCTGGTGGTAGTGCTGTGAGGCATCCGAATTCCAGGGTCAGAGAGTTCTTAGCACAGCAAGAGCCAGAAAGCAAAGACTTCCCTGAATGAAGCAAAATGGTAGGCATGGGAAGGTCTGGGAGAAATATTCCAGGCAGGAAAACAGCAAGCACAAACCCATGAGGATAGAAGAAACTAGCCAGTGTGACTAGAGAGGAATAGAGGAATTCAAACTCCAGATCACAGAGGCTTTGCAAGCCACAGGGAAGACTCTGTACTCTAGAGGAAGTGGTCAGTAGAGATCAGTTGAGAGTTACATTTCTAAGACAGAGTGAACAGGACTTGATGGATTGAATGTTGGATATGAATGAAAGAAACAAATCAAGGATGGCTCCTAGGTTTCACAACAACTGAGAACGTTGTGGTAATACTTACTGGCCAGTCCTTACTTGTCTTGCAACATAATTTACATCACAATTTTTTTCAGATGCAAGCTTAACAGCTGCCTTAAAAATATGATTGAAATGACAGTTACATTTTGCCCATCATATCAGAAATAAAAATCCAGCTTGAATCAATATATGCATGTTTTTATTTAATATTTCTGTTCTTCCTATATTATATGTAAGTACTAATTAAAAATTTAATGGATATTATCTATAAATCTACTGAGGAAAAGGAAAGAAAAATCTGGAGACTAGTTTCCAATCATTTAATGTTGCCATACTTTCTACTTAATGAGAGTGAAAATGAGGTAACCAACACTACACATCTGCTATTAAACTTAAGAAAGGCCATTTTATAGGCATTAAACTCCTGTGGTCTGCTAAATGTTCCTGCTCACTCACCTATTGGGAGGGTAATTACTATTCTAAGATTGCTAAAGCAATAGAATATGCCTTTATCTATTTTCCTTCAGGCTGAACATTTTAAAATGTTTTTAAAAGTTCACTTTCCGGATTCCTTGTTTGATTTATGAGAATTAAGGTGACATTACCACATCACCTCAATCAACTCTGATAATGCATTCCTTAACTAATAAAAATTCCCCCATAATAATAATAAGTTTATTTTCCTGTGAGGCATTTTTAATTGCACAGGGCACGGCTATAATTGAAATATATTCATTTTGGGTTGACATTTTAATTATCCCATTAGCCAGAATATAGACTCTGAACAGCGAAGTTTAGCTTATGTTATGAACTTTGAAAAACATTCTTTGGTAGTTTAGAATTAATGTTTTTAGCCATTCTTATAAACATTCCATTAGTTTTCTTCTCCTGAAATCCTTTAAATGTGGGAGACTTTTCTTTAAATTCTACCTTTTCTCCCTTAGTGCATTTAATATTTTCCCCTAAATTATTAACTTTCCTCTTGCATGTCTCAAGGAAAATTAAACCTCATTGCACCTCTTACCCTACAACTGTCATTTTGAAAACTTTCTTTGCCCTTATTTTTAAACAAGGGTATGTGTTCAACATAATTTACAGAACTTTTAAACTTTTAAAGCTCATAGCATTTGATCTTGACTCTGTGGCCATGAAAAATGCATGAGAATTTTTATTATTATTTTGCAAAAATAATTATAATTATTTCATCAGGTCGCAAGTTCCAACCAGATTTCTGGGAAAGTAAAAGAAATGGTCAGTTAATCCTTGGACCTAAATGCAATGGTATTTCAGGAGTTTCACCTAGGAGATAAGAATAGCCTAGTAATTGTCAGGGAGTAGTAAGCCTTAAGTAAAGTTAATACAAAAATGTTTAATGCCCAGCAAGAGAGCAATCAGACAGGGAAAGACAAAACCTATCAATGTAAAAATCTTAATTACTTCAAAGAGAACTGGCTGTATTGGGGGCTGACTTCGGAGTAATGTCCTCTTTGAGGAATGTTACCATAACTCCTCTTATGCTATGCTGTAGTTATGCAAGATTGAGAACAAATAAATGTTCCTAGGTATCAAAGATAGGAGGAAAGGAATCATTATAGCTATTTCACAAATTTATGCTTTGTAATTTACTTTGAACTTTTACATACAGAAAAAAAAATGGACATGAACTAGTTTACATGTGGTTTTAATCCCTCTGGACCAGCTGGTGAGTATAGAAGGCCAAAAGGACAATCAGTTAGCTCATTGAGGTGGCTGAAGCATTGGCTATGATCTTACTCTACTTCACGGTTCTCTCAATCTTAGGTCTTCAACTCCTCTCAATCCTTAATCTTTCCTTCTTTCTCTATACTCCTTGTGATCTTAATCTAATCTCATAATATGTAATACCAAAGACTTTCCATTGTGAGACACATCGGAAAAGAAATATAACCAAAGACTATATTATATATTAAAATGCACTCCAAATTTCAAAATACAAAAATGTGAATTACAGGTTGACTTTCAATCAGGAAACATAATTTGAACCTGTCATCAAACCTTGTCATGTGTTTTAAATGCTCCTTCCTTTTCCACCTAAATTCTAGACCTTTTCATTTCAAGTCTGGAGCACTTAAAAACAGAGTCTCAGTTGATATCCTTGCTTCTAGGATTAAAGGAACGAAAGTAACATCTTGATAAGAGCTCTAAACTCAAACTTTCTGATTTTATCTTACGGGTTCACCACTTAGTATATGTGACTTTGGGCAAATGATTCTAACCTCTTTGTGGTTCTTTTCCTCATCTATAGATCAAGTATAAAAATGGTAATTTTCTCATGAAATTGTTATGAAGCTTACATAAAGGAATACACAGAAAGTGCTATAACAACATCTGTAAATCTAACAAGCACTAAAAATATGTTAGCTATGAATATGGTTTGATTGCTTTTGTTCCCTCCAACATTCATGTTAAAGTTTAATCCCCAATGCAACAGTATTGGGAGTTGTGGACTTTGAAAGCTGATTGAGTCAGAGCCCTCATGAATGGGATTAGGCAACTTTTATGAAGGGCTTGACTGAGGGAGTTTGTCCCTTTTCACCCTTCTGTCCCTCCGCTCTGTGAGCATGCAGTGTTCCTCCCATGCAAATGATGCCAAAACTCCATCTTGGAAACAGAAAGCAGTCCTGTCCAGACAGTTGAGCCTGCTGGTGCCCTGATCTTGGACTTCCCGGTCTCCTGAACTGTGATAAATAAATTTCTGTTCTTTATAAATTGCCTACTCTCAGGTATTTTTTGTTATAGCAGCACAAAACAAACTAAGACAGCTATTGTTATGGGCTGAATTATGTCTCCACAGAATTTCTATGTTAAAGTCTTAACCCCTAGTAGCTCAAAATGTGACTGTATTTGGAGACAGAGCATTTAAAGAGGCGATTAAGTCAAAGTGAAGCCTTTAGAGTAGGCATAATCAAATCTGATTGTGTCCTTATATGAAGAAGAAATTGAACACACAGACAGACACTAGGAGTGCATATGCAATGGGAAACAACCACGACAGCAAGATGGTGACCACCATCAAGAAGGAGAGAGGTCTCAGAGAAATGAAATCTATTGATACATCAGTCTCAGACTTTCAACCTGCAGGATGGTGAGAAAATACATTTCTTTTGCTCAAACCACCTTATCTATAGGATTTTGTTATGGCAGTCCTAGAAAACTAATATAGCTATTAAGACACTACATTCCAATTCATTCAGTATGAATGTATTAGTATCAGGCTTCCTAAAATATTAATTAATTAAGCCATTAAAAATATATATTTAGCTGAGTGAGGTGGCTCATGACTGTAATCCCAGCACTTTGGGAAGCAGAAACAGGCAGATCACTGGAGGTCAGGAGTTTGAGACCAGCCTGGCCAACACAGTGAGACTCCATTTCTACAAAAAATATAAAAATTAGCCAGGCTTGGTGGTGCATGCCTTTAGTCGCAGCTATTCGGGAGGCTGAGGCAGGAGAACTGCTTGAGCCCAAGAGACGGAGGTTGCCGTGAGCTGAGATCGTGCCACTGCACTCCAGCCTGGGTGACAGAGTGAGACTCCATCTAAAAAAAAAAATTAAAAAATAATATATATATATATATATATATAGAGAGAGAGAGAGAGAGAGAGAGAGAGAGAAAGAGAGCAATTGAATGTCTATATGTATTAGCTGTTATTCTAAACACTAAGAATACAGTGACAACTAAAATCAGCAAATTCACTGGACAAACAGATGGGGCGGGGGAGGAGGAGACAGACAACAAGTAAAACAAGTCTAAAACAAGATGACTTATATTGTAATAATTGCTAGGACGCTATGAGTCAGATAAAACCAGGTGACATGACAGGCATGAAGGTGATAGTTACATTAGATTGGGGGTAGAAGGAATCACAGAAGACATCACAAGTGTCTTTTTAAGAATGTGATACGTGGCCGGGCATGGTGGCTCATGCCTGTAATCCCAGCAATTTGGGAGGCCAAGGCAGGTGGATCACCTGAGGTCAGGAGTTCAAGACCAGCCTGGCCAACATGGCAAAACCCCATCTCTACTAAAAATACCAAAATTAGCCAGGTGCAATGGCACATGCCTGTAATCCCAGCTACTTAGAGGCTGAGGCAGGAGAATCGCTTGAACCCAGGAGGCAGAGGTTGCAGTGAACCAAGGTCACGCCACTGCGCTCCAGCCTGGGCGATAGACTGAGACTCTGTCTCAAAAAGAAGAAAAAGAAGAAGAATAAGAAAAAAGAATGTCATACAATATGAGGCTGGCTTCTTTCACCCTGCATGCAGCCTTTGAGATTTGACTAAGTTGTTATATTTTTTATTTCAACCATCAGACATATTTTAAAGAAGAGAACCAATCTATTATATTTACACAGACAATTACCATTTCTGCTCTTCCTTCATCTTGATGGTCTAAATTTTCTTCTGGTAGTATTTCCCTTCTGTCTGAAGACTTTTTAAAATAATTATTTTAGAACAGCTTTGCTGCTGAATTACTTCTCCTAGTTTTCCTTCATCTGAAAATGTTTATATTTCAATTTCATTCCTGAAGGATATTTTACTGAATATGGAATTCTGGGTTGAGAGTTCACTCTTTCAGCTCCTTAAAAATTTTGTCCTACTTTTTTCTTGCCTCCATAGTTTCTAAAGACAAAACAAAATCACTTGAATTATTGTTCCCTATAAGTAGTGGGTCACTGTTCCTCAGTACCATTAAGGTTATATATATATAAGTATAACTTAATAAGGTTCTATATATATAACTAAATATATATATATATTTATTTCAAGAATTTAATTATTATTTAGTTCAAGAATTTAATTACTATGTGTCTGGGTTTGGATTTCTTTGAGTTTGTCCTGTTTAGGATTTGCTGAACTCCTAAAATCTGTAGATTCATCTCTTTACCCAAATTTGGAAAATTTTCAGCCATTATATCTCCAAATACTTTTTCAACATCATAGTCTTTCTCCTTTCCTCTGAGTTTTTAATGGCATAAATGTCTTACCTCCTGTTATTGTGCCATAGGTTCCATTTATATTTTTTCACTATTTTTCCTTAAATGTTCACATTGGATAATTTCTATTAATCTATCTTTGAGTTTACTGATGATTTCTTCTATCATCTTCATTCTGAAATTGAACCTGTTTATTAATGTTTTTGTTGCTATTATTGTATTTTCAGTTCTAAAATTTCCACTTATTTCTTCTTTGCATCTTCCATTTCTCTGCTGAGATTTTCTATCTTTTCATTCATTTTAAGAGCCTTCACCCTTACTTCTTCAAGCTTTTTTTTATGATAGCTGTTCTGAAGTATTTTTCAGATAATTTCAAAACATATGTCATCTTGGCATTGCCTTTTCCCATATAAGTAGAAGTTTTTATGTTCTTCATGTCCCAAATAATTTTAGATTCCATCTTGGAAGTTTCAATATTATGTTATGAGACTCCACTTCTTACTAAAATTCTATAAAGAATGTTCATATTGTAGTATTAACAGGTAATATATATAGTTAACATCCAGTCACAAGTTCCAACCAGATTTCTGTGAGTGTCAGTTCTGTTTTCTAACCTTTCCAATGATTACTCATATCTCTCCCCTGTGTAAGCCACTCAGTGGTCAGTCTGGTACCTGGATGATCATTGGTGATTTATCTGTTACTTCATTCTCAATGTCTTTGGCATGTGTTTATGATGAGATCTGATTCATGAATTTAGAGCTCAGGAGTGACCCCAGGTGTTTATAAATAACTTTATAGTTCTCTTTTCCAAGCCCCTTCCATTTTTGAGCCTTGGTCAAAAGCAGAGGTTCAGTTGCCCCCATTCTGCTGCACGCTTCTATGACTCTATGCCTGTATAGGGCCAATGGGTATAGGCCCTATCGGGGCCTGCATAGGGCCAACGAGCATAAGGCCAGTGGAAAGGGGTTTACTCAACCTTTTTGGAACCATAATTCCTCCAACTGGAGAAGATCTTCCCTTTGAATTTTTGATACCTCTAGGCTTCTGCTATCACCACTGTTGCTGCTGTTTCCATAGCCAATGTGGATTTATGTGTTAGAAAAATGGTAAAAGAACAAAAACAATGAAAAACAAATGGGGGCTTTTTCCCACTCTGAGCATTTGGAGACCCCTTTCTCATTGCTCAAGATACAGGATTTCTCCCAGAACTCTTCCTAACGACATGAGCATTTGGAGACCTCTTTCTCATTGTTCAAGATACAACTAGAGGCCTTCTCCCAGAACTCTCTCTAACTACATCTTGGTGCCCTCCTTTGAGTTTGGGACTTCTTTGCATCAGGCCAGGATATACCAGAAGAAAATGGGAAACTCACCACCAATTTGGTGTACTTTGAATTTGGGTCTTCTTTCCTTATCTGTCAGCTACTCCTTACTTTTCAAGGGCCTGAAATATATACTACATAATTCTGTCTAGGTTTTAGAGCTGTATTTGATGGAGATACAGATAAAATATACCTACTTCTCTACCCATGATCAGAACTTCCACTTACTCCTTTCAATTATTAGGTTTCAAATAATTTATGTACTTGCTGTTGATTTGAGTGAGTCTTTTTTTTCTTAATATAAAAATATAAGATATGGCCATGTCAAAAAAAAAAAAAAATAAACGAATGCACAGAGATCCAGTGAAATAAGTGGATCCTGGCTTCAAGGACCAAGGTGATATGTAGATTCGGAGTACCAGATCAAAAAGCTAAAGCTTACAAACCATGAGTTCCTCATGACAGATATGAAGGCATATCCATACTTGTGCATACAACACACAATCAATTTAAAGACACCAATATGATACTCAGCAAACAGCTGTTTCTTGTTCGATTGCTTCAAGATATGGTAAATGAGTATTGAGACAAAATGTGCTCCTAGAATTCCTGAGGTTTGGTACTCAATCACCTAATAATTTACCTAATCACATTATCATTGGACTGCATGGAAAATAAACTGGCTTCTGAATAACTTTTGGGCAACCAACAAAATTAAGGCAGAATTTTTCAAAAAACAATCTTTGAAATAAAGGAAAACAGAGACACAACATACCAAAATATCTGGGATGCAGCAAAAGCAGTGTTAAGAGGAAAGTTTATAGCACTAAACACCTACCTAAAAAGTTGAAAATATCTCAAATTAATGATCTAGAGGAACAAGAAAATCACACCTAGAGGAACAAGAAAAGCAACAACAAAGTAGCTCAAAACTAGCAGAAGAAAAGGAATAATGAAAATCGGAGAAGAAATGCATGAAATTAAGACTCCAAAATGCTTACAAAGAATTGATAAAATCAAAAGTTGGTTTTGTGAAAGCACAAACAAAATGGTTAGATCAGTAGCTAGATTAACAAAGAAAAAAGAGAGATGATACAAATAAGCACAATCGAAATGATAAAGGTGACATTACAATTGATCCTACTGAAATACAAAAGATCCTCAGAGGCTATTATGAACACTTCTATTCACAAAAACTAGGAAATCTAGAGGAAATGGATAAATTCCTGGAAACACACAGGAATCAAGAAGAAATTGAAACTCTGAACAGACCAAGATTGGGTCCCAAAATTGAATCAGTGATAAAAAACCTACAAACCAAAAACAGCCCTAGACCAGACGGATTCACAGCTGAATTCTACTAGATGTACAAAGGAGGAGCTAGTACCAATTCTACTGAAACTATTCAAAAATTCAAGGCTGAGGAACTTCCTAACTCATTCTACAAAGCCAGCATAATCCTGATACCAAAACCTGGGAAAGACACAAAGAAAAGAAAATTAGGCTGGGTATGGTGGCTCACAAATGTAATCCCAGCAATTTCAGAGGCCAAGGTAGAAGAATTCCTTGAGCCCAGGAGTTTGAAACCAATCTGGCAAGATAGAGAGACCCTAACACTACAAAAAATAAAAAATTAACCAGGTGTGGTGGCACATGCCTGTAGTCCCAGCTACTTGGGAGGCTGAAGTGGGAGGATTGCTTGAGCCTGGGAGGTCCAAGCTGAAGTGAGCCATGATTAGGCCACTGTACTCCAGCCTAGGCAACAAAGTGAGATCCTGTGTCAAAAACAAACAAACATACAAACAAACAAACAAAAAAAAAACAAGAAAGAAAAAAAACTGCAGGACAATGTCCCTGATAAACAAAGATGAAAAAATCCTCAAAAATTGCTAGCAAATCAAATCCAGTAGCACACATCTGTATTAGTCAGAGTACTCTTAGAGAACCCTGGAACCTAGAACTAATAGGATATATATAGATATATATATCTCTTGATATATATATCGGAGTTTATTAAATATTAGCTTATATGATCACAAGGTCCCACAATAGGCTGTCTGCAAGCTGAGGAGAAAGGAGAGACAGTCCACGTCTCAAAACTGAAGAACTTGGAGGCCAATGTTCCAGGGCAGGAAGCATCCAGCCTGGAAGAAAGATGTAGGCTGGGAGACTAGGCCCATCTCGGCTTTTCATGTTTTTCTGCCTGCTTTATATTCGTTGGAAGCTGATTAGATTGTGCCCACCAGATTAAGGGTGGATCTGCTTTCCCCAGCCCACTGACTCAAATGTTAATCTCTTTTGGGCAACACCCACACAGACACACCCAGGATTAATACTTTGTACCCCTCAATCCAATCAAGTTTACACTCAGTATTAACCATCACAACATCAAAAAGCGAATTCACTACAATCTAGTAGGCTTCATTCCTGGGATGTAAGGTAAGCTGAACACACACAAATCAGTGTGCTTCATCACATAAACAGAATTACAAGCAAAAACCATATGATCATCTCAATAGATATGGAAAAAGTTTTTGATAAAAATCCACCATTCCTTCATGATAAAAATTCCTAACAGACTAGGCATAGAAGAAACATACCTCAAAATAAAAAGTATTAAAAGAAAAAACCATATGATCATCTCAATAGACATGGAAAAGGTTTTAGATAAAAATCCAACATTCCTTCATGATAAAAATTCTTAACAGACTAGGCATAGTAGAAACAAACCTCAAAATAAAAGAAGCCAATTATGACAAACCCACAGCTGACATAATACTGAATGAGCAAAAGCTGGAGCATTCCTTTTGCGAACCAGAACAAAACAAGGATGCCCATTCTCACCACTCCTATTCAACATAGTACTGGAAGTCCTAGCCAGAGCAATGAGGCAAGAGAAAGAAATAAAAGGCATCCAAATAGGAAGGAAGAAGGCAAATTGTCTCTCTTCACTGACAATATGATCGTGACCTATAAAATCGTAAAGACTCTGCCAAAAGGCTCCTGAAACTGATAAATGACTTCAGGTAAGTTTTAGGATACAAAATCAATGTACAAAAATCAGGAGCATTTCGAGACTAATAACATTCAAGCTGAAAGCCAAATCAAGAACACAATCATATTTACAGTAGCCACAAAATAAATAAAATACTCAGGAATATATCTAACCATGGAGGTATGTATTAGGTCGTTCTTGCATTGCTATTAAAAAAACAAACAAAAAAAAAAACCCAAAAAACAAAAAACCTGATACTGGGTAATTTAAAAGGAAAAGAGGTTTAATTAGCTCATGGTTCTGCAGGCTGTCCAGGAAGCATGGCACCAGCCTCTGCTCAGCTTCTGGGGAGGCCTCAGGCAGCTTTTTCTCGTGACAGAAGCAGGAGTAGGCACTTTGCATGGTGAGAGCAAGCGCAAGAGGAGGGGGAGGTGCCACACACTTTCAAACAATCAGATCTTGTGATTCACTATTGCGAGGACAGCACCAACCCATGAGAGAATCTGCCCCCATGATCCAATCACCTCCCACCAATTCCCCCACCTCCAACACTGGGGATTACAATTCAACATCAGATTTGAGTGGAGACAAATATCCAAACTACATCAAGGTAAAAGATCTCCACAAGGAGAACTGCAAAACACTGCTCAAAGAAATCAAGGTGATACAAATGATATTGTTTGGCTCTGTGTCCTCGCCCAAATCTCACCTTGAATTTATAATAATTGGCTGGGCGTGGTGGCTCACACCTGTAATCCCAGCACTTTGGGAGGCCGAGCTGGGCAGATCACGAGGTCAGGAGAGCAAGACCATGCTGGCTAACAGGGTGAAACCTGGTCTCTACTAAAAATACAAAAAATTAGCTGGGCGTGGTGGCGGGCACCTGTGGTCCCAGCTACTCAGGAGGCTGAGGCAGGAGAATGGCACGAACCCGGAAGGAGGAGCTCGCAGTGAGTGGAGATAAAGCCACTGCATTCCAGCCTGGGTGACAGAGCAAGACTCTGTCTCAAAAATAAATAAATAAATAAATAATATAATAATCATCCCCATGTGCTGTGGGAGGGACCTGGTGGGAGGTAGTTGAATTATGGGGGCAATTTTTTCCTATGCTGTTCTTTTAATAGTGCATAAGTCTCACAAGATCTGATGGTTTTATAAAAGGGCAGTTCCCCTGCACATGCTCTCTTGTCTGCTGCCATGTAAGACATGGCTTTGCTTCTCCTTCACCTTCTGCCACGATTGTGAGGCCTCCCCAACCATGTGGAACCGTTAAGTCCATTAAATCTCTTTCCTTTAGAAATTACCCAGTCTTTGGGTATGCTTTTCATTAGCAGCATGAGAACAGACCAATATAACAAATAAAAGGAAAAACATTCCATGCTAATGGATTAGAAGAATCAATATCATTAAAATGGCCATATTGCCCAAAGTAATCTACAGATACAACACTATTCCTATGAAACTACCAACATCATTTTTCACAGCGTTAGACAAAAACTATTCTAAACTTCATATGGAACCAAAAAAGGAGAGCAGAAATAGCCAAAG
The DNA here is from genome assembly GCF_000001405.40 of Homo sapiens. Lineage (NCBI taxonomy): Eukaryota > Metazoa > Chordata > Mammalia > Primates > Hominidae > Homo > Homo sapiens. The sequence goes on along the minus strand of NC_000004.12, from coordinate 120,217,410 downwards.
CAATCCTGAGCAAAAAGAAAAAGCTGGAGGCATCACCCTATCTGACTTGAAACTATCCTATTAGGCTATAATAACTAAAACAGCATGGTACTGGTACAAAAACTGACACACAGGCCAATGGAACACAATAGAGAACCCAGAAATAAAGCTGCACATCCACAGTTATCTAATCTTCAACAAAGTTGACAAAAACAAGCAATGGAGAAAGGACTCCCTATTCAATAAATGGTGCTAGGATAGCTGGCTAGCCATATGCAGAAGAATGAAACTCCTCCCCTGCATTTCACCATATACAAAAACTAACAAAAAATGGATTGAAGATTTCAATGTAAGACCTCAAACTATAAGAATCCTAGAGGAAAATCTAGGAAACATAATTTTGGACATTGACATTGGAAAACAATATATGACTAAGACCTCAAAAGCAATTGCAACAGAAACAAAAATTGACAAGTGAGACCTAATGAAACTACAGAGCTTCTGCTTAGCAAAAGAAACTACCAACAGCGTAAGCAGACAACCTACAGAATGGGAGAAAATATTTTCAAACTATGCATCCAACAAAAGTCTAATATCCAGAATCTATGGGGAACTTAATTCAAGAAGCAAAAAGTAATATCCCGTTAGAAAGTGGGCAAAAGACATGAATAGGCATTCTCAAAAGAAGGCATAGGAGAAGACTATAAATATATAAGAAAATGTCAACATCATTACATCAGAGAAATGCAAATCAAAACCACAATGAGATACCATCTCACACCAGTCAGAATGGTTATTGTTAAAATGTCAAAAAAAAAAAAAAAGATACTGGTGAAGCTGTGGAGAAAATGGAATGTTTATACACTGTTCATGGAAGATTTCTCAAATAACTTAAAACAGAATGACTGTTCAGCTGAGCAATTTCATTACTAAGTATATATCCGAAACAAAATAAATCATTCTATAAAAAAGACACATGCACTCATATGTTCTTTGCAGCACTATTCACAATAGCAAAGACATGGAATCAACCTAGGTGCCCGTCGAGAATGTACTGGATAAAGAAAATGTGGTACATATACCCCATGGAATACCACATACCCATAAAAAAAATTATGTCCTTTGCAGCAACATGGATGCCGTTGGTTAGCTTCTTACATTACACTGATCATTTCTTCTCCAGTTTTCATAGACCATTGACCAAATATTTATCCATTTCTATTCTCTCCCAATTTAAAAATGCTTAGTTTCTTTTAGATTTGTACATTGTTATGAAAATAGATACATTTTTCTGATTTTGAAATTATTTATGTTTGCTTTAGTGTTAGCCTTAGCTTAGCCATTAGTTCTCCCCTCCCCCTTTGATGTAGAAATGATGAAAGGTAAAACGAATCTTGAGGAGCCCATTTATGTAAGTCTGAAATATTCAGGAATGGACAATGTTCCTTTTCAAGGCAATGACCCTTCCTGATTTATTAGCTTCTCCTTCTGGATTTATCCATGTGGGAAAACATTGCCAAAGCTCATTTGTCTTTTCCTGCCTGTATCCTTATGCCATGACATTGAGGAACTTTGTACTGCAAAAGTATTTTTAAAAGGTGACAAGCCTTTCCCTGTGGAACATTTAAATAATAATAAAAACCAGTTTTAATTAGGATCTGGAATAACTTCTAAGAAGGAAGTAGGAATGGAGCACAGCTCTCCACAGCTCTTACACATGATTGATTTTATGTTTCTTGAGTTATCCTTGTCTACACTTGAATGTAGCTCTGGTATATTTAAGATGTTTTTCTTTGAGAAAAATCCAGCTCTCTCTCTTCTCTCTTCTCTCTCTCTCTCTCTCTCTCTCTCTCTTTTTTCTTGGTAGGGTAAACAATCTCTTATGCAAGGCTGTGAAGATCACATTTCATTATTCCCAAAACTACTCACTAAGATAATTAAAAACATTTCCACTTTAGTTCTCAAAATCATAGTTCCTCACAATATTCAATTCAGAATATCAAGAAAACTAAATAGCCCAGATATTTTTTACCATTCTAATATTCGAAGCAATGTCTTCTTATAGGTATAGTTAAACATTTAGAATATTTTTGTTGGACAACATATTAACAATATTAACAAAATAATAACAAGATAATATAATCTATTTTACCCATTTTATGGAATACAAAGCCAACGACAAGAAACACAGAGTGGAAAATTTAGTATAAACAATGTTAAATCTCTTGCTTTCCATTGTAGTGCACACATTTGATGAGTATAATGATTTAAGACTGTATAATAATCTTTTGTTTCAAAAAAATTAACGATAGACAAAAGAACTTAGAAATAAGAAAATTCAGGAAATTCAGAAAAAAAAATAATAAAATTTTGGCCTTATCTATACAATAGTTTTATGAAGAACATTACTCAGAAATCTGCTTTTTCTTTATAAATGAAATTTTTTTCACACACATAAAAATAAGGTTTCTTACTTCTTACTCTCACCACTTGCATATATCTGATATCCCAAGCACAGACAATTGTCCTGTCATACACCTACCTGAAGAAGTTACTCAGTCTTTAGGAGGGAATGCAAATGATGCCTCATCTATGAAGTCTTCCCAGACACCCCAGTTTGTTCTGCCACTACACTTTGAACTTCCATCTGCTCATATTGTACTGTAATTATTGGTTCATATTTCAGTCTTTTCTATCAAAATGTGAGATTCTCCCAGGGAAGGGAACATATCATTACTTTTTCTATGGTGACAGCATTATGGTAGTCATTCAATTAGTATTTGCTAAGTGAATCAATATATAACTTATTGCTTTGTGGTAATTTCCCTGAAGTATTCTTGAGTCTCTCACATGCATAATTTTTGTTTTATTTTTCCAAAAATGTTCTGTGTTAATGAATCCACCTACCTAGGTTTTAGAACAATAAAACATCTATTTTCCATCCCCCTTCTCCCCTGCATATAACCATAATCTCAGCCTCCAAGGAGAATTATTAAAAGGTATTCACGCAGTAATTACACTTTAGCAAGCTATGGAATTTCAAATAGAGATATATTTAGGTTTGCTTCTCCCTTTATTATGTTGTCAAATTATTTCCAGTATGCTTCAAAAACTAATAAATTGCACTAATTGATATTCTGATGGTTTAAAAGGATTAATGTAACCTCAAAATTTTAATGTACTACCAGGGAATAACAAAGGTCCAAAGTAAAAACATATAGAATCATTATTAACAATACTACTAAGAAGATATTTTACTGAGTTGGGGTTTCACAATTTAGAGATACGAAGAATTTAGAAAGTTTACAAAAAAAAAAAAAAAAGAATTGTGATACCAGAAGATAAGAAATTAAAAACTAAAGAAGAGAACTGTTAAACAATATGGAGAAGCATGCCTAGGTATTTTTCTTTTTCCAGTGAGTATAGAACTAAAGAATATGATACCAACAGGAATTATTTTAGCTATACAGAAGTCACCAGTAGGATTATGAGAGTGGAGGTGTTAACTCCTTCCTTGTTAATTTCTGTACCTTTCAAAATATCAAATAAACATTTGTTATTTTTTATAATTATATGAAAATAAGATAAATAACTAGAGAAATTGTTCAGTACTCATGGTTCTTAAGCATTGAAACATTTTACTAAAAAATGTTCTGAAATATCCATCCCTGGAGATTATTAGAAATAGAATAGAGACAGATTAGATTGGAAAAGGTCAAGTAAAACTTGCTTAAATAGTGACCTCTACATCTGCCTTCCATTTCATAATGTCTATGATTGACTCTAAGTGTTGTTTAAAACAGTAAAATTGCTATTTAAAGATGCAATAGAAATAGATTTTTGTTTTGGGAACTAGTAAGATTTATAAATGCATACCTTACTGCATTATCAAATAAATCTTTTTTTCTCTTGTTTTCTGAGATTTTCCTAAATTTCAGATTGTCTTTTCCTTTTCTCCCTTTCAATAGATATTTCCTTTGAGAAAATTCAGGACAAATCATCATAAAACCATAATAATAATAGATTGTTTAATGCAAATCCCTATAAGGTACAACTATTGCCATAAAGTGGATAAATGGTCTTAGCCATTAGTTAACTTAAATTTACAAAATGCTGTGCATGAAAAATATTATGAGCCAAAGAAGTCAAAGATTTCCCAATACTCCCATACTACTACACAACGGAAATACAAAAAGAAAAAATGAAGCTCTGATACATACAAAGGTTGAATATTTTGAAATTGTTGGAACTTGGTTGTTTTGACTTAAACAAAAGTCATGTAATTTTTCATGTAATTCAACATAAGGCATGGCTCTTTCAAAAATAATTATTATACAATATCATATTTTACAAAATAAATAGCGTTAAGATAAATACTATACAGATGTGAAATAGGAAATTTTTGTTTGACTCTTTAGCTTTTTTCATGTGGAAATTTTGTTTTATCTTTTCTCTTAGCATTTTAACCAAAAATTGCTTTCTGATAAATCCTAAAAAAATAAGTAATAAAGAGAAAATACATGATTTAATAATTTTATAATAGATATAGATATATTAAAAATTAAAAAAATTAAATAAACCAGGCAAAATTTAGTTTTTATAAATAGGTAATTTGCACTTCCTATGGCATATTTTAGTTTTCAAATCCCAAATGAACCTTGGTTACGTTTCACTTTTCTGGTTATTTTCAGGTCTCTGATACTACTACTGCAAATATATATTTATCAAAACATGGAAATACATACATGCATGAGGATTTGTGTAAGGATTTAATCTAAATTTTTTTTCTGCATTTCTTTATTTCACATGTATATAACCTTAAAAATTTAAAATTTACAAAAGACATTCTAAATGAAAATTCTTAAAAAACAAAGTAAAGATATATTAATTCATTAAAATTTAATGTACTTTAAATATGCAACACAATTCCTCCTACATGGCAAGTAATATTCATAAGTAATGTTATTTTATCTTCAATTCATAGGAAATACATACTATACTTGACTTTGAGATTAACTAAAATTCTTCAGCTAGAGTAAGAGGTTAGAAGACTCAGCTCTTGTAAATTCACATATTGACAGCATCTTGCTTTATTTATAGAGAGGATACTTCTACCTCATCTATCAAAATGGAATCTGATTTCAATTATACTTGATCAGGTTCCTGTATCAAATGTTATTTCTGCCAAAAAGAGAAAGTATCTCAGAATATCTTGGCAAAATTCATACACCATATCAACTCCCGCCAGTACTTCTCAAACTGAAAGCATAAAGCCATTTGTTGACATTTAAATCTCCAAAAACTCAGGACAGGATAGGACACTAAATAAAACCAGGGAAAGGGAATATTGAACACATCCCTGCATTTATTAACCAACTCACCCTTATGACAAAGTTTGGGAACTCCGTTCAATTGCCTTTTTGATTTCCAATCTCCTTACGTTTTCTATTTTCTTCATGTGTGAGAAAAATAAAACAACTCTTCTGCCTGTTCTAAGTGACTCATTGTAATTTCATTACTTCTTTCGCACTATTTTTATTCCTGACATCTTGGTATATCCAAATTCTTTCCCCCCATAGAAATGCTGAAATTAGTCTCTTTCACCAATTACAGCAGGGCACGAGATAATGTCCAATCTCACTATTAAGCCAGAGATAAGCAAAATACCTAATGAAACACGACTCAAATAAAAGAAAGAGAGGGAGGAAGGAAAGAAGGAAGGAAGGAAGGGAGGGAGGGAGGGAGGGAGGGAGGGAGAAAGGAAGGGAAGGGGAAGGGGAAAGGGGGAAATGTGTAGGCAGTTTAAGTCTTCTTATTTTACTTGTATGTTGTATATGTGAAAACATCTACATTAAATGAATTACCTCAGACCAAAACTCCTTTATATGAAGCACAAAGATTTATGCAAAGTCATATGAAGTTACAGAATAACAACCACAGCAAACAAAATCAACCATAAAACTCCTTGAACACTTTGTCTGTAGCAGCTATGAGGCCAGAAATATTTTAGTGCAGACCTTTTACTTATCTCTTGCTTAGGTGAATACTGAATATCCAATTTATGCCAAACTGTAAATCCTCTTTCTAGGTTTCCATAGTCTCCACCCTTCTTTTCCTGTGTCCTTCCTCCTTTCGTTAAGATTTTAGCCCTCCCCAATGCCTTCTTGATCTTTTACTGTCTCCTGACCTTCCAGTATCAGTTTATACGTAAGGGCACGTTACCTGTGTAAAATAAACATCAGTCACAATAAGATGTTCCCTGAACCAGGTATTTGTAATTTGAGCCTTTTGATCTCATAAAGGAAGAAGTTATTTTTGTTTTTGATGTTGTATGTTTTTGTTTGAAGTATTTTTTTCTGTTCCTCATCATTCATTGAAAAACTTCTAGTCAACCTCAGCCTAAGAAAGTGAAGATAATTACACTTAGCTGGGCTGAAGAGAATAAGAAAAAAAATTCTATAATTTAAAAATGTTTCTCAATCACAGATCACTTCGATGAGGATTATCTGGAATATCTGTGAAAATGCAGATTACTGTGCTCTATCCCATACCCACTGAATCCTAATCTCCACTGGAATGGTCCAAGAACCTCCACATCTCATGAACAATCCAGATGATTCTCACATATTTGAATATGGAAAACTACTACCTGAGGGCAACTATTCAACTTGTATTCATATAAAAAGGCAATGTCACACTAAAGGCATTTCTTCTAACGTAAACTTTTTCTAAGATTGTGTTTTTCTTTAGTATGTTATTTCTATGTATTCTTTTTGAAGTGTACTGTTTAGTGCAGGAATATTGTTACTAATAATCCTCTCTTGATTAAAAAAATAAAAGAAAGAAGTCCCTCACTGGGTTGGTTTTATAATGGAAAAATGATGTCACTGGCAGCTCTTTTAGCATCTCTGATCTCAATATGTAATGGAAATCAAATTACTGAAAACAAAAGCCATGAAAGGGATTATAAATTAATTTTCTCTTCACTTAAATAAACAGCAAGAGAAAAATTTGTCCTGTGATTAAAAATGACATCATGCTATCTTCTACAAAATAATATCCCCCAAAGTAATTATATTTTTAAAAAATTTTATTTAGTCCTTTATTATTTAAACTACAATAGATTATTTCAAAAGATTCTTCATCTTTTAAATAAAGTTAAATATTACGGATTATACCATCTGGTGCCCAAAGTTGGAGAAATTAATGGGTTATTTGACTTTCTGCTATATTATTTCAAGCTGAAAGAAAACCACTTTATCTGTAATTAATTCCTTAGGTTAAAGAAAAAAACTAGTAAAAAAGATTGTTAAAAGCTTTACACAAAACAAAATGAGCAGAGCTTGAGCAAAGAATGATTTATAAATTGGGCAACTCTCAAAACTGGGAGTTTATTGAGCTCCACTAAGCACTGCAGGCAGGTAGTATTTATAAACAGAAAAAGGAAATGACATTCAGAAACAGCCAATGACATTCAGAAACACCACCGCGTGGTGTTTACCTTATTTGTGCATGGCGTGATGAGATATTTGCCTTATATGGACATGGTCTGATTGGGGGTTGCCAGCCTGTGATTGGCTGAAGCTCTGCTGCTGTGAGTGGCTGAAACTCAAGCTATTTGTTACAAGACTAAACTCTTAAGCTAGGTCGCAGTTGGCTATGTAGGAACTAAAAGTATGGGGGCAGCCTCAGACCAAATTTAGTTTAACAAGTGGTATGCAAGTATTTAGCAAAAATATACCTTCATCAGTTTATACTCAGGCTTCCACTTCTGTTGATTGACTGAAGAAATTACACATACCATTCCTGTTACACGAATTTGAAGAAAGTTAAAAATTCCACATTGCTCTCACTATAGTCTCTAATCATTTGCAACATAGGAAGTTTGTGATTATGACTCTGTGTGTGTGTGTGTCCATGTGTGTGTGTGTGAGAGAGAGACAGAGAGAGAGAGAGAGAGAGACAGAGACAGAGAGAGATCGTGGTGGGAACAAAGTAAGTAGGGAGGGGAGAGAGAAGTGAGTTGGAAAGGAGAAAGAAACAGATCTCTTTTCTCAAAGGAAGAAACTATTCAAAATCTGTACACTGAAAGTACTATCATCTCCTCATTCTATATGTGGTCAAAATCAAACTCTTGAATATAATGAAGTATGGACAATAGTGATATCCTAGAGCCATCCCATATGTTTGAAGACAAGGAAGAGGATCATGTGCATAGAAACTTCTCATGTGTTATCAGGGGAGCCACTCCCTGTGCTCTGCAGTGTTTCTATAGCTGGAGCATATATCACCTGCCCCCCACAAAACACACACACACACACACACACACACGTATGCACACAAAGTACACAAGCTGGGAAACAGTTATTTTAAGATCAATCGATAATTTTCTTCTTGGATTATTCCAGTGTTAGAGTCTGTGAAACTTTCTTCTCTGGCTAAATATTTGGGAACAGCTAATTTTACCCAGAGGCAGGTGAACTTAGAAAGGAGTTCCAGAAAGGCTAAAAATTTACCACTGTCTCAAACCAATAAGCTATCTTTAGAAGCAATTTAACACTAGCCCCAGACCTATATATCCCAGATATATAGCAAAGAGAAAATGCAGATGCTAACTGGACCCACATGCCTTATGAGGCAATTAAGTTGTAAGCTGATTGTTTATTGTTATTGCTGCAAGGTCTTTGAAGTTGTCTCAACCTTCCTTCATCCCTTCAACAACCCCAAGCCTCTTTTTGAATTATTTCTTCCAACACATCCCATGTTGGAAGGTTAATGTGTGATTTCTATTTTCAAATGTGCCTTCAATGCTGCATTAATCATGTTGTATTTATTTCCTTAATCTATTCACTATCTCTCCCATTCATTCAAGACAGACAATTACTGTGGCCTTCATGGAGCTTATATTCTACCATAGGAAGACAAATTAAAAATAAGTAAATTATATAATATACCAGAAAGATTTAAGTACTATAAAAACATTAAGTAAGAATGTGGAAATGAAATATATGTTTGTTGGGAGGAAACTATTTCCAAATTTAATAGTTATCTCAGGCACCTAGTTATGTCGACATCTGTGGGAAGTGGGTCAAACAGTGTGAAGGCCCTAAGGAAGAAACACATTATACATGTTCCAAAACATTAAGTGTCCAGTCAGCACGTGGGCCAGTAAGGGGTGATGCCTTAGAGGGAGCAGGGGCTGAGACCATGGAGGTCCCTGTAAGCCCATTGCAAAGCTTTGGTTCATGTTCTGAGTATGAAGGGAAGGCACTGGAGGCTTTGAACACAGGAATGATTTGATCTGACATATGCTTAAATGCTCTATTTGGCTGGTTTTATCAATAAGCAATAGAGGGACCAATGGTGAAAGCAAGGACACCAAGTAGGAGGCTACTGGAATAACCCAGGAGAAGAATAATATAGCTTGAACCAGTGAGGTAGTGGTATAAGTGGGTAAAATATGGTTGGATTTTAGGTGTATTTTGGCTCAGAATTTCATGAAGTATTGAAAATCTGTGAGAAGAGGAGTCAAAAATGCCTCCAATGTCCTTGGCCTGAGTGCTGGCTTTCTTCAAACCCAAACAAGACCAATCCACTCTCATTCTTTGTTGATGACATTACCTTCTATTTCACTGAAAATTTAGAGCACAACTAGCTTAAATTCTTACCAAATGTACGTCACTGCCTTTACCTGTGCTCATATTTCTCTGCCTTTCCTCCTGTTACTATGGATGAACTATCTGTGCTCCTAAGGCCAAACTTCGCATTGGCACAGGACGTCCCATTTCTTCGTGCTTACCTAAGAACATTGCTCCAGGTAATCTGTTCTTTCTCTCTCATCATTTTTTTCCCCCGTTTTTACATGATCTATCTCTTTCACATTCTTTTACCATTTTGATTCCCTCTCTCCCACCAGAGCCTCATTTCTTCCCTCTGGAAACCTATTTATTTACTCTCTTCAGCCCTCTTCTAAAACAGTTGTGCGCATTCATTGTTGGATTCTTCTTTCTCTCACCATTTCATGAACCCACTTCAATTATGTTTCCCCTCTACCACTCCATTGAAACTACTTCTATCAAGGTCCCCAGTTTCTTCCATTTCACTAAGTCCAAGGTCAACTTTCAGTCCATATTCCTCTGATATAACAAGTAAGCATTTCATAATTGGTAACTTCCTCCTTATTGGACCACTGCCTTCAACTGAATCATAACACCATACTCTCCTGATTTTCAAGCTGCTTGATGTCACAATGAATCCTTTCATTATCTGCTGGAACAATGACCCAAACTTAAAGCTATATATAGCTTTGATTTTTTTTTTTTTTTGAGAAGGAGTCTTGCTCTGTCACCCAGGCTGGAGCGCAGTAGCGTGATCTGGGCTCACTGCAAGCTCCGCCTCCCAGGTTCAGGCCATTCTCCTGCCTCAGCCTCCTGAGTAGCTGGGACTACAGGCGCCCGCCACCATGCCCGGCTAATTTTTGTATTTTATTTAGTAGAGACGGGGTTTCACCGTGCTAGCCAGGATGGTCTCAATCTCCTGACCTTGTAATCCACCCGTCTCGGCCTCCTAAAGTGCTGGGATTACAGGCGTGAGCCACTGCACCCAGCTTATAGCTCTGATTTTTACTGGGACTTTTATTTTGCCTCCTGGTAAGGGAAGGGAACAAAAACTTCTAGACCCATGAAGCTTAAAGTTGTAAAGATGGATATACAAATTCCTCCCAGTTGAGTCACTGAGGATAACGTGAGCAAAACGACTCCTATTTTCATTTTTTGGTTGCATCCAGGACAGCTCCTCTCCTTCATAAGGTGTTGACTCCAACTGTGCTACTCAGCAATTCCTCCAAGATGTTGATCCATAATTTATTTGGCTTCTGGGTGGTACAGGAGGTCATAGGACCATTGCAAATCATGATCCTCACTTTTTAGTCTACTTGTTCCTCTTTTGCTTTTTGATATCTTAATATTAAGGCATCTTTGAGATTCTTCTCAGTCCTTACATCTCTTTATCTACACCCTAGTCATTATAACCAGTCTCATGGCTTTACATACTATATTCTTTTCCAGATTCACATCTCAAGCTTAGACCTTTGCACTTAAATTTATATATCCAGGCTTGGATATATCTAAAGACATCTGAAATGTAATATGTAAAAAACTGAGTTTAGATGTTCCCTACTACCGCCAACAAAACAACAAGAGAAACAATCTGCTTAAAAAAAACACTCTCAGTTGACAGCCACCACATCCTTCATGACAAAAATCTGAGTCCTTGATTCCTCTTTCTTTCACATACTACATCTAATGTATTAGCAAATCCATGTAGATCCATCCCCAAAAATATATCTATAATCTGCCTAGTTCCTTTCAAGCTCACTACTACTACTCCTTAGATCCAAGTCACTGTCATCTGTCACATGGATTAGATAGCTTTCCAACTAATTTTTCAACTTCCACCCTCTTCCTCTTCAGTCTATTCTCAACATAGCAGCCAGAGTGGATTTGTAAGTCAGATCATTTTTCTCTGTTCAGAGTAAAATTCAAAGTCTTTACATTCAGTGCACAAGTCAAATCAGCCCCTTTTACTCTTCCATTAATGATGCCTGGTATGCTTCCTATCTCAGAGCCTACCTATCTGACATTCTCTAAGCCTGGATCACTCCTCTCTCAGATATCCTCATCACTAGCTCCCTCAGATCCTCAGATGTTTACTGAAATGTCTTCTTCTTAGTGAGGCTTTCGCTGACCACCATACTTAAAATTACCAGCTTTCTCCCCACAAATTCCCAATCCTACTCCGTTGGTTTTTCTCCATAGCACTTATTGCTAACATTCTACATATTTTACTATATTTTTACACTCTACATGTTTGTTTTTTTTAAACTAGAATGTAAGTTTCCTGAGGGCAGGTTATTTGCCTGTTTTGTTCCTTTCTGTATCTTTTATTCCTAGAAGAGAGACTGTATAGTAACTGTTCAATGTATGTTTGTTCAATGGATAAATATTGTTTGTTCAGTGGATAAATAATAAAATACCCTCCCCGAGAAATCAAATGAGGGTTTAGTTTTCTTACACCTCACCCACTACATTCCCTAATATCTTCCTCCCATTGAGTAATATTAAGCATATCATTAACTAACTAATCATTACTAACATTACTGTGACTATCTTAAAACCATTCACTACAGAGACCAACAGTGCACTATGACTGTGTTTCCCTTTTTGTTCAATACTGGAATTTTTGCTGGAGTAAATTACTTATTGTTTCTTCAATTTTCTTACTTATAAAAATATACTAACTAATACCAATTTGTTACCTTCTGCAATGCATCTGTCAAGCACCTATCCATATTATCATCTGAATGCTCACATAAATCAATGATCTATCATTGCTTTGTCTCTTTTTCATTTCCCTAAGATCTGCTCCCCAAAGTCTTATCTTCTTGCTCCAATTTGAACAGAATATTTCCTGAGCCTGTTGCTCAGCTGTCATTCTAGAATTACCTACAGTCTTCATCTTAGTTTTGGTTTACCACTTTGTGGTTTGGAATCTCCTGTTTTCCTGATAACCTATCTTCTTTCATCTTTGTTAACTTTATCATTTTGCTGGAGTCAATCCTTCAATAATTTCCTATGCTAAAATTCAATGGGAGGTTTAATCCTTGCATGCAATTGTTCTATTCTTATACTTGATTGGGAGTTTCGCTGGGTAAAGAATTACAAGATGAAAATGCTTTTCTATCCAAATTATGACATCATAACTCACTCTCTTCTATCTTCTCAATGATACTGTTAATGACATTATGATTCCCTATTCTTTGTATGCCTACCTGACTGTTTACTTTGGAAATATTCAGTAGATACTTTAGTCTGTATTCTAAAATTTCACAATTATGTGCTTTGGTGTCATTTATTATTATTATTTTATTTACATAATGAAGCTTTCCACCGACCCTTTAATTTGAAAAGTCAAGTCCTTCATTTCTGGAAGTATTTTTCTATTTCCTGTTTGAATAATTCTTCTCATCTGTTTTCTTTGATCGTCCTTACTAAAATTTTTATCACACCATTAGATTTCTTGGTGTTTTGTATTCTTCTATGAGATGGTCAGTCAAGAGAAGACAGGAAAGAGGTTCAGGAAAACAAAGTTTATTACACCAAGAGGTCTTAAACACAAGAGGCGCAACATGAGAAATACACCAGTGCAGCCAGATGGAAGAAGACAGAATCAAGGGGGAGGTCTAGGCCCGAGTCTTTATTATGGTTTCATGGGGAAATGCAAGGCAGGGTGAACAATTTAGGATTGGATAGTGAGACAATGCAGGGAACCCTACTTAGGGGAATGCAGCTCCCCTCCCTGCACAAAGCATGGAAATAAAAGAAAATCGTGAGTTCTTTCAAGTGAAATTCCAAGCACCTAGCTAGCCCTGAGAACTAAGTAAGCAACTTGATAAACTAGAACGTAATAGTAGCCTGAAACAGTAGCCAAGGAAGCTAGAATTGTTAGAGTAGATAGTCAGACATAAGCAGAACAGGGGAGAGGCCCTACCTCTCCCCTTTTTCCCCCACCAATAGGAATAGGAATGTCAGGCAACCATCAGGTAATGGTCAGGCAATTGTTAAATTGTCTCTCTAAAATAGTAATTGGTTGCAGCCAGCACCAGGGAAAGGCAGTCTCCCAACAGATTAAAAAAAAACAAAACAAACAAAAAAACACCTGAAACTGCTGAGCAGCAGCTTCCTGAAAAGATCTCAGGAGTTGGGTGAGTGGGCTCAAGCATGCACACTAAGATGCAAAATGGCAGAGTTTATCTGGTATATGAACTTCCTCCAGGAATACTTGACTGGTAAAGGAAAAACAACTCAAGTGAGCATGTGTAAAACTCCAGTAAACACACTGTGCATGCAGCCCCTCCCAAGTGTTGGTAGGCCACTATTCATGCGACAGCCCACCTCAAGGGAAGAATCAGGGAAGAAGTAATGCAAGACCCCAGAAACACGCCAACGCATAAAGCCCCAAGTCAAAGGTCAAACAGCATGCTTGAAGCTCTCAAGTCACCTGCTTGACCCACTTACAAGTATACTTTCCTTCCTTTCGTTTCTGCTCTAAAACTTTTTGATAAATGTTTACTCCTGCTCTAAAACTTGCCTTGGTCTCTCATTCTGCCTTATGCCCCTTGGCTGAATTCTTTCTTCTGAGGAGGCAAGAAATCAGGTTACTGCAGACCTGTAAGGATTCACCACTGCTAACACAATCAGCAGATGCTTGGTTTCCCTATATGGAGTAAAGATAGCATCTTCAAGTATGTCTCTGAGTTGTTTTCAGAAACCCCAACCTCCGTTAAACAGATCTAATGGCACATGGGCCTCAGATAAGGGGGAATGGGGGACTGAACTCTGACCAACATTCTTTGTTTTAAATTTCCTCCTGAGGTGCCTGGAGAAAGTCACACCCATGAGCCAGGCTAACATTCGTTTCTGCTGACCCTAATTTTTTAAACAAAGCTTTTCTTCCTAAACAAATTGAAAATCAGAAAATATTTGAATCTACCTACGACCTGTAAGCCCCAGCTTCAAGATATCCCACCCTTTTAGGCCAAAACCAATGTGTAACTTCCACGTTTTGATTTACAACTGTGCTTGTAACTTCTGCTTTCTGAAACTTACCCTTGCCTTTAAAAACCCTTACCTTAAGCCATCAGAGAGGCCAGGATTTAAGCATTAGCTGCCAGATCCTCCTTGTTAGGCACCCTACAAAGAAGCACTTTCCTGTATCTGGCTGCAAACCTCAGTGTGACTATCTGGTCTTACTGCACTGGGCGGATGAATCCCAGTTCAGTTCCATACCTATAGCGTGAATAATTTCTGTGGACTCTAAACTATAGAGGTGGTCCCTAGTTGCCTGGTATCTGTTCCTGGGATTATTAAAGCAGAGGAATATTGACTTCTGAGGGCCTCAGGCCAAATAGAGGAGGTATGACTCTGGATTGGTTAGTCTGCATAACAAAGACATGTTCCTGGTTGAGCCCTTTGCTGTCTCTAATTGGCTAGCCCCAGGAAAGGCAGTATCTCCCAGGCAGAAAGGTTGGGGTTTTCTTTGGAGGGGGGGGAGGGTTTTTTTTAAGATGTCAAAATATAATATAGAAAAAAAATATATATATATATATGTACTCTCTCTCTCTATCTATCTGTCTATCTATACCTGGTCTGATCTTTTAATATTCTGATATTCTCTCATCTGTTTTCTGCCTCTTTTTCTTTTCCATTTCTCTTTCTGGGGGAATATCTGCCATTATTTTCCAAAATTTCTGGCACTCAATTTTAATTTTCAAAGTGTTTTTACTGGTTATTTTTTATTTTCATGGCTTCAGATCTTGATTTATGGATAAAATACATTATGGGGATAGTAATTCAAGTTTTCCTTATTTATCCCAGATCTACTCTTCTATTTGTTTGTTTTGATCTCTTTGTCTCAGTGGAGGCTCTCCTAGAATATATGGTTATCTTTGTTTGCTCATTCGTATTTAAAAGTAAAGCATTAAGAACCTACTGGAAGTACTGTATTTGGAGTATTTGGAGGTGGTGATTGTTCACTTGGGGCTTCACTGTAAGATCTTAATGTGAAGCCATTTTTTTTCCTTTCTTTACTTCAGGGGTCCTTCTATGTCAGCATTTAAAGGCTGTTTTTTCTGTGATTATTAAAAGAAGATGCCTACTCTTTCTTACCTTGGGGGACATAGACCCTATTGCCACCTGATATTTTGAAATTTTATTAGTAAGAAAAAAGGGCTGATGTTCCCACTTTCAGACTGGCTCTTAATTCCCATTTTTAGAGATGTCATTTGGCCCTGCAGTATCTACTGTGGTTAATGTTTCTTCAACAACCAATCCGGATGAAGCCACTCAATCACTATAAACTTTCCTCTTAATACTGCTTTTGCTGTATCCCAGAGGTTTTGGTATGTTGTATTTCCATTATCATTTGTTTCAAGAATGTTTCAATTTCCTTCTTAATTTCTTCATTCACCTACTGTTTGCTCATTCATGAGCAAATTGCTTAATTGTTGTGTGTTTGTATAGTTTCCAAAGTTCCTCATTACTGATTTCTAGTTTTATTCCCTTGTGGTCAGAGAAGATATTTGATGTTATTTACATTATTTTTTAATGTTTTAAGACTTGTTTTGTCAGTGAGAACACATGGACACAGGAAGGGGAACATCACACTCTGGGGACTGTTGTGGGGTGGGGGGAGGGGGGAGGGATAGCATTAGGAGATATATCTAATGCTAAATGACGAGTTAATGGGTGTCGCACACCAGCATGGCACATGTATACATATGTAACTAACCTGCACATTGTGCACATGTACCCTAAAACTTAAAGTATAATAATAATAAAATAAAAAAAAAAATACACAGGAAAGTTATCACGGGTTACATACAGGGAAGGCAATTCGGCTAGATGCAGTGCTGCAATGGGCTTGTAATCTTGTTAAGACTATTGTTTCCAACACATGGGACACAATAGAAAGCAATTTACAACAGGCTAGGTCTGGTTGGTATAATGATGCAGGGGAAACACAAAAGAATAAAAAAAAAAAAAAAAAAAAAAAAAAAAAAAAGACTTGTTTTGTGACCTAACATGTGATCTATCCTTGACAATGATCCATGTACTAAGGAGAAAATGTGTATTGTGAAGCTGTTAGATGAAGTGTACTGTAAGTTTCTATTAGGTTCATTTGTTTTATAGTGCAGATTAAGTCTGATGTTTCTTTGTTCATTTTCCGTCTGGGAGATCTGTCTGATACTGAAAGTCGGGTATTGAATCTGCAACTATTATTGCATTGGGATCTATTTCTCTCTTTAGCTCTAAAAATATTTGCTTTATATGTCTGGGTGCTCAATTGCCGGGTGCATATACATTTAAAATTGTCATGTCCCTTTGCTTAATTGACCCCTTTATAATTATATAATGACCTATGTTGTCTCTTATTGTTCTGGTCTTAAAATCTATTTTGTCTGATATAAGTATATCTGTTCCTGCTTTTTTTTGTGTGTATTGGCCTGGAATGTCTTTTTCCATGCCTTTATTTGTAGTCTATGTGCCTCTTTAGAGGTGAAGTGTGTTTCTTGTAAGCAATAAATAATTGAATCATGTTTATGCATCTATTCAGCCACTCTATGTCTTTTGATTGCAGATTTTGGACCATTTACATTCAACGTTATTATTGAAAGACAGGGACTTACTCCTGTTATTTTATCATTTGTTTTCTGGTTGTTTTGTGGTCTTCTCTCTCTTCTTTTCTTCCTTCCTACTTCCTATCTTCGTTTTAGTAAAGGCGATTTTCTCTGGTGGTATGCTTTAATTTCTTGCTTTTTATTTTTTGTGTAATAAAAACTCTACATTTTGACTTCATCTCCCCTACTTTTTAACTGTTGTTTCTCCTTGTGTCTTATTGTACTGTCTATGTCTTGAAAAGTTGTTGTAGTTATTATTTTTGATTGGTTCATCATTTAGTCTTTCTACTTACATCAAGATGTTTACATACTGAAATTACACTGTTATACTATTCGTGTTTTCCTGTGTGCTTACTATTTCCAGTAAGTTTTGTACCTTCACATGATTTCTTATTGTTCAACCTTTTTTTTCAGATTGAAGAACTCCATTTAGCATTTTTTTGTAGAACATGTCTGGTGTTGATGAAATCCCTGTTTTGTTTGTCTGAGATCTTTATTTCTTTCATGCTTAAAGGATATTTTCACCAGATATACTATTCTAGGGAAAAGTTTTTTCTTTCGGCAATTTAAATACATCATGCCACCCTCTCGCGGCCTGTAAGATTTCCACTGAAAACTCTGTTGCCATATGTATTAGAGCTCTGTTGTATGTTGTTTGTTTTTTCTTCCTGCTTGAAAAATCCTTCTTTATCCTTGACTTTTGGGAGTTTGATTATTAAATGCCTTGAGGTAGTCTTCTTTGGCTTAAATCTACGTGGTGTTCTGAAACCTTCTTATATTTGAATGTTGATATCTTTCTCTAGGTTTGGGAAGTTCTCTGACATTATCCCTTTGAATAATCTTTCTACCCTCATATCTTTCTCTTTCTTCTCTTTAGGGCCAAAAACTCTTAGAATTGCCCTTTCGAGGCTATTTTCTAGATTCTGCAGGTGTGCTTCATTGTTTTTTTTGTCTTTCTCTCTCTCTTTTTTTTTTGTCTCCTCTGACTGTGTATTCCCAAATATCCTGTGTTTAAGGTCACTAATTCTTCTGCTTGATCAATTCTGCTACTAAAAGACTCTGATGTATTATTCAGCATGGCAACTGCATTTTTCAACTTTAGAATCTCTGCTTGACACTTCTGAATTATTTCAGTCACTTTGTTAAATTTATCTGATAGAATTCTGAATTGTTTACTCTGTGTTATCTTGAATTTCTTTCAGTTTCCTCAAAATGCTATTTTGAATTCTGTCTCCAAATGGTCTAAACAAATTCTGTTTCTCCAAGATTGGCCTCTCAGTGCCTTATTTAGTTCATTGAGTGAGGTCATGTTTTCCTGGATGGTGTTAATGGTTGTACATGTTCTTTGGTGTCTGGGCATTGAAGAGTTGGGTATTTACTGCAGCCTTCACAGTCTGGGCTTGTTTCTGCCTGTCCTTCTTGGGAAGGCTTTCCAGGTATTGAAGGGACTTGGGCCCCAAGCCCAAGAACGCTGTGGTTTTTGCAGACTCATAGAGATACCATTTGGTGGTCTTGGATAAGATCCGAGAGAATTCTCTAAATTACCAGACAGATTCTTGTTATTTTCCTTTACTTTCTCCCAAACATACAGAGTCTCTGTGTGCTGAACCACCTGGCACTGGGAATGTAGTGATGCAATCACCCCTGTGGTCCCCACCACTGGAACTTCACTGGATCAGACCAGAAGCCAGCACAGCACTGGGCCTTGTCCAAGGCCCTTCCCTTCAGGGTGGCAGGTTCCTCCAGGCCTTAGGCATGCCCAGAAATGCTGTCTGGGAGCTGGACATTCAAGTCAAAACCCTTACCAATTTACCTGATGTTCTATTCTACTGAGGCCAAGATGGCATGCAAACCACAATATAAAGTCCTTCCTGCTCTTCTGTCTTCATTCCACAGGCAGAAGAGCATCTCCCTGTGGTCACAACTATCCCCAGTGCATGGAGGTGGGGCATTCTGCCAGGCCATCACCAATGTTTGCTTAAAGGCCAAGAGCTCCTCTGTCAGCTTGTGGTGAATGCTGATAGACCTTGGACTCACCCTTCAAGGTAGTGGGATGCCCTCTGACCCAGAGAAGATCCAGTAATGTATCCAAGATCCTAGTCTGTACGCAGTGCCCCCAGGAGCCTGGTTGTTCCTCTACCCCACTATGGCCAAGTTGGTAGCTAGGATGCAAAACAAAGTCCCCTTTACTTTTCCTTCTGCTTTTCTCAAACAGAAGAAGTCTTTTGCCATAGCCACCAGAGCTGGGAATGTGCTGGGGCTCCCTTGAAGCCAGTATATCTCTGAACTTGAGGCTCAAGGCATGCTCCCTGGCTATTGCTGGTAGTTATCCAGGGCCCATGAGCTCTTCAGTAAGCACTTCATCAATCCTGCCAGGACCAGGTCTTTCTCTTCAAGGCAGTGGATTACCTTTTGGCCCAGGGTGTGTCTAGAAATGCCATTCAGGAGCTAGGGACTGGAATGGGGTCCTCATGACTATGCCCAGTGTCCTATTCTACTGTGGCTGAGCTGGCATCCAACAGGCAAGACAGAGTTTCTCTATTCTTCACTCTTCCCTCCTTAAGCAGAAAAATGAGTTCACTTTTGTTCGTACAAGCTGCACTGCCTGGGGTTGGGGGAGGAATGACACAAGCCCTCCCTTAGCCATGCCAGCTGGTGTCTCCCTAGGTCATGTGCTACTCTAATTCACCAGCTCTAAGCCCAGTCTAGCACTGGGAGTTGCCTAGGAATTAGAGTCCTTTTATCCTAGACTGCCTTTCAAGTTTATCTAGGACCCCAGAGCACTTCAGCCCACGATGACAAGGCCTCCTGAGAAACTCAAGTTTCGACCACTGGGAGAGCAATTTACCTCTTGCTAGGGTTGGTCCAAATATTCCCTCCATGTGCGGATGAGCGCATGCTGACTGAGCACAGCACAGCTTTATTCTCCACTATAACATGGCAGCGCTGAGTTCAGTGTAAAATCCCCCAGTGCCTGTACTTTCTCTCCCCAAAGTGCACAGATTCTCTCTCCACACTGCAGGCCTACTGCCAAGAGATTAGAAAGGGATATGTTGGTGCTTCAAGACTGTCTGTCCTGTTTTCCTGAATGCTTCTTTCCACAATGTGAAATTAAAACCAGGTACTGTGATTGCTCACCTGATTTTTGTTTCTTGTGACAGTGCTTTTCTGTGTACAGATGGTTGTTAAAATTTGGTGTCCCAGTGGCAAGGATGAATGGTGTAGGCTTCTATTCTTCCATCTTGCTTTGCCTCCACCTTTCCTTAGATTTGATTCAAAACAGGCACACGTTTTGAAACTGTTAGATTTGTTCATTTGTGGAACCAACAACCAAAGAAAATTAGCCCTAAATTTTTTAAATTGCTCAATTCTATCATTTCCACTATTATGTACCATTGCACCATTAGTCTCTCAAAGAAAGTCTTATTTGAATGATTTCCAAGAGTTCAAAAATGGGCCTGAGATGGTGATGTCAAGTATTTCATAATAGTGAATTAATTCTCATCTTAAAAAATACAGAATCTACTATTTTATTCCAAAATTAGAAGCAGAAGTCAATTTTGCTCCAGGGTACCATAGGAATTCATATCAGTACATCAGGTTGTCAACAATCTCACACTTCGTCTATCATATTTGGGGGAAAGTCCTCAGGTTTAAAATTCCCTTGTTGAAGAAGGTAATTTTCCTGCAGTGAAGAGTCTGGATGGTGTATTAGTCAGGGTTCTTCACAGGGGGTCAGAACCAATAGTATTAGTCAGGGTTCTTCACGGGGGGTCAGAACCAATAGGAAATATGTCTACATCAAAGGGAGTTTATTAGGAGGAATTGGTTCACATGATTAGAAGGCAAAGTCCCACAGTAGGCTGTCTGCAAGCTGAGGAAGAGAGAAGTTGGTAGTGGCTTAGTCCAAGTCTGAAAGCTTCGACACCAGGAAGTTGACAGTTCCCTGTGAAGCCAACAGTGCAGCCTTCAGTCTGTGGCCAAAGGCCCAAGAGGCTCCTGGAAGCCATTGGTGCAAGTCCCAGACTCCAAAGACAGAAGAACCTGGAGTCTGATGTCTAAGGGCAGGAAGAGTGGAAGCAAGCATCCAGTATGGGAAGAAGAAAGAGAGTCAGAAAGAGCCACACTTATTCCTCTTCTTCCCTCTGTTTTGTTGTAGCTGTGCTGGCAGCCTTTGGAAGGTGCTCTGAGGGTGGGTCTTTGTCTCCCAGTCCACAGACTCAAATGTCAGTCTCCTCTGGCAACAGCCTCACAGACACACCCAGTTCTTTACCAGCCACCTATGCATCCCTCAACCCAATCAAGTTGACACCTCATATTAACCATCACAGATGGTCATATGTTTACTATGTGAAATGAGTATACAAAATAGATCCAAGAAAAAAAAATTGTCTTTGATTAGGAAAGCTTTGGAAAGGGCTCTTCTTTTCTTGGTCTTTGTTTATTATTTATCATTTTATAAGAAATAAATGGATGAGTAAAATTGAAATGTAAACTTATTCAAGGAAGTCTCTGTTTTTAGGTATTTGCCTGGGTTTTGTTAATGAATATTTTGAACTAACAGAGACATTTTTGTGGTGATTATTTCCAGAATTTCCCCTGAATTACAAACAACCTTGCTTAGACCTTGACTTGAAGACATCTATGTGTAACTTGCCTTCAATATATGAGGTTCATACTTTGCCTATTTCATTAGTACATGATAATGCTATTCTTTTGTGAGACAGAAATCTTGAGTTCATTACAAGATACATGCTTAATAAATTAATAATAAGATCACTTGGGAATTATACTCAATGCTGAAGTCTTATATTTTAATAATGTAAATCATGTACTTGGCATGCTTTCATATAATCAGGTCTTAATCAGGCATGAAAAGAATAAATACCTAATTTGAAGGCTGATTTTTGAGCCACAGATGTATTTGTGTAATGCTCACAGCCTGATTTGAACACCTACCTATGAAATGACAGAGAATCATTGAAGTAGATTTCTTTGTTTCACCTTGAAGCTTTTCAGAATGTATAACTTTGACAATCATAAGAGAAAAAGAAACTGAGTTTGATTTGTGACTTTTATGTTATAGTTAAATAGCAACATGGTTCTTGAGTTCACTGGGGACTTGTAGGCCACTCTATCACTTTCCCATGCTGTCTGACATCTTAAAGGAAAGACAAAGAGTAGATGAAAGAAAGTACATGAACCGAGAACTCCAAGGAGAGTACCAAACGATGTTGACTTTCAAGGAAGGTGAAATATTATTTCTATGTAGATTTTTCTGATAAAATTCTGCCTTTCTAGTAACTCAGCACTTGATCGAGTAATCTGTCATTGTGCCCCCACAGTGATATTTTACCCAAATGCAGTGTATCATAAGAAAAACTAATTAATTTTGACTTCTCTGCATCTGTCCCCAGAAGACTCAGGTCTCTTGTTTGCATGGAATAATTAAAGAAAAATAAAATTTCCCCAAAGAGAAGAACTTTTGGTTCTGTTACTGTAAAACATAGAAATAAAATAATTTGTTACCTTGGAAAGAAATGAACTGCAAACTCTTTCCATCTGTTTATTTAGGAGGGAAGGCAGGTTACTTCATGCTCACTGCCATACATGATTAGCTTTTTTGCTCTGGCTTCTGCAGTATGGAGGATTATTCATCTATCAACAGCTTCACACACCAGGCCTGGCTATGCCTATCCTTACTACAGGATGGGCAAGTCATGTATGATGCCCAGAGTTGTAGGCAATAATGTTATCTAACCAGGCAAATTTGTTACATGTTAGCTGCAGCTCAGAGGGAGACATGAAAATTTAAACCTCCTAGGCAAGAGGCAATCACTGAATCTCCAGCCCAAAGCTTGACATGTCATCCCCAATCAATCAGTTGTAAGGGATCACAGAATATTTTCTAGGCTTTTATTCTGGAAGAGGTTAGAGACTGAGTATTACTTGAAGAAACCAGAGCTTATCACAAATTCCATCAACATCACTTTTGCAAGTAGGATAACAAATGAGTAAACTTTGTCATGGGTGGCCAAAGTCTCGTTAATTGGACAGAGGACTTACAGGTTGGGTAAAAGATAAATAATTATTCAAATTAGAAGCAGTTTCATAAAATTAACATTGACTTTGTAAAAAATACCTTTGAAAAGCTCTAATCCACTTTCACCAAGTCTCATGAATTGCAGGACTTTCTGGAATTGTTAATTTAAGATAATTGCAGCACTTTGGGAGGCCGAGGCAGGTGGATCACAAGGTCAGGAGATCGAGACCATCCTGGCTAACACAGTGAAACCCTGTCTCTACTAAAACTACAAAAAATTAGCCGGGCGTGGTGGCACATGCCTGTAATCCCAGATACTCAGGAGGCTGAGGCAGGAGAATCATTTGAACCTGGGATACAGAGGTTTCAATGAGCCAAGATCAAGCCACTGCACTCCAGCCTGGGCAACAGAGCAAGATTCTGTCTCAAAAAAAGATAATAGGAAAGGTTTATGAAACTAATGTCTTTGATTTACTTTTTATGCTATAAATAAAATGTATACAAAACAAACTTATCACTCACATTCAGAATGATTGGCAAGAGTGAATACAGAAGGATTAAAAATAAAATTACCCTGCACGTTTCAAAAGAATAAAAAGAATTTTTAAAACATGTTAAGCATTCTTATTGAGACTGGCAATGACTTGGGATAATCAGTTTTGACTTGAAAACAGATAGCAGGTTAGCAATTTTTTGTCTTCACATTCTGAAACTCATAAAGAGAAATGTGAGATCTCTGAATGACGAAATTTTATCATTTCAGTCAAATCATACTTGAGAAAAAATATAGTGCTTTTGATATTGCTGTGAACAGCTGAATTACAGGAAAGTTTGGTATTAAAATTCTCTTTCTTCTATATGTCACTTTTCCTTCATAGCTTAAACATGAAATAAATTTCCAGGCCTTCAAATAATTGAACAAAACATCATATGTCTTGCTTAGTGGACAGTGTTTTCGGTTTTTCTGTTCTTAATTTTAGCTGCATTTTATCAGGTGGGGCCTCATACCTGTGGAACCTCATTCGTTTGCTTTTGCTCACAGAACCAAGGACCCACTAAATGAATGTAGAAGGGAAACTAGAAATCAATGTTGGCAATATATAAACCAAGCACAGTTACAGGATATGTTAACTTCCAAAGACAAAAAATTGAAGAAAAGCCATGAGAATTTTTGGCTATCTGCCTATTTGGGAGATATGACAGGGAATATAACACATTCTACCTATATTCTTTTGTTTTGGGATTTAACATTAAATTCTGTACTCTTTTTTTTTTTTTGATAAGGAGTCTTGCTTGTTCTATCGCCCAGGCTGGAGTACAAGGACGCAATCTTGGCTCACTGCAACCTCTGCCTCCTGGGTTCAAGCGATTCTCCTGCCTCAGCCTCCCGAGTAGCTGGGATTACAGGCACCCACCACCGCACCTGGATAATTTTTGTATTTTCAGTAAAGATGGGGTTTCACCATGTTGGCCAGGCTGGTTTTGAACCCCTGACCTCAGGTGATCTGCCTGCCTCAGCCTCCCAAAGTGCTGGGATTACAGGCGTGAGCCACTGTGCCCGGACTTAAATTCTGTACTCTTAAGTAAAATGTTTCCAAGGCATTTTCCTGTGGATTTTGGAGTGTGCCTCAACTCACCATAAGCTGAGTGTACAACCATTCAACAAGGTACAGGGGCAGATACAGCTGTGCTATGTTAAGGTAATATACTAAGCTGAGGGATTATTTGTGGTCCCATTACTTTTTAACCCATTCACAGATAAGAGAAGGCCCAGTCTAGCTCCAGGATAGAATTTTTAAAACATTGTGCAGAGAGGAGTAAAAAAATAGAGCCTGTTTTCAGCTTCTGCCTTTCAAAATTGATATTGGAAACACAAAATGGGGCAATTATGTTAAAGTTTTTGAATCTCAGAAGGCTAGATGCTGAGGAAATCAAAGCATAAAATTAATGTCAAAAGAACATATTTGGAAGAATTTAAAAAATATAAGAGCAAGTTTTTACTACTCCAGTGATGAAAAAAAAATTCCTCTGAACTGGAAGTGAAGCATCAGTGAGGAAAACGGTCATGTGTGAGGGGGTGCTGTGGGCTCTGAGAAGAGGTTAGAGTGGGCAGCAGATCCCTTTCCAGGTTTGGGGTCCAAAAGTCGAGGACCCCTCGTGATCCCTGGAGATGGCAGCCCTGCAAGACTCCACCCACTACAGTGTGCAAGCTTCAGCATAAAGATGGCTGCATGCATGACAGTGCTAGAGAGTTTCTCATAATCCCAGTGGGGTATAGTAGAGCAAGTAAACATTCACAAACCTCCAAACAGAGTGGAATTTAGATAAGAAAGAGTTGGTGAGCTTGGAGAGGCCTCATAGTACAGATGACAGGTCTGTAGAAACAAACACAGCCATCACCAAAGATGAAACAGGGAACTGAAGTCCAGCACATCATCATGGTGAGTCAACAGTGACTGTGGACTAGAGGAGACATTTCAGCAGATGCAAGCATGGAGCAGTGCCACACAAGGCCCACAACACTCTGTTTTTATGCTCTGTGATCCTCCAGAATTTAGATATAACCTAGGACAAGGGGAAGAGGGAAGGTCTTGAACTACTCAAGATGAAGGAAGTGTTAGAGTTTTATGGAAAGGATTTTAAAATATGAAGAAAGTTCAGTCATAGAGAATATATTTCTCCTGAAACTGAAGTTTTGGCACACATGTGTTTGTGTCCCAAAATTTCACACCACTTTATATATGAAAGACTAACTTCAGCAAGATTAATTGCTGTCTAACTAGATACAGGAAGCAATTCCTAAAGTTTCAAAATTATAGAGATACAGGAAAAGGTTGACATCTGAGGAAGAAAATTGTGCTGTTTTCATTTATATAAAGTCTTTTCTATAAATGGTTACTTAACATATTTGCTCATCTAACACAGAGTTTAGCAATCTATGGCCCCTGGACCAAATCTGGCCCACAAGTTGCCTATTTCATTATAATTCACCAGCTAAGAATTAGCTGAGTATGTTTAAAGGATTAAAAACAAACCAAAAGAATAATAGTATCCTGTGATATTTGAAAATTATATTAAATTCAAAATTTCAATGCCCCCAAATAATGTTTTATTGGAACATGGCCAAATCTATGTGTTTATATAAAGTAGCAGTTTGCTACAATAGCAAAGTTAAATAGTTGCAACAGACCATATGACCCACACAAATATTTGCTACCTATCCATATATAGAATTAATTTGAAAACCCATGGACTAGTAGCAAACTTCCTGGCTG
Source organism: Homo sapiens (assembly GCF_000001405.40). Classification (NCBI taxonomy): domain Eukaryota; kingdom Metazoa; phylum Chordata; class Mammalia; order Primates; family Hominidae; genus Homo; species Homo sapiens. Next base: position 120,190,877 of record NC_000004.12, on the reverse strand, counting down.
AACAGAGTCAGAGGACCCAGAATGCACCAACCAACTCTTAAAATACATTTGTTAGAATTCCCTAGTGGTTGCATATTAAATTAATTAAACCCATGCTTCCTTGAGTGAGCTACTGTGTGGAAAGGCCTTAGGTGAAGAATCTAAGTGATACATAGTGGTCTTCTCATTTGTGATTTTGCATAACCTGAAACTAGAGCTCTAGGTACTGCTAGTATTTTCTTCTATGGGTTCAATATTAATATTTTATTTTTTATTAAAATAAAATATTCTATTCTATTCAATGTATTTATCAATTAAAGTTAAAAAGTTACACCACTTTATAAGTAAAACCAGTACATTGTAATTATGCCTTGTTTGCCACTGAAATAAAGACCTACATTATTTTTTAAATGCCAGTATTTCTCCGTGATCAGTAATAGATAAATGCTTTGAGTTTTTTGTGTCCAATAAAATAACAGAAGTAATAATTAGAATTTATTGCATTCCTTCCATGTGTTAAGCATTTTAAATGCATATTTTCACTTAATTCTTATCACAACAGGTTAGTGCCATACCCACTCTATAAATGAGAAAATTTGAGCTCAGGGAGAAAAAGGAACTCGCTCATAATTATCAGTCATAAGCGGCAGATCCCAGACCCAAACATTAGTCATCTCTGCTTTCTCCACTGAACCATATCATGTTTCTTTATAATTTCTAGTGTATTTCTAATTTCTTCACATATCATTCACTCTTTCCTATTCAGTCTTCTTTTTGACCAAAAGCTCACATTTACAAGGTGGTTAAGGAGAGCCAATTGGTGACCTGCAAATTTAATTCTCTGAGTGAAGACCCTGGGTAGGACCTGAGCTCACAGCCTTGCCCCTTCCACACCATGTTTGTAAGAACTGCTTCCTTGGGCAGTAGCAGCAGTTTGTGTTGCCCATTGACTTCCTGTGATGACAGTTTGGAATATGGCAAATAAAGTACTTACTGTGATTTGTTTTGTGACTTCTACACAAAATTTTCCTGACCTTTGCTCACAGAGATGGTGCCACCATCGTTCTTTCAAAAAGGATAATTTGACTGAAAAAATTAATGAATATGCCTGTCTTTTGACTGTAAACATGAATTCTGGCTTCTCTTTGCTGAACATTTTCATTTTTATAACCCCATTTCTTTGATCCCCAGTCAGCATATTCCAGGCATGACAGGGGTCAATGTTCTTTTAAAAATTCACTACTTCAAAATGAAGACAACACAATAATTGCAACCTAATTTTCGAAGTTAGCCAACTTATTAGCCCATCTGAAAAAAAAACTCAACTGATAATTATTTTCTTCCTCACTCATACCTCCCAAAATTGAATTTGCCAGTCTCTGTTGGTGCATTTGAAACTTTTCTCTCTGCCAAATTGAGATTTTAAAAATGTGTTAATAACTACTTCCATATTTGAGGCTTTATAACATCTCACATATTATTGATGCTTAAAAATAAATATTTCATGGCATCCTCTGAATACTTTTGTGATCTTCCCAAATATGTTTAAATAAACAATTGGATTCAGTTCAGAAAAAAAGTTGAACAATGAGTAAATTTCATGTGCACAGCAGGTACAAAATGAAGATGATATCATTCCCATCCTGCAGGAGCTTTGCTAGTCAGAGTGGTAGTAAGGTAAAAATGAAGATGAAAGATGAAAAATGATGCAATGTTTATTCTCAAGTATGCTGCATATTACTTGAATTTTGTCCCCTCAAAAAAACACAGTGAGGTCCTAACCCCTCGGTACCTGTGAATGTGGCCTTATTTGAAAAACAAGGTCTTTGCAGATGTAATCACATTAAGACGAAGGCATTATAGTGGGTCCTAATCCAATATGGCTAGTACACTTTTAAAGGGGGGAAGTTTGGACACAGACACATAAGGGGAATGCCATGTGAAGTCAGAGACACACAGAGAGAACATTAAGTAAGGACAGAGATTGGAGTCATACTGTCACAAGCCGAGGAACACCTGGGTACTTTCAAAAGCTGAAAGAGGCAAGAAAGGATTTTCCCCTGGAGACTTCAGAGGAAAAGTGGCCCATCCAGTCCCTTGACTTTGGACTTCTTGCCTCCAGAACTGTGAGAGAATAAATTTCTTTTTTATTTTTAACTTTTATTTTAGGCTCTGGAGTACACGGGGGTTTGTTATATGGGTAGACTTGTGCCATGGGGGCTTATTGTACAGATTATTTTATCACCCAGGTACTAAGCCTAGTACCCAGTTGTTTTTTTCTGTTCTTTTCCCTCCTCTCATTCTCCACTCTCAAATAGGCCCCCATGTCTGTTGTTCCTTTCTGTGCTCATATGTTCTCATCATTTAGCTCCCACTTACAAGTGACAACATGCGGTATTTGGTTTTCTGTTCCTGCATTACTTTGCTAAGGATGTTGGCCTCCAGCTCATCCATGTTCCTGCAAACAACATGATCTCATTCTTTTTTTATGGCTATGTAGCATTCCACAATGTATATCTACCACCTTTTCTTTATCCAGTTTACCATTGATGGGCATTTAGCTTGATTCCATGTCTTTGCTATTGAGAATAGTGCTGTAATGAACAAACATGTACATGTGTTTTTATGGTAGAACAACTTATATTCCTTTGGGTATATATCCAGTAATGGGATTGCTGGGTCAAATGGTATTATTGTTTTTAGCTCGTTGAGGAATTGTCACACTGCCTTCCACAATGATTGAACTAATGTACACTCCCACCAACAGTGTATATGCATTCCTTTTTCTCTACAACCTCTCCAGCATCTGATATTTTTTGACTTTTTAATAATAGCCATTCTGACTGGTGTGAGATGGTATCTCATGAAGGTTTTGATTTGAATTAAGAGAATAAGTTTCTGTAGTTTTAACATGCCCAGTTTATGATACTTTATTACAGCAGCCCTAAGGACCAATATTGTGGAATATGCAAGTCTTCAGACATAAATGACTATGGTAAAAAGTGAGTGCTCAAGATTCTAAAGGTGGTATAAAAAATGTGAGGAAGACTCAGAATTGGGAATCAGATAAAGGTTTCTGGGGCACAGACACAAGATCTAGACATGCAGGAATGATAAAATCTAGACATCTGGAAATAGGGTGCAGGGCATTCTAGATGGAGGGAAGAGGATGTGCATTTGCTTAGATGTTTGATAGCAAAGAGGGGAAGAATAGTGTGGTAATGGAAAAGGAGAATTGAACAGGTAAGCAAGAAGGAATGTGGGACTAGATGACAGGTGTAGAGAGTTTCAATATTAGGCTGAGGATTTTGGTCTTAGGGAAATAAATCATTGAAGGCTTGGAAGAGATGAGTGGCAACACCAGTACTGTTTTAATAAAAATACCTAATCACTTTTATATAGATAGGTTGAAGAAGGGAGAGATTTGGAGGCAAGAACACCAGTTAATAAGCTACCACGATAGTCCAGAAAACAGGCAATGAGAAAATTGACTAGGGTAGTTGTAACAATAATTGAAAGGGAATGAAGTGTGAATGACAATAGCACAGAGATGTCATAGCTATCACCGAACAACTAATTGGACTTGGGAAATGAAATATGGATAGATAGGTGTTACATCTGTTATCCCTTGCCATAATCTATGTAACAAAAATTATAAAACTTTGGTGACATACAACAATAAGAATTTGTTTTTGCTCATGTGTCTATGGGTTGGCTGGATAAGTCAGCTCCCTGAGTTGGGCTGTGGAAACGAGGTGCTCACTCAGGAATCTGCTTATCTTGGCGGGGCTCTAGACTATGTATGGAGCCTATCTGGGACAGCAGGGCTGACTCTGCTCTTTCTAGTCTCTCATCCTCCAGCAGGCTGATGCAGGCATATCCTAGTAGTGAAGGCAAAGAAGCAGGAGTGTGAGCAGAAAGGCACAGAGAGCTTCTAATTCTATGTAGCATATTTGGTCTCATTAGTCAAAGCAAATTATGGGATGAAGCTCTGGGTCAGACTACAGAGATGAAGCTCTGTAGTCAGGAGGGGATTACAAAGTCAAGGAGTCAAGGATGATTTCAAAGTTTTGTGTCTTCCTTCAAAATTCAGTTCAAGCATCACTTCTGTAAAATCTTGCCCACAGCTCATCTGGGGTTTCACTGTTTCTTTTGCATGTTTGCAATATTTAAATGATCATACATTACACTTGTCCATTTGTGTGTCAGAGGGCAGAGACCATACTGCTCTGCAGTCCAAAGGTCTAGTTTCAAATGCCAGCTCTACCCCTTACTAGCTATGTGATTAGTTCTTCTTGTGTCTCTATCTGTAAAAGGGACATAAAAGCACTGCCAACCACATGGGTCATTTTGTGCATGACACAAAGTAATGTGTGAGAAGCCTAAGAAATGTAGATGGTTATTATGATTATGTGTTTTTATTTTCATTGATACATACTTTGTGCAGTGCTTAACACATAAAAGTCATTTTTTAAAAGACTTGAAGAAATGAATGGAGGAACAAGTAGATGAAATGTATGGGATGAAGCAGGTGATACTGAACATGAAACACAGCAGAGGGATATTTGATTAGATGGGCACTAAAGAGGCAGAAGGAGATTGAATTAAGAGAATCAAAGAAAAGGCTGGCCTTCAGTGAGGAAGAACATTTTTGCCTGAGCTAGCATGTTTATTTTGAAAGCCTCTTTCAATATCAAGCATTTTAATTAATCACAGTTATATTTTTGGTTTTTGATTTTTTTTTGCTGTCTTAATATGGTTTATGGTATAGAGTGCACATCAAGTGGTACTTTCTCTGGATCAGTTAAGATCAAGGAAACCCAATCTATCCCACCAGATAACACGTTGTTTTAATTTCTAAATGTAATGGGCTGGAGGAGATATTTATCAAGTTCACAGAATGTTTCTTAATAAACATGCCTAACTTAAAATATAAAGAAAATAATTTCTTTTTCCAAGATATTAAAATATTTCAGTCTTCTAAATCTGTACAGCAGATTTCACAAAACACAATGCAATAATTCCTTTGCTTGACTTGTTGAAACAGCCATTCTCTTGACTTGACCATTAGGGAATAAGTATGTTTATTCCCCATGTAATGAGGCCACAATGCTTATAACTAGGTGAGAAGTTACTTAAGAGCAATACTCCTGGATAATGGTCTGCTAGGAGCAATAAAATTTAACATAGCACATGAACAGTTGAGGTTCATGTATTAAAACGCAGTATCTAAGAGGAAAAAACCTACTACCTATTATCCAGGAAATGAGCACTAAGTGAATGGGAAGCCATATTGAACTTTCATCAGCTTCCTATTTTAGAAAAGGATTCCTATTAGAGTTAAATGTGTGATATTTGACAATCACAGGATAAAAGAAGTTACAGTTGGATAGGAACTTAAAGTGTCCCATCATTTCTCTGATAGTGTTAGGGCAGCCAGGCAATTTTTCCCAAGGACATGAAGAGAAAAAGCCAAGTAGGATTGTGCTAGTTGACTGTTGTAAGGCCAGCACCCCAACAATAGCTGGTGCTCAGTAAGTATTTAGAAAATAATTAAGTAAATAACTGACAAAAAACTATGTGTTAAAATAAAATATTAATATTAAAATATAATTCTATTGAAAAAATGAAGAGTTATAAAGAATATGTAATATGCCATCTTTTAATCAAGAAGAGATATTATTTCTCTAACTCAATATTTATCTCAATGATGCTTTAGGAAATAAGCTAAAATAGGAAAAGTGCAAAAGTGAATTTAAGGATAATTAGTTTGCCCCCAACAAAAGATCATTTTAAGTGAGTTCATAAACAGTGGAGATGAAGAATTTTATATTACATAGAGAAAAGAAATCAACTAGCCCTTAGCCTTGAAAATTGAAACTAAGAATTAAGAAAATGAGTTGATTTGGATCATATCTCTACAATCATGTTATAATAGAAATTTTGCAATAGTTTTTAGAACAAATCAGAAATGAATCATTGATTTGTGGAAGGAATATTTTTCTAAGAAAATTGTGTTATAGCACATTCTTCCCTTCAAATTTGAACTTCATATCACAGATGCCAACAGGCTCATTTTTGTTTCCTAGACTCATCTCTTCATCTTATCATTCTTAAATCATTGTATATTTTTATAGGATGTATCAGTCATTTAATTTTATTTTATTTTATTAATTTTTGTGGGTACATAGTAGGTATATATACTTATGGGTTACATAAGATATTTTGATACGGGCATACAATGCATACTAATCACATCAGGGTAAATGGGGTATCCATCACCTCAAGCATTTATCTCTTCTTTGTGTTACAAACAATCCAATTATACTATTTTAGTTATTTTTAAATGTATAATAAATTATTATTGACTGTAGTCATCTTGTTGTACTATCAAATACTAGATGTTCTTCATTCTACTTAACTATATTTTTGTAACCATTAACCATCCACATCACGCCTCCCCAACTACCCTTCTACACTCTATCTCCATGAGTTCAATTGTTTTAATTATTAGATCCAACAAATAAGTGAGAACATACAAAGCTTGTCTTTCTGTGCTGGGCTTATTTCACTTAATTTAATGACCTCCAGTTGCATCATGTTGTTGCAAATGACAGGATCTCATTCTTTTTTATGACTGAATAGTACTTGATTTTGTATATTACCACATTTTCTTTATCCATTCATCTGTTGATGGACCTTTAAGTTGCTTTCAAATCTTGCCTATTGTGAATAGTGCTGAAATAAACATGGGAGTGCACATATCTCTTTGATATACTGATTTTCTTTCTTTTGGTTATATACCTAGCAGTGGGATTACTGGATCATATGCTGGATCATATGGTATTTTTAGTTTTTAGTGGAACCTCCAAACTATTTTCCATGTGGTTGTATTAATCTACATTCCCACCAACAGTGTACAAGGGGTCCCTTTTCTCCACATCCTCGCCAGCATTTGTTACTGACTGTCTTTGGATAAAAGTCATATTAACTCAGGCGTGATGATACCTCATTGTAGTTTTGATATGCATTTTCTCAGGTAATGATCAATGATGTTGAGAACCTTCTCATATATGTTTGCCATTTGTATGTCTTCTTTTGAGAAATGTCTATTCAGATCTTTTGTCCATTTTTAAATCAAATTATTAGATTTTTTTCTGTAGAGATGTTTGAGCTCCTTATATATTCTAGTTATGAACCCTTTGTCAAATGGATAGTTTGCAAATATTTTCTCCCATTCTGTGGGTTGTCTTTTCACTTTGTTGATTGCTTCCTTTGCTGTGTGGAAGCTTTTTAACTTGATGTAATCTCATTTGTCCATTTTTGCTTTCGTTGCCTGTGCTTGTGTGGTATGGCTCAAGAAATCTTTCCCAGTCCAATGTCCTAGAGAATTTCCCCCAATAATTTCTTTTAGCAATTTCATAGTACAAGGTCTTAGATTTAAGGCTTTAATCTATTTCGATGTGATTTTTGTATGTGGTGAGAAATAGGGGTCTAGTTTCATTCTTCTGCGTATGGCTATCCAGTTTTCGCAGAACCCTTTATCGAAGAGACTGTCCTTTCCCCAGTGTACGTTCTTGGCACCTTTGTCAGAAATGAGCTCACTGTAGATGTATGGATTTGTTTCTGAGTTCTCTATTCTGATCCTAGGTCTGTATGTCTGCTTTTATGCCAATACCATGCTATTTTCATTACTATAGCTTTGTGGTATAATTTGAAGCCAGGTAATATGATGCCTCCAGCTTTTTTTCCCTTTGTTCGGGATAGCTTTGGCTATTCTGGGTCTTTTGCAGTTTCATATAAATTTTAGAATTTTTTTTCTATTTCTGTGAAGAATGTCCTTAAATTTTTGATAGGCATTGCATTGAATCTGTAGATTGCTTTAGGTAGTATGGACATTTTAACGATATTGATTCTTCCAATCCATGAACATGGAATATCTTTCTATTTTTTGTGTGTCCTTTTCACTTTCTTTCATCAATGTTGTATAGTTTTCATTGTAGAAACATTTCACTTCTTTGGTTAATTCCTAGCTATATTACTTAATTTGTAGATACTGCAAATGAGATTGCTCTATTGATTTGTCAGATTGTTCATTATTAACATATAGAAATGGTACTGATTTTTGTGTGTTAATTTTGTATCCTGCAACTTTACTGAATTTATCAGTTCTAACAGCTTTTTGGTGGAGTCTTTATGTTTTTTCAAGTAAATATAAAATCATATCACATGCAAACAAGGATTATTTGTCTTCTTCCTTTCCAATTTGTATGCTTTTTATTTCTTTCTCTTGTCTAATTGCTGTAGCTAGGACTCCCAGTACCATGTTGAATAACAGTGGTGAAAGGGGGCATCCTTGTCATGTTCTAGATCTTAGAGGAAAGGCTTTCACTTGGTCCCATTTAGTATGATACTAATTGTGGGTCTGTCACATATAGCTTTCATTATATTGGGGTATATTCTTTCTGTATCTATTTTTAGGGTTTTTAATATGAAGGGATGTTAAATTTTATCAAATGCTTGTGTAGCATTAATTGAAATGATCATATGGTTTTGCCTTTCATTCTGTTATGATGTATCATATTGATTGATTTGTGTATGTTGAAACACCCTTGCATCCCTGGAATAGAAGAATGATCTTCTTAATGTGCTGTTAAATGCAGTTTGCTAGTATTTGTTGAGGATTTTTGTATCCATATACATCAGGAATGTTGGCCTGTAGTTTTCTCTTTGTTTATGTGCCTTTGTCTGGTTTTAGTGTCAGGGTAATACTGGCCTGATAGAGTAACATTGTAAGTACTCACTCCTCTTCTAGTTTTTTGAATAGTTTTCAGTACACTTAGAATTAGTTCTTCTATAAATGTGTGGTAAAATTCAGCAGTGAAGCCATCAGGTCCTGGACTTTTATTTGCTGAGAGACTTTTTATTATGGTTTCGCTCTCAGTACTTGCTATTGATTGGTTCAGGTTTTGGACTTCTTCATGGTTCAATCATGGTAGGTTATATGTGTCTAGGAATTTATCTATTTTTTTCTGGGTTTTCCCATTTATTGGCATATCATCGCTCATAGTAGCCTTTAATGATCCTTCAAATTTTTGCTATAAAGATTGTAATGTCTAACTTTTCATCTTTGATTTTATTTATTTAGGTCTTCTCTTTTCTTAGTTACTCTGGCTAAAGGTTTGTTCATTTTATATTTAAAAAAAACAACTTTTCATTTCATTCATCTTTTACATTGTTTGTTTCCATTTAATTTATTTCTGCTCTGCTCTCTATGATTTCTTTTCTTTTGCTTATTTTGGGTTTGGTTTGTTCTTGCTTTTCTAGTTCATTAAATTGCATCCTTGGGTTGTTTATTTGAAGGTTTTCTACTTTTTGGATGTAAGTTTTTATAGCTATTAACTCTCATTTTAGGACTGCTGTCCTTGTATCCCATATGTTTGGGTATGTTGTGTTTCCATTATCATTTGTTTCAAGGAATTTTTTGCTTTCCTTCTTAATTGTTTTATTGGCCCACTGGTCATTCTGGAACATATTGTTTAATTTCCATGTGTTTGTACGGTTTCAAAAAATCCTGTTGTTATTGATTTCTAGTTTTATTCCATTGAGGTCAGAGAGGATACTTGATATACTATCAAGGTTTTTGAATTTTTTAGGCTATTTAGTGGCCTAAAATATGGCATATTCTTGAGAATGATCCATGTGCTGAGGAGAAGAATGTGTATTCTGCAGCCACTGGATGAAATGTTCTGTAAATATCTATTAGGTCAGTTTTGTCTACAGTGCAGAATAAGTCCATTTTTTTGTTAATTTTCTGTCTGGATGATTTGTCTAATGTTGAAAGTGTGGTGCTAAAGTCTCTTGCTATTTGTATATTGGTATCTATTTCTCTCTTTAGCTGTAATCATATTTCATTTATATGTCTGGATGTCTATATGTTTACCATTGTTATATCCTCTTGTTGAGTTGACCCCTTTATTATTATATGATAATCTTCTTTGTCTCTTCTGACAGTTTTTGTCATGAAATCTTTTTTGTCTAATATAAGTATAGGTACTCCTGTTCTTTTTCTGGTTTCCATTTGCATAGGATATCTTTCTCCATCCCTTTATTTTTAGTCTATGTGTGTCTTTATTGGTGAAGTGTTTTTCTTGTAGGTGACAGATCATTGGGTCTTTTCTTTTCTCTCCATTCAGCCACACTATGTGTTTTGACTGTGAGTTTAGTCCATTTATATTCAATGTTATTAGTAATAAGGGCTTACTCCTAGCATTTGATTATTTGTTTTGTGGTTGTTTTGTGATCTTCTCTTTCTTCTTTCCTTCCTTCCTATCTCCGTTTCAGTGATGGTGATTTTGTCTGATGGTGTATTTTGACTTCTTGCTTTTTATTTTTGTGTATCCATTGTATATTTTTTTATTTGCAGTTACCATGAGGCTTGCCAATGATATTTTATTTATTTATTTATTTATTTATTTATTTATTTATTTATTTATTCATTTTGAGCAGAGTCCTGCTCTGTCACCCAGGTTGAAGTGCAGTGTCATGATCTCGGCTCACTGCAACCTCTGCTTCCCAGGTTCAAGCAATTCTTCTGCCTCACCCTCCTGGGTAGCTGGGATTACAGGCATGCACCACCACTCCCAGTTAACTTTTGTATTTTTAGTAGAGATGGGGTTTCACTATGTTGGCCAGGCTGGTCTCGAACTCCTAACCTCAAGTGATCCACCTGCCTCAGCCTCCCAAAGTGCTGGAATTACAGGTATGAGCCACTGTGCCCAGCCACAAATGATATTCTATAACCAATTATTTTAAACTGATGATAGTTTAAACTGATTGCATGAGTAACAAACAAGCAAAGAGAAAACTATTAAAAACTCTACACTTTGTCTTCATTCTACTATTTTTTAACTTTTTGTTGTTTTTAGTTATATCTTATAGTAATAAGATATATGTCTTGAAAAGTTGTTGTAGTCATTATTTTTTTACCTTTAGTCTTTCTACTCAAGATATGAGTAGCTTGCAAGCCACAATTACAGTGTTACAATATTCTGTTTATTTACTATTACCAGTGAGTTTTGGACATTCAAATGATTTCTTATTGTTTATTAACATCCTTTTCCTTCAGATTGAGATACTTACTCCCTTCAGCATTTCTTGTAGGACAAGTCTGGTGTTGATGAAATCCCTCAGCTTTCATTTGTCTGGGAAGGTATTTCTCCTTCATATTTGAAGGATATTTTTACTGGATATACTATTCTAGGATAAAATTTTTTTCCTTCAGCACTTTTTGTCATGCCACTCTCTCTTGGCCTGTAACGTTTCTACTGAGAAATCTGCTACCAGATGTATTGGTGCTCCATTGTATGTCATTTATTTCTTTCCTCTTGTTGTTTTTAGGATCCTTTCTTTATCCTTCAGCTTTGGGAGTTTGATAATTAAATGTCTTGAGGTAGTCTGATTGGGTTAGATCTGCTTGGTGTTCTATAACTTTCTTGTACTTAAATATTGATATCTGTCTCTAGGTTTGGGAAGTCCTCTGTTATGATCCTTTTCAATGAACTTTCTACCCCTTTCTGTCTCTCTACCTCTTCTTTAAGGCCAATAACTTAGATTTTCCTTTTGAAGCATACCATCTGTAGGTATGCTTCATTCTTTTTTATTCTTTTATCTTTTGCTTCCTCTGTATTTTCAAATAGGTGTCTTTAGGATTACTAATTCTTTATTCTGTTTGATCAGTTCTGCTGGTATGAGATTCTGATGCATTCTTCAATATGTCAATTACATTTTTCAACTCCAGAATTCCTGCTTGATTCTTTTTAATAATTTCAATCTCTTTGTTAAATTTATCTGATAGAATCCTGTGTTCTTTCTCTGTGTTATTTTGTTGAGTTTCCTCAAAAGAAGTATTTGAATTCTCTCTCTGAAAGGTCACATATCTCTGTCTCTCCACAATTTGTCACTGGTGCCTTATTTAGTTGGTTTGGATAGGTCATGTTTTCCTGGATGAGCCGATGCTTGTGTAAGTTCATGTCTGTGTGTTGTAGAGTTAGGTATTTATTGTAGTCTCTGAAGTCTGGGCTTGTTTGTACCCATCCTCCTTAGGAGGGCTTTCCAGGAATTCAGAGACTTGGGTGTTGTGACCTAAGTTTCTGGTCACTACATCTGTATCTGCATTAGGGGCACACCAAGCCCAGTAATTCTGTGGTTCTTGCCAACTCACAGAGGTCCCAACTTGGTGGTCTTGGATAAGATCTGGAAGAATTCTCTGGATTACCAGGCAGAGACTCTTGTTCTCTTCAGAAAGAAACTGAGTCTCTTTCTCTGTGCTGAGCTGCCTGGAGCTGGGAGAGGAGTGACAGAAGCACCTCTGTGGGCACCATCATTGAGCCTGCTATAGGTCAGACCTGAAACCAGCACAGCATTGGGTCTTGCCCAAGGCTCACAGTAATCACTACCTGATTATCACCTATGTTCACTCAAGACGCTAGGGCTCTATAATCAGCAGGTGGCAAAGACAGCCAGGCTTGTGCCCTTCCTTTTATGATGGTGAGTTCCCCCTTGGCCCCCGATGGGTTCAGAATTGCCATCCAGGAGCCAGGGTCTGCAGTTGGAAACCTTAATTTTTGACCACCAGAGTCAAAATCTACCTAATGCTCCATTCTACTGCAGTTGAGCTGGGACCCAGGCCACAAGACAAATTCCTTCCTACTCTTCCCTCCCCTTTCCACAAACAGAGGAATCTCTCCCCATGGCCACCACCACCCCAGGCCCATGGTGAGTATTGCCTGGCTCCGCTAATGTTCACTCCAGGCCCAAGAGCTCTTCAGTCAGCTTGTGGTGAATGCTGCCAGGCCTGGGACTCTCCCATCAGGGCAGTGTGTTCCCCTCTGGCTCAGGGTGGGTCCAGAAATGCCATCCAGAAGCCAAGCCCTGGAATCAGGGCCTCCAAGAGCCCACTGTGGCAGAGCTGGTACCTAAGCTGCAAAACAAAGTCCCCTTTAGTATTCCCTCTCCTTTTCTTAAGCAGGAAGAGGCCTAAATTATTTTCTATTGAAAGCCCTTCACATATAAATCTTGTTGCTTTTCTCCTCTGACCTAAGCTACCACAGCCTCATGTTTTATTGGCTGTGTATGAGATTCAAGCAGTTCTCCCAGGTCACTTTATAAATCTTGAATCTTTTGCACTTTTAGTCATCAGCAAACTGAATTATATAATTAGACAGCATAAGCAGCTGATAATCTTCAAAGCACCGATTGACAAAGATGTTGTCTGACACCACTATTGGTACTACAAAAGAAGGGATATTTGAATGGGCATTAATTTTATGGTGCTTAGTTACTAATTAATACTTTTTTATTTGTATAGTTTGTGTTCCTAAACCAAACATAGCTGTCCGTCTTCAGGCAATCAATATAATAGATGAATGATATTATTCATTTTGAGTACTTTATCTGAATAGTAGTTAGGGGATGCATTGGCTGTGTACAAAATATCAGTAGGCATTAGATTCAAATGGAATTTTCTGAGAAATATTACTGTTTGGATCATCTTAGAAACTCCTAACTACAGCTTACCTGCTCCTCTAAGAGCCTCCATTCAACATATATAAATACAACTCTCTAAAGCCTGTTATCCCTACCACACCTGACTTCATCAGATTCACTCATCAAATTAGTCTTTTATGAAAAGTCGCCACTGTTTCAATTAAACCAAGTGTGAAGGCCATGGGAAAAAAGAGAAGTTAAAGTATGTGATATTTCTTCCATCGGACTCTAAAAATAAGGCCTTTTCCACCTATCGTCAGTTCAGTTCTGATTTCACTTTCTAAAAGTTTGAAAGTGAACTCAGGAAGAGATATATATTCATTGAGACTACTTTTTAGGGCTAGATAAAAGTTAAATGTATACTTACTACTGAATATACAAAATTATGCATATTAACTTCCTACCCAGTGCCATAGTTAAAAAATGACAGGCTAATTGCTTAATGGTAGAAATTATAAGCCTTCAAATATCTTAAATGACTACCTACAAATATAATGACTTAATTTATTATATCCAAAACAAGCATAGACTACAAGTTAAATGAAATAACATTTCCCTCTTCCTTACATAACTTATGTGGTTATATATCATATGGAGAATGAGAACATTAGAAGAATGTCATCAATGTGTTCAAACTCTATGAACCATAATTCTAACAGCCATAAAGGCAAAGCCTTGTGATTATTCTATATTCAGTAGGGGGAAAATATTTTCTGATCAGTTTATTTTATAACAATTTTGATAGTACAGTTTCATTTGTTTTCTAACATAAATGTTCTGAAAGTCTTACAAAATTAGTATCCATACTGTAAAATGGTTGACTCCACACATAACATTTTTATATTGGCAATACTATTTATAGCCATTCTTGTTATTATGAAAAACGAGTCTCTTAACTCAACTTAATTTGCTGCAATCCAAAAGTACTTATTGAGCAACCGACCCCAGGGTAGCAATTGTGAAGATTTAAAAGGTTATAAGATTTATTTGCTCCTTTAATTAGATTATAATCTTGTGGTATAGATAACATTTACCAATATGAAAATATCTCAGACTTAAGAAATAAATTGAGGTTGTTTCAAAATTGTGTGACTTCCATAGACAGCTACTTGAGCATTCCCAACTTTTTGGAACCCCCTTTCCTTTACTATTTAAATATAATATTATAGCATTGCTTCGGTCTCATGTACTATAAAAAAACCAATAACCACTCCAATACCTGAGAATTATTAGTGAGGCATTTCTCCTAGTTTCCTCTTGCTACATTTTCTGATTCTGCTCTTTCACTATTCACACTCAGCATCTCACCTCTGCAGCCACTGCCTGTGGTTGGCATACCTGTGCTCCCATTGGCCACAACTGAGTCCTTCGCTTCTCCAGAATACCAAAGACACAGCGTAGCTGTGTGTAACAGAATTTCACTGAGGATTTAAGATAGTAGAAGGTGGGTTTACAACATAGGACAGCCTTCAATTTAAAACTAAATGTTTATACTCTTTAGTTAGTCCTAAGCATGAGTAACTTCTCATTGTCCACTCTTCCCTAAAGCTATTGAATTAGCTACATTTTCTCAAACTCTCTGTCACCTCTTCTTCTCCAGTTCCTACAAGTTTTCTACTCTCTCTTATCCAGGACATCAGATAATCTCATTTTCTACCCTTTAATTTTGAAGATCAATTTGGCACTCTTGTAATTCATCTCCCAAAGAATCCTTATTTTCCTAAAAAAACAAGAATCATCTCTCCTAATGTAATAATGCCACTTGTCTAGTATGTCAAAGTGGTTGTAGTCAGTTCGTGCTTTAAACAGAATTTTTTAAATGATCATATTACATGAACAAGTGAGAATCAGTAAGCGAGACCTCTCTGCAGGTTGGACTTGTCAATCAAGCTTCATGAACAATAATGGTAATTAGAGCAGACTGAAGGGTCCTTAGTATTTCAACAGATTGAAAAGAAACAGGAAGATATTACATGATAGCAGAACAGAAAAAATAAGGGTTGGGATGTGGAACTGTGCCTGATTATGTGGGAGAAGGAGAGAAGAGTTGCTTGACTAGAATTGTGACATGGTGAGTAGTAGAATATGAGCTCAGAGAAATGGTTTGTAACCAATTATAGGATAACTAGAGAGGACAAAAGGAGTTTAGATTTGGAACAACAGAAAACAAGAGATAGATGCTTTTCAGGATTCTTTAACAGAAGTGAGAAATGGTAAAAGAAATATTTGTAGAAGATTAATCTGGTGATATAATAGGAGATATGTTGATGAAATAAAAGGCTGGAGGCAGAGAAATGAGTTTATATGATTTGACAGTAACTGGGAAGGGCACTGAGGAAATGAGTGAGCCTCGTGACACAGGAAGGGAGGAGGGTGGTGGGAATTGAGAACTAATGCAAAGGACCCACCATGTTCAGGCTTAAGGCTGCTGATCAGCAACGCGACCCCCGATATATTTAGTGATAGCTGGGACCCGGAGGTGAATAGGGGAGGAGAAGAAATCTTTCCTCTGCACGGCTGGGGTCATGCCATGAGCTAGAGTGGTAATTTTCCACCTCATCTGTCTTTTGAGACATCATTTGTACCTATCAAGACTTATGTACTACTGTTTACTAATATAGTTATGAAAAATTTTTAAATATTTAAATATCTTAATCTTTTACAAACTATTGTTGTTGCTTTTTATAACAAAGGTAATCAATGTTTAAAAGGAATAAAAGGTAAAAAGGATATAGGATAAAAATGTCAATGATCTATTATCTACAAATATACCCTGCTAACATTCTGCAGTAAAATGTACTGTATTTTAACAGATTAACATATAACATATTAAAGTCAGTTTTGTCTTGTGCCTAGTTCATATCACTTTTTATATTATGTTTTCTATAAAGGCTTTAAAAATAGAACAGTTATTAAGCTTTCTGCATTGTTTTCTCCCATTTAAACTAATAAAGAAAATGAACACTTGGTATTAGTATTGACAGGGTAGAATGGTTAAAATAAGGAAGCTGATAAAATAATGCACATTTCTCAAATAGAGCCCCATTAACAGAAATGTGTCTCAGGTTTTGATTCCATTCATTTTGGCCCATGATATTAGCTGTCTCAGAAACATCATATTTGCAAATCACTCATGTTTAATAAAGACAGGCATTGTGCAAGTACTGAAGCTGAGGAAGATATCTTGCATTCTGAGTTTACACTGGCCCCAAGATCCACAAAGTATTTGCTTTTTAGGCACTAGCCATTTGAAAAGCGGTTTTCTTTCTGCCACTTATGGCAGCGAAGAATGAAAAAATATAGTAAAATACATTATTTGAAGCCAAAGACAAAGCAGAGTGCTCTCAGATGTCATTTATTTTACTTAATAACTCTAGCCATAAAAAACTCAGCAAATCCTATAGAGAGCTATTTTTTTACAATTGAGAACTATTTTCTGTCCATAAATGATGACATATGTATAAAGAAGAAAAAATGACTTGCCATTATCTCCTTAGGGCTCTAAACATAGCTAGAAGTAAATTTTAAACTGTTATAAGTTTGCAAAGTTTTTGATACATAGCAGTTTAGCCATTGCTTTTCTGGGCTTACATCTGACAACAAAATATATTTCCTATTTAGTAGGAAAGTTTTGTAGACCTTCACTACTCCCTGGAAAATAAGATGTCTAGGAAGAAAGAATGAGCTAACCTGGTATAATTGTGTGGGGTTTTGGAGATGAGATCTGGTCCATATTTGTCAATGACCAGTGTGTTGACCTTGGGAAGGTTATTTAATCTCTCTATATTTGAACTTGATGCTAATATACTTACAAGCATCCTTCTCATTAGCCAAGTCATTACTTAATATGGAATACTAGAAGAAAGCAAACCAACAATGATTATTTAAGCACAGAGTGTTGAAAAGACTGTTTACATATTAAGCAAAATTATCTACCCATCACAGAGGGAAGCCAAGCTGCCCAGTCATTCCGTAGGATCACTTCATTTTGCACATTTGCAAATAGATTCCCAGTGATCAAGCAACAAAACAGAACAGCACACATCTTTGACATTTTCAGTAGCCAAAAATGCTTGGGAGTAATTTTAACTAGAAATAGTATGAATAAATTGTTTCAAGGACGATGTCATATTAGAAGAGAGGTCAAAACAATGTACATGTAGCTCTACATGACTATCTATTGATGCTTTAATATTAAAAATAACTTTCAAGGCATAATCCTCAGCCTTCTGTTTCCTCCTCACCTTCCCTTGAAGGGTTTATGACTCCAATACTTTGGGCTATGCAGTACTTTTATTTCTATGAGTTGAAGAAAGCAATAGTCCTAGAAGAAGATAGGAAGAAAGAAGCAATCGTAGATTTGTCATTAAAGTTTCCTAAATAACCAGAGAAATGACCAGATAAATAATTTCCAGAATCTGAAAATAGTCTAGTGACCCAAATAGGTACGTCTGGCTGCCCTTTCCAAGTTCTGTGGCTTCTAGTGTAGTTCTTACAAGTTCAAGTTGCTACTCTCAGACAATACCACTATCCTGAGTTGTACTAAATAAATGTAAAAGCTGAAAAGAAGCCTCCTTGGTTGTTCATACCTTCTGAAAGAAAACAAAAATTAGATCATCAGAGAGAGATATGTCTTCTACTCTTGCTTTATCTTCAGATAAGCAACACATATTTGTGGAGTACCCATTAGATGCCTAGTGCTGTGCTTGGCACTGCTGGGGAAAAAATGAAGATATGTCAGGTCTCTTTCTTTAAGAGATTTCATTTAATTCAAGATGAAAGATAAAAATACATCACAGAGCCTGCCTATCAAAGTAAGGTCCAGTGGGCCAGCAGCACTGGAATCGCCTGAGGTTGTTAGAAATGTGGAATTCCAGACCTTAACTCAGTCCTAATAAAGTGGAATCTGCATTTTAACAACCACCCCCAGGTGATATATATGCATATTAAAGTTTGAGAAGCAATGACAAATACAGCAATATTTTCTCCCCCTACAAATATATTCCCCACAGTTATAAATGGCCACGGGCCCAACTACATGCCAAGACTATTAATGTGCATGTTCATGGAAGACAAGGAATCACTTAAATAAAATTTGCTCAAATGTATCTAATATACATTAGACAATCTTAGCAAAGAGGCTGTTGTTTATTTTTAAAGCTACTGTAGTACAAAAAAAAAAAAGACTATTTTATTTAGTGTGCTATTTGTAGACTTCCAAAAGGTAAAAATGATTTTGTTAAAGGGGGACAATATCTACTATCTGAAATATCTTTAGTTTACAAGGCTATGAACATAGCACCAGAGGATATACAACTCTATTTACTAAAGATTTTGTGATTTGGTGATTAAGATTCTTGTCTCTTTATCCTTTTTCTGGAACTAGCATATCTCTAGGATATGTCAACAAAAAGAGATACCAGGTAGGGAAGGATTTTACTCAAAAGATGTTTAAGTTTGTGTGTAAGATTAAAAAAGTATCAGGCTGAATTGTGGAAGGCTAGAGCATGTAGGTTAAGTACATCATAAGTAATATAATATGAAAGCATTTTTATATTTAAAAGTTATTTGAAATCAATGACAGTCCATTTTTGTATTCAATAAAGGATAAACTTGAAATCAGTTTAAAAGTGATAGTGATATTAGTATAAAATGTACATTTGCTTTGTATCACTGAACCATGAAGCAAATACCTAAGAATTCTTAATGATTACTAAATTGCTCTTCACCATACTGATTACACGTTGTACTGTATTGTGCAATTAGGTCGATGTATAATTACACATTACATTCATATTACTATTCTTACACATTTATTCTTTATTCTTTTAGATCCCTTAAAGAATCAATGACATTCCTTGAAGTTAAAATAGATTTCATTTACATTAATGAAGATTTTGATTAGTTAATGGAAAATAATTATATGCAAGTTCCTGTACTGGATTACCCTTTACAATTTTTTACATGACTTTCCACTCTTTGTTTGATATTAGCAATTGTGGTGTGAAATGCAGTATGAAAGAAGAAGAAAGGTGTTCTTACTTTCTTTTTTCTAACTCCTTTTAAATCAAAGTTATAATTTCTGAACATCACATTTGGGTCAGGCTCAGTGGCTCACACCTATAATCCCAGCACTTTAGAAGGCTGAGGCAGGTGGATCGCTTGAGCCATGGAGTTCAAGATCAGCCTGGGCAACATGGTGAAACTCCGCCTCTACTAAAAATATTTTTTTAAAAAATAGTGGAGCATGGTGGCATACATCTGTTGTCCTAGCTACTTGGGAGGCTGAGGTGGGAGGATCACTTGAATCCAGTAGGTGGAGGCTGCAGTGAGCCATGTTCATGCCACTGCACTTCAGCCTGGGTGACAGAGCAAGGCCCTGTCCCAAAAATAAAATAAAACCATGTTTTGTCATTGAAGAATGATTTGTTTTTCTCCTTTACAGAGATCAGTTCCCAATAGTGATGAAATCTTACCATTAACTATGAGAAATAAATATAGCTATGATCCTAAAATAAACTTAAAGTACACTTACATCCCTCTAGATCTGTAAAAATGGGAGTATACATTTGTGAGAACACTGCAAAGGCATTTGCTTCCATCCAAGGTGTTTGTCTTGCTTATTCTGATGCTCTGGGTTACAGGTTAAGAGACTGAAAAGGTAAGAATATAAATAGCCAATGCATTCTCAGACTACATGTTTTGTGCTGTTGTTCTCTTTGTTTGGTTTTGTTTTTAAATAAGAAAATTATCACTACCTCTAAAGTATTAAGTGGTTCTAAAATGCAAACGCTTTGGAAAATAAATATAAATATGTAAGTATATAAGGAGAAATATAAAATACATATAAAAATGTGTTTAAAATTTTATCACTTAAAATGTCAAAACATTAGGAATTTTTGTTCCAGAATATAAAAGTTCTGATTTGTCATATACCTTAATTAGGTACAAAACTCTTTTTCCTAAAACAAACACATTTGTTATAAAAATATTATTTCAATTTCATTTCTAGTAGGAATGTCTTATAATTTGAGACACATAAAAAATAATTTTACTCATATGCATGAAAGAATCAATATCCCATCTTTTTCAGTATGAGGTAGCCAGTTTTGTGGGACAGCTCCATACAGACTTATGGAGATGATTTTTCAAGTTTTATACTGAAATGTATACATTGGACAATGCCAATTTTATTAGAATGAAATAAAATAAAAAATTGGAAAGGAAAGACAAAAACTATTCCAACAGCCCTCTGCAATGAGGCCAGACTCAGGACAGAAGAAAATTCTTAGAATTACAGGTTTCATACTAAAGTTTCTCTGTTCATTTTCTTAATGTTTATTCAGCCAAGATTTTCCCTTACATAATGTTTTGTGAGTGGAAATCTGAATCATCGTGGAATGGTTACACATTTTTTAAAACAGTGCCCTGCCATTAAAGACTTCTATAATGATGGGTAAGGAAAATGGCATTATGAAAACATAATGATTACCCATGTGGAGCCACAAGACGCTTCACCTGCTTTACAGAGCTTGGAGTAAATTTTCTGCAAAACTATCGCAATGTCACAGACAGAATTTTGCTAATATTCCAATTATGTCAGTTAAATGTTATGTTTGTGTTCCAATCCACTCAAACATGTGATAAGTGGTATGTGATACCCCCTTGTCTTATAGTGTGTTGTATGAAAGGATCTTTTCTGGAATACAAACTAAATGGTATTTCTTTCTTCACAATTCTGTTAATTTCAGAGTATATTATTAAATATACACAAGTGCCTACTATGTGAGTAGTACAAGGCACTGTGTTAGGTTCCACAAGGGATGGGGATAGAACAAGACAAATTGGGACACAAACAGACAAGAAAATTACAATCTAAAAAAGAAGAACAAGCAGCTAACATTAGTTAGTCTAATATATTCTCCCCCCAACCAAAAAAAAAAAAAAAAAAAAAAAAAAAAAAACACTGCCATGAGAAAGGTTCAAACAAGGAGCAGACATGTAAAGAAGACAGACAATTTCTTCATAGAGAAGACTGAAAGAGGAGACACGTGATCCCGTGATCCATATAGCAGTTGTAATGTTTTCAAGTTACACATTCAGGTTCACATTAAAAAATTATTACCACCTTAGTTCCATGATTTTCGGTCATCAGATAATGCCTCATTGGGATCATCTAGGATGTGCAAAATTCTCCCACGGTCTACATCATCGGTTCTGTGTTCAGTCTTCTCTCATCCTTATTGCCAGGGCTCTTTCATAGCCCCTCCATGCCATGGAAGACTCTGGCACTATTACAGGCCCTCTCTTCTTAGACACACTGAGCTGCTCTGGGGATTCCTAATGAGAAGTTGGAAATTCCTCCTTTAAACTTCTCCCTCTAATTTCTGGGGTCCTGTAAATATTTCTGTAGTTATTATCACCTCTCTTCTAAGGATGAAACAACCTTGGGGTGGAGAGATTCGGTGGCAAAGATCCTCACGAGTGTGCCCAAATGTATAGCTTCTTGAGAAATGGCTAAGATTTTGCCATACTGAGATGACAGAATGAAGCACTCCCGGGAGATAGCAAATAGGTAACTTTAGAGGTCAGCAAGGCATCCAACTTTCCTGGGTTTGTGAGCAGGAGGTGGCTCAGTCAATTACTCCACTCACAGTAAAATCAGAGTACAATTCAGTAAAACAGCCATTCCCTCATTCTGTTTTACATGAACCTAGTACATCTATCTTATACTTTACCCAACCACACGTCTCTTTGAGGTCATGCCTGATTATAACCACCCTCAGCATCTATCTGAGTACCTGGCCTAATCTAGGTTTATAATTGATTAATCAATAGTTCCTATAAAGGGAGTTTGGGGATTTATATTAAATGGTGGTACTAAGTATTAAATCATTGGATACTTGGAAGGAAAAGGTAAAGAAAGATTATACAGCTCCGATAATGTTGCTTATATATTATCCATTTCATTTCCACCCCCTCACCAACCAGTTTTGCTGAGAAGCTTTCACCCTGAATAAGCACAGAAAACCTAGTGGACACTGCTATCATTGACCCTGCACCTTAAAAAATGTAAAAGCCAGATTGTGACAATGTATCCATATGAATCAGCAGTCAATGCAGCATACATTTAAATACATAATGCTCTTGTAGAGTTAGGTGGATTCTTAAAACATTCCCTTATAATAGGGTATACCTCATGTACATCTAAAGGTGCACTGAACAACTAACTACTTTTTAAATAGAACCTAACCATTGATAAATTTATGTAATCATCTACGTAGAAACAATACATAATTTCCCTCTATTTAGCGGATGACATATCTGAATTACCAGTGAAGCATTTAAAGACCACTGATTTATAATATGGCCTTGACTTTTCCACTATTCATGTACAAACATATTTTTTACCAAAACAAGAATATTTTGCACGTTGCACTTTTTTACCTCTACACATTTATCCATGGCTCTCCTCTGTTCTCTTTTCTCTATTACTGAAACTGAAATACTCCATATCCTTCAATGCAGTGCAGAGACCACCTCTTTCAGCATGCTTTTGAGGATTACGCCTCCTTTGAACCCCAAGCACTTGTTACATTAATGATTATTTGGCATTCAGTAACTACTTGCCTGTGTTCAGGCCTGTGTGTTTGTGCATGCATGTGTGGTTTGTGCATTTAAGTTCACACATATTTTATTTATCTAAGATCAAAAATAATAATTATGTTTATTGTGTCCTTTCCATATGCTATGAAGAGTCCTATGCATTTACATGATTTAATACATTGAATTATCACAACCTTTCATTTATTGCATATTGTGAATCCCATTTTATGGATGTAGAAAATGAAGCATACAAATTTGGTAATCTACTATAGCAAAACTGAGGTATGTGAAAATATAATTACATTACTTACCCTTAAAATTAAGCCCAATATTATTAATTAGGTTGTCAAAATAGTATTTTAAAAATTAGAGACATCATAGCCTAATACTTCTCCTTCACATACATAGTACTCATTTGTACTTTAGCCAAAAAGCACCACGCAATGACTATGACAAGGTGACTCTGGCCTCAGTTCCTCACCTTAAGCATGTAAAACCTCTGGGCATCCCAGTCTGAAATGAGAAAAACAAATTACTGTGTTTCCTAATTCATTGTATTTTTTTTAATTTTTATAGAGTCAGGTAGTACAAGTGCATTTTTGTTACATGGATATATTGTGTAACAGTGAGGTCGGGGCTTTTAGTGGAACCATCACCTAAATAGGGTACATTGTACCCAACAGGTAATTACTCATTCCACACCCACCTCCCACCCTCCCACCTTTTCGAGTCTCCAGTGTCTACTACTCTACTCTGTATGTCCATGTGTCCACATTGTTGCGCTCCTACTAGGTGAGAATGTGCAGTACTTGACTTTCTGAGTGATTTAACCTAAAAAAAAAAGGTTCCCAGTCCCATCCATGTTACTGCAAAAGACATGATTTCATTATTTTTTATAAATGGATAGTATTCTATGGTGTGTGTGCATGAGTGTATGTGTATAATATATGTGTGTGTATTTTGTGTGTGTGTGTGTGTGTGTGTGTATATATATATATATATGTTTCTCCAAGAATGTATACACATTTTCTTTATCCAATCATCTGCTAATGGACATATATTGATTTCATGTCTTTGCTATTGTGAATATTGCTGTGATAAACATACGAGCACAAGTGTCTTTTTAATATACTAATTTCTTTTCCTTTGGGCAAATACCCAGTAGTGGAACTGCTGGATCAAATGGTAGTTCTATTTTTAGCTCTTTGAGAAATCTTCACACTGTTTTCCATAGAGGTTGTACTAATTTACATTCCCACCAACAGTGTATAAGCATTCTCTTTTCTCCTCATCCTCACCAATATCTACGTTTTCTTGACTTTTTAATAAAAGCCTTTCTGACAGGTGAAAGGTGCTATCTCATTGTGGTTTCAATTTGCATTTCACTGATGATTTGCGATGTTGAACTTTTTTTTCACGTTTGTTGCTGCCTGTATGTATTCTTTTGAAAAATGCTCATGTCCTTTGTCCACTTTTTAATGGGGTTATTTGTATTTTTCTTGTTGAGTTATTTTAATTACTTGTAAATTCTAGATATTACCCTTTTGTCAGATACATAGTTGGCAAATACTTTTCTTCCTTTTGATAGGTTGTCTGTTTATTCTGCTATTTCTTTTTTTTTTTTTTTTAATCATACTCCATGATTTTTAATATATTTCTGAAATCTGAAATACATACATATTTATTTAGCATTTTTAAATGTAAATTCACTGATGATATTATCCTACAGATTTTTTTTTTTTTTTTATTATACTCTAAGTTTTAGGGTACATGTGCACATTGTGCAGGTTAGTTACATATGTATACTCTGCTGACTATTTCTTTTGCTGTGGAAAAGCTTTTCAGTTTGAGTCTCATTTGTCTATTTTTGTTTTGTTGCATTTGCTTTTGAGATCAGTCATAAATTCTTTGCCTAGGCCAACTACTTCATTGCATTTGTATGAGAAAAAAAGAAAAACCAGAGGAGAAGGGTTTCATTAGTTATCAAAGATCATACAAATGTAAATGGTATTCTAATATTTTCCCCACACTACTGTGCATTAAGCAAGGACTTAATTGTGAACATTGTACAGAGGAGGAAAATAGGTTCAGTGAGGCTAAGAGACTCTTCATGGGCCAAGGAAAGAACCAAAGGCTGCAGTGAGGCTGGACCTCAGTGATCTGAGTTTCCTTCCAGTGCGCTTCTACAGCAACATGCCTCCGCTCTGCAGATGGAGATTTTGGTAGAGTTTCACATCACCATGATCAACCTTCACCTTCAAAATCAAGAGAAAAAGAGACTGAAACTTTGGGATCTAACTTAGGGATCTCAATGTTGGATGAATAACTGAATAAAAATGACAGCCTGCATTATCAACTTGTGAGTGTTATTTTTCCATTACACAAAAGTACCGCTAACCACCACTTTGCAAGTTTTCACATGCTACCATGATGATCAGTTTCAGACCTCTCTGCCAAGTGGGAATGGATTTAAAGCTTTGTGTTAATTTAATCATTTTCTTCTCTCTTGAGAGAGGCAACAAGGCCACCAGTTGGCATCCTTTTGATTTAGCATTTAAAATAGTTCATGATAATAGCAGAAAGATCCTGTCATCATTTTTACAAGGATAGTTTTATTGGTGGCTTTTGTTCTAACTCCAGTCTTTTACACATTGTGCCCCTACAATAAAGCAGTTGAACCCACTGCACAGACTGATTTGATAGATGGAGAAAAATATATAAGTGCTTCTGACATGTCCTGGGGCCACCTGAGTCAGGTTCCCCTTCTGGTAAATAAAGACCAACACATTATGCGCAATTAGATTAACCACACAAATATGTTTACATTTTTCACTCTCACACACAAAAATAGAACATATTTAAATTTTTCACCGAGTAAGCCAATAAGAATAAAATAATATGTCTGCTAAGTATGTTTGCTTTGTCACCTTCCTTGAAAAGCCTGGATTATACTTCCTTTTTGGTACATCAAGTGGTATCGATTTTTCCTTATTCTAATTAGGATCTAGTTTCAACTGTTCAGTTCCTGTGGAGTTTGGGCTCCATCATACAATATTATTAAAAACAAGAGACGGTATTAGCAGTAGGGTGATGCATCCCATTTCCATCTCCCCCAGGGAAATAATGGAAGTGCCGTTTCCCAGAGGCTGCAAGTGGCCTCTGGATTTTCATACTCTGCTCTTTCCTAACTGTAGAGCCATTTTGGCCAAGTCTTTGAACATCTCTGGATCTGAATTGTTTAGCTTTAAAATGGGAGGATAAGTTAACATCTTAGACCTCCTCCACTTTTAAATCTTCTGGGAGCCTATGAAATATTGAAAAATCTACTATACACATAACATATGGTGGGGAACACAAAGATGTCATCATTGTCCTCAGAGAGTTAGTGGTAAATGTAGAAAAGATGTAAGAAACTGAGGATGCAGATATTGGGAGTGAAAAAGCTTAGTTTTTCTATTAGTTATCTGAGGCCGTCATAACAAAATACCACAGACTGGGTGGCTTAAACAATAGAAATTCATTTTCTCAATGTTTTGGAGAATGGAGGAATTCCAAGATAGAAGTCCAAGATGGAAATGACATCAGGGTTGATTTCAGGTAAAGCCTCTTTCCCTGGTTCGTAGTTGGCTGCCTTCTCACTGTGTCCCCAGAAGACCTTTCCTCTGGTCATGTGCAGAGAGAGAGTGGGAGAGAGAAAAAGAGGGAGCATGCACACTCTGGTGTCTCTTCTTCTTATAAGAACACAAGTGTTATCAGATTAGGGTCCCACACTTATGACCTCATTTGACATAATTACCCTCCTGAAGACCCTATCTCTAACTCAATACAGTCATATTGGGGGTTAGGGCTTCAACATATAAATTTGGGGTGGGGAGGACACAATTCAGTTTATAACAGCTCTTTTTCAGCACCATCACATACAGCTGAAGGGCTCAGACCAAATTATTTAACCAGAGATCTTATTTTCTTCCTGGAGAAAAGAATAATCATACATTCTTCAGAAAGAGGTTATAAGGACTGGCTAGAATAAAAGATTGTAATGTGCTATATTAGTTATAAAATGCTAAAAAAACACATTCAATATGATTATAAAAACTATTAGTGCTGAAAATATTAAGTGCATTTGGAGTTGAAAAATTAGCAAAATGTGTGGATTGGAATTGTCAAAAGGGAAGGTATTGGGACCGAAACAAATATAGAATCTTAGTTACAAGTATTGATTTTTAAATCACAAAGCCCAGAGTCCAAAATCTGTTCCTGATTTACTTCTTCTGTGAATTTGGGCAAGTTTTAAAAACTTTTAAGATTTAACTTTCTCTCAAAATGAAAATAACATTGCTGCCATAAGAGAGACAGTATTACAACTGAAAAGATTACTAACAAATAAATATTAGTTGTCATCAATAGGATCTTAACAGGATTTATGGAAAAATGGAAAAGTTGTGTCAATAGGAATGGAAAAGCACATTTAGAAAACAGAAAAGAGACAGGAAATAATGGGCTACGTTAGGCAGAAAAAAAAATGATATATTTGTAAACATAAGACGGACCTAAGGTAACAGAGGTTAACTATCAGTCAGCTGTTGCTGTATAACAAATCACTCCAAAACATTGATGGCCTAACACAACAATTATTTATTCGTACTGGGTTTGCTAGGCTTTGGCTGATGTATGCTGAGCGCAGATCAGTAGCTCTGCTTCAAATTGTAGGTCCACCTGGGCTTGACTCCTCACACAGTGTTGGGCTTATGTATATTCCATATTTCTCTCATCCTTCTCAAACCAGCAGTCTAGCTAAGTGATGTGCTTCTCACAGGAATGGCAGAGTACAGTCAAGCAAGCCCAACAAACTATATGCATTTCATGGCCCTGTTTATGTCAAGTCTGCTAAAAATTCTACTGCCAAAATAAGTTACATAGATGAGTCCAAATCAAGGGGTGTAGAATTATACCCTGTTTATCATGAGGTCAAAGCAAGTCTCAGGACCAAGCCCAGTATCAGATGGACAGGAAGTGTCCTCCCATGGAGGAGGAGGAGAGGGAGTAATATTTTTGAATGGGAATCCAATATACCACGCTAAGAAACACAAGGTTTTATCTTGAAGGTAAATGAAAACAACTCTAAAGTTTTTGGAGCACTAGAACTATATGGCGCCCACGTATTTCAGAGAAAAATAAGCTTCTACAGGTGTACTATGGAGACTAAAAGAAAAGAATCAGGGAGACTGGTCAAAAGGCTAAGCAATACAGCTATGTGGGAGGCAATACTTTCTGTTAAATTTGGGGTAACATGGCAATTACATTTCAAAGAAGCAGATACCAAAATCACTTCAAAGTAAGAAGGCATGAAACTTAAAAATTCTTCATATACGGTCATGTGATGCAGAAAGATGTTTTGGTCAATGATAGACCACCTATATGATGGAGGACCCATAAGTTTATGATGAGTTGAAAAATTCCAATTGCCTGTGATGTCTTGATGATCCTGACCCTGGGAATGCCTAGGCTAATGTGTGTGTAGATGTCTTCATTTTTAACAAAAAGTTTAAGAAGTAAAAAAAAAATTTTAAATACAGAAAAGAGCTTATACAATAAGGATATAAAGAAAGTAAATACTATTGTACAGCTGTACAATCTGTTTGTGTTTTTATCTAAGTGTTATTACAGGAGTCTAAAAGTTTTTTTAAAGTTTATAAAGTAGAAAACTTATAGTAAGCAGTTTATTTATTATTGAAGAAAAAAATTGTATAAATTTAGTGAAGCCTGTGTACAGTGTTTATAAAGTCTACAGTAGTGTACAGGAACCTCCTAGGCCTTCTCATTCACTCACCATTCCCTGACTCACCCACAGCAACTTCCAGTCCTGCAAACTCATCTGTGGTAAGTGTCCTATACAGGTATACCATTTTTAATCTTTTATACCATATTATACTCTACCTTTTCTATATCTGGATATATTTAGATACACAGATACTTAACCATTGTGTTACAACTGTCCACAGTATTTAGTACAGTAACATGTCATATAGGTTTGTAGCCCAGAAGCAATAGTCTATACCATATAGCCTAGGTGTGTAGTAGGCTATAGCATCTAGGTTTGTGCAAGGACACTCTACAATGTTCGCACAACAAAATTGCACAATACATTTCTCAGAATATATCACTGTTGTTAAGCAATGTATGACTGTATAAGAAATGAAGTGGCTGTTGGAGGAGTGCTAGAATAGCTATCTATTGCTGCGTAAGCTACTACCCCAAAACTTTGTGGCATAAAGTAACAATATTATCTCATAGACTTTCTGTAAACTTGGAATTCAAGAACAATTTATCTTGGTGGCTCTGGCTTAGAATCTCTCATGTGGTTACTGTCAGATGTCAACCAGGATTGTCATCTAAAGGAATGACTAAAACTACAAGATCACTTGCAAGCTTGCTCACACAGCTGGCCTGCAAGTTGGTGGAGCCATGATGGAAAGGCCTTAGTTGCTGTCCACATGGACATCTCTGTAGGGCTGCTTGACTATTCTCATGATATGGTGGCTCGTTTCTACCAGAGTGAGTGACCTAAGAGGAAGCAAGGCAGAAGAGGCAAAGTTTTTTTTTTTTTTTTTTTTTTTTACCATGTAGCCTCAGAAGTCACACATGGCCAGTTCTGTCACATTCTATTCACAAGAAAGGATTATTAAAGTTGGTACACCTTCAAGAAGAGGAATGTTAGGCTCTATTTTTTCTTTTCTTTTTTTCTTTTTTTTTTTTTTTTTGGAGACAGAGTCTTTCTCTGTCTCCCAGGCTGGAGTGCAGTGGTACGATCTCAGCTTACTGCAACCTCTGCCTCCCAGGTTCAAGCAATTCTCCTGCCTCAGCCTCCCGAGTAGCTTGGATTACAGGCCCGTGCCACCACGCCCAGCTAATTTTTGTATTTTTAGTAGAGACGGGGTTTCGTCATGTTGGCCAAACTTGTCTTGAACTCCTGACCTCAGGTGATCCATTCGCCTTGGCTTCCCAAAGTGTTGGGATTACAGGCGTGAACCACCGCACCCGGCCCAGCTCTACTTTTTCAAGAGGATTGTGTCAAATAATTTTTGAACACATTTAAAAACTACCACATGAAAATCTTTTATAGTACCTAGTTTCAGACTTACCAAGATTTGTAATAAGTATAATAACCAATAGAAACACCAAATGAACAACTTAACTCTTGGAGTAGAATTGAGGTAAAATTATCATTTTTGGAATTACCTACATCGAGGTATTGGATGAAGACCTAAAGGCACTGAAAAACATGAAAACGGGGAATTTAGAAAGAGAAGAACACAATTGTATGTACTATTTGAGAGTGGTTAGAAGAGAAGAGAGATACCAGAAAAGAAAATAAGAAAACAGAGAAGGGACAGTAATAGCAAATTTTATGTAAAAAATCAAGGACAGTGAAGCCACCAATGTTCTCTGCAGGGGCAATAACAGTTCTTTGTCAATAGTACCAAATAAAGATGGGATCTAGAGATCAGAATAGCTTCTTTTGTCAGATGGACTCTTACTTGTCTTCTTCCTTAGAAGCTGAGAATTAGGAAGACAGGTAATTGGAGGAGAATCAGGAAACTATTCAGAGCTCTGATCAAAACAATTAAAATATGACTAACCCAGCGTCACCTATATTAAAGACAATTTTATACCCTGTAAGTCATTCTTGAGGTAGCCATAAAAAGATATTCAAGCAGACATATGTCTGTATTGCATAGAAAAAGAAAATTAATGACAAAATCTAAAAGCAAATCAGTATGTGAGTTAAAACAAAGCAGGGTTAAAATGGGCATTTAAGAACACAATACCTTGTAGTTGCATGGAAAAATATGTCACTATATCACAAGTAAAACTGTGAAGAAGAAATACTGCTAATGCTGACATTTGCAGTTACAGCACTCTCACAAAGATGTTTGCAAATGTGCAGTAGTAGAAAAGGGCAGTAATATCAAAACATGGCCTTCTTTTTATCTTGTGTCTTCAGAGGGTTGCAATTAACAAAATCAACTACATTCTAAAAAATAAAGGAAAACGTTAACTTTTAAAATTCTCCTCAGGAAGACCAAAGCATTGCTAGACAAAAAATAAGAATGAAATCATTTTTTCCAAATAACTCTTCAGCAAAATTATGAAAGGCTCTGTGTGACAAGAACTCTATTTCAAGGACAAGAACTGAAAGCCATCAAGGCAGCTTGGCCAGGTAGAAAATGACATCACCTTATAAAATCCCTTTGATATCCACAGGCTGGTTTTCAAATAATGATTACATGCTTAGGTTAGCTTCTCAATAGCTAAAAGAATCATTTATTGTATACTTTTTCTCCAGGAAAAAGGGTTCTAAGTATTTTGCTTAAGAGTTTTGTTTACTTTGGTTCTTTAAACTAAGGAACCATAGTGCAGATCCCAACCCCATGAAACATACTAAGACAAGCTTCACCATTCCTAAGAAGCTGCCTTGCCACAAAGTGGCCATGTGGTGTCTGTCCGTCTGGGTTCTGTGCAGGTTCAATCGCTTCATTTAAAACATAATAAAACTATGGAGAATTGAACTTGGTGACCCTGTTTCACAGTTTTCCAAAGCACAAAAAAAGAATTGAATCGAGGGCATTGAAAAGTGAGTCCAAACTTTTATGGGTTTTCTTTCCCCCAGACCTCAGACAACAGCATTGTCATGAAGCAGCAGTATTCCTAAAGGGGAGTCTGGGTATTGATATGCAAATGTGGACTACAAACATCCCATTTGGCCTCAGAATTCCTGTGTCTAGCACTGTCACACAAATAGTTTTTGAATCTGTGCAGTTTATTCAGGACCATAAATATGTGTTTCACCCTGTGAACAAATTCTGTTTGCTCACAGAGTTCACAGCAGTAAAATACAAGGTAGACTACAAAACAGCCTCTATTTGACGTGATGCGCCTCAAAGTAAAGTTACTTTTAAATGGTCCAGATATATATTTACTACCCAAGATTTCAGTGCAAATGTAGTAGAACCCAGATGGTAAGGGTTTTCTTGTTTTGTTGTTGTTTTTATTTATTTTAGATTCTCTGTATTGAAATAATTTACTTGCTTTTTAAAAATAGAAATGTAAAGACAACTTTAGTTTACATTGTTGGTAAAATCATAAAAGTCATACTATTAATTCTGAATAGATCTGTGATAGTGGAAAGAAGAAAAATAAGTTTTGAGATATCTAAGGAGCAGATGGAATGAGGGGTAGATGTTTGCTAGTTCTCTCTCTCTCTCTCTCTTTCTCTCTCTCTCTCTATCTCCCATCCCTCTCTCATTTTAAAAAATAATAAAAACTTATCCCTGGAAAAAAATGTAAATTAACTTTCAAAATAGTTTGGATAAGCATTCCAACCACCAGAATTCTATTTAGCCCACAAAATTTGTATAGCCTCTACCCACATTTCCCGATGCTATTTCCAGCTCCTCCTGGCCATCTCCACTTCTTTCATAACTGCTCCACCTCTAGGTAACTGCTAGCGTGGAGCAGACACACTGAATTCTCACCACACTTTCCCCCTGAACATGCATAGAAGAGTGTAAGGCAGAGGGTGGGAAAGTTCTATTTTTCTATTATTTCATCCTGATTCTCTAATGCACTGGACCTACCAACCATGTGTCTATTTTCATAACAAACTAAAGCTGAAACAATTAGCCAAAAAGCAGATGATTTCAGAGGAAAATATAAAGCATTTGCCTATATGGATAAGCCAATGAGAGCATATACTATCAGAATAGAGACTAAACTGCCTTAAAACACCTATTGCCAATGTCTTACCACATGTCTTTCGTATGTGAAAGTCCAACAAACCAATTATTCTTCAGATGACTATGAAATAATTAAAGAAATCTAGAGTCTGTAACTGCATGTTCTACATTGGTGACCACATAAACTCACAGCATACTTTTTGTTGTTGTTTTGTTTTGTTTTTTTTCTCTTTTTTTTGATTTTATAACTTGATATATTTTTATTTAATTTTCAATATGAGATTGTATGGTACCTTGTCCTCTCCTAAGGCACACATTCTTGATTTTTATTCCCTCTATTTTTTATTTGCTCAAGATACTGACAACAGACATGAAGTAAAACTGGATAAGTCACTGAGTTAGAGAGGGTGAGAAGAAAAGGAGATAGGGAAGTCATGATAGGCTCCTCCCACTTTTGAGACTAGATGGTTCTATTCCTTTCTTTGAACATCATAATTAAATTACAGAATTAAAAAATCAACAAATTAAAGCCTTATGTTTTTACATATTAATCCTTATTAATCCTTAATAATCTTTAATAATTATTTCACCAAAAGCATGATTGAATGATAAAATCTCTCTATATAAATAGCTTCTCAGAGTATTTCTTAAATTTCTTAAGTAGAGGTGCTGTATTAAAGATCCAGTTAAGGCAAATAAATGTTGTTTCTATGCTTCCCCCAAATCTTTACTTTGATCTTATTGAATAAAGTGAGAATAGTTATTACGTTAATACTATCAAACTACTCTGAGGAAGAAACAGGATATTATAAAATTCTGTTTCTTTTAAATGAGTTGTTAATTTCAATCAGCTAATAATATTTATTAGGTTTGAAAAAATAGATTAAAAGAAAGGGTGAACATATCAAATTTAAAAGTTACAAATAGTTAAAAACTAATATAGCCTAATTGCATATAATAAGAAATGAAGTAAAGATTTTTACTAATAAAAAAATGACATTTTAAGATATTATGAGTAAACATTTGTTCATTTCATATTTTAAAAGAAAAGGAAAACTGTTGATTACTTGATTGGGAAAAGGAAAATAACAATATTCAAGAAGGAGGATGTTATTATGAATCAAGGCTTTCAATGCCAAAAAGTCTTTCTGAACAACAATAATTTTCTCAAGTTAAGTTTTAGAAGTATTGCTTTATTCTTGCTTTTCTTCTATAATTTTCAACAGTATCTCACGCATGTCTCTTTCATAATTGTATACAATTGGTAGGGTACTAAAATATAACAAAGACAAGAGACAGCTTAGAAAAAGGAGAAATTGAATACTTTTTATTGCTTTTTGTGATTATTTTTCATAAATTTTGCAGAGAAGATATAGCCAAAAAGCATCTTGGAGCATGTCCTGACCTTGGAGGAACTTTTTCTTCTGGAATATTTCCCGTTTGTGTTTGTTTTCTCCCCCTATGTAGTCTTTTACTTTTCTAGAATAATTGCGATGAATTACAAACATAAAATTCAGAGAATTTTTTAAAAGATAAATACTTATTCAACAATTTCATGTTTCATTTAACTATACAGATCTGAATATTTGTGTGATATTCTCTTGGATTTTCATGACATCTGCTTAGTTTTAAGGTATGCGTTACCTTACATTTTCTTCAAACTGGAGTTTTATTTGAGGCACTAGTGCCATCTGCTGGACACAGATAAAATTAAAGACTTGTGAACGCAGTTTCACATGTGAAAAGTCCAACCAAGCATAGCCCTTGTTCCTTAAAACTTAACCTTTATGAAACACTTGCTATTCTTTTCAATGTACTCAGAAACATAGGTTCAGACTTGTTTCCGTTGGTCATCCCAGGAAACTTAATGAAAAGTCTTTTAGGACTATTTGCCATCACAAATACAGTTTAAAACTACATTCAACATTCAACAAAATTTGCACTGAGCATTCTGGGTACACAAAAATGAAGACGATTCAGAAGCCAACTTCAAGATGCTTGTAATCCCATAGGTTGATAGGTTGAAAAAAGTAATTACAATTGTGAAATTAAAATGCTACAATCTACCTCATTCAAACAACATGTGAAAATTGCTGTAAAGATATACTTATTCCTAAAATAACAAATATAATAGCTCTGGGAGAGATTTCAGACGACTGCCTACTTTTGCAATTGAGAAAAATGAGACTAAAGTGTTCATGTCTTATTCAAATCATATTGTTAGTTAGTGTCAAAGTTGAAACCAGAAGCTAGATCAACTAATGCTCTTTTCATGGTTTCCCTTTCTGCCCAATCATTTCTTATCAATTATTTAACATATAACAAAGTGAAGGTAAAATATTCAATTTTAATAAAAGCTTAAACATTTGATATGTCATAAAGATCATATTGAAAGCATAAAAAAGCAAAAGAAAGACCATTTCAAAATCTTCTCACATTTTTAATTTATACGCTTGTTTTGTTGCTCATTGGTTTAATATGTGTCTTTTGCCACAAGATTTTAAGATTGCACAACAGAGCTTAGCAGAAGGCTTGGCATTTCACAACAGGTACATGATGAATGAACGAATGAATGAATGAATGAATTCTAGACTCATTTATATTTTCTTAACCTAGTGAGAAAGGAAGGACTAAATTAAGCATGACAGATTGCTGAAAAAAAAGGAAAATCGATGCAAATGAATGGAATGAATAACACTTTGTAGGTTAATAAAAATGTTTAGAGCTGCTTGCTCTTACTTCTTTCAGGTACATATTGAAATCCCTGTGGATAACTTAGCTATATCTGAATTATTTGATAACTAAATATCAAAGGATTAACACTGTCTAAATGTTGACTTGATCAACATAAAAGATATTCCCTACTTTTCTATCTTTAAGACAAATAAATATTAATTTGGATAAGACACTGAATTCTAGGGATAGAGAGAGGAGCCCCAGATAGAAAAAAATGTATTGACCCTGCCATAAAATTGACTATTGCTAGTGCTAAGAACTGTTATAATTGCAAATCATGTATTAATTTATTTAACCCTCAAAACACAGCTCGAGATATATTATTGTTAATTCCATTTTGGAGAAGGAAACACCGTAGCATAAGAAGTGTAATAACCTGCCCAATATTACAGAACTAGGCGTGGAGAAGCTGATCTACACAAACAGGCAGTGGGCATCAAAGCCTAAGCTCTTAACCTCTATGTGAGTTGTTCTTAAGGTGTGTTCCAAGGGCCTGATTCTCTAATGCACGGAACCTATCAACCATGTGTCTATTTTCATAACAAACTAAAGCTGAAACAATGAACCAAAAAACAGATGATTTCAAAGGAAAATATAAAGCATTTGCCTATATGGATAAGCCCAAGAGGGCACATACTGTCAGAGTAGAGACTAAACTGCCTTAAAACACCTACCACCAATATGTCTTATCACGTTTACATTTTATCTAATTTACATTTTTTCCAGGGGGTGCCTGAGATATTTTCAGGGGGTCTGCAAACTCAAAACCATATTCATCATAATATTCAGAAGTTATTTTCTTTTTACATTTTCCTTCTTTCACAAATACATAGTGGAGTTTTTCCAAAGGCTATGTGATGAACTGGATACAGAAATAGGTACGAGGATCCAGCTATATTCTGTTAAGCAAAATACTGAAGAGAGTTGAAAAAAAAAAGTGCCACTTTCCTCACAAGTATTTTAAGAAAATGTATTTATTTATTTATGATTTTTTTGAGACAGGGTCTCAATCTGTCACCCAGGCTGGAGTGCAGTGGTATGATCTTGGCTCGCTGCAACCTCCACCTCCCAGGTTCAAGTGATTCTCCTGCCTCAGCC
The DNA here is from genome assembly GCF_000001405.40 of Homo sapiens. Lineage (NCBI taxonomy): Eukaryota > Metazoa > Chordata > Mammalia > Primates > Hominidae > Homo > Homo sapiens. The sequence continues at coordinate 120,154,173 of NC_000004.12, read as the reverse complement.
TCTTGAGTAGCTGGGATTACAGGCACCCGTCACCACACCTGACTAAATTTTTGTATTTTTAGTAGAGACGGGTTTCACCATGTTGGCCAGATTGGTCTCTAACTCCTGACCTCAAGTGATCTGCCCTGCCTCAGCCTCTCAAAAATGCTGTGATTACAGGTGTGAGCCATTGTGCCCAGACTAAGAAAATGTTTAATTTTGATGAAATTATGCACTCATGTTAACATATAATGAGTTTATTACTGTTGATTTAAATTAATTATTATTTTAAATATATAAAATACTCTAAATAAATTAATAGTTCTTGGTTTTAATTTCTAAAAGAGTAAATACCTATAGATACAACCTACTTAAACAAAAGCTTCTTGGAGGCCTCAAAATTTATTTATTATTTATTTTTAAATTGACTTTCTCTTATTAAGAGCTTTTTTTTTTTTGTGAGATAGGGTCTTGCTCTGTCACTTAAGCTGGAGTGCAGTGGCGCTATCTCTGCTCACCGTAGCCTCCATCTCCCAGGTTCCAGGGATTCTCCTGCCTCAGGCCAAGTAGCTGGGACTACAGGCACACTCCACCATGCCCAGCTAATTTTTGTATATTTAGTAGAGATGGGGTTTCGCCATGTTGTCCAGGCTGGTCTCGAACTCCTGGACTCAAGCAATCCTTCTGTCTCAGCCTCCCAAAGTGCTGAGATTACAGGCATGAGCCACTGCACCAGCCTAATAGAGTAAATATCTATAGATATAACCTGCTTAACTAAAAGCTCCTTGGAGGGCTCAATAATTTTTAAAAGTGTAAAGGATTCCTGAGACCAAAATATTTGAAACCCCTTACACAAGACTTGTGTATAGTGGGTACACTACAATTTGAGTGCTGTTTTCACATTCACATCAGCTTGCAATTCTTACAATACAAAGAGTGCCTCAATAATAACTGGACTCCATGGACCTTTGGGCATACTTATTCAATATCAACATCTCAAATGTTAAAAATCACAACTTCCTAAGTCCATTCTAGTTCAGGCTGAAGCTCAATTATGTATAAGTCACACAAATGAGTTGAAAAAAATAAGGTTGCAATTGTAGGTTGGATTGTATCACTTAAGGTTTTGGATGCCAGGCTAAGGATGTATTTGTCCACGCTGTAGAAAGTCAATTAAGATTCTGAATATGAAATAGTGGGAAACAGAATTTGAAAGAAGTGTGTAAAATCAAGTGGAGATACAAATATTGAGGGCAGAGGAGAAAGGAGAAACACAAGTTCTAATGTAATAAAAATTACTACAAGAAAGAATGTATGTTTTATTTTTTAAAAATTAAAGACATTTGAAAAAAGGAAAAGAAATTATTTTTAAATGCTGTAAGTATATAAAGAGTATTCTGTGCAAAGCATAACTTACTTTCTGTTGTAATGCATGAGTTCTTTTATGAAGAAATGAACTTAAATTTTGGTCAAGTAACTTGGTTAAATTATAAGTTAAATTGTTGATCAATGAAGATGATTATACATTGGAATAGATCATAAACAGACAACAACATCTCTCTCTGAAGATATTATAAAGATTAGTAGTCCATATGATTATAAGCTACAGCAGATCTCTAATCGAGGCAGTACAATGAAAAGTACAGTGAAACACAGCTGAGAAGATCTGAATTCTGGTCTGATTATGACATACATTAACTTTTTCATCAGTAACATAGACATATTCTGGGTATCTTTTTTCATATCTTATATGTTCTTTATAAGGGCCATCTTGTACATGAAGGTACATGTTGAATATAAAATACTATTCACCAATTGATAACTTATGATGATGAGATCTGTGACAACTAAAAAGCCTATCTATTACTATGACTTTAGGAAAATCTAGAATTCATTCTTCTTTTACTCATATGTTTTATTCCAGGGACTGAGAAAATAGCAGTGAGTAAACAGATAGGATATTTGATGCTCTCAAACTAACAACAGAAACACAAGTTTTTAATAAAAATACTTGGGTTTATACTGGAAATCAATGTTCCCAGATCTTATAACAAATATAAGTATAAAAGTTATACAAGGTCCTGCTAAATGATATTTTCTTGATTTTTTTGGTGATTTTGTAAAAAGTTCAGCAAAAGGATAATTCAGAAATGTCGAAGTTGCAGAAGTTTGCAATTTGTTGATGGTTATGTTCCAAAAGGTACAGTATGTATCCTGAATGTTATCCAGACAAAAATCACAAAAGAATTCATTAAAAATAAACAAAATCAAATAAAGTTGGTAATTTAATCAAGTTTTGTGGTTTGCTTTCCTAAAATTGACTCAAATATGTTAAAAGATAATCCCCTGTGAGAGGATTTCCTAGATTTGCATTCTATCCTGTAATGAAAAGAGGTAAGTATATTGTATACACAGACATAAACAAAACCTCTGCTTATACACAAATACATATGCTATATATACATGTTTTTAAAGAGAGGGATTTATTTAGGTGAAATATATTATAGTCTTTTGAAAAATGCCTTTAAAATTTTTCTTTCCCCATAATGAAATACAGTAGAAAAAAAGATAATTTTACAAGAGTGTTTCATTGTTGCCATCTTTATATTTGAATAGAAACAAAAAGTTAATCTTATGACAAGCCAGGCTTTGATAAGCAACTCTTTGCATTCTCACAGCACATGTAGCAATAGATAATAAGATTGCCACAATTCAGTTGAGTAAGCACATCAATTGACAGTGAGATCAATAACAGATATTAATAAGCTTTTCCCCAAATACACACCACACACAACCACACACATACACACAGAGCTATTCCACAAAGCTTTAAACTTAAGTCATTTGAGATCAATTCCCTAATAATCAACTACTTTGCAAAAGAGGAAGGGAAAACTATTGGCTTAAGTTGGTAACTTTGTGACAGTAGTCCAATGGCAGGTATATGTCACATTACACACACCAAGAAAGGAAACCTACTTGTTTCCTCAGGTGCCAAAGATGGAAAGATAAAGTTGCATATTGAATGTTCACGGTGATGTTAATAACATTTTAATATTATTAGACATAGACAATGTTTATATCATATTTTAATATTATTAAACATGTACAATGTTTATATCATAATATTTTAATGTTATTAAACATAGACAATGTTTACAACAGCAGACTTTAGGAAAAGTATTCAAACCTTGTTTACATTTGGGAAAGTGTCTCCAGCTACATATTCATAACAGGTCTTCAGGGGAAAAATATAAGACTGGTTTAGAAAAGCTCTATATACTCCAGAGATTTTCTTTGAAAAATCAGCAATTATTAAAATTATTATTTTATAATATTCACCTTCTCAAGCATGTTTCTATTATATATAATAAATTTACAGATCAAATTTAAATTCTCCAAACTAAGATTTTAAAATTTTTAAATTTTAAAAACTTCATTGAAAATAAAAAATGCACAGTTTGAAAGTGATATCTGAAATCTTCACCAAAAAACTTAAAGACATTATTGACCTTCACTGAAAAAATGAAGTAAATAACATATATGGCCATATTCAATAAATTGAGAATTTACCTCTTAATGATAGAGAAGAAACCGTTCAAAGCAGATGAAACCATTGAACCATTGCCAATAATTGTGAAATGATGCACACCTATAGAAAACAAGCAAACATTTTAACAGAAAAATTAAAAAGAAGTTACTCTTATTAAAGGCAAATGGTTTCCCATGGGGGAAAAGTGCTCACAGTAATTGATCAAAAGCTCTACTGGCCAAGAGAAAACTCAATAAAATAAGAAAAGAAAATACATATGACAGAAAAAAATTCAATGGGGTAGAGCTTAAATGTAATTCCTTGCTTAAAACAGGGCATAGGTCAAAAGTGGGAGAGGACCACCAAGTTATATTCTGGATTATCAGTCCACCAAGAAAGCAGTAGCATTAAGCTGTGATAGTTGAAGGACTGAGTGTCTGAATATATTGAAAACGTTACCTCAATGGAGCTAGAATCATAGGAAAATGGTTCCTCCATCGAGTTGCTATATTTTCCAACAATTTCTCCACAGAAGCCTTATGCAATTTATCCTACTGTGTCTAGCTTGGCATACTCTCCCTAGACCAGCAGAAACCAAAATTTACTGTCTTTTATTAACCCTTAGGATTGGGCATCTTCAAAAATTGAATCCAGTAGAAATGACCCAAAGGATGATCTCAACAACTTATGTACACCTAATTCAGGGCCAGTCTTTCTTCCTCTGCCTCTTACCCCGGTCAGAAGTCACATGAGAAAGAAGAGCTCCAGGGGGCAGTTCATAGGAAGAGAACTTTCTTTTCTACCTCTCCATTCTACACAAGATAATACGGGCATCCCAAAGAAGACTCATCATTGAGAGATACTCCTGGCCTAACATATTTTCCTTTAGCAAAGAGAAATGTCTTTATACCCAAGCACTGGGTATTCCCCCATCCCCCCACTCTGTAGAAGAATCCAGCCCTCCAATGAGCCTATTTTGGAAGATTCTGAACCACAGCAACATTTTATTGTTTCTTTTCTAAAGAAATTTTGTGTTTTTCTTTTAGTTTCATTACTATTAAGTGATTAGACCATTATTCAGATATAGCTTGATAGAATTCCAATTCAAATATTTTACAAATGCAGGATATTTAAATGTGAGCCTTAAGAGTAAATTGCTTCCATTTTAAATTTATTTTGTCTGTCTTTTGAAATAATCTTGGAAATTTTCCCTTTTAATTTTACTGCTGTTAGGTGAATACTCAATTTCTTATGCTGAAGCCTGATAGAATTATAATTTTTTTTTTTTGAGACAGAGTCTCAGTCTGTCACTCAGGCTGGAGTGCAGTGGCAAAATGTCAGCTCACTGCAACCTCCACCTCCTGAGTTCAAGTGACTTAGCTCCCCGAGTAGCTGGGATTACAGGCACATACCGCCACACCCAGGTAATTTTTGTATTTTTAGTAGAGATGGGGTTTCACCATGTTGGCCAGGCTGGTCTTGAACTCCTGACCTCAGGTGATCCACCTACCTCGACCTCCCAAAGTGCTGGGATTACAGGCGTGAGCCACTGCACCCGACAGAATTATAATTCTTAAAATATGATTTTATAAATATGGATTATTTAAATATGACATTAATACATTTACATTTTATTATATTTATAGCTAGTATAAATATAGCATTTTGATTTTAGTTTTTAATAAATCCCTATAAAATAAACTATAGTGACAATTTTACATGAACAGTTCAACAAATGATGATATTTGAAACTCAAAGGCCATGTCTATATAACCAAGGGCTACATTTAGTCCAATTACAAGATAAAATGAAGTAACTTGATATCTACCTGAATAAATGTTAATTCATTTTTAAAAACAAGTACTGATGGCTCCTACCTTTGCGTCTAATTCTTTGTTATGTCCTGTGAAGTATTTATACACACACACACACACACACACACATATATATATATGTAAAGGGAAGTATATGCTCTTAGGGAATTAACAATAAAAAGTAAGCATTTCAAATTTTCTAGTTAAAATAAAATTAAACTTTAAAATTTTACAAATCACTGTCTCCAAGAGCATATATTTAGGATCCATCTTCCCATATTGGAATGCCATCAAGTTTTCCTGACTAAACATCCCTTGTAGGCAGGGACAATGCTGCAGTACAGTATCTTGGAACACAGTAGCCCAGCAAACATTATAAATGCATTGATATTATGGTATTAACCTAACAAGCATTTAAAAAGCACTTACTTTGTGCAAAACTTAGTCCTAAGTACTGTTAAATAACTCATTTAACTTCATAACATTTTTGTGAGGTAAGTTGTATTACTACCCCTTATTTAAATATGGGAAAACCGAGTACTAGGGAGAATAAGTAAATGACCCAAGGACACATGGCTCTAAGACGGCTCAGCTAGGATTCAAGCCCAGATGACCTGGGTTTAAAGTCTACCCACTTAAACACTATACCATGTTGTTTGGATGAAGAAAAATAGCATCTAATGATTGAAGCTACTGTCAGCAATGATTATTGTGTCATTGTCATTAAAATTCTTACATGCCCCAGTCTGAATTCTTTTTTGATCCAGGTAATTTCTTTTACTCTCTGAGACTCTAGTTTTTGCCCAATTGTTTGCACATTTGACATGTAAGTTTTCTAACAATTCTCTGTTTATCATTTGAAAAGGAATGATATGACATGTTCCCTCTGATGTGCATAGGTTCATTTATGGAGTGTCCTTCTACTTGGAAGAAACATCCTTTTTCTGCCACACTCTTTAGAGGTGTGATCAAATGGTTGACCTTTCTAGTAAAATCATTCCTCAGAGATACTTTCTGACTTTCCAAAAATCAACTAAATATCTCAAGGTAAGACAGAGTCTCTGAGAAGGAGAGAAATTATCTAAAAGAAAAAGAATACATAACATTCTAAAACAACAATAGCATATAATAAGTCTAAGAAAACTTGGCACTTTCCATACCATAAAATGCCAAGGTTACCACTGATAAATTACCAAATGCTTTTATCTGTCAATGGGATAAAACTGCCTACTTGGAACTGAGCCGAAGACCCAGGCCCTCTACAGAAAGAAACCACCCAACATTCAAATGTGTAAGTTATCCTTAACTAGCATTTGGGTCATGGTTCACAGGACAAGGGCTCCTGCCTTCCCCTTTGATACTGGTGTTCCCACTTATCTTGAGTTTAGGCAAATGACTTGCTGGTGTGTAAATCCACATCGCTTTGGAAACTATTATATAATTCTGTCAGTTCTTAAAGATAGACTTCAAGGTGACCAGGAATACCACAGCCTGTGGGTCAGAGATTCTGTTCCTAGGGAGAATTTGAAAGCAAACAGAAGAAGGTTTTCTCATCTGCTTTTCAATATCATTTGGGTACCAAAGTTGAATCAATAATTGGTCTCTTTGGAAGATGTAGTTGAATGAGCTCCTAGTCCCAGAAAAAAAAAAAAAGTGTAGTAAGAGCCATATAAAGCCATGTAACATAATGATTCCACTAATGATTTTAAAACAGTAATAACTGTATGGAACAAAAAAAAATTATACTTGCTGAATTTTGTTTAAGAATAAGACCAAGTAGAACAAAGCCAGAAGTCACAGAATCAGAAAGTTTAACTGCTATAATAATATCACCACTCCTGAAATTACAATGAACACATTTACTCCAGAAACCAAAAAGAAAAATAAAATGTAGATTCCAAAGACATTTTTCAGTGAGACAATGAAGAAGGTGAAAAACAAAAGTTGTTTTTCTTGTTTTCTTCCTGTTTATTAAGAAGAAAAGCCCTTCTAATTAAAAAAAAAAAAAGCTGGGGATCATGTTAGATTCTCTAGACTAAAGAAGGCAAATCTTTAGATAAATAAATAAATAACTTCTAAGGGAAAGGATAAGAGTAACTAATAAATATTGGAATGGGTAACGTTTGGCTAGTAAATACTACCCTAGATGTTCCAGCGCAAAACTTACAGATTAATGAGCTAGTCACTTTGATAGCATTAAAGAAATAAAATGTATATGCATATCTGAAGTTGGAGGCAATATATGTACAGAAGAAAACACATGAATTTTGAAGCTAGAAGGACCTTTATTTAAATCTAACTTCTGCCTATGACATTTACAATTAACAAAGTAATAATACTTTGGAATTTTTAAAATTCTTAACTCAAATGATATTTTCAAATTCCGTATGGAACACTGGCATAATAGTGGTATGGATAAGTTTTATGATGGTTTCGAGAAAAGGTCCCTTCTGATTGAATTCCTAGTTACGTTTGTATAAAATCAGATAATGTTTTAAGTGAACAGTGCTTTAACAAAGTGTTGTTGCCCAAAAGCCATTTGATTCATTGACAAAACTTCTAACATTTATGACATTCATGTACAGCATTCAAAAGCATTCCAATGGAACCTCTCTCATCATCCATCAGTTACTTTGAAAACAGGCAGAGCCCTTTAGTGAGACATCTGGCTAGACCCCTGATCACCTTTGATCTCGTTATCTGGGACTCATCCACTGCAGCAATCACAGCCCTCCATGGCTTTCTAAGTTAATGCCTTAGTATGTTTCAAACAATCCAAATTTTGTATATCTTCAAATATGTTGTTAATTTAATGCTTTTATTATGTTGGGGCAGTGGGAAGAAGGGACAGGTTAGGTGGTACAGGTAAGTTACATCCTTTTTCTCTCCAGTTTATACTCACAGAACATCTAGAAAGTTCATTTTACTCCTTTACATATAAGACAGAATCAGTGTGTTAAAGTGGGATTTAGGAGTGAGATGAAGCAACATTTACTGGGCGTCTATGATATGCCAGGCACAGTAATTCTGTAAATTTAAATATTATATATTAAGTATCATATATAGTATGTAAAGATATGTCTGGGTATATATTCGTACGTATACATTCTGTCTTTGTGTGTGTAATTTAATTTAATAAAGATATAATTCCAATCTGCCTTCAAAGCTCAACCTTACTGTTTAGTTACCATGTGGTTTGGGGCAAATTATTTAATTACTCTGACTTTCAATTTATTCTATTAAATGAATATACCTACTTAACAAGATTGTTCTGAGAAGTGAATGGAATAAAACATTAAAAAGTATTTAACATACTTCTCAGAACACAATAGGCACTCAATAAAATCATGTCTATTATGCAAATACTTACCATTTAATATGTGCCCGGCACTGTTTTAAGTGCTTTTTAAATATTGACTTTTAAAATGTTCATTACAATCTTTAGGTCACCTACTATTATTATCCGTCCTTTACTGATAAACTGAGTACTTGAGAGGTTAAATGACTTGCCTGGGGTCACACAATTAGTGGAGACAGAATTAAAATTAAAACCCAACCATTTTCATCCCAGAGTCTCTGCACCTAATCTAACCATTATGTTCTACTGTCAGAGTTGACCCTGAACTCTCTAGAGAAAAAAAAAAAAAAAGTTTTCCTTTAGGAAATTTAAAACAAAATAGTATTTATCCAGTTAAATAAATTATCAGGGTAACTGCAAATCACATTAGTGTTATACAGACATATTCCAAATAACCAACTGCTCACTCACAAAGAAGATAAACAATACATAGGAAATGACTGGTACACTCAATTAGGATAATTCAAAGAGGATTTAATTGAAAGAACTATTTTTAAAAGTATGAGCTGGCCATAGAGAAGAGCGCAATTTCTCAGGCTACCAGTATTGAGGCTGTGTCCATCAAAAAGGACAAAGGGAGTGGGTGTTACTGGAACCCAGAAAGAGCAAGTCATGTGGGGAGAGGCAACCAACCCAAAGCGAATGGGCAGGGAAGGAGGCAGGGCATTTAGACCCTGACTTCATAGTTGCCCCCCTGGGGATCTCCTACCAGGCCCCTTACTAGCAGCTAGAAATCAAGGAAGCCGGCCAATGTCATCCATACAGGCCAGCCTGCTGGGGCCAGGACCAAGAGGGGAAGGCTGTCAGAGGCATTTTTCCAGATTTATAAAATGTTAACATTTTAAGTACCAAAACACAATTTTTTCTTTGTCTTATTGGATATCTTTTTTAAATTTCTGTCATACTCTTGGCTTCTAACATAAATTACACAGTCCGTTCATTTTTTCTGAACTAGCTCTAAAATAGTAGAACCCTCAAGCACATCAAAGATGTACAACTGCTGGCCCTGCACCAGCATTCAGAAGTGTGCTTTTGTCTTTCTCAAAATACAGCTTCCAAGCACATTTTCAGGTGTTATATGAAAAAGATTTTCTGATCAAAAGGACAACATGGGACAAAAACAAACTGAACAGATTTCTCAATTGAGGGATAGTTTCAGAGCTAGTTGCATGGCAAAAATGACAGATTGGAATACAACATGAAATGTATACATAACTAACTAGACCACACAATTCTTCATTTTTTTCCTAAAAACATATTGGGGCCTACTGTTGCAAGGAATATTCTTTGAGAAATGATTTTCTTCATGCCAGAAGGCCTCAGCATTCTGCAGTGTTTTCTAACACGCATTCATTTGTTCATCTTGTCAACAAAGACGTGTTCTCCTGAGTGCTGGGTGTTCAGTGGCGCACAGGTCGGATGAGGTCCCCACTGTCGTGGATGTGCTCTGATGTTGTGCTTTGTTTTGTTGGTGGAATCTCTGTCTTTCACCCTCACTGTCACTACCACTTGTTCCTGTTGCCACCCTCCTTGAGTGCTTACTTCTAGCAACATCTTTGTCCCCAATCCTCTAACTTGACATTTTGTAACCTTGCCTGTGTTTGGATAATCAGAAAATTAAGCCTATAGGAGTGATGGGATAAGAGGCTGTTCTTTTTATATAAAACATGAACCATTTTATGTGAATGCATACAGCTGTCAGGGCCTTTCTTGCATTCTTTCTCATCAGAGGCTTCTAATAAATAGTTAAAATTTCCAAGAAGGCAGCTTCTAGTTAAATAAGATGGTAGAGCAGAGTGGTCAAACACAGAATATTTGCCTTCTAACAGGCAGGCCTGCCTTCCAGGCCAAATCCTGCCCCCTCCTTCTGTTTAACCCATGCAAGTTCCAGTTTCCTCACCTGTAGAATGGTGGTAGTAATCATGCCCACTCACTGGGATTATTACAGGGATTAAATAAGACAATGTACTCAGAGCTCACAGGAGCCACTAACATCAACTATCATTTTTACAGAGCCTAGCACATAGTAGACATTCAACATATAGTTAGAAATAGGAGTTACGGGCCAAATGATGTGAACAGCTTTCTTAATTTCTTTCTTTTTAAAAAATATATTTTTCTTGTTTCCAGTGGGGTTGGAAGCTTTCTCAATTTCTTGAACCAAGATATTATAGGCAATTTTATTATGTTCTTGGAAGCACAGATAAAGCTTGGGCCCAAGTATGCTTACAGAGCTTTCTAAAATGCAGAACTGATGAGATTCCTAAAGATCAGGTATGATGGTGAAGTAGGTGCGGTGACTCAGGCACCACACATTTAGAGGACAATAAAGCAACACTGTGGCCCCATGCAAGTGATGAGAGAAGTCCCTGGAATATTCACCTTCAGTGTTGGGTTTTCCTTTCTTTCTTGCACCTCATGGCTGTTTGCTGAATACGCAGTGGTATTTCCATTTCCTACAGGAGCTTCGGGTCTTTCAAGATGTCAAAGAAGAAGTTTTACAAACTAAGCTTTTACAGGGAAAGTCCCTGCGGTGAACAGAGCATGAGTTGTATGCCATAATAAAGGCAGGTGAGAAAATGGAGATAAAGGCAGATACCCTGACACTTGAATCTCGTGAGGTGGACAGAACAGGTGAGGCCTGGCCTTGGAGGGCAGGGGTCCAGGAAAGGCAGGATGAGATCTGCAAGGAGAGGAGAGATCTCTTGTAATGTGCCAGGAGAGCCCCTGAGATGGCTAGCCAAAGGCCCTGTAGAACAAAGCCCTAGGCTACTGTTGACATGCACAGCTCCTCATCTACAGAAGGGAGCAGCCTCTGAAGCCCATCTGTGGATTATTCAGCAAAAGGAGCCAGCCTGTAGTGTCAATTGTGCAAGGCCCCATGGGAATTGACCCCTGGATTACAGGTTCCCTGCCAATCACCCAAAAAGAGGTGGTTCTTGTTAGCCCCACATCCCTCAGAATGATAGTGCTGGTACGGAAGGAAGTATTTCAGTCACTAATTGAGTCGGGACGATTGATGAATATATCACTCATTTTGGGCAAACCCTTCAAATTTAGAAACATTACTGCTGAAAGACAATGACTTTAGTTTTTTAAAATAATAGTAATAATGTGAAATAGAAAAGGCAATAAAGGTCAAAAAGCGCATAAATAAGAAAAATGTAATATTAATCATAAACTATGAGCTAGAAGCTTGTAGACTCCAACCAGCAAACTTACAAAGTAGGGATTTGTCAGCATTTTACACATGGCAAATGACAACTCAGAAAAATTAAGTGTCTTGCCCAAGGGTAGCAAGTCAGTTAACAGCGGTCATGAAAACAGCCAAATACTGAGTACTTTATGCCAAGTAATTTTAAGTAATTCTATCTATAATTAGTTATGATACCAAGTATATAATACAGATAATTACCAATTTTACATATATTCTCTCATGTATAACTCATGCCGTTCCTAGAAGGAAGGACTATTATTATTATTCCCACTGCACAGATGGGAAAACCAAGGTAGGAAATACTAAGTGACTTCCTCAAGGTCATATTTAATTAGTAGTAAACCAAGGCTGTTTGACTTGGAACCTGTGTCCTTGGCCGCATCCTTTCCATCCTCTGTTTTGTAAAGAAATTTCTTGATCATCAGAAATCACACTGAAATGGGAGAGTTCTCTGACCCCCATCACAGGACATGTGACGGGTGTGGCTCATCTGTTCGGTCACTGCCACTGCTCAAACCCCTTACTGGAGGGGGAGCACACAGATGGACAGATGCAGGAACCCAAGTGGGCGTGTGTTACAATGCACTCTTTTAGCCTGTAGACCCAAATCTCATCTTGAATTGTAGCTCCCATAATTCCCACGTGTTGTGGCAGGGACCCAGTGGGAGATAATTGAATCATGGGGGCAGGTCTTTCCCACGCTATTTTCATAATAGTGAATAAGTCTCAGAAGATATGATGGTTTTATAAAGGGTAGTTTTCCTGCCCAAGCTCTCTTCTCTTGTCTGCCGCCATGTGAGACATGCCTTTCACCTTCTGCCATGATTGTGAGGCCTTCCCAGCCATGTGGAACGATGAGTCCATTAAACCTCTTTCTTTTGTAAATTGCCCAGTCTCAGGTATGTCTTTATCAGCAGTGTGAGAACAGACTAATACAAGTGTTAACCAGCTCAATGGACCTTTTTGCAAGGGCAGAGGGCCAGTGTGACAGCTTTCTGTATCCTGAGCTCTTGTCCAGCATTCCGAAAGAATGGGGTCACACATGGACTTGAAGGATGGTGAATGTGGGGGTTTTATTGAGTGGTGGAGGTGGCTCTCAGTGGGATGGATGGAGAGCTGGAAGAGGGATGGAGTGGGAAAATAATCTTCCCCTAGGGTTTGGCCACCCAGCAGTCAATCTCCTCACCGACTGTCCCCAGCTGAATTCTTCTTGGCGTTCAGTTGCTCCTTCTCTTCTCTCTACCACACCACTCTGCTGTCATTCTGCTCTTCTGTTTGTCTCTTCATCTCTCTCTGGGGCTGGGGGTTTGGGGTTTATATGGATCTAGGATAGGGGGGCATGGTGGGCCAAAATGCAACTTTTGGGTGCTAAAACAGAAATGCCCATTCCCATTTAAGGCCGTGAGTATCCAGGCTTGAGGGTGGGACCTTTGCCAGGGAATCACCCTCTTCTACCCAATATTTCCCTGTCTCCTGTCTGTATCAACCCCTAGGTAGCTTCTGTACTGTAGGAACACCAGAAATGTACTTTCTAATTAGCCAAAAGTAAAGGATTCTTTTATATCGTATCTGCTTAGTTACATTTGTAAGTCAATAAATATATTGTCTGACAAAATGTATCAATGTATAATAATGTATAATGTATAATAATGCTAGGCAGGTAGACAGTCTTCAAATATTCTTGTGGACTGGGTAGAAGCACAAACTAAAGTTACCTGAAGTATCCAAATCATATTTTTAAGTGGCACTATTAATTTAATTTTAGGTAATGACTATTCCTATAATTATCTGTGAAATCTCTAAAAATTCCAGGAAAACAATTCTTACTACCCCTACAAAACTTATTATATTAGCTAGTAGCTAAGTGTGTGTGTCTGTGTGTGTTTGTGTGATTTCTAGCCTAAATATTTCCTTGAACTTGATATTCCTTTCATGTTGCTTTTGGTGAAACAAATGAAAAAAAGTCATTTTTCTCTCTAAAAACTGTCTATATATTTGAACATAGTTGTTAATCATTTTACAGCCTTTCTGCTGGGAGGCAAGCACATGTTTAGAGATGCACTGTAGTTCTAGCAAGGTTAATGGTAACAGCTTTAAGAAAAAAATATATAGTAAGAAAAATAAAGAATGATCATAAAAAGATATTTAATTCTGAGATGGATTCTATCTTAATACATTATTTTTAAAATAATAAACTACTAACTCTTTGTGACTCAGTGTATTTATCTATCTGTAAAATGGGGATAAAATGCTGATTCCATGATCTGTGCATAATATTTTAAATAAAAATGTAATAGAGAGGTTATCTTGCCCTCCAGTACATATGGTTAGGTTCAGAACCAGAAATATTTAACCAGGGTGCAGGGTGACTTTTCTCTTTTTCCAACAGGAACATCTTTTGTCTTGCTGTCCACCTTCCATGGACAGCCAACCCTTCTTCTTCCCCTACTTATTACTGTGGTGGCCCCAACTCCTTTCTTCTCTAGATAAGCCCTAATCTTTGTGCCCCTGCCCCTGGATGACTGGGCCATGATCTTCCCACCTGGTGTTACCAGCAAGCTCCATATCAACCCTGACTTCCCAGGCTGACTTCATGCACTTACTGAAGTTTCCAGTGCCTGTTTCTGCCCAGCTCCTCTCCCATTGTTTCAAGTAGTGAGTAGGTTCACAGTCACATTACAACAGCAAAAGCTCTGGTGGCCATGTGAGTCAGCTCAGTAACTAAATAAGATATACACATATCAGAGTAACATTTTATACCACAGAACATGTGTTAATGGGCAGCATGCTAATTAGTCATCAAAAGTAAACTATTTGTATATTGTTCTTCCATGATTTTGAACAATTAATCACAAGCATTGAACTGGTAAATGGGACCTGGGAGGCTGATATGGTTTGGCTCTGTGTCCCCACCCAAATATCATTTTGAATTATACTCCCATAATTCCCACATGTTATGGGAGGGACCCGGTGGCAGATAGTTGAATCGTGGGTGTGGTTTCCCCCATACTGTTCTTGTGGTAGTATGATGACGAGATCTGACAGTTTTATCAGGAGTTTCTGCTTTTGCATCTTCCTCATTCTCTCTTTGCCTGCTGCCATGCATGTAAGATGGAACTTGCTCCTCCTAGCCTTCCACCAAGATTGTGAGGCTTCTCCAGCCAAATGGCAAGTTCAAGTTAACCTCTTTCTTATGTAAATTGCCCGGTCCCCGGTATGTCTTTATCAGCAGCATAAAAATGGATTATTCCAGTAAATTGGTACCTATAGAGTGGGGCATTGCTGAAAAGATACCCAAAAATGTGGAAGCAACTTTGGAACTGGGTAACAGGCAGAGGTTGGAAGAGTCTGGAGGGCTCAGAAGAAGAGAGAAAAATGTGGGAAAGTTTGGAACTTCCTAGAAACTTGTTGAATGGCTTTGACCAAAAGCCTGACAGCAATATGGACAATAAGGTCCAGGCTGAGGTGGTCTCAGAAGATGGGGAACTTGTTGGGAACTGGAGCAAAGGTGACTTATGTTTTAGCAAAGAGACTGGCAGCATTTTGCCCCTGCCCTAGAGATTTTTGGAACTTTGAACTTGAGATAGATGATTTAGGGTATCTCATGGAAGAAAGTTCTAAGCAGCAAAGCATTCAAGACGTGACTTTGATGCTGCTAAAGGCATTCAGTTTTAAAAGGGAAAGAGAGCATAAAAGTTTGGAAAATTTGCAGCCTGACAATCTCAGAGAAATGAAAATCCCATTTTCTGAGGAGAAATTCAACCCTGCTGCAGAAATTTACATAAGTGACAAGGAGCTGAATGTTAATCCCCAAGACAATGGGGAAAATG
The DNA here is from genome assembly GCF_000001405.40 of Homo sapiens. NCBI lineage: Eukaryota > Metazoa > Chordata > Mammalia > Primates > Hominidae > Homo > Homo sapiens. Next base: position 120,138,443 of record NC_000004.12, on the reverse strand, counting down.
TCCCCAGGGCATGTCAGAGGTCTTCACAGCAGCCCCTCCCATCACAGGCCTGGAGGCCTATGAAGAAAAAGTGGTTTTGTGGGCTGGGCCCAGGGTCCCCATGATGTGTGCAACCTAGGGACTTGGTGTCCTGCATCCCAGCCACTCCAGCCATGGCTGAAAGGGGCCAGTGTAGAGCCTCTGGGCTGTGGCTTCAGAGGGTACAATCCCCTAGCCTTGGCAGCTTCCACATGATGCTGAGTCTGTGGGTGCACAGAAGTCAAGAATTAGGATTTGGGAACCTCTGCTTAGATTTCAGAAGATATATAGGAATGCCTGGATGCCCAGGCAGAAGTTTGCTGCAGAGGCAGGGTCCTCATGGAGAATCTCTGCTAGGGCAGTGTGGAAGGAAAATGGGGGTTGGAGCCCCCACACAGAGTCCCTCCTGGGGCACCACCTAGTGGAGGTGTGAGAAGAGGGCCACCGTCCTCCAGACCCACAACTGATAGCTTGCACCATACACCTGGAAAAGCCGCAGACACTCAATGCCAGCCCATGATGGCAGCCAAAAGGGAGGCTGTACCCTGCAGAGCCACAGGGGCAGAGCTGTCCAAGACCATGGGAACCCACCTCTTGCATCAGTGTGGCCTGGATATGAGACATGGAGTCAAAGGAGATCATTTTGGAGCTTTAAGATTTCATTGCCCCACTGGATTTGGGACTTGTATGGGCCCTGTAGCCCCTTTGTTTTGGTCAATGTCTCCCATTTGGATTGGCTGTATTTACCTAGTGTCTGTACCTCCATTGTATCTAGGAAATAACTAGCTTGCTTTTGATTTTACAGGCTTCTAGGAGGAAGAGACTTGCCTTGTCTCAGATGAGATTTTGGACTGTGCACTTTTGAGTTAACACCGAAATGAGTTGAGACTTTGGGGGATGTTGGGACGGCAAGATAGGTTTTGAAATGTGAGGACATGAGATTTGGCAGGGGCCGTGGGTGAAATAATATGATTTGGCTCTGTGTCCCCACCCAAATCTCATTTTGAATTGTACTCCCATACCTCCCACGTGTTGTGGGAGGGACCCAGTGGAAGATAATTGAATTGTGGGTGCAGTTTCCCCTCTACTGTTCTCATGGTAGTGAATAAGTCTCACGAGATCTAATGGTTTTATCATTAAAACCATTTGCGTCTTCCTCATTCTCTCTTTGCCTGCTGCCATCCATGTAAGATGGGACTTGTTCTTCCTTGCCTTCTACCATGATTGTGAGGCCTCCCCAGCCATGTGCAGTTAAGTCCAATTAAACCTCTTTCTTTTGTAAATTGCCCAGTCTTGGGTATGTCTTTACCAAGAGCATGAAAATGGACTAATACAGGGGCATAACTAAGAGAACGCATTTTTCCTACCATTTATTGTGTTCCAACAATGTGTGAAGCACAGTAAGTACTTTTATACACAATATCTTATTTAAACATCTTTGCAAGTCGTAAGTTAGCTATTCTTTTTATTTATTTTTATTTTTTCGAGAAAGGGTCTTGCTCTGTCACCCAGGCTGGAGTGCAGTGGCACAATCTCGGCTAACTGCAACCTCTGCCTCCCGGGTTCAAGTGATTCTCCTGCCTTAGTCTCCCAGGTAGTTGGGACTACAGCCACCCACCACCACACCTGGCTAATTTCTGTATTTTCAGTAGAGACAGGATTTTGCCAAGTTGGCCAGGTTGTTCTCGAACTCCTGACCTCAGGTGATCTGCCCACCTCGGCCTCCCGAAGTGCTGGGATTACAGGTGTCAGCCACCATGCCCAGCCTAGCTATTCTTATTATTCTTTTTCAGATGAAGAAATTGAGGTTCAGAGAAGTTAAGAAAATTACCTAATGTGGTAAATGATAGAGCTAGTAGTCCAAACCCTATCTATCAATACCCAAAGCTTAAGCTATTCAATATCATGCCACAAAGCGACAAACTGTATTAGCATATTTTAGGTGGTTGTAGATATTCTTGATCCCTGCAAAGGCTTCAAGAAATCTATAAGGGTTCTTACTCAAAATTCAGGTCCATACAGCCAGTGGCATCTAGCCTTTTGTGGCTGTTTATTATAAGAAGGTGTACTAGTGGTAGGAAACAACCACATCTGTGAAAGGCTCAAAATAGTGACTCCAATCCCAGAAAATATATTTTCCTACAAGAAACAAGAAAGTGTTTTCACGAAAAATAAATTGTAATAGAAATTAAAGTTTCTGGATAATGTAAACTTTTTTGTTTTTTTTAATTAAGCATGTCATATAATGTAAATGCTTTATGTTGATTGAAATAAATGCCAAAGGTAATCATAATTATTTTCTTTTTCTAAGATCCAAAAAATAATTTAACCTTTATACCAGATGAATCAAAGTTATGTAAGACTTTTAGAAATGTTTTTATGTCATTTCCTGTTGATCTCATGATCAAATTACCACCACACAAATTTTTCATATCTATAATTCTAAAAAGCCAGATTTCCAAGAAAATCCTGAAATTCCCAGAAAATAATACTTGAAACTCTAAGTATTTCCCTTCAAATGACAACAGATAAGTGATAACTTTTTTGGCATTAGCACCTTCAGCATTTAACCTCTGATAAGCCTGAACACAGACAAATATTACAGAGATCTTCATTCAACACATAGCAGTAAAAATTTCACTAAATCCTGCCTTGGGATATGAATGTCTTTTTACTGAGCCATTGAAATCTGTATATATTTTCTTTGAGAAATAGATTTTTGTGACCATGGAAATGTTTTCTTCTATGAATCACTGAAAAACATGATATATGTTCCTCCAAATTAATGAATTATCCATAATTATATAACAACTTTAGGTCATTTATAGTATTTAAAATGTCTGCCTATTACACTGATAGTGTCACATCCCTGAATAAAACAAGGTCTTATTTTTCTTTTTGTCATTTCTTTTCTTTGCAGACCCCAAATATTTTATTTATTTCTCATTGACTACCCACTGTATTACTGTATCCCACATTAATTTCGTCCCATCGTTTTCCGGATGTATCTACTGAGTAGAAAGTCCAGAAATTTTGAAGGAAGCAAAGAAAAAATAGCAGCAGTTTGTAAAGATTCTAGATCGATTTCATCAGTGACATTCTGTCAAATGGAATTCTTATACCTCTCACTATAACTCAGTAAGGACTGGCTCCTGGAGACATGAACAGTTTTAGATACTCTGACATTTAATGTCAACCAATGTATTGAGGACAGCCATTGTAACCATAAAATTGTATTTTTACCCTTAGAAACAATGTTTCATCATTATAGGCTGTCACTATTATTCGCTAGTACAATTAAGGTATTTTTCTTTCTGAGTCTTTGTATGACCTAAAATCACATAATCATGACTTATACTAAACAGGACTGAACTGTCTTAAGTAGATATTTATGTCTGGTTTATAAGTCTGCGTGTCTATGAAACAGGAAGATACTTTTAACTGTTAAAATCTCCCTGCAACATGACTTAAATGTTCTCATATATTTCCTCTATTACTAGCTTTATTATTTGCTAATTGTTAATTCATCTATAAGTGTTGCTTTAAATTAACATAAAATTTTCTATATACACACATGTAGATAGGCCCACCTGTAATAAATTATAAACCCACCTTTTAATATGGTGTGTTTATTCCTGCTTTTTTCTGGATAAATTTAATCCTTCCTCATTCTAAATCGATGTTTTCCAATTTTGATCTATGACTCAGTCCACTTCAAATAAATCTGAGAAATAAAACATATCTATACTCCTTTTGAAAAACTAATGTACATTGTATATGGAAGGCCCTGATGACTCTCCAATAAAAGAAATTTTTTAAAAAATGTGGAATCCTTAACTTCCCACTGAACACTTTCATAGTATAACATGATATCCAGGAAAGTAACAATGCTTGGAGCACTTTTGAGGGCATGGGCTTGATACAAGAGTGGAAGATCATATATAATTTCTGTCACAGAGGAGGCATATCTATTTCTTCTAGAAAATAAATTGAATCACTAATCATCATTTCGCTATGTTCTAAAATTCCTGAAAATGTAACAGAGAGAGTCAGTCTGGTTACATTACATTGATTATATCATTTCGTTGAATCTAGAAACTACACAAATAATTATGATCAGGCCTAGAAATTGCTAAATATATATTTTATTTTATTGACAGACATGTATATATTCTTCTGTCACAGACCATATGCATTTAGAGATATATTTTGTTCATATATATTCTCTTCATAACCCAAAAAACTAGAATAACACTATTAAATCTTCTTATTATGAATGAAGACAGACATTGTGCTTTCCAAAGCAGCTACGGCCTCAGAAATATTCAACTTACACAGTAATTGGCACCTAAAAGCATTCATATATCAACCAAAATAATGAGGCAGTATGGGTTAAGGGTCTGAGTTCTAGATTCAGATCCTAGCTCTACCACCTTAATAGCTGTGTGATCTTGAAAAAAATTACCAATTTCTCTGAGTTTCATTAGGGAAATAACAACAGAACTTTTTTGTCATGGAGCAGTTTTCAGTAATAAATAAGATAATAAATGTGCAGCATGCAGCACAATAGTTGACATTATGAGCACCTGATAAGTCTTATATATTAATATTATCTAAATGGTCTGTTTCCACCTACAGAACACTCAGGGAAAATAAATTATTTTTCCTCCCCAAATACTTTCTATCATACAATTATGAAACCCAAAACAGCATGATGTCAAAATTATCAACATTTATAGGACTTTTAAGGAAACAAAAATGCATCTAAATTTCCATTGATTTGGTACAAATTAAATTTTATATTTAAAAACATGAAGATAAGAGAATATGCAAGCTTCTAAAAAGAAGCAATGCATGTCTATATCGGTACTCTTAAAAGTGCTTTAGGTTTATAAATCAAGATTGAATTCATGAGGCTAAACACATCAATCCTGAAAAATCCCTAATTTCTTAAGTGCTGTATCAGTCAGTTTTGCTGCATAACAGTTAATCCAAAATCTCAGTGGCCTAAGAAATAAACATTCAATTTTTTCTGATTTTACACATCACTGGCTAAGAGTTAGCTTCCTGGCTCTGGTTGTCTCTGCTCTATGTGTCTCCCCATTCCTGCTCCCAGGCTAAAGAAGCAGCCCTTTCTAAGACATTCTCATAAATACTTGAAAAGAAGAAAAGCAAGAGGCCTAGTTTAAACAAGACATTGCATTTAAAGCTTTTGTTTATATGTGGCATACATTACATTTCACTGGACAAAGTAAGCCACGTGGCCAAGGCCAAATTATGCAATCAGCAGTGATAATGTAATTCTCCTGCTTAGAAGGAGGAAGTGAGTTAATTGTAAATACAATCCACCTCGGTTGCCTTTGTTGGTCACAGATACTCACTTTGTTCACTGTACACACAAAATTTACTTACAGCCACATGGAAGACATCCTAAAAGTTTCAACAAATCCAAACATCAGCCTTGAAAGTTCATGATCTTATTGCCATCAGATCCAAATAGCAAATCTTGATCTGGACACATGAACTAAGTAAACAAATTATCTTCTTCATAAGCACCCAACATAAAATGGTAGAGAAGAGGCAGAATAAACACATAAACATTCCGATTTGAATGTGAAATTAAAAAAAAAAAGGAAAACAGAAAACTCATAGTAGGTAGCAGTTCTGAAATCCCACTGGGCAAACGTGCTGGCCTTGGGGATAGAGGAAACTACTTTGATTAAGAGTCTTTGATTAGGGGTCTGCAACTTGAATTAACTTTCCAGAGAATATTCTCCAGGGTTACAGGCACCAGCCTCTTTCTTCCTTGTTCTTTGCCCTCCGTTGCCAAATCTAAAAAAAGTTATAAAATATTCCTTTCTTGGGCTGAGCAGCTTTTTTGACTATCTTATCCTCAGAAAGTTGAGTGTAGGCAAGACTTTTTAAGCTATAAAAAGCCACACACTCTTCTATTTTTGGCAATACTCCTGGCATTAAAACTTTTTAAAATTTTAACTTTTCTCTTTTTTAATGTCCATTTGATCTGTTCTCCTCTATATACTAATAGACTCACTCTCTATTCTTTTACAAATCTGTCTCTCTCTCTCTCTAAACTTGATTACAGGTATTTGAGCTTATCAGACTTCATGAGATTATTCCTTTGATTTTCTTTTCCCACCCAAGCCATTTTGTCCAACTGGAACGATTTACTGAGAAACGGCTTAATCCAATCAGGTTTTGTGCACAGGCTATTAACTTGGTCTTTGTCCCTAAAATGAGTCTTATTCTGAGTCTTAATTAGCCTTTGCAGCTCAAAATATTTATCATTTCACCAGTTAGAGATGAGAAACAGTTTGGTTTTGCAGCCCTGCAAATCCTGGAGTTTCTCAGCTCTTTAGTCTTCTTTTCATCTCCTGTGTTAAACAACTCACTTATTTTTGTACTCATTCTTTTTCTTGTATTATCAAATGCAGTTTCTAACAACTAATTCACATTAGTAACATTTCAAATCCTCTTTACTGGAAGCCTTCAGTACATGATACATGTGTTGCCCAAAATATTTTGCTGCTGCATAAAATGTGTCACCCATTTTCTAGCCTTTAATAAGTTTTCTCACTGCTAGCTGTCTCTGGCCCCCAAAATCGATGCCATATATTTTAAGTTTTTTATTATGATAACACTCCACTTCTAAGTATCAAATTCTATACTGTTCAGCCTTCTACATAACAATCTTGAAATCCCAAGGGCTTACAAAAACAGGCATTTTGTTCTTGTTTGTGTTTTGTGTTTCATCTAGGCAGTTATTAGATGTATGCAGCTACGGGGGCTCTGCTTAACTCAGCTCTATAGGTTTTTTTACTCACGTAAGCTGAAGTGTGGAGCACACCCATTTATGGAGCTGAGAAGAAAACCAAGATGCTAAGCTAACCCTTAGAATTTCATTTAAAGCCTCTTATTGCAGGTAGCATAGTTATAGCTGTTCACATTGCAATGGCCAGAGAAATTACATGGTTAAATTCAAAAAGGAGGGGAAACATACACCTTCCACAACAGGAAGCAGGGAACTGCTGTGGCAATAAGCTGGGAGAGATAAACTGTATATAAGAAAAGGGCATCATGTATAATTGCGAACAGTAACACCACCTGCCAAAAGTGCAGTTTAACAATGTTTTCGAATGCTCTATGATGCAAACATCCCCCATAAAAAATAGTAAAAATAAGACTGTACACTCATAACACTTTCCCAGAAAAGCAAATGATTTATTCACCTTCAAAAATAAACTATAATTTCAAAAATGGCATTGGGTCTTGTCTTAAATTTCTATCATTAGTTGGCATCATTTTAGAAGCTATTTCTCTGCATAAGAAAACCTATTCTATCTTAATCAGACCAGCTCAGAGCAGCTGTGACTATAATTACCCTTATTTGCAACAATCTCTGACACACACCTGGAAGACTAGGGCCACCCAGCAAGAAACAGGAAGAAGTTCAGAAGCCAAATCTCTGTCATTCCTGTTCATTTGTGTCTCTATGGTTATTGCTGTCATTACCAATACGGGCACTGCAGTAAGACACACCAAGACCTCCGAGGCCAGCCAGTGGCTGGGATATAACAGGCATCTGTAACTACACCTTGTTGAATTAGCTAACATTATCAGGGCACTGGGATAGAATATTTAAATGGACTTCACTATAATGCCAATCTGAAGTTTGGAGTAGATAAGCCACATATTTCTACACATGGCCCTCACTCAGCAGCCCCTTTCTCTCCCAAACCATTGCCTGAAAACCAAGTTACAAGGTGATGTTGTTTACTTTCTAAAACAATTCACTCTGAGACAGACTTGAGGCCAGGCGCGGTGGCTCATGCCTGTAATCCCAGCACTTTGGGAGGCCGAGGCGGGTGGATCACGAGGTCAGGAGATCGAGACCATCCTGGCTAACACAGTGAAACCCCGTCTCTACTAAAAATACCAAAAAAAAAAAAAAAAAATTAGCCTGGCATGGTGGCGGGCGCCTGTAGTCCCAGCTACTCGGGAGGCTGAGGCATGAGAATGGCATGAACCCGGGAGGCGGAGCTTGCAGTGAGCCGAGATGGCACCACTGCACTCCAGCCTGGGCGACAGAGCAAGACTCCATCTCAAAAAAAAAAAAAAAAAAAAAAAAAAAAGACTTGCTTTGATCCTTTTAAGGGATATTTCATTTTAAAGGAGAAAATATTTTTATCCAAAAATATTTTTCTGGTGGATGGGAATTTTTTTTGTGAAAGAGAGCTGCTTTTTCCTCCCCAATTTCAGAGTTCTGTCCCATCAACTTACTACCACAGTAGTGTAGTTTTCTGTCTCAAAGACATGGTACATGAGGTTCTTCTCTCTGGAACAGTCTCTTCCACACACCACATACCAAACTTGCTCCTGTAGTTAATTCTTCATTGTCTTTTAAAGCTGAGCCCAAGGACGATTTCATGGCCCTCTAGATCTCCTTATGACCTTCTGATAGAGACTTTCATAGAAACATGAACTTCTTTATAACACTGACAACATTTGAAAATTTAAAATTATCCCTGTAATTGGTTACTGGTCGATTGTCTTGCCAACTAGCATTTTAGCTCCATAAGAGCAAAGACCATATCTAACTTCTTCCCAACTCTATCTCTAGTGCTTATCCTATTACATATTGAATATATATCATAAATATTTGTTGACTATATGCATGTATATATGACCAAATAAATAAATAGGAATTTGAAGCTCTCATTATATAATCCCTCTTTTTAAAGACAGCAGTGACTTTCTATATAGTCTCTCAAAGGAGTAAAGAATGCAGAAAAGCTCCTAGGTGCTTTTTTACTTCCTTTCTGAATTCATCTGCTCTGCCATCTCTTGGTGGACTCTTCCAGTTGGCCTGGTATAGTATATTCCCAGAGTATTTTTTTAAAGCCTTTAGCACTTTATGACCACCCACAACTATCTATGTCCTGAGAAATTCCTCTAGTCACATGATTTCATGTTATCTTGTGTGTTTGTGTGTGTGTGATTTAGAAACCATGTCCTAATTCATTTAGGACATGATTATTTAAGAGAAACAAATAGAAGGTGAGGGGTTTTTTTTAAATATTATAATCTAGGAGGTATTGAAAATGATGTCATTCCCTAATGATCTCATTCATGATGGGATTGTGAAGTGGACTATGACAATGAAAACATTTCTGTGAGAACTTCCAAAGCCATCTGGCAAGCACAGAGCCTATATTTTTAAAGTGATAGCTTAGTTTCTAAATATAATGGGCCAGGACTTGATGTCAAATAAGTGGGAAAGTAAACATAAAAGACAGCAAACATAAATGATTGGTATAGACCCAAAGCAAGAGAATATTTTATATTTTGCAATCTAGTTATCAAAGTTTTAATATATTAATATCATGAATGCACATTTACCATGGTAGTGAATTATTCTACTCTTTCTGAAAACTTTTAACAGATTTTTTCCATATAATGCAATTTTTATTATTATTATTATTATACTTTAAGTTTTAGGGTACATGTGCACAATGTGCAGGTTTGTTACATATGTATACATGTGCCATGTTGGTGTGCTGCACCCATTAACTTGTCATTTAGCATTAGGTATATCTCCTAATGCTATCCCTCCCCCTTCCCCCCACCCCACAACAGTCCCCAGAGTGTGATGTTCCCCTTCCTGTGTCCATGTGTTCTCATTGTTCAATTCCCACCTATGAGTGAGAACATGCGGTGTTTGGTTTTTTGTCCTTGTGATATTTTGCTGAGAATGATGGTTTCCAGCTTCATCCATGTCCCTACAAACGACATAAACTCATCATTTTTTATGGCTGCATAGTATTCCATGGTGTATATGTGCCACATTTTCTTAATCCAGTCTATCATTGTTGGACATTTGGGTTGGTTCCAAGTCTTTGCTATTGTGAATAGTGCCGCAATAAACATACGTGTGCATGTGTCTTTATAGCAGCATGATTTATAATCCTTTGGGTATATACCCAGTAATGGGATGGCTGGGTCAAATGGTATTTCTAGTTCTAGATCCCTGAGGAATCGCCACACTGACTTCCACAATGGTTGAACTAGTTTACAGTCCCACCAACAGTGTAAAAGTCTTCCTATTTCTCCACATCCTCTCCAGCACCTGTTGTTTCCTGACTTTTTAATGATCGCCATTCTAACTGGTGTGAGATGGTATCTCATTGTGGTTTTGATTTGCATTTCTCTGATGGCCAGTGATGATGAGCATTTTTTCATGTGTTTTTTGGCTGCATAAATGTCTTCTTTTGAGAAGTGTCTGTTCATATCCTTCACCCACTTTTTGATGGGGTTGTTTGTTTTTTTCTTGTAAATTGGTTTGAGTTCATTGTAGATTCTGGATATTAGCCCTTTGTCAGATGAGTAGGTTGTGAAAATTTTCTCCCATTTTGTAGGTTGCCTGTTCACTCTGATGGTAGTTTCTTTTGCTGTGCAGAAGCCCTTGAGTTTAATTAGATCCCATTTGTCAATTTTGGCTTTTGTTGCCATTGCTTTTGGTGTTTTAGACATGAAGTCCTTGCCCATGCCTATGTCCTGAATGTTGTTGCCTAGGTTTTCTTCTAGGGTTTTTATGGTTTTAGGTCTAACATTTAAGTCTTTAATCCATCTTGAATTAATTTTTATGTAAGGTGTAAGGAAGGGATCCAGTTTCGGCTTTCTACATATGGCTAGCCAGTTTTCCCAGCACCATTTATTAAATAGGGAATCCTCTCCCCATTGCTTTTGTCAGGTTTGTCAAAGATCAGATGGTTGTAGATATGCGGCATTATTTCTGAGGGCTCTGTTCTGTTCCATTGATCTATATTTCTGTTTTGGTACCAGTACCATGCTGTTTTGGTTACTGTAGCCTTGTAGTATTTTGTATATAGTTTGAAGTCAGGTAGTGTGATGCCTCCAGCTTTGTTCTTTTTGCTTAGGATTGACTTGGTGATGTGGGCTCTTTTTTGGTTCCATATGAACTCTAAAGTAGTTTTTTTCAAATTCTGTGAAGAAAGTCATTGGTAGCTTGATGGGGATGGCATTGGATCTATAAATTACCTTGGGCAGTATGGCCATTTTCACGATATTGATTCTTCCTACCCATGAGCATGGAATGTTCTTCCATTTGTTTGTATCCTCTTTTATTTCATTGAGCAGTGGTTTGTAGTTCTCCTTGAAGAGGTCCTTCACATCCCTTGTAAGTTGGATTCCTAGGTATTTTATTCTCTTTGAAGCAACTCTGAATGGGAGTTCACTCATGATTTGGCTCTCTGTTAGTCTGTTATTGGTGTATAAGAATGCTTGTGACTTTTGTACATTGATTTTGTATCCTGAGACTTTGCTGAAGTTGCTTATCAGCTTAAGGAGATTTTGGGCTGAGACAATGGGGTTTTCTAGATATACAATCATCTCATCTGCAAACAGGGACAATTTGACTTCCTCTTTTCCTAATTGAATACCTTTTATTTCCTTCTCCTGCCTAATTGCCCTGGCCAGAACTTCCAACACTATGTTGAACAGGAGTGGTGAGAGAGGGCATCCCTGTCTTGTGCCAGTGTTCAAAGGGAATGCTTCCAGTTTTTGCCCATTCAGTATGATATTGGCTGTGGGTTTGTCATAGATAGCTCTTATTATTTTGAGATACGTCCCATCAATACCTAATTTACTGAGAGTTTTTAGCATGAAGGGTTGTTGAATTTTGTCAAAGGCCTTTTCTGCATCTATTGAGATAATGATGTGGTTTTTGTCTTTGGTTCTGTTTATATGCTGGATTACATTTATTGATTTGCATATGTTGAACCAGCCTTGCATCCCAGGGATGAAGCCCACTTGATCATGGTGGATAAGCTTTTTGACGTGCTGCTGGATTTGGTTTGCCAGTATTTTATTGAGGATTTTTGCATCAATGTTCATCAAGGATATTGGTCTAAAATTCTCTTTTTTGGTTGTGTCTCTGCCCGGCTTTGGTATCAGGATGATGCTGGCCTCATAAAATGAATTAGGGAGGATTCCCTCTTTTTCTATTGATTAGAATAGTTTCAGAAGAAATGGTACCAGCTCCTACTTGTACCTCTGGTAGAATTCGGCTGTGAATCCATCTGGTCCTGGACTTTTTTTGGTTGGTAAGCTATTGATTATTGCCACAATTTCAGAGCCTGTTATTGGTCTATTCAGAGATTCAACTTCTTCCTGGTTTAGTCTTGGGAGGGTGTACGTGTCAAGGAATTTATCCATTTCTTCTAGATTTTCTAGTTTATTTGCGTAGAGGTGTTTGTAGTATTCTCTGATGGTAGTTTGTATTTCTGTGGGATCGGTGGTGATATCCCCTTTATCATTTTTTATTGCGTCTATTTGATTCTTCTCTCTTTTCTTCTTTATTAGTCTTGCTAGCGGTCTATCAATTTTGTTGATCTTTTCAAAAAACCAGCTCCCAGACTCATTGATTTTTTGAAGGGTCTCTCTATTTCCTTCAGTTTTGCTCTGATTTTAGTTATTTCTTGCCTTCTGCTAGCTTTTGAATGTTTGCTCTTGCTTTTCTAGTTCTTTTAATTGTGACATTAGGGTGTCAATTTTGGATCTTTCCTGCTTTCTCTTGTGGGCATTTAGTGCCATAAATTTCCCTCTACACACTGCTTTGAATGTGTCCCAGAGATTCTGGTATGCTGTGTCTTTGTTCTCGTTGGTTTCAAAGAACGTCTTTATTTCTGCCTTCATTTCGTTATGTACCCAGGAGTCATTCAGGAGCAGGTTGCTCAGTTTCCATGTAGTTGAGCGTTTTTGAGTGAGATTCTTAGTCCCGAGTTCTAGTTTGATTGCACTGTGGTCTGAGAGACAGTTTGTTATAATTTCTGTTCTTTTACATTTGCTGAGGAGTGCTTTACTTCCAACAGTGTGGTCAATTTTGGAATAGGTGTGGTGTGGTGCTGAAAAAACTGTATATTCTGTTGATTTGGGGTGGAGAGTTCTGTAGATGTCTATTAGGTCCGCTTGGTAGATAATGCAATTTTTAATTAGCTTTATTAACGTATAAATTATATACAGTAAAATTCAGCAATTTTAAATGTAAAATTCAGTGACCTGTAATGTAATTTGACTTTTTTTTTCTCCAAAATGGGTTTGCAAATTTCATGAAGAAGAAAAATTATATGATACAAAATGGCATTATATTTAAAATTATTTAGGTATGTGCTTGTATGTGTATACATTTTTATTTCATCTTACCCTGGAATTTTCAAACAGAACTAAGAGTATGAATTCTCACATATCAAAAATTCTTTTTCAAAGTGAATTTTCTGTATGTAATTTCTAAACAATGAATGTGATATTATTCATTATGAAAGTATTATTTTTATTTCAGCTTGAGAAAAACCACTCAGTTTATGAAGTCCATATCATCCACTTTATCAAACTTGACTCCTCACCCACTAAACTTCTCAGGTGGGAGTCAGACCCCAGTCTGCTATTCCCAGAGAGTACTTGACACTCCAAATGGTCTTTTCAAGGTCCCTTTCTCTTGAATGAGTGTAAAGGCACAGATTTCACCACCCTGCCCACCATGTGTTAGAAGGGTTACAGCATATAAATATTTCCCTCCCAAAAATCTTCCATTTAATCTTCAATTCTCCTAAATGTTATATATTTTTGAGTGAGTTAAAGAGCTTAAAAATAACAAAAATTGGTTTTTGACATCTCCTTTGACAATTTTGCATCAAGATTTTTCTCATCTCACTTTGGAGCCCAGCATATATTATCTTAGTGCACTAGCCAAAATTCCAACCTAATATTGTTTTTATACAAGTGCATTAGAACATCTCACTAAGACCTAGTCACTTATCCTCTGAGAACTTAACTAAAAGTTTGCTTAATTAATAATCCCAGACTATTCTTGGGATGGTTGCAGTAAACTACTAATGGTAGTGAACACTAGGATGTGGGAATAGAGAGGATCAGATAATTTTTACTTCCTTATCATGTGTATATATATATATATATATTATATATATATACAACTTTATACATTTTATACTTTTTGAATTTGCCTTCAGAAGCATATACTATTTATGTAATTTAAAATATGTCGAAGATTTAAAATATAAATAAAACACAGCCATTAAAAGTTTAAGAATAAAATAATTTCTTAAAGGAGAAAGCGAAAATTTTCCTGTAAGGTATGGAATAAGGATAAAATAAAGGGATATCTTTTGAAAATAAAATGTTGAAATTTTTATATTTGTACAGAATCATTCTGATACAGCCTCATCAAAACTGCTCTGTGAAGTTCTTCTCAGTCAAAATGATTGTATGAAAATGAAATTTTAAAGTGACTTCATCAAAGTGTCCTGCTTCCCTCACTATAGAGCCATCACTTGTCAACAAAAACAAGTAGGCACAGCCATAAAAAAGAATGAAATCATGGCCTCTGCAGCAACACAGATGTAGCTGGAGTCCCTTATTCTAGGCAAATTAACGCAGGAACAAAACACCAAATACTGCATGTTCTCACTTATCAGTGGGGAGCTAAACACTGGTTACTCATGGACATAAAGATGGCAACAATAGGCACTGGAGACAACTAGAGGTAGGAGGGAGAGAAGGGAGAAAGGGTTGAAAAACTTACTATTGGGTACTATGCTCACTACCTGGGTGACAGAATCAGTTGTACCCCAAACCTCAGCATCACGCGATATGCCCATGTAACAAACCTGCACTTGTACCCTCTGAATCTAAAATAAAAGTTGAAATTATTTTAAAAAGTATAATGTACTAGCACAATCATACAAATTTTTTTAATTCAGAAAGGAATACACAAAAGAAAAATAAGCAAAGAACAGATAATAGAGAGAAAGAAGCACAGTAAACAATATAAAACTGATAGTAAATACAAGAAAGAATAAGAAAAAGTTAGGAGCAAATGGTCATGATGATAAGCATAAACATACTTATCTATTAAAAGAAAAAGGTTTCCAAGTTGGCTCAAAGAGTAAAAGCCAAGGCATGGTGAATATAAAAGACATCTAAAATGAATTGTTTCAAAATGCTAAAAAAGGGATAGGCAAATTATATCAGGCAAAGGGAAACAATCAGAAATAAAGGTTATTATCCTGACATAAGACAAAGTAAAATTAAAACCAGTGGTCTGGAATAGAAAGTGCACAACAGCCCCAGTACACATGGACGCTTAGTGTATAATAAAGCTGGCATCTCAAATCACTGAGGAAAAGCTGGAATTTTTGACAAATGGCATTAGGACAACCGAAATACCTTTGAGAAAATGATAAATGTGGCTTCTTTCTGCATATTCAGTAGAATGAACTACAAATACATAAGAAATTCAATGTAAATGATGGACCCATACAGGTACTACCTGTGGGGAAAGGCTTTGTAACTATAATTGGAGATCCAGCTACAATGAAAAAAAAATGATTATTTAGCTGCATTAAAATAAACACTAATATGGCAAAAACACCTAAGTAACGTCAAAAGATGAGTGTTCAGGAAAGCAAGCAGTGCTCAAAAATGGATGGAAGCATGACAAAAAGGCCCAGAAGTCAGAGTAAAAGGTTCGTATTGGCCAAATTTGAAATAATCTGAGCCATAAAATTAATAAGGGAAAGTGATTGCCTAGAATTAGTGCAGTGCTTAACTAGAAAGGAACTTGAGGAAACTTTCTGGGGTGTTGGAAATATTCCATATCTTGATAAGGGTGTGAATTATCTGGATGTGTATGCTTGTCCAAACTCATCTGACATATATCTAATATCTGGACACTGCACTATATGCAAAGTATACTTCAATTTTTAAAAAGAATAATGATAGTAATAGATTGTAACATATTGAACTAAAATCAAGAATCTATGAGTCTGTAATGATACTAAAACACCAAAGTTGGGGAAAGAAAAGGTCTTTTTTACAGAAGAATGAGAGCTAGTAAATGTAAAATAATTATAGAGTTAGAAAATCTCCAGCTTTCAACCACCAATGTAATAATTGATTCAGAAGAATAATCAATCAATGCTAACATATTAAGTGAATGGGAGTGAATTTTTAAAATCAGGGTATTAAAATAACCTCAAAATATCACCCAACAGGTAAGGGGAAAGGTGCCTTTGCAATGAAGAACTCTGGAAGACACCAACTTAACCTAATGATTAAACTTCATTGGTAATGGGACACACTGACATTACATGATTCGTCCATGGCACTCTGATTAGGATGCAGCCCCACCTATATATTACGCCCACCAAAAATGCTAACCTGAATCTCATCATGAAGAAGCATTCAGACAAATCCAAATCATCAGGCATTTTTCAAAGGAAGTGATCTAGATTCTTCAAAAGGTCAATGCCATAAAAGACCAACAGAGAAGGGAAACTTCCAAATTAAAGAAGATTGAAAAGATATAAACTAAATGTAATGCCCGACCATTGATTGAATACTGAAAAAATATAGCCATAAAATACACTGTAGGAACAGTCATGGAAATTTGAGCATGGGTTGTAAATTCGACACAACTATGACATCTTTGTTAAATGTCTTAAATGTGATCATTATAATATATATAATACATATCATTATTATATATTATATAATATATATCATTATATATTATATAATATATATCATTATATATTATATAATATATAATTATATATAATATATTTTTATATATAATATATTTTTATATATATTATTTATATATATTTATATATACAAATATATATATACATATATATATTTTTTTTTTTTTGTGAGATGGAGTTTTGCTCTTGTTGCCCAGGCTGGAGTGCAATGGCAGATCTTGGCTCACTGAAACCTCTGCCTCCTGAGTTCAAGTGATTCTCCTGCCTCAACCTCCCGAGTAGCTGGGATTACAGGCATGCACCACCACACCGGGCTAATTTCGTATTTTTAGTAGAGACGAGGTTTCTGCATGTTGGTCAAGCTGGTCTCAAACTCCTGACCTCAGGTGATCCGCCTGCCTTGGCCTCCCAAAGTGCTGGGATTTACAGGCATGAGCCACTGTGCCTCGCCAGAAGAAAATATTTTTTCAATAAAGAGAAAGAAAGCAAACAGGGCCTCCAAAATCATTAATGATTGGTGAATTCATGTGAAGAGAATACGGGTATTCCTTGAACTATTTTTTTTCCAACGGTTGGTTTAAAACTTTTCAAAATAAATTATTAGGGAAAATACTATTTTAAAAAACTAGGAAAATAGCACACCCTTTGACAAACAGCTCAAAGCCATCCTTGCCTACTCTTAGCCTGCTTGTTGTACACATGATGCCCACCCTGTTTCCTGATATGAGTTCTACTTCTGTCTTTGGGATTTGTTCTTGTGTGATATCTAGTGCTATGAACTGAATTGCATTCCCCCCCAGATTTCTATGTTGAAGCCCTGACTCCCCATAGGACTCTATTGGAAATAAGGCCTTTAAGGTCACTACGGTTAAATAAGGTCCTGAGGGTGGAGCCCTGATCACATATAACTGACTTCCTTATAAAAGACAAAGAGACGGTAGGGCGCGGTGGGTCACATCTGTAATCCCAGCACTTTGGGTGGCTGAGGTGGGCGGATCACTTGAGGTCAGGAGTTCAAGACCAGCCTGGCCAACATGGTGACACCCCGTCTCTACTAAAAATACAAAAAAATTAGCCAGCATGGTGGCACACGCCTGTAATCCCAGCTACTTGGGAGGCTGAGGCACAGAATCGATTGAACATGGGAAGCGGAGGTTGCAGTGAGCCGAGATGGCGCCACTGCACTCCAGCCTGGACAACAAGAGTGAAACTCTGTTTCAAAAAAAAAAGACAAAGAGACACAGGCCCCTCTGCCCCCACTGTCACTCTGTCATTTTGAGGACACAGTGAAAAAGTGGCATCTACAAGTCAGGAAGAGAGCCTTCATCAAAAACTGGCCCTGACCTTAACCTGTGACTTCTATCCTCTAGAACTGTGAGCAAATAAATTACTGTTGTTTATGCCACACAGTCTGTAGTATTTTGTTACCTTGGCCTGAGACTTCTAGCCTCTAGAACTATGAGAAAATAAATTACTATTCTTTAAGCCACCCAGTATATAGTATTTTGTTACGGCAACCCAAGCTGACTTAGACATATAGCTACTTTATCTGGTAACTTAGCACTGATCCTGGAACAGAGAATCTAGAATGTTACTTCTATACCTGAATGCCTCTTGCTGCTCTTACAGAGCATCACAAACTGTTTCCTGAACCCTGAAATGTGAGCCTCATTACATGTTCCTTCTCTGCCTATACATGGGTCCAGACTCCATTTCTGAAATCATTTCTTCAGTTATTTTCCCTAGTTTTTCTATTTCTAGGGAAAGGGCACCTAGACACTATGCACATTCCAGTGTCTTCTTCATAATGCTAGCTGGAACACAAATGTACCTCATTATGGTATGGTCAGAAGGCACTGAAATAATATTGCCCACCATTGTTTTTTCCTGGTATTTGATTTCCATTACTCAGAAAGTGTCATGGTGCTGTGGCCAGTGAAGACATTTCAGGTTAGACTTCAAATATAGAGTGACCCGCACTGAAAGGAAATTTAAATACCTGCATCACCACTATGGCTCACATATACACAAATCCTGACAGAAACCCATAGGCTTCAAAGAAACCACAGTCCTTAGACTCCAGTGATAGATGAAGAGCCTTCCTGCATGCATGATTCCAGAGTTTGCACATAGAAACAACAACTAGGATTTACAATGGATATTGGTAAAGAATAGCACTTTTCTAAAAACAATTGATAAAATTTAGAACTTACAGGCTGGACTGCTTATCAGAACAGGACGAGTCTATACATAAAATTAACTGATGTCCATAAGTCGAGGCTTTACTGAGAACATCTACACCATGCTCTAATTTGAGATCTCCCTTTAGTTAACCATAGAAATGTTTATACCCAAACTGCCGTCTAAGCCACAGTGTAAGGATCTAGAGGGAATCTATCTCCTGTTATGTTTTGTTAAGACTTAGGGCTGTTTAGGAGAAAGTGATTAAGTGTCCAGGAGAACAAGTTGTGTTCCCTTATTGCAATCACAAGTTGCTTTTTTAACACTGACAATTTTGATGTGGTGAGTCATGAGTTAAATTAGATTTGAACTTTATCTCATCCCCATTGATTCCACTGTGATTACTACTGAAGCCATTTGGTACACATATGATATGGTTTGGCTCTGTGTCCCCACCCAAATCTCAACTTGTAGCTCCCATGATCCCCACGTGTTGTGGGAGGGACCCTGTGGGATATGATTAGATCATGGGGGCGGGTCTTTCCCATGCTGTTCTCATGATAGTGAATGGGTCTCGTGAGATCTGATGGTTTTAAAAGTGGGAGTTTTCCTGCACAAGCTCCCTTTTTTGCCTGCTGCCATCCACATAAAATGTCACTTGCTCCTCTTTGCCTTCTGCCATGATTGTGAAACCTCCCCAGCCATGTGGAACTGTAAGCCCATTAAACCTCTTCCTTTTCTAAATTGCCCAGTCTTGAGTATGTCTTCATCAGCAGTGTAAGAATAGTAAATTGGTACCAGTAGAGTGGAGCATTGCTGAAAATATACCTGAAAATGTGGAAGCAACTTTGGAACTGGGTAACAGGCAAAGGTTGGAATGGTTTGGAGTGCTCAGAAGAAGACAGGATAATGTGGGAAAGTTTGGAACTCCCTAAAGACTTGATGAATGGCTTTGACTAAAGTGCTGATAATGATATGGACAATGAAATCCAGACTGAGATGGTCTCAGATGGAGAAGAGAAACTTGTTGGGAACTGGAGCAAAGGTAACTCCTGTTATGTTTTAGCAAAAAGACTGGCAGCATTTTGCCCCTGTCCTAAAGATTTGTGGAACTTTGAACTTGAGAGAGATGACTTAAGGTATCTGGTGGAAGAAATTTCTAAGTGGCAAAACATGCAAGAGGTGACTTGGGTGCTGTTAAAGGCATTCAGTTTTAAAAGGGAACAAAGCATAAAACTTTGAAAAATTTGCAGCCTGACAATGGGATAGAAATGAAAAAAATCCCATTTTCTGAGGAGAAATTCAAGCCTGCTGCAGAAATTTCATAAGTAACCAGGAGCCCAGTGTTAATCCCCAAGACAATGGGGCAAATGTCTCCAGGGCATATCAGAGGTTTTCATGGCAGCCCCTCCCATCACAGGTCCAGAGGCCCAGGAGGAAAAAGTGGTTTTGTGGGCTGGGCCGAGGATCTCCATGCTGTGTGCAGACTAGGGACTTGGTGCCCTGCGTCCCAGCTGCTACAGCCATGGCTGAAAGGGGCCAAAATAGAGCTCAGGCTGGAACTTGAGAGGGTGCAAGCCCCCAACCTTGGCAGCTTCCACGTGGTGTTGAGCCTGCAAGTGCACAGAAGTCAAAAATTGGGGTTTGGGAACCTCTGACTAGATTTCAGCAGATGTATGGAAATGCATGGATGCCCAGGCAGAAGTTTGCTGTAGGGGTGGGGTCCTCATGGAGAACCTATGCTAGGGCAATGTGGAAGGCATATGTGGGGTTGGTGCTGCCACATGGAGTCCCTACTGGGGCACCGCCTAATGGAACTGTGAGAAGAGGGCCACCATCCTCCAGACCTCAGAATGGTAGATCCACTGACAGCTTGCACTATGCACCTGGAAGAGCTGCAGACACTCAATGCCAGCCCTGTGAACACAGCCAAGAGGAAGGCTGTTCCCTGCAAAGCCACAGGGGCAGAGCTGCCCAAGACCATGGGAACCCACCTCTTGCATTAGAGTGACCTGGATATGAGACATGGAGTCAAAGGAGATCATTTTGGAGCTTTAAGATTTGACTGCCCCACTGGATTTCAGACATGCATGAGCCTTGTAGCCCCTTTGTTTTGGCCAGTGTCTCCCATTTGGATTGGTTGTATTTATCCAATGTCTGTACCCCCATTGTATCTAGGAAGTAACTAGCTTGCTTTTGATTTTACAGGCTCAGAGGTGGATGGGACTTGCCTTGTCTTGGATGCAACTTTGGACTGTGGACTTTTGAGTTAATGCTGAAATGAGTTGAGACTTTGGCAGACTGTTGGGAAGGCATGATTGGTTTTGAAATGTGAAGATATGAGATTTGGGAGGGGTCAAGGGTGGAATGATATGGCTTGGCTCTGTGTCCCCACCCACATCTCATCTTGTAGCTCCCATAATTCCCATGTGTTGTGGGAGGGGCCCAATGGGAGATGACTGAATCATGGGGGCGGGCCTTTCCCCTGCTGTTCTCATGATAGGGAATGGGTCTCATGAGATCTGATGGTTTTTAAAATGGAAATTTCCCTGCACAAGCTCTCTTTTTTGCCTGCTGCCACCCATGTAAGATGTGTCTTGCTCCTCCTCCTTCCATGATTGTGAGGCCTCCCCAGCCATGTGGAACTGTAAGTCCAACAAGCCTCTTTCTTTTCTAAATTGCCGTCTCGGGTATGTCTTTATCAGCAGTGTGAAAATGGACTAATACAACATACAAGAACACACATTGCCCATCAGATTTCTTGTTGAATGCCGAAGAACCTTATTTGTACTGAACAAAAAAATCAGTCTTCATCTATGTGCAGGAGTGAGCAGAGACTAATAAAAGGAAAACTTTAAGGTCATTTATGGAGCTGACTTAATTGTGGCCGTCCGCCAGAATCCTGAATGTGCTCTTAATTTTCTTAGGCAAGGCTGGGCACGGTGGCTCATGACTGTAATCCCAGCACTTTGAGAGGCCGAGGTGGGTGGATCATTTGAGGTCAGGAGTTCGAGACCAGCCTGGCCAACATGGTGAAAACCCACCTCTACTAAAAATACAAAAATTAGCTGGGTATGGTGGCGGGCACCTGTATTCCCAGCTACTCGGGAGGCTGAGGCAGGAGAATTGCTTGAACCTGGGAGGTGGAGGTTGCAGCGAGCTGAGATCATGCCATTGCACTCCAGCCTGGGTGACCGAGCAAGAGTCTGTTTCAAAAAAAAAAAAAAAAATTCTCAGGCATTTAAAGTACTGTATATAAGAAGTGTTAAACTTTGTGTCTTAAGAAATCCTGCTGCTTCTGGAAAGTATACAAACCCACGCTCTTCAGGCTGAGTTTTACCAAACAGGCTAAAGACATCCTCCAGGATTTTGAACCTAGATAGATCTACTTAGTGGAGCCTTTTGTTGTTGTTGTTACCCCTAATTGTATCAGTCTATATATCTTCCATGACTCCTTTGATACAGTATTTAAACAGATATGAAAGAATTTTATTTTTTGAGACAGGGTCTTGTCTATCACAGCTCACTGCAGCCTCGACCTCCTGAGCTCAAGGCCTTCCATCTCAGCCTTCCATGTAGCTGGGACTATAAACATGCGCCACCACACCAGGCTAATTTTTGTATTTTTATAGAAACGGGGTTTTACCATGTTGCCCAGGCTGGCTGCAAACTCCTGAGCTCAAGTGATCCGCCCACCTCAACCTCCCGTAGTGCTGAAATTACAGGTGTGAGCCATCATGCCTGGCTACCTTTAAGATTTTAACAAATTGCTTTGTGGTGTTAGGTCTATATAGCAAAAAGAATACCTAGAAAATGAAACTATTTCTGGTTCAGTTAACTTGATGGATGTATTTGTTATTATAAAGTTATATCATTTCTTCTAATTTATAGCTGTAGTTGTGCTTTACAGAAGCCTAGTCAAAGTGTCAAATTTTAAGTGCAGTATTTGAAATAGGTTTTAAATGGAATTTTCCATTTTAAAAGCAAGCTAACTGTGAGACAACATTTTTATTTACAAATATGTTACATACATAATTCTGAGGCAGTCTATTTTTGCTACTACTTTATTGTTCAATTATGTACATAAAAGAAAAATATGAAAGCTTTGAGAAAATAATATGAAAACCTAATAATTTTTAGTTTATAATCTATAATCTCACACATGACATTCATTATATGGTTATGAAAAATTATTCTTCTCAAATTTATGCCAGTAAAACAGATAAGAAAATTCTTGCATTTTCAGCAATAAGTTGATATGATGAATTTTTGAAATTTTATTCCACATCTCTTAAGTAATTTTTTGCTTTGCAAGCCATATGTGTGATTTAAGTCCATATGTGTTGTTGTAAGTCCCATAAATCTCTTTCTTTTCTAAATTGCTATGGTTAACATTTATTTTAATTATCATTGATTAATTTTTTTTAACAAAAGTCCAATTATCTTAGTGTGAGATCCCATTCTGTGTGTTATAGGAAGTCCACATCTACTAAGATTTCTTAACCTTTGTGTTTTTAAGAATTCCCAGGGAAGGATTACACTGTCCAACAAATATGTCTTGGCTATAGCTTCTCACCTCTGGTTCCAGACATTCCTCTGTTGTCACTTGGGACCTCTCACAGGAGCTTCCCTAGTAGCTGAACACCCACTAAGTTCTGATTTGCCTCAATGTATCAAGAGCATCTCATCTTCTACAGAAGGCAATCCTGTTTGTTCATTTAATTCTGCCTACAGTCTGGGCTCCTACTAACTCTTTAGGACTCCAGAAAGGAAATCATCCTATTTCTCACATTTCACATCTTATTCACTGCCCAGTGATAGGATGGTTGACCAAATGCCAAGTGTGTTTAAGCAGCTTAAATAAATTCCCCAAATCTGGTTTATCTAATCTATCATAACCTTAGTAGTGGAATACCAGCAGTTCAGCCCAGATTTCACTGTGCCAAGCCTAATCAAATCCATTCAATTTTCAGTCTTATTTCTAGTATAAAATAAAGAGAAATTCACATATTTATTTCCCTCCTAGTTTGGTCTAGTCTTACAGTTTTATAAGTGCAAACACTTATAGTGAAATAATGTACATGTTCCCAAAAAATTAATCCTTTTTAATCTGCAGTGCCTTCAATTTTGATTTGGGAAGTCTTCAAGCAAATCCAATTCAGACTTAGAAATAAAAAAATAAAAAATAACTTTATAGGAGCAATGTTACTAAAATGACACCCAACTTATTTTATTAAACAGAAAATTTAATTTCTCAGCCAGAAAAATGATTTTGGAGTTTTTTTTGTTTTTGTTTTTGTTTTTTGTTTTTTTTGCAGGCGATGAAGGCCCCTTACGGGGAGTTTTAAAATAATACTTTATGTGGTGAAAGAGTTCTCCAAAGATACAACCAAATTTCACTGCCTACTTTTAAGTTTTAGGAAAAAATTTTAAACCTTTAAAATGGAAGTTTGAGTCTACTTTTTAGCCATTAAGTTTTTATAAATATTGGGATTATTCTCAGAGTATCCTGCTACTATAAAATAATTCCTATAAAATTTCTTGAAATGGAGTGTAACAGTTGTTTACACCTTAGGTATGGACTCAAGTTTCCCTCCTGAGTCCAAAAGGCTCAGGTCCAACACATTTCTTGTGAGTCCAACGAAAAGGGACAGTGCTCTGAATGTTGCCAATGCTATAGCACAGTTGCTCTGATCCCAGGGTAGAAATACCAAGAAAATGAAGCTGGACATGTATTCTTTTGGATTCAGTGTTGTCAATTGTGGTCACTCTACTGACCTTCTTTAGCTCCATCCCTGACAATTTCACCAGTTTGCTGCTTCACAAGAACACAGATGTAGTAGACTGTCATAGTGGCGTGATATTTTATCTTAGGTCTGTCCAGACTTTTTAACCCAATAAGAACATTCAAGAACTTGAGAGAATCTGCTTTAGTATCAAACCTTAGATATTCATAAATTCAGGTGAAAAATAAAAAAAAAAATTTATTCACAAAATTGCTATTATATGAGTATAACATTGCAATATCTCTAGTGATATTTAACCACTGTTGCCTTTAATTTTTAGGTCCAAAATAAGGTGAGGATAATGATGACAATGTGGTAGCTTAGTCAAGCGTCTCACACTTCATCTGCTGCAAGCCAGTGTTTAATTTGCAACCTTTACAGCCTACTGTACTTATTTGAAAATAGAGGCCGGGTTAATAGGGGAAATGCACAAACCTCAGGTGCATATACCTGTTTGATGTGACGCAGGTGTTTGATTTTTCCTCTGAAAGATCCACAGCAGCATGAGGAGATAACCTTAGGCTAGCAGCAACCCGTTGGGGACTTTTTTATATTTGGTCAGCCATTTATCTTGTTGGCACATGGCACCACATGTATGACTTTTACTGCTTTGTTTTTTTATTTTCTGTAGATAGCCTCATTACTTGAGAAAGTGTAATAAAACCTTTGTTTTCCTGAGATCAGTCTTATCCTTCACTTTCAATAGTACCTGAGGGTTCTGCAAACATTCTAAAGGAAAACTTACAGCCCAACAGCTTTCTCGGCTCACACACTGCAGCAACACACAGTGGCCACATAAGACATGTATTTCCTGGTATGAATTAGACCCAACAATTCAGTTACAACAATATGCCTCATGAGACAAAGAGGTCAACATGGACAAAGAAAGCCCCCTCCACAAGATGTCAGAAACATAGTTCTATACAATAATCCCTCTATACAATCCACTGAGACCATATGAGTAGAATAACATCCTGCTCCTTTATCCCAAAGAAAACAAAACTGAAATATTAAATTCTAGAAATTTCATACAAATGAAAAATCAGTCATCATAACAGGAAGAGTCAACCAAATAGAGGAGCTTAAAGGGCTATTACAGCATTCAATTTTTTTAATCAGTTAAAGTTGGAAGGAGTTCCCATATAAATGACTGAATATATGCCTTTAAGGACCGTCTTTGAAATAAGAATCTTCAATTGATCCTGATTTGAGCTACAGGCTAAAAGCAATAATGTAAGCTTGAAACTGAAATAGCATATTTAGTTTACATAATTTACTCATTATCTCAAATACTACATAAAGAAAAGAGGGAAGAAATAAGAAAAAAGTAGCAAGACTAAATAAATACTGATAAAAATGAGATAAAATATTTTACTATAGTTGGCCAAGCTTTTGGGCTTGGGGTTTCAAGGTTTTTTAAGCTAATACTCAGAATCAGTCTAAAAAGTCTGTATATTACCATTTTCTTCACTCAAAGGAAATCATAAACTGGTTGCCTTTAGCATCAATAGCCCCTTCACCTTCCACACATGCACACACGCAGGCATGCATACACCAGCTTACCCTCTACCATCATTACCAAGCAAGGTGTAGGTCCTTACCTTGCTTCCCCTGTCCTTACAGACTCCTAGGCAGCAAAGCTGTAAATTGGAGGGGAACACGGAAGATCCTGAGGCACAGATGGGCAACACTCTAGCTAGTCAGTCATCCAAAAAGTTCTAGAGATCATGGAGTGAAAAATACCTTCACTGGACATCAATTGGAAAAACATCCAGCCTATTTAGTCCCTGGGCACAAGAACTGGACAGTATTTGGACATTAGAGTATTACATAAGGAAATAATCAGAAATGCAGGCAAAGAATTATGTACCAAGATGTTCACAGAAGCAGTATTTAAAATTGCTGAACAAGCAAAAAAAAAAAAAAAAAAACAATTGGACTGAAAGCAAACAACCCCACATAGGATATACTTAAATAAGATAGACTATTAAACAGACATTAAATGTCATGTTTTCAGAACATATTTAATTAAATAAAAAATACACAATACAATATAAAGTTAAAAAACATACACAGATATATATATACGTATATATACATATACACACACAGAGAGAGAGCGGAGTATGTTTTAAATCAGTGTTAAAAGTGCTACATTCAAAATGAGCTGAGACTTGTGAAAGACACTTAGGATAATAAGAAGTATTTTTCCATCATATTTGAAGCAATAAGAAGAGAAAAGACAGGAAAGGAAGAATCTTACTAACTTGGGGAAAAGAGTAATTTGCTAACAGACAATAGAATCTATTTTTCTTTTATAAGCAAAAAGACCTTCAAATTCTAAAAATAGAATATACAATAAAAATGTATGAATTTCAACCTAAAGTAATGAAGAGGGCTAGTCTATAAGCCCTGTAAGGGCAAAATCATCTGTTTCTGTGTCTATAACACCTGGCACACCTATGCATAATAGTATTTCAATTAAAATTGTGAAAACCACATGAATATAGAAATGAATACATAATCAGAAGAATCAAGGGCTTTGAAAGGATTCAGTAATGTCTCAAGTTGCTAAATAAATGTACAGTATATGTAGGTAAGTATTCATAGTATGTGTAGATAAGTTATGAAAGGTCAATGGATCTCGAGTGGTTTCTAAAGAGTGTATAGAGCAGATTTCCCAAGTAACGATTTATCCTGGAAATGGAAGAGTGATTTGATCCTGATTCCCAAGGATATTTTACAGCAGGTTGACTAATCAGATGATTTGTAGGAAAGGACTGTGGTGCTTAATGCCAGAATACTTCCATATCCTTTCATCCATTTGTGACCCAACGGAAGTTGATGTTGGGCCTCTGCTGGTAATTGCGTTTTATTATTTGGTAAAAGATAATTTTAAAAGAAAAAAAAACAGGGAATTTCTAAGATATTTGAACAGGGAAGTGGCAATCGCAGCTGTGCCATGAGCAGAGTGATCTGTCAGCTGTGCTGAACACACCGAAAGAAACTGAAGAGACTGGAGACCTAGTCAACATTCATAAGGCAAATGAAAATGTTCTAGGCAATGGCAATGATAAGTCTTTTTAACAGAGCAGAGAAAGTAGAGATATAAACAGGTAAGCAGAGGTACAACCGACAGACCTAGCTGGAAGGCTGAACATGGAGAAAATCACAGATTCTGCCAAGATTTCATATTTGGACAGTTAAAACAGAAGCTGTGCCATGAGTATAAAGAAGAAAGTGAGGAGGAGAAGCAAAATGAGGCAATGCTCAATCCAAGCATTGATCAGAATACATTTGAACTCCAGTCAAATCGTGCAGTAACTGATGCACATTTGAGAGCCCTGTGCCTGAGGTGGTGATGGAATCCGGAGGCAGAAAGCCCCCAATGTCTGCTATAACTGATATTCAAAATGAGTCTATGTCTTCAAGAGAAGGCAAAAGTTCATTTATTTTGAGTGCAGTCCATTTCCACTGACTGCTTCCACTTATCTTACTACCCATCATGTACCAAAGATGCATCAACAAATGAAGCTGTTTCTCTCTTGAGACTGCCACATAAGACAAAATTTTAGTTTCAATTTTCAGTATGCTACATCTAAGAATAACAGCAGGCTGGGCGCGGTGGCTCACGCCTGTAATCCTAGCACTTTGAGAGGCCGAGGCGGGCGGATCACGAGGTCAGGAGATCGAGACCATCCTGGCTAACACGGTGAAACCCCATCTCTACTAAAAATACAAAAAATTAGCAGGGCATGGTGGCGGGCGCCTGTAGACCCAGCTACTCGGGAGGCTGAGGCAGGAGAATGGCGTGAACCCGGGAGGCGGAGCTTGCAGTGAGCCGAGATTGCGCCACTGCACTCCAGCCTGGGTGACAGAGTGAGACTCTGTCTCAAAAAAAAAAAAAAAAAAAAAAAGCAAGATTTGTTACAGAAATATTTCCATCAGAAATAGTAAAGAAAAAAAGTTTAAGGTTTGGAATTTACACTTCTATCCTTCAATTATCTAGGGGATATACTGATATAGAACAAATTTTGGGCAATGCTGGGAAAATGAGGTGTTACTATATTCACTTAGAAATATTAAATTATAGATTACATATAGACAGTGAAGTGATTTAGAGGTAATTTTGGTTTCCTCTTTAGAAAGAGGGATCAGAGGGATTTTCTAAAAATAATAACCATCAAATACAGCAATAGCAAACACTCTGAAAATATTGAGTGTTGCTAGGCACTTATGTCTATTCCATCTTAGGAAAGACTATCAGTCAATATTGCAATCTTAAATATAAACTTGCAGAGTGCTAAATCCTCTTCCAAAATAAACTTCAAAATCCTCCAAAATGATTGTCTATAATAAACAGACAAAGTGTTTACTTATGGCCCAAAGTGAGACTTTGAAGTTCACTTTTAAAGAACATATTTGGAAGTAGTCCTCAAAAAGAATGTTATTTATGGAATGAAAGGATATTTTAAATCCTTTTAAAATTTATTTTCCAGTCTCTCCTAAAAATGCTTTAATGCCTCCTTTGATATGGTATGATTCATATCATCCCTTTAAAAAACATAACAACAACAAAAATTTTGCTAAAATTAGCAATTTAAGAATTTTGTATTCCCACAATCTGCGTGTGTATCAGAATCAAGATACTGTACTGATTGTGAGGATGCTATTATTTTATGTAACATAGGGGGGAAAATACTGCCAAAGAAGTTATAGCACAATGTTTTCTATGACCCAGAAAACACTTCATACTTCATACTTATTGAAAAGGTTCTTTTTCTTTTTAGTACTTATTGAACTATAGGTTATCTTATATCACCCCTAGACCTTTGTAAAAATTAAAATATAAGCAAAACAAATTGGTTAAGGTCTTCCTGAAGTTTACCCACCTTTTTGGGTCTAGTCTTCCCAAGTATTTTTAACTCAAATTCGTTTAGACCTTTGTAAAAATTAAAATATAAGCAAAACAAACTGGTTAAGGTCTTCCTGAAGTTTACCCACATTTTGGGTCTGGTCTTCCCAAGTATTTTTAACTCAAATTCGTTTACTACACAATACTGTTCTCTAGGCAGTAAGAGTGTTGTTGATGCAGTGCTGTTTCTGGAATTTCTCTCCAAGCTGCTGACATTCATTCTGCAAGTTTTTGATGCACATGGACAGGCAGTGATGAAATCGGGGCTGCCACAACACACAACCTGGTTCCAGAGATGTTAAAATGTTCAAAAAAGAATAAATATTCATGTTATATATCTTAAGAGCTTGGAGATATTGTAAAGAAACATGTGCTACAATTTTGTTTTCTATAGGTATCTTGGAATTTCTTCACTGTTCATCTGAGCCTTTACACCAGGAATTCGAAAAAGTGTTAACTTTAAAATGGGAAAAGGATTCCCTATTTAATAAATGGTGCTGGGAAAACTGGCTAGCCATATGTAGAAAGCTGAAACTGGATCCCTTCCTTACACCTTATACAAAAATTAATTCAAGATGGATTAAAGACTTAAATGTTAGACCTAAAACCATAAAAACCCTAGAAGAAAACCTAGCCAATACCATTCAGGACATAGGCATGGGCAAGGACTTCATGTCTATAACACCAAAAGCAATGACAACAAAAGCCAAAATTGACAAATGGGATCTAATTAAACTAAAGAGCTTCTGTACAGCAAAAGAAACTACTATCAGAGTGAACAGGCAACCTACAGAATGGGAGAAAATTTTTGCAATCTACTCATCTGACAAAGGGCTAATATCCAGAATCTACAAAGAACTCCAACAAATTTACAAGAAAAAAACAAACAACCCCATCAAAAAGTGGGTGAAGGATATGAACAGACATTTCTCAAAAGAAGACATTTATGCAGCCAAAAGACACATGAAAAAATGCTCATCATCACTGGCCATCAGAGAAATGCAAATCAAAACCACAATGAGATACCATCTCACACCAGTTAGAATGGCGATCATTAAAAAGTCAGGAAACAACAGGTGCTGGAGAGAATGTGGAGAAATAGGAAGACTTTTACACTGTTGGTGGGACTGTAAACTAGTTCAACCATTGTGGAAGTCAGTGTGGCGATTCCTCAGGGATCTAGAACTAGAATTACCATTTGACCCAGCCATCCCATTACTGGGTATATACCCAAAGGATTATAAACCATGCTGCTATAAAGGCACATGCACATGTATGTTTATTGCGGCACTATTCACAATAGCAAAGACTTGGAACCAACCCAAATGTCCATCAATGATAGACTGGATTAAGAAAATGTGGCACATATACACCATGGAACACTATGCAGCCATAAAAAGGATGAGTTCATGTCCTTTGTAGGGACATGGATGAAGCTGGAAACCATCATTCTCAGCAAACTATCGCAAGGACAAAAAACTGAACACCGCCATGTTCTCACTCATAGATGGGAATTGAACAATGAGAACACTTGGACACAGGAAGGGGAACATCACACACCAGGACCTGTTGTGGGGTGGGGGGAGGGGGGAAGGATAGCATTAGGAGATATACCTAACGTAAATGACGAGTTAATGGGTGCAGTACACCAACATGGCACATGTATACATATGTAACAAACCTGCACGTTGTGCACATGTACCCTAAAACTTAAAGTATAATAAAAAATAAAAATAAAAAATAAAATGAGAAGAGCAAAAAAAAAAAAAAGAGTAATACAGAGCTTTAAAAAAGAAGATGGCAGCCTTTCTACTGCTCCTTTTCTGCAAAGATAATGTCAGCACCTTCACCAAAATGGAACCAGCAGCAGACATCTTTACCAGCAGCAGAAAACCAGAAATGTGTTTGTAGTTACTTTTTCGGGGTTATTAATTTGCCATGGAATTGCATTCATCCTATTCCCACATTTTCCAAATTAAAAAAAAGGGAGAGACCTTGCTTCTAAGAGATTATAAGTACTATATACCTGGGAGAGATGGTTTTTTCTTAAACAACAATATTTTCATCTCCTTAAGTTTATAGACTGATTTCTGGAAATTAGGTTCAAACATTCTGGGGTTATAAACATTGAGTCAAATATATAATCTTAAAGTAAACATTCTAGGAGTTAGACTCCTAGTATGATATATCTGATCGAGATATTGCTATGCCTGTTCTTAGAAGTTTATACTTAAACCAGAGAAAATTAGCTAAAAGAAGAATATAAACAAATATGCTTCAATATGTTATCCACACTGAAATTTTAGATTTTCAGTTTTCATAGCAGTAGTAACTCAGACCAGCTTTGAGGTTCTTTTAACTTATCATCAAAAATCTCACAAGATAGAAAACACAGAAATAGCTAAACGTTTTCTAAAATTTATATGTAAATATTTTTAAATGTTAAATTCTGATCCATGTGCCACTGAGAAAATCATGTAAATCTGCAACTTGATCTTGAGGTAGGAAGATTGGGAAAAAAGAAAATAGCAAGTGATGTATTAGACAATTTTCTTACATATATTTATTGTTTCTTTAAGACATATCATTACTATCAATCTTTGATTGACAGCAAGCAAAGCAACCCGAGGTGGGTCAACTGTAAATAAAAAATGAAGTACCTACAAAAAAACTAAAACTTATCATACATTAACGTGTGCCTTTATTTTAAATAAGAAATAGATATAGCCAGAGATGATATTCAAAGTATTTAATAACTGCTGGGTGTGGGCACCAATCAATCAGGATGGGCACTGCTGTCAGCAGCAGAACAGCCTCATGGCTATCAACTGAATACCACCTCCACGGTTAGCATGATGTCCTCCACAAGATTGCTCGGTATCCTAATGTGTAAAATAAATTAATGAAATATTTCATTTATTTATTTATTATTCCTTTGCTTACTTACTAGAATATTTTTATATTTCCTTGGACTAATCAGTTAATGTGAAAAATCTGACTTTTTTTGTTTAGAAAAAGATGTCTACTTTTTCCATTGGTGGGACAAGGGGTGACTGAGATATAGCAGCCAGTTAGTTGAATCCTAGAAATGAGAGAAATACCTGATACAGAGAGAATAATACATTCAGAAAAATGACAGCCAAGGGAAGAGATGACTAGTGAGAAATTCCTACTAGCCAACATGGCCAGAGGACTTTTAAAAACTACTGTTCTAAGTTGAGTTTTTGTTCTTTCTGTGGTTAAACTCCCTATGTTAACCATCAAACCCAAGACAGTTACATAGATAACCTTGTTGCACTATAACTTTGGGGAACTGAAAAACCAGGTCTGGGTCCTATACTTAAGAAAGAAGCAGAGCAGAAAAAGGTCAGAACCTAAAGAAAATAACAATCTAGGATGGAGACATCTATAGGAACAGGAATTTAGTACAGACTAAAAATTATGCCACCCCAAACCAAGAATCGATAGAAATACTGGACAGAGTGGTATGCCTCTCACAATGCTTGAAATAGGGTTTAGTTTAATACATCTGGATATATGCCCCCACAAAAGATAAAAAGTAATGCCAGAAAGCAAAAGTACTTAGGACGACATCTTTACAATATAACACTTTACTATATAATAATGCTTGTCATTAGTGTTTTATTTTTTAATGTCAAAAAATCTAAAAAGCCATTTTAAAACAGGTACAAATTTATGCCTATCTAGTACATATGTTGCTTTTCTTATTTTTCTTTAGAAATGTAGATTTTCTAAGGATTTTACATGTTTTAACTTTTATGGGTACATGGTAGGTATATATATTTATGGAGTATATGGGATAGTTTGATGCAGGTATATTTTAAATTGCTCATATCTTTGATTCACTGTTTTCTACCATATTTCATCATTTAAAAATATTAAATATTTCCATCAAGTAAAACCAAAAAAACCTCGTCACTTATCCTAAAAGATACAGTCAAATCAGTGTTATTCTCACTCAAATACATGAACAGGCTGCCATGTATTTATGAACCACTTGGATGGAAATACAGAAAAGGAACATTCTTGAAGTCTGTTAAGCATAACTGCCCATATGGACCATAATTGACACTGAAATAATTGTTTCATGAATGGTTTTTTTATGAATATAAGAGATGGCTTGGAAACAGGCCAACTCTTTAAGGCCCACCTGTGTCAAATCAGACCCTGGGAACTGTTCTAGTGGTAGGAATTATGGGATGCAGATAAAATTTTTATTTACTTCTTGGAATTCTATTCTATGTCTAAATACCTAGCATAAAAATTCCTAGGATATTGCTGGTTAGAATATTTGAGTGAAGTAAGGAAGTCAAACAAAACAAAAGGTTGAAGAACATTATGAATCTCCACATTGAATAACAATCCTTGATTTTTGCAAAGTAATACATTTGTGAATAAAACAGTCTGGAATGCAAGAATTAGATGAAACAAATAAAGAACGGATATAAAATGGAACAAAGTTGAAAAGTGGCAGAATCCTAAGAATAATTCCAATCATTGCTATTTCAGAAGACAGGTTATAAAGACTATCAATAGAGAAAACAAGTAGATTTCAGTCTTTGTGTTGCCATTACCAATCTGACATTCATAAAAAAGTGATGCATTCTCACTGGGAGATACTTGACATTCAATGGGTTGTTTCTCACCTTTTGTTGATCCTAAACCTAGTTTAACAAAAATTCTACTGATAGAGACCATTTTTTCTAATTTACATATACACAAAAGTATTATGACACACATAAATTGGTTGGGTAGAGTTAGATAGGATGACAATGAATCAGAATTGATGAACTAAACTTGACACCTAATTTGAAGGGAAAAGAAGCACAAGCACATGTAGCAAACTCAAGTCATTGGTATGGTCTACCTTCCCTTCCCTATAATTTTCATGTTTATGACAATGAAAAAAGCTCTGTAACAATTTGCATTTCTGTATCTAGAGTAAATACTAACTGGTGACATCCTTTTGTCAGATTATTTGATTATTGCTATTTGGAGACTGTTTCTATTGGTTAGATAGCAAACCATGAAATTATTTCCTTTCCCCATCTTTGATAGGCAGGATCTTTGAAAAAGTGACACAACAGTATCTAAAGATAGTAACTGTGGATGCCCAGAGGCCTCAGTAACACAGTGGTTAACAGAGTGGGAGCTCCAAAATCAAAAATTAAGCGTTCAAAG
Organism: Homo sapiens; assembly: GCF_000001405.40. Classification (NCBI taxonomy): domain Eukaryota; kingdom Metazoa; phylum Chordata; class Mammalia; order Primates; family Hominidae; genus Homo; species Homo sapiens. Next base: position 120,103,743 of record NC_000004.12, on the reverse strand, counting down.
ATCTCTTCTTTATCAGCTACATCATCTTATGTAAGCTACTTATCCTTTCTGTGATCCAGTTTCATCATCTGTAAAAAGGGCATAATCTAACACATAGGGTTGTTTTGAGCATTGGAGGAGGTAACAGGCATAAAACATGTAGAACAATGTTGGACATACAGTCAGTGCCCAGTGCACTGGCCAGAACCTACAATATTGACTAGAAGTGGTAAGAGCAGACAACTTTCAACGATCTTAAGGAGAAAAACATTCAGTATTTCATGGAGTATAATTTTAATTGTAGGTTCTACATAACTCTTTATCAGATTAAGGAATTTTCCTTGTATTCCTAGTTTTCTAAAAGGTTTCAGTCAGGAATGGATATTGGAATTTGTTAAATGCTTTTTCTCATATATTAAGCTAATCGTGATGTATTAAATTGATAGATTTTCAAATGTTAAACTAACTTTGCATTGCTGGGTTAATCCTGGTCATGATGTGTTATCACTTCTATATAGTGTTGTATTATTGACACTCTAAAATTTTGTTAAGAATTTTTGCATCTATGTTTATTATAGATATTGGTCTGTAGTTTTCTTTTTTATGTAATGTTTTTGATTGGGTATCAAGTAATGCTGGCTTCATAGAACAGGTTTGGAAGCATTCCCTCCTCTTCAAATTTTGGAAGAATTTACACAATATTGGTATGATTTCTTCCTCAAATGCTTGGTAGAATTCACCAGAGAAGCCTCTGGAAATGATGTTTTCTTTGTGGGAAGGTTTTTAACTGTAGATTCAATTCCTTTAATAAATTTAATAGATACAGAACTATTCCGGTTATCTATTTCTTTTGAAGGAATTTTGATAATTTGTATCTTTCAAGGAATTTGCCCATATTATTTGTTATCTTAAATATTAGCACAAAATTATATAACATTATTATCTGTATAATATCTGTATAATCTGTATTGATATTGCCTCTCTCATTCCTGATATTGGCATAAGTATCTTCTCTTTTTTATCTCTGATTAGTCTTATTAGAGTTTTATCAATTTCATTGATATTCTCAATTAATCAATTTGGGGCCCTATTAATTTTCTGCTTTTTTGGGTTTTTTTAATTTCATTGATTTGTGCTATTATTTCCTTATTTCCATTATGTTCTTTCTTCTACTAACTTTAGCTTTAATTTGCCACTTTAATAGTTTTTTTTAATAGTTTCTTAAGATTAAAGCTTAAGTCATTGATGACATTTCTTCTTTCTTAAAATATGTGGTTAGTGGCTGGGTGCAGTGGCTCACACTTGTAATCCTAGCACTTTGGGAGGGAGAGCCAGGCAGATCACTTCAGCACAGGAGTTCAAGACCAGTCTGGACAACATGGCAAAATCCTGTCTCTACAAAAATTATAAAAATTAGCCAGGCATGGTGGCAAGCACCTGTAGTCCCAGCTACTTGGGAGGATGAGGTGCGAGGATGGCTTGAACCCAGGAGGTCAAGGCTGCAGTGAGCCATGATTGCACCCTGGGTGCATACACACACGTGTGCGTATTCCATCCCGGGTGACAAACATACGTGTGTGTGTGTGTGTGTGTGTGTGTGTGTGTGTGTGTTTAGTGCTATAAATTTCTCTCTACATACTCTGGCTACATCCTGTAAGTTTTAACTGCTGTGTTTTAATTTCATTCCATCCAAAATATTAATCACCCTTTTGATTTCTGTGACCCATGGTTTAGTTAAAAGTATGTTCTTTAGATTCCAAATATTAAGAGATTTATCCCAATACCTTTCTATTATTGATTTCTAATTTAACTCCTTTGTGGTCAGAGAACATACTTCATTTAATTTTAATCTCTATTAATTTTACTGCTCAGCATATGATGTCTCTTAAATACTTCTTGTGCTCTAGAGAAGACTGAATTCTGTTGTTGTTAGATGCAGTGTGCTATAAATGTCAATTAGGTTAAGTTGGTTGATGATTATCAAATCTATAACTTTCTTATATTCTGTCTTTCTATTAATTATTGAGAGCAGGTATTGAAATCTTTATAACTGTGGACATATATTTCTCCTTACAGTTCTATCAGTTTTTGTTTCATGCATTTGGAAGCTCTGTTATTGGGCACATTGACATTTAGAATTGTTTTGTCCCAGTAGTACCAAGAAGTGGGGTGATGCTGTGAAAAATACCTAAAAATGTGGAAGTGGCTTTAAAACTGGGTAGTGGGCAAAGGCTAAAGGAGTTTCGAGGTTATGCTAGAAATATGGACATGAAAAGGGGAGATTCTGATGAGGGATCAGAAAGAAAAGAGAAGAGCTATAGAGAAAGCATCCATCTTCTTAGAGAATACACAAATAATTGTAAACAGAATGTTGGCAAAAATATGGATTACAAAGGCCATTCTGGTGAGGTTTCAGATGGAAATGAGGACTATATTATTAGAAACTGGAGGAAAGGTCATCCTTGTTATAAAATGGCAAGGAACTTGGTTGAATTGTGTTCATGTCCTAGCTTTTTGCAAAAGGTAGAACTTGGAAGCAATAAAATTGAATATTTAGCCAAGAATATTTCTAGGTAAAGTTTTTAAGCAATGGCTTTGTTCCCCCTGGCTGTTTATAATAAAATGTGACAGTAGAGAAATAAATTGAAGATGTAGTTGTTAAGAAAAAAGGAACCAGAACTTGAAGACCTGGAAAACTCTCAGCCTATTCCTATTATAAAACATGAGAGAGTTTGTTCAGAAGAGACTATTAAGGGTATGGCTGAGCAACCATTTGATAAAAAGACCATGAGTGTGGCTCATAAACTTATTCAGCCATTTCAGCAGAGGCCAGGAATACAGATGGAATTATGCCAGCAAAGACATTGCCCATTTGAATGAAAGGGGACAGAAAAAGTGGGAGGGAATAAAAAATGTCTGCTGGGTTTTTCTGATTCTACAAATGGGACCACAGAGCTATTCAGCCGTGAACAGGTACCATCCTTCAAGAAAAGGAAGAAGGACCACAAACGCTATTTAGATATCGTCAGGAATGCCACTATCACCACGGGCCCAGAGCATACAGGCCCAGGGAGCAAGAGTACCTCCATGTCAGTTTCAAAAGGAAAACTGCAGTCCTGCAGAGAGCTGCAGTGTAGGTGGGCCGCTGCAGAGAGTTGCAGCTCCACCACCAAAAAAGGCAGGGCCACACTACCCACCCATGGGGGTGATGTTGCCACCCCCGTGGGCCCACAGGACAGAGCATCAAACCAAAGAGGATTATTAATAGTCACACCTTACTATTAATGTTTAGTGAAATTTGCCTTGCTAGATTTTGGACTTGCTTGGGACCTATTACTCCTTTCTTCTTCTTATTTCTCCCCTTTGGAATGGAAATGTTTGTCCTATGCATAGCTCACCACTCTATTTTAGAAATGCATAATTTGTCTGATTTTACAGGTTCATAGCTGGAGAAAAATTCTGCGTCAGAATGAATCATACTTATAGTCTCACTCATATCTGATTTAGATGAGACTTTGGACATTAGGGTTGATGCTGGAATGAATTAAGCATCATCTTATTAGGGGATGCAATGACTATATTTTGCATGTGAGAAGGACATACATTTTGGACTATTATGGACACATACATTTGGAATGTTATGGACTACATACTTGTGTTCTCCCTTCAAGTTTATATACTAAAACCCTAATCCCCAATGTGATGGTATTAGGAGGTGAGGTCTTTGGGAAGTAATTAGGTTTAAATGAGGTCAGAAGAGTAGAGCCCCCAAAGTGGGACGAATATCCTTCTAAGAAGAGGAAGAGACACCAGAGAGTTTTCTTTGCCATGGGAAGACACAGCAAGAAGATGGCCCATCTTCAGGCAGAAAGAGGGCCTTCACCAGGAACTGAATTACTGTCACCTTGATCTTGGACTACCAAGCCTCTATAACTGTAAGAAATATATTTGTATTGCTTAAGACTCCCAGTATATGGTATTTTGTTGGCAGCATGAGCAGTCTAATTCACCCAGTAAAATGTATAGTATATTTTGTAACTTAGGAAATACAGAGGTTGGAGCTTATTACAAAAAAAAAATACTCTTCCCTAGCACCTTTCAAAGTGCCTGAGTAGATTCTAAATAAACCTGTTACATTGAAAAATGCAGATGAAAAATTCTCACAGGAAGGTAGGGTAAGCAAATATTAAATGGATAAGAAGAGGTCTGGTGTTAGAAAAAGGTTACTTTGTGCTGAAATAAACAAGGGGGATATGAATGGCTGCCCTGGATCTTATAGAATTTTGATAAGTAGAAAGAATTAAGAAAGGGTGATCCAGGAAAAGACAATTTTTTAGAAAAAGAATGGAAAATGGAAAGCATAAGGTGCACGAGAATAGTGTATAAATAAGTTGCTTACAAGAGTAAGTCCATGTAGAGAACTGTAAAAGATAATAAATTACAGAGCCATTTGACTAATATTGTGTAGGGACTTGCATAGTAGGCCACTGCATTAGAACGTTATCATAAAGAACACTGGAGAGTTTTCAAGAGGAAAGAGACACTTACGAAACATCTGCTATACCCTGCTTCATTTTCCATGCTTCTTCCCCTAAGCTGAATCAACTACTGCAGGTTCCGCCCCATAGTAGTTTACAACCTCACTGCCACTATCAGATTGGCCTCTCCAGGTCTGATGATCCAGCACTTACAGCTGGACTATCATTGCCTGAAGCCTACAGCCTCTTTCATCACCAACATACCTAGGGTCCAGTGAACTAGGTATAAGCTTGGGGTGATCATACAGCCATATCCTGTTGTCCTAAACCATCGGACTGAGCTTCTGGCTCTAGTCTCCCTCTTTACTTTCTGCCATGTTACCAGGTTTCTGCCACATTCGGTTTATCCCACTCTATCCCATACACAAACTATAGAACTGAGATCCTGCCCTGAACCTCCATAAGTAACTAGGGGTTCCTAGTCCTCTTTCTCTATCATGATAAGCCCTTTTCTTTACCTGATTATTGTACACTCAACTTGTCCCCCAGTGGCAAGGGACCTACTAAATGGGAAGACTTTGTGATGTGCACTGTGACCCTGCCCTCTGACTTCCATGATTGCTACATATTTTTATTGCTATTCCCCAGCAGGAAGAATGATTCCTGCTACTATAATTGCCTATTTATTACATGAGTTTGTGAGCTTCTCATGGACCAGACTATACATGTAGGCCAGAATTCCACGGCTCCGTTTTAACTGTAGAATTTTCTTCCCTTTCCTCACTTGCTATCCCTATTGTCCCAGGATGTCACATACCTCTGCCCATCCAAATTTAACAAGGCTATCATCCATGCCATTTTAAAAAGTCCTTCAATAACTTAAAATATATACTGAATAAGTAAAGTCCAAATGACTTGATCCAAATTTAAGTTTCTCAACAATCCGGTCACAAGCTTCCTTTTCAATTATCTATTATTATTCAACAAAACTGATCACTGAGCTGTCCCCAGAATATTCCTAACATTCTCTCTATATTTGAGCTTCTACTAACAATTATTTCTTAACTAAGCATAATCAACTAACTCCCCTCCCCATACTAAAATCATATTCCCATTACAAGACCCAATTTAAATTCCCACTTCCCTCCAAAGTGACTGATTTTAGGGTACCCTCTCTGGGCTGAAGTAGGACTGAATGAAGGGTAATAGAAGCTAAACTTGAAGAAGGTCTACAAGGGAAGGCACTCACAGTAGACTCTAAGGCCTCTTGAAAGCCAAGACATAAAGAGCATATCCTTAGCCTTTGTCCAATAGCCTTATCTCCTTTATTATCAGACCAAAAAAATAGCTTCTAGTATAGCCAGAGTATTGTTTAAATTACCCTAAATTCCCATTTTAATTAGAAATAGAAGATCAGAAGCAGTGCAATGAAAGTGGCATCAAAACAAAGCCTATCACTTTTAGAAGTGTAAATGAATGCTCTGTGGATTTTTTTTTTTTTTCAGTTTCATGAGAGGAGACAAGGAAATGTCTCCATAAAACTGTCACTTCTCAGGGAAACGTGTTAATGCTATGTAAATTAAAATTTGGAAGTCTACTTAATTGAAATCAGCAACACCAAGAGTTCTGCGTATGGAAAAGCACAATTCATCAGCCTGAGAGCAAAGCCATCCCGCCTGCTGATAGACAGTCATATCTCTAGCTTCTCCATTTTAGGGAAAGCACTACTCACTTTATGTTACAATGTAAGCAAGGAGTTCTAATTGACTTCAAAGAGATTTTCCCTGGTTGGGAACTGGGAGGGTTGAGAAAGAGGAAACAAACATAATTTCTCTCCCTGAGAAAATTTAATAAAAGCTAAAGGATTCTTATGAAATAGAAGTTAACTGCACATGGATCCCCTGAAGAAACTTTTGGTCCAATGTGATTCATAAATTACTCTGTAAAATAAATATAATTTTTAAAAAGCATGAACTTAAAAATGTGGCTATAAATATTACAATATAAATTAAGTAGCATACCTATTCTTCTTTTTACATTCTTTAAATGCTAAAAAAAAAACCAGTTATATTTCCATTTTATCCCTCATTTCTTAAAAGCTTCAGGCAAACATTCTTTAACTATGTTACTCTCTAGGAGCACTGTTAAAAGAAATGATTAGTCACAGTGTGTATAATCTTTATAAATTTTAGCTTTGTATTAGCTAAGAAAAGCCTGAGGCTTTCTGACTCGGAAAAGAAATATGACTCTGTTAAGAGTTAATAAACAATACATTGACTTGCTAATGAATGTAAAATTGATTTAGATGACCAGCTACAATGACTGAAGAGAATTTAAGGAGTGCTTTATATTTAAAAAATGCCAAATCAATAATTTAAGCTGAAAAACCCCATGTTTTTATTTGCTGAAGTAACATTTGCTGTACAGAGTGATTCACCATTTTCAGAGATACACAACACAGCATTATTTATTCATTTATTTATTTGTGTAAGGAGCTGTGCAACTTGCTGAAAAAAACAAAGACACAAAACTTGACCTCAAGGAGCACTGTCCTCCAAGGAAGACCAACAATCTAAAAGTTAGCAGCAGTACAAAATGACACACACTGTAATAAAAGCTATTTACCAAATACTATGAGGAAGGGAGAAAGCAAACATTTGGGAAGCTTCAGCGGTGAATCAAATGTGTGTTTGAAGAAAATTTCATAGAGAAAATGACCTCTGAGTTAGATAGGTCTTGAAAGATAAGAATGATTTCATTAAGTAGAGAAATGAGGAAAGGCCATACCAGACAGTGAGATCAGATTAATTAGTAGAGTAAAAGTTATAGGGACACAAAATAACCTTGCAGGAACTTTAAGTACTTAGTGCTACTTCTCTAAGTGTGGTCCAGTGAGAAGAAACATCTGTAGGAGCTTGTTAGAAATGCAGAACCTCAGGCCTCACCCAGATCTTTTGAATCAGAGTCTACATTTTAACAAGATGCCCTGGTGAGCTGCAGGCACATTAAAGTTTGAGAAGCATTACTCCAGTGCATACAGTAAATGGGAGAAGAATGATGTGAGAAGTGAAGATGCAAAGACAGATGGATGGATATCTTTTCTACATGCTATGAAGTTTATAATGATCAGAAGAAATTAAGTGGTTTCTTAAGCAAAGAAGTGATATAATCTGTGACTTACAAAGATAGTTCTGGTGGCAATGCAACAATATTGTGTGGTGTAGAGAGAGAAATGGACCATACGGAGATCAGTTTGGGGCTACAATAACATGATAAGAATGATAGCTACTATTTACTGAGTGCTTAATACATGCCAGACATCATGGGACAAACCTTATATTTTATGTGTTATTTTAATATTCCCATAATCGTCATTCTGCAAATGAGAAACAAGGTAGGAAAGGTTTTTAAAAATGTCCAAAGTCATATAAGTAGTTTGCAGATAAATGCTAGCCCAAATCTGATTTCAAAATTTGAGTTCTACTTCCAAAATACACTCCAATTTACTTATTTCACTTCGTCTCCACCCTAGTTCACAATACCATCATCTTCAGAATTACCACAATAGCCTGCTATCAGCATCCACTCTTGCTTGCTACAATCCATCTTTTATGCAGCAGCCTATGTCATCTTTTTAAAATAGAAATTCTTTATCTATTTAGCATCACACAGAATAAAATCTAATTTTTAACCACAGCCCACAAGTCCCTAATAATTCAGACCCGACCACATCTGAGGAGCTCATCCTGTAACACATGGCCCTATCACTGCATTCTGTCACACTGTACACTGAATGACATTAAGCTCTTTTCCCTCTCTGGATTTTGCATTTGTAGTAAGCTTCACCTAGGTCGCTTTTGTCCCAGCTCTGTGCATGATGGCTGGTTCCAAACCCAAGAAAACTTACTGATCTGAGCCAGTAGGGCTCATCTCTCATCCTGTCTGCGCTGCATAACTGTTTACATATCAGCTGTCAACACCTTTCCTCCTCTTTTAAGGGCATTAGAGCATCTTGTTACATCCATTCAGTGGCTATTTTCACAATTGAGTAAAAATTATCAGTATAATTTTTCATTTCCCATTTTTGAGACAAAATGGGAGAGTAAGTGGAGAAAAAGGGGACAATGATAATGAATATTAAAACTCCCCTTTTAACTATGATAATTCTCATTTTGGATTAAACCTGAAGATCAACCATTACCTGGCCATTTGTTTTTATAAGCTGGTAGAAGAGTTCTTGCCTGAGTGAAACTCAGTAATCTGCCTTGGTCTAGGATGCAAGGATGAAAGATCAAGAAAAATGTGCACTAAATTAAAATTAAAACTCTCTTTTGCATGCCGCCCTGTGATTTAAAGCCTGTCTGTATACCTTTTATCCAATTTGATTGCACACTGACCCTAACAATTAAGCATGAAGCAACCAAAATTTTCTACTGGGATGTTCTCATCATCATATATTATCTTATTTCCCATATATTTAAAAAATCTAAAGGTTTCTCTTAAACTCACTTCTTTCCAGATATTACCACATTATGTCCTACCCTTTGTACCAAAACTCTACAAAAAACCTCTTAAATTCCTTTGGTCTGGCTTTTGCCTTCAGCACTCCATAGAAACAGTCTTGGCAATTTAGACAAAATTGACTAATTCTTTAGAAGATGCAAAATATCAAATCAAAAAAGGAAAAAGATGATCTGAATAGTCTTATATCTATTAAAGAAATTGATTTTGTCATTAAAAAACTAAAGTTAACTGTAGTTCCAGATATTATCACTGGTAATATTTACCCAACCGTTAATAAAAAATAATATAAATTCTATACAGCTTGTTCCAGAAACTAGAAGAGGAGAAAACACTTCTCAATTCTTTTTATGAAGGTAGTATTACCCTGACACCAAAACCAGATAAGGCATTACAAGAAAGGAACAGACCAATATCCTATATGAACACAGACACAAAAACTTTCAACAAACTCTTAACGAAATCAATCTAGCAATATATAAAAAGAACAACATATCATGACCAAGTGGGGTTTATACTGGAATATAAGCTTTGTGCAATACTTGAAAATTGATCAATGGGACTTCCACTACCATTCAAGACTTAATAATAGCAGCTAGGTTTATATTCCGTCTTGAAAAAAATGAAAAAAAGACAAAATACATGAAACAATAACACTCAAAACAATAAATATCAGGCAGTGAAGGACAGTGATTCCCGAAAGATGGCAAAAACTAGAGGCGAGTCTTTTGATTACCCAGCTTACTGTCTGAAGAAACTTTCTAGGATATGGCACAAGGAAAGAAAACCCAGACAGAGCCCAGAACCCAGACATCTCCCTGAGTTGAGGAGGCAGAGCTGACAGTCCATAGAAGTAGAGGTGGCTAGACTTCACATCACAGGGTACTGGAAGGGAAAAAGTTTTACAAAGAGAAAAATGCTGAAATAGGCAGAAGGCTCAGTGAGCATTCAGTCAAGTACTAATCAACGCATACATATGAGGAAACTACCTGAGGCCAGGTAAAGAATCACATGAAAATATTAGAGAAAACAGTATCCAGGGGCCAAACAGCATCAGAAATAATGCCTAACTCAACAGCTGGAGGGTAAGACCTCATAATCAAGGGTCATAGTCAAAGAACAAGGGTCTTGCTTCAGTATTGGCAGAAACTTAACTCTAGATTAAATGCAGCCCTAGTTTTGCTAACAAAACTTAAAAGCAAGACCCACAAAGAATCAAGTAGTTCCCAATTCACCCTGTCCAAAAACAAAGCTTAAAAATATTTTAAAGACTACAAAAATATAACGCACCCAAGGTGAAATTCACAATGTCTCATGTTAAAATATGATCAGGAATACAAAGAAGCAGGGAAATATAATCTATAATGAGGAAAAAATAAATCAATCAAAATTGACACAGAAATGACACAGATAATAGAATTGGTAGTCAAAGATATTAAACCTAAAATACATAAAACATAATATGGTTCTTATAACTGTATTCCATTTGTTGAAGCAGTTAAGAAAAGATTGAACATGTTAAGTAAAGATATAGAGGCCAGGCGAGGTGGCTCACACCTGTAATCCCAGCACTTCTGGAGGCCGAGGTGGGCAGATCATGAGGTCAAGAGTTCAAGACCAGCCTGGCCAACATAGTGAAACCCCATCTCTACTAAAAATACAAAAAAAAAAAAAAAATTAGCAGGGTAGTGGTGGCAGGTGCCTGTAATCCCACCTACTCAGGAGGCTGAGACAGGAGAATCACTTGAACCTGGGAGGCGGAGGTTGCAGTGAGCAGAGATTGCACCATTGCACTCCAGCCTGGGTAACAGCACAAGACTCCATCTCAAAAAAAATTAAATTAAATTAAATTAAATAAATAAATAAGTCTACGTCTGGAATACTCCGACTCTAGAAATCAACTTTATCTTTAATAAAAGTGCTATATTAAAATATTATTTTCTTCTGTTGAAATCCTGCATCTGTCTCTGGATTGGTTCAAGGATTAAGATGGGGAAAAAAGGGATAGATCCTCACTAAACTCCAAAATCTTGGTAGATATACAAGGAGTCTTGAGTAATAAATAAGAAATGGACCAGGTGGGTAGGTTTTGGGGGACAAAATCGCATAGGAAATTACAGTATTTTAATGCAGGGCTGAGGGCTTTAGGTGATAACCTATGTGGGCTTTCAACCCTGAGTGAGGCACAGAATCTGGCAGATAATTTAAGACTTTGGGTTGCTTTGGTTGACCTTGCGGGTGTGGCTGAGACAGAGTGGGTGTTTTCAGGCATTGCTGGGTGGAATATTTGCAGCTTTCATTGTGTCTCTGAGCCAAGACTTCAGGTTTGTGCTACAAAATCCAAAGGCAGCACTGTGGCAAGGCCTTAAGATGTGGCTATTAACTGGTCCTTGTACACTCCTGGGATGTAATGTTACCTGCTCTGTCTGGGACACTAAGGTATATAGTTGCTGTTTTGAGGGGAAGCCCTACACAGTTGCAGAATGAGTTTGGGGAGGGGGACCTTTATAGACGAGAAAACTGTGTCTTTTCACATGGTCCACTCAAGTCAAAGAGATTTTCAGTAGCAGATACCAATGTATCCCAGAGGAGTTGTGTTGTCCACACATTAAAAAAAATGATAAACAAGGTGAGTAAAACAGAGGAAGTTATGAAGTGTTTTTGATGATGGTTGTGACTACCTAAAGCATCTGAAAGAACCATCTGGGCCCTCAGTGCTTATTCCCCTTATTCCCAAAAACACATCAGTACATGCAGGAAAAGAGATGAGAAAGAAGGAATTTTGTAATTCCAGGCCCTGAAATTAATTTGCCTTAATCAATGTTTACATCAGAGTTTGAGAAAGATATTAGATAGTTAATGGATTATGGATGAGAAAAAAAAAGTGAAAGCAAGGAATAATGACTGATTTTCAAAGCCCATTTTCAGATGAAGATTATTTGTCTGCCTGGGAAAATCTCACAAAGTCATAGAAAGCCACTTTTTTAAGGAAGAGGAAATGTGTTGTCATTTCATAGAATATAACTTCCTGAGTCCTAAAAAGAAAAGAGTAGCTGACCCTATAAAAAGAGAAGTTTGAGAACTTTTATGAACAATATGATGATTTTAAGATTGTAGCTCTGGATGATGACAAATTGGAGGGTTTCATTCACATAGACAGAGTGGACCTGAGTTACTTGAGCAATCGTTTACACAAAGTTTTGAATGACTGATACAAAGAGAAGGCAGCAAATTGTGTAAAGCTGAATACTCTTTAAGCCTCTGAGGATAAAATTGTCTGCCAGTAAATGAGATTGATGAGTTGGGGGAGGTAGAGATAATTCCTATAGTTCTAAAAGAAGCAAAAGCAAATTGATGAAGAATCCATTTGCCGTGCATGCTCACATTTATATAACCATCTTTAGTTTATCCAGCATCAACGAAAGCCCAACAAATCCAAAAATGAGAAACAGGAATATCTCTCAATGGCTTACCAAAGAAAGAACTCAACGCAAATCAAATTGAATATGTGCAGATGATTAATGGCAGGGATCTGCAAAGGGTATCAACCCACATTCTAAAAATGAAAGCAAAGAAAATAAAAGAGAAAGAAAGCAAGCTGTAAAAGAGCACAAGAGAATGGAGAAGAAAGCTAACAAATGAACCTTCAAACTAGAGAAAAGAAGGCAGGAAAATGAACTACTGAACCTGAAGAAGAATGTTGAGGGTCTAAAGTTATCACAATGGGACATTTAGAAAAAGGCACATTCCCCATTAGGAACTCCTCATTATATTCAATTATGAACCAGAATATTTTTACTGCCATTTTTTACTAATGGGTATTGAAAAAGAAAGTACGGTATTTAAATTAATTCTTTACCAAGTTTTTCCTGCTAACCCTCTTGTACATATTTTCATATTTTTATTTTAATTTCTGTATTAATGTTATTTTAATGTTTAATTTTCAATGTTGACATTAAAATTAGTGTTATAATATAACCTTAATTAGAATGTAAGCTAAGCTTACATTAGCTCTAAAATAATTTGATTTAATGAAAATAAAATAACTGGACAAATTAATAAAAAATATTTTCAGAACTTGAAAAAAAAATCCAAAGGTAACAGAGCTCCAGAAGGTCGACAGTACTAACGTGTAGAGTTCTAGCTTTACATTCTTAATGTAGGCCCTTGATAAGCAGCGGTAGATGAGTTATTCCAAATCATTTTTCTTCTTATTCTGTTTTAAACCATATTCACAGCCAAAGAAGAATGTGTGAAAGGGGTCACTTCTGGAATCATGTAGCTTTGTCTACGGCTTCAAGAGATACCCCCTCATCACCATATCACAAGTTGTCTTTGATACACAAATTCTCATGATAGTTTTTGATATTCAGGACCTAAACTTTTATTTCACCAAGAGAATGGTGATATATTTTAACAATGAGAAAATAAAAATGGAGAAGGCTCTTATTATAAAGAGAATATATCATTTTTTTAAGGTAGAGAAACAACTTTGAAAATAAGGCAACCTAATGTGTAAGAAAGCAATTTAACAGCATTGTTCCTAGACTATTCTGAGTCTAGACATCAGGGATGCTCTAGAAATTAAGAAGGAAAGGGAGAGATTTGAAAATTATGCTAGAGTCTTATCAGCAGAACAGGAGCAGTTTGAGAATAATAACAAAGAAAGGGAGACAGTATCATAAAACAGAGAGTACTAGAAGAAAGGTTGAGCTCTTAAAAAACAGATGAGATATAGGTGAAAAGGGAAATTAAATGATCAGAGGCCAGGCTAGATAGATATAAAAGGCAAAAAAGAGATGCACCCAAGTATAACAGCTACTACTTTTAATGAGTCTATTAGATAAAAGCAGTGATGGTTTATCAGTATTATCAGATCAGACAGTGAGATTTATGCCCAAAGACATCTAATAAAGAGTGGCAATATATTTAAGAACAGACTGAAATAACTACCTAAGGAATCAAGATGCAGAAAGCAATGGAGAAATGTGCTCTTAGTATACCTATCAGTGCTCTATAGATTGTATTCAGAAAGACTGGAAATAGGTACTAGGGCACTATAAGAAAGACCACCGTAAGTAAGACATTTCAAGTACCATTAAGTGAGTTACATGGTAACACAGCTACTATAAGTCGGACTCCGTTATTATCTGTGTCCTGAGGAAGAGATCCACAATATTTCTGAAATTAGAATTCTAAGAAAGTACAGGGAAGGTAAGACATTCTAAAACCATATAAATATTAGCTATTATGTTGCTATGACTACTACTACACTACAGCTACTATTACTTCTATTGCTGCTGCTACTAAAATGGTGCCATGAAAAAACAGATAGACTTAGTCTGGTTCTGTCTGGATGATGAAGTAGAATAGGATTTGTATGATACCTTTGGTCAACCTAGAACGCTTTTATATCTTTTATTATGAGAAGACTGACAGAACAGAATCTAGAAAAGAATGTTAGAAAACCACGTCTGGGCCCCAAACAAAGACAAAAACTCAGATTCAGCAAACAGCACTATCTCTGCATGAGATAAAAAAAGAAACAAAATAAGCAAGTTACTTCATTAAAAATTCAACTGACCTTCCTAAAAGGATTATAGGAAAATAGAAAGTCAAACACTGGTGGTATAGTCTACTATTCAAGTCCTGGCACATTTAAAAAGTAGTGTCTTGAGTCAGGGATATTGATTTTAATATGCCCTAAGGAACGTCTTCAAAAACCCCCAGAGTAGCTCTGCACTATGAATCAGCTGTGCAAGTCAGCCTCAAAAACACCCCAATGATCCCTGTTTTGTGATATTCACACCTTTGTATGTTCCCCTTCCACACTGCATATGAGTTGGTTGGTGTGACCAATAGAATATAGCAAAAGTAATGATATGCCACTTTGAAGGTTAGGTCAGAAAAGGCACTGTTATATTCTCTTTGCTTTCTCTTGAATCACTTCCCTGGATGGAAGCCAGTTGCCATCTTGTATGAATAATCAGGGTGTCCTGAAAAAAGTCTAATGTGGCAAGGAACTGAAACCTGTCAAAGCCAGTGAGGATCCAACAGGTCCCAGTAACAACCACATGAGTGAGCCATCTTGGAAGTGAAACCCCGGTCCCTATCAAGCAGTCAGATGACTGCAGTCACACACACACACACACACACACACACACGCAAAGACTAAAGAAAAGGTTTATCTCTGGAGTCTTATGATCACAGAAGGTTTTTGTTTTCTCTATAATTTTCCACAATTGGCATTGTTTTAAAATTTAAGAGAAGGCAGAGAAGAAAGAGACACAGAAAGTATACATTGCTGATATGGTTTGGCTGTGTCCCCACCCAAATCTCATCTTGAATTCCCAAGTGTTGTGGGAGATACCAGTGGGAGGTAATTGAATCATGGGGGCAGGTCTTTCCCATGCTGTTTTCATGAAAGTGAATAAGTCTCATGAGATCTGATGGTTCTATCATGGGGAGTTTCCCTGCACAAGCTCTCTTTTTGCCTGCTGCCATCCATGTAAGACATGACTTGCTCCTTCTTGACTTCTGCCATTATTGTAAGGGCTCCCAGCCACGTGGAACTGTGAGTCCATTAAAACCTCTTTTTCTTCTCAGTATCAGGTATGTCTTTATCAGCAGCATAAAAACAGACTAATATAACTGCCAAGAAACTGACTTGAATAAAGAGTCAGGAATGGAATCATTTTGCAGCTGAGTGACATTGGAATTGCCCAAAAAGCAGACTTTAATATTAAGACTTGATGTAAACTGACCCTGGAACGAGCAGTAGAAAAGAAAAGACAAGGAAAGAAGGAAAGGCAACACAGGCTGTGGTAAAGATTATTTATCAGTGTGTGTAACTAGGATTCAATTCCACTAGAGACCTCTGGGGGACCCACTCAAGGGAGAAAAAAGTTGTGGAATTTGTCATTGGATAAGAGCTATTACCAGTGGTATTTATAACACTTACAGCAATCCTGCAGTCAATGTACATGTGGTAAGAAGTGTATAGGAATGCAGACTACTGGAGAAAGATGGTCACACATACCAACAGACTCTGCTGGTCTGTCACATCAGCAGAGGATATATGTAGGTGACATTGACCAATGACATTGGAAACACAGACTAGGATTGGTTTGTGTCTCTGAATTCCTAAATAAAGAGCCTGGATTCTATTTTATAAGCACTGAAAGAAATAAATGATTGACTTATTTTTTATTATGCAGAATTTCAAATGTAAATGTGTGAGATTGTAAAGAAAAGTATAGTGAACTTCCATGCACCCATCATCTAGTCCCAATAAACAACAATTCTGGCCGATCTCACCTTATCTATACTCCTATCTGTATTCTCCCATTCCATATTACTTGAATCAAATTCCAGACATATCAATTTTTCATAAATATTTCAGTATGTATATATAAAAATAACGACCTCTTCTTAAATACAATACCACTTTCTTGTTTGGGTTTTTTTTTTTTTTTTGGAGATGGAGTCAAACTCACTCTGTCACCCAGGCTGGAGTGTAGTGGAAAGATGCCAGCTCACTGCAACTTCTGCCTCCCGGGTTCAAGCAATTCTCCTGCCTCAGCCTCCCAGGCGCAGCCTGGGATTACAGGCATGCGCCACCACGCCTAGCTAATTTTGTATATTTAGTAGAGACAGGGTTTCACCATGTTAGCCAGGATGATCTCAAACTCCTGACCTCAAGTGATCCACCTGCCTTGGGATTACAGGCATGAGCCACCGCACCCAGCCCAATACCACTTTCAAACCTGAAAACATTAGCAATAATTCCTTAATACCATCAATTATCCAGGTAATATTCAAATTATCCATTGACAAAGTTTTAAAGAGAATTGTGTGATTAAAAAAATGACTGAGAAAGGTTACTCTCCCATCTGTGCATAGGATGGATTAAAGCCAAGAGGGCCAGAATATAGAGGGGCAGTGTAAAAGCCACCACAACAGGAGAGAAATGAAACAAGATAGCCACGGTGTGAGCTAATGTGACTGGGATGAAGACATGGACCCTGAGTGAGAGACATGATAGGACTCAGGGAAAGCAAATATAAAGGAACACAAAAGTAGGAAGAGCAGAAATTCTGCTGGGACACACAGGAAAGCACAGGGGATTATTGGTTTAGTAGGGGAAATGACAAATTTAGTCACGGACCTATTCAGTTTAATAGGATGGACATCTGGTCGAAGTATATAGGTAATACCTCAAAGATTCAGAGCCACAGTTTGAGGGAAAGACGGACATTCAAGATTTCAACTTGAGAATCACAAAGGTTATGACTAATTGAAAGATAGTTTGTAAAAAATAAATGTAAAGGGCAAGACAGAACTTCATGCTTTCCTTAAAGAACTGGAAATTAAAGCAAAAAAAAAAAACATGAAAGAAGGCAAGAATGAAGTAGTCAAGGAGGTGGGAAAAAACACAAGAACTGAGATTTATCAGAGTAGCCAGTTTCAAGAAGGATGAAGAAACTCATAAAAGGTGCAGAGAAATATTCTGGAGAATCTAAAGTCCATCAAATGCTCAGTGGTATTCATTTATATTCAGATATTCAGCAAGTATTACAGAGTTCCTATTATGTGTCAAATACTGTCCTAGGTCCTGGATATATGATGGTGAAAAGAGCAGGCTCAAACCCTTCCTTCTTAGAGTTTACAGTGTAATGAGGGAGGCAGACATTAGTCAGTTGATTGTGCAAATAAATAATTATAAACCAAACTGAGTGCAACAAGGGGAAATCCAATGTGGCAGAGATGAGAATGCACAATAGGGGAACCTGATCTCTTCTGGGACAGTAGCAGAAGGCAAAGGATGGTTTCCTTGGGATGTTGAATGTACTAGATAGCCACAGCCTCTAGTACTGCTATTTGACCTATGAGTAAAGAATGACATCATTGTTTTTGTCATTCAAAAAAGAGGTCTGGTAGAGGAAATAACCAGACCTCAATTTTGAAAGAAAAGGCATTTTTACAGAGTTCTTATAATCAGTTAATTGTTGCAACACTTTGTACAAATGTTTACTAAAGAAAGGAAACATCATCAAAAGCAATACGTGAGAACATTCTAAATTATTTTTAACAATGTCTGACATACTATTTGAGTGTCTTTAAAATAAAATGTGTATTTTGGCTTTAGTTTCTGGTAATAAACCGTTACCACTGAAACAAAAAAAATTTTTTTTTTGAAATCAGTATTTCGGTTCTCAAGCTCAAGCAAAGGTTTTGTTTGGAAATTACTTTCTTTAGTACTTAACAGAAATCTAGAATAGTGGAGCACCATGCCAAAAAATCACTAATCAAACCTTTATTTTTTCCTATGCTGTTTACATCTGCTTAATTAATATACAAAAACTTACCTCCAGAAAGTCACAAAGCAAAGACTTTAAGAGCTAGAACATCTAATAAATAATAAACTTTAAATTCAATTAATCTAAACATTAAGAAATCAGGATCAGAGACTTAAGCAGTGCTTGAATATTTTATAAAGTAACTTTGATGAAAAGTAAACTTAAAATATCCTTCAGAATGTGCTTGAGATTGTCTTACTATGATTTAAATTTTACAATTTATTTTTTTAAAGCAAAAGTTAGACACCTTTCAGAAATCTTCCTTAAGAAACAGGCTAGGTTCAAAAGTCTGAAAAGTTGATTTATATGGTTTCAGATTTCACAATGCAACTAATCTGTAACAGACTATCATTTGTTGAGATTCACTGTAATATTAAAGAATATCCACAATCAACTGAAAAAGTTATTAAAATACTCCTTCCTTCTATAATTACATATTTGTGTAAAGACAGATTTTACTTTAAACAAAATACCATATTGCATCCAATTGAATGCAGAAGCAGGTAAGAGAATTCAGCTGTCTTCTATTAAGCCTTATATTAAAGACATTTACAAAAATGTAAAACAGTGCCACTCTTCTCGCTATATATGTATACATACATATTTGTTTATTTTGTTTCAGAAAAACTATATTACATATGTTAACATGTAATATGTTTTCATTGTTTTTAAATGATTTAGTAAATATTTTTTAAATTTTTCTGTTTCAATTTCTAATATGATAAATACCAACATAACCTGCATAAACAAAGTTCTTTGCAAGGGTCTTCAATAATTGTTAACAGTGTAGAGGAGTCCTAAGATCCTGCAGAGGTATAATTTCTGTTTACCATGTCTGTGGTTTGTCTTGGATCATTCCTGGGATCCTTTAAGCATAACATACCCCTTGCAGTTTACAGTTATTACACTGTAACTTCCACTGAGTGGTTTATATCAATACCATGAACAAATTAGTAATGCCAAGGAAAGAACAGGATATTTGCTCTGGCAGGTTTTTACAGATTCAAGAGGATAGGAAAAAATTATTGTCAATATTTATTATAAAATTTTTGTGAAAACAATGTATCACCTATACTGGGATTGTCATATATATGTTTTTGAAAATGAAAATAGCTATACTCTACCGAATTATAAAGTAATCATTAAAAATTTAAGCCTGTATAATACAATAAAGAAGGTTCTACAGATCACTCAAATCTATACACTGTCCAAAAAATAGTAATGTATTTGTATATTTTCTTTCAGACTTTATTTTTTCATATTATGGGGTGTGTGTGTGTGTGTGTGTGTGTGTGTGTGTGTGTGTGTGTGTAAAGAAGAAATAACCCAAGTATAAACTTAGCCACAAGAGCATCATGACAAAAAAAATTTCAGTTTGAAAATCTCTGCATTCTGAAAATCACTGATACCTGAGTTAGAAAGCTATCATAAAAGCCTAAGTGTTAATTTTATTAAATCAAATGTAAACTGCCTTACATGCTATACAATTAAATTTGCTATAAAATTAAATTAGCTATAAAATTAAATTAAGTTTTAAATCTAAAATGTTGCTGAGTAACAGATCTATACATCAAACTGTTTTCTAGTTAAAAACTTTAAGATTGTAAATATGCTGAAGCCATTCTACTGACCATATTAAAATGCTGTTACAAATTAGAATAAGAAAAAGTGAATTATCACAATGCTTTTTGGTATTTTTGTGTGACTAAGAATGTCTGTATTTTTCAAATCTTGTATGAACATCTAATTATCTCACTAGATCTCTACTTTATCAATTTAGCTTTAAAATCTCACTTAAAAAGTAATGTAATCCTATATATTAACCAATATTTAAGTTGTGTGAAAAGGTAAGAAGTAATTAGCATCAAATGTTTCTTAAATTAGAGATCATCTGTTTTTAATTCTTCCTCAGATGTCTTATCAGCCTTCACTATGGAAAATATTAAATTTCCATAGATTCAGCAGATTGAAACAATTTTTAGAAGGAGACAAAAACTGGCAGAACTGACCATAGGCAATAAAGTCAAAATGATAAAATCCAAAATATGCTGACGAATGCTTTTTTTCTCACCTACCTTGCAAATGTTTCAACTTGGTGCTTTTGATAATGTAATCTGCTCTCCTAAAAAAGGAAATAGGTATTTATGTAGCCTCCTGAAGTGTTTTATGTATTCAGGTATCACTGACAAGTTCCAGCAATCAGATTCTGAACAACGATTACCTAAAATAATTTATTGAGGCTTAGGGTTTTTGTTTTAAGTTATACTATATTGAAAATTATTTCATTATATTTCAATTTATCTTAGATCAAATGAGATTCGAGCAAATTAAAGTCAATCTATTATTTTGACTTAATATACATTGTTTATAACATTTAATTTTATATTTTTTTTCTGGTTTCAGAGTTATCTCACACACTGCCCATTAACACAAATTGCAAGTATGAACAGAACAGGCATCAGATAGGAAGAAACGCACTTATAAACTAATGTAAAGGTAATCCAAACAACAAATATGAGAATCATATGAACTTGTCATTATATTTTCAGTTCAAACAATGCTACTGTAATAATTAAGTTATTGTTATTAAGGAGCATACTGAATAAACATGAAAGCACCTACTCAAAATATATAAATTCATTTTAGATTTTATCAAAAGCATAGTTTAATTCAAATGGACATAAATATTTTAGACTGTAAATAGTTCCATTTATATGCATATAGATGTTCTCACAGACTGTATTAAGTCCCCACCATGTTCATTTGAAGATAAATATATACAGCATTTACTTCAGTTCACAAAGTGTGGGCATAAAACAATCTACAGAAGCTTTTTATAGGGTTTAAAAGAGTTCTAATCACCCATGCCAACTGCAGTCTTCTCTCAACACAAAACTTCTTTTGAAATCAAGCATTCATTTGCTAAAACAAGGCATCTGCTGTTAAGGAGATTGATTATCCTGGGGCCTGACCTAATTGGGAGATTAGATATGGTTCTCTACGCTGGATAGCATGGTTTATAGAAAAAAAAAAAATGAGACTGAAAAAAGAGCAAACTTCTTTCAGCTTCCAATGCTCTTTATTTAATTCTAATTTTCTTTAAATAGAAACAAACAGAATTACAAATGTTAGGTTGGTGAAATTAGTGTGTTATGAGTTACAAATTCATTGAGCTCACCAGGTCTTTTCTTTAGTAACAGATACATATTTGTTCTCATTACATAAGTCAAACATTGACAAAGAAATGAGTTTTTTTGCCATATCCCACTGAGTGAAGATGACTACATAATAGGTACACACACACACACACACACACACAAATCTGGCCTTTTGCTAATGGTATCATTCCAGTGTTTTCCATTGCCATTTAGGTATTGGTTCTTTTTCCCCAAACATAGACATCACCTCATTGCTGTGGCTAATTGCATTTTTCTTCCTAGCCTTTGACAACCAGACCTTTGTTAATGCTATTCACCAATATATCAGACTCAGGTCATCCATCCAAAACATGACAAAAGACCCAGATGCTCATGTAAATTGCACTCCCCAAAAGTACTGCCCTCTTCCTCAGGGCAGATAGATTCATGACCCCCTCCCATTTTTGTTCACTCCCTTTGTTTTCACTTAATCTGTCATGCTTGAAAAAAGTGGTTATTTATGGACTGTAAGAAACATTATGCTTTTTTACACTGTAAATCAAATAATCAAGATGATTATGAAGATATAATTTTCTATTCAAAATTGTAAAACAGCCTGTTTTAGTTGAACTTCAAAATGAGTCCCTTTCCAGAATGAAGACTTCCTTCTATTCATTTTTTTCACCCCTTCTTGAACTCTTGAGTTAAAACCAAGTTCAATTGTCCTCTTTCACTGAGGAAAAAAGGAAGAAAAAACTTTCAAGTAGAAGTGTTCAAGCAGAAGTGCAGGACTGAATCATTAATAAAATATTTCATTTATAATTAAAAAGTCAATTTTACTTGATGCTTTCTTATTGCCTTCAGTAAAATTTGCATTAAGCATTAATTACTCAGAATTTCTACTTTCTAAAGCCTTAAGTAACTTTTTTTTAAGTAACATAAAAATAATTTCAAGATACTTTCAAGAAACTGCTATAATGATGCTTTTAAAGGAAGGTTGTTATAGATTAAATGGTTTCAGAAACATACTATGTTTGTGTAAATATAGCCATATTCCAGAACCTAGATTTCTTTCTATTCATTCTTCATCTCTTATATATTTTCACCTTATATATTTTAATATTCACCATTTTTGGAAACTAAGTCACTACAAGAGATGGCAGAAATAGATAATTAAATAGAAAAACAATTTATCCAGATAGAAATAAGCACTAATATTTTGATATTTTAAGAAAAGCACCAAGATCAAACTAATACATAAGTTTCTGACCTTAATTTTAAAGACTTTCAAATTTAATTAAAATTGAGTGAAAACTTAGTAAAATGGTAAGAAACTTATAGGGTTACAAGTGCTACTATCCTTATCTTCCACTCACAAATACAACCACACTGAATTTAATATGCTCACCGGTTAGTCATAATACCAAAAAAATCAGAAATCTTATTGAGCTTATGTAATAGGATAGCATAAAACATTAATAACCATTAAAGCTTAGCAAATATTATGGAATATATCAGTAACATTAGGAAATGAATGACACACAGCATCATCATTTTATTGGAATTCCCTATTGTGAAGCTGAAGTGTGCAGGTCTACTCTGAATAAATTCAGAACAGAAAACAGGAAAAGTTCATACAAAAAAAGAGCACAGAAAAACAGAGGAGGTCAAGAAAGGACCGGAGCTAAAGAGAAGACTGAAAATTTGGCAGAATTAAAGGACTAAAAATCATCAGATATGGAAGATGGATAAAAAGGTGAAATTAATGAATCTATGATAATGAGGCAAAACCAGAGATTTTCCTGGCAATTATAGCACTTACTGGAATTTAAATAGTGAAGATAATTAAAATAGTGAAGTCTTAAGTGCCTCGACCTGGACTGTCACTATAGCTTTCCAATCTGTACTTCACCTGTGCTACAGTAACGTTACTAAAACACAACTTTATATTGTCCCCAATATAATTCTATAAAAACTTTTAGTGTCTCTCTAACGTCTCCTGAGAAAAGTCCAAACTTTTAGCCTGTCACACAAGGCTCTCTAGAAAAAGAACCCAGATGTAATCTGATCACATGAAGACTCTGTCCTGGGGAAAAGTGAGCTAATTTGATGCTTCCATATTTTGTCCCATAGATTTTTAAGTTCTGTGCCTGTGACGTCCTCTCTCTACACATCTATACCTATAAAGGTTTTTATCCCCACCTTTACTTTATGGTCCAGACTGGACTTTAATCATCTCCGTTAAACCTCTAATTGACACCCATCTTTGCCTGCCTAAGTTCTAAGCACTCTTCAAGTTCTAAGTACTCTTCAAAATGTTTATAACATATACTATACCTAACACTGTGGAAAATGTTTATAACTCTTCAAGTTTTACATCCTCCAAGAATATTTCTTTTGCTATCTTTGAATTTGTTTGGCAATTACTGCATACATTCAATTGTTTCTCATCCTGTACCTTCTTATGTGCAGCTATTTTTGTGTAATAATTCCCCAACTAGATTCCCAGCTAGATTTTTCCTCTTGCATCCATACAGCACCGCACTGTAAGATAAATAGTACTCAATAAATATCTATTTAGGAAAACAAATATCCATTTATTTCTCCTTCATTGACTTATCATCCCACTCCTCATAATGGCTGCTTTAAAAATCTTTCCAACTCTTGGCGTGGCGCAGTGGCTCACCCCTGTAATCCCAGCACTTTGGGAGGCCAAGGCGGGCGGATCATGAGGTCAGGAGATCGAGACCATCCTGGCTAACACAGTGAAACCCCGTCTCTACTAAAAAACACAAAAAATTAGCCTGGCGTGGTGGCGGGCTCCTCTAGTCCCAGCTACTCGGGAGGCTGAGGCAGGAGAATGGCATGAACTCGGGAGACGGAGCTTGCAGAGAGCCGAGATCGCGCCACTACACTCTAGCCTAGGCGACAGAGCAAGACCCTGTCTCAAAAAAAAAAAAAAAAAAAAATTTCCAACTCTTTTCACTTATGTGACATTATCTTTCCCTTCCTCCACTTCCCTATCTCACCTCCTCCTCCACTGAGAAGCTAAAGATTATTCTTTACTTGCATTTCAAGAAAAAATGAGAATTTATCTGCATCCTCACATCTCCCTTCTTCCTTGTTTTCAATTTCTAAGAGGGAATTGTCTCTTCTGTTTATTCTCTACTTGGGTCCTTGATGCCATTGCTTTCTGTGGCCTCAGGTGTCTGGCTCTATTAGTTAGGCCTTTCCAACTTTCAACTTCAGTATTTATATTTCTTTTGCTCTCTTTCCTCTAAATATCCTAAACATAAAATTCCCAAGATCCAGCAATTGCTTATGTGGTTTCTCCACTCTCCATTTCTCTTGCAAACCTTTTACTTCTATCTTCTTAGCCTTACTTCCAAACTCCTTGTAAAAGACTTTTATACCCTACCGTGTGACCCAAATTGTCTCCTCTTAGTTCACCAAAAATCTTTCAAGTACAAAATCTGTGACTCTTCCTCAGTCATTCTTATTTGTGCTGAATTATTTACTAAACTACTAAAATAGTATTTTTCTACCTAATCCAAATTCACTAAATAGGTTCTGACATTCCTCTCACAATTTGCCTCCTACTTTTCCATTTCTTCTGAGTTTCCTTCACTGCCTCTTCTTCCTCAATGTGTCATTTTATTAGCTATTACCTCAAAAAAAATTTTTTTTTTTTGCCTGGCCTAAAACCACTTGAAGGAAAATGAATCGAATGCCACAAACTTATCTATATCATCTCCATGTATAACAGCTCCACACCATGATCCCCCAAAACCCAGGCTGTTCTTCAGAGTACAACCAAACACATCTCAACACATTTTTAAAATGTCTCTCAAATTTGTCATCTTTTTACATTCCTGCTGTATTGCATATTCTCATTTCCTTTTGTCTGAGCTATCAATAAAATTGGCAGGACAAAGAGTAGGCTATTTCAAATGCCATTCTATCCCTTGGCCAGAATATTTGTTTAATGCCTCCTCTTAGTTCACTGAAGATCTTTTAAGTAGAAAATTGACAAGATCTTTTAAGCACAAAATTTTTAAAAAATTCCTGTTTTTGCAGCCCTAGTCAGGGTACCCCTTTTGGCCATCCACTCTTAGCCAGATGAGCCAGTATTGCACCCTGGATCCTACCTCTTGTTTCTTTTCCTCCAGTTTTGGACTCTTTTCTTCCACTTTTGGATTATTTTCCTTGTTCCAATTCTGTGACTTTCCAGCCATTCAGCTCCATTGGTTTCCATTGCTGAATGGGTCTCAGGAGTTACATAGCAAGGATGGAGGAATATTAAGGACCCACTATAGTTTGCCTCAAATTAGAGTTATCTAAAATATAGTCAGATCTTTGATGCTTTCAGGATTCATATTCTGGTACCATCTAGATTGCTTGGATTTGACTCCAGTTCTCCTAGCTGGGTGACCTTAGCTAAATTATTCAACTTCCTTCTGTAACTTAATTCAGGTAATAGTAGTATCTAACTCTTGAGCTAATGAGGGATTAAATAAAATGATTCTTGTAAAGCACATAGAAATGTGCCTGGCAGATAGTATGTGGTTAATAATGTTGGCTATCATTATTATATATGTTATAAGAGTTTCTATCTCATCTGTGCCTTAAGTTGTATTATCTAAAGCCTCCTTTAGTTATGCTAAACTAAACATGTACCAACCCAGGAAAGGTGCGTGGAAAAGTGGTGAAAAGCTGTCTTATTAACAACAACAGTAACAATATAATAATAAAACAATAACAATAACATATTAGCATTAAGCCAAAGCTTCATTTAAATTATCTCATGTAATACTCAGAAAAATTATATGTGACAAGTACTATTGTTACATCCATTTTACCGATAAGGAAAATAACTCCTATATAATTCTTCTTAAATTGTCCAGATAGTCTGCTTCTAAGAAGTTTCTCTGGAACATGCTAGGCTAACATCTTTTTTTGACATATCTGCATGTGATCTCTGCTGTTGGTAGATTGCTTGGAGATTCCTGCTTCTTTTAGACAAGACCATGACACTCCCTCATTATGCAACCAGTAATAAAGTTTTTTTTTTTTATGTGATCTAAGTGGACTTTTATGACAGGATTTGTTGAAACCCCTAAGATGGCTTTTATTCTGTGCTTTGGGCAGTGGTAAATAGATGGGGTTCAAGAGTCTGGAGCACTCCTTCCCAATAAGAATGTATTTTCCTTACAGGATTGTTCTGCAAAGTCCATTATAAAGAATGATAGCTCACGCCGGGCATGGCGGCTCACACTTGTAATCCCAGCACTTTGGGAGGTCAAGGTGGGTGAATCACTTGAGGCCAGGAGTGCAAGACCATCGAAACCTTGTCTCCACTAAAAAATACAACAATTAGCTGGGTGTGATGGTGCATGCATGTAATCCCAGCTACACAGGAGGCTGAGGAATAAGGATCACTTGAACCTGAGAGGCGATGATTGCAGTGAGCTGAGATGGTGCCACCACGCTCCAGCCTGGGTGAAAGAGCAAGACTCTGTCTCAGAAAAAAAAAAAAAAAAAAAAGAATGATACTTCAAATTTCCACATAGGCATGCAGGTCAGCCATCCTAACTAGGTCTATTCCATATTTACCTAGAAGAGAGGACAAGCACGGAACACTACTATTCCCAACTCAGGTGCCTCATCCCCTAATCAATAAGGTTTCTGCAAACATCCTCAAAATCAGTGGCTTCCAAAGTGGAATATATGCAAAAAACAATCCTTTTGGGAGTATAGGAAGGAATGTTACAACTTCTATTTAATTTATGTTTTAACCTAGGAAAATAAGCTTTACTAAAAAAATGGATTTCAAAAAATGGACTGACATTGCACACTCACACAGTCTCCATGTCAGAAGGTCACGTTCTTACTCATATGTGGAAGTTAAAAAAGTTGATCCCACAGAAGTAAAAAGTACAACAGAGAATACTAGAGGCTGGGAAGGGTAGGCGGAAAGAGAGGACAGAGAGATTTGTTAAAGGAAACAAAATTACAGCTAGATAAGAGTAAGTTCTAGTGTTCTACAGCACTTGTAGGATGACTACATCCTACAAGTTAATAATAGTTTAAAATAGCTAGAATGGGGATATTGAATGTTTGAAACACAAAGAAATTATAAATGTTTAAGATGATAGATAGGCTGATTACCCTGATCTGATCACTATACATTGTATAGACCACAACATCACTATGCACCCTGTAAATATGTACAATTATTATTTGTCAGTTTTAAAAATTTAGAAAAAAAAGGGAGTCATAGGCCATGATTGGTACCCTGAGGAAATGCAAGTCAGCTGTGCCAGATTTACTGGCTCTTTCTCTTTGCAGTACTGTGCTAACAAGAACTTCAGAAAAATTAACATTCTTCCATTCCGTTTTTCAAAAGACACTCATGTTATGGAAGGAGCACGTTTGAATAAACTTTTTTTTTTTTTTGAGATGGAGTCTCGCTCTGTCACCCAGGTTGGAATGCAGTGGCACGATCTCAGCTCACTGCAAGCTCCAGCTCCCGGGTTCATGCCATTCTCCTGCCTCAGCCTCCTGAGTAGCTGGGACTACAGGTGCCCGCCACCACACCCGGCTAATTTTTTGTATTTTTTTTTTTTTTACAGGGTTTCACTGTGTTAGCCAGGATGGTCTCAATCTCCTGACCTCGTCATCCGCCCTCCTCAGCCTCCCAAAGTGCTGGGATTACAGGCATGAGCCACCGCACCTGGCCTGGATAAACTATTTTTTAAAAAAGTCTCATCTGTACAATTGAAAAGTTTGGAAACAGAGTTCTCTAAACTATAATTTTTCTAAATTACAAATTAGTTCCAAAACTAACTAAAAGGTCAAACAATGCATTTAATTAGTTCCCAAACTAATAGGAAGGTATTGTTTTGATATTTTTTTAAAAAAAAAAGGGTTAAAAAACTGCTTAAACCATTGTTTTTGAACACATTCATTAAAATTATTAAAATATCATATGTCACTTTTTAACCAGCTTGTAAGAACACCTAATTGGTACCATTAAATTGAAATTTAATAATCCCTTTTCAGCAAAAACTTTGCATAATTGCTAATACAGGTAAATAAAAAGAATAAGAAGTCAACAATGTACTTTCTTCCATTTGGACCTTCATATCTTTGTGGTGTATCTCTTTTAGCTCTGCTGGCCAAAAAACACAAACCCCCCAAAACAAACAAAAAAACTATTAAAATAAGCTGAATTATTAGACTTGTAAACCACTCTTTCAAAAATAATTAAACCATGATTTTTAAAAGCAATGAAACATATTCACTGCAAAAATCTTAATATGGTTATTAATATATTTAGTGAAAGTAAAAATAATTTATTTTCTAATAATATAAACAGAATTATTTTAAAAGTATTTCTCATCTTTCTTAATTTCGAACAACTGGTATGATTTAAACACATATGCTATACCTAACACTGTGGAAAATGTTTATAATTTAGAGATAAATAACCAACATTTACATAAGTATATTCATAACTTTTTCTGTTACTGATAGTACACACTATTTTGGAAAACAAGACCTTTGAGAAAGAGAAGAGAAAGGTGCATTCACATTTCCAGATTGCTTCAAATAATCTCCCTACAAGTTCCAGTCTCCCAGGAGGTACAGGCAAGTGTACTTGGGGCATAAGTAGAACTATGACCTGCCTTTCCCACACTCCTGATCTTTTTCCTAAGTCAGGCAGGCAAGCATTGTAAGTGTGGAATGCTACACCTACAATGTCCCGAAGATGTTCATCTTCTATGTTATGAGTACTTTTGGCTGCTTTTGGGAGTTAAGTATTATAATTTCTTCTTATTTCAATGTAGACTAACTCAATAAGAATCTTATTATTCTTAAAATAGCTCAAAATTAATGAATCTTAATGTAAAATTCCAAAAACAAAAAGAGCCTATCTTATCGTCTAACTATACAAATTAATAACCACACTTTACATTTAAATCTCAAAATTCTGTGGATACATTTTAAAATAACTAAATGCTATGATCTATTGTTTCTCATACTATAGTCTACAAGTATACTCTTGGAAATATTCTTAATTAAATAAAACTTCAAATTTTCTTTTATTTTGATGATGTTGTAACAGAGATTAAGAAAGATCCTTAAAACAGAGAATTGCCATCTACCTGAGTGCAAAAAGTTAGAATCTGTATTTGTAAACATATTAGGATTAAGCAATCATGAAAGACACCATTTATTTTTAATCCACTTGATCTCCAAGTTTAAACCAAAAGCTCTCAAGTTCAGTAAGCCTTTTTGTTGTTGTTGGCTGATGTTAAAAGGGTACATTATTCAAGAATTTTAAAAAAGTCATATTCAATTTATAAATTGAAAAGTTCAGCACAAATAATGGAATTAATGTGCATGACTGATCTGAAACCTGATAAATATGGCTTGACTACCTTATTGTTTGAATGAGCTATAAACACAAGGCAAGTTATGAGAAAACCGTTCCAGTCAAAAAAGCTGAGTTTATCTAAATAGAAAAATATAAACAAATATAAAGTGATTTTTCATGCTTTCAGAAAGCTTTTTCAACCTACAAATGTCTTATAAAATGGTATTGACAAATATTCAAGAAAGACCCCAATTTGTAGTCTATTTATTTTATGTATGGAACTCTTTAAGAAATATTTTCCTACTTACTCAAAGAACACCTTAGTTTTATTATGAGTTGACAGATTTAGCAGAATTCACCAATATTTACATATTAAGCAATAATAAAAATAATCCTACATACAATGTATTTAGAAGAAACCAGCGAAAATTTACTACAGGCATAAAATGTCTGACCAAATTTCGTAAGTAATTATAAAATCATTTAACTCATTAAATTTATTTGTATTCATTTTAATAGGACTGTGGTTTATTATTGCTTCACAAAGGTTTTGTGTTGCCAGTTTCCATATCTGCAACTATTCTGAGCTGTTTTGAATTTCAATTATATTTTAAAATATTTTGTGCTGTCAAATCCAGTTGATTGCACCCAGGTTTCATATATATTTATACATATACATATACACATAGTCTATATAATATATATTCCATATATATTCAACATATATATGGCCCACATATATATTCAACATATATATGGCCTACAGATATATTCAGTCTCTGAAGATCACATATTAATAAATTATCATCTACCTTTCAAATTCTTTCTCTACCTGTGATTGAGCTATGAGAAGACTAAGTGACTACATACCACTGACAAAATAAAATTATAATATCAAAATAAAATCATACTATAACATGGTACCGCTTTCTGGAAAAAAAAACTACCTGTAATTTTCATAACAAGACCTTATGGAATTATTATTTTTTCAATAATATTTAGTATTTTTTACTACAGCTAAAATCTTAATAGCCTATATATGCAACTGGATCATTAAAAATTATGAATTCTGCCAGTATGGAGACATACCTGTTGACTTTATTAAGCCATGGCTTATTGATAAAATGTTATTAATCAAATTTGTGGTGCTATTTTTTTGAGCATGCAAACCCAAATCAAAGAGGCCTTAGGAGAAAAGTATGGGAGAGGAGGGGACTTTAGGAGATGTAGATTATGCAATTTAATTCTTAGGCCCATGAAAAAAATCTACAAAATAAACCCTAAGTAATCAAAGTAGAAAATTACAGATTTAATTATTGCCCTCACATAAAATGAAAAATAATCTGTATGATACAACAAACAGAATAACACTAAGTTTTATGAAAGATTTTTTAAAAAAGCAAATTTTCAAACTGACATAATCAAATATATATGGGCAAAAATATTTTTTCAAAATTTGTTCTTATTAAAATTATCATAAAAATAAGTATCCCTTACTGTTTTATAAAATTTAAAAGAAACTGCTCTGTTTCAAGATGTTGGCCTTAGGAATAAAATAACTTCTATTTGATTAAAAAAAAACTCTGTAAGTTTATGAGAATAATAATATACTTTAAAAAATGTTTTCTAAGTAAGAAGCAAATTAAATGGTGTATGTGTACACACACACACACACACACACACACACACACACATATATACACATATACATAAAACCTCACACAGGATAAGTACCCTTTTATCTGAAATGCTTGGGACCAGAAGTGTTTCTGAGTTTGGATTTTTTCGGATTTGGGAATATTTGCATTATATATACTTACTGATTTAGTATCCAAAATTTGAAATGCTCCAATGTGCATTTCCTATGAGCATTATATATCAATGCTCAAAACATTTCAGATTTTACAGCATGTCAGATTTCAGATTTTCAGATTAGGGATGCTCAACCTGTGTATGTATGCTTTCAGTATGTGTGTGTGTGTGCATCTATACTAAATGCTTAAGAGGATATTAAATGTTTAAAAGGATACCAGTTCTGGGCCAGGCATGGTGGCTCACACTTGTAATCCCAGCATTTTGGGAGGCCAAGTCGGGCAGATGACAAGGTCAGGAGTTGGAGACCAGCCTGGCCAACATAGTGAAACCCCGTCTCTACTAAAAATACAAAAACTGGCCGGGCATGGTGGCACGTGCCTGTAGTCTCAGCTACTTGGGAGTCCGAGGCAGGAGAATTGCTTGAACCTGGGAGGCAGAGGTTGCAGCGAGTCGAGATCATGCTACTGCACTGCAGCCTGGGCGACAGAACAAGACTCTGTCTCAAAAAACAAACAAACAAAAAAGGATACCAGTTTTGTAATATATTATGATTCCACATGTCATTCTGAAGTATTCCACACATATTAGTACCTTAGAAAATAACAAATTCATTTTTCCTTGAACTAAAGCACATTCACATGTACTATTGGTATTAAAAGGTAGTATTTCGCATGCATACGGTGCCACCTTGTGGCAGTTGTAAGTATTTGTGTATCTACATAAAATTATGGTTCGTATTAAATAACTGCCATTTTTTTTGACAAGTTATGTGTATAGGTTATTGAGTAAAAATCCTTAGCCTAAAAGCCGTTGTTTTTTTTCAAAATAACCTTTGAAAAAGAACATTTTTCAGAATGTCTTCAGATGGATATAATTTAAAAGGAGACTAAGTCAGAAACCCTAGATTGTCTGCTAACTATACCACTGTCAAGATACTGAATCTTAGACAAACTGTATAGCCATTCTGGACCTCAGTTTCCATATCTTTAAGGTTGTTCAACTAATCATTAATTAAGTCACTTTCAACCTAAAATTTTATTTGATTTTAGCTTTAGAAAATTGTTTCTATTTTTAGCACCTTAATATGAAATAAAGGGCTGTTTATGACACACCTTATCTCTTTTACTAATATGAGTTTGTTTGGTTATGCATTCTGCTTGAATTTTCTTCAGAAAAAAGTCTTAATTTATTCTTCTCCCTGTCCAAATAGGCTTCCCCTAAATAATACACATTAAAAAGATTTCATTGAATTATAAAGAAAAGTAAGTTAAAGTAACTGAAAACAAGTTTTGAAACATTCTGTAAAGATAAGTGTGCATGTATTTGATAAGATGCGGTCAATGGCAAATCAAGTTCCCAAAAGTTAATGTGGAAGAAGTCCCTCCAAAGCTTTTAGAATCTTGGGTGTTACTTTGATAAATAAGAACTAGTACGAGTTCAGAGTTTGGGCAGCTCTTTCTACCATAATGTGGATCAAATACTACCCTGTATTGCAGATGTGGCACCTCAGATTTATCTGAACTACCGCTTCATTCTTCCATTATCAATCATCAACTCAGTCCTTGTTTCAAAATGTCTTTTCCTAAAGTATCTCTTCTTATTCAACCTCTCTGGCATCCATTTATTTCAGACACTCAACTTCCTAGCCCTGCAGGCTAAAATATCCATCACAGTATCTTGTTTTTTAGAGACTGGTCTAAGAACTTGCATCAGAATCACTTGGAATGCTTGTTAAAACATGTCATTCTCTATACCCCACACTGTAGACAAATACTGTCCAATAAAAATATACGAGTCACATACATAATTTTAAATGTCATGGTAATCACACTGAAAATAAACTAAAAAGAAGCCAGTGAAATCATTTTAATAATACATTTTATTTAATTCAATGAATGTAAAATATTATTTCAAGATGTAATCAATTAGAAAACATATTAACATAATACTTTATATCCATTAGTTTAGATGTCTTTGAAATCTGGTATTTTACACTTGCAGCATGTTACAATTTGGATCAGCATACTTCAGGTGCTTAAGTGTGGCCTGAACCAGTTCTGGGGAAGGTGGAATAAAAGCCAGGAATTTACAAAACACACAGGTAATTCTTCTACATGATCAAGTTTGAGGCCACTAACCTAGACTGTCCTGTACACAATCCATTCTACAACCATTACTGAATTAACATTTGAAAAAAAAAATGCCCCTTTAATTATGTCAATCCTAAGAACCTAGAAAACCCTGGTACCTCCAATTCAATCAACACAGATAGGTATTCACAGTTCTCTAAAAGTGACCTCATTCATCCATCCAACCTACTCTTCAATTAGAAAATGTTTTGGATTCTTACATAAAGCTTTCCTAAGCAAATATTCATTCATTCAACAAATATTTGTTGAGAACCCACTAAATGCCATCATGGATCTTACAGGTGTTAAAAAAAAATAAAATAAAAATGGAAGTCACAGTTTAGATATACATCAAGACCAACTGCCCATAACCACATAAACCAAAACTTAAGTCATCCTGATTTCCCTGAAATGCTCTAATCATAAATATAAAACATAAGCTTTACATTTTTGTTAGTATGATTCCGTGAAATTAAGCCAATCAACTGTAGACAAATCAACTTAAACAGCTGTTTGCCACCCCCCAACAAAATCTTAATGTATAAGGACCAATAATGGAAAAGCTCAAAATGCTTCCTCCTTTATCCTTATAAGCTGTGCTGTTACTGGTGAGTGCAAGCTTCTTACCACTCTTCCCACTTGATTTGAAGTCTCCTGGATTCTGATCTGTACTTTTTCTATGACAATAAACTTTTAGATTCATCCTAATTTTATTTTTGATACAGGAAAACAGATCAGGTATAACACAAACCATTACACAATTTTTTACAATAAAATAAATGCTCTGAAATAGCACTATGAGATGCTATGAAAATACTTCAGAGAGGTCCTTATACAGTCTGAAGGGCCAAGGAAAATGTCTTTAAGCAAAGTAACATTTAAGTTAAGAAAGAGTGTGAATATAATTAGGAATCTGAGCAGATAAAATGAAATTTCTAGGTAGAGAAGGAATATACATTATGGAAAGCACTAAGGTGGAAAAGAACATTGGAGGGCCAAGTTACTGAAAGAAGCAGACAGATGAGGAAAGTAATCTGATAGGGGGCTTCCCAGGCAGGCAGAAACCAGATAAGGCCAAACTCATGAGCTTCCAATTTTCCTTTAAAAAAAAAGTATAAATATTTAAACCAAAGTAGACTACAAACTCCTCAAAAGACACAGACCATTCCTTCTAAACCTCATGTCTTATGTCTCCTCATAGAGTACAGATATTTAGTACTTCCTCTGTACATAGAAAAATCGTAATTGTGCCAGCCTTTTAATTTCTAGAATTTCCAGGTTATACTAACAATTATGTGTAGCTTCAGGTAACTTAAAAAGCACATCATCATGAAACTCAAGAAAACCTTTCCTAAAGTGCTGAGTTTTAACATAAAATTCCTTAGAAAGAGAGGGAGTTTTTATGTGGAAAGACATGGGCACCATGGTCTACCAGCGTGACGCCAAAATTCTAGCTCTACCCAAGCTCCCAGTGGAAGGGGTGAAGGATATCCAACTCCCTTGCTTCTTTACTCCTCACTTTCCCTGACATTGCTCTTCATATCAAAGATTGTGATTTATACACACACAGAGATTAAAGGATTTAAGGAAAAAAATTTTACTGGGTCAAGTCAACCTGTTACCTATCACACCCATGCCTTACTCTTCCAACTAATCGAAACATGATATATACAACGCTGTACAGGCAGAATTCTAAGCTAGTTCCCCACATTCCTGGCCCCTAGAGAGCGCATCTACATAATCCCCTCCCCTGGAGTTTGGGTAGAACCTACAAATATGAGCAGATATCACTTCTGGGACTAGGTTCATCAAAAGGGAGATCTGACTGAGTCTTACTTAATCAGGTGAGCCTTTAAAAGGGGCTGGGGGCTCCCGAAAGCCACGAAGATGGGAAGTGTTAGAAGGCCTGTAAAAGGTCTAGCTGACACACAGCTGGCCTCTGGCCAACAGCTGGCGAGACAAAAAGGGACCTCAGTCCAACAACCACAACGAAATTCTGCCAGAGGGCTTAGAAGGACCCCAAACCTCAGATGAGATCCCACTTGCAGACCCTTTGATTTCAACCTTGTGTGACTGAGCAAAACCGTCAACTATGCCACGTCCAGACTTCTGACCTACAGGACTGAGAAAACGAATAGGTGTTTTGAAGCCACTGATTTGTGGTAATTCGTTATGCAGCAATAGAAAACTAACAACACTCAAGTATTTCTCATATAACGTCCGGCAGACATGAAAGTTTTTCAGGCG
This sequence comes from Homo sapiens, assembly GCF_000001405.40. Lineage (NCBI taxonomy): Eukaryota > Metazoa > Chordata > Mammalia > Primates > Hominidae > Homo > Homo sapiens. The sequence continues at coordinate 120,067,698 of NC_000004.12, read as the reverse complement.
TCATTTTACAAATATCTTCCTAGCTGCTTTAAGAATAATTTTTTTTTCAAACTTGACATGAACATTAATTGTGCAATATCTCCTTAATAATTCTCACCCTTTTCAATGAAAAGTCACTGAGCTTGGTGAGTCAAGATTCACTGAAATATTCTTCCATGTTGATGGGCCTCTTTGGTGAGGTGACCTTATTCCTGTCCTGCCCCCTAAGGGTGGGCAGGGTGGACAGAACGCAGCCTGGACTTCCGGACGCAGCCCCCTACCGCCCCGGACTCGCCTACCCCTCTGGCCTCTGAGGAGGGCCCTAAGCCCAGGACAGACGTGGAAAAAGGGCAGTAAAAAGGATGCAGTTCTTCTCTTTAATCCCTAACCCAATTTCTCGGGAAAAGCTGCGTTCCCACACAGAAGGCGAACCCTGTAAAGCTGTGGCTTGGCTGCCGCGCACGCAGTCGCTTTACGAATTCCCAAAGCATCTAGCGGAAGTTTAGACCGTTCACTAGGGGTCACATGGGCCACTTCGCGAGCAGCTGGCGAACAGTTCCTTTCAGTTTGAAAGTATCTTTGAAACTCGGAAATTGTGCTCCTTGGTCTTTCAGTTCATAAGCCTAGAGAGTGGCTACTGAAATTGGAATCGTCATCTTCTTCCCTCGGCCCCAACTAGTAGACCACGACCAGAAGACACATCCTAACCTACACCTACCGTAGTGTCACACCCGGCACAGCGCGACCAGGTCCACCAACTGCGCCTGCGCGAACCGGCCGCTCCCGCGACATCACAGGAAGGCTGAGAGAAAGGGCAGGTCCCCGCTGCGTGGGGCTGGGCTTAAAGGCTCGTCGCGCCTGCGCAAAGGACCTGACGACGTGCTGCGTCGTTACTTTTGAAACGCTTGGCGGGGAAGTGCTGTTGGAGCCGCTGTGGTTGCTGTCCGCGGAGTGGAAGCGCGTGCTTTTGTTTGTGTCCCTGGCCATGGCGCTGCAGCTCTCCCGGGAGCAGGGAATCACCCTGCGCGGGAGCGCCGAAATCGTGGCCGAGTTCTTCTGTAAGTTCTCGCGCAGGCCAATATATCGGGGGGAACGGAGTCGTGACGGCTCAGTAGGCCCACAGCTCGGCCTCTGATACCAGAGAAGTAATCTGGGGAGAGGCGGCTGCAGGCGCTTCCTCCAGACGCGTTGCTAACGTGGAGCTGCAGGCCTGCGTGCTGCTGGGGCCTACCTCGCGGCGTAGCCTCTTCCGGAGCGTTTCTTCCTTTAAGTGCAGATCCGTCCCACCTCCCACCCCTTACTTTCCGATACAGGACACGGTGTGACTGGGGTGGGCCCCAGTGTATGCGTATGTGTGTGTTTTTCTTTTTTTTTTTTAACTGCGAGAGCACCCTCACCCTCCCACTCAAAGTGATTATTGGGCATGAGGCTGGCAGTAGACAAGACTTTGGGAACCCTTGTTTTCGAACAGGCCAGCTGCACGTTCTAAAGGAACCTGGCAGGATTTGGGAGGGAAAGGGGAAGATAAAGGCTTGTCTGGAGCACAGTGACTATTCAGTCAGTTGCTAACTCGAATGCAACAGCCTATTTTGACATCCTCTAGCCTCATAATCTGAATTTGGACTTGGATTACAATGAGGTGAAATTTGGCAATAATAAGTTGATACACTTTGGCTTTTTTTTTTTGCCACGTGAAAGCAATTATCTGTTTTACTTAGAAGCAAGACTTTTAAGGATTTTTAATGCCACTTTGTACCTACTCTGCTTTCAGCAAGATACACGTGTGTTCAGTCATTTATAGCTGTATAGCCTAATGAAAATATAGCAACATCTAAATATATTTTATTTTCCAGAGTTATGCAGGGATAATGAATTTTCTGTAACATTTCTTTTGCTTGCAGCATTCGGCATCAACAGCATTTTATATCAGCGTGGCATATATCCATCTGAAACCTTTACTCGAGTGCAGAAATACGGACTCACCTTGCTTGTAACTACTGATCTTGAGCTCATAAAATACCTAAATAATGTGGTGGAACAACTGAAAGGTATTTTAATCATTGGAAACAATTTGAGTCTTGCAGATTTTCTAGCATCTTAAGCAGTCATTTTTCCGCTCTGCACATAGAAGTGTACTGACATCTCAAATATATTTTCAATTGAGAGGAAGAAAATAATATATAAAATGGAAGAAATACACTCTTCCCCCACCCACTACATTGTGAGTGGGCTGAATATTTTGATGTTAGAAATCTGATATGGCTAAAAAAATAGTCTTCATCAACTCCCTTAGAAGTGGCTTTTGCAGTAAATGTGGCCAAATGGAACAGGTTGGAATTTTACATAATTATAATGGTGTTCACTATCTGAGACAATATACACTACATATTCTCAATATAATGTATTAATTTTCTGTAACTAATTAATTTTCTGTAGTCTAATGTTATCATTACATTAAGATCAAGGAAATTGGATTCAACCAGAGAACTAAACTTCAAAAAGAGAAAAGATTAGCTACTAAATAACAGAACACTCACAGTTTTTTTGTTTGTTTGTTTTTCACGTATTTCTATTTGTCGTTTTCAAAAATTCTGCCAGTGATTCAGTAAGCCTTTTCTGTCTGAACACTCGTTTTTCTTTAGCTGAAGACATTGATGTATTACCTGTTGGGTGAATACTTGTTCTTCATCGATTTCTTTTTCCTTTCTAGAATTCCTGTTAGTTTTTCTTTCGTGTTACCCTCCACTTAGGATTCTCATTTCTAATTGTTCAAGTGTTTCTCCCATTTGATCTTCTAAAATTTTAAAAAGTACTACAGCAGCCATCTTTTTTTTTTAATTTAGAAATTATTTCTTTTGTTGTTGACCAGAAATGTGTCTTTTTTACCGTTTTTATTGCATTTTTACTAACCCATTTTTAATATGCCCTTCCAATGATGGCCATGTGAACTTTTTTAGCTTGGTAACTCTCTTTCAAGCTATACTATCCTCTAGATAAACTGTTAACATTGCCTTGCCATTTATGTGTACAGGAGGGGAATCCCACAACAACCTGTGGATGTCAGGTCTCAAATTAACAGGCAAGGGAAGATAGCCCTGTTGACATTTTGGCCTGGGTATTTCTTTGGTATGGGTGCTTTTCTTTGCTTTGGTGTGGGTGCTTTTCTGTGTGTTATAGAATGTTTACCAACAACTATGGCCTTTACTCACCAAATGCCAGTAACAAACCCCCTTGCTCTGACAACCAGAAATGCCTCCATGTATTATATTGCCAGATGTGCCCTAGGGGACAAAACTGCCCTTGGTTGAGAACTTCTGCTATAGTAGATTGGTATTGTCAAAATAGCAAGATGAGACCTCTTTTGGTGTGGGAATAGACCTCTGTTCTCAAGTGTACACAGGAAAGACACTGATAAGAGTGTCCACCTCTCCCAGAGTTGCATCCAAAATTGGGGGTCAGGAATAAATCATCTATAGTGATTCATAGGGCTGTACTCAGGTCGTTTGGCCTGGAACCTCTAGACAACTATGGATGTGTGTTTTTATCTTAATTTGCTGGAGAAGCAAGCATTGCCTAAGCCAATGGTTTTTAGGTTGTCTCCTTTGAGACTGCGTTAATGACATTTCACCTTATTTGTGTCTAGACCTTCCTATTTAACTTGTCCCTTTTATTTTAGTTAAAGTGGAAAAATTGCTCTTCCCTAGAGGCAAGTTGTTCGGTTTGTTTTTTGTTTGGAGTCTCACTCTGGCACCAAGGCTGGAGTGCAGTGGCGTGATCTCCGCTCACTGCAACCTCTGCCCCCACACCACAGCCTCCCGAGTAGCTGAGATTATAAGCGCCTGCCACCGTGCCTGGCTAATTTTTATATTTTTACTAGAGACAGGGTTTCACCATCTTGGCCAGGCTGGTGTCGAACTCCTGACCTCGTGATCCACCCACCTCTGCCTCCCAAAGTGCTGGGATTACAGGCATGAGTGGCTGCTCATGTTTTGTTTTGCTGGCCAATTGTTTTGTTTTGAATGTAATTTCCTCTAGCCTTTTTCAGGGTCTTTATCCTGTTCTCTCTTATATTTTCTGCTTCTGTGTTTTGATTTTAATTATCCCCATTGGTTTCATCTCTCCAGTTTTAAAGGAAGAGCAAATTACCACCCAGTCTCCTTTTCAGAGTGAAACTAATAAAAAGTTGTTGATAAATGCCAGGGATCACAAGGCCCACAGGCCACATCCAACAAGTGGCCTGTTTTTGCACTGCCCACAAGCTAAGAGTGTTTTTACACTTACAGGTTTGTTTAAAAATAAGCAACAGAGATCTTGGTGGCCAATAAGCCTAAAATATTTAGTAATTACTCTGTTTCTTTACAAAAACTTCGCTGACTCCTGAATATGCTGTTTCAATTTCCAAGATTACTTCAAGGCTCAATCTGAGCCCCCGTTCTGTGTTTATAATTTCTCTATAGGTGATCTCTGACCTGTGTATAGCTTCACTAACAACCTCTGTGTAGTCAGCTCACAAACTTACATCTATCCCAAGCCTCTTTCTCCAGACTCATATATCCAGCAGCTATATCTTTATGTAGCTATCCCAGAGACAATGTACACTCAAGTATACTAAAAACTAAATTTAGGATCATCTCCAAGACTGATACTCTTTAATTCTCTTTTTTTCTCTCAATGAATGACTAAACCGTCCAGCCAGAAATAAAAGAAACTTGGAAGCTGTCCCTGAATCATGCTTCTTCCTTACTATCGTGACTAAACCCAATACGTTTTAACCATGAAATCTCTTAAATCTACCTATTGCTCCATATCTACCAGTTTATCCTCCTACAAGCTTTCATTAACTCTTGCTTGAATTACTGATTGACTAACTAGTGTCTCTAGATCCCCTCTTTAACATCTCCAGTCCACTTTCCGTATCACGGCTAGAATGATAGTTTTGAAATACAAGTCTAATTGCTTTACATCCTGTTCACACACAGTAATGACTTCCCTGGTCTTGAAGTATATATTTTTTTAATTTGATCCACCAGGCTTTGCATGGTCTGGCTCCTGTTAATCTTGCAAGGATTACTTTGTTTTATTTTGTTTGTTTGTTTCTTGATTGCACTTGTAGTGGGCTGCTTCCAGCCCTCTATATGCTCTTCCCTTGGCAGTATTTGAGGCCTGTATCTTCTTTCGTATCCTTTTGCATATTTAATGCTGTTTATCCCTAGAGCTAAACTCAGACCTTTTCTGACCTCCCTGAGTGGCTCAAATTTTCCTTTTTTTATGCTCTCATTGCATCTTACATCTTTCTTTCATAGCAGCCATTACAATGATAATTTCTCATTTATTGGTGTGATGAGTAGATTAATGCCCATCTCCTATGCTTTTATGTTGGATTAGGATGAAACTACCACATGTTCAGTATTCTGTCCTCAGCACCAATTACTGTACCTGATACAGATACTGAGAATTTGAAAACAGAAGTTAGATTATTGATGGTGCAAATTTTCTTGCACATAGGAGGAGGTCCCAGATAGCAGTGGTAGGAATTTGCTGAGGATAGGGAGTGGGACCCGAGAAGAGAGCTACTTTATGATGCAGTGGACCAAGAAAGATGCCTTCCTTTTTATATGTTGCAGATTGGTTATACAAGTGTTCAGTTCAGAAACTGGTTGTAGTTATCTCAAATATTGAAAGTGGTGAGGTCCTGGAAAGATGGCAGTTTGATATTGAGTGTGACAAGACTGCAAAAGATGACAGGTAAATAGGAATTACATTATTTCTACTTTGATATATTTTTTTTCAAAACTTGTTTTTATTACTAATTGAGTTCTAATTGTATTGAACTAGTTTTATATAAAATATAGTTTGTTTCTAATTTATATTTTCTAAGATATCCTCAGTCACCTATGGAAAAGAATTGTGCTCAGTTTAGCATATCATTGATTTGTATATATAATATAATTTTAACATAATTGCCTTTAGTCTAAATCAGTAGTTTTCAAACAGTATTTATGGTGATATATACAAAACTACACATGATATACTAGATGAACCATTTAATAATTGTTCTAAGATATTTTTAACTATAAGGAATGATATTAGACTCACACAATTTAAGATGTAGCTCTGCTGTACTTCCTTTAATGCCATCTACTTCCTAAGACACTTCATAAATTTCTGAAGGTTCCAGACTCCCTGGAAGAGAAATGCATTGTCCTAGGCATGCTCTTCTATAAACTGAGAACCATTTCTTATAGTGAAATGTAGTTTGCTTCTGAAGGCTTTGGTGTATTTTAGGAAATTTTTAGCTTATAAAATAATTTGATATACAATTTAATGTTTTATTTGAGAAAATAGGAAATTAGACATTTAGGCATTACTAAAAATGCTGAAATGATTATACCAATACATATTTTAGATATCACTTATTTTTATTTCAAGAGATGCTGAAGTTTCCTGAACTTGAAGTGATTGGCAAATTTTCTAGTCATCTGATACTAAATGACCTGACACTAAGACCAGCTCTAAAAGATGACTGGCAGGATAAATGAAGTAATAAGGATGAATGTTGTGCCTACTAGGTTGTAGGTCTGAAGGATACTTTCACTCACATTTTTTACAAACCTCCTTTCTCAAATAAGCCCTGCTTATTTGATGTTGAGAGCATTTAATCAGATAAATAATCTAACCACTATGTTTGAAATAATTTGTTAAGACCTGAAATGAATTAATTGATTTGATTTTTTTTTGACAGTGCACCCAGAGAAAAGTCTCAGAAAGCTATCCAGGATGAAATCCGTTCAGTGATCAGACAGATCACAGCTACGGTGACATTTCTGCCACTGTTGGAAGTTTCTTGTAAGTATTATACAACTTCTTGTTGAATTAAATTGATTGGCAAAAAGACTAAGCTACTGCCGTAATCACCCCTTTATTAAATTTTGTCTTATTTATCAGATTTATGTAATATAAATTGAAGGAAAAACATTATCATGCAAAAGTAATGTATCGTAGTCTCCCTTTCCACAGGGAGACCCACAGTGAATACCTGAAACCATGGATAGTATGAACCCTATATAATGTTTTTTTCTTATGCATACATACCTATGATAAAATTTAATATGTAAATTAAGCATAGTAAGAGTTAATAATAAACTGGAACAATTATAACAATATGCTGGCATCACTATTCTTGTGCTTTGGGACCATTATTAAATAAGATAAGGGTTACTTGAACACAATCACTAAATTGCACGGAAGTTAGATACAATATTTTCTTTACTGAAATAAATGTTCATTGAGCAAAATAAATTAACTAGTGATTGGAGACCAAGCCAAATGACCTTTTCCAGCAGTGAGTGGTTCAAAATAGAAGAGAGGCAGCAAGATTAGTTTTACTTTTAGAAAATAATATACTTCAATGATCTTATCCCCAATTTAGGTTCATTTGATCTGCTGATTTATACAGACAAAGATTTGGTTGTACCTGAAAAATGGGAAGAGTCGGGACCACAGTTTATTACCAATTCTGAGGAAGTCCGCCTTCGTTCATTTACTACTACAATCCACAAAGTAAATAGCATGGTGGCCTACAAAATTCCTGTCAATGACTGAGGATGACATGAGGAAAATAATGTAATTGTAATTTTGAAATGTGGTTTTCCTGAAATCAAGTCATCTATAGTTGATATGTTTTATTTCATTGGTTAATTTTTACATGGAGAAAACCAAAATGATACTTACTGAACTGTGTGTAATTGTTCCTTTTATTTTTTTGGTACCTATTTGACTTACCATGGAGTTAACATCATGAATTTATTGCACATTGTTCAAAAGGAACCAGGAGGTTTTTTTGTCAACATTGTGATGTATATTCCTTTGAAGATAGTAACTGTAGATGGAAAAACTTGTGCTATAAAGCTAGATGCTTTCCTAAATCAGATGTTTTGGTCAAGTAGTTTGACTCAGTATAGGTAGGGAGATATTTAAGTATAAAATACAACAAAGGAAGTCTAAATATTCAGAATCTTTGTTAAGGTCCTGAAAGTAACTCATAATCTATAAACAATGAAATATTGCTGTATAGCTCCTTTTGACCTTCATTTCATGTATAGTTTTCCCTATTGAATCAGTTTCCAATTATTTGACTTTAATTTATGTAACTTGAACCTATGAAGCAATGGATATTTGTACTGTTTAATGTTCTGTGATACAGAACTCTTAAAAATGTTTTTTCATGTGTTTTATAAAATCAAGTTTTAAGTGAAAGTGAGGAAATAAAGTTAAGTTTGTTTTAAATTTGTCTTAAAACATTTTGATACTGGTTTGGTGTTGATATAGTTAAATGGTAATTAGAATTGATTCAGCATAGCTAATGAATTCTTGTTCCTACGAAGTTATAGAACTTAAGGGTCCAAAGTTGAGTGAGTCTTGAGGTGTCTTCAATCTAATGGATAAACTTTGATCACATCCTGTTCATCTCATAGCAATAGACTTAAGGCTATTACTTCATCATTGTGAAAAGATAAATGTCCTTTGGAATTAGTCCAACAATTCCAGTTGAACAAGTGTTGATTTTAGTACTTTACTATACTCTTAGCCTTATTGTCAGCCTACTTTTCCTTATATACTTAAATACTATGCTTATTCCTGTGCTTTCATTAATACCCTCATCTGGTACATGCTTTCTATCCAGTTCTCACCTGTTTTTCCAAGGTCAGTTTAAGGCAGATTTGTAAAGTCTTCTCTAATCTCTAATCTAAATCTGACCTCATTTTGTAAAAATTCAGTTTATTAATGTTTATTATTAGACACTAAGTTCTTTATGTGTATTAACTTATTTAACCTTCACTATTTTTAAGTAATTGCACATAGTCTGAATCTGTTCATTCAGAAATTACATATTGAGCAAATACTGTGGATCAGTGGCAGTTTCTGGGTTCTCAGTGACAAATTTGTAGACTCTTCATATCTTTATGGAATAAGTGGACCACTGGTGTTACCAACCTAGATGATTTCAAGAAAAGTGGCAATTAAATGCTTCATTTGTATTTTAACTATTTGAGAAGTCAGACTAAATTCTGCGAAATCACTTTTCCCCCCCAAGATGGAGTCTTATTCTGTCGCCCAGGCTGGAGTACAGTGACGCAGCTCAGCTCACTACAGCCTCTGCCTCCCGGATTCCAGCCATTCTTCCGTCTCAGCCTCCTGAGTAGCTGGGATTACAGGCACGTGCCACCACACCTGGCTAATTTTTATATTTTTAGTAGAGAGAGGGTTTCACCATGTTGGCCAGGCTAGTCTTGAACTCCTGACCTCATGATCTGCCCGCCTTGACCTCACAAAGCATTGGGATTACAGGCGTGAGCCACTGCGCCCGGCTGAAATCACATTTTTAAAGGTTGTGTGTATACTCTGGTCATTTCAACTCAGCTACCAATATTAACAGGATTAAATTCTTAGATTTTTGTATCATTTGCATGCTACTATTTACTCTGAGGTTTCTGGAGAGCTAGTCATGATGAGTCATTTTACCCCTTACAGATTATATAATCAATTAAGAAATACACATTTTGGGCTGGGCGCAGTGGCTCGCGCCTGTAATCCCAGCACTTTGGGAGGCCGAGGCAGGTGGATCACGAGATCAGGAGTTTGAGACCAGCCTGGCCAAGATGGTCAAACCCCGTCTCTACTAAAAATATAAAAATTAGCTGGGCGTGGTGGCGGGCGCATCTCAGCTACTTGGGAGGCTGAGGCAGGAGAAATCGCTTGAACCCATGAGGTGGAGGTTGCGGTGAGCCAAGACCGTGCCACTGTACTCTAGCCTGGGCGACAGAGCAAGGCTCCATCTCAAAAAATAATAAATAAAAAAGAAATACACATTTTGGAGCTGAGTGGGAGCCAAACTATGAGTTTTATTGAGGTGAAGCTATACTGGAAAAGCTTTGCCCTGTAGCTCCAAGTGGACTGTCCCATCCTCTTTCTAGACCTTGAGGCTTACCTCAGGAGGATGATGTTTAAATCAACAGCTGAAAGACTTGTGAGTGGTTTCTACACCATGTTAAAGAGAAGGTTCTAAGACAGCATGATAGGCCTCTAGGCCTGGCCTGGACTCTGGCTCAGTGTTGCTTACCATATGTAGAGGATGAACAGAGGTTAAGCCCATCAAGGTCTGAAGTAGAGCCCAGGAGGAACTGAACTGTATCTGGCTTTCAGGATCCTTTTCCCAGTGTCATCAATCAGAGAAGTCAAACCTCTGTGAGAATGCTTGTGCAGAGGTATAACAGTCTCATGTATTGGTTGGCTTTTGCTGCACCTTTCTCATTCTGTTGGAGGGACATTGGTTAGTCAGGACTCTGAAGGCCAGCTTTTTCACACTGACCAAAGCAAGTGAAGGTCAAGCCTAACTTTAATGGGACCAGGAAGTATACTCCTCCCATGGAGGTGGTGGGAATGGCACCGAGAAGTTTGATGACAGTTATCTAATGGACTAGAGGTTGGCAAACTTTCTGTAAATGGCCAGGTAGTAAATAGTTCTGCTTTTGAAGGCATATGGTCTCTTGCACCTACTCGAGGCTGAAAGCAGCTATAGACAATACATAAATGAATGAGCGTGAGTGTGTTCCAATAAGAAAAAAACATGGCTGTTTGCTTCGGCCCCAGGGTTGTAGCTTACCAGTCCTGTAACAGATCACAGTTTGCTCTTTTGGTCACAAATACTTGAACCCCTCCCTAGTTCAGAGCATTTGATACCGTAATATTTAAAGCTCACTTGTAAAACATCGTTTGTTGCCTCCATCCATAGTATCTCAAACAGAATGTCTCTCCCAAATATACCTAAATTCCATATTCTCTGAAGCACAACCAGCTATTTTCTTGACATACTTCCTAACACACCCCACAGTTCACAATTTGATCTGAAAACTTGTTAAGGGAGGTTCTTTGGCATGTGATGCCATAAAAAGAGAGGTATGGGCTCTCCTTTAAAAAAGAGACCCTTTTTATGAGACTCACAATAGGATAAAGAGCCCATGCCTATTTTTAATCATTTTTTCACTATATAGACATGCATGCTGAAAAATGTTTTTATTAGTATAATGCTAATTATACTGACTTCCTATATATTTTAGCATATAGATTCAAAGATTATTAGCACAATAAGGTAGATAACTTCATAGACCATTTCTTCATCTTGTTTTCATTTAGTATGTAAAATTTATCTAAAATTTACATGAAAGATCAGAATAGCTATGTAATGCTACTTTGTAACTCTTATATTTTCCACCAGATGTCACTAATGCTGTAATATTCAAATTAAGATGACTTTCTTTTGGTTCTAAAGGCTGTAAGCTTATTGGAAAAGCAAGGTTACTCAGCATTGGAATTCCTGGCAACAAATATATAAATACATTAGGGGAATAAACACTTAGCATTTATTATTTACTAGTCACTTCACATGAATTTTTATTTAATTCTCATGCTTTTGTGCACAAGTAAAACTGGGGGTCAATGGGCATGCAAATTGTGTCGTGGTTTTTGAAGTTTAGTGGTCTCTCCTATCCCTGGCCAAGGAAGTATGCAAATTGTATTGTGGTTTTTGAAGTTTAGGTGATCTCTTCCTTCTATCCCTAGCCAAGGAAGTTCATCCTGACTCCCCAACAAGCATATCAAAAGGAGTGTTTCGTCACCTTTTTCCTCTTACCCTTTACATCCTTTTAGCAATAAAGTGTTCAGAACAAACTGGTTTTCCTTTACTGTGCTTTGCAAAACTTATTCATGTTTTATTGGGTGACTTTGTATTTACACTTTCCTCAGATAGTCTGTTGTCAGATGACTTTGACCAATGATTGGGAGGAACCAAATACAGAGGATTTTATCCTATGCCTAATCTATATTGTCTACAGAGTAAATCAGGTATGAATTTGTGAACAGTAATGAAACAATTTTCCAACTAATCAGAAGAATTGTTTGTTAAGTAACCTTAATTACTCAGTTTTTGGTGAATTGTTTGCGGCTTAACTTGTAAATAATTTCTTATTCTTTTTTTAAATGTATGAAATATTTCTAGTTATTTTGTTCAATGTGACTGATAAAAGTTTATATTGGAATAGCTGTGAAATGGAAACTGTCTACTCAATTTTAAATTTTATTAGTTATATATTTTTAAAAATAGATCTTTTAGAGATATTTCCATTCTTCATAATTATGACTTTTAAAGCCAGCAGTATTCACTGAGGCTAAAAAAAAAAAAAAAAACAAACGTAGTTGGGCAAGCTACTTAATCTTCATTAGAGTTGACAATTCTGTTCCAATCTGGCAAAAACATTGTAGCCCTAGCAACAAGACTATTAGAAAAGGCCTAGAGTGAAAAATGTCAGAGTTGACCCTCTGATTACACAAGTTGGTTTATGTTACCATGTCACCTATTTTTGTCCTCCACCATGTGATCTATTTTTATACCAGAGAAACATAATATAGTTACATTTACTTGTACAAAGCCCATTTCATCTACATTTATCTGCACCATTTTGCTATGCAAGCTTGTTTGCACAAAGGAACTTACATGAGATCAAAATCTTATTTTCTTGGAATTTTATCTGTGTGGAAAAAGGCATCCCAAATATAAGCTGGACCACCCATAGTCCATTTCCTTGCAAGGGAAAGAGTCCAAACACTTTAAAAAACTTTCTAGATATGGACATATCTAGTGGATGCCTAGACATGGATATGAATTTCTTTCTGAAATGGCAGTCTCACTGACCAAGTACAGATGCTAGTGGTTTTAAAGATTGGGTCTGTGATGTGCAAAATATTTCATATCTAACATGCAGTTATTGGATCACTGTGTTCACACTCATAAGAGTCAGTACAGCTCTTTAAAAACAGGCTGTAAAGCTTACAGCCTCCAAGTCTAGGAAAGGAAATTCATGGGTATTGATCATCTACTGTATGCCAGGCACCACTGAAGTGCTTTACATCTGTTCAGCTGACTCCTAAATGAATGGAGGTTGGGGTTAGTGGGGAAATGGAAGACTTGGGCCACAAGCTGTGGTCTTAGAAACTGATGATGGGACATGGGGAGAGCCATGAGATAAAGGAAATTAAGTCTGAGTTCCAAATGAGGAGTCCTCTGGAGCAAGGAACAGCCCCCAAACCTCAATTTAGGGCTGTGAGGGAGAAGAGGGTGGGGAGAGAAGGACTGCATCCAAAATGGAAATTCTACAACTCCGCTGATGCCTCCATCGCCCCAGAGGAGACCCATAAAGCAAAACCATGAAGAAACACTGGGGAGTCTGAATCCTTTATAGAACATCTTTAGCTCAGTTTGTGGGCAGGGAAGGGATCAGTCTTCAAATTCATTCATTACATGCATTATCTCAATCCTTGCAACAACCCTGTGAGAATTGATATCCCCACTTTATAGATTTAAGAACTAAGATTCAGGAAGGTTAAGTAATTTGCCCAACTGCAAACATCCAGAATCCATGTGCTGGCCCAATTCCCAAACCAATAGGAACCAAATCCTTTTATTATATCTTGTTTCCTCTCAGAGTCTAGGGGACAGAGGAGGGTTCTCCTGCTCCAGACTTAGCTACAAAAAGACTAGAATACCGTGTGAATCTCACTCCAAATTGAGGAAGTAAGAACTTGTAGTCAAAATATTTGAATATTGCATTAACTTTTCATAATACTGCCATTAAATGTTCACACAGGGCATTTTGCTTTAAAACAGGAGCATTCATTTTCTTTCCAGCAACATTTCTTCTCTAATTCTTTCACTTGTTTTTGTAACCAAAGGTGTGTTGGAATTTGTGTTTAACATGTAATCCTGATCCTTCTACTTTGTGAGTTTTAACCAACTTGAGACATAGATGCAGGAAACAGAAGAAGATTGAAATTTATTATATGTATTATTACCCAAATTACAGCACTCTATAGTAAAGCTGGATTGGAGAATGAGCCTTACACTTAAGTCAGAAATAGGGTTTGCTACTCCTTCTTAAGTGAACCAAGCAGCCTGTGTAGTCACAGGTGGAAGGGCCAGACAACTTCATTCTTCCTTCTCCAGCCCAACTCCAACCTAGGAGGAAGCCTTGCATGCTGAATTGCCAAGGGCAAAATTAGAAAGCACTGTACTCGAGCTGCTACAAGCCATGGAAAAATTTCTTCTTTGCTGCTTGGGATGGGCTGAGAGAAAAAGTGGAGAGAGGGCCCCAGAACGTTACTCCAGTGCTGTTTTCTGTCATCAGGATTGGAACAGAAACCCTAAGAGTGGAGTAACAAGCATCCCTCCTGCTATTTGCCAGCTTTTTCATCTCTTGGTATATTACAGTGTGTGTTCCACTGGCATTATGTAAGTTGATTTTAGGTAGCATGATGACAGGCATTTTTTTAAAAAGTTTTAGTAATATATATGTTGTAATCAGAAAAATATGTAACATTGTTTATCATGAGTAAAAAATTGAGCGAAAGATTTTAAAAGTATACACAATATTTAAGGAAAAATATTATATCAGTATTAGTGTGAGCGATATGCAGACACGAAGGCCACATATGAAGGAAGGCTGGGAAACAATGTCATAACCCACTGGACTTAAGCAACTTGGAAGTAAGCCAGGGTGGGCTGTTCCTCTCAGCAGGGAAGTTGCTTGCTCACAGGGCCGTCATGTTCTCACTTTCCTAAACCCTCCTTCTTTCCACACTAATTCCCTCCAGAGCTGCCAATGGGCATTTCGCTTTTTGCCAACAAAAGTCTCTAGCAACATGAGTCAGACAGAACTGCATGCAGCACCCTAAGCAGAAAATGTATTCCCCATTCTATTTCCTATTACTGATTATGCTCAGTCATGTTGTCCAGAATTAATGAATGTATTCATTTTATATTCATGTATACATTCATGAATGTATTCATGAATGCCAAGACCAGATCAACAACATAAAAATATTCTAAAGTTGAACAATATGAAACTCTTCTCATTTTTTAACCCTCCAGACTAAATTCCCTTGCAAATGAAAAGCCCATAGAAATTAAGGTCAAATTCCTTCATTCCCAATTCTATACAATTGGCTCATTCTCAGCCAGAGGGTCTTACACTGATCTCTGGGTTCCTATAAGTTCAGCTATAACCTGGGCCGTCTTTCATAGGAATGGTTACAGCTTCTTCAGTCTTTTCAAAATTAATTCAAATTTCTAAGTAATTCAGCTCTCCAAGGGGTAACTAATCACAAAAGAAACTGTGGCTCCACTATGTAAGTTATTACAAGCAAAATTATGGTCCCCAAATTAAGTGAATGGTGTAATCTTTTTTGACACGGTTGTCGCCACCCAAAGAGCATGGCAGATAACTTAATGGTACCTGTGTTGTAGACAGAAGGACCTGAAAACAGCTGGGTTTCTGTTCCAGGGAGGGCCAGCCAGCGGTGCCAGTGTCAAGAGTTCACAGGCTGTAAATCTATATACACTGAGCAGAAACTGCCCATCAACAATTATGCTTCCACATGTTTAGTGTGTGTGTGTGTATGTGTGTGTGTGGTGGTGGTGGTGGTAGGTGTAGTGGCAATGCTTCTGGCAAACTCCCCATGTATATTACCTACTTTCTCAGTGAATGACATTTGAGACATTATTCCTTCTTAGAAAATTTAGATGTTTTGATTTCTTCATGTCTTGCATTTCATGCTTTTAGCACTTCAGTGCAAGACTGTGATTAGTCTAGATTAAACCTCTATTCCCAAATATCTTCAGGTGCGTTCTCTCTAGGAGCGTGAAGTCTCTCCTTTGTGGAAACATGAGGAATGGAGTAGTGACCATCACTCTACTCCCTTAGCACTATTTTAACTTAATAATATATCATATTGTATTTATTCAGATAATAGTAATTGTCACCACTATTCCATATGCTTTTCATTCCTACCTGGGCAGGTCAGGTTGGTCCCAGCTGACCAATAGTTAACCATAGTCAAAATTAAAAAAAAAAAAAAAAGAAGTTAAAACTCAAGGATCACAGAAAGAGCCAGGGAGTCAAGCTTACTCTTCTCAAGAAATAAGAGAATGATGTCAAAGTTTAGCAAAGCTTTAAGGAGATTCTAGATCTGATGGACTGAAATAGTCAAAAGTTAGTATTCCAAAGAATTAGGCCCCTGTAAAGACAGAACACAGTAAATTGAAAGAAGACCCCAGAAACCCTGAACTTCAGGGCAGGTACTTTTTCTGTTGCCCTTTAATTTCTTCCTGTCTCAATTGGACCTAACCATGAGTATGAGGAGAGTGACTGCAGCTGGGGAAAGAAATAGTGCCAAGAGCTGCAGCTGCAGAAAGTTTTGTTTTCATTTTTTTAACTTTTATAGTGTAAAATTAATATGCTCATAAGTTAATAAAATCAAACAGTACAGAATGGTACCAAGTGAAGAGTAAATTATCCACCTGTCTTCATTCCCCCACTCCCCACGTCTAATCTAGCTCCTTATTTTCAAACATGTTTTGTTCTGTTAGTGGTTATCACCATACCTTTAAGCATATGTTAATATTACTATTTTTTTTGTTGTTGTTTTTCAACTTTAGGTCACATCTATTGAAAGATGAGAAACTTAGTTCGTATTTCTTTATCCATCTACTCCTGAGTTTTTCTAGTCATATTATTTTCTTCTGGTGGTTATCTTTATAATTTTAAAGAATATGTTCAAGCTCTATATTTTGTTACATCAATTTTAGTATGTTGATTCCTTGCTATAGAAGGTACAAGAATTTGTGTCTGACATTGCTGGCCACATCTCTCTGCTACCTTAACATTCAGACTTTTGTGTTTTTTCCATTATCAATTTTAATACTAGTTAGATTCTCTTTTATAGTTATTATTGTCTTCCAGTTTCGTTGATTTGTTGACTCTACAAATTGAAATAGCATTTTCATTATCCTGATTATTGAATTACCCCTTATTGATTGATCAAATAGCATGAGTCTACCTATTAAGGGGAGAAAATGTAATCTAGTTCATTAATACTGAACGATGAATGTTCCAAGTGACAAGATAGAAAAGGAGTCCATAAACTCAATCTTCAAGCCTTCTTATGAAATTATTCATTTAGCCTATATCTTTAATATCCAAGAAATTAAACATAAAACATAAACATTTTTTACTGTGCTTGATTCTAGCCACCCATTCATTTGCTTCTTAACTATGAAGATGTTAATATTTGTTGAAAGATCAATTTTTCTTCTGTTCTCTTAATTACCTACTTTCTTCAGGAGTCACCTAGTATATCTGCTCCACTTGGACGTTCTCATTTTTGCTGTTTATTTCTTCTAAATTTTGTGAGTTTTAAAAATCTATGTGAATGATGGAAAAAAGGTGATCAATACTGGTAGCATGGTTTTCTACTGTGATACTAGGACTTTCCCTTTAATAAAAAGACAGATGCCATGGCTTGTGTACACAGAAGCTAGGAGTATGATTTAGGGTACATTTACATATTTTGTTCATCATGTATTTTTTACAGTTATTTTGACTTTTAAAACTATTGCATTAAAATATTATTTATCTAATTTAGTTAGTTTGGGGGCTCACCCTCAAAATTTTGTGTTCCAGGCTTCGTTCTTCTCACTGTAGTACCTGCCTTGAGACAGGGCCTGAAAGAGTAACCATCATTTCCAGTTATGGTCAGCAGAGGGCAGCAAAGGGCAGTGGAGTACGTGCTTGCTCTCAGGGCCTGGGCATCCTTCACTTTGTGGAGGCAAAAATCAGGAACTGGGAAGTAGAGGTCCAGATGGCCAGAATTAGAAGCGAAACTACTCACAGTGGCAGTGACCCAGGATAGAGACCAGGCTAAGCAGGGAGTGAAAAGGTTTAGTCAAAAGGGAGCCACAATTCGCAGCCCGGTATCTGCCATAGAGATGTGAGCAAGTAGACCTCAGGAGGTGAATCATCACTTGAGTTCTTTCGCAGTCCTGACTGCGACTCCCAGCGTCTCTCAAGCCCGCGGTGTGGCTCCTTAAAGTCTCAGGCATCGACTATCAACTGTGGAAGAGAATGAAAACTTCCTGTCTGAGAGTTGGTAACATGCTGCCAAGTGCTTAGGGGTTCCAGAACCAGCCATTTTGGGGAGGAGAGATTGAGTGGAGTATGAGCACCGAATACAAACGCTGAAGGATGATGACGATATTCGCATGTACATGCCAGCTAAATAATTTAGGAGCCTGCCTAAATGCGATGTGCTTTAAAATATAGTCCTGCCCCCCGAGCCAACACACATCTGGGAGGAAACAATGTTTCGTTGTGGAAACACCATGTGACTTTGGAATCAGACACACTGGACTCTCTGAATTGTTCGGTATGTGGCTCTTGGTTACTTAACTGATGGAGCCTCAGTTTCTCCATCTGTAAAAATGAAAATTCTTATCTCATAAGGCTACTTCGAGGAAATGCAAATGATGTACATGAACTACCTGGCAAAGAGCTTGGCCACCTGTAGTTGCTCGATTGACTTTACTACCTTTTCTCTCTGCCTTCCCTTTGGTCATGGAAGAATATCTGTAATATTGCTTGCTATTTTGAAATGTAAAGTCTTCCCATAAGCATAATTGACATTAGCTGAGAGATTGCTATGTTGGGTACCATAGAAAGTTTTCTATGGTATTATTTAAAATTCATAACAACCCTATGAGGTAACTTATCATCATCTCTGTCTTGCAGATGAGGACATGGAGGCTTTAATAGTATAACTGGTTTTCCCAGTGTCACATAGGTAGTGAGTAATGATCAGGGGTTCAAAACCAGGTAGTAGTTTGATTCCAGAGCTCATGCTCTTAACAGTATACAACCTCCTTTTCTATACAGACATTTTATCATCGATTAAAAATTTTAAGAGAAAAAATAGAATTAAGAAAATAGAAAAGAAAGAGGGAGAAAGAGAGAGAGGGAGAAAGAGAGAGAAAGAGAGAAAGAGGAAATAGTGTAGTTTTGTCTTTGTGATGTGCTTAAATGTTGGTATTACTGGCATAGCATCACCTTGTACTATCTCTTCTATGTGATTTTTAGGGTGAAAATTCAGTTTAAAGAAATAAATGAGAGACTGCTATGGACTGAATTGTGTCCCCCTAAATTCATATATTGACGCCCTCACCTCTCTCTCTCCCTGCCATGTAAAAATATAGTTAAAAAGTGGCTGTCTACAAGCCAGAAAGAGAGCCCCTACCAGAAACTGAAAATGCCAGCACCTTGATCTTGGACTTTAAACCTCCTGTGAGAAATAATTTTTTTCTGTGAGAAATAAACTTTTGTTGTTTAAGTAACCCAGTCTATGGGATTTGGTTATGGTGGCTTGAGCTGACTGAGACACAGACTCTGTCACTGTTATTCTATTAAGAGCTCATCTATCAAATTAAAATAAATAACAAGAATAATTTTTATTGGCTTTTTTCTCATTTTTTTCTAGTTTTTTAAATTGTTTTTTACATAACATAAATTTGCCATCATATTATTTTAAGTGTACAATCAGTAGTATTAAATACATTCATAATGTTGGGCAACCATCACCACCATCCATCTCCATAACCTTTTTCATCTTGTAAAATGGAAATGCTATTACCATTAAACAATAACCCCTCATTCTCCCCTCCCTCCAGCCCCTGGTAACCACCATGCTTCTTTTTGTAATCATAATTTTGTCTGATAGATATAGCTGATTCATGTGTTGTTTAAGTTCACTATTTCCTACCTATTTTTTGTCTGGTTGTCCTATTCATTATTGACAGTGGGATATTAAAATCTCCAACTATTATTGTAGAACTGATTATTTATCCATGCAATTTTCAGTTTTTGCTTTATGTATTTTAATTGACTGTTTTTAGATGCATGCATGTTTATACTTGTTATAACTTCTGCTGGGTTGAACCCTCTAAGTGTGCAATGTCCTTCTTTGTCTCCTCCTTTGTCTCTTGTTCTTGTCTTTTCTGATTTAAAGCTTTTTTAAAAAAATATTTGTATAGCCATCTCTTCTCGCTTCTGGTTACTGTTTGCATGGAACATCTTTTTTTCATTCTTTCACATTCCATCTATTTGTGCCTTTGGATCTAAAGTGAATCTCAATGTCAGGCGCAGTAGTATATGCCTGTAGTGATAGCAACCCGGGAGGCTGAAGCAGGAGGACCATTTGAGCCCAGGAGTTCGAGTCCAGCCTGGGCAACATAGTGAGATCCCATATCTCATAAAAAATTTCAAAATTAAAAAAAAATAAAGTGAGCCTCCTGCACGTAACATATATTTGGATTATGGTTTTTAATCCATTTGGCCAATCCTTTAATTGGAGTGTTTAATGCATTTACATTTAAAGTAATTACTAACAACAAAGGGACTTCTAACAGTTTGCTACTTGTTTTCTATATGGTTTGTAGTTTTTTGTCAATAATTTTCTGCATTACTGTCTTCTTTTGTGTTCACTTGATATTTTATATTAAAACGTTTACATTTCTTTCTCATTTCCATTTTTACATATTTTATAGCGATTTTTCTTTGTGGCTACCATGGGGATTACATCTGACATCCTAAAGTTATGCCAATCTAATTGGAATTTTTACCAGCTTCACCTCAATAACATCCACCTCTGTGCTCCCTTACAGGTTCGTCCCTACTCCTTTTGGTTGATGTCTTAAAATCATATTTGTATACACTGTGTGCCCCAAAACATAAACTAATACAGGCATACCTTGTTTTGTTGTGCGTTTTATCACACACACAGATACTGCATTTTTCACAAATCAAAGCTTTGTGGGAACCCTGCATAGAGCAAATCTATCAGTGTTTTTTTTACTAACGACACACAGTCACTTTGTGTCTCTGTCACATTTTGGCAATTCTCACAATATTTCACACTTCTTCATTATGATGATATTCATTTTTGTGATCAGTGATCTCTGATGTTACTATTGTGATTATTTTGGTGTCCTGTGAACTTAAGATGAACTTAATCACCTCTAAGTGTTCAAGTGAAAGTGTTGCATGTCTTTCACTTTAAATCAAAAGGTACAAATGATTAAGTTTAGTGAGGAAAGCATGTCAAAAGCCAGGAAGACTGAAGAGTCTTGCAACAGTTAGCCAAGTTGTGAATGCGGAGTAAAGATTCTTAAAGGACAGTAAAAGTGCTAATCTAGTGAACACATGAATGATAAGAAAGCGAAACAGCCTTATTCCAATATGGAGAAAGTTCTAGTGGTCTGGATGGAAGATCAAACCAGCCACAGCATTCCCTTAAGCCAAAGCCTATTCCAGAGCAAGGCCTAACTCTCTTCAATTCTCTTAAACCTGAGAGAGGTGAAGAAGCTGAAGAAAAGAAGTTGGAAGCTAGCAGAGGTTGGTTGATGAGGTTAAAGTGAAGAAGCATCTCCATAACATGAAAGGGCAACATGAAGCAGCAAATGCTGGTGTAAATAAAAGCTGCATCAAGTGATCCTGAAGATCTAAATGAGATCACTGAAGATGGTGGCCACACTAAACAACAAATTCTTCAATGTAGATCAAACAGCCTTTATATTGTAAGAACATGCCATCTAGGACTTTCATAGCTAGAGAGTAGAAGTCAATGCCTGGCTTCCAATCTTCACAGGACAAGCTGACTTTCTTGTTAGGGTTTGATGCAGCTGGTGGCTTTAAGTTGAAGCCAATGCTCATTTACCATTCAGAACATCCTAGGGCCCTCAAGAATGATGCCAAATCTACTCTGCGCACTAGAAATGGAACAACAAAGTCTGAATGTCAGCACATCTGTTTATAGCATGGCATTTTAAGCCCACTGCTGAGAACTAATGCTCGGAAAAAAAAAAAAAAAAAAAAAAAGATTGCTTTCAAAATGTTACTGCTTACTGATAATACACCTGGTCACCCAAGAGCTCTAATGGGAATGTGCAAGGAGATTAGAGTTGTCTTTGTGCCTGCTAACACAGCATCCATACTGTGGCACGTGGATATTATTTAAGAATACATTTTTTAAGGATATAGCTGTCATAGATAATGATCCTTCTGATGGATCTGAGCAAAGCAAACTGAAAACCTTCTGGAAAGGACTCACCATCCTAGATGTCATTAAGAACATTTATGATTTCTGGGAGGAGGTCAAACTATAAACATTAACAGGAGTTTGTAAGAAGTTGATTCCATCCCTCATGCATGAGTGTGAAGTGTGCAAGACTTCAGTGGAGGAAGTAAGCACATATGTGGTGGAAATAGCAAGAGAACTAGAATTATAAGTAGAACCTAAAGATGAAACTGAATTGCTGTAATTCTATGACAAAACTTGAACGGCTGGGTGCAGTGGCTCACGCCTGTAATCCCAGCATTTTGGTAGGCCGAGGCGGGCAGATCACCTGAGGTCGGGAGTTGGAGACCAGCCTGGCCAACATGGTGAAACCCTGTCTCTACTAAAAATTAGCCAGGTGTAGTGGCAGGTGCCTGTAATCCTAGCTACTCGGGAGGCTGAGGCAGGAGAATCGCTTGAACCCAGGAGGCAGAGGTTTCAGTGAGCCAAGGTCGTGCCATTGCACTCCAGCCTGGGTGACAAGAGCAAGATTTTCTCTCAAAAAAATAAATAAATAAATAAAAATAAAAAAACTTGAACAGATGAGAAGTTGCTTCTTATGGATGAGCAAATAAAGTGGTTTACTGAGATGAAATCTACTCCTGGTGAAGATGCTGTGACTTGTTGAAATGACAGCAAAGGATTTAGAATATTTTATAAACTTACCCGATAAAGCAGTGGCAGAGTTTGAGAGGATTGACTCTAATTTTGAGAGAAGTTATAATGTGGGTAAAATGCTCTCAAGCACCATGAAATGCTACAAAGAAATCTATTGTGAAAGGCAGAGTCAATCAATATGGCAAACCTTTTTGTTGTCTTAGTTTAATAAATTACCCCAGCAATTCCAATCTTCAACAGCCACTACCCTGATCAGTCAGCAGCTAACAACACTGAGGCAAGACCCTCCATCAGCAAAAAGTTCAGGACTCATTGAAGGCTCAGATGATTGTTAGCATTTTTCAGCAATAAAGTATTTTTATTTAAGGTAAGTAAAAAGTAATGGCAAAATCTGCAATTACTTTTGCACCAACCTAATACATTGCATTTTAGACATAATACTATTACACACTTAGTAGACTACAGTATAGTGGTATAAACCTAACTTATGCACTGGAAAACCAAGCATTTTGTGTGAATTGTTTTATTGTGATATTCACTTCATTGCCACAGTCTGAAATCAAACCTGCAATACCTCCAAGATAAGTCCATAATTACTTTAAATGCATTAGTGTCTTAAATTATGGAGAAAACAAAGCATAGAGTTACTAATTATAATAATGCTACCTTTTATACTAGTAGCTGTTTTTTTAAAAAATTTATTTGTCTCTCTTTTTTTTTTTTTTTTTGGAGACGGAGTCTCGCACTGTTACCCAGGCTGGAGTGCAGTGGCGTGATCTTCGCTCATTGCAACCTCTGCCTTTCAGGTTCAAGCAATTCTCCTGCCTCAGCTTCCCAAGTAGCTGGGATTACAGTCACCCACCACCATGCCTGGTTAATATTTTTGTATTTTTACTAGAGATGGGGTTTCACCATGTTGGCCAGGCTGGTCTCAAATTCCTGACCTTAGGTGATCCACCCGCCTTGGCCTCCCAAAGGGCTGGGTGTGAGCCACAGCGAGGAATGTTGCAGTTTTGGTTTCACTTTTCAAACACGGTTTTGCAAAATATAGGATTCTTGGTTGACAGCTTTTTTTTCTCTTAAAACTTTGAATATATTGGCCTATTGCCTTCAGAGTCCAAAGTTTCTGTGGCTATATCTGCTGATAATCTTATTGAGGATCACCTACCTGTGATGAGTTGCTTCATTCTCACTGAGTTCAAGATTCTCTCTTTTTTTCGAAGCATGGTATAGGCTAATTAAAAAAAATCCTTTTCTTTGACTTTTCGAAAATTGATTAAATATGTGTCTCAGTGTTGGTCTCTTTCAGTTCATCTTGCTTGGAGTTTGCTGAGCTTCTTGCATATTTTTAGTCAAGACTTTCATCAAACTGGGATGTTTTCAGCCATTATTTCTTCAAATATTCTGTCTCTTTCTCTCCTTTTCTTCTATTTCCCACAATGTGTACATTGGTTCACTTGACGGTATTCCATATGTCTCTTAGGCTCTGTTCACTTTTATTTAATCTCTTTTCTTTATATTCCTTAGACTTGATGTTTTTCACTGTCTTTTCTTTACATTTGCTGATTCTTTCTTCTTCCTGCTCAAATCTGCCTCTGAACCCACCTAATGAACCTTTCTGTTCAGTTAGTGTACTTTTCAGCTCCAGAATTGCTCGTTTCTTTTTAGTTCTTCTATCTCTTTATTAATATTTCCATATTGTTCATGCACTGTTTTCCTGGCTTTCTCCACATCCTCCTTTAGTTCTTTGAGCATCTTTTAGACAATAGTTTTAAAATCTTTTTCTAATAGATTTGCCATTAGGCCTACTTCAGAGGACAGGTTCTATTGAACAATTTTTTTTCCTTTGAATGACAGTGCTTTCTTGTTTTCTTGTACACCTTTTTGGGGAAAACTGGACATTTGAATGTAACGTGAGAATCCTAGAAATCAGATTCTCTCCCTTCTTCAGGTTTTGCTGTTTTCTGTTATTCATTTTGTGTATTTTTAAAAATTGTTTTAGGTTGTTTCTACAACAAGGATCAGCCTGAAGTATAAATTTAAGGTCTTCTGAGGTATTTTCTGAGCCTGTATTTTTCCCTGGGCATAAGTGTTCACTTTCTCATTTTCCCCATTTTGCAGTTGCTTTTGAATGTCCTAGTCTATATTGTCTGGCTCCCAAAGGCAGAAAAAACAGAAAAATGAAGGGGTATGGGGAAAGGCCAGTGGTACTTTATATCCCTCGGAATTAACTTCAGCCTGAGGGGCAGGGGCTTATAACAATTGCGGGGAGGTGTAGATTTTTGGTGGGAGACAAATTTCTGGTGCTTCCTAGTCTTCCCAGAATTCTCTGAACAATTATATTTTGGAAGAGATTGAACTTTAGCTATTACATGTAAAAGTAATTATTACATGACTAAGGAAAGCTCCATTCATCTTTTTTTTTTTTCTGAGACCAAGTCTAACTTACTCTGCCGCCCAAGCTGGAGTGCAGTGGCACAATCTCGGCTCACTGCAACCTCTACCTCCCAGGTTCAGGAGATTTTCCTGCCTCAGCCTCCTGAGTAGTTGGGATTACAGGTGTGAAACACCACACCCGGCTAATTTTTGTATATGTTTTGTGGAGACGGCGTTTCACCATGTTGGCCAGGCTGTTCTCGAACTCTTGACCTCAAGTGATCCACCTGCCTCAGCCTCCCAAAGTGCTGGGATTACAGGTGTGAGCCACTGCACCCAGCAAGCTCCCTTCATCTGTCTAAGGAAATGTTTTCTCTCCTTTGCTTCACTATGAGAAGATGTTATCAGAATATCACATTTTTTTCAATATATGCCTAAAAACATCATTCACAATACTGGTTACATGTAAGAATCACCTGAAAAGCTTTTTAAAAATACAGGGTTTTTTTGTATTTGATAAATCAGTACCTCTGGAGTGCAGTCGGGGGGGGTGCATAAAAACTCCCACAAGTAATTATAATGCATATAAGATTTGGTTGCCAGTGACTAGTTCTAGAAGGAGAGAGGTCTCTAACTCTGTGTAACAGAGGAGCAGGGAGAGGAAGAGTCACCCTGAGATAATTCGGGAATTAGGAAAGGTACAGAGGTAAGTCAGCCTACATTTCTTACCTTGAATGTGTTCTGACAGATGTTTCATGGGAGGCCAGAAAGTGTTACCAATGAAATTTCAAGATTCTAAAAGTCAGGCTGGTCCCAAACTAGTACTGTCCCTTTAAAAGCTGTTAGATGTCTGTTGAGGCCACTATCTAGAAGCCGTTTCTATGCCAGCTTGTTTTTAGGATAAAAGGCCTTAACAAGGTCTAAATGGACTAATGGGATTTGCATTTTTGGCCTCTACCTACCTACCACTATAGAATTTTTTCACTTTCCTGTACTTTCAGTTGGTGTCTCCAATTCAGCAAACTATTTTATGTCTCTGAAACTTGATATAATCAAATTATATCCCTTCTTCATTAAATTATGAAATTTCTCCTCTCAACACATTTTCTCCTCCCACCTGTCTTCTCTCTCTCTCTCTTTTCCCTATCCACCACCCCACCCCAGTTAATTCCAAATTATTTTTTTAAAGCTTATTTCAAATGAGCTCTTCAAAGAGGCCTTCCTTGCCTGCCTCTCCATAATCTAAGTAAGGTATCACTCCCTCTTTATATCTTGTGCCTCACTCTTTCATTTTTCTTTGCAGTATTTACCAAAGTTTGATGTTAAACAGTTATTGATGTGAGTATTCGGTAAATGTTTACTTTTCTCATTTAAATCTAGTTTTTGTGAAAGTTTGACCTGGCTCCTTTTTGTTCCCTGCCACCCAGATCTAACCAAGTGCCTTTCTCCTGCTACAGGTTCAAACACTATTTGTTAAATGAATGAAGTAAACAAAATAGAGACTTTCTTGTCCCCATCCATGGAATAAAACAATTTATTCATTCAACAAAGTTTTTCAGATGTCCCTAAAGTGCCAAAGTCTGTGAGAATTAAATAATAAATCCGATATAGCCTCTTTCCTTCAAGTTTTCAGAGTCTAGAGGGGAATGAAAAATACATATTCAAATAAGTATTTAAGGAACTGTAAGGGAAACCATAAACTTTATTAGTAAGATCAAATTTCAGTCCTACAAGGATGCCAGAGGAAGGAGACTCTCCACATGAGAAGACTGAGGTGGCCTCACTGCCCTGGGCTTGTGACCTCTCACATCAGGTGGATTTGAGTCCCCACGTTATTTCATGGTTGCTTGGCTTCCAGACATTTCACCTATTTGTGCAGCCACCCCCTCCTCTGTGAAAAGGTCAGTCTTCTAGTGGAAAGGCAATGCTGTTTTTACATAAAATGTTTTTAGCAGAATACTGTAAGTTCTATAATACTGAAGAAGATATACAGAAGACAAATCAACACATGAAAAGAAGTTCAGCATAATTAACCATCAGGGAAATTCAAGTTAAGTCCACAATGAGATATCCTACACACCTGTTAGCACAGCTAGCATGAACAGTGACACCAAATACCGGTGTGGACATGGGGAAAGTGGATCACTCATACAGTGCTGGTGGAATTGTGAAG
Organism: Homo sapiens; assembly: GCF_000001405.40. Classification (NCBI taxonomy): domain Eukaryota; kingdom Metazoa; phylum Chordata; class Mammalia; order Primates; family Hominidae; genus Homo; species Homo sapiens. The sequence continues at coordinate 120,040,502 of NC_000004.12, read as the reverse complement.
TGATACAGACACTCTGGAAAACCGATCGTTTCTTTAAAAATTAAACATGAGACTACTACCCAGAAATCACATTCCTGGGCATTTATTCCAGAGAAATGAAGGCTTACATTGATTCAAAAACCTGTACACAAATGTTTATAGAGGATTTATTTGTTATAACCTCAACCTGGAAACAAACCAGAAGTCCTTCAACAGGTGAGTGGTTAAACAAACTGAAGTACAACCATACCATAGAATACTACTAAGTGAGACAAATAGATGAGCTATAAATATCTGCAAAAATCTGCATGAATCTCCAATTATGCCAAATGAAAAAAAATCTGCAAATGTACCAAATGATTGTTTACATAACGTTAATGAAAAGACATAATTATAGAAATGGAGAACAGATAAGTGGTTGCCAGGGATTAAACGTGGTGGAGATGGGAAGGAAGTTGGTGTGGCTGTAAAAGGGAAATATAGAAGATCCTTGCGGTAATGGAAATGTCTATTATCTTGATTGCATCAATGTTAATATCCTGGTTATGTTATTGTACTATAGATTTGGAAGATATTATCATTAAAGGAAACTGGATGAAAGGTTAATGGAATCTTTCTGTATTATTTCTTGCAACCACATGTGAATCTATTATACAATGATCTAACAATAAAAAGCTTAGATTTAAAAAGTTAAAAGATGAGCGCAATCTGGGAAAGAAGTATGTCAGTTTGTCAGTTGTCGGATGAGCCTTAGAACCTTGACATCATAATGGTGAGTGATCCTGACTACTGAGGAATCCTCGGGCTTCAAAGATTTGCCTGTAGTGCTCTGCAAGGTGCCGCAGACATGACTGATTTTCAATACCAAGAATGGAAGAATGAAGGATGTTCACATCAATCAAAAAGGTGGTCATTTAAAGCATCATTGCACAAGATATTCTTTTAATATATAATTTTTGATCATCAAAAAAGTTTTCTGTCTTGTTTCCTCTAAAACATATGTACTTATTCTTAACTTTAGAACTGGTTTCGTGGAGTTAGTCATGTTCATGAGATTTAGTGCTGCTGAGCTCGAGAGAGGTGTCTTTGTATTCTCAGGGAAGATACTTTCTTGGCTCTATAGGAGACAATTTTCTGTAGGTCTATGAAAATGTCTGCCCTATTTTTAAGAGTTTTTATGCTCTATTCAATCTAGCTGGTATTGCCTATTATGACCACAGAGTACTGTTGGAGCTTGACTATAGCTCAACCAAATAATATTTAAGCACTTTGTTCAGTTTAGCAAGTTTTTGATGTTTCCAGTATTATTTGGTGTTCTTTAGTAATTTTTTTTACCAAAATTTCAATATTTATTTCAGTAAGATGGGAGTCAGTTTTCCAGGATCCTCAGTTACCTAAATTTTCATGCTGATGAGGAGCCAAATTTTAATTACTTGTTTGCAAGCCTCTATATAATTTTGTTTTGTATATGTTAGGATGTCTTGTGTCTGTGTGCTTGTTTTTATTTTTATTAGTAAATGCTTGGTATGCAAAAAATATCAGATCCATCTGAGTCTTTTTTTGCACAGTGCAGCATAGGGCTTAGGTAGAGTAAATGTTAGGTGATTCAGTGGAAAGATGCTTCTAAAAAATATAAATTGGTTTAAAACATTAGGGAAATGTGATTATATTTTTAAAAATACAGTGAAACCCTATCTCTAAGGATGACATATCTGTGACTTTTATTCAGAATTAACTAGTAATAAATATTTATGGAGAGCTTTACAGTTTAAGAATGCTTTTCATAGCTTACTTCATTTTAAGTCTCATTATAACCCTATGAAGATACTATTTTTCCAGATTATATGTTCTATTTTATTACTATCATTGACATTTTGCCAGATTAGAGACCTGGTAATTTAAATTGTTTTAATGGTCTTTTGACATATATTACATATGCAAGGCATAGTGTATATTATATTATTAACTTTAAAAGTCTCTCCAAGGATACTTCAAACATAATCCTCTGTGGCTCTTGGCTCCACCCTCTGGGTCCTTGGTTTTCCCTCCGGACTTTGGGCACTGCTTTCTGTGTCATGTTTACATGCTCATGAAAAGTAGCACTTGTTTGCAGCTGAGTAGTTTTGTCTGTCTGTTTTCTGCCAATAGGATTTCTGAGTCTGACAGCCTTCTGTTATTCTGTACTCTTTCTGTCTTTTTCAAGCCAACCTGATGGTGCTTCTGCTAATATAAAATTCTCAAGAACTTTATGGGTCTCCATGGTTACCATTCCTACCGATCACTTCATTAGCTAGAAGTTATGTGTACCAAGTTTTCTGACATACTCGCTTTGTATTTTTGTCTGCTGCCTAGATGGCTGCAAGACAATGCCCCTAAGCTTTTTGAGTCCTTCTGGCTATATTGAGGGGATCTATGACCCACATCCTTAATCTCTTCAAAGAGCTTTTTCTGTGCCTGAGTACTATCATCATTTGATCTTTATGAAGGTTTAGTAACAGATTGTACAATCACACTCTGTATTTTTTATGCCACATTTTCTGAAGCATCCTCTTAATTTTGCTGTCTTTGGCATCTGTATAGGGTGAGAATCTCCCAACTCATCAAGTGTGGGTTCTCTTTCATTGAACAAGTTTGGATTATCTTTTGTTTAACAATTTCTCTTTCAACTTATCTTTCTCTTCTCACATGTTACTGTAAGTAGCAAGAAAAAAACAAAAAGCCACTTCTTTCAACTATCTGCTTGAAAATCTCTTCACCTAAAGATCCAAGTTCATCATTTAAAAAGACCACTTTCCACATAACTAGAGGGCACTATTATACTAAGTGTTTTGCCTGCTTATAACAAGGATCTCCCCTCTCCACTTTTCAATAACATGTTTCTTCTGAGCCCTCAGCAGCAGTGCCTTTAAAATCTGTATTTCCACCAACAGTTGTTTGTTTGGGGTGATGTAAGTAGTCTCTAAGGCAAGTTAGATTTTTCCCTATAATACTCCTCAGTATCTTCTGAACGCTTACTGGCAGAGTCTTTAATGTCCATATTTTTGCTAGCAGTCTGTTCAAGACAATCTAGATAGTTTTTTCCATCATGCTCCTCAAAATTCTTCCAACGTCCACTTGCTGCTGATTCCAATGTTGCTTCTGCATTTTAAGTGTTTATTACAGTAGCACCTCACTTTCAAGTATCACAGTCTATATTTGTTTTTTAGCCATTATAACCAATTACCATACATTTAGTTGCTTAAAGCAACAAGAATGTATTATGTTGCAGTTGTGTACATCAGAAGATTATGTGGGCTTGACTGGGTCCTCTAATTGGGGTCCCATAAGACTGATCAAGGTGTTGTCAGGGCTGCATTTCTTATTGGAGGCTCTCCAGAAGAAATTGCTTCTGATGAGCTCAATCAAATTTTGGGGTAAATTCATTTACTTGAGGTTGTGTACTGAGGTCCCCCTTCCTTGCGAGCTGTCACCCGGGGCTGGGTTTGTTCCTAGGGTGTGGCGGTATTTCTTTTCATGCTTTCCTTGTGGCTCCTGCCAGCAATGATAGATTGACCATAATTTTTAGCATTGTATCACCCTTGAAATTTGGCATAAAACTCTATCATATGTTTGACTACTGACTCTTCGTTTTGTTGTGTGCAATGTGTTGCAGGAAAAGCTCTTTTTCTGAGATGGACACCCACAGTGAGAAGGGTGCCAATTGTACCCTGCCAATCTATGGCTCTGTAGAACTCAAAAGAGGCTGGAGGAGGCAGAAGTGGCACCTCTTTCTGTTTAACGATTTGTTGCTTGTGTCTAATAGCAAGTACATATACATGACATGCTCTCCTGATTATCATAAGATGCATTTTTACTAACAAATTGCATTTTCATTAATCCTTACTATATGAAAATATAATTTTTTCTTCTGCTTTTGCAAATGCCTTGATCCTTCATTTACTCAACAGGTATTCTTGGAGGTCCTGTTGTGTGCAGCACCCCTGTAGAGAATATCATCAAGAATGTGACAGGCAGGGTCCCTTTTGCCTGGGACTTAATGACAGATGATAAAACTAAGAGAGGGGAAATTGCAGATTGTGAATAGTGATTCTAAGAAGAAGACAGATAGGGTACCATGTGGAGAAGATGTCACAGGGTAAGAGAGGTGTCATCCAAGAGGGCCTCTGTGAGGTGATGACATTTAAACCTGAGCTCTGGGATGAGAAGCAGCAGCATTCCTAGACCAGGTGGCTGAACCTTCTAGGCTGAGGGGACAACAGGCTTATGGTGGGTGCAGCTTGGTCCTTTGGAGGGAGGGGCTCCAGGAAGGCTGATGTGACTGGAAACAAATGCCTGGAGACATGATGTCAGACACAAGAGTGGTCACACAGGTCTTCATAGGGCATAGTGAGGGGTTGGAATATTATTCTGAAGGGTCAGTAGGGGAATGACCAAATCTGGTAAATATTTTTCGTATATTGTTCTGGCTGTTGGTAGATAACGGATTGGAGGGCAAGGAAAAGTGGAAGCAGGGAGACTAGTTAGGGAGGCAATTGTTCTGAAATATGATGACAATGGCTCTATGTTGGGAGCAACAATAGAAACGAATGATGCAGAAGGCAGAATTAGAATCTATGTTGGAGGCAGAACCAATTGCAGGTACTTTCCTCTCCACACGGAACACAAATGCAATATTAGAAAAATGGTGATTTCTTAAGAAATATCTGACATCAGGGAGATGGAAAGAACTGAATGGATGGCCATCTGTTTACCTGCTACATTTCTGTTTTCAATATTTATAAAATATCATGAAAACAAATAATATTTCAACACATAAAATCTCATCACAAAGCTTTGTCATCACCAGGGTGGAAAAAAAAAAAAAAAAAGGAAGAAAGAAACACCTTTTCTCTGCTGCCCTCATCCTGGTTTCCAATTAATCTGTGTCATAGATAAGATATGCAAGATCAAGTGATAATATTTGTAAATGCCATATTTAACCAGGGTGACAGTAATGATAGGTATGATTTATCAGGGGCAGATTATGTGTCAGGTCTTATGCTAAGGACTTTATGTGCCCAATCTTGTCTAATCCTTACAGCTGCTCTTGTGAGATTGAGATGGGGCTATTTTCCGTGTTTTACAGAAGGCCTTGAGGCTCAGAGGTCTAATGCTTCCCCCAGGTCACCACATTATTAGTTAGTGGAGTTCACATTTGAAATTCGATCTGTTTATTTCAAAGCACAGGCTGTTACCCAACATGTAGTGCTCCTGCCTCTATTCTTTATTTCTTTTCTTTTGGATTTTATAGAAGATTCCACAACTATTTGGTTTTTCTCTTACCAGCAAAATCAACCTTTCCCTTGCCGTGAGTAAAAGACCAACTTGCATCTGCTTGGTATGCAGTAAAAAATGGAGCAGATTGCACAGTGACTGGAGAAATGAATGAGAAGTCCAGCTATGAAAAAAAGTCAGAGACAAAAATGAAGATAATAAAATATATTTTGGATGAGTGCAATTGCCTAAATATGTAACTGTCAAGCTGGTGAGGTCATAAAGAGAACAGAAGATTATCTAGGTCTGGGCGTGAGGTCCAAGTGAAGTGCCCTGAAAGAGCCACTGATAGAGAATAAGTTACTACTGAGAAATATTTTTAGATTAGTTACCATTCTCTGTATTTAACCCAAGTAAGTACATATAGGAAACTAAAATTTACTGGAGAGATTCACAGGACCATACTAGAAACATCACCGAGGGCTCACCTAGTTTTCCAAAGTGCCTTCCAAGGCAGGTATTATCATCTCGAGGTTTTAGATATGAAAATGGAGGCTGAGAAAGGAACAGTAAGTGGCCCAAGGTCAAACACTGGGAAATTGCAGGAGAGACTGGAGTTCCTTGGACTGGAGTCCAAGGCTGTGCTCTTCCTGCTACCCCTCATTGTAACCAACCATGCTCAGCCTGAGAGATAAACAAGCAACTGGAGTTCTCATTCTCTGCTTCTTAGGACCTTGTGACCACTCATGTTTGATTTTTAAGGGACACATGTTTTACTCTACTTCTTTTTTCTTAACCTTTGTAATTATGATAGTATTTAGGGAGAGTAGACCTTAATTTTCTTACCAGAAGCCATTTATGTCCTAGACACTGATAACCCGTTAATGGGTTTTATAGAACCCGTAGTATTTTGCTAAAGACATTTCCTATAAAGACAATGTTCCCTTTCTGCTAGAAAATTTCATATATTTAAGAGCTGAATTTTTATTTTCCTTGGCTCATTATTACACACATGTGCAACATTTTTCATTTTTTGAATACTGCTTTGAGATAGTTCTTTGTATCCACGCAAATGTTTTCATGATGTGATGAAATATATATAAAGTTATTTAATAATATCCTTGTTTAAGATGTGCTGTTCCTGAAAGATCATTTTTATATACATTTTACATTCATTGGGATTATTAGAAAGTGTAAGTCATCTAAAACATCTGAAATTGGTTTGTAAGCCCAAGGTCTTTGAGATAGAGAAAACAGATTTTTTGAGAAAGTGGCTATCAGCACTGAATGCTACCACCTTGTACAAGTTTTTACCATAATTTTTACATTAGAAAATTCTGCTCTCAAATATTAAAGTCAGATGAGGACTTCATGATTACTCTTTATATTCATTAGAATGATAAATAGAAAGTTGTTTTTCCAATAAAATTATGACTTTTATTTATTTATTTATTTTCTTTTATTTATTTATTATTATTATACTTTAAGTTTTAGGGTACATGTGCACAATGTGCAGGTTAGTTACATATGTATACATGTGCCATGCTGGTGCGCTGCACCCACTAACTCGTCATCTAGCATTAGGTATATCTCCCAGAGCTATCCCTCCCCCTTCCCCCCACCCCACAACAGTCCCCAGAGTGTGATGTTCCCCTTCCTGTGTCCATGTGTTCTCATTGTTCAATTCCCACCTATGAGTGAGAATATTCGGTGTTTGGTTTTTTGTTCTTGCGATAGTTTACTGAGAATGATGATTTCCAATTTCATCCATGTCCCTACAAAGGACATTAAGACAGAATGTGCTTTATAAATATTAAGGTATTAATACTACTGGAGGTCCACGAAGAACTTACAAAAAGAAAGAGGCTGTACTTAGCTCACACCCTCTTTAGCCACCACTGCCATCTTATTTAAAAAATAGAGAATGAAAAATGAATTTTGTTTAGGTCAAAAATGAAGATGACTATTGACTTATTATCAATGGAATTACAAACAGATACTTATGGAATATGCCACGACCCTTACTCAGAAGCATCTGAGGGAACATCTCTATCTTAGAACTGGGGAAATATCCTTAGAATCCTGTAAATTTTCATGGTTCACTGGGGCTTCTACTCCAGTATAAAGACAGGTAGATCTCCTCCTCATCCTCCTCCTTCTCCTTTTTCTTCTTCTTTCTCCTCTTTCATCCTACTTCTTCTCTTCCTCCTCTCCCCCTTTTTTCTCCCTCTTCTCTTACTTCTTCTTCCTCTTTCCCTTCTTTTGCTGCTACTCCTATGCTTCCTCATCTTCCTCCTCCTCCTATGAGCCAGTTTATGTTAGACTCATACTTTCTCATTTCTACTGAAATAGTATAACAGTGTCAGTGATTGAAGAAACAGAGGGACTCTACAAGAATCCATTTGAACACAAAGCTATGTTGTAATACATTTAAAACATTTCCAAGGTATCTAGCTTTGTTGATATAATGTCATAAGATTTATCCCCTCATTCTCAAAGAATAATTCCATCAGCAAACCTGATGACTCTGGGGAAAAGAAGGGCAAGGGCAAGAATGATGAAGGGACTATTCTTCAACGCAAGAGCTTTAGAAGGTGGGTCAACACCTGCAGACGTTAAGTAATTTTGAGGATAGGCTTGCAAGTTAGGTCGTCTGTATTACAATGTGGGCAATTTACTTAACCTCTCCATGAGTTTCTTCATCTATAAAATGGGGCTAATAGCGACTATTTCATGTAGCTATTTGAGGAGTAAATAAAATAATGTGCATTAAATATTTAGAAGAGTGATTAGCACATGGTAGATGCTTAACAAATATTGTAGGAGAATGGAAACTATGTTCTGGACTTTGATAACTCCTTGGTTTGGTTTCAAGGAAGTAGATAATCTTAGCACTTTATTGAACTAAAGGGAAAAGTACTCAAATAAGTTACTCAGGTCAATATATATGGAAGTTTCCATACAGAATGTTAGGTATTTGTACAGATAGATACCTACATTAGAAAATTTAAAAATCTGTAAAAACAAGCAAGTGTGTGTCTGTATTCTGAGTAGAACATACATTTTTAGTTTGATTAGTACCTTTAGAGCTGCTACCTAGAAAAATAATTTTATCTGATAATTTATTGTTTCATAAAAATCTTCAATTACACAAACATAGGGTAAAAAATGTTAAAAAATATAGAAAGATGCCCCCTTTTATCACAAGACACTTTTCTTATAATCAATATGCCCTAAGCTTTGCATCTAGATTATTTTTCATGTATGCTTCCAGCAAAGTTATTTCCATTTCATAAATTCCATTGAAGAGTTTTAATGTTAAGTGTCCCATGAATGAATGAAGTCACAGGGAGATTTCCACATGAGATGTCTTTGATCTTGTTGTAGCTTTAGTGTTTCCACAAGTACTTCTGACTAGTGGGAAGTCCCCGAGTGCTGTGCCCACAGTGCCTGTGAATCCTTCATCAGGCTTATAACTATTTAAAACGCAGGTCCACCTGAGCATTAAATATGTAAATTAACCCAGGAGATATGGTGGTTTCTATGTTAGAGGGCTAAGGTGGATTAGGCAGAAATGGTCAAAAAGCAATTTCACTGCTGACAAAGTTGATCACCTTCTTACTCTCCATAGATAAATGGGAAGTGTGTCCATTACTTACATAGAAGACCTGCTGGCCTCTGGTTGGGATTTGTTTGGTTTTGTTTTCTAAGTTAGATTCAGTCTGTAGGCTATAGTTTTTCAGTTTTAATCAGAATCTATAAAAAAGTGGTGTGAACAAAATCTTAAGAAAGGAAATTTAAAATAACCTATGCTTTAAAGGCTAGAAAGTATTACAAAAATCAAAGTTAAAATGTATTTTACATCCCTGTAATCCAAGGTTATATTTTTTAGTCTAAGTACGAATTTTATAAATACTTTTAAAAATCGTGTACTTTTAAATTTTTGTTGAGAACCTAAATTTTTTGAAGCAAGACATAGATAATAAATGAATTAATGGTTCTATAAAAAAGCAGTATCTTTATAAGATAAAGTATGGTCCACAGCTGTTTTCTACCCTCCGTAAAGTGTGTGGCCAGGCTTCTCTCAGGACACACTTTGCAAATGCCCATCTGGCTATTCCATGGCGTGTGTCCAGTAATAGAGATGAATGAGAGGCATGCTTTGCCCTGGAACAGGGAGAACTGGTGTCTTCCCATGAGCAGAGCTGCTCCTACAATATTTAAGAAACAAACAGAGATCTTGCTTGATTGTCTTTCTAGGTATAGAAATTTTTCTGATAAAAAATAAAATACCTCTGAATAAGCTGTGTGCAGCTGACTGTGCAGACAAAGTTGGGAAAGGCCACACCTGTGCCAAGGGGTGCCTTCTCTTGGGCTGGCCCATGGTGAATTTTGTGGCCACCTTCCGGTAAGACCCCAGCTACTGGTAAGACCCCAGCTTGGCCCTGTGTTTATAGGAGTTAGCTATGAAAGAACACAGTCAACTTCATAGTGTCTAGGACAGGTAGAAAAATGTAATTAAAATTTTCTCTGAACTTTCTTGAAATGCAAAACATTATAATATGATGTCTATTAAGCCAGTAACTCACTTTTGACCTCCTCTATGACACTTATATGCTTTGTACTTTCCCCAAAGAGGTTTTTATGTGCAGATATGTGTAAATAGTCATTAAAGTGTGGAACCATTGGAACAATTTTCTTCGGCTTTGGTCAGTTGTTTTTCGACAGTGCTCTTTGAGTACTTGGGGAGTGAGTGTGCAGGGGTTGTGGAGAGTTGAGGGAACAAGGCTGTAGGCCTCCCTCTCCAACATCCTCCTTCCATTATGCCCAGTCTTATCTGTGTTTTTAAACTTCTAGAATAGATCATTCTTCACTGAGTATTATTCAATAGTCCATTTAAGTTTGAAAAAATGCTTTTATACTCCTAAACTGATTTCCCAAATAAATAGTATTTAATGATACAAATAGACCTGGTGCCATGTCTTATGTTTGTAATCCTAGCATTTTGGGAGGCGAAGTGGGAGGATCACTTGAGGTTAGGAGTTTGAGACCAGTCTGGGCAACATAGCAAGACCCCATCTTAAAAAAAAGTATATACATACAAATAAAATTAATGACATCACCAAATACTGGGTTGCCTGAATTGTTATGTAGCAGACTATCATATTTGGTATCCATAGAGAGATAACAATCGAAAAGAATAGTTTGACTAATGGAGCATAGGCTAGTTTTCCAATACACATTCTTAGTCTGGTATGAGGATGGGTAATGTGGCTTCCTACCCTGGATATCCTTTCGTTGACATCGGGTTCAGGTTCACAGGGATCATGCAACATGTATCTCCTGCTCTGAGCAACCACACACCAAGTGTCATACTTGTTTTACACAGCAAGGGTTCAACGTATGCACTCTTCTTTCCTCCTCACTCCACTCCACCAAAATCTCATGCATCATCATAAAGTTGAAACAACTAAAATGTTTCCAAGTTCTTAATCTACTAAATTCTATAATTCACCTACCTACTTAAGGAAAACATTTCCAAAGCTTACTGGGAACAAATACATGTTTGTATCATTCCCTGCATATCTTGTTTTCCATGACAGATTTCCGTAAAGGTGATTAGTTCCTATTGCTTAATGCCTTCTCCATGTTGCAGGTGAAAGCAAGCAGTTTAAATACCTTTTAATCAAAGAGAAGCCTTTGATTAGAAGGTTTCTAAGAAACTTTTTTTAATGATGGAGGAAATGTGGAAACCAGGTTTACAAATGTCATATTGGCTATAAAGCCATATGGATATGTAAAAGGCAATTACAACAATGCCTGGCAACTAGTTCTTTTGCTATTTGCTGTTATTACTCTTCTACAGTTTGGCCTGAGTAGTAAGACACTGTATCCATATAGGTATGCAGATTGGGGGCAGTGGGCAGTGGCAACTGGGAGTGGGAGAGCTGTTGCTAGTGGATATATAAAATGTGGCAGACCCTGCGGAAAAGTTTGATGGTTCCATAATAAGTTAAATACAGAATTACCATTTGACTTGGCAATTTATTCCTAAGTATAGACCGAATAAAAATAAAAAACATAACATCTACACAAAACTTTGGCACAAATGTTTATAGCAGTATTGTATTAATATATAATTGCCAAGAAGTGGAAACAAACAAATGTTCATCAGCTGATGAATAGATAAACAAAATGTGGTACAGGTGCTGAGGGCAGCGGGGAATGAGGGGTGAGTGACTGCTTGACAGGCATAGTGTGTGCTTTAGCGGTAATGAAAATGTTCTGAAACTAGAATGTGTAGCTGGTTTCAAAATATTGTGAATGTACTAAATGTCACTAATGGACAATTGCATGCTATATGCAATTTGCTACTTTTTTAAAAAAAAAGCTAGAGGTTTATAAGTCCTTACAAATGAGCCTTAACATATTCTCAATTTGGATATGGAACACTGCAGTGAAATAGTGGAGAAAATATTACTCATTAGTAAGAAACAGGTGAATTGATCTCAATCAGAGAATTGTAGCAATGAGGAGTAAGTTTTCTAGGAACCAATTAACCTATTGCAATTTATTTATCTTGTAAAGAAATAAAATATTGGCTTTTTTTCTCTAAAAAATGTATTGTTTCTTGGCCAAGAGTGTTCCATCCAAATGCCAAATTTCTTGTCTGATTTAACCTGAAAAATAATATTCTTTATATTTGAATAGCACTTCAAGCTATAAGAACAATTGGAGGTTTAATTAACACGCGTTTCAGTTGTGGAAACCGGAGCTCAGAGCAGTTAAGTGACTTGCCTGTGATGACATAGCTTGCATCACATAGTTATAATTAAGTGTTTAACTTCCAAACCAACCTGTCTTGCACTCTGAGATCTATTTCCCCTCACTGTAATACTGCCTGTGAAAGAGCAGGGCCCATCAAGGCCCAGTTATGAGGAAGGTACAATTTACACATGTACCCACATCATAACAACCAGCTGCCGACATTTTTATCTAGAATGACAGTCTTAATATGTTGTTATAAATATTTTATGTAGTTTAACTTTTTCTCCCATTTTTAAAAATTGTAGTTCTTCAGAACTGAAGGAATGCTGGTGCTCTTTCCTAGAAAGGCATTTTATTCTGTCAGTATACATATTTTAAATATTTAACTTGTGATAAAAATGCAAATCTCTATTCACATTCCCCTTTTTATAATAGAAATTTTTAGACTATCCTCAAACAATTTATCCTGGCTGCCTTGTAAATAATGTTCTCTCATTTACCTGCATATTTTTTTAATTTTTATTTTTGAGGAAGTGCTGATTACCACTCTCATCTTTCTCTTCTCTCCCCATTATAGATGGGAGATAACATTATTCTTTTATTTATTTTTGAGACAGAGTCTCACTCGGTTGCCCAAGCTGGAGGGCAGTGGCGGGATCATGGCTCACTGCAGCCTCAACATCCCTGGGCTCAGGTGATCCTCTCACATCAGCCTCCGGATTACAGGTGTACACCATTATGCCTAGCTAATTTTTTGTATCATTTTGTAGAAGAAGAGTTAGACCATCTTGCCAAAGTTGGTCTCAAACTCCTGGGCTCAAGCAACCCACCCACCTCGGCCTCCCAAAGTGCTGGGATTACAGGTGTGAGCCACCATGCCCAGCCTATTCTTAAGACATAGAGTAAATTTCCAAGCCAGGAATGGTGGCTTGTGCCTGTAATCCCAGCTACTCCAGAGGCTGAGGCAGGATGATTGCTCTAGGCCAGGAGTTCAAGACCATCCTGGCCAATAGTGAGACTCCATCTCTCCATTAAAATAAAAATTTAAAAATAATGAAAGAAAAAATTTTCATAAATGTAGGTTACTCTACTGAGTGATTCTCAAAGCAGCTGCTACTTTCTACTCCTGAACCCAGAAAGATGGTAGGCCTTCCAATCCAGGCAGGAGTGCATGAGAATGAGATTGGTTCTGCTGCCCATATATTTTATTACAGAGCAACCTGTTATTTTCTGGGACATGTCTTATTTCCTGAAATATTCTGCACATTTTCCCAATCCACAATTTGATCTTGCTTAGTCTAGTCGTACATTTTAAAAAATAACATAAGGTATACTAAAAATATTAGCAACAAAGATTGATTCAATAATAAGCTCTTAGCTAATTTATGCTACTCTGGCATTATTATTAAATCCAATTTATTATTAGATTTATTTTATTTATTAGATACATCTAATTTATTATTAGATTTAATATTATTAGATTTAATTTATTATTATATTAGGTACATAAATCTAGCCAAAGAAAAGGACCACCCGAAGAACATTCCCCTTCAAATCTTCACTGAGGACATCAAGAAATGTGCCTCTGTAAGTGTTTTTAAGACCAAAAATTAAATTCAAAATTCCAGACTTAGGCAGAATGAAAGGGAGAGACAGAGTTGACAGAGCTAGAATGGGGAGGAAGGGAAGGAGAGATAAAGGGAGGAGAGAAAGAGTATTTAAAAAGTACCAAATGGAAAACTATATTTTTATATATTCGTGTATGCTTTTGCATGTATAAAAAGAAAGTGCTAGGCAATATGAAGCAAGAGGATCCATTTTAACTACAGTGCTTAAGCTTGAAAGGAATATTGCATGTTAAATATCTGTAGACTCTAGTGGTTTGTTGTAGTAAAGTGATTTTCGCAAGCAGGAATTTCTTGTTGAAATTAAACATTTTTTTTTCCAATTGTCACTACTTACAGACACAGTAGTTTTGGTTGTTTCCAGGTTTTTAAAAAACGTTTATTTTATTTTTAAAAGTTATTCACTTGGAAATAATTGTAAACATACAGAAAAATACAAAATAATGCAAAGAACACCCGTATGCTATTTACCCAGATTCACCTATGTTGTACCAGTTTACCACATTGATTTTCCATGTATTTTCATTCTCTGTCTGTCTCTGTCTCTCTCTCTTTTTTCTCCATTTATGTGTATGCGTACACCTGTTTCAAAGGACAGTTATGTACACTATGGCCCCTGATTCTTAAATACTTACGCATTTCCTAAGAATAAGGTTATTCTCTTCATAACCATCATTCAGCTGTCAACTTTAGTAAACTTAACATTGGTCGCATATTTTAATCTCCCATTCACGTTCCGATTTTGTCAGTTGACCCAAATAATGTTCCCTTTCTAGCCCAGGTAATGCAGTTAATTGCTATGTCAAATACACAGAGTTTTGAGTCTTTCATTCTGAAGAATGTCAGAATTGAACTGAGCTGAAAGGGACATCACTTTTAAGTGATCAGCATGTTTCTACCTCATTTCTTTTATGCTGTTGGTTTTTAAAAAAAATCAAACTTTTACCTTCAAATATTGTGTAAGTTTTGATATCTGAAGTTGTAGTGCAGTAGCCAGGTTGTTCATAATGATGACAAGATATTCTTCATATATTTTTATGGCACCTTACTCTTTACAGCAGCTCTGATCATGCAAAATAGTATCTGTAGGAGGAAAAAATGATATTTCAAAAAAGTTATTTCCTGGCCAATAGCAAAAGCCATGCGAATGTTCTGACCTATTTCCAAATACCAGATGCATTGCTTGAGGGAGCTGAGACTAGAGAGGCCTCCTGTGGGGAAGGACACTCTTGTCTGCCTGCTTTGATTTCATTGTGGCAAATGATAACATTCAGCACTTTTCATGAAAACTTGCCCTGAAATTTAAAAAAGTAAACTTTATTTAGTTATAATTTAGATGAAAGAAACATTTCTAATGCTCATCACTCATTTCCAAGTTCCACTCATCACTCATAGCTCCAAGTTTCCCTTTAATACTGTTTCATTTCATTTTATAGAAACTTTTCTTACCATTTCTTATAGTGTAGGTCTGGTGCCAACAAATTTTCTTAGTTTATTTTTAATTTAAAAAATGTCTTTATCTCACCTTCACTCTTGAAAGATATTCTCCTTAGATATAGAATTTTCCTTGCCAATATTTTTCTTTCAACACTTTAATGCTACTTCACTGTTTTTTGGTCTCTTTGCTTTCTGATGAGTAGTCTAACATCATTAAACATTGATCTTCTGTCTTTGATTTTTCATCTTATTTTTACTGCTTTCAATATTTTCTATTTATTTTTGGCCTTGAGTAGTTTGATTATGATGTGTCAAAGCCCAGTTTTCTTTGAATTTATTCTAGTTGGCATTTTCTGAAGTTACTGATTTTGTTAATTTTTATGTTTTACCAAATTTGGGAAATTTTTAGCCGTTATTACTTCAAGCATTTTTTTTCCATCCCATTTTCTTTCTTCTGTCATTCTGGGATTCAGTTACATGTAAAACTTTTTTTTTTTCTTTTGAGACAGGGTCTCACTCTGTCACCCAGGCTGGAGTGCAGTGGCATGATCTCGGCTCACTGCAACCTCTGCCACCTGAGTTCAAGCAATTCTCCTGCATCAGCCTCCCAAGTAGCTGCAATTACAGGAACTCACCACCATGCCAAGCAATTTTTGTATTTTTAGTAGAAACAGGGTTTTACCATGTTGGCCAGGCTGGTCTTGAACTCCTGACCTCAAGTGATCTGCCCTCCTCGGCCTCCCAAAGTTCTAGGATTACAGGTGTGAGCTACTGCACCCATCCCATGTAAAACTTTTTAAAATTTCATTTTTATTTTTAGACACACAATTATACACATTTATGGGGTAAATAGTGATGTTTCAATACATGCCATGTATAATGATCAGATCAAGGTAATTAGCATATTCATCATCTCAAACATTTACCCTTTTCTTGTGTTGTGAACATTCAATTTTCTCTCTTCTAGATATTTGAAAATGTATATTATTGTTAACTATAATCATCCTACAGTGTGATAAAACACTAGAAGTTATCCCTCCTATCTAGCTGTAATTTTGTGTCCTTTAACAAATCTCTTCTTATCCTTCGATTTCCCCTGCCCTTCCCAGCATCTAGTAGCCTCTATTTTCCTTTTTAATTTCTTAAGATCAAGTTTTCTTTAGCTTCCACATATGAGTGACAGAATGCATTTATTGAACCTGTTGATATTGTTCACAGGTCCCTTAGGCTCTGTTCATTTATTTTTAATCCCTTTTTTTTTCTCCTTCTTCAGATTGGACACTTTCTATGGATTTATTTTCAATTTCACTGATTCTTTCATTTGTTATCTCAGTTATGCTATTTAGCACATCAAGTAAATATTTTCATGTATTTGTCAGATTTAAAATGCCTGTTTTGAAATATATACTATGTCTATGATGAGATTGTCTATATTGTTACTTGTGAAATTATTTTTCTTTACATAATTGAGCATAATTATAACAACTGTTTTTTGTTTCATAATTTGAACATCTAGATCACCTTAAAGTTGGCCTCAATTGGAATTGGTTACATTTTCCTAGATTTTCATATGTTAAGAAACACTTTAGCTCATATGAAGAAAATAGCCACATTTCAATTTTTTAGGAAATTATTTAATAGTTTATTTTTTTAAAATACTTGTTTATAAACAGCACTACCTACTGGAATTTTTCTGTTTTGTCTACAAGGAGAACAGCATTAGGAAGAAATACACATATCTTTGTAATTATTATTTGGGACTTAATATGTTCCTTATGCCATGAAAACCCATTATCCTACAAACCATATTAAGAGATGCATATTGTCATTTTAAAAGAGATTTTTACTTCACCAAAGATTTCATGGTAGAATTTTAAAATTATATGAAAGGACTTTCAGACATTTTAAAAAATAGCAGAACCTTTCCTTCTAATTAAATCCCACACTAGAGCCCAGAGCTTGCACCCTCCTAGACACTTTAGCGTAAGCAGCCCTGATATCCCTGAGTTTGGGTGCTCTGAGCCCTGCTGTTGGGTTCTGAGACACTTGTTCACAATCCTTAGATCTACAAGCAGCACAGTTTGAAATCGATGAATATAAGATGACTTTGTTCATAAAAATCCAATTAATAACTTTCAGCACCATCTGTCCTGTCAAGCAGTTAGTCCATAAGAAAGAAAAATCCAACGAAAAGAATAGTAATGAATTGTAAAAGAGTTTCCTCTAATTTTGTTTTTAACATCATCTTTAAGGCGCATGAGAGTCCACTTATGCTTTTTGTCTTCTTTAAGCACTGTTTATCAGAGAAAGGAGCCCTCATTATGGATGCATATGCATAGTAAATGTTCTTAGTTACATATTTACTTATTTTAAAATAATGTATTTTGAAATTCAGAGTGCAATAGTTGTCATCTCAGAATCCTATTAATCCTTTTGGGTTATTTTCTGCAAATTGTCTTCCTGTTTTTATGGAGCAGTTTCTCAATGTGAAGTGCAGTAGAGAGCTACTATAGATACCCTATTCGTTGGCAGAGTTGGAAATGGAACTTAAATTTCTAAAATTTTATTTAATTGCCTCAATAGATTTCAACAATGAAGTTCTTAGTAACCATGATATCCAGCACAGAGAAAATGCTTGCCACACAGGGGTTTAAAAGATGTCTTTTATAGCTAGTTCTTATTCTGATTGTACTAGAACTGCATTTGTGATGTGCAAAGATATAAGCCATATGATAAAAACACAACCCAGGAAGAGAGAAACAGCCCAGCTCCTCCTTTTTAAACTGTTCTCTCCATTGCGGAAGTAGCCTCCCGAGGCTGAGGGGCAGCCCCTGTGCCCTCTGTGAATTCTCAGTCTTTCTATTTCTTGACTGTGCTGTTATCTCACAAGCGCCACAAGTCCTTTATTTTAAGAGAGAGATATATGTTTTACTGAAATTCTTTGTACTGGCTTCATGTTATATAAAGGAATGAAAATAAATTATAATTAAGGATTCAGGCTCTACATGTGCTTAACTTTGTCATTACCTGGAAATAAGCTGTGTCTTTGGAATACAGCTAATAATTTGACAATAATTATTTAATCTTATGCAATAAATTCCAAATTTATAGTAATTTTTCTCATTTCTTTTTTACGGTCTATAACCATAGTGATAACAAATTCAGACACAACAAATGACATAATCGACATGTCACTACTAAAGCTAGGAATAACTGTAAGTTATCTATAAGTTATTTTTGTTAAAAACCAACTTTGATTTTTGAATTTATATACATTCAACTATATATGTGTATATGTACATGAACACACATACACACATGTGTTTGTATAATGCACCTCCCATGATAAGACAGCTATTATAGATATCAAAGTCATATTTTGTACTCCCACATTTAGGAATGGAAGGCAACAAAGGTATTTTTTTATTTTTTTATATTTTAGATGGAGCTCACTCTGTTGCCAGGCTGGAGTGCAGCAGCGCAATTTCGGCTTACTGCAATTTCTGCCTCCCAGGTTCAAGTGATTCTCCTGCCGCAGCCTCCCAAGTAGCTGGGACTACAGGCACCCGCCACCACGCCCGGCTGATTTTTGTATTTTTAGTAGAGACAGGGTTTCACCATGTTGGCCAGGATGGTCTCCATCGCTTGACCTTGTGATCCACCCGCCTTGGCCTCCCAAAGTGCTGGGATTACAGGCATGAGCCACCGCGCCCGGCCTAACAAAGGTATATTTTAAATTTGGTGTGAACTGAAAGTGAAAACATAATGAAATCAGGCTACAGTTTTAGAGCACTAACATATATGTGTAAATATATATGTTATTGGTGCTCTAAAACTGTAGCCTAATTTCAATATATGTTTGAGTATATATTGAAATTTGATATATATTCAACTATATAATCAAATATATATTGAAATTTGATATATACATACAATTTTAGAGCACTAATATAATTATGCTAGTACTTTCAGTTCACACCAAATTTAAAATGGAAATACAAGAAGTGTACCCACATATAAGCTAATATTATATTATACCTTTGTTGCCTTCAATTCCTAAGTGTGGGAGTACAAAATATGACTTTGATATCTATAATAATCAGCTTTCTTATGATGGGTACACATATACAATAAAATTTTGTAAAATTCTTGATAAAAAGTTCCAAACTCTTCGACTGCACTGTTCTTTCAATATCTTTTTTCCTGGTTCCTCTCCTCTCGTACTTATTACTCACTCTGATTATCACCAAGGGCTCAATCTCAGTATGAAGAGTCCTAAAGCATACATTTTGTTGTAAGTTTGGCACAAAGAACACCTGGCTAGAAACCACATCCCCTGGATGCTGATCCTGAGAATTCGATATCTGATGCCTCTCCTGAATTTATAAAGGAAGAGTGGTGTGTCCACCAGTGCCTACAAATCCATGGCCTCCAGGTTTGCATGACTTTTGTTTTCAAGTGTATGTTTCTTTATGTTTTGATGGAGCTAGTATAAGTTGTTGAGTTTTTTTAGTGGAAGAGGTTGACATATTTGAGGATGAAGATGAGGGTTGCATAAGAGGAAAGAGGTAAGTCCACATAATTGAGAACTTTTATTGAAGAGTGACATTCAGATGGACAGAAACAAGAAAATACTTGTATAGCATGGCTTCTTATATAAAACTTCCCACCAACATGAAAACATGTTGTTGTGGTGACATGATGTGAATATTTTAAGTTTTGTTTGAGTGTTATAATAAAGCCCCTTAAAAACTCAAAACAACCAGAATTTTGCATAAGAAATCAATTATTTCTGAACTAGCGGATTTGTGTAACACATTTAAAACAAAATTGAACTTGTATGTACTAAGTAAAGCAGACACTTCTGCATTGCTTTCTAACCTATATGATATGTGTGACCTATAAGAATGTAATCTTGGGCTGGGCACGGTGGCTCACGCCTGTAATCCCAGCAGTTTGGGAGGCCGAGGTGGGTGGATCACCTGAGGTCAGGAGTTCGACACCAGCCTGGCCAACATGGTGAAACCCTGCCTCTACTAAAAACACAAAAAAAATTAGCCAGGCGTGGTAGGGGGCACCTGTAATCCCAGCTACTGGGAAGGCTGAGGCAGGAGAATTGCTTGAACCTGGGAGGCAGAGGTTGCAGTGAGCCGAGACTGCACCATTGCACTCCAGCCTGGGCGACAGAGCAAGACTCTGTCTCAAAAAAAAAAAAAAAAAAAAAAGAATAAAAAAGAAGAATGTAATCTTGTCTTGAAGACAGCAAGTGGTTTTAGGTGTGGGATTGGGGAGATTAATTAAAAATAAAATGTAGCTTAATTTATTTCAGGTTTGTGATTTTCCTTTTTTAAAAAATGACCAGTCTTACTAGACAACAAAGGAATCCTATTGCAATCAAGAATTGAGGTTATGGCCGGGCGCGTTGGCTCACGCCTGTAATCCCAGCACTTTGGGAGGCCGAGGCGGGCAGATCATGAGGTCAGGAGATCGAGACCATCCTGGCTAACACAGTGAAACCCTGTCTCTACTAAAAATACAAAAAATTAGCCGGGCGTGGTGGCGGGCGCCTGTAGTCCCAGCTACTCAGGAGGCTGAGGCAGGAGAATGGCGTGAACCCAGGAGGCGGAGGCTGCAGTGAGCCGATATCACACCACTGCACTCCAGCCTGGGTGACAGAGCGAGACTCTGTTTAAAAAAAAAAAAAAAAAAAAAGGTTATTTGGCTAGATATGTATACCTGACTTAAGGGATTTCAACAGAACGCTTCCAAACTTTACATTAAAAGATTTTTATTAGATCTTACTCCCTATTTGCAATACAATTTTGAGAAAATATGCTCTCTCTCTCTCTCTCTGTCTGTGTGTGTGCGTGTACATGTGTGTGCATGAGAGAGAGAGAGACAGAAAGGCAGAGAGCCTCCCTACCTAGGACACTCCATAAGGACAAGGCCATGATTTTTATTAAGGAATGAAGGGCAATCATAGCGCTTATCAAGAATAACTCCATTTGAAACATGCTTTCGCTTTAGCCTTTCTTGAAAGACTATTTACAATAATTCAGCATTCTACATAATTTAGATATGTCTGTGGCAAGATTGCCAGTATTGCTGGGCAATACTTCTGCTGTGGATAATTGTTCTTTGCATCTGGCCTGGTCCCCAGGTCAGTGTTTGTCCCTTCTCTCCCCACAGTAGGGCTTATCTGAATGAAAGCCAGAGGCCTGACTTCACTCTCACATCTCTTCAAGACCTCTTGGGCATTTGTCTCTTTGTGCTCAGGTTTAATGAGCTTCTGATGCCTTCCATGTGGATGTATCGCTGTCTGTGCAACAGGCTTGTCTGGGCAGGGAGATGTGAAGGCAAAGTTCAACATTCTCCAAAAAGTCTGTATAGCAGAAAGCATGACTCCCCAGCTAGCCTTTTCTTTTTTAGTGAGGGAGTGTATATGTGATTTTGTATTCCATGGGTCACTCAGAAAGTGAGGGATTGATTGCACTGTGGTTTCACAGATCCATGGCCTTTCAAAAGGGACAAGGCAAGAATCTGGAATAGTTTATTAGAAGCTGGGTGGAAAACAGGGGTTACTGAAATCAGCCCTGTTAACTCAAAAACCATGGCCAGCCCCATAGATAAAATTGCATTTTGACTGGTCCTAGTTCCTTTCCTTTCTGAAAATGTAGAAATCCTAAGGAAGTGTGATCCTCTTCAAATATTTACTGTGAAAGATTTGTTGTAATTCTTATTAGTTCATTTTGTCTTTAAGGGTGCTGAGAAAGATTACCAGTTATGGGTCAGGTCTGGCAAAAAAGAGTCCCCATCCCCACTTTCCTAAGTGTCAAGGAAAATCTAAAATGAGATTGATTGGGTTCGAAATTGTAACTCTAAAGTCTCCAAGTATTGATTGTTCGTTGCTTGGTCTTAAGGTTGAACATGTTTAAAAGCAACAATCTTACGCAATATTTATTCATACATTCAACAAATAATGGCCAAACACTTACTTTATCCCAGGTACCTGATAACATCTATTCATTCAGCAACTTATGGTCTAATTGGGAAGAAAAATGTTTTGTTTTGTTTTTTTTTGAACTGTCTGCTCTTTTAATTGACAAACAGCTTTCTTGAAAGAAACTATTTTTTGTCACGAAATTAGCATGTATTCGAATTTCTTTTTCCCCGTGTGAAAACTCTGTTTCATTTCCTAACTACTAGGTAACTTCTACTTTGTAAGGAATTTCTAAAATCCAGTCATGCCTCTGAATCCAAGTACAAATATTTATTTAACACCTGCTTAATGCCCAGAACTTTTCTCAGGATAATGAAAATATGATTCAGACTTCTGAAGAGCTTTCCTGACTGACCAACTTGGACTTTGCTGTTTCTTAGGTTGAATTTTCTAGCATTTGTCCTTGAGGTTATTGATGAGTAGATTATGCCTATCCTAAAACAGGTATTAGGATAATTTATCTAATGAAAGATAATTCTTACATTACCAACATTTTTAAATGTGATTAATAGAAACAGAGTGATTAAAACGAGGGAGGGGATTGGATCTGTGGCTGACCTTGCAATAGCGTGATGGTGATGATTTCTGCTAAAAGTCATAGAGCATTCCCTCTTACCTGCATTCTTTCTCTCTTTTCCTTTATCCTTTCAAGAATCATGTGAGGCCATTACTGTGTAATGCAGGATGTTTTCAAGTGATTCAAAAAAATCTAAACTACCAAGTTGTTTTCTATGTAATATACATTCTCATCTAGAAAACAGTGTCACCAAGTACATAGCTGAGAACAAAATTCACTCATCCATTTCATTTTTGAAATTAATGTTGACATCTTTGCAAAAATATTAGCAATAAAGTAAGTTAAAAAAAGTAAATGAATACTGGAAATATATTTATTTAAATAAAATGTTTTAATTTAGCTAAAACAGTGTCTAAATGACAGATAACTCTTAGGCCTAGAGCAGCACCACTCATCATGGCTAGCACTAAGAAATCCGAAGAGTCTATCACTCATGATGGCTCCTGAGTAACCATGCTGAATGCATATTTTAAAATGTTCTCAATCATTGATTGTGGATTAACTGCTGGTTATCCTGAGGAGTTGGTTTTATTGTGTAGCTCTCATAGAAGCTTCTTTTGCCTTACAAAATGCAAATTGTAATTCATGTTCTAAACAAAGTATTGACATACTATCAATGCCAGATGAAAAAGAAAAAACAAGAGCTCACCAGGATAAATTCAGTGAAAAATGGGAAAAGGGAACTTTATTCTTAAAAAAAAAAAAAAAAAAAATCTTAAGAGCTGTGAGACAGAAACACCAGGTAACCTACTTATAAAGGAAAACATATCAGATTAACAGCAGATTTCTCAGCAGAAACCCTACAAACCAGAAGGGATTGGGGCCCTGTCTTCAGCCTCTTCAAACAAAACAATTATCAGCCAAGAATTTTGTATCCAGCGAAACTATGCATCATATATGAAGGAAAGATATAGTAATTTTCAGACAAACAAACCCTCAGAGAATTAACCATTACCAAGCCACCAATACAAGAATTGCTAAAAGGAGCTCTAAATCTTGAAAACAAATCCTGGAAACACATCAAAACAGAACCTCTTTAAAGCATAAATCACACAGGACCTATAAAACAAAAATACATGTTAAAAAGCAAAAGCAAAAAAAAAAAAAACCCAAAGTACACAGGCAACAAAAAACACCATGAATGCAATGGCACCTCACATTTCAAAACTAATATTGAATTTAAATGGCTTAAATGCTCCACTTAAAAGATACAGAACCACAGAATGGATAAGAATTCACCAACCATCTGCTGCCTTCAGGAGACTCACCTAACACATAAGGATTCACATAAACTTAAAGTAAAAGGGTGGAAAAAGGCATTTCATGCAAATGGACACCAAAAGCAAGCAGGGGTAGCTATTCTTACATCAGACAAAACAAATTTTAAAGCAACAGCAGTTAAAAGAGACAAAGCGGGACATTATTTGCTAGTAGAAGATCTTGTCCCACAGGAAAATATCACAACCCTAAACATATACACACCTAAAACTGGAGCTCCCAAATTTATAAAACAATTACTAATAGACCGAAGAAATGAGATAGACAGCAACACAATAATAGTGGGGGACTTCAGTACTCCACTGACAGCACTAGACAGGTCATCAAGACAGAAAGTCAACAAAGAAACAATGGATTTAAACTATGCCTTGGTACAAATGGACTTAACAAATATATACAGAACATTTCATCCAACAAACACAGAATACACATTCTATTCAGCAGCATATGGAACTTTTTCTAAGATAGACCATATGATAGGCCATAAAATGAGCCTCAATAAATTTCAGAAAATTGAAATCATGTCAAGTGCTCTCTCAGATCACAAGAGAATAAAATTGGAAGTCAACTCCAAAAGGAACCTTCAGAACCATGCAAATACATGGAAATTAAATAACCTGCTCCTGAATGAACATTGGGTCAAAAACAAAATCAAGATGGAAATTTAAAAATTCTTCTAACTGAATGACAATGACACAACCTATCTAAACCTCTGGGATACAGCTAAGGTGGTGCTAAGAGGAAAGTTCATAGCCCTAAACGCCTACATCAAAAAGACTGAAAGACCACTAACTGACATTCTAAGGTCACACCTCAAGGAACTAGAGAATCAAAAGCAAACCAAACCCAAATCCAGCAGAAGAAAGAAAATTACCAAGATCAGAGCAGAACTAAATGAAATTGAAACAAACAAACAAAAAATACTAAAGGTAAATAAAACAAAAAACTGGTTCTTTGTAAAGAAAAATTAAATTGATAGAACATTAGCAAGATTAACCAAGCAAAGAAGAGAGAAAATCCAAATAACCTCACTAAGAAATGAAACAGGAGATATTACAATGGACGCCACTGAAATACAAATGATCATTCAAGGCGACTATGAACACCTTTATGCACATAAACTAGAAAACCTAGAAGAGATGGATAAATTCCTGGAAAAATACAACCCTCCTAGCTTAAATCAGGAAGAATTAGATACCCTGAGCAGACCAATAACAAGCAGCAAGAATGAAATCGTAATTTAAAAATTACCAACAAAAAAAAGTCCAGGACCAGATGGACTCACAGCAGATCTACCAGACATTCAAAGAAGAATTGGTACCAATCCTTTTGACACAGTTCCACAGGACAGAGAAAGAAGGAATCCTCACTGATTCATTCCACGAAGCCAGCATCACTCTAATACCAAAACCAGGAAAGGACACAACCAAAAAAGAAAACTACAGGCCAATATTCTTGATGAACATAGATGCTAAAATTGTTAACAAAATACTAGCTAACTGAATCCAACAACATATCAAGAAGATAATCCACCTTGATCAAGTGGGTTTCATACCAGGGATGCAGGGATGGTTTAACATATGCAAGTCAATAAATGTGACACACCACATAAACAGAATTAAAAACAAAAATCACATGATTAGATGCAGAAAAAGCAACAAAATCTAGCATCCCTTTATAATTAAACTCCTCAGCAAAATCAACATACAAGGGACATAACTTAATGTAATAAAAGCTATTTATGACAAACCCACAGCCAACATAATATTGAATGCAAAAAAGTGAAAGCATTCCTTCTTAGAACTGGAATAAGACAAGGATGCCCACTTTTACCACTCCTCTTCAACATAGTACTGGAACCCCTAGCCAGAGCAATCAGACAAGATAAAGAAATAAAGGCCATTCAAATTGGTAAAGAGGAAGTAAAACTGTCCCTGTTTGCTGATGATATGATCATTTACCCTCAAAACTGTAAGGACTCCTCTAGAAAACTCCTAGAACTGATAAAAGAATTCAGCAAAGTTTCTCGATACAAGATTAATGTACACAAATTGGTAGCTCTTCAATACACCAACAGCGACAAAGTGGAGAATAAAATAAAAAATTCAACCCCTTTTACAACAGCTGAAAAAAAAAAAAAAAAAAAAAACTTAGGAATATACCTAACCAAGGAGTCGAAAGACCTCTACAAGGAAAACTACAAAACACTACTGAAAGAAATCATAGATGATACAAACAAATGGAAATGCATCCCATGCTCACGGATAGGTAGAATCAATTTTGTGAAAGTGACCATATTACCAAAAGCAATCTACAAATTCAGTGTAATCCCCATCAAAATACTACCATCATTCTTCACAGAATTAGAAAAAAACAATTCTAAAATTCATATGGAACCAAAAAAGAGCCCACATAGCCAAAGCAAGACTAAGCAAAAAGAACAAATCTGGAGGCAACACACTACCTGATTTCAAACTATACTATAAGGTCATAGTCACCAAAACAACATGGTACTGGTATAAAAATAGGCACATAGACCAATGGAAGAGAATAGAGAACCCAGAAATACACCCAAATACTTACAGCCAAATGATCTTCGACAAATCAAACAAAAACATAAAGTGGGGAGAGGACACTCTTTTCAACAAATGGTGCTGGGATAATTGGCTAGCCACATGTAGGAGAATGAAACTGGATCCTCATCTCTAACTATATACAAAAAGCAACTTAAAATGGATTAAGAACTTAAACCTAAGACCTGAAACTGTAAAAATTCTAGGAGATAACATTGGAAAAACCCTTCTAGATATTGGCTTAGGCAAGGATTTCATGACTAAGAACCCAAAAGCAAATGCAATAAAAATAGAGATAAATAACTGGGACCTAATTAAACTAAAGAGCTTTTGCACAGCAAAAGGAACAGTCAGCAGAATAAACAGACAACCCATAGAGTGGGGGAAAAATCTTCACAATCTATACATCTGACAAAGGCTAATACCCATAATCTACAACAAACTCAAACAAATCAGTTAGAAAAAAACAAACAATCCCATCAAAAAGTGAGCTAAGGACATGAATAGACAATTCTCAAAAGAAGATATACAAATGGCCAACAGATATATGAAAAAATGCTCAACATCACCAATGATCAGGGAAACGCAAATCAAAACCACAAAGCGATACCACCTTACTCCTGCAAGAATGGCCATAATAAAAAAATCAAAAAACAGTAGATGTTGGTGTGGATGTGGTGAACAGGGAACACTCCTACACTACTGGTGGGAATGTAAACTAGTACAGCCACTGTGGAAAACAATGTGGAGATTCCTTAAAGAACTAAAAGTGGAACTACCATTTGAGCCAGCAATCCCACTACTGGGTATCTACCCAGAGGAAAAGATACTTGCCCACACATGTTTATAGCAACACAATTCACAATAGCAAAATTGTGGAACCAACCCAATTGCCCATCAGTCAATGAGTGGATAAAGAAACTATTTTATATATATATACACACACACACACACACACACACACACACATATACACACATATGTATATATATATGTATATATGATGGAATATTATGCAGCCATAGAAAGGAATGAATTAACAGCATTTGCAGTGACCTGGATGAGATTGGTGACTATTATTCTAAGTGAAGTAACTCAGGAATGGAAAACCAAACATCGTATGTTCTCACTGATATGTGGGAGCTAAGCTATGTGGATGTAAATGTATAAGAATGATACAATGAACTTTGGGGACTTTTGGGGAAGAGTGGGAGGGGGATGAGAGATAAAAGACTACAAATATGGTGCAGTTTATACTGCTAAGTTGAAGGGTGCACCAAAATCTCACAAATCACCACTAAAGAGCTTACTCATGTAACCAAATACCACCTGTACCCCCAATAACTTATGGAAAAATAAAAATAAATAAATAAAATAAATAATGGATCATATAATTAAGAAAAAAAACTACCTCACAGCACGTATTCTATGGAAAGGAAACTATTTAAAACATGAAAGGGGAAAACACATCCCTTGGCAGGCAACTCCTGATGATTGCAGTGTGGTTTTCCATTCTGCAAAAACTGTTTTGCATGTTGTGTCTGGACTTCCAACACCCTGCAGCCTTCCCTCTGTCTGGTACCTATGAGGAGCTCCTTCCTCCAATTAGGGCAGAAGTGGGAGGAAAGGTCAGAGGCAAACACCCTGCTCCTCTGCTCTTGAGAAGCCCTGGCTACAAAACTGACTAAGGGAAGTAAAATCTCCGTTAAACTGACATCATGTGTAAGAGAATAGCGATCATAGCTATTCTTGACATGGAATTATTTAACACATACTGTATATATGGAGTTATTCAATAAATATTAACCACCAGTGTGAAGGAATGTATTTACTTTTATCTTCATAAGTCTGTATGATAGGAAGGGTAAGTATTTAAAATGATGACTGTAAGCGTAAAGGGGTCATTTGTCTAAGATGTAAATATCTAGATTTGTCAAGACAGAAACTAGAAGTTCTTAAATATCTTCAAATGGAAACAGAGCAAAAGTCACCATTGTGCAAGGCACTGATGCATCTATGCATCCCAAGTGACACAACATGTTCCAACTTTATTTTTCTCTGTACTTTTAAAAACTCTTCTGCTTGCATGCCTGCTTTATGTGGGGACTCTCCAGAGAGAGTGCACGTGATGCTTGCTTGGGAGACAAGACTTCCTTATTCTAGAAGCTCCCAGATTACTACAGCAGGCACCAGTGGGGTGCATTCACCCACAATAGGTAGGTTTGATCACATCCATCACCATCAGCCTGAACCTGTATTTAGATTTTGCTTCAGGCAGGACATGAACATCCCTGTGGAACTGAAATGAGCCACCTTCAAGGCACTATGCTCCTGCCACAGGAACCAGGGTGCTCCACCTCTTCTTCCACACTCCAGGAGCCCTTCCAGGAGCAGCCATCCCCAGACATAGAAGGCGGGTTCATTCTGAAGCCCAGGCAGCCAGCCAGAGGCCAGCAGGGGAGTGGTGAGTGCCTTTCCTTCTTGCAAGTGCCTTCTCTCAGATCAAGTCTCCATTCCTAAAACCAAGCCCATGACACAGACACGTTCTCCATGCAGAGGAAGGAGGACAGTATAGGCAGGAAGCCAATACCTGTCCAGAATCAGACTTAGAGAAACCTGAAATGTCTGAAGTCAAGGCCCAACTTACTTCTAGGAAGATTTCTTTCATGTGTGTAAGTAGGTAGATACACTCTTCTGTGTATCCTCAGAACAATCTACACATATAATTATGTGTGTGCAGTCTGTGTGTCTGGTGAGAATATGGCTTTTGAAGGCCTGGAAACTCAGGCATTTTCTATCCCAGGGTTTTGCTGATGAGCTGAGCCCAAAGCAGGAGGTGATCAAATGATGGCATGGTTTAAACACATCTGGAGTGGCACATCTAGAGAGAAGCAGTTATAGAACTGAACTGCAGTCTACTCTGGACTGGGGCTGAAGTGCCCCTTGGGTTCTATCCTGAATTAGACTCTCAATTCTACTCTCTCCCCACCACCACGCTTACTTTCCAAGTCGGCTTCAGATCCAGGTTTAGACTGGAACTGGCATGAACATTTATGATTGTGGGCTTTTTTATCTCCCTTTTCGCCATTTTCCCCACTACCATTTCAGTATCCTGCCATTGATATTTCTTTCTCTGAAGAAAATGTGTTATTAATTTGGGAAATATTTTGGCAAGAATGGAATTTCTAAATAAAGCATTTTTATTGTTGTGACTGTTAGTCTATAGGCAGAAAGTTTCAAAAGTTTTATATATATCCTAATTTGAGCCTGCGGAAACCACTATCCCAATTCTTCCAGGGCTATTTAAGAAAGGCTAGTTAGCTTGTTTAATCATCTTGCCTTTTACATGGTAATAGCATATACTTTTATTGTTTAAAGAAGTGATAGGAACTCTTGCACCAAATAATGTGCATTACGAAAGGTGCAGCTAAGCCAGAAAATATTTTTGAGAAAGTACAGGATTCAATGTCTACTTTCCTCTTGGCCTTTATTCAGAGAGTAGCTAGTTATATAGCTTTGCATCAAGGGTTAGAGAATTCTTCCTAAGAACATTCTCTTATTAAAGCTAAATAACTGAATACATTTGGATAGTTCTAGAAAAAATAAAATCAAATTAAGAATAGGGAAACCAGGTTATGTACAACAACTTAACCTATATATTAATGTGTACTATAATAAATATTTGCACATGATGACATACAGATATATCCTTCTGGATTGAAGGATGACTTTGCTTCTTCCTTACCTTCTTTTAAAACAACAGGGGCATGACTGTTAGGTAGGGTGGTGGCATGCCTTTGTGACTGCATACCTTGCAAAACCAAATGGAGAATGGTGGTGGGATCTGTTCTGGGGGGAGGAGACTGATGTCTAGTCTGCCTTAGGCCATCTGAATGAGGGATAAAATTACTTTTATCAAGACTGCTCTGAACCATGGTTTGTCCTGAGCAGTCCATTCTATTACTCAGTCCAGTAAGCTGTAGGTAGCATCATTCATGCTAAAGTTGAGCAAACTGAAGCTCAAAGACTTCTGAGGAAGTTGTCTGACTACATAGCAGAACCAGGAGCCCATCCTGACCTCTGTGAGTCAGCATGAGTATTGCCACTATGTGTGTGTACAGAGAGATGCACTCGATGTCCCAGGGAAGCCAAGTGGATGGGTGTTTAAGAAACATTGAAATGGTGAAATGTTGCTCATTTGTTTATCATTCTACAACTTGCCTCCTCTGTTGACTTTTTCAGTACGTGGTATAAGGAGGTTATTTATAAGAATATTAAAGTACCTTGTTAGGAAAACACCTATAGTTGAGCAGTGGGAACATTCAACTCAACCTTTTATTGCTGATCACTTTTCCTTGAGAAGCTCTTCTTCAGCATTTCTTTGGTAGGGTCGTTGGGTAGGTAAAAATTATTTCTAGATAGCTGGTCAGGGTGTCACAAGGACCAGGGCCACTAGGGATCTTACCACAGAACCAAGGACTGACTAGAGAAAGTGGACTCAAGTCATCCATGGAGATGCCTAACAGTTGCAGCCTCCAAAACAAAGAAGCCAGAGGCTGACTGAGAAGTGGGGTCAGGCAGGTTGTGTCATGAAGGACAGGATCCTTTTGATGGGAGAGAGTTGGCCATGGTTGAGTATTCGGAAAGTCCAACAGGAAATCTGAGTGGCAGGAGACATACTACGAAAGTAGATAATTACTGAGCTCTACTTTATTTGAATATCCAGTATTTTTAACTTTTTATTTTCTCGTAGAGACTGGGTCTCCCTGTCACACAAGCCAAAGGGTCGTGGCGCCATCACAGCTTCCTGCAGACTCTAACTACTGGGCTCAAGCAATTCTCCTGACTCAGCCTTTTGAGTAGCTGGGATTACAGGCATGAGCCACCATGCTGGCTATTTTTAGGTTTTAAAGTGGGATCTGACATGTGACTCCACTGATTACAATTAATATCAGTAAACTTGAACAACTAGATCTTAAGTACCTTATGATAGAATGCAAGAGGTGGTAACTAGTACTGTCTAGGAAGTATTCCTACTGGAAGAATGGAACATAAGTCTGATCAAGCCTCCAGGTTTAACTGCAGTCTATGGGATATAGGGAAGAATAACACATTAACGCCAAGTATGCAGTTAGCCAATTTCAGAATGTGGGAAAATCTACACAACAAATGATTGTTTCTCTTCTCAACATCACAACAAACATGTTGTAAAATGGAAATAGTGAAAATAAAGTTAAGCGGATTAAACTACTACATCAAATAATCTCACTTTTTACTTATGTATTCAGACCAGAAGGGAGTTAAAAGAAGATGTTCTATGATAAACTGGGCCTTTTGGTGGGCTTCTAGCCCTTGCCAAGACAACCTGTGAATGGCTCCACCTGCCCCAAACCCAGGACAGCTGTTTGGAGCTTCTCCCACGGATGTTTGTGAGAATGACAAGCTGCCTGCCCCTCTGCTAGTAGGTCTCATTTTGTCTGGTCTTCTTTTTGGTAGCCCTCTTGAAGAGAGAGAACTCTGGGGGAGTCAAGTGTTTTCATCCAAATCTATCGCAAAGTGGAGAAATCTTTAGACAATGATGAACCCTAGCTTTGATAGAGAAGATTTGTCAATTTTACTTCAGTGACTAGAAATATGATTTAGATGCTGCAGGATCATAAGGCAAAGACAATAGGGAAAGATACTCTTTCGATGGTTTCAGCCAAGACCCATGTACGCGGGCTTGGATGAATCAAAATGGGCTCTCTGTTATGAATCTCTGGGACTTCCCCTTCCCTTCGCATCCTCATTTCAGCTCCTTTCTTCAACTCCACACTAGTCCCAAATCTCCTGTAATTATGTCTTCATCTTACACTACTCAGTCTTAAAACTCAAAATATCTCCCGTGAATTGATAAAATTCATCCTTTGGCATATAGTAATCCTTTAATCTTAACAGAAGTGGAATTTTTATCCTTTTTATGCTTAAGTACTGGAAACACTGTAGTGGTTACAAGGAAATATTTTCTGATATATCTCCTAAGACACATTTTAAAATGCTGTCTTACTACATATGAAGAACATATTTCTCTATTCTTTTGTATTTTCACTGAGTTATGTAAATACTATATGAAAAAAAAAACTTGCTTTATTTCTCTGTATTTACAACTTCCTGAGTAAAATTCCTGGCTTTGAGAGTGCATATTTTTGTGTTTAGGCTTTTAGACCAGCTGCCAAAGGCCAATGTTGTTCTCTTGTGATGCCTTTTTGGCGTGTTACATAACATTGAGCAGCATTCCTCAGCCAATCAGATGACAGCTTATAATTTATCTGCGTGTATAGCCTCAAGCATTTTCCTGCCTACTCCCTGCAGCTCAGAAGTGGTAAATGAGTTCACCAAAAAGGTAATGAGATCTCTCATTTTTATTCCCTGGGGAACAGAGTCCTCACTTTGAACCTGAAATTCAGGATATTAACTCAAAGGAACCACTTTTTTTAAGACGCACACTTTAATTACACTTCTGAAGTGGCAGTTTCATTAATACTATTCTAGGGATTGTAGAAGGTAGAAGGTGTATGAGAAGGTAGGTTATTAAATAGGAAATTGAGAGCAGTGAGTCACTTCTCCTTTCCCATCTAGGAGAGAAAACACTAGATTGACTATACCACAGAGAGATAAGAAAGTGGTGTGACGTAATAGAAAAAAAAATCTGTTCTTTGGAGTTTGACAAGCTAAGATTCAACTCTCAGTCTCATCACTGAGGGATGTGTAACCTGGGGCAACGATTCCAAGCCAAGATTTCCTCATCTCAACAATGGCAGTAGTGATAAGGCCCAGCTCCTCTGGTCATTACTGACACTTCTTTGGTGGTTTGGATAATATGAACACTCATGGCTCCACACATATTGCCTTTCTCTGTCAATCGGGGCTCACAATTGGCATTCAGGGAACTACTTGGCTACTATTTTGTCTCTGCCACTCGAATGAGAAAACTAGTAAAACATTCTAGAATATCCTAATGGAGCTACAATGTACCTAATAAAAAGACCCCAGCTCTCTCCGAAGATCACCCAGAGAGCAATCCTGAGGCCAGGCAATGCATGGAGAGGTACTGCACTTAGAAGAGCAGAGATTTTCTCTCCAGCTGCCTCCTTCCTTCACAAAAGACCCTCAGAGAATGTCTGCTTCCCAAGTTTAAAATACTTAACAAGTGAATTTCACAAGTTTTTATCCATTGGGTGCTTTATAAATTTAGAGAATATATATCCTTACCCCAAACATCATATATGAGTTGCTTGAAAATTATCCTATTTTTAAGGATGTGACCATCGATATAAAATGTTAGCTATTAAGCTAAGCTATAAATTATAACTTTAGCCCACTGATTATAAGTATTTTAAGATACGTGCCCTAAATGCTGTTGAAAAGATCGTAGTTTTTTCTTAGAGAAAACTGGTTCATATCTTTCTACATCTACTCTGATTTTTTCTTAGAATTCTGAATTTCATGTTTTTTCACTCCAAGATTCATAGATGAAATATGACTTATAGCTATGCCAAATGAAAAGAGCACCCTATTTTTCCCTTTTGTGTTACAGGTTTCTATTGTACAATTTCTCATTGAAAACTGCCTCAGCATATTTGGAGAAGACATCACTTCCCTCTTGGAGAAGAGCTCAATGACTTGTGACAACAGTGATGCTTCAGGTACCTTGAAAAATTCAGTTGGTTTTGATGAGAAACAGTGAGTGGGGATGCCAGGAGTCATGAGAGATGCTTAGGCAGTGGCTGTCCTGGAGTCCAGGGCAAGCCCCAAGCACAATGATGCAGGACCCAGGACTCCATCTGCTCATTCTTCATAAGGTTGGCTCACAGGTCATCTGCTGAGAAGGTCACCTGCTCCTCCTTCACTGTGCTCACTGAATGAGGACATTCCAAGATCCCAGCTCCTCCCATTTGAACTTTCCTCTTCCTAATCCCATGCATCTATGTTTGAGAAAATATTCCCACATGATTTTCTATCTTCCCATTTCTTCCATGTTGTATTACTTTATTATTATTAATAATAAATGCACATATTGTGTATATGCATATTAGTCTGTTTGGTGTTGCTATAAAACAATACCTGAGGTGTGGTCATTTATAAATAAAAGAATTTTATTTGGCTTAAGGTTGTGCAGATTTTACAAGAAGCATGGCATCAGCATTTGCTTCTGGTGAGGGACTTAGGAAGCTCTTACACATGGCAGAAAGTGAAGGGAGAGCAGGTGGGTCACATGGCAAGAGAGGAAGCAAGAGAGATGGGAGGAAATGCCAGACACTTTAAGCCATCAGTTTTCCTGTGAACTAATAGAGCAAGCCCTCACTCATTACTTTGGGGAGGGCACCAAGCCATTCATGAGGGATCCACCCCCATGACCCAAACACCTCCCACTTAGCCACACCTATCACATTTCAGATCAGGTATCAAAAAGAGATTTGGAGTGAACAAATACTCAAACTATCTCATTATGTGATGATTTGATACATTCCTAAAATATAATCAAGATAGGTGGAATATACATCATCATTGGGGCTCACAACTGATATTCAGGGTGCCACACCCTGATATTTCTCTGTTCAGGGATATTTTTCTCTTTCATATTGGCAAAGAGATTTTTTTGTAATTTGGCTGTTGAATTTCTTACTTTTCCAAGTCATTGCTATTAGTCATCTCGTTCTCAAGCTCCATTGTTTTTTTCTTTCAGCACTTCGCAAATGTCTTCTCACTCCCTCCTGGCCTGTATGGATTCCATTGTCACTCTGTTGCCAGATAAATTGGAGCTCTTTTCTATGTTATTTGCTTCTTTTCTCTTGCTGCTTTTAACATCCTCTCTTTGTCCTTGACTTTTGAGAGTTTAATTATTGTGTGTCTTGGGGTTGTCTTGTGTGGGTCAAATATGTTTGGTGTTTTCTCACTTTTCTGTACCTAATACTCAGATCTTTCTCAAGTTTGGGAAATTTTTTGTTATTTCTTTGATTAAGGCTTTCTACACCTTACTTTTGCTTCACTACTTCTTGGGCAGCAATATTTCTTAGATTTGGTCTTTTGAGGTAATTTTGTCTTGTAGATGATTTTCATTCCTTTGTATTCTGTTTTGGTTTTTTTTCACCTCTGACTGCATAATTTCAAATCGTCTGTCTTTGAGCCCACTGATTCTTTTCTTTGCTTGATTCATTCCACTGTTGAGAGCCTGTAGTGAATTTTTCAGTTCAGCAAATATAAATGTATTTCTCTGTTTCAGGATTTCTCTTTGATTTTTTTAAAATCATTTCAATATCTTCGTGAAATTTATTGGTAAGTTTTAAGTAGCTTTTCTGTGCTATCTTAGAGATTAATGAGTTTGCTTAAAATTGCTATTTTGCATTCTTGATCAGAAAGCTCACATATCACCATCTCATTAGGGTCAGTCACTGGTTCCTTGCTTTGTTCATTTGGAGAGGTCATGATTCCCTGTTTGCTGCTGTTTCTTGTGGATGTATGTCTGTGCCTTTGCATTGATGGATTGGTTATGTATTCTAATCTTCTCCGTCTTGTTTTGGCTTATATTCAGTATGCTTGCTTAGAGATTCTTTGTAATTTGACTGTTAAATTTCTTTTTCCCCACAAGATTGTTGCCTTCTTTTTGGCACTAGATGACACCTTAAGCCCAGGTTTGTCTTGGCTCTAGCAAGCAATCAGAGCACTGCCTATCCTGAACATGGAAAGTCCTAAAGGGAATATTAAGGCTGCGTGGAAAGACTGGCTAAGGGTTCGTATCCAGGGTCCCTGTGCAACATACATCCTATAATGTGGTGCTGCTGAACCACGACTCTGATTTAACGTCTGCTTTGGTGGAGTCACAAAGCAGAGTTTCTAGGGCTGGGGATAGTAGTCCCACTTCCTCCCTTTGTCTGCAACTGTCCTCAGGGATATTTCTTTCCTCAGGCACCCTAATGCTTCCCGTGGGGTGAGGCAGAGACTGGCCTCCTGCCAGGGAACCCAAGATGATGAGGAAGCTGGTGTCCACCTCAATCTCATGTTTTTCAGTGTAGAAACCATGATTCATGGGAAATTTTCTGCATTTTGGTGCCAGATAGATTAGGGGT
The DNA here is from genome assembly GCF_000001405.40 of Homo sapiens. Lineage (NCBI taxonomy): Eukaryota > Metazoa > Chordata > Mammalia > Primates > Hominidae > Homo > Homo sapiens. The sequence goes on along the minus strand of NC_000004.12, from coordinate 120,003,906 downwards.
TGGGGAGGGTCATCACAAACATGAAAATCCAATATTCTTACCATTTGCTCAGATGTTTTTCACTTCTTTGTGGCTCTGAGAACTAATGCATTCTCACATTTGGTTCCTGAGAGTGAAGCCAGCTTGAATCTATCATGGCATTTTTAAACCAGGAGTCTGTTGTACTACATTTTATTGTATTGTATTGTGTATATATTTACTGATGCAATAAAAATTACTCTGCAACTCGATATCCTAGGCAACCATTTTATTTGTTCATAACTCACATTAGAGTTTTGGTGGAGGCTCAGCTGTGCAGTTCTTCTTCTGGTCTTACCTGGGTCCTCATGCATCGTCAGTCAGCTCGCAGCTCCACTGAGGCTAACTTATGTGTCTATTGGTTAGTGTTTGCTCTCATTTGGTCCTCATGTCTTTAATAAGCCATCTCAGCCTTATTTGTTTGGAGGAAGAAGTGTATACAGCAGCAAGAAAGGGTAAATGCTGTTCAAGCCTCTGTTTGCCTCACATTTGCTAATGTCACGTTGATCAATGTCCAGAGTCACATGGTCAAGCTTAGAGTCAATGCAGGAGATGGCACAAGGGATGTAAAGACAAAATACAAAGCTATAAAACAAAGTGTAATTCATTGCTATTGAGAGCTATTAGTGTAATCTGCCACATATAATAATCACAACTCAAGGCAGCATCACTACTACACACATCCTTTTACTGATCAGTTTATAACCCTCCATTCTTTAGCATTTCCTAAAGAGTATTCCGAGTGGAAGGAAATATCTTTAAAATAATAACAAACTTTTTTCTCAGGTATTTCTTGCTCCCATCCATCTTCCTTTATGGTAATTGGGCCCTTAGCTCAAAGAAGAGAAGTTATAGCAGAAATATGAGAAGAAAAGAGCTCTTGTGGCTTGTGAGTTTGGAGCTCTGCACATTCATACAGTTTCTTGTACCTCATCATAGAACAAATCAGGACAATTATTCCATCAGCCCAAGAATAGTATGGAAGTAAAGAGAACCAGTGGATTTGAATGAGACATGTCTCAGCAACAGTTGTACAGACCAATTGTTCGGGACCGGATAGTGGTTAGACCATCTCACAGATGCCAACTTATGTAGATGACAGAGAGGACCAGATAAGTGCCACTCTACTATTCTACAACTCTCTAATTCCTTGGCACAATTAGACTCCAGAACACACCCTCATGGGGAAAAAGAAGAAATCTTGAGGTTCTACAATCTGAGAAGAAAGGATCAAAGTAGAAATTAAATGAGCTACTTAAAATGTGGAACAGTACATTTCTTACATATCTCAGTTTATAGAGTTAGATTGGTGCCACTACATATGGGATCCTTGATCCATGCATGGTTTTCCTAGAAAGGGTTCCCTGGTCACATTGGCAAAATCCTGTGTTTTTGTTTAGGAGAGTCAAAATATCTATTAACATCTTAAAGTCGTAGAGAAAACTCGCAGTATTTTCTATTTTCACATGTATTTGACCTTGCAGACACTTTTGTAGTAACCCCATTAATTACTATTCCTGAGAACATACATGAATAAATATTGCTCTAAATTTATTTCTTAAATCACAGATTTTACCATTTCATTTACCAACTCAAAACCTCTAATGGATCTCTGCTTTTTTTTTTTTTCCAGTAAAATGTCCTTTTTAAGATCCTCCACAATGCAAACTGCTCTTTTGATCTAATTTTAACTTTGCTATTTCCCAGTGTAGATCTTTTGCTTTAGTAAAGGTCAGACACTTTACTCTTCCCTAAACAAGACTTACTCTATTTTCTAACTATAATCCTCCAGTCCGCTTGGTCTCTATATATCCACACACAGGGTAAGCTATTTGGGCTCTTTTCACTATGTTTTCCCTGAGCATTCCAGCTCAAATTAATTGTTCCCATAGAACACATGAGCACCCTACCCCAGTAGGCAATGGCTTACATGCTGCTTTGTACCACTAGGAATATATTAGTATGTTTATATATTGTCCAGAACAATAAAGTTGTTGTGGTAAAGGACTATATCTTATATTTTGTTATTTGTTTTAGGTTATTTTTACTTTTTGTTCTAAGAATGTTACTTAAAATATATTACTTTTAAAGGCTTGCTCAATGTTTGGTAAAAATATATTAATAAATATGTGCACATTTCTAAGAATGTAGAGATTTTACATGGATTAGTAATGTCTGTATACTTTAAAATGGAAGAGGTAGAAGAGCATATATAAAATTTCAGTGAGTGGTAATACATTAATTTGACTAATTTAATGTGTTTTAAAAACATGACTTAGCCTTTATTTATTCACAGGGACATACTGGAATATAATATATGTATTCAGCCTCCAAAAAATGGAAATATTGATGTGGTGTATTTGGGGATAATGGCATTTTTGTGAAAAATCTTTTAAATATGTTTGCATTTGTGTGAAAAGAATTTTAGACTATCTTATCCACAATTGCAAAATACAACAGGCAAAAAATATGCTTTGCAAGCATCTGTGAGTTTTTGAGTTGGGAAGATATACAGAATTCTCTGAAATGTGAAAAGGAGATAGAAAAAAAGGAAGTAAAGAAAAGCTGAGATTCCATCGATTTGTCAGTTGCAACTCATAGAGGAGATTCTTGCCATATGGAAATACTGTACTTAGTAAATGATAGTTTTCCCCTCAGGGTATTCAAGCACAGTATCTCCTCGAGAAAGGTAATTTAGTTGTTAATTTTAAAGAAAGATCCTAGGGACTGATAAACTGTAAAAGGACCCAACAGTGTAATCTAGAGTGAGTCAAAGGCAATTAGACTGGCTGATAGTGGCCTTTACCACAGCTGGGAGTAAGATTGTGTAATCATTAATCAGTCTGTATGTACTGTTGTAATTAAAATTAAAGGTTTCCAAAAACAGGGGAATGGTACATAAAATGGATATCTTATTTTATTACAGAGGGAAAACACTCATAGGCTACCTGTGTCAGAAAACGAATTTTCATCGATGGTGGGGATTAATTACTATGATATCTTTATTGAGTGGAATATATATGCACACACACTCAGTTACATAAAAGCAGCCTGTAAGTCTTTGGGGGATGGAGTATGTAATGCAAAAAGCCACCTTTTGTTCAGAAAGCACTGGGCACTGACTTTCGCCGAGCACTGCCTTTCTACACTTCTTTCCACGTTGCCAAATGAGCCAGTACTCTCAAGATCTGTAGTGAATGGTGATTGCATTTTCCATTTCTGTTTCATACTTTATTTGTCCATAATATTATTGGTACTATGAAAACACTGATTTCATTTTGGCCTTGGGCCTCAATGCCAGCATTAATTTGCTGGCTTTTAATCCTTTCAAAGAAGAAAACAGCATCTTGGACAAGTAAAACAAAATGCTGGAATATAAAATTGTCAAAAGAGAGTTATAATTTCCTAAAACAGAAAAAGAGAAACTATATTGTGAATTATTTTCACAAACATTAAGTTACAAATCCATTTGGGAGGTAATACGTGATTATCAGTATCTTAATAAACGTCACCCTATTAGTTCTGCAGCAAAGAGCAGAGCTCCATGGGAGTTCTGAAATAATTTGGATTGTCCACAGTGGGATTAGGGAATCTAGGAAGGACCAAAAAATGAGAAAAAGTATAGAAAACGAAGGTATATGGTGTAAATTACAAATTTACTCTATTTTCAATCTTTTTTCAGAAGGCTAACGATAGCTGAGAATGTAAGGGAAGGATCTCCAAAAATTCTTGATTAAAAAGAATGAGGTTAAATCTCGGCCATCTTGATCTTAGTGTCCAATATCACAAAACATAAAAGCGCCAGCAGTGAAACATTTGATTATTGCCCAGTATTTAATTAAGTAATACCTAATACAAATGTACAATACTCCTTATTTTATATGTCATTTCTAGATACTATGGCTTCTTTGTGAATAAGACTATTTAGTACTTACTCTTTCAACTATTAGCAAGTTTTGTCCAGTTCCCCACCTTTCCCAAAAAGCTTGTATAATTGGATACCTAAAAATAATCAACATGCTATATTTTCTGCTTTGTGATGTCAAGATTAGGCCAAGATTAAACCGTGCTTTATGCTACTCCTAATTTGAAAAATAATTGCATATTAAATAATCTAGATAATTGCCCAATTTAAACATTTTATATTATACTGTGCCCCACAAAGGATAAATTTAAAACTTTCTAAAGAAGGTAAATCCCCACTTTTCTATGCTATTACTTTTCATGCGCGTCCGTGTGAAGGGACCACCAAACAGGCTTTGTGTGAGCAACATGGCTGTTTATTTCATCTGGGTGCAGGCGGGCTGAGTCCAAAAAGAGAGTCAGCGAAGGGAGATAAGGGTGGGGCCATTTTATAGGATTTGGGTAGGTAAAGGAAAATTACAGTCAAAGGGGGTTTGTTCTCTGGCGGGCAGGAGTGGGGGTCGCAAGGTGCTCAGTGGGGGTGCTTTTTGAGCCAGGATGAACCAGGAAAAGGACTTTCACAAGGTAATGTCATCAGTTAAGGCAAGGACCGGCCATTTACACTTCTTTTGTGGTGGAATGTCATCAGTTAAGGTGGGGCAGGGCATATTCACTTCTTTTGTGATTCTTCAGTTACTTCAGGCCATCTGGACATATACGTGCCAGTCACAGGGGATGGCTTGGCTTGGGCTCAGAGGCCTGACATTCCTGCCTTCTTATATTAATAAGAAAAATAGAACAAAATAGTGTTGAAGTGTTGGGGCGGCGAAAATTTTGGGGGGTGGTATGGAGAGAGAATGGGAGATGTTTCTCAGGGCTGCTTCAAGCGGGATTAGGGGCGGCATGGGAACCTAGAGTGGGAGAGATTAAGCTGAAGGGAGGTCTTGTGGTAAGGGGTGATATTGTGGGGATGTTAGAAGAAACATTTGTCTTATAGAATGATTGGTGATGGCCTAGATACGGTTTGGGATGAATTGAGAAACTAAATGGAATAACAGAAGGAGAAAAACAGGTATAAAAGGTCTAAGAATTGGGACGACTCAGGATATCTGATTAGAGAGTGCCTAAGGAGATTCAGCATATTCCTGCCAGCAAAGATTATTTATTTACTTCAAGAGTTAAGAGTGGCAGTTTGGGGATAGCACCAGGAGATATTAGCTGTGATGGCTTGGAGAAACAGTGTAAACCGGCAGTGTAAACAAGAGCAGGGCATGTATGAGTAGTTGAGAACGGTGAATAGGAGTATGACTAGACAGAAGATAGTAGGGATGACAAGTTTTTTGGGGTGCAGTCTAAGTTGGTCTGGTGTCTGGAATGAGACTGGGGCCTAATAAAAAGGAGCGTCCATACAGGAGCTTAAATGGGCTGTACCTTGTAGCATTCTGAGGACAGGCCTGAATTCTGAGAAGGGAAAGTGGTAAAGGTATTGTCCAGTCCTTTTTAAGTTGGTGGCTGAGCTTGGTGAGGTGTGTTTTTAAAAGACCTTTAGTCCATTCTACTTTTCTTGAAGATGGAGGACCGTAAGGGATATAAAGGTTTCACTGAATACTAAGAGCCTGAAAAACTGCTTAGCTGATTTGACTAATAAAGGCTCGTCTGTTATCAGACTGTATTGAGGTGGGAAGGCTAAACTGAGGAATTATGTCTGACAGAATGGAAGAAATGACTGCAGTGGCCTTCTCAGACCCTGTAGGAAAGGCCTCTACCTATCCAGTGAAAGTATCTATCTAGACTAAGAGGTATTTTAGTTATCTGACTCAGGGCATGTTGAGTAAAGCTAATTTGCCAGTCCTGGGTGGGGGCAAATCCTTGAGCTTGATGTGTAGGGAAGGGAGGGGGCCTGAATAATCCCTGAGGAGTAGTAGAATAGCAGATGGAACACTGATAAGTTATTTCTTTGAGGATAGATTTCCACGATGGAAAGGAAATGAGAGGTTCTAAGAGACGGGCTAGTGGCTAGTACTATAGTATAACCTGCCTTTTCTGGTGTGTGGCGATTCGGCCTGGTGGAACCACCATCAATAAATCAAGCGTGATCAGGGTGAGGAACAGGAAAGAAGGAAACTTGGGGAAATGGGGTGAATGTCAGGTGGATCAGAGAGATACAGTCATGGGGGTCAGGTGTGGTATCAGGAATAATGTGGGAGGCCGGATTGAAGTCTGGGCCAGGAACAACAGTAATTGTGGGAGACTCAACAAAGAGTGAGTACAGCTGAAGGAGCTGCGGAGCAGAAAGTATATGCATCAGGTATGAGGAAGAAAATAGATTTTGGAAGTTATGAGAACTATAGAGAGTGAGTTGAGCATAGTTTGTGATTTTGAGGGCCTCTAAAAGTATTAAAGCAGCGGCAGCCGCTGCACACAGACCTGAGGTCTAGGCTAAAACAGTAAGGTCAAGTTTGGACAGAAAGGCTACAGGGTGTGGTCCTGGCTCTTGTGTAAGAATTCTGACCGCGCTAACCATGCCTAGGAAAGAAAGGAGTTGTTGTTTTGTAGAAGGTGCTGGGGTTTGAGAGATCAGTTGGACACAATTGGCAGGGAGAGCACGTGTGTTTTTTTGAGAATTATGCCAAGATAGGTAACAGATGAGGAAGAAATTTGGGCTTGATTGAAGTAATGGGGGCTGTCTGTGAAGCTTTGCGGCCGAATAGCCTAGGTAATTTGCTGAGCTCGATGGGTGTCAGGGTCAGTCTAAGTGAAAGCAAAGAGAGGCTGGGACAAGGGGTGCAGGGGAATAGTGAAAAAAGCATCTTTAAGATCAAGCACGGAATAGTGAGTTGTGGAGGAAGGTATTGAGGACAAAAGAGTGTACGGGTTGGGCACCACAGGGTGGATAGGCAAAACAATTTGGTTGCTAAGGCGCAGATCCTGAACTAACTTGTAAGGCTTATCTGGTTTTAGGACAGGTAAAATCGGGGAATTGTAAGGAGAGTTTATAGGCTTTAAAAGGCCATGCTGTAGCAGGCGAGTGATAAGAGGCTTTAATCTTTTTAAAGCATGCTGCGGGATGGGATATTGGCGTTGAGTGGGGTAAGGGTGATTAGGTTTTAATGAGATGGTAAGGGGTGCATGATCGGTCGCCAAGGAGGGAGTAGAGGTATCTTATACTTGTGGGTTAAGGTGGGGGGATACAAGAGGAGGATGCAAAGGAGGCTTTGGATTGGGAAGAAGGGTGGCAATGAGATATAGCTGTAGTCCAGGAATAGTCAGGGAAGCAGATAATTTAGTTAAAGTGTCTCAGCCTAATAAGGGAACTGGGCAGGTGGGGATAACTAAAAAGGAGTGCTTAAAAGAGTATTGTCTAAGTTGGCACCAGAGTCGGGGAGTTTTAAGAGGTTTAGAAGCCTGGCTGTCAATACCCACAACAGTTATGGAGGCAAGGGAAACAGGCCCTTGAAAAGAAGGTAATGTGGAGTGGGTAGCCTCTGTATTGATTAAGAAGGGGACAGGCTTACCTTCCACTGTGAGAATTACCCGAAGCTCAGCGTCCGTGATGGTCTAGGGGGCTTCCGAGGCGATCGGGCAGTGTCAATCTTCAGCCGCTAAGCCGAGAAGATCTGGGAAGGAGTCAGTCAGAGAGCCTTGGGCCAGAGTTCCAGGGGCTCTGGGAGTGGCTGCCAGGTGAGTTGAACCGTCCGATTTTCAGTGGGGTCTTACACAGATGGGACGCAGCTTAGGAGGAATCCCGGGCTGTGGGCATTCCTTGGCCCAGTGGCCAGATTTTTGGCACATGCAGCAAGCTCCTGTGGGAGGAGGTTCTGGAGGAATGCCTGGCCGCTGTGGTTCAGGTGTTTGGAAGTTCTTGTGTGCTGGAGATGTGGCTGGGGTTTGTCTCACAGTGAAGGCAAGGAATTGCAACTTTTTTCTGTTATTGTACACCTTGAAGGTTGAGGTTAATTAAGTCCTGTTGTGGGGTTTGAGGGCCAGATTCCAATTTTTGGAGTTTTATTTAATGTCAGGAGCAGATTGGGTAATAAAATGTATAGTGAGAATAAGACGGCCTTTTGACCTTTTAGGGTCTAGGGCTGTAAAGCGTCTCAGGGTTGCTGCCAAAGGAGCCATGAACTGGGCTGGATTTTTATATTTGATGAAAAAGAGCCTAAATGCTTCTGATTTGGGATAAAGAAAAGGAACATTAACCTTGACTATGCCTTTGGCTCCAGCCACCTTTTTAAGAGTAAATTGCTGGGCAGGTGGGGGAGGGCTAGTCACGGAAGGAAACTGTAAGCCGGACCAGGTGTGAGGAGGGGAGGTGATAAAAAGATTATAGGGTGGAGGAGCGGAGGCTGAGGAAGAATTGGGACCTAGCTCGGCCTGGCGAGGAGCAGCCTGGGGAGGAAGGGAGAGGTCAGATGGGTCTGTAGAAAAGGAAGATTAGAGAGACTCAGTGATGCTTGGGGTTGGTACTGAGGGGACAGGCGGGAGGGAAAGAAGGAAGATTTGGGACAAGTTGCACTGGGCACAGAGACTAGGAAGGGGCTGATGTGTAAAAGAATGCCTGGACGTCAGGCACCTCAGACCGTTTGCCTATTTTATGACAAGAATTATTTAGATCTTGCAGGATAGAAAAATTCAAAGTGCCATTTTCTGGCTATTTGGAACTACTGTCGAGTTTGTATTGGGGTCAAGCGGCATTGCAGAAGAAAATAAGGCATTTAGGTTTTAGGTCAGGTGTGAGTTGAAGAGGTTTTAAGTTTTTGAGAACACAGGCCAAGGGAGCAGAAGGAGGAATGGAGGGTGGAAGGTTGCCTATAGTGAAGGAAGCAAGCCTAGAGAAAAGAGAGAAAAACAGAGGGAAGGGGTTCGGGGGTTCTTACCTTCCAGAAAAGTGGGAAAAGGGGTTGGGGCGCAGAGATAAGAGGTCGGGGCACAGAGATAAGAGGTTGGGATGCAGAAATAAGGGATGGGGCGCAGAAATAAGGGGTCAGGGCATGGAAATAAGGGGAAGGGGCACGGAAATAAGGGGTAGGGGCACAGAAATAGGGGGTAGGGGCACGGAAATAAGGGGTAGGGGCACAGAAATAAGGGGTCGGGGCACGGAAATAAGGGGTTGGGACACTGAAATAAGGGATTGGGGTGCAGAGATATAAGAGGTTGGGGCACGGAAATAAGGGATTGGGGCACAGAGATACGAGGTTGGGGCACTTGTCCCTCCTCTAGAAAAGCGGGACTTGCCACTAAGAGTGAAGGAGAAGGGGTTGAGGGGTACTTGCCCCTCTCCCAGAAAAGCAGAGAAGGAGTAGAGACAAGGAGAGAAGGGGTTGGGATACTCGCCCTTTCCTCGGAAAGCAGAGAAGGGGTAGAGACAAGGAGAGAAGGAGTTGGGGTACTTGCCCCTTCCCCAGAAAAGCGGGACTTGCCGCTAAGGGTGAAGGACCAAGGCAGGCGTCCATGCGTGGTCTGACACCTTTGAAACGTGGGTGAATAGAGAGGCGTCCCTGCAATGATTAAACACCAAGGGAAGGCTGTCTTCCCAGTCCGTGACCGGCGCCGGAGTTTTGGGTCCATGGATAAAACATGTCTCCTTTGTCTCTATCAGAAAATGAAAGGAATTGAAATTAAGAGAAGGGAGAGATTGAAGTGTGGCGCCAAGATTGAAAGGAGAAAGAGGTTGAGGGATAGTGAGGGAGGTTGGAGAAGAGGGTAAAAAGAGGCCGCTTACCAGATTTGAAATTGGTGAGATGTTTCTTGGGCTGGTCGGTCTGAAGACCTAAGGTCATAGGTGGATCTTTCTCACGGAGCAAAGAACAGGAGTACAGGGGATTGATCTCCCAAGGGAGGTCCCCCATCCGAGTCACAGCACCAAATTTCATGCGCGTCCATGTGAAGAGACCACCAAACAGGCTTTGTGTGAGCAACATGGCTGTTTATTTCACCTGGGTGCAGGCGGGCTGAGTCCGAAGAGAGAGTCAGCGAAGGGAGATAAGGATGGGGCCATTTTATAGGATTTGGGTAGGTAAAGGAAAATTACAGTCAAAGGGGGGTTGTTCTCTGGCGGGCAGGAGTGGGGGTCGCAAGGTGCTCAGTGGGGGTGCTTTTTGAGCCAGGATGAGCCAGGAAAAGGACTTTCACAAGGTAATGTCATCAGTTAAGGCAAGGACCGGCCATTTACACTTCTTTTGTGGTGGAATGTCATCAGTTAAGGTGGGGCAGGGCATATTCACTTCTTTTGTGATTCTTCAGTTACTTCAGGCCATCTGGGCGTATATACGTGCAAGTCACAGGGGATGCGATGGCTTGGCTTGGGCTCGGAGGCCTGACATTACTCAGTATTTTGTTTCAGATAACATTCAAAATAAAAGATTTTGTTTGCTCAAAATACAGAAAGAACTAGCTGGAAAAGAAAAATAAACAACAATATTGACCTCAGCATAATGGCTACTTCTGTTGGGAGGAAAAGACAATATGACAGAAAAGAGATGGAAAAAAAAACTTCAAGCATATATGTATTATTTTCTTACTTTAAAAAATATTTTAAAATTCTAACATTATGCCATATGGTTCAATTACTAATAAAAAGTTATAGGCAATTTTATTACATGAATATCTACAACATACATGTGTATGCATGTATATGTATGTATGCACATATATATACATATATAAAACATCAGTAACTAAACAAGCAAACTACAGAAATTTTAATCACAACTTTATTTCTTAATACATGTTTTTGTGATTTCTCTATATTGCTACATATAAACACATAAACATTTTTCAGTTAGTAACTCAACCAGTAAACTACAGAAATTTTAATTGCAACTTTATTTCTTAATACATGTTTTTGTGATTTCTCTATATTGCTACCTGTAGATATGAGTCACTCAGTCTAGTTGATGTATGATAGTATTCTGTTACATGAATAATGCATTAATCTTTGCATGTATATATATATATATTTTAATAAAACTTCTTAGAGGCTTTCCTAGGTTAGTAGCTTTCAAAGGAACTGTTTTAAAAATCATTTTCGTCATTGATTTTCTCGGTTATTAAGTTGTGTTTTGTTTTTATAATTATCTTCAACTTTCTTACTGTTCTTTTCATTGCATCTAGCTTCCTGCATTAAATGCTTAACTACTTTATTTGTAATAAAGGTATTGAAACTTTTAATAACGTCCAGATATTGTTTTAGCTGCATCTCACAAATTTTGATTTTGCTTTTTATGTTTTTAGTATTTTAGTATTTTTCAGTCATTCAATCATTGTATTTTATAGTTTTCTTTGGGATTTATTTTTTTAAGCCATTTATTGTTCGGGCTTTTGTTAGGTTTTCTAAACTGTGACCCTTTTATTACTATTTGTAATAGTAAATTTCTAATGTAATTGTCCAGTGATCAGATAATATATTTTTAATAATTATGATTGTGACTGAGTATACAGTTAATTTTTTATGGTATATGTGATAATTTGATACATTCACATATTTGTAAAGATCAAATCAGTGTACTTGGGATATCTATCATGTTAAATATTTTTCTTTTCTTTATGCTAGAAATATTCAAATTATTCTCTTCTACATATTTTGAAATGTACAATAATATTGTCAATGATAGTCACCCTACCAGTCTATCTAACACTAGCTCTTATTTCTTCTATCAAACCATGTATTTGTACCCATTAATCAACTCTTTATCATCCCACCTATTACTCTGCTTTCCAGCTTCTGGTAACAATCTACTGCCTATCTTCAGAAGATTCACTTTTTGGCTCCCATGTATGAGTGAGAACATGTGATTTTTGTCTTTCTGTGCTTTGCTTATTTCAGTAAACATAGTGATCTCCAGTTCTATTCACGTTGCTGCAAATGACAGGATTTCATTATTTTATGGCTGAATATTTTTTCTTGTGATATCCAACATTTTCTTTATGCATTCATTCCTTGATGGACATTTAGGTTGTTTCCATATTTTGGCTATTTTGAATAGTACTGCAGTCAACATGGGAGTATAGATATCTCATTGATATATTGATTTATTTTCCTTTAGATATATATTCCATAGTGGAATCGGTGTGTCCGATTCCACTATGTAGCTCTATTTCCATACTGTTCTCCACAGTGGCTGCAATAATTCATGTTCCCACCCACAGTGGACAAGAATTTCCCTTTCTCTACATCCTTCCCAGAATCTGTTATTTTTGATATTTTTAATAAAGACCATTCTAATTAGGGTAAGAGGATATCTCATTATGGTTTTTATTTGCATTACTCTGATGATTAGTGATGTTGGGCATTATGTCTTATGCCTGTTGGCCATTGTATGTCTTTGTAAAAATGCATATTCAGATCTTTTGCCAAATTTTAAATCAGATTATTTGTTTTTGCTATGGAGTTGTTTGAACTCTGAATTTATTCTGGTTTTTAATACCCTGTCAGATGGGTAGTTTGCATATATTTTCTGTCATTCTGTAGCCCGTCTTTTATTTGTTGATTCCTTTACTGTACCAAATTAGCTTGATATAATCCCATTTGTCTATTTTTTGGTTTCCTGTGCTTTTGAGGTGTTAGAAAAAACATCTTTGCACAGAGCAATATCCTGGAGTGTTTCCCCAAAGATTCTTTCAGTAGTTTCAGAGTTTCAGGTCTTAGATTTAAGTCTGTAATCCATTTTGATTTGATTTTTGTGTATGGTGAGAGAAAAAGGTCTAGTTTCACTCTTCTACATATAGTTACCCACTTTTCCCAGCACCATTTCTTGAAGAGACAGTCCTTTCCCTATTGTGTTCTTTTTGGTGCCTTTGTCAAAGATGAGTTGGCTGAAAATGTGTGGATTTATATCTGTCTCCTCTGTTTTCTACTATTCATCTATGTGTCTGTTTTCATGCCAGTGCCATGCTAGTTTAGTTACTGCAGCTTTGTAGTAAATTTTCAAGTCAGGTAAAGTGATGCCTCCAGCTGTGTTGTTTTTACTCAGGCTGGCTTTAACTATTCAGGTTCTTTTGTGGTTCCATATAAATCTTAGGATAATTTCTTTTTCTATTTCTGTGAAAAAAGTAATTGGTATTTTGAATAGAGATTGCATTTCTGTGAATTTTGGGGAGTACTATTGTCATTTTAACACTATTCATTGTTTTAATCCATGAGCATGGAATATCTTTCCACTTTTTTGTATGTATTCTTCCATTTCTTTCATGAGTCTTTTATACTTTTCATTGTATAGATCTCTTACATATCTGGTTAAACTGAATCGTAGGTATTTTATATTCTTTGCAGGTATTGTAAAAGTGATTGATTTCTTCATTTCCTTTTCAGATTATTCATTATTGGTGTATATAAATGCTACTGATTTTTATATGTTGATTTTGTAGCCTGCAACTTTATTAAATTCATTTGTCAGTTCTAATAGTTTTTTGTGTGTAGTCTTTAGGATTTTTTAAAACTTATTTTCACTTTAAGTTCTGGGATACATGTGCAGAACATGCAGGTTTGTTACATGAGTATACATGTGCATGGTGGTTTGCTGCACCTACCAACCATCATCTAGGTTTTAAGCCCTGCATGCATTAGGTATTTGTCCTAATGTTCTACATCCCCTTCCCCGCAACCACCTTTGTCCATGTGTTTAGGATTTTTTAAGTATAAAATCATGTCATCTGTATACAAGGCCAATTTGATTTTTTCCTTCCCAATTTTAATGTCCCTTATTTCTTTCTCTTGTCTAATTGCTCTAGTCAGGACTTCCAGTCCTGTGTCAAATGAACATGTTGAAAGTGGGCACCTGTGTCTTCTTGTGGTCTTAAAGCAAAGTCTTTCCATTTTTTTTCTGTTCGCTATGATGTTAGCTGCGGTTTTGCCAAAATTGTCCCTATTATTTTGAGATATGTTCCTTCTATACCCAGTTTGATGAGAATTTTTTCTTAAAGGGATGTTGAATTTTAGAAATGCTTTTTCAGCATCTATTGAAATAATCACATGATATTGTTCTTGATTCTATGAATGTGGTGTATTACATTTACTGATTTGGATATGTAGAGCAATCCTGACATTCCTGGGATGAATTCCACTTGATCATAATGAATTATAATTTTTAATGTGCTGTTGAATTACATTTGCTAGCATTTTTTGAGAAAATTTACATCAATATTCATCAGTGATATTTACCTATTTTTTTGTTTTATTCATGTCTGGTTTTGGTATCATGGTAATGCTTGCCTCATAGATTCAATTTGGAATCATTCCCTTTCCTTCAGGTTTTTTTTTTTAAAGACTTTAAGTAGAATTGGTATTAGTTCTTCTTTAATTGTTTAGTAGAATTCAGCAGTAATGCCATCAGGTCCTGGATTTTCCTTTAATAGAAGACTTCTTATTATGGTTATTATCTCGATACTCATCATTGGTTTGTTGAAGTTTTCTATTTCTTCACATTTCAGCCTTGGCAGGTTAATGAGTTCAGGACTGTATCTATTTCCTCTAGGTTTTCCAGTTTGTTGTGATATATTGTTCATAATAGTCTCTAATTATTCTTTCTATTTTTATGGTCTCAGTTGTCTCCTTTTTTGTTTCTAATTTTATTTATTTGGACCATCTCTCTTTTATTCTTAGTTTGGCTAAAGCTTTGTTAATTTGTTTATCTTTTTAATGAACAACTTTTCATTTTGTCAACCTTCTGTATTTTTGTATCAATTTTATTTCTCCTTTGGCCTTTATTATTATTATTATTAATTTTGCATTAATTTGGGGTTTGGTTTGTTCTACTTCCTTGAAGTACATCATCTGACTGTTTCTTTGAAGTATTTCTACTTTTTTATATCAGTGTTTATTGACATAAATTTCTTTCTTAGTACTGCTTTTACAGTATCTCATAAATTTTGGCACGTTGTATTCCCACTTTCATTTGTTTCACGAAATTGTTAAACTTCCTTCTCAATTTATTTATTAACCCATTGGTCATTCAGAAGCACGTTGCCTAATTGCCTTGTGTTTGTAGTTTCCAAAGTTCTCCTTTTTATTGATTTATAGTTTTATCCCATTATGGTCAAGAATAAACGATATAATTTCTACTTTTAAAAATTTATTCAGATTTGTTTTGTGGCCTCCGATATGGTCTATTGGAGACTGTTCCACGTGCTGATGAAAAGAATGCGTGTTTTGCAGCAGTTGGGTAGATTAATCTGTAAATGTCAATTAGGCCTATTGGTCTAGTGTGTAGTTTAATTCTGATGTTGCTTTGTTGATTTTGTGTCTATGATCTGTCCATTACTGAGATTGTGGTGTTAACGTCTTCAACAGTTACTGTATCACAGTCTACTCTCACTTTAGGTCTATTTGTATATTTGGGAGCTCTAATGTTGGGTGTATAGATATTTAAAATTGTTATATCTTCTTGTAAAAGTAACCCCTTCATCATATAAATGGATTGAATATGATGAACTATATTGAACTATAAATATAGTGACCTTTATCTCATTTTTACAACCTTAAATTGTAATCTGCTTTACTAAGTATACCTATTCCTGTTCTGCTTCCAATCACACAGAATGTCTTTTCCTACTCCTTCACTTTCAGTCTATGTGTTTTTTTTTTAAGTGAAGTAGGTTTCTTGTAGGCAGCATCTAGTTGGGCCTCCTTTTTTTTTTAATTTTTATTTTACTTTAAGTTCTGGGATACATGTGCAGAACGTGCAGGTTTGTTACATAGGTATACGTGTGCCATGGTGGTTTGCTGCACCTATCAACCTGTCATCTAGGTTTTAAGCCTCATATGCATTAGCTATTTGTCCTGATTTTCTCCCTCCCCTCCTCCCCATGACCCCTGACAGGCCCCAGTGTGTGTTGTTCCCCTCCCTCTTTCCATGTGTTCTCATTGTTCAGCTTCTGCTTATGAGTGAGAACATGCGATGTTTGGGTTTCCGTTTATGTGTTAGTTGGGTCTTCTTTGTTTATCCATTTAGGCATTCTGTGTCTTTTTATTGACAAATCAAATCAATTTATATTCAAGGTTATTGATAAGTAAAGACTTATTATTGCCATTTTGTTGCTTGTTTTCTGCTTGATTTGTAACTCCTGTTTTCCTTTCTTCTTTCTTACTGCCTCTTTTGTGGTTAAGTGATTTTCTTTGGTAGTATGTTTCCCTCTTTTTTTTTTTTTTTTTTTTTTTTTTTTTTTTGAGATGGAGTCTCACTCTGTTGCCCAGGCTGGGGTGTAGTGGCATGATCTCAGCTCACTGCAACTCTGCCTCCCTGGTTCAAGCAATTCATCTGCCTCAGCCTCCCCAAGTGGCTGGGACTACAGGCGTGCACCACCACACCCGGCTAATTTTTTGTATTTTTAATAGAGATGGGGTTTCACCATGTTGGCCAGGCTGGTCTTGAACTTCTGACCTCAGGTGATCTGTCCACCTTGGCCTCCCAAAGTGCTGTGATTACAGGCATGAGCCCCTGCGCCTGGCCTCACTTTTTTACTTATTATTTTTAGTGTATTATAGGTTTTTTTGCATTGTGGTTACCATAAGGCTTACAGAAACATCTTATAGATAGAGCAAGTTATCTTAAAGAGATGACAACGTGTCTTAGATCACAAAAAAAATAGAACCAACAAAGGAAAAACTAAAAAAAAATATAACTTTAATGTTATTCCCCTCACACACACATTCTGACATTTAGTTGTCTCAACTGACATATTTTTATATTACCAATTTTCCTTTTACTTTATATTTGGTTTTTGGTTCTCTGTCTAGCAGTGTGAAGCCAGTTTGCTTCTATTCCCCCATTTTGGAAGCCAAAGTCCTATGGTTAATTTTAAAATATTTGAAAATGTTGCATTCATGATTTAGAATATGTATTCTTCTTGGGTTCTCTGTTGGTTGCAGGAAAATATCTATGTTGCAGATAGTTGGATAGGCATGAGGAGGGCAGGAGAGCGCTCTCCCCCACCATCCCCCACCTCCCACTAGGAATATCAGGTGAGGGTTCAACACTGATCACACTGCCTCTCTCATAATGTTAACTGACAGGCGCCAGGGCGTCAGGGAGGGATCATCTCCTGATGATCCACAGCTACTAACATTAACATTAAAGTGTTAATTGAATACAGTTACCAGGAAAAAGAAACTTCCTGGGCATGTGCACTAAGAGACAAAATGGTGACGTATGATGTTCTGCGTGCATTCCACTGGAAAAGGGAAGAAAGTCTCACATCCCCAGACAATGGGGGTGTGAAGCCAGTTTGCTTCTATTTCGCCATTTTGAAACCCAAAGTCCTATGGTTTAATTTTATAAATATTTGAAAATGTTGCATGCATGATTTAGAATATGCATTCTTCTTAGGTTCTCTGTTGCAGGAAAATATATACATATATATGTACTATATATATAGTACATACATATATACTATACATACTATACATATATGTAATCTATATATACAAATGTTTATATTAAATATACATATATAGTACATATATGCATATATATACACATATGTATATATAGGTACTATATATATGTAATAACTATATATGTATGTACTATATAGTATATAGGTACTATATATGTGTTCATTAATACTATATATAGTACATATACATATACTAATACATACATAGTACCTATGTACATATATGTACTATATATGTACATTATACTATATATATAGCCCAAGCATGTTATATGTGTCACTCAAATCTGCTATATATTCTCCAAATATGTGGTTTCTGAGAGAGGTCTTAAATTCTTTCATTATAATTGTGAGTTTGTCAATTTATTTTTTAATCTGAGTTTTACAGTTTTTTGATGTTTTAAAGTTCATGTTGTTTAAAGATATAGAATTTATAATTTTTATAGTCTTTTCAAGGATTTTGGTTTATATGCTTTATTCATATTAATGCTTTTCCTTCATTTCCTATTTTGACTGATACTGCTGTATCAAATTTTTTGGTCCATATATGCCAGCATATTTCTTAGTCTTTTTAATTTTGAAATTTTCTGGTGTGTGTGTGTGCGTGTATGTACAATTGTCTATCATAAGCAGCTCATCACTGATGTTTTTATACCTAAGCCAATGATTTCAGATTTTTAATAAGGTCATTTAATCCATTTACATTATTGTTACTATAATGTATTTGGAGTTACATGAATCATCTTGGTTCATGTTTTT
The DNA here is from genome assembly GCF_000001405.40 of Homo sapiens. Lineage (NCBI taxonomy): Eukaryota > Metazoa > Chordata > Mammalia > Primates > Hominidae > Homo > Homo sapiens. The sequence continues at coordinate 119,985,834 of NC_000004.12, read as the reverse complement.
GTTTCATCAAAGACTTTTCTTGGCTTCTTTTTTCCCCTCTAATTTTTGTTAGATTGGTAAACTAAGGGTTACTCTTTTCCTTATCAATTTTTATTTATATATATTATAATTTCTTTGTCATTATCTTTTTGAATATGCTGTTCCAACATTCCTCTATTATCCTTTGCTGGTATCCTATTAAACTATTAAATAAGGTTCTCAAGGACTCTCCAGATCTCAGTTCTTTCTTCCAGTTTCTTAATTCTTTCCTTACTTTTGTTGATTCTATAGTTATCCTTTCAGTTTTGAGTGTTTTTAGATGCCTATATATTTTCTAGGATTAGTAACTATTTTTCTATTCATATAATTTGTTTTTTAATAGAGAACATTCCTTCCTTTGCCTCTCCGAGGACTTTAAACACTTATTTTAAACTCATTTTAGGGTTGCTCCATTTTAAAACTTTATCTGGAATTAATTCATCTCCTGAGTAGTTATTTTTTGGCCAGCTATCTTCACATCTCTCATTTTGTTATTTTCATTTGTTGGCTCTTCTCAAGTGGGAAATTTTTTAAAGCTCCCCCTCTCTGTGCTCTTACCCTTTCCATCTAATGTTTTTCAGCTGCTCCCATCTGCCCCGCTGAAGCTACTATTCTCAAGAAAGGCTTTTATATGAGTAGCTTAGAGTTTCATTTAGCACAGATGTTGGGATGTCATGGAGTCAGTCCCAGTGCTTCAAGGCTTAGTCTGCTTCTTGCCTCATAATTTGATCCCTAGGTAGTATTTTGGTCTTTTTGGCTTTCTTTCACGTTTGTTGATAACATCTTAGGATATTCTGGGCTACATTTAGTAGACCAGACCTATGTGCCGGGTAGCCACAGCTTCTGAATTGAAGTTATTGCATCTGTGATTGAACCATGTCTTTTTATGTTCTGTATTATGATGATTTGATGTGCAGGGCTTGCTGAGCTTGGAGGGACTGCTCCTCCCAGGATTAACCAATTCCTAGAGATAATGTGCAACTCTCCCTTGAGCACAACTTTCAAATGCAAACCAACCAATCCAGAGCCCATAACTCAGCCACCTCCTTTATCAGGCCCTTGTACTTCAGGTCACTATCCCCCTGTCCTAATAACCCCAGGGCCAGATATCAGACAACTAGAGAGAGTGCCTATGCCCCAGAGTCTGCTAAAAGTATTCAAATTAGCTAATTCTAAACCATTTACACTACCTGGCCCATACTTTCCCAAGGAAACCACAGTAAAGACTTCTACCCCCATGTTCTCCCACTCCCTCTGCCTTCTGACCAATCCCCTTGCATGGTCGCCAGCCCCGTTTCTAGGGATCTATGAGTATAACAAACTTCTTCCTTCACGACAGTCGTTTCTGAGCATGTGTGTCTTACTATAACTAATTAAGGCAAATCCCAGGTATCATTAAAGCAGTGATGTACTACTTGAATGACAGCAAAATAAAGTGATTCATAGTACTGGAAAACATGTCTCTGTGCTTGCTTAGTTCTAGTCAATGTAACATCTTGTTACAAAGTTTTGAGTTTTGGGGAATATGTGATTTTATAATATTATGAAGGCAATAGTTTGAATCAGTATGGGATTGTTTAAGAATGTAATTGCATGAACGGTTTAAATATGAGACCTATGGGAGAAAATAACCCAAGGTACTTTTCAGATTTTTTTTTTAAAAGAAATTGCCCTCCCACTACTTCCTGTATCTAGCAAAATTCACTTTATATTTAATTGTAAACGCCCAATGTATCAAGGACAGTTCTAAACGCTGGATGTACAGAGATGATCAAACTCTTCAGGTGTTCTGCCCACGATAATGCTTCTCAATCAATCTAAATTTATCTCAGCTACTCACAACCCAGGCTCTTCATTCTACACTGCTCAGTACCCAGGTTCTTCATTCTACACTGGTCAATTTCCCAAAATCAATATCAGTCATTTCTGCTCCAGCACTTCTGCTCATACTGTTGCCGCTCCCAAACAATTCCCCCTCTTGTCCTCTTTTCCTGTCACCTTCCCTTTGAAATCCATCTCGATTTGTTCAGTCACATTGTTGCTATTCTCTTTTGCATCTCTATAGTCTTATGACCTTTTACACATAATATCTATGAAATTTTGTTTTTAAAGCATGCATTTTTTAAGAATTAAAAATTTCTGAAATTGAAGTATGTCTCCCTCTCTCCATATGCATGTGTTTGTATGTGTGTGTATACACACATATGTATTCACACATACACAGGTTTTTTTAGTGGTTCTCTGTGCTCCAAATATTTTTAAATAGATAACATACCTATAATCCATGCATTCTAGGAATTGAGGAAATAGGGAATCTTGACTTTTTGATGGTTTTTGGATAGTGTTCCTGGAGCTCCAGGAGCAGGGCTTCAGCAGTGGAAAATTGAGATGAACTAGTGGGGGCCCGTTCTGGTCATTCCTATAACCTTGAACAATCAGCTTAACTTTTTGGGTAATTTTTGTTTTATTATTTTATTTTCAGATCTAAACAAAAGGTTTGGGAACCTGAACGTATTGACATAAATGCTTAATATTTTAGCTTTGTCTCTCTCATTAGATTACAGCTTCCGCACCCAAAGGGCCTGGCACAGTTATGACTAGATAATTGAGTCAGCTTGTTCCTGATTGGTTTGTGTGCAAACATGCAGACTACATCTACAGTGATCATTTCTCTTAATTTTTCAAACAACTATTTGCTACTCTCTAAATGTTAGTTCCTTTCTGTGTTCTATTTTCTTAAAAAATGATGTATTGGGCCTCCCAGAATGAATGTGAATTACAGCTCTATTATGTCTTTATAGTTAGCAAGTTTTAGGTTTCTTTCCAAAGTACACAAATGAGTTTTAATGATATTTGTAAATGGCTATAATTTAAGATCACAAGGTATTATCTTTGAGATAACATTAGAATTTGGCAGGAAAGAAAACTTTTATTTAGAAACTTGGCTTCTTGAACACAGAATTCTGCTGCTATAAGATTTCAAGTTAGACATTTAGTTGAAATGGAAAAAATAAATGTTGGAAAACTGGAAGTAGATGAGTTTGAAAGGACTATTCAGTGAGTGAATTTACAATTTAAACTGTTGTACACTTCTACACTTCATTTTGTTGGATTATAAAAATAAGTGAACAAAACGTCTTTTCTTATAACAATCACAGCAGACCTGTGTTAGAGTTTCTCCAGAGAAACAGAATCAATAGAATATACATGTACACACATATATGTATACACACTATACATACATATATATATAGTGGGAGAATGTGTGCACATGTCTGCGTATGTGTATATGTGTTTACATATGTACATACACATAGATGGAGATACATGTGTACATATCCATTATATATATCCATTATACATATATCCATTATACACACCTATAATCCATGCATTCTCAGAATTGTGTGTGTGTGTGTGTGTGTGTGTGTGTGTGTGTATATATGTATGTATGGAGAGAGAGAGAAAGAAAGAAAGGTTTATTGTAAGGAATAGGCTCACTAAATTGTAGGGGCTGAGAAGTACAAAATTTGTAAGGCAAGCTAGCAGGTTAGAAATTCAAGTAACAGTTGATCATGCAGTATGGAGTCCAAATTTCATGGACAGGTAAGAAACTCAGATAAGGTTTTATGTTCCAGTCTTCAGGCCAAATTTCTTCTTCTTTGGAAAACATGTATTTGCTCTTCAGGCCTTCACCTGATTGGATGAGGCCCATCCACATTATGGAGGTTAATATGCTTTACTTAATATCTACTAATTTAAATGTTAATTTCACCTAAAAATTATCTTCATGGCAACATCTAGATTAGTGTTTGCTAAAACAACTGGGCACTGTGGCCTGCCAAGTTGTCACATTAAATTTACCATCACAGTGTCTTATTGTTTGTTAGGCTCCTTTTTCTGACATCACCTTCTCAATCAGCTCTGCTCAGTTTCAGCTTACTCTGTGAAATAAAATGCAACATGATCTCAGACATTTGTTTAAGGGGTCTCCAATTTTCTGCAGAACTGAAATCCCTGATTTGTATTTTGGAGAACTCTCCAGATGAGAGCCATTTGGACCAAATCATAGAGTAAATTCTAGAGTAGCTTTGTTTGTCAAAGGTTTGGTGAATGAGGTAATGAGCGACAGAAGAGGATAATATTAACACAGATTTGTCATTAAATTGATGTTATTGTCGATGGAGTATCCCTTGTGTCATTATTGCTATTAGTAAATTTTCATGAAGTTCTTGAGGAGTCCATTGGTCAGATACATACATCAAGCCTGATAGAGTATGAGTAAGGGTAGATCTGGACCTGTCCAAATTCCTACCTCTGGAATCTCAGTGGTCCTCTTCACAGGTTTGTTTAGAGCAGAACTGAGGCTTTCAGCACTAAATTCAAGCTCTCAAAATGCCAACTGCCCATACAAATGTAAGTGGCTGCACAAAGTGAGCAATAAAAAAATGAAGTTAACCATTGCAACTCTTTATGAACCCTTGCATGCTGCTTGAGTTCTTTTAAAGCCATGATAGTAAAAAGTTTTATTGTAATAAAACTTACATTGTAGAGTTTATTGCAATGTTTAAAAAGCAGCACATGTGCATTTACATTTGATTCTCCTTTCAAATAACATTATGGGCAAAATATTGTTGTTTTACAGATATGAAACTGGGAGTTCAGAACTCAAATTTCACTTGCTAAAGAACAAATAGTAAATATTGGGGTCAGAACAAGAACTACATCATCTGGTCTGTTAAGCATTCATAATTGCTGTTCAGGAGAACAGAAAACATTATGTTTCTAAAGTAAATTATTGGCCAGTGGCACTGAACTACTTGTTTTAGAGGTAAAAGCTCTGACAGGAAAAAAAAAAAAAAAACCATATGAAATCACTTTGAAAGGCTTTATTGTAAGTTGCCAGAGAAAAAGTAAAATTTACATGAAACGATTTAAAATGTAACATTAAAAAAAACTGGAAGAAGAAAGAAATGTGTTTTTTCGTTATGATAATAAAGGAAGTAATTTTCTTTTGTGCCTGGTAATTATACTGAAAACATAACTGCAACTCAAATTTAACTGCATCTTTGAAGAAGGTTTCGGGGGTGAAAGACATGCATTTGTGGATTCTGAGGATCAGTTTGATCTTTCCTGCTGTACAGAGATCAAAAGATTCATTGTTATTTGAGAAAAGCAGGATTCAATTATGGCTGAGATGAAAGACAGTGAGAGCTGAGTAGCTGCCTTGGCAATAGTTGTTAATTGAGTATCCAACTACAGACTCTTCCAATTGATTCTTCAAAATCTTAATTCCAATAATTATGCCATTTAGACATCAGAAGAATGCTAACAAAGAAACAAAACTCAAAATCACTGCAAATGACTACAGTGGCTAAGTAATGAAGAAATTGAAAGAGAAGAACCATTTTCCTGGCCCTCCAAAATTAGTGTGTAATGCCCCAAATTAATTAATTTATCTTCCACAGGTCAAATAATAGGTCTTTGGCATCCCAGAACTTGTTTCTCTTTATGTAAATAAATCCATCCTTTGTCTCAGGTACAAAAGCAAATTATTCCATCTCAGTTATCCATTCTGTCATCACCTACACCCTGACCTCTGAGCCCTGACCATTAAGGGACTCTTTTCTGATAGTTGAATTCAGTGATAAGTTCCTACTTCTATACAGCCTGTAGAAGGTTCAGTTTAGTTCAGTTTAAAATGAGTGGCTTACTATTTCTTATATTGCAGGTTTTTAGAAGTTTTGTCAAAAAATATTTGTTCTGAGAAATTACCTAGTGAAATTAATCTGTGTACAAATAAAAATATGGGCAATTTTTTAATTATTAGTTTTTTTTCCAAAAGAATGTTAGCAGCTCGAATTATGTGAAAAAATTTTCTCAACTCTAAGTCAAACCCATCAAACACAATAAAACAGCTTCTAGAGATTAAACACACACACACACACACACACACACACACACAAAACCATGACAAAAGTAGGTGATAAACCTCTAACTGTATTTAATTTGCATGACATGAACAATTAAATGTTTTCTAAGAGAAGATCAGACATTCTACAGAAAATAACTTCAGAAGGAAGATCTTAAATTTCTTAATCCAGAAGCTTAATATTAGGGCCATGTATTTATATATGTTTTTAGCTGCCATTGTTACTTGCACTCACTGTTTGCACCTGCCTGACATAAATAAGCAAGCATATTCTTAATGCAGTCTTTTTTTTCCTGTGTACTAAATACCAATCATATAGGGGTGAGAGTCAGGATGGAAATGAGTATTTCTTGAATAGCAGTCACTTTCTTTCATATCGACTGGTTTTATTTACTTCAGAGCCTTTTATCACACCTGAAATGACTTTGCTTGTTTATTGAGATGTTCGTAGTTGATTTTTCCTCAAAAGAAGCTAAAAGCAGAACGCTTCTCAGTCAAGTGCTCCTCTGTACCATGAGTACCAAGGAGAGTGACTGGCATTTAGTAGGTCTTCATGTTTTTTAATAAATTCTAGGCACAGGACTAGACGCGGTGTGATTATTACCTCATAAATTCTCAAAGTGATCTTCAAATGTAAATATTATTATCCGTCTTTTATGATTAAGAATCAAGGCTTAAAGGAATTAAGTATCTTGCCAAAGATCAAACAGTTAAGAAGACATGATATAAACTCAGGTCTGATGTGTGTTCTGTTTGGAGGTCATGGGATAATGCATGCTTCCCAAAGTGGGCCATGGCTGTAAGCAATATTATAGATAGTAAGCAAAATGATATTAAGTAGCGCACATTAGATAATTTCAAAAGTTACACCCTTTAAAGCTTTCTTCCAATTAATCTAATTATGTGAAGGATAAAGTCTCATATTAATACCAGTGTGTATGTCATGTTTCTCTAATAATTTCTACTCTCTCTCTCTCTCCCCTCAGTTCAGTTAAGGGCAGGTAAGAATATAAAGCTAGAATTTTGTTTTCAGTGTATTAATTTTTACCAATACTTATTTAAGGCAAGATATCCACTTGCAAGTGTTCCACAATTCCATCATAGACAGCATTCTAGGTAAGGCCGTGAGTTTATTTAAAGAAAATATTACTCGATTAGATAATAGTGTAAGTGACATATTTGGCAAAAATTATGGAAGAGGTGTACAATGTCTAGTTTTAAAAATCCTTCTCTGAAGCAATTTACAAGGCTCTGGAAGAAAAACAAAAAATAGAAGGTATTGCTATGATAGAGAAACTCAGATATGTATCTCAAAACTATTTTAAACGTACTGTACTTCAGGTATAAAATTTAAAGACTACTAACCTCTCAGCGTAACTAGGATAAATACCACTGTGGCACAAAAACTAGGACTACAATTAGGTTACAGTCCTTACCTAATTGTTCTTATAATATAGTTGAGGAGATACATAAATAATCAGTATACAAATTAGGAAGCAAAAAATGTGTAAAAGAAAAAAACACATATGGGAATTTACGGTTCTATAAAATACTAATTACTTCCTGTTATTAAATTTATTAATTATAATAATTATATTATTTCTGTAATTATGAACTACAACATACAAATTATATACCTATATAAATGTTAAAAGTTATACATAATTATAATGAAAAATTTTGTCATGCATGCTCATAACAATAGTAAATATCCTTGCTGATTCTAATATATAAACATAGAAATGAGAACATGGAGCTGCAACCCTGTTTTGGATGGGTATACAATAGAGAAATAGTCACACTTGCAGAAGTGAGGAGTACCTTTTCTTATAGTTTCAAGAAAAGCCTTAAGGGGTTGGCAAATATGACCTGCTAAATTGCCAACCATTTAAAAATAATCAAATTCGTAACCCCAGTAAAGCTAACATATCTTTAATATGGCACAAAGTTAGAGCTTTACTAAGGGATGGTGCTGCCTGAGAAACTGTCATCACTTGGTATACTTTAGGGTAAACTTTTAACAATGGAGGGACTGGTTTTCCTCTTAAATTCTTTATGCTGACATCTGTTTATAGGGAGTATTAGAGTAAATTCATATGGTTCAAAGGCTTGGGTCTCATGTGGGGCCACTTGTCAGTCCCTCACTACTTTCCAGAGCCAACGTTTAAAGGCATAAATTTCCAAGGACATCTGGTGCTTTCTTAAGAAGGGGAGGATGTCTGTGTGGTCACGAGAACGTGGCTCCTAAAAGCACGAGCCCAAGGTTCAGATTCTGACTCTCATTTACTGGAGCAAGCTGCTTGATTTCTGTAAGACTCAATTTTTTTCAACTGTAAACTGTAGGAAAGAATAATGCTTACCTCAGGTTGTTTTGAAGATTAATTAAAATAAAGCAAGAGAATTGTCAGTGAATTGTCTGGGATGTAATAGGCCCTCAGTTAGCGTGACCTGCTATTGGCCTGTGTTATGAACTGCAATGTTCTCTTTTCGGGGCTTTTCCAGAGACCTCAGGTAACATGATCCCTTTAACTTTACAGTACTCTTTAGGGTTGGGACTCACTCCAGTGCTTCAGACCAGTTCCACACGTGTGAAATTTGGGCTCTTTCCTGAGCTGCTTCAAGCTTTTTTTTTTTTCTTAGCCGAGGGAAGTGCAAAGCCCATGACCCATGACTCAAATCCATCTCCTTTTCTTAGCACAACCAAAGAGAAAGTCTACATTCAAACTTAAACAGGGACTGTTTGAATTCTGCAAACCGAATACCTCTTCACCATATCCCTTGTAGATAAGTGTGGAACATCCATCTCATTTGCCATTCTTTAGCTGGATTTTCTTGCTAAGGGTAACATTTAATACAAGACCTGTCTTCATCTTTTTATAGCCACTGACTGTAGTTCCCTGGCAACTGTTACATTTTGCCTCTGACAAACATTATGTCAGGTATTTTCCCAAACAAAACATAAAGAAAATGTTTGAACTTGGCCTGTGCTATTTTTACATACCTTTTCTTTATAGCCAAGTGTTAGGATAAAGAGGATATATAAGTTCAGTGAGATAAAAAGAATACAAGAACTTTAGACTCACTCATTCACCTGTGTATAAATGTTTTAATTCTTTGGAACCCCTATTTGGAGGAAGAAACGTGTGAAATTCATATTTTCTCATGGATATATTTATCCAGTGCAAAGTAGCCTCCTACTGCTCTAACTTGCTGCTCTTCTCTATGGCCCTGCCAGGCTAGCCAAGGCTGATGGATCCAACAGTGAATTAGATTCCTGAGAATGGAACTGAGAAGACACAGGACTCTTATTTCTGAGGTCCCTGGAGCTTTCGTCGTTATTATTACTCTTCCTGGGTCTTGATTGTTCAAGTAACCCTGGGAATTCCACCATCCCTGAATATCCTTATTACAAATTCCCTCTTTTGGTTTAAGAAACCCAAGTGGATATCTGTTGTATGTAACCCAAACAACCCTAATATATGATTTAAATTAAAAAATTAAAAATATTAAGCTTATTAGCTCTATTAAATTGGGCTTTTGTATGTGTTTAAGCATATTAAACACAGGACTAAGAGGATAGTACAATTCTTTTCATTATAAAATGCATGCTACTTATTTCAACAGCCAACAGGTAGTTGTGTTTAAATATGCGATAACACATACTTAAAAAAGAAAAACATACACACACATAGTATTTCAGACTTTTCCATTTTATCCTCACCAAAATTCTTTTTTAAAATGATCTAAATCTTTTGAATTAAAATAGTAGGAATTTCTTGGGATGTTTAAGCAGTTAGTAATATATGTTACCTCTAGAATTTCAAGTAGTCACATGACATTCTTTTGCAAATGAGTTATCATTTCTTTCAGCAGTGGATTTAAAACAATTTGATGTACTGGTAATTTCATAGTAGCTATTTTACTCCTTCTAATATCATACATATCATTCAATTTAGCCATGTATATGTAGACATGGGACAGGGGTCTTGCTCTGTTGCCCAGGCTGGTCTCAAACTCCCAGCTCAAGTGATAGGGCCACCTCAGCCTCCACAACAGCTGAGGTTATAAGCACACACCACTGTGCCTGGGTAATTTCTCAGCTTCTTCTTTCATCACTACACAAACCCCATAAACATACCATGCACTTTCTTATCTTCGAAACTTTCTTCCAGTTGTTGATGCTATTTAAAATTCTATCTTCACCCCTCCTCAGAAGCTATTTGCAAGGAAAACGCATATTCATCCTACAAGATCATACTTAAATATCACATCTGGGGAGTATTTTCTGGGCACCTTCTGTCCATACCTCTTTGAGCAGAATTAGCAGAATTAATCTTTATATCCAATTTATTTTTCATCATATTCCTTTGTAAATACCTATGGTACTTCCATATTCTTATCTATTAGTAGTTTCAGGTTTGTCCTTGAAGTTGTCCATGAATCCCCTTATGGCATGAACTCTGTCTTGTACATAATCGTGTGTTTCCAGCATGTTGGACAATTCCTCACTAATTATTGACACTCAGTAAATGTTTGTTCTTGTAAATAAAAAATTTCAGTTCAGAAAACTGAGAGGAAGAATTGAGGTGTTTGTGAATTATTAGAACATTCTTAAATGTAATACTGAGATATTCTTTCATTTGGATATATTTCCCAATTTATGAATTTATTAAAATTTGCTAAGAGATTTTCAAAGTGTTTTTTAACAATTTCTCATCCTAGCAGTGGAGCAGTGTATAAAAGTTTCAGTTGTTCCATATCCCCACTGACACTTAGTATCTCAACATTTTAAAATGTATATATTCCTTGATTTGTTTTGACATTTCATACATTTTTGTTTCTAATGTTCATAAGTAAAATTGACCTATATTAATTTTTGTTCTTAATTTGATCATTTCCTTCATTCTATTTTCCTCGTGTACACAGTTGCTTTTTTCTATTTTCTTATATTGCGTACTTAGGTCACACACTTTCATTCTTTCTTTGTTTCTAATAGATGCATACTATATGCAAAGCGTGATGTAAATCTTTCTCTAGTACTACTTTAGCACCATTGCACAAGTGTTGAGATATGGTATTTTCATTTTTTTCTATATATATTCTGACTTTTATTATGTATTCTTTCACTTGAGACTGATTTAGAAGTGTAGTTTTCAGTTTCCCAAATATATATGTTGTGGGTAGATAATTATATTGCATTTTGCCAATACGTCACATTTCAATTGTTGAGAACTGCTGTAAGAACTGATACAGGTATCCCGGAAATGAATGTGCTCCCTATCTGTCGGGTACTCTACATGCTTGTTAGACCAGGCTTACTGAGTTTTGACTGCTTGATCTAACCTTTCTAATTTCTTTGTCTGCTTTATCTATAAATATTCAAGAAAGGTATATTAAAATCCCTCTCTATAATTATGGGTTTATCAGTTATTCTTATTGTATACCAGTTTTCTTATTTTATACCAGTTTTCTTTGTAAGCTTCGTAGCTATGTTTTAGTTTTACACAGATTCAATACTATTTTACATATATTAAAATATTATTAGACATTAAACTGCTTTTTTATTTTTAATTGACAAGTAAAAATGTTATATATTTATGTTGTACAACACAATGTTCTGTTATATGTATATATTGTGAAATGGGTAAATTGAGCTATTTTACATTATACATTACCTCACACGCATTTTTGTGTGTGGCGAGAACATTTAAAATCTACACTCTTAGCAATTTTTAAGTATACAATTTATTGTTATTAACTATAGCCTTCATGCTGTACAATAGAGCTCTTGAACTTTTTCCTCCTGTCCAGCTGAAAGTTAATACACTTTGACCAATAATTCCCAATCCTCCCACCTGTCAGCTGCTGGTAACCACCATTTTACTCTTTGTTTAGACTTTTTTAGATTCTACATGCAAGTGAAATAATGTGGTATTTGTCTTGCTGTTGCTGGTTTATTTCACTTAACATAAAGTGTCACAGGTTCATCTATGTTATTGCAAATGGCATGGCAGAATTTCATTCTTTTTTATAGCTGAATAGTATTTCATTATGTATATATACCAGATTTTCTTTATTCATTACCCATTATGGACACTTGGGTCGACACATATCTCACCTATTGTGAATAATGCTGTAATGGACATGGGAGTGCAGATCTCTTCAGCATACTGATTTCATTTCCTTTAGATATATAACCAGCAGTGACATTGTGGATCACATGGATACACTTTTAATTTTGGGGGGAACATTCATACTGTTTTCTGTAGTGACTCTACCAATTTATATTTCCATCAGTAGTGTGCACAAGGGTTCCCTATTCTTCACATCCTTATCAACACTTATCTTTTGTCTCTTTGATAATAGTAATTCTGACATGTGTGAGATGATATACCATTGTGGTTTCAGTTTCCATTTCTCTGATTACTAGTGATGTTGATCTTTTTTTTCATATACCTGTTGCCCACTTGTATATCTTCTTTTGGAAATTATGTATTCATATTCTTTGCCCATTTTTTTGAGACAGAGTTGTGCTCTTGTCGCTCAGTCTTGAGTGCAATGGCACGATCTTGGCTCACTGCAACTTTAGCCTCTGGGTTCAGTCGATTCTCCTACCTCAGCCTCCCGAGTAGCTGGGATTACAGGCACCCGCCACCACGCCCAGCTAATTTTTCTATTTTTAGTAGAGACAGGATTTCACCATGTTGGCCGGGCTGGTCAACTCCTGATCTCAAATGATCCACCTGCCTCGGCCTCCCAAAATGCTAGGATTACAGGTGTGAACCACCACACCTGGCCCTTTGCCCATTTTTAATCTGGCTATGTTTCTTACTATTGAGTTATTTGATTTATTATATGTTTTGTGTGTTAACACCTTATTATATGCATAGTTTGCAAATATTTTCTCCCATTTTGTAGGTTGTCTCTTCTCTATTGATTATTTACTTTGCTATACAATTGTTTCAGCAATTGTTGATTGTTTCCTTTCCTTTCGTTTCCAATACACAGGTACCTCAGGATATGAACCTCATGAATCTATAAACATTTTTAAAAATTAAAAAAATAGTATTTAACTAAATTTAAATATAATTCTGAAAAACTTTTTATTCAACAGTAATTATGTTAAGTGGTAAGGCTGCTTAATTTTCAAATTTTTTAGTTAACTTTAGGAACCTAGTCTAACAGTAAATTAATGGATAATCTTTGAATGTTTGGATAATTTCTATGCAAGATAGAATACTGAAATATTAGACCATAATTTTTGCTCATTATTTGCATATGTTATAAAATTTTATTCCTTTTGATTATAATTTTGAACATGTTCATTTTTTCCACTTTAAGAAGGTGTAAAAATGGCGAATGCAGCTATAAGTAGTTGTTTTGTGTGCTCAATTACTTCCAAACTTTTTGTAAAAGAGAAATTAGATATTTTGGCTAAAGATGAATGTAGAAGTTATCCTGGGAGCAATGGTTTCAGAAAAGACCAAGTATGTATGCAAAGTATTTGAACGTGTTTTTATTCATCAGTGGGAAAAGAGAGTAGTTTTATCTTAAAACAAAGAGTCTGGTTGTTGAGAAAGCTATGGAGGGTAGTGAAAGAAAAATCTTTATGGACAGAGAAAGTTTAGAAGGTTTATATAAAGCATGCTCGTCCAACCCACGGCCTGCAGGCCACGTGCAGCCCAGGATGGCTTTGAATGCAGCCCAGCACAAATTCGTAAACTTTCTTAAAACATTACGAGATTTTGTTTGTGATTTTGTTTTTTAGTTCATCAGCTATCGTTAGTGTTAGTGTATTTTATGTGTGGCCCGAGAAAATTCTTCTTCTTCCAATGTGGCCCAGGAAAGCCAAAAGATTGGACACCACTTGTATAAACTTTATTTGCCTTAATTTATAACACTTGCAAGTGAGTCTGAAGAAAAGCAATGAAAGCCATTAAAATTTTGGCAGTGTTAACTCAGCTTTTATGAGTTTAATTATAAGATAAAAAAGCCCCATGAATTCTGTACTGCTAAAATATTATGTTAACATGGTTTCCTCTGTTAAAATGACAAACTGATGTGGGAGTATTCAGTCTGCTTTTAAGTGATGTAAAATTATAAACACCTGAGATTCTCTTTCTTAGCAGATTAACATTGTATGTTTATGTTACTTTATGTCCTTGATTACTTAAAAAAACAAAATTTTCTTCCTTCCAAAAGAGCTAAGTTTTCTTACACATGTCCTACTTTCCATTTATGTTTGTTTAAAAATAGTATGTTGTCATTTGATTAGCAGGAGATCCAGCTGCCACCATTCATTGTTCTCAAGCACTTATGCTCCCATCTTAATCAACTGAACAGTCTCTTCTGTTAATGCTTTGGATATGGTCTCCTTAAGGTCATACACAGAATTTGAAAAAATAAAATATAAATAAATAAATGAATTCAAGATGTCTTTTTAAACTATATAACATGTTCTGTTTTAACTATACATAACATGTTTTGTTTTCCTTTTTTAACTTTATAAAAGGAACACTAATAGAAATGTTCTTTTTTTTGTATGCTCTATATTTTGTACTTTGTACTATACTATTGTAAAAGCTGGAGGAGAATAGTTGTGAAACAGAGAAGTTTCACCTTTACTGGTTGAATTGCATTCAGATAAGTATATTATCAATCTAAATATATTTCAGAGATTATATACTTTATAGGAAAGCTCTCACATACTCATAATGTGTTACTACCCTAAAGAGAAATATTGATTAAATGAATTCAGTAAAGTTGCAGGCTACAAAATCAACATGCAAAAATCAGTAGCATTTATATACACCAATAGTGAGCAATCTGAAAAATAAAGCAAGAAAGCAATTCCATTTACAATATCTACAAAGAATATAAAATACCTAGGATTCAATTTAACCAAAGATGTGAAAGATCTCTCAAGGAAAACTATACAACACTGATGGAAGAAACTTAAGAAGACATACACAAAAGTGTAAAGATATTTCATGCTCATGGATTGGAAGAATTAATATTGTTAAAATGACAATAGTACCCCAAACCATTTACATGAAATATAAATTGATATAAATATTTATATGAAAATGTATGACTATTTATATAAAATACATATGAATATTTATATAAATATTTATATGAAAATACCAATGATATTCTTCACAACAATAAAAATGATCCTAAAATATATGGAATCACAAAAGATCCTGAAGAGTCAAGTCAACCCTGAACAAAAGGAACAAAGCTGAAGGCATCACATTACCTGACTGCAAAATTTACTATAAAACTCTAGGTACCAAATCAGCATGGCTGTGGCATGAAAACAGACACATGGATCAACAGAAGAGAACAGGGAACATAGATATAAATCCATACATTTACAGCCTACTCATCTTTGACAAAAGCACCAAGAGCATACAATAGGGAAAGGACGTAAGTGGTGCTGAGGAAACAATAACCATACGCAGAAGAATAAAACTAGACCCCTTTCTCTTACCATACATAAAAATCAAATAAAAATGAATTAAAGACTTAAATCTAAGACTGAAACTATGAAACTACTGGAAGAAAAGTTAGGGAAAACACTCCAAGAGATTGATCTGGGCAAATATTTTTTTCAAACACCTCAAAAGCATAAAAAACTAAAGCAAAAATAAACAATCGGGATTACATCAAGCTAAAAAGTTTTGGTACAGCAAAGGAAACACTGAAAATGAAGAGATAACCCACAGAATGGGAGACAATATTTGCAAATAGCCCATATGACAAACGATTAATAACCAGAATACATAAGGTACTCAAACAACTCAATAGCAAAAAAAAAAAAAAAAAAAAAAAAAAAAAAAATCTGATTTAAAAATGAGCAAAAGATCTGAATAGACAATTTCCCAAAGAAGACATACAGTTGGCCAATAGGAATATGACATAATGCTCATCACTAATCATCAGAGTAATTCAAATAAAAAACATAATGAGGTGGCTTCTCACCCTTGTTAAAATGGCCTTTATCAAAAAGACTATAAATAACAGATGCTGGCAAGGATGTGGAGAAAGGGGACCCTCGTACACTATTTTTACAACCACTATGGAGAACAGTATGGAGGTCCCTCAGAAAACTAAAAATAGAGCTAGCATATGATCCCTCAGTTCTACTACTGAATATATGTCTCCTCAAAGAGGAAATCAATATATCAAAGAGATACCTACATTCCCATGTTGATTGCAGTCCTATTCAAAATAGCCAAAATATGGAAACAGTCTAAATGCCCATTGAGGAATGAATGGACAAAGAAAATGTGGTATATATATACAATAAAATCTTATTTAGCCATGAAAAGAATGAAATCCTGTCATTTGCAGCGACATTAATATAATATGAGATCATTATATTTAAAGAAATAAGCCAAGCACAGAAAGATAAAAATTGCATGTTCTCACTCATACATGAGAGGTAGAAAGTGGATCTCACGATTATAAAGAGTAGATTGGTGGTTACCAGAAGCTGGGAAGGTTAGTGGGAGGTGGGATGACAAAGATTTGATTAATGGGTACAAATGCACTGTTTGATAGAAGAAATAAGAACTAGTGTTACACGAGTGGGATGGCTATAGTTTATAATAATTTATTGTACATTTCAAAGTAGGACGAAGAGAATAATTTGAATATTTCTAGCATAAGGAAAAGGAAAATATTTAAGGTGATGCATATGCCAGATACACTGATTTGATCTCTACATATTATATGAAGGTATCAAAAAAAAGTATATGCTCTCAGTCACAATCATAATCATTTAAACTGTATTATCTGATCATGAGGAAACTAAATTAGAAATTAACTTACAAATAGTAATTAAAAGGTCACAGTTTGGAAGACATAAAAATCAAAGCCCAAAAAATTAATGGCTTAAAAAAAAGTCACAAAGAAAACTATAAAATGTAGTAGGTGAATGATAGTAAAAATACTAAAATATGAAAAATATTAAAAACAAAATCAAAATTTGTGAGGTGCAGCTAAAACAATATCTAGAAGTTATTAGTAGCCCCAATATCTTCATTACAAAAAATAAGCATTTAATCTAAGAAGCTAGCTAGAGAATTGAAAAGAACAGTAAGAAAGTTGAAGATAATTGCAAAAACAAAACACAATCTAGAAAAAAGTTAATGGAGATGATTTTTTAAAACTTCCTTTGAAAGCTAACAATCTAGGCAAACCTCCAGGAAGTTTGATCAGTATATGTATCTATATTGATCTATCTATCTATCTATCTATCTATCTATCTATCTATCCAGAGATTAATGCATTATTCACATAATGGAATACTATTGTATAGCAACTAGGCTGAGTAAATCAGATCCACATGCATCAATATAGAGAAATCACAAAAACATAAGACAAGAAAGTTGTGATAAAAATTTCTGTAGTTGTTTAGTTATTGAGCAATGTTTTGTATGTTTATACACATACATGTATGTACTTACGCACACACGCAGTCATGCATATGCTATATTTATGTGATATCTATTTTTATAGGTAACTGAAGCATATGACATAATGTTAGAATTTTTAAGTCTTTTTTAAACTAATGAAATAGTATACATATGCTTGATGTTTCTTTTTCGGCTTTTCTCTATCCCATTACCTTTTTACTCCACAGAGGTAACCATTATTCTGTCAGTGTTTTTATTGTTATTTCTTTTAAAATTTCCCAGCTAGTTCATTTTTTATTCTGAAGAAACAAAACTTTGTATTTCCCAGTTTTATCTGAAACATAATCATGAGTAATAGCATAGAAAAGTAGAAATTTGCCTTCTTTAGAAAGTTTTTAATTTGTTCTTTGTAGCACACAGTATAATATAAAATGTTTAAATCGGGCAATGATCTAGATTATTTAATTTAATATGTAATTATTTTTCAAATCAGAAGTACTAGAACACATATTTAAATATTGGCCTAATCTTGATATCACAAAGCAGAAAATACAGCATGTTAATTATTTTTAGGCATCCACCTTTACAAGCTCTTTTTGGGAGAGGTAGGGAACTGGACAAAAACTTGCCAATTGAAAGAGCAAGTACTAGCTTACTCACAAAGAGAAGATACCATAATATCAAAAAATGACCCATAGAATAGGTAAAATAGTATGCACATTTATATTAAATATTGTTTAATTGAACATGGGACAATAATCAAATGTTCCAATGTTAGTGCTTTGATGTTGTATGATATTGGACACTATGAATAAGAGGTCCAAGATTTAACTGCTTTTTTTCTTTTCTTTTTCTTTTTTTTTTTTTTTTTAAATTTTGAGACAGAGTCTCAATTTGTCACCCAGGCCGGAGTACAGTGGCATGATCTCAGCTCACTGCAGCCTCTGCCTCCCAGGTTCAAGCAATTCTCTTGCCTCAGCCTCCCCAGTAGCTGGGATTACAGGGGTGTGCCACCATACCCAGCTAATTTTTATATTTTTAGTAGAGATGGGGTTTTGCCATGTTGCCCAGGCTGGCCTTGAACTCCTGGCCTCAAGTGATCCACCCGCCTTGACCTCCCAAAGTGCTGGGATTACAGCCATGAGCAATCGCACCCAGCCTAACAACATTTTTTTAATCAAAAATCTTTGGAGAGGCTGGGAGTGGTGGCCTCTTCCTAGGTCCTTCTTCCTAGATCTCCCAACCTTACTGTAGATAATCCAAATTATTTCCTCCCATGGAGCTCTGTTCTTTGCTGCAGAACGAATAGGGTGATATTTGTTAAGATTCTAATAATTATGCATTTCCTCCCAACAAAATTTATAACATCTGTGGAAAAAAAGCTCACAATGTAGTTTCTCTTTTTCTATTTTAGAAAATTATAATTCTTCTTTGACAATTTTATTTTCTAGAATTTTCTTTTACTTGTCCAAGGAACAATTTCATTCTTTGGAGGGACTAAGCCAGAAAAATTAAGATTGACATTGAGGACTATGGGGGAAAAAATGAGTGTTTTCCTAGATGCTATGGACAAATAAAACATAGAATAAAAATGGAAAATAGAATCGGCATTAACTACAGATCTTTAGAGCACGGGCTCATTTGGCTAATGTGGAAAGAAGTGTAGAAAAACTTGAAAGGCCGTGCCCAGTGCTTTCTGATCAAAAGGTGGCTTTTTGCATTAATATACGCTCCATCCCCCAAAGTCTTACATGCTGCTTTTGTGAAATAAAAATTGTGTGTGTATATATATTCCACGCAATATATCATAGTAATTAATCCCCACCATCAACAAAAATTAGTTTTCTGACACAGGTAGCTTATGAATTTTTTCCCTCTGGAATATATGTTATCCATCTTATGTACCCTTCCTCTGTTTTTGGAAACCTTTAATATTAAGTATACCAGTACATGCAGACTGATTAACGATTACACAGTCCTACTCTCAGCTGTGGTAAAGGCCAGTATCAGAAAGTCGAATTGCCTTTGACTCACTCTAGATTACACTGTTGGGTCCTTTCACAGTTTATCAGTCCGTAGGATCTTTCTTCAAAATTAAGAAATAAATTGCCTTTCTCAAATAGATATTGTGCTTGAATATCCTGAGGGGAAAACTATCGTTTACTAACTACAGTATTTCCATATGGCAAGAATCTCCTCTATGAGTCGCAATTGACAAATTGGTCAAATCTCAGCTTTTCTTTATTTCTTATTTTTTTCATCTCATCTTCTTTTCAAATTTAGAGATTTTGCATGTCTTACTTTCTAGCTCAAAAACTCATAGATGCATTTAAAGGTATTTTTTGTGTCCCTTTTAATCTGCTGGTGTGGATAAAATATTTAAAAGAATTTTCACACAAATGCAATTATCCCCAAATATATCACATCAATATTTCACTTTTGGCATGCTGAATAAAAATAGTATATTCCAGTATATACTTGTGAATAAGTACAAGCTGTGAAGTCATATCTTAAAACTGTATCAAGTATTACCCTGGGCAAAATAGCGAGACCCAGTATCTGAAGAAAATTTAAAAAATTAGCTGGGCACAGTGGCACATACCTGTGGTTCCACCTGCTTGGGCGACTAAGGCTCCCTTAAGCCTGGGAACCAGAGGTTGCAGTGAGCTATGATTGCACCACTGCACTCCAGCTTGGGTGACAGAGCAAAAACCTGTCTCAAAAAAAATAAATGCACTAAGTTAGTCAAATTAACGTCTTTTTACTATTCACTGAAATTTCCTATGCTCTTCTACCTCTTCAGTTTTGAAGTGTACCAATGTTAGCAATTCATGTAAAATCCCTACATTCTTAGAAAACTGCATATATTCATTAATAATACATGCATTTTTAGTAGACATTAAGCCAGGCTTTAAATGTAATATTTTAAAATATTCTTAGACCAAAAAAAAGTTATATAAAACCCAAGATATACTTGTTTACCACAACAATTTTATTTTTCTGGACAATACGTAAATATACCAACATATTCCTCGTGGTACAGTGTCTACTGAGGTCAGGTCCTCATGTGTTATATGGGAACAACTAATTTGAGTTGGAATGCTCAGGGGAAACATGGTGAAGAGGAGAGTTTAAATGGCTTACCCAGTGTGTGGATATATAGAGACCAAAGGGAGTAGAGGATTATAGTTAGAAATTTGAGTAAGTCTTGTTTAGAAAAGAGTAAAGTGTTTGACCTTTATGAAAGCCAAGGATCTACACTGGGAAACAGCAAAGATACAATCAGACTAAAAGAGCAGGTTGCATTGTGGAGGATCTTCAAAAGGACATTTTACTAGAAAAAAAATAGGCAGATTCATTGAAGGTTTTTGAGTAGGTAAGCGCAATGGTAAAATCTGTGTTTTAAGAAAATAAACATAGAGCAATGTTTATTCATGTATGTTCTCAGGATTATTAATTAATGGGGTTACTCCAAAAGTGTCTCCATGGTCAAATACATGTGGAAAATTGTCGGTTTCTTTACTGCAAATTTTCTCTAAGATGCTAATATGTTTATAGATATTTTGACCATCCTGAAGAAAAATACAGGATTTGGCAAGCGTGACCATGAAACTCTTTCTAGAAAAACCTTCATGGATCAAGGATTAATGGCAAAAACTGTAATTACTTTCACACCAACATAATATAAAGAGAGAAATATTTAATATGATAAATATTCCAACCAATTACCTTGATTAGATTTATGAATATATCAAGTTATCACCTGGTGATATAGTTTGGATATTTCTCCACTTCAAATCTCTTGTTGATACATGATCCCAAATGTTGTAAGTGTGGCCAAGTGGGAGGGTTTTAGTTCATTGGGGTGGATTCCTCATGAGTGGTTTGGTGTCCTTCCCAAGGTGATGAGCAAGGGCTTGCTCTGTTAGTTCACAGGAGAGCTGGTGGATTAAAGAGGCTGGCATCTCCTCCCATCTCTCTTGCTTGCTCTCTTGCCATGTGACCAGCCTGCTCCCCCTTTACCTTCTCCCATATCTAAGAGCTTCCTGAGTCCCTCACCAGAAGCAGATGCTGATCTGTACAACCTTAAGCCAAATAATCCTCTTTCCTTTATAAGTTACCTCACCTCTGGTATTGTTTTATAACAACACGAAACAGACTAATATGCATGTACACACCAAAAATATGTGTATTTATTATTATTAATAAAAAAAGTAATACAACATGGAAGAAATCGGAAAATAGAAGATCTATCACTTGGGAAGATTTTCTCAAACACAGATGCATGGGATTAGGAAAAGGAAAGCTCAAATGAGATGAGCTGGGATCTTGGAATGTCCTCATTCAGTGAGCCCAGTGAAGACGGAGAAGATGACCTTCTCAGCAGATGACCTGTGAGCCAACCTTATGAAGAATGAGCAGATGGAGTCCTGGGTCCTGCATCACTGGGTTTGGGGCATTCCCTGGAATCCAGGACAGCCACTGCCTAAGCATCCGCCAGGACCCCTAACAGCCCCATTGACTGTTTCTCATCAAAACCAGCTGAATTTTTCAAGGTACCTGAAGCATCAGTTTCTTCAAGTCATTGAGTTCTTTCTTCCCCAAGGGGGAAGTGATGTCTTCTTAAAAAATGCTGAGGCAGTTTTCAATGAGAAATTGTACAGTAGAAACCTGTAACACAAAAGGGGAAAATAGGGTGCTCTTTTCATTTGGCATAGCTATAAATCACATTTCATCTGTGAATCTTGGAGTGAAAAAAAACATGAAATTCAGAATTCTAAGAAAAATTCAGAGTTGATACATAAAGACATGAGCCAGTTTTCTCTAAGAAACAGCTATGATCCTTTCAAGAGCATTTAGGGCATGTAAGTTAAAATACTTATAAGCAGTGGGCTAAAGTTATAATTTATAGCCTAGCTTAATAGTTAACATTTTATATCAGTGGTCATATCTTTAAAAACAGGGTAATTTTCAAGTAACCCCTGTAGGATATTTGGAGTGAAGATAAATATTCTTCACTTCTTGTAAAATATGCACAACTTTAAAGTACCCAATAGAATTATAAAGCACCCAATAGATAAAAACTTGTGAAATTCACTCGTTAAGTATCTTAAACTTGGGAAGCAGATACTCTGAGGGTCTTTCATGAAGGAAGGAGGCAGCTGGAGAGAAAATCTCTGCTCTTCTAACTGCAGTCCCTCTCCATGCATTGCCTGGCCTCAGGATTGCTCTCTGGGTGATCTTGGGAGAGAGCTGGGGTCTTTTTACTAGGTACATTGTAGCTCCATTAGGATATTCTAGAATGTTTTACTAGTTTTCTCATTCCAGCAGCAGAGACAAAATAGTAGCCAAGTAGTTGCTTGAATGTCAATTGTGAGCCCTGATTGACAGAGAAAGGCAATATGTGTGGAGCCATGAGTGTTCATATTATCCAAACCACCAATAAGGTGTCAGTAATGACCAGAGGAGCTGGGCCTTATCACCACTGCCATTGTTGAGCTGAGGAAACCTTGGCTTGGAATCTTTGCCTATGGTTACCCATCCCTCAGTGATGAGACTGAGAGTTGAATCTTGGCTTGTCAAACTCCAAAGACCAGGTTGGTTTCTATCATGTTACACAACTTTCTTATCTCTCTGTGGTATAGTTAATCTAGTGTTTTGTCTCCTAGATGAGAAAAAAGTGACTCACTGCTCTCAATTTCCTATTTAACAACCTACCTTCTCATATACCTTCTACCACTCCTACAATAGGATAAATTATCTGCTACTCCAGAGAACTGTAATTAAAGTGTGCACCTTAAAAAAGGGTTCATCATAGTTAATATCTTGAATTTCAGGTTTAAAGTGGGAGCTCTGCTCCCCAAGGCATAAAAGTGAGAGACCTCATTATCTTTTTCGTGAACCCATTTTCTACTTCTGAGCAGCAGGAAGTAGACAGCTAAAGAATGCTTGGGGCTATACACATGGATAAATTATAAGCTGTCATCTGATTGGCTGAGGAATGCTGCTCAATGTTATGTAACACTCCAAAAAGGTATCACAAGAGAACAACATTGGCCTTGCACTACTGTGCCCTGGGTGTGAGACATGGAGTCAAAGGAGATTATTTTGGAGCTTTAACATTTAGTGACTGCTCTGCTGGGATTTGGACAAGTAAGAAGCCTGTTGCCCCCTTTTTTGGGCCAATTTATCCCTTTTGGAATGACAGCATTTACTCAATGCCTGTACCCCAGTTGTATCTTGGAAGTAACTAACTTGTTTTTGATTTTACAGGCTCATAGGCAGAAGGGACTTGCCTTTTCTCATATGACACTTTGGACTTGGAATTTTGAGATAATGCTAGAATGAGTTCAGACTTTGGGGGATGGTTAGGAAGGCATGAAATGTGAAAGGACATGAGATTTGGGAAGGGCCCAGGGCAGAATTATATGGTTTGGCTCTGTGAACCCACCCAATCTCATTTTGAATTGTAATCCCCGGTGTTGGGGGAGGCACACGGTAGGAAGTAACTGGATCATGAAGATGGTTTCTAATGGCTTAGCATCATCCCCGTAGTGCAGTCTTGTGACAGAGTTTTCAAAAAATCTGCTTCTTTTAAAGTCTGTAGCACTTCCCCTTTAACTCTCTCTCTCTCTCTCCTGCTCCACCATGGTAAGACATTCTTGCTTCCCCTTCACCCTTCTGCCGTGATTGTAAGTTTCCTCAGGCCTCCCCAGCTATGCTTTCTGTGAAGCCTGTGGAACTGTGAGTCAATTAAACCTCTTCTCTTTATAAATTACCCAGTCCTAGGTAGTTCTTCACAGTAGCATGAAGACAAACTAACACAATCACTAATTTTTCACAGATGTTGTCAGTTTAATGGAGATTTCTTTTCCCTTTGTCAAATTTTTAGGCAGGGCTCCTCAAGAGCAGGAGGGCATGGTGTTTGCCTTTGGGCTTTCCTCCCACTGGCTCTACCTGGGAGGAGGGTGTCCCCATAAGTACCAGCCAGGGAGAAGGCTGCAGGGTATTGGAAGCCCAGAAACAACCTGCAAAACAATGTTTACAGAATGGAAA
This sequence comes from Homo sapiens, assembly GCF_000001405.40. Lineage (NCBI taxonomy): Eukaryota > Metazoa > Chordata > Mammalia > Primates > Hominidae > Homo > Homo sapiens. The sequence continues at coordinate 119,961,402 of NC_000004.12, read as the reverse complement.
AACACAATGCAATCATCAGGAGTTGTCTGCTAAGGGATGTGTTTTCCTCTTTCATGTTTTATGGCTTCCTACCATAGAACACTTGCTGTGAGGTAGATTGTTGTTTAAAGTTCCCTTTCTTTCATTTCTGATCTATCACTAAGCGCATATTGGTGAGCTCTTGCTTTTCCTTTTTATCTGGCATAGATAGTATGTCAATATTCCATTTAGAACATAAATTAAAATTTGCATTTTGTAGGGCAAAGGAAGCTTTCATAATAGCTATACAATAAAACCAATATAACCTACACAGTAAAACCAAATCCTCAGGGTAACCAGCAGTTAATCCACAATCAAGAATTGGGAACATGTTAAAATATGCATTCAGCATGGCTGCTCAGGGGCCATGATGAGTGGTGCTGCTGTAAGCCTGAGTGTTATCTGTCATCAAGACACTGTTTTAACTAAATTAATGCATTTTATTTAAGCAAATATATTTCCAGTATTCGTTTACTTTTTTTTTAACTTACTTTTTTTTAACTTACTGTTTTTTTAACTTACTATTGCCCAGCAATACTGGCAATCTTGCCACAAATGTATCTAAATTATGTAGACTCTGCTGAATTACTGTAAATATTCCTTCAAGAAAGGCTGAAGCAAAAACATGTTTCAAATGAAGTTATTCTTGATAAGCATTATGATTGCCCTTCATTCCTTAATAAAAATCATGGCCTTGTCCTTATGGAATGTCCTAGGTATGGAGACTCTCTGTCACCTTCTCTGTCTCTCTCTCTTTGTCTCTTTCTCTCTCTCTGTCTCTCTCTCTCACACACACGCACACACACACACACAGAGCAAGAGAGAGAGAGAAAGAGAGAGAGCTAATCTGCTCAAAATTGTATTGCAAATAGAGAGTACAATCTAAAAATCTTTTATTTTAATGTAAGGCTTGGAAGCATCACGTTGGAATCTCTTAAGTCAGGTATACATAAATATCTAGCCAGATAGCCTCAATTCTTGATTGCAATAGGAATTCTTTCTTGTCTGGTGACATGAATCACTTTAACAAAGGAAAATCACAAACCTGGATGAGCCCCATCCCTCTTCCACTCACCCTCTTCTAGATTAAATTTTTATTTAGGACACACATATCATATAGGTTAGGAAGCGAAGCAGAAGTGTCTGCTTTAATCAGCAAATATAAATTCAATTTTATTTTAAATGTATTACAGAAATCCACTAGTACAGAAATAATTGATTTCTTATGTCAAATTCTGGTTGCCCTGAGTTTTTTAGAGGTGTTATTACATCATACAGTCAAACTAAATTTAAATAAAAATATTGGACTTCATGTCACAACAGCCAGAAATTTTCACATTTTTAGGCAATTTTATAGAAGGAACAATGCTATACAAGTATTTTCTTGTTTTTGTCTATCTGAATGTCACTTTCTTTAATAAAAGTTCTCAGTTACATAGACTTCCATCTTTCTTTTTCTGCAACCCTCATCCTCATCCTCACATATGCCCACCTCTCCACTAGAAAACCTCAATAAATGACACCAGCTCTATCAATGTAAAGGAATAGACACTTAAAAGCAAAACAGGATTGAAGTGGTGTGCACACAAATGCCCCCAAATCCATGGTGTCATGAAAGCCTTGTCTTCTTTTTCACCAATTCAGGAGAGGCGTCAGTTACCTAATTATCAGGACCAGCATACAGGGGATGTGGTTTCTAGTCAGGTGTTTCTTATGTCAAAATTTACAACAAAACATGTCCTTCAGGACTCCTCATACTAAGATTGAGTCCTTGGATGATAATCAGGGTAAGTAGGGATGGGAGGAACAAAGAAAGAAGATATTGAAAGAACACTGTGGTAGAGAAGATTGGAACTTTCTTATTAAGATTTTTACAAAAACGTTACTGTATATGTGTAAATATATATGCTATTAGTGCTCTAAAATTGTAGACTGATTTTATTATGCTATCACTTTCAGTTCACACAAAATTTAAAATAGGAATACAAGAAGAGTACCCATATATAAACTAATGTTATATCTTTGTTGTTTTCAATTCCTTAATGTGGAGGGACAAAATATGACTCTGATATATATATATATCAAACATATATATATTTGAATATATATGAATTCAAAAATCAAAGATGATTTTTAATTAAAAATAGCTTGTTGGTAACTTAAAGTTATTCCTAGCTTTAGTAGTGACATGTTGATGATGTCATTTATTGTGTCTGAATTTGTTACTGTTGTGGCTATATACTTTAAAAAGGAGATAAAAAATGGCTGTAAATTAAGAATTTTAATGCATAAGATTACATAATTATTTTCACATTATTATCTGTATTCTAAAGGCAAAGTTTGTTCCAGGTAATGACAAAGTCAAGCACATGTAGAGCATGAATCCTTAATTAAAATTTATTTTCATTCCTTTATATTACATGAAACCAGAAGAAATAACTTCAGGAAAACATATATTTCTCTTAAAATAAATGACTTGTGGCACTTGTAATATAACAGCTCATGCAAGAAAGAGAAAGACCGAGAATTCAGAGAGGGCACAGGGGCTGCGCCTCAGCATCAGGAGGCTACTTCCACAATGGAGGGAACAGTTTAAAAAGGAGGAGCTGGGCCCTTTCTCTCTTCCTGAGTGGTGTTTTTACCATATGGCTTATTTCTTTGCACATCACACATTCAGTTCTAGTAAAATCAGAATAACAACTAGCTATAAAAGACATTTTTCAAATCCCTAGGTAGCGAGCATTTTCTCTGTCAAGCATCACAGTTACTAAGATATTCGTTATTGAAATCTATTGAGACAATTAAATAAAATTTTAGAAATTTAAGTTCCATTTCCAACTCTGCCAGACAGTAGAGTGTCTATAATAGCTCTCTATTGCACTTCACATTGAGAAACTGCTCCATAAAAATAGGAAGACAATTTGCAGAAAATAACCCAAAAGGATTAAGAGGATTCTGAGATGACATCTATTGCACTCTGAATTTCAAAAGATATTATTTTAAAATAAGGCAATATGTAACCAAGGATATTTTCTATGCATATACATTCATAATGAGGGCCCCATTCTCTGATAAACAGTGCTTAAAGAAGACAAATAAAAAACCTAAGTGGACTCCCATGGACTTTAAAGATGATGTTAAAAAATGTATAATTCATTGCTTTCCCTTTCATTTTATTTTTCTTTCTTATGGACTAACTGCTTGACATAACAGATGACCCTGAAAGTTGTTAATTAGGTTTTTATAAACAAAGTCATCTTAAACTCATTGACTTCAAACTATGCTGCTTGTAGCCCTAAGGATTGTGAAAAAGTGTCTCAGAACCCAACAGCAGGGTTCAGAGCACCCAAACTCAGGGATGTCAGGGGCTGTTTATGCTAAGGTGTCTAGGGGGATGTAAGCACTGGACTCTAGCATGGGATTTAATTAAAAGGAAAAGTTCTGTTTTTTTTTTTTTTCAAATGTCTGAAAGTCCTTCCATATAATTTCAAAATTCTACCATGAAATATTTTATAAAGTAAAAATCTCTTTTGAAATGATAATATGCATCCTTTATATTGTTTGTAGGATAACAGGTTTTCATGTCATAAGGAACATATTAAAGTCAAAATAATATTCACAAGGATATGTGTACTTCTTCTTGATTCTGTTCTCCTTGTAGATAGAGCTCTTTGTAAGCAAATAACTTTTTAAAATAAATTTTTATCAAATCATTTTTTAAAAAATGAAACGTGACTATTTTTTTCCCATATGAGCTAAAGTGTTTCTTGATGTATTAAGAGCCAGGAAAATGTGACACATTCCCAAGGGATGAGGCCAACATTAAGATGATCTAGACATTCAAATTATGAGACCAAAAGCAGCAATTACAATTATGCTCCATTACGTAAAAGAAAATTAGCTCATGAGGATAAAAATATATGAAAGTCTTACCATAGAAATATAAATATTTTAAAATGAAAGTTTTAGATCTGGAAAGATCTGCAAGAAAAAATTTCCTGGATGAGCTAAATAGCATAATTGAAATGACAAATGAAAGAGACAGTGAATTTGAAGACAAATCAATAGAAAGCGGCCAGTCCCTGGCCAGGCATGGTGGCTCACGCCTGTAATCCCAGCACTTTGGGAGGCTGAGGCAGGCGGATCATGAGGTCAGGAGATCGAGACCATCCTGGCTAACACGGTGAAACCCCATCTCTACTAAAAATACAAAAAATCAGCTGGGCGTGGTGGCGGGCACGTGTAGTCCCAGCTTCTCTGGAGGCTGAGGCAGGAGAATGGCGTGAACCTGGGAGGCAGAACTTACAGTAAGCTGAAATCACACCACTGCACTCCAGCCTGGGCAACAGAGTGAGACTCTGTCTCAAAAAAAAAAAAAAAAGTATCCAGTCCGAAGTCCAAAGAAGGGGGAATGAAAGGATTGAAAAAAATTAACAGATCCTTGGGGACCTGTGCACAATAGCAATAGGTTTAATAACTGCATGTACTCACTCACATGTAGAAGCTAAATAAAATTTGATTTCGCAGACATAAAAAGTAGAACAGGGCTTACTAGAGGCTGAGAAGAAACAATAGGTGGAATGGAGGGATAGAGAGATATTGGTAATGGACACAAAATTACAGATAGCTAGGTAATGGACACAAAATTACAGATAGATACATCATACCACTGTATGATGACTATAGTTAACAATGTTATATATTTTCAAATAGCTAGAGGAGAGGATACTGAATGTTCTCGACACAAAGAAATGATAAATATTTGAGATGATGAATATGCTAATTATTTTGATTTGGTCATTATATATTTATGTATCAAAAGATCACTATGTACCCTATAAGTGTGTACAATTATGTGTCAATTAAAAAATAAAAATTAGGCCAGGCGTGGTGGCTCACACCTGTAATCCCAGGACTTTGGGAGGCCGAGGTGGGAGGATCATTTGAGATCAGGAGTTCAAGACCAGCCTGACCAACATGGTGAAACCCCATCTCTACTAAAAATAGTAAAAATTAGCTGGGCATGGTGGTGAGTGCCTGTAATTTCAGCTACTTGGGAAGCTGAGGCAGGAGAATCACTTGAACCTGGGAGGTGGATGTTGCAGTGGAGCCAAGATCATGCCACGTCACTCCAGCCTGGGCAACAGAGCAAGACTCTGTCAAAAAAAAAATTAAAATTAAATTTTAAAAAGTTTTAATATACTCATAACTGTAATCCCAGAATGAGAGAAGAGACAAAATGGTCTAGAAAAAAAAATGCTTTAAGTAATAATGGCTAAAAGTTTCCCAAATTTGGCAAAAGATAAAAATTTACAAATTCAATAACTTCAGAAATGTCAAACACAATAAGATTCAAAGAAAACCAGGCTTTGACATATCATAGTCAAACTACTCAAAGCCAAATATAAAAAAGAAAATCTTGAAAGTAGTAAAAATGAAATGAAAAATCAGATAGATGATCAGTGCTGAATGATCATATGCTACTCATCACAAAGCACAGAGACCAAAAAACAGTGAAATAGCTTTAAAGTGTTGGAAGGAAAAAAATGGCAAGCAAAATTCTATATTTGAAGAAAATATCTTTCAAGAGTGAAGGTGAAAGACATTTTTAGATAAAAGAAGCTAAGAAAATTTGTTGGCACCAGACCTATACTGTAAGAAATGCTAAGAAATTTTCTATAGGATGAAATGAAACAGTATTAAAGGGAAACCTGGAGCTTCAGAAATGAATGATGAGAATTAGAAATGTTTATTTCATATAAATTATAACTAAAGTTCACTTTTTTAAATTTCAGGGCAATTTTTCGTGAAAAATGCTGAATGATAGCATTTGCCACAATGAAATCAAAGCAGGCAGACAAGAGTGTCCTTCCCCACAGGAGGCCTCTCTAGTCTCAGCTCCCTCAAGCAAGGCATCTGGTATTTGGAAATAGGTCAGAACATTCGCATGGCCTTTGCTATCAGCCAGGAAATAGCTTTTTTGAACTATCCTTTTTTCCAACCTACGAATACTATTTTGTGTGATCTAGACTTGCTGTAAAGGGGAAGGTGCAAAAAAAAAAAAAAAAAAAAAAAAGGAGAATATGTTTATGAACAACCTGGCTACTGCACTACAACTTCAGAAATCAAAACTTACACAATAATTGAAGCTAAAGGTTTGATTATTTTCCCTAGTAGCATTAAAAAGAATGAGGTAGACATATGCTGATGACTTAAAAGTGATGTCCCTCTCAGCTCAGTTCAATCCTGACATTATTCAGAATGAAAGACTCAAACTCAAAACTCCTGTGTGTTTGACACAACAGCTAACTGCATTACCTGACCCTGGAGTGGATTCTGTGCTGGAAAAGAAACATTATTGGGGTCAACCAACAAAATTGGAACATGAATGGGAGATTAAAACATGCTACCAATGTTAAATCTACTGAAGTTGATAACTGAATGGTGGTTATAAAGAGAATAACCTTATTCTTAGGAAATGCATAAATATTTAATAAGAGGCTATGGTGTATATAACTGTCCTTCAAAAACAGGTGTACACATACATATATATGGAGAAAAAAAAAGAGAGACAGAGAAAAAAATAAATGAAAAAGCAGTGTGGTAAACTGTTAACAAATAAGTCGGGAGGAGGAGCCAAGATGGCCGAATAGGAACAGCTCCGGTCTACAGCTCCCAGCGCAAGCGACGCAGAAGACGGGTGATTTCTGCATTTCCATCTGAGGTACCGGCTTCATCTCACTAGGGAGTGCCAGACAGTGGGCGCAGGCCAGTGTGTGTGCGCACCGTGCGCGAGCTGAAGCAGGGCGAGGCATTGCCTCACTTGGGAAGTGCAAGGGGTCAGGGAGTTCCCTTTTCGAGTCAAAGAAAGGGGTGACGGACGCACCTGGAAAATCGGGTCACTCCCACCCGAATATTGCGCTTTTCAGACCGGCTTAAGAAACGGCGCACCACGAGACTATATCCCACACCTGGCTCAGAGGGTCCTACGCCCACGGAATCTCGCTGATTGCTAGCACAGCAGTCTGAGATCAAACTGCAAGGCGGCAACGAGGCTGGGGGAGGGGCGCCCGCCATTGCCCAGGCTTGCTTAGGTAAACAAAGCAGCTGGGAAGCTCGAACTGGGTGGAGCCCACCACAGCTCAAGGAGGCCTGCCTGCCTCTGTAGGCTCCACCTCTGGGGGCAGGGCACAGACAAACAAAAAGACAGCAGTAACCTCTGCAGACTTAAGTGTCCCTGTCTGACAGCTTTGAAGAGAGCAGTGGTTCTCCCAGCACGCAGCTGGAGATCTGAGAACCGGCAGACTGCCTCCTCAAGTGGGTCCCTGACCCCTGACCCCCGAGCAGCCTAACTGGGAGGCACCCCCCAGCAGGGGCACACTGACACCTCACACGGCAGGGTATTCCAACAGACCTGCAGCTGAGGGTCCTGTCTGTTAGAAGGAAAACTAACAACCAGAAAGGACATCTACACCGAAAACCCATCTGTACATCACCATCATCAAAGACCAAAAGTAGATAAAACCACAAAGATGGGGAAAAAACAGAACAGAAAAACTGGAAACTCTAAAACGCAGAGCGCCTCTCCTCCTCCAAAGGAACGCAGTTCCTCACCAGCAACAGAACAAAGCTGGATGGAGAATGATTTTGACGAGCTGAGAGAAGAAGGCTTCAGACGATCAAATTACTCTGAGCTACGGGAGGACATTCAAACCAAAGGCAAAGAAGTTGAAAACTTTGAAAAAAATTTAGAAGAATGTATAACTAGAATAACCAATACAGAGAAGTGCTTAAAGGAGCTGATGGAGCTGAAAACCAAGGCTCGAGAACTACGTGAAGAATGCAGAAGCCTCAGGAGCCAATGCGATCAACTGGAAGAAAGGGTATCAGCAATGGAAGATGAAATGAATGAAATGAAGCGAGAAGGGAAGTTTAGAGAAAAAAGAATAAAAAGAAATGAGCAAAGCCTCCAAGAAATATGGGACTATGTGAAAAGACCAAATCTACGTCTGATTGGTGTACCTGAAAGTGATGTGGAGAATGGAACCAAGTTGGAAAACACTCTGCAGGATATTATCCAGGAGAACTTCCCCAATCTAGCAAGGCAGGCCAACGTTCAGATTCAGGAAATACAGAGAACGCCACAAAGATACTCCTCGAGAAGAGCAACTCCAAGACACATAATTGTCAGATTCACCAAAGTTGAAATGAAGGAAAAAATGTTAAGGGCAACCAGAGAGAAAGGTCGGGTTACACTCAAAGGAAAGCCCATCAGACTAACAGCGGATCTCTTGGCAGAAACCCTACAAGCCAGAAGAGAGTGGGGGCCAATATTCAACATTCTTAAAGAAACGAATTTTCAACCCAGAATTTCATATCCAGCCAAACTAAGCTTCATAAGTGAAGGAGAAATAAAATACTTTATAGACAAGCAAATGCTGAGAGATTTTGTCACCACCAGGCCTGCCCTAAAAGAGCTCCTGAAGGAAGCGCTAAACATGGAAAGGAACAACCGGTACCAGCCGCTGCAAAATCATGCCAAAATGTAAAGACCATCGAGACTAGGAAGAAACTGCATCAACTAATGAGCAAAATCACCAGCTAACATCATAATGACAGGATCAAATTCACACATAACAATATTAACTTTAAATATAAATGGACTAAATTCTGCAATTAAAAGACACAGACTGGCAAGTTGGATAAAGAGTCAAGACCCATCAGTGTGCTGTATTCAGGAAACCCATCTCACGTGCAGAGACACACATAGGCTCAAAATAAAAGGATGGAGGAAGATCTACCAAGCCAATGGAAAACAAAAAAAGGCAGGGGTTGCAATCCTAGTCTCTGATAAAACAGACTTTAAACCAACAAAGATCAAAAGAGACAAAGAAGGCCATTACATAATGGTAAAGGGATCAATTCAACAAGAGGAGCTAACTATCCTAAATATATATGCACCCAATACAGGAGCACCCAGATTCATAAAGCAAGTCCTCAGTGACCTACAAAGAGACTTAGACTCCCACACATTAATAACGGGAGACTTTAACACCCCACTGTCAACATTAGACAGATCAACGAGACAGAAAGTCAACAAGGATACCCAGGAATTGAACTCAGCTCTGCACCAAGCAGACCTAATAGACATCTACAGAACTCTCCACCCCAAATCAACAGAATATACATTTTTTTCAGCACCACACCACACCTATTCCAAAATTGACCACATAGTTGGAAGTAAAGCTCTCCTCAGCAAATGTAAAAGAACAGAAATTATAACAAACTATCTCTCAGACCACAGTGCAATCAAACTAGAACTCAGGATTAAGAATCTCACTCAAAGCCGCTCAACTACATGGAAACTGAACAACCTGCTCCTGAATGACTACTGGGTACATAACGAAATGAAGGCAGAAATAAAGATGTTCTTCGAAACCAATGAGAACAAAGACACCACATACCAGAATCTCTGGGACACATTCAAAGCAGTGTGTAGAGGGAAATTTATAGCACTAAATGCCTACAAGAGAAAGCAGGAAGGATCCATAATTGACACCCTAACATCACAATTAAAAGAACTAGAAAAGCAAGAGCAAACACATTCAAAAGCTAGCAGAAGGCAAGAAATAACTAAAATCAGAGCAGAACTGAAGGAAATAGAGACACAAAAAACCCTTCAAAAAATCAATGAATCCAGGAGCTGGTTTTTTGAAAGGATCAACAAAATTGATAGACCACTAGCAAGACTAATAAAGAAAAAAAGAGAGAAGAATCAAATAGACACAATAAAAAATGATAAAGGGGATATCACCACCGATCCCACAGAAATACAAACTACCATCAGAGAATACTACAAACACCTCTACGCAAATAAACTAGAAAATCTAGAAGAAATGGATACATTCCTCGACACATACACTCTCCCAAGACTAAACCAGGAAGAAGTTGAATCTCTGAATAGACCAATAACAGGCTCTGAAATTGTGGCAATAATCAATAGTTTACCAACCAAAAAGAGTCCAGGACCAGATGGATTCACAGCCGAATTCTACCAGAGGTACAAGGAGGAACTGGTACCATTCCTTCTGAAACTATTCCAATCAATAGAAAAAGAGGGAATCCTCCCTAACTCATTTTATGAGGCCAGCATCATTCTGATACCAAAGCCGGGCAGAGACACAACCAAAAAAGAGAATTTTAGACCAATATCCTTGATGAACATTGATGCAAAAATCCTCAATAAAATACTGGCAAACCAAATCCAGCAGCACATCAAAAAGCTTATCCACCATGATCAAGTGGGCTTCATCCCTGGGATGCAAGGCTGGTTCAATATACGCAAATCAATAAATGTAATCCAGCATATAAACAGAGCCAAAGACAAAAACCACATGATTATCTCAATAGATGCAGAAAAAGCCTTTGACAAAATTCAACAACCCTTCATGCTAAAAACTCTCAATAAATTAGGTATTGATGGGACATATCTCAAAATAATAAGAGCTATCTATGACAAACCCACAGCCAATATCATACTGAATGGGCAAAAACTGGAAGCATTCCCTTTGAAAACTGGCACAAGACAGGGATGCCCTCTCTCACTGCTCCTATTCAACATAGTGTTGGAAGTTCTGGCCAGGGCAATCAGGCAGGAGAAGGAAATAAAGGGTATTCAATTAGGAAAAGAGGAAGTCAAATTGTCCCTGTTTGCAGACGACATGATTGTTTATCTAGAAAACCCCATCGTCTCAGCCCAAAATCTCCTTAAGCTGATAAGCAACTTCAGCAAAGTCTCAGGATACAAAATCAATGTACAAAAATCACAAGCATTCTTATACACCAACAACAGACAAACAGAGAGCCAAATCATGAGTGAACTCCCATTCACAATTGCTTCAAAGAGAGTAAAATACCTAGGAATCCAACTTACAAGGGATGTGAAGGACCTCTTCAAGGAGAACTACAAACCACTGCTCAAGGAAATAAAAGAGGACACAAACAAATGGAAGAACATTCCATGCTCATGGGTAGGAAGAATCAATATCGTGAAAATGGCCATACTGCCCAAGGTAATTTACAGATTCAATGCCATCCCCATCAAGCTACCAATGACTTTCTTCACAGAATTGGAAAAAACTACTTGAAAGTTCATATGGAACCAAAAAAGAGCCCGCATTGCCAAGTCAATCCTAAGCCAAAAGAACAAAGCTGGAGGCATCACACTACCTGACTTCAAACTATACTACAAGGCTACAGTAACCAAAACAGCATGGTACTGGTACCAAAACAGACATATAGATCAATGGAACAGAACAGAGCCCTCAGAAATAATGCCGCATATCTACAACTATCTGATCTTTGACAAACCTGAGAAAAACAAGCAATGGGGAAAGGATTCCCTATTTAATAAATGGTGCTGGGAAAACTGGCTAGCCATATGTAGAAAGCTGAAACTGGATCCCTTCCTTACACCTTATACAAAAATCAATTCAAGATGGATTAAAGATTTAAACGTTAGACCTAAAACCATAAAAACCCTAGAAGAAAACCTAGGCATTACCATTCAGGACATAGGCGTGGGCAAGGACTTCATGTCCAAAACACCAAAAGCAATGGCAACAAAAGCCAAAATTGACAAATGGGATCTAATTAAACTAAAGAGCTTCTGCACAGCAAAAGAAACTACCATCAGAGTGAACAGGCAACCTACAACATGGGAGAAAATTTTCGCAACCTACTCATCTGACAAAGGGCTAATATCCAGAATCTACAATGAACTCAAACAAATTTACAAGAAAAAAACAAACAACCCCATCAAAAAGTGGGCGAAGGACATGAACAGACACTTCTCAAAAGAAGACATTTATGCAGCCAAAAAACACATGAAGAAATGCTCATCATCACTGGCCATCAGAGAAATGCAAATCAAAACCACTATGAGATATCATCTCACACCAGTTAGAATGGCAATCATTAAAAAGTCAGGAAACAACAGGTGCTGGAGAGGATGTGGAGAAATAGGAAGACTTTTACACTGTTGGTGGGACTGTAAACTAGTTCAACCATTGTGGAAGTCAGTGTGGCGATTCCTCAGGGATCTAGAACTAGAAATACCATTTGACCCAGCCATCCCATTACTGGGTATATACCCAAAGGACTATAAATCATGCTGCTATAAAGACACATGCACACGTATGTTTATTGCGGCACTATTCACAATAGCAAAGACTTGGAACCAACCCAAATGTCCAACAATGATAGACTGGATTAAGAAAATGTGGCACATATACACCATGGAATACTATGCAGCCATAAAAAATGATGAGTTCATATCCTTTGTATCGACATGGATGAAATTGGAAACCATCATTCTCAGTAAACTATCGCAAGAACAAAAAACCAAACACCGCATATTCTCACTCATAGGTGGGAATTGAACAATGAGATCACATGGACACAGGAAGGGGAATATCACACTCTGGGGACTGTGGTGGGGTCGGGGGAGTGGGGAGGGATAGCATTGGGAGATATACCTAATGCTAGATGACACATTAGTGGGTGCAGCGCACCAGCATGGCACATGTATACATATGTAACTAACCTGCACAATGTGCACATGTACCCTAAAACTTAGAGTATAATAAAAAAAATAAAAAAAAAAACCAAAACAAAACAAACAAACAAACAAAAAACAAATAAGTCAATCTGGGTAAATGGCATATGGGTATTCTTAGTGTTATTTTGTACTTTTCTGTATGCTTACAATTATTTCCAAATAATTAAAAGCCTTTAAATTGAAAATGAGCAAACATTTTTAAAAAGTGGAAATAACCAAAATTACTCTGTATGTAACTAGTGATGATTGGGAAAAAAGTTTAATTTCAGTAAGAAATGTCTGCTTGTGAAAATCACTTTATTACAACAAACCATTAGAGTTTATTGACTTTTTTTTTTTTTTTTTTTGAGACAGAGTTGCACTCTGTCACCTAGGCTGGAGTGCAGTGGCATGATCACAGTTCACTGCAACCTCTGCCTTTCAGGTTCAAGCAATCCTCCTGTCTCAGCCTCCTGAATAGCTGGGACTATAGGCCAGCATCACAGTGCCAGGTTAATTTTTTGTATTTTTTGTAGAAATGCAGTTTTGCCATGTTGGTTAGGCTGGTCTCGAACTCCTGAGCTGAAGTGATCTGCCTGCTTTGGCCTCCCAAAATGCTGGGATTACAACCCTGCACCTGCGTGCCTGGCCCAAGTTCATGAACATTTAACATGCAATATTCTTTTCAAGCTTAAGTATTGTAGTTAACATGGATTCCTCTTGCTTCATATTGCTTAGTCCTTAATTTTTAAACATGTGAAAACATACATGAATATATAAAAGTACACTTTTCCACACAGTATTTTCTAAATGCTTTCTTTCTCTCCTCTCTTTGTCTCTCCTTTCCTTCCTCCCATCTCTATATCATCCCTGTCTCTATCTCCTTTTCATTCTGCCTAAGGCAAATACTTGGAATTTAATATTTGGCCTCAAAAACAGTTACAGAGACACATTTCTTGATGTCCTCAGTGAAGATTTGAAGGCGAATGCTTTCAGGTGGTCTTTCTCTTTGGCTAGATTGATGTACCTAATCAAATTTAATAATATCCCAAAATAGAGTAGGATAAATTAGCTAATTGCTTATTTTCAAATCAATCTATGTTGCTAATATTTTAAATATACTTACAGTATTTTTAAAAACATGTGGCTAGATTCAGCAACATCAAATCATGGGTTGAAAAAATACGCAAAATATTTCAGGAAAATAAAGCATGGCCTCCAAAATAACAAGTTGCCCTGTGATATCAGATTTGGGCAGGAGTCAGTCCTCAAACACTCCGCCTGGATTGGAAGGCCCAGCATCTTCTTGGGTTCAAGGGTAGAAAGCATGTATAGGAACTTTTTCCTTTTTTTTTTAGAGACGGTTTGGGTCTGTCACCCAGGCTGGAGTGCAGTGGTTCAATTATAGCTCATTGCAGCCACTGCAGCCTCTGTAATCTTGATGTCCTGGCCACAAATGATCCCCCTGCCTCAGCCTCCCGAGTAGCTTGGCTAACAGGTCAAGCTACCATGCCTGGCTTGGAAATTTATTTTATTTATTTATGTGTTTGTTTTTAAAGGCTAGTCAAGTGAAGTGGTGGAAGTGGAGAAGGAATAAATAAATCTGTAGCTCGTTGTGATCAATTAATTATAAACACCACTGCATTCGGACTAGCCTGGCTTGGAAAATTTATGTCTTAAGAACAATGCTAGCTCCAATCTATAGGATGGAGAGAAGGAAAAGATGAGAGTGGTAATCAGAGCTTCCTCGAAAATAAACAAAACATACAGATAAATGAGAAAACAATATTTACACAGAGGCAGTCATGTTAAATCTAAATAAAAAGTTGTTCGAGGATGGTCTAACAATTTCTATTAAGGAAAAGGGGAATAATTTGGGAATACTGCTTTGCAGAGATTTACATTCTTTTATTGCAAATTAAAGATTTAAAATATATATACTGACAAAATACCTTGGAAGGAAAGAGCACCAGTGTTCCTTTAGTTCTGAAGAGCTACAGTTTTTAAAAATGGGAGAAAAAGTTAAACTACATAAAATATTCATAACAACATATTAAGACTGTCATTCTAGAAAAAAATATCAGCAGCCTATTGTTACTGATGTGGGTACACGTGTAAATTGTACTGTCCTCATAACTAGGCCTCTGATGGGCCCTGCTCTTTCACAGGCAGTATTACAGTGATGGGAAGTAGATCTCAGAGTGGAAGACAGGTTGGTTTGGAAGTTAAACACTTAATTGTAACTATGTGATGCAAGCTATGTCATCACAAGCGAGTCACTTAACTGCTCTGAGCTCCGGTTTCCGCAACTGAAAACTGGGTTAGTTAAACCTCTGAGTGTTCTTGTAGCTTGAAGTGCTATTCAAATATACAGAATATTAGTTTTCAGGTTAAATCGTACTTATGAAATTTGGCATTTGGATGGAACACTCTTGGCCAAGAAACAATACTTTTTTTAGAGAAAAAAACACAATATGTTATTTCTTTATAAGATAAATAAATTGCTATATATGATTTGCTAAAATTGGTCCCTATTGGTTCTCAGAAAACTTACTCTTCATTACTACAATTCTCTGATTGAGGTCAATTCACCTATTGTTTACTAAAGATTAATATTTTCTCCACTATTTCACTGCAGCATTCAATATCCAAATTGAAAATGTTTTAAGGTTCATTCATACATGGACTTATCACCCTCTTGCTATTTAAAAAGTCGTAGTATAGTTACATATAGCATACAATTGACCATTAGTGACATTTAGCCCATTCACAATATTATGTACCCATCAACACTATCTCTTTTCAGAACATTTTCATTACCCCAAAGCAAACTCTATACCCATTAAGCAGTCACCCTCATTCCCCTCATTCCTAGCACCAATACCACATTTTGTTTATTCATTCATCAGTTGACAAACATATGATTTGTTTCCACTTTTAGGCTATTATGAACAATGCTGCTATAAACATTTTGTATGAATGTATGTTTTTATTTTTCTTGGGTCTATATGTAGGAATGAAATTGCTGAGTCAAAAGGTAATTCTAGGTAAAACTTATTATGGAGCCATCAAACTTTTCTGCGGAGGCTGCCACATTTTATTTATCTACCAGCAAGAGCTTCCCTACTCCCCATCTCCACACCACCTCAGGATCAGGAGAGTGGCCCACCTACTTGGCCCAAAATATGCATAATTACATATATTCCATGTCTAATTACTCATGCCAGTTTGTAGAAGAGTAATAACAGCAAAAGAAATAGGTGCCAGTCATTGTTGTAAATGCCTTATACATATTCATATAGCTTTATAACAAATACGACAATGTAAACCTGGTTTCCACTTTCCCCCTCATTAAAAAAAAAGGCTTTTTGAAAACTCTCTCATCAAAGATTTTACATGTTTCCAGTTTGAACTTCCCTCTTTTACCTGCAACATAGAGAAGACATTAAGCAACAGAAACTGAAAACCTTTACAGAAATATTTTACGAAAAAGAAGATATGCAGGGAATGATACAAACATATATTTCTTCCCAGTGAGCTTTGGAAATGTTTTCCTAAAGTAAATAGCTGCACTGAAGATTCTGTTAAATTAATAACTTGGAAACATTTTATTTGTCTCAACCTTTTATGGTGATGCATGAGGTTTGGTAGAGTGGACGGAGGAGGAAAGAAGAGTGTTGAGTGCATACGATGAACCCTCACTATATAAAACAAGTATGAAACTTGGTGTGTGGTGGTTCAGAGCAGGAACTACGAATTGCACGATCCCTGTGAACCCAAGAGTGTCGACCCTGGATGTCCACGGTAGGAAGCCACATTACCCATCCTTATGCCAGCCTAAGAATGTGTATTAGAAAACTGACCTGCATTCCATGAATCAAACCTTTGTTTTAGACTGTCACCTCTCTATAGACACCAATAGATAATCTGCTATACAAAAATTCAGGCAATCCAGTATATGATTATTTGATTAATTTCATTTGCATTTTTTTGGTGTGTGTAGAAGGCATCCTGCTATGTTGTCCAGGCTGATCTTGAACTCCTGGCTTCAAGTGATCCTCCCAACTGGGCCTCCCAAAGTGCTAGGATTACAAGTGTGAGACCACCCTGCCCAGCCTATTTGTATTGTTAGATTACATTTATTCACAGAGTTAATTTGGGAGTATAAAAGCAATTTTTCAAACTTAAATGGGCTATTGAATAATACTCGGTGAAGAAGGATCTATTTTAGAGGTTTAAAAACACAGATGAGACTGGGCATGAGGGGTAGGATGTTGGAAAGGGAGTTCTAGAGACTTCCTCCCTCAACTCTCCTTCCACAGCCCCTGAACACCCACTCCCCAAGTACTCAAAGAGCCGTGTTGAAAAACCACTGATGAAAACTAAAGGAAATTGTTCCAATAGTTACCACGATTTAACTACCATTTGCACATATTTGCACAGAAAAACCTCTTTGGGGAAAGTACAAAGTACGCAAGTGCCATAGAGGAGGTCAAAAAGTGAGTTACTGGCTTAACAGACATCATATTAAAATGTTTTGCATTTTAAGAAAGTTTGGGGAAAAATTTAATTACTTTTCTCTACCTGTCCAAGACAATATGAAGTTGACTGTGCCCTTTCATAGCTAACCCACATAAACGCAGGACCAAGGTGGGGTCTTACCAGAAGATGGCCATTAAATTCACCAGGGGCCAGGCCAAGAGAAGGGATCTCCCAGCACAGGTGCGGCCTTTCCCAACTTTGTCCACACCATTGGCTGTCCACAGGTTGTTCAGTGGTATTTTATTTTTTAATCCAAAAGCATTTTCTATACTTAGAAAGATAATCAAGCCGGATCTCTGTCAGTTTGTTTCTTAGATGCTGTGGGAGCAGCTGTACTCATGGAAAGATACCAGTTCTCCCTGTTCCAGGGCAAAGCAGGCCTAATTCATCTCTATTACCCTATACACATGACACAGGGGATAGACGAGCGTTTACAAAATGTGTGCTGAGAGAAGCCTGGCTCAAGAAGGTGCTGCACACACTTTATGAATGGCAGCAAATAGCTATGGACTGACTGGTCTATTGAGTATGAACCATACTTTACCTTTTAAAAATACTGCTTTTACAGAGAACCATTAATACATTTATTATCTATCTCTTACTTCAAAAACATTTTGAGGAACTGAACAAAGACTAAAAAATGCATGACTTATAAAAATATTAATATTTATAGAAGTTTTACTTAGGAGAGACAAACTAAAAAATATATAACCTTGAATTAGAGGGATATAAAATACATTTCAACCTTAGTTTTTATAAGTTTTTTTAGCCTTTAAAGCAGAGGTTATTTTAAATTTCTTTTCTTAAGATTTTGTTCATACCACTTTTTTTGATAGATTGTGGTTAAAACTGAAAAACTATAGCCTACAAACTAAATCCAACTTAGAAAACAAAACCAAACATATCCCAACTAGAGGCCAGCAGGTCTTCTATGTAAGTGATGGACACACTTCCCATTTATCTCTGGAGAGTAAGAAGGTGATCGATTTTGTCAGCAGTGAAACTGCTTTTTTGACAATTTCTGCCTAATCTGCCTTAGACTTCTAATATAGAAACCACCATATCTTCTGGGTTATTTTACAAATTTAATGCTCAGGTGGACTTGCATTTTAAATAGTTATAAGCCTGATGAAGGATTCCCAGGCACTGTGGGCACAGCACTCAGGGACTTCCCACTAGTCAGAAGTACTTGGGGAGACACCAAAGCTACAATGAGATCAAAGATGCCTCATGTGGAAATCTCCCTGTGACTTCACTGATTCATGAGACAATGCTAAAACTCTTCAGTGGAACTTATGAAATGAAAAGAATTTTGCAGGAAGCATACATGAAGAATAATCTAGATGCAGAGCTTAGGGCACATTGAATATAAGAATACACGTTGAAAAAGTGTCTTGTGATATAAGATGACTTTTTTCCTGAAATTTTTTTAAATGTTTTTTACCCTATGTCTGTGTATCTGAAGATTTTTATGAAACAATTAGTTATCAGATAAAATCATTTTTCTAGATATCACCTCTAAAGGCATTATCAAACTAACACTATATGGCCCATTGGAAATGTGACAAACACCTGCTTGTTTTTATAGATTTTTAGATTTTCTAATATAAGTATCTATATGTACAAATCTGAAGATTCTGTGTGGAAACTTCTACATATGAGGACTTGGAAAAATTTATTTGAGTAATTCTTCTTTTAGTTCAGTAATGTGCTCATGCTGTCCAGTTTTTTGAAACCAAATCAAGGAGTTATCTAAAAGCCCAAAACAGGAGGCTAGGTGCAGTGGCTCATTCCTATAATCCCAGCACTTGCGGAGGCTGAAGTGGAAAGATCACTTAAGCCTGGGAGTTCAAAACTAGCCTAGGTAACAGAGTGAGATTCCCATCTCTATAAAAAAAAAATAAAAAATTAGCTGGGTGTGGTCGCATATGCCTATAGTCTCAGCTACTCCAGAGGCTGAAGTGGGAGGATCCCTTGAGGCCAGGAGGTTGAGGCTGTAGTGAGCTGTGATCATACCACTGCACTGGGTGACAGAGTGGGACCCCAGAACAAAGTTTATATTCTCCTACAATATTTACTAAGCATCTACCATGTGCCGATCACTCTTCTAAATATTTTATTCACATTGTTTCATTTAATCCGGAAATTGCAAAAACAGCAATTACTTTTGCACCAACCTAATACATCAACTAGTCTGTATTAGCCCCATTTTATAGATGAGGAAACTCATGGAGAGGTAAAGTAAATTGCCCACATTATAACACAGACAACCTAACTTGCAAGCCTATCCTTGTAACCACTTGGCATCTGTGGGTGTTGACCCACCTTCTAAAGTTCTTGAGTGGAAGAATAGTTCATGATGTACTCCCTTCATCTTTCCTACCCTCAGCCTTCCTCCTTTCCCCAGGACCATCAGGCTTGCTGATGGGATTGCTCTTTGAGAATGAGGGGATAAATCTCATAACATTATATCAACAAACTAGATACCACCTTGGAATGTTTAAAATGTATTACAACATAGCTTTGTACTCAAATGGATTTTCTTAGGGTCCCTCTATGTTTCTTCACTCTCAGTCATTGACACTATTATACTATTTCAGTAGAAATAAGAAAGTGTGAATTTAATATAAACTGGCTCACAGGAGGAGGAGGAAGATGAGGAAGAGTAGGAGTAGCAGCAGAAGAAGGGAAAGAGGAAGAAGGAAGAAAAGAGGGAGGAGGAGGAGGAGAAAGAGGAGGAGGGGTGAGAAATCTATTTTAGTGTTTATACTGGAGAAAAAGCCCCAGTGAACCCTGGAAATTTACAGGATTCTAAGGATATTTCCACAGTTCTAAGATAGAGATGCTCCCTTAGGTGCCTGGGAGTAAGGGTCATGTATCATGGTAAATTTCATAAGTATTTGTTTGCAATTCCATAACTATAACAAGTTAATAGTCATCTTCATCTTTTGACATAAACAAAATTCATTTTTCATTGTTTCTGTATTCTTTTACAAGTAAATATAATGGTAGTGATGACAAGGAGGATGTAGGCCAAGTACAACCTCTTTCTTTAAAGTTTTCATGGATCTCTGCTAGTAATAATATATTAATATTTATAAAGCAGATTCTGTCTTTAAAAAAAGCCATAATTTTATTTGAAAAAATAACTTCTCATTTAACATTCAAATGAATACCAAGAGTGCTCACAAAGGCCTCAACTGACTTTAATGAGAACAGAAGTTTTTAATGTCATATAAAATAAATGACAATAATCACAGAATAATTTTTACTATTAACATCCAGCGAAACTGGAGCAAACATAATGCCTTTGTGAAGAAACAAACATTTAAATCCCTTTTGTTATAATACACAAACTAAAATTTACTTATTTTGACAAAATACAAATGTGGCAATTGGTCAACTATTTTTTCCACTTGAGTTGATTACTGTAGCATCAACATAAAAAGCGAGAGAGCTTCCAACCAGAGCCTGGAGGTGAGCTGAGGCCCAGTGCAACCTACATCATTCCACTCCCTTTTTATGGATAGTGGAAAAACTAGGCACCAAATTCAGATTATTAATTTGAACAGATTAATTGATTCAAGGTATAATACAATGCTCCTTTTTAGAGTGAGATGTGACAGGGAAGAAATATTTGTTGTTGCAGGGAGCTATTTCTTTTTAGTAGTTGTTTTTCCCTGAAAAAAAAATTGTCACACTAATGGTAAACATAAATGTCCTCAGATGTTTACTGTGGGAAGGCTTGTACCTAATTTCCTAAAAATTATGATAAAAACTAGTACAAGGCATCAGCATTCATTACTGACAGAAAACTTTAAAAAAAAATCTGTTTTCTATCTCAAGGGCCTTGGACTTACAACCAAATTAAAATAACTTCTATCACTTTCACTTTCTAATATTCCCAATGAATGTAAAAAGTATACAAAAATAATCTAGGAACTGAGTCTCTTAAACAAAGATGTTATTAAATATATAGATACAAATTTTTTCACATCATAAAAAGCCTTGCTTGGATGCAAAGAGCCATCTCAAAAGCAGTATGCAAAAAATGAAAAATGTTGCACATCTTTTGTGATAATGAGCCAAGCAAAATAAAAATTCAGCTCCTCCATAGATACATTTTTTTTTAGCAGACAGAAAGGGAACATTGTCTTTATAGGAAATGTTTTTAGCAGAATACTATAGATTCTATAAAACCCATTAAAGGGTTATTGGTGTCCAGGACAACAAATGGCTTCTGGTAAGAAAATAAAGGGCTACTCTTTCTAAATACTAACATAACTACAAAGATTAAGACAAAATAAGTAAAGGAAAATATGTTCCCCTTAAAAATTGAATGTGAGTGGTCTGCAAGGTCCGAAGAAGGACACAATGAGCACTCTTGTTGTTTATCTTTCAGGCTGAGCCCAGTTGGGTACAATGAGGGGTGGCAGAAAGAGCACAGTCTTGCCTTGAAAGCTGGCCTGGACTCTAGTCAGTCCCTCCCTGCAATTTCCCAGGGCCACTTACTGACCCTTTCTCAGCCTCTGTTTTCATATCTAAAACCTAGAAATGATGAAAACCTACCTTGGAAGGCAGTAGAGAAAACTAGATGAGACCTCGGTAATGTTTCTAGTATGGTTCTGAGAATCTCTCCAATAAATTTTAGTTTCCGATATGTAGTTCGCTGGGTTAAATACAGAGAATGGTAACTAGTTGTAATGCTTTTAAAAATAGAGACTTATCTTTGTCAGTGGCTTTTTCAGGGCACTTCACTTGGATCTCATGCCAAGGCCTAGACAATCTTTGTTCTGTTCTCTTTATGACATCACCACCTCAACAGTTATATTTGTAGGCAATTGCTCTCATCCAAAACATATTATCTTCATCTTTGTTTCTGACTTTTTTTGATAGCTGGACTTCTCAATTATTTCTTCTTTCATTATGCAATGTGCTCCATGTTTTACTAGATTCCAAGCAGATGACAGTTGTTTTTTTATGCACCACGAAGGAAAGGTTGATTTCAGTGGTGATGGAAAACCAAATGGTTGTGGAATCTTTTATAAAATCCAAAGAAAATAAATAAAGAATAGAGGCAAGAGCACCACGTGTTGGGTAAAAGCCTGTGCTTTGAGATACACAGATCAAATTTTAAATGTGAACTCCCCTAACTACTAATGTGGTGACCAGGGCAAAGCCATTAGACCTCTGTACACCAAGGACCCCCGTAAAATATGGAAAATAGCCCCATCTCAATCTTACAAGAGCAGCTGTAAGGGTTAGACAAGATTGGGTACATAAAGTCCTTAGCATAAGACCTGACACATAATCTGCCTGTGGGAAATCATACCTATCATTATTATCACTCAGATTAAATATAAGATTTTTAAAAATTAGTACTTAATCTTGCATGTCTTATCTATGACATGGCAAAACTGCAAGCCAGGATGATGTCAACAAAGAAGCACTTTATTTTTCTCCAGTGACTAAAAAGCTTCTTTATGAGATTTTGTGCATCAAAATATTCTTTGTCTTTCATGATATTTCATAAATATTGAAAACAGAGATGGAGCAGGTAAACAGATGGCCATACACCTCAATTCTTCCCATCTCCCTGCCTTCAGACATTTACTAAGTCATCAGCATTTTTCTAGGCTGGGTATTGTTTGTGTACAGTGTGAAGAGGAAAGTACACCCGTTGGTTCTACCTCCAACATAGATGCCAAATCTCTCTTCTGCGTCTTTCATTCTTATTGCCACTCCCAGGATGAAGCCTTATCATAATTATCAGGACTATTGACTCCCTAACCAGTCTCCCCTCTTCCACTTTTGCCTGCCCTTCAACCTATTATCTCCCAGCAGCCAGAGCAATATACTAAAAATGTTTACCTGATTTGGATACTCCTATAGAGGCCCTTCAGGATAATATTCCAACCCCTCACTTTGCCCTGTGGACAGCTGTGTGACCACCCTCATATCTCACATAATTTCCCCAGGCATTTTTCTCCAGTCACATCAGCCTTCCCTGAGCCCCTCCCTCCAAAGGATCAAGCTATACCCACCTTAAGCCTGTTGTCTTCTCAGCCTAGAAGTTTCAGGCCCCTGGTCTAGAAATGCTGCTGCTTCTCATCCCAGAGCTCAGGTTTAAATGTTATCATTAAATGTTACCTCAGAGAGGCTCTCTTGGATGACACCTCTCTAACCCTGTAACATCTTTTTCTCCACATGGCAGCCTATCTCTCTTCCTTTCAGAAACACTAATTATAATCTGCAATATCCCATCTTATTTTATCATCTGTCATTAAGCCCCAGGCAAGAGGGACCCTGCCTGTCACATTCTCAATTATGTTCTCTACAAGGGTACTGCACATAACAGGACCTCCAGGAATACCTGCTGAGTAAATGAAAAATCAAAGCATTTGCAGAAGCAGAAGAAAAATTATTTTATATTTTCTTATAGTAAGGATTAGTGAAATGTAATTTGTTAGTAAAAATGCATTTTATGATAATCAGGAGAGCATGTCGTGTATACATACTTGGTATTAGACACAAGCAACAAATCACTGAACAGAAAGAGATGCCGCTTCTGCTTCCTCCAAACTCTTCTGAGTTGTCCTGAGCTATGGATTAGCAGGGTTCATTAAGAACCTTCCAATGATGTGGTTTTCTCATTGTAGGTGTCTATCACAAAAAAAAAAGTGCTTTCCTGCACACATCAAATACTAAAGAACAAAAAGTCAGTGGTCAAAAAACAAATGATAGCATTTTATGCCAAATTTCAAGGGTGATACAATGCTAAAAATTCTGGTCGATCTATCACTGCTGGCAGAAGCCACATGAAAAGCATGAAAAGGAATATAGCCAGCCCCTAGGAGCAAACTCCAGCCCTACGTGACAGCTTGCAAGGAAAGGGGACTTCAGTATACAACCTCAAGTAACTGAATTTACCCCAAACTTTGAATGAGCTCATTAGCAAATTCTTTTCCCAACCCTCCAGTAAGGAGTGCAGCCCTGACAACACCTTGATCAGCCTTATGGGACCCTAAGCAGAGGACCCAGTCAAGCCTACGTAATCTCCTTATTGTGTAACATAATAAATTCTCATTGGTTTCAGCCACTAAGATTATGGTAATTTGTTATAAATGCATAAAAACTTTATACTGTGGTACCTGAAAATGGTGTGCTGCTGTGATAAGCACCTAAAAACTCAGAAGTGGCACTGGAATCAGAATTAAGTGGATGCTAGAAGAATTCTGAGGAGCATTAGAGAAAACACCACCTAGATTGTCTTGAACAGACTGTTAGTAAAAATACAGACATTAAAGACTCTGCCAGAAAGGGGTTGGAAGTTATGGAGGAGCATTATAGAGAAAACCTAGCTTGCCTTAGAGAAAAGTTAAATCAGAACAAACAAACTTTGGGTAGAAATATGGATTTTGAAGGCATTGCTGATGAGAACTCAGAAGAAATGCATTGAAAACGGGAGGAAGGGAGATCCTTGCTGTAAGCAGGCCAACAAAATAAAACTGCACCCTCTAGTCATGTAGAGCACGGACTTTTTAGATGGTGAACTTGGATATTTAGGTGAAGAGGTTTTCAAGCAAATAGATGAAAGAAGTGCTTTTTTTTCCTGCTTATAAGAAAACGTGAGAAGAGAAAGATAAGTTGAGAGAATTGTTAAACAAAAGAGAACCTGAACTTGTTAAATGAAAGAGAACCAGACTTGATGATTTGTGAGATTCTTTCCCTATCCAGATGCCAATGATGGCAAAATTAAGAGGATGCTTCAGAAAACGTGGCAGAGAAAAACAAAAGTTGAATATGTGATTATACAATCTGTTACTAAACCTTCATAAAGATCAAACAATGAGAGTACTTAGGTACAGTAAAGGCTCTTTGAAGAGATTAAGGTTGTGGGATACAGATCCCCTCAATATAACTACAGGCACTCAAAAAGCTTAAGGGCGTTTTCTCGCAGCCCTCTACGCAGCAGACAAAAATACTATAGTGATGATGCCAGAAGACTTGATGAACCCAAATTCTACCTAATGAGTGAACACAAGTGACGACCATGGGAAACCCATAAAGTTCTTGAGAATTTTATATCTGCAGAAACACTGCCAGGTTTGGTTGAAAAAGACAGAAAGAGTATACAATAACAGAGGACTGTCAGATTCTCAAATCCTACTGGCAGAAAACAGGCTGATAAAACTACTCAGCTGCAAACATGTGCTACTTTTCATGAAAAGCTAGGGGATGACACAGAAAACACTGCCCAAAGTCCAGAGGGAGAACCAATGGCCCAGAATCGGGGACCAAGAGCCACAGGGGGGATTGTGTTTGAAGTATTATTGGAGATATTATTTTAAAATTACTAGTAGAATACATAGTATGTCTTGCATACACAATATATGTCAAAAGACCACTAAGAAATTCACAGTACCCGTGTCTCTAACCTGGCAAAATGTCCACAATAGTAATAAAATAGAACATGTAATCTGGAAGAATAATATCTACTTATAGAGTTATAATTAATTTAAAATGAAGTAACCTATCAAAAGCATTCTTAAACTGTAATGTTCTCCATAAATATTTACTGCTAGTTAATTCTGATTCAAAGTGACAGATAGATCATCTTCTATCCAAAGAAAAGTTTCCACTGATTTCTAAAGGAAAAATAAAATCACATTTCCCCAATGTTTTAAACCAATTTATATTTTTGGAAAGTTCATTTCTATTGAATCACCTAAGCCACTATAGACCATTATTCCTGAGAGAAGTGTCCAACCACTATGGACCATTATTTTTGAATAACAACCAGCATTTAAAATCTGGATAAAAATAAAAAGGGAAACACAATCTGTGGCCCAACATGCATAAAACAAAACAACATGGAGACTTACAAAGAAGTAATTACAATTTGGTTACACATTAGCATAAAAATTTAGATAATTAAGGATTCTGAAAAACTGACTCCTATCTTATCTAAATTAATATTCAAATTTTGGGGAAAATTGCTGAAGAACACCAAACAATACTGGAAACATCAAAAACTTTCTAAACTTAACAAAGTGCTTAAATGTTATTTGGTTGAGCTATAACCAAGCTCTAACAGGACTCTGTGGTCATAATAGGTAACGCCAGCTAGATTGAATAGAACATAAAAGCTCAAAAGAGGAGCAGGTATTTTCATAGACATAGACAAAATCGTCTCCTATGGAGCCAAGAAAGCATCTTCCCTGAGAATACAAAGCCTTCTCTCAAGCTCAGCAGGACTAAATGTTATGAACATGACTAGCCCTACAAAACCGATTCTAAAGTTAAGAATTAGTTCATACGTTTTAGAGGAAACAAAGACAGAACACTTCCTGAGACCACCAGGCTTTTTTGATGATCAAAAAATGTATATTAAAAGAACACCTTGTGCAGTGAAGGCTTAAATGACCACCTTTTTGACTGATGTGAACAGCCTTCATTCTTCCATTCTTGGCACTGAAAATCAGTCATGTCTGCAGCACCTCGCAGAGCACTACAGGCAAATCTTTGAAGCCCGAGGATTCCTCAGTAGTCAGGATCACTCACCATTATGATGTCAAGGTTCTAAGGCTCATCCGACAACTGACAAACTGACATACTCCTTTCTCAGATATTCTCCCATCTTTTAACTTCTAAAATCTCACCTTTATATTTTTAGATCATCGTAGATTCACAGGTGGTTGTGAGAAATAATACAGAAAGATTCCATCAACCTTTCATCCAGTTTGCCTTAGTGGTAATATTTCCCTAACCTATAGTACAATAACATAACCAGGATATTAACATGGATGCAATCAAGATACTGGGCATTTCATTTACCCCAAGGATTGTCTATATTTCCCTTTTACAGCCACACCAACTTCCTTCCCATCTCCACCACCTTGTTAATCCCTGACAACCACTAATCTGTTCTCCATTTCTATAATTTTGTCTTTTCGAGAATGTTACATAAACAATTATATAGTACATAACATTTATGTATCTTTTCATTCAGCATAATTGGAGATTCATGCAGATTGTTACAGATATTTATATCTCATCTGTTTGTCTCACTTAGTAGTACTCTATGGTGTGGTTATACTTCTGTTTGTTGAACCACTCACCTGTTGAAGGACTTCTGGCTTGTTTCCAGGTTGGGGCTATAACAAACAAATCCTCTATAAACATTTGTGTACAGGTTTTTGAATCAACATACGTCTTTATTTCTCTGGAATAAATACCCAGGGATGTGATTTCTGGGTTGTAGTTTCATGTTTCATTTTTAAAGAAATTGTCAAAGCATTTTTCAGGTGTCTGTATCATTTCATATTCCCACCAGCACTGTATGAGTGATCTACTTTCCCTGTGTCCACACCAGTGTCTGGTGTCATTGTTCATGCTAGCTGTGCTGACAGGTGTGTAGCGATACCTCACTGTGGACTTAACTTGAATTTCCCTGATGGTTAATGATGCTGAACTTCTTTTCATATGTGGACTCACCATCTGTTTGTCTTCTTCAGTATTATAGAACTTACAGTATTCTGCTAAAAACATTTTATATAAAAACAGGGTTCTCTTTCCAGTAGAAGAGTGACCTTTTCACAGAGGAGGAGGTGGCTGCACAAATAGGTGAAATGCCTCAAAGCCACGCAGCCATAAGGTAACAGGGCTGACGTAGGAGGTCACACAAGCCCAGGGCAGTGAGGCCCCCTCAGTCTTCTCATGTGGAGAGTCTCCTTGTTTTGGCAACCTTGTAGGCCTGAAATTTGATCTTACTAATAAAATTTATTGCTGCCTTTACAGTATCCTGAATCATTATTTGAATATGTATATTTTATTTCCCAGTAGACTCTAAAGACTTCAAGAAGTCTGTATTTGATTTATCATTTAATTCTCATTGACTTTGGCACATTGAGGACATTTTTGAATGAATACATAAAACCATTTTCTGCCATGGATGGGGACAACAAAGTCTCTTTGGTTTATTCCACTCATTTAACAAATAGTGTTTGAACCTGTAGTAGGGGAAAGGCACTTGGTTAGGTTGGGGCAGCAGCAAACAAAAGGGAGCCAGGCCCAACTCTTACAAAACCTATTTTTGAATGCGAGAGACAGAAATTTATGAAATATTCACACCAAAAACTGTGTAACACAAGACTCTGATAAATGCTGCAAAGAAAAATAACAGAGTGAGACGCGAGATGTAAAGAGGGAGTGATACCTGACTCTTGTGGAGAGGCAGGCAAGGAAGGCCTCTTTGAAGAGCCTATTTGAAATACACTTTTAAAAAAACAGTTTAGAGTTAACTAGAAGGAGAGGTGGAGAAACAGGAAGAGAGAGTGTGAGAGAAAGAGGAGTGCGTATTGAGAAGAGATGTTTCATCGCTTAATGCAGAAGGGATGTAATTTGAGCATATCAAGTTTCAGAGACATGGAAGAGTTTGCTGGATTGGAGACACAGGAAGGTGAAATAATCCTGAAGATGTAGGAAGGGGCCAAAAATGCAAATCTCATTTGTCCTTTTCAACCTTTAAGGTTTTTTTTTTTTAACCCTAAACCAAACTGATAAAAGTGGTATATAGATAGGGGCTTACAGATACTTCTAATGGCTTGTAAAGGGACAATACTAACCTGGGACAAGCTTGATTGTATTTGGTACCATGGAGGTTCATTGGGTAACACTTTCTGGCCCCTCATCAAACATCCACGAAAATGTATTTAATGTAAGAAGTATAGCTCGACTTATCTCTGTGCCTTTCCCAATGACCAGATTATCACAAGGTGACTTCCTCTTTCTGCCTCTGTCTTTCACAGAGTAAGAGACCTCTCTTCTTCTAGAATCTAGTGACTCATAATCAATTCTTATATGCATTAGAATTACTTGAGAGAATTTTTAAGCCCTCCCACTCCCATTCCCTAAAAGTTCTGATTTATCAGATACAGAAACCCTATATTTTTAGAAAGAACTTTGCAGGTGATTCTTATATCTAACCAGGATGGTGAATGACTGTTTTTTAGGCATGCGTTGAGAAATACGTTATACTCTGATGCCATCTTCTCCTTGTAGTGAAGCCAAGGAGAGAAGATACTTGCTTAGGAAAATCCAGGGAGCTTTCCTTAGTCATATGATAGTTATCTTTACATGTAATAGCTAAAGCTTAATTTCTTCCAAAACACCATTGTTGAGAGGGTTCTGGGAAGAGTTGGAAGCATCAGAAAGATGTCTCCCACCTAGACAAAAATTGCACTGGGAGAATCTGTCTTATGTAACTATTTTGGAACTCTGGAGTGTATTGAAGGCTTGCAATTCCCAGAAAGAAGGCTTAGACAGTAAATTGTAGCTAATTTCAGTCCATTTCAGCTCTTACCTCAGTAGCAATGTGGCAGGCAGTGCGCCCAGCAATGCAGCAGGCAGCTGTGCACATGGTCCTGAAGCAGCTTTCACACAGTTGGAAGGAGCCAGGGTGGGCAAAAACAACCCTGTCTTCAAATATCAGCAATCTGTGTCGAATCCCTAATTGCTGCTCTGACCGCAAAGGTGCAGACAAAGAGGTGGGCAGCCATTATTGTTGTACCTCTCCCCATTGTTGCAGGCCCCTGCCCCTCAGGCTGAAGTGACTTCTAAGGGATGTAAAGGGCCACTGGTCTTTCCTCACATCTGTTAATTTTTGTTTTTCCCCTTTTGATAACCAAATAGTATAGACTAGGACATTCAAAAGCAACTGCACATATGGGGAAAATTAGAAAGTGACTATGTATGCCCAGAAAAAGGTACAGGCTGAGAGAAGACCTCAGAAGACTTTAAATTTACACCTCAGGCTGATCCTTCTTGTAGAGACAGCCTACAACAATAAAAAACATACACAAAACAACAGAAAACAGCAAACCCAGGTAAACAGAGACTCTGATTTCCAGAGTTAGTGTATTATTATATTCAAATATCATTTACAACAATAAAATCACACCACCAACAAAAAAAGAAAAACAGGAAGGCATGGCCTGTTCAAAGAAAAAAAATTATTCAACAGGCACTGTCCTTGAATTAGACCTAATGGCAAATCTACTAGACAAAGACTTTAAAACTACTGTCTAAAAGATGTTCACAGAACTAAAGGAAGATGTGGAGAAAGTAATAAACACATGTATGAACAATATGGAAATATTAATAAAGAGATAGAAAACCTAAAAAGAAACCAAAAAGAAATTTTGGAGCTGAAAATTATACTAACTGAAAAGAAATAATCATCACATGTATTCAAGGCAGATTAAAGCAAGAAGAAGAAAGGATCAGCAAACATAAAGATAGGACAATGGAATCAAGTCTGAGGAACAGAAAGGAAAGAGAGTACAGAAAATTAACAGAGCCTAAAGGATATATGGAATATCATCAAATAAGCCAACATATGCATTGTGGAAAACAAAAGTGGTAGAGGAGAGAAAGAGTAAAATAGAATATTTGAAAAAATAATGGATGAAAATTTCCCAATTTGATGAAAGACATGACTATAAATATTCAACAAGCTCGACAAACTCCAAATAAGATGAACTCAAAGAGATCAACACTGAGACACATAATCAAACTCTGAAAAGTAAAAAAAAAAAAAAAAAAAAAAAAGAGAATATGTGGAATGCAGGGAGAAAGGTGACTCATTACATGCAAGGGATCCTCAAGAAGGTTATCAGCAAATTTCTCAGCAGAAACTTTGGAATCTAGAAGGCAAGGGGCCAATATATTCCAAGTTCTAAAAGAGAAAAAACTGTCAAGCAAGAATCCTATATTTGGCAAAACTGTACTTTAAAAGTGAGGGGGAAGTTAAATTCCCAGATAAACAAAACCTCAGGGGGCTTGTTACCACTAAACTTGCTTTGCAATAAATTCTAGAGAAAGTCTTGGAGGGTGGAATGAAAGAACACTGACTGTAACTCAAAGCTGTATGAAGAAATAAGGATCTCAATAAAGGCAAATACATGGACAATTGTAAAAGCTGATATTATTGTATCAATAGCATGCAACTACACTTTTTGTTTTCCATATAATTTAAGAGACTAATGATTTTTTAAAAAAATTATTAGTATAAAAAGCTAGTATTATTGCAACGTTGGCTAGTAACTCCACATTTTGTTTTCTCCATAATTTAAGAGACTGATGCATTTAAAATAATTACAGGGTTATCTTGGAGATATTGCAGGTTTGATTTTAGACCACAGCAATAAAGCAAATATTGCAATAAAGTGATTCACATAAAATATTTGGTTTCCAAGTGCATATAAAAGTTATATTTATGCCACTCTACTGTAGTCTATTAAGTGTGGTGTAGCATTACATCTAAAAATACTACATACCTTATTTATAATCCTCTATTGCTAAAAAATGCTAACAATCATCTGAGCCTTTAATGAGTTGTAAACATTTTGCTGATGGAGAGTCTTGCCTCAATGTTGATGGCTGCTGACTAATCAGTCTAATGGTTGGTGAAGATTAGAGTAGCAGGGCAATTTCTTAAAAGAAGACAACAATGAGGCTTGCCACATTGATTGACTATTCCTTTCACAATAGGAAAAGTATGCAATGCTGTTTGATAGTATTTTACCCACATGAGCCACTCTCAAAAATTGCAGTTAATCTTCTCAAACCCTGCCACTGCTTTATCCGCTAAGTTTATGAAATATTCTAAGTCCTTTGTTGTCCTTTCAACAATGTTTACAGGATCTTCACCAAAAGTAGATTTCATCTCAAGAAACTACTTTCTTTGCTCATCCACAAAAAGCAACTTCTCATCCATTCAAATGTTATCACGATATTGCAACAATTCAGTCCCACCTTTTGGCTCCACTCCTAATTCTAGTTCTCTTGCTATTTCTATCACACCTGCTCTTACTTCTTCCACTGAAGTCTTGAACCCTTCATACTCATCTGTGAGAGTTGGAATCACCTTCTTCCAAACTCCTGTTAATGTTGCTATTTGGAGCTCCTCCTATTAGAGGAATCACTGTCTATGGCAGCTTTCTTTAAGAAAACATATTTCTTAAATAGTAAGACTTGAAAGTCAAAATTACTCCTTGATCCATGGGCTATGGTATGGACGTTGTGTTTGCAGGCATAAAAACAATGTTAATCTCTATCAAAGCTGTTGGTTGACCAGGTATATTGTCAATATGTAGTAATATTTGGAAGGAATTCTTTTATTCTTAGCTTTAGATCTCAGAAATGGGCTTGAAATATTCAGTAAACCAGGCTGTAAACAGATGTGCTGTCATTCAGGCTTTGTTATTCTATTTCTAGAACACAGAGTTGATTTAGCATCATTCTTAAGGGCCCTATAATTTTCTGAATGGTAAATGAGCATTGGCTTCAATTTAAAGCTACCAGGTGCACCAACCCCTAGCAAGAGAGTCAGCCTGTCCTGTAGTAGTAGGCATTGACTACTACTCTCTAGCTATGAAAGTCATAAATGGCGCGTTCTTCAAATATAAGACTGTTTCGTCTACATTGAAAATCTGTTGTTTAGTGTAGCCACCATCTTCAGCGATCTTACTTAGATCCGGATCACTTGCTGCAGCATTTACAACAGCATTTGCTGCTTCACCTTGCCCTTTCATGTTATGGAGGTGGCTTCTTCCCTTTAACCTCATCAACCAACCTCTGCTAGCTTCCAGTGTTTCTTCTGCAGCTTCTTCACCTCTCTCAGCCTTCATAGAATTGAAGAGAGTTAGGCCTTTCTCTGGATTAGGCTTTGACTTAAAGGGAATGCAGTGACTGGTTTGACCTTCTATGCAAATCACTAAAACTTCTCCATATCATCAGTAAGGCTGTTTGGCTTTCTTATCATTTGTATCTTCACTGGGTTAGCAATTTTACTTCAAGAACTTTTCCTTTGCATTCACAACTTGGCTCACTGTTTGGCTCAAGAGCCCTAACTTTCATTCTATCTTGGCTTTCGTCGTGCCTTCCTCACTAGGCTTAACTGTTTGTATTAATAGCGTTCGATTTAATCCGAGAGACATTCTTCCTTTCGCAGAACACTTAGAAGCCATTGTAGGGTTATTAGTTGGCCTGATTTTAACATTGCTGTGTCTCCAGGAACAGGGAAGCCTGATGAGAGAGGCAAGGAATAGCCAGTTGGTGGAGCACTCAGGAAGCACAGATTTATCTATTAAGTTCGCAATCTTATATGGGCATGGTTCATGGCATCCCCAAATGATTACAATAGTAACATAAAAGGTCACTGACATAGATCGCCATAACAGATATAAAAATGATGAAAGAGTTTGAAATTTTTGAGAATTTCCAAAATGTGACACAGAGTTATGAAATGAAGATGTGCTGCTGGATAAATGGTATCAATACACTTGCTTGATGCAGGGTTACCACAAACCTTCAATTAAGAATAAAACCAAAAAACCAATACCACAATATCTGTGAAAAGGCAAAGTGCAATAAAAATGATGTATGCCTATATAAAATACTGATCGGTCATCTTCAAAAGTCTCAAGTTCTGAGAGCCAAAGACTGAAGAACTGTCCCAGATTGGAGCAGGTAAGGAGACATGACAATAAATACAATATGCTCTCCTGGATTGAAGCCTCATGCAGAAGAGGACATTAGTGGGTCAACTGACAAATCTGAATAAAATATGCAGATTAGTTAGCATTTTTGTATTAATGTTAACTGCCTCATTTTGATCATTGTGCTGTGGTCCAAATGTTAATATTCATAGAAGCTAGATAAAAGGTACATGAGGATTCTTTGTACTATTTTGCAGCTTTTTAAAGCCTGAAAAGTAAATTGTTTAATTAAAAAACCAAATTTAATTTTTAAAAACTCAATAAGACCTAGGAATAATAATGGAGGGAAAACACAAAATGTTATTAATGAAAAAATGATTCAGAATATAATTACTGGCATAATTTTCCCAACTTCAAGGAACAATTGTGCTTTTTATTTTATGCCTTTTCATCCAAACATTACAAAAGTGGGAAGCTATCAGTTTTTGGCAAGATATATTTTATTCTAATTTTCAGATGTGGTAAAATACTACATCTATGCAATAAATGACCAAGTCCTATTTACCTCTTAAATAGCCTCTGAATCTTCCCCAGTCACTCAAACCTCACAGCACTAGATCTTGCTATCAAATTGAACTGGTTAGAGTCAAATGCTTGTTTCTAAGTTAGGGGAGTGGAGAAGTTATAGTCCTTCTAGACTAGACCCAATGGAAAAATAATAATCCCACAAGAGGAAATCAGAGTGCAGATAGTTACAAAGCAAAGTATAAGTGAACTATGAAATAATAAAGAGCACATGGGCTTTGAATCTCACATACCTGAAATTGAGTCTCAGTCAACAGCTCACTTGGCTTTGTGACTGTAAGTTGCATGACTGTTCTGAAATTCCAATTCTTCTGCTAGAAAACAGAATAATTTCATCTGTTGGTTTGTTTTGAGGATTAAATGAAGTAATTCAGGCAAAGCATTCAGCAATGCGTTCACAAGAGGCTCTCAATAAATCTTTTTTCTCTTCCCGATTGTTTTCTCCTTTCAACAGAATGAATTAACTACATTTGGCATTAGAATTTTTTTTACTTTTAAGTGAAGACTGGTTAAGTAGAAAAACATTTTTATAGGCTCACGAGTTAAAACATCTTTGCTATAGTTAGCTTCAAGCACAGCTTGATTTGGGACTCAAAGGGCATTAGATGTGGTTTCCATGATGTTTGCTTACTCTGCACCTGTACCAAATCAGTTGGAGCATATGGGAAAAAAAAGAGCCATACAGACTGGGGTCCCTTTCAAATTTAGGACTACAGATTTCAAAATGTTCTCAGCATTGGTTCTGTAACCCATATTTCTCTTTTCACTCTTCTCAAAAGGTCAACTCCTTTGAAGCATAAGTAAAGACTATTTTCTCCTTAACAAAGTCATCTACCAAAACCCCCAAAACTTCTGATTTCCTAAAAGTTTTAGCTTCTGATTCGTTGTCTTCGTGTTTATTACAATCATCATGTTCACCAAATTTAACCATCAAATGGATGATGCAAATAACTTGTTGATTAATTCAATATCATGTCCTCTTACCCCACACTCTTATGGGCATACACGAGGCCTTATCATTACTGATAACTTTACCACCACCAAAATATTTCAAGCATCAACTTTTTAAACCACCAATTCAAATCAAGGAAACTCATTTTTGCAATTCTGTATACTAGTGAAGACTCTTAATGTGTTGACCTTATCACTTCCTGCCATGCAATATACTCTTGCTATACACATTTCCCTCATTGTCTATCACATCACTATAATCACTTCCTTGCATACTTCCCCCCAACACACAATGACACACACATACACATTTAAACATTCAATGTCTTTGTGTCTCTCCCCTCTATTATATTGGTCTAACAAAACCCCAGCTCTGATAAAGTCAACTATACACCTACTCCCTGCCTGAATATCATCAGCTGAATCTAGTACGAAAGAATTATACCCTCTTTCTGACTAGGTTTATAACCATTAAACTTTGGTAAGTATTTAGCTCTGCCTGGTCATGCTACTACATCTTCCAGTTGATTTTCCTTCCCACATTTTAAGACTATTTCATACCTGATTCTCTCTCAATCAGGCATTTAAATATTTGTTTAATGAAAGGTTGAATGAATGATTTCCATAGTCTTTCATATATCTATATTAAGCTTTTTCTTCATGTTTTGGCCTGACAGTAAAAACAGCTTCAAGCTTCACATGTTATATTAAAAAAGAGCAACTGGCTCTTCTACAAAAGTCCTGGAAAGTCACTGTATCTTATGCTTCTGTTCAAGTCATATGCTTGTCTCTGAATCTGTCACCAAAAGGTAAATGTAATATATTATTGTCACTGGTCTGGGTCACATCCTTCATGCATGAGGATTGAGTATGGATTGAGAGTGGGTGTGGGTGACTTTCTAGGAATTTTGTAGACGAGTATAGTATATGAAGCTTGAAGCTGTTTTCACTGTCAGGCCAAAATGTGAAGAAAAAGTTTAACATAGCTATATGAAGGACTAGGGAAATTATGTCTACCGCAATGACAACCAGGTATTTGACACAAACCAAATTATTTGAGGTCAATTCTTAGCTCAATAGTAAATGCAGTGAAAGGGTGGTCATTAAGAACTTAGGCTCTGTTTTGAGTATTACCTTAAAAGCACAGGCAACAAAAGCAAAATTTGACAAATGGAATTACATCAAGCTAAAGACCTACACAGCGGATGAAACTGTCAACAAAGTGAAGAGACAACCTACAGAACAGGAGAAAAAATGTGCAAACTATCACTCTGCCAGAATGTATAAAGAACTCAAACAACTCAATAGCAAAATAACTAATATTTCAATTAAAAATGTGCAAAAGATCTGAATAGACATTTCTTAAAAGAAGACATACAAATGGCCAAGAAGTCCATGAAAAAAATGTTCAACATCACTAATCATCAGGAAAATGCAAATCAAAACCACAATGAGATATCATCTTACCTCAGGTAAAATGGCTATTATCAAAAAGATAGAAAATAACAGATGCTGGTGAGGATGCAGAGAAAGGGGAACAAACATTCATACACCATTGGTGGAAATGTAAATCAGTACAGCACTATGGAAACCAGTATGGAGGTTTCTGAAAAAACTAAAAATAGATCTACCATGTGATCCAGTAATCCCACTGCTGGATATATATTGAAAAGAAAATAAGTCAGTACATCAAAGAGATATCTGCACTCTCATGTTTATTGCAGCACT
Source organism: Homo sapiens (assembly GCF_000001405.40). Lineage (NCBI taxonomy): Eukaryota > Metazoa > Chordata > Mammalia > Primates > Hominidae > Homo > Homo sapiens. The sequence continues at coordinate 119,924,478 of NC_000004.12, read as the reverse complement.
ATTAACAATAACCAAGACATGAAATCAACCAAAATGTCCATCAATGAATGAATGAAGAAAATGTGGTACATATATACAATGGAATATTATTCAGCCATAAAAATGAATAAAATCTTTTCTTTCACAGCAACATGGATGGAACTGGAGAACATTCTGTTAAGTGAAATAAGCCAGGCACAGAAAGACAAATATTACATGGTCTCACTAATATGTAGGAGCTAAAAAATTGACCTAATGGAGGTAGTGAGTAGAATGATGGTTATCACAGGCTGATAAGGGTAGACAGGAGTGGGGAAGAAAAGGGGTTGGTTAATGGGTACAAAATACAGTTAGGTAGAAGGATTAAGTTATAGTGTTTGATAGCACAGTATGGTGACTACAGTTAACAACAATTTATTGTATATTTTGAAACAGATAGAGGAGGGCCTTTGGAATGTTCACAACACAAAGATGTGATAAACATTTGAGGTGATGGATATCCCAAAAACCCTGATCTGATCATTACACATTGTATGCATTTATCAAAATATCACATGTACCTCTTAAATATGTAAAACTATTGTATATCAATTTGAAAAAGTTTAAGCTCTGGAAACAGTAAAAAGTGAGGAGTATTTCTGTTGTCTTATACACTTTTATAAGAGCATTTGATATTATAATTTCTTATATACATTTCCTCTTTAATTTATGGGCTATTGGGATTTTCTTTACCTATTTTAGTGTAGGTGACTTGTCACAAAATTATTCTAGTTGAAGAAAATTTTCTTTCTCTAGAGTTATTTTTTAATAATAGTAAAATTAAAACTAGATTCACAATTCTTTCCTTTTTTAAAATAACAAATATCTGAGTCTTTTCATTCTAGCCTCAGCATTTAGGGTGCAAAGCTATATCTCAAAAGCCTTAAATATATTAGTGGGGGGTGGATAAAAAGGTTTTTATATTTTTGAAATGCTGATTTTGAATATAGGAACCAGGCTATTAACATTTTTTCCAACTCTAAAATAAACTTTATTGCTGCTTATACACACCCAAATACACAGAATTATGTATGATCAATATAAACTGAATCATAACAGTGATTTTCCTATGTTTCTTTTACAGGAATTATCAAAAGTTCAAGAGATAGGCCAGGCCCGGTGGCTCACACCTATAATCCCAGCACTTTGGGAGGCCGAGGTGAGTGGATCACGAGGTCAGGAGATGAGACCATCCTGGCTAACATGGTGAAACCCCGTCTCTACTAAAAATACAAAAAATTAGCCGGGCGTGCTGGCGGGCGCCTGTAGTCCCAGCTACTCCGGAGGCTGAGGCAGGAGAATGGCGTGAATCCGGGAGGCGGAGCTTGCAGTGAGCGGAGATCGCACCACTGCACTCCAGCGAGACTCTGTCTCAAAAAAAAAAAAAAAAAGTTCGAAACCCTGTCTCAAAAAAAAAAAAAAAAAGTTCGAAACTCTGTCTCAAAAAAAAAAAAAGTTCAAGAGATAGATAAATTTTGAAATAAATATAGAGACGTTTCTAATAAAGTATGTTCACAATTACTCCCTAAAAGTGTTAATATTTAATTTAACCCCTATTATTTATGTGATGTCTTAACAAGGTCCAAAACATGTGTTGATGTAACACACATATACCATTTTTGGGGCTAGAGTCTAAAAGTTTCCTTTTTCCAAGATTTATTCTTGCCTGGATTTCTTCTTCCTGGTAGTTCCATATTAGTTGCTTTGTGCTAGAAAAATACATGTTTTAAATATAATTGTGTTAACTTTAATGGCATAAGAAATAGCACAATGACATAACTATTTCAATTAGAAAGATCTGCTTGTCTTAATTGTATTGTGTTCTTATATAGTACTAAATTCGGTAAAGTGTTCTTAAGACCGATACTGTAGAGAGAGAGAGAAAGAGAGAGAGGGACAGAGAGAATGTGTGTATGTGTGTGTGTGTGTGTGTGTGTGTGCACACATATGTATGTTTGTGTTGGTGTCTTGAGTTCTTGCTAAATAAGATGGGATACACATACATTCATACATATATACATATATATTATGAGTAGGAAATATTTTGTATATACACTCATAAACTGTAGGTATTTTTCAACTAGTTTATTAAGTGCTTACTATATAACAAGCATCATTCTGTCCCCTGGGGATATAGCCATGAACAAAATAGATAAACATCCCTACCCTCATAGAACTTACATTCTTGATAGACAAATGATAATAATAAACATAAATAAGTTATCTAGTATGTAAGATGATGACACATTCTATCACCGTCTAGAGCTGGGAAAGGGAATCAGAAATGCCAGGGACTGTGATTTTAAGTAGGATGGTGACAGTAGGCCTCATTGAGAGGCTGACGCTTAAGCAATGGCTGGAAAGATGAGAGAGTGTGCCATGCAGATATGTAGAGGAAGAGTAAGGAAGAGGAAATGTCAGTGCAAGACTCTGGAGTGAATGCATGCCTGGAGGGCTCGAAAATCAGCAAGGAGGTTAATTAACATGGCTGACGTGGAATGGACAGCAGAGATCTGGACTCCCAAAGTGGAGAACATGAAATCTGAAGAAAAAGAGAAATATTGGTTATTAATGTTAAACTTTAAGAATTCTTTCAGAATTGGGATTTTATGAAGTGAATAAAAATAACTAAAAAGAAATGTTGGGTGTTAGGAACTCTGAGAATTGAGGTCTGAAGAAAGAAAAGCCTGAAGGTATAAAAAAGAAAGCTTAAGGATTGAATTTTAAGGTTAAATGGGAATGAGGTAAATGCTAAGATTAAGATGGAAAGAATCTGTATTGAGTGTCTCATGGTTTATATACATCATCTTATTTAATCAAGTTTCTCTACAACGTAGTTAGGTTAGTACTGTAGCACATAGGTAAAATGTAATAAGTAAGTTGAATTGTTGAGACTTTAACTTATATTTTCATTTTCCCTGCTATAAAGGGAAGTTAGTCCCTGATGCATCCTTAGGGGAAAGGGGTGAGTGTGAGTCATCAGAAAGATTAGAAGGTAGCTCCCTACCCCCAGAGAGATAAACCTTCTTGTTTCAAATACCTGGGCCCTTCCTGATGTATCTTCAATAGCTAATGTGAAAGATTACAGGGAATCTTTTTTTGTTGTTGAGAGGTCTAAAGAGAGAATAACAGGATTCAGGGAAAAGAAAGGCAAGTGGAGAAGTAAAGGGGATCTGGGTCTGAGAGAACTGCACGGTAGAATCTCATTTCATCTAGTGGACTGAGAACATACTGCTAGGATGGGGATGATGGGAATGCATAGGGCCCGTCATAGCCTACACCCTGACCGACTTACCAGGGCAGCTCCCTCATCATCATTAAGAGAGCCTGTGTTTAAAGGGGTCTAGTATGACTCTCTGAGAGTGAAATGCTTGCAGGGCCTATGTTTCTAGTCACCTAAGCACTACATGATGACATAGCTAAACTACAAACATTCATGCCTTCTAGCAGATTGCTGGTCACATAATATTATGGTAGAAGAGCTCAAATTCATATTTTCTTGGAGGCAGAATTAGAGGCATGAGATCATCCTGCTCTAGGGAAAAAAGGAGTAGATAGCTTTTTTTCACAAATACAATTACAAACATTTTATTTATATATGTATACACACATACATTTATACATACACACATTTATTTATATGTGTATACACACATAAATTTACATACATTCATATATGTAAATTTAAACATGTTATAAAAGCAATGATAATTTATTTAACTCATAAAACCAACACAAGAAATTTAGGAAGTTTAAATCATGAGAAGTTTAACTGTGGTCCTGCTCAGAACAAAATATTGTATTTTTTTTCTTTTTTATTTTTTTACTTTAAGTTCCAGGATACACGCGAAGGGAGTGCAGGTTTGTTACATAGGTATACGTTGATAGGTTTGCTGCACCTATCAACCTGTCACCTAGGTTTTAAGCCCTGCACGCATTAGCTATTTGTCCTGATGCTCTCCATCCTCTCACCCCCACTCCTGACAGGCCCGGGTGTGTGATGTTCCCCTCCCTGTGTCCATGTGTTCATGTGTTCTCATTGTTCAACTCTGACTTATGAGTGAGAACATGCAGTGTTTGGTTTTCTGTTCCTGTGTTAGTTTGCTGAGGATGGCGGCTTCCAGCTTCATCCATGTCCCTGCAAAGGACACGGTCTCATTCCTTTTTGTGGCTGCATCGTATTCCATGGTGTATATGTACCAGATTTTATTTATCCAGTCTATCATTGATAAGCATTTGGGTTGGCTCCATGTCTTTGTATTGTGAATAGCGCTGCAATAAACATATACGTGCATATATCTTTATAATAGAATAATTTACATTCCTTTAGGTATATATCCAGTAATGGGATCGCTGGGTCAAATGGTATTTCCAGTTCTAGATCCTTGAGGAATCACTACACTCTCTTCCACAATGGTTGAACTAATTTATATTCCTACCAACAATGTAAAAGTGTTCCTATTTCTCCACAGCCTTGCCAGCATCTGCTGTTTCTTGACTTTTTAAATAATCGCCATTCTGACTGGCATGAGATGGTATCTCATTGTGGTTTTGATTTGCATTTCGCTAGTGATCAGTGGTGTTTAGCTTTTTTCATATGTTTGTTGGCCGCATGAATGTCTTCTTTTGAGAAGTGTCTGTTCGTATCCTTGGCCCATTTTTTGATGGAGTTGTTTGTTTTTTTTTCTTGTAAATTTGTTTAAGTTCCTTGTAGATTCTGGATATTAGCCCTTTGTCAGATGGGTAGATTGCAAAAATTTTCTCCCATTCTGTAGGTTGCCTGTTCACTCTGGTGATAATTTCTTTTGCTGTACAGAAGCTCTTTAGTTTAATTAAATCCTACCTGTCAATTGTGACTTTTGTTGCCATTGCTTTTGGTGTTTTTGTCATGAAGCCTTTGCCCATGCCTATGTCCTGAATGGTATTATCTAGGTTTTCTTTCTAGGGTTTTTATGGTTTTAGGTTTTATGTTTAAGTCTTTAATCCATCTTGAGTTAATTTTTGTATAAGGTGTAAGGAAGGGGACCAGTTTCTGTTTTCTGCAAATAGCTAGCCAGTTTTCCCAGCACCATTTATTAAATAGGGAATCCTTTCTCCATTGCTTGTTTTTGTCAGGTTTGTTGAAGATCAGATGGCTATAGATGTGTGGTCTTGTTTCTCAGCTCTATTCTGTTCCATGGTTCTATATGTCTGTTTTGGTACCAATACCATGCTGTTCTGGTTACTATACCCTTGTAGCATAGTTTAAAGTCAGGTAGCATGATGCCTCCAGCTTTGTTCTTTTTGCTTAGGATTGTCTCGGCTATGTGGGCTCTTTTTTGGTTCCATATGAATTTTAAAGTAGTTTTTTCTAATTCTGTGAAGAATGTCAATGGTAGTTTGATGGGAATACCATTGAATCCATAAATTACAGTATGGCCATTTTCACAATATTGATTATTCCTATCCATGAGGATGGAAGGTTTTTCCATTTGTTTGTTTCCTCTCTTATTTCCTTGAGCAGTGGTTTGTAGTTCTCCTTGAAGAGGTCCTTCATGTCCTTTGTTAGCTGTATTCCTAGGCATTTTATTCTCTTTGTAGAGATTGTGAATGGGAGTTCATTCATGATTTGGCTCTCTGCTTGTCTATTGTTTGTGTATAGGAATGCTTGTGATTTTTGCACATTGATTTTGTATCCTGAGACTTTCCTGAAGTTGCTTATCAGCCTAAGGAGTTTTTGGGCTGAGACGATGGGGTTTTCTAAATATAGGATCATGTCATCTGCAAACAGAGACAATTAGACTTCCTCTCTCCCTATTTGAATTCCCTTTATTTCTTTCTTTTGCCTAATTGCCCTTGCCAGAACTTCCAGTACTATGTTGAATAGGAGTGGTGAGAGAAGACATTCTTGTCTTGTGCCAGTTTACAAATGAAATGCTTACAACTTTTGCCCATTCAGTATGCTTTTGGCTGTGCATTTGTCATAAATGGCTCTTATTGTTTTGAGATATGTTCCATCAACACCTAGTTTAATGAGAATTTTTAACACGAAGGGATGTTGAATTTTATCAAAGGCCTTTTCTGCATCTATTAAGATAATCATGTGATTTTTGTCATTGGTTCTGTTTATGTGATAGATTATGTTTATTGATTTGTGTGTTTTGGACCAACCTTGCATCCCAAGGATGAAGCCTACTTGATTATAGTGGATAAACTTTTTGATGTGCTGCTGGGTTTTACTGAGGATTTTTGCATTGATGTTCATCAGGGATAGTGGCCTGAAGTTTTCTTTTTTTGTTGTGTCTCTGCCAGGTTTTGGCGTCAGGATAATGCTTGCCTCATAAAATGAGTTAGGGAGCAGTCCCTCCTTTTCGATTGTTTGGAATAGTTTCAGAAGGAATGGTATCAGCACCTCTTTGTACCTCTGCTAGAATTTGGCTGTGAATCCATCTGGTCCTGGGCTTTTTTTGTGGTTGTTGGTAGGCTATTAATTACTGCCTCAATTTCAGAACTTGTTATTGGTCTATTCAGGGATTCGATTTCTTCCTGATTGAGTCTTGGGAGGGTGTATGTGTCTAGGAATTTATCAATGTCTTCTAAATTTCCTGGTTTATTTGTGTAAAGGTGTTTATAGTATTCTCTGATGGTAGTTTCTAATTCTGTGGGGTCTGTGTGATACCCCCTTTATCATTTTTTATTGTGTCTATTTGTGTCTTTTCTTTATTAGTCTAGCTAGTGGTCTATTTATTTTATTAATTTTTTCAAAAAACAGCTCCTGGATTCACTGATGTTTTCGAAGAGTTTTTCATGTCTCTATCTCCCTCAGTTCTGCTCTGATCTTAGTTATTTCTTGTCTTCTGCTAGCTTTTGAATTTGTTTGCTCTTGCTTCTCTAGTTCTTTTAATTGTGATGTTAGGGTGTTGATTTCAGATCTTTCTAGCTGTCTGATGTGGGCATTTAGTGCTATAAACTTCCCTCTTAACACTGCTTTAGCTGTGTCCCAGAGATTCTGGTATGTTGTGTCTTTGTTCTCATTGGTTTCAAATAACTTCTTGATTTCTGCTTTAATTTCATTATTTACCCAAGAGTCATTCAGGAGCAGGTTGTTCAATTTCCATGCAGTTGTGTGGTTTTGAGTGAGTTTCTTAATCCTAAATTCTAATTTGATTGTACTGAGGTCTGAGAGACTGTTATTGTTTTGTTCTTTTGCATTTGCTGAGGAGTGTTTTACTTTCAATTATGTAGTCGATTTTAGAGTAAGTGCCATGTGGCAATAAGATGAATGTATATTTTGTTGTTTTGGGGTGGAGAGTTCTGTAGATATCTATTAGGTCCACTCGATCCAGAGCTGAGTTTAAGTCCTGAATATCCTTGTTAATTTTCTGTCTCATTGATCTATCTAATATTAACAGTGGGATGTTAAAGTCTCCCACTATTATTGTGTGGGAGTCCAAGTCTCTTTGTAGGTCTCTAAGAACTTGTTTTATGAATCTGGGTGCTCTTGTGTTGGGTGCATACATATTTAGGATAGTTAGATCTTCTCATTGAATTGATCCCTTTACCATTATGTAATGCCCTTCTTTGTCATCTTTGATATTTGTTGGTTTAAAGTTGGTTTTGTCAGAGACTAGGATTGCAATTCCTGCTTTTTTCTGCTTTCCATTTGCTTGATAAATTTTCCTCCATCCCTTTATTTTGAGCCTATGCGAATCTTTGCACATGAGATGTGTCTTTTGAATACGGCACACCAATAGGTCTTGATTCTTTATTCAATTTGCCAGTCTGTGTCTTTTAATTGGGGCATTTAGCCCATTTACATTTAAGGTTAATATTGTTATATGTGAATTCGATGCTGTCATCATGATGCTAGCTGGTTGTTTTGCACACTAGTTGATGCTGTTTTTTCATAGTGTCATTGGTCTTTATATTTTCATGTGTTTTGCAGTGGCTGGTACCACGTTTTCCTTTCCATATTTAGTGTTTCCTTCAGGAGCTCTTGCAAGGCAGGCCTGGTGGTGATGAATTCCCTCAGCATTTGCTTGTCTGGAAAGGATTTTATTTCTCCTTTTCTTATGATGCTTAGTTTGGCCAGATAGGAAATTCTGGGTTGAAAATTCTTTTCTTTAAGAATGTTGGATATTGGCCCCCACTTTCTTCTTGCTTTTAGTTTGGCCAGATAGGAAATTCGGGGTTGAAAATTCTTTTCTTTGAGAATGTTGGATATTGGCCCCCACTTTCTTCTTGCTTTTAGGGTATCTGCTGAGAGATCTGCTGATAGTCTGATGGGCTTCCCTTCAGAAAGGTAACTCGGCCTTTCTCTCTGGCTACCCTTAACATTTTTTCCTTCATTTCAACCTTGGAAAATCTGATGATTATGTGTTTTGGAGTGGATCTTCTCATGGAGTATCTTAGCAGGGTTCTCTGTATTTCCTGAATTTGAATGTCGGCCTGTCTTGCTAGGTTGGAGAAGTTCTCCTAGATAATATCCTGAAGTGCGTTTTCCAACTTGGTTCCATTCTCCCCATCTCTTTCATGTACTCCAACTCCTGTTGTTTCTACCTTCCAAATACATTTGGAATTTGACCACTTCTCATCATCTCAAAACACCTTTAGTCTGTAGCACAGCATCTCTTACCTGGATTACTGCAATATCCTTTTAACTGTTCTCTCTGCTTCCACTCTCATTATTATTCTCAGCACGGTAGCTAGAGTGACTTCTTTGATTATGCAATTCTTTTCTCAAAACATTTCAGTAGCTAACCATCCAATTCAAAGTAAAAGCCAATTAATTTGCTTAGAATGTCTGATATGGTTTGGTTCTGTGTCCCCACCCATATGTCATGTTGAATTGTAATCCCCAGTGTTAGAGGAAGGGCCGGGTGGGAGGTAATTGAATCATGGTGGTGGACTTCCTCCTTGTTGTTCTCATGATAGTGCGTTCTCATGAAATCTGGTTGTTCAAAAGTGTGCAGCACATCCTCCTTCACTTTATCTCTCCTGATCTGCCTGCTTCCCTTTCACATTCTGCCATGATTGTAAGTTTCCTGGTGCCTCCCCAGCCATGCTTCTTATATAGCCTGTGGAACTATGAGTAACTTAAACTTCTTTGTTTCATAAGTTACCTAGTCTCAAGTAGTTCTTTATAGCAATGTGGGACAAATACAAATTGGTACCAGGAGAGTGGGGGCATTGCTATAAAGATACCTGAAAATATCTTTAGATCTTTGAAGCAACTTTGGATCTGGGTAATGGGGTGAGGTTGGAACAGTTTGGAGGGCTCAGAAGAAGACAGGAAGATGAAGGAAAGTTTGAAACTTTCTAGAGACTTGTTAAATTGTAGTGATATGGACAATGAAGTCCAGACTGAGGTGGTCTCGGATGGAGATGAGGAACTTATTGAGAAGCAGAGTAAAGTGACTTCCTGCTATGCTTTAGCAAAGAGACTGGCAGCATTGTGCCCCTGCCCTAGAGATCTATGACACTTTGAACTTGAGAGAGATGATTTAGGGTATCTTGTGGAAGCAATTTCTAAGCAGTAATGTGTTCAAAATGTCATCTGGCTGCTTCTAATAGCATATGCTTATATTTGTGAGCAAAGAGATGATCTGAAAATGGAACTTATATTTAAAAGGGAAGCAGAACATAAAAATTTGAAAAATTTGCAGCCTGGCCATGTGATAGAAAAGAAAAACCCATTTTCTGAGGAGAAATACAAGCTGGATGGAGAAATTTGTACAAATAAAGAGGAACCAAATGTTATTATAATAGCCAAGACATTGGGGAAAATGCCTTGAAGACATTTCAGAGATCTTTGTGGCAGCCCCTCCCATCATAGGCCTGAGAAGGGAAGAAAGGTTTTGTGGGCCAGGCACAGGACCCCACTGCCCTGCACAACTTTGGGACATAATGCCCTGCATCCCAGCTGTACCAGCTCCAGCTGTGGCTAAAAGGGCCACACATATTCTCAGGCCACTGCTTGAGAGGGTGCAAGCCCCAGCCTTGTCAGCTTGCATGTGGTGTTAAGACTGCGGGTGTGCATAGGGCAAGAGTTGAGGTTTGGGAGCCTCTGCCTAGGTTTCAGAGGATGTATGAAAACACCTGGATATCCAGGCAGAAGTGTGCTGCAGGGGCAGAGCCCTCATGGAGAACTTCTACTAGGTCAGTGTGAAGGAGAAATGTGGGGTTGGAGCTCCCACTCAGAGTCCCCACTGGGGCACTCCCTAGTGGAGCTGTGAGAAGAAGACCACCATCCTCCAGATCCCCAGATGGTAGATCCACTGACAGCTTACACCATGCATCTGGAAAAGCCTCAGGTCAATGCCAGCCTGTGAAAACAGCTGAGGTGGTGGTACCCTGCAGAGTGGCAGAGGCAGAGCTGCCCAAAGCCTTAGGAGCCCACTCCTTGCATCAGTGTGGTTTGGATGTGAGACGTGCAGTCAAGGGAGATCATTTTGGGGCTTTGAGATTTAATGACTGCCCTGCTGGGTTTTAGACTTGCATGTGGCCTGTAGCCCCTTTGTTTTGGCTGATTTCTACCTCTTGGAATGTATTTACCCAATGTCTCTATCCACATTGCATTTTGGAAGTAACTAACTTGTTTTTTATTTTACAGGTTTTTAGGTGGAAGGGACTTGCCTTGTCTCAGGTGTGACTTGGACTATGGACTTTTGAGTTAATGCTGAAATTAGTTAAGACTTTGGGGGACTGTTGGGAAGGCGTGATTGTGTTTTGAAATGTGAGAGGTACATGAGATTTGTGGGGGGAGCAGGGCAAAATGATATGGTTTAGCTCTGTTCTCCCCACCAAATCTCATGTCAAATTGTAATCTCCCATGTTTGAGGAGGTGCCTGGTGGAAGGTGATTGAATCATGGTAGTGGACTTTCCCCTTGCTGTTCTCATGATAGTGAGTAAATTTTCATGAGATCTGGTTGTTTAAAAGTGTGTAACACTTCCCCTTTTGGTCTCTCTCCTGATTCACCACGTGAAGATATGCCTGCTTCCCCTTCACATTCTGCCATGATTGTGAGTTTCCTGAGGCCTCCTCAGCCATGATTCCTGTACAGCATATGTAACTGTAAGTAAATGAAACCTCCTTGTTTCATAAATTATCCAGTCTCGGGTAGTTCCTTATAGCAATGTGAAAGCGAACTAATACAATGACCTATAAGAACTTATATAGTATATAATAAATAGAGAAGGAAAGAATGTGTATGTATGTATGATGTGTATGTATGTATTTGTGCATATATATGTGTGTGTGTTTATAAATAAATATATACTAGAAAGAAATCCCTCAAAGTATTACAAGTGGTAGTATACTAATGATGGAAGTATGAAAAATTTTAAATTTTTCTCTATATTTATTGGTATTTTTCCAGTTTGCTTCAATGATATGTTTACAGTCTTTAAAAAGTACAATGAAAGCTATATTAAAATCAAATAGACAAAAGAAACAATGTTCAGAATATTCAAATTCTTTATTCTGTAGGCTTGCCCATAGATGGATTTCACTTACTTTTTAAATCCACGTTTCTCTCTTGCTACTATTTCTATGTCCTTTTGTAGCTATAACAATTCCTCTACTTTTGATAGATAGTCATTAGTCATTATAAGCTTTTGGGTTTACTTCCTATTAAGAAATGAATTATCCACATCCTCTCCAGCATCTGTTATTTTTTGACTTTTTAATAGTAGCCATTCTGAATAGTGTGAGATGGTATCTCATTGTGGTTTTGATTTGCATTTCTCTAATGGTCAGTGATGTTGAGCTTTTCTTCTCATGTTTGTTGGCCATGTGTATGTCTTTTTTTGAAAAGAGTCTGTTCATTCCCTTTGCCTACTTTTTAGTGTATGTTTGTAACTTTAAGTTTATTATAGATGCTGGATATGAGATGCAAATTTCAAAACTCTTTCAGATGCATAGTTTGCAAAAATTTTCATTGTGGAAGACAAAGTGTGGCAATTCTTCAAAGACCTAAAGTCAGAAATACCATTCAACCCAGCAATCCTATTACTGAATATATATCCAAAGGAATATAAATCATTCTATTATAAAGACACATGTACATCCATGTTCATTGCAGCACTATTGACAATAACAAAGACATGGAATCAACCCAAATACCCATCAATGATAGACTACATAAAGAAAATGTGGTACATATACACTGTGGAATACTATGCAGCCATGAGAAAGAATGAGATCATGTCCTTTGCAAGGACATGGATGGAGCTGGATGCCATTATCCTTAGCAAACTAATGCAGGAACAGAAAACCAAATACTGCATGTTTTCACTTATAAGTGGGAGCTGAATGATGAGAACATATGGACAAATAGAGGGGAACAACACACATTGGGGATTATCAAAGGGAGGAGGGAGGGAGGAGGGAGAAATTCAGGAAAAATAACTAATGGTACTAGGATTAATACTTGTGTGATAAAATAATCAGTACAACAAACCTCCATGACACATGTTTACCTATGTAACCAACCTGCACATCTTGCACATATACCCCTGAACTTACAAGTAAAAAAAAAAAAAAAAGAGAGAGAGAGAAAGAAATGAATTAAACAGGTATTTATTCAGAGCTAGATAAATGGCTCCTAGAGAACTCAGACTCTTTTAAAAGGAGCTCATAATCTACCTGTTAGGTAGACAAACTCACAGCATTGACTAGTGCTACATGTTTATATGCACAGAATGCTGTGGGAGCATAGGAGATGGGCAGCAGCTATAGGCTGGGGGCATCAGGGAAGGTGCCCAAGAAGTGCTGACACCAGAGCTGCCTGAAAGGTGGGTCAGCACACCCAAATAATCTGAAAGCATGGTTTGTATTCTTAGGCCAGCAGTTTCCAGGGTCTCAATAGAACCTGTTTTAATCACTAGGGAGTAGTTCATTCCCACATACCCTAGTGATTGCAGTGAATAGGGGTTAGAAATGATCTACTTGTGTGAAATAATCTCCCACATTCACAATTTTGGGGGATTTGCACAGCTATACATTCTGTAAGTAAGAAGCCTGTTCAAGCTAGAGCCACACTCTGTATAAAGGTATGGGGATGGGGTGAATTTCAGCATGACGATGGAAGGGAGATGAGCTCACTATGAGAGGTATTAAGTTTGAAATGCCTATGGGATATACGGAAAGATCAAATGCACAGATATATTCAGGGTGTCAATAAATGCCATATTGTCTGGGACTGTCCTGGTGTATGATTTATAGTCTTCAGCCCTTAGGGACCTCAGGCCTCCTGTATACCAAAGCAGTTATGCCCCTGCACTGAAGCTGAAGTGAAACCCCTTCCCCCATGGACCTCATGCCTCTAGTACAATGAAGCAATCACACCTCCCTGTGCCACAATTGACTCAGCACCTCGCCTTCAAAGATCAAAGTAAACCCAAAATTAGCAGAAGGAACAAAATAATATAAATCAGAACAGAAATAAATAGAGAACAGTAAAACCACAGGATCAATACAACTATGAGTTGTTCATTTCTAAATTTCTAACCCTTTGCTAGTCTAAGAAAAAAGGAAAGAAGACTCAAACAAATAAAATAAATGAAAGTGCAAAAATTGCAACAGACACCTCAAAAACAAAAAGGATAATAAGGGACTATTGTGAACAATTATATGACAACAATTAGATAATGTAGAAGAAAAGGATGAATTTCTAAAAAAAAAAAACTAACCCCACAACCTACTAGGATTGAGTTAGAGTAAAACAGAAAGCCTGAACAGACCAGTAATAAGAGATTGAGTAAGTAATTTAAAAAAAAAAAAAGCTCCCTACAAAAAAATGGCGCAGGACCAGGTAGCCTCATGGCTGAATTCTACCAAACATTCAAAGAAGATTTAATAGGAATACTTTTTAAACTCTTCCAAAAAAATAGAGTTAGAAGAAATCCTTCCAAACACATTTTATGAAGCCAACATCACCATGATACCTAAGTCATCACAAGAAAAGAAAACCACAGGCCAATTTCTCTGATGAACTTTAATGAAAAAATGCTCAATAAAATATTAGAAAACTGAATCTAACAAGATATTAAAAGGATGTAAATCATCACCATGACCAAGTGAGATTAATTCCTTACATGCAAGAATGATTTAACAAATACAAATCAATGCGATATGTCACATTACAGAATGAGAGATAAAAACCTCATGATTATCTCAACTGACACAATAAAGGCATTTAACAAAAGCTAACATCATTTCTTTATAAAAACTCTCAACAATTTAGGTATAGAAATAGAGTTTCTCAAAATAATAAAGGTTATTTATGAAAAAATACAGCTAACATCATAATCAACGAGGAACCACTGAACACTTTTCCACTCAGATCTGGTACAAGACAGGGATGCCAACTCCTACACCTTCTATTCAATGTAGTAGTAGAAATACTAGCAAGAGAAATCAGACAAGAAAAATAAAAGGCATCTAAATCCAAAAAGGCAGAAGTAAAATTATCTCTGTTTGCAGATGGCATGATCATATATATATATATATATACACACACATATATGTGTGTGTATATACATATACATATATATGTGTGTATATATATCCATATATGTATATATGTGTGTATATATATGTATGTATATATCCAAAGATTCCACAAAAATCTGTTAGAACTAATAAGCATCTAGTAAAGTTAGAACTACTAAACTTACAGGATACAAAACCAAATCACAAAAATCAGCAGCATTTTTACGCACAAATAACCACCTAACTAAAAAAGAAATCAAGAAAACAATCCCAATAACATCAAAAACAACTACAATAGCATCAAAAATATCTAGGAATAAATGTAACCCAGAAGGTAAAAGATCTATACACTGAAAACTGTAAAATATTGATGAAATAAATTGAAGTAGACACAAATAAATGGGAAGATGTTTATGTTCATGGACCAGAAGAACTAACATTGTTAAAATGGCCATGCTACCTAAAACAATATACAGATTCAACTCAATCCCTATCAAAATTCCAGTTACATTCTTTACATAAATAGAAAAAACAATCATAAACTTCATATGGAACTATTTTTTTAAAAACCCAAATTTGAATTCTGAGGAAAAAAATCAGCTAGAGGCATCATACTCCCTGATTTACAATTATATTAAAAATATGTAGTAAACAAAACATTATGATACTGACATAGAAGACACATAGACCAATGGAACAGAATGTAGGCACCAGAAATAAATCCAAACATACATGACCAACTAATTTTCAACAAGGGCATCCAGAGGACACATGGGGCAATCAGATAGTCTCTTAAGTAAATGGAGCTGGGAAACTGGCTTTCCACATGTAAAATAATGAAATAGGACCCCTCTCTTACACCAAATAGAAAAATCAATCCAAATGGATGAAACTACCTAAATATGAAACCAGAAACTCCTGGAATAGAACATAGGCGGAAACCTGCTGGACATTGATTGGCCTTGGCAATGATTTTTTTGGATATATTAAGAGCACCAAAACCTCAGCCCACAAAAGCAAAAATAAATATATAGGATTACTTGTGCACAGCAAAGGAAGCAATCAAATAAAATGGCAGCCTACAGATTAGGAAAAAATATTTGCAAACCATGTATCAGATAAGCAGTCAACATTTAACATTTATAAAGAATTTGTACAACTCAGTAGTGAAAAACCAACCCAATTTAAAAAACTGGCAAAAGATTTGGAGAGACATTTCTCCAAGAAGATGTAAAACTCTCCAACAGGTACATGAAAAGGTACTCAACATCATTAATCATGAGGCAAATACAAATCAAAGGCACTGCGAAATACCACCTCACAGGTTATTATCAAAAAGCCAAAAGACAACAAATGTTGGTAAGAGTGTGGAGAAAAAGGAACCCTAGCACACTGTTGGTGGGAATGTAGATTGATACAGCCATTACAAAAAACAGTATGGAGCTTTCTAAAAAATATTAAGAATATAGAACTACTATATGACCCAGTAATCTCTCTTCTGGGCATATACTCTAAGGAAATGAAGGCACCTTATAAAGACACACTCACGGAGATGGCAGACTAGAAACAGCTCATGTGTGCCTCTCTAACAGGGAGGAAACAAAAGGCTAGCGAACACTGACCCTATAAGTAGATCATCTAAGAACTTATGCCAGGCTCCATCAAGGCATCAAGGGGACCCAGAGAGCATAGAGGAGTTAAGCTGGGCAGCCCAACTGGGATCAATGCAGATCCAGGAGAAGCTCCCCAATGCAGGAACAGGTGAGTAAGCGAGACCCCCTGGGGAGATTTACACTCTCCAAAGACATCTGTGCAACCCTGGGAAGAGGAACATTCCCCTGCCCACCCCCACCTCACACTGCCTTCCCCACAGCAACCCCCCATACTTCTAAACTGAGGCAGAGAGCCACCCAGAGTTTTTGCGGAGGCAACTCTCAAGTGCACAGGGACCTCTACAAGCCTTGGACCCCAGAACAGACTGGCAGCAGTGCCATAGCCCCAAAAAAGTCTGCAGTCACAATGCCTGGGAACAGACACATGCATGTATATATTCATCACAATACTATTCAATCGCAAAGACATGGAATCAGCTTAGATCAAATGCCCATCAACAGTAGACTGGATAAAGGAAAGGTGGTACATATATACACCATGGAATACTACACAGCCATAAAAAAAGAATGAGATCATGTCCTTTACAGCAACATGGGTGGCGCTAGAGGCCATTATCCTAAGGGAACTAATGCAGGAACAGAAAACCAAATATTTCATGTTATCACTTATAAGTGGGAGCTAAAACATTGAGTACACATGGACACAAAGAAGGGTATAGGCACTGGGGCTTACTTGAGAGTGGAGAGTAGGAGAAGGGTGAGGATTGAAAAACTATCTATCAGATACTAAAATTATTACCAGGCTGATGAAATAATCTGTACACCAAACCCCCACAACATGCAATTTACCTATATAACAATCTGCACATGTACCTATGAAGCTAAAATAAAAGTAAAAAATAAAGTAAATAAGAAACAAGGAAAAAAGAGGTTTATTTTTAAAAAGAAAAAAAATGTACACTCTCGTGTTCATTGCAGCATTATCCCAAATAGCCAAGATTTAGAAACAACCTAAGTAAGTGTCCACTGGTGGATGAATGGATAAGAAAACTGTGGCACATATATGCAATAAAATTATTCAGGCCTAAAACAGAGTGAGATCTTGCCATTTGCCACTATGCGGATGAGCCTGGAGGACATTATGCTAAGTGAAATAAGCCAGACAAAGAAAGAAAAATACTGCATGATCTCACTTATATTTGGAATCTGAAAAAAAAAAAATCAAATATGCAGACAGAAGAGTAGTTACTTGGTGGGGTTTGGGGAGATGGAAGTAGGGAGGAAATGGAGATATGTAGGTCAGAGGATACAAAGCAGTAGATATGTAGGACAAAAGAAGCTTAGGCCGGGCTAGGTGGCTCACGCCTGTAATCCCAGAACTTTGGGAGGCCAATGTGGGCGGATCATTTGAGGTCAGGAGTTTGAGTCCAGCCTGGCCCACATGGTGAAACCCTGTCTCTACTAAAAATACCAAAAAAATAGCTGAGCGTGGTGGCGCATACCTGTAATCCCAGCTGTTCAGGAGGCTGAGGCAGAAGAATCGCTTGAACCTGGGAGATGGAGGTTGCAGTGAGCTGAGATCGCGCTACTGCACTCCAGCCTGGGCAACAGAGCGAGACTCGGTCTAAAAAAAAAGTCTACAGATCTAATATATGACATGACTAGAGGTAATAAAATTATATTGTATATGGTACTCATGATAAATTAGTAGCTTTTAGCTGCTCTTGCCGCAGAAACAACAAGAAAATGGGTAAGTATGTGAGATGATGGATATGTTAATTTGCTTCACTAAAGTAACTATTTTCTTATTTGCATGTATCCTATAACCCAGGGATTTCCCCAACCCTCAGGCCGCAAACCAGTACCTATCCACGGCCTGTTAGGAAGCCGGCCACACAGCAGGAAGTGAGCTGCAGGCCAGTGAGCATTACTCCCTGAGGTCTGCCTCCTGTCAGATCAGTGACGGCATTCGATTCTCAAAACAGCTGAACCCTATTGTGAACTGAGCATTTGAGGGATGCAGGTTGTGTGCTTCTTATGAGAATCTAATGACTGATAATCTGAGGTGGAACAGTTTCATCTTGAAACCATCCCCATCCTTGGAAAATTGTCTTCCATGAAACCGGTTCCTGGTGCCAAAAGACTGGGGACTGCTGCTATAAAATTGTGCTGTAGACCTCAAGTTAAATATCTTTTAAACTAACTTTTAAATCAAAATTGAAGGAGTTATAATTACCATAATAATATCTGTTCAATATGAAATGGGTTTTCAATTTTAATAAACCAGGACCAGAAATCTAATTGGTTTATTTGGATTAAATAGATAAGTAATCCCAAAGAGATTTGCAACCTAATAAGTATATTTCAGTGAGAACTAAATACATTAGCATTAACTTAAAACTTATAAAGACATATTGTTAGTTGAATAAGTCACAAGAAATTCATAAATTTAAGACCAGGTGCAGTGGCTCATGCCTATAATCCCAGCACTTTGGGAGGCTGAGGCAGGCAGATCGTTTGAGGACAGGAGTTTGAGACAAGCCTGGCCAACATGGTGGAACCCAGTCTCTACTAAAAATAAAAAAATTTAGCCCAGTGTGGTGCCGGGTGCCTGTAATTCCAGCTTCTAGGGAGGCTGAGGCAGGAGGCTCACTTGAACCCGGGAGGCAGAGGTTGGAATGAGCTGAGATAGCACCACTGCACTCCAGCCTGGGTGACAGAGTGAGACTTCATCTCAAAATAAATAAATAAATAAAAGAAACTCATAAATTTAAGTAACAGAAATAAACTGAAAAAGCAAAATTCAAATCACATTTGTTCTTAGTTTTCTTAATAATGTTTATTTGATAATATCTTTTTCTGATACTCAGTTAATACTTGAATAAATTAATATTTTTCAAACTAGAAGTAACTATTTTATGTGATTTTAATACTGTTATTACAAAAATTTAGGCAATACAAAAAGCTATAAAGTAGGAAAACAAACAAAACTATAATAACATATCCAAGATGTGTTATTTAAATTTTAAATTTAAATTTTAACATTTTGTGTTTATTTTTTGCTTTTAACAACTTTATTGATATAACTCACAACTATACAATTCACTCATTTAACATACATATTTCAATGAGTTTTCAGCGTGTTCACAGAGTTGTGAAACCATCACCACAATCAATTTTAAAACATTTTTATCACCTCCAAAAGTAAATAACCACACTCATTAGTATTCATTCCCTATTCCCTCCTTAGGCACACTGCAGTCCTAAGCAACTAGTAATTTACTTACTGAATCATACAATATGTTGTCTTTTGCCAATGGCTTCTTCACTTAGAATAATATTTTCCAGGTTTATCCACACTGTAGCATGCGGCAGTACTTTGCTCCTTTCTATTGCTGAATCGTATTCCATTGTATAGATAGATATACCACGTTTTATTTATTACTTCATCAGTTGATCTATATTTGAGTTGTTTCCACTTTTTGGCTATTACAGTCATGAAACAAGCAGATGTTATGAGAAATGCATCATTAGGTGATTTTGTTGTTATGCCAACACCATAGAAAGTACTTACACAAACCTAGATGGTATAACTTACTACACACCTAGGCTATATGGTATTGCGTATTGGTCTTAGACTACAAACCTGTACATGTTACTGTACTGAATACTGCAGGCAATTGTAACACAATGGTATTTGTATATCTAAACATAGAAAAGGTATGGTAAAAATAAGGCATAAAAGATGAAAAAATGGTACACTTGTAAAGGGCAGTTTTATCATAATCTTTTGGAACCACCAACATATATGTGGTCCATTGTTGACTGAAGCATCATTATGCAGTTCATGGCTGTAGGTACATTTATGTAAAAGTTTTTGTGTAGACATATACTAGAAGTAGAATTTCTGGGTCACATGGCATTCCTATGTTTAACCTTTGGGAAACTGCAAGACTATTTTCCAAAGCAGCTGCACCATTTTACATTCCCACGGGCAGATTATGAGAATTTCAGTTTGGTCACATCCTCACTAATATCTCTTATTTTGTGTCTTTTTTTTTTTTTCAACCATAGCCATCTTAGTGGGTATGAGGAATGCTGAGACTCTCTTCTTGTGTTTATTGGCCATCTGTAAATTTTCTTTGGAGAAATGTCTATTTGGGTCTATGGCCTGTTTTTAATTGGGTTGTCGTTTTATTATTACGTTGTAAGAGTTCCTTAAGTATTCTAGATACAAATCCCTTATCAGATGTTTGGTTTTCAAATACCTTCTCTAATTCTGAGGGCAGTCTTTTCATTTTCTTGATGATATTTTTTGAAGCACAAAAGCTTTTAATTTTTATAAAGTCTGATTTATATATTTTTCTTTTGTGCTTCTTGCTTTTGCCTAATCACCAATAAAGAAGGCTTTGCGTAATCCCAGGTCATGAAGACTTAGGCCTATATTTTCTTCTAAGAATTTTATAGTTTTAGCTCTTACATTTAGACCTATGATCCATTTTGAATTAATTTATGTGTATGGTGTGGGGAGGGGGTCCAACTTCACTCTTTTGCATGTGAATATCTATTCAACAGAATCATTGTTGAAAAAAACTCTTCTTTTTTCATTGAATTGTCGTGACACCTTTGCCCAAAATAAATTGATTATAAATGTATCAGTTTAGCGCTGGGCTCTTGGTTCCATTCCATTGGTCTATGTGTCTATTTTTCTGTAAGTTTCACATTGTCTTGATTAATGTAGCTTTGTAGTAAACTTTGAAATGGGGAAGTGCAAGTCCTTCAACTTTGTTCTTTTTCAGGATTCTTTTGGCTACTCTGGGTCTCTTAAATGTAAATCTTAGGGTCAGGATCTGAAATTATGTATCTTATTATTTATTATTTGATGGTCTTGTAACCAAGACACTTTTATAAATTCAAACTTTATTATATTTCCTACCTGTAAAATTATATTAAGGATTTGTATATATTCTGAAACATTTAAAACATTAATTCTGAATTTTTTAAATTAGAGAATGACATAGACTTAAGTTCAGCTTTCAGGGTAGAAACATTCTTCATGTAGCAGTGATAGGTCTCGTCATTATATGAAGAATGTCTTTGAAAATGGCAATGTATTTAAAAATACATATTTGAGGGAGATAAAACATACTTCCCCAAATTGGTCACATACGTCTCTGTTTAAAAATTGCTTTATTAAAACACAACTTTTAGCTTGCACATATTCATATCATTTATGCTATCAAGAAAGACCCTTCAAGGAGGCAACATTTGAATAGAAACTTGATGAATGAAAAGATGACGCTCAGTGTGAAGACCGGAGCAAAGTATACCCTAAGCAGAAGGAATAGCATATATGAATCCCTGAAGCAGGAACAAGCTTGTTATGTTGGCAGAAAAGCAGGAAATTTGGCATTGCTGAAACACAGTAACAAGAAGGAGGAATAGCAAGTAAGTTTATTAAAGTAGTTAAAGACCAGATCACAGCTGGGTGCGGTGGCTCACGCCTGTAATCCCAGCACTTTGGGAGGCAGAGGCAGGCGGATCACCTGAGGTCGAGAGCCCGAGACCAGCCTGACCAACATGGAGAAACCCCATCTCTACTAAAAATACAAAATTAGCCGGGTGTGGTGGTGCGTACCTGTAATCCCAGCTACTCAGGAGGCCGAGGCAGAAGAATCACTTGAATCCAGGAGGCGGAGATCGCAGTGAGCTGAGATCGTGCCACTGCACTCTAGCCTGGGAAACAAGAGCAAAACTCCATCTCAAAAAAAAAAAACCAAAAAACAGATCATGAGGAGCCCTGTTTACCATAGTAAGAAATTAGAACTGTATTATAATTTTATTAGCATGATTTAAGCAGAGGAGTGACATGATGCAATTTAATCTTTAATAAAATCATCCTGGCTGCTCTGTGGAGAAGAGATTGCAGAAAGCCAAGAGTTCAGGGAGACAAGTTGGAAGTCCAGATAAGGAATGATTATGAATTGAACCACAGTAGTAGATGGTGAGGTCAGATCCAAGATCTATTTTCTTTTTAAAAATTATTTATTTATTTGTTTATTTTATATTTTCAATATAGAGCCACCAGGATTGGCTAATTAATTCAATTCAAAGTGTGAGGAAAAGAGAGAAGTTCAAGGATGACTTCAAGTTGTCTTACCTGAGCAACTGAAACAGTGGAGATGCCATTTATGAGTCTGTAAAGACTTGGGACAAATATTTGTATGGAGAGGAGACAAAAAAAGCTTTATTTGGGGCTTATTAATTTTGAAATAATTAGATTTCCAAATGGAGATGTTGAAAAACTTGAGTTTGAAGCTCAGAGGCCAAAACTGAAAACATACATTTGGGAGACAAAAAAAAAAAAAAATTAAAATCACCTGGAGAGAGAGTGGCTGAAGACAGCATCTTGGAGCATCCCCTAAAATTGGAAATAACCAAAATAAAGAAGATACACCAAAAGAAATTGAAACTGGATATCCATGGGAAAAGGAGGAAAACCAGGAAAAGCTTGCTTTCCTGGATTGCAGGTGAATAAAGTGATTGAAGAAGGTAGTGTGGTCAAATGTTGTCAAGAGCTCCTGAAAAATCAAATTAGATGCAGACTGAGAATTGACCACTGGGTTTGGCAATATAGAGATATTTGATAAGATTAGATTTAGTGGAGAGGACGGTCAAATCTTACTGCAGCTGGATCAAAAATAATAGAGTTGAAAAAGTAGGAATAATGAGCACATTTTTATAAGGAACATCATTACATATAAAAGGAAATATCACTGTAAGGAAGGCAGACAATTCCAATGGCAGCCAGAAGATGTTATAGGTAAAGGAAGGCTTCTATTTAAATGTGGGCAATAGTACAGCAAACATTTGCTGATCAGAATGATGGAATAGATGGGAAAATTTGATGATGCAGAAGAGTGAATAATTGTAGGAGCAAATTGCTTGAAACGGTAAGATGTGAGGTGGTGAGCTGCACAAATGAAAAGTTTGAACTCAGTGAAGACCAGGGGGAATAGCCAATATGCATGTTTAGATGCAGGTAGGTTGGTATATTTGGTGGTGAAAACATAATTGTAAATGTAAATTGCATTGAGAATGAAGTTGCAACTGTGCATTTTTCTCCAGTCTCATTGAGCTAGTTTGCCGTAGGTGTGGGATATGTGAAGTGGTAGATTTAACTAAGGTTGACTTTGTGCCAGCAAGTAGGACACAGGGGCAGAGAGGCAAGCTTGCCAAGAATGTATAAGAGATGAAATGTAATATCGGATCATCATGAGGACAAGTGAGTAGAAAATGAACTATCTTTTGTGGTACTTTGACTTTATTTCAGAATTTTTACAAATTTGGGCAAAAGCTTTGGCAGGGTGGACCAAATGCTCAGGCCAGCAGAGCTAGACTGGTCTTGTAGGCAAGGAGCAGAAAGAATAGGCAGAATAAAAGGATAGCAGCGATGAAAGAGAGAATAGAGCAGGCAGACTATGCCACCCTTGAAGGGTCAGTGGCCAGCAATTAACTAGGTTGGACTGGGGCAATAGCTGGAATAGAATAACTCACCATGGGATGTGTTTCCCTAACAGAGACAGCTACCAAATACTCTCTATTATGGGGTGTACCCAGGACATCCCTGAGCAATATTTCAAGCTATCATATTTGTTAAAAAAAAATCCAAATAGCCAAGAGTCCAATCCCAATGACAAAGATGCTTTAAGTCAGTTCTCTCATGCTGGCTCACACAGTAAGCGTTCATTGTGTCGCCAAAGCTAGGACAAGGGTTCCCATATCTTTGTATTTGATTGGGCTGCTGACAATGCTGTTCTTTTCTGACACAAAATCCAAGTACCAACAAAAGAGGTTTTTTCCTATCATTTTCCCATGAGGATTCATTATTATATTTTATCTTTGTCATATACCTTGTTAATCAGTAGGGTGAATGATTTGTAAAAGATAATATTCTTTTCTTGTTAATAGGAAATTCTTTTCATGTAGTCCAAGTAGAATATGTATCATTTATTAAATTTTTACCAGAAGCCAGGCTACACTAAGCTCCTTACCTACATTGTCTCATTTATTTATCTCTATTTACCTATGAGGTAGGTATTATCATGACCCCTTTTTTTTTACATATAAAGTAATTGAAGCCCAAAATGTGTAACTGACCTGCCAAAAGTCAGATGGCTCATAAGGATAGGAGCCAGTATGAAAACCAGAACTTTTTCCAGTCTTTTCTTTTAGCCTGTATGGGGTTGTGATTTAGAATGGAACTGGAGATAATCAGGGAAGGAGATACTACTCAGTCTTCTGCACCACACAGTTCACTCAATTGCCATTGTTCCAGAGCACATAAATTACTTGACCACAGAAGGAGCAGGTATACTTGGGTTTCAACTACATAACAACAACAACGATGATTATAATAGCAAAAATAACAACATTAGCAACTGTGGATTTCCTTACTTCCTGGATTTGTCAGAAATTTGAGTTCTGCAATCCTGATCTGAAATTTGAGGTCCAAAATCTTGATCTGTATGTTGTCCAATGCCTTGTCTCCTATGCCATATAACAATCAAAAACTCTTCCCAGAAAACCCATGAAAAATTTATAGGCAGCTGAATACACAGAACCCACAATTTTTAAATAGTCCATTTGATCTGGGGCTAATTGCCATACTAAAATCACCCTCTATCAATAATTCAAATTGGGATCTTAAAGAGATATTTCATTTCCACATTCATTGCACCACTATTCACAGTAGCCGAGATGTAGAAACAACCTAAATATACATTAACAGATGCATGGATAAAGTAAATGTGGCATATACATAAAATGGAATATTCAGCCCTAAAAAGGAAGAAATTTCTGGTACATATGACAACATGGATGAACCTTGAGGAAATTATGCTAAGTGAATAAGCAAGTCACAGAAGGACAAATACTGCATAATATCACTTATATGAAGTATCTAAAATAATCAAACATGGAAGCAGAGAGTAGAATGATGGTTGCCAGGGGCAATGGGTGGGAGGAAATGGGGAGTTGCTACTCAATGGGTATAATTGTTCGGTTCTGCAAGATGATTAAGGTCTAGAGATCTGCTGTACAATATTGGGTCTATAGTTAACAATAATGTATTGCACACCGAAAAATTTGTTAAGAGGGTAGATCTCATGTTAAGTATTCTTATCACAATTAAAAAAAATCACTCTCTCTCAGCTACTATTTTTTTGTGTGTTGGTTTCTTGGTTAATAAAACTTACACATTTTATTTCACTTGACTATGAATTCTAATTTCTCTTTATTTAACCTTAACTCAAATCTTACCTTTATTTTATAAAACTAGGACATATTAGTTTTGTGAAAACATTATTTCTAATTATTTGCTAATACCCTTCCTTCCCTTCTATCTCCAATAGAAAGAACTCAATCTTTATGCAAAGATATTCTGATAATGTAATACAGATTTTACAGGACACCATATTATGTCATTTCTGTTGCATAACTTATTTTAGTGTTTCTATCCATCAAAATACAGTATTCATATGAGGTGCCTCTAGGAATTTTCTTTTTCCTTGTATATAGACATATATAAATTAAGTAGTTGCCTGACAACCTGTAATTGGGCTGACATGTGTTATTTGGGGATTTATATGGTGTTTTTTTCCAAAGAGCGATTTAAAAAATTTTTTAAAATGATAAAGATACAAATTCTAATGTGAAGGCTAGAGAGAAGGTTTTAATTAAGAAGAGGGCTGACAAATTTTCCTGGTGATGACAACTCTGACATTGTTACATTTATTTGTGAGAACAATGAGAGAAAAGAAAGGAGGATGCTTTTTTAAAGTCATCGTTATTATTACTCAAGGCAATGAGCTGTTAAGTACAAGCTTAATTATGAACTCTGTTCATCATCCTGATACTTAATAATGCACCAGATGCACTTTTCCGGCTCTGTCAATTGTCTGCCCTGTCAGTTGACCGAGCCTTCACTGTCAAATGAGTGGCTGTCTTCCATTTTCCGAGGAGATAGATGGTTTACTCACATCTAACCCCAAGCAACGTCCAACTCATTTTCTTCTCAAAATTTCTTGTTCCCTGTGACAGATTCCACCAGAAATTAGACTGGAAATTTGCTTGCTGACTTGCCATGTCCTAGATAATAAGAAACAGGAGGAAAAAATCATTAATCTTTAACTTCTAATAATAAACGATTGAGATTTGTCAGATGATAGAATAATTTTAGGAGAAAAACAGTTGTTTTGACATGGAGATTTTCAAGAAGGTTACTAGCTCAAAGAGCTAATGAAACTATTGTATCCTGCACAGATACAGCAAAGGAACACTATTAATTCTAGTGCTGCTCTGCTATAAACAATTCCTTAAAAGTCTTTAATTTATTTTTCAGAACAGGTGAGCTTAAGTTGAATAAAGAATTGTATTTTTTTAAAGGCAAGGAATAAGCAGTTATAAAAAAAACATTTTGATTCTTATAAGTGGAAAGTCATAAATTAACATTATTTTAGAATTCTAAACTCTCCATCACTAATGAAAAAACCAAGTCTCCAGTTTTCAAAGAGTAAAAATTAATATTAAATTCCAAATTTTCTTACCAATCAAATCAACCTGCAACTATTTCAGGTGCTCACTGTTGTTTATTTTGATTTTTAATAGGAAAATTAGACCAGAGTTTAGGTAAAACAGCAGCCTTACAATTTTTTGTTGTTAGGTGAAGTATTCTTTTCCTGCATATCTTCAAAGCTCAAGGATTAATCTTCAGTGTTATACTGACAAATAGGGTCTAGGTAACATAAAGACCTTTGTTCTTCAACAATTATACACACACACACCCACAGACACACACACGCACGCATCCACAACCTGAAAATTGAGCTTCTGCCAGGCCCCTTTGCCATCTGTCTGAGGAAGAAATCAGTAATTTGATAGACTTTTTCATATAGACTGACCATCTGCAACCCTGGTAACTGTATTTAAGCTCTGAGCTCCCTGTAGGAAATCTGTCCAAATGTTTTTTCAGGTCATCTGGTGCTTTATGTTTTAAGTATTTTAAAACTAAATAAACAGGCAACTTTGGTTATATTGGGAGAAATTTCCTTTCAAGCAGAGAATGATCCGAGTAAGCACTTCTGAAGATTATATCCAGTTGCATACAATTTGACATTGTGCCTTTCTGGAAAAATGTGAGATTAGTTGAAGATATCAGAAAATAGGGATTATGACAAGTTATGTTCAAATAATATGGCAATTGATTTTGGAACATTCATATAATTAATATCCTTTTGATATAATATTAGATAATTTTAGTTATTTGGAATTATTATAAATTAACATGGTTACTTTCAGTAAATTAAATCCCTATAACAGAAACAAGGCAGTCTATGCTGCATTAATAAATGGATCTTTTATGATACATAGTGAATTTACTAGAGTAACATATTAGACGATAGCTTCATGAAAAGTCCCATGGCAAAAGTCATTTTCTATAAATTATAGAAAGAACCATTAGTTTCCTCTCATAAATGCATAGTAAGAATGCTTAGTTTGCACTAGTTCAAAAAAACCACTCATACAAAAGCTATGCAATAAATAATTATTAGGTTGGTGCAAAAGTATTTGTGGTTTTTGCATGTGGTACATTTTACAAAGGTACATTTTTATATCTAGTACCTAATTCAGTCTTAGAAAAACGCTTTTGTGTTCTTCAATCTTACAAAACTGAATGTACAAGAATGGGTTTGATCTTACTGTTTGTTCTCCATAAAAACACATATAGCTGCAAACAATCCAAACATATTCCTGATATTATTAAGCCTTATAGAATCACTGAAGCATCTATGGCTCCAACATCAGAACCCAGCTTTCTGACTGTGGCAAGGAGTCACCTAGAGCCAGTAGGCAACATAGAATGGAGCAGAGAGTAAACATCCGCTCCTCACGATCAGTGGCCACTACGCCTGGAGCCCCTCCTAGCAATTCTCCTATCTCTTCCACTCTGGATCACGTCTTACTTCTCTACTCCTCCCCTCCTTAGTCAAACTCTCTGACTGTTGATCTTTGTCTCCTTAAACTTTTTACATCTTCTAGCCCTTTCCTCTCATCCAGAATCCCTATCTGGCCCTCTTGGCCATCTTGCCCAACTGTTACTTAACACTTAAGATGACAGCATATGTCTTTCCCGTCCTCGATTAAAAGTTCCTCCAGGGTACACACCACATCGTATGCCTCATTGTGATCCCATGTAGCCCTACAAAATACTTTGGTAATTAAATATTCAGTAAATGTATGTTAATTTGGTCCCAAGGACATACAATTTTAACATCAAATACATTGGACTTGACCAGAGATGGTCAGTAGAATTTAATTTGCATAACGTTCTGGTTTATCAGAGTTGACTGCATGAAGAGCTCTGTAGAAAATAACTGATAGAAATATCTGGCTGGGCACAGTGGCTCACGCTTGTAATCCCAGCACTTTGGGAGGCAGTGGCAGGTAGATCACCTGAGTCAGGAGTTCGAGACCAGCCTGGTCAACATGGTGAAACCCCATGTCTACTAAAAATGCAAAAAATTAGCCAGGTGTGGTGGCAGCGCCTGTAATCCCAGCTACTCAGGAGGCTGAGGCAGGAGAATTGCTTGAATCTGGGAGGCGGAGGTTGCAGTGAGCCAAGATCAGGCCATTGCACACCAGTCTGGATGACAAGAGCAAAACTCCATCTCAAAAAAAAAAAAAAGAAAATAACTGATAGAAATATCTGCTGTGTTACTGGGAGATGGGAATGACACACATGTAAATGTTCTCCAAGACTAAATGATGCCATGAATTTGGCGTAAAAAGTTTCAGCTTCTCATCTAAATGTTTTCAGAAGATTTTGCTGAATTTGTCTTTACATGGACTTTTATAGAATAATACATGTTCCTGGCCATGCTCTGCTTCTGTATTGATAAAATGAATATTTATTTGTTTCCTTTAGACCAGCGGGGCACAATTCTGCTCAGGAGTCTGGGAAATGGGCTAGGCTGTGTATAGCCCAAAATGAATGTTTGCTTTTGGAAGTAAGCCTTTAGGAGTGCATGAGACTACCCTATAAAATTCATCTCCACTCCTGGTCTATAACAATGGGCCATGTAAAAGGATACTCAGCCTCTACAAGAGACTCTTTATTGTTTCAGATTTTGTAGTAATGGTCATAACAATTAAGAATTTCCTGACTCAGAAAACTGATTCTTTGCTTCATTTTATTTGTTAGCAATTGTTGAATTTTTTTATGCTGCTCATAAAACTGGAGGCCAAGACGAGAAAGCTGACTTGTATAAGTTATGAAAGTAAAATAAACAATACTTTGCTCTTCCCAGAACATCCTAACCCCACATACACCAAAGAAACAAGAGTGTCACTGAGTGTGAGGTTGGGGCTCTCATGCCTCTATTGCACATCGTCACACTGCACTGCAGTTAAAGCCAGTCTTGATTAAAGTTCCTTGTTTGCGTGTTCTCATCACAAGACACCATACTCCACACTAAAAAGTTGAGAAGTCAGCCAAGGTGCCATTTGCCTTTCATCACTGTCTTAAATCTTGGAAGTTTAAATTTCAGAAGACCAAACAGTACCACTTGGGATTATAATGCATTATGTAACCAAGTCCATTAACTAAGAAAGGAAAAGCTAAAGTGACAGTTGCCTACCTGTGCCAAATGACCTACAGGTGCTTTAATTTCACTCAATTTATTTTCAGGACCTCTCAGCTGCTATTTCTCAAGGGTTGCTGGGAAACATCACTTTTTCTAAATCTACAGAGCTCTTAGAATATGGGTGTAATTGTCCTCCTACTTGGAATACACAGTAAACAGACAAGGTCAGCGTCTTTGGTGGTAGAAGAGTGATACGAACAAAATAAACATAAAATGTTTTTTGTTTGTTTGTTTTGTTTTTTTGAGATGGAGTCTCACACTGCTGCCCAGGCTGGAGTGTCGGCTCACTGCAACCTCCACCTCCTGGGTTTACGTGATTCTCCTGCCTCAGCCTCCTGAGTAGCTAGGATTACAGGCACACCCCCCAAAATCCAGTTAATTTTTTGTATTTTTAGTAGAGATGGGGTTTCACTATGTTGGCCAGACTGGTCTCGAACTCTTGACCTCATGATCAGCCCGCCTTGGCCTCCCAAAGTGCTGGGATTACAGGTGTGAGCCACCACACCTGGCCAAAATGTTTTTACAGTTGGAGAAATAATGACCTATGGGTAAAAGAAAAAAAGAGACACAAAAAGTACAAAAAGTAATCAAGCATAGAAATTAAAAATATTCATAGCACATATAAACAAAAGGGTTAGGGCCCATATGTGAAATGGTAAATGAACTGAACAAAATATGTTCCATTTTTACTTCTCTACACTCATCAAAGTTAATATTCCATAAAAGTATTTATTATTTTGATAATCTTATTTGTAAAGAAGACCTTTGCCTACTTTTCTGTGCCCTTTTTTTTTCTGATAGGAATTTTTCTATATACATTTTACTTATTTCTGTCAATAGTTTCTGCAGGTCAGTGTAACAATAAATTTATTTTCTCTTAGAAAAAAGTATGCAAAACAACCTAAGTTTTAAGGAATAAAGAAAAGGTGGTACATATACATAATGGAATACTCTTCAGCCATAAAAAAATGAAATCCTGTCATTTGCGCCAACATGGGTGAAACTGGAGGTCATTATGTTAAGTGAATTAAGTCAGGCACAGAAAGACAAACTTCGCATGTTCTCACTTAAGATTACTTAAAGTTACTTTTCATCTTGACTTTGTGAGAGCTAAAAATTAAAACAATAGAACTCATGAAGATGGCAAGTAAGAATGACGGTTACCAGAGCCTGGGAAGAGAAGTGGGGGTGCGAGGAGAGAAGTGGGAATGGTTAATGGGTGCACAAATATGCTTAGAATAAAAAAGATATAGTATATGACAGCACAATAGAGAGACTACAGTCAACGATAATTTATCGTACATTTTAAAAAAACTAAAACAGTATAATTAGATTGTTTGTAACACAAAGAAGGAATAAATGCTTGAGGTGATGGATACCCCATTTACTCTGATGTGATTATTATGCATTGAATGCCTGTATCAAAATATTTCATGTACCTCCTAAATATATATACACCTACTATGTACCCACAAAAATTACAAATTTTTTTTTAAAAATAGAGAAAAACAGGTGTGCTATTCTTGAAAAGAACTTTAAACAAGTTCTTTAATTTTTTTTAGTTTTATTTTTATGAGGAAGTTGATACAGAAACTTTATAATGATTAGGTATACTTTTTTCAATGTATTGACATGGTTTTATTTCTCTTTAGGCATTATGGGGTATGAGCCATTTAAACACTCAGATGGGGTGATCATCTACGTGATATAATGACAAATATCTTTTTAAGCGAAGATCTAGTTAGTGCTTAGCTTTGTGAGGGAAGTGCTGAACTGAAGACAGAGAATTGGATTCGATTTTCAATATATGCATTTAAGAAGTAGTTGTACATTATATTCTCTAGAGTCTTTCCAGTTTCATGGCCCAGCAATTTAAAATATGCAAAGTATGATTTCTCTTCTTAAAGAGCTTAAATTTAAGTTATGCATATACTTACACATTTTCACCATCGCCTTCCCACTCATGTCATATTTCTCCCACTAAACAGCTTACATAAGTTTACTTTTTACCCTGACTTTGAAATTGTCAGTAATTTGTATGCATGTGATTTAAATTTTGTAGGAAATTAGATTATTTTGTATTCTCTGTAGTGGAATGGGAAAGGGGTAGGAGAGATAGGAAACATCTTTTCAAAAACTGGATTCAAGCTAAACTGGTATCTTGACACTTAGCAGGTCCCACCTGCATCAGGGATACAGAGAACCTAGATGTTCTCTGTTGAGGACCTATAGGGTGAGAATGACTTGAATTCACATGTACTGTGCAAGTGAATATTTGCAAATGTGAAGATTCCATAAAATGCAGTTATACTAGAGATGAAAGAACTGTTAAAGCAAGAAATGCAATACCCTTTGATATAACTATCAGAATGTTTGTAAATTGATTTTAACTTTTTCAAGTTAACAGCATCTATGGTTTTGATTATCACTGAGAAGATTGAGAGTGTATTGATAATAAAATATTGGACACTATATAATTCTGTAAATAATGTAACTTGTTTTAGATATATTTTGCACAGACATAATATCTTCTGTCTGCCTCCTTTTTACTCAAAAGTATTCATCAGGTATCAACTACTTTCTATAAACATTTCACATTAAAGTTTCTATTTGATTAATCAATTTGTTTTTTATATCCACTTTTACATTTTATAGCTTTTGCCTTTTTGAACATTCTTTGGAAGCCACAAATCTACCAAAACCAAGTTTCCCCATTCAAATTTTGTGGTTTTGCTGTAGGTAGTTTGTATTGTCAATGTAAATTTGTGTTGTTTATTTTTTACCTTTAATATTCACTCTGAGTCCTCTTATATAATTGAAGACTTCCATAGCTGTCCAGGATAAATCTATTATAATACTATTTAATACCCTTCACCAACTTTAAGATATACTTTCATAAAAAAGGATCATATATATAAAATTGGGATCCATTTTAGAACTGATGTAGTGGTATAATTTAACTGACCACATTTTTTCATAGTGACACATAAAATCATGGTATATTTGAGATTACCTCTTTTTAGATTCACTGAAAGAGTAATTAAATTTTCTATATACATATATGTTTGCTTTTGACATAATGTTCAAATTTACTGTTGCAAAGAGCAAATGAAGATCAAAATAACCTGGACAAAGTGCACTCAAGATCAAATCACTGGGTACTAATTTGGGTATGTCCTTTTTCCCATTTTCTATGGCTTCACTTCAGTAGCTACAAGAGATTTATTCCCTCTCCTATTATGTCCTTTTTGTTCCACTCAAACTCACATTAACTAACTAAAATAATTAGTCATCTACTCAAGAGAAATCACCTTCTACAACCTACTAGGACTCTTTTCTTTTCTTCTTTTTTTTCCCCTTGGTTAATTATCTCATTTAAAAGAAGTTATTGTGTCCCAATCCAGTGCCAGACACAGAATATGAGCTAAATAAATGCTAATGAAAGAGTTGATGTAAATGAAAATGCCCATGAATAGGCAGATCCTATTCTCATGATGTAAGAGATTATAGAAACCAGTAATTTTCCAAAGCAAGGGACATTGTCTGTGCATTTATAACATAAGATGTCAGTCTAAAAATACCATATCATCTCAATATTTTGCAAGTGTTCTGGATCTTTTGATACTGATTTTTCACTTCCAGTTTATTGGTTCATCTGTGGAAAAATCTGCCAGCAAAAAATAATGTGTATTTTATTTGTGTATTATTTTAAGTTAAAGCAGTCATTCAAAAAGTGTATAGCGCTCAATCAAAACATTGAAAGTAGCTGGGAGCATGCAGCCGATATTAACAGCATCTTTTACAGGTAAATTCTTCTTTCATAGCAAGGAAAAAATACAGAAAAGAGAGGGGGAAAATCCACAAATCTGTTGCCTTTGGAAGTGGTAGAAACTGTATAGACCAGGATAATTTCAAAGCAAGTTAGATTGTTTGCAAAAAGTAGCAAAAGGCTCCTAATGACATAAATCCCTAGAAGGTTAGTGTCCCTGAATAAGTATGGACAGAAACAAATAAATCTAAACCTTGAAAAAAATTCGAGAACTGGAAGATTGATAAACAGATTTAAAGAAGAGAGAAAGTAATGATGATAATTATAATGATAATTTGAGAAATACACAAAGTAAATTCTTATATAATATTAGAAAGTGGTGTTCAGGGTTTATGAAATAGCTGGAATTTGTGAGGAAAGTACTAGAGGGTGGGAAGATGTTCAGAGAAGGAATACCAGAAATCTTCATGGGGCCCCCTATCCAGTTTTGGCCAAATACCATTTTCTAGTATATACAGGGCAAGATTTTACAAGGACTAGAGCGAAACAGCTACTGGGTGACTGTGAGTGGAATACTGATTCTGGAGATGATATGGTATGGGGAAAAATTAGAATTCCAACCATCCACAATGGAGAGAACTTTCTAAATACCCTCAACATTCAGTTGCCGGCCAGAGAGAATATGTTTGAGAAGGGAGATTACGCTAAAGGGTATGCTAGACACAACCAAATAAAGCCTTATAGCCTTATAGCAAGCCTCAGTGGGAACAAGCTGATCCTCCACTAATTTAACTGATCATTAGTGCAAAGCTCAACGATCTTCATGGGAAGATAAGAAAACCCAGACGCTTGATAACAGCATCCACAAACTCCCTGCAGATAATAAAACACTACTATATATGAGAAGACACAAGGAAATATAACATGTAATTACGAAAAATAACAGACAAAAGTAAGAATCTCAGTGATGGCACAGATCCTGGTATTGGTAAATAACATTATTTAAAAAGCTATGATAAATAGATAAAGGGATAAAAGTGTACGTTTCATGATATTAAAGAGCCAAGTCATCAAGAAGTCATAACAATCCTCTTTCATATGCACCAAATAATACAGTTTTAAACTACATGAGGAAAAAAAAAGACAGAAAATATTGACAAATTCACAATTATTATTGATATTTTAAACATTCGTCTATCAGTAATCAATAGAGTAAGTAAACTGAAAGATCAGGAAGAATATAAAAAACAATTTAATCTAATTGACATTTATGGGATACTATATACCCAGTTCTTCGACAATACACATTCTTTCAAAGTGCACATATAGTATTCATTAAGATAGATCATACACTGGACAACAGAAAAAGTCTCTCTAAATGTAACTGTATTAGAGTCATGCAGAGTATGCTTCCAGACCACAACAAAATAAAATTAAAAATCATTTAACACAAAGCTATTGGGAAAATTTCAAAATATTTGGAAATCGAGCAATGCATTTCTAAATATGTATATATCCAAAAAAAATAAGGATAATTATGAAATATTTTGAACTATATGATAATGAAAACACAACAGGTCAAAATTTGTATGATACTGCTAAAATAGTGCTTAAGGAAAAACTTACAGCTCTCTATTAGAGGAAGAGAAGTTCTAAGCTTCAACTTTAGCTAGGAAACAGAGACTGAATTAAATGCTAATACATAAAAAATAAATAAAATAATAAACATATAAGTGAAATCAGTGAAATAGAATATAAGCAAACACTAGTATAATCAGCAAAGCCAATGCTGATTCTTTGAAAAGATTAATAAAATTGAAAAACTCATAACTAGACTGATCAAGAATAAAAGAAAAAAACAAATATTAGTATTAGGAAGAGTGTGGGGTAAGAGTAAGGAAACTGAAGACATTAAGTATATAATAAGGTAATACTATTAAAAACTTTATGCCAAAAAACTGGGCAATTCAGATGAAATGTAAAAACCTCTTTGGGGGGAAAAACACAAATTGGCAAAACAGATACAAAAAGTTAAAAAATCTAAATAGCCCCATATTTGTTTGAATTTGTAATTAATAGCTTTCCCTCAAAGACATTTTCAGGCCAATCTCTGAGGAATCCCACAAGCAATTAAGGAAGAAGTAAGACTAATTCTATACTTTGTTTCCTCCCAGGTAACAGAGGAGGAGAAAAAGAGAACACTTTCCAATTCATTTTATGAGACTAAGATAATCTTAACATTGGTAAGAACAGTACAAAATTTTTTTTTCACATACCATTAGCGCTTATGAACATAGGCACAAAAGAACCCTTACTAAATATAAGGAATTTAAATCTAGCAATGTATAAAAAAGGAAATATATCATAACCAAGTGAAGTTTTGTACAGGAAGGCAAAGTTGTTTCAACATTTAAAAATCAACTAATTATTGATTTTAACTACATAAACATAATAAAAAGGGAAAATAATAATCATCTCAATAGACGCAGAAATAGCATTTGAAGAAATTCAAAACTTAATCATGATTTTTAGAACCTTAACAAACTAGGAGTAGACTCATAAAAGTTATTTGTACAAAATCTATAGCTAAAATTATACTTGGTGGTAAAAGATTGACACTGCTTTCTCCCAAGGAGATTGGGAACAAGCATAATATTCACTCTTACTAGTCCTGTTCAACATTTTTCTTGAGGTCTTAGCCAATATAACAAGGAAAAAAATACAACACATTAAGATTGGAAAGAGAAAACTAAAACTCTCTCTGTTTACATATAATTGTTTATGTAGAAAATCCCAAAGAATCTACAAAGCTATTAGAAACATTAAGTGGATTTAGTAAGGTTACAGGTTACCAATAGGTCAAATACAAATCAGTTGATTTCCTAGATTATTTTAGCAAAGCACAATTAGAAAATAAAATTT
This sequence comes from Homo sapiens, assembly GCF_000001405.40. NCBI lineage: Eukaryota > Metazoa > Chordata > Mammalia > Primates > Hominidae > Homo > Homo sapiens. Next base: position 119,887,979 of record NC_000004.12, on the reverse strand, counting down.
AATTACTGTAGGCTTGTAGTATAGTTTGAAGTCAGGTAGTGTGATGCCTCCAGCTTTGTTCTTTTGGCTTAGGATTTACTTGGCGATGCAGGCTCTTTTTTGGTTCCATATGAACTTTAAAGTAGTTTTTTCCAATTCTGTGAAGGAAGTCATTGGTAGCTTGATGGGGATGGCATTGAATCTATAAATTACCTTGGGCAGTATGGCCATTTTCATGATATTGATTCTTCCTACACATGAGCATGGAATGTTCTTCCATTTCTTTGTATCCTCTTTTATTTCATTGAGCAGTGGTTTGTAGTTCTCCTTGAAGAGGTCCTTCACGTCCCTTGTAAGTTGGATTCCTAGGTATTTTATTCTCCTTAAAGCAATTGTGAATGGATGTTCACTCATAATTTGGCTCTCTGTTTGTCTGTTGTTGGTGTATAAGAATGCTTGTGATTTTTGTACATTGATTTTGTATCCTGAGACTTTGCTGAAGTTGCTTATCAGCTTAAGGAGATTTTGGGCATGGTACTGGTACCAAAACAGAGATATAGATCAATGGAACAGAACAGAGCCCTCAGAAATAACGCCACATATCTACAACTATCTGATCTTTGACAAACCTGAGAAAAACAAGCAATGGGGAAAGGATTCCCTATTTAATAAATGGTGCTGGGAAAACTGGCTAGCCATATGTAGAAAGCTGAAACTGGATCCCTTCCTTACACCTTATACAAAAATTAATTCAAGATGGATTAAAGACTTAAACGTTAGGCCTAAAACCATAAAAACCCTAGAAGAAAACCTAGGCATTACCATTCAGGACATAGGCATGGGCAAGGACTTCATGTCTAAAACACCAAAAGCAATGGCAACAAAAGCCAAAATTGACAAATGGGATCTAATTAAACTAAAGAGCTTCTGCACAGCAAAAGAAACTACCATCAGAGTGAACAGGCAACCTACAAAATGGGAGAAAATTTTTGCAACCTACTCATCTGACAAAGGGCTAATATCCAGAATCTACAATGAACTCAAACAAATTTACAAGAAAAAAACAACCCCATCAAAAAGTGGGCGAAGGACATGAACAGACACTTCTCAAAAGAAGACATTTATGCAGCCAAAAAACACATGAAAAAATGCTCACCATCACTGGCCATCAGAGAAATGCAAATCAAAACCACAATGAGATACCATGTCACACCAGTTAGAATGGCAATCATTAAAAAGTCAGGAAACAACAGGTGCTGGAGAGGATGTGGAGAAATAGGAAGACTTTTACACTATTGGTGGGACTGTAAACTAGTTCAACCATTGTGGAAGTCAGTGTGGCGATTCCTCAGGGATCTAGAACTGGAAATACCATTTGACCCAGCCATCCCATTACTGGATATATACCCAAAAGACTATAAATCATGCTGCTGTAAAGACACATGCACATGTATGTTTATTGTGACACTATTCACAATAGCAAAGACTTGGAACCAACCCAAAAGTCCAACAATGATAGACTGGATTAAGCAAATATGGCACATATACACCATGGAATACTATGCAGCCATAAAAAAGGATGAGTTCATGTCCTTTGTAGGGACATGGATGAAATTGGAAATCATCATTCTCAGTAAACTATCGCAAGAACAAAAAACCAAACACCGCATGTTCTCACTCATAGATGGGAATTGAACAATGAGAACACATGGACACAGGAAGGGGAACATCACACTCTGGGGACTGTTGTGGGGTTGGGAGCTTTAGGAGATATACCTAATGCTAAATGACGAGTTAATGGGTGCAGCACACCAACATGGCACATGTATACATATGTAACTAACCTGCACATTTTGCACATGTACCCTAAAACTTAAAGTATAATAATAATAAAATAAAATAAAATAAAAATAAAAATAAAACAATTCCATGTCAAAAAAAAAAACAATGAAGTAAGTCAAAACATACACTCATAGAAAATGAATTAAGCTCATTAATTTGTTTTGAAAGCATAATTTTTAGTGAGATGACTTCAGGAGATCAGTAGGAAGTGAATGCTAATCTGATCATGTAATTTTGGAAAATAATGTTAATAAATAATCTTACCTTTAAAAAAAAAGAAAAGAAAATTTAAAACCTCAGTATTACTTATAACTAATAAATGAAGAAAAATATTTAAAAAGAAATGTAAAAACTACCATATATAAATAACATTAAAATTCATAAAACATAAAATTCTTAGGGATAAATTTAATAAAATATGTGCAAGAACTTCTCACTGAGAACTACAAATCATTGCTGACAAAAAATTAAAGGACACTTGAACTAACAGGGAGATATACCATATCTATGAATCAGAAAACTCAGTATTGTTAAAATGTTATTTTTTTCCCAAAATTAACCTATAGACTTAAGACAGCCCCAATCAAAATCCCAGAAGGCTTTTTAAAAGTTTGTTTTGTTTTTAGAAACTGGCAATCTGATTTCAAAATACATATGAAAATAAAAAATATCTGGAAAACCTAGTCTTTTTTTTTTTTTTTTTTTTTTTGAGAGAGAGAGTCTCGCTCTGTTGCCCAGGCTGGAGTGCAGTGGCGGGATCTCAGCTCACTGCAAGCTCTGCCTCCCGAGTTCACCCCATTCTCCTGCCTCAGTCTCCCAAGTAGCTAGGATGGTCTCGATCTCCTGACCTTGTGATCCACCCGCCTCGGTCTCCCAAAGTGCTGGGATTACAGGCGTGAGCCACCGCACCCGGCCTGGAAAACCTAGTCTTGAAAAGGAGAGTAAGATTAAAGGACTGACACTATTTAATTTAAAGACATACTGTAAAGCTACAATAGTCAATAGTATTGCATAATGATACACAAATCGGTCAAAGGAAAAGCAATAGGAATTCCAGAAATAGACTCACATTGATGTTTTAACACAGGCACTGAAATTATTCAACAGAAGAAAGAAAGCCTTTCTTTTGAATAAGTGGTGCTGGAACAACTAGATATCTATTGAAAAAAATTAAGCCTCTATTTCATGGCTGGGCAGGGTGGCTCACACCTGTAATCCCAGCACTTTGGGAGGCCGAGGTGGGCAGATCACAAGGTCAGGAGATCGAGACCATCCTGGCTAACACAGTGAAACCCTGTCTCTATTAAAAATACAAAAAATTAGCCGGACGCGGTGGTGGGCGCCTGTAGTCCCAGCTACTTGGGAGGCTGAGGCAGGAGAATGACGTGAACCCGGGAGGCGAAGCTTGCAGTGAGCCGAGATCACACCACTGCACTCCAGCCTGGGCAACAGAGCAAGACTCCATCTCAAAAAAAAAAAAAACAAAACTGAACTTCATTAAAATTAAAAACTTCAGCTCATCAAGAGGTATCACTAAGAAAATTAATAAGCAAGTCACAGACCAGGAGAAAATGTTTGCAAAACATATATCAGACAAAGAACTTGTGTCTAGAATAAAGAAGTCCTACAAATCACTCATTATAAAAAGAACCTATTTTTAAAAATTTGCAAAAGATTGAAAAGATACTTTATAAAGGAAAATACACAAATGGCCAATAAGACATGAAAAGTGCTTAACATTGTTAGTCATCAGGAAAGTTAAAACTGAAACCAAAGGCATGAAAACGTGTGTCAGTTGTCAGGTGATGAGTGGCACAATACCACTACAAACTTACTAGAATGGCTAAAATTAAAACAATGACAATATCAAGTGTTGGTGAGAATGTGGAACAACTAGAACTGACATTGCTAGTGAAAGAGTGAAATGTTACAAACATTGGAAAATAGCTGTGTAGTATCTTATAAAGTTAAATGAATACCTACCTATGTCACATTAATTTTCTATGTATTTATCCAATATTAAGATAAATATATATCCATAAAGATTGATACAAGAATGTTCATAGTAACTTTATAATGTCATCACACACTCAGGATGCTCTGTTCATTTCTATCAAGGCTTTTGGGTTTTCACCGGTAACTGATCTCAATTGCATTTCATGCAATCAATGAACAAATATTTTTAAGACACTTTTTTTTCTAGATAATTAGGCTTTTGTCATACTTTTCTTCCACTTGATAAACAATAAATGATCTTACTATGGAGACTCTGGTCAGTGACAACCATGGGATTGCTTTAGTGGGACATTAGTCCCTTTTCTGAGTCATTAACCCCTTATCACATATCCTGCAGTTTGGTAATAGACTACCTGCCACTGAAATATCACTTTCTATGTTTTTGAGCTTGGGCAGCTCTTTTCACCTCTGTGCTTGGGTTCTCTCTGTGCTCTCAATGTGGGATTGCTTTTTCTTTTCATGTCTTCCTCATCCATTCAACAAATAGTTATTGTCTGCCTACCATGTGTCAGGTGATGAGTGGCACTATGCAAGATGTTAAGCAGTGCAAAAAAAAAAAAAAAATGCCACCATGCAGAGGCCCTCTTCCTCTTTGAAATTATGCTCTCGAGTATTTGGGTTCAGACTGTAACCAAATAATATACCAGGTTTGAGTATAATTAGAACTGTGAAACAGCACAACACAATACAAACATTGGGAAGAAAAGTTAAGTGGCACATGAGAGCATTTAACAAGCAGATTTCATGCTCAATATAACAAGCAGATTTTTTCTTGATGAGATAAATTTTGAACTGAAATCAAGAGGATTTGTAAACACAAAGTAGGAAATACAGATGAGATGCTGGATGGAATAAGTTTCAGACAGTTGGAATTGTTGTGTCCTATGCCAGGTGGGGAGCTCCATAAAGGAGCTACAGGAAGGCCAGGGCAGCTAGAAAGCACAGAGCAAAGAACAGCCCAGGACAAAGTCAAGTTAAAGAGACAGGCGTGTTAAATATTTTAGTCTTTGTTCCTAAACAGTGGGAAGCCTCCAAAGGGTTTTAAGCATGTGTGTTAGAAAGATGAAAGAGTTTTTAAAAAAACATTTGGGTTTTGAAATTGTCACTTTAGCAGTCACTTCTTCAAAGTTCTTTTACACCATTAAGCCTTTCTCCTCAAGTGGAGGTGATTTCTGTCTCCTGTGAACACCATAGTCATTTTCTGTATCTCTTGTAAAATCCTTAGAATAGTCTTGTCTTGTAGCATTGCATTACTTGTTTTATCACTTCTACGCTAAAACATTTTGAAGATTGGGAATTCTTATTTCATTTTAAAATACTCTGCTGTGCTCAACAGGGTAGTAGGGTCTCAATGTATTTCCTGTTGAAACTATGAGAAAAAGTAAGGGAAAAGGTATTGATTTATGCTCACCCAATGACCACAGGATGAGCCAGAGCATCCCATACTTAGGGTGATCAGCATTGCCGTGAGGATGGAACATATGGCAGTGAAGTCAATTGTCTCTCAAGAGAGATCTGTTGGCTGCCTGACAGGCCCCCATAGACAGGAAGACCACTGGGCCATCGTCTCATTTTAGTTCAACTTGGGTGGTCTGAGATTTTTACTACAGGTACACCCAGAGGAAATCAGAACAGGAGTTGACAACTCCCAAGGACCAAACACAGAAACAACTTTAAAACGACTTTAAATAAAAAAGGATGCTATTCTTATTTACAGAGAACAACACAATTATGAAAGGAACCAGATATTTATGTTCAGTTATTAGCAAATTGTCTTGTTACAGGTGAGTATACCCAGGAAGCCAAATTATATGCAGAACATTACTTGAAAAAGCAAGAAATCAGAACAAAGGAAGTTAATTGTTTCCTCTCGATGGCCAGAGTTACCAAGCTATGCCACTAAGATTTTGGCAAGGACCACATAATCATATTTGTTGGCCAAGGCAAGCTTTTTCTGGTTACTTCTGGGGACACCCTGAGACAATTTCCTTACAAACTTTTTTTTTTCCTAGAAAGGGAAACTAACCCCATTTTTTTGTTGTTGTTATTGAGACAGGGGTCTGGCTCTGTTACCCAGGCTGGTGTGCGATGGCACAATCTCAGCTCACTGCAATCTCCACCTCCTGGGCTCAAGTGATCCTCCCACCTCAGCCTCCTGAGTAGCTGGGACTACAGGCATGTGCCACCATGCCCGACTAATTTTTGTATTTTTTGGTAGAGACAGGGTTTCACCTTGTTGCCCAGACTGATCTCAAACTCCTGAGATCAAGCAATCTGCCCGCTTCACTCTCTCAAAGTGCTGGAAGTAAGGCGTGAATCACTGCACCTGGCATATGTGATATTATTTTCTTCAATGTGTTAAAAGTTTCGGCCTGGTACTGTGGCTCACATCTGTAATCCCGGCACTTTGGGAGACTGAGGCAGGTGGATCACCTGAGGTCAGGAGTTCGAGACCAGCCTGGCCTACATGTTGAAACTCCATCTCTACTAAAAATACAAAAATTAGCCCGGCATGGTGGCAGGCACCTGTAGTCCCAGCTACTCGGGAGGCTGAGGCAGGAGAATCACTTGAACCCGGGAGGCGGAGGTTGCAGTGAGCCAAGATCACGCCACTGCACTTCAACCTGGGCAACAAAGCAAGACTCTGTCTCAAAAAACAAAAAAAAATCCATTAGATTATGGCTAAGCCTTGAACTAAGGAGTATATGAAAAAAAAAAACATTTAAAACAATGCCCAATAAATAATTATCTGATTCATTTAAGGTAACATATTGAATACCTAGTCTCTGGTCCAATATAAATCAATTTAATAACATAGCTCTAAGAGGCAATCTTATTTCTTCACTTTCATGTTCTTGAGCACAGAGAAGTTCCCTGCTTTTTCCTTATTAAGAGCAAACATGGCATTGTGAATAAGTACAGCATCTTCACAGCAGTCAGACACGCAATATTTCCCAAATAGTGCAATGAATTGTTCTAATAGTTTTAAAGATTTAATTAAGAATCCTACTGTGCCTAAATTACCTCCCCCAAATTAACTCAATCTTTATTAAGAAGCCTCTCAGTAGGAACATAAGATTGTCAGAGCCCGCAGTTTTAACCTTCAACTTTATGGAGGTTAAGTTTGTACAATTTATGAAATATCTGGCTGGTAAGAATGTCAGTGCACTCCAAGACCGATTAGAACAAGCTTGTTTATATTGTTCAATTGTATAAGAATCTAGTGATTACCTAGAGATGTGTGTTAACATATTCCACCATGGTTATGAATTTGTAAATTTTGTCTTTTTATATTTTGAGTTTATTTTATTAGGAACACTATAAGTTTAGGATTGTTAGAGATTCCTAGAGAATATTATCAAAATATTGTTATCCTGTTGACCTCCAATAACACATTTTTCCTTAAAGCCTACTAGCTAAAATTCATACACATTTTTTGGTCTATCTTTTATTGTCCATGTACTTCCAACTTGTTCTTATGTTTTCAATATTTTTCTTATAGATGGCACAAAATTATATTTTTTTAACTTTTATTTCAGGTTTAGGGATACATGGGCAGAGTAAATATTGGTAAACAGCGTGTCATGGGGTTTGGTGTACAGATTAGTTAGTCACCCAGGTAATAACTACAGTACCTGATAGGTATTTTTTTTTTTGTCTCCCTCTTCCTACACTTCACCCTCAAGCAGGCCCTGGTGTTTGTTTTTCCCTTCTTTGTGTCCATGTATTCTTGTTTAGCTCCCACATAGTAAGTGATAACATGTGGTATTTAGTTCTCTATTCCTGCATTAGTTTGCTTAGGATAATGATCTCCAGCTTTATCCATGTTACTGCAAATGTCGTGATCTTATTCTTTTTAATGTTTGTGTAGTATTCCATGGTGTATATGTACCATATGTTCTTTAACCAGTCTACCATTGATGGGTATTTGGGTTGATTCCATGTCTTTGCTATTGTGAATAGTGCTGCAATAAACATACATTTGCATATGTCTTTATGGTAAAAATGAATTATATCCCTTTGGGTATATATTCAATAATGGGATTGCTGAGTTGAATGGTAATGCTAAGTTCTTTGAAAAATCACCACACGGCTTTCTACAATGGCTGAACTAATTTACACGCCCACCAGCAGTGCATAAACATTCTCTTTTCTCCACAACCTTGCCAGTATCTGTTATTTTTTGGCTTTTTAATAATTACCACTCTGACTGGTGTGAGATAGTGAGGTAGTCAAAGTCATTGTGATTTTGACTTGCATTTCTCTAATGATTAGTGATGCTGAGCATTTTTCATAGGCTTGTTGGCTGCATGTACATCTCTAGAAAAGTGTCTGTTTATGTCCTGTGCCCACTTTTTAATGGGGTTGTTTGTTTGTTTCTTGTATATTTGTTTAAGTTCCTTACTGATGCTGGATATTAGACCTTTGTCAGATGCATAGTTTGCAAAAATTTTCTCCCATTCTGTAGGTTGTCTATTTACTCTGTTTATAGTTTCATTTATTGTGCAGAAGCTCGTTATTATGATTAGGTCCCATTTGTCAATTTTTGTTTGTGTTGCAGTTGCTTTTGGCATCTTTATCATGAAACCTTTACCAGTTCCTATGTCCAGAATGGTATTGCCTAGGTTTTCTTTTAGGGTTTTTATAGTTTTAGGGTTTACATTTAAGTCTTTAATACATCTTGAGTTGATTTTTGTATATGGTGGAAGGGAGAGGTCCAGTTTCCATCTTCTGCATGTGACTAGCCAGTTATTCCAGCACATTGTAGGTGTGAGGTCTTGTTTCTGGGTTCTCTATTCTGTTCCACTGGTCTATGTGTCTGTTCTCGTACCAGTACTGTATTAGTCTGTTTTCTCACTGCTGACAAATATATACCCGAGAATGGGCAAATTACAAAGGAAAGAGGTTTAATGGAGAACTCACAAGTCCACATGACTGGGGAGGCCTCACAATCATGGCAGAAGGCAAAGAGGAGCAAGTCACATCTTATGTGGATGGTGGCAGGCAAAAAGAGAGCTTGTGCAGGGAAACTCCACTTTATAAAGCCATCAGATCTCATGAGACTTATTCAGTATCATAAGAACAGCACGGGATTCAATTGCCCCCTTGATTCAATTACCTCCCACTGGGTCCCTCCCACAACACATTGGAATTCAAGATGATATTTGGGTGGGAACACAGCCAAACCATATCAAGTACCATGTTGTTTTGGTTACTGTAACCCTGTAGTGTAGTTTGAGGTCAGGTGACATGATGCCTCCAGTTTTGTTCTTTTTGTTTAGGATTGTCTTGGCTATTTGTGCTCTTTTTTTGGTTCCATATGATTATAAAATAGTATTTTCTAGATCTATGAAGAATGTCATCTGTAGTTTGGTAGGACTAACATTGAATCTATAAATTACTTTAGGCAGTATAGCCATTTTAATGATGTTGACTCTTCCTATCCATGAGCATGGAATGTTTTTTATTTGTGTTTTCTGATTTCTTTGAGCAGTGTTTTGTAATTCTCATTGTAGAGATATTTCACCTCTCTGGTTAGATGTATTCCTAGGTATTTTATTCTTTTTGTGGCAGTTGTGAATGGGATTGCATTCTGGATCTGACTGTCAGCTTGGATGTTGTTGGTGTAAAGGAATGCTACTGATTTTTGTACATTGATTTTGTATCTGTAACTTTGCTGAAGTTGTTTATCAGATCAGGGAGCTTTGGGGTAGAGACTATGAGGTTTTCTAGGTGCAGAATCATGTTATCTACAAACAAAGATAGTTTGACTTCCTCTCTTCCTGTTTGGATACCTTTTATTTCTTTCTCTTACATGATTGCTCTGGCCAGAATGACTAGTACTATGTTGAACAGCAGTGGTGAGAGAATAAAATTGTATTTTTTAAAATCCAGTTGTATAATCTAAGTCTCAAAATGTGATTTTCAAATTGTGGTCTGGAGCCCCTGAAGATCCCCAAGACCTTTTGATAGTGGTGGGGGTATGTGAAGTCAAAATTCTTTTTAAATAATAAAGTAAGACATTATTTACCTACTTTCATTCTTTCATGTACACAGTGGAATTTTCCAGAGAATGGGTAATGTATCATAAGAAACTGAATGCAGAAGCAGATATGCAAATCCAGCCAAACCGTAAAGCCAGACATTATAGAGATTTATAAAAATACAAAACAATGTTACGTTTCTTAATACCGTAGACCCAGAAAATATAAGACTGGTCTCAGATTAATTTAGAAAGTTTATTTTGCCAAGATTGAAGATGCACATCTGTGACACAGCCTCAGGAATTCCTGACATCATGTGCCCAAGGTGGTCGGGACACAGTTTGATTCTCAGCTTGAATTTTCCCAGCTTAGTAATTTTGGGGGCAGAAGATATTTTCCTTTCACAATACATTTTTGTTTTGGGAAATAGTTATTTTCACAGAAATTACCATTTACATTAACATATGGTAAGTTTATTACTGTTGTTTAAATAAATTAACAAGTATTTTAAATTCTTTTCTTTTAGTTTTTAATATGGTAAATGTTGATAGATGTGAAGCCCATAAATAAAATCTACTTGAAGTTCTTACTAACCTTAAAAATTTTTTAAGTGTCCAGAATAAAAAATTTGAGAACTACAGCCTTAAAACTTTAAAGCCTTTAAAACTTTAAATTTTTTAAGCTTTAAAATGGACTAATTTTAGAATGTTGAGTCAGTGTATTTATCTCCTTCTTTTTAATAATTTAAGGCCTTATAATGCATTGATTTCAATGACCCCATTTTATCTTGGCACTTGTTTGGTGATTTAACTGAGGTAGAATGGCAGGTGATATATTCTGTCAGTATTTTGAAGGTATATTCCATTGTCGTCTAATTTCTTTGTTGTAGTAAATTAGTTGGGTTGGCTGAAATTCTTGGTAATATAATCTTGATATTTTATTATCTGCTGACTCTACCTCATGGAGTAACTGTTTTCTTATGTGCTGTGATTTCGATTGTGGATTTGTCTTCATTGGGAACTAATAGTTGAACAGCCTGGAATAAGAGAGCCAGTCACTCCAAAGACATTTTATGGAAGCTCCCTTCAAGTGATTTGGAGTTACCACTGGTCTGAGACCACTTCTTTTTTTATTGTGGTAAAATATATGTAACAAAATATTTTTCATTTTAACCACTTGTAGTTATTCAATTCAGTGGTATTAGAGACATTTTCAGTGTTATATAAACATCAACATTACCTGTGCCTCAAATTTGTTATCATCCCCAACATAAACCCTGTACTCATTAAACAATAACTCTAATTCCCCCTTCCTCCTAACACTTGCTAACCTCTATTCTGCTTTCCATTTCTAAATCCATTTCTATAAATTTGACTATTCTAGATATCTCACATGAGTGGAATTATATAATATTTGTCCTTCTGTTGGTTTATTTCACTCAACTTAATATTTTCAAGGTTCATCCATGTTGTAGCATCTATCAAAATTCCATTCCTTTCGTGGCTGAATTTTTTTAAATTTAATTTAATTTGATTTGATTTGAAGTTCCAGGATATATGTGCAGGACACACAGGTTTGTTACTTAGGTAACCATAGTGGTTTGCTGCACCTACCAACCCATCACCTAGGTATTAAGGCCCACATGCATTAGCTATTTATCCTGATGCTCTTCCTTCTCCCACATCCCCAACAGGCTCCAGTGTGTGTTGTTCCCCTCCCTGTGTCCATGTGTTCTCATTGTTCAGCTCCCATTTATAAGTGAAAACATGCAGTGTTTGGTTTTCTGTTCGTGTGCTAGTTTCCTGAGGATAATGGCTTTATTCCATTGTATGTATATATCATATTTTGTTTATCCATGCATCTCTTGATGGACACAGGTTGTTTCCACCTTTTGGCTGTTGTAAATGCAAATTGTAGTATACAAATATCTGTTTGAGTCCTTGCTTTCAATTCTTTTGGATATACCCTTAGCAGTGCAATTGCTGGGTCATACGGAAGATTTTGAGGACCTGCCACGCTGTTTTCCACAGGAGCTGCACCATTTCACATGCATTTCACATTCCCACCAGAATGCAGGCTTCCAATTTGTCCACATTCTCACCAACAATTGTTATTTTCTATTTTACTGATTATAGTCACCTTAGTAGGTGTGAAGTGGGGACCACTTTCTATGTTAATTTCTTGGCTTGGGGTTTCTTAGACCTCACAGGTAGTTAGTACTCAAAATCCAAACTTGTGTGAGGGCTGACTAATGCAAGTAATTCTCAGAGCATGTGACTATTTCTATATAGAGCCTATGCATATTCCAACAAGCTTCCTCCCATCATCTCATTGGTCCAGTGTGCAGATTTTTCTCAGCACCATTTCACTGAGGTGTAGACTTCCAAGAGTCCGAAATGAAGTGTTAGGATTCAATCTCTCCAACATAAACAGACCTTGTGTCAGCATAACCATTAAAACACAAACTTCCCCCTACTTCTCTCTTAGCCCTGTTTTTCCAGGGCTCCAGCAAGATTGGGTGACAGATTTCCTGCTAGGGTTTCACCTGCCCAGTCTCCACCCCACAAAACTGTTCCACATGCCCATTCACCTGAGACCCATGAGAATTTCCTTTACTTTGTTGCAATTTCAGGTACACTCTCAAAATATGTTCATTGTATTTTCCTTTTGTGTGTGTGTTTTACTTTGTGTAGGAGTATTTTCAGGTTACCTAATTCATCCATTCTCAAATTACCCTCCAAAAAATTATGTTCAATCTTCAGGCTTAATTTTAAAAAAACAATCATAATATGTGATTGGCAAATATAAATCTAGTTAAGACTATTCATCTTTTAAAGATATGTTCAATTCTTTAATAATAATAATTGACAGATCCTTATAGAAGTAGGTTAGAAATTACATCATGATAAAAGCTTGTATTATTGACATATTGCAATATTTCTCTGAATGAGTTCTGTGAAACAGTTTCCAAAATAGACTAACATCTTAAATATGAAAATAGTTGTTCCAGGATCATTAGTAAAATATTTTGTTAAGCTTGATTAAACAGATTTCTTCACTGCAAGATTTACATGTAATATATGTAATGCATATATAAATGCTGTATCTCGAAGAAAGCATTTCTCAAATTTATCTTCTTGGAGCATCATGTGGTACTAAATATTCAAAGACACACAACTTCTGGAAACCTTGACACTCATATTTAAAGATGAAATTTCTAATTTTTCCATCAAGTTATATAAATCAGGTCATCATTTCTGGATCATGACATATAAATGATTCAGAAGTTTATGAATTAATGATAGACTTTGGTTCTTGGTAGCTACAATATTATGATATCGTAAAGAAAGCTAAACTTTTATTTCTTTTTCGTTTTATTCTTACATAATCTCTGATACTTTTGTATATCAATAATTTTAATAAAATATAAAATTGGAATACTTATCTACTTTGTTACATAAGATTATGGGAGTATGGAAAATGAATTAGAGATTTCAATACAGAAAGGAAAACACATATTTAAGAAATTAGTTTTCCATAGCAACAGAGTCCTATTTGCTCCATAATGATTAAACCAAAATAACTTATCTGAAAGCTCTGGACACTTCAAATTAATGGAAAAATTGAAGACAACATTAAAGTCTCATTACCCTAGATGGTGATTTATGGATTAGGTTTAATAGCCTAAATATTCTCCCATCTGCTTAGAAATATATCTACAGAGGTTTAAAATTAATTTTAATAATTCTAGTTTTGAATGCAGTTTTTCATATATCAAACTTATTAAAAGAGTTTGCAACACTTCCATGGGAAAATCTCTAAAATTTAACATAATTGAAATGAGCTCAGAAATACAGAAACAAAAGGACCCTTAAAATATATGTAAGTATCAAAGGAATGGAAATGACTTCATAAAAAGTCAGATAGTTTATTGTTTATTAAGGGACGGATTTTTCCAGTTTGTTGAGTATTACATTGCTTAGATTCTTCTCCTGACTTTTCCAACAAATTAGTCATGTCTCTGTTAATTAATAACTGTATCAAAAGGTAGTCAAAACTAAAATCTTTAAAAAAATCACAACATATTTTTGTAGAAAAAGTCCTCAGAGGGCATCTATTGAAACCACCTATTTACAAATGAGGAGACTGATGGCAGGTGAGGTAAAAGATTTACCCATGGTAATAGCCACTGAGTGATCTCACCCCCTCTTTGAGAGTTTCAATCCCACAACCCAGAACGATTGTTTATTGAGATCCTTTATCACATGGCTGAAAATTTTCAGTGATAGATATATAGATAGGCCACTAATTCTCCCCTGAAATATTTCATTTGTATATGTGTGTATATACCACTCACCCTCCAAAAGTATAAATCTAAAACTACATAAATATCAGGCATTGTGCTGCATGACCTACTAGTTATTCCCTATAAAATAAATTATGTTTTCTTTCTTTTTCTCCATTTCTATCCATTTCTATTTTTCCTTCAATCTCTTAGTTTCTGCATCATTTAAATTTTAGTAAATTCCATTCTCATAAATCGCTAAAACTCAAAATAAAAATGACTTTGTGAAAAATCTCATTTTATGGTAATTCCAAGCAGGCAATAGTAAAGAATCATAGCATTGGTCTAAAGGAGTTCCATAGCTGCAAAACATATGACTACAATTGGCCACAGTCCTTTAAAAAGTCAGTCAGCCCTCATACTAATAATATAGCTGTGCTTCAGGTTTTTGTTTCTGTTTTTGTTTTGTTTTAAACCTTGAATTGGTATTAAGTATACCTCCCTCTTAGGGCTATCAGGAGAATTGAATGAGATAATGGACCCAGAGTGCCTAGCTCACAGTCAAGAGCATAGTAGGTGGTCAAAATAAGTATTGCTTTACTTCCTTCTCTGCTTTGTAATTGCATCACTATTTCAGTTCCATGAAGAAAAGAAAAGTATATTAGGTTGAAATGTAATAAAAAATATAAAAATATATGGAAGACTTTATAACTCATTTCAAGTTATTTTCTCCAAACTACTCAGGAATTCAAAATGGATTGATGAAACATAAGCAGAAAAAAAAAAGAAAGAAATATCCCACCTTACTTGTGCTTACTTGGAAGAACTAAGACAGGTCAAGCTAAGGGTCCAGGGTTTGTCATGAAGTGCTCAGTCTGTCTTTTTTTACTACTGGGAAGTAATCTAGGGGAAAATTAAACATTCAGAGACCACTCAGAGGCAGGCATTTTTCCATAGTCCTGTTTTTATTCAGGTATTCAACATACGTAATTAAGCAGCTGTTGTGTAGTAGCCACTGGGATAGTTGATGGTTATCAAAGTTAATAAGAAACTAGTCATATCCCTGTTAAAATAAGTAAGTGTTCTCAGAAAGCTGACAAGTCTATTACAGCAATTAAGCTCCATGTGGTAAGTGAAATATGAGAGAAATGAATAAGGTTGGATCATAGCACAGGGAGACCTCAGCCTGCTTGGAGGTAGAAGGAGAAATTAGGCCTTAGCTTAGTCTTTCAGAAGAGGAATTGGCCAGTTCAAGAATTAGTGGAAAGGAGGATATTCCATCCAGGGGCCTTTGGAGGCAAGGGATCAAGTATTGTGAAATAGATAGAAAAGTATCACTAGGGCAAAACTAGCCGACTTATGGGAACTTCCTGCTGTTATTGTGAAGGCTTGCTGGTCTTGTTTACTTTCAATGACTTCTTTCAAATAAAAATGACAGGTGTTCAGAGAAGAAGCTTGCCACATGTAAATTAAAAAAAAAGATTAGATACAAATTCCCATACAGATTATTGAATAAACAAACAAAGTGACGTGACTGATAAAATGGTCAAAACAGGCTTCATAAGACTAGAAAGAGAAAAGAATGAAGATGGATGAAGCATCTGAAATAAGAAAGATGTTGAGGTATTAGAGCAACAGGGAGAAAGCCGGAGTAGCCACAGAGGGAGGAAAAAGGTGAGAGTAGATGAGAATGCGATTGAGATATGTTTTGTATAGAATTAAATTTTCTCAAAGCCAAGAAGACAACAGAGAAAATACATATGTAATTGTGAAGTTAGTTGAGTTTTTAATTTTAAGATGATCTCCTTTCATGTTTTAGATATTACTAGAAAAAAAATTATAATCTAATTGCATATTAAATTAGCTCAGGAGTTTGTGACCAGCCTGGCCAACATGACAAAACCCTGTCTCTATTAAAAAGAAATACAAAAATTAGCCAGGCCTGGTGGCTTGCACCTGCAGTCCCAGCTACTCGTGAGGCTGAGGCAGGAGAATCGCTTGAACCTGGGAGGTGGAGGTTGCAGTGAGCCAAGATTGTGCCACTGCACTCCAGCCTGGGTGACAGAGTGAGACTGTCTACAAAAAAAAAAAAAAAAGTTAGCTCAGTATATATTTTCTTCTCCTAACAACTTAATCATAAGCTTACTTAGGTAGCAGTTTTTTCATAGAATATTTAAAATGTGATTCAATTTGAGAAAAATTGATCTACACATGTATTTTCAGGGCCACACACCTACAAGAAATGTACTCATAGTTTATAATACAACAATAATTTTTAGTATTATGTCTTCACATTCCTTTTAACTGATAAAAATCAGAAGGGACTCTGAAATACACAGTCACACTACAAAACTGGTTAGTCCTCTGAGGAATACACAATTCTAAATAAGATTTGTTCCCTGTCATATAGAACAATACCAGTAAAAACTTAATGGTTGTCATTAAAAAAACTTAACTTTATTTCAAGAATAAGCAGGTTGACCTAAATAGAAGTATAAAAATATCTATTTCTGTCTAACCTTTTACCTTTTAAAAAGTAACTTGAGGTGCTTATCATTTGAGAGATTAAATTAATAGTGGTAAAATATTTCAGCTATTTCAAAGTGGTCAGATCCAAACTAACCATTTTTTGAAAAACATGAATTACATATTACATGGTTGTCTATTTGACTTTTCCTTTTGAATATACTTTAGTTCAAGGTAGATAATCCTTTAAATTTTATGGAAAAACATTAAATGGCATGCATAAATTAAGTGCTTAATAATTCTTTCATGATTGTTAAGATTTATTGTTCTAATTCAATTTCTAATCTCAAAATGACTCATGGAAATTAAATAGTAACTGAATTCCAGCACTGGAAGAGTTTATAATTCAGTCCAAGTTTCTCATTTTATACATGAGGTACATGAAGCACAGATAAATTTAATGACTTGACTAAATTTTATAAACTAATACATAATACCTAGACTTCTCCGACCTGCAAATTTTCTCTTCATACTCACATAAGAAAATTTAGACAGAGATCATTTTTTCTGCCTCCAAATGTGTACTGCCCGGTGGTTAAGTTATCTCATTTGAATAGATGGAAAAAGAAAAATACTTCCTATTCAGTGTTAAAAAATAAAACAGTGTATATTCTACTTTAAACAGTTACAAAAAAAGGCAGAAAATATATAAAACGTATGTTAAAAAATAAAGATCTATGAAGTGTGTATTTAATAGTTTCAACAGAGTCAATGCTATTTTCTGGCAATAGGTGATTGCAAGTTTTTCAAGAACTTGACTATTATTAACAAACTTCAAAAATAATCTACCTTCATAATCATTTCTTTTTCTTTTTCTTTTTTTTTTTTTTTCTTTTTTTTTGAGACAGAGTCTCCCTCTGTCGGCGCGATCTCGGCTCACTGCAAGCTCCACCTCCCGGGTTCACACCATTCTCCTGCCTCAGCCTCCCTAGTAGCTGGGACTACAGGCGCCCGGCTAATTTTTTGTATTTTTAGTAGAGACTGGGTTTCACCATGTTAGCCAGGATGGTCTCGATCTCCTGGCCTCGTGATCCGCCTGCCTCGGCCTCCCAAAGTGCTGGGATTACAGGCCTGAGCCACTGCACCCGGCCCTTCATAGTCATTTTCTATCTGCAATCAAGGAATTTACAGTTTACCTAACTCACATATTTTCTATCTATTGTTATTGCTGTTGTGTTAACGGTGACATCATCAGTTTGAGGAAATCCAGCCAAACAATTGAGTCTCTGTCTTGACCTATCTAATATTCAGCAGAAAAAGTTAAATAGACAACCAGATACATTAAATCAAACTCTTGAAATACATGACCAATTTCTAAAATAAAAAGAATTTTACATTTGCAAAGCAGAGAAAGGTTTTAGTTTAGAGGACTTTATCAGAAGTCAGGGCTGAGGACTGATAGGGAGGGCCTCCAGAGACCATCTCACTAATTAATCATTCTGGTATCCAGAGGTTTATTGTCGCCATTGGCACCTATTCATAGGCAGAAAATAACCCTAAAGGTAGATTCATTTTCAAGTTTTGTAACGCTAAATAATAAACCTAGTCATTACCCAACATATCACCTATCT
This sequence comes from Homo sapiens, assembly GCF_000001405.40. Lineage (NCBI taxonomy): Eukaryota > Metazoa > Chordata > Mammalia > Primates > Hominidae > Homo > Homo sapiens. Next base: position 119,869,776 of record NC_000004.12, on the reverse strand, counting down.
TTACTAAGGAACTACTTAACAGATTTGAGATGATGGGTGAATAATATATAAAATATTTAGAAATTATGGCAAGTTATTGAATCATGAGTTTATGAATATATGAAAGGAAAGTATTTTAATATTAAAAGATTGTCTAAAATTATAGATTCTACAATTTCTTGGGCACTTGATCTTTTTAATCAAATTCAATGAATCAAAACTTAATAGAGCCACTTCAAATGGAAAATTATTGCCCTAAAGAGACTGGGGTTTAAATGTTCTTAGGGTTAAAGGTATATTTAGAAATAAATTGATGTTTCATGAAGCCAAAGTAGATTACAAATTCAGAGAAAATCTCTCTTTGTCAAAATACTTTGTAATTTAGAAATGAAAATAAGCATGTGGAAAATTTTTATAACCAAAAAGTTACAATACAGTTTCTCTCTATTTTCTGAAGCACTAGATTAGCTCCCCCAGTTTTTTTAGCAGTCACATTATTCTCCCATACATGTCTATTTTTGGTGTCTTCTATGTAGAAAATATGTTAACTTGCTTTTCAGAGATAACATCCTGAGACAGTTAAAGAAGCAGATAATTTCATAATCAAAATCTTTACTCTCTGATATAGCTGAAACAACATTGCTTTGAGTTGTATTCTGGCCCCAAATAATATTTCTAGGAGAAAAACACAAGAGTCTTGGGGTCATCAAAGACAGAAGAGCTTACATGTAAAACTCCTACAGTTTTGCTACTTAAAGATAACCTAAACCCTATCCAACCATGTTTTTATGAAGGAGGTCCTTAACCTGAAGGTTTAAATAACCGAATGAATAATCATCTAAGTGTTAGATTCTTAAAAGGTATTTTATTGATGAATTATATATATAATACCTTTTACTATTTATAGTTTATATTCAATACCTCTTTTAAAAAGAAATGCATGAGCCGGGTGCAGTGGCTCACGCCTGTAATCCCAGTACTTTGGGAGGCCGAGGCGGGCGGATCACGAGGTCAGGAGATTGAGACCATCCTGGCTAACACGGTGAAACCCCGTCTCTACTAAAAATACAAAAAATTAGCTGGGCATGGTGGCGGGCGCCTGTAGTCCCAGCTACTCGGGAGGCTGAGGCAGGAGAATGGCCATGAACCCGGGAGGTGGAGCTGTCAGTGAGCCAAGATTGCACCACTACACTCCAGCCTGGGCGACAGAGCGAGACTCCATCTCAAAAAAAAAAAAAAAAAAGAAAAGAAAAAGAAATGCATGTTATGCTTTCAATCTCAAATAGAGAAGACCAAATCAATCTTTTAGCTCTTGCTCTTACTCTTGCCTTCTTCATGTTCCTTCTACCTAGGACTGGGCTGGAGCCCATCTGTATGATAGTCTGAAGCTCACTCAAAATCATCATAACCTTTGGCACTGAGACCAACTGATGGGCACCTGACCTAGTCTGGGGAGTCAAAGGAGGCTTCCCTTAGGAAAGGACATTTGAACAGAGATCTGAGTAGTAAGTCCTAGATTAAAAAAGTAGGATGAAACTAGATTAGGAAGACTGTTGCGGGTAGAAAGAACAGCCTAAGGATACAAAAATAAGGAAAAGAGTAGCACAGAATGAACCTGATCACAGGTGCCAAAGGCCACTGTGATGGGCTTTGTAGACCCTGTTAGTCAAAATTGGGCACGGGGTGGGGAGGGAGAAGGATGATGAGAGGACTGCTAAATTTCTTACCTTCTAAGAAAAGTAGACAAAAATATTTTTAACTTTGATTTTTGGATAACTATTATCTATTTGAGAAGATTTTTGAAAAAAATTAAAAGAAACCATTCACACATTCTGAAATGTTAGCGAATTTATATGAGTGATAAGGAAATCAGTAAATGTGGCAGTAAGAAGAGAAATGTGTAATACGGCCAGGTAGCATAACCATTAAAAGAGCAGGAGTATTGCCTGGAAATGGCAATAGTGAACATGAATAATGATCCCACTCTAGGCCCCTACGCATTGGAGACACAATAAACAACTTCAGCAAGAGGGCTGCTGGGAAAGCACTGTCTTCAGACAAGGCAAAGGTAAGGTGAGACGGTAGAGACAACATTTGAAGAAGTGGTTGAAAAAGTAGGCGATGCTTATGGCCATAGAAAATGAGTTCTCCAAATAGGGATTTTGAAGGAAAAGATGAACTAGATGAACAAATGAGAGTTAAAGAAATATAGAGAAAATATGATAGTGTCATGTGTTTCCATGGAGACGGTTTCATAGGGATGAGGAGGGCAGTGATTAAAGTTGGGCTTTTCTAATGAGAATAACTATAGGAAGTGTGGTAGAATTAGCCTACTCATGATCTCTCTAACCTCACTTCACCACAATTTTTCCACCCACATGAACTTAGCTTCTATCTCCACACTCCAATGAAACTACTCTCTAAATTCACTGGTGACTTCCATGCTGCTCAGCCCAGTGGACAGACTTCACATAATCTAACTGTCAGCAGCCTTAAGCATATTTGACCATGCTCACTTTCCTTGCTGTGTCCCTACACTCATGCATTCCCCACTGTTCCGTGGCTGCTATTTCTTAGTCTCCTTTACTGACTTCTCCTCTTACCCTACTATGAGACTTCTTTCTCTTTTTTTCACCCTCTTTCTGGATAATATCAACTAATTTCATGAGTTTAAATACCATTATAATGATCCCCAAATTTATATTTCCAGCCCAGACTTTTCCTCTGAGTTTGAGTTACATTAATCCAACAGCTTACCTGACATCTGTATTTGGATGTCTAAAATCCATTTCAATATTAAATGATTCTCCAATTCTTTCCACTTCCATCCTGCCTCTACCATTACAACACTGTTAGTAGAACAAATAATTAAAATGAAAAACTAGTAAGTATGAAAGGCACACTCTCTGTCTCTTCTTGATTTTAATGAGAGACATTTGCTTTATTATAGTTATTAATGACTTTATTTTAGTTATTATTGTTTATGAGTCAAATAAAGATTAACATATCACAATAGTACTGCTTGGTGACTTAGTAAACTAGAGCCACATTGGGCTTGCATCATTTGGTTTGATTCTTGCTCCATTATGATTGCTATGTTTTATTTCATTATCATTATTCATCGTTTTTTTTTTTTTTTTGAAAGAAATCTTTCCTTTGTATAATTTCTTTCACATTTTTTCTGGATAATTATCCTTTATAGCAGCAATTTGGAGAGATGGTTAAGCTTGTGGACTCCAGAGCCACACTATCTGGATACTCAGCCCAGTTTCACATCTTTTCAGCCAAATGACTCGCCTCAGTTTCTTCATCTATGAAATGGAGGTGATGTTGATATTATGTACCTTGTGAAGATGATTTATTACATACAAAGCTCATAAAATGGTTTCTGACACAGTAAGTTGTCATAACTTATGTTACCTGTTACTCTTACTCAACCATACCGTTGTTTCTGATATGCCAGAGAAGGAAGAAGCCTGTGCTATCACCCACTTCAGTTATTTTCAACTAAATATTATTTTCATTATCAACATTATTTTTACCTCACTCTTATATCTACGGTTTCTGGGGGGAAATTTAATAAACTGATCTTTTAAAAAAGGCAGACTATGCTGAGAAACAGCAAACCCATTAAATCAATGAGTTTTATAAATCAAACCAATTATGTTTCAAAATAGTAAGACAATCAGGTAACTTGTTATACATTTTCAGACCTCACTTTCAGTAAAATAATTCTTTAGGAAGTTATTTATTCAAACAGCACAGATTGGGTCTAATAAAGAAAAAAACCAGAAAGTTACAAAATTGGATTGCATCATACTCTTCAGTTACAATAGCCTTCTAATTTGAAAAAAAAGAAGTTTTAAATATTATCTCTGAAAAAATTAAATAATTCCAATTTTTTCAACATGAATTGATGAATCTCAAGTCTAATTTCTAAAAATTAAAAAAAGCTATTTAAGTAATATAAAGTCAATCTCTGCACTTTATTTATTTTAGTTTCATTTTTAAAGCCAAAAATTCTCAGGTTTTAACATAGTATTCTTGTTACAATTGGTCATCATGCAAGTTTTAAACATTCATATTAAACTCAATTGAAAACAAAAATTACAGGGCAGCCTTGAAAACATAAACTTATCTTTTACCAAGTAAGATCCAAGGAAAATATTAAGCAATGCTAGGCTCAGGTACCATTTTAAAATAGTTTTGGCACAACAATTGGAAAAATTGAGAGCTCAGAACTGTGTCACACATAATGCCAGTAAGCTTTTATTTTGCCTAAGTGCATAGATGATAATCAGGTGGATTGTTTTAATAAGAATTCCATAAAAGAAAACCATAGTAGTTCTTCTAAGGTTTTATATAATTTTGCTGGCTTTAAAAATGGTATGGAAGTGGTTCTCTGGATTATCTATCAATTATTAAACTATGAAATACAAGTAATTTGAGTATGATGCCCTTCAACCTTGATAGCTTTTCCTTTTTAAGATGCATGCACAATAAAGTTAGTGCTTTCATCAGACATATAAGGAGTACCCGAAGCAAGTACAGTCTTATTGTAGGTTTTACTGCATTTACAATTGTGATAAAGATATAATTTTTTCTTATGAGGGCAATAATCAATTAGAAGAGAAGATTTGAAAATGTTTAAAAGGAATATGGGCAGGGCACAGTGGCAAGCACCTGTATTCTTAGCTACTTGGAAGATGAGGTGGGAAGATCGTTAGGGCCCAGGAGTTCGAGGCTTCAGTGAGCCATGATTGCCACACTGCACTCCAGCTTGGGTGACAGAGTGAGACCTTGTCTCAAAAATAAAATAAAATAAAATAAAGGAATAGGTGCTGTGTGGATACCACCAGTATTGTGGCTAAATTTCATTAGATGATTAGTAGTTACCATTAAATATAATAATTGTGGCAAAGATAATTTGCTTGTTGTCATGAAAATATTCTGCATTCATCAAAATAATTAATTATTAAAATATATAAAAAGACACACGAAGTTCATTAGATATATTTTAATTTTACATACTTGAAATGTCATAGTAATTATTCTCCTCACAGTAAAATGATGGGACAAGTCTTCACCTATCACCTTATGAAGTAAAGGAAAAAAAAAAACTTCTGAGTTTAAAGAGTAGCTTTAGCAGACACCTTCAATTTCAGTGTCTCAAAAGCTTCACTATAACTGCATGTTATAACGACAGAAATTCACAAGAAGAGAGGTGACAACAGTAACAAATTTTTGGAACCTAAAAAATACATACAACAAGAATGGTTCTTCCAAAATCTGCAGTAAATAAATATATACCATGGAGTACTACTCAACAATTAAAAAGAACAAACTACTGATACATGCAACAAACAGATGAAATTGATAAATATGCTAATAACAAAGCCATTTTAAAGATCTGCATATTGTATAATTATATGTATACAAATTTTTATAGTAGACAAACTATGGAGTCAGAAAACAGATCAGTAGTTGTCTGATGCTGGGGGTAAAAGAAAAGATTGACTGCAAATGTGCAGAGCTAACTTTTAAGATAAAAGAAGTATGATTCCAACTATGTAACATCCTGGAAAAGGTAAAGCTGTAGAGACAGTAAAAACATCATTGGTTACCAGGGGTTCTAAGGATTGGAGATAGTTTGGTAATTTTTCTATTTATAAACAAAAAGAGGAGCCGGGCGCGATGGCTTACGCCTGTAATCTCAGCACTTTGGGAGGCTGAGGTGGGTGGATAACCTGAGGTGAGGAGTTCAAGACCAGCCTGACCAACATGGTGAAACCTAGTCTCAATTAAAAATACAAAAATTAGCCAGGAGTGGTGGCACGCGTCTGTAATCCCAGCTACTCAGGAGGCTGAGGCAGGAGAATCACTTGAACCTGGGAGGCAGAGGTTGCAGTGAGCTGAGATCGTGCCACTTCACTCCAGCCTGGGTGAGAGAGAGAGAGATTCTGCCTCAAAAAAAAAAAAAAAAGAGGGTTGGAGAAGGGATGAATAGGTGAAGCACAGGCAATTTTTAGGATGCTGAAACTATTCTGCATTGAACTGTTATGGTATTAATATATATATGACATCATGCATTTTTCACATTTTCCAAAACTCATAAAACTGTACAATGGAAAGATTGAAACTTGATGTAAACCATGAGCTTCAGTTAATAATAATATAGCAATTTTGTTCATGAATGGTAACAAACGTACCACACTAATATAAGATATTAATAATAAGGGAAACTATACAGGGTGGGGTGGGGGCAGGGGAAAGCAAAAGCAGGTATATGGAACTCGATGCTACTACTCTTTATTATACCCTTAAATTTTCTGTAAATCTAAAACTGTACAAAAAAGGAAATGCTTTGAATATTCTGATTTTTTAGTTTTTCCCATAATAACTATAAATTAAAAGAATTTCAGATCTATGAGGCATCCTTTCCCTTCTGGCCCTAAAGAATAAATGTGCACGTTTCCCTCCTACTGCCATCAAATCTGTTTTCCTTTTCCTCATAGCAAATCTTCTTAAAAGAATTAACTATATTCAGTGTCTCCATCTCTTTCTCTCTATGCTATCTAAACTGATTTCACGTTTATTATTCTCAAAGAAGGCAATCAACGGCCTCCTTCCAATGGATGCTTTTCAGTGCTGATCTTATTTTAATTTATGCAGCATTTTTGTATTTTTCTCAGTGCTTTCAGGAATAAATAAAATAGAGTAGAATGTATAAATTTTAAATGTGTCTCTACAGCTTTTTAATACCATTGGTACCTGTGCCCAGTGGGGCACCACATAGTGGAGCTGTGAGAAAAGGGCCACCGTCTTCTAGACCCCAAAATGGTAGATCCACTAACAGCTTGCATCGTGTGCTTGGAAAAGCCTCAGACGCTCAATGTCGGCCTGTGAAAGCAGCCGGGAGGGAGGCTGTACCCTGCAAAGCCACAGGGATAGCACCGCCCAAGACCATGGGAACCCACCTCTTGCATCAGCATGACCTGGATGTGAGACATGGAGTCAAAGGAGATCATTTTGGAACTTTAAGATTTGACTGTCCCACTGGATTTCTGACTTGCATGGGGCTTGTAGCCCCTTTGTTTTGGCCAATTTCTCCCACTTGGAATAGCTATATTTACCCAATGGCTATACCCCTATTGAATCTAGGAAGTAATTAACTTGCTTTTGATTTTACGAGCTCATAGGCAGAAGGCATTTGCCTTATCTAGGATGAGACTTTGGACTGTGGACTTTTGAGTTAATGCTGAAATGAGTTCAGACTTGGGGGACTGTTGGGAAGCCATGACTGATTTTTAAACTGGAAACTGGAAACTGGAAACTGGAAATGTGAAGATAGGAGATTTGGGAGGGGCCAGGGACAGAATGATATGGTTTGGCTCTGTGTCCCCACATAAATCTCATTTTGTAGCTCCCATAATTCCCACATGCTGTGGGAGGGACCCAGTGGGAGACAACTGAATCATGGGGACAGGTCTTCCCTGCGCTGTTCTCATGATAGTGAATGGGTCTCAAGAGATCTGATGGTTTTAAAAATGGGGGTTTCTCTGCACAAGCTCTCTATTTGTCTGCTACCATCCACATAAGATGTGACTTGCTCCTCCTTGCCTTTAGCCATTATTGTAAGGTCTCCCCAGCCATGTAGAACTGTAAGTCCAATTAAACCTCTTTCTTTGGTAAATTGCCCAGTCTCAGGTATGTCTTTCTCAGCAGCATGAAAATGGACTAATGCAGAGGATCAAAGACATAATCTGGACTTTTTCCAGGCATTTCGTCCTTATCTTAGGATGTTGTATTCTCAGGACATTCAGCAAGAGAATTGCAAGCAACGGGAGGAAGAACTGGGTGAGCCAAGGCCACCCAGGGACCTGTTCTCTTGCACTTGCCAAGTTTGGTTTCACGGTTCTCTGGCCTCATAAAGCTAGTTGGAAGGCATTTTCTCTTCCTGTATATTCTGAAAGAGCTTGTATAGAATGTATTGCTTCTTCCTTTATTGTTTGGTAGACTTCATTAATAAAGCCATCTGGGCTTTGTGGAAATGTTTTTAATTGTAGATTCAACTTTATTAACCAATATGAGACTTCTATAGTTTCTATTTATTTTTGGATTAGTTTCAAAAAATTGTATTTATCAAGGAATATATACATTTTTCCCAAGTTGTCAAACTTACTGGAGTAAAATTGTTTATAATATTCCCTGTTTATTCTTATTCTTTTAAATCTGTAGTCATGTATCTCATTTTACTGCTGATATTGATAATTTATATTTTTTACTTTTTCTTAACTGGCCTTGCTAGGGGATTACAAATTTGTATTAATCTTTTCATAGAATTGACTTTTGGATTTGTTGGTTTTCTCTATTGTTCATCTGTTTTCTGTTTCACTGATTTCTGTTCTCATCATTGTCATTTCCTCTTCTACAACCATGGAGTTTAATTTGCTCTTTTCTATCTAGCTTTCTGAAGTGGAAGATTACATTTTTTAAATAAAATTATTTTTCTTTCTAATATTTGCATGTAGTATTAAAATGTCTTCTCTTATCAAGGCTTTAGCTGCATCCCACAAAATTTGATATGTTGTATTTTCATCCTTGTTTGATCTAAAATATTTTTAAATTTCCCTTATGATATCTCCTATGGTTTATTTTAAAAGTTATTTCTTAATTTTCAAATATTTGAGGATTTCCCAGTTATTATTTAAACTCTGATTTCTAGTTTCATTTAAGTCAGAGAATATACTCGGCATGATTTCAATCCTTTGAAATGTTTTGCAACTTAATTTATGGCCCAGTTTATGGCCTATTTTGGCGAGTGTTTTGAATGCATTTAAAAATAACATGTATCCTGCAATTACTGAGTATGTTGTTCTATACATTTCAATTTCATCAAGCTGCTTGACAGTATTATTCAAATCCACCATATACTCGTTGATTTTTTTTTTTACACTTCATTTACAGATTTCTGAAAGAGGAGAGTTAAAATCTTCAGCTATGATTATGGATTTGTCTATTATCCCTTTTATTTCTGTTTGATTTTATCTCAAATATTTTGAATCTATGTTACTAGGGGCATTTGCATTTAGAATTATCATGTTTTCCCAATGAATTGACCCTTTGGTTATTATGAAATGTTTTCTTTATTCCTGGTAATACTTATTGGCTTGAAATCCACTTTATCTGATGTTAATATAGCTACATTAATCTTTTTATTATAAGCTTCCTAATCCTTTTATTTCCAAACTCTTTGCATTCTTATGTTTGAAGGCTAGATAATGTTAGGCTGGATTATAAAAGAACATCCAATTATAAACTGATTTGTTGGGTCTTGTTTTTAAATTAAATCCAACCTGATATTTTCTGTACTTTAAGTGGAGTTTTTATTCTATTAATATTTAATGTAATTACTGATATGGTTAAACTTGTGTTTTCCACCTTGCTAGCTGATTTCTGTTTGTCCTTTCTCTTTTTCTTTTTCTTTGCTCCACATTTCATGGCTTTTTATATATTATTTGAATAGTTTTAGTATACCATTTTATCTATTCTGTTGGCTTTTTCATTGCATATTGCTTCTAAGTGATTACTTACAGATTACAATATTAATTCTTATTTTATCACAATGAACCCCAAGTTAATAGTATACAACTTCAAAAACAATGTAAGGACCTTATATATGTCTCCTTTCCCATTGTGCTATTGTTATATAGTTTACTTCTTTATTATTTTAAATTCCACAATGCATTGTTACTGTATTTGCTTTAAACAGCTAAAAAAAATTTTTAAATGTTTTAAAATATTCAACCACATATTTACCCTTTTTTGTGCTCTCCATTTTTTTTATGGAGATCCAGTCTTCCACCTGGGCTTACTTCTTTTCATCCTAAAGAAGCTTTCTTAATTTTTGTATTCTTCATGTTTTCCTGCTAGTGATGAATAATCTTATGTTTTGCTGTCTAAAAACATTTTCATTTCACCTGCAAATGGACCAATACTTTTATTAGATAAAGAAGTATGTATTGATTTTCTTTTGGCATTTTAAGGTTATTCCATTGTCTTCTGGCTTCCCTCATTATTTGTAGCTAGTCATTTCTCATTCATACCTAAGGTGTTTTGTAAGGTCTTTCTCTTTATCTTTGGTTTTAAATAGTTTGACTATGATGTACCCAGGCAAGATTTTCTTTGTAATTACTCTGCCTGGTGTTCACTAAGCCTTTTAGTTCTATGATTTCAGATTTTTAACCAGTTGCTTTTTTAAAAATTTGAAATTTTAAATTGTTTAAAATTTATTGGCTAGTCTCTCTTCATATATATATTTCTACCTCATTCTCCATTTGCTCTCCTGGGACGCCAATTACATGCATACTAGACTGTCAATATTTTCTTTCAGATATTTGCTTTTCTGTTCAGTTCTGTTAAAATGATAATTTTTAAATTAAATTAAAAAGATACTTTTAAAAATATCTTTTTATGTACTCCAGTTTTATTATTTCTATTGGCCTGTCACTAATAATTTCTTCTATTTAATTCAGTCTGCTATTAATCCAATCCAATAAATTCTGCATTGCAGATATTCTTAATATATTTTTGAGGGCAGCTTTAGCTTCACAACAAGTGTGACTTTATTCAGCAAAATTCCCATAGGAGAAAATTGATGAGAAGGCAGGGCTCTTACATTTCTTTCAGATTTCAATCCATTATGTCAGCCTAGCTTGATTGTTTTCCCTTTGTCCTAATAATTTTCTTTCTCAAATTGTTGGGACAAAGGGAAACAGATCCCCAGACTACCCTCGGAATGCAAGTGGCCATTGACTTGTGATAATCTAGATAAGTTTATCTAACTTTGGAATTCAGTTTCTTTAGAGTTATTTGATTCTACAACTCTTTGATGACTTAAAATACAAACATTGTGTTAGTACGTTCTCACGCTGGGTTTTGAAGAACTGCCCAAGACTGGGTAAGTTATAAAGGAAAGAGGTTTAATTTATTCAGAGTTCCACAGGGCTTAGGAGGCCTCAGGAAACTTACAATCATGGCAAAAGGGGAAGCAAACACATCCTTCTTCACATGGTGGGAGGAGAGAGAAGTGCCGAGCAAAAGGGGGAAAAGCCCCTTATAAAACCATCAGATCTTGTGAGAACTCACTCACTATCATGAGAACAGTATGGGGGTAACCACCCCCATGCACCCCCATGACTCAGTTACCTCCCACCACGTCCCTTCCATGACACATGGGGGATTATGGGAACTAGAATTCAAAATGAGATTTGGGTAGGGAGACAGCCAAACCATATCAAACATTATTTTTAGTTTATCCATAGATACAATGAAATCAATGGTCTTTTCAACCTTCTATAACCTAACCAGAAATGTAAAACAGTGACTCATCTTTTTCCCTGGCATTCAAGATGTCATAATATCCAAATTTCCCTTCTCTCTTATTGTGAACTCCTTTTCTTCCTTTTTTCTAGATGCTGGCATCCCTCAGAGCTCTTTCCTCTGTCCTATTCTTTCTCATTACATTTTCTCTCTCAGGATGATCTTATCCAATCTCTTCCATATGTTAGTGATCCCAAAATCTATTTCTTGCCTAAGCTCAAGGGACCACATAAAAGCTTTAAGCCTTTTGAAATTTAAAATAGGTTTTAAGATTAAAGACTTTAAAAACAAAGAACAAATGGCTTCAGTTTCTAAAGAAAAGAGCAAGATTTTAAGGCAGAAGTGTTTATTTCAAAAGGAAAAAAGCACACTAATTGACAACCATATGTTTAAAAATTTCATTATAATTTGCAGCCTAAGGAAGAACTTAAAATTTTATACAGATTCTTTCATCATCAATGATTTACAAGTGCAATTTTCTTTCAAGAGAGAATTGTAATTGTATAGATGAAAAAGTGAAGTCTTATACTGGTTAAGCTGTCCTTGTAAATAGCTTTCAAAAATCACAATCAAAGATTATAATTGGCTAATGAAACTATAAATGTTATGGCAACACTTAGATTGATCATTGTGTTACACTCCAATTTACTACTTCCTTAGAAAAAACAAATATTATGAATATAAAATAATACTATATTGTTAGACTAGAAACATACTTGTTATTAGACCTGCCATTATGTTTAGATCCTAGTATACACTAATGTTTAGTGTTATAGAAAATGAACTTTTACAATCTCTTACTGTCATCTGTGGAGCTCAAATCAACTCTGCAATAAAGCTTCCCATTCATCAAATAATTTAGTCTCTCTTATAGATTAAAATTATCGAACATTCAAAAAATTTTTAAATGTGGTATAAATGCCTTATACATATTACAGATGAATTATTAAAAACAAAACACACACCCACCCCAGCTTTTTAAAGGGTAATATTTCACAAGTTTGGCTGGTGAAAATACCAAAGCCAGATCACCCATAATCTCATGTTCAAAACCATCCAAATAAGCATAATATCCAAGTAAAAAAGTGGCCTGTTATGCAAACAGAGCTTCCATACAAGTTTCCTAGACCCTCCTTCCAAATAGAGTCAGAAATTCTGGAGCTACTACTCCACAGTTGTTTTTGTTTCCTCATTATGATGCAAAATTACTTAAATCTCAATATGGCTAAAATACTAGTCTTGAATCCTGCAATATCCCTGAGACGGAACTTTTTTTTTTTTTTTTTGAGACAGGGTCTCACTTTGTCACCCACGCTGGGGTGTAGTAGTGCAATCTTGGCTCACTGCAACCTCAGCCTCCTGGGCTCAAGCAATCCTCCCACCTCAGCACCCCAAGTAACTGGGACTATAGGCACATGCCACCACATCCTACTGATTTTTTGTGTGTTTTGTAGAAACGTTTTGCTATGTTGCCAAAGCTGGGAACTCCTGAGCTCAAGCAATTGGCCTGCCTTGGCCTTCCAGAGTGCTGGGATTACCCGTGTGAGCCACCATGCCTGGCCTGAGCCTGAACTTTTTAAACCATAAACACTTATAATCCCCGAAAATTTCAGAATAACAAATGCACATTTTAATTTTTTAATTTTTTTATTCTTTTTTACTTTTATTTTAGAATCGGGGGTACATGTGCAGATTTTTAACAAAGGTATATTGCTTGATGCTGAGATTTGGAGTATGAATGAATCTGTCACCAAGTTAGTAAGTATAATACCCAACAAGTATTTTTTTAATTCCTCCCCTTACTCACTCCTCTAGTACTTCCCAGTGTCTTGTTCCCATCTTTGTGTCCACATGTACCCAATGTTTAGCTCCCTTATAAGCGAGAGCATGTATTTGGTTTTCTGTTTCCACGTTAGTTCACTTAGGATAATGGCCTCCAGCTGCATCCATGTTGCTGCAAAAAGACATGATTTCATTCTCTTTATAGCTGTGTAGTATTCCATGGTGCATATGTACCATATTTTCATTATCCAATTCACTGTTGACGGGCACCTGGGTTTATTCCATGTTTCTGCTATTGTGAATAGTGACTTGCCTACCTTTAATTTACTTTAAAATATATCAACATTGATGTGTGATATTATGTATGTGTTATTTAGTTTAATTTATACCCTTAATTGGTAATTCACTTTCCAGGAATGATCACCTAGCATGTAACAGAAAGTCCACACTTCAGAGAAATGTACTACAAGGACTTCGGCTATCTTTTTATCTTGTCAGTGCTAGATTTTTGCTGATTAAAATAATGCATATAAGAAATGGGGCTTCATTTGTGAAAATCATGCTTGTATGAAAGCATAATGAATATTACAAATAGGTCCTTATTGGTAACAGTAGTGGTATTTAAGATATGAGTGTTGTCTAAAGATTTAGAGATACCTCCCACCCTTGCATGAAAGGATCTTTGGACACAAAGCTTGAGGCTTAGATCTTACTTGCACTGGAGTCCAGACAGTGCAGTGGAGAATTCTGTTTTTGTGATGGCAGATATAGTATTAGCCAAATCTTGCCTCCAGATTATTGTTATAATTGTTTCAAGTAAACGTTTTAAGCAAGGTGGTCTTCAGAAGGGCACTTGAAAGGACTGAGAGTGGGAATGTTATCAAATTTTCACAGTTTTGTTCATACTTGGTAAACTGTGTTTGTTTAATAATTTGGTTTGAGATTTACATTTATTTATAAACTAGTAATAATGTTGTGGATAAATATATAAACTGCATCTCCCCCCAAAATTTTGCAGCTACCAATATTTTCTAAAGGGACCTTAACGGTTGCACTGTCTCAAGTCAGTTTGCATCAACGTCTGTCCATAAGCTCACAGTCCTATCCAGAATTCCTGCAATGGATACCTTCCTGGGACTCATGTCTTAAGCATCTTCTGGGAATTAGTGTATGGAGAGGCTCTAGCAACTAAGCATCTCTTATGAAGGTGTAAAACTTTTAATAATTAAGGAAATGGGAGCATAGTAAATAAGAATTCCAGGGGACTCCACAGCCTTTATTATTCACATAAACTATGAATAGAGACATTATAAATATGGAAGAGAGTAGTGAAAGAAGGACAGATCTGCACGCAGCAGAGCTTTGCATTATAGGACGTTTGGTTTCCATGACACTTAAGGACAGAATACCTGTATTGAAACACTTTCCTTACATAATAGATCATTCATGCCTTACAGAAATTTAAGAACTTGCTAAAAGAAACCACTTGTTGATTTTTTTAGAAATAAGAAGATTTTTCTTTAAGTCATTCAGCTTTCAGAAATCCACATTATGGTGCTTAGTCACATACATTTTCAGGGCATTTACTCATAGAAAGCCATCAACACACAACCTACAACCAGTGTTCTGCTTCCTCATACGGTGTGCCTGAACGTTTTCCTCCAAGTTCCCAGTGTCATTTTGTCTCCAGATGGTAATTTCCCTCTGGTGCTCTTCCTTCTTAAGCCTTTTCCACACTGGTCTTTGAGCAACTGGCTTACGATCACTAGCAGAAGCAAAAGAATAGAACAGAGGAAAAGAAAAACAAGACTTTTATTCAAGTACCAGAACCAAGAAAAATTCTAGTTATAATATGTCATTGTGTATAAAGAGCACAATATTTAAGGCAATTTTTAAAAGATTCCATATTGTTTTTGGTTGAAAGCAAAATAAATGAATTTGTATTAGGCTTCAAAAAAAGTTACTTGGCAGGATCCTAAGTATCTAACTGCAACAAAGGTAGAGCTTACTAATCAAGCTTCAAGAAAAAAATAGAAGGGGCCTTAGTAGAAAGTGCTCATGGTCTCTCTCTATCTGAGTCACACTGCTATAAGTTACTTTGTTTTAACTGCTTTTTTTCCTCCTATGTACCAACTCAAGATTCAAATTTCTAAGATAAATAATCGTTTTGGCATTGCTGAAATTATTTTTCTACTCCTATTATCTGAGGATGAGGCATGTTTTGAGCTGGGCAGACATACTGAAGAGTGTGCAGTGGGAGAGACAACATTCCTGTAGATGAATAAAATGAAGTGTATCTGCAAAGTGAAAAAAGGAAAAAGCATGAATTTACTGTGTACCCTCTAGTCAATTATTTTAAATATTTGATTAAAGAAAAAAACTATTCTGTTGACATTTCAGGTCCTTGATTACAAACCTTTTATAATATTTGAAGTTAATGTGGAGACATTTGCCATTATGAATTCAAGATAAAACTGATTTATGTGTGCTTTTGAATCTCGAGAGTTTCAAGTCAAATCTTTAAGTTTATTTTTAAACACTGAAGAAAGATCAAAGCAAAGGAAAAGTCAATGTAACTAAGAATTTTTCATGCATTTTAAAAACAGATACTGAGTTTTACAATGACTCTTGAGGAAATGATATAATGCTGATGAAATGGCAATTCAGGAAAGCTAACTCAATTCTACAAATACTTGTTGAGTATTTCTAGTCTATGCAAGCCACTAAGGCCACACACAAATAAGTGAAATCTGTCGCTGTCCTCAAGGAGCTTAAAACATAATGAGGAAGATAAACTAAAATTTCAGATAACTATAATACCAGGTAATAAGACCAGAACCATAGAAAGTTATAAATAAAATGGGATATATTACACAAAAAAAGCAGGAATAGATTATAAGTAACTAAAAGAGTCCAGAAAGAATTTAGGAATGAACATAATTTGAAAAAAGTTTAACAAGTCAGCACTTTCTGATTACCTACACTTTTTTTGGAAGTCTTGCATTCATCATCTCATTTAATTCTCAACACCATTCTTTGGAGTAAATATTATTGTCCCAAATTCTTATACAAACTGAGGTATACCCTAATTAAATAACTTGCCCAATGTCACCCAGTTGACAAGTGGTCCAGTTCTGCCTAATAATATACTCCCCACTGGTTCTTGGAGATGTGCTCTTATAACACATCATGGTGGAAAGACTCTGCTTTCAAATAAAGATTCAGCAAAAACAACCTTGTCTTGGGTTTACTATAAGGAGATTTACAAAGGGAGAGCAAGAACAGTAAAGTAGGTGTGTTTTTGTCCTTTATTAAAATAAATTAAATTGGAAGAACTTCTAGTTAAATATGGTAGAGTAAAAAAATATTGTCTTATTCCATTTGGGCTACCATAACAAAATACCACAGACTGGATAGCTTATAAACAAAAGAAGTTTATTTTTCACTCTTCTAGAGCTTGGGAAGTCCAAGATCGAGGTACCAGCTGATTCAGTGTCTGATGTGAGCCTCTTTCCTTCATAGATAGATGTCTTCTCACTGCAACTTCATAGGGCAGGAGCAAACAGGCTCTTTTTTTTCATATTAAGGAATGAATAAGCATTCCCTTTTCTCTACATCCTTGTCAACATCTGTTATTTTTTGACTTTTTAATAATAGACATTCTGACTTGTGTGAGATGGTATCTCATTGTGGTTCTGATTTGCATCTCTCTGATTAGTGATGTGGAGCATTTTTTTCGTATGTTTGGTGGCATTTGTATGTCTTCTTTTTAGAATTATCTGTTCATGTCTTTTGCCCACTTTTTAATGGGCTTATTTGTTTTTCACCTGTTGATTATTTTAAGTTCCTAATAGATTCTGGATATTAGACCAAAGGTCTAAGGTGCATACTTTGAATATACTTTCCCCTATTCTGTAGGTTGTCTGTTTACATGGGCATGTGGAAACACCTACTTTAATTAGGTCCCACTTAGCAATCTTTGTTTTTATTGCAATTGCTTTTGAGAAAGTGGTTATAAATTCTTTGCCAAGGGTGATGTCCAGGAAAGTATTTTTTAGTTTTTTCTAGGATTTTTTTCCAGCATTGTTTTAGGTCTTTACATTTAAGTCTTTAATCCGTCTTGAGCTAATTTTTCTATATGGTGATATATAAGGGTCAGTTACATTCTTCTGCATATGGATAGCTAATTATCCCAGCACCATTTATTGAATAGAAAGTCCTTTCCCTATTACTTATATTTTTTACTTTGTCAAGGATCAGATAATTGTATGTGTATGGCTTTATTTCTGGGTTCTTTATTCTGTTCCATTTGTCTATATGTCTGTTTTTGTACTAGTACCATGCTGTTTTAGTAACTGTGACTTTGTAGTACAGTTTGAAGTTGGGTAATGTGATACCTCCCTCTAAGGGAACTAATTCTATGTATGAACAAATCACCTCTAGAAGGGCCCCACCTTCTAATACCATCATCTTAGAGTTAGGGTTTCAACATGTACATTTTGAAAGACACAAACTTCAGAACAAGCACCTATCTATTATTACCTTGACTCAAAACCCCCCAACAGATTTTTTTAAATAAGGGAGGGGTTTCTGATTGTTGTACTGACAGTGTAGTACCCTATCAGACAGCTCTCCTCATGGAAAATAACTGTAAAAACCAGACATACTGCAAAAGGCAATTTCCTGAAGACACTAGAGAATTAATAGTAGGCAGCCTCTTGTGCTATGTGAATACGTCAAAGAGGACAGACGAGGAGTTGTACAAAGAATATTTCTGTTTTCATGGCTTTTAGCCTGAGGCTAAGTGCTGTTAGCATGTCACACTCAAGGCAGGTGTCAGTGAAAATATCATAGTCTTTCTGGCTCAGGGGAGAAGAAAACTGAAGTCAGATAAAACATGGATGCTGTAAAAAGTAAAAATATGGAAATATTTGAAAGAAACAAGCCCATTGAAGAGAGGATCCTCAAATGCCATCTACCCACATCTTTCATTGGCCCCTTATCTTAGTCAATTCTGTACTGCTATAACAAGTTGCCATAGACTGTATAATTTATAAAGAACAAATATGTATTTCTAATAGTTCTGGATGCTGGGAAGTTCAAATATAAAGGTCCTGACAACTTTGCGTCTGGTCTCTCTGCTTCCAAGATGGCACCATGAGCACTGCATCCTCCACACAGGAGGAATGCCATATTCTTCCATGGCAGAAGTGCAGAAGAGAAAGCCTACTCCCTCAAGCCCTTTTTATAGTGACATAATCTATTCATGAGGGCAGAACCCTCATGACCTAAACATTTCCCATTAGGTCCCATTAGGCCCTATCTCCCAACACTATTGCACTAGGAATTAAGTTTTAGATACATGAATTTTGGAGGACACATTCAGACCATAGCACCCCTGGACAATGTATGTGTGGCATAGATTCAAAGCAGATCAGCAAAAATCAAGAAATATAACTGATGCTAGAGTTTCCACTCAAGAAACAGACTTCACATTTCAATCCCAGCCAAGATACTAGCCCAATAAAACAAAAGAAACAATGATTATTGGAGAAAAATAGCAAAATCCCCACAACTTAATAGTTAGAGTGTTCAGAATATAATTCAAAATTTCTTGACATATAAAAAAATGGAAGACATTTCAATCAAAAACAAAATCAAACAAGATCAGTCCCAAGATGAAAGAGATCTTGGAACTAGCAGGCAATGATTTTAAAAACAGCTCCTATAATTATTCTAAAGAAAGTAAAACAAAATATGCCCGTGATGAGTAAAGAGATATAAAATCTTAGCAGACACAGAAAGTAAAATGAACAAAATGGCAATTTTATAACTGAAATATACAATATTGGAACTAAAAGTTTCAGAGAGTAGACTTAATGACACAAATCCAGAAGAAAGAGATAACAGAGGAAAGAATAAGTAAACTTAATATCAGTTAATAAGGATTATCCATTATACATTAGAGGGAAAAGATGTGGTGAAAACAGAACAGAGACTCAGGACCAGTTAAATATCAAATGGTATAACAGATATATAATTATAACATATAGGAATCCCAAAAGGAAAGTAGAGAATGAAACAGAAAAAATATTTTTATAAATAAATGCTAAAAATGTCCCAAATTTGATGAAACAAAAGAAATTTACAGATACAAGGTGCTAAATGAACATCAAACAAAATAAACACAAGAAATCCAGTGCTTACCTCTCTTATAAATGCCTAACATGTACTAATTACTTAATATTTACAAAATCTTCGAAAGGTAGGTAATCTTACTTCATGTTTAGATAGAAAACTGATACACACACACAAATGGTTATATACTTGTAAAAGATAATCAACAGTCAATCTATAATTTGAACCCAGCAGTTTGGGTTCAAGAGGCCATGCTTTTGCCTAGCCTTGCACATATACTTAACCGGTATTGTGAACTCTTGAAAAAGAAACTGAAATTATGAAACAGAAAAATATTTAATCATATAGAGGCAAATATGGAGATGTCTTGTTCAAGGAAAATTTGGTGAATATGTACTGACTGATTTATGTCTTGAGAAGGTACTAAATTTCATGCATAAAAATTATGGATACTCAAACTAAAAAAGCAAGTCATAAGCAAGTTAGAAAATATTACACTGGCCTCAAGCTGTGGTATAGCTGGGAATAGAATATAAATGAACCAATTAAAAAAAAAAAAACTACTTGATGAAATCCAGCCAGCTAAATACATGTAAAAACTTAAGTACTCAGAAGAAAAAAGTTCATAGTAAACAGGACTCCTGATCTCTGAAATTTTCATATTTCTCTTGAAATATAGAACTAAGGCCAAAAATTAAATATGGCCACAAAATGAAATATAAGCTTATAAGTCCCAGTGATGTTGAAATATTGATATTAAAATTAGTAATAAATATTTAGGAGCAGATGAGAGAGAAGATGAGGGTTAGTGTAGGTAGGTGTGTGCATTGATTAATGCTGTGTAAAAAAATATGGCAAAACTTAGTGGCATAAAGCAACAAACAGTTTTTATCTCACATAAGCCAGCCCTATTCAGTAAGAGAAGAAATATAAGAATGCAAGGTGAGAATCACCGGAGGCCATCCTGGCAGCTGTCTACACTGTGTGTTCATTTTCTCATCTTTCCTAGTGATATGGTTTTGCTGTATCCCCACCCAAATCTCATCTTGAATTGTAGCTCCCATAATTCCCACATGTTGTGGGAGGGACCCAGTAGGAGATAATTGAATCACGATGGTGGTTTTCCCCATACTGTTCTTATGGTAATGAATAAGTCTCATGATCTGATGGCTTTATAAGGGGAAACCGCTTTTGCCTGGCTCTCTCATTCTCTCTTCTCTGCTGCTGTGTAAGACATGCCCTTCACCTTCCATGATGACTGTGAGGCCTCCCCAGCCACGTGGAACTGTGAGTCCATTAAACCTCTTTTTCTTATAAATTACCCAGTTTTAAGTATATCTTTATCAGCAGCCTGAAAACAGACTAATACAGTAAATTGGTATCAGTAGAGTGGGACACTGCTGAAAAGACACCCCAAAATTTGAAAGTGACTTTGGAACTGGGTAACAGGCAAAGGTTGGAACAATTTAGAGAGCTCAGAAGACGGGAAAACATGGGAAACTTTGGAACTTCCTAGGGACTTGTTGAATGGCTTTGACCAAAATGCTGATAATGATATGAACAATGAAATCCAGGCTGAGGCGGTTTCAGATGGAGATGAGAAACTTGTTGGGAAATGGAGCAAAGGTGACCCTTGCTATGTTTTAGCAAAAAGACTGGTGGCATTTTGCCCCTGGCCTAGAGATTTGTGGAACTTTGAACTTGAGAGAGATGATTTAGGGTATCTGGCAGAAGAAATTTCTAAGCAGCAAAGCATTCAAGAAGTGACTTGGGTGCTGTTAAAAGCATTCAGCTTTAAAAGGAAAACAGAAAATAAAAGTTTGGAAAATTTGCAGCCTAACAATGCAATAGAAAAGAAAATCCCATTTTCTGAGGAGAAATTCAAGCCACCTGCAGAAATTTGCATAAGTAACGAGGGGAAAATGTCTCTAGGGCATGTCAGAGATCTTTGCAGCAGCCCCTCCCATCACAGGCCTGGAGGCTTAGGAGAAAAAAATTATTTCATGGGCCAGGCCCAGGGTGCCCTGCATCCCAGCCACTCCAGCTGTGGCTGAAAGGGGCCAATGTAGAGCTTGGATCATGGCTTCAGAGGGTGCAAGCCCCAAGCCTTGGCAACTTCCATATAATGTTGAGCCTGAGAGTGCACAGAAGTCAAGAATTGGGGTTTGGGAACCTCCACCTAGATTTCAGAAGATGTATGGAAACACATGGATGTCCAGGCAGAAGTTTGCTGCAGGGGCAAGGCACTCATGGAGAACCTCTGCTAGGGCAGTGTGGAAGGGAAATGTGGGTTGAAACTCCCACAGAGTCCCCAGTTGGGTATTGCCTAGTGGAGCTGTGAGAAGAAGGCTACTGTCCTCCAGACCCCAGAATGGTAAATCCACCGGCAGTTTGCACTGTGAGCCTGGAAAAGTCACAGACACTCAATGCCAGCCCGTGAAAGCAGCTGGGAGGGAGGCTATACCCTGCAAAACCACAGGGGTGGAGCTGCCCATGACCATAGGAACCCACCTCTTGCATCAGCATGATCTGGAGGCAAGACATGGAGTCAAAGGAGATATTTTGGAACTTTAAAATTTGACTGCCCCACTGGATTTCAGAGTTACGTGGGGCTTGTAGCTCCTTTGTTTTGGCCAATTTCTCCCATTCGGAACTGCTGTATTTACCCAATGTCTATACCCCCATTGTATCTAAGAAGTAACTAACTTGCTTTTGATTTTACAGGCTCATAGACATAAGGGACTTGCCTTGTCTCAGATGAGACTTTGGACTGTGGACTTTTGAGTTAATGCTAAAATGCGTTAAGACTTCCAGGCATTGTTGGGAAGGCATGATTGGTTTTGAAATGTGAGGACATGAGATTTGGGAGGGGTCAGGGGCAGAATGATATGGTTTGACTGTGTTCCCACCCAAATTTCATCTTGGATTGTAGCTCTCATAATTCCCTCATGTTGTGGAAGGGAACTGGTGGGAGATAAGTGAATCATGGGGGTGGTTTCCCCCATACTGTTCTCATGTTAGTGAATAAGTCTCATGAGATCTGATGGTTTTATAAGGCGAAACCCCTTTCACCTGGCTCTCTCTTGTCTGCTGCCATGTAAGACGGGCCTTTCACCTTCCACCATGATCGTAAGGCCTCTCCAGCTCTGTGGAACTGTAAGTCCATTAAACCTCTTTTTCTTATAAACTGTGCAATTTTGGGTATGTTTTTATCAGCAGCGTGAAAATGGACTAATTCACATAGCAAAGAACTTACTAATATTGTACAAAGTTGAAACTTGGGGTTACCTTACTTAACAACTCCAGATTCAGAATAGTTTTTAAATAAGAAACTATGGAAGATGTTTATTTTCAAGTGGCTTTAATTCATTTTGGTAACTAAGTTAGAAACTTTTCTATCATTTATCTGTGATCTATACCAGAATTATTCAGAACCATAACATATTCTCTCAGCAATGTTTGTGGCCCATATTGGAATGATTCCATATTTAATCATGGGCTTTCTTTATGGAAATTAACCTTATTTTATTTTGGAAATAAATTCAAAATCTAATCTCTCATTTTAGCATCAGTGGGAGGAATACTGCATAGAAGTAGCCTTTTATACATCTTTACAGTATATTTTATAAACTTCAGAATTAAGAAAATTTATGGACTGATAGAGGTTGTGCAGAAATAATATTAAAAAATGATAATTCTAGGCAAAAGTAAAGGAAAAGTCAACTTTTTGCAATATGGAAAAAATTATTTGGTGTGACTTTTCTAAAACCTTTTTCTGTGTTCATTTTAATTTTATTCTTTTTTTAATTTTCATTTTCATTTTAGATTCAGGGGGTACATGTGCAGGATTTTTCCATGGTTATATTGCATGGGGTTGAAGTTTGAGCTTCTATTGATTCTGTCACCCAGGGACTGAACATAGTACCCAATAGGGAGTTTTGCAGCCCTTGCCCTACTCCCTCCAACCATTCTTTTGGAGTCCCCAGTGACTATGTTCCCTTCCTTATGTCTGTCTGAACCCAAGGTTTACCTCCCACTTATAAGTGAGAACATGTGCTATTTGGTTTTTTTCTGAGTTAGGTCTCTTAGGATAACGGTCTCCAGCTGAGTCCATGTTGTTGCAAAGGACATGATTTCATTCTTCTTTTATGGCTGTGTAGTATTCCATAGTGTGTATGTACCACATTTTCTTTATCCAACCCACCATTGATAGGCACCTAGGTTGAATCCATGTTTCAGCTATTGTGAATAGTGCTGCCATGTGCATATGTGTGCATGTGTCTTTTTGGTAAAATGATTTACTTTCCTTTGAGTATACACCCAGTAATGGGATTAGTTCATC
This sequence comes from Homo sapiens, assembly GCF_000001405.40. Taxonomy (NCBI): domain Eukaryota; kingdom Metazoa; phylum Chordata; class Mammalia; order Primates; family Hominidae; genus Homo; species Homo sapiens. The sequence goes on along the minus strand of NC_000004.12, from coordinate 119,846,153 downwards.
CTCTAATTTTATTCTACCAACGCCTCTAATTTCCCATTATTTTTCAACAGAGGGCCTTATTCTTTAAGATCAGTATCTTCCTGTTGGAAACATGCCTGCTTCCCTCTCACCATGTGAACTTTACATATACTGTGCTTTGTGCCTGAAGGACTCACCATTCTTTATGTTATTTAAATCCCCAGCTTCTAATTCAATTCAAATCTTTATGGTCTCTGACCTACAAAACTTAAAGGTGATATCATATAATCTAATACTAAAATATATTCTGTCTTTTATCAGTCATTGCTTTTTCATTAGGACTACTCTCTTCTCCCTAAATAGATTGCAAACTTTTTGGTGTCAGAAAATGTATTTTATTATTTCCTATTGCCCATTACCATGCATTCTGGTGTACACTTAATAACCATAATATAGTTTCTTTATTACTACCTAAAATGAAAAAGGCCAATGATATGAAAAAGTCCAATGATATCTTGAGTTCAAAATGGGTATTTTGAGCTGAATGTTATAACAGAAATGTAATGGTATCATACAATAAAAGGTAGCAATGAGTACTGAATGTCTAAATATAATGTTTGATTGGGCTGGTTACCACCATCAATCATTCCATTTTTTTGTTACCAATGATAAATATAATGTGTTGAAAGGTATATTTATTATTGTTAATAATATCTCTCCTATTTATTGAAAGACTTATAAATCAACATTTTTCATACTTAACGTGTATGCATTTTCTTAGTCTTATTGTAGAATTTTGAGAAGAACAATTTGACCCTTTTGTGACTAAAGGAAAAGAATGGTAATATTTTTGAAAAGTATAACTTGGATGTCAGAAGAATCTGAGTTCAAATTCTGGCTTCTTCCCTTTCTAGTTAAGTGACATTAATATTTCTGATTCTCAGTTTTTTGTAAAATGGCGATTAGTAAAACCAAATTCACAGTGTTGTTGCAAAGAAAGTACCTAATATAGACTCTGGTATATAGTAGATGCTTAATAAAAGACAGTTTCTTCCAGCACATTCTAAACCAGTGTGTTCCTATGAAACTTTTAGAGGTGAGTCCTTCTCATTCTCAGGTGAAGGCGAGCTTTCCACAGATGATACATGATTACATTCCTACTCCCCGGTACCAAGACTGTTTTGAAAATATGAAAGGGAAGTATATATTTGTCAGAGTATGTTTATTTGTAATGCTCACCAAAAAGAATCTGGATTTTAGATATTGGTCCCAGATATTAATCTCAGTATAAAGTAAAGAATGAGTACTTTCAGTGTTCAGAGTCTATTATTCTAATTATTTTAGACTATTCAATGAGATTAAAATTAGAAGATAATATACTTATAATTATTAAGTGAAAAAATCAGGCTTCAATATGTAAAATATTTTTAAATAAAATTTTATTTATTGTAAGTAGTTTATAAGTAAAAATAATTTTTTAAAATATAAAAATGGCCAGGTGCCATGACTCACCCCTATAATCCCAACACTTTGGTAGGCCAAGGCGTGTGGATTACTTGACTCCAGGAGTTCAAGACCAGCCTGGAAAGCATGGCAAAACCCCATCTCTACAAAAAATACAAAAATTAGCCTGGCGCGGTGGTGTGTGCCCGTACGTGGTCCCAGCTACTTGGGAGGCTGAAGTGGGAGAATCGATTGAACCTTGAGGTCGAGGCTGCAGTGAGTAGCGATTGTGCCATTGCACTCCAGCCTGTGGAACAGAGCAAGACCCTATATCGAAATAAATAAATAAATAAATTTAATTTAATATAAAATATAAGTATTTGTGTATACAAATAAGGTTTATTTCTGTGTTGTGTGATTATGAATACTTTTTGTTCCCCTTTGTGTTCTACAATGTTCATGCAATGTTCTTAAAGGAATCTGATCTAAAGCTTGAACATCCCTTCCTAACTTTTCTTAACTTATGTTCCTATATAAAGATTGAGTTTCCAGTTCAGGAATTTTCTCTCTTCTCTTCTTTGCGGGTTTTCTGAACCAGACGCAGCATTCCTCACTTTCGTTTATTTAAACCAGAGGAGGGATATGGTTTTTAACCCCCCTTTCCTCTCCTTAATCTAGGTAGGCTTGCGACTACATCAGAAAGGACATATGCAACTTCCAACACTAGGTCATAACAGGCAGGAGAGCCTTCTTGGAATTTGGCACCGTGCTCTGAGAAAGCCCTGACTGATACATGTGGAAATGATGCATGGAAAAGCCACAGGTAGTGTCCAAGCTAATAGTCCAGCTGAGAGCCTAGCCAACAGCCAGCATCAACCACCAGACATGGAAGGAACACGTCTCTGTATGATACAAGACTTCAGTCACCAAATCACCCTGGCTTTCAAATATATCCAGCTCAGGCCCGAGAATATTTTGGAGCAGATAACCAGCCCTGCTGTGCTCCATCTAACTTCCTGGCCCACACAAACACTGAAAGATCATGGTTGTAATTGTTTTAAGTCATTAAGTATTGGAGTGATTTGCTATTTAGAAATAGACAACTAGAACATATCCCCAAAACTTAGTGACTTAAGAAAACACCAAATAAAGTTAGGATAGCTCAGTTTTATGGACCAAAAATTCAGGCAAACCTCAGCAGGGTAACTGTTCTGTTTCTCATATCATTGACTGATGCTGCTCAGAGGTAGTCAGCTAGTGAGTGGTCTGCTTTGGAGAGTCTGACAGTTTCACTCACATGTCCAACATCCTGGAAGTTGTGGCTTGAAGATGTGACTTACAACTTGAACACTCCCCAGGCATTGCAGGCTCAAATTAGTCTTATGTGTTCTTATGTGTTAGAGACCAAAGAGTATTCTTTTAGCCCCAGGTAAAAGTTGCAAGGTTTCTTAGGACCTGCCCTCAAAAGTCCCAGAAAGTCTCTCCCACCATGTTCTATTGGTTAACCATGCCACTGAAGCCTGCCCAGATTTCAGTCAAGAGGAATTAAACTCCATCACTAAATGGGAAGAGTAGCAACAAATCTACAGAGCCATGTTTAATCTACCATACTTGGTATCACAAGAACCAGTGTGAGAGCAAGGAGTTTACAAGACTGAGAGTTTAAAGGCAATAGTACATCTCTTTTCTTTATCTTCAGGTTGAAATATACTCCTTGTTAGCTATTTGGACCCTCAACTAAATTTTTTTTTTTTTTTCATTTCAAAGCCCATTATATTAAGGCCAGCTGTTATGCTAATCACCTAAAATGTCAAATGACAAACTTTTGTGTGTAGGTTTAGAAATTTAAAACAGGCCATGTAGGCTATTCTAAGTATACATTACTTTTGTATTAAGAAAAAGATAAAAGTTATTTTTAAAAGTAAAATTCTTTGAACCCATAGCGAAACTTTATTACCAGTCGAGAGAAATGGTGCAAATTCTAAATGAATACAGGAATCAGTAGAAACTCCAAGTACAAGGCAAAGGATGAGTCCTCTAAATAAAATGAACTTCAGATTCTTGATATTTTCACACGTGTTGTTGCAACATATTCTGCTTTGTGTTATAATTGCTAGTAGGATTCTGCCAAGGAATTATGAAAAGCAAATTTAATGTTAAGCAATGATTTTTTTTTTTTTTTTTTTTTTTTTTTTTTTTTTGAGACGGAGTCTTGCTCTGTCGCCCGGGTTGGAGTGCAGTGGTGCGATCTCGGCTCACCGCAAGCTCCGCCTCCCGGGTTTGCGCCATTCTCCTGCCTCAGCCTCCCGAGTAGCTGGGACTACAGGCACCTGCCACCGCGCCCGGCTAATTTTTTGTATTTTTAGTAGAGACGGGGTTTCACCATGTTAGCTGGGATGGTCTCGATCTCCTGACCTCGTGATCCACCCGCCTCGGCCTCCCAAAGTGCTGGGATTACAGGCGTGAGCCACCGTGCCCGGTGGCTGATTTTCACGTCAACAGCTGCTTTCTAGCAAGCTTTCTGTCTTAGGCATATGGAACTACTGCTTATCTCAATGAATTATAATCATTATTAACCTAATAATCAGTAGGTGGTTGTTGGATTCATACTTTTTGACTTTAGTAGTTTCAAAGTCTCCAGTTTGCAATCCACTATTCATTTTGATTTGTACATTCCACATTTATTTCTCTTTTCTAAGAACAACTATTTAAAGAAATTGTACTTACATTTATTCCTTTTTAAATCTAGAGTGTATCTCCCCAGGTTAAAATAAAAAAATTAAGAGAAGCTGAAAACGAATTTGAGATTTTTTCACACAATCTCTCTTCTTCCTTCAGCTTTTTATTTTTCTTTGTCATCATTATTAATACCCACTGATTAAGGGCCTAATATATGCAGGTCACGTTGGGCAACATACTCTGATTACAAAAAGAGACCGAAAACAAAGCCTACATCAAGGGTTTTACAATCTTGTTGAGGCTATGTGACATACATATTATTAATAACAACAATACAAGGTAGTTTGGGACTGGTGTGAGGCCCTTTGAAGTTGAATAATGTTATCTAATCTAGGAAACCATGACCAGATCCCTTACTCCTCCCTGTTTGAAAATCACTCTGGCAACCTGAGCATTCACTGGTCACCCAGGCTCCTGGTGGCATCATTCAGGACATCCTCAGAAATAACTTCCTGCTATGATTCACTCTTTATGGAGGAGTCTTCTTGTTCAGTTCCCCAGATGACTACTACATGAAACCTAAAGAGTTTCCCTTTCATAGAGTTTTCAAAAAGGCTGCTGAAAGAAGCCATTATTATTAAAACTAAGAAGTTAATATTAATAGGAACAAGAGGGAGATGGAAAAACAGAGAGAGAAAAAACATACAAAAATGGGGCTAGAAAAAGGGTGGCTATGGCATGAGAAAGAGGACAAAGAGTAAAAGGCCAATACTGTCAAGGGAGCAATTGTTCCCTTCAAGTCAGTGTGAGTTATCCATTGCCACCATAACGATACATAACAAATAATCACAAAGCCTTGGTAACAAACAATGAGCATTTCTTGCTCACACATCTGGGGACATTAGGGAGTTCTGATCTTGACTAGGCTTGCCATGGATTCTTGTCTTGGCAATGGCAGAGAGGCAAGAGCAAGCCAACTCAATTGTACAAATATTCTACAAGACTATCAAGTAGAAACAGGAGCTCAGAGCCAGAGAAGACCTGAGAGTATACATTATCCTACATGACCTGAGGCCTTGAAGAAATATTGATGAAGACACCAGAAGGAACATTGAAGCCAATCTTATCTTGACATTAAAGACAGAGAAACCCAAGCTGATACCTAGTGTATTTGTTTTCTGTTGCTGCTGTAACAATTATTAATTTAGGAGCTTAAAACAACATAAAGATATTATCTCACAGTTCTGTAGGTCAGAAATCTGGGTTGGCTTCTCTCATTTCTCTGTTCTGATTTAACAAAATCAAGGTGTTTGTTAGCTAGGTTTTTATCAGGATGCTCTAGGAAAAATATGCTTCCAAGCTTATTTATGTTGTTGGCAGAATCCAGTTCCTTGTGATTGTAAAGGGTACCATATTCTTGCTGTCTGCCAGCTCGGGGTTATCCTCAATATCTAGAGATCACCCACACAGCCTTGGCTTCCTTCACCTTTAAAGTCAGCATAGTGGGTTGAGTCCTTCTCATGCTTCAAATCTCTTTGACCTTCTCTGCCTCATCTCTACTACTTCCAGCCAGAGAAAATTCTCTGTTTTTGAAAGCTCATGTGATTAGATTGATATCACCTGAATAATCCAGGATAATCTCCCTGTTTTAAGGTCCCTAATCTTGATTGCATCTGAAAAACTCTTTTGCCATGTAACATATATCCAAAAATTCCAGAGATTAGGATAAAGATACGGGGGGGTGGGAGGGCGGGGATGGGGATTGCCTGCCATACCTGGAATCATGTGAATCACAAACAATTCTTTTTCATGAACAGCCTACTACAGATTTGATAATCATGGGCCTCCAGATTATCTATGCCCAATTTCATAAATTTTTATCAATTACCAGTCTGTGTGTGTGTTATACCATGTGCTCTCATTTGGATTTCAAAAAATATAATAGCTAATAATCAGAAAACGTCTGTTTCCTACATGATTACTCTTTCTGCCACCAGAAAGGAAAAAAAAAAAAAAACTGGGTCAGAGGTATAGCCAATAACTTAACTATTCCTAGAGCACTTCATCTTTAAGAACAGCATTCTGCCAACCCCACCACCAGTCATAGATTCTCAGACCAAAGATTCTAATTCATCTACAGTTTGTAACTATGTCTAGCTATTATAAATTGAATTGTGTGCCCCAAATATCACACATGGAAGTCCTAACTCCCAGTACCACAGAATGTGATCTTATTGGGAAATAGAGTTGTTGCAGAAGTAATTACTTAAAATAAGGCCATACTGGAGTACAGTGGGCCCCTAATCCAAAATATATGATGTCATTATAAAAAGGAGAAATTTGGACACAGTCACACAGGAAGAAGGTCATATGAAGATGAAAACAGAGACTTACAAACCAGCGAACCCCAAAGATTGCCAGCAAACCATCAGAAGCTAGAAAGAGGCATGGAACAGCTTTTCCTGTACGGATCTCAGACAGAACAAATTCTACCAACACCTTAATCTTGACCTTCTAGCCTCCAGAACTGGGAGACAAAATATTTCTGCTGTTTAAGTCACCCAATTTGTGGCACCTAATGGCAAACCTAGAAACCTTATATGGTCACTAACTTGGATAAATCTCTGGTGAAGACCTGAACCTAATTACAGTGTTTTTAAAGAAATGCATATTTGGCTACTTTTAATTACAATTAATAGAACCTGGCTTTTAAAGAATGTATTACAAAAAAGAATACAATACCTAGGAATACAGCTAACCAGGGAGGTGAAACATCTCTGTAATTAGAATTACAAAACACTGCTCAAAGAAATCAAAGACACAAACAAATGGAAAAATATTCCATGTTCATGGATAGTAAGAATCAATATCATTAAAATGGACATACTGCCCAAAGCAATTTACACATTCAGTGCTATTCCTATGAAACTACCAATGACATTCTTCACAGAACTAGAAAAAAAAAGTTTTAAAATTTATATGGAACTAAAAAAGTGCCCAAATAGCCAAGACAATCCTAAGCATAAAGAACAAAGCTGGAGGCATCACGTTCCCAAATTAAAACTATACTACAGAGCCATGGTAACCAAAACAGCATGGTACTGGTACAAAAACAGACACATAGACCAATGGAGCAGAATAGAGAATTCAGAAATAAGGCCACACACCTACCATCTGATCAGATCACCATGTGATCTTCAACAAACCTGACAAAAACAAGCAATGGAAAAAGGACTCCCTATTCAATAAATGGTGCTGAGATAACTGGCTAGCCATATGCAGAAGACTGAAACTGAACCCCTTCCTTACATCATATACAGAACTCAAGATTTATTAAAGACTTAAATGTAAAACACAAAACTGTGAAAAACCTGGAAGACAACCTAGGCTATACCATTCTGGATGTTGGATCTGGCAAAAATTTCATGATGAAGATGCCAGTAGCAATTGCAACAAAGGCAAAAATTGACAAATGAGATCTAATTGAATGAAAGAGCTTCTGCACAGCAAAAGAAAATATCAACAGAGTAAACAAACAACCTACAGAATGGGAGAAAATATTTGCAAACTGTGCATCTGACAAAGGACAAAGGTCTAATATTCAGCATCTATATGGAACCTAAACAAATTCACAAGCAAAAAACAAGCCCGTGAGAAAATGGGCAAAGGACATAAATAGACACTTTTGAAAAGAAGACATACATGCGGCCAAGAAGCATAAGAAAAAAAGCTCAACATCACTGATCATTAGAGAAATGCAAATCAAAACCACAATGAGACACCATCTCACACCAGTCGGAATGGCTATTATTAAAAAGTTTAAAAATAACAGATGCTAGCAAGGTTAGAGAGAAAAAGGAATGCTTATACGCTGTTGGTAGGAGTGTAAATTAATTCAGCCTCTGTGGAAAGCATTGTGGTGATTCCTCAAAGAGCTAAAAAGAGAACTACCATTCAACCCAGCAATCCCACTACTGGGTGTATATCCAAAGGAATACAAATCATTTTACCATAAATACTCATGCACGCATATGTTCATTGCAACACCATTCACAGTAGGAAGGACATGGTGTCAACCTAAATGCCCATTGATGACAGATTGGATAAAGACAATGTGTTAGATATACACCATGGAATACCATGCAGCCATAAAAATTAATGAGATCATGTCCTTCATCCAGAGGCCATTATCTTTAGCAAACTAACAGGGAAACAGAAAACCAAATTCCACATGTTCTCAGTTTTAAGTAAGAGCTAAACCACGAGAACACATGGACACAAAGAGAGGAACAACAGAGCCTGGGTCTACTTGAGGGTGCAAGGTGGGAGGAGTGAGAAGATCAGAAAAAATAACAATTGGGTACTAGGCTTAGTACCTGGGTGATGAAATAATCTGTACAACAAATCCCCATGACACAAGTTTATCGATGTAACAAACTTGCACATGTGCCACTGATCCTAAAGGTTTTTTTCTTTAAGAGAAAACTGTATTATGTTGGCAAGTTGTAAATGAAATAGACGGTAATGACTATACTAGCCTATGTTCAGAAATAAAATTATATTGATATTTATGCCAAATTATTAGGGTTTGCAGCCTGTATTTGCTTACGAAGATATTAAGCCCCTCCCCCATCCCCTTCTCCTTTATTTCTGAATCTCCCCTATACATTTCTGGGAGTCTTCTTTGGGGTCTTGCATTTTTTTGGGACCCGCCTGACTGTGTGCCTCAGCTCTGTCTTCTTCATCTGAGTACCACTCCATCACTTCTGCTCCTGGTGCTATCCAATGGAGCACAATCTGGCATGCTTAACAACCCCACACCAATGGCCTTCTGACTCTTAAAGTAACAACACAACACTGGATTCTGTAGCTGGAGAAGGAGGTGAAGGCATGATTGGAGCTTGTCCTCTCATGAAAATCTATGCTATAAGTGATCTGATGGGCCACAAAGCGATGCTGCATGTATCTAATGTCTCTACAAGTCTTTCATAACTACAGTTCTTCCAGCTTCTAGCCTCCACTTCTGTTGCCACTGGGCTCAAAATCTATCCTAAAGGCTAGAAGAATAAAAATTCAATCCCATCCCCTACATAGCGATCATGTCTTCACCACTTAACTTTCACAAAACTCCTCCCTCCTGCTGCTCCCGAAACAAAAACTTAACAATTCTTGCACATGGTACCCAAAAGGGACCATCATTCTACCAATTTCACAACCAGTCTATTTCACCTTTTAGATTCAGCTAGGATTTACAGCTCAATAATAAAGAGTAGCTAAGGAAAGTCAGAGGAAGGCAAGATTACTGAGAATAGAGTCAGTAAAAGAAATTCAACAGAGGAGGAAAGACTTTAACAGGAAGCAAGAAATTTAGATAAATGGAGAGATAAGGGGCATTCTAGGCAAGAATTTCAAGAAAGAAATGTCACTAGTAAAGAAAAAACGGGAACATAAATTTGGCTGGCCAAAGACAAAGGTAATATTTATCTTACTCAGTCACTCTGAGTCTTCACAGGTATCAAATTTTTTTAAAAAATCACCTTTAATCTCAATCCACAGGTATCTCCTTTCATTTTCCCTTATTAGAAACAATTTCCACATTCCTCAGAATAATTTAAACCAAATATATTATTTTCTCATTCTCTTAAAATAGTATTTTTTAAACCCAGATAACTCACCCTAGCTTTGCCTACAATGAGTTATTTCAGTTTGCTTTATTTTACCTATGCCACAATTTTGGTTTCTGCTGAGTTTCCATGTTCTCCCGTCAAGCAAACCTCTTGTTTTCCACTTTTCTTCTCTTTAGCACCACCACAAGCTCCAAATTGCAATTTTCACTCCTCTGCAAACCTATATGGTTTCTCCCCCATTAATTCTTCCTAGCAACCTCAACCTTGCTAACTAGAGGTCTCAGTGGCAAGAGAACATAGCTACCTCCAATTTACATCCAAGACAGAGTAGAACATTCCTAGGAAAAAACATGTCTTTTTCCAGATACTCAAGGGATCTAGGGTCCTGTGAACCCAGAGCTGATTTATATCCTCAACCCTTTATGCAATCATGACAGCCACCATGTCGGTTCTGGTTTATGCCACGGCCCTCTGTGTTTGTGTGTGTGTGTGTGTGTGTGTGTGTGTGTGTGTGTGTGTGTGTGTGTGTGTGTGTGTTGAGGATGCATGTTATGAGGAGTGCTCCTGTTTGCTCATTTGTTTTTCAGCAGAACATGAAGCTGTACAGATACTAATCCCAGGGATTACTTTTTTGTGGGTCAATTTATGGCTGTGGTTTTGTCTCAGAGGAATATGTTTTGGTGAACAGAGTTCACTCAAGACTTAAATTGCTCTAATAGTTTAATGCATGAAATGTACTTCCTTCAAGAATGGGAAGATTGCTTTCTTGTTAAGAAAACAAGGATTACAATTGGTTGACAAAACCCAACTGAAATAGTTATGAAAGGTCGTATAAACAGACACATGTTTTTGTAGGGCTGTTTAAAACGTAAAATGTCTATAGATAGTAAAATAATCCTGATGGTGATACAGCAGCATTGCGAAGTCTTGTATAAGAGTCTGTTTAGTGTAAAAGAGATTAAATTAGCTCATGCTGAAAAGTCCATTAAATACACACTAATCTATTGCTGAAAACTTACCAAGTAAAGAATTCAATCTGTTATATTTCCTTTTTGATTTTTTGCAGTCACTGAAATATACTTGGATTAAAAAATAGGCATGGTAATCTGTGACCTTCACAGTTGTTAGGGTACAGCTGAATCCTGTTTAAAGCCTCCAAGAGTTGGATTTTTTTTTTTTACAGTAAGTGCTACTTGGAAAAAAAATGACACATCTTTGGGAAGTGTTAACATTTTATTGTTGCTGTTATTGCTATGACTTTTGTAAGGAATTCATCTGAAGTTATAAAATATTGGCAGAAAAGAGAAACAACATTTTCTGAAGGTCTACAATGTCTTGGGCACTTTGCCACAGAAAGCTTTAACTTTCACATCAACTTTCAACATAGGCATTATTATTTTGAATTTACAAATGTGAAACTAAGAGTCTTAGATAAAGGAAATTGCCAGCTTATGCTCATAAATGACCATGTTTATATTGAGACCTAGATCTAACATGCAAATTCTTTCCCATCTCAAAACGTTTGCTTCTGTAAGTTCATGGTTCTGGAATATTCCTCTCCAGAGTCTGGGATCCCTTCTGATCTCAGCCTTTGTTACCTAGTCAGGTCCTAGGAGGTTCCCTCTGGAACTCCCTCCTCCACTGCCCTGCCCCATCTCAGCACCATGTTTCTTTCCTGTGAACCACTTAAGATATTGTTTAGTTGGTTGGCTTTTGCCTATTTCCTCCTCTAAAATGTCAGCTCTATGAGGACAGGGACCATATCTGTCTAACTCATTTCAATATTACCAAAGCTTAGCACAAGCCTGACATATAATAGACAATTCAGCAAATATCAGGTGACTCTAAATGACTCCAGGCTTTTTTCACTCACTATGTTGCATCTCATGGATTGTTAATTCTATTGAAAATTGTTTTGTTTATTAATTCCCAAAGTAAAAATTATTAAAGACAAAATAATAAGATTTCCTGATTGGATACTTTGGTCCCATATTACTATTTCTCATACAAATCTTTTTGGCGTGCATCATCTGAAAATCAAGATGTTTTCATATTCTCCAAAACATTTCCCAACCTGGAACAAGTAGAGAGGTGACAACCCTGAAAGAGCTATATGTTTTGTGGAGAGTTCAGAGTTTTGTGTCTATAGCACTATTTTTTATCTTCTTCATGATAGGGGTTGGCAGAACAGTGTATCTGTGTGCTACAAGTATATGAAGGTGGGATTATGTTGTTCTTGGGCAACTAACATAAGTTAGGCATTGTTCTCTGTCTGGAGATTCAAAGTACCAATAGAATACAATTCCTATCCTTAAGGAACTCACAGTTATGTAAATCAGTTTACATTAATTTTCATGTTTTCACCTACTAAATAAGATTAACATTGACAACTACATATGTCCCAGGGATACAAAGCCTCCAATGTGGAGGGCAGAGGAAATAGCAGTAAATAGCAAAAGGCTTGCAGGGCTTTGCTTGTTTCTTTTTTATTATTATTAGCTGCTATGCAGTGCATGTGCTAGAGTTGACCTTACAGGAAGGACTTGACTTGCGAGAATTTGCCATTTGTTTCTCATTGTTTCCCGTTGCTGGTTGCCTAGTCATAGTCTAACTTTATTTAAAGCCCAAGGGAAGTTAAAAAAGCATATTTTATTTCCCACTCCACTCACAGTAGGGGAAAGCCATGGGAAAGTAGATGTAATAACATTTGTTGCCAAAGGTACAAAAGTCCATAAAGCATAAGCATACCAAGGTGGAAGCTACACACGCACACGTATGATCACACCACAGATGAAGTATCAGTTCACATTGGAGAGAATATGTTATGAAAAATTTCACTAGTTTGTCCATGTTATGACAAATTTCACTAAAACAGTTTATTTGTCTAGAGTTTTATGGCATTCAAGTCCACACTGAGTAGTTTTTGATACTATTCTCTCATGTTATTTTGGGCAATTCTTAGAACAAATGAAGCAGAGACTCAGAAGCAAAGCATAGCAAGGGCTACTGAATTTTGCAGTCATACTTACTTACTATTGCAGTTATACCTTCAAGAATGTTGTCCCCCAATACAAAAATCAATAATGGAAAAATGGCATTACTATCTACAGATGTACACTGATTAGAACCATGGCCTTGAAAAGGCATTTTCTACTACTTCCTTTCTTTTTTTCATTTTCTTTTTCTTCTTTCTTTTTTCTCATTTATTTATTTCTTTCTTTTTTTTGTTTTCTGGTCTATATTTTAAAAATATTGAATCATTTTTATAAAGTGAGAAATCCAAAGCAGATTGCTCTAAAGTTTACTTTAGAGACAATTCCAATGAATATGCCAACTATTACCGTCAATGGTGAAGTGACATTCCTTGCTGTGGATTACTGAACAGCTTATAAATTCTATGGATGTTTGTGATTTTTCTCCAACTTCTTATAATACTCCAATAGTACAGTTATGTGAAAGGTATTTAAAGGCAATGTTAATAGCTACATGGACCACCCAGAAACACCACAACAGACTACCGCCTGTTTGAAATAAAAAACCACCACCCCTGAGATTATGAGAGAGTGCCTACAAGTTTGTGCCTGCAGGTTTGAGTTAAAGTGCCAGAGTTTAAGGGCATCATATTAGAGTCAGTCATCTTTGTTCTTTCCCTGGAAGGAGCTAGCCAGAGAGCCATCTCAGGATTTTCTTAAGAACTCTAGTTACTTACCTACAGTAGTCACCTGTCTGTCTGTCTTTTCCTTTTTCCCATTCTTTACATTTTTCTACTTTCTTTTCTTGCTTGAATATAATTTCTATCCAAAAATATTAACTTTTTGTTTTGTTTTGATTTCTAAAACTCTAGCTTGTTTACTTGGTATTATTTTTGTATGACTTTTCCTTTTAATTTATATTGTAATATTTGTTATCTCCTTATCCTTACTTTAGTAACTATTTGCCTGTTTTTTTATTTTCCACTGGTTAACCATTTGCAGAAGAATGAAACTGGACTCCTACCTTTCACCATACACAAAAATTAACTCAAGATGGATTAAAGACTTAAATGTAAGACCTCAAACTATAAAAATTCTAGCAGAAAGCCTAAGAGATACTCTTCTAGGCATTAGTTTACACAAATAGTTTATCATGAAGAACCCATAAGCAAATGCAACAAAATGAAAAATAGGCAAATGGGAACTAGTTAAACAAAAAAGCTTCTTCACAGCAAAAGAAATTATCAACAAAGTAAACAGATAACCTACACAATGAGAGAAAATATTTGCCAACTATGCATCTAACAAAGTCCTAATATCCAGAATCTATAAAGCACTTAACAAGAAAAAAATAAAGAGCCTCATTTAAAAAGTGGGCAAAGGACGTGAACATGAAAAAATGCTCCAAATCACTAATTATCAGAGAGATCCAAATCAAAAGCACAAGATAACTATCTCACACCAGTCAGAATGGCTATTACTGAAAAGTAAAATAATAATAATAATAATAATATGTCAGTGAGGTTGTAGAGAAAAGGAAATGCTTATACACTGTTGGCAGGAATGCAAATTAGTCCAACCACTGTGGAAAGCAGTTTGAAGGTTTCTCAAAGAACTAAAACGTGAACTGCCATTTGGCCCAACAATACCATTACTGGATATATATATACAAAAGAAAATAAATCATTCTACCAAAAATACATATGTAATCATGTTCATCACAGCACTATTCATAATAGCAAAAAGATAGAATCAACATAGGTGCCCATCAATGGTAGATTGGATAAAGAAAATATGGTACATATACACCATGAAATACTATGCAGCCATAAAAAAGAATGAAATCATATCTTTTGCAGGAACACAGATGTAGTTGGAGGCCATTATCCTAAACAAGATAACAGACAAATAGAAAAGCAAATACTACTCACTTATAAGTGGCAGCAAAATCTTTGGCTCACACAGACATGGAGATGGGAACAATAAACACAGGGGACTCCAAAATAATGGAAGGAGGGAGGGGCCAAGGGCCACAAAACTTTTCATTGGGTATTATGTTCACTATCTGGGTTATGGGATCAATAGAAGCCCAAACCTTAGCACCAGGCAACATACACTTGTGACAAATTTGCACAGGTACTCCCATGATTGAAACTAAAAAAAGAAATGTTTAAAAACATTATTTTCCTGCTTTTATTTTCTTTAAAAATATTTTTACCCTTAGAATTTGATATTTATTTTTCCCTCTAACTTATTTTTTCCTAATCTCTGTTCATTTTTTATTTTTCAATCTCTACATTTGTAACTTCCTTTGATCCACTATTACTACTGTGTTATCTGCCCTGAAAGGCAGACATCATAGATGTTGCATGTTCTGAAACTTCCAATCACAGGCAAAGAAATTAGTAATTTAAAAAAATTTAAATAATAAAGAATTTTAAAATTAGGAAGTTTGACTATGAATTTTGTAAGTAAATCCTACTACAATTATGAGTGGCTATAACAAAACACTATAAATTGAGTAGCTTATAAACTACAGAAACTTATTTCTCAAGTTCTGGAGGATGGGAAGTTCAAGATCAAGACACCAGCAGATTCAATGTCTGGCAAAGGCCTGTTTCATGATCCATGGATGTTGTCTTCTCACTGTGTCTTCACATGGTAGAAGGGGTAAGGGGTCTCTTTTGTAAGGGCACTAATTACATTCATGAGGACTCTGCCCCCATGACCTAATCATCTTTCAAAAGCCCCATCTCCTAACACCATCACCTTGAGGGTGAGGATCTCAACATACGAATTGTAGGAGGACATAAACATTCAGACCATAGGTGAAACAGAGCTTGACCTCACCAGCTGCTCCACTGCAGCATCCCTAAGTAAATGCCCTGGCAGGTGTCTATTTGGAGTCATCTGCATGAAGAGCACTCTGTCTAAACAAAATTATCCTGTTGGTCCATGTGGACCCGCAGCTGCATCCTACACCAAGTATGTGACTAAAAAATGATGCCTCTAAATTTGCGAGTGGTGGAAACTAGAATTTAACTCTAGTCTCAGGGGTGTGCTGGTGTGTTTATGTGCACACACACTTGTACATTAATATTTTTGTTTATATAAAGAAAAAAATCCAAATTTTTAATAATGAGTATTCCTGGAGAGTAAAGGTGGGTGGGGTTTTTAAAACTTAATTCATATTACTTGATTTTTAATGCACATGTATCATATTTAAAACAATGACTAAAATGTAAAGATATCATTTGTGAAATGTATACATAATTCTTCACTTCCTTTGAATACTCTAAGACTCTACAGACCAGTAGGAGTCTGTACCTGAATGGTACCATTCTAGTCTCTGCTGGAATAAATTTTAAATGAATTCTTCTTTAGTGTTATGCCATTGAACTTATTAAAGAAGATTCCAAGAAATTTCTCTGTGAAATTTGTTGTTTTATTTACCCTACCTATGTTGTCAAGAAAACAAGTCATTACATTTAAACCTGGTATTTTAATACCAGGATTACTGGGCAGGTCTCCTGAGAGGCAGCCTGGATTACCTCTTAATGAGTTTGTGAATCTTGAAACTAATTACATTTCCCTCTTCACTTTGGCTGCTAGAAAGCTCTGAGCCAGATAGCCAGCCCACTTTTAGTAAGTAGATTGAATCTTGCAGCAAATGTTATATTCACTCACTCCTTGTTTCATCTTGTTTTTTTCCGTAATATATTGTCTTTACCTTGATTCCCTCACTTATTTGTTTTTATTGTCTATACTTTGGTAAGCTGTCTGAAATCCTTTTAAAAACAAAGCTAGGTATAAATAACTAAAATCATAAATATGCAAAGCAAACAGTTCCAGGAGACTGTGACATTTCCATTTATGACCCAAATATTCCTGCTAGTCCTAATACTCATAATACTTTCATTTCCGCTCCATAGCCCTAGGGAAGCCATTTATTCTTAATATACTGTTGAGCCGATTAAGCATCTAAGGATTTTTTAAAGAGAAGATTGTTCAGGGAAAAGGGAAAATATTATCATAATTTTATATGAGTCTCCAGATGAGAAGATTCCTCAGGAGTACTATGCAGGGAAAAGGCTATATTTATCACATGTTTAATAAACAATGTGGAAGTTTAAGCTGTCATTTACATTTTCCATTAGTTATATCCAAAATTAGAGCATCATCCATTTAGATTTATTAAATTCATTCTCTTTATGTTGTTATTGATTGAGCCCCACTGACATGCAGAAAGAATTAAAAGCTATATAAGTTAAAAGTAACTCTACTTTTGTTTCATTGCAAGTACTCTGAAAGAAGTAAATATAAAATATCCCTTTCAATCTCTTGCCTAATTAAAACGGGATTTCTGGCAAAACATGGCATGATAAAACTGTTTTGATTTCACTACACTAGCTGTGCCTACAAAATAACAAAGAAAAAAGGATAGAAAACTGGTCAAACTATGAATAGTCCCAAACTGTAAACTGTGAAGAATACCTGCCAAAACCAAAGAGCATGCTGCAAACTGATACATACCTCTCCAGAGTTCTTGCCCAGAAGGGAGTTTGGTAAGTGACATAGCCTTGGAAGCCTCAGCAGCTATTTGCATCAAGTTCTACAGATAGCCAGTTCCACCCACACAGAATCATAGAGTAGAAATGACAAAATAAGGGACCATTTATATCCACCGCTTTCATTTCCTAAGACACAGCTTCCTAACCCAACAGGTGGAGTAGGAATGAAGAAAATATATAATCATATTTGCAGTAGATACCAGACTCGGTTAATAAAATAACTAAATAACTATATAAAAACAAACTCGTGATTTGGAAAACCATTAACATATAGTATTTCCCTGTATGTATGCTTAAGTGTAGGAGAATGTGCCCCCAAAAAATAAGACACAGAAAATATGCGCGAAGGGTTTTGAGACAAAACTCACAAATCAATGCTGGTAGCTGTGTTAGGTCATGCTCCATGTTTCCCTCCACACATAATATATATACACATCACATGCTTCTTATCTATTCATCCATCAATTCGCATTTAGCTTGTTTCCGTATCTTGGCTACTCTGAAAAATGCTGTAATGAACAAAAAAGTACAGATATCTCCACATCGTGATTTCAATTCCTTTGGATATATACCCAGAAGCCAGACTGCTGGATCATATCTGATATGGTTTGGCTCTGTGTCCCCACCCAAATCTCATCTCTGAGTCTAATCCCCACATGTTGAGGGAGGGTGCCGGAGGAAAGTGACTGGATCATGGGGCGGTTTTCCTTACCGTGTTCTCGTGATAGTGAGGGAGTTCTCATGAGATCTGATGGTTTAAAAGTGGCCGTTTTCCTTGTGCACTCTCTCTCTCCTGCTGCCTTGTAAAGAAGGTGCTTGCTTCTCCTTCACCTTCCACCATGATTGTAAGTTTCCTGAGGCTTCCCCAGCCATGTGGAACTGTGAGTCAATTAAACCACTTTCCTTTATAAATTACCCAGTCTCAGATAGCATCTTTATAGCAGTGTAAGAACAGACTAATACAATATGGTAACTTTATCTTTAATTTTTTGAGAGGCCTCCATACTGTTTTCCATAGCGGTAGCACCAGTTTACATCTTCACTAACAATGCACAGGGTTCCAATTTCTCTACACCTCACCAACACTTGTTATTTTTTGCAGTTTTAATAATGACCATTTGAACAAGTGTGAGGTGATAGCAAATTGTGGTTTTAATTTAAATGTCCATAATAATTAGTGATATTGAACACCTTTTCAGATACCTGTTGGCCATTTGTACATTTAGAGAAATGTTTGTTCAGGTCCTTTGGCTATTTTTTAACCAGTTTATTTGCTTTTTTACTATTGAGTTATAGGAGTTTCATACACACATTGAATATTAACCCCTTATCAAATATATATTTTGCAAATATTTTCTTGCATTTTTTAGGTTAACTTTGATTATGTTGATTGTTTCCTTTGCTGTGTAGAAGCTTTATGGTTTGATGCAATCTCACTTAATTTTTGCTGTCATTGTCTTTGCTTGTGGTGTCATAACCAAAAAAACCATGGCCAAGATCAATGTGAGGAAGCTTTTTCTGTATGTTTTCTTTTGGGATCTTACATGTACTTCTTTATTCCATTTTGAGTTTATTGTTGTGTATGGGGTAGGATAAAAGTTCAAATTTATTCTTTTGCATGTGGATATCCAGCTTTCCCAACAACATTTATTGAAAAGACTATCTTTTCCCTTACTTTATTCTTGGTGCTGTTCTTGAAGATTAGTTGAGCATATATGCATGAGCTTATTTCCAGGCTCTCGATTCTGCTCCATTGGTTTATATGCTTGTTTATATGACGTATCTCTTATGATAGTTTTTGTCATAAAGACTACTTTGTCTAATATAAATACAACTACCATGGTTATCATTGGGATAAAATATCTTTTTCCACCTTTCCATTTTCAGCCTATGCGTGTCCTTAAAGCTAAAGTGAGTCTTTTGTAGATACCATATAAATGGTTTTTCTTTTTTTTAACCCACTCAGTCACTCTGTCTTTTGATAAAATAATTTAATCAATTTACATTTAAAGTTATTATTGATAGGCAGGACTAGATATTGCCATATTGTTAATTATTTTCTAACTATTTTGTAGTTCCTTTCTTTCTTTCTCCATTGCAGTCTTTTTTTGTGATTTGATGATTTTATATTGTTATATTTTGATTTAGCTCAGGATATCTTTATGTAGCTACTACATATTTTTTCATAATTGCCTGTGAGGTTTACACAAATAAAACACCTTATACTTATGAAAGTCTGTTTTAAACTGATAACAATTTAGCTTCAATCACATACAAAAATTCTACACTTTTACTTCTCTGTCCCCACATTTTATGTTATTAATGTCACAAATTACATCTTTTTATATTTTGTGTTCATTACCAAATTACTGTAGGTACAGTTATGTGTCACATAACAACATTCTGATCGACCATGAACCACATATACAATGATGGCCTCATAAGATTATTATAGAGTTGAAAAACTTCTTACTGCTTAGTGACGTTACAGCTGTTATAACACCATAACACAATGCATTACTCATGTATATATCATGATGCAGGCATAAACCTACTGTGCTGGCAGTCATATAAAAGTATAGCACATATAATTATGTACAGTATATACTATTTAATAATGATAATAAATAACTATATAACCGTTTTATGTATTTACCATCTATACTTTTTATCATTATTTTAGAATGTACTTCTTCCACTTGTTAAAAAAAATTTACTGTAAAACAGTGTGCCATATTATGCTAGCAGCAGCCTCATACATCTTGCGTTTATTGTGTCCTTTGATTGTATTATTGTATCTTGTGGTTAATTTAATCTAGTATTGTTTTGTTCATCATGGCCCTTAAGCATACAAAATCTACAAATAATGCTGCTGGTAGAAGCCACATCATGTGATTGACCTGACTGACTTGGAAATGAAATTAAAAGTGATTAAGGATTATAGAGGGGGAAAATCGTGATGGTTATGGCTCACCAGTCAGGCATGTTCCATTCCCACATAGGTACAATCTTGAAGAACAAGAAAAATGTGACAAACTGTTAAAGAATCTGCTTCACTGTAGGCAAGGAAACTAACAAAACTTTGATATGGGTATATATCAGATATAGAGACGCTTCTAATGAACTGGATTGAAGACAAGACACAGAAACATATCCCTCTCAGTCCCATGAAGTTCATGGCCAGTGCAAAAGGTTTGTTTGCAATATTGAAGGAAAAGTTTGCTCCTGACTATGTTGGTACATTTAGTGCCAGCTTTGGGTTGCTTAAATTATTGAAAAATTGTTATTCATTACATAATGTGAAAGTGAGTGGTGAGTCTGCAAAGGCTGATGTGAAGGCAGCTGAAGAATTTTGGGAAACTCTAGATAAGCTGATTGTGGAGGAAAATTTCTTGCAGAGCAAATATTCTACACAGATGAAATCTCCATATTCCAGAAATGGATGCCTGAAAAGATTTTCATCCTAAGGAGGCCAAGTCAATGCGAAGTTTCAAGGTTTTTTAAAAAGAGGATAACAGTCTTGCTTGGGGGCAATATTGCATGCTACAAATTGAAGCCCTTTGTGATCTTGCGCACTGAGAACCCCAAGTCTTTCAAACATATCAATAAACACACACTGCCTGTGTACAACAGGAACAATAAGAAGTCATGGATGACCCACCTCCTCTTTCAAAATGTCCTCCTAAATTGCTATGCTGCAAAATTGAGAAATACTCTTTAAAGAATAATATGCCTTTCTACATTTTGCTTGTTGTTGAGAATGCTTCTGCATATTCTCTTTTTATTGGTGATCTTTATCCCAAAGTCAAAGTGGTGACTCCAGGTACCACATCTTTAAGCAAACCAATGGATCAACTAGTTATAGCAGCTTATAAGGCCTACTACTTGAGGAGGATTTTTGCCCAGGTTACTGCTGCAACTGAGGAAGACACAGAGAAGACACTGGTGAAATTCTGGAAAAATTACAACACCTATGACTGCATCAAGAACCTTGCTTGGGCTTGGGTGATGTCACCATGGACTGTATATGAATGGCCCCTGGACGAAGACACGCAAGTTTCATCTGTAATGTCAAAGGATTTGCCAAGGATGAGGATGTTATAAAAATGAAAAAAAGGCTGGGCACAGTGGCTCATGCCTGTAATCCCAGCAGTTTTGGAGGCTGAGGCAGGTGGATCACCTGAGGTCAGGAGTTCAAGACCAGCCTGACCAACATGGCGAAACCCTGTCTCCACTAAAAATACAAAAAAATTAGCTGGGCATGGTGGTGAGCACCTGTAATCCCAGCTGCTAAGGAGGCTGAGGCAGGAGAATCGCCTTAATCTGGGAGGCAGATGTTGTGGTTAGCCAAGATCGCACCATTGCACTCCAGCCTGGGCAACAAGAGCAAAACTCCGTCTCAAAAAAAAAAAAAAAAGTGTGTGGCTGAGATGGCAAACAATTCTAACCTGGGTGTGGATGAGGATGACATTGAAGAGTTCCTAGAAGTGGTTTCTGGCAAACTGATTAATGAGGAATGGTTTGAACAGGAACACAGAGCTTGAGAAAGAAAAACTGTAGTAGAAGAAAAAGAAGAACCCCAAGAAAATACACACTGAAGGGCTTAGCAGGAGCTTTTGCAAACCTCAACAAGATCCTTAAAAAGATTGAAAACATGGACTCTAACTCTTAATAAAAGGTTTTTATTAATAGAGATGAATACTCAAGGTACATTATTTGCTTACAAGGAAATCTAAAGTGAAAAAAAAAAAAGCAACCAACCAAGCAAACCATCATGGACCTATTTCCAAGAGGAGTGACACATTTTCAAGAATAGCCTCAGGCAGTTTCTTCAGGAGGTATTCTAGAAGATAATTTTTTCATAGGAGACAACATATCCATGAATGTTATTGCCACTGAAGACCTTCCAGTGGGACAAGATGTGGGGGTGGAAGACAGTGATAGCCATGATCCAGACCCCATGTAGACCTAAGCTAATGTGTGTGTTTGTGTCTTAGTTTTCAATAAAAACAGTTAAAAGTAAAAAAAAAAAAAAAGTTTTAAAATAGATAGGCTTTTGGAATGAGGATATAAGGCACAACTATTTTTGTACAGCTGCACAATGTGTTTGTGTTTTAAGATAAATGTTATTACAAAAAAGTCAAAAAGTTAAAAAAATTTAAGGTTTATAAAGTAAAAAGGCTACAGTAAGCTAAGGTTAATTTATTACTGAAAAAATTGTTAATAAATTTAGTGTAGTCTAAGTGCACAGTGTTTATGAACTCTACAATAGTTCACAGTAATGTCCTAGGCCTTCACATTTGTTCACCACTAACTTCCTGACTCACCCAGAGCAACTTCTAGTTCTGAAAATTCATGGTAAATGCCCTATATAGGTGCACCATTTTTTATAACATTTTTTTTTTACTGTATCTTTTCTATGTTTAGATCCACAAATACTTACCATTGTGTTACAATGGCCTACAGTATTCAGTATAATAACATCCTGTATAGGTTGGTAGCTTAGCAGCAATAAACTATACCATATAGCCTAGGTATGTAGTACATTACACCCATCTTAAGTTTGTGTGTAAGTATACTCTATGATGTTCACACAATGATGAAATTGACTAACGATGAATTTCTCAGAATATATGCTCCTTGTCAAGCAATGCATGACTGTGCATTTATTTTTCATTCTTTTGTCTTTTAACTTTTATGCTAAACAGTGATTTATATGCCACCATTACACTATTAGAGTATTTTGACTTTGACTAGATACTTACCTTTACCAGTGAGTTTATATTTTATGTGTTTTCATGTTGCAAATTAGTATCCTTCATTTCAACCTGAAGAACTCCCTTTAGCATTTCTTGTAGGGCAAGTCTAGTGTTGATAAACTACCTTAGTTTTTGTTTGTCTGAAAAAGTCTTAATTTCTCCTTCATTTCTGAAGAACAGCTTTGCTGAGCATAGCATTCTTTTTGACAGATTTTTTTCTTTCTTTCGCACTTTGAATATATCATCCCACTCTCTTTTAGTCTGCATAGTTTCTGCTAAGAATTCCACTGAGAGTTTTATTGAGGTTCCTTTGTATGTGACTGGTGGTTTTTTTCTCACTTTCAAAAATTTCCTCCTAATCCTAGGAGGAGAAGCCCTGGATTATGTGCCTTTTCTCAATTCCACAAAGCCAGGCTGGATACTGAGAGTCTCTCATTTATTTTCCCTAAGACAGTGTTCTGAAGTTTTCAAGGTTGTGGCCATTATCCCAGTCCTACAGAGTCAAGCTGGCTACTGAAATTCTGTTCCTGAAATTTGTTATGCTGTATGAAGGGACTCATGCACAATAACCATGGGATGCCATTCATGGGGACATCCAGGGCACTGATATAGGGGCACATGCAAGGTGCTGATATTGTTTGTTGGCTGTTTGGGGGTGTCCGTAGGCAAGTTGTTTTGCTGAATTCATGGGTGTGTCTCTTGGTAGAGTCCATGATCCAGTTAACAGGAACCATATCCAGTTGCTGAGATCCATGTGCTACTAGTCCTTGTTCCTAGCTACCCTTAGACCATGTAGCTGTGCCAATTCCTTCAGTGTTTTGGTTGGCATGAAACAGAAATGAGCCTTCAGGGTAGTGTCCTATAAGACTTCTGAAGCCACAAGTGCACTTCACTCTTGCTCTCCTTCACGGATAAAATTGTGGTTTGAGGAAACCTCTCCCAGTACTGAGCTGTGCCACCTTCGGGAAGAGGTGGTGATGCAGGTAAAGTGAAACTACTTTTCTTACCCTCTTCAATGAGCACGTCCCCAAATGCTGGATTCTCTCAGCTGGACTCCAGGGTTCCCCAAAATGTATTCTCACCCATGGGTAGCTGTGAAAATTGATGTTTCTGCGAAGGGGTGAGGACTGGAATCTTCTATTCCACCATTTTGCTTATGTCCAAGTGGCTTTCTAAACTTCTACTGGGATCTTCCTGTAGTGTATTACAGAGGCAGATGTGATAAAAACTACATTTCCCGAATGAATTTGTACATACACTTCCAGGTATGATTTAAGTTCCACCAATTCATGCATTTTGTTTTGTTTTGAAACTTGAACTCAGAACTGAGGAAGTAAAAATAGAAGCATAGAATGAAGCATTTATTTTGCTAGTGTGGATTATTCCAGCTGCAGCATGGTTCTGAAGCTAGTACCTATAGTGATAGCTTCCCAATTTGGTGGGCAGTTTTCTCATTTTAACAGAGCTATACTTGCAGCCAGCTCTGTTCCATGCCTTTATGAATCCTTTCTCGAAGCTCAGAGTATAACTTGTTTCTGCAATTATTCCAATATTTCTGAATTTTATATAATGTTACAGTAAATCCTTTATTAAACAAGCTAGAGTCTATTCTTTGCAACTGAATATCTCTACAACAGAGTATGAAATAAAGAGCGATCTAAGATTTGCTATCTGATCTAACTAGGCTTCAGCAGAGATAGTCTTCCACTAAAACTAAATGGTAGGATCTAGAGAAATCCATAATATGCATTGGTAAAGCAATTACTTATCGCCCATGGTCACCTGGAATGAAGTGTCTTTTGGAGTCAATGCCTCGATGAAACAAATGGCCACTAAAATAAAATACTATGGTAAAAATGAAGAATGTAAAGTTCATGAAGTTCTCTACTTTTAACTACATTACTGAGACTAATAAAAAATGAAACAACTAGTTTAGGATTTAAAATTCCAGTTCAGGTTATGATTAACATAAGCCAGTTCACAAGATTATCTAGCCTTTCTGGATCCAGTAATCTCACTACTGGGTATGTATTCAAAAGAAATAAAATCAGTACATCAAAGAGATGTCTGTACTCTCATGTTTATTGCAGCATTATTCACAATAGCCAGAATATGGAAACAATCTAAATGTCCATCATTGGATGAATAGATAAAGAAAATGTGGTACATATACACAATAGAATACTATTCAGCCTAAAAAAAATGAAGAAAATCTTGTCATTTGCAACAACATACACCAACCTGGAGAACATTATGGTTAGTGAAATAAGCCAGGCACAGAAACACAAATACTGCATAATCTCACTTATATGTAGAATCTAAAAAAGTTCAATTTAAGGAAATAAAAAATAGAATGGTGGTTACCAGGGACTGGGAAAGGAGGGGAGGATCAAAGAGATGCTGGTCAAAAGATACAAAATTTCAGTTAGATAAGAAATGAGTTCAAAAGATCTGTTGTACAACATGGTAACAATAGTTAATAATAATGTATTCTATTCTTGAAAGTTGCTAAGAGAGTAGATTGTAAGTGTTCTCCTAACAAAAAATGATAAGTTTGCGAGGTAATGCATATGTTAATTAGCTCAATTTAGCTATTCCACAATGCATATGTATTTCAAGGCAATATATTATACATGATAAATATATACACATTTTATTGTATAATCAATTTAAAAATATTTTTTTTAAATTAAAAAATATATATTTAAGAAAATACTTCCTGGAAAATTTAGCATATTAATTGGGAAAGAGTGGTATCCTGATAATTTTAAATGTAGACATTTGGAGACACTAAAATAACCATGAGTACTCCAGGTCTCTAACTGCCTAAAATGGTAGGGAGCGGGGCACCCTGGTTAGCAGAAACAGTTCTTCCTCTGTCTGATGAGTAGAGACTTGCCTTACCTTAGAGTCTTCAATGGCTTTACCTGAGCAAGATATATTTTAAATAGGCTGTTGAGTCTTCTCATGCTTCATTCCTTCCATCTTTCATTGCTTTGAGATTAATAACCAAAATCAAACCCAAATATTATGGTGAGAATGGTACAAACAGTAACTCAGAAAGTCAACAGCATATGCACCAAAATAATTAAACTGTTTTGTTATTTTGCATTGTTATTAACCTGGAGAATATCAAGAAAAAGGATTCTAAGAATGCCAGGGAAGAAGAAACAGAATTAAAGATCACAATGAGAATTTATACATATAACTATACTTTCACTAAATAAACTAGACATGCCAAAAATCCTTAGAATACTGTCAGGAAAGGATTTCATGTTATAAGAAAATAGAAATGTTAAATAGACTAACCAAGTACAACCCACCTCCCAACTAGATTTCCTGAGAGGACATATACAAAATAGACTGTGTTTCACTCTTAAAAATAAGGAAATTCTGTTATTTGCAATAACGTGGTTGGAATTAGTGAACATTCTGTTAAATTGAATAAATCAGACACAAAACAACCAACACTGAATATTCTCACTTATATGTAGAATCAAGAACAATCAGACTCATAGAAGCAGAGAGTCTGTAGAATGCTGGTTACAGAGGCTGGGAGTGGGGGAAATAGGGAGAAGATGAACAAAGAGTACAAAACCTCAGAATAAGGTGTTGTTGGGGGTTTTGAGGTCTATTGCACAGCATAGTGAATATAATTAATAATAGTGTATTTGAAATATTTCCAAATTGCTAACAGAGTACATTTCAAACGTTCTCACCACAGAAAGTGATAAGTATTTGAGGTGATAGATATGTCAGTTAGCTTGATTTAGTTACTCCATATTGTATTCATAAATCATAACATCACTTTGTATCCCATAAATATATATAATTATAAATTATCAATTTATAATAAAAATAAATATATAACATTCACAATAAAAAAAAGAAAGGAAGGAAATACTGAGGGGTCAACTGATAACCAGAGTTTTGGCTCAACTTCATCTCAAAGTGGGCCTTGTGTGTCTAAGAACACACTTGTGTTTATTCCCACCATTCATGAATGCTCAACTGGAAGAGATATACTTAGTTACTGACAGAATCCCAACACTGGATCCCTGAACTATGAAGAAAAGGATTGTGGTAGAAACAGCAAACTGAGCGCCTCAGGAATAAGTCCTTACTACTAAAATAGTAAATCAAAATCAATTCTGCACTCCTGAGGGAATTTCAGATATTAGTGCCGCTATCAAGTACTTAAAAATCCTGAAGTTGTAAATCCTGTTCTGTCCCCATCTAACTTGTGCTTTTGTATCATGTAGAAAACAGATTAGCCTTAGTAAAAAAAAAAAAAAAAAAATCAACAGCTTATTATTAACTTAATCAGATGATGACTTCACTTATAGCTGCTGATACATATGTAAGCTTTTTAATGGAACAAATAAACTAGGCTCCTGGTACCTTGTATGCTACAATTCACACACACACACACACACACACACACACATTTTTCTTCAGCCAGTAGAGTCAGAAGGTTACGGTCATGATTGCTTCCTTTCAACAATTTGGCATTGTGCTGTAGTTAGTCTTCAAAAACTTACCTTATTTTACCATTCCATAAGCCATCATGCTGATCCTCTATATTAATGACATAATGCTGGTAGAATCTGATGAGCAGGGAATAGCAGTTACCCTAGATAGTAAGCAGAGAGTGTTAGGAACCCTAGGCACTTGGAGAGACAATTCCCCAGGAAATTAAGTTTCCTAATAGCTCTTTGAAGCCTCAGGGAGTTCAGAATCTGAGGCATACCAGGATATCCCCTCTACAGTGAAAGACAATGGTTCTGCACCTTACTTCATTATCACTAAAACAGAGATGTAACATTGGGTAGGCTTTTATGAATTTTGGAGAAAATATCTGCATGTGTGTCTTCCTTCAGCTCGTTAAATAAATAATATATATTTCTGCCGACTTTAAGTAGAAGCCAGGCCACAATAAGACATTCACGCGAACCCAGTCTACAGTGTAAGCTTCTTCCTAACCCAGCAATTGGAGTGGGGAATCCAGAAGATCTATTATTAATCCAAAGGTCTATGGAAGAACAGACTTGTATTCACCCAATGACAATCCCTGATTGAAGATTCATAATAAACTTCTAGGATTTTGGAGCCACATCAGCCTGTTTTTAGAAGATAAATATCTTCCTTATACAAAACAGATGTGCTCTTCCTGCCAATCTTCTTGATAGAGGCTGAGACTTAATAGTGAGATGCATAGCATGAGATGAGACTGTTCGTCATAAACCATGTGTTATGTGATCTGGGAAGCCCTAAAGGTGGCATGTAAAAATGAGATATACAAGCTTTAGGTCTATAGCAAGACCTAAAGGCACAAGTAAGTCCTATGAACATACGGTTTCTGCTCTTACTGTGCTGTCTTTTCTCCTTTCAGTAATTCCACTCAGGGCCTCCTAGGGATTTCCTAGGCTAGTTGACTGAGAAAGAAAAAAATTGAGCCTGGTTTGCCAAAGGGTCTGCATGATATGCCACACTAGCCAAAAGTGGTCTGCTATACTATTACAATTTTATACTTGGACTCAAAATAAAGAAACTTATTGAAAAAAATCACTACAAAAGTAATTTTGTATAATTTGGATGTTCTGTTGCTCTGACAAACAGTGCTCTGCATAGAGTTATATGCATTAAAGTAACAAGTAACAAAAGCAGAAAGTCAAAGAATGTTAGCTAAAAATTTAACTGCTGTAAATTTTTTAAAAGATAGTGAAAATGCTTTGAAAGTTTTGTCATCATAAAAGGTGTAAAATTTTCAATATCTTGCGATATATTTGTAATCTACCTGGGCACATTAGTTTGGAAGCTCTTGCCTAAAAGATGCATTCACGGAGATGCAGTTGAGATGGTAACCCATCATAGTCATAGAATCACAGAGACACATTATATTTGGAAATCTAAGGTCTGGCAGGGGACAGGAGTGAGATATGGTACTAGAAATAAGGATCAGTTGAAAATGGGTAAATACAGAACATTCAACTCCCAACCCTACCCCTCTTTCCCACATGTACACTCTTATACATATCACAAATTCAACAGTCAAGTTTCTGCCCCTAGGCAAAGAATTAGAGGGTTCCTCTCAAAAGGAACTGACTGGCCCTGAGCAAATACCTTCATATAATGGCATTATACTAAAAGATAGTTTATTGTTTATCTAAAATTCAAATTTAATTGTATGTCCCATATTTTTATTTGTTAAATATGGCAACTATAATGTAGAGGTTCTCCAGTTTAACACTAACCTCCCTGCATGGCCACCTCAAAGCAAAGTCCATCTGTGAACAAATATGTTCTTATAATGTGAACAAAAGTCTCATCAACACATATAACTGTTTTATTATAATATATAAATAAACAACCAGGGATTACCAAATATTTGAGGAAAGCTTCAGCATGAAAGTGAAAGACCAAGATTTAAAAATGGAAAAATATTATCCTAAATAATATACAATATTTAAAGAATAGAATAAAACTTTTAAAAATAATATTTTTATTTTTAATAATATTTTACAATTCTTTTTTTATTTTATATTTTGCCTCCTTTAATCCAAAGGAACAGAATAAAACTTAAACAAAACCTCTTATCTTATTGGAAGAACAAAAAAGTTTAGAGGAGATATTGCATCAACACACAAAATATGTTACAGAAAAGGAAAAATTAGGCCAGGCATGGTGACTCACATCTGTAATCCCAGCACTTTGGGAGGCCAAGATGGGAGGATC
The DNA here is from genome assembly GCF_000001405.40 of Homo sapiens. NCBI lineage: Eukaryota > Metazoa > Chordata > Mammalia > Primates > Hominidae > Homo > Homo sapiens. The sequence continues at coordinate 119,816,409 of NC_000004.12, read as the reverse complement.
ACTTGAGTCCAGGAGTTTGAGACCAGCCTAGGTAACATAGGGAGATCCAGTCTCAAAAACAAAACAAAAACAAGCAAACAAACAAAGGACCAATAAGAAAAAAAAAGAAAAGAAAAAAAATGCCTGATTGAAGATTGAACAATTCTTGGAATTTTCAATTATGATTACTAAAATTTTTTAATTTAGTAGAATATTTGGAAGATATAATTGAGAAAATGTTTCTGTGAAAGTACAGTAAGAAGAAAAAGATGGGAATGGGGAGAGATTAACCAGGTAGAGAATGAATTCAGAAAGTCTAAAACCAGAACAATACAAGTCACAGAAGGAGATATCTAAGAAAGCAGAAATAAGATTATCAAAGAATTCAAGGGAATATGCCAATGCTAAAGTACACAAAACTGTAGGAGAAAGAGTATACTTAGTGCTCATTCCAGAGGATTTTTTTTTAAAGATTAGACATAACAATATAAACTTTCAGAACAAAAATCAGAAGGACATCAAAATTTTTATCAGTATTATTGAGTGCTGGGAGACATTTTCAGATACAGACTCAGATAGTTATTTCCCATATTCTTTATTTAGAGAGCTGTGAAAATAAACTATAGCAAAATGAAGATGAGAACCAAAAAAATATGTTGGAATAAATCCAGAAAAGCAAAGAAGGAAGCACCAAGCACTGAGATGGCAGCTGTGAAGCAAGATGAGAGAGCAACTAGCATGGGGAGGAGCACAAGATGCAACTCCCTGGAGGCAAGCCTGGGACATAAAGGGGAATTTCATGATACTATGAAGAGTTTTAAAAGAAAATGAGGAGAGACCTACAGTTTGAACTCTGATATGAAAAGAGATTTGAAGTCATTATTCCCATCCTCACAGGACGAAAGCTGTACAAACTGCAAATTAATGACTTTTCTTAGTTCCATCAGAGAATTAAGGTGACAGGGCTAATCAGCACCTTAAAATCTAGAGACAAGCTAATACAGAGAGTTATGGCTGAAATCAGCTTACTTGAAGCTGAAGCCACTAGATTCAGTAACTGGCAGGAACACTTAAATGGTAATTTTGTTGAATCACTGAAATTTAGTATTAGTTTGAGTGCTAAAACCTCCTGAGGGCCTAATTTTAGAGGGGCCCCATTTTTATGGTTTTACTTCCAGGAACTCCAACAGATTTTCAAGGTGCAGATCAAAGAAAAATCCCCTCACATTTTGGGCTACAGGAGGGGGATGTAACTGTTTTGAAATATTTTTCAGAATGCTCTCTGTAACAAGGATCTGTCCTTCAGAGCCTTATGTGATCTGAGGAAAAGGCAATTAGTGAACTCCAGCCCTCTCTCTTTCCTCTCTTTTGGGTATTCCCAAGACCCTTTCCTTGGGTTTGATTAATTTGCTAGGATGGCTAACAGAACTTGGGCAAACACTTATGTTTACTGGTTTATTATAAAGAATATTACAGAGTACAGATAAACAGCCAAATGGAAGAGATGCACAGGGCAAAAGATACGTGGGAAAAGATGTTGAGCTTCCATGCCTTCCCTAGGTGAGCCATTCTCCAGAAACATTCATGTGTTCAGCAACCCAGAAGATCTCTGAACCCACTCAGTGCTTTTAGGTTTTTACGGAAGCTCCATCACATACATATGATTGATTACATCATTGGCCATTAGTGATCAACTCAACCTTGAGCCCCTCTCCCTTTCCTGGAGGTCAGGGGGTGGACTGAAAGTTCCAGTCCTCTAATCATATGGTTGATTCCCCTGGCAACCAGCCCCAATCTTAGGTTATCTAGAAGTCCCCAGTCACCAGTCGTCTCATTAGCATTCAAAAAGGTACTTATCACTTAAGAGAGTGCAAGGATTTTAAAGGCTATCTATATACTGGGAAACATGGAGGAAGACCAAATGTATATTTCACAATATCAGAGGAGTAAATTATTTAAAGTTTTGAAAGAAAAAAAAAACCTGGAAATCTATGAGCAGCAAAATTAGCCTCCAATAATTAAGTAGAAATAAGACTTTCCCAAACAAGTAAACTCTGAGACAATTTGTCATCAGCAGACTTGCCTTGCAAGAAATGTTCAAAGAAGTTCGTCAGAGAAAAAGAAATGATACAAATCAGAAACTTGGATATATAGAAAGAAAAAAAGAGCATCAGAGAAGGAATAAATTAAGATAAAAACACTTATATTCTTCTTATTCTTAACTGATAGAATAGATAACTGTTTGAAGTAATAATAGCAATAATACATTGAATGACTGTAGTATATTGACAATTCAATGACAAGAATATTATGAGGAACAGGAGGGAGGAATTGAAATTATTTTGTTATAAGCTATCTGCACTGCTCATAAAGCAGTATTATGTTATTTGAAAGTTGGCTTAGATTAGTTGCAAATTCTAGGACAATCATTTAAAATTTTTATGTAAAATGCATAATCAGTATCCTAAGAGAGGAGAGAAATGGAACCATAAAAAATATCTGGTTTAAAATCATCCAGGAGCATGACAGCAGAATAGGAAGCCTGGACCTTTCTTACCCCCATGGACACACAAATTTAACAACAACACCCAGACAAATTCCCTTTGTGAGAAGTCTGGAAACCACTTGAGAAGCTCCTGTACCACAGGCAAAGGCAAACCAGTATCATCAAAGCCAGTAAGAAAATTTGAGGCACCCTCTCACAATAAATTCTATTCCATGAGCAGGGCCACATGATCAGTGCCACAGTGCCACATGATCCCTCAACTCCAAGATTTCTCCTTGGGAGAGAAGAAAGAGACTGATCTGTATGTTCAACCCTCTAACTTTTCTTCAGGCATCCTGAGGGACTGCTTTCTGTCTTGCCTGAATGCTGACAGCAAAAGGCCACATATATGAAGCAGTTGAGAACAAAGGCAGAAGCTTGGACTAGCATGCACACACTTGCCACAGCTTCTCCAGCTCAGCAAAGAGTGAGCCAGCAGAAATCCCCAAATCCCAGCTTCTCTCTGGGGAAGAAAGAAGCTAGACCATAAATCCAATATTCCAACTTTTCTGGGGGCTGCCTGAAGGCATTATTCAGCCAGACTGAATTCTATCTTGCCTGTTTTGGAGTGCTCACAGGATCTGGCTACTCCAGATGTCTGGGAGCCTCTGAGAACAACAATAACAATAATAAAAAGAGTTCAGGGCATGCTGTTTCTCTAAAAAGCCCACAGCAGAGCAGATGGACACCAGAAATAGCAAGAGATTATAAATTCCTGAAAAATAAAACCAGAAAGTCCTCCAATTGGGAATTTACATGCACAAGTCCAGAAAAGATGCATACACAAAGAAGGCTTGAGAGACCCCCAGAATATTTGGCTGAGGTGATAGTGAGGGCCTTTACCTGTACATGGCCAGTTCTTGAAGACTGAGAGAGGTGGCTATTTTTTCTAATGCACAGACACAAACAAAAAGACTCAAGGGGACGGGGGATGGGGATAGAAAAGCATGGCCCAAAGGAAAAAACAAGACAAATCTTTAAGATCTGACCTTAATGAAATGGAATTTTATGAATTACCTGACAGAGAATTCAAATTTAAAAAAAAATCTGCCATAAAGATGCTCAATAAGCTCAGAAAAAACAATGCATGAACAAACTGAAAATTTAAAAAAAATAAGGAAAATATGAAAAAGAAGCAAACAGAAATTTTGGAGCTAAAGAAAGTAATAACTGAATGTGAAAATTCACTAGAGGGATTCAACAGCAACCTTGAGCAAGCAGAACAAATAATCAGCAAACTCAGCAGGACAGGTCATTTGAAATTATCCAGGCAAAGAAGAAAAAAGAAGAGAATAAAAAAGAGTGAAGAAAGCTTAAGAGACTTATAGGTTATCATCAAGCTGACCAACATATGCATTATGGAAGTACCAGAGAAGAAGAAAGATAAAGAAAAAGAAAGCTTATTCGAAGAAATAATAGCTAAAACCTTCCCAAACCTGAAGAAGGAAATAAATACCCAGACCCAGGATATCCAGTGGGGCCCCAGTAAGATCAACCCTAGGAAGTTCATACTAAGACATATTATAATTTAATTGTCAAAACCCAAAGTCAAAGAGAGAATTTTGCAAGCAATAAGAGAAAAACAACTTATTATATCCAAGGGAGGCCCTACAAAACTGTCAGCAGATGTCTCAACAGAAACCTCACAGGCCAGAGAGAAATGTATGATATATTCAATGTACTGAAAGAGAATACTGCCAACTAAGACTACTATTCCAGCAAAACTGTCCTTCAAAAATGAATAAAATATGAAGACTTTACCAGATAAACCAAAGCTATAAGAGGTCATAATCTCTAGATCTGCCTTGCAAGAAATGCTAAAGGAAATTCTTCAAGTTAAAACAAAAAGACCCTAAATAGCAACATGAAAACATATAGACATAGAACTTGCTAATAAAGGTAAATGATATAGATGAATACAGAATACTGTAATCTTTTAATGCTGGTGTGTAAATCACTTAATTCTAACATAGGAGTTAAAAGAAAAAATATTTTAAAAACTATGCTTACTAAAATATGTTAATGTATACACACTAAAAACATATTTCGGGACATCAGTAACATAAAATGTGCATAAGGTCGCGGTAAAAGTATAGTTTTTTTATGCAATTGAAGTTGTCATTATCAGCTAAAATAGACTGTTATAACTAAAGGATGTCTTAAGTAAGCCACATGGTAACCTAAAAAAAAATCCTTTAGAAGATAAACAAAAGAAAGAAATCAAAGCATGACAATAAAAAATCAATAAAACACGAAGAAAGATAGCAAGAGAGGAAAAGATAGACAAAAGAGCTACAAGGGCAGACAGAAAACAATTAATAAAATGTCAATAGAAAGTCCTTCCCTAACAATAATTGCTTCAAATGTAAGTGGATTGAACTCTCCAATCAAAAGAGATAGTGTGGCTAAATGAACTTAAAGATACATGATCCAATTATATGCTACCTATAAGAGACTCACTTAGATTAAAAGACACACACATAGGCTGAAACTGAAGAGATGGAAAAATGTTTCATGTAAATGGAAAGCAAAAGTGAGCAGGAGTGGCCATACTTAGACAAAATTGACTCTAAGTGAAATATTGTCACAAGAGACAAAGCGGTATAATACATAATCATAAAAGTGTTATTTCACTGTGAACGTATAACAATTATTAATATATATGCATATATCCTACATCAGAGTACCTAAATATATGATGAAATATTGACAGAGCTGAAGGGAGATATATCACAATAATGTTAAGAGATTTCAGTACCCCACTTTCACTAACAAATAGAACTCCCAGACAGAAAGTCAATAAGGAAACAGATGACTGAACAACATTATGGACCAAATGGTTCTGACAAACATACACAGAACTTTTGACCCAAGAGCAACAGAATACAAATTCTTCTCAAGCACACACAGAACTCTCTCCAGGATACATCACATGTTAGGTCACGAAAAACTTTTAAGAAATTTAAGAAGACTGAAATCATACCAAGTATCTTTTCCAACCACAATGGAATGACACTAGAAATCAATAACAGGAGAAAAATTAGAAAATTCACAAATATGTGGAAATTAAACAAAACAGTCTTGAACAACCAGTGAGTCTGAGAATAAATCAAAAAGAGTATTGGAAAATATCTTGAGAAAGATACAAATTAAAACACAATATACCAAAACCTATGGGATACAGCAAAAGCAGTATTAAGAAGAAAGTTTATCATGATAAATGCCTACATTCTAAAAGAAAAAAATATATATTTCAAATAAAAAAACCCAATGGTGCACCTCAAGGAACTAGAAAAAAAAACAAAATCCAAAGTTAGCAGAGGGAGGGAAATAATAAAGATGAGCAGCAATAGATAAAATAGAGAATTAAAAAATTTTAAAAGTCAATGAAACTAAGAGTTGGTTTTTTGAAAAGACCAACAAAATCGGTAAACCCTTAGATAAACTGAGAAAAAAAGACTCAAATAAATAAAATTAGAAGTAAAAGTAGAGACCTTACTGATACCACAGAAATTCAAAGGATTATATGAGACTACTATAAAGAAGCATATGTCAAAAAATTGGACAACCATGAAGAAACAGCTAATGTCTTAGAAACATGCAACCTACCAAGTATGAACTATGAAGAAATAAAAAAACTCAACAGATGAATAACAAGTAAGCAGATGGAATCAGTCATCATAAACCTCTCAAGAAGGGAAAGCCCAGGATCAGATGACTTCATGGGTTAATTCTGCCAGAACATTAAGGAAGAATTGAAACCAATCCTTCGCAAACCCTTACAAAAAACTGAAGAGAAAGGAATACTTACAGCCTCATTTTGTGAGGCCAGAATTACCTTGATACCAAAGCCACACAAAGACACTGCAAAAAAAAAAAAAAAAAAAAAAAAGAGGAAGAACAAGAAGGAAGAAGAAGAGGAAGAAGAAGAACAGGAAGAAGAAGAAGAAGAAGAAGAAGAAGAAGAAAAGAAGAAGAAGAAGAAGAAGAAGAAGAGGAGGAGGAGGAGGAGGAGGAGGAGGGGGAGGAGGAGGAGGGGGAGGAGGAGGAGGAGGAGGAAGAAGAAGAAGAAAACTACAGACGATATCCCTGATGAATATAAAAGCAAAAATCCTGAACAAAGTACTAACAAACTGAATTCAATGGCACATTAAAAGTATCATACAACATGACCAAGTGAAATTTATCCTAGGATGCCAGATGGTTCAACATATAAAAAATCAATCAATGTGATACTCCACATTAACAGAAAGAAGGATAAAAATTACATGATTGTTGGGTGTGGTGGCTCATGCCTGTAATCCCAGCACTTTGAGAGGCTGAGGCAGGTGGATTGCTTGAGCCAAGGAGTTTGACATGAGCTTGGGCAACATGGAAAAACCCCATCTCTACAAAAATAGAAAAATTAGCTGGGTGTGGTGGTGCATGCTTGTAGTCCCAGTTACTCAGGAGGCTGAGGCAGGTGGATCAATTGAGCCCAGGAGGTAGAGGCTGCAGTGAACCATGATTGCACCACTGCACTCCAGCCTGAGCAACAGAGCAAGACCCTATCTCAATTTTTAAAAAAATTACATGAGCATCTCAATAAATACAGCAAAATATTTGACAAAATTCAACACCCTTTCATGATAAAAACACTCAATAAATTAAGCATAGAAATTATCTCAACATAGTGAAGGCCACATATAAAAATCCCACAACTAACATCAAACTCAATGGTAAAAATACTGAAAGCTTTTCCTCTAAGATCTTTGTTCTTAGAGGATCTAAGGCAAGGATGCCCACTTTGCCACTTCTATTTAATATAATGCCAGAAGTGCTAGCCAGAGAAATTAAGCAAGAAAAGAAAGTAACAGGCATCCAAATTAGAAAAGAAGAAATAAAACTATCTTTGTTTATGGATGATGTGATCTTATATGTAGAAAGCCCTAAAGGTTTTCTTTTAAAAGAAAAACTGTTAAAACTATTAAATTAATTTATTAAAGTCACAGGATACAAAATCAACATGCAAAACTCAGTTGTGTCTCCATATGTTAACAACCAAATACCTAAAAAGGAAATTAAGAAACAATCCAATTTATAATAGCATCAAAAAATGAAATGCTCAGGAATGAACTTAACTGAGGAGAAAAAATTTATACACTGAAAACTACAAAACATTGCTGGAAGAAATTGAAGAAGAAATAAATAGCAAGACATCTATGTTCATGGATAGGAAGACTTAATATTGTCAAAATGTCCCCATTACCCAAAGCAATCTACAGATTTGATTCAATCCCTATCAAAATCCCATTGGCATTTTTTGCAGAAATAGGAAAAACAATCTCAAAATTCATGATTGCTGAGCATGGTGGCTCACACTCTTGTTCACATGGTGGCTTCAAACCACTCTGAAACCACAAAGGACTCTGAATAGCCAAAACAGGCTTAAGGAAAAAGAACAAAGCTGGAAGCATTTCACTTTCTAATTTCAAAACATATTACAAAGTTACAGTAATTAAAAGAGTGTGGAACTGAAACTGTCACACGGAAAGCCATGGAAACTAATGGAAGAGATTAGAGAGCCCAGAAATAAGTTCATCTATGGCTAGGCATGGTGGCTCACACCTGTAATCCCAGCACTTTGGGAGGCCAAGGTGGGAAGATCACCTGAGGTCAGGAGTTCAAGACCAGCCTGACCAATATGGTGAAACCCTGTCTCTACTAAAAATACAAATATTAGTTGGGTGTGGTAGTGGGTGCCTGTAGTCCTAGCTACTCAGGAAGCTGAGACAGGAGAATTGCTTGAACCTGGGAGGCAGAGGTTGCAGTGAGCCAAGATCGTGCCATTGCACTCCAGACTGGGCAACAGAGTAAGACTCTGTCTCAAAAAAGAAAAAAAAATTCACACACATATGGCCAATAGATCTTTGACAAGAGTACCAAGAATACACAATAAAGAAAAGATAGTCTCTTCAACAAATGGTGTTGGAAAAACTGGATATTCACATGCAAAAGAATACATTGGACCCTTATTTTATACCATATGCAAAAATCAACTCAAAATGGCTTAAAGACTAAACATAAGACCTGAAACTATAACATTCCTAGAAGAATTCATAAGGAAAGAGCTTCTTTAGATTGGCCTTGGCAAGCATTTCTTAAATATGACATCAAAAGCACAGGCAACAAAAGCAAAAATAGTTAAGTGGAATTACACCAAATAAAAGAGCTTTGCATAGCAAAGGAAACAACAGAGTGAAAAGCAACCTACAGATAGGGATAAATATTTAAAAAGCATACATCTGATAAGGGGTTAGTATCTAAAGTGAGTGTGTGTGTGTGTGTGTGTGTCTGTGTGTGTGTGTGTGTATATATATATATATTGCTATTGAGTTGTAGGAGTTCCTACAAAATACATTCTCCAGTATATTTTGTAGGAACTGCTACAACTCAATAGCAAAAACAGCAAATAACTCAATTAAAAAATGGCCTGAGAACCTGAACAGACATTTGCACAAAGACATACAAATGGCAACAGCTATACGAAAAGGTGCTCAGTATCATTAAGCATCAGGAAAATGTAAATCAAAATCACAATGACATATCACTTCACACCTGTTAGAATTGTCATTATTTAAAAAGAAACAGAAAATAACAAGTTTCGGTGAAGTGGTGAAGAAACTGTAACTCTATGCACTGTAAAATAGTGCTGCTGCTTAAAAAATTGTATGGAGGCTCCTCAGAAAATTAAAAAAGAGCTATCATATGATACAGCAATTCCACTTCTGAATATTTATTCAAATAAGTTAAAATCAGTCTCTTGATAAGATATTTACGCTTCCATGTTATTGTGGCATTACTCACTCTATTCAAGATGTGCAGCCAGGTGCAGTGGCTCATGCCTATAATCGCAGCTTTTGGGAGGCCAAGTCAGGAGGGACACTTGAGCCCAAGAGTTGGAGACCAGCTGGGCACCAAGGCACAACCCCACCTCTACAATAAATATTTTTATAAGTTAGCAAGATGTGGTTGGCAAGTGCCAGTAGTCCTATCTACTCAGGAGGCTGAAGCAGGAGGATCCCCTGAGCCCAGGAGTTTGAGGTTGCAATGAGCTACGGTCATGCCACTGCACTTTAGCCTGGGTGACAGAGAAAGATCCTGTCTCAAAAAGAAAAAGAAGATGTAGAATCAACCTAAATGTCCATTATATATATATATATATATATATTCAGCCTTGCCTTAATCACTTTGTGTTGCTATAAAGGAATACCTGAGGATGAATAATTTATAAAGAAAAGAGATTTATTTGGATCAAATGCTGCAGACTGTAGAAGAAGCACAGCACCAGCATCTGCTTCTGGTGAGAGCCTCTGGCTATTTCCAGTCATGGAGAAAGGTGAAGGGGAGCTAGCATATGCAGAGATCACATGGAAAGGAAGGAAGCAAGAGAGAGTAAGAGGGATGGTGCCAGGCTCTCTTAAACAACCAGCTCTTGTGGGAACTAATAGAGTGAGAACTGACTCGCCGCCCACCGCTCACAACCAGGAAGGGCATTAATCAATTCATGAGAGATCTGCCTCCATTAGGACTCACCTTCAAAACTGGGGATCAAATTTCAACATAAGATTTGAGAGGACAAATATCAAAGCTATAGCAAGCTTTAAAAAAGGAGGAAATCTTGCCACATACAACAGTATAGATGAACCTCGAGGACATTATGCTAAGTAAAGCTAGTCACAGAAAGGCAAATGCTACATGACTCCAATTATATGAGGTTTACAAAATAGTCAAAATTGCTGGGCATGGTGGGTACATGCCTGTAGTTCTAGCTACTCAGAAGGCTCAGGTGGGAGGATCACTTGAGGCCAGGAGTTTGAGGCTGTAGTCCCCTGTAATTGCACCCATGAATAGCCACTGTACTCCAGCCTGAGCAACATAGCAAGACCTTATCCCTAAAGTAAGTAAATAAATAGCCAAACTCACAGAAGCAGAGTAGAATGATAGTTGCCATAGACTGGGGGTTGAGAGAAATGGGGAGTTGCATTCAATGGGTATAGTTTGAATTATGCAAGATGAGAAAGTCCTAGATATCTGCTGTATGAAACTGTGCTTTTAGTTAACAATACTGTACTATACACTTAAAAACTTTTAAGAGGGTATATCTCATAGTATACATTTTTTACCACGATAAAGAAAAATACAGATGAGGCATAAAATGTGGGAAAAAAATTTTTGAAAAAGAACAAAGGCAACAAATAGAAAACAGTTACAAACATTGTAGAATTAATCCAATGATATCAGTAACCACTTAAAATGTAAATATCTACATATACCAACTAAAAAGACTATCAGGGTGGTTGAAAAAACAAGACTCAACTGTCTACAAAAAACCCATTTTAAACATGTCTTCACAGATAAACAGTAAAGGGATAAGAAAAATACACGGTGATAACACTAATCAAAAGCTAAGGTAGCTGTACTAATCACAAATTAAACTGACTTCAAAACTTTCCAGAGATAAGGAAGGACATTGCACAATAATAAAGGGATAAACTCTCCAAAAAGATAGAACAACTTTTAATGTATATGCATCTAACAAAAGCAACAAAATACGTGAGTGAGGCAAAAACTGATAGAACTTCAAGGAGAAATAGATAAATCCACTATTATAGCTGGAGCTGCAGATATTAATAAGAGCTCCCTCTATCAATAATTGACAGATCCAACAGGGAGAAATTCGATAAGGATATACTTCAACTGGACATCAATCAACTAGATTTAATTGACATTTATTGAAGGTTTCATGCAACAGCAGCAGATTATACATTTTTCTCAAGCTTGCATGTAACATGCACCAAGGTCAACCACATTCTGGGTTATAAAACACATCTTTATCTTAACAAATTAAAAAATAGAAATCATATAAAATATGCTCTCAGAGCACCTTGGAATTAAGTTAGAGATCAATAACAGTAAGATGGCTGGAAAATCCCAAAATATTTGGAGATTAAGCAATACACTTCTAAAGAATACATGGGTCAAAGAAGTCTCAAGAGAAATTTAAACATATTTTAAAGTAGAATAAAATAAAAATACAACTTATCAGAATTTGTGGAATATAGCAAAAGCAGCGCTCATAAGGAAATCTATAGCATTGAATGCATATGAAGAAAAGAAGGAAGATAAAAATTTAATCATCTAAGTTACTACCTAATGTAACTAGAGAAAGAAGACCAATGTAAGCCAGAAATCAATAAATAAACAAGACAATAATGATGTCATAATTAGGAAGATGGTGTCAATGGGCAAAAATGCCTAGAAAAGAAGTCAAAAGATGATGTCACAATTTAATAAAGACACAGCTGTTAAAAGCACAGCATTTAGAAATATGAAGGAAAACATCAGAAGAAACAGGTTAAAGAATTAGATGTGGTCCTCACAGGGAATATTTGGTGAGATGGGGGTGTGGAAAGAGAAGGATAGCAAATGGACTAGGATTTGAGTTCATAATCATAGGAGACTTTAGTCTTCTCTGTCACACTTCAATTTTTATGAGCCACTTGTAGTTATGTATTACCTAAATCATTAAATATTTAGAAAAGGACAATACTTGAAAATATGATCAACTTTGTTCAAAAACATTAAGATCAAAACAGCAAAAAGGCACTATATAGTTTTCCTTATGATACCTATAGAGATTAAAATGTTGAATAAGATCCAATGTGGATAAAACTATTAAAAAAAGGTTTATATACACCGTTTTTGAAACTTTTCAAAAAATTAATTTGCCTTAGCTTTCTAAATTTTAAGTACACTTGCTGTTATTTGTACGCATACTCCTTGAAACAGTAATACCACTTATCAAATTATCCTATAGATAGCTCATAGAAATGCTTGGTTATGTGTGAAAGAGCATTCACTGCAGCATTCCTTGTAATAAAACAGAAACAAAAATATTCTTCAACTGAAGGATTTATGAAAATCCATAATGTGGATTACTGTAGAGTCACTAAAAATAATTATACTAATCTATGTGTGTTAATAATAAAACCTGCCCAAAATATATTAACTGATTATCCAATTTCTATGAAGAAAAATATATATATTTATTATTATTATTAAGTAAAACTAAATTCCAGAAGTGTGTTTGTTAAAACTGATAGAGAAATATAAAACTAATACATGGAATGAGTCTCTGTCAATGTGGTGGCAAATAACTTTGTTTCTCATCACTGCCTTCAAAACAAAGCCCCAACATCCTCCCAGGATAATCTGAGGATGCTTCCTTAACTTTCTGGTCATTCCAGTTATAAGAACAAATCTTATTTCATTAATTACAACTCATTTTTATGTGTTACAAAGTCCAGACAAGTCCAATTGTATCCTTTATTGCCTCATGTAACAAAACTATCCCCAGCCCCATCCAACTTAGGCTCAGAGCTGGGTTTGGAGAACTGCAAGACAGTAGGTTACTGTCAGTATAATCAGCTTTCTCTCTCTCTCTCTCTCTCTCTCACACACACACACACACACACACACACACATCCCCTTTCCTTCCCTCCCTTGATTTTTCACTGCAACTTCCCTACTTGTGAATCTTCCACACTCAGTGCAACTGGAATGGAGATTAGAGGAAAAGAATGATTTCGTAGTTTCCCTACATGGCTGATGTACTGACTGATCTCTTAATTTTTCCCTTGGCCTCAGGCCCTAGTGACCTACCCACCTCACAGCTCCTCACTCCTAGGATCTCTTCTCTGGAGAAGGCAGCAACCTGGGGCAGTGTCTCATCAGGGCAGCTCAACCTCACTGCTTCCCCTTGCCTTATAGGCTCCATAAAATAGTGGGAAAGTAGACTTGCCTTTCTGTTTCTCTCTCTCTCTCTCTCTCTCTCTCTCTCTCTCTCTCTGTCTGTCTGTCTGTCTGCAGCCTCTTGAGCAGCTCCAATATTCCCTCCCACCCCCTACTTCCATGACTTCTGAAGCAACTGTCATTGACATTCTCTCTACAGCCCCTGGCCGCAGATACAAAGGATGCATTTCAAGCTCTCCCAAGAACTCTTGCAGTGCTCCATCCCTGTGTCCTCAGAAATGGCCCTGAGTCTCAGCAGCTCAAAAAGACTCCAGTTGGATAGTGAGAAGCCACTGCTTCCTTGCAAGAACCTTCCCAAATTTCTCTAAGTAATTTTCTTGATATCTCCTCCTACCTACCCTGGAATAATGGCAACACCTGCATAGGGAAGAAAAGAGAAAAGACCAAAGCACTCCTTATTTCTATAAATTCCCTTTCTTCAATACATTATCTTAAATTTCTGCTTTTCTGTTTAGATAGATTGGATGGTAAGGGTGGTGGCAGGGGTTGGGGAGTTGGATGTCCACAGACTAATTTAGCCACTTCTTAGCAAGCCGTTTGATTTTCTGTCTCTCTTGAGAATGTGCAGGTACTTTATAATATATTATTCTCATCTTCCAGGCTTCAGTCAAAATACCACAAAAACAGGAAATTCCCACTGAATATTCAATTAACATATTTATATAGTCATTAGGATAATATATTTAATTTTTTCATATACATGCTGTTACTCTGACATTTATCTTCATTCAGGCAGCAGCTAGTGAGTTCTATGTCTCCAGAAGAGGATAATGCAGAAAAATATACAAGATTATTTTTAAAAAATCAATTTTTTGGCTTTTGGTGTTCAATAACAAATGCCCGAGTGTAAGGCAAAAAACTGAGGAGAATAAATGACCAGATAGGGTCATGCTGATGATCCAAGAAACAAACAAACAAAAAGTGAAAGGTAGCGGCCCGTATAGAAATATGACAGTGACACAGATGAGCTGACCCCATCTCCTTGATGCTATTTGATCTCCCAGAACTTAGAGGCAATCAGAATAATGGGAGTTCCATAAAAAATTAAATTCATGTATAAAAATTAAACTTAGATATTTGCACAACTAGAGGCTCTTATTTGAAATTGGGGGCCAGCATATTTGCTCACTCCTGTAAACCCAACACTGTGGGAGGCCCAGGGGAGAACTGCTTGAGCCCAGGAGTTTGAGACCAGCCTGGCAAACATAGTGAGACTCCATCTTTACAAAAAATGAAAAATTAGCTGGGCATGGTGGCATGCAGCTGTGGTCCCAGCTACTCAGGAGGCTGAAGCAAGATGATTATTTGAGCCCAAAAGGTCGAAACTACAATGAGCCATGATCTTACCACTGCACTCCAGCCTGGGTGATAGGGTGAGACTCTGTCTTAAAAAAAAAAAAAAGAAAACACACACACATACACACAATTTGGACCTTGATACAGTTTGGCTCTGTGTCCCCACTCATAGCTCATGTTGAACTGTAATTCCCAGTGTTAGAGGAGGGGCCTGGTGGGAGGTGATTGAATCACAGGAGCAGAATTCCCCCTTGTTGTTCTCGTGATAGAGTTCTCACAAGACCTGGTTGTTTGAAAGTGTGTAGCACTTCCCGCTTTGTTCTCTCTCTTTCTCCTGCCAGCCATGTGAAGACATGCTTGATTCCCCTCACCTTCACCATGATTGTAAGTTTCCTGAGGCTTCCCCAGAAGTGGAAGCCTGATAGCCCACAGAACTGTGAGCCTATTAAACCTCTTTTCTTTATCAGTTACCCAGTCTCAGGTATGTCTTTATAGCAGTGTGAAAACAGACTAATACAGATCTGGCAGGTATCTATTTCATATAAATAAACAAACAAATATATTTATATAAATGTATCATATATAAATATATCAAGGCTAAGATATATAGCCTTGTATATAAGATATATATCTTATAAGCTGGATGTATATATATACATATATGTATATGTATACGTGTGTATGGGTATATATATACTTAGAAAGTATATAAGTGTATATATACACATATATATAATATCTGGAAGAACACACAACAAACCATTAATGGTGTTTATCTTTAGGGAGTAGAACAGGAGGATAGTAGCGGGGAATATGAACTTTTATTTTCCCCTTAGAAACTTCTGTTAAGTCAAATATTTTTGTAATTTATTCCACAAAGTATAGATTATTTTGTGAAAATGTAGTTAACAATTAACAAGGAACATACTAAAAAATACAAGCCAGAAAAACTACTTAATGTAATTTTTTCTAGTTTCTGGGAGAATAACAAAAAGAAGGAAGATTCAGTAGGAAAGGAAAGCAATGAAGAAGCCAAGAAAGAGACAAGGAACCCCGGAAAGAGAGTCAGCAAAGAGAGAAATAGAAACATTAATTTCAGGTATGAGTAACATGAGGTCAAGGGCTTCAAATACTGTGTCTGTAGCCTCCACCCTTTTAGAGAAACACTGGAAAACTGATGTGCACCTAAAAGGAGACAAGCAGGTTAGTGAAGGAACTGGGAGACATATTGGCTAACGAACTACAGCAAGTTCATGTTCAAATGAGATCAGAAGCTGTATAAAGACTGTAGCCACCTGCAAGACCTTCAGATGGCAGAAAATTAGACTTAAATTTTTGCCTCTGTAGCAAAGAATTAAAACTGAAGAGTAATTAAAACAAAGTGAATTATATCCTCTAGAAAATTTTCTAAAAATTAGAGACATTAATTTAAAACCAATTCTATATATCTTTCAGAGGAGTTGGAAGTGTTGTGAACTATTAATCCTTTAGCTTTGCTTTGGACTTGATAGCAAAAGTAGCTGCATGCAGAAGTAAAATTGTTAAGAATGTCACATAAAATGTGAGGGTGAGCTCAGCATGAAGGAACAGCCTCTTCCATTGGTGAGGTACAATCATCCTTATCTTTAGTAAGAAAGAAGAAGTCATAGCTGTGACAACATCTAGATGACCAGGGTGCCTGACTTTAGGAACCCAAGAGAAAATTTCTGCAGATAGAATTCATGTATAAAATTTATGCATGAATTTATTATTCAGATAAGAAAAGGTATAGACAAAAGGGCACTCCCTTCCTGCCTTCTTTTTTCCTTCCCCTTAGTATCACTGTCTACCACTAAGCAACAGTAAGATTTAACTCTGAATGTCAACCCTAAACATTTACGTGTTAGCACAAGCTCCCACATATTAGATGTCTGATGGCTAAGAAGTGTTCAGAATAGCTTAGCATCAGAATCAAATGTCGGCATTATTTTAGAATGGCAAAATAATAAGCCAAGAATATTCTAGTCCCAGTTCTCTTCCAGACATTAATCACAAGAAATGAGCCCTTCTAATTATCTTTAATTTAGGAAGGAATTCACAAATGACAGCTTGTTATTTGCAGGTCAGAATCAAGACAGCATGTAATATTTAACAATCTTGAAGTTGGAAACTTAAACTGAAGGAAAAAAGAGAGACTGGATAGAAATCAAATGGGTAGTTGTTTTCTTAGTAGGTATTTGCAGGAGCACTTAATAACTTAATTGCAAAGCTCCTTTTTAAAACAAGAAAAGCTATTCACACCTATCTGTTGTGGCATTAAATAGTCATTCAGAGTCTTGGTTAAGTGTTTTCTGTTGGAATCAGAGGCAGCATCAAGAGTTCTCGAATAAGAATCCTAAGAATAACTAGTTGTGACTATTGTTATATAGCTCTGTGCAATTATATATGCTTTATCATATATTAACTTGTTTAATCATCACAAGAACACCCTCTTTCCTGAATATTCTCTTTGCATGACAGGTGAAGAAACTGAAGACTTTAGCCAGAGCCAAGTGGCTAATTCAGAGTTTAATACACCTTTGACCTCAAACCCTTTGTGGTCACCTTTGAACAGTGCCTCCCTCTCTGAAATAAAATACTGGTTCTGTCATTAATTATTAATTATTGATTAATTTCTCTTGATTTTCATTTTCTCCTATGCAAAATTCTGTTACTGAATTACATGAATTCCAAGACCTCTTTCTGATCTAACATCCCATCATTCCCCTGTTAAAAAGATAACATAAAACCAGAAACAAAGTATGTAATTGTAATGCCAAATTTTTAAACATAGTTGATTATTCCACCTTGAAAATGTAAATACTACATGAAGCGTCAACAAATAAACCATTAGGTCAATATTTACTGAGAGCTGACTCTCCATCAGAGTGATGCTTGTAATTGACATGGAGGGCAAAATGATTTTAAAAAGTAAGATTCCTGCCTTCTTGGAACTCAGAGACAAATGTGGGAAATGGGCAACTCAAGAAACAATTTCAAAATCATATGTTAAGTCAAGAAACTGGACATGAAAGAAGGGGCATGTAGTAGACACCAGCAAGTCAGGAAAGGCTCTCTGTCAAGGGAAATGCACTTAGAAGGACAAGAATTTAACCAAGTAAATAAACAGGAGAGAGAAAGATGTTTCATGCAGAGAGTTGCAGATATGAGAATAAGCTAATAGCCTAAAAGTTAATTTGCATACTGTAACCATTCAACTCTCAAAATGTTCCCTTATTTGCCATGTAAACCACAGGTCCTAATGTAGCAGAAGTAATCCTAAATAAATCTGTTCTACAGTTGAGCAAAATGATTTTCATAGATGTTAAGCAACATGACTAAGCCATCCCCATTGTGGCGGATTCGAGTACAAATCCTATGCT
Organism: Homo sapiens; assembly: GCF_000001405.40. Lineage (NCBI taxonomy): Eukaryota > Metazoa > Chordata > Mammalia > Primates > Hominidae > Homo > Homo sapiens. The sequence goes on along the minus strand of NC_000004.12, from coordinate 119,798,334 downwards.
CTTTTCCTCTAATCATCACCATCTCCCTGTACATTTCTTTCTTGAGGCTCAGCTGAACATAAATAATCCCGGTGCAGAACACTGGACAACTGAAGCAAAACTGAGTAATTCAAAAGAAGATATATGAATATATAATCAGCTGAAAAACCAGATATGAATCTGCTCTAAACCCATTTCGAAAGCCCTCCTTGAATCTGTTCTGCAGCCATGTATTACAGGCATCTCAAAGAAAGAGATTTTTTTTCTGCAAAATGGTAGCTGGAGGAGAATTTTCTCTCCTCTGAGGTTTAAGAGGGCAAGCCATCAAGCCCACAGAACTGTAAACGTACAATCAGGCTCATTTTGTATAAGCAAAAGCATAATTTTATGTGCGGCTTGGCAATCATGATAATTTATGAATTTATATATTTTAACAAGGTATGACCCAACTATAATTTTTGAACCAAAAAGGTAAAACAAACTTGAGTTTTCCTTACTAATTTTTACATCTCAAGGAAGGAATGATTTTTTCAAATGTCCACTTCATGACATTCACTTCTTAACTGCATGTTTGGTGTATTGAGAAAAAGTAAATGCCCTTAAGTGTGTGGATTTTATATTTAGCAGGTGTTTTCCCAGACTTGACTGGGTTTGAAAAAGGTGCAGACATATGAGTCACATTCTCAATGACAACAAAAATGAGAAACAATACTCCAGAGATTAAGGCCCCAAAAGAGAGATGCAGATTTTTCCAAAGTTTGATGCTATAAAAGCAATTTATTTTGGAACATGTTAACAACTTTAAAGCAGATATTAGACAACTGTGCTCTCTAAAGATTTTGACTACCCTGCTTCAAGCAACTGTTCATCTGCTTAATTGTTAAGTCCCTTCTTAGAAAGTTTCAGAGTCTCACCACGTGACATGGCTCCTTCCTCCAACCTCAGATTACGACAAACATATTCAGTTGAACATTTCACATGGCAGCATTTTTCCATTTTAATGGTATAAGCCATACTCTTGGTGTTTCTCCTAACCCAGCTGAAGTGGACTATATAGCTATTTTTCTAGAGGAGAAGTTCTCTTTCCAAAAGGAACTCTGATGCTAATTCTTTTGTTTTTAAAGATGGGAAGATAATGTTTTCCACTAAAATAGCAATAATTTTGTTAAATATAATTAATTTTGAAAAGTTATCATAAACAACAAACATTAATCAGGGAGATAAATAGAGACTTAAGGTGGGAAATACGTTCATTCCATAAAACCCTTCATTCAGCATTTATTTAATAAACATTTACTGAGTGCTATGTGCAATGATCTGTAGTGAATGAACAGTGAAGGACCAAACAGCCATGGACTCTTGAAGTTATAGCCCAAAAGGGATGACTGGTCATTTTTTTAAAGTCTACATACAAGAACTTGCAAGAGATGATGTGAAGAAAATAGGTGAGTGCAATGGCAAAATGGAGTAAGTGGCATCTGCTTGGAGAAGATGGTCAGAAAAACTGCCTGTAAAGAGGTGATATTTCCAGCACTTTGGGAGGCCAGGGCAGGTGGATCATGAGGTCAGGAGATCGAGACCGTCCTGGCTAACACAGTGAAACCCCGTCTCTACTAAAAAATACAAAAAATTAGCCAGGCATGGTGGCGGGCGCCTGTAGTCCCAGCGACTCAGGAGGCTGAGGCAGGAGAATGATGTGAACCCGGGAGGTGGAGCTTGCAGTGAGCCAAGATCATGCCACTGCACTCCAGCCTGGGCAACAGAGCGAGACTCCATCTCAAAAAAAAGTGGGGGGGGTGATATTTGGGCCAAGCCCTATAGAATGGGAGGACAGTGTCCACCTGAAGACTCATGTCAGAGTGTCACTGGCAGGACAAGTCTCTGAGGAGGGAAAGGAGAAGCTGAAAGGAAGACAGTGAGGCTGGCCACAACCACCCCAGACAAACACAGATCTTCTCTCTGTGTTACAAAGAGTGTTACAAAGTCCACCCTTTGTAATAGTGAGCAGCAACTTTCACCTGGAGAAAAGGGTGCTGAACCACTCACACTCCTACGGCTCCATGTGGAGCCCCCTTCCTCCTACTCTCTCTTAAGCAGGGGCTCCTTTTAAATGGAAGCCCTAAATGCTGTGTTGTGGTGACACTGAAGGAAACATCCACCAAGCCCTCAGGACATGTCAGGGAACGTAAATACTGATCCATCTGCAACTCATTTCCTGACCCTTTAGAAAGTAGACCAACAGACAAACTTTCGACTGATGGCTAGTTTTTTGTTTTGTTTTGTTTTTAAATCTTGCTTATTGGTAACAGAGTCATCAAAAGTGCTATGTTTGGGCAGGGGCCTGTGGCAGTTACTTGATGAAATGCAGCAATTGACATTTATTGATTATGACATAATCAAAACACCATATAAAAGCCTTTAGAAAAACACATATGGACATGATAGTCAATAGTTGTCCAAAAAAGATGATATTGCTTATTCATAAGTTAGTATCAGTCTGAGTTGGATTTAGAGAATTTCAAAACCCTTTCTATTCCAACCGATGTATGACGTATATACTAAACATTGCTGTAGCATCTGTGCCCGATAAACTACTTCTTTGGTATCACAAGTGAAGGTAGATAATAGATATATGAAACAATTCTCAGAGTCCATTTAACTTTTCTTTTTTAACTAGAGACAGTTACTTGTAGTCTTACCAAAATGTGTTAATACAAACCCGCAGAGAAAAGTAGATAAACCATAATGATAATTACAACTGAATTTATCCATCACAATAATTCTAATGATAATTGCTAATCTTGGTGGTAATTCACCCATTGAGAAGACTCCACCAAGGCTATGCCACTTCAGGATATAACACCTGATATCAAACTTGGTGACTGAGAAGGATCTCAAAATGCATTTGAGAAGTAGAAATCAGGAAATTGTTACTTCTCTTTCTAGTCAAGTCCTCAACATCCACGTCAAGTTTTATCTTTGAATGTGAGGTGGGAGAGCATATATTTCTCTGAAAAGCTTATTAATTTCCATGGTTTTCTCTACGTGTTCTTATCTGTAAAATGGGAAGAGTTAACACATGAAAAGTAGAGCCTGCCCGTGAATGAGCATATCCACTGACAGATGACATTCTTCCAGCCACTGTTTTTCACCCTGCTTACTAATATTATTATTATCATTTATAACAAGTATTTCTGTCTATGATGGTTTTGAAAGGACTCTTACAGTGTCCCTTAATAAAAAGAGACCCATAACCTAAAACAATGACCCTATTCACATGGCATTTAAGCTAAGAGCCTAAAAGGTCATGTAGGAGATCGGTCAGTATGGTGGCAGAAATTACAGGGAAAGGGCGCAAACCTTCTGAAAGGTCAGAAGGCTCTGCATAGCTTTGGGGAAGAATAAGCTGAAGGCAGCTGTTCTCTTACCCTGAGGCAGAGGGCAAGGATTAGGTACAAGGAAGTGCAGGGGAATTTAGGTACAAGGAAGTGTAGGGGAAACAGGCTTGTTTACTTATGTTAACCAGGAACCGACCTTTGGTAATTATTTATTTCAGGTGCTTTAAATTATGCCTAATCCCTAGGATGACACAAAGCAAAGTCACCCTCGCTTTCAGGATTACAGAAAATCAAAAATTACAGTAACTTGTAAAAGGCTCAAGCTTTTAAGTAATTAAGCTAGGGTTCAAGTTCAGGCCTCACTCACTCTTAAAGCTGTGCTTTCTCTAGCTCAACAAGCATTGTCATAAGTAGTTGCCTCCTTACTTTTTCTTAATTGTGCCCTTCCTTTCCCAGACTTTATCATGGCCAAGTTCAAGCCCTTATCATGCCTCATTGAAGAATTAAAAATGGTTCCAGATTTGCCCCCTTCAAATACACCCTACACACTGCCACCAGAGTTATATAACAGCAGTGCAAATTTAACTGTGACTGCTTTTTTTATGTCAACAAATCACTTCAATTACATGCCAAGCTTTCATCCCAGCCTGTGAAGCCTCCATGACATCTGCCTGAACTTCGAGAAACCCACATCTCGTGTTTTAATTTCTGGTAATATGAAACTACATTTGGTTCCCCAGGCACACCCTATTATTCATTCTGCACTGCATTTTTGCTCTCTTTTAGTGGAATAAAAGAGAATTTTAGATACGAACATGTGTGACCAGGTTTGGGGTGGAGAAAAGGTGATGACTTCCCTGACTAAAAATCATCTCGGACACCTTCTCCTTCAGAAATGCTGGCCACCTCTTATTCCTCAAGCTGAATGAGAAGAATCTCTTTCAAACTCACAGCACCCTGTGCCTACTTCTCTTATTATTATGAAATGTTCTATGCATATATATATTTCATTTAGCTTTGTTTCTCCAGTACTTGGTAATAATAGAAATTTGGTAAAAAAAAATTGTTGAAATAAACTGAACCAACTTGCCCAAGAATAACATCTAAGAAATAGAAGAATCAGTACTTAATCTATGTGGTTAAAGATTCAATTGCATGGTCCTTCTTGAAACATAATATGGGGCAGAAGAGCTAGATCATGCCCCTTCGTAAACCTACAGTAATTGTCATCTTGGGAGCAAATAATAGAGAAATATTTGTAAACATGTTATAAACCGTTAGTATCGATATGTTGTAGATCTCTGCTAATTTCTAGTGTGGATCACTGTATTTCTGAAGTGTCTGAAATACAGCACCAAAGTTTGCATCTAAATGAAATATGTTCATACCAACAATGCCCTTTAGTAATCGTATAATTACTGCATTGCCTGGTACTGTTTACAGACATTCAGTTATTAAATACAGATTTAGATGCAAGGAAGGAAATCAGAATTTTTCTTGTTATGCTCTCTATTGAGAAGTAATTGAAGACTTAAATAGAAAACAAAGCATGAAAGACCTTCCACAAACCAAAAGTTAAACATACATTAAATGATCATTATCTTTTACCTTAAGAAAATTATGAAAATGGAGAATATTTTATCTACTGCCTATAAGGGGTGAACATATATATTAAATATTAAAAGAAAAAATTTCAAATTAACTCCTTGAGACTGACATTATCTCCTCATTGAATTTCAAATTAAAATAATTTCCCCTGTTGAAAGAAATGCCTCCCTTTCTTTCCCCGGATCCCTTCTTTCATTTGCCTCTTAGATGTGAGTGTCTCTTGGATGCAAAAGAGACTTTGGCTCTTTTAATCTCTTTTGCATTCTGTAGATTTCATCAAGGAACTTCACTTCAATTAACACTCAGAACCAGATTACTACCAAGTTCATGACTTCAACCCATTTGTCTCTTCTGTCCTCCATTCTTTTACAAAGATCTTGTAGACATTTGTAGGTGGCTATACAGGAATTACCTTAACCTCAGCATATCTGATGAACCTGGTCATCTTCTGCACAAAACTTAAACACACATTCCTTATTCTGGTAAATCACACCACCCAGTTAGCATCTAGCTTTCCCCTGCTCTCTCCCCTACATCCAGTTTTTACCTAGTCATGTTGATTGTTCTTCCTAAACATCTCTTAATCTGGCTCCTCCTCTTTCACCCCATTGTAACCGCCTTAATTAAAACATCTGTCATTTCTCACTGCACAATTGCAACAACTGGTTTTCCAGCCTCCAGTTTCTTTTCCAATCATACTTTTATTCCACGGTCAGAGATGTATTTCTATACTGACAGTCTGATCACATGACTCTCCTGATTGCAATATTTCAATGCACTTCCACATATAGGAAAGAAAATTCAAACATGTCTTTTGTAATATGACTTACCTCTCAGTAAGAGGTCATCTTCCACCTCCAATGTCTGACTTTTTCATTCAACCTGGCATGGCTCATGTTATACCCTCTGCAAAATTATTCTTCTCTTTTCTTCCTCTCTCACCTTCTATTCTTCTCTACCCTGTATCTTTCCAGAGAAATATACTCATCCTTCAATCTTGGCTGAAATGTAACTCTTTCTTGGAATCCTTCTGTGATTCCCCTAAGCCCTTTCTGCCAAAGCTGTGAACACAGAAGCATCAGAGTTCTTCTAAGAGCTGGTTGGTAGTGCAGAATCTCAGGTGTGCCCCAGACCTACTAGGTCCCATCCCACCCCAGGTGGTTTTTATGGATGTTAAAGTTTAAGAAGCCCTGTGGGTAGCTATTTCTACTCCCAAAACTACAGTAGTATCAGCAACACCTGGGAACTTGCTGAAAATGCAAATCACAATCTGATAAAAGACTTGTATCCCGAATATATAAAGGATTCTCGAAACTCAATTTTAAGCAAACAACCGATCAATTTTTTTTAACAGGCAAAATATTTGAACAGACACTTCACCAAAGAAGAGGTACACATGGCAAATAAGCAATTGAACAGATGCTCAACCCAATTTGTCACTAGGAAAACTACCGGGAAGTGTAAATATTTACCTGTCAGAATAGAAATAACAACAAAACCTGGCAATATCCACTGCTGCTAGCAAGAATGCGAAGCAACTGGAACTCTCAAACATGGCTGGAGGAAATGCAAGATGGTGTAGCCACTTTGGAAAACAGTTTGTCAATTTCTAATAACGTTAAACACACACTTAGTACGTGACCAGGCAAGCTGTTACTCAGTATTTACCCAAGTGGAATAAAAAAATTATATTCTGGCCATGAGTCACAGTGGCTCATGCCTGTAATTACAGCACTTTGGAAGGCTGAGATGGGCAGATTACTTGAGGTCAGGAATTCAAGACCAGCCTGGCCAACATGGTAAAATTCTGTTTCTACTAAAAATACAAAAAGTTAGCCAGGCATAGTGGCGCATGCCTGTAATCCCAGCTACTCGGGAGGCTAAGGCAGGAAAATCTCTTGAACCCAGGAGGCAGAGGTTGCAGTGAGCCCAGATCACACCACTGCACTCCAGCCTGGGCAACAGAGCGAGACTCTATCTCAAAAATAAATAAATAAATAAATAAATAAATAAATAAATAAAAGAAACAAACAAATATTATATTCTAACAAAAACAATGTAGATAAATGTTTATGGCAGCTTTATTTGTAATCTCCAAAAACTCAAACCAACCTAAATGTCTAAATGTCCTTTAACTAATGAATGAATAAGCCAACATATTACACATTGTGTAAATGTGTTTGATTTACGCAATGAAATGCTACTCAGCAAAAAAAAGGGAATGAACTATGGATATGCACAAGAACAGAGATAAACCTCAAAAGTATCATGCTAAGGGGAAGAAGCCAAACTTAAAAGGCTGCATACTATGTATGTTTATATGCCATTCTGGAAAAGGGAAAACTATAGGAATAAAGAACAGGTTCATAGTTGTCAGAGACTCATGGCATGGGGAGGAATTGACTATGAAAGAACATGGGAGAATTTTAGAGAGTGATTGAACTGTTCTACATCTTGCTTTTGGTGGCAGGGTGATTATATAACTTGACATTTCTCAAAACTCACAGAACTAAACACTAACATGGGTGAATTTAATGTATGCAAATGATACTTTAATAGGAAAATTAAAAACATTTATTATACAAAATACTGTAATCCATTCATTCTAAAGCAATTTCTTTACATTTTAACACTTCTGAAATCGTGAGTCATCTTATAATCAATGGCAATAAATATCATGTCATTGCTCCAATGGGCAGTGTTTCTTCCCAGTGAAACAAAAGATAATCGTGTATCTCATAATCAATGTTGTTGTAGATTTGATGAAATATGGTATGCACATGTACTTTCTCTGGTTAGTTAAGTTACACAAGCTTATTTCTGAAATTGTATAAAATATAAGCCAGGCATGGTGGCTCACACCAATAATCCAACACTTTTGGAAGCTAAGGCAGGAGGATTGCTTGAGGCCAGTAGTTCAAGACCAGCCTGAGCAACATAGTGAGATCTTGTCTCTACCAAAAATAATTTTTTAAAAATTTGCAAGGCATGGTGGCATGCGCCCGTGACCCCAGCTACTCAACAGGCTGAGGTAAGAGGATCACTTGAGTTTAGGGGATCAAGGCTACAGTGAACTGTGACTGCACCACTACACTCCAGCCTAGGTGACAGAAGGAGACCCTACCTCAAAAAAAAAAGTACAAAATATAGACTTGTAAAAGGAAAAGTAAAATTAGTCAATAATTCTAGTGATTATAGCATTATTATCTTTTTACTATGCCCATATGTCCATGCTTATAATTGAAAACATTTGTACTTTTGACAAATTACCTAGTTTTGAATGTCACCCCTACCACAGAATTGCTCAGATGACACTAGGTGACATTTCTTACTTTGTCAGTTTACTCAAATGACATCTGAATTTGCCCTATTTCCTATTGATCACTCAAACAGATATCTTCAAACTTTTTTGTTTGCTTGCCCACTAGAAATTTTTTTTGTAAATTTTACACTCAATCACGTTTTTAGTTGATTTAAAATGTTTCATTATAACTGTAATTAATATACTTTCTCCAATTCTCCAATATTGGGAATAAAACAAATACTTCACTATTTTTAATGAATCTAATGGAATTTGAATACCATTAATATGTAATAACCCCCTAAAAAATACATACACGAAAAAGTCGTTGTTCAGCTATGAAAATTTACATATTTCTTTTTTATAACTCTACCATGTAATTTCAGTCCACAGAATTTTAATCTAATTATACAATATCTTATACTTAAAAGTTTATTATTGATCATTTTATCATGCTTTCCCATACCAAAAATATGTACAGAAGTTAAAATTTAAATTTTGTTTTCCTCCTTGTAACCAAAAGACTTTACATATTTAACAGTTTCTCCTGGGTTATTTTTATAACTATTATTAGTTCATCATTAATCAAAAGAACACCTGTTACAAATTTTGGTAAATAACCATTAAATTTGAAAGTTTAATTTTATTAGAAATGTACATCTTAATGGGATGAATGGAGTTATTTTCCCCAGTTTCACTATTTATACATAAATGGACAGGATTCTATATTAATCTACACATGTTTTCCCCAGTAATTCCTACTTGGAATTACTAAGTAACATAGGTCACACAAATGAATGTTTCTTGTTGGTGGTGGGGTGTGTGTGTGTGTGTGTGTGTGTGTGTGTGTGTGTGTGTAATCAGCTGAAAACTCCATTAGGTTCCTATTTAATTTTATGGAAAGAAGAAACATAGGAACTGCTTGACATGCAAGTAAATTTGTTACACATTATATTAAAATAGAAACCTTGGACACCTCAAATTCTCTTGTCTACACCCTTCTTTCTCTGCCATGGTCAGCACTTTACTTGCACAAAGTCACTCTTCCACTTTCATATTTGAATAAGACACTATACTTTAAAGAATAGGAACTGGTTTTCTGAGCAGCCACCAAGATGCAACCAAGAAGTATGGGGGAGCTAGATCACCGTGGATGTAAATCTTGATCAAGGAGAAGAGGATGTGGAAGGGAGCCAAGGAGAAAATTTCCCCCTCCTTTTTCTCTCTCTTATGGACTACTCAGAATGGGTTGCTCCTTTAAACCCTTCCAGAAAGGTCTAAAACACAGAGTGACTGTGACTGCTAAATAACTTGCTATGTCTCTTTGTGGTTTTGTTATGGTAATCAGTATAGTATACTGCTTGCCTCTCTTCTCCTTCCTTGCCTTTTCTTTGCTGCCTTAGGCTTGTACTTTCCATTTGTAAAGTGTTAGTCCTGGCAAGAACTATGAAAGGCCTGAAATTTTACCCTGCCTGCAAGTTACCAAATGAGCCTGCTACAGTTTCACAGATGCTGACAAGAAGACATGAGACTTCTGGGTCAGAGACAAAGAACTTTAGTACTCACAGCACAGCAGGCAGTGAGTAGTGTGAACTCCATGCTTACATTGGCTTCCTTTGTCTACCAAGTCACCTGGGGGACAATGTGCTCCCAGTAGATTTCTGTAACAACTGAGAAATCCCAAGCTTGGGAAACTCTCAATCTTTTAAAGGGTCTGCTAGTAAACCCACTCAACCTTTTCCCCAAAGGGGAATATTTTTTTTATCTTGCTCAAAAACAATTCTGCCTTCTGTGCCCAGGGGTGACACTATCTCTTTTTTCCAAGGTTTTCTGCTACACAAACGTTTCTCGAAACATAATTTGAAACAAAAGCTGTCACAGATGTGACAGTTGGTCCGATGGCTAGTTTATAATTTTAACTTTTATTAAAAAGAGATAGAAAATATTTAACATTTTTATGATCAAGTAAGAGGAGAATTCATGGTAATCAGGATAAATCTCACATGACATGACTTGAAAAAACAGATTTTAATCACTATTGAACAAAACACATTAAGTCTGAAAGAAATTGCATTAAAATTTTATCCACAGTTTTTTCTAATATATTTTAAAATTTTCAATATTTCCAGAAAATAATCAACTATATTTAAAACAAAGCTTTAGTACTGTATGTTTTTAGGTTATTCTTTGGTGCTTTTAAATACTAAAGAATAATATTGAGAAGAATAGGAAAGCTTTCCTGTCATTTAAATATGCAGAAAATATTATTTTTAAGCATTTAATAATTGTTACTGATGCTCTTTCTGCTATGTTCTTAATGAACTTCCTTATGGAAGTTCAAAAAAGAATTTTTTTGAAATAGGAGACAAAAGAAGTCTGGGCACAGTGGCTCGCGCCTGTAATTCCAGCACTTTGGGAGGCTGAGAGGGGATGATTGCTTGAGCCCAGGAGTTTGAGACCAGCCTGGGCAAATAGTGAAACCCCATCTCTTTAAAAAAATACAAAAGTTAGCTAGACATGGTGGTGTGTACCTGTAGTACCAGCTACTTGGGAGAATCCCTTGGGTCTGGAGGTAGAGGTTGCAGTGAGCCAAGATTGTGCCGCTGCACTCCAGCCTGGGTGACAGAGCAAGAACTTGTCTCAGAGCAAGACCTTGTCAAACAAACAAACGAACAAAAAAACACCAAAAGAAGGAAAGAAGCAACATTGCTAAATAAAAATTTATACCTTTATACCTACCTGAATTCACCGCATTCTTAAGTGGCAAAAATATCATTTCTACCTCTAGGCTTTATCCTTAACAAAAGTATGTATGAAGCTGGGAGAGCCTAAAAGCCCTCTAGGTTCATGGTACTATGATTAATCACTGGGAAAGGCCTCCCCTTCCTTAGGCACCCAGATTTGTTTAGCCTTCAGGGTAATGCACCTTAGTAACTTATAAAATGAATGAGGAATTTGCATATCCTTCATAAAGTGGTATTTGGGCTTTTGTGAATATAGGCTTGATTTCTGGCAGAACAATTTTGGGGAAAAGCTACATATGGAAGTAAAGTGTCAGAAAATTGATTCCCTTAAAACTCTTCATGTTTAGGTGTCTTGCAAAATGTTCACATCCTCCCAGGTTGGCACCACTACTCTATGCTATATTGTACCTCTCAAGATTGGGAAGGATGCTAAAAGCTTATGAAAATTATCAGTTAGTAAGTTACTGATTTACAAAAGCTCAAAAGTGCCTCAGTAAAATAATAAAATCTAGTCTTATTGTCATGGTTAGAAACAAGACATAAGGAAGATAATATGATTTAACCCAAGAAAGAGTAATAGCCTCAGACAATTTCGTATCATCCTACCATTTTTCTTAGGATTGAAGTTCTTCTGGTCCTCCATTGCTGCCCTACTTGCTCTTTCCAGGTATCCATGTACTGATGTATTTCATCTGCTGCAGCAACATACATTCCCTTAGGAACTTCTCTGTGTAGAGTGGAATCGGAGTCTGCTACAGTGATCTTTTCTAGGACATTTTCTCAACCTCCCACCCCAGGCTGAGCTCACAAAACCTAAATGTAGTAGCAGTTGTAGACTCCTCTTACTGTTTCTTTTACTACACGGTGAGAAAATGCATTAGAGAATAACAAAGAAAACTTATCTTTTTGTCACCTTGAAATTTTGAAGTCCAACTATATTCAAAGCACTATGGAAACCTTGCATAATGATTGGTTCTTTAAAACACAGTTGGATTTTAGCCTATTTGCTTTTATTGTATTGAAGAACTATTTAGCATTAGGTTGGCATGTTTCAGAGGTTCCAAATATAATTTTATAATGTTTAGTGGTAGAATCAACATTCAAAAAACTCTAAATTTGCAACTAAGATATATTGCAATTGTGTGCCACTCAAAAAAACAAACAAAAAAACCCTTAATACCTAATTAGGACACCTTGCCACCAGGTGGCAGGGGAATGCCTTCATTTCATGAACTGAACTACTTGGTAAAAACTATTGTTGCTATTTATTTCATTTATTTGCTTTTTATTGAAATCTAGGATCAATTGGAGACCAGTATTAGTGAAGTGGTAATCATTAACAATTTTAATCATTGATTGATATAAATTACTCTCTTTCCTGTATCATCATGATGTTTTGATGACGTATCAACTATAGCATCAAACATCTCCTCTAGTTTACTGGTTGATAACTTATAGTCTCTGGGGGCCTTGAAGACCCTTTCAGAGGCTTCGTAAAGTCAAGAATATTTTATCACTAATGCTAAGACATTTTTGCATTTTCATTCTCATTTTCTCATAAGTGTATGTACAGTAGAGTTTTGCAGAGGCTACATGACATGGGATAAGATGATCATACTGACACTTAAAGTAATGTATTATTATTGTATACTTGTATTTTAAATTTTTTCAGTTTTAATTTCTAACGTGGTAAATATTGATAGATATAAGCTAAACAAACAAAAATTCTTTAGGATCCCCAATAATTTTGAAGAGATTGAAGGAGTCCTGAGACCAAAATAATTTTAGAAGTACTTCTCTAAGTAGTTAGTTAACTCTAATTAAATGTATTCTCAGCAAACTAACACAGGAACAAAAACCAAACACCGCATGTTCTCACTCATAAGTGGGAGTTTAACAACGAGAACACGTGGACACATGGAGGGGAACATCACACACCGGGACCTGTCAGGGGGTGGGATCTAGGGGAGGGAGAGCATTAGGAGAAATACCTAACATAGATGACGGGTTGATGGGTGCAAGAAACCACCATGGCACATGTATACCTATGTAACAAATGTGCATGTTCTGCACATGTATCTCAGAACTTAAAGTATAATAATAAAAAAAAAGTGCATGTATTTTTCTATGTCTCCCAAGGATAGGAATTTTTATCAAATTTACCTTTGGATCCTATCCCATTGACAATTTAGCACTGACCATCATAATAGGTATTCAAAAAAGAAATGTTTGTTAAAAAACAGTACTGCTAGCTGAGAGCTATTATTAGAATAAAACAGTATTAATGCAGACTTTAAAAACAGGTATTTAAAGTTTCCTCATTAAAACTGAAAAACAAAATAATTAATTCTAATATACGTCTTCAGGTAAAAACTTAAACCATGTATAATTTAATCCCTTTGAAATTAAAATGCAATAGGACTTTGCTGATGAATATTACCTTTATATTCTACAAATTTGTATCTCCTATGCAAACTTCTGTTTTTTAAGTTAGCATATTTGATAGGGTTTGGCTCTGTGTCCCCACCCAAATCTCATCTCAAATTGTAATCCCCACATATCGAGGGAAGGACTTGTAATCCCCACGTGTCTAAGGAAAAGAGCTGCTTGGATCATGGGGGTGATTTCCCCCACACTGTTCTCATGATAGTGAGTGAATTCTCATGAGATGTGGTGGTTTTATAAGTATTTGAATGCTCTTTCTTCCTGCTTCCCTCTCCTGTCACCATGTGAAGAAGGTTCTTGCTTCTCCTTCACCTTCTGCCATGATTGCAAGTTTCCTGAGGCCTCCCCAGTCATGTGGAACTGTGAGTTAATTAAACCTCTTTCCTAAATTACCCAGTCTCATGTATTTCTTTATAGCAGTGTGAAAATGGACTAATACAGGAAATTGGTACCAACGTAGTGGGGCACTGCTATAAAAATAAGCTGAAAATGTGGAAGAGACTTTGGAACTGGGTAATGGGCAGAGTTTGGAACAGTTTGGAGGGCTCAGAAGAAGACAGGAAGATGTGGGAAAGTTCGGAACTTTCTAGAGACTTGTTGAATGGTTTTGACCAAATATTGATAGTGATGTGGGCAATGAAGCCCAGGCTGAGGTGGTCTCAAATGGAGTTAAGGAACTTGTTGGGAACTGGAGTAAAGGTGACTCTTGCTATGTTTTAGCAAAGAGACTGGTGACTGTTTGCCCCTGTCCTAGAGATCTGTGGAACTTTGAACTTGAGAGAGATGATTTAGGGATTATGGCAGAAGAAATTTTTAAGCATCAAAGCATCTAAGAGGTGACAGAACATAAGAGTTTGGAAAATTTGCAGCCTGACTGTGTGGTAGAAAAGAAAAACCCATTTTCTGGGGAGAAATTCAAGCCAGCTGCAGAAATTTGCATAAGCAACAAGGAGCCAAATGTTAATAGCCAAGACAATGGGGAAAATGTCTTCAGAGCACATCTGAGAACTTCATGGCAGCCCCTCCCATCACAGGCCCAGAGGCCTAGGAGGGAAAAACTGTTTTGTGGGCTGGGCTCAAGGCCCTACTGCTGCGTGCACCCTTGTGATTTGGTGCCCTGTGTCCCAGCTGCTCCAGCTCCAGCTTAGCAGGGGCCAAAGTACAGCTAGGGCTGTTGCTTCAGAGGATGCAAGCTTCAAGCCTTGGCAGCCTCCACGTGGTGTTGGGTGTGCAGGTGCACAGAAGTCAAGAACTGAGGTTTGTAAACCTCCACCTAGATTTCAGCAGATGAATGAAAATGCCTGAATGTCCAGATAGAAGTCTGTTACAGGGGTGGAGCCCTCATAGAGAACCTCTGTTTGGGCAGTGCAAAAGGGAAATGTGGGGTTGGAGCTCTCACACAGAGTCCCAACTGGGGTACTGCCTAGTGGAGCTGTGAGAATAGGGCCACTGTCCTCCAGACCTCAGAGTGATAGATCCACTGACAGCTTGCACTGTGCACCTGCAAAAGCCACAGATACTCAACACCAGCCCATGAGAGTAGCCGCAGGGCCTGAGCCCTGCAAAGCCACAGGGGCGGAGCTGCCCAAGGCTGTGGGAGCCACCCTTTGCATCAGCATGCCCTGGATGTGAGACATGAAGTCAAAGGAGATTATTTTGGAGCTTAAAGATTTAATAACTGCCCTGTTGGATTTCAGACTTGCATGGGGCCTGTAGCCCCTTTGTTTTGGCCAGTTTCTCCTATTAGAATGGGAGAGTTTATCCAATGCTTGCACCCTCATTGTATCTTGGAAGTAACTATTAATAACTTGCTTTTGATTTTACAAGCTCCTAGGTGGAAGGGACTTGTCTCAGTTGAGACTTTAGACTTGGACTTTTGAGTTAATGCTGGAATGAGTTAAGACTTTGGGGGACTGTTGAGAAGACATGATAAGTTTTGAAATGCATAAAGGGCATGAGATTTGAGAGAGGCCAGGGCAGAATGATATGGTTTGGCTCTGCGTCCCCATCTAAATCTCACCTCAAATTGTAATCTCCACCTGTTAAGGGAGAGACCTGTAATCCCCATGTGTTAAGGGAGGGAGGAAATTGGATCATGGTGACAGTTTCCCCCATGCTGTTCTTGGGATAGTGAGGGAGTTCTCACAAGATCTGATGGTTTTATAAGTGTTTGACAATTCCTCCTTCACACATGCTTCTCTTACCTGTGGCCTTGTGAAGAATGTGCCTGCGGCCCGGCTCAGTGGCCCATGTCTGTAATCCCAGCACTTTGGTAGGCTGAGGCAGGCAGATCACGAGGTCAGGAGATCGAGACCATCCTGGCTAACATGGTGAAACCCCGTCTCTACTAAAAATACAAAAAAAAAAAAAAATTAGCTGGGCGTGGTAGTGGGCGCCTGTAGTCCCAGCTACTCGGGAGACTGAGGCAGGAGACTGGCTTGAACCCGGGAGGCGGAGCTTGCAATGAGCCGAGATCGCACCACTGCACTCCATTCTGGGTGACAGAGCGAGACTCCATTTCAAAAAAAAAAAAAGAATGTGCCTGCTTTCTCTTTGCATTACACAGTGATTGTAAGTTTCCTGAGGCCTCCCTAGCCATGCAGAACTCTGAGTAAATTAAACCTCTTTTCCTTTATAAATTACTCAGTCTCAGGTATTTCTTTATAGCAGTGTGAAAACAGAATAATACAATATTTTTCTATGGAGTATCATATTCTGAATACTGTTTTTTCCTTATAAAAGTTATAAAGTCTTTTATATTAGAAGCTATGAAAACTGAATAGGGAGTCATGCTTAATTATTCATTGAGGACATGAGAAGTGTTTAAACATCAGAAACACGGAGATATTTTTATAATGCAGTATCATGTGAAACTGGAAAGTAATCACTGAAAATCTATTTATATAAGATATGAAGAACTGGCGTACTGAGAACAGCCTTTCAAACATAGGCAAGTGCAACTTGCTTTGAAAAAAGCTGTGATAAGAAGAAGCATACCCATAGAGGAAAAGCCTTTAGGCCCCTACAATCAAGAGAGGTTTGGGGGCTGACCTACCACTTCTGACTACTCTGGATACAAATTTTTATTGAAATTATCAGCTGGTTTCACTCAATTTATGTATTTAAAGTGCTTAAAGTAATTGTTTTCTTTGTATAATTTTGAACTAAAACATTGATAGTAACTGAATTCAAGCTAAGGAATAAGAAAAATATATAGTAAAGTTTTAATGAGTATAATTATTTATTGGGCCAAAACCTTATAAATAATATTGTGTGATTCTGACATTTCCTTCAATATTTTCAGACTAAGGAACAAATTATATCTCAGGGGGCTAAGAAAATGTTTTAGAAATTAAATATTTTCTCTTTCTTATTAAACAGAGGTTTTATTGTGAACTGATTTCTGTATTCCATATCATTTATATCTCATATAAGTCTTGCTAGAATTTTTCCTCTCTTTTATCAGAATTGAAATCAACATCAAATATTCTTAGGTTCTCCAACTACAGTTGTTCTAAGTTTCTGCTTTATTTAGAGATTCTCCATAAACAATTCCTGCAGCTCTTGGATTTGCTCTTAGTTGTATAGAAGGTAATGAGCTTTCCTCCCATCCAATGTGTGCTGTAAATTCATGCTACAGCTGCTCATCATGTAAGAAGTGGTGGCTTTATTTGTGTGGTACACAGCTTTCAATTTCTCTTCCTGTTCTGCCTGCAGTCTCTGGTTTCTCTATAAGGTGTAATGCAGTTTTTCACTTTTTGGAGGTTTGTTTTTGGGGGTCCCCCATCTTTTTATTTGCTCTATACTGTACTTGGAAGGATTATATAGATCAACCCTTATTTTTTGTTGCAATTATCTCCATGATTATTTAACTTAAAAAAGAATTTCCTTCACCAAACACTATTAAAAATAAATTTTGATTACATGACATTCTCTTAGTCAATTAAAAATCCCCTCTGATCATTGAAACCATTTCATGTTCATTGTAGTCTGGAAAATACTTGTCCTTCTTTCATCCTGCCTCTTCACAGGATGGAATCTAAATTTCCCAAATGCACTTTGTTACATTTTTCAAACACACCCATCTTTCCAATGGCAACTTAAAGACCTTTTAAAGGAAACTTAACTCCTTTACTATTTCTACATCAAACAACAAAACCATAAAGGATATTTCCTAAAAATAGCTAAAGATTTTGTCTTTTTAATTTCAAAACCTATGAAGCATTCTTCTATTGAAAATATTGAGCACAATTGTTTCTTGAGGAAACACACTAAGTAGGCTGGTGTCAGGGTTCACAGTTGGACTCCTCCTAAGTCCATTAAATGTCTACGCTTTTTTATCTGTGTCTGAAAAGGTGAAGACCTGGCACATTTATTCAGGTTATTAATGGGAAGCAAAATTCTATTATTGACAATAAAGAGAGATTTCAGATTATGTTCCTTGATCAAATGCTCTGTTTAATTGCTCTACTTCCCTTTTTATTTTTTGTATAAGAATAACCCTGTAACAGGATACATAAATAAACTCAAGGCTAGAGCTGAGGGTGGAAGGAGGGAAGAAATAAATAAGAGAGAAGTGGGCTAAACCCAGATGGTCTTTACCTCTTCCATCCTTTCCAAACTATCTTGTTGTAGGGCAGTGAAGGTTAACTGAGACATCACCTTTCTTGAACTCCAATTTCTCTCCCTGATTTAGCCCCAAGCATGAGGAAACCATCCATGTGTGTGATTTAGATGGGTGGCCTACTGCTAGAGCAGCCTATCCCAGCAGGGTCTCCCTGACAGCAGTAGTGTGATAGTGTGACAGAGTACTCTGGGTGCACTGACAACCCTGGAAAGCAGATGTCACTGATCTCTAATTGTGAATCACCCTCTTATACGTTATCAGCACATTATTATAAGGATTAACTGTTCAAAGAGATAAAATGGAAAAACCATCCAAAAATATAAAATGACAAGCCATACATGAATTAGTGTAGCTAATAAAGGCTGCTGACTAACTTCATAATATGCATAATATGCATTTGGCTTTATAATATAAAGATTCTTTAAAGAGAAGAAAATAAACCATTCAAGGATGCCTTCTCTCACCACTCCTACTCAACATAGTATTGGAAGTTCTGGCCAGGGCAATCTGGCAAGAGAAAGAAAGAAGGGCATTAAATTAGAAGAGAGGGAGTCAAACTATCCCTGTTTGCAGATGACATGATCCTATATCTAGAAAACCCCATAGTCTCAGCCCAAAAGCTTCTTAAGCTGATAAACAACTTCAGAAGGGTCTCAGGATAAAAAATCAATGTGCAAAACCACTAGCATTCCTACACACCACCAACAGTCAAGCCAAGAGCCAAATCAAGGATAAACTCCCATTCACAATTGCCACAAAAAGAAGAAAATACCCAGGAATACAACGAACAAGGAAGGTGAAAGATCTCTACAAAGAGAACTACAAACCACTGCTCAAAGAAATCAGAGATGACACAAATATATGGAAAAATATTCCATGCTTATGGATAGGAAGAATCAATATCTTTAGAATAGACATACTGCCCAAAGTAATTTATAGATTCAATGCTATTCCCATTAAACTACCACTGGCATTCTTCACAGAACTAGAAAAATACTATATTAAAATTTACATGGAATCAAAAAGGAACCCAAATAGCCAAGGCAATTTTAAGCAAAAAGAACAAAGCTAGAGGTATCACACTATCTGACTTCAAACTATACTACAGGGCTGTGGTAACCAAAACAAGATGATACTGGTACAAGAACAGACACATAGAACAATGGAACAGAATAGAGAACCCAGAAATAAGACCACACACCTACAACTATCTTATCTTCAACAAATCTGACAAAAAAAAAGAATGGAGAAAGGATTCCCTAGTCAATAAATGGGGCTGAGATAACTGGCTAGCCACATGCACAAGATTGAAACTGTACCCATTTCTTACACCATATACAAAAATTAACTCAAATGCATTAAAGATCTAAGTGTAAAACCCAACACTATAAAAACCTTGGAAGACGACCTGGGCAATACCATTCAGGACAGAGGCATGGGGAAATATTTGATGATGAAGACACCAAAAGCAATTGCAACAAAAGTAAAAATTGACAAAAAATCTAATTAAACTGAAGAGCTTCTGCACAGCAATATATATATATGTATATGTATATACATATATATACATATATATATACATATATATATATCAACAGAGTAAACAGACAACCTACAGAATGGAAGACAATTTTTGCAAACTATGCATCCGACAAAGGTCTAATATCCAGCATCTGCAAGGAATGTATAAGGAATTTACATATATATAAGAAACTTAAAAAAATTTTCAAGAAAAAAGCAAACAACCCCATAAAAATGTGGACAAAGGACATAAACTGACACTTTTCAAAAGAAGACATACATGCAACCAACAAGCATATGAAAGAAAGCTCAACATCACTGATCATTAGAGAAATGCAAATCAAAACCACAATGAGATACTATCTCGCACCAGTTAGATGGCTATTATTTAAAAAATCATAAAATAACAGATGCTGGCGAGGTTGTGGAGAAAAAGGAATGCTTATACACTGTTGGTGGGAGTGTAAATTAATTCAGCCATTGTGGAAGACAGTGTGGCGATTTGTCACAAACCTAGAGGCAGAAATACCATTCAATTCAGCAATCCCATTACTGGGTATATACCCAAAGTCACATTATAAAGTCACGTGCACATGTATGGTCATTGCAGCAGTATTCACAATAGCAAAGACATACAATCAACCTAAATGCCCATCAGTGATAGACTGGATAAAGAAAACGTGGTACATATACACCATGGAATACTATGCTGCCATAAAAAAGAACAGTATCTTGATTTTTGCAGGGACATGGATGGAGCTGGAGGCCATTATCCTTAGCAAATTAATGCAGGAACAGAAAACCAAACACCACATATTCTCACTTATAAGTGGGAGCTAAATGATGAGAAAACACGGACGAATAGAGGGGAACAACACACACTGGGGCCTTTTGGAGGCTGGAGGGTGGAAGGAGGAAGACGATCAAGAAAAACAACTAATGGGTACTAGACTTAATACCTGGGTGATGAAATAATCTACACAACAAACCCCCATAACACAAGTTTACCTATGTAACAAACCTGCACTTGTACCCTTGAACTTAAAAGTTAAAAAAAAGGAATTTCATTTTTCATAATGGATTTTCTTTTCTAAATTATGCTCATAGGCCATAAGCTGAGATTACATTTTTTTATTGCTTTCAGTTTGCTGGCCTTGGACCGTTCTGCCTGTGTACTAATTTTGTGGCACACTGAATTTCTGCTTCTTTACCAGCTTCTTCTCAAAGGAAGAAAACTGCAGCCCTGACACCTTCAAAATGAAAACAAGCAAATGGACAAACAAAATACCTCCTCCAGAACGTGGAGGCAAAGCCTTTTTCTTAGAATTAAAGGCTCACATTTGTTCACAATGCTGTTATTCTATCCGTGGGCTAGAAAAATGGACTGAAGAAAACATTGGACAAATAACTGTATGGCAAGAAACAGAGCAGACAGATTGATTCTTAATTAGTACCTATGTAGAGTCAAGACCCTCATGTATAATAGTAAGCATCTAAGCAAAGCCTTAGTAAGCATTAGGTGCTACTTAAAGCATATCAACTCATGATAGAGGTTTTTCTTATTGCAAATATATGAAAATAGGTATTATTTGCTATATAACATGTGATATAGTTTGGATATTTATCCCCCCACAAATCTCATGTTGAATTGTAATCTCCAGTGCTGGAGATGGGGCCTGGTGGAAGGTGTTTGGATCATGGGGGCAGATCCCACATGCCTTAGTGCTGCCTTTGTGATGGTGAGTGAGTTCTCATGAGATCTGGTCATTTAAAAGTGTATAGCACCTCCCTGCCACTCTCTTGCTCCTGCTTTCACCATGTGATGTGCCTGCTCCCCCTTCACCTTCTGTCATGACTGTAACCTTCCTGAAGCCTCCCTAGAAGCCAAGCAGTTGCAGCAACATGCTTCCCATAAAGCCTGCAGAAATGTGAGACAATGAGACCTCTTTTCTTTATAAATTAAAAACAAAGAAAATGAACCATTTTATCAAAACAACATATTGTTGATGATGACAATGACAAATAGGATGATGATAATGGATGGTTAATATTATTTAGGTACTTTTTCTCGCAGAGGTAAGGAACATTACTGTATTAGTCAGGGTTTTCTAGAGGGACAGAACTAATGGACTAGATATATGTATAAAGGTGAGTTTATTAAGCATTAACTCATGTGATCACAAGGTTCCACAATAGGCCGTCTGCAGGCTGTGGAGCAAGGAGAGCCAGTTTGAGTTCCAAAACTGAAGAACTTGTAGTTCAATGTTTGAGGGCAGGAAGCATCCAGCACAGGAGAAAGATGTAGGCTGGGAGGCTAGGTTTTTTGCCTGCTTATATTCTAGCCGCACTGGCAACTGACTAAATTGTGCTCACCCAGATTAAGTGTGGATCTGCCTTTCCTACCCCACTGACTCAAATGTTAATCTCCTTTGGCAACACCCTCACAGACACACCCAGGATCAATACTTTGTATCCTTCAATCCAATCAAGTTGACACTCAGTATTAACCATCACAATTACCTATGTCCACAAATATGGAACTTGTTTCATCTCTTTGTCTATTTCTAAATTCATGCATATATTCATTTATTTGTTTCAAGAAAAAAATAAATTTTGCTGAAACTATTTCATGTAATACTGGTGGAATACGTGGTATTCCTGGGTCAGAAATAAAGGCCTTTTTTTCTCACAGGACAGCAAGCTGTATGTGCATCAGCTCCCCTGCGCAAGCCCACAGGAAAAATGTGAAGGAGGGTCTAGGAGGATGCTTGCCTGTGCTGTACGTTATATTACAGAAAAAAAAATTAAAAAAAAAAAACTCTGGTCTTGGAGAACCTACCACTTTATAGCGAGAGATAAGCAAATGTGCCTCTTTGTTCCAGGAGGAACATGACTTCATTTCTCAAGGTTGCTCTGGAAAATAAAATCCTAAGAAGTGTCTCAGGTGAAGAGTACTGATGGTCTTCTCAGAGGCATTTGAACCAGAGCAACTCCATTTTGAATAGGGGCTGGGTAAAACAGGGCTGAGACCTACTGGGCTGCATTCCCATATAGTTAAGACATTCTAAGACACAGGATGAGATAGGAGGTCAGCACAAGATACAGATCATAAAGACCTTGCTGATAAAACAGGTTGCAGTAAAGAAGCTGGCCAAAACCCACCAAAACCAAGATGGCCATGAGAGTGACCTCTGGTTGTCCTCACTGCTACACTCCCACCAGCGCCATGACTGTTTCCAAATGCCATGGCAATGCAGGACATTACCTATGTGGTCTAAAAAGGGGAGGCATGAATAATCAACATTTTGTTTAGCATATCATCAATAAATAACCATAAAAATGGGCAACCGGCAGCCTTCGGGGCTGCTCTGTCTATGGAGTAGCCATTCTTTATTCCTTTACTTTCCTAATAAACTTGCTTTTGATATAGGAATTAAAAAGAAATTATTTAGGCCAATAGTAAGGATAAGGAAGTCCTCCGTAAGATTTCCCTTTTAGTAAAAAACAGCCCCCAAATTATTTATTTTCTAACAAAAAGCAGCCTGTAAAATTGAGCTGCAAACATAGATAAGCAAGCTGGAAGCTTGCAGGGGTGAATGCCAGCAGCTAAAACAATAGGAAAAGGCTACCTGGGGGCTAGGCATGTTCAACATAGTGGCTCCATCTTCCCTTTTCCTTCCAAACCATTCGTACAGTAAGGAGCAGGCAACATGCTGCTGGCCAGGCAAAGACTCCATTTGCATAATAGAAGATTAGGGTGGGGCAGCCATCTTCCTTGGGTGCTATGTAAATGTCACACCTGGTCCAACCAATCTTTGGTCCCTATGTAAATCAGACACTACCTCCTTAAGTCAGTCTATAAAATACGGTGCACTTTGCTATTTTCCTTTATCTTTCTTTTTCCTATTAAACCTCTGCCCCTAAACCCACTTCTTGTATGTCTGCGTACTTGATTTCCTTGGAGTGAGGAGACAAACCTTGAGTATTTACCCCAAACAATGCTGCTTCACTTTCATTTTACTCTACAGGCTCGCCCTGAATTATTTCTTGTGTGAGATCCAAGAAGCCCCTCTTGGGGTCTGGATCAGGACCCCTTTCCGGTAACAGTCTTGCATTCTTGGCATACCTAAAAGCATTTCTGACAAGCTCCCAATAATACCAGTGCTGCTGGTACATTGTCTATATTTTGAGTAGCAAGGAGCTAGGGTTCCAGTTAAAAAAAATAAGATCCAAGGTCCCATTCCAAACCCACTGAATCCAAGTCTCCAGAAGGAGGTCTGGATTATGTTACCAAACGCCCGAGGTGAGTCTTTAAGAAATGATAAGTATTTAAAAATACTAGTCTAGATAATAGTTGTAATCTTGAACAGCTGAAAATAAGTAAAATTAATGTGATCACATTTTATCTTCCCATTAACTTACATGCAGTTCTAGACATATTTTATTTTATGATTCAGGCTTAACTCACAGTAACTTTCAAGTCCCAGCTGACAGCTTGTGAAGAGTAGCAAAATATGCCACTTTGTTAGAAGACTTCTTTTGAGCTGAAAGCAACTGAAAAAAAGCAGTCTACAAAAAGCCCTCTGCCCTCCACCTGTTTGCCTATAAGTGCGACATAAATTTGTAAAGGTGTCCCCCTTCCCTCTCTCCAAGGAGGACAGAAGTTACTCACTAGAGATAATCTACACCCTTATCAGCCTGAAGACTGCACCAGTGAGATCTACATAACAAACCTTGCTAAAATTGGCCCTTATCTGCCATTAGTTTCTCCATATAATTGCCTTTCCACAACCTGCCACACCTAGAAACTCAAAGTCTTTACCCTTTGTCTTATCATGTCTCTAAACATTTATTGTTCTTTTATTAAGATGCTATATATGCCCAGAAGTTACTCATGCTGAGCACTCGCTTGTGTAAATGTTCTGCACATACTAATTGATACGGTTTGAATCTGTGTCCCCACCCAAATCTCATGTTGAATTGTAATAACCAGTATTGGAGGTGGGGCCTGGTGCGTGGAGCCTGGATCATGGGGGTGGTTTCTCATGGTTTAACACCATCCCCTTTGGTGTGGTTGCAATAGTGAGTTCTCATGAGATCTGGTTGTTTAAAAGTGTGTGGCACCTCCCCACCCCCTTGCTCCCGCTCTGACCATGTAAGATGCCTCACTTCCCCTGCCCTTCTCCATGACTGGAAGCTTCCTGAGGCCTCCCTAGGAGTAGAAGCTGCTGTGCTTCCTGTACAGCCTGCAGAACCATGAGTCAATTAAACCTCTTTTCTTTATAAATTACCCAGTCTCAGGTATTTCTTTATAAGAGCGCAGGAACTGACTAATACACTAATGAACTTCTGTTTTGTTTTTCTCCTGCTTGTCTGTCTTTTGCTAGTCCAATTTACAGGGCTCCCACTGAAGAACCCAGGATAAATAGAGAAAAAGGGTTGTTTCCCACCCTGCACTTGGAATGAGAGAAGTTAAGTTACTTGGGCAGGGTCATTCTGAATGGGGGCCAATATAGAAGCCAGAATAGCTGAGAGCCAGCCCTGAAGAAAGTTGGTCAACATAAGATTCTGTGGAAGTCCTCAATAAAAAGAGAACATAGACTCCAACAAGAGCCAAACTTACAGGAAACTATTCAGAAAGACATTCATTGTGGAAGCAGGAGGCAATGCTTAAAGGAATCTATTGGGTAAGCCAAACAAAAGCCAAGAGTAGGAGAAGCTGAGGAATAGACAGGGTTGGGGACCCAAGCGGTGATGTAGTTAGCAAGGCTCCAGAAACAGGAAGCCAGACACCAGCAGACAAGAACACCTTCCACTGAGGCCATTTTGTGTTATTGTTGTTTTAAGCCTAAATACCCTATCTCTCCTCAGAAAATAAGAATCTGCCAATAAAGGCTTAAATACCCCAACCTAGCAATGCCAAATAAATTAATGAAGCAAATACTTCTCTTCAAATATACATCA
Source organism: Homo sapiens (assembly GCF_000001405.40). Lineage (NCBI taxonomy): Eukaryota > Metazoa > Chordata > Mammalia > Primates > Hominidae > Homo > Homo sapiens. The sequence continues at coordinate 119,772,807 of NC_000004.12, read as the reverse complement.
GCACTTCTAAATTGTGTTTCATAGATTTTTAAGGAGTTGGGTTTCTTAAAACACATCACTGATTCATAATATTTAAAAGAATGGCATGATTAAGAGACAGGAGAAACAGAGAACAAGTTATTTAAACTGTATTTTAATTATTCTCATGATGTTTTTACCATGGTTCCCTAATGTCCCTTATATATGATTTCTACCCCATCCTTTGTTCATCACAGTCAGTGAGTTAAAAAAAAAAAATCAAGCCTTTAATCTAACAAGAAGCTGAAACAAATTTAAGATGCTTTGAAGTCACTAGATGGAAACTCAAACATATGCCTAATCATCTGTGCTGAACTTCAGTATTAAATATATATTAAACATGCTGTACTCTCAAAAGGGTTCATTTTTATGCTTGACATCACCAATTATTATTCAAGCAGATAGCAAAAGATGAAGCTCAGAAGATGATTAAATAATAAGGCAGAAGTACCAATTGAAACATGCATACTTTGGAGTCTGTAATTTCAGCAAATGGCTGACATACACGAGTATGGAAAAAAAGGTTTGCCTTTGCAGGATCTAGATGAAAATTAATAATTCATATGCAGTGTTTCCAAAGTGTTTGAGAAAACTTAATAATCAACTTCTTCCTCATGATAATTTCCCAGATTTCTCTATACCTTTCTTCTCTCAAAGTTCGTCTTATTCACTTCCCAGCTCTGATCATTATTTCCATACAGATGACTATAAATCTACTTCTCTGTCCCAGGGCTCATTTTGGAGCTTCAGACTCACATTTTCAGCTATTTCTTGGCTGTTATTTCCTAAAACACTTATCTGAACTATAAATTCAGCATAATCCTAAACTAGTTTAACAACTTTCTCCCCCAAATGAGATCCTTCTGTGGTTTGTAGGTAATGGGAATTCCATTTCTTTATATGTTCATGTTCATAATAGCTAAGTTGTTTTCAGCTTTTCTTTCTCCTTCGCCTCAAAAATCTATCAACATCTGGTCATGTAGATTCTATCTCCAAAGTGTTTCTTGCATTCTTCCTCCTGTGATCCTCATTTACTCCACCTTGTTTAAGTCCTTATTATTTTTAAATGAAGCTCCATAATAGGAGAAAGAGAGACCTCCTGTCCATCTTGAGCAGTGCTACCAAATTATTCTTTCTTATCCATGGGGTCTCACCTTACTCTGTGGCTCTAGAATCATCAAGGGTTCTTCACTGCCTACCAAATAAACATTTACACACTGGGATTCAAGATCCTTCAAAATATACAGGCCTGGCACATATTCCCAATCTTATTTCCTACTACTTTCCCTCAAATCTGATTTCCCCTCCAAATAGAATCTGTGCTTTCATCCTTCTAAGGTGTCCTTCCCTTCCTGACACTTAAAATGCAGCAAGCATGGTGGAGAGAAGGGCTGGGAGCTTTGGAGTCAGGAGTCATGTTGCATTGCATTCTATTTCTCACTAATCAGCTGTGTAATTGTTGGCAAAGTACTTCGTTTCTCTAATCCTGTTTTACAATCTGTTAAATGGGCATAATTCCTACCTCACAGTTATAATTTAAGCTTTAAATGAGATAATCCAGTAAAGGGATTCAGTTGTTCCTACCCTCTTTCCTTCAAGTGGGCAAATCTCAAACATTGCCCTCTCACTCCATTAACCCTTTCTTTATCTTCTAAACCAGATATGATCTGTCCCTTATTTTTAGCGTGAATTTTTATTATGAATCTTAGGGCACTACTTTACTGTGTACTAAAATCATTTAACAAATTGCAAGATATTTGAGGTCAATAATTTTGCTTTACCCACTTCAGGATTTCTGTGGTACCTCACATAGTGTCTTGAATCTAGCTCAGTAAATATTCATGTAACTGAACTGATTCAAATACCTGCAATAAAAAATAGGGTGTATGAAGGAAGCCCCTAATAGGCCTTGGGTCTGTGAAGACAATCTACTAATTAGGGAAATAAGAAAGGAGGCTGCAGAATAGAGAGAGGACATATTTAACTACAGAGAACAAGACTACGTGCCTTCTCACAGATTGTTTTCGAACTATGGGAACACCAAACTAAATATAAACAGCATAGCTCCAGGAGGGTGCAGGACAGTAATTGCTCTGTCCTGTAATTTGAATAATTCATTGCCACTATAGGGAAATAACAGCAAGAGTTAAAAGCTGAAAGAGGTAAGAGGGACAGAGCAATTACTGTCCTGACAGAGGTGATTTCATCAGTGGATGCCAAAAGTGACCCAAGGCACAAATAGTGTAAACAAACTCAGCACAGGTGAACCAGATCTGACCGTTAGGTAGGATACACCTTCAGGCTCTTTGCTACTATTCTGTGAAACATCTCTATTCATTTTTTAAAAGTTTTTTGCTATTAATACATATTTCACATGAATAAAAATTGGTATGATATGGTCAAAGGTTGCATTTGTCTCAGACCCCAAATCCTTTTCAAAATGGCTTGGTAAAGCCATCTTTTATCTTATTATCTAGAATTTCTTCAGATACACTTTTTTTTGAGACGGAGTCTCGCTCTGTCGCCCAGGCTGGAGTGCAGTAGCGCGATCTCGGCCCACTGCAAGCTCCGCCTCCCGGGTTCACGCCATTCTCCTGCCTCAGCCTCCCTAGTAGCTGAGACTACAGGTGCCCACCACCACGCCTGGCTAATTTTTTGTATTTTTAGTAGAGACGGGGTTTCACCATGTTAGCCAGGATGGTCTCAATTTCCTGACCTCGTGATCCGTCCGCCTTGGCCTCCCAAAGTGCTGGGATTACAGGCGTGAGCCACCGCGCCCGGCCCAGATACATTTTTTAGATACCTTAAGACGCTTGGAAGTTCTCTCTTTTTCAGCATCAATTTGAAGGAAAATATTCCTACACATTTTCCCTTTAATCTGGAGATTATTATGTTTTAATCTATATAGTCAACTCTTTTTCAAGTGGTTTCAATTAATAGCTATAGGAATAAAAACAAGATAAAAATAATGAATGTGTAGAGAATTTTTTAAAGGTTTTTTTGTAATTATTTTAATTCGGGAAAGGAGAGTAGGAAAATAAATATCAAGTGTGTTTATAACCTCATAAGAAAGAAGTAACAGCTTTGTGTGGGATACTGGTGACCTGGCTGTAACAATGTTTTTATTCCAGCAGTTTTTAAACATTGTTTTCCAACTGAGCCAATAATATTAGCAATCTAACTTGTAAAGAGTAGTTCTCAGGAGAAATGGAATTTCCCATCTAATGGAGCAGCCATGGAAAAGATAGACCAGTCAGGAGCAGGCCTTGCTCCCGATTATAGAAGCAAAGAAGGAAACCAGGACCAAGAAGCAAAGAAGGACCAAGACCAAGCCTGGTCAAAGAAAACACACAGTGCATATTTTGCTTGGTCAGAGTTCAAACCATCCTCACACTTTTGGCTTTTCCAGAGACAGGGATCCTTGGCAAAGATGCAGCTAAAGTAATTCACAATGCATCTATCACCACCCACATCTATCCCAATGGATCACACTTGACTCATGAACATGTACTGCCCTGAGGCCAATAGCACAACATTAGAGGAACTGGTGTTCTTTTACGTTCCCTTCTTTTCATTGCACCCAATAAATAGACTTGGTCCTTTATTTTATTTATTTATTTATTTATTATTAGGAGCCTAATGGTCAATAGTCATTTAAATGAGGTCATGGGGGTGTGTTAGGAAGAAAACACAGAAGCTTTATCTCCCTATTTTAATTGTTCTAGCTAATTCAGTGTATTTAAACACTCGCTTACAATAAGCACATAATAAACAAGTTAAATTTTAACTAGCACATTTCCAGTTTTAGTGTTTATTCTAAATAGTTTTACTGAACTTCATTTTAAATGAGTAATATATGTTTAAAGTGTCACTAATGAAAGTATCTATTTTGTCTAGGTGGCAGTGGAATGGATTAGCTCACTTGTGATATTAATAGTAAAAAAAATCACATGAGTTTATAGCATGGGGCTTCACACGTAATGCTGTTGATCTAATCTCCATAATTGAAATACATTTCTTTCAATCAATGTTAAGACTGACCTGAAATTAGCGAGCTATGTTTTGTATTCAGTTTACCCCAAATCAATGCTTCAAAAGATTGGTCTTTCAAATCTTTCAAAGAGTGAAAGATTTCTGTAGCCTAAAGGAAAAGAGACATTTCTTTTGTAGCCCATGCAGTAGGTTAAACAAACAAACAAACAAACAAAAACAAAAAGATACACTGCTCTCTGGGTGTTATTTTTGCTATTTATACTGTATTTGATATTATAAAATCATTAAAGAAGGAAAGCTTATTTTCAGGTGATAAACTCATCTACACGTGTCGCTCTAACCCCTGACTTATTTCTGTCTCTCAAACTATTTTTTTATACTTATGAATTAGAAATCTCAGATAAGACAGTTTTCATGAACATTGATATTAACCCATTTATTTAAGTTTACTTCTTTTAATGTGTAAATCTGATTTGGAGGATTGATTCAATATTTTCCATCAACTGAATGAACTAACTGCAACTCTGACTATTAGAGGAGGAAACACGCATGCACACACACAGTATTGTGATTGCATATAATTATTTAAATTTAAAAAACTATACTGTCAAAGTTGTATTGAAATTGACAATACTTCAAGTTTTCAAATTCTTTCTGAGTTAAAAGTCAAAGCAAAGGTGAGTCTAAGAGGAAGAGTAATAGCCATGATTGTTATTTAATTCTCTGAAAGATCCTTTTAGTATACTTCCCAAATATTGAGAAAATGAATGACCCTAAGACTGGGTAACACATTCATTTGCAACTTGGATGGTTTCAAATAATTTATTTTCAATAAAATTGAAAAAGGACTTAATTGAATTGTTAGATGGTAGATAATTTAAAAATAATATTTAATAATAAAAACTTATATAAGGAATTCCAAAAAAGAATGTATGTAATGGTTATAATAATATACTCCTTCCACTCTCATCTACTTTTTGTGGGAACAAGTCTTTTTTTAGCACTTACCTCTATATCAGTCATTCTCAAAATGTGGTCCCAAAATATCTAACGAGTCCCTGAGACTCTTTTTAAGGGTCCATCAGATCCTTTCTTTCTTTCTACATATTTGCATGATGCCAGACTTTTCTTATATATTTCAACCAAAACAACATATTGCAAAAGATTGACTGCATAAGGAGATATGAGAATCCAACTGCCTTTTATTAAGCCAGGCATTAAAGAGATTTGTAAAAATAGAAAACAATGACAATATTCTCACTGTTTTTTTAAGAGGTATTCTTCATTAAGCATGTTATTTATGGTTACATGCAATGAATTTATTACTTTTATTTTTTTAATGAAAAATTTTTTTTCAATTTCTCAATTTCAAATTTGAGAAATGAAATTAAATGCAGTAAATATTGATCAATAAAGCACACATAAGCAAAAGCTCTTTGGGCTCCTCAATAATTTTTAAGAGTGTTGGCCGGGCGCGGTGGTTCACGCCTGTAATCCCAGCACTTTGGGAGGCCGAGGCGGGCGGATCACGAGGTCAGGAGATCGAGACCATCCTGGCTAACACGGTGAAACCCCATCTCTACTAAAAATACAAAAAATTAGCCGGGCGTGGTGGCGGGCGCCTGTAGTCCCAGCTACTCGGGAGGCTGAGGCAGGAGAATGGCGTGAACCCGGGAGGCGGAGCTTGCAGTGAGCCGAGATCGCGCCACTGCACTCCAGCCTGGGCGACAGAGCGAGACTCCGTCTCAAAAAAAAAAAAAAAAAAAAAAAAAAAAGAGTGTTAGGGGGTCTTGAGTCCAAAGGGTTTGAGAAATGCTTATCTATATAAACAAAATATAAGAAAATGATGGTGAAACCTGTCTCAATATAGCAATAAGTAATATTTATCAACCCAGATCTATATAACTTATTGATATATATTCATTTCCAATAATGTTTTTATGTTTAATAATTATTTTTCATGCTTTATAACTTGTTGCACTAATCAATTGTATACTAATAATTATAATACAACATAATCCAGAATAGAAATATTAATGTCATTATGGCCACAGAATTTTTTTTAAATTCCACTTCATTATAGTACACGTAATTTTTCTGGAGAGAAGTATAATAGGCTGATCGATAAAAGATGTTAAAGCAAAAACATATATTTAATTAGGATGATATTATGTAGGGTAAATGGAATAGCATTATGTGTTTTAGGAGAAAAGAAACAATATAAAAAATTTGACAGTTACCAAAGAGCTTGCCAAGTTGAAAAACCACTGTAATACATCATTGAATTTTCATAAACTAAAAAAAAAGTTGTGTTTATTGTTCAAGGAAGCAGAGCTGTCCTCTAAGCTCTGTTTCCAAAAGAGAAAGAAAATAAGATTAGAAGCACGACAACACCAACTGGTGTGTGCTTCAGATTGGCCAAAGAGAAGAAAAAATGTGTCAGAAGCAAGACTATAATTTTCAAAGACTATAGAGAATTCCCAGTGATATCTAAGAAGTAGGTCTAAAATGAACTCAAGTCCAAATGAAGAGACTTGGAGATAAGCTCCAAAACATTTAGAACTACAACTGGCATATGTCAAGTCCTCAGAAATATTAGCTGCCCTAGTCTGCTCGAACTGCTACAACAAAATACCACAGACTTGTTGGCTTACACAACAGATCTTTATTTCCTCACAGTCCTGGAAGCTAAAAGTCTGAGTACAAGAGCCCTTTCCCTACCTTCCAGATAGCTGCCTCTTTGCTGTGTCTTCACATGCTGAAGAGAGAGCTCTGATCTCTTCCTCTAATCCCATCATGGGAACCTCACCCCCATGACTTCATCTAAACCTAATTACCTCCCAAAGTTCTCACCTTCAAATATACTGGGGAGTAGGGTTTCGATGTATACATTTGGGGGGGAATAAAAATATGCAGTTCATAACATTCCACCCTGGCACCCCAAAAAGCATGTCCTTCTCACATGCAAAATATATTCATTCTGTCACAACAGCCCAAAAGTCTTAACTCATTTCATCATCAACTCTCAAGTCTAAAGTCTAAAAGTCTTATTAAAATATCATCTAAACTAGAAATGGGTGAGGCTCGAGGCAGGATTCATCCTGAGGCAAAATTCCTCTCCAGCTGTGAATCTGTGAAACCAAACAAGCTGTGTCCTTCCAAAGTACTATATTGGGTGAGGCATAAGATAGACATTCCATTTAAAAAGGAAGAAATCAGAAAGAAGAAAGGGGTGACAGGTCCAAAGCAAGTCCAAAACTCAACAAACCAAGTTTTATTGGATCAAAACCTCAAGAATAATCTGCTTGGACTTGATGCCCTCCCCTCTGGACCTGCTGGGGTGGTGGTCCTGCCTTCTAGCCCCTTTGGGGTGGTGGGCCAACCTCTGCAGCTCTGCCAGGAAGGAGTCATGCCCCCAAGGCTCTGATTGGTCACCATTTGGACTATCAAAACTGAGAATATATCCCCACATGCACCCTTTAAAACTGAGGAGCCAGAACTGATGATCTCTGAATTGCCTTTGATGCCATTCTTCCCTTGTCTTGAAGAACGGTGTATGTTGACAGCCAAATGGTTCTATGGTCTGGTCCTGTAAGATCTAGTAAGTTTGACAGCCATCCTTTATTTCAACCCATCTCTATTTCCTTCAAACTGGAAGTGCTTCTGCTAGAGTAGCTATTAGGTCTGTAGTTCACACCCATACTAATCTCTTTATCAAATGGTTCTTTGCCCCTCCCTTAGTGTTCTCTTCCCCACACACTTTCTCATTTTTCAAAATATGAATAGGCTGAGAATATTTTAAGCCTTTAAGTTCTGGTTTCTTTTTGCTCCACAATTCCTTCTTCAAAGTAATTCTCTCTTCTTGCATGTTAGTATAAGCAATCAGGAGAAACCATGCCACTACTTCGACACTTTGCTTTAAAATTTCCTCAGATAATATTGAATTTCTTTGCTTGCATGCTCCATCTTCCACAAAACACTAGAACATGAACACAATTCAGTAAAGTTTTTTGCCACTTTATAACAAGGATCTTTCTTCCTCCACTGTCCAATAACATATTCCTCATTTTCCTCTGATACCTCACCAAAATGGCCTTTATCATCTATATTTTACCAACATTCTGTTCATGATGATTATGTATTCTCTAAGAAAATGAGAGCTTTCTGTATAGCTCCCCTCTTTTCTTTCTGAGACCACAACAGAATCACCTTTAACAGTCCCTTCACGGCAATCTTGGCTTTTACTAGAATGTACCTCAAAATTATCCCAGCCTCTACTGATTAGCCAGTTCCAAATCCGCTCCCACACTTTCAGGTATTTGTTACAGTAGCACCTCATTCTCTGTACCCAAATCTGTATTAATCTGGGTTCTCCAGAGAAACAGAAGTGCTAAGACATACATGTATATCTGAATGACATAAAGAGATTTATTGTAGGAAATTGACTGACATGGTTATGGAAGCTGCAAAATTCCAAGATATGCAGTGGGCAAGATGGAGATCCAGGAAAGCCAATGGTATAGTTTCAATCCAAGTCCAAAGGCCTGGGAACCAGGAGAAGTGATGGTTGATGAGGTAAGTTCCAGTTCATGTCAGAGTCCAAAGGCAGGAGAAAACCAATGTCCCAGCTTGAAGACAGGCAAAGAGCAAATTCTCTCTTACTCTGCTACTTTTTTCTATTCAGGCCTACAATATATTGAGTGAGGCCCAACCACATTCAGGAGGTTAATCTTCTTTACTCGGTTTACTGAATCAAACGTTAATCTCATTTAGAAACACCCTCACAGACAAAGCCAGAATGTTTAACCAAATATCTGGGCACTCCATGGGCCAGTCAAGTTGACACATGAAATTAACCGTCACATTAGTTATTCTTATTATTATTTTTATCATTTCATTACCAGTTTTTGTGGCCTTATACTATTTATAATTCACTTAAGAATTCATAGCAACTGGGGAATATCCAAAGGATAACTCTTGGGCTTCAGTCTTTAAGTGGTCTTCTCTGTGGTGCTTTACTATCCTCCTACTGCACTCCATGACACTCACTCCTGATTCTATTTTTAATATTCTGGTCATTATTTGACATTCCCTTTTGTAAGCTAACTACTCTTCTGCTCCATACTTCTATTCTCAACCCTTTTTATCCCATAGATTCTCTCTGCATGACAGCTTCAACTATCCAGGCTGGAGTGCAGTGATGCAATCACAGCTCACTGCAGCCACGACCTCCTGTGTTCAAGCAGTTCTGTAGAGATGGGGTCTTGCCATGTTGCTCAGGCTGTTTCTCCAGTTTTAACCTGCCCTCAAGTCTCTGAACCACATATTCATTGGAAACAGAGTTGAATGCTCAACACAGGCATTTTCCCCATCACCAAAAGTACAAATCTAGGTTACATCCATTGTTTCTTCTATCCTCTTAGCATTTCTTCTTCTTAGCATTAAGTTCTGATTTTAATTCTAAGACATTTATTAATTCAGCTCTCTTCTCACCAGCCCTTTCCCATCCACTGCTATTGTTCAGATCCCGTAATCTTTCAGCCAGAGTATTGTAATGGCCTGTTAACTTGTCTTCCCAACTGTAATCTTGCTTGTTTCAAATCCACACTCTCCAACCATTTCTATCTCCTTTAAATATTTTTCAGTGGCTTCTTATCAAGTTCAAGCTCTTTAACACTGCACATGATGATCACCACTTCTTCACTTTCACCTCTGCCTCTTCCAACACAATGTGCCATATTATGCTCCAAAAGATGAAACAGCTTGTATTTTTCTAAACCTAGCTATCTTTATTTTGCTTCTTTGCCTAAAATGTTTGCCCACACTTCTTGTCTTAAATAATTTGTATTCATTTATTCCAAGAAGGCTTCCCTGGCCTCAACAGTTTGAGGGCTGAGGGTCATGATGTATAGTTCTAAATTATCTATACAATATCTCCCTATCCATATCTACAGATCCTCCATTATCTTATATCATTAAGACATGGATTTTTTCCATGTATCCATTTATCACCCGGACTTTGTCACAGTGCTTAGACTATCATCATTACACACACAATGCTGAACTAGACTGAAGTTTTGGGAAATTGCACACAATTCAGGGCCATGCCTGGATAAGTAAACTAACAAGGTGAAATAGTTGTTTCTGGGGGAAATTAAAATCTGTTTTAGATGAGGCTTCACTAAGAACCTGAAAGGGAGACATAAGAAGAAAAAAAGGAAAATGCAAAGACTTAAAAAGTAGAGTTTAATCATCATAAAATCATTCAAATCTAGTTAAAGATTATCTAAAATCATCAGTCTTTTCCACTTTCAGCTCTATCAAGTTTAGATGCTAGTTTCTGCTTCCCTCTCCAAAAGGACTGAATTATTTAGAGGTGTAGGATATACAGTGCTCTTCCTCATCTCCACACCTTTACCCCTGCTGTTGCTTGTATAAAATATCCTCACAATTTTGTTCACCAGACTAACTTATACATTTTCAGGCTCAGCTCATCGGTATCGGAGGAATAAAATTACAATAGTTAAGTGCAAAAGGCATTTACAAAACAATATGAATAGTTTGATTCCATCTTAAAATTTATATGCCTACTGATATATTTGTCTGTGTGTCTTTTCAACCCAAATGTATGCCTTTTTTTGTACACAAAAATATCCCAGAAGCATACATTATCTACTTCTGGGGAGTAAGACAGAAGAAGAATTTATCGTGGAAATTTGTACTTTACCTTCATAATATTTGAAAAGAGCTCAGATCCCTCCTCTTGGAAGTCTGGCTGAGCTGCCTGGGTTGGATGGGGTGCTCCCTCTTGTTGCTCTGTAGCATCCTGGGCAGACTCTCAGGCATGGTCACATACCAATGTGTTTTTGTCATATATTGTTTGACTATCTCTCTGAATATCTATATGCTTTTTTGAAAGTGAAATTTGTTTCTATACTACCAACTGAATTCAGTACCTGATATATAATAGAAATTAATTTTCACAGAGATTGATTCAACAAATATGAACAGTTGAATTGAATTTCCCCATGACTATCAGTCTGACACTTTTTGTAAGAAACAGAAGTGTCAGTTTCAAGAGAAAAAAAGTGCTCAAAGCTTTAAAATTTGGTTTCTTTAGATACATCCCAAGATAGGAAAATTGTCTATAATATTCAGTCACATTTTCAAATAGCTTTCAAAAAGTCAGGAAACTTACCCTTATATACTTGTCAAAAATATGCCAGCTCATTGAAAGTGGTACTTAAAATGTACTTTTATATGAATGTTCATAGCAGCACTATCCACAAAAGCAAAAAAGTGGACACAATTCAAATGTTCAACAAATGAATGGATAAACAAATTGTGATATATACACATATAATAAAATATTATTCAGTCATTAAAAGGAATGAAGTATTGATACATACTACAAACTGGATAGACTTTGAAAGCCTTTATTCTAAGTTAAAGGAGCCAGACACAAAAGGCTATACATTGTAGGATTCCGTTTATATGAGACTTCCAGAATAGGTGAATCTATAGAAAACAGAATTACCAGGGAATAAGGGGGTGAGTGATGGAGAGTAATGGCTTAGTATGTAGAGGGTCACCTTTTAGCACAATAAAAATGTTTTGGAACTAGATAGAGTTGATGGTTGTATAACATTGTAAACGTACTAAGTGTCACTGAATTGTTCACTTTAGAAAGGTTATTTTTATATTACATGAATTTCACCACAATAAAAAATATATACCAACAGCTCATGACTTAAAGAAAGGGCAGAAGTAGTTACACAGGAGTAAATTTTATAAGTCTTTCCCATCTAGACCAAGCACTAAAAGGGATAACAATTAGCATATAATAAAAATCTTATTTATTCATGGGAAGCAAAATCTTCACCACATTCTATTTCTGTCAAGTTTAAAGGTTTGAGGGAGGTGACAGAAATTAAAAAAAGAACTATTGGGAGACAAGGTCTACAGCAATTAATTTTTGGTATGCCCTAACTACAAAAACAAAACTACAAGTTTTATTTTTCTGCAGTTGCTAAATCTGTTTTAAAAAGCTAAACTTAACTGAGTTATTTCCAATAACAATCAGGATTAATTCTCATCATTATTAAATAATCTCTATATATGCTATAAATTTGAAACTACAAAAATAGATGTCTCAAGAATATGAAACATATTTCTTCAAAATAATGCAATCAAATTTATTTGGATTCAGCTATTAATGTTACCTCAGATGGCACTGCCTTTGCTGTCATTTCCATGAGAAAACAGAAGTGACTTTTCCATACAAAAATTTAAGAATTTTAGCACAAAATAATATATGTACTTTGTTAGTCATACTAAATGCTGTCTTAATGCCATGGAATAAAAAATGTGACTTCTTATATAGTTAACTTAGGTGAAAATTACTTAGACTTAATAGAAGGCTGCACTTAAATAAGTGACTGCTCAGTACATAGTGAGGGGATATTAAAATGTATAATATCACTTCTAGAAGTGCTATTAATATTTCAAGGGAATTTTTCTAACTTACACTTTCTGTTAAGCCCAGCTTAGCAAATTATATAAAGCTTGACTTTATATAATGTGCTGAACACTGTGATAAGGAATAAAAAGATAAGAACAGAATTACTACCCTCAAGGAACTTGCCATCTACTGAGAGCCAAAGAGTTCAAATAAGTTGTAACTAGATAGCTTTATGTTTAATAAAGTGTGAGCAAGTTCCAAAAGTAGTACCAGAAAGTAGGTAATTAACTCAGTTTGGAGAAATTATATATACTAAGCATAGTATATGAGCCAACCTTGGTGGGATAAACAGGAGTTCAATGGATAAACAACATAGGAAAAGATGTTTCAGATATTCTAGGCCTATGAAACAATCCTATGGTCTTCAAAGAACTATGAACAGTTTAACAGTGAAAAAAGAGGAAGAAAAGGGTGTGAGAAGAAAAGAAAATAAAGGAGAGAGGGAAAGGGAATGAAAAGGAGAAAGAGGAGAGGAAGAACTTGAGCTGGAGAAGCCGGCTGGAACCATATTACAAATGACTTTGTTGAGTTTGAACGTCACCCTCTGACCATCAGGGAGTCACTGAAGGAACTCATCTGGGGAATGATATGGTCAGATTTGCAATTTGGAACGGTCACTCTGGTAACAATACGGACAAAAGATTGCAGGGGCAAGTCTGAAATCAGAAAAAATCCAATAGTAAACTATTATAACAGTTCAGGCTAAACATGAACAGTGCTTGAACTACAAGGCCAGAGCGATGATGCTGTAAAGGCAGACTTGCAATATAACAACTGCTGACCAACTGGCTGCTGAAAGTGAGAAAACAGAGGAAGTAGTTTTATGTATTTGGGTAGAGATTGTGGTATGTCACTAATACACATAGGGCGCGGGGAGCCAGATTACTTAGCTCTACATATGTTGACTGAAGGACTTATAGACTTGCCTTCAGTCTGGACTGAAGACCTCAAGCCAAAGATACATATTTAGCTGGACTGAAGACCTCTTCCTAAAGATAGGTATTTAGGTTGATTCGGTTTGTTTTTTGTTTTTCTTTTCCTTTCTTTCTTTCTTTTTTTTTTTTTTGGTTTTGTTTTGTTTTGTTTTTTTGAGACAGTCTTGCTCTGTCTTCCAGGCTAAAGTGCAGAGGCGCCATCTCTGCTCACTGCAACCTCTGCCTCACAAGTTCAAGCAATCCTCCTGCCTCAGCCTCCTGAGTAGCTGGGATTACAGGCATGTGCCACCACGCCCAGCTAATTTTTGTATTTTTAGTAGAGAAGGGGTTTCACCATGTTGGTCAGGCTGCTCTAGAACTCCCAACCTTGTGATCGGCCCACCTCGGCCTCCCAGGGGTGATTTGTTTTTTAATGACAATTTAAATGGATGACATTATCCAGGGAGATAAGAGGACTTAAAACTGTGAAGAAAACCAAGCTTAAAACATACCTTGCATAAGTAGTATTCTAAAGAAAATGTCATGGAAGTAGGAAATTCAGAAGAGCATAATGTCATGGAAGTCAAAGGAGAAAATAGTTTCAAGGATAGAATGATCAGCATTGTTAAATACCAGGTGAAAACTGAGGAAAACAAAGACTGGAAAATGTCTATTGAATTTGGTAATTGAGAGGTTATTTTAATGGAATGGGGAAGATGGAATACAGATTTAAAAAGGAGGACAAGAAAGCAAAGTTATTTTATTTCATTTTTTTTTATCACCTTATTTATTTTATTATTTTTATGCTTTACTCTCCAAAGTTATCATTTCAATAAGATGGTTGAGAACAAAATAAAGCCAGGGAAATATGTTTCAAAGACTGTTCAGGCTTCTTCTTTTTAGTGTGTTGAGCAATTTTTTTTTTTTTCAGGAAAATAGAATCAATGGTAATTTGGCATCTAAAATTTTCCCAGGAGCAGGAAAATTCACTACTGAAAATTCTGAAGTCATTTAAAACAGTAGAAATTTTTAAATTTTAGGAAATCCTTGACATCAGGGAAATAGGCTCCTGAGAGCAAGACATCCTAATAATTTCAGATTACCACCTATGAGCAAATAAATGCCTTTCAGAAGTGATACATATCAAGAAATTATTGACACCATAGAGACGGTAACATGTGCTGGTTAAGAACGGTTCTGGAATGTATCTGTTGAGATCCAGGCTTGGCTCTATCATTTTCTCACTGTGTGATCTTGCCCAAGTTATTTACATTCTCTTAAGTCTCATTTTCTCACCTTTAAAACAGGGATAATAACAGAATCTACATGATAGGGTTCTGCTAGCAGTAAATCAAATAACATTTCTCTTGCATTTAGTGATAAGAAAGATGACGCTGATTTGGTATCTTCTAGATGATGATGATGTTTATTGTACATATTTGTATGGTTCATATTTAGAGCCATGAAATTAAGATTTTGAAGGCAGTGAGTATAGATAGAAAAAAGAAGAGGTCTAAAAACTGTTTCAAGCCCACTCCATCTATAAGATACTGGACCTTGAAGAAGAACCGGCAAAGGAGACTAAACTCAAGCAGCCAGTGAGGTGGGAGAAAAACCAGGAGCGTACAGTCATGGAAGCAAAGGGAGCGGTCTTTTAAGAAGGTGTGGATGATCAACTGTTTCAAATACTACTAATGAATCAAGTAAAATGAGGAACGTGAATTGATCCCTAGATTTGTCAAAGGAGAAATCTTTGGTGACCCTGACAAACATAGTTTTGGTGGAAACTATGTGTGTCTTTATGTTACCTTGATCACTTTTGTACAAGCCAAAGAATAGGACAGTTTTTTGTCCATTACAGTATTTGATCCACACAGGGCCAATGAAATGTGGTTGATGTTTGCTGGGAGCTTCTGGGAAAGAAGTTCACATGCTCTTCTTGGTGAGCTAATGGAAAAGACTTCTTTGCCATTGGACATGACCAAGAAACCCAATATCCCTGAGGTTTTGGGTAGATATCTTAGACTCTTGAGATGGAATAGTTTTGCCACAGAAAAAATAGAAGTTAGGCAGAAACTAGTCACCAATAACATAATTGAATAGTAATTGTCCAAAGTCCAATGTTCCTATTCTTCCCAGAGTCAGCTTGGCTCCAGATAGTTAGATGAGCAAATAAATTCCATTTTTATATAAGACATATATATTTATTTTTCTGTTACTTGCTACAGAAATGTTTCTAACTAATAATGTAATTTATCAAGGCTGGCATCACATGAGCTGAGACATAGGAAAGGTAGTGTTTACTTGAAGGATTTTGGGCAGTCCATAAAAATAGCTTCCACCACATTCTATTCCACATGACCAGATCCTGCCCTTTTTCACCTCTGCTTACTCCTTCATTTTAAAGGTGTTCTAATCACTCATATAATTAATTAATTAAAAATCTGTAATTCTGTTCTAAGAGGATTATGGAAAGATAGTGATAGAATTTCAGTATTTTATTTCCTATCCATTCCTAGCTTGAATTTATTTGTCTATGTTGAGACAAGCAGCAATTTGTGCTGGTGAGCTGTTGAGTGTAAAGTATTGAGTTCCAAAAAGTCTTGATAGAGGAGAAAATGTGGGGCTCTGTCCCAACATGGGTTAGGCATTTATCTGAAAACCAGACATAGATACCCTCAAAATAAAGTTTGTGCTTGATGAATGCTGGGAAAAGCCTCAGAGTTCTGTGCACTCCAGGCAGCTAAGTTCAACTTGATCTTATGTGAGGGTTCTTAGTCTTACTTCCACAAAGCCCAAGGAGGGATGTCTGGTGGGCTGAGACTTCCCTATTTTTGACGATAGAAAAGTGTGAGTAGAAAGAGGAATAGGAATGATCTTGAATGATCTTTTCATTGCTTAGACAGAGTCTGTCTGCCTCCCTGTTATACAATTCCTCAGGGAGTTAGGCAGGGGATGCTTTGCTTTCCCTCACTTAGGGGACCACTGGCACTCCAAAATCTGTATCCAGGTCCCCATGAGTCCACAAAGAAAAATAACCCATTACAATAACAACCTGAAATAAGAAAACAAAGGATACAGGTACCCAGGGGTATAGAGCTCCTGGGGAAATCAGTTGAACAAAGAAATTGAAGAGCATTTTAATACAGTACACACACACACACACACACACGCACACGCACACGCACACACACACACACACAATCCAGCTATCTAACTATATCTATCTATATTTATATATAAAAATAAATATAAATTTAAATCTAAATATATAATGAGAATCTGAGAATGTGGGGTTTAAGTGCTAAATGAGGATTCTTGAAATAAAAAGATACACTGAAATGAAAGCCTAATGAGTCTAGAATTAAAAGTGTTTCACTGTGTCGACAAAACCTAGGAGCTTGTGGTGGGTTTGGGGTAGACAGGAGATTGAGGAATAAAAACATTCCAAATTTCTCATCTGATGGGATAAAGCAGAGAAGATAAGCAAGTGAAAGTATGCTAAATAATTTATTTTAGTGGAGTGAGTGGGATGAGAATTAGAAGTGGAATGCCTTGGTGGAAAAAAAAATGGTATCTTGTTTATAAATAGGAGCAGAGAAATGTGTCTGACTATGAGCAGAAGAGGGGTGCTTAACATTGATGTGGCAGACAAATATACCTCTTCTCAAATCAAGCACAGAGCTTTAATAGAAAAAAAAATTTAAGGCACAGAGAAATTGAAAAGAACAACCAACAAACTCAATTTAAAAATAAACAGAGCCCCTGCACTACAGCCTGAGCAACAGAGCTAGCTTCTGTCTCCAAAATAGATATATTAATATATGTTTTTATATGTTATATAATATATTAATATATAAATATTTATAAATTTGTATATTTTAAATATATATATAGAGAGAACTTTATCACTTATAACTCTTAAATGGAGAATTGAATATCTATATCTATATGTAGATATTCAAATCTATCGAATATTTACTAAAATTCAACATATACTTGACCACAAAAAAGCTCTTAAAATTTTTTTAAAGAAGAGATTTCACAAGTCATTTTATTTTCATTGTAATGCAATAATTTAATATATAAATAATAAAAAGGTGATCAAAATATTGTAACTACTTACAAATTTGTAAACATACTTTTTGCTAATTATTGAATCAAAGTAGATATCAAAATTAAAGTGGAAAACAATCACATAAAGCAATAAAAAGAACACATTGTAAAACCCAGTGAAAGCTGTACACAAAGGAAAATTTATAGCCTTAAGTCATTATTTTCTAAAAAGAAAAACATTAAAGACTCTAAACATTCAACTTAAAATGTAAAATAAATAACAAATACTGAAACAAGGAAAAGAGAATTTGTAAATATAAAAGTTGAAAGTAATGAAACAGAAAACAGAAATGTAAAAAGAAAGAATAGATACATTTAAAAGCTAGTTATTTGAAAAGATCAATAGGCTAAATAAACCCTTTGTAAGTCTCACTAAAAGAAGAAAAGAGAAAGCAAAATGTCAGAGACTGGAAAGAAGATATTAAAAAGGAGACAATGATAAATATAGAAAAGAATAAAAGAATTATAAGACAATAACATGCAATTTGATTGCATCAAATTTGAAAATCTATAGTAAAGGGACATTTTTCCAGCGATACATAAATAATCAAAATTAATTCAAGAAAAAGAAAACATCAATGCACTAATTACCAAAGAAGAGATTAGAAAATTGTTTAAATTAGAAAAGTATTTATTCATAACTGAATAAATCACCAGTACCAGATGGTTTCACAGCTGAATTTTATCTAATCTTATTAACAAATAATTCCAATGTTATTTAAACCATTCCAGACATCAACAAAAGATTAAATGCCACCCAATTAATATTATGAAATTAGCACTCTTAAATATCAAAATGTAATTAAAACTGTACCAAAACTCACCTATAAACATATATTCCAAATATTAACAATATTAGCAGATAAAGTCCACCCTCTGTGATCCAGTATAATTTATTTATTTTTTTCTGAGACAAGATCTCACTGTCATCCAGGCTGGAGTGCAGTGGCATTATCATGGCTTCTCACAGCCTCGACCTTCCAGGATCCAGCAGTCCTCCCACCTTAGCCTCCCAAGTAGCTGGGACCACATGCATGAGCCACCACATGCAGCTAATTCTTTTTATTTTTATTCTTGGAGAGACAGGGTCTTCCTATGTTGTCCAGGCTGGTCTCGAACTTCTGGGCTTAAGTGATCATCCTGCCTCAGCCTCTCAAAGTGCTGGGATTATAAGCATGAGTCATCATGCCCAGTCACAAGTATAATTCTATTCTAGAAATGAACTGTTTAATGTCAGGAAATCTAGCAACATAACCCATTAAATAACAATTAAATAGAAAAATATTTTGGTTATATCAATAGAAAATGAAAAATTCAAAATTCAGCAGCCGTTCCTAAGTAAAGTACTAATAAAAATAAGAATAGAAGAAAGCTACTTTAAAATGTTACCTATTAAAGAAAACACATCAAATATTATTCTAAATTGCCAAACACTAAAATAATTTCAATTAAAATCAGAAATCAGAGAGGGATTTTTATCACATTGCTATACAATAGTGATGTGGAGTATGTAGCAATATGAAAATACTGCTAACAATAAAATTATTAATTTGAACAGTAGGAAAAAATAATATTTTTTGAAGTTTGAATTGTTTATCTAACAAACGAGTCTCAAAAAGACAAAATACAAAAGAAACACTGCTAGAATTATTAAGAAATTTTTAAAAGGTAGCTGGATACTTCTTAAATATAAAACAATCAATTACATTTTTCTATCCATAATAAGCATTTAGAAGTGAAAGTGTAAAAAATAGCACATATCTTATAAACATAACAATATTGTCATATCTACAAAGTTTGGAGGAAAATTTTTAAGGACAAATGCCAAAAACAAATAAAAAGGTATGTTGTATTCTTAAATGAAAATATTTGATATTATATAAATATTATTACCAAAGTATTAGAAATTTATTACAATTCCAAATAGAATTTTTCACTTTTAATTTAAAATATTCTTAATGTTTTCTTGGAAGAAAAAATAGATGCTTCAGAAGGGCCAAGAAATATTTCTAAAAGAAAAGTGAGAGGGGACTTGACTTTCCAGGTATCATAATCTTTAGCTAAACTTTGTAATCAAATCGGTATGATATTGATCAAGAAACAGACAGATAGATGATTGCACAATATGGATAATCTATAAATATATCTGGGTGCATTAGAAAATTTAATGCATTCCACTTTAAAGTTAGTATTTTAATTTAGTGTTAAAAGGCTGGGTTATTTAATAAACCGTACTGTCTAATATGACCATTCATTTGGAAGAAAATAAAGTTAGATACCTATCCTACACTTTATTTAAAAATAAACTTCACGTTGTGCACATGTACCCTAAAACTTAAAGTATAATAATAATAAAATTTTTTTAAAAAGCATTTTACCAGAAAAAAAATAAAAATAAACTTCAAATAATTTTTTTAAAAACTTAGATATCAAAAAAAAATCCTAGAAGAAAATTAGACTCTGCACATAACATGTAGAAAAAATCTGAACAAAATGAGAAATTTAGAATTTACAAAAGAAAGAAGAGGTATACTAAACTACATAAAAATTGCAAAATTTTTATGACAAAAGATAAAGACAATTAATTTTTTTATAAAGCTAGCCCCTCAGATTACAAATGTTCATTACCTATAATATATAACGAGCTCTTACAAATTGACAACAAAATGACCAACAAAAATTTAAAAACAAAAATGAATAAAAATAGGAATAGGCAATTATAGAAGAGCAAATCATATGGATAGTAAACATCTAAGAAAATTGCTCACCGGCAGTTAAGAAGATTTAAATTGAATTAGGAAGGAGATAGTACTTTGTAACACTCAGCCTGGTAAAAATGAAACAATACACCCATTACTGGTGAGAATAAGTGGAAGCAACCACTCTTCTACATTGCTGAAGGAAATATTCATTATTACAATACTTTCACTAATGTTTATTCAAATTTAAAACACATATAATTTTGGCCTTCCATTCCACCCTGAGAATATGACCCATAAGGAAAAAGGGCACAAGAGCATAAGGATGTGCATAGTAGGGTGTTTACTACAGCATTGTTAGCAATGACCAAAAAAATGAAAAGAAGATAATTTTCCATCAAAAGGAATGATTGAATATAGTAGCAATATACACTATGGAACACTATTAAAACACTTAAAAGAAATTTAGTTAGAACTAAGCCAAATTCCTTAGAGGGAATTGCATGAGATATTATCACGTGAGAACAGCAAGCTGATAAGGGGTGCATATACTATGATTCCATTTTAAATCCATGACAAGAAAACTCTCTCTATATGTATATGCAAATCTAAATACACGCATATGTTTTCTACTATTATATGAGTATGGATAATTGGTATGTCCTAAGTTTTTAATATGAATTTCCCTGGTAGCACAAGTGGGAGGGTATGGAAGGAGATGCACAATTAATGGCATAAGGGGAAAATCAACAACAACAACAACAAACTTATAGGAAAATAATGTACATGATTCTATTATGCATCTATGTAAATCTTATATGTGTGTTTCAGTATATGCCTAAATAATTTAAAATCAAATTTCAGAATACTGGGACTGCATTTCCCAAACTGTATTCAACAGGACATTAACATTCCAAGACATACTCTTATCTATCCTTAACAAATGGCCTTCCCTGTTTGAAACTCAGGAAGTCCTGTGTGATACCACCTGATCCTCAAACACAATGGCTTTCTTTCTGCAGCTGAGGCAGCACTTACGAATTAATTATGCCATTTATTCAATGATTATATACACTATATAGATAGCTTGTCTAATTTCAACATATATGTGGAATTGTTCAGTATTTATTGCATAAAAAATGTATGACAACACAGAGAGACTCTGTCTCTAAAAAACTTTTTTTTTTTTTTAATTAGCTGGGAATAATGGTGTGCACATGTAGTTACAGCTACTCAGGAGGCTGAGACAAGAGAATTGCTTGAGCTTATGAGTTTGAGGCTTCAGTGAGCTATGATCACACCACTGCATTCCAGCCTGGGCAACACAGCAAGACCCTGTCTCTAAAAACAAAACAAAACAAAACAATGTATGAATCTAAAAAGGGAGTGAGAGTCTATGAATAGCAGGATTAAGAGGATTTGTGGATAAAGAAACTGGGCATCACTGAATAACAAGATGTCAAAGCTAGAAAAACATCTCACAAATGACGAATCTAGATTTCTAATTTTATCAAGTGGGTAGTGAGGCTTACAGAGGTGTGGATGACTGCCCAGAGCCACATGGCTGATGACTAGTGGTTCAAAAGCTCAAACCTGGGATTCTTGGCCCAGGGCTTTTTCTGCCACATTCTACTCTCTTGTATATGATTCTGGCTTTGCCTTTTACTGACTGAGTCACCCTGGATGGTTTCTTGGGATCTTAGTTTTCTTTTCTGTAAAATGCACCTATTTCTTAGGATTGGCTTGAGGAGTCAGTAAGCTTTAACTTACAAGGTGCTTGTTTCTGTGTTTGGAACACAGAACATAGGGATAGAAACCATCTCTATCCCTCTATATTTTGCCTCAGTATGATCTCGCTAGTGGCAGAAATGAGCATGTAGAAATGGCCTGGCATCTCTCGCTGGCAGCCTGAGGCAGGAGGAAAGGAGAGAGAAAGAGGTAGGAGGGAGAAGGAGGAGGAGATTAGGAGAAAAAAAGTGAGAAAAAGAGAAAGAGAGAAGAAGTGGAAGAACAAGAAGGAGATGGAGAAGAAGAAGCAGAAGAAAGAGGAAAAAAAAACTAGTGGAAATTCTGTTCCTAGCTCTCTATGGCCTCTGTGTAACCAACAGTGTGGCACATTGGAATGAATGAATGAATATATTTTTAGAGTTGTGTTTTCAAAGGTTATAGTATTTAGCAGTGAAACCAATTTTTCTGCCTGTTTATTACATGGAAAACAAAGACAACATTGAAGTGATATACACAATGATACTTTATTTAGAGTTTTTGATTCTGCATAGTCATTAAATTCTTTTCCTGGAAAAGCTATTATTAACAGTGCTAATTGTAGTTCAGCACAACAGCTCTCAATGGCTGTCAAGTTTAGAAGGGTGTTTTTCAGTAAGCTTTTGAAAGTCCTAATTGGGGGGAAAAAACAGACTCTCATAGTTTCTTACATAAACTCTTAAAGCACAGAAGATATTTGATGAAACCCTACTACCAAATGATCAAAATGGATTTTTTTCCCAATCAAATAAATGTGGTTTATACAACCGCAAATCCTAAGTAAGACAATAAATGGACTAAAATATTTACTATGTCTAAAACGCTATTAGTGCTTTTATCAGAATATCTATTTTTTCCCACTCATCAAAAAGAAATAGGTAGCTTTGAATATTATGATGGGTCTTTGAATATTATGAAGAGTCTTTAAAAAGTTTATGCAAAACGCATAATATAAAAAAACTACAAATGGATTAAAAAATTTTTTGCACAAAAGTAAATTTGTACTAACTTGTATAGCACATCTAGGATCTAGTTTGAGGCACTTAAGAAGGATAAGACACCAGCTTTAAAAGAGTCTTTATCAGAG
Organism: Homo sapiens; assembly: GCF_000001405.40. Classification (NCBI taxonomy): domain Eukaryota; kingdom Metazoa; phylum Chordata; class Mammalia; order Primates; family Hominidae; genus Homo; species Homo sapiens. The sequence goes on along the minus strand of NC_000004.12, from coordinate 119,749,695 downwards.
CAACATGAATTCTGCTAAAATTGAGGCAAGGACAAATAACAAATTTATGGTGAGGCTTGGATGGGAGAACAGTGAAATGACTGATGTTTTGCAAAAAGTTTATGGGGACAGTGCCTCAAAGAAATCAGCAGTATACAAATGGATAACTCATTATAAGAAGGGACAAGACGATGTTGAAGGTGAAGCCTGCAGTGGCAGACCATCTGCACCAATTTGGGAGGAAAAATTTAATCTTGTTTATGCCCTAATTGAAGAGGATTGATGATTAACAGCCTAAATAATAGCCAACACTATAGACACCTCAATTGGTTCAGCTCACACAATTCTGACTGAAAAACTAAAATTGAGTACACTTCTTACTCTGTGGGTGCCAAAGACACTGTGCTCAGATCAGTTACTGACAAGAGCACAGCCTGCAATGGAAATTTTAAACAAGTGAGATCAAGGCCCCGAAGCATTTCTTCAAAGAACTGTAACAGGAGATGAAACATGGCTTTACCAATATGATCCTGAAGACAAAGCACAATCAAAGCAATGGCTACAAGATATGGAAGTGGTCCAGGCAAAGCAAAAGCAGAGCAGTCAAAAGCAAAGGTCATGGCAATAGTTTTGGGGATGCTCCAGGCATTTTACTTGTTAACTTGCTGGAGGGCCAAAGAACGATAACATCTGCTGGTTATGAGAGTGTTTTGAGAAAGTCAGCCAAAGATTTAATAGAAAAATAGCTGGGAAAGCTTCCCCAGAGAGTCCTCCTCCACCATGACAATGCTCCTGCTCATTCCTCTCAAGGGCAATTGTGTGAGAGTTTCAGTGGGAAATCATTAGACATCCACTTTACAGTCCTTGTTTGGCTCCTTCTCGCTACTTTTTGTTTCCTAATCTTAAAAAAAAGAAATCTTTAAAAGGCACTTATTTTTCTTCAGTTTATAATATAAAAAAGACTGCATTGACATGGTTAAATTCCCAGGACCCTCAGTTCTTTAGGGATAAACTAAATGACTGATATTATCACCTACACAAGTGTCTTAAATTTGATGGAGCTTATGTTGAGATATAAAGTTTAAATTTTTTACCTTTACCTTTTAATTCCATTTTTCCACAAAATTTTTGAAGTTCCCTGTTATACAATTTAAGTTCTGCTGTACTTAATTAATGCACAAAATTTTATTATGAAATTTTTTGAATACTTATAAGTTGAAAAAATTTTACAGTGAAGACCCATACCATCAGCACTTAGATTCTACCATTAACATCTTAACTGTCTTGTTTTATTCCACATCTACCAATCCCTCCCTTCATCCATTAATCCATCTTATTTGTTTTATGCACTTCAAAATGAATTGAAACATCAGTCCACTTTTTTCCTATCTCAGCAAGTATTAGTGTTTTTTGTTTGTTTGTTTTTTAAACATGAACAACAAACACATTTATCTCCATTGCAGAAGACTGTCAGATGCAGGGCACATATATTTGATGTAGGAGCTGGGTTCCTGCAAATTCAATTTTCTGCCCATATCTAGAAAATACGCAGAGAAATAGCTAAGTAATATCTTGATGTCCCATAAATGGGACCATGTTTACACTGCATATGTTGTACAAACTTGTCTTATTGACTCCTTTGGCTTTTGCTTGTCTCTCCCATGACCTGGTCCTCCCTTCCATACCCCTCTGCTCCTCCCTTCCAGTAAATAATGGAAAAAGCCAGCCAGGTATGCCATCTGTCATATTTCTCTGCATTTTCATAAACCAGAAAGGAGGGATTTTTTTAAAAAAATGCTTTGCTTTACAAAAATTGAACCATAGTCTCTTACTCTGCTGTATGAATTACCAATACTTTTTGCTAATTTTTTTATTTGGTTGTCTTTCTCTTACTTTGTTGACACATTATAGGTGTTGATTCTTTTTGTATCATTTCTTAGAAACATTCTTTCCCAATTTAGTATGTGTATTCTACCTTTATATATGGTTTTATATATTTTGTCATAATTTTAAAATATTGTGTATAACCAGTTGTATCTATCTCATAGCTTCTGGGTTGCCTATCTTTAAATCTCCTCCATTAAGCCATACATATAAACATATATTCCAAAATTTCTTCTAAAACTTACTTTTTGTTTTTGCTGATTATAATGTGAAATACAAATTCAATTAATACCTGATTTAATTCCGTATACAAACTCCATTTTGAATGCCTACAATTTTGTTTTTTGTTTGTTTTTAATTATGATGCCACTCAGACTGCCATTGCAAAAGTCATCAATTACTATTCTAGAAAGTGCTGATTTCCCCTGTGTTATGGTTAACTGCGTGCATGTCTCCTTTCCTCTTCTACAATGTAAGGCCCTTGAGGACAGATGCCTGGCATGCATCTTTATGTCCTTGTGCTGGTTCTGAGCTTGTTTGCTAATGGGTCTATTTCTCATCTTCTGCTCTGAATCTCGGAGATGCCCGGGAAGAGGGCGGCTGTCTGCTGCCTGCATTTTCTCTGCTCCCTCATTGACTGCCTCAGCTGGGTTCAATTACTAGGAGGCAATAGTTGAAGACTGAAGAGTAGGAGGGAAGGAGAAGCCAGGGCATTCCTCCCCTCTCTCTGAGTCAGCCAGCATCTCTGGAGACAGCCCACTCTCCTCTATGATCCCAGTTCTTGCTCAGGACAACCTACTCTAGTTCCAGGATCTGCCTGTAACTAGGGTCCCTAAGCTCCTGTATGACAGCCTCCTCCTTCTGTAACCCCAGAAGATAGTGGCTTTCTGGTGTTGCTAATCTCTGGTTAACCTCACTGCCCGCTCTTTGGTTTCTCAGAGTTCCCATCACTTGCATAACCCAATTCCCTGGTTTAAATTCTCTATAGTTTTTTGGTTGAGCCCTGACACACCCTCCAACAGATTTAGCCATGTGCTTTGATTAGAGAAAAAGCTCAAATAAATATATAGTTTTTTTTTTTTTTTTTTTTTTTTGAGACAGAGTCTCACTCTGCTGCCGTGGCTGGAGTGCAGTGGCATGATCTTGGCACTGCAACCTCTGCCTCCCAGGTTTCAAGCGATCCTCCTGCCTTAGCCTCTGGAGTAGCTGGGATTACAGGAGTGTGCCACCACACCTGGCTAATTTTTGTATTTTCAGTGACACAGGGTTTCGCCGTGTTGCCCAGGCTGGTCTTGAACTCCTGACCTCAAGGGATCCACAGCCTTGGCCCCCAAAGTGCTGGCTTTACAGGCATGGGCCACCGTGCCTGGCCTAAATATACAGTTTTTTAAAGCAATGATTATGACGGCTTTCCACACTTTAGCACAATTACTGGGAACTGTTCATTCTTACCCATTCGACAGCATATGCAATATAATTAACCAAAATTGCTAAGTGAGTATCATCACATAACCACTACCTCCAAAATTAGAGCACTCAATTTCCCCATCACCAGAGCTATCTTCATTAACAGATTTTATGGACCCTGGACTTAGTTCAGTTTCTGTGTTCTTCATTGCCATTCAACAGCATCTTTTCACCTATTTCTACTAAATGTATAAATTATTGAAATCTGTCCTCTTCAGGCCTCCATACTCTCTACTATCTAAACTGACCTGTCAACACTTACTAAGTGACTCCACAAATTTTTACTAAGAAGAGAGTATCTGCTAAGCACTATGCAAAGCAGAAACTATAAGGGTCACTAAGATATAGTCTCTCTGAGAGCTCAGTCAGCTGGCAACTATAATGCAATGTGACAAAGGATATTGTGGTAGACAGAATTCTGAGAGGGCCCTCAAGATCCCCTATCCCTGGTATACATACCCTGTACAATCTCTTCCTGTTATGTATGGACAAGCCTTATGGATATAATAGGATATTTGCTCCCTTGCTTAGGTTACATTATATGACAAAGGTAATGGATAGTCACTCCTGTGATTATGTAACGTCACTCTGTCATAGAAGGTTGAGAAGAGAGATTCTCCCACTAGCCTTGAAGAAGCAAATTGCCATATTAAAGAGAGGGCCATGCAGCAAGGACCAGCACTGAGAGTGGGCCCCGGACAACAGCTGTCAAGAAAACAGGGACATCAGTCCTACAGCTGCAAGGAAATGAATTCTGCCAGCAACCTGAGGGAGCTTGGAAGCAAATCTTTCCCTAGTCATGCCTCCAGATGAGGACTCATCTGGCCAACATCTTGCTTTTGGCCTTCTAAGACCCTGAGCAGAGGACATAGCTAAAGCATTCTGAGCTCCTGCTCCACAGAAACTGTGAGAGGATAAAGTTTGTTTCTTAAAGCTGTTATGTTTGTGGTAATTTATTACACAGCTGTAGAAAACAAAAGCAGATTTGATGAGGTAAGCAGAGGCCATCATTAGGACCTACAAGAAAATACCTAACCCAGTCTCTATGGTCAGGGATGAATTCCTAAAGGAAGATGTAAAGCTGAGACCTGAAGACTCTGCATGAATTAGTCCAGGGAGGGAGAAGGGAATAGGAAGAAGTGGGGAGAGAGGTATTCCAAACATAAAACCCTGGAATTGGGTGCAAGAGAGAGAGAAAGACAGAGAGAGAGAGAGAGCCTGATCATGAAATCTTCTTTAGATCTCTAGTTGTTTGCTAGTTACTTCTGGCTCCAAGTCATGTTTAAACCATATTCTCTAGGACTCTATAACCTATGCTTATATTTCATCCAACCACTCTCATCTCATTCCATCATTTCATTCTGTACCCTAACCACCAGCCTTCATTTGTGTTAGGAAAGATCTGTGTTGTGTTGCTGTTGTCTTTTCATTGTAATTCCTATCCCAGACATTTTGCCAGAAATATCCTAGGTGCAGAGAACAGCTTCTTTGACTCTCAATAGGGCTCCCCCATCTTTTCGTATAATAACCATTTGATCATCTCCAGGAAGCTGTCCTGAAGTACTTCCTCTGAGTCAGCGGCTCTCTGCCCAGAATCCCACACCTCATCCTCAATGATGAGCTCCTGTAATGACTGTGCACGTTTCTGCCCATGGTATCCCTTGCTAGCATGCCTCTTCCTCAGCTTCTTGAGAGCTAGGACCATATCCAAGTTATGTTCCATCTTATTGTAGTTTCTATTATCATATCCTACACAAATACCTGCTGACTGGCTGCTTCATTTTCCTACAAGTAAGATTCAATGAGAGGCTGGACTTTTCAAAGCAGAAAGCAAATCTCTCTCACCCCTAGCCTCCAGATTACCATTCGGAACTTCTTTTCTCTTGAGAAAGAAGTATATATGCTTGCTTCAGCTCCCTTGAGGACTAGAATAACAGTAAAAATATACTTTTTGAGTAAGGACTAAATAATTAATAGAGAAATTGGCAATGGACTAAAAATTTCATTTTTGTCTTTAGTACCAATCAAGTATATGTATAGCTAAGCTTTTTTGAGTGCATATGATGTGCCCACCATTGTGTAAAGCACTTTACAAGGATGACCTTATCCCATTCTCACAGCAAACCTATGGATATATGAAGAATTTCCCATTACACAAAGAAATGAAAACGTAGAGAAAGATGTAGTAAATATCAAAGCAGACACTCACCCCTGCCGTCTGTGCCTACTGCCCATGTACTCCACCACTGTAGTCTCTTCAGGTCTTAACCTGGTCATTACTCCATGCAGAAAGTCCTTCCTGACCAAGGCCCTAACCAAATAATGTCGAGCCTGGGAAGCAGTCTCTTCCTCAGGAGACTTCACATGCTAACACAGAGCTAGGGCCTGAACTGAGATTGCTTAAATTTCAGTCACTGCCATTTATCAACCTGATGATCTTCAACTTTAATTACTTCACTTGTAAAGTAGGGATTATAATAACAATCTCATGAGGTAGCTGTGAGAATTCAATGAGGTAATGCATGTAAAGGTTTATTCCAGAGATTAGCAGTTAGTAAGCACTCAAGAAATATATTATTATTACTACTCTGATCCTCCAGAGAGCTGAAGCAAGCATATATACTTAGAGTAATGCACTTCCTACTAGTAAAAGAACAAACTCCTTCTTGACAAGAATTCTTTTCCAGGCATTAAGATGACGAATGTCAGATATGCTGTAAGTTGAAATGTTCCTCTGAAATATTATCTTAAGGTACTTTTCAAATTATTTCTAATAGAGGAAAGGGCTGTTAGTATTTTTACCATTATGATTTTTAATGGTGAACCTTGAACAACATTGTTGTAAACTAAGAAATACTTCAGTTGATTCCAAAATCCACAATAACTTTGCAATAAAATAAATAGAAGGGTGTTCAAGAGAAAGGCTCAGAGCAGCTGTACACCCAGTACATCAGACAGTGAGCAGTATGTTCATAGCGGGAGGTGGAGTTGGCTTTTTCATTATTTTCCATGTAGATTATGAAGGACAAACCTGAAAATTTTTCAGAGCTCCAGTATTTTTCAGTTAAACACTGGAAATAGTGACTATAATTCATATTAGAGATTTCCTTTTCTTTAAAATACAGATGTGGAGAGAAAATTTCAGCATTTTAATCTTTTCTAAATATGGTCTCCTTTAGTACAGTGGAAAGGACTTGACTGAGAGCCAAGAGATGTGGGCTTCGATGCTGGCTCTGCCTTAACTAGTTGTGTGGGCTTGGCAAGCTGCTCCACCTCACTAGACTCAGCATCCTTATCTTTACAAATGAGAGGACTGGGAGCCAGGTGCGGTGGCTCAAGCCTGTAACCCCAGCACTTTGGGAGGCCAAGACAGGAAGATCACTTGAGGTCAGGAGTTTGAGACCACCCTGGCCAACATGGTGAAACCCCATCTCTACTAAAAATACATAGCTGAGTGTGGTGGCAGGTGCCTGTAATCTCAGCTACTCAGGAGGCTGAAGGAGGAGAATCACTTGAACCTGGCAGATGGGAGGTTGCAGTGAGCCAAGATCTGGCCACTGCACTCCAGCCTGGGCGACAGAGCGAGACTGTTTCAAAAAAACAAAAACAAATGAAAGGATTGGGAGCCCAACTGGATGATCCCACGAGTTTCTTCCAGCTTTCCTATCCAGTGGAATAAATAACGTAGTGTCTCCTATTTATTTACTTTGGCATCTTTTATTTTTAAAGTGGACAATCACCTTTAAAATATAATAGCTGTATTACATGAAAGAGGGCACTGTGAAAACATGAGTTTAAAACATCTTGGAACAGCATCTTGGTGGCCACTAACTGGAGGAAAGCAGACTGTAATTAGCAGCCAGAGTCAATACAAAATTAAGTCATATGGAAGAGTATTCACATAGTTTCCTAGGCACAGAAATGATACTTTACATTAGAATTATATTTCAAAATATTTAACAACTAGGTGAAAAAATAAAGCAAAGTATATTATAAATAAAAGATATTTTACATGCAAATCTCAGTTGTAGCAAGCAAAGCCTTCCCACAAATTATTTTTACACATTCAAATTAGATTTTAATTCATAACAGCCAAAATTTCCAATGAGCTTACATATATATTTGTATAATACTAAAGTATGTAAGTTATTGCAAATAGGCTTAATGAATTTCAAAGCATTATACGTTTTTTTAAAGTAGCCTTCTGTGAAAGTACTTCTCCAACCCAGCTGTATATTCTTGCTTCAGGAAACTGTGCAAGTCCAGGGAAACACATTGATCTTTCATGCCTCAGTTTTATTACCTGTGAAATGGGAATACAGTAACACCATATTCCTCTGAATCTTCATAGAAGAGTAGTATGCTCCACCAAGGTAGATTGGAAATAGGAATTAGGAGTAACTATCAATGTCTAGCACAGGGGTCCCCAAATCCCAGGTCACAGATTGCTACCTGTCCGTGGCCTGTTAGAAGCAAGGCCACACAGCAGGAGGTGAGCGGTGGGCAAGCAAGAGAAGTTTCATCTGTATTTACAGCCACTCCTAATCGCTTGCATGACCACCTGAGCTCCACCACTGTCAGATCAGCAGCAGCATTAGATTCTCATAGGAGCGTAAACCCTATTATGAACTGTGCATGTGAGGGATCTAGGTTGCATGCTCTTTATGGGAATCTAATGCCCATGATCTATCACTGTCTCCCATCACATCACCCCGAGATGGGACCATCTAGTTGCAGGAAAACAAGCTCAGGGCTCACACTGATCCTACATTATGGTGAGTTGTGTAAATATTTCATTATATATTATAATGTAGTAATCATAGAAATAAAGTGCAAGTGCAAAATAAATGTAATCACTTGAATCATCCTGAAACCATCCAAAAATTGTCTTCCATGAAACCAGTCCCTGGTGTCAAAAAGACTGGGAACCACTGGTCTAGCAGCTAATGAAAGTCATTTCAAAAGTGATAGAATGGCATTTCCCTTGACGACTCATGTGAATTTTACTGGGATCCTCCAAAATCTCTGATCAACTCCTGATTTATGAATTGAGTTTCTGAGTTTTGTTGCTGTTGTTGGTGTTCTTGTTTGTTTTGCTTTATTTTTGTATTGTTTTGTTTTGTTTTGTTTTCTTCCAGGAACTCTTATGAGCAAATGTATTAATTTGTAGGCATATTTTGAAACCGCATTTTTATTTTTATTTTTTTTTTGAGACGGAGTCTCGCTCTGTCGCCCAGGCTGGAGTGCAGTGGCGCAATCCCTGCTCACTGCAAGCTCTGCCTCCCGGGTTCACACCATTCTCCTGCCTCAGCCTCCCAAGTAGCTGAGACTACAGGCACCCACCACCACACCTGGCTAATTTTTTGTATTTTTAGTACAGACGGGGTTTCACCGTGATAGCCAGGATGGTCTCGATCTCCTAACCTCGTGATCTGCCTGCCTCGGCCTCCCAAAGTGGTGGGATTACAGGCGTGAGCCACCGCACCGGGCCGAAACTGCATTTTTCTAATCATGTTCTACTTTCTGTCAGAAGGTTATCTAATCCCTAATTCAAACTGTAATACAAAACCCAACCCTATTCCTGTTCCAGGGAGATCAAACAGCTTGAAGATACCTCTCAAATCCATCTTCTGCCGAGTGTGGTAGCTCACACGTATAATCCTAGCACTTGGAGGGGGTGAGGTTGGAGGATCACTCAAGGTCAGGAGTTTGAGACCAGCTTGGGCAACAAAGCAAGACCCCATCTCTACAAAAAAATAAATAAAAGTTTAGCCAGGTGTGGTGGCACACACTTGTAGTCCTTCCTGCTAAGAAGGCCGAGATGGGAGGATCGCCTAGCCCAGGGTTTGGAGGCTGCAGTGAGCCATAAAGTGAGACTCTGTCTCAAAAAAAATTCATTATCTGCTCTCTGCATTCCTCAAGAGACATAATCTAAATTGCCAAGCCCCTCCCTGGAGAGATGATAAACAATAAAAAGGAGAAAAAGACACCTCAACAAGTGAGAGGGTAAGCAAATAAAAGACAGATTCTGCACATTGAGGATGCACACACATACACACTTGAATGTTTATCTAGGTTTTGACTGAATGCCACATTTAGGAAATTTTAGAGAAATTTATATAGGCTAGACATGAATCAAGCATGGGATTACCTGTACTGTAAGTAATTATAAGTCTGCAATTACCATTAGTAAATGGTAGTTGTGTGTCTTCTAGGTGGTCTTGACAAAATTAGTCTCTGAGTGGAGAGAGCTGCATTCCTACATGGGTGATCTGCTGCTTCTGAGCTTTTTACTTTGGTTGCTCTCAGACATTTAACGGTCATTTAATCAACCTTAAAGTACTCACTGAACAAACTCTAACTAAACATTGGGACTTAAGTGCTGAAGTTAGTGAGATATTGCTCCAGGGAAATTGATGTTTTTAGTGTTCCTAGGGCAACGGTTAATCTCTCCCAGCAGCAAGTCTGTTAGAAAATAAGGGAATGGGAACATTAAAACCCTTTTAAATTAAAGGAAACACCATGTTTGAAGATTAAGGTCCATGGAGCGATGCAATCGAACACATAATTATACAAAAGAGCACGCTGTTTAAATAATGACATCTTTACTCAGAAAAGCAGAAATCAGGAAAATTTCACTTGATTAAAAGGTTTTTTGTTGGGCAATTTTGGTTTTCTCTTGTTTGCATGTTACTCTATGGTTTTTCAATACATTTTATCTGCTGATCAGCCTAGAGATCTGGCTTCTGAAAAACCTGAAGGAATTATGTAGTCCTTACTGCAACTGAGACAAATCTGGGTGCAGAACTGTAAAATATTTAAGCAAATGCAGAGGAGAACAAAAAAGACTATTTATTTGCCTTTTGTTTTTGCCCCCAAGTGTTCTAAGACCCTACTATTCTAGGAGCTACCTTTCCTATTATTTAATCTCCATTTATTGATAAACCTGGAAAATAGAGATTCTTCTCCTTTAACAGAATATTTTCAAAATCTGAACTGCAGTGTTTTTCTTTAAGTCTGCAAGAAGTTAGACTAGGAACTAATAAACTCTTAGAAATGGGGATGTCCTTATTTAATCTTTTTCCTCTCATCCATGGTGAGCAGAAGGTTGGGGATTGGAAGACACAACTAGTCTTGGTTTTATGTACCTTACTGGGCAGAGGAATGAAGCCTTTCTGTCTTCATGAGTCTGTTGCATAATGCAGATATAAGAAGGATCAGGCTGTTATCAGCGAACATAATGTTTTGCTAATTGATGACACTCCACAGAGACGCAGAGATTTAAAAGATATTACAGAATAATGAGTGATGCTTCAGAAGGAAATCTGATAGTAAAGTTAAAAGGGAACAAAATCACATACACAGCATAATCTGCCAACCACCAGATTAGAAATCTCCATGGTTAGGTTGTTTGTTTTTTCATTTGTTTTTGTAGAGAGGGTACAGTTCTAAGTATCCAAGATGCTCAATTCAAGGAAATAAGGAAAGCTCATGGGCCACTTAACCAAATACAAAGCATCATGCTTTACACTGCAGGGGACTTCAATGACAAGAAAGTCCTCAGGAAGTTTGTATCCTGTTAGAAACAGGTTCAGAGATTTGGGGGTAGAGGTTTTGCGGTATAGGCTGACTGTACCAGCTCACACCACCTTCTTCGTTTTTAAACAAGTTCATGTGGTACCATGATCTCCTTCCAACATCTGCCAAAAAATAAAAGCTTTGTTTTTCTTTTCTTTTTTTTTTAACCTAAGTAACCACAGATAGGAAACTATTTTAACAAGGTAATTTGAAAAACAGTTCCTTGAAGAATGAGAGTCCCGATGTACATAGAAACTAAAACGTAAGTAAATGGAAATTTCCCAACAGTGCATTTTGTGACTCCGGCTGACTTCTCTAAGATATGTATTGATTTTTCTTTTTAATAAATGTGCTATTTTCTTTATTTGACTTTAAGTTCTGGGATACATGTGCAGAACATGCAGGCTCGTTACATAGGTATACATGTGCCGTGGTGGTTTGCTGTACCTATCAACCTGTCATCTAGGTTTTAAGCCCTGAATGCATTAGGTGTTTGTCCTAATGCTCTCCCTCCCCTCCTATTTTAACACCTACTCATCATATTCATCAATGGGCAGCCAATGCAGAAGGATTAGGAAGAAAAAGGGTAATGATTGCCTTGTAGATAGGAAGAAAAATTATCACTCGTGATGTGTTTCAAGACAGTCCTTCTGCCAGTAGTTTTAAGTCTTTGGGGAAGGGAGAGCTCCCAGTGCTTTAAAAAAATATATTAAAAAAAAAAAAGATGCACGCAACTTATTTATCTTGCCTGAGTCCTTTTTAAGGCCCAAGAAAGAGAAGTAGCATTTTTCTAAAATTTTTCTTGTTTAATAATTCTATTTAGAACTACCTTACCTCTTCATTATTCTTAAGTATCACCTTTACACATCTACTGTGTTAAAGCAAACAAAAAACAAAAATAGAAGATGAGAGACAACTTAGCAAGTTCAAACATATTAAGTGCTTTAAAAAAAAAAAAGACTTGGTAAAAGTTATCAAATTATGTGTTCTTTGGTAAGTCTGTATCTTAACTATACCCGCCCCTGACCAAAAAAAAAAAAAAAAAATCTCACAATTGAGAACTATATTACAGTACATTTATCGTGAAAGCGCTGTTTATCAACTGCCAATAGAAAAGAAAAAATTCTCAGAGGCTTAATCAGCATAGAGCTTCTGAATCCCAAGCTTGAGCTGCTGAAAGCAATGAACAAAGTTAAGAAGCTATTACTTGTAACTTTAGATTCTGGTAAATCAAACAAACAACTAAGTGTCTTTTCCCTAAATTATTAACATTTTCAGGTATGTTGAGATTATTCAGAGGTTATTTTTCAAAAAATTCTTAAAGCTCTGGCAGAGGGTTGGCAACATCTCTATAAGGTTGTTTTCATTTACGGAGCGGTATTGAAGAAGAAAAATAAGATCACCTTAGTTCTGTATTATAAACAGTCTAGCTGACAAAGAGCTTTCACAAGGGTATTTGTCTTGGTGAAACAAATTGGCATTGTCATAGAGGAAACTAATTTGAGGAAAAATGATGCCAAAGAGGAAACAACAGAGGAATATAAATTAAAAAGCAGCACAAGGAAGAGGTTTAGCAACTGGCAGTAAATAAGTTTATTCATGGTCATTTATTGACATTGTACTTCTAACAACACCATGCTATAAGTAATACTAAAAACATTTATATTTTATAAGCACATTTAATATTTATCCAAAGTCTTAGGAAGCTGTTCACAGAATTTAATAGGCTTTTAAAGTATATTTGGTGTAAGATTCTGGATATAGCAAATATAGTAGAACTTTTCTACTTTTATTCCTATTATGTTTCCCCTTTCTCTTTATAGGTGTTTGGAGGATCATATGGCAGAGTGTTTGAGGTTCCATATTCACATTTGGTTACTAATTTGATAAACTCCTAAGTTATGATGATTGCTCTTATATTCGGCTAAGACAAAAATAGTCTTAGTCAGTGTGCTGGAGCTGTGCATCCTGCTTTGTGAGAGCCAATTGCTAAACTTTCTGGAGGTTTTCTAGCTGGTTGATATCCCATTGGTAGTTTGAACTTGGCCATTATGGGAGCATTGCATACTGGTTGATCATCAAATACTTTGAATCAGGACATCCCCAACCCTGCCCTGAAAGCTGGGTAGTGAACGTTTACCAGCACACCACTGGTAAGAGCTATTTTTTAACTTTTTTATAAAATGCCAAGAAAAATAAAAATCATCTGTAATTTAACTGTGATCAAAAGAACCTTTAAAATATTGTATCTTTAATAACTTAAGAATTTCAGGAACTGGTGCTATTACATTTAAAGAATATGGACCAATCAAATTATAGCAGATTAGTCTTAGCAGGAAATAATTCCATTCATTTTACCGTTGGAAATGATGTCTTTCAAAAATATATATTCACTTTATTCAGACACATTGGTGAGTCTCTCCATGTAGCTGCAATCCCTTTCTGCTGTTCGTCTCCTGTTTTGAGGATTTAGCTTGCTTGGTTTAGTAATATGGCTTCTTAAGAATATGTGTGTCTTATAAGTAATTTTATATTTGAAAAAAACTTACATTATTAACCATTTTGCATTATACCATTGAAGTAAGACGAAAACATCAGATGACAATAGCATATCCATGGCATGCCATGAAGTGCTAACTCTATAAGCATATGTGATGACTGTATTCCATATGCAATTCCAGGATACAGTTCCAAGATCTCCAGTGTCCAAGGCACCCAACAGACACCACAAAATGTTAAACCCCAAGGTGTGCCCTGACCAATCATGCTACCTTTTCAATCCCAACCTAAGCTTTACACTAGAAACTGTATCTACCATTTCCCCTGACTTATAAGTTTAGATATAATTAAAAATACCACATGCCTATCATCTTTCAAACTGTGAGCTCCTTATTTTTCAATAACTAACAGCCTGATTTTTATGGATATTTAATAAAGTGATATAAATTAGTATAGTTATAAATTTCCAGTGGATAACCAAAAGATGTTGACTCTGCACATAAACCTATAAAAATTTTCTCTTAACTAAATTGTTATAGGTAAAACAAAGTCTTTTCACTCATTTTGGCTTCAGTTTCATGTTTGGGCAAGGCACAAAGCTAGTAAAGATATCTTCTCTTATTTTTCCGTTGAAAAATAGGCCCTGGGTCACTGCGTAATAAATAGTTAGGGCCTTTGTGGCAGTGTTCAGTTGAAGCCAGATTATGAGAGTGTCTTCTATGTTTAAACATGGAAAGAGTTCACAGTGAGGTGAGAGATCTTAAACTTGTCTTTTTTCCTAGGTTTGCCTCTTGTTTAGTATCCCTCAGGAAATGAGCTGTTAAGGGATGTGCTGCCACATCAAAATTCTGAAAGGAGATACCTTAAAACCACCAAAGTAAACCTTCCTCTGTGGATAACTTTAGCAGGCTGAGTATAGCACATTTCATCACTGACCAACCAAACAAAAATAACTAAAGCTGCAGTCTCATTCCAGAAGCATTTCTGAACAAACAGTTTTCTCCAGCCTCAGCTGTGTGGTTTCATATTTAATCACTTCAGCATTTTGCTGGTTAAACAACTCTGATATGAAATGTGAATCCCAGAAAGTGTTGTGTCATTCCAAATAGCTAGAAAATCAGTAATTCTTTTCTTTTCTGTCACTTGTTATTGATTCAGAAAGATCATTCCAAATCCCCACTGTTTATTCTTTTCAATACATTGTCTTGCTCTGTGGTTTTTCAGAAACTTTAAACAGCAGTCCTATTATCTATTTGTAAGTGTTGTCTCACTTCAGATAACTGCTTTAAACAAATAATCTAAGCTCAGAATCAAATTTATGGCATCAGAATGAGACTCCAGCCCCCCAAGCACTGGTATCTATACTCCACGTAACACATAAGAACAGCGTTTTCTAGGATAGGCAGTGAAAGGCCTCCATATTGCTGAACTCTTGCCTCTTCTCTGATTCACATCATCACCATTATTTACAATTTTTCTCTAAATTGGCTCTTTAATAAAAATATGAATCAAGCATCATTGTAAGATTGTAGACATTATGACCCTATTATCTTTCTTCAATTTGCTAAAATTCTACTCTATTGACTTTAACTCTGAAAAGTTATAAATGGTGTTGGGGTTTAGAAACCAATATCCCAGGACCAGGCGCCGTGCCTCACGCCTGTCATCCCAGCACTTTGGGAGGTCAAGGCGGATGGATCACCTGAGATCAGGAGTCCGAGATCATCCTGGCCAACATGGGGAAACCCCGTCTCTACTAAAAATACAAAAATTAGCCGGGCGTGGCCGTGTGTGTTTGTAATCCCAGCTACTCGGGAGGCTGAGACAGGAGAACCGCTTGAACCCAGGAGGCAGAGGTTGCAGTGAGCCGAGATCGCGCCACTGCACTCCCGACTGAGACTCTGTCTCAAAAAAAAAAGAAAGAAAAAAGAAACCAACACCCCGAAATATGGCACTCTGACATGCTGAACTGAAGAAGAGGCTCAAGGTCTCTCTGACCTACTCTTCCCCACTCCTCCTATCTCTCAATCTTCTGGGTCTCCCAAAGCACAGGATAAATCTGTTCTCTGAAGTTTCTTATTTGCCTAAAGTCTGGACCTGACAAATAAAAAATAATTACCTCTGGTCCCTTCCTGGAGATTTTATTAACTGAGCTCATCACAGAAAATAAGACTGAAGTCTGTCAACAAACCTGGACGATTTTGTCACAAACCACTGCCCGCTCTGTGGGCCCAGTAGACTTTGTCCCAGTTCATTGTATGCTCTTCAAGTCCATTGAATTCCCCTAAAAATCATTTACTACCCCGCTAAAATCATCTGCACTTCTCCATCACCCTTTCCTCTACAAAGTAGTATCTGTACCTCATTGGGATGTTGGGTAATCACGCTATGATTGTCTCTCATACATGTTAATAGATTTGTATGCCTTTTCTCCAATTAATCTGCCTTTTGTGAGCTGATTTTTCAGTGAACCTTCAGAGAGTGAAGAAGAAGTTTTACTTTGGCCCTTCCAATGGCAAATGGCTTTTTCTTAGAACATACAAGATACTAGAAACATTGCTGCTTTCTGTAAACCAATGATGTTCATGAATTTGAGCATGTGTAATCACTAAAGAATGTATTAAGACAGCCTATAAGCTAGTTGGTGTGATCAGGCTGTATCCACCACTTTTTATCCTCTGTGAGGGAGTGACCAAGTGTCAAGTACCACTGCTGAATTCTCCTGCAATGAACTGGATTTACCCAGAGGCGGACTGAAATGCAAGGGTTCCCTATCCATATACCTTTGATTCTGAATAGTTTGAAGCCCTGTATTTTGTATAACCTCAGAGTATCCAGATATGAAGCAGCCTAGCCCAGATGAAAGCTTAATCAAATGAATCTCTAAGTAGACCAAGCAGAACTAACCCTTTCCATCCCTTTCTCGGGGTCTAAAAACTTAGAGCTCTCTACATCCTTCTCGCTCTCTCTTATGCAAAGGACCACAAGGATGGCTAAATACTAGAAAGAAAAGTTTTACTGGTGATATCAGCTTGCAAACTGGGAAGAGACAGTCTCCAAAGTGAATTGAAGGTGCTCTCTCTTCAAAGAGGGGAAGGAAAGGTTGAGTTTAATGTCTCACAGGGCCTGTATTATATATATCCAGCAGGTTTGGGAGAAAGGCTATACATATTTAAGAGGGAAGCCAAGAGCATGTGCAATGGGTAGACATATATAACAACAACCTCATGTTCACTTTGGGGTGGGGTTTTAGCATTAAAATGAGGGGGAATTTGGCTCTTTGTGTCAGAACATGGATACAAAGACAGCTTGTATGCAGTCTCTATGAACTGGCTGAAACTGGCCTAGCTTATCAGGAAGGAGTGTCTATAAGGCTAGTCCTCTGTTCAACCAGAGTTGCAGTGGTCTGGGTTGTAAATCAAAGTTAGGAGGGTTCTGACAATTTGCTTGATAGATCCTGTTATTAGAGAGTGTAGCAAGAGTGTGGTTTTTCTTATAGCTGTAGGAATTTAGGAAGTAGCCATGCCAGCCAATTCCTGAACCCTCAACCCAAAGGTAATTTTGTTTCCTTAACCTTTGAGTCCATCTTAGTTAATAAAGGGGCATTTATTTTGGTCTCTCAGATCACACTGTTATCCCCAGATCCATTTTTAAACTGCTAGGAAACTCTGGGTAGACTACATATCTATATGGACCATGTAACTATATGATCATTCTCTGGGTGTGTTTGGGTTCTTCACTATGAAAAAAACCATCACAGATCCCACTTCACCACTTGATTCCAGGTTGGTTTCCTTTTAAGTTCCCAGAATATTATGGAAGCAGATGAAGAGGCCCCTCACAGTTGGTCTTACCTTCTGATGCAGGTATGTTAGTGTTAGACGCTCCCATAGACCTGAGTCACACTATGTCCATTAATATAGTATGTGATGCAGAGACTTTCTTCACATTGACAGTGACAGTCTGGGTGTTAGCAGTGGTGAAGACCTACAGGTCTGCAGCAACCTCAATTCTTGCCTCTTCAGAAGAAAGGATTTGACCTAAGGGCAAAAGGCAGAGGGAGAGACCAAGGCATGTTTCAGAACATGAGTGAAAGTTTCCTAAAAAGTTTAGAGCAGGAATAAAAGGAAATAAAGTACACATGGAAGAGGGCCAAGTGGGCCACTTGAGAGATTTGAATGTCTGATTTGACCTTTGACTTAGGGTTTTAGACATTAGCATTCTGCACATGTACTGGCCTGCCAGCACTTGGGAGGGGCCGCATGCACAGTGTGTTTACTGAAGTTGTGCACGTGCTTATTTGAGGTGTTTTTCCCTTACCAGTTGGGTGTTCCTAGAGGGAGGTCATATACCAATTAAACTCCACCATTTTGCCTTTTAATACGCAGGGTTGAGCCGACTCGCCCAGCTCCTGAGATCTTACCAGGAAGCTGCTGGTCATCTGTTTCAGCTGTTTTCTATCTATAGGGAGACTGCCTTTTTCTGGTGCTGGCTGCAACCAATTATTTTAAAGAGACAGTTTAACCACTGCTTGACCATCACCTGATGGTCACTTGACATTTCTGGTTGTGGGGAGCCTCTTGTGCCCTGTTCATGTCTGCCTACCTACCTACTGTCACATGGGTACTGAGAATAGGTCGGGTTTTTTTCCTCCTATTGTTTTTCATATTTTAGCCGTAAGTTAAAATCACGATACTGATGTGTTTGTACTGTTTAGTCAACACTGGTAAGTTCACACTGTCAGCATTTTTTTATCACTATTTACCCCTAACATTTTTTTCAAACATGCCTTTGAACCAAAAGAAGAAGGATAATTTTTCCTATTTTTCCATTTTCCTTCTCCATCTCCCTGTCATTTGGGCTGCTGTTTTGTAGAACACTCTATAAAGAAATGGTCTCTCAGAAGTGATGAAATACAAGAATTTAAAACCTCTTAATTGCTATGTTTGTTTCAAATCTTACAACACTGAATTCTAATTTAGTGCTCAACATTCCATATTAACATTCCAAGCATTCTTTTATCTAGCAATGATGCAAAATATCAAGCTGAAAGTCAATCACAAGAAGACATAACATTATTCCCACATGATTTAGGATTTGTTTTATTTTGTGTTCAGGTACCTGGGAAAACATTAGGAAAAAATATTTGCCATTGAAGGAAATCAAAATATTTCACCCCAAAATATATTTATTTGAAATATTTAAAGATGGCTGTTAAGAAGAGCTAGAAATACACGAATCGATGAAGATGTCTTCTGTCAGGGAGATTTGCATTTGGAGAGAAAATCTGCACTGATGCAACCAGGCTTTCTCCAAGGTCCTCCTTTGTGCAGATCCAGGAAAGATTCACTGACAGTCTGATACTTTTACAGGCCTAAAGGAAATATTTGCCATCTATACTCCCTGAAGGCTGCTACGTGTGAGGTTCTTCTACATAACAAAACCACTTTTCCTAGCCAGGTCTTCTTCTCCTGCCCTCCTAAAACCTGATTTAGCACCATAACCTTTTTTGGGGTCATGCTCTGAGCCCTCATTCTTTCAGTAACCTCAAGATGGTATATGAGCTTCCATGCCCCCTTGAAGGGTTGGAGTAATTACTCTGTGACTCTCCCCTGTGCACACTAATAAATTTCTATGACCTTTCTCTTATTAATCTGCTTTTTGTTAGTTATTTTTCAACAAACTTTTACAAGGTGAAGGGAAAGTTTTCCCTTGGCCCCTATACCATTTTCAGGTAACCTCCATGTCCATCACGCAATGTATAACTAATTAAACAGAATTTTTAGGATTCTTTTTACGATCTAGTGGAATCTTTTAGTGTGCTATAGAATGCATTAAATATGTCAGCTTATCTCTCATTTTTCCCAAGTTTATGATGTTGTGCTTTTAAATAACTGGCTAAAAGTGGAAAAATGATTCACAAACATTGTTTATGTTTGCTTTTGCCTGACTAATGGCAGTTGTATGACATGGCCCTGGCCAATGCGTAGGGAAAGCTGCCAAGTACACACAGACAGGCCAAACATCCCTAAAGATAAGCAAGTTACAATGCATGGTCTGTGGTGACACCAGATACCTGCATGAAGTAATTCTTCAAGATAAAAGAAATTCACTTAAGGGAAGTACAGCTTGTGTTAATAAATTTTCCTCTGGTAATTGATATTTTCTCATGAAATTCCAAAAATATCCTGCTGGATATTCATAACTGTTTGGGCAGATTTTCAGTTAAACGTCCCAGTTAATTTAGATGAGGGCCAAAAGTCACAAGGAGACATAGAGCTGACTTCCTCTGTCCCATACAAAAGCAACTGGGAAACTTTGGTTGATGCCTTGCTTTCAAATGGGTGCAAAACGTTGTTGCATTAACTTGGTAAGAAACTTAAAACTATTATTAAGAAATAATCAAGAGTTTAAAAAAAATAACCAGGCTTTATGGAATAAGCCGAGATGTAGACCTTTGGCTATAATGACAGTAACCCTGGGGTGAATTTAACCCAAAGGTGTTGACACCTTAGTAAAGATAAATGAGATTGTATCAAAGCGTTTTGACAAAATATTCTTTACTAATTTTGTATAGTTTGTTTTAAAGTATGTTAGTTTAGTCTTTAGCACTTTAAACCATATTTTAATGTCTTCTACACATAATTATTTAAATACCCCCAGCATGGACTTACCAGACTCTTTCTAAGATTAGGGTGGTGGATTGAAATTGTTATTGTAATCACTTGGGTTGGGACAAGTTCTACTTTTGGCACTTGAGTCAAAGGAGAGGAATGGCAATGCAACAGAGTGAAATCACCTTTACAAAAATTATGACACTGAAAGAAATCTGACCTAACTGACTTCATTTTGCCTCTAACCTCCAAGCTGCCCTTGTTCATTCCTGGAAATAGACCAAGCTAACTATGGGAGGAATTTAATTTATAGTTCAACTTTAAAACAAAGATGATCACAGCCCCTTCCTGAAACTAAACACCCTCCACTGCCACCTTTGTAAAACTAACCACAAGGAGTCATGTAGCCAGAGGTCACAAGACTTGTATCCACCCCAATTGCCCCTGTAAGATAATATCACTATTGTAAAACCTAAGATTGGTGTTTTGAGGTATTTTTCAGCCCCTGCATTCTGATGGACCAGCTAGTACCACCCAGACTAGTAACCCATGCCAAGAAACTGGCTCAACTGGTCTTGTGACCCCACCTAGGAACTGACTCAGTGCAAAAAGACAGCTTTGACCTCCTATGATTTTATCCCCATCCCAAGCAATCAACATTCCCCATTCCCTAGCCCTCTCTGCCAAACTATCCTAAAAAAATCCCCAGCCTCCAAATTGTGGGGGATGCTGATTTGAGTAACAAACTCCATGTCCTTCCGATTGGCTAGCCATGCAATTATTAAACTCTTTCTCTACTGCAATAGCACTGTCTCAGTGAATTGGTTCTATCTGTGCAGCAGGCGGGAAGAACCTGTCAGGTGATTACAAGAAAATATACTGACTTGGGCATGAACATGTCTGATTGATATTAATGGAAAAATATCTTTTGATTCTATCATTTTTCTCCATCTCACTATCATGGTCTAATTTCCTATCTTCATTATTTCTAACATAGCTGGAGACAGTAGCCTCCTTTTTAGCTCCTGGGCCTCCAATCTCCCTCTCCCCCAATCCACCCTTTACTCTGCATGAGTGTGGTCATTTGACACCTTTCCTTAAAGCTTTGGACATTGTTCAGTTGCTTATAATCCTCAATGTTCAAACTCCTGATTTGATAAACCAATTTCTTTACAATTAATCTTCAGTCTACTTCTTCAGCTTTATCTGTAGCCATCCCATATATACTTCCAAATGTTTTAAACTGTAATGTTTATCTCAGTGGCTAATAACACAAGCTGTGCAATCAGACTGTCTTGTTACCCAATAGGACTACCTTCAGATGCATAAGCTAGAGACAAAGTACTTGGCTTCTCTAAATTTCAGTTTTCCCATCTGCAAAATCGGGATCAAAAGAGTTGTTGTGAATGTTAAATGACACATACTAATACTCAATAGGTTGCTAGTGTTAATCACAGGAAATAAACACTTTATTCATTCTTATTTTCATGCCTTTACCCAAAACTGTTTTCCTAATATGTCCCCACATCTGGCAATTTTTTTCTCTAGGATGAATTCCTGTTTGTCTCTCAAAACCTTGTTCAAATGGCAACTGCCTTTAAAATTTTTCCTTTACCATTTCACTTAGAAAAAAATAGTTGCCACCACCACAATACTCTAACAGCATTTTGTATGTATTAAATTATTATAAACTGTATCTTCAAAAATCTACACATTCGCTTTCTCCTCTGTACTCTAAGGGCTGCATGGGAAACAATAACGTCTTTGCATCCTTATATTCTGTTACAGGTTGAATTGTGTCCACCCAAAAAAAGACATGCTGAAGTCCTAATACCCAGTACCTTAGAATGTGACCTTACTTGGAAATAGGGTTGTTGAAGATGTTATTAGTTAAGATGAGGTCATACTGGAGTAGGGTAGGCCCCTAATTCAATACGACTGATGTACTTTTCAGAAGAGAGCTATGTGAAAACAGAGACACAGAGAAAATGCATATGAAGATGGAGGCAGAGATTAGAGTGATGCTTCTACAAACACAGGGACACCTAGGATTGCTAGCTGTCACCAGAAGCTAGGAAAATGTAAGGAAGGATTCTTCCCTAGAGCTTCCAGAGGGAGCATAGCCCTGCGAACACCTTGATTTCAGACTTCTAGCCTCCAGAACTGTAAGACAATAACTTTATGTTATTTTAAGCCAGCCAGTTTGTTAATGACAGCTCTGAGAAACTAATACATATCCCTACATTCAGGGAAAAAATGCCAATATATTTGTGTTGAAGAAGAAAATGGCTTTAACAATTTAACTTATTCAATATGGACTTACGTGGAAACATAGAAGCGTTGCATGAAATTGCTAAATTAGACCATCAAAAATTCTGGCTCTAAGAGTCGTTGATTCTGTGTGAGTTCATATTTATTTAATGTCATATTTCAACTTCCTGCTCCATCTAAAATTGAGATGATAGATTCTTAGGAATTAGAACGCTCATTATATTCTTCCTTGCTCAGGAATCTACACTAATTGCTTGTAAGATGGAAATTATTGTTATCATCAAAGCAGTGACGTTAAGTTTCTCAACACATGATTCATAAAAATGACACAATTATTCATATCTATATGTTATCTGTAATCTAAGGATATTGTGTCTGAGGCTGTAGATAAATTTTTCCTAAGCATTTTTATTTATAACATATATGTTCTTAGTGTTCTATTAATCTATTACATGTAGTTATGCTGATTCATGCCTTATCGACACATTAATTTACACAGAAATGACAGCATAAAGAAAGATAAAACAAATCTTATATTCTAGGCCAGAATTAAGGTCTATTCCCTATTTCAGTAACTGTAGCTTAGACAGAGGGAAATAATTCTAGAAGAATTTGGAAAGAGAAATGTAATTTTAGTCATTGTGGTTAAAAGGACATTCATTGTATAATTAAAAATTCCAAAGTACACTGGGAAGGCAGAATGCCACACTACTTGGTGCCTAAAATAACACATTATTATAAAGTAGAGCAATTTCATTTTTAGAGCATGAGAAATTCAAGACTATGAAACATTTGCTTTCTGAGATTTGTCTGAGCCTTAACTTCAAGAACATGCAGTGAAGGCGTAAACTTTATTATTAAATAGAGAATTCTGCCCTCCCTGAGCCAAACATCCAGTTTCCTGACACCTACACTTAATTTTGGCCCTAAATAGATGTCTCACCTTTTATTGTTTAGGTCTGCAAGTGCCAGGCCCCACAATGAAGGAAACTAGAATAGTCACAATCCCAGTGTACATGTTCTCCAGACGGTCATCCACTAATCATGGCTATGTTTTATGCCAGGTTCACCACTGATTTTCTGTGGCAGTTTTGGATAAGTTACTGTTCTCTGAAACTCATCACCATTATTATTGGGGGTTAATGGAACCAGGAAGCACGTTGAAGGAAGGACAATGCTTATTTCTTAATAGAAATCACTTACTAATTCTCTAGCCTAGCAACCGGTGAACTACAGCCCATGGGACAAATCCAGCCCAACACCTGCTTCTGCAAATAAACTTTTATAGGAACAGCCACTCCTGTTCTTTTATATGTTGCCTATGGCTGCCTTTCCCCTGAAGATTTGAGTAGTAAAAAAGACCACATAGCCCACAGATCCTAAAATATGTACTTCTTACTTGGCCCCTTAAAGGAAAAGTTTGCTGACCCCTCTCTAAGCCCTTGCTACTGAAAGTGCAGTCCTCAGACCAGCAGTATCTGCATCAGCTGGGAGCTCAGTAGAAATGCAGACACTCAGGCCCCACCCACAGCTTCTGAATCAGAATCTGCCTTTTCACAAGATCCCCATGTAATTCACATGCAAGTAAACATCGAGAAGCATTAGTCTAGGCTGTCAAGGCCAGGAGTCAGCAAACTTTTCCTATACAGGGACAGATAGTAAATATTTTAACCTTTTTGAAAATATGTCTCTGTTGCAGCTATTCAACTTGGCCTTGGAAGCTGGAAAGTTGCCACAGACAATATATAAATAAATGGGTATGGTTCTATCTCAATAAAACTATTTATGGTCACGCAAATTTGAATCTCATGTAATTTTCACATCACAAAATGTTATTAGTTTTTATTTTTTTCAATCATTTAAAAATGTAATGATTTCAATCATTTCTTAGCTGACCTGCCACACAAAAACAGGCAGCAGGCTGGATTTGGCCCATAAGCCATAGTTTGCAGAGATCTAGTCTAGGATACTGCCTCATTACTTACTGTCACATCATTGTTTAGCCAATACTTTGCCTCCCTTTTCACTCTCCCCAAGACTCTAAACACCTAGTTTATATTTTCTTTTCTCTTTTATTTTCTTTCTTTCTTTCTTTCTTTTTTTTAAGAGACATGGCCTCTGTCTGTCACCCAGGCTGAAGAGCCATGGCGTGATCATAGTTCACGGCAGCCTTAAAGTCCTGGGCTAAGCAATACTCCTGACTCAGCCTTCTGAGTAGCTAGGACAACAGGTGCATGCTACCAAACCTGGCTAATTTTTAAGTTTTTATTGTTTGTAGATACAACGTCTTGCTGTGTTCTCCAGGCTGGCTTCGAACTCCTGCAGCTCAAGCGATTTCCTGCCTCGGCCACCTAAAGTGCTGGCATTACAGGCATGAAAGACTGCACCTGGCCTAGTTTATATTTTCTAGTACATGTGACTTTAGATCAGTTACTAATTACTTATCTGATTTATCCTAGAATATGTTGCTGTTCCTCCTGTATAATTTCTAACTTGTAACAAAGGTTCTGTCAAATGATGTGATGGTGTACTACATATTTTTCATTGGCAGAATAAATACAGTACAGAGAGACTACTAGGAGGATAGATATATTATGCATATGTATATAATGTACATATTATGTATATCTTTTTGGGGCTCAGAAACAGATACCCTACAATATGGTGCTTTGACTTGCTTTGACATGATGAATTGAAGAGGAAACCTCAAGGTCTCTCTGACCTATTTCCCCTCACCCCTCCTGGCTCTCGATCCTCTGTGTCTCCCAAAGCACAGGATGAAGTTGTTCTCTGAAGTTCCTTATCTGCTTAAAATTTGGACCTGCCAAAGAAGAAAATAATTATCTCTGTTTCCTTCCTTGAGTTTTCATTAACTAAACTCATGCCACAGAAAAAAAAGACTGAAGTCTGTCAAAAACCTGGACAGGCTTTTGTTACATACGTTTGTTTGTGCTGTGGGCCCAGCAGACTTTGTGCCAGCATTGTATGTTCTTCAAGCCCATTGACTTCCCCTCAAAACCATTTATTATCCCTCTAAATCATCCACAGTTCCCATCTTCCTTTCCCCTGAGAAGTAGGGTATATAAGCACCTGTACCCCATTGGGATATTGTGTAATCACTCTGTGATTCTCCTCGTGTACACGTTAATAAATTTGTATGCTTTTTCTCCAATTAATATGCCTTTTGTGAGCTGACTTTTCAGTGGACCTTCAGAGAGCAAAGGGGAAATTTCCCTTCTTCCCTACAATCTCATATACATGTATGTTGGTCAGCAAACCTATCTGTTTATACACATACCTGGTTCTGAAGGAATGGGAATCTAACCGCAATTAAGAACTCTTTTGGCCCCAAATTCAAACCAACCATATTAACTGTTTCTAAATATGCTGGCAGGGTTCAAGTCTCTTTAATTGATAGGCAAAACTTTTGATATACAGAGCTTATTAATAGATCAGTATTAGAAAAAATGTGTAGCTCATAGAAACCTTTATGTTCAAACTTTATCAAAGCTAACTTTAGAGACACAAAATGAAGACCTGTCACTAACGATGGGTAGATGAAAGCACTTTATTGAATTAACACAGCATTAATAATTTGGGTTAACCAATTTGAGAAACATGAAAGTGCCCAAGATTTTTCAGAAGTGCACTTTATATAAAATATATATACACAATCTTATAGGAAATATATATACATGTTCCTATATATATAATCTTATAGGAAATATATATAATCTTATAGGAATCATATATAATCTTACAGAAAACATATATATATGTTCCTATATATGTTTCTTATATATTGTGTGTATATATGTGTCTTATATATAATCTTATATATAATCTTATGGGAAACATATATATATGTTTCCTATATATTATGTGTGTATATATATAGATATGAAAAAATGTGTGCATGTATATATATACACAATCTTATATTGTATGTGTATATGTGTATATGTACACAATATGTATTTTTAAAATTTTTATTCTAAATGGATTTGCTAGAATAGGTTCTGACTCCTGGTCTAGGTTACTGCCATCTCCCTC
Source organism: Homo sapiens (assembly GCF_000001405.40). Taxonomy (NCBI): domain Eukaryota; kingdom Metazoa; phylum Chordata; class Mammalia; order Primates; family Hominidae; genus Homo; species Homo sapiens. The sequence continues at coordinate 119,723,350 of NC_000004.12, read as the reverse complement.
TCTCTCTTTCTGTACATATATTTTTTCTTTTTTTTTTTTTACTTGAGTAAAAATGAAAATGAGTTTATTTTATCTTTCTGTCATCATCCAGTTTTCTCTATTCTTTCTAGGATAATTTATTCTTAGGATACAAGCCTGAAGTAAAGGCCTACCTACTTAGTCTGACAAATCTTTTTTTCTTTTTTTCGTGACAGGGTGTCGCTCTGTCACCCAGGCTGGAGTGCAGTGGCAGGTCTTTCACCTTGAAGATTTGAGTAGTAAAAAGGACTACATAGCCCACAGATCCTAAAATACATACTCATTACTTGGCTCTTCAAAGGAAAAGTTTGCTGACCCTACTCTAAACCCATGCTACTTAAAGTGCAGTCCTCAGACCAGCAGCATCTGCATCATCTGGGAGCTCAGTAGAAATGCAGACACTCAGGCCCCACTCACAGCTCCTGAATCAGAGTCTGCCTTTTCACAAGATCCCCAAGTAATTCACATGCACAGTAAACACTGAGAAGCATTGGTTTAGGCCAAAGATCAGCAAACTTTTTTTGTAAATGGCCAGATAGTAAATATTTCACCCTTTGTGGCAATATGTCTCTGTTGCACCTATTCAACTGGGCCTTGGAAACTGGAAAGTGGCCACAGACAATACGTAAATAATTGGGCATGGTTCCATCTCAGTAAAACTATTTATGGTCACTGAAATTTGAATTTCATATAATTTTTACATGTCACAAAATTACTTTTATTTATTTAACCATTTAAAAATGTAATAACCTTTTATAGTTCACAGGCCAAACAAAACATATATATGCATACCTATCTATCTATCTACATATCTCCCTTAGCTCATTCTCTCAGAGATAGTGTATAATATACATATACATGTATATAAAAGAGATTGTAGGAATGAAGGGAACTTTATTAATGTGCATGTACAAAAATGGTTATATATTTAATTTAATTAATTAATTAATTTGTTTTGAGACAGAGTCTTACTTTGTCACCCAGGCTGGAGTGCAGTGGCACAATCACAGCTCACTGCAGCCTCGACCTCACAGGCTTAATTGATCCTCTCACCTCAGCCTCCCAAGTAGGTGGGACTGTAGATGTGCAACACCAGGTCTGGCTAATTTTTTTATTTTTGTAGTGATGGAGTTTTGCCATGTTGCCCAGGCTAATGTTGAACTCCCAGGCTCAACCGATCTTCCTGTCTTGGCCTCCCAAAGTCCTGGGATTACAGGTGTGAGCCATGGCACTCAGCCCTGACAAATCCTTTAACTGTAAATGATTCACTAATGAAGTATTTCCACAAGCTGTGGCAGTTAGAAAGATTTCAGCCACAAGAAACAGAAAATTTTGGCTTAACAAGCTGGATCATGATGGCATTTATTCTTTCACAGAAGAAATGTTCAGATTAAGTGACTCCAGGCTTGCTTATTTCAATGCTTTAAAAACATTATCAAAGACTGAGTGTCTTTTCATTTTTTCATATTTCTTTAGGCTTGTCCTTAAGCTAACTACTTTATATCATAATTAAACAAGGTAATATCCAGACAAAATATTCTCTTTTTCAATCTGTTTTTTGTTTCAATAGGTTTTAGGGGAACAGGTGGTGTTTGGTAAATGGATAAGTTCTTTAGTGGTGATTTCTGAGATTTTTGTGAACCCATCACCTGAGCAGTGTACACTGTACCCAATGTGTAGTCTTTTATCCCTCACCCCCTCCCACCCTTCCCCACGAGTCCCCAAAATCTATTGTATCATTCTTATGTCTTTGTGTCCTCATAGCATAGCTCCCACTTGTAAGTGAGAACACACGATGTTTAGTTTTCCATTCCTGAGTTACTTCACTTAGAATAATGGTCTCCACTCCATGCAGGTTGCTGCAAATGCCATTATTTCATTTCTTTTTATGGCTGAGTAATATTCCATGGTATGTGTGTGTAGCTAGATAGATAGATATCTTTATCCACTCATTGATTGATAGGCATTTCAGCTGGTTCCATATTTTTGCAATTGCAAATTGTGCTGTTATAAGCATGTGTGTCCAAGTATCTTTTTCATATAATGACTTATTTTCCTCTGGGTAGATACTCAGTAATGGGATTGCTGGATCAAATGATAGATCTACTTTTAGTTCTTTAAGGAATCTCCATACTGTTTTCCATAGTGGTTGTACTAGTTGCATTCCCACAAGCAGTATAAAAGTGTTCCCTTTTCACCACATCCAAGCCAAGATCTATTTTTTTTTATTTTTTTTAATTATGGCCATTCTTGCAGGAGTAAGGTAGTATTGCATTGTGGTTTGATTTGCATTTCCCTGATAATTAGTGATGTTGAGCATTTTTGTCATATGCTTGTTGACCATTTGTATATCTTCTTTTGAGAATTGTCTATTCATGTCCTTAGCTCACTTTAATGGGATTATTTGTTTTTTTTCTTGCTGATTTATTTGAGTTCCTTGTAGATTCTGGATATTAGTCCTTTGTCAGATACATACTTTGTGAAGATTTTCTCCCACTCTGTGGGTTGTCTGTTTACTCTGCTGATTAATTCTTTTGCTGTGCAGAGGTTTTTTAGTTAAGTCGCATCCATTTATCTTTGTTTTTGTTGCATTTGCTTTTGTGTTCTTGGTCATGAAGTCTTTGCCTAAGCCAATGTCTAGAAGGGATTTTCCAATGCTATCTTCTAGAATATTTATCATTTCAGGTCTTAGATTTAAGTCTCTGATCCATCTTGAGTTGATTTTTGTATAGGGTGAGAGATGAGGATCCAGTTTCATTCTTCTACATGTGGCTTGCCAATCACCCCAGCACCATTTGTTGAATAGAGTCCTTTCCCCACTTTATGTTTTTGTTTGCTTTGTCAAAGATCAGTTGGCTGTAAGCATTTGGCTTTATTTCTGGGTTCTCTATTCTGTTCCATTGGTCTACGTGCCGATTTTCATAGCAGTACCATGCTGTTTTGGTGACTATAGCCTTGTAGTATAATCTGAAGTCAGGTAATGTGATGCTACCTGATTTGTTATTTTTGCTTAGTTTTGCTTTGGCTATGCAGGCTATTTTTGGTTCCATATGAAATTTAGAATTGTTTTTTCCAGTTCTGTGAGGAATTATGATGTTATTTTGACAGAAATTGCATTGCATTTATAGATTGCTTTCAGCAGTAAGACCATTTTTACAGTATTGATTCTACCCACCCATGAGCATGGAATGGTTTCCATTTGTGTGTGTCATCTATGATTTCTTTCCACGGTGTTTTGTAGTTTTCCTTGTAGAGGTCTTTCACCTCCTTGGTTAGGTATATTTCTAAGGGTTTTTTTTTCGTTGTTTGTTTGTTTGTTGCAGCTATTGTAAAGGGGGTGAGTTCTGGATTTGGTTGTCAGCTTGGTCACTGTTGGTGTATAGCTGTGCTACTGATTTACATACATTGATCTGGTATCCTGAAACTTTACTGAATTCATTTATCAGATCTAGGAAGTTTTTGGATGAGTCTAGGGTTTTCTAGATATACAATCATATTATCAGCAAACAGCAACAATTTGACTTCCTCTTTACCAATTTAGACACCCTTTATTTCTTTCTCTTGTCTTATTGCTCTGGCTAGGAATTCCAGTACTATGTTGAATAGAAGTGGTGAAAGTGGGCATCTCTGTCTTGTTCCAGTTCTCGGGGGAATGCTTTCAACTTTTCCCTGTTCAGTATAATGTTGACTGTGTGTTTGTCAGAGATGGCTTTTATTACATTAAAGTATGTCTCTTCTATGCCGATTTTGCTGAAGGTTTTAATCATAAAGGATGCTGGATTTTGTCGAATGCTTTTTCTGCATCTATTAAGATGATCATGTGATTTTTGTTTTTAATTCTGTTTATGTGGTGTATCACATTTATTGACATCTGTATGTTAAACCATTCCTGTAACCCTGGTATGAAACCCATGTGATCATGGTAGACTATCTTTCTGATATGCTGTTGGATTCCATTAGCTAGTATTTTGTTAAGAATTTTTGTATCTATGTTCATCCAGGATATTGGTCTATAGTTTTCTTTTTTTGTTATATCCTTTCCTGGTTTTGGAATTACCATGATACTGACTTCATTGAATGATTTAGAGAATATCCCTCTTTCTTTATCTTGTGGAATAGTGTCAACAGGATTTGTTCCAATTCTTCTTTGAATGTCTGACGTAATTCAGCTCTGAATATGTCTGGTCCTGGCCTTTTTTTTTTTTCTTTTGGCAATTGTTTTTATTACTGTTTCAATCTCACCACTTGTAATTGGTCTGTTCAGAGTTTCTACTTCGGTCACCTTGAATAATCTTTTGTATTTCTGTGGTATTGGTTGTAATATTTTTTGTTTCATTTCTAATTGAGTTTCTTTGGATATTTTTTCTTCTTAATCTTGCTAATGGTCTATCGATTTTGTTTATCTTTTCAGAAAACCTGTTTTTGTTTCATTTATCTTTTGTATTTTTTAGTTCCAATTTCATTTATTTCTGCTCTGATCTTTGTTATTTCTTTTCTTTCTGCTGGGTTTGGGTTTGGATTGTTTTTGTTTCTCTAGTTTGTTTGAGTGTGACCTTAGATTTGTGCTCTTTCAGACTTTTTGATGAAGGTGTTTAATGTATGAACTTTAATATTGGCACCACTCTTGCTGTATCCCAAAGGTTTTGATAGGTGTGTCACTATTATCATTCAGTTCAAAGAACTTTTTAATTTCCATCTTAATTTCATTATTTATCCAATGATCGATCAGGAGCAGGTTATTTAATTTCGTTGTATTTGCATGGTTTTGAGGATTCCTTTTGAAGTTGATTTCCAATTTTATTCCACTGTGATTTGAGAGAGTACTTGATATAATTTTCTATTTTCTTAAATTTACTGAGACTTGTTTTGTGGCCTATCATATGGTCTATCTTGGAGAATATTCCATGCACTGATGAATAGAATGCATATGTTGAAGTTGTTTGGTAGAATGTTTTGTAAATATCTGTTAAGTCCATTTGTTCTAGGGTATAGTCTAATTCCATTGTTTCTTTGTTGACTTTGTCTTAATGACCTGTCTGGTGCTGTCAGTGGAGTTTTGAAGCCCCCCACTATTATTGTGTTCTTATCTATCTCTTTCCTTAGGTCTAGTAATATTTGTTTTATAAATCTGGGAACTCAGTGTTAGGTGCATATATATTTAGGATTGTGATATTTTCCTGTTGGATAAGGCCTTTTATCATTATATAATGTCCCTCTTTGTCTTTTTTAGCTGCTGTTACTTTAAAGTTCATTTTGTCTGATGTAGGAATAGCTACTCCTGCTCCTTTTGATGTCCATTTGCATGGAATGTCTTTTTCCACCCCCTTACCTTAAGTTTATGTGAGTCCTTATGTGTTAGGTGGGTCTCTTGAAGGCAGCAGATAGTTGGTTGGTGAATTCTTATCCATTCTGCAATTCTGTATCTTTTTAATGGAACGTTTAGAAATTTGCATTCAACATTAGTATTGAGTTATGAGGTACTATTCTATTCATCATGCTATTTGTTGTTTGTAAAATTTTTTTTTGTATTTTTGTTTTATAGATCCTGTAAGATTTATGCTTTAAAGAGGTTCTGTTTTGATATGTTTCCAGGATTTGTTTCAAGATTTAGAGCTCCTTTTAGCAATTCTTGTAGTGCTGGCTTGATAGTGGCAAATTCTCTCAGTATTTGTTTGTCACAAAAAGACTACCTTTCCTTAATTTATGAAGCTTAGTTTCACTGAATACAAAATTCTTGGCTGATAATTGTTTTGTTTAAGGAGGCTAAAGATAAGACCCCAATCCCTTCTAGCTTCTAGGGTTTCTACTGATAAATCTGCTGTTAATCTAATAGGTTTTCATTTATAGGTTACCTAATCCTCTTGCCTCATAGCTCTTAAAATTCTTCCCTTTGTCTTTAGATAATCTAATGACTATGTGCCTAGGTGATGATCTTTTTGTGATGGATTTCCCAGGTGTTCTTTGAGCTTCTTGCATTTGGTTGTCTACATCTCTAGCAAGGCCAGGGAATCTCCTTGATTTTTCCCTTAAATAAGTTTTTCAAACTTTTAGGCTGGTCTTCTTCCTCAGGAGCACCAATTATTCTCAGGTTTGTCATTTAACATAATCCCAAACTTTTTGGAGTCTTTGTTCCTTTTTTAAAAAATTATTTTTTCTTTGTCTTTGTTAAATTAGATTAATTTGAAAGCCTTGTCTTTGAGCTATGAAGTTCTTTCTTCTACTTTTTAAATTGTATTGTAACTTTCTGATGCATTTTTCATTTCTCTTAGCATGTCTTTCATTTCCAGAGGTTGTGATTTGTTAAAAAATTTATGCTATCTCTTTCTCTGGATATTTTTTTCATCCATATCCTGTATTATTTTTCTTCTTTTTTCTTTTTTCTCCCCTCCCCAATTCTTAAAATTTCTTTAAGTTGGTTTTCACCTATCTCTGGTGCCTCCTTGAGTAGCTTAATAATCAACCTTCTGAATTCTTTTTCTGGTATTTCAGAGATTTCTTCTTGGTTTGGATCCATTGCTGGTGAGCTAGTGTTGTCTTTGTGGGGTGTTGAAGAACCTTGCTTTGTCATATTACCAGAATTGTTTTTTTGGTTTCTTCTCATTTTGTAGACTAGGTCAGAGGAAAGATCTAGGGCTCAAGAGCTGCTGTTCATATTCTTTTGTCCCACGAGGTGATCCTTTGATGTGGTGCTCCCCTGCTTCCGCTAGGGATGGGGCTTCCTGAGAGCCAGACTGCAGTGTTTATTATTGCTCTTCTGGGTCTAGCTAACCAGCGGAGCTACTGGGCTCCAGATTGGTACTGCGGAGTGTCTGCTAAGAGACCTGTGATATGATCCATCTTCAGGTCTTTCAACCATAGATACGGGCACCTGCTCCAGTGGGAGGTAGCAGGGGAGTGAAATAGACTCTGTGAAAATCCTTGTTTGTAGTTTTGTTTATGTAGTTTAGAATGCTGGTTTTCTCAAATGCTTGCTGTGCTAGCATTGAAGTTGTCACATGGCCAGACTCAGGACCTATGGTTAGCCAGGATGTTAAAGGCAGTGGAGTTAGCTGTTGTTTTCTCCTTTCTTGAAGTGAGGTTATTTTTTTATGAGGTGCTAAAATGGCTTGAGTTGGTTGGCCTCCATCCAAGAGGTGGTGCTTTCAAGACAGCATCAGCTGCAGTAGTATAAAGGGGATACAAGCTTGACCTAGGGTCACCTGGATAAATATTTGGGTTTCTCAGACAGTGGACAGGTCCATAGAGTTCTCAAAAGATTATGTCCTCTGTCTTCAGCTATCAGGGTGGGTAAAGAAAGACAATCAGGTTGGGGCAGAGTTAAGCTCTTCTGAGTTCAAAGTCTCCTTGGGTGGGGCTTCCTGTGGCTGCTGTGGCTGCTGTGGGGGATAGGGGATGGTCTTCTGGCTTATGGAGTTATGTTCCTAGGGGGATTATGGCTGCTTCTGCTGTGTCATACAGGTCACCAGGGAAGTGGGGTAAAGCCAGCAGTCACAGGCCTCACCAAGCTCCCACATAGCCAGCAAGGCCAGTCTCACTCCCACTGTGCCCCACCAACAGTACCAAGTTTATATCAAGGCAGCCAGAAAGCAGGGCTGAGATCTTGCTCCAGGCGACAAGCCTCCTTGCTGAGAAAGCAAGCAGGGCTTTCAGGCTCCACCCTCCCCACCTGCTGTAGGTTCTGTGCTCCTAGCTGCACTTTGCATTCACCCGCTTACCCGCCACTGGATTCTGGCCAGCAAAATTCACACTCAATCGAAATTATTACAAAGTTGAGTTGGAAGTTTCTTTCTCCCTGTGGTACTTCCCCAATTCCACTAGCTGCCCTCCCCAAGGACTCCTGTGAGACAAAGTCAGAAATGGCTTCCCTGGGGACCAGGAGTGCCTAAAGGGCTCTTACTGCGCTTCTTTTTTTTTTTTTCTTTTTTTTTTTTTTTTGAGATGGAGTTTTGCTCTAGTTGCCCAGGCTGGAGTCCAATAGCGTGATCTCGGCTCACCACAACCCCTGCCTCCCGGGTTCAAGCGATTCTCCTGCCTCAGCCTCTCAAGTAGCTGGGATTACAGGCATGTGCCACCACACCTGGCTAATTTTGTATTTTTTAGTAGAACTGGGGTTTTTTTGTGTTAGTCAGGCTGGTCTTGAACTCCCATCCTCAGGTGATCCACCCACCTTGGCCTCCCAAAGTGCTGGGATTACAGGTATGAGCCACCATGCCTGACCCACTTCTTCTACTTTTATATTTCACTCAGCCCTCTAAATTTATTTCAGCTCTAAGTAAGGTTAAACCCTTCTCCTGTGATCTGGATTTTCAGGTTTCCCAGTAAGGATGTACCTTTGGAGGTAGACATTTCCCCCCTCTCACACTTTGGACACTCACAGTTTTTAGCTGTCTCATGGAGTTTGCAGTGGCAAGCCACTTCTTTCAAAGGGTCTGTGAATTCTTTCAGTTTTCCTGGTATGTTCCTATGGTAGTTCTTGGAGTAAAAGTTTACAATGTGAGTCTCTGCACCCTGTTCAGTCCGTCCGTCCAAGTCGGAGCTGCAAGTTAGTCTTGCCTCCTATCAGCATTTTTGAATTGTACTCTTTAAATCTTTTCCATCTTTTTTTAATCATGGCAAAATTTTTCCCTGAACCCTGCAGTAGATTCTCTTTCATGGCTCATTGAAATACATTACACCTGTTGTTAAAATTCGAACTGGCAAAAAGAATGAGATTGCCATGATTGCATTAGGAAACCACATGGCCATGTGAAGGAAGTTAAATTACCTGAACAAAAATCAGTGTTCTATTAGAAGGGAAGAAGCTGGGAGGTATGGGGAGTTGCTATTGGGTAGTAAAACAATACTCAAATTCTACAACCAGAATTAATATTTAACAAGTTGTTACTAATAAAAGGTACCCCATTTATTAGCCAGAGTTAATTTGAAGGTACCTAATTAAATTTCAGGGAGTAGATACCATTAAGAAATTCTAATGTGACCTTACAACCCAAATATTGGAAGTAAGTAGTAGTAAGAAGCAACAGAAACATAATTACAAAATTCAAGGCACATACCACAATCAAAGAAGAGCTATAGACATTGTCAAAGCCTAACCCTAACACCTTTTAGCAGAGTAATATCTATCATTTGATTCAAGTAGATGGAATTTGCAATCTCCACCCAGGCTCCAGCCAACTTTCTCTTTAACATATAATTGTTCCAAGTAATATAATTGCTAGTGAGTTAGAATCTGAACTCTTTTAAGGTCCCTTTATCTAGTTCAGTCAAATGCTTGACATTTTAATAACATTTCATTGACTCCTGCTTTTCTCTTATATTTTTGTTGTCTTATTGTCCCTTTTATTGGTCACAATTCTACAGTGGAAAATAGACAGCATATGCTCCACCTAAGGGACCAGCTGCTTTCCTGCTGGCTAGTGGAAATGTGGGCTCAAGATGGTGAGATTTTCTAACTTTTCAGGAGAAATCAGAACTCTGAATGTTTTATGTAGTAATCTCCCAATTTGACCATATTGGTAAATTCTGGGTTCTGATTAAATAAATGTGCCCACTTTGTGAAAACTCCTTGAGCTGTATACTTTGATTTGTGTATTATTTTGTATTAAAGGATAATATACACTTCAATACAAAATTTGCTTCAAAATGAGCAACTGTATTAGTCTGTTCTCATGCTGCTAATAAAGACATACCCAAGACTGGGTAATTTATAAAGGAAAGAAGTTTAATTGACTTACAGTTCCACATGGCTGGGGAGACCTCACAATCATGGTGGAAGGCAAAGGACGAGCAAAGGCATATCTTTCACAGTGGCAGGCAAGAGAGCATGTGAAGGGAACCCCCCTTTATAAAACCATCAAATATCATGAGACTTATTCACTATCACAAGAAGAGCATGGGAAAGACCTGCACCCATGATTCAATTACCTCCCACCAGGTCCCTCCCATGGAACATGGGAATTATGGGAGCTATGATTCAAGATGAGATTTGAGTGGGGACACAGCCAAACCATATCATTCTATCCCTAAGCCCTCCCAAATCTCATGTCCTCACATTTGAAAACCAGTCATGCCTTCCCAACAGTCCCTAAAAGTCTTAACTCATTACAGCATTAACTCAAAAGTCCATAGTCCAAAGTCTCATCTGAGACAAGGCAAGTCCCTTCCACCTATGAGCCTGTAAAACCAAAAGCAAGTTAGCTACTTCTTAGATACAATGTGGATACAGGCATTGGGTAAATATACCCATTCTAAATGGAAGAGTTGACCAAAATGAAGGGTCTACAGGCCCCATGCAAGTCCAAAATCCAGAAGCGCAGTCAAATCTTAAAGCTCCAAAATAATCTCCTTTGACTCCATGTCTCAATCCAGTTCATGCTGATGCAAGAGGTGGGTTCCCATGGTCTTTGACAACTCCACCCTTATGGTTTTTCAGGGTACAGGACCCTCCCTGCTGCTTGCTTGCTTTCTTTTTTTTTTTTTTCTTTTTTTGAGACAGAGTCTCACTCTGTCACCCAGGCTGGAGTGCAGTGGTGTGATGTCGGTTCACTGCAACCTCTGCCTCCCAGGTTCAAGCGATTCTCCTGCCTCAGCTTCCTGCATAGCTGGGTTTACAGGCACACGCCACCATGTCCAGCTAATTTTTGTATTTTTGGTAGAGACAGGGTTTCATCATATTGGCCAGGCTGGTCTTGAACTCCTGACATTGTGATCACCCCCCTGGCCTCCCAAAGTGCTGGGATTACAGGCGTGAGCCACTGTCCCCAGCCTCTCCCTGCTGTTTTCACAGGCTGGCATTGAGTGTCTGTGGCTTTTCTGGGCACACAGTGCAAACTGTCAGTGGACCTACCATTCTTGGGTCTGGAAGATGGTGGCCCTCTTCTCACAGCTCCACTAGGCAGTGCCCCAGGGGGAACTGTGTGTGGGGCCTCAAACCCCACATTTTCCTTTCACACTGCCCTCCATGAGGGCCCCGCCCCTGCTGCAGACTTCTTCCAAGACATCCAGGCATTTTCATACATCCTCTGAAATCTACATAGAGGTTCCCAAACCTCAATTCTTGGCTTCTGTGCATCTGCAGGCTCAATGCCACGTGGAAGCTGCCAAGGCTTGGGGTTTGCACCCTCTGAAGCCACAATCCAAGCTGCATCTTGGTCCCTTTTAGCCACAGCTGGAGTGACTGGGACACAGGGCATTAAGTCCATAGGCTGCACACAGCAGGGGGGCCCTGGGCCCAGCCCACAAAACCATTTTTTCCTCCTAGGCTTCTGGGCCTGTGATAAGAGAAGCTGTCATGAAGGTCTCTGAGATGCCCTGGAGACACTTTCCCCATTGTCTTGGTGATTAATATTTGGCTTCTCATTACTTATGCAAATATTATGCAAATATCTGCAACTGGCTTGAATTTCTCCCCAGAAAATGGGTTTTTCTTTTCTGTTGCATTGTTGAGCTGCCAATTTTCCAAACTTTTATGCTCTGCTTCTTCTCAAACGCTTTGTCGCTTAGAAGTTTCTTCTGCCAGACACCCTAAATCATCTCTCTCAAGTTCAATGTTCCACAAATCTCTAGGGCAGGGGCAAAAGGCTGCCAGTCTCTTTGCATAGAAAGAGTGACCTTTACTCCAGTTCCCAACTAGTTCTTAATCTCCATGTGAGACCACCTCAGCCTGAACTTTATTGTCCATATCACTATCAGCATTTTGGTCAAAGCCATTCAACAAGTCTCTAGGAAGTTCCAAACTTTCCCACATCTTCCTATCTTCTTCTGAGCCCTCCAAACTGTTCCAACCTCTGCCAGTTCCAAAGTTGCTCCCACATATTTGGATATCTTTACAGCAGCACCCCACTCTACTGGTACCAATTTACCGTATTAGTCTGTTCTCATGCTGCTAATAACCTGAGACTGGGTAATTTATAAAGGAAAGAAGTTTAATGGACTCACAGTTCCACATGGCTGGGGAGACCTCACAATCATGGTGGGAGGCAAAAGATGAGCAAAGGCATGTCTTGGATGGTGGTAGACAAGAGAGCATGTGCAGGGGAAATCCCCTGTATAAAACCATCAGATCTTGTGAAATTTATTCACTTTCATGAGAACAGCATGGAAAAGATCTGCCCACATGATTCAATTACCTCCCACCATGTCCCTCCCATGATGTGGTAACTATGGGAGCTACAGTTCAAGGTGAGATTTGGGTGGGGACATAGCCAAACCATATCAGCAACCAAAAAATAAAAATAAATAAAGCAAAATGAATTTTAAAAAGGAAAAACACTCCAATTAGACCTGCAGGCATCAATCTGTGACTATTAGTGGTACTTTCTCTTACAGCTGCATTTCAAGGTGCTGCAGGAGGGAAGAAACAAAACTTGGTGAATCTGTGGCTGATGGATGACAGATGACTACAATAAGAAAAAAAGTTTATACATTCTCTTCTATCCATCCCTCACTGTCCACCCTCAGGGTCAGCCTAGCTACAGAAAGCTTGAGGAGGACAAAGCGCTGCTTCTGTGACCCAGCTGGTAAAGTGGGAAGGCAGACAATTCCTATTTCATTTTTTCAACTACACAATTTCCTCAAGTAGGTTACTAAACCTATTCTAAGTTCTGTACAATCTATTCTAAAATTATTCTACGTCTTCTAATTATAACATATAAAGACTCTCAAACAAATTTCCTTTTTGTAATTTAAAAGTCTAAGTTATACATGGACTGATATTTGTTAATATTAGGACCTGATGTGTTTCAGAGATAGTTTTTATCTTGCTTTCCTGTTATGTTTTGTTGTTTTTTAATTCCTGTAGTTAAACAGTGAGTAATTTAGGGTGGGAATATCTCTTAGTGGACTTCACAACAAGTAGTTTTGCTGGAAGCCTTTTTAAAAAGTATTTCGCCAGTAAAAATGTGACAGAATTAATTAATGTTTTGAGGACACGCTTAAACATTTCGACCTATAAGAACCTGTTTACTTTTTCTGTGGAATGTTAACAAAAGACAAAGTTATTATTTGAACAGGAAGGAATAAGGCACTTAAATATGATGATATATCTAGAAATAAGACAGCACATTTCATGAGAAACTGAAAAATAACAACATGGATACGTTGCAAATGATCTCAGAAATGTAGTGTAAACAAATAGGATGATAAGTGATCTATTAAAATAATCATATTATGATACTCAAAATGCTACCAGATTAATTCTACTCATTTTTTTCTAAATAGAATAGAAAAGAAAATGTGAGCATAAGAATTCATGATATTAAATTTCACCTTTTCAAAACTTAAGGATGAATTGTAGTTTGAGAATTTTCTGAAGGCTTAATAAATAATTATTTGTCTTTAAACTCAAAGTTGTTCCCTAATAGCTTTTCAAAGAACCATCTGATCTTTGATAGTACTTAGTCTTGGCTTATGAATAAGACAAAAACAGTTTTTGAGAAATGGAATATATTACATATGGGCCTGTGTGTGTTTGTGTGTGTGTGCATGCATACACTAGTTATAATGGAAACGTCCAGAATAAGGACAAAATTACTAATTGGGTTCTTAAATGGCATAACAATAGGCCTAAGATCCTTGAGAAAACTTGCTCAGAAGCTGCCAGGTTTCCAAGAAATCAACTAGGAAGTCTAAAAGCAAATGTGGGGAAATTCTAATGAAAAGTTCACTATCTAATCTAAGGTGATTTGAGTACTTCTACAGATGTTTATGAGGTTTTATTGCATACCAGTAAGGTTCATAAAACACATCACTTATACACACAATAACCATATGGGTCAAACTCTCTAAACTATCAAGTTATCATCAAGTTCAAAAAAATCGATTACTTACCTTGATTCAATACATTACTATGGATTCTATCTGGATGGGAAAGACTAAATACCGGGAAAGTAGCTAAAAAAGATACTACCAAGTTACTGACCTTTTTCTCTTCTCTCTAAAAGGCATTTAACAATACTTATATTTTTCAGTCAGGTAAGATGTTAGATTATGTATATTTTTATTTATACAAAGTGTTATGACCTTGGAATCTGAAAGAGCATTTTGGTATTTCTAAAAGTAAGGGGGAATGGGAACAAAAGGCACTCCTTACAGGTGTGCTTTAATCAATTACTTTCTGTCCTCTGGCTTTGGAAGGGAAGGTGGGATCCTGTTGGAGAACAGACCCCTCATCTTATCTAGTTCACTTCTTAAAGGTCTTTCCCATCTTTGAACTTCATGATTCCATGAAGACTTGCCTGAACTCAGATCACAACAAATTCAAATTGCGCAGGAAACAAGATGCCTTTCAGATGAGAATGACTCTTGCAGTCTGACTTTTACTCAAAAACAAAATGCAGAGTGTAAGACTTCCCAAGATCTCATTCAAAGATGTTTTGTCTACTATTAGCCTACATTCTGCAGACCTTTTTAAAAACTCTTTCTTTGATTGAGGAAAAGTTGCAATCTCCTCAAATCCACCATCAATGGCTGCATTAGAGCTATGGGTGAGCAGCTTGGACTAATGGGTTCACAAAACACTTATGGATTTTTATGAGCACTCCTTGTTCACTTGCCTCAGACTCTTCTGTCCCCAGGGATCACTGAAGGAGCAGGTTCACTGACAAACATTAGTTTGCTGGTGTGAATTAAAAAAAAACATTTTTGGTGTTATAGAGAGCAATTCCCCAACACTGTAAGCAATTCATTAGGGTTTTGGAATGGAGAAAACAAAATCCATGTTTTTCATAATTCTGAATATAACATATGGGAAAAAATAATAACAAATATATAAATTGTGAAACACAGATCCAGACATACTCTTTTATTTGGTGTTTATTTCTAAAATTATTTCCATTCTATCTAGTTATGATACTTTAAGCCCAGTGGAGAGGGGAAAAGCACAAACATGAAGTCATCACTACAGCAATGAGAATAATATAGCCCTAGTTGTTTGTTGATATGATTTCTAGAAGCTAAAAATGGAAAACAAAGCAAGAAGTTGTGGTTTATTTACAAATAGCTTATTTACATATGGACCTATTTGCTGCAAACTGCTGTTTGGTTCATATCAGTTCTAATTTGGTCAAATTCATTGTTAGAGTATCTCCTTATCTTACCTAGCTTACATTTACTACTAAACTTAATGATTTACCTTGATGATATTTACCCCTCCTGTTCTCTACCTCCACATGGTAAGGAGGTATTAAAGAGCTGAACCTGGACTATAGATGCCTTATAGCTGGGTCTTTCTCTCCTTGGCTTTGCCAGGCATGGCTTCTGCTCCTACTGCTTCTGTGACCCTCCTAGTTGCTGAAAGTTGGCCTGTTTCTTCAACCACATCCAACCCCACCAAAAAGTGTCAGGCTTTGTGCTAGGCTCCTGGTATAAAATAGTTTACAAAACAAACCCAACCCATACCTACATGAAGCCTAGACTGCAGTGAGGAAGAGAGACATTAGTCGAATATCACAAAAATAAATGTATAATTAAAAATTGTAATGAATGCTAAGAGGTAAGGGACACAGCACTGTGAGGATACATACCTGGGATGGACGGTAGGGAAGTTGAAGGGGTGAGAAATTTTAAGTAAAGGGTATAATTAGAAATTGATTTTCTGTAAAGCTATCAGAACTAAGTTTTTGGTGCCCCTCAATTTCTCAGGTCCCTGTCAAAGTTCTGTAATTAATTTTGTATTCATAATTTTTGTGTTGTTGTTATTACTCAAAACTGCCTCCAAAACTGAGTAAGTTTTAGGTCCACATGACCTGGATTCACCTTAGGCGCAATGTGTACAAAGGTCTTATGATGTGAGGGAATGTAATGCATTCAAGGAAAAGTTTAAAAGTCCATTGTGGGTGGAGTGCAAAGAGAGTTGGTGTAAGATGGGACTGGAAAGTAAACAGGTGGCAGGCCATCCCTCTACGGTGTAGCAAGGATTTCATTCTTTATCTGCGTGGCAAGGACAACCCACTGACACTCTTTTAATTGAAATAATTATTGAGATAATTATATATTCACAAGCAGTTGTAAGAAATAATAGAGGATTAGTGTACCCTTTACCCATTTCCCCCAATGAGAATATTTTGCAAAACTTTCATACAATATTACAACCAGGATATTGACATTGATACAATATACCCATCCTATTCAGATTTCCCAGTTTTATTTATACAACTTTGAGCCTGTGTTTGTGGATTTAGGTCTATATAGAGTCCCTTCTTATCTGGAGTTTCACTTTCTGAGGTTTCAGTTACCCATAGTCAACTGTAATCCAAAAATATTAAATGGAAAATTCCAGAAATGAACAAGACATAAGTTTTAAATTGCACACTGTTCTGAGTAGCATGATGAAATCTTGCACCACCCTTCTCTGTCCTGCACAAGATGTGAATTATCCTGTGTATACATGCTGCATATGCTACCCACCTATGGTCACTTAGCCTTCTTGGTTATCAGATCAACTGTCACAGGATCACAGTGCTAGTGTTCAAGTAACCTTTAATTTGATTAATAATGGCCTCAAAGTGCAAGAGCAGTGATGCTGGTATATTGTTAGAATTGTTCTATTTTAATATTAGCTATTATAGTTAATCTCTTACTGTGACTAATTTACACATTCATCTTTATTATAGGTATGTGTGTATAGGCATGTATTACTCCATTTTTCTATTGCTATAAAGAAATAACCTGAGACTGGGCAATTTATAAAGAAAAAGAGGTTTAATGGGCTCACAGTTCCACATGGCTGGGGAGGCCTCATGATCATAGCAGAAAGTGAAGGAGGAGCAAGGGCATGTCTAACATGGCAGCAGGCAAGACAGCGTATGCAGGAGAGCTGCCCTTTATAAAACCATCAGATCTTCTGACGCTTATTCACTATCAGGAGAATAGCATGAGGAAAAGCCGCCCCCATGATTCAATTATCTCTCATTGGGTCCCTCCCATGACATGTGGTGATTATGGAAGCTACAATTCAAGATGAGATTTGGGTGGGGACGAAGCCAAACCATATCAAGGCAAATGCATAGTATATGTAGAGTTCGCGATTATCCACAGTTTTGGGCACCCATTGGGCATCTTGGAATATATGCTCTGCAGATAAGGGGGGACTACTGTACAATTTTGTCACATATATAGGTTCATGTATTCATCACCTCAGTGAAGATACTAAACATTTTCATCACCTCAAGGATCCCTCATGTGGCCCTTTAATAATCAAATCTTCCTCCCTTCAGCTTCCTCATTGTTATCACTAACCAATGTCATCCATTAATCTGTGAATACACCTGGTCCTGGACTTTTTTTTGTGGTAATTTTTTTATTGCCCTTTCAATCTTGCTGCTTGTTAGTGGTCCGTTCAGGGTTTCTAATTCTTTCTGATTTTAGCTAGGAGAGTTGTATCTTTCCAGGAATTTATGCATCTCCTCTAGGTTTTCTGGTTCATGTGCATAAAGGTGTTCATAGTAACCTTGAATAATCTTTTGTATTTCTGTGGTGTCAGTTGTAATATCTCCCATTTCATTTTTAATTGCCCTTATTTGGATCGTCTCTCTTCTTTTGTTCGTCAATTCTGCTAATGGTCTATCAATTTCATTTCTCTTTTCAAAGAACCAGTTTTTTGTTTCATTTATATCTTGTAATTTTTTTGTTTGTTTGTTTCAATTTCATTTAGTTCTGCTCTGGTCTTGGTTATTTCCTTCCTTCTTGTGGGTTTGGGTTTGGTTTGTTCTTGTTTCTCTGGTTCCTTGAGGTGTGACCTTAGATTGTCTATTTGTGCTCTTTTGGACTTTTTGAGCTAGGCATGTAAGGCTATGAACTTTCCTCTTAGCACCACCTTTGCTGTATCCCAGAGGTTTTGATAGGTTGTGTCACTATTATAGTTCACTTTGAAGAATTTTTTAATTTCCGTTTTTATTTCATTGTTGACCCAAAGATCATTCAGAAGCAGGTTATTTAATTTCCATGTATTTGCATGGGTTTGAAGGTTCCCTTTGGAATCGATTTCCAGTTTTATTCCACTGTGATCTGAAAGAGTATTTCATATAATTTCAATTGTCTTAAATTTATTGAGACTTATTTTGTGGCCTATTATATACTCTATCTTGGAGAAAGTTTCATGCACTGATCAATAGAATGCATAATCTGTGGTTGTTGGGTAGAATGCTCTATAAATATCTGTTAAGTACATTTGTTCCGGGGTATAGTTTAAATTCATTGTTTCTTTTTTGACTTTCTGTTTAGAGATCTTCCTGCCTCAGCCTCCAGAGTAGTTAGGCTTATAGGGGTGCACCAGCATGCCTGGCTTTTCTGAGAGGTTTTTTATTTTATTTTATTTTTTGTCATAAAGAGATGTAGAATGTTGTTAAATGCTTTACGTCTATTTCTTGAGAATATTGTATGGATTTACCTTTATTCTGCTAATATGGTTAGAATTACATGAATTGATTTTGAAATGTTAAATCAGCCTTGTTCCCTGGAATAAACACTGCTTGGTCATAGAGTATTATCATTTTTTGTATATTGCTAAATTCAATTTGTTAGTATTTTATTAACAATTTTTGCATCCATGTTCATGAGACATATTGCTTTATAATTTTCTTTTCCTGCAATATCTTTGTCTGGTTTTGATACCAAGATAATACTGGTCTAATAACATGAGTTGAAAAGTCCTCCTTCCTCTATTTTCTGAAAGGTTTCGTGTAAAATTGCTATTATTTTTTCCCTAACTGTTTGATAAAGTTCTTTGCTGAATCTATCTGTAGTTGTATTTGTGGGAACATTTTAGTTACAAATACAATCTTTTAATAGTTATGAGCTTATTGGAGCTATTTCTCTTTGAGTCAATTTTGTTCATTTCTGTCCTTCAAGAAATTGGCCATTTAATCCAAATTATCAAATTTATTGGCAAAAAGTTCTGATTATATTCTTTTATTATCCTTTTAATGTTGGTAGGATTTCTGGTGATCCCTTCTTTTATTCCTGATATTGATAATTTATGTGTATTTTGTCCTTGATCAGTCTAGCTAGTGATTGATCAAGTTAATGGATTTTTTTAAAAAAAGAAACAGCTTTTATTTTCATTCACTTTATGCCTTCCAATTTATTCTTTTCTTTAGTTATTTTTGTTATTCCCTTCTTTTAATTTGCTTTGTTATATTTTATTTTTCTTCTTTAGTCTTCTTTTTCCATTTTAATTGTAAGGATAGGTCACTGATCTTTCCTAATATAAGAAGTTGAACTATAATTTTTCCTGAGAGCGCTGAATTAGCTGAATCTAACGCATTTTTATATGCACTTTTATTTTCATTCAACTCAAAACATTTTGTAATTTCCTTTGTGATTTCTTCTTTGATCTGCTGATTATATAGAAGTATGTTATTTATTTTCCAAGTCTTTAGGATTTTCAAATATCTTTCTCTTATTCATTTACTTAATTTAGTATGATTAGAGGATATGTGCTCTATAATCTCAATCTTTTAAAATTGCGTGTTTGTTTTATGGCCTAGCATTTGGTCTATCTTGCTGAATACTGAATATATGCATTAGATGAATGTGTGTTCTGCTGTTGTTGGGTGGAGTGTTCAATAACTGCAAGTTAGGTTGGATTAGAAGACAGTGTTGTTTAAGTCTTCTATAGTCCTACTGATTTTTTTTTTTTTCTACTGGTTCTATCAGTTCCTAGAAGAGAAACGTTGAAATCTCCAACAATAATTGTGGATTTGTCCATTTTTCTTTCGTCCACATTTGTTTCTTGAAACCGAATCTTGAAGCTCTGTTATTAGGTGAACATACACACATTTAGGAGAGTTTTTCTTCATTCATTGATCCTTTTACCTTTATGAAGTTTTCTTTTGGTCTCTAGCAATACTCCTTTATCTTTAAATCTGTTTGGTTTGACACTAATATGAGCATTCCAGCTATGGTTCTTGTTTACAGGAGAATATTTTCCATTTATAGGTTTAACATACTTTTGTCTTCATATTTAAATTGCATAAATTACTAAATAACATATAATTGGGTTTTGTTTTTATATTCAACCTGAAAATATTAATCCCTTTCTACGAACTGGAGTTTTTAGACCACACAGAGCTAATGAATCATTAGTATGGTTGAGTTTGTTTACCGTCTTGCTGTTTTCTATTTTTCTCACTTGCTTTGTTGTTCTAGTTTTCTTTTTCCTCTTTTCCTGCCTTTTCTCAGACTAATATTTTTTCATAATTCCACATTTTCTGCACTATTCTTTATTAGGTGGATAATGTTTTTCTTTTTTAAGTTATTGCTTTAGGATTTATAATATGTGTACATGTTTAAATTATCACAGTCTCCTTTTAATTAGAATTATGCTAACATATATAACATATAAATTCAAGAATATAATTTCATTTTCTCCTTCCTTGTGTTACAATTTTCTTACAATTTACATCTACATATGTTTAAAAACAAAATATAGTACTATCTTTTTTTTAGTTGCAATGAATCCTATGGTTAAGTGTAGATTTAATTTTTTAAGAAACTGCCAAACTGTTATACTAAGTAGATGTGACATTTTACATTCCTACTGGCAATACATGAGGGTTCCAGTTTCTCTACATCTTTGCCAACACTTGGAATTGTCAGCCTTTCAATTTAGGACATTTTAATGTGTGTATAGCAGTATTTAGTGGTGTTTTATTTTTTACCTGTATTTTCCTAATGACAAATGATGTTGAGTATTTTTTATGAGCTTGTTAGCCATTCATATGCCTTGTTTTATGAAATGTCCAAATCTTTTGCTTATTTCTTAACTGGGTTCTTGGTTTTCTTAATGAGTTACAAGAGTTCTTTATACTACATATATTTATATATACATATGTACATATACATATATATATTCTTTGTCAGACAGATGTTTTGCAAATATTTTTTCCCATTCTGTAGCTTTCTTTTTCATTTTCTTAACAGTATCTTTTTGAAAGTAAAAGTTTTAACTTTGAAGTCCAATTCATAAATTTTTTTATTTGTGGTTTATGATTATGTCTTATCTAAAAATCTTTGCCTAGTCCAAGGTCATAAATATTTTCTCCTATGTTTTCTTCTAAAAATTTCATAGTTTTAGTTTCTATATTTAGGTCTATGACCTATTTTGAATTTTTGTGTGTGTATGGTTTAATGAAAGGGCCTAGATTCATTTTTCCCTTACAGATATCCAGTTATTTCAGCATAATTTACTGAAAAGTCTATCTTTTCTCCATCAAATTTTTATACCATTCTTGAAAATCAATTGACTGTGTGTAATTGTTGTCCTATTTCTGGACTGTCATTGCTGTTCCATTAATCTAAATGTCTATTCTTTGCTACTATTGTACTGCCTTGATTACTGTAGATTTATAAACCTTGAAATCAGATGGTGTAAGTCCACCATGTTTATTATTTAAAAAATTGTTTAGAGATTGTAGATCCTTTGAATTTCCATGTAAATTATTCAGTAAGCTTGTCAATTTTAATTGCATTCATTTTTGGAAGGCATTTTTACTGGATATGGAAGCATAAGTTGACACCTTCTTTGGTCAGCATTTTAGAGAGCTAAACCTATTGTCTTTGAATTTGCATAATTTCTGACAAGCAATCTGATGTGATTTTTGTCTTTGTTTCTCTGGATGCTATGTGTCTTTGTTCTCTTGCTAATTTTAAGACTCCCTTTTTGACAGCTTTTCAGCAGCTTGATTCTAATGAAACTTGGCAAGGTTTTATTTATGCTTATTTTACTTGGACTTTATTTTGCCTTTTCTATCTGTGAATTTATAGTTTTTTAAATTAAATTTGGGAAAATTTTCGCCATTTCTTTTTAAAATATTTATTCTGTTTCTTTCCTTCTTCTGGAATTCCAATTGTACTTACATTAAGACACTTGATATTTTCTCATAGGTCAAGAGAGATGAATCTTTTTCAGTCTTTATTTCTCTGTGCTGCATTTTGGATACTTTTATCACTACATCTTTATGTGCCATAATACTGCCTTCCACAGTATCTAAATATGCTGTTTATCCCATGCAGCAAATTTTTCATTTCAAAAATTGTTTCATTTTTGTCATTAGTATTTCCATTTGGGTCTTTTTTATGTTTTCCATTTCTGTCCTCATTTTATTCAGGATTTTATATATATATATATTTCATATATATATGATGCTATATATATATATTTCATATATATATGATGCTATATATATATTCAGATATATATATATCAGATATATATGTATATATACCCCATATATATATTTGGTATATATATTTCTATATATATATATATGATGATATATAGAGCTATACATATAGCAGCATATATAGATACATATTTTTACACATAGATGTAAAATAAAACAAGATAAAACAATAAAACAAAGCATTAACAGACAAGAACTTTAAAATAGCACAAAACATGTATGATTTTTGCCATCTTTTTAATTTTGGGTTTATTCTATTGACTGACTTTTCTTCAACATATGATTCTCATTTTCCTGCTTCTTCACATATGGAGGAATTTTTTTCCTGGATGTTGTACATTGTAGTTTTACATTTTAGGGTGCTGTGTTTTGTTATATCTTTTAGTGTGGATCTAGATAACCTTTACTGTAGTGCTCTTTTAGCCTCACTTTTAATGAGAGGTTCTTCTAGGTTTCTGCTACATGCATCATATATTCATGAAAGTCTCTTCACTTTGGCTTGTGGGAATTCAGATGATTCCCAGACCTTTGTAAGCTCCAGGGATTGTTCAGCTTACAGCTCCTTCATAGTTGTTTCTCTCTCTGAAATTGCTCACATCCAGTGATGTCTTTGTAGATTGACATTCAGCCGAAGACTCAATGGAATTCCTATGAAGCTTCCTGGAACACTTTTTCTGCATAACTTCTTCCTTCTCAGTAATCTGCTCCACAAATCCTAACTGCCTTACCTTCCCCAGATGCCTATTTCTCTCTCCTCAACTCACTGACATCACCAAGCTTTGTTTGGATTTCTCTTCCTAGTGCATGCTGCAATGGAAATTAACTGCAGGTAGAAAGTCTGGGCAAAGGTATGGCTCAACTCATTTGTTTCTCTTTCCTCAAGGTTCACCGTCTCATGCTACCTACTATCAAGTATCATAAAACAGTTATTTCCTCAACTTTGTCTAGTTTTCTAGTTGTTTATGGATGAAGGGTGATTATGTATCCCCATTATCTCCCGTGGCCAAACTCTGACATAATTTAGAATGGAGTTTCATTTTAGAAAATCCTGTCATACTCATAGGCATGGGCAAAGACTTCATGACTAAAACACCAAAAGTGATGGCAACAAAAGCCAAAATTGACAAATGAGATCTAATTAAACTAAAGAACTTCTGCACAGCAAAACTGTCATCAGAGTGAACAGGCAACCTACAAAATGGGAGAAAATTTTTGCAATCTATCCATCTGACAAAGGGTTAATGTCCAGAATCTACAAGGAACTTAAACAAATTTACAAGAAAAAAAAACCCCATCAAAAAGTGGACAAAAGATATGAACAGACACTTCTCAAAAGAAGACATTTATGTGGCCAAGAAATGTATGAAAAAAAGTTCATCATCACTGGTCATTAGAGAAATTCAAATCAAAACCACAATGAGATACCATCTCACACCAGTTAGAATGGCAGTCATTAAAAAGTCAGGAAACAACAGATGCTGGAGAGGATGTGGAGAAATAGGAACGCTTTTACACTGTTGGTGGGAGTGTAAATTAGTTCAACCATTGTGGAAGACAGTGTGGCAATTCCTCAAGGATCTAGAACCAGAAATTCCATTTGACCCAGCAGTCCCATTACTGGGTATATACCCAAAGGATTATAAATCATTCTACTATAAAGACACATGCACACGTGTGTTTATTGCAGCACTATTCACAATAGCAAAGACTTGGAACCAACCCAAATGCCCATATGTGGTACATATACACCATGGAATACTATGCAGCCATAAAAAAGGATGAGTTCATGTCCTTTGCAGGGACATGGATGAAGCTGGAAACCATCATTCTCAGCAAACTAACACAGGAAGAGAAAACCAAACACCGCATGTTCTCACTCATAAGTGGGAGTTGAACAATGAGAACACATGGACACAGGAAGGGGAACATCACACACCAGGGCCTGTCAGGGGGTAGGGGACTAGGGAAAGGATAGCATTCAGAGAAATTCCTAATGTAGGTGATTGGTTGATGAGTGCAGCAAACCACCATGGTA
Organism: Homo sapiens; assembly: GCF_000001405.40. NCBI lineage: Eukaryota > Metazoa > Chordata > Mammalia > Primates > Hominidae > Homo > Homo sapiens. Next base: position 119,699,116 of record NC_000004.12, on the reverse strand, counting down.
CGTGTATACTTATGTAACAAACCTGCATGTTCTGCACATGTATCCCAGAACTTAAAGTATAATACAAAAAAAGAAAATCCTGTCATACTTTTGAAATATAAAAATAAAATTGAAATGTACCTTCAGCTGTAAAAATAATAAAAAGCATTTATTATTTGATCTCATAATCTCTGGAGTCCAATTCCTTCTACTAGCCAGCAAAGTGAATAAAATTGACCAAGTAAAATTATAATAACTGAGGTTGTTTTGATTTTAAAATATTTGGGGGAGGAAACCAGTCAACATAAATTAGTCACAACTGTTTCTCCACCACTACAGAGTCTCTCCTAACTCTCTTTCCTCTATAACTGACATTGGGGTCCCAGTCAGCATGGTAGCAAAGAGAGAGACCTTTGGTCCATGCGCTGTCTTTTGCTGGGATTTTCCCTTCCCTCTCTCATCTTGGATATCCTACACCAGTGCCTTCTGAGGTCTGACTAGTCTGGTCCTGTCCTGTGTTTTTGAGATGTCATCTGTGGATGCCTCTGGATCTTGTCATGCTCCCTAGTTCTAAAGTCCCTATAGTGGCTTTTGTCTGCTCTACTGATTATCTAAATCTTTTGTCTGCTCTACTGATTACCACCCTTGTGGGTGACCCTGCAGCCATCAGCTGATTTTCCTCACCATGACATAGAATGCAGAATTCTTTCTGGTGGCCTTGAAACACTTCCTCAGGCATTGCTCTTCTGCCTAGAGGCTACATAGTACCAACACCAGTCTAAATGCAGGGCTTTGCTAAAGAGTTTACCACATTCCCCCTTCTCTCTCCCAAGGGCACTAGTATCCAAATAGGTGAGTCAAGTCACTCATAACTATAACTCTCCCATTCTCTTTCTCTAGTTTCTAAATTCTACTTCCCTTAGTGAAAGGGAATTCTCCTTTCTTGTCATAAAGAAACTTCCCCTGCAATATAGTCTCAGTTTTCTTTATGCTTTAGCGTCATGTAAATACAATACTCTAAGACTTGAAAGAACCAAGCCCACGCTTTTGAATGTAAAGGGAAATATGGGGGATTCATAAAACGCTTTTGTTCTTTAACAAAGAGTAGCTTTATGACTAGTCTTGCAATCGATTAAAAAATGTCAGCCTGGGGACTCAGAGAAGAATAAAAGACCTGTTTGTTCTGTATCTACCCTCACCCTGAATCAATACATGCCATTCACCAGGTGATTGATTCAACAAATGAGGCAGCTACCATACACCTACGGACTAAGGAACAAAAAATAAAGAAAACACTGATTTAATACCTGAAAAATATTATTTTTTACCTTTTCTATAGTAAATCTTTGCATGAGGATTGACTTCCATCATATCCTTCTCTTTTCTCCTAGCATTCACATGGCCTAGTTGTAAAAAGTAGTAAGATCTAAGATGCATAGATTACGTGAGGTATGTCAGGCACTGCTCTCATTGCTTTAAACTCATTTAATCCCCACAACAATGCAGTATGGGTTATCGTTACCCTCATTTTACAGAATGGAAAGCTGAGGCCCAGAGAGATTAAGTAACTTGCTCAAGATCACACAGACACTTTATCTTGGTTAAATTAGTGGATCTTTAATCCTCAGCATTTTCAGCTATAAAGTAAGGATAACAATTACAATAATATAAATGAAGTATTATGTATAGTATTTCAGCAAAATCTTCCCAGATGCAGATGGCCTGGGTTCAAATTCTATGTTTCTGAGTTACTGTCTGGTAACCCTGGGTTCCCTGACCTCTCTGTACCTCAACTGTAAAGCAGGAAAGATGATAAGTATATTTTCCTCTGAAGATTATTATGGGGATAAAATAAATAAACATAAGACTTGAACCAAAGCCTAGTACACAGCAAATTATCAATAAATGTTACTGTTTTCAAAGGCCCACCCTACCTTATCAGAAATCCTGGTGGCAAGGTGAATTTTGGAATTTGGACTATTGTACACAAGGGATAGAGTCCACATGGAATTATGGAGTATTACCCCAGTGAGGTCACAGAAAACACCATGACCAAATATTAAGATTTTTGCCTCAAAATGCATGAATATTCACTCTAAGTGAGATAAATAAAGACTAAAAACACCCTCTGGCAGTTCAGTTCAGGTTTTGCTACTGAATCAATCATTGCAAAATGTAAGTTTTCAGAGGCTTTTTATTTTAGAATTTCAGATGGGGTATTTGGGGCTGTATTATTTTATATTATGAGAATTTAAAAAGGTGACCTATGTAAGCCAAGCTAAGCACAATGCCTGGCATATAATAAGCTCTTCATAAGTGTGCATTTGCCATCGATTTTGAAATTAATACCATTAGCATTAGCATTATATTAAATTCACAATATAGCTACAGTTAAAACAGCATCTTCATTGTTATTTTACATATTCTCCTAGTCATTTCCCCAGATGACTTCCTGTAAAAGTTTTCAGATTTCCTTATTCTATCATATTTTTGCCTGGGCATGAATCTCATCTATCCCCTTTATTTCATTTGCCTTACTTGGTGACCAGTCCCTTATTTGACTCCCCAGCCTTGTCTCTGTGATAGGATCAGTCACAGTTAAGGAAACAGCATAGTCTCATAGTAAAAAGGAAGAAAGAAAGAATATAATAATGGCTGTCATTTATTGCACATTTGCCCTGGGATCTGTGCTAGACACTTTATATAATTCTCCCATTTAATTCTCCCCACTACTTAATAAAGCAGGTATTATCACTCTTATTTTACAGATTGAGAAACTGAGACACAGAGAGATTAGATGATTTGCCTAAGGACTTTAGGAAGAAGTCCTTGAATTTGTTCGTGTGCTTTTTTTTTTTTTTGTCCACTTCTATGAGAAAAGATCTTAGTTTATTTACATTTTCTAAAAGATACACACAGTTGCAAGGTTTAAGAACCACTGAGACTATAGATGTTGTAAAAATACTTGATATTTGTGCAGACTAATGGGTGCTCTTGATTCCCAATTCAGATGGGATTTATTTACAAGTATCCCCCTCAGACCTAGGCAGTGTAGCTCCTAGGGCACTCAGCAAAGAGAGGGATTAAAAGACATCCCCAACAATAACACTTTGCCTATCAGAACCACAATTGCAGCCTTGGCTACTTAGACCACTTTCAGCATTTTCCCCACAACTTCTATTTCATTCACTCCCTAAATCTGATTGTATACTCTCTCCAATCAGTCTCCTCACCAGATTAAAATCTCCTTTTAAACCAGAGGCCATGTCTAATTCCTCTTTCTATCCATCCCCAAACTACAATGTTTTACACATTGTGACTTCTTAATATGCTTTTGATGAAACAGAACTAAAGCTGTATCTCAAGGGATATCTCAGATGGGCATTTCAACCTCAGTTGTGTCATTTCTCACAATAAGGACACGATTGAAAGATTAAAATTCAGCTAAGGCTTTTACCTTTCTCTGAGCTCCCAGAAAGTGAGGACTCTAAGATTTCTTGTCAAATAACTGTAAAAGAAAATTTTAAACAGAGTATTTCCTTAGGCTAATATCTGCTTAATTACTCCTATCTACCAGTCTCTGAGATCAAAAAATGTACTCTGTTTTTCCTCTAGTCCCGATATGTGTGAGTTTTGTTTGTTTATTCATTCATGTATTTATTTTATTTCTTAGAGACAGAGTTTTGCTCTATGACCAAGCTGGATGATAGTGGTGTGATCATGGACTGGAGTGTGGTGGTGCAATTCTATTTCACCGGGCTGAAGCACTCCTCCTGCCTCAGCCTCCCAAGTAGCTAGGATTATAGGTGTGCACAACCATCCTTGGCTAATTAAAAAAAAAAAATTATTTTTGTAGAGACAGGGTCTTACTATGTTGGCCAGGCTGCATGTGTGAGGTTTAGATGTATAGAAGTCAGTGGTGGATAGAAACTGTCAAAACCCAAGCCAATTCAATAATTTTTTTTTTTTTTTGAGATGGAGTTTCACTCTTGTTGCCTAGGCTAAAGTGCAATGGCACAATCTCAGCTCACTGCAACCTTCACCTCCTGGGTTCAAGCTATTCTCCTGCCTCAGCCTCCTGAGTAGTTGGGATTGCTGACATGCACCACCGCACCTGGTTAATTTTGTATTTTTAGTAGAGACGGGGTTTCTCCATGTTGGTCAGACTGGTCTCAAACTTCCGACTTCAGGTGATCCGCCCACCTCGGCCTCCCAAAGTGCTGAGATTACAGGCGTGAGCTACCACGCCTGGCCGCCAATTCGAGAATTTTTAAAAAATAATAATAACACAGACAATCCCCCTCATTTCTGTATTTTCTCATATAGCTTTTCTATGAAACATACATATAAAAATGATAGAATAAAAGCTTAGTTATAATGATATGACTTCATCTCAATCGTCTGTGGAACATGGACGATAAAATTATTTGAGTCTTTCCGTTCTCCAGAAATGATCTTTGTCCCTTTTCCTTCAGTAAGGAGTTTGTTTGCGTGAAAGTATGAGTCTTTATAATACACTGGCACTATTCTTTTTGCTTTCTTTGAAGACAATAAACACTCAAATTTATGTTTCCGTATTCATTGAAGTATTTGCTGGAATCTCATGTTCACATGGAGAAATTTAGGGGCAGAAGAAAGTAGAGGGTGGGAAAGTTCAGGAACGTGTCTTACCTGTTTTTAATTAGACCACAACTCACAGATCAATGAAAATAGAAGTGTTTCAAAAGATAATTTTTATATAACTGAGAAAATGTCAGTTGTCTACATGGAAAAAGTATTATGAAATCTTGTGGAGCGGCTGTAGGAAGAGGCAGGGCACTAAAAGAGGCCCTCAAGCCTCTGTTTGGTGTTACCACTATTTATATGGTATTTGATGTGTCAAACCATATGACCCCTCTATTGAAAAATGTGAATAAATTTTGCATTTTTAGTTAATAAGCATTGAGAAATAGAAGGTGTTTCTTTTTATTCTTTCTTTTTTCTGTTTCTTAAGGTGATATCTATTTACCTCACTACATATTCTGGGTACCACAAAGATACCAGAGATTTCAAAATAGAAAATGTACGCCTAGCCTTAACATTGGCCCGTAAAACTCCTCAAATTGCATCTTGTAACTCTTTTTCAAGTGAGTCCATTGAAAAGGTAATATCAATTTAATCTTACATAGTTTTTGTTTTTATAATGAAATACTCCCAAAAATCTGAGAAAATTCTTAGTTTTTTCTTTATCTGAGAACCCATTCTATAATAATAATACACTTGATCTTAGCCAAAAGGCCAAGAAGCGATCTATAGTAATAATAGACACATACTGACATATTTCTTAATTTCTGAATAAAAAACTAAAACTTGGAATAGTGAAATCAATTTTCTAAAGTCACTCAGTAAAGGACAAAAATTTTGGAGAAAAAGAGTTTCTTTTCACTTTACAAATAGTAAATCCAACTGAAGTTAAAGAATTTTTTAAAAATGTAACAAAGTTTAGTTTCTGTTTCATCCTGTGTGCAGTAAACATTAAACTCTAAAACTCAGATATATTCACTTTAATTTTCTAAAATAGATCTATCAATGTTAAATATTCAGATTGTTACACACTTGTTTGCATATCAACTTTTAAATTAAATTTTTATTACAAAGCTAATAAAAAAAGAAAAGAGGGAGCATTAACAAAAAAAAAAAAAAAGTGGTACATTCTAGTTTTCCAGTTGAAAGGAAGAGCACTTCCTTTTCTCATGACAACAGAAGCTCCCTGGATAGTTGGTTCACATCTGATTAGAATTTGTTTCTCCCTCCAGCAGAACAGTTATGTTGCTTCTCCCAGCAGCTGATTGGGTCAGTCCTCCTCAGGGTTCTCAGCTGACCCCAGGTTATTACATTCCCAAGGCTGAAGACTTTCCTTTTTTCCAGTACTTAAACTTCACTTCTCTCTTTAGACATGCAGGCTCCTTCTTCTGAGAGGTAATGTAGAAAGACTGCTGAATTATGGCTCTTTCAAACTGAACACTGATCTGTTCTCTCTCTTTCATTCCTGGGAATAAATGGAGAAAGATATGTTTAATTCCTGATGTGACTTTGACCTCTATTGTCTCAGTTAATAGAATGGACATTTGAAATTTTGCACTAAAAAAATTGTTACAGTTATTTTATTTCAGCTTTATTTCAAGAAAGCAAGCATGCCATTGTATTGAAAATTGTAAATAACATTGGAAAATAAAGGAATCATTGAACAAGAATTAAGTCACTAACCCAGTTTATTTTTAATACTATAGATATAGATTCTACAAAAGAATGACATACTTCCCTAGTTTACATAGGAATGGACTAAGATGTGTTTGGTGAGGGGTCATTTTTGTGGCTTACAACTCTGGAGGGTTATTTTTGCAGCCTGTGGAACCAGACTGGAGAAATAAAGCTGAAGGTACACTGATGTCTAAATTCCATTGATAACTTTTAAGCAAAAAATAACAGTAGAGTGAGCTGTGGAAATAGTAGTGGAAGAGAGAGGATGCTTCAAGAAAAATATTCACATAATTATTTAATATTGAGCTGATCAAACAAAATAAGATTGTGAGCCATTTTCTTCTATGGAAGAAAAAAAAAGATGTTCGCATTCTTAAATTTTCTTTTCAACTGAGTCCAAGTATGAAGAGACTAAGGCTGGCTGAATCTTCCAGTAATTCTCCTTCGGAGAAAGCTTCAGTGAGGAATTAAGAAAACCAATATTAGGGAAAGGAAGCTATTTTGATAGGAATGTGGAAAGCTAGGGAGAAGGAGACAAGAATATAAAACAAAGTCAAAAAGGGAAATACTTCCAAAAATCTAAATTTCTTCTCCTTTGCTAGCCATTTCCACCTCTGACTCAACTCTGACAAATTAAATGCAGTGGTTTTTAACCAAGCATAAGCATTGGAACTACTCATGGAGCTCTGGCACCACACAGCTGCCACGATGTCACCCTAGGCTTTCTAAATCAGAATCTCTGGAGGTGGGGCATGGGCATGGGTCATTTTAAAATAAGTTCCATCAGTTGTTCTGAAGCATACTACTTTTCTAGTGTAATCCCCATTTACCCCAGGCCTCACCACCCTGTGTTTACAAACAGAACCACAATACAGCATAGCTCAATCTCATGGCCCTATGTATAATTGCAGAGTCTCATTTATATATTTCTGTAGTCCCCAGATAGATAGAACAGAGTTGGCAAGAACTCCTCCCAGATCTTTCTGCCTGGCATCCCTTGTTGAGGGCTAGCAGAAACACTTGAGAATGGTTCTGAACATTAGCTCCCTGTTCATAGTACCAACACCTATCCTGGTGCAAACCTAAAGTGCAAACCCTCAAGTTGAAACAACATTTATCACTTCAGAACCAGGCTGTATTATCCCCAGATACGGTGAAAATGGTGCTCTTCCCTAACCTGTATCCTGCTTCATCCCTTTAGCCCCTAAGCCACATGATAGGTGACTCCATGCCTGGGAAAACGGAATCTTCAGTGTCCTCCTGTAGCCCCTGCCTCCATCAGGGTTCAGACTGAGACCATGAGACCCATCAGTAAAGGAGAGAGCCTCTTGTCCGTTCATATCCCTTTCCATCTCTACCCCCACACACCCTTTTATTTGAAGACACTTTCCTACTTATGTAAATTATTTCACACAAATCACCTCTTTGAGCTTTTAGCTGCACCTTTTTATCAAACACACACCAAAATTTAAAAATCCCAGTTTAAACTCAGGTGATATCCTTATTACACATTATTCTTCTAAAATAATACCCTTTCTTTCAATGTACCAAAATCTAGCTAAGTCTAAGGGGATCACATATGTCAGGTTCAAGCCCCAGCTGAGGTCTGAGGGGAGTAGGTAGATGGGGCACAGTGAGCTAGAAGAACACTCAAGAGACAGCAGGTAGATGAGACATGGCTTTATTCAGCAGCTCCTTCACAGTGTCAGTGTTACATTTATACACCTCACAAACCACAGTGGCTGAGAACCAGGTGATGAGCTTCTCTATGTTATGTCTACATAGCTGTGATTATATAAAACATGGGAATGTGCACCTGCACTCCAATCCTGCTGAGTCATGCAGGATGTTTACCTCTGCCTATGCCCGCCTGGCTGCAGCAAAGCCTTTTTCCTTACAACATGGTCTTAGATCAAGTGAGTTGATAAATGTCAACCTCTACAGCTATCTAGAAAATGCAGTTAGCATCTGCATTTTCAAACTCAAGGCTCAAGAACCCTTGGGATTGCCATGTGGATGAGGGGAGAAAAAAAGGGGTTGAGTGGGCATTTGATAGAATATGTATTCCCAGATCTACAATCCAAAAAATAAAACCTATTTGAAAAATTCCCTGTATCATGGCGGCAGTTCACAATCTCCTTCCCCATCCTTTGCTCCCTGCCTCATTTCCACTTCCCAAATCCTCTTGTTAGGATTTTTCATCTTTGCAAATGACTCCACCATCCAGCCAGTTCTTCCAGCCAAACACTGGTTGTCAAATGTGGCTTTCTTCTCTTTCTCCTCTCCTCTGACAACAAATCTATAACCAAGTCCAATCAGTTCTATACTCTAAATTTCTACTGATTTTCTTTCTTTCTCTTCATCTCAACTGACTCTAATCCAGGCTGACATCCTGACTTGCTGAGACTAATGCAATAAGCCACAGCTGGTTTTCTCATATCTGCATTTATACCCTGAAAATGTTTTCTCTGGTACAATCAGAGTAATTTTTAAAAATATGTGCTTCCTCTGCCCTTAAAAATCTTAAAATCTTCCTAAATTCTCTTAACATCAGAGTTTTCAACTATAAGTTGGGGATAATGATTCCTAAATTGATGTTTATTGTAAGAATTTGAAAGATTATAAAATACATGTATAGAGAATATGTATATAAAAAGCCTAATGCTGTACTTCGCTTGGCATATGTCAGAAGGTATTATGCTTATCTTTTTTCTTTCTAAGGCAGCCAAAGACATGGGACTCAATGGAGAAACAAAGTTCATTTTAGCTCTAAACTTCTATGATTCTACATTATGCAAAGAAGCTGGGATGTACCTAAATTTTAAACTTGATGTCCTTTTTTGGGGGGTTTTCCATTGGTAATAAAATTTGGAACCAGAGGGACACAAATATGACTCATATAAGGTTATGTCAAAGGTGATAAAAGTCACACTTTTCTTCATACCTCGCTCTGCCAGCCCCAGCTCTGTCATCTTTTCTGCTGCTAGCTCATGAGTTGCTGGTGGATTGTTCGGGCTGAGGGATCAAAAGAAGAGAGTCAGAGCTTCAAATAAGTTACCTTAAAACAAATTCACATAAGAGATTTCATATAAGCACCCCTCATCTCATCTTTGTCTCACTTTTACTTTTTAATGAGAAAAGGATTTTGAAAGGTGAAACTCAGGGGCCAGGTTTTTCAAGTTGACCCTGAAGAAAAGAGAGAAGAACAATCAGAAAGAGGCATAACAGATGGTCTTCTGAGAAAGGTAATACTTTTTTAATTGAATTGAACTGAATTGAATTGAAGGAGTCTCTAGGGTTTTCCTCCACAAGAATCTGAGTGTTAAGACACTGAGGAGTGAAAAGTTTACAGTATTTTCTGTGGCTCCTAAAATTATTTCATATCTCCTGGATCTGTATATATTCAAAGCCAGTAAATGAGCTAGTTCCTGCATGTGCAGCAATTATTGGAAAAGGGAGAAGAATAAAGAATAAAGAACACACAATACAGAAAGAAAATCATGTTCCTCAGCACCCACCTTGAGATTCCAAATGAAGATATGAAACATACATATATATGTATATATACAGTACCTTCTTCCAAGTGCATACGTCTATGCTCTGCTCTTTCACTGATCTTCTCCATATTTTAAACTTCTACCCTTGAAAGGAAACCTTTGGTTCAATCATCCATCACATGCTCAACCACACCTGGAGTTTCTGCAGGTGTGTGAATTGCACCATTTCCTCTATCTGTAGTGGATAAACATATCTCTCTCAATGAATGAAGCATAAGTTTACTTGCTTCTTGAAGACACACAAAGAAATGAAAAAATGAAGTTTGAGAAGTACCCTTAAAGCTTATCTGTCTTTATCCATAATTTGTGGGTAGAATGCCTACCTTGTTGGTTGTTATAAGAAACAGAGATATAAATGAAAAACCTTATACATAGTAGGCAGTTATTTTTTTCTCTTTATAAAGTTCAATGATCTCCCAAATTTGGAAATTGCAGGCATAGCCCCAGAACAAGTATCATAAGGATGTTTCAAATACTCCATAGCTCATAGTCCCAACATACATGTTTTAAAATGTCATATAATTGAAGAGCATTTTTAACAACCCATTAGACTTCCAAAGACATATTTGGCTTTCTATTATGAATTCCAATATTTAAAATTCTTGGGAGAAAGTCTTATGTAATATACTATGCCAAATGTAAGCCTTGTTTTATTTACACTAAATAGCCTCTAACCCCAGTCCACTATGTTGTACAAGATTTATTTACAAAGTCTTCAGCCAAAGATAGAGTTCCATGAGTTCTGAGTATACATGAACTTCCCTCCATTCCCCTTGGTCAGTTTTTTTGATGTGACTTTGATTTTGCATGTTTTTCATTTACGTTTAGAAAAAAAAATAGCTATGAAAAGAATTTTTTTCCAGTGAGCACTATTTTCATTTGAGTACAATATTTAGAACTAAAATTAAATGTATTGAATATATTCGTATATAGATTATAAATGCTGTAGGTGGTGACATGATTCTTATATCATAAGTAAGTCAGTTATATAATTTTTGAAATATAATTTTCAAATAAAATATAATTTTCAAAATGTTTCATGAGTTCAGCTGACCCTTCCCTTGAAGATCACTCAAATTTCTTCCCTTGGAATACCAGAAATAACATACAAATTTCCTATCTTTTAAAAGGTAGAAAAATCCAAGTTTCTCCTGCTAGGTGAAGTACATGCTATTCTTCAAGATAATTGTCATGTGGCTACTTTGGATAGCTATCTAATCTTGTATTCTACCAGGAGAGAATGTTATTTGAAAGGAAACTGTATTTGTATGAGGTGTGGGGAGGGAGATTCTAAAAGTATGAAAATCCTCAACCAAATCTTCAGCATTTTATCAAAACCAAGTCTTTTCAGCATATTAATAAAATTAAAAAGGCCAGACATGGTGGCTGATGCCTGTAATTCCAGCACTTTGGGAGGCCAAGGCGGGTGGATCACCCGAGGTCAGGAGTTTGAGACCAGCCTGGCCAACATGGCGAAACCCCATCTCTACTAAAAATACAAAAATTAGCTGGCCGTGGTGGCAGGCCCCTGTAATCCCAGCTACTTGGGAGGCTGAGGCAGGAGAATTGCTTGAACCCAGGAGGCGGAGTTTGCAGTGAGCCAAGATCTTACCATTGTACTCCAGCCTGGGCAACAAGACAGAGACTCCCTCTCAAAAATAAAATAAAATAAAACTAAAAAGTAAGGTAAGCATATTTGAAAGTAATATTCATTTTTATCACTCATTTTGATACTATTCTTTGTATAGGTGTTCATAAAATTATTTCCTAATTGAGATATTAATACATAAAATTTTATATAGTGAAAAGCCACTTTCTACATAAACCTGACTCAACTATAGATTTAATGTTAAGCAAAGGCATTGCCTATTCTTGAGACTACCAGCTATGCCTAATAACATAACCACAAACATGTGCAGAACAATGAAACTGTTTAAAATGCTTTCATATGCATTACCATTTATGATTTAACCAAATATAGTTATGGACTTCAGTAAATTCTTTTGAATTGGTCAAAATGTAAAAAACACCCCAAAACTATATTTATATCTCAAATAACTCTTATTAGCATTTTGCTGATAAATAAATAGAGCATTTTACCAGAAAAATAAACATAGGTTTTAAACACATACATCAGAAAAGTCGTTTCTCATTTGAAGATAAAAATGCACATACCATGGCTACTGTGAATCTTATTTCATTCACCATTTTAAATATATAAAATATAACCTGCAATATAACCTGAATGGGGTCACCCAGGGCACTGGCCAGATATCACAAAGCTTGGGGACTAGAGCCTGACATGTTAAAACCAGGCTAGGAATTCTGCAAGAAGGAGCCAAAACCAGAAAGGAAATGGAGGGTCCAAATCATTGGTCTTAAAAAGCATGAAGAGTCATAGATGTAGAAACCAAGTATGAACAACAGAACCACAGCCTGGATCAGGGCTGGCAATGAGAATATAATCCAAGGGGCAAAAAATAGGTAGAAGTGGACTGGAATGGGAGCATGCAGAAAGTCCTGGGATTACTGGGTATGGAATTAGAGTGTGAGTTGTACAACTTCATCAATCAGCTGGTACCAAGGCATGAGGGTAACCCTTACTTAAAGATGCATGTAGGAGAAGAGAGATAATATAGACCAAGTCTTGTTAATTTTAACTATATACCTCATTATGTTGTTGTTAAAACGCAATTCTAAGATATTTTCTTTTCTTTTTCATTTTTCCTTTTTTTTCTTTTTTTTTCTTTTTTTTCAGGCTGATCATAGCTCACTGTTACCTCAAACCCCTAGGCTTAAGCAATCCTCCCACCTCAGCCTCCTGAGTAGCTGATACTACAGGCATGTGCCACCATACCCGGTTAATTTTTTGTAGAGATGGGGTCTTGCTACATTGCCCAGGCTGGGAGATTTGATTTCTTTTTTTTTTTTTTTTTTTGAGACGGAGTCTCGCTCTGTCGCCCAGGCCGGACTGCGGACTGCAGTGGCGCAATCTCGGCTCACTGCAAGCTCCGCCTCCCGGGTTCACGCCATTCTCCTGCCTCAGCCTCCCGAGTAGCTGGGACTACAGGCGCCCGCCACTGCGCCCGGCCAATTTTTTGTATTTTTAGTAGAGACGGGGTTTCACCTTGTTAGCCAGGATGGTGTCGATCTCCTGACCTCATGATCCACCCGCCTCGGCCTCCCAAAGTGCTGGGATTACAGGCGTGAGCCACCGCGCCCGGCCGGGAGATTTGATTTCTTATCTAGAATGCTTTAGAGTAGTCATGCAGTTGCTGACTGCTTCTTATTGATCTGAAATTTTCAAACTAAGATTTTTAGGAATCATATTCTGTAATTAATATTTATAAGTGGCTGAGCGCAGTGGCTCACACCTGTAATCCCAGCACTTTAGGAGGCAGAGGCAGGCGGGTTGCCTGAGGTCAGGAGTTTGAGATCAACCTGGCTAACATAGTGAAACCCGGTCTCTACTAAAAATACTAAAATTGGCCGGGTGTGGTGGTGCATGCCTGTAGTCCCAGCTACTCGGGAGGCTGAGGCAGGAGAATTGCTTCAACCCAGGAGGCAGAAGTTGCAGTGAGCCGAGATTGTGCCACTGCACTCCAGCCTGGGCAACAGAGCAAGACTCTGTCTCAAAAAAAAAAAAATTATAAGTAATTATATATAAGTACTTAGAATGATTATTAAATATCTACTAAATTAAAAGAAAATTATTTACATGTCATTTTGAAGACACTGAATCTTAAATTCTTCATTCTGATAGACAAGAAGAAAAAAGTATTTTATAAAAGCAGCAGAGCTAGCAGTTTGACTGGCAAATGATAAATACTAAAAATTATTTGTTGATTGAACAGTGAACTATTTCTGATTTGTTGCGACTTACAATAGGTCCTTTAAAAGTCTTCTCATGGCACTTTTAGGAAGTAAAGAAATAATTACTACAATGTGACGTAACTTTTTGTTGTTTTTCTCCTTTTTACCTACATGTGTTGATATAATTTCAGCAGAGCCATTTACATGATTCTGAATTCTGACTTTAATTATACACATAGGGTCTTCTTAAACTAAGAACTGTGCTTAATTGTCCCTCCTTTTAGTTTTCACAAAGGATGTTTCTGCCTCATGTTACTTTTGATTTGTAAACCATACATTTTTCTGAAATATCAAACTGTGTTTTGTGAGGTTAAAGGAACATAACTCTCCTTTAGAGGATGTCAGTTGGTACAGGAAAAATAACATGGTAAAATAGCTGCTCAAAGGTGAGTTTTCAAAATGCATATCTCTATTGACTCAGTGTGAATTAGCTTGATCCACAAATCAAACTCCAGAAGTAGTAGTAAGAAATAAACTGAAGGGCATGAAAAAAGAATAGAAACATGCTAAGATCTCAAGGAAATTTTAGGAATAAAGTATAACACTCCTAAGGGCCTGAAAAATCAAAAGTGGTACTTTACTGCAACTTGACACCAACGTGTGTCTTGAATTAAATATTTGAAATAGCATTGTTATTCAGAGGCAAGTATGTAGATTAAAAAGAAGAGGTAAAATTCCCCCAACTAATACTAATACAGAAAGCCATTTTTCTTCTCCTTTTTTCTTGACCCCTATCCCACACAATAGAATTGACCTTCACTATTTACTGGCCCAGAAAGAGAAATCACACATTGCCCCAAAGGTCGACCTGCCAAGAGTAGGAAACAGTTATTCTGGGAACTAAAGAGCATTGATGAGTCTCTCGGAAATTGCACCTACACCTCTTGGTTTCCTTCTTTCAGCTCCTATTTTTCTATGCAAATCAGTGAAGAGAGTTTTTTCCTAGTTCCAGTGCAACCAACAATGTGGCTGCCGTAGACATGAACGATTGGGGGACATGGTGATGTTGATTAAATTTAAGTCTGATCATCGAGAATGGGTTCAGGGAGCTAGATTCTTCTGTGCCCAATACAGTACATATTTGCACTTTCCTCAGATGCTGCGTTGGAAATTTAATGTTAGTTTTATGTATTTGTTTGTGAACTAGGTGTTTTCCAATATCCTGAGAGACTGCTAAAAAAAAAATACAAACACAGGTACTTGTACATAGTGGAGAGACAAATAGACCAAGTAAGTTGTAGTAAAGCTTAGTTGAATCTTCAAACTAAAAAGATGGCATCACCATCAGCAAAAAAAATCTTCAGAATCAGACTGCCTGAAACCTCACCCAAGGTAGAGATACCCAAAGTGATTTTTATCATGGAAGCCTTAGAAATTGTCAGAAAAAGACTTTTAGAGACTGTCTGCTTAGCTTCAACTGTCAAAAAAAAGGTGATGCTAACCTTATCTGTTTTCCTCCCTACCTCACTCCCATCTTCCACCACACACACATAGGCGCATGCACAAGCACGCACATTCATGAATAGGAATGGTCCCTACAATACTTAACACCCTCTGGACAAGGTCAGTCAGTGGTCCTTCATTTATCTTCTTTCTGCTCTTTCCTCAGACCAGAGATTCAAGATTTGAACATATGTACACATTCGTTTGGCTAACAGTCCAGCAAATTCCAGTACTCTAAGTATTAACTAGTCACTTTATTTATTTTGGAAGGCTGTGCTATAACTGAAGCCCAACATTTTGTTTATCTTCCACTGTTTATCTTCCAAGGAGCATGCTCCAATGCACTCATCATGACAAAGTACCTGCTGTGGAAATGTATTTTAAGATTGTGAAATGTGAAAGCTTTTTGGAGGAAGAAGAGTTATTATCTAATTTTAAAAAGTTTTGTTCCTTTGTAGAAGTGGACAATATGTAAGTTTCTTAGAGATTTTAAACAAACTCAACTTTATTGAAGTAGCATTTCTAGTCCCTTTTTTGTGTATAAAGTTAAACAGATCCACCTTTATGGTAAATGGATATTTGAAACTAATAAATATAAACACTTTCCTTTTAAGTTAATTGCTTTGGCCTCCTCCTCCTATGACAACAATTTTTGGAGAACTGCTAAAAAAATAGTAAAAGAAATACTTGTGTTTCAGAGCTCTTTATTTCCCTGGTCAGGCAGTAGTGTGGGTTCTGAAGAATAATGCAAAGATTCAGTGGCAGGAAGCTAAAAAGAGAATAAAGAAAAGCAAAGATGACATAACCACCCCACAAGCTCGCCCATTAATCCATGAATGACAGAAAATGGATTATGAGTGAGCTTATTTTTTTGTTTCAATTGACAGCTAAAGAAGAGTAGCTTTACAAAATTTTGTAAACCATGATGGAATGAAGTCTCTCTCAAAATTCTGAAGTCCCTATTTTTTTCTCTAAATTAATGTCAACAATAGAACTGTTTAAACTAATGTATCATTGAGAAAATGAATTAGTAAAATTTTAGTTTCTTCTAGATATAGTTTCATGAAAATAAATAGAAAAAAGGAAATTCAGTGACTCTGTTCCTTGGCATAATAGCTAGATTTTTGGCATTCAAATATAAACAAATAATTCTAATATGATGTAAGTGCTATATTCAAAATACATGTTATGAGGAGACAGATTTAAAATGTTATCAGTGGTAATGAAAATATACATTTTTAGCCTTTATTTGACTTACATGTTATTCAATTAACACTTGATATTCAACAAACATTTATTGATCATATATTATATGCCAAATACTTACATTTTAAACAATGCCAACTTCTATCTCAAATTTTCTTTTGAAACAAAGATTATTAAATAAATGAGAATTCATGGAGAAAGACAATGATTTGCCTTGGGAACATCAGAGGGAGAAAGAATTCAGAGGTCTAACTAGGACCAGAGGTGTGTTGGTAAACGTTTTACAACCCATTCTCCACTACCCTGATTTGTAGTGTTTGCCAATTTGCATGGTGTAAATATGAACACAATGTCTGATTCCAAGCTACCAACCTGACATTACTGAATGCAGAGTTGGAAAGAGATGCACACAAAGCATTCTCTGATCCATTATGAGCTTGCTGTAGCAGATCACTGTTAGTACCCACCAGACAATGGCTTTCTAGCGTCACCCTATGACTCTATTTACGACTACCTAACAGTCAGGATTGAGAGGTTGAATAGCTTTGCAGAGTGACTCATAATTGCCCATAGACATATTTATATAGGACCCCATTATGTTTATCTCTTTTCTTCTCTGGATTTTAGAGCATTCACTCCCATATCCTGGCTGTCTTCAGCCTTCTGCTACTTTAAGCACCTGACCTCTGTTACTGTAAAGAGAAAAGTAGCTTCTGCTTTGGGAAGCTGGTGATAACTTTGAGCTACTTCAGCAAAATGCTTCCCTATTTTGTCACACAGAATATTAAAAAGATATATAGTCGGGGATGAGATTTAATAAAATTAATAAATGTTTCTGCTTCATCAAGGATATTCTTAAAGAACGCTTGCAGTTTTTCACTGAGAATGTGTAGAGATGAAGAATTTAATGACTGTAAACACAGTTTAGTGCCTCAGCCTTGATTAGAGCTAAATTTCCAGAACTATGGCTTTTGTACCAGCAGTGAAAATGTCAAAACAATTTAAAGGGCCAATAATGTCTTAGTGTGACTATGAAAATAATTTTTACCAGGCAGATCTCATGAAAGGATCTCCAGGAACCTCTAGGGACCCACAGATGACACTTGGAGAACGACCACCCTAGCCCAAAGTCACAAACACGTCTTGGTTTGGTTATTGCCATAGCCTCCTAATCAGGTTCCTAAATTCATTCTGGCTACCTTGTAATCCATTTACCAATGAAAGCCAAACAGAGCTTTTAATAAGGCAATTCTAGTCATGTCATTTTCTATTCAAAACACTTTTATGGCTTCCCGTTAGTCTTAGGGCAAAATTAAAACCTTCACCATGGCTGAGAGAGCTTTTACCACCTGGTGCCTGGCTATTACCCAGCCTCATCTCTCTCAGATCTCCTTAATCTATTTGCAACAGCCACACTTGCTTCTTTCTCTTTTTCAAACATTGCAGATTCATTCTTGCCCCCAGGGTCCTTGCACATGCTCTTTTTTGTTCTTGCAATGCTTTCCCTATGTTTCATTTACCTAATTCGACCCGTCCCTTAACTATCAATTTAATCACACTCTAAGAGGCTTTCTTTACCTGAATTCCATCAGATTAGGTTCCCCCACATATGCTTTAACAAACAGTCTTGTAATTATGTAATTAATGTAGTACTTATTTATTATTATTATTATTTTTTGAGACGGAGTCTCCCTCTGTCGCCCAGGCTGGAGTGCAATGGCGTAATCTCAGCTAACTGAACCTCCACTTCCCGGGTCCGAGCGATTCTCCTGCCTCAGCCTCCTGAGTAGCTGGGATTACAGGTGCACACCACCATGCCTGGCTAATTTTTGTATTTTTAGTAGAGACAGGGTTTCACCATGTTGGTCAGGCTGATCTCAAACACCTGACCTCATGATCTGCCCGCCTCTGCCTCCCAATGTAGTACGTATTTTTGAGGTCCTCCATGAGACTATAATTATCAAGGAAAAGACTATCTGTCTTGCTCTTCGTTGTGTCCCTAGTGCTTGGCATAGATTAAGGGCTTCTAATGTTGTCTGATTTTACTTAAGGGTGTCACCTAAAATGAAAAAGAAAGAATTGGAAGATTACCTACACGTAAGTATCAGTCTGTCTGCTCTTTTGAACGTATACAACACTGACTTGTGGCCCTTCGAAGGAACAAGAAAGCACCTTAATCTAGCTTTGAAGTACTTGACCAAAAAAATAATAATAATAAAAGAAAAGAAAAAAGAAAACTAAGCAAACTGGAAGGTGCAGAGAAGACATCTCTCAACCCCAAGAATTCAGAGTTAAGATTATGGAAGCCAGATCAGGATAGCTGTATTCAAAATTGAAATTCAACCCCAGTAATGAAGATTTTGTTCCAGTTATACCTTAATCCCTCTTCTCTTTAAGATGATGACTCTCCAAGGAGGTTGCTGAGTTCTTCATTCAAATAGACTCAGACCATCTGTATACAAAGTCCAGCAAAAGTCTGAGCTTTAGCAGTAGGCATAGCTTAGTTCCAAGCATGGATTTCTACTACACTTTATCCACTCATTTTATTCCCTTATCTATTCCTCCATGCCAGATAAATATTGAAGTCTTGTTCTAGCTCTGAGTCAAGTCTGTACTTCTTGACTTTCTGAAAAAATTATCATGCTCCCAAGCTTAACTCTACAATAAGTTTTTCACGTCTAGAAAATGTTGTGGCTATTAAAGAAACATGTGCCCAAAATTAAGTAATTCCAGGAAGGCTCAAAGTTCTTCTGTAGATTATACTCATTAAGGCTTGAACATGCCTTAGGCTAGGTGACGACCAGTATGTAACTGGACACGGTAGCCTAAGAAGAAATTATTAGAAATTATAATTTTCTATATTTATTTTTTGCTCAGTTTAAACTATGGCACTAAAATGATTCAAGACCTCCTAAAACACTCTGGTAAATATTCTCTATTAATTCTACTAAGATAAAATTAATGCATCTTACACAACGCAGTGTATGAACAATTCATAGTAAGTTGTAAAACTTAGGGTCACTTGGTGCTGAAAAGTGAAAGCTTTGTTTAAATGGCTAAATATTTTATTTTAAATGTCTCAACTACACTTAGAAGCAAATATGAGACATTATTTCCTGTAGTATTTTTCCCAAAGCTAGAGTTTGTTTTAATAAGACAAAGGTTAAACACTGCAGTGAATTATGTCTGCACCAATGTGCAAACACCTTTTTCTTTTTGCTTGTCCTTGCAAATTTTTGAAGTCTGATATTTATTATGTCATGTCTGAAAAAGAGATAGATTAAAGTGAAGCTTGAAAAAGAGAAGATCGTGACTGGAAGAGATCTAATTACAGTGACCTAACACAATTGGGTCAGCAAGAGGGTAAGAATTAATGCATTTATAATGGAAATGGGAACTTTTCTGGAACATAGCTGATACTGTGCCATGGCCTTGGAAACCCACTCAGATGTAATCAGTCATTTTTTTAGACTACGTTTGAGACAGGAATCCCAAGTTGAAAAGTTCAGGGTAGGATGTTAGCATCTAGGGGAGAGCTAGTGGTTGTGCCGGAAACCTAGAAATCAAGAGACAACTGAAGGGGCTGATCGCTGAAAGGAAGAAAGCACCAGAAATTCCAATCCTGTAAGTGTGTAAACTTCAAGGAAAAATTCAATCTTCTGCAGCAGTTAAATTGTATTGTTATTTAAAAATTTGGAATATACCTTTGTCCATTTATATTTGCTGTTTCTAATTTCCTTTTCTATGTGCAGCATTTAATTTTAGGCTAATTACTCAACTGATGAATCACATAGTACTCCCCAGTACTATTCTACTTCCTTTAAGGACATTTTTACTCACTGAAAGCTATAAACTGAAATAACTCATCTACGATGTATCATAGACAACTTTCTTGATCACAGAAAAGCTTACTGTGCAATTTGTGCATTACCCTGCTTCTTGCTTTTGCTTTCCTTTTTTGCCTCCTTTAGGCTTGCTTTGCCCATCATTAGCACCTTCTCCAGAGCTAAAGAAAGGGGACAAGCAAGGCTTTAAACTCAGTCTAGTCATGGTATTTATTAGTGGGTGGCTTTGAGGAGGAAACAGAAAAGAAGAGTTTATGAGCAAAAGTGAGGTTTGTAAATTATCCACAAGTCTAATTGATTCATGTGATCATTTCTCCCTTTTTTCAGAACAGCACTGTCTAATGGAGCATTTGGATGTATTCTGTATCTATGCCATTCAATATGGTTGCCACTGGTCCAAATGAGTAACTGAATTTTTAATTTTATTTTATTTTAATTTTAATAAATTTAAATTTAAATAGCCACACATAGTTAACAACTATCAGACAGGACAGTGCAGCTCTAGAATATGCCTTTCTAGTTATCACATCCAGCAGTACAATGCAATTTCATAAACTCCAAATTTACTATTTTGGAAACCACAGTCTTTTCACATGGATTGAACTAGTTTACCATTGACATTTGTACTTTGAAGAAAATGTCAGATAATTGCATTAATAATGTAAAAACCATTATAGATTAAAAGTTTAACTTTCATAAGGGCATGAGCTAGTTATAAGAACTAGCATAAAACTATTAGAATTATTTATAAATTAATATAGATAATTGATAATAAATTTGTTAGATAATGAATCACATTAGTGATTCATTAATGTGAAGCAGGTCTAAAGGAAACTTGAAGTCATCCTTTATTTATTTATTTAAACTGTATATGCCAGACACAGGACTAGTGCTGCAGATTTTTAAAAAAGACTAGCCATCAAGAAACTCATTTATATTTTTAAAGATATCATCAGTGCTTTATCTAATGTATTTTATATTTCATACTTTTTATATAAATAGGACTGAACTTTTCCCAAATTAGTACAAAATAATGATGTTTTTAATATTGTATTTAATTGAACTTTGCAGTGATTATTATTTATGTGACTATAAGTTATTTTAGTATACTATATTACCATATAGTACAATCCTATGGTATATCTGTATGTTTACAACACATATATAATTGTTTTAAATTTTCTTTACAGATTTAGGTAACAGTTAAAAAAATTTTCCAGTTTTTAAACCCTGATTTAGTTTTTTTTACAGCACATAGCATTTATATATTAATATAAGTATATATACTAATATAAATACGGCATTACTTATAGTAAGTCGTATAACTATACTCATATAAGTATAACCATATAAGGTATAGTGTAACTTTATATATACTTATATAACCATAAGAATAAGCATAAGTATTAATATATGACTAATATAAGGATAAATACTAATAGCTTCTTCTTTTAATTTCCTGCATTAGTTTTTTTTTTTTTTTTTGAAACGGAGTTTTGCTCTAATTGCCCAGGCTGGAGTGCAATGGTGCAATCTCAGCTCACTGCAACCTCCACCTCCTGGGTTCAAGTGATTCTCCTGCCTCAGCCTCCTGAGTAGCTAGGATTACAGGCATGTGCCACCACGCCTGGCTAATTTTGTATTTTTAGTAGAGACGAGGTTTCTCCATGTTGGTCAGGCTGGTCTCGAACTCCGGACCTCAGGTGTTCTGCCCGCCTTGGCCTCCCAAAGTGCTGGGATTACAGGTATGAGCCACCGTGCCTAGCCTTAGCACACCTAATATGTACACCTAATATGTACAATTATTAATAAAATTGATGACTTGATTTATACTTAATGAAAATTAATATTAACTTTTTCAGGAATATTGATGATGGGCTATAGAGCCAGACAGCCAGACTATTCAGTAACTAGCTTTCTCACATACCAAATACAACCCTGAGCAACCCTTAGCTTATCTGTGCTTCAATTTCTTCACTAGGAAAGTGGAAAATAATTACAGCCTCCTTATAGGGTCATATTGAGAATTAAATAAAAAGATTCATAACAAGTGCTTTACATAGCCCCTGATACATACTAAGTGCTCAATAAAATTTCATTATTATTATTATTAAAAATATTGCAAGCTAAACAATAAATTTGAGACCCTATGTCACCTTCCTCAAGGTAATAGTGGAGGAGGAGCTTGCCAATGCTCAATGTATACTATACCAGGTGGTATTTGACTACACACAAAACTAAATTAGGGTTTAAATACTGGAAAATTTTTACTCACTGGTATCTTTACTTTCTTATAGAATGTTAATTTCCTTACTCTTTTCCTCTAAGATTGGAAAACTCACAACTTTTTGTACTTTATTTTGAAGAGTACATATTTGACAAGGAGTCATTACAGAAGATGTGTCCCATGCTGAAAACAATTTTTTTCCTGGCAGACATGTATATGAAATTGAAAATATGGGCTTTACTCAGTATGCCTATAAAAACAAAGAATGAATATATTAAACAGTTTTAAAACTTCTAAGGAAATGCTTTTGCAAATAAATACAATCCTAGAAAGGATGTAATATTTGAGAAAAGCTCTGATCCAAAAGCATGATCAGAGATTTTCAAGTAGAGCATTGAATTAGATTTCTAAATACCGCCATGTATTCTGTAAACAGATTTAGCTGACAACACAAATTAAATTGGAAAAACTGAACATCTCAGTTATGTCAATTTGCTCAGGCCTCAAAGATATACATCTTTGAAGTAATGTTTAAGTCAATACTACGGAATACGCAATATTTCATGAGATCCATTTAAACCTTGCATTTAAAAGCACATGCTTGTAATTCCACTACTTAACTTTAGTCTTGTAGGAGACTTGAAGGAAACAACTGCCTCCAAACTACAGAACTAAATAGGGAAATGTGAGCAGTAAGCCAAGTGTGCTTTTAATCCCCATTTCTCTCTTTGTATTAATTTTGAGAACATTAGCTGCTATAAGAAATAAACTTACAAATACAGAAGTTTATTTCTCACTCATGTAAAGTCCAAAATAGGAGTTCTCAACTGACAGATGATCTCCTTTCAGCAGAAATTCAGAGACCCAAGCTTCTTCCAGTATTGGCTCCATTGTCTTCAACATGTTGCTTCCAATATGGCCATCCTTGTCTTCATCTAATAAAAAAATCAAATAACAAGTAGTTCAAGTAGAAAGATTTCCTAGACCAGACCTGGGAGAGAGACAAATACCACTTCCATTTATATTCCATTGGCTGGAACTCAGTCATATGGCCACACCTCACTGTAAGGGAAGCTGGGAAATTAGTCTAAAATATTCCTAGAATGACAGTCATCAATGCCATATGATTCTGGATAAGCCTACAGAATACAGTTTCTTCTTAGTCACTAGTCATTTCCCAGCTGCCTCTGTTGCCTCTTTAATTGCTGGAGGAAATCCATCCCATTAATTCATTCACAGTTATGTGTCAGCCCTGGATGTGCATTTTAAAAGCAAAGGGCTTGAAGAATGATTACTCACTCCATAAAAAGACAAATGAAGGAATTTTTTGTTTGTTTGTTTTTTGTTTTCGCGGGGGGGAGGGGTGTTTTGTTTATTTGTTTGTTTTTGGTAGGATAGGATCCAAAAATATTTTAAGTAAGATCTACTTAGTTCATGAATAAGGCAAGTTCTAAAAAGCAGTCCGTTTCTTAGAAATAGAGAGAGAGGGCCGGGCACGGTGGCTCACGCCTGTAATCCCAGCACTTTGGAAGGCCGAGGCGGGCGGATCACGAGGTCAGGAGATCTAGACCATCCTGGCTAACATGGTGAAAGGCCGTCTCTACTAAAAATACAAAAAATTAGCCGG
Source organism: Homo sapiens (assembly GCF_000001405.40). Classification (NCBI taxonomy): domain Eukaryota; kingdom Metazoa; phylum Chordata; class Mammalia; order Primates; family Hominidae; genus Homo; species Homo sapiens. The sequence continues at coordinate 119,675,119 of NC_000004.12, read as the reverse complement.
GCATGGCGGTGGGCATAGTCCCAGGTACTCGGGGCGGCTGAGGCAGGAGAATGGCGTGAACCCGGGAGGCGGAGCTTGCAGTGAGCCGAGATCGCGCCACTGCACTCCGGCCTGGGTGAAAGAGCGAGATTCTGTCTCAAAAAAAAAAAAAAAACAAAAAAAAAAGAGAGAGAGAGAGGATACAAATTAAAGAACAAATATTATAAACAACATCTATTCAATTCTGAGTTTTTTCTCATTTCTTTAGATATTCTTAATGTACAGTATTAGTAGGTTAGTGTCTCTGCTGGTATTGGGTAAAAGGCACACTTTATCAAGCCAATGAGAGACCATTGTGTTTTAATTCCTATGTTGGGTTAACATATATAAGAGGTCTCACAGAAATCTCCAATGCAACACGTTCCAAAACTGAAATCTTGACTTTCCTCCACAAATCTTTTCCACCCTCATCTCTTCCCTTGCCTGTTGATGCAACTCTATCTTAAGAGTTGCACAAGACCAAAACTTTAGAATCTTTGACTCCTCTCCTTCTCTCAGACCTCTTATCCAAGCTTCCAGGAGATCCTGTTTACTCTACATTCAAAATGCCCAGAATAAACACAAGCTTGGGCAACACAGCAAGACCCTGTCTCTATTTTTAAAATAATAAAAATAAAATAAAAATTAAAGAAACAAAATACCCAGAATATGAACACTTCTCCTCATCCTCATTCCTGGTTTGAGCCCCCATCATTTCTTACATGGATCACAAAATAGCCTCCTAAATACTATTGTGTCTGTAATTCCCACCCCTAAACATGCACACACACACACACACACACACACACACACACACACACACCCCTACTCTCAACTGAGGGGCAAAAGTAGAAGCAGTGAAATTAGTTAGGAGACCACTGCACTAATTCAGGTAAGAGATAACTCCTACTGTTCTTCCCTCACATGGTCCACTTCACCCATATTGACGTCTTTGCTGTTTTTGGACAAATTAGATATTCTCTCACCTTCCTTACTAATGACTAATGTCACCATTTCAATAAGGCTTATCCTGAGTGTCCTATTAAATAGTCCAATGTGCCAACCATCATTCCATCCAGAATTTCCAAAACCTCTTAAACTTATTTTCCTTTTTAATGTAATTATATAATGCTTACTAACGTACTTGATATTGTGCATACTTCTTTGTGTTTACTGTTTGCCTCTCTTCCAGAATATAAGCTCCACAAGAGCAGAGATTTCTTTTGTAGTTTTTTCCCCCCGGGGCTGTCTTTCTAGAGCCTAGAAGAATACCTAGCACATAAAAGATGTTCTATAAATATTTATTGAATGTTCAATGAATTTTTCTAAACAGAAATATATAGTTTAAAAATTGATGATCCTATCAGGTTTAAGTTTTTCTGGTTCACTATCACCTGATAGAGAAGATTAATCAAAATTCTTGGGACCAAAGTATTTCAAAGTATATTTGATGGAAAAATAATCTCACAGAATATCCTTGCCAAATAAGCTTATGATACATAGCAGACCATACCTCTCTCTTGGAGAGTCTATTCCACTGTAAAACAATCTTCGTAACACTAACCCAGCACTTCCCAAACTTACTTAACAAATCTCTTTTTTTTCATGGAGCAACTATTAGAATTGCATGGAATTAATGCTCTGAAGCTTCCACTTAAAAATCATTGCTGTAGGCTGGTGATGTGAAAATAATGATATTTAAAATGGGGTTTAGCACAGGAATGTAAGATTGGTTCAACATTTGAAAATCAATCATTGTAATATACCATATTAATTGAATAAAAGATAAAAATACATGATTGTCTCAATAATTTCAAACAAAACATTTTACAAAATCCAAAATCCTTTTATGATTTAAAAAAACACTGAACAAATGAACATATTAAGGGACTTCCTTAACCTGGTAAAGGACATCTGCCAAAAAACCCCTACAGCTTGCATTATAATGGTGAAAGAGTGAAAGGTTTCCCCCTGTAATCAGTAACAAAAGAATTTCAACCCTTGCCACTTCTATACCTTACAAGGGAAACTAGGCAAGAAAAAGAAATAGAAGTATCCAGATCGGAAAGCAAGAAATAAAATAATCTTTATTTGCAGGTTGCATAATTTGCATATACAAAACATGAAGAAATTCACACACATACACACACACACTATAGCTAATGAGTTCAGCACAGCTGCAGAACACAATACCAATATACAAAGATCAGTTGTAATGCTATAGACTAGCAATAAACAAACTAGAAATAAATGTGAGGAAACAATTCCATTGATAACAGCATTATAAAGACTAAAATACTTAGGAATAAACCTAACAAAAAAGTGCAACATGAGTACACTGAAAACTACAAAATTTCATTAAATCAATAAAGGCCTAAATAGAAAGACATTTTATGTTCCTGGATTGAAAGACTGAATGTGGTTAAGATGGCAATGCTCCCCAAATTGATCTAAAGATTCACTACAATCACTATCAAAATACCTGCTGACATTTTTTTGCAGAAATTGACAAGCTAATCTTTAAATTCAAAAGATCCAAAACAGGAAAGCCAAACTTGAAAAAAAACAAAACTAGAAAACTCACTCTTCCTGATTTCAAAACTTGCTACAAAACTACATTAATCAAGACAGTGTAAACAGGCAAAAGGATAGACATGTAAAGGAAGAGAACTGAGAATTTTCTCAGCAAATTAATAATAGAGATTCAAACCTAGACTAGACAACAAAATCCATGCTTTTCCCACTACCATGTAAGTTTTTTTGGTTACCACTGTTCTCTATATTCTGCACAACACTTAGCCTAGGGCCATGTACCAACCGATGAATGAATGGGCAGCGCTTCTGGTGATAATGACTAATCCCATAAGGCAGTAAATGGTACATAAAGAAGGATAATTTTATTTTTAAGTACAACCCACCAGTTACCCTGAAGCTAAAGAAAGAAATTAAAAGCTATCATTATCTATGTGCTGAATAAAAAAACACAGATGAAGATTCTATACTCTAACATCCTTCATCTTTTGGTAAAAATATGAGAATTGAAAAACTATCAGTCAGAAATATAGATACTATCAATCTTAAGACCAAAACCAAAATTAGATTAGCCCGGAGATACCACCTTATATTCTCACTTTGTCTGCCAGCATATCATGTTCAATGGGGTTAAGTATTTGCTAAATGGGAAGAATAGTGTGTATATACATATATTCGTCACACACACAGCTATACACACCCCTGGGAAGTCTTGAAGAGCACTGTAAATTTGAAGGTCTTTGGAAAATTTTAGTCTTGGAACAAGACAGTCCAGGATAGTTTAACATCATCATTAATTAATGTGCAACATGACAAACCTGCCTCCTCTGACACAGAAAATGAAATGTTTCCACAATCAAGCCTGAAGCTAACAGTGTTGGAGTACTAAATGGCTTTCTAACAAATTTAGACTTGACAGTTACTTTGTCTTTCTCTTGTCTTAGCAGATTCATGCTTAAGAAGGCCCCATATTCTCTGGCTATTCAGGGATTATAGGCCAACCTATCCATCTGCCAGGCAGCCATTCAGGATGGGTGTCCTGCATATCCAGCTGTAGGTTTATATCCATGTAATTATATACATGGGTATGTAATAAAGACAGAGGAAGGATGTCCAGAGGAGATTGTGGGTGAATGTTAGGCCAAACTTCTCAACTCCTCATTAGTCTCCTTTTATAGACTTGAGGGCTAACCACATGCAGTGGCACACTTTGATAAAAGTGAATCATAGAAATGGAAATAAATGCATTATCTGGCACACATTTTTGGCTCATTTCTTTAGACAATGAATATAAACAGTTGTCTTTTGTAAGGCAGTAATGTCTAACAGGTATTTTTAAAGAATTTCTATTTTATCTAATATTATGATATAAATTATATCATTTCCAGGTAAAACAAATAGCATTTGAATTGGTATTTCAATGTCACTGACTGTAAAATCAACAAGAAAAATGTGCTTCATTTTCTGGAGCCTAAATTTTCCCACTTACAAAAACAGCAACAATAAAAGTGTTTTCTCTATTTCTCCTGTTAGCGAGAAAACTATTGCACATATCATGCGAAATATCACTTTGATATGAATTTAGGCTTCAGCAATGTGGGCCTGGGCTAAAAGAGTACGGGACATTATAGGGTACCTTCTTGAGAGCCAGACTTTAAAAGCTAATCTGCCTTTCTACCCTTGTTTCTCCTCTGGTCTTGTTTTATTCAGCTCTTTTAACTTTATATATTACATATATATTTGTAAGATACGTACCCAAAGTCACTTTGGAATAAAGTGTGGGTATAAATAATCAAATGTTATTGAAATAATATCATCATTAATTGAGTTGTCTTGAGCTGGGTGATTATGGGGATGAGGAAACAAGGGAACAATAGAAAATCCTAGTTCACTGCTTAGGAGCACCAACTTGTTAACCACTTAAAATGCATAAATCACAAATAATAAGGCTCTTCTTAACATATGGGAGACATTTTTAAATTAAAAAATGCTGGAAGTGAGAATTAAGTATTTATTAATAGCCTATAAACTACATGCCATGTGCCAGACACTATTCTAGCTGCTGTATATGCATCAGTTCAGGTAATCCTTTTAGCAATTCTCTGTTCCGTTCTATTACTATCACCATTCTCATTTTACAGACAAGGAATTGAGGATCAGAGTGGTTAACTACCTTGCCTAGAGTCACACTGGTACAAAGTGGCAGCCAGGGTTTGAAGCCAAACAGGCTGGCTATGGGGTCTCTTATGCTATTCTGCAGCCTTACTTCTCCAAACAGCAGAAGACAGCTGTGTACACAGCTCTCTGATTCTCAACTCTGAAGGCTCAGTGGTATCATCTTGGGGAAAGGTGGAAGGTGGTTAAAAACACTTCTGAGCCCAGGCCCAACTCAGACATTATTGTCTAAATTTTTTAAAAGCCTCCCAGGTGATTCTGTTCTTGCACCCTGGGTTAAGAACCACTGAGATAAATAAAAAAATTGATTTCTGTTCATAAACTAAAGAGCAGCAATGACTTTAAAGGAATAGTCCATATTCTGAGCATGCTCTTCAAAATCTTTGGAATATAAAATGATTAACATAAAGGCAGTGTCATAGTAATAAAATGGCCAAGAGAATAATAAATCATGACCCAAAGAAACAAGCCGTGTACAGGCCCCGCGTTGGCACTCTGCTGAGTAGAAAAAGACACACCATTTGCCAGAGTAGGAAGTTATCATCTATAATCAAGAGAACATAGAAATAGCTCAGAGGTGAATGCAGACAGATCAAGCCATACCTCATTTACATCGTTCCATTAGTAGAAATGGAAATAAATACATTATAAGACAGCTACCCATCCAGCTAAAGTACTGCTGCATTTTCTGTTTTTACTACATGAAAAAAGAATGTCCTTTTTGTTTTTTTTTTTGTTTTTTGTTTTTTTTTCTTTGAGATGGGGTTTCACTCTTGTCACTGAGGCTGGAGTACAGTGGTGTGATCTCAGCTAACTGCAACTTCCGCCTCCCAGGTTCCAGGGATTCTCCTGCCTCAGCGTCTCGAGTAGTTGGGAATACAGGCATGCCACCATGCCTGGTTTAATTTTTGTATTTTTAGTAAAGATGGGGTTTCACCATGTTGGCCAGGCTGGTCTTGAACTCCTGACTTCAGGTGATCCACCTGCATTGGCCTCACAAAGTGCTGGGATTACAGGCGTGAGCCACCCTACCCAGACAAGTATATCCTTTTAAAACTACTTTTTGCAGTCAACATTATGCAAAATATCTTTAATGACTTTAATTTGTGATAGATGATTGCAGAGACTGAAGGTACTGAATTAATGTACTCTGTACTCAAAAACCAGACTTTATCTGGAGGAAAGAGCAAGGGAGTAAAGGAGCAAGAAAAAGACCCAGTAAAAGAGAAAGAAGCTGAACAAAGTATTAGCAAGTAATAAACCAACGTGTGTTTCCCCTAAGGGTTGTTGATTCCACATGGAGACAATTGACAATGTGCCTTCCATTGTCAACCTTCCCAATTATTTTAGTTCCTGGAGTTTTCCAAATGCACAGAGTTTAACAAATTTGAAATATGTAACTTATTCACTGAGCCTTTTATTGAATAGTTCATTCTTATCCACACTTCTAGATGCAAATGTGTTAGGTGCCAAATTCCTGGAAAAAAAGAGTTATCCTTTTCTCAATAATGGTTTACGTGCATCAAATTCTTTGTGGCAAAATGGGCATATAAAGAACTAAATTAAAAATGTATGTCCTTAAAGCCTGCCCCTGTTTCTTCCTGCTGTAATATCAAACTAATTTGCTTAATGAGGTGACTTAAGAAAGGGGTAGTTCCTTATATTTCATTACTAGATTCTTAACTTTAGGGAATAAGCTGCTATTTGTGTCCAGAAACTCATTCTTTCTCCTAATTTTATCATGACTACCATGTGGTAAAAAGCCCTCAACCTTATCTATCATTTTTCTTCCTTTCTCTTTGGGCTTTGCAGTTTTATAATTCAGAACTATGAACTAGCTCCTGGAGACTTGGGAGAACTAACTCCATATAAATTTGAATAAGCAACAGCAACAACATTCTGTAGAATTTTCAAAGAACCTTCATTTGTGAAGTATTATACTAAGTTGTTTGATGTTAAGGGAGAAATCTACAAAACAATAAGAAAAGTGATAACCAAAAAAAAAATTAATCATGATAATTTAGGCAGATACTAGGTTAGCAATTTCCCTGATAAGATACAAATGGTTGACAGAGGCAGGCTAAACAAATTAATACTCTAGATATAATTACAGAGCAAATAGTACTTAAAATGAATATTTTCTGGCATTTTGAAAGCATCTGCCCATCGACAAGGCATTCTTTCAGACAGAAGCCACAAGGGCTCATCTTTCTCCTTGAACTGCACTCTGTGGTGTCTGATTTGGCCAGGCAGGCCTCGTCTCCTTCACAAGGCTGGCAGGGCAATCATATGTGGAGTCAGCTTTGCACAGCTAGCTCTGCTTATAGCGGCTCCAAGGGCTTGATTTGGAGGCTTGGTTACAGCACGCTGCCACTTTAACCTCCAGCTCATCTGCTTTTTTTAATCTGACATTATCTGCCATTAACACAGTGGTCATTTCTTCAGCATTTGTGACTACTTTCTACTGCACAGAACTTAGAGAAGGGGTGATTCACTGACTCCTAACTTTCAATGGCCACATCAGGCAAGTTGCTTCACTTCCCTAAATTTTTCAGATATAAAATGAGACTGATCACTGCTGAAGTCCCCCACAGCTATTTCATTTACAACTTTTTTAGGTAACACATTTTTAAAAAGCCAGGTTCAACTGGTTATAATCAAAAGTAGCCATATGTGCATTTCCTTAAAAATACTATAATTGTGTCTAGGTCTTCAACAGAGGTTTGTCCAAATTTGTAACACTTTACATATAGAAATTAAAAATACAAAATAAATCCTCATCTATTTCTCTGTATTCCTTTGAGATAGTAAGTCAAGTGTTTTCATTCCTATTAAAGGAATTTTACAAACATCTTTATTATGTTCTTATCCCATTTGAAATATAAGTTTCTTCTGGAAAATTCAAAAGACAAAACAATGGTAGGAAAAGATATATGGATCCAACATGCATCCATGAAATAAATATTCCACAGCCCATTATCTTCAAAGCCAGATTGCTATGTCAAATATCTAGACAGCAAATGGTTGCAATGACATATTTTGCCTAAAAAGGAAAAGGATGGAAAAGAGAAGAGAGGAGAGTTCATCTTTTGAACATCTAGATGTGCTAAGTATTGTGTTAGAGACATTTATATATCTATTTAATATAAATCCTTGCAAAGGTTTTGTAATGTAGTTATTTTTATTCCCATTTTTATAGGGAAGTCAACTGAAGTTCAAAGAGATTGAATCCCTCGTTCCAGAATACACTGTTAGTAAGACCTAGAGTTTGAATACTTATCTGGCCACCCCAGAACCCAAGTCTTTTCCAAACCATTCCCAACATGCTGCCATGGGCTACCCTGGGTGGTGGTGATAGAAAGTGTGTGAAGCTATCTGCAACACACTGTGATGACAGAGTGGTTTTTCCCTGCTGACAGGATAAGCTTCTTTTAAACTCCCATCATCTGGACTGCTTCTCAAAGGGCATCTGTTCAGACCTAAGCCTCACATCCTCAGCAAGCTAGTGTACCGTCATTCTTAGGGGACCTTTGTTTCCTTAAATGTTAGATGGAATGAGGTCACACATCAGGCCCAGCATGACTGGTCTTTGTTTAATGTCTGATAATGCATTTGTCTTAAGGTCAAGTGGGATTATTACCAGAACTCTGCTGAAACATAAAAGGCAAATGGAAAAGTGACAAAAAGCAGGATCAGGTTAGAACTCCAAAAAGAATTCAGAATGGATTTTATGTAGAAAATGCAAACGCCGGGGACAAAAAAAAATAGGAATGTATTTTATGAGTGTCATAAAAATGTGTTTAAAAAACAGATTTCAGTTATGCAAGGCAGAGGAATGACATCGAGAAAATTATTGCTTCTTTGCTATAGAGGGAGAAAACCCAGTAACAGATGGCATTGAAACAGGGATTTTTAAATAATTTTATCCATTCATATATTGTATTTTTATTGAAAAAAATAACTTACATCTAGGAAAGTATATGTGTTATGTCTGCACATACATAAGTATACAAGTCAGTGAATTTTCACAAAGTGAGCACACCCTGGTAACCACCACCTACATAAAGAAATAGCACATTTCCAGCATCTTAGAAGTCTGCCTCATGCCCTGTCAGCCGCTACCCACTCCTATCCAAAGTGACATTCAGGCTTCTAAAACTAGAGATCAGTTTTGCCTGTTTCTGACCCTCATATAAACAGAATCAGACAATGTGTGCTTTATGTCTAACTTCTTTTGCTGCACACACTGTTTATAAAATTTATGCATATTGTTGCATGTAGTAGTTGTTTAATTCATGTTCAGTGCTGAATGGTAAGTCCTTCAATGAATAAAACATAATTTATTTATTCATTCTGTTTATAGACATTTGGATTGTTCCAGTTTTGACTATGAGGAGTGTTTGAGTATGCATATTCATGTACATTACTCTGTTGCTCATCCATCTGTTACATATACAGCTAGGAATAAAACTGCTGAGTCAGTGTGCATTTGTTCAGTTTTAATATTTATTGTGAAAGAGTTTTCCGAAGTTTCTATCCCAATTGTTACTTCCATTATCAATGTATGAGAATTCTCGGTGCTCCACACCATAGCCTGAGTTTGGGTTTGTCAATCTTTTACATGTTAGCCATTCTGGAGGGTGTGGAATGGTATCTTACTGTGAATTCAATTTATATTTCCCTGATAACAAATGAGGTTGAGAACATTTTCACATGCCTCCTGGCAATATGAATATTTTTTTTGTGTGTGAAGTGCCCATTCAAGACTTTTGCAACATCTTCTATTATGTTTTCTATCTTTTTCTTACTGATTTGCTGTATTTTTTCTTTTTCTTTTTCTTTTTTTTGAGGCAAGGTCTCACTCTATCACCCAAGGTGGAGTGCAGCGGTGCCATCAGAGTTCACTAGAGCCTTGTATTCTTGGGCTCAAGCTATCCTCCTGCCTTGGCTTCCTGAAGCTGGAATGCAGGCACATGCCACCATGCCTGGCTAATTTTTTTAATTCTTGATATTCCTTTTATTTTCAATATGCCAGCTAGAGTCCTTTTTTGGTTTATGTGTTGAAAATATCTTCTCCTATTTTGTGGCTTGACTTTCTACTTCTTAATACTATGTTTTTATCAACAGAAGATGTAATATAATTCAATTTATCAATACTTTACCTTATGATGAGTAGTTTCTGTATCCTGCATAAGAAGGCATTCTCTAGTCTACGTATATAAAGATAGTTTTCTGGGTTATCTTTGTAAACTTTATTATTTTACCTTTCACATTTAGATTACAATACCACTTTGAATTGATTTCTGTGTATAGTAGGATTTTCCTTTGTCTTTTAAAAAATATCAAACATAGGAAATCACAGTAAAATGAGAAAAACAACTGAATTGTAAAGCAATCTGAAAATACTCTATGTTTGAATTCCTTGGATCGTTTTTTACAAAACATGTTGAAACCTGTCACTAAAGCATCAGCAGTTTTATTCTGAAAGGATAAGAAAGAGAAATAGAACATTTTTTGAATGGTAAAAAATGCAAAACCTCTAAGTTATTTATTGCGGTAAGGGGGTAGGCAAATTCCTGTTCAGAATGAGTTCAGGAGCTTTAGCAAGAATTTTGGATTCAAAAAGAACTGGATTCATAGCTCTGCTCTGCCACTTACCAGGTGGCACTGCTGAGTTATTTACCTCACAGAGTTCTCATTCGTATCATGAAAAGAATATGCATCTCACTGGATTAAAGTGAAAAGGCAGTTAGACACATTTCTGTTTTATCACTGTGTCTCCAGCACTTGCAGCAGTATATGTCACATAATAGGAACTTAATACTGCATTCCCCTCTGTCTTACACTATTATTATTATTTCTTTGCTCTCTAATTAGAACAAGTGTAGAGCCATCATTGAGGAGAAAAGGCAAGACATCATAAGGTAACCTGGAAACCAGGAAAACCAAAGACCATTTACTTTCACAATTTTGTCTAAGCAAAATTGGATGAGTCAGCTTAATGTTAACACCCCGAAAAGAAAGTAGAACATCACCATTTTGAAATGTCCTTGAAGGGCCAAAAATAGAGTAATTTGCATGGTTGTACAAGCCCAAATAGTGTTAGAAAGAACAGTTTAATTTCCCTTCCTGATATATGGCAAAGTAATGTTGATAAAGGGAGTAAAGGGAAAACTGTACTACATTTAATCTCTTTACACATCAAGAAAGCCTTTAATTTTATCCCACTGAACGTTCCTGCGAATATACTAGATTCTTAGGTTCCTCAAAGTGTGTGCTTGGCCCAGGACCAGTAGCATCAACATCACCTGGGAGCTTATTAGAAACACGGACTTAGACCTACTGAGTCAGAACCTGCATTTTACCAAAATCCCCAGGTGAATCTTACGCACATTAATTTTGAGAAGCACTGAACCAGACAATTAAAATATCTACTGATCTGATAACCCACATTTTAAAAATAAAGTTAGGAGAGAGAGTAAGGATAGAAAGGGGGGTCAAACTAAATAAGTGATAACCATCCTATATCAGGTTCAATTTATCTGTTATCAGGTCATTTTGATTGCACATCCAGAATCTGAGCACTGCGTGCTCTCAGCCTGGGTTATCTGTCTTTCCAATTATCTTCATTTTTTGCCTCTTTTCTCCACAACTTCAAATAAAAGTCATTATAATAAAAATTGTTATTGAATCTTACTTTTATTTTTGATGTTTATCTTAGCTCCGAGGACTGCAGACAAACTGAAACAGAAAGAAAGAGGAGAGGAAAGGAAGGAGGCAAAGTCTGTAAAAGAAATTGCTGCTGACACACTGTCTTGATCCCTCATTCAGTCACTGATTTAGCCCAAAGCCATTCTCCTTCTCAATCTCTGACTTAGAATCCTAAACTATCTCTGCCTTCTATGCCCTCCCTTTAAAGAGAAAAACAGCATGAGTAGGTTGGGCTACAGCATGAATAGGCTGGGTTTTTGAAAAGTATTTTTTGTCTGTTGGTTTCTGGCAGTAAAGTCTGGTGAGCTAAATAAATGAAGCAGGTGACTCAGGTCACTGTAGTGATCTGTGAATCTAAAAGTTTGTGAAGTACTAGATGGTTATGTCTACTCTGCTAAGTGAGTGCCCCAAAGATTAATCATTTATAGTTAACTGCCTTTGTTAGAGAATGTTTGTAAAATAGTGATAGTAATAACCATCACTAATATGTATAGTTTAATGAATATATGTCAGGCACTGTGCTAAGTGTCTTAGATATTTTCTCTCATTTAGTTTTCTCAGTAATATACTTGTATTAGTTTGCTCTCATACTGCTAAAATGAAATACCAGAGCCTGGGTAATTTCTAAAGAAAGACATTTAATTGGCTCACAGTTCTGCAGGCTGTACAGGAAGCATGGCAGAATCTGCTTCTGGGGAGGCCTCAGGAAACTCACAATCATGGTGGAAGGCAAAGGGGAAGCAGGCACATCTTACATGGCCAGAGCAGAAGGAAGTTGGGGTGGGGAGGTGCTACACACTTTTAAACAACCAGATCTCACGAGAACTCACTTGCCATCACGAGAACAGCACAGAGAAGACAGTGCTAAACCATTCCTGAAAGATCCACCCCCATGATCCACTCACCTCCCATCAGGCCCCACCTCCAACACTGGGGATTACAATTTGACATGAGATTTGGGCAGGGACACAGATCCAAACCATATCAATAATTAGGTGAGTTACAGAGACCTTATATTAGTATCATTTACTGGGTCCCCATGGTTAAGAGGAAAGTAAAAGTTACTATAACATGAGATATTAACTAATGACTTCCCCACTTGTAGAATGGCTTCCTACTCAAACATATGTCACTCTCACTTAATGCCTGCATCTATCCCAGTGCAAGAGCCAACGTTTTTGTCCCTCAGTTTCTTCTTCATTGTATCAAACATCCAGTAAACACAGTGAAAACCAACAGCAAGGCACAATTGCAGGTCTTGATAAAGAAGGAGATTCATGAAATGGATAAAAAAATATGTTGGAATTCTGTTCACATCACTGGCTGAAGCATTGACAAATGAGGATCTGGCAGAGATTAAAGTAGCTAACTACTGAAAAAGAGAAAATTAAAATTGTCGACAGGATATGTTCTTCACAAAGAATAATTTAAATATTAAGAGATTTCTATCCTGCTTTAAAAGCTAAGTCTCAAGTGAAGATTGTCTATCATATCATCATATAATTTTATCCCAAAAAATATAGCAAAAATTAATATCTGATTCATTCTCATTTCTGCTGAGAAATAACATACCTTTTGCAATGTTAGCTATGAATTAGAATGAATTCATTTTCATATAGTCTAGCTCAAATTTTTTAAGATGAGTTTTCAAACTTTTTACAATTTGCTTTACAATTTTTATGCTATTTGAGGTAGATACATTTTAAACGGGTTTTTCTTCCAGTATCAATCCTGCTCAAGTAAGGAGGCTTTGCTGTTTTATTATTACCCATTTTATATATGGGAAAACTGAGATTTTACATGATTCCATAATTTGACCAAGATCACAGCCAGGCATCTGTTTTGCAAAATTTGGTCTTGGTCCTAGAAGGTATTACTTCCAAAATTAGAGTTCTAAAATCATTCTAATAATAAGAATTTGTAAAATGAAGTAAACAAGATGAGAGAGAACTTTAAATCCCTGACTTCTAATGTTGTTGAAAGTTATTATGAAAATATGTTATATTACATAGGACCTCTGGAACTCACTGAATATATTAATTAGGGTCAGAATGCCTCTTCTCCCATACAGAAATTGAATGCAACTGGCACTGAAAGAAAAATTCTTCTAAAAATATGACATTCAGTGGATGACTTAATACAAACCAAACTTGAAAGATCTGACAATATCTGGAACCATAAAACCTTATCCTCCAGGCTGCACTCTGATCAACTTTATGGACTGTGAATATGTGATTGATTTATACATTCAAATTGAAACAAATGATGCAATACCAGCAGGAACTCTGGATTTGATCTTCCATTTACAGACGTACTTGTGAGTCCTAGACTTTACAAATGTACATGCCAATTGTAGCAGTGATAAGTTCCTTCATGATATAAACTGCATGATAAATGGGATATGCACTAGGCTTCACTAGTTTTAATTCTAGTGCCTAAAACACATGGCTTTGTTCATTGCTCCTCTTCATGTATTTGAGGGAAGATAATCTTCCTCAAATTGTTAGTTGAATAAGCATAATATCATATCCTTGGGAGGACAGGGGAGAGAACTATTTTTATAGCCCATTATACAAGCTCCTGTCACAAAAATTAGATGTAATTTTGCTAGAAATGCAGACAACAAAAACAAGAAATTTTACTGGTAAGAAAGATAGGCTTGAACTGGGAGGGCTAGTTGCTTGCTAACATCAATCTAGAGAATAACTAAGAATGTCAGCCCCTTTCTTTAAAACAGTCAGAGTTGTAACAAAGAAATTGCAAAACACAAAATAAAGTGTTTTATAATAAAAATGCATGAGTCTGGATCGGTGGGTAACCATACATCACTGATGAGACATATTTAAGCTAATAACTCCCAAGACTTTATCTGTTGTATGAGTTATTCTACCACATACATAATTCTCTTTACTCCCCTTTTCCTCACTGTATATTAACAGGCAGAAGTATAAATGCTGGCCGGGTGTGGTGGCTCACGCTTGTAATCCCAGCACTTTGGGAGGGTGAGACAGGCAGAGTACGAGGTCAGGAGTTTGAGATCAGCCTGGCCAACACAGTGAAACCCTGTCTCTGTTAAAATAAATAAATAAATAAATACAAAAATTAGCTGGGCGTAGTGGCAGGCACCTGTAATCCCAGCTACTTGGGAGGCTGAGGCAAGATGATCGCTTGAACCCAGGAGGCAGAGTTTGCAGTGAGCTGAGATCGCGCCACTGCACTCCAGCCTGGGCAACAGTGTGAGACTCTGTCTCAAAAAAATAAAAAAATAAAAAAATAAAATATATATATATATATAGATAGATAAAATGCTTTTTACTTTTGAATGCTAGAACAAAATTAAAATAATTGTGAATATTAGTAAAAATTATATGGTGTTTAATGCTTAGTTGTACATATTTATGAGCATGATGACAACATTATTTAAGCTAAATATTCAGCTATGCACACTCGTAAGAGTAAAGTTATATTTAAGCTAGGATGTTGAAGGTAAGGTTGTGTAGAATGGGTAGGTTAGGTTATACACAACTATGTAAGCACATGATAGCTTAAAGGAAGGGTCAAAGGGTCTTTGAGGAGCGAATAGTTTAATGTCTCAATAATAATAATAACAATAATGAAAATTACAGTTATACCAATATAGTTCCAGGGTGAATAAATAGTAAATCAATGAATGAAACATTCAGTCAATGACTAAGCTAAAAGCCTCCAAACAAAACTGAGAAATGCTTAAAGTGTTTGAAGGCAAGATCTTTAGATGAATATTTACATAAGCATGGAAAAACACATAGCAACCACTTCATCAGAATATACATGGAAATGTCAACAGAAGACTCTCAAAATCCCTAACACAGCAGATAATGGCCTGAAGCATCTGGCCATATCTTATCAGCTTGCAGAATCCATCTGGACAAATCATTCTTGTCATTTTTTATGTAAACTGGAATAATCCTCTCTTTAACTAGAAACTAAAGTGCTGGCTACAATCACAGTCACCTCATTTGTGGTTTGTAAGACTCAACCAAGGGAATGTGTGCAGAAAAGTACAAACAGCCACTATAACAAATGTCACTCCACCCTACCACATGTTCAAATAAATTTACCTAGTTTTTAAAACCTACTACAAATGCTGAACACCATGTTGGGGAGCAGAAAATTAAGTTCTCAAATAATACTAAGTTGGGTGGGTTAAGCATTGACAAAAACAAGCTAATTACCAGGAAAGATTGGTTATGAATATAAGAAAAAAATAGTCTAAAGAGTCACAAGGGACTATAAATTAACTGTGTTATCCCCATCGCTAACTATATACTGTCATATAACACTTACAAGTAGGATGGATGGGAAGATGAAAGCTAGAAAATATTTTCCCCTCTAAATTAACATAGGTTAAATCTTAATTCAGAAGTTTGCATTTGGGAGGCTTATACTGCAAAAAAAAAATTGAAATATAAGTGACAATCTTAGGAAGAATAAGAAATAATTTAAAATATGACAAGCTCTATGAAACATTAAAGATGCTTAGATAAGAAAAAGGATTGTTCTGTTTTCTGAAATGTGTAACTCCCACTTATTTCAGCATAATATAAAATGAAATATTCACTTGCTGATTTTAGAGAGAATGGAACTTTTTATAACCCTTTTATGGGAGGATGCTATCAAATCCTGTATAACCACAATAAGATATCAGTTCATACTAAGACAGCTATAATTTAGAAGATGGACCATAACAAGTGTTGGCAAGGATGTAGAGAAATTGGAACCCTCATACATTGCTTGTGGGAATGTAAAATAGTGTGATCATTATGGAAAATGATTTGGTGGTTCCTCAAAAAGTTAAACATAGATTTGTCATATGACCCAGCAATTCTACTCCTAAATATACAAGAAAATTTAAAATATATGTTTACACAAAAACCTGCACATGAATGTTCATAGCAGCATTATTCATAATAGCCAAAAAGTGGAAAAATCAATTGAAGAATGAATAAACAAAATGTGGTATGCTCTTATGATGAAATACTACTCAGTCCTAAAAAGAAATAATACATGTTACTACATAGATGAACCTTGAAAACATTATATTGAATGAAAGAAACCAGACACAAAAGGCTACATATTGTATAATTTCATTTATATTAAATGTCCAAAATAAGCAAACTATTAAGACAGAAAGTCGATTAGTTGGGCTGCATGGGAGGCAGTGGGAAGTGACAACTAAATGGGTCAGGATTTATTTTGAAAGTAATGAAAATGTTCTGAAATTGGATAGCGGTGATGGTTGCATGATTTTGTTTTAGAATATACTAAAAACCATTAAATTATATACTTTATTTGTTTGTTGTTTGTTTGTTTATTTTTGAGACAGAGTACCCAGGTTGGAGTGCAGTGGCGTGATCTCGGCTCACTGCAACCTCCACCGGGTTCGAGTGATTCTTGTGCCTCAGCCTCCAGAGTAACTGGGACTACAGGCATGCCCCACTATGCCTGGCTAATTTTTGTATTTTTTGTAGAGACAGGGTTTCTTCATGTTGGCCAGGCTTGTCTCGAACTCCTTACCTCAAGTGATCCACCCACCTCAGCCTCCCAAAGAGCTGGGATTGTAAGTGTGGACCACCACACCCAGCCTTAATCATACACTTTAAAAAGGTGAATTTTGTGGTATATGAATTATATTTCAATTTAACAGAAAAACTTGTATATGTGGGAAGTAACTAATTTTAGAAAAATAACTATTATCTTTTAGAAAAAGAAATTTTGTCTTATAATCTAAACTTCTTCAGCTTATAAAATATCCATCAAAAGGATAGTGCACATCAGCTGTTCCCTGTTCTGTAGAAAAGATGAAATAAAAATAAAAATGCTAAAATTATAAGCTTCATAATACATGGTTTCTTCCTGTATAAATTTTCCTGTCCAGTGGAGTAGGCAGACATACAGACAAATAATGACATGACATGAGATACATGGAAATAAATAAAGAGATCTATACAAGGTATGATAACAGAGGAGAGAGGATGTACATCTGAGTGGCATCAGGGCTTAAGAAGCATCAAAGATAGTATAATTTCATCTGAGTCTTGATGAAAGAATGCATATTCACCAGACACACAAGGTGAAGGCCAAGCATTTCAAGTTGTGGTAACACATGCAAGACAGAGATCTGGAAGAGCATTTCAGCTTCATAGATCTGCAAGTCTTTCTGTTGGGCCAGAACATAAGAGCTTTTGCAGACAAGCTGATGAGGGTTAAGAGGTATTATTCTTACAATGAAAGCAACCATAACCTCCCTCATGGGAGATAGAGTCATCAAAGATATTGTTCAAGGATGTGAAATATTCAGATTTCAATTTAGATAGATTATGCTGGCAGAAATGTAGGGCAAGAATTGGAGGAATCCAAGAATGGAGTCCAGGAGATCCTTAGAGAATAAATGGTTAAGGCAAGGAAATGATGAAGTGGAATAAAGATAAGGTGACCAGCTACAGAGGTACTTAGAAAGGCATGTGAACTGGGGAAAGAGGAGGAATTGAGAATGACTCATCTCTGACTTAGGCAGGAAGAACAAGGTTTGTTTGTGTTTTTTGAATTTGTAATCAAATTGCATTTAAACTTTAATATGGAATTTGAGGTGTCTGTTCCAGGTATAAGAAACCTAGAAGGCAGAGCTTTGAGTTTGCAGTTCAGTGAAGAAAGTCTGGGCTGGAGATATGAATTTGAGAGGGTTTAGAATATACCTCAAGTAGTGGGAATGAATGAGGTTGCCCAGGAAAAACAGAAAAAAGGACAGAAACCATCAGAAGCCCAGATTAGAGGTAAGACAGTACAGAGATGGCACATATTTCTCAATAAGTATTTGTCAAATAAATGAGCATATAAAAATCATATTTGCTTCCAAGGATAGCAGACAGGGTGAGGGGAGGAATATGGAATCAAAAGAGGTGCTATCAAATCTTTTCTAATTGTTTGTATATCACAATGAGAAATAAAAATCCATTTTTCTCAACATTGTCTGGACATATTATGTTGGGAGTTTTCAGCTCAGAGATGAGATTGCCAGAAAATAAGTATGAATAGAGAGAAGGGAGCTGAAGACTGAGTCCTGGTCAGGAGGCAGAGGCAGCTCAAGCAACAAAGACAGACAAGGCAGCCAGTGAAATAGGGCTCAAAGCAGATCAGTGTAGTGATTTGAAAACCAAATGAAGAAAATGGTGAAGGGATGGTCAGCTGTGCCAAATGCTGCTGATAGGTCAAGTTAGATGAGGACTGAGAATTTTATGCTGGATGTGGCAAGACAGAGGTCATTTGTGACCTTAAAGAGTGCTTTTCTGTGGAGTGGAAGGGAAGAAAGCCTAACTGCAGTGAGTTCCAGAGAGAGAGTTCTGTGAGAGAGTAAAATAAATTTGGCAAATACCTTAAAAAGAATATGTAAAAAGTTACATAGATGGGTAAATAGATAGCTGGACTCCAATTTTGCTTAAATGGGATTTACATATCCAGATAAGATTATGTAAGATTTTATTAAAATTCTACAAACTGACAGGTATAGAAAGATATTTGTTTTGAAACATTTTGTAGAAATATTGCTTAAAAAAATCAAGGAGGTTCAGGTAAAAGACCCAGGCAGAGAATGAGGAGGAGAAGAAAAGAGAAAACAGGGAATTCTACCATAAAGGGGGAGCAGAAAAATGGGCAAAGCTGAGGTGGGATGTGGAGTGGAGGGAGGGCTCTTTATAAATATAAATAAATATATATAATATATATTACGTGTAATATACACACACACATACATATATATATAAAAGATTGGAAGGTATCACAGCATGTATTGATGCTTTGGGGATGAAATAAAGTGTGATTATACAGAAGAGGCAGGGGATCAGCAAAGGCTCACAGAAATTAAGGAGGAACAGGACCTGGTACACAAGCAGAGAGGCAAGAGCCATGCTTATCCCCTAGAATGGCAGGAAAGGCAGAGCATGTGGGTCCAGCTGTAGGAAGGGTAATAGATTTGGGGGAATGTAATTTTGCAGATAAGGAAAAAAGAGAGTCATAAATAACTTGCCAAGAACCAGGAAACCAGAATAGCTAATTTAATATCCATCTCAAAATTAATGTGGCATATGTTAAATGTTGATCTAAATGGGACATAGTATCATTATTTAAAAATAATAGTATTATCTTTGTAAAGTAGTTCTAGTCTCTTTGTAAGTGTAAGAACAAAACGCTATAAAAGTTTGAATATAGGTGGAAGCAGTTGGTTTTAACATACCAAATAATGAAAGCATTTACATGGGAATCCATGTGAAGGAACTTCTAATACAACTGCAGGATTTCTATGGTCAGTTGACTAGCCTGACGTTAAACAGGAAGCCATCATAGCAATATTTATTTTAGGGATACATATCCAAATCAAACAAGCTCAGAGGGATACACTTCCTTGCAAAATGAATGGAAAATAAATAGTCTAATAGCTATCTTCCCAGTAATAGTATATTTTCACAAATCGCTTTTAAATAATGACGATTTTAGATAGGAAGTATTCAAAATTCTTCATCAATGAATACACAAATAGATGAATAAATCTTAAAAAAACATTATGGATCCTATGAATAGTTGAATTATTCTCAATAAATGACTTACCTGCCCTTCTAGAACATTGCCCGTTTGGGTCCTAAAGCAGCAAAAACAGTTTTATAAATTCTAAATCCTTTAGCTTTTGTAAAATCATAATAATAATATACGGGATAAATCTATCTGAATAGAGTCACATTTTTACTAGATACTGGGAAAGGCTTGAACAAGCAAGGTGATTTGGATTTCAAAAGGCATTTAGGAGATATTTTATCTCTTAAATTTAAACTTAATAGTGGATACGATTATCATACCTATTCAGGTTTTTACTGACTTGTTTTGCAACTACATTTTCTTTACAGTTAATAATTAGGTTTCCTTTAAATTAAAAGGTTTGGATGCTGTTTCTACCTTTTATAAGGGGATAATGTGGCTTAAATAATCTGGGCTTTTAAGTCCAACAGGGAAAATAATTGTATTTAAATAAAGCACTTTGTATATAGTGATAGTCAATAAATATCTGCTAATTTGGTTTCAACATTGTAGCTATTTCACATGATGTAATAAATGTTTAACATAATGAACTATGAGTTCAAGGATGAGTTGGAAAACAGTTGCTATAAGATTCATCAGGGACAACACAGTGAAAAAATTCTGACCAACAGATTGGATGTCCTACTTTTTATTGAATTATTTAAAAGATAAATTTATTGTTTATTTTAGTAAATGCAAAATATTAAGACGAAATCTCTCTGGAATTCCAAAAGCCAATATTCTAGCTTTCATAAGAGCGGGATTAGTTTTTACCACTTTACTCCAAATAAATACGCCATGAATACTAGTTGGGATGGAAAATAAGCAAACTTAAGAAGACATAAAAACTAATTGCTTTTTGTTTCATTTTTGAGATGGCGGTCTCACTCTGTTGCCCAAGCTGGAGTGCTGTGACCAATCATAGCTCACTTCAGGCTTAAACTCCTGGGCTCAAGTGATTCTCCTGCCTTAGCCTACCAAGCTTTTAATATATTTTTTAAGAGATGGGGATCTCACTATGTTGTCCAAGCTGGTCTTGAATGCCAAGCAATCCTCCTACCTCAGCCTCCTGAGTAGCTGGGATTACAGGTTTGAGCCACTGCACCTGGCCCAAAAATTGCTTTAAAAAATATATATAGTAACTTGATTATAGGCCATAAGTAATCATTTAACAGATAAAAACTTTTAAAGTTTTTAAGTAAATTAGGTTCCTATTTTATACTCTATAGTATATTCAAGGCATGAGCTTACTTTTGGAATATAAATATAAATAAAATGATAATTCACAAATTGCTAATTGCTCTTCCCTGCTAGGTCTTTGAACAAAATGCACATGGCATTTTAGGTTAATTGCTTAAGATAGTCTCAATTTGAAACCCCATATTGATAGCTCTGTGATCATTTAAATTCAGAATATCTTTTTTAAATTATGTATATTTTCATCATCTACTTAAGGGTCAAATGTTGTTTTTGAGCTTAAAAAGTATCATTCCTAATTGAAATAAATTTTAATGGCTGTGATTCCAGTGGTCTTTAAAAGTGCATTAAAAGTAATTTGTGGTCTTGGCTTAATTTGTTGGCTTTTTAAAATCTTTTAAGCCTTTTTAAAAAAATTGTAGTAATTCCATATGGTGTTAAAATATGCAAAGGTTATACAGGAATTCATACATAAATTATGTACCCATCTTCACTCTTCACTTTTCTTTGCCAAATAAATTATTACTTGAGTTTCCTGCTATCACAGGATACATATAATTTCACAAAACATACAATATACAATGTTAGGGAACTAGAACTTGATGACTTCAGATGCACAGGCATATTTGAATTGCTAAGTTTTTAAACTAATGTGGTCTTCAGAAGGGCTGTATTTGACTTGGCAGGCCCCTATGTATAAACTTCTGGGTTTGCAAGACAGTCCTACCATTTTGATACCATGAGTCAGGCCTGTCTTTTTTTAATGTGTTGTATTGACTCAACACCAGAGTTATATTTACAGCAGAACTGTTGATTAGAATAAAATGTGGATGGTGTATCGGTTAGAATAGTTTCACCTACAAATAACAGAAAGCCCAACTCAAACTAGCCTAAACAATCAGGTATTAATTGGCTTCTCGTCTAGAAGAGAGACTGGAAATATTTTACTTCTGGAAGAAGAGAAGGAGGGCAGGTGATTTTATTCTGTGGTTCTAGCTCATTTCTCTGTTCTTAATAGAAGCTTCATGTTCAGGGTAGTAGCAAAACAGCTATAGAAGGATCCTGACAATGTTCGAAGAAGAGGGTCACACTGAGAATCTCTCTCATTACAATGATGAATGCTTCTCAAAGAATCCTTTGAAAATCCACCCTAATATTATTAATTGGGTCACACATCATCTTCTGTACCAATCACTGGCTCTAGGAATGAACTTAGCCTTAGATACAGCAAAGTCATCCCTGGATCCAGCAGTGAAGTCAGGTCCTCCTTAGGCCCATGTGAGGTGTGAGACAGTAGAAGATACCTGCATAAGGCCTGGATATTGTTAGATGAAGGAAAATAATGAATGCCAGTAGAGAGCAGAAATGTCTATGTCAAATGGTGATTGGTGGTCACATGTAAAATGTAGCCCTCCAAAAATCAAAAGCAATACTCTTCCATACATAAAGGATTTTTATTCTGTAGCTGTAGAATGACTCAGAGTTGGGAGACTTTTTGCAATTCCATCTTTCAAGTTCATGGGGTGCTTTTAAACTTTTTTTGAAAGGGGATACATACCAGGTCAGTCATTCTGTAGCAACTATTTTTTAAATCAGTCTGTAACTTTGGAAATGGTATCAAACATTCCATTTGTTTCCCCTATTTGTTACTGTGCATTTCAAAGTATATATTTGCTAACCTTTATTCAACCAAACTTTAACAAGCACTTCCTATATTTAATGCATAATACTGGGCGTTTTTAAATACATCTATTATACATGTTTGACACATGTATGATTCATGTTAAATTGGTAGAGGAGGTGGAGTTTAAGATGGATATGCTGAGCTACTTGCTAATAGGAATGAGTGATTTATTGTCGCAAAATAAGAGATATTCAAATTGTTGTTACATTACATCTTCTATTTATATTATATTTTGATTTTGTCCCTAGACTAGCTACATTTAAGCATCCTACTAGTAGTATTCATACTTCACTTGTCACTTGATTTGTGTGACCTTAATTGATGTTTATACAACCCATTATATGATTAGAGATCATCCTCATAAACATCTAGAAGAAATTCTTAAGCTCTGTAAACCTACTTCCTCATTTATAAAATGGAAAGAAAATCTACCTTACTGAATGTGGGAAAGTTTAAATGAGATGAGGTGTGTAAAATCTTAGGGCCATGTCTGACATAAAGTATTCCCTCAACAGGCCAGGTGCGGTGGCTCACGCCTGTAATCCCAGCACTTTGGGAGGCTGAGGTGGGCTGATCACAAGGTCAGGAGTTAGAGACCAGCCTAACCAACATGGTGAAACCTTGTCTCTACTAAAAATACAAAAATTAGCCAGGTGTGGTGGCGCATACCTGTAATCCCAGCTATGCAGGAGGCTGAGGAAGGAGAATCATTTGAACCTGGGAGGCAGAGGTTGCAGTGAGCCAAGATTGCACCACTGCACTCCACCCTGGGTGACAGAGCAAGACTCTGTCACAAAAAAAATAAATAAATAAAAAATAAAAAGTGTTCCCTCAATAAAAGATAAGCAACTTTTGGGAAATGCCTATTGATGCAGACTCCCAATTAAAGAAGTTAACATTCTAAGGGTAGGAGGCATATAAATGCAAGTCCTTTAATTTCATAGTACTGTATTACAGAATTACTGTAATTACTGTGTGTGTGTGTGTGTGTGTGTGTGTGTGTGTGAGTGTGTGTGTTTATTAACGGCAAGAGTAAAGAATATGGAGACTGGTATAGTCTAGTTTAAATTTCCAAAAGTACCAAAAGCATAGGCTAGAAATCTCTTTGTAAATTTTCTGACACTAAACAAATGTTGTCTGTAGCTAGTATGACCTGCTCCAAAAACTCAGAGAATGAAACAATTGTACATATTTCTTATTTTATCCTAATCATTCAATCAAAAAAATCTTTTTAATAGATAGCCCAGCATACCCTCTTAAACTCTACCCCATCTTTTCCCTTACCCTGACCTTCTTTTCCCATTTACAGAGAACCTTCAGGGATCGTTCAATCCTGAATTGGTCAATCCTTGCCCAGAGACCAGGGGGAAAGGGAAGTGAGGTCCAGTCAGCCTACTATCACCAGTTTTTCATTGCCACGTGTCACTGTTGAAACTTGGTCTTGTCAGTTCCTCAGACCCTTTCTGGGCTGGTCCAAGCCTCTGCTCTGGCTTCAGGGATTCCTCTCACTTGGATTCCTGGAGTTCTCTTTGTTCACAATGTCTTGTTCAGTCATTATTCCCCAAAAACTTGATACTACATCTGGGCCGCTGGAGGCCGAGAGGCTTCTTGCTTAAATAACAAGCTATGTCACACCAGTCCTTCCCCATAACAACACCTGGAATCTTAAGTTTAGCCTGGATTGTCCAAGGCCATCCACTTTCTTAAAAAAACAAACAAACAAACAAAAAGAAAACTTTGTACCTAGGCATGCTATTGTCCTTTTTTGTTGCCACGTGTTGGTCAGAATCATCCTAGTCTTCCCTGACAGGTCCCTCTAACTCCAAATTTCTGGACACATGTCTTGGTCCCCATCTCACTGAGCTCCTGGGCTCCTCATGCAAACTACACATCAGGGTTTCTAAAGAATAACAATATGGAATGCCTCCTCATCCTATATTCACATAACTAGGGAAACCACTCTTAGTGGTTTCACATGGCTACTGTGACAAATTAGCAGCAATGTATTGGCTTAAAACAATACAAACTTACTCTCTTACAGTTCTGGAGATCAGAGGTCAGAATTGAGTCTTACAGGGCTAAAATTAATGTGTCTGCCGGTCTGATTCCTTTAAAGAAGGCTCAATTCTTTGCCTCTTCCAACTTTCAGAGGTTTCTGGAAATCCTTGGATCACGGCCATATTCAATTGTTACATGGTCTTCCATTCTATATCCAACCACCACTACGTCCAATCTCCATTTCTAAATTACATCACCTTCTCCTAAATTTAGCCCTCCTATCTCCATCTTATAAGAATGCTTGTGATATTTTAGGATAATCTGGCTAATACAGGATAATGTCCTCATCTCAAAATGCTTACCTTAATCACATCTGCAAAGTGTCTTTTACTACGTAAGGTAACAGGTCCTGGGGACTGGGATGTAGACATCTTTAGGGGCCCACTATTCTGTCAACCACACCACTCAAATAATTCTTTTCACAGCAAAGATTACTTCAGGGAGACCTTCTGTTTTCACCCTAGGCATAGTGGGAAGAAGCAGAATTCAAAGATATGTCTCAATGGGCATTTCCTTTAAATTTCACATTAACCAGCATCCTGATTTGCACTTTCTTAGCCACATGGCAGAGGGAGAAAATGTATCGAATGTATCAAAACTGCAGTTTTTGTATCCAGTAGGTTACTAAATAACATATAATTAGAGGAAACTATGATCAAAGGCATGATTAGAATATAAAATTCAAAATGTGCCCTTTCCATGGTCTATCCTGGGCCTCTCCTACTTATTGCTTGGTCTTCTGAAACCCAGGAATCAGACCATCCCTTACAGGTCTCTGATTGGGTTCAAGCCTGTCTACCTTTGAAGGACAAACTGCTAAGTAGGTTAAACTATTTCAGTTGGGCACCAAAGACATACTACCACGAGTTGTACCGAGCAACATGCCTATCTCAAAGGTTTCGCTGACTTTATATTTATTTATTATTTTTTATTGACAAAAATTCCATATATTTATCATATACAACATGATGTTTTGAAATAATATATACCTTGTGGAATGGCTAAATCAAGCTAATTAACATGTGTGACTTTATATTTTTGTCTTGGCTTTTCTCAGAACAACAACAAAAAAATTTAATGTTAACCAATTAGAATACCCATTCCTCTTAAGTATTTTATGCAATCCTAACTTCAAACATAACCAACAATAAAAATAAGGAGTAACATTTTTGGTCATTTAATATAAGCATTTATTCATTGGTAACTTTATTGGAAAGTACCCAGAATACTAGGTTGAACTAGATGAAATTGCTAATATTTGCCCAGTATTTTGATAATTTCATATGACTCAACTTATTATAGAGTCTGTCAATGATGGCATTACAAACTCCAGCAGCATTCACCTGAAGCTCTACAAGGAACAATTGATGACCTTCCAAAATACATTCCTTGCTCACCCCCAACTCCACTCCCAGGAATATGTTGGTGTGTTGGGTATCTTCTGTTTGCCTGCCCGCACCCATCATCCACCCTATCCTTTGATCCCAGGAGGCTGACCTGTATGGATTGTTCTGGCCTTATGGCATCCAGTTGGGATAGAAAAGCAGAAGATCAGAGGACAAGAGGGCAGCAAGATAGCAGTGTTAATCCACCCTCCTCCTACTCCCCTGGGTCATCCCTGGTTATTTGCAGTCCTTTCTAAAGGTCACAGCTCTTGTCAGACACTCTACAAACGGTTGCCCTTGGAGTTCTGTTAATTTCTCTTTTCCCTTGCTTCTTCAGTTCTAGGAGATGTAATGGCTCTCTGGTGTTGCTAGTCCTAGGGTTCTAAATAATCTCTTATTTTTTGTTTCTTTGATCCCTCTCCTGTACTTTTATAAATAATCCTTTCACCTCATTTTAGCTTACCTTCTATTTTCTTCAGAAATCTTGACTGAACCCAAGAGAAGTTTTCTAAAATAGTAACTCCCACACGTGAAACTGCATTTCATTTTGTGGGTACCATTTCTCCAAGCACCTCTGGACTCAGATAGAGGGTGAGGGATTGTGAAGGATATTCTAGGCGGCAGACCCAGCCAGGACTACACGGGAGTTAATGAGCCTTCAGATGATTCCAATTCTGAGCCTTCAAGTTTTCTATCTGAGACCCCACAGGTAGTGGGTTAGAGACTCTGCGGTGTGGTACCCTATCTGAATTCCTGAACTACAGAAACCATGAGAGAGAAAAATTTGTTTTAAGCCACTAAATTTTGGGATAATTCGTTACATGGTTACATAGCAACAGAAACTACTGTACTTGTCCTCTCTTGTGTCTATCATCTGAGGATCTCTCAACCTCTTTCTCTCTCCCTCATCTCTGATGCCTGTTGAGAATAGGAGGCACCAGCATTCGATGAGCCCAATCTTACATCAGACCAGGTTGACTCATCTCTCTTGTTTTCTAAGTCTTTCTGAGCAAGGCTTCACGGTATAAAACAGTGATCAAGTGTCCAGAGTCTGCAGCTGAACTGCATGGCTTTGAGTACTAGCTCTGCCACTTGCTAGCAGAGAAACCTTGGCTAATTATGTAATCTCTACATGCTCCAGCTTCCTCACCTGTAAAATGGTAATAATCACACATATCTGATAGGATTAGTAGGAGGATTAAATGAGTTATTACTTGTAAAGGTCTTAGAAGAGTGCCTGGAATACAGAAAGTGTGACACAACTGATGAATAAAATAATGCAGGACACATGCAGTGTGCCGGAAAATGACCATTATCCTCACAGGCAAAGCAGAAGAATAGGTTCAACTCACTGAATCCAGAAAACCTTATGGATGGCTTAAGAACCTAGTCTATTCTGAAGTATTCTAAGGCTTTTTATTTAGGATAACACATTAGTTACTTGATATAAGCACTTGATGTAAATATATAAACATAGAGATTTGCTAGGGTCACTTTTCCTGTGGCTTCTGAAGTATAATTTGAACTTTTTTACATAGACTAGAACTTTCTTCCCTGCTCTCTACCACAGGTACGTCTTGAGAATTATACATGAGGTCTGGAATATCAGCCAGGATGCCAGCAGGAAACACATGGCACTCTCAAACTGGATAATTCAGGAGAGTTTAATTAAGGAACTATTTTTAAAAGGTGGCCATGATTTAAGAAAGCCAATAACAAAGAGTAGTACAGCCAGCAATGGCAGGGAGCCATTACCTCCCACAGGCCAGATGGCAGGAAAAGCTATATGGAGAGAACTATCTTAAAGGGACTTTGGCAGAGGAACTCAGCCAATCATGGATGGCCCAGCTGGGAGGTTGCCAAATGTTTGGTTATTTATTGCTGCATAAAAACCATGCCCAAACTTACTAGCGTAAAACAGTAATCATGTATTATGCTCACAATTGTGTGGGCCAGGAATTCTGGCAGGACACAGAGGGGATGGAATGTCTGCTTCCCAATGCTGGGAGCCTCTGCTGGGTTAGTTTGAACAGCTGGAGATGGCTGAGAAAGCTCGATGGGACCATATATCTTGGGCTTCAGTTCTGATGTTGGCTGGGTTCTTTGGTTCTTCTCCATGATACATCTGCTGGGGTTAGAATTTCCTGCAACCTGGTATTCTCATTCACATGTCTTCCACGGAAGGCTGAATATCTTGGCAATGGCCAGCATTGCTCTCTCCGTGTAGTTTCTGCCTAAGGCCAGCTTGTTGTGGCTCCCTCCAGCAGGGTAGCGAGACTTCTTATGTAACAGCTCAGAGCTCCAAGAGTGGGTGCTCCAGGAAACCAGGGTAAATGGGAGGTCCAAGGCTTCTTGTGATAAACTAGCCTCAGTAGTTCCAAAATGTCACTTTCACCACATTCAATTGTTCAAGTAAGTCACTTAGGCCAGTCAAGGTTAAAAAGGAGGGAGGAATTAGGTCCTGCCTCTCAATGGGAGAAATAGCAGAGAATTTGCCACCATGTTCAGTCTAACATATCAGGTTAGTAAAACTCTGAGTAAATTCTCCTTCTGCCTTACCATCGCTTGCTGGTATTCCCTATTAACTAAGGCAGCCAATAGCCAGAGGGTAAAGGAGCTTGTTGATGTAGTCCTTACAGGTCAGCCTTCTGGGGCAGGGGCCCCCAGTGTTTTTGGCACCAGGTACCAGGTTCACGGAAGACAATTTTTCAACAAACTATGGGGTGGTAGGGAATGGTTTCGGGATGAAACTGTTACACCTCAGATAATCAGGTATTAGTTAGATTCTTATAAGGAATGGGCAACCTAGATCCCTTGCATGCACAGTTCACAATAGGGTTCCCACACTTACGAGAATCTAATGCCCCCACTGATCTGAGAGGAGGTGGAGCTCAAGTGGTAATGCTGCTTGCCCGCTGCTCACCTCCTGATGTGCAGCCCAGTTCTTAAAAGACCATTGATCAGTATTGGTCAGGGGCCTCAGGGTTGGGGACCCCTGTTCTGGGAAATAGGGTATCCAATGACTCCTAATCCCCAAATGCTTGTTTTAGGGCTTTCGGGCACTGTACCAGATTATGAAGCAGCGTATTCTTGATAACAGGAATGACAGCCAGGAGAAACCCATATAAGCCCTTAATTATCTACATTTGTATTCCCAATTATAATGCCTTTCTCTCTTGAAATCTTAATCAGTGTTTATTCAGAGCTTTCATTTGGGCTAGAATTTCATTCCTAGAACACACCCACCATTTGTGGTACTTCAATTTCCCAACTTCAAGAAAAATCTAAAGAGATTTGGATTTTCCAACATGTTAGTCTACGTCTGCTAGTATGATGAGGCTTAGAATGCAGTGCTCTTATACCCCAGGAATCTAGCAACATTGAACACTGTGTGCCCTCTTTTATTGTGAGGTCAGTTAAAAAATAACTAATTGTGTGTGTGTGTGTGTGTGTGTGTGTGTGTGTGTGTGTGTGTGTAGGGCAGGGAAAAGTAGAGTCTCAGGTAAAGGCCTTAAAAATCGTACTGTACATCCTCTTCTTTTTGGTTTAGTAGCTAATACCTTCTTCAGCAAAGTCTAGTAAAAGTAACATTCACATTTTATTTCTTCCAGAATCTTTTGCTAACCATTGAATATCTGTCCAGTGATTTTAAAAACATCTTGTAGTAACATTTTAAACTAAATCTCATTGTAGCTTTCTGGATTCCCCAAATCAGAAAAGCTTGTTTCTCCTGAACTATCCACATACTTCTAACAGCGCATAACGTAGTACACATTCATACCACAATAGAACTTCTGCTTCTTTGTCTTAGTCCATTTTCTGTTGCTATAATGGAATAACACAGACTTTACAAAGAAAAGAAGCTTATTTAGCTCATGGTTCTGGAGGCCAGGAAGTCCAGGAATATGGTGTCAATATCTAGTGAGGGCCTTCTTCCTGCATCATAACATGGCAGAGGGCATCACATCACGAGAGGGCAAGAGCATGCCAGTTCAGGTCTCTCTTCTTCGTTTTATAAAGCCAACACTCTCATCATGGGAGCCCCATCTTGATAACCTTATCTTTCCTAACTCCCAAAACCCTATTTCCAAATGCTATCAACCTATGAATTTGGAGATTAAGTTTCCAACTTATGAAATTTATGGAACACACTCAAACCATAGCATCCTTCAGGTGATTCTAAAGAGTGGGTGATAGAAATATTCTTATATAGGGGAGAAAAAGTAGTATCTTCTCCTCATCCATCACAAGGATTATGGCTGACAGTCTTATAACAAAAGACAGAGAAACAAATGTGTAACAAATTTATTTAATTTTTGCATAACATTGGAGTTTTCCAAAATGAAGACCCAAAGACCCAAGGAAAACTGTATTTTTATGCTAAGTGTGATGAAATAACTGGATAATTACGGAGAAAGATGATTGGACAAACAGGGGTATTACCTAGTTATAATAAACTGAGTGGGGAACTCAGCAAGGCCTGTCTGTTCAGATTTTTCTTGGTCTCTTTATATAGCATTCCTTTTCACCAGGTGTAAGGCAGGACACTTGTCACATTAAAGCCTTATGACCTACTTTTGTAAATAACCTGATGGGTTCTTCTTGCTTACTGCAAAGACAAAACCAATTCATTGAGACTGCAGTATTGTAGTAGAGAAAGAGTTTAATTAATGCAGGGCTAGCCAAGCAGCAGGACTGGAGTTATTACTCAAATCAGTGTCCTTAAGAACTCAAAGGCTAGGGTTTTTATGGATAATTTGGCAGGCAGTGGTCTAGCGAATAGTTGTTGCTGATTGGTTGGGGATGAAATCATATGGGTGTGGGTAAAGGTCCTTGTGCACTGAATCTACCACCTCTGGGTGGAGTGAGAACCACAAGACAGGTTGAGTCAGGAGTCACGTGTCAAGGTATCGTCAGTCAAGTTGCCAGAATGCCAAAGTTCAAAAAACATCTCAAAAGACTAATCTTAAGTTCTACAGCAGTGATGTTATCTATAGGAGCAATTGGGGAAGTCACAAATCTCGTGACCTCTGGCCACATGACTCCTGTGCAGAAAGGGATTATAGAAGCTACATCTACATCTCAGCAGAATTCACCCCCATCTCATAATCATCACCTTCTGGTCTTCATTAATTTTAAAAAGGTGGCTTCAGTCCCTGAGCAAAGAGAGTGTTAGTTTTAGGGAGGGACTATTATCATGCTTGCTTCAAAGTTACACTATAAACTAAATTCCTCTCGTGGTTAGTTTGGCTTATGCTCAGGAATAGCAAAGACAGCCAGTCTGTGAGGCTAGAAGCAAGATGGAGTCACCCATGCTAGATTTCCCTTGCTGTCATCTTTGCAAAGGTGGTTTGATTTTCAGGGGAGCTAGGTCAGAGAGTGACCTTAATCATCAGCTGTCACACAAAAAGGAGGGGGAAAGTCAGAGCGACCTTCTTGCTTCTGAAGCCCTCCCACTCTCTTTTAATTCAAATTACTCTGGAGTAGTGTTTTCTGAACCCCAACACTTGCAAGTCATTCTTATACCAGGGAAGCTAGGAAAAACATAATGATAAAGAGAATGGGCTTTGAACCAGATAAGGATATTCAACTTAAACTTAAATGTATCCCTAAATCAACCTCCCATTAGCTGGATCTCCAAAATGCCTATTATCACTGAAGACACCTGAGAAGGAAATGTTGGGGTAAAGTCAGTTGTTGTCATCAATCAGCAGTTAAATGCATGCATCCATGTGAGCACTTTGCTAGGGACCTGCCCAGAGACTCAGAAGGGGCCCTGCAAGTGCAAGATCCTAAAAACTTCTGTAGCTTTGTGGTAAACCCGCCTCTGTCCTTTTGAAAAAAATTAGAAAGAGCAGAAATTTATTCTCTCATACTGCACTTTCATAGGGAAGAAGGCAGAAGGGCAAGAGAGGAACTCTGTTCTCACATGGCAGAAGAGCCTTTAGGCTCTGCCCTATTTGCAGATAATTTTTCCTCAAAGGAGCCATTGCTTTTTCCTGCCTCTGTACCTAGGTCAGGGACACCCTGATTCAACTTGACAGACCCCACCCACCCAGTGTTAAATCACACGGAATAAAGACACATGTAGTTCCCCTCCTCCAGAGGTACAAGGCTCCTTGTGAAAATTAATCCAACTCCATCTCAGGGACCTTCTTTGCTCACTGGAGGTCTCAGAGAGTGGCAGCCTTTTGTTTCAACTATCATCCCCTTCAAGTGGGATAAACCTTTCTATTCTATATTTACGTAACTAAAGGCAAAACTTCACTTGATGCTTAGCAGAGCAAGATTTGATTGAAAGCAACTTTCTGCCTTCTTTTCCCACATGTTGGAAATTTCACCTAATTTCAATTTCCCCACCACTAAGGATGCCCACAATTAATGTCTGCCTCAAGAGGCATCCTGTTACTCATGACGAAATTAACCCCTCTGAAAAGATACAGCAGGCAGATAGAGGCTTTAGGTGATTTCAATTAACATATGCATGAATATATTTATCAATTATATACTATAACAGTTTAGAAGATGTGAAATATATATAATTTACTGTTCTCAAGGAATTTGTAATCTTGTATTTGTTGTATTCAATACTTTATTAATGCTAAGCATCTGCTATATGCTAGGTGTGTCACAGGAGCTGGGGACCAACTGGTAAAAAAACAAATTCCACCTTGTATAGCTTACAAATAGTAATAAACAAATAAATAATGTATATCTATAGAATATTGTTAAAAACCAAAATGTCTACACATTTGGTTTAAAGATTGAATTGGCTTTTTATTAGCAATGCATGACTTGGGCAGCATCCCATCAAAGGATTTAGAATGAGCTCCAATGAGTTAAGCAGAGGAGGTGGGTTTTGCAGGCAAGAAAAGACTGAGGAAAGCCAAAACAAGAAACAAAAAGCATTATGAATTTACTTTTCTTGTAGGAATAAAACAGAAGGAAATTTCCTGACATCTCAGCTTGAGTAAACTGGGCCCAATCTGACTGATTGCTGTGAATCTCCTGTTTTTTGGAAAACTAACCTGTTTGGGAATTTTCCCTGTTTTTTAGTTTCAGTTTAATTATGTGGGACTTAGAATGAGTGACCTCATTTTGGTTGGATCTGTTGAGGCCTAGTTGCAGGAGCTCAGCCCAAAACAATGGCCTCCAATCAATTTTATTTAACAATATAATGTACAGAATTCATAAGTGCTATGAAGAAAAATAAAGCTGTATTTGACAATGCAGTGACTGTGTGTATTGTTTACCTATGTAATCTGACATCTTTCTGAGATGATTTGTGAGTAGAGGCCCAAATTAAGTGAAAGGATGAGCTATACAACTCTCGGGAGGAAGATACAGGTCTTTTCCAAGGCAGAGAGGATCTGGGAGAATAAAATTTAAACATCCTTAGTAACAATAAAAGTTGTTAATGAGTCCCAAGAACCACAAATAAGACATTAGAAACATTTTTGTGTTCATTCATCCACTTAATAAATAATCCTGGAAAAGAGAGAACATGCTACATTTCAAGAAATGTGGCACTGATGCTTCTGTGATAGGCAAGCCAGGATCAGATTGTGAACATCTTTGTAGATTCTACTGGGAAGCTTATCCTATATCCAGAGGGCAATGGAGAGCCACTAATGGATGGAAGTGACTCCATCAGGCTTGTTTTGTTGTTTTTGTCTTTTTCTGAGACAGGGTCTCACTCTGTGGTCCAGGCTGGAGTGCTGTGGCGTGATCATAGCTCACTGCAGCCAACAACTCCTGGCTCTAGGGATCCTCCCACCTCAGCCTCTCTAGTAGCTAGGACTACAGGCACCCATCACCACACCCGGCTAACTTAAAAAATCTTTTTTTTTTCTTTTGGTAGAGACAGGCTCTCACCATGTTTCCCAAACTCCTGGCCTCAAGCCATCTTCCCACACCAGATTTCCCAAGTGCTGAGATTAGGTGTGAGCCACCGTATCCAGCCTAGGCTTGTACTTTAGAAAGATCACTCTTTCTGCAACATGGAGAACCCAAGGATTCATGGATTAAAGACAAGTATTGGAAGTGGGATGGAGAGAAGGAGATGGTATTCAAAGTTATGATGTAAGGTCAACCTTAAGGATTCTTTGACTGAAAAAGGAGAGTTACAAAAGAAATTAGTCACACCAAAAATGGAGAGCTGACTTGAGAAGATGGATTCAAGGTGACTTTTGAATGATGTGCTGTATTTGAACAGATGGAGAAAGGAGTTTGTTAAAAGGAGAGGGCTAGAAGTCCTTACATACAGTTACCCTCTGGCTAAGAATATTGAGCTCTAGCTATGTTCTGGGAACTGCAGTTGCTACTGTGAATTGATTGTATCACTACATAGTCATGACAAGCCTGTGTGGGCTATTGTTATTCCTGTTACAGATAAGCAAACTGAAGCATTGAACAACTGAGTAAATTGCCCATGATTGCACAGCTAGCAAATAGAAGGACAATATAAACTTCCAACCTAAAAATCAGTCCCATTACTTTATAACCATTTCTTATTTTATGAAAAATAGAAAAAATATTTCCCACCAAGCCGTAGGTAGGATGACTTTTTGCTGTTTAAAATATTCAAAGAAACAAATTCATTCTCAGCATAAAATAAACAAATAAAAATATTGTCACTGCTGAAGAGATGCAAAAAGACTAACACAGATTCTGAAAGCATTCCAAAGAGGAATTTCCCAAAATGTTTTCAGCAATGGCAATGCCACTTTTAAAAATATATGGTTTTCTAAGTAATTTTTTCAAATAAAAAAGACACTTGCATTGATAAATTTGAGATTTTTAAAACATTATTGAAATGTTTTTCAGATTTATTGGGAACTTTTGGCCATAATATGAAAGTGATTACGCAGGCCTTATTGTCATTCTAGAATAGTTTGTGTAACACTTCTAATTTTTCCACCATTTCAGTGATTTCACAGCCAGAGAACAATGAAAACAAATGAACTTGAAGGAATTAGGGCCTGTTCTGTGGATGTAGTTCCTTCTTTCTATTGATTTATTGACTACTCTTCTTGGAAGTACTATCATTTAAAGACAATATTTTCTGTAAGCATAGCTGAAAATTGTATTTCCAGATTGGAATGGCTGCAAGTTATTCCCTTTTAATATGTTAAGTTCCCTAGAAGGACATCATGAGAAAATTGAGTCACTATGACTGTATCTATAAAGAATAAACTTTTGGCTTAATCCAGATCTCCACATAGCATTTTCTTTATTTTTAAAGTGTAGTATTTTCAAAGCATGTATCAAACTTGAGGGAAATTTTTTGTACACCTTTTAATGTACTTAATTTGAGGGTCTTTCTTGATTTTTTAATTAATTGTATTGAATTATAAAATGTTAATAAAAAAAATCAATTTAAAGTTTATCCAAAGGCTACTCCTGAAAGATAAACATTACTTCCAGTCATGAGGTTCTTTCTTTTTGTCTGGCATGATAATTCAATCACACTTTTCCTTACATATTTGGGAGGGGGCAGGCTCTATAATCATGTCTGTTAAGCCATTTGAGATTTTAAAAATGAGACTCTTGAGCACCAACTATAAACTTCAATCGATATAAAGGAAAAGAAGTCCTTCTCTAAACTAGAAATTCAAGATCAGTACACCTGTTTCTCTATATTTTCTTTTGAAAACATACATCTTTGTTCTTCCAATTTTTAAAGAGTCTATTTTAAATGACCTACTTTTAAACTGGTTTTTAGTTAAGTGTGTCACACCTTGATGTAGTTGATTTTAAAATATTTCACTCCATGCTATTTCTTTCTAAACTAATTAATTTATTTTTAGTCATTCTGACTAATGTAAGATATTCTCTCTAGAGAATGAAATCTGTTTTTAAATAGAAAAGTGGATGGGAGGAATATAGATTTGTGTTGGCTACAAGTGTTTTGTATTACTTTGTTTTTCTGTGAGTGGCTAATATTATTTATCAATAAAACAACCTAATTCCTCTGTGTAACATACAATCCATATGCAGGTGAAAGGGCAGCAAGGCACTTCAAGAGCTCCTGAGGTTGAACTGCTTCTTAGACAGGACTTCAAAGCATTATCAACAGATGGTTGTCCACCCCATTTGTCCATGTCTCCAGGGAAAAATTCCACAGTTGTTTTTCATCATAGATCCATCTGTATTACATCTTTGTAGGGAAAGTGTGTTTAATATCTGTCTAAAATCCCTCCTGTCTTAATGCAAGTTCATTTCCTCTATGTGTGAACTTCGTTGATATGGAGAGCAGCTGCTTACTATCTTCTGTGTGATGTCTTTTCCAGATGGATAAGCCCCTGTATATCAACTGAATTCTTGGTTGCTACAAGAGACTTGGGTAGAAAAGCCCAGTTTTGATTTGGGAAAGGGAATGCTGTGTGCTCACCAGAACTGTTGCACTATAACAAAGTGTTATTATTCATAAGGTGTCCCTAAAATTGAGAATCAGAATTTGATTTAAATTCACACATTTAAAATATTAGGCTGCTGATATGGTTTGAATTTGTGTTCCCGCCCAAATCTCATGTCGAATTGTAATCCCCTGTGTTGGAGGAGGGGCTTGGTGGGAAGTGATTCGATCATGGGGGTGGCCTTCCCCCTTGCTGTTCTTATGATAGTGAGTGAGTTCTCATAAGATCTTGTTGTTTAAAAGTGCATGGCACCTTCCGCTTCTCTCTTTTCCTCCTGCTCCAACCATGTAGGACATGCTAGCTTCGCCCACTCCTTTTGCCATGATTGTAAGTTTCCTGAGGTCTCCCCAGCCATGCTTCCTGTACAGCCTGCAGAACTGTGAGCCAATTA
The DNA here is from genome assembly GCF_000001405.40 of Homo sapiens. NCBI lineage: Eukaryota > Metazoa > Chordata > Mammalia > Primates > Hominidae > Homo > Homo sapiens. The sequence goes on along the minus strand of NC_000004.12, from coordinate 119,637,946 downwards.
AACCTCTTTACTTTATAAATTACCCAGCCTCAGGTAGTTCTCTGTAGCAATGTGAAAACAGACCTATACAGCTGCATTTAAAATATTAGGCTGATCTCTGCTGTGCAACAACTTGAAATATGAGCTCCAGCACTATCAACAGAAAACCGCTCTTTCATATGAGCCTACTGCTGTTAAATGTAAAGGGTTATCTTATTAAGTGTGATAAGACTCACTAAGACCACTAAAAGAAACAACCCTTCCTCAAAGATTAATTGCTGACATATTTATATACAATACTCAGAAGTACAGTCAAGGTACTCCAAGAGAGTAGACATCCACGTGTCTTTTTTAAACTGACCCAACAAATATCTACCAACGTATGCTATGTCCCAGGCCCTTTGCCTTATCACACAGTGATATTCTAGACAAACTCTTGAGATGGTCTCAGTGATTCCTACCCTGGTGTTATCGCTTCTGCTTGTGTGAAGGCAAGATCTTGATTTGCTTCCAAAAAATAGAATATGGCAAAGGTGATTGGATATATGTGATTATCTGTACATGATTGTGTGCATATATTACATACAATTATAGTCATGTGCTGTATAACAACATGTAGGTCAATGATGGACTGCATATACTTCAGTGGTCCCATAAGATTATAATACCATACTTTTACTGTACCTTTTCTATGTTTAGCTACACAAATATTTACCATTGTGTTAAAATTGCCTACAGTATTCAGTACAGTAACATGCTGTACAGGTTTGTAGCCTGGAAGCAATAGGCTATATCAGGGATCCCCAACTCCCCCAGTACTGGTCTGTGGCCTGTTAGGAACTGGGCCACAGAGCAGGAGGTAAGTGGCAGGTGAGCAAGCAAAGCTTCATCTGTATTTATAGCCACTCCTCATTACTCACATTACCAACCTGAGCTCCACCTCCTGTCAGATCAGTGATGGCATTAGATTGTCATAGGAATGCAAACCCTATTGTGAACTGCACATGCAAGGGATATAGGTTGTGTGCTCTTTATGAGAATCTAATGCCTGATGATCTGTCACTGTCTCCCATCACCCCCACATGGGACCATCTAATTGCAGTAAAACAAGCTCAGGGGTCCCACTGATTCTACATCATGATGAGTTGTATAATTATTTCATTATATATTATAAGGTAGTAATAATAGAAATAAAGTGCACAATAAATGTAATGTGCTTGAATCATCCCGAAACCATCCCCCAACCCCAGTCCATGGAAAAATTGTCTTCCACAAAACCAGTCCCTGGTGCCAAAAAGGTTGGAGGCTGCTGGGTTATAATATACAGTCTAGGTTTGTGTAAGTACATTTAGTGATGTTTGCACAATTATAAAATTGCCTACCAATGCATTTCTCAGAACTTGTCCATGACTGTAGTGCCCATTTTGCTGAAGTCTTCCTCCCTTGCTGGCTTTGAGGAAGCTAGCTGCAATGTTGAGGAACTCCATGTGGCACGAAACTACAGGTGGTTTCCAGAAGCTGAGAACAGACTCTAGCCAACATCCTATGAAGGTCTCCAGCCAGCACCCTGCAATAAAGAGAATCCCTCACTTCTGCGATTGCAAGGAACTGAATTCTGCCAGCAGTCTGAATGAGCTTGGAAGTGGATACTTCCTTCTGTTGAGCCTCAGTTGAGACTGAAGCTCTGGCTGACACCTTGATTGTGAGACCCCACCTAAGTCAAGCCTGGACTCCTGATTCACAGAAACTGGTAGATAATGAATGTATACTGCTTTATACCACTAAGATTGTGGTAAGGTTAGACAGCAATAAATAACTAATACACAGTTTCTCAGTCTCTCTTTTTCTTTCTTGCCCTTAAAATTTTTGAAGCATACAGGCCAGTTATTTTATAGAAAGCCCTTCAGTATGAATGATGTTTCCTTATGATTAGATCCAGATTTGACATTTTGGGGAGGAATAACACAGAAGCGGAAATGATGTTGTGTCCTTCTCAGTACATTCTACTAAAAGGTATATAGTTTTGGTTTGTCCCAGTATTAAGTGATATTAAATCTATTACTTGGTTAGGGTGGTATCCACAAGATTTCTTCATTGTAAAGCTACTACTTTCCCATGGTAACTAATAAGTAACTTGTGAGGAGATGAGTAACTTTTAAACTTTAAGACTATGTAAATATCCCATTCATTATCAAACTCTCATCTATTATTTTTAGCATCTATTTTAATGATTTTCTAAACTATGTGATTCCTTTTATATGTATTAGTGGGCCTTTTACTCTAAGGAGCAATTCACTCTCTCTTATTTACTTATCTATTTATTTATTTATTTATATCAGTATAGAATCATAGTTTTTTATTTTAGTCGATAGTTTATAATTTGTTACTTTTATGCATTTTGATGCTCAGATTGCTCCAGATTTGTTCACTGAGAGTACATCATCTATCTTTCTGATATGTTTCCATCATTCTTTAAGGCTTTCTTATTTTCTGGCAAAACAAGATTTTCCAGGCATATCTTATACCTTCTCTGCCCCCAGACCTGGAATCTTTACTCCAAACACTCCTGGTTGCTTTTAGTGGAGACTGATACTTAGAAACCAAATTTGGGTATGAAGCGTACTCACTGCTACTGGAATGTTATTGCTTCTAGTAGTTCTTGATGATAGACAGAATATACATAGATGCAAATTTGAAAAAATATATGCAAGACATTTACTGTAAAAACAACAATTTTAAAAACATGAATAAACAGATAGATATACTATGCCCATGGATTGTAGAACTCAATATTATTAAAACATCAATTATTAAGATGTTTTCTGCTTAGCTTCTCACAAGGCTGCGATTAAGGTACTATCTGGGACTGTGGTCTCATCTGAGGCTTGACTGGAGAAATATCCACTTCTGAGTCACTCAGGTTGTTAGCGAATTCAATTCCTTGTGGTTCACAAGACTGAGGACCTTCATTTTCTTCCTCGCTGGAACTCATCGTAGGCTATCAGCTGGAGGCCGTCCACAGCTCTTACAAACTGCCTATATTTCCTTGTCAAGTGGATTTTCCCCACATGATGCATGTATTAAAATTTAAACTAAATTAAAAATTTTAACCTCCAATTTCATTTCAACACCACAATGTAACTTTTGGTCTTTCCCCTTTCCATATATGTTATTCTCTTCTCTAACAACCAGAAACCTGGATCTCACTATATTTGCTCACTTTTCTCAAGCCTAGAATATAAAGAAGTTTCAGAACTTTTAACTCATACCCTACAAAAAGCAACCCTACTAACTAGTTTCAATATTTTTAATAGATTTTTGGGGTAAAAATTACATAGTGATTTCATTTATGCACAATTTGATAACTTTCGAAAAAAAGCACATACTCAACCCACACCAGTTTTCAAGACACAGAACATTACTATCACCCAATAATGTTCCCTCATGCCTCTTCGCAGTCAACTTCTCTGCCAGAGCAAACCATTTTTTGAATTATTTTCATTGTAGATTAGCTTTATCTGTCCTAGAGCTTCATGCAAATGGAATCAATCATATATATTATTTTGTGTATATAGTATAATGTTTATAATAGTCATCCACATTCTTAAATGTATCAATATTTCATTCCTTTCTATTGCTGAGTTATATTCTATTTAATCATTATATTAAAATTTATCCATTCTCCTCATGAAATAATTGGAGATTTGGAACTTTTGGTTATTAAAGGTAAAGCCACTTTGAACATTTTTATATAATTTATCTTCAGATATAAGTTTTTGGATAAATATATTTTGGGTAAATATCTATAAATGAAATTAATAGAGGAAAGGGCTTATTCTTAACTTTATAAGAAAAAGGCAAAACCTTTTTCAAAAGTGGTTATACCATTTTAACTTCCTACCAGCAATGTGTGAGAGTTCTGACTGCTACATATCTAACACCAAACATCATGTGGCGTTAGCAGTCTTTTTAATTTTGACCATTCTAGAGGGTGGAGGCAGATCTCACGGTGGTTTAACTTGCATTTCCCTGAAGACTTAGGTGTTGAGTATTTTTACATGTGCTTAGTGAACTTTCACATGTCTTACTTTATTAAGTGTCTGCTTAAGTCCTTTGCTAGTTTTTCCCCTATTGAGACATTTATCTTTTTATTATTAAGCTGTGGAGTTCTCTATGTATTCTGGATACAAGTCCCTGTTAGATAAATGTTTTGCAAACATTTTCTTCTAGTTTGTGGATTTTTATTTTCCTTATAGTGTCTTTCAAAGAGTAAAAGATTTTAATAAAATCTAGATGTTGTTGTTGTTTCCGTACAGTTAATTGATTTCTGTGTCCTCCTAAGAAATCCCTGCTGCTCCCAAGTTGTAAAGATATTCTTCTATGTCGCCTCCTAGAAATCACATTTAGTTTTTAGATCTGTTTCATTCCTAATTAACGTTTATATATAATATAAAATATTGGTTGAGGATACTATTTTTCCATATAAAGATCCAGTTGTTAAAGCATTATTTATTGAAAAAAACTTTACTTTTATTTAAAGAATAACTGGTACCTTTGTTGAAAATCAACTAGTTGTATAAATGATATTTCTAAACTCTTTATTCTATTCTATGGTTCTGTTTGACTAACCATATGCAAATGCCATACTGCCTTGATTATTATAGCTTTATAGTAAATCTTAAAGCTAGGTAGCATAAGTTCTCTAGTTTTATTCTTTTTCAATATTGTTTTGCCATTCTGTATCTCTTGCATTTCCATAGAAAATTTGTTATCTGATTTTCGCTTTCCATGAAAATGTCTGCTGAAATACGATTGGGATCATATTGCTCGGTTTGGAAAGAATAAACATCATAATAATATTGAGTCTGCCGATCAATGAATGTATCTGTCCATTTATTTAGGTCTTTTTGCATTTCTCCCAGTAATGTTTTATAACTTTTAGTGTATATTTCTTATGTATATTTTGCCAAATTTATCCCTAAGTATTTAATGTTTTTTACACGATTATAAATAATATTGTTTTCAAATTGTTCACTGTTAGTTGTATTAGTTTGTTAGTGTTGCCGTAACAAAGTACCACACGCTGGGTGGCTTAAATAACAGAAATTGATCTTGCCACTGTGCTGGGGACTAGAAGTCCAAGATCAAGGTGCCAGCAGGTTGGATTCCTTGGAGGTGTCTCTCCTCGGTTTGCAAATGGCCATTCTCTTGCTGCCTCTTCACACGGTTATCCCTCTGTGGGAGAGTATCACCGGTGTCACTTTTTTGTGTGTGCAAATTCCCTCTTCTTATAGTGGCACCAGTCAGATTGGATTAGGGACCACTCTCATGACCTCATCTAACCTTGATTGCCTCTTTAAAGGCCCTATCTCCAAATACAATCACATTCTGTGGTACTAGGGGTTAGGGCTTCAACATATGAATCTGGGGAAACAAATCAGCCCATAAGACTAGTATACAGAGATACAATTGATTTTTGTATACTGACCATTTATGCTGCAAGCTTGCTGAATCACCTCTTAATTCTTGTAGTTGCTTTGTGCATTCCTTTGGGTATTCCTCATAGATACTCATGTCTGCAAATGGAGAATGTTTACTTTTTCATTTTTATGCCTTATATTTCTTTTTTGTGTTTTTGCTTTGTTGCATTTGTTTTTTCTATTTGTATGACCAAAATCTTTAGCAGTACAGGTAGGTAACAACCAAATAATGTAGAACCCCATAAGCCACGTTACAGAGTTTGAATTTTATTTTAGCACAGTGGGAATACATTGAAGGTCTTTAGTTAAGCTGTTGCTCATGAGCAACAAATGAGCAATGACATATATGTATGTATATACACATATATATCATTGATTTTATATATATATATATATATATCTTAGTCCACTTGTGTTGCAATAACAAAATACCACAGACTGGGTCATTTACAAAAATTAAATATATATATACATATACACACATATATATATCATACATATACACATACATACATCATTGCTCATTTGTTTGTTATAAATAGCATTAACAGCATTTTTCAAGTTATATCCTGGGAGTGTTTATGATTTACTTATTCTTCAACTAATTCCATAACAAGATTTGAGGTGCTTAGAACAATTCATGCCAAGTTAAAACAAAATAATTGGGCAAATTGGGATAAAGAATAAAATGGAGTTGAAAAACAAGAGGCCCAGGTAATGTCAGTTCAAAATATGCTTACCTTTAACTACTTTAAATTTACAGGAGGTATAGTTACACATTTTGGCTGAATCTCCCAGAGACTAGAACTGTTTGAGACACTTCTGTTCCCCAATCCCTTGTGATATGTTTCTCAGGTAATAGGCCTTCACAGTAACTCCCAAACTATCATATATACCACACAGACTTGAGATTCACTATTGAGAGAATCTATGTACTGTTTTTCTTTTTTTTTCTTTTTTGTTATAGAGCCGGGGGTCTTACACTGTCACTGAGGCTGAAGTGCAATGGCACGATCATGGCTCACTGCAGCCTTGACCTCCTGGGCTCAATCCTCTTGCCTCAGCCTCTCGAATAACTAGGATTACAGGTGTGTTCCCCCATGCCTGGCTAATTTTTAAAAATTTTGTGTAGAGATGGGGTCATGCCATGTGGCCCAGGCTGGTTCAAACTCCTGAGCTCAAGTATCCTTCTACCTCTCCCTCCCAAAGTTCTGAGATTACAGGAATGAGCCACTGTGCCCAGCCTATAGATTGTTTTTCTTGAAGCAATTTTTCAGAAACCTTCCTGGTTTCTGATAATTTAACCCTTTCAGGTTAGGAGAGAAAAATGAACATTTTGATATTACCCACTGTCTTAGTCCATTTGTGTTGCTGTAATAAAATATCACAGACTGGGATATTTATAAACAATAGAAATTAATTTCTCTCAGTTCTGGAGGCTGGAAACTCCAAAATCAAAGTGCCAGCAGATTTGGCAACTGGTGAGGGCTGCTCTTTGCTTACAAAATGGCACCTTGTTGCTGCATCCTCAGCAAGGGTCAGTGCTGTGTCTTCACATAGTGGAAAGAATAGAAGGGGCCAACTGTCTCCTTTGGGCCTTTTTTTAAAAAGGCACTAATGCATTCACAAAGGCAGAGCCCTAATGGTCTAATCACCACTTAAAGGCACCTCCTCTTAATACTGTTGAATTAGGGATTAAGTTTCAACATGAATTTTGGAGGGAATACAAACATTGAAATGATTATACGTGTTTATTTAATCAAGTATCCAACAAAAGCAAATAATTCAAGCCCCAAATTCACTGCATCTTTAGTAGATAAGCAGAGTTTTAAATTACGATTGATCTCCTGTTAGGAGGAATGCATGGATTTCCACAAGAAAAAACTGTACTGAGGAGAAACTTTCCACAGTAATGTGCCACTTTTCAGTCAACGACAGACCACATATATGAGTCCCATAAGATAATACTATATTTTTACTGTACCTTTTCTATGTTTAGATATGTTTAGACACACAAATATCATTGCATTACAATTGCCTACAGTATTCAGTACAGTAATATGCTGTATAGATTTGTGGTCTAGGAGCAATAGCCTAAGTGTGTAGTAGGCTGAGCCATCTATTTTGTGTTAGTACACTGTGATGTTCAGAGAAGGATGAAATTGCCTAAGGATACATTTCTCAGAATGTATCCTGTTGTTCGGTGACGCATGACTGTATTCCATGAGCACTATAATCACTATCATAGTAACACATTAGGAGAGAATTCTCATTTCTAAATCCAATATAATTTATCACCCATTAGTTCATACTCTACTGCTTTGATTGCTTTTCTTTGGTTGTGGCTACCTGCATACAGCAGTAAAGTTTCAGAAAAACTGAAGTCGCAAAAGGTCAATTACTCAATGAAGGAAAGATAAACCATTGCATTGGGGGACTAGAAGATACTTTTAAAAGTTCTCAGATTATCAATTTAATGATGTGTTTCTATGTAGTGAATAATGCCTTAAATTCTTGCCAAGAGTATTTAGAAGGAAGTTGTCAGAAGTATATCAGCTAACTCATTTTTTTTTATATCACTGCTAATGGTGTCATTCACACATTGTGCAACCCATAATTCCAGATTTAATTCTACCAAAAAATATAGGTCATTGCAAAATGCCATATTAAAACTGCCAATGCATGACAGGAAGATGGGGATGCAGACAAAGCAAAGGATGACACCAATTCCTTTTTTAAAGAAGCAAGATAGGGATTGGACAAAAAGGCTGAGCCATTTTTAATGGATACTTTTGAGGGAGTGTTAATTCCAATTTAATTAAAATGATGCATTAATTTAAAATTGGGATAACTGGTTGCCCTCGACTGCACCTGGGTTGCGCCAGTGCTCTCGGATTAACCTAATTGTACAGAGGTGCCCTTGTTTTCTAACTTCATGCACAAAGCATTGGAAATTATTTGTTTGCTTTTTCTTTTCCAAGTAAATCTTTTTCCAGTTATGCATAAGGGAAGTTTGAGGCAATGGTTAAAGGCACTTAAGTTATAATTATTGCTGTTATCATTAACATTAAGCACGGGTATGGCTTTGTTGCAAGTTACCCACCTACACCTGCAAATCTCTCTTGCTAGCACACGCCCCAGCTCTCTCCACCCGCAGTGGTCCGTGGCTGGACCGCTTTAAGTCACTGAGCGGGCTGGGCTCTGAAGGAGGTCGGTCCCGCTCCTCCCAGACCCAAGCGTAGGGCTAGGGAAAAGCTAGGCGGGAAGGTCATTGCACTCCCAGGCCCCAGGAAAAGGGCCCAGGGTCTCATCATCTCTTACTTTCGGGCAAAACTTCCCACATCGCGACCTTCCCTCCCTGGGGCACTCTGAGAACACACCCAGTCACCTAGCGCGCTCCCCAGAAGTCGGCTTGGCACACAGCGCACCCCAGCGGCCGCGCGGCCTCCTTCCAGCCGCCGCCACTTGGCTTCCGGAGAGCTCGCCGGGCGCTGCCGCTGCCGCCGCCGCCGCCGCCTCCTGGGAACCAGGGGACTGAAGAGCCTGCGAGAGCGGAACACTGCCGGACCCCGGGTGGGGGGGGCGCAGCAGCTGCGCCTGGCCCCGCCCACCACACCTGGGCGCCCGTAGAACCGCGCGGGGCGGGGCGGGGCAGGAGGCTGGCCTGGCGCTCCGGCCGCTTTGTCGAAAGCCGGCCCGACTGGAGCAGGACGAAGGGGGAGGGTCTCGAGGCCGAGTCCTGTTCTTCTGAGGGACGGACCCCAGCTGGGGTGGAAAAGCAGTACCAGAGAGCCTCCGAGGCGCGCGGTGCCAACCATGGAGCGGGCCGGCCCCAGCTTCGGGCAGCAGCGACAGCAGCAGCAGCCCCAGCAGCAGAAGCAGCAGCAGAGGGATCAGGACTCGGTCGAAGCATGGCTGGACGATCACTGGGACTTTACCTTCTCATACTTTGTTAGAAAAGCCACCAGGTAAGAAGAGGACCCACGGAAGACCCGGGGCTGATTTCTCTCCCCTGTTGAATTGTGCCCTTCGTTCACCCCTGTTCCCAGGCCCTTTGCTTTTGAAGTAGGTCCTCGGTCCTGTTACGAGGTAGAAACCTCAACTCTAAGCGAGCACAGTCGAAAAACTCAAGTGTCGGATTTGATACAACTTGCTCACAAAGTTCAAATACAAAAATGTACTTGCCGACCTCCCACCCTCACCCCCGACCCTCTTGGTATTCCCCGGGAACATGATTATTTTCATACATCCGTGCTCACGGGCCTTCCCCTAGCCCCTCTCTAGCCCTCTGGTTCCCCAAAATCCAATCAGCAAAACCCAAACAGTTTCTGAGCCCCTTCCCTGCAGCTCCGGAAGCACCATTTCCAAGTCGGTCTTGATGGCTCCGCTCCTCCCCCGTCCCCCCTCGCCCTGGCCCTGGCTGGGCGGGGAAGCTGGGGTGAGGGACGAGTCCACGGGACAGCCCAAAGGCAACATGACGGAACCTTGCCAAAGTGAGTGCGGTTGCCTTTTCCCCCCTTCCAGTCTCCTGCTTGTCCCGCGCGCCTCCTTTCACTCGCTTTTCCGCCGAAGGCTGTGCCGCCAAAAGTAGAGCTCTGCAGAGGGGTTTGCGGCGTGCACACAAAGGGCGCAGGGGAGGCGCCGCCTGGAGCGGACCCCAAGGGGCAGCGCAGACCCCAGAGGCCAGCTCTTTCTGGTCCAGAGCCAAGCGCCGGGGCGGCCCTTGCGGAGGGCGGGGAGGAGGGAGCCTGTCCTTTTGGAGGCGGCTGCGCAGCGGGCAGTCGGGGCGCTCGTGGGAAACGCTCGCGGGAGAGTTGGGGAGGAATTGAGACTGGGAGCAGAGGGACAAGAAGAGTGGAGCAGAGAGTGCTTGGCGGGCGGGTGCCCCGAAGCCTGAGGAATTGATGCATAGTCGGGGTGCGTGGACTCCAGGACGCGCCCCTTTGCAGAAAGAGTCCGTGCCCCGCTGCCGCCTGCTCTGGGCAGCGGCCGTCGGGCAGCGGGTGCTGGCCGTCTTGGCCGGGAGGGTGACACACGCCCGGCAGTGATGGTCGAGGAGCCCGCCCGGGTTCGACGCCCGGGTCCCACTCGCCGGCGCGCGGCCGCGGCTCTGCCGGTCGCTCCCCGCCAGGGGGCGGCGCAGCGCGGGGCGAGCGGGAGGCGACGGGCGGCGGCGCGGAGGCCGGGGCCGTGAGGGAGCTGGTTCTGAGTCGCCGACCTCACCTCACCTCACCTGCGCGCGTTGTTGCCCCTACGGAGCCTCCTGGAGTCCAGGATCGGCGGAGTTCGAAAACGAACTTCCCACGTTTGCTATGTTGCCCTTTGGAGACAAAACAAGGTACTTCCTTCAGCATCCCCCTACGTCCCTTCCCACTTTTTCCGGGGGCGCGGCGGGTCTCGGGTGCTGGGTGGTGGCGCCCCGGTGGCACCAGTGGGACGATGTATCATTGAAAATTGACTGTATAACTTTTGTTGTTGTTGTTATTCTTTGCTCTCTTGCAGATGTATTAATAAGGGTCTTAAATTGGGCCCTTTTTAATCTTGTTTTGTTTTGTTTTGTTTTGTTTTTTTCCTAAGGAACATCCAGAGTTGGTGTCAATTTAGTCACTTTCAGGGTTTTTTGACAGAGGGGAAGGCTCCGGGATTAATCTTTTCAATTTAATAACCCAGCCCTTCTTTTAAAATCGTCTTCCCCCGCTTTCACCTTCTTCCTTCAAAATCCTAAATCTTGAGCGCCCAGAGGATAGCCCTGAAAGGGCACTTTTTTGCGAGTTTAGCGTGAGACACTAAGGCCATGGAGGTCTAGAATGATCGGTTGCTGTCGACTAACAGTTTTCAGGGGTCACCTGCCCCTCTGAGGCCATCTGCACCCACTTTCCTTTCACTCTGCGCATTCCCAGCCTTCTGCTCTCCTTGAATTACAGCGCATAGAATGATCAGGGGGCCAGAGAACCAGGCCGATTTTTAAAAGTATGTATTGGACCTGTTCTTTAGGCAGATTATAAACAGTTTAAAGAAAAAAAGTTATTGTTTAATAAATCAGCATAAATGTCCTTTCTTCGTTCCCTATTTTTCTTTTAAAGATGTAAACTAGGGATGGCTTGTTGGTCGTTTTTGACTAGTCATAGATAGGAACACTGCATTTTCAGAACCTACCAACACTTTGAAAGTGTAGCAACATTTTAATGGAAAATAAATGGAAAGAGCTGAGTTACATTTCTTTTCCCATTACTTTTTCTCCCAAGCAGCATAGGATCAAAATCCTATTTCTCAAATTTACCATGCTCACTGTAAAATTTAGATCATCTGAGGCTCTAAAAAAACTTTTAAAAAATTTTCGGTTAGAGTTTTTAAATTACAGTTGATGTTGGCAACAGGCTGAACACTTTCTGTGATATATATATGTATGTGTGTATACATATTCTTAAGAGGTTATGTTGAGTGTAAGTTGGAAAATGAAAGTGTAAAATATTTAATAGTGCAGGTCCTCAATTTTAAGAGTTATAATAAAGTGCTGAGAGTTGTCAGAGTAAAGAATATAACCTAAGAATTTGTGTGTAGCCAGAGGTCTTTCATGAAACAATATTCCAATTTGGTTTTATATTTGGTGGCATTAACAGGAGACTTAAAATGTGAATAAGAGGATGGACATTTGTTGATTATAAAAATGCAAACCACTAACCCCAGTGTGGTTCACATTTTGTGGTAAAAACTTATTGCATACGTTTTAACTTTACAGCTAAGGATTTTTTTTTTTAAAAGTAGGAGCTCACATTACTTTGCTTTTCCCCTCTTTTTACACTTTGTAAGTGTAAAATGAATATTGTATGTGATTCAGGAAACCCATGAAACAAAATAGTTCTGTAGATGCATGCGGCATGTTTTAAGATTTAAAATATATTTATATTCACCCAGATCGTCCATCTGCACCAGTAATCAGGCTTGCTGATAAAAACAATTTCTGCATTATTGTTGTCATTCGACATTCATGCATGATTTTCCATCCTTTTCTCAGACTAAATGATCTACACTCAATGGTAGTTATTGAACATCAAGGTTCTGGCATTCCTAAATTCTCAAACACCTGTGAATTTGGGTTGACCTTGAAAGCATTTATGCCATTATATTACATTGTTTACTATCACTGTCTTCAAGTAGAGAGCTACGCATCTTATTAAAAGCTATAGGTTGGGCCTGGCACGGTGGCTCATGCCTGTAATCCCAGCACTTTGGGAGGCCGAGGCGGGCAGATCACGACGTCAGGAGTTCAAGACCAGCCTGACTGACCAACATGGTGAAACCCCGTCTCTACTAAAAATACAAAAATTAGCCAGGTATGGCGCGCGCCTGTAATCCCAGCTACTAAGGAGAATCGCTTGAACCCGGGAGGCAGAGGTTGCAGTGAGCCAAGATTGCTCCACTATACTCCAGCCTGGGCAACAGAGTGAGACTCCATCTCAAAAAAAAAAAAAAAAAGCTATAACTTGGAGCTTTTTAGTTATCACAACCTGTTTATGTCCATTTGAAGGTGTCAATTGAATGATTCAGAACATAGTCGGTTGGCATAAAAATTAATTTGAGGCCAATAAATCACATCTGGAAAACTCCCAGGTCACTATTGTAGACAATTTGCAGTCCTGAAGGCCTCAGCTACTGTGTTAATTGAGGGCTTTAATGCGTATGCCTTTTACAACTGAAGCTTTCCTGGTGCTAATGCTGCTTAACAGCTGTTGTTATTCTTGACAGCATATTAGAATAAAGTTACCTTTCATTAATTACTAATCAGCTCTGTGATTGTGGGTGATGTTTTAGGTCATTTAATATTGTTAAGGATGACATGATTGACTTTATTGCTTTGTTTTGTACAGGCAAAAGCTCGAGAATATTTGGCATATACTGGAAATAAGAGATATTAAGTGAGGGCAAGTTTTTATGACAGCTTGGATCAAAGTCCAGAAACAGACGTTTTACACTCCCATATAGCTTTCTATGATAGACTTTATTTGATACTGCAAAGCTGTGCTGAATTAATTGAGGTTCCTGGTCCTGTGTTTGGAATTCCGTCCTTCATTTTTTTTCCTTGTAATTCTTCTCTCACTTCTAAAAGCTGTAGCATTTTTATTGCACGGTATTTACAATACAATCAGATTATGTATATAAATATTGCTATGTATTTTTTTAAATTATTGTTTCTATAATTATATAGGAATATAAACTTTCCACAATTTTCAGACAAATGAATTGTTAAGCATATTTTGTGAGGCAGTTGTTAGTGTTGATGATAATAAAACCCTCTGAGCATTGACCCAGTCTAACTTTGATATTGTTTATAGTATTTTTATAATGGTAATTCTGGTGCAATAATGGCCTTTTTTTCTTATGTTGTTCATAACCAGGGTCCATATAACCAGCTCTAAGCTGCTTTTAGTGTCCTTGAAGCACTCTTCTGGATTGCATTCTTCCTGCCTGGAGAAATCCATAGGAGCCCCTGAAATAATGTTTCTCATTGCTCTTCTATCTCTAGTGTTTTCAAAGTTTCAAATTCAGACCCATGTTAGAGCCTAAACTACATGATTCCTAAAAATGTGGTAGAATTAATGCAATGGCAATTAGTGTAGATGGATATCTTCAAATAAATCGATTTGCTTAGTATAACACAAACTTAAATAGGCTTGTGGTATCATTCAGTAGCTTTTTTTCAGTCTGTCATCTGATGATCTGTAGAAATTGTCAATATTTTCACACGTTTATGTCCTCAACACCTCAAGATGAGGAAATTTTTAGTATTTTGATTATGCTATGCAACCAAATTTCCTTTTTAAATTATTCTGCTTAAATAAATGATTTGACTCTGGTCTGAAGTATTATTTCTTTTGAAATATTTGGAATTCTGTTAAGGTTGTATAGGTAAAGCTTGTAGCTTCGCCCTTATCTGATTATAGGGAGTGTGTCCTACTTTGAGGCACCCCTTCCTCTAGATTTGAAAATACAAATTAACTTAGAAGTTAAACCTATAATTGCTGTGTCAAGCTATATTTGTTCTTTGTTCCAACAGCCAATTGTGGGATAAAAACCTCTTCCTAGGATAAAAAAACCTTTAGTAAGGACTGTAGGACAATTAAATAAATCAATGAGTTGATTGATAGTGAAGGGTTGAAAAATGACTAATTTGTGAATTTAGGATGCAGACTAGTTACTGACTTTGCAGGACTTCCTATGAAATTAGTTTAGCTGCATAGATGTAGATTCAGTTGGCCACTATTACAGCTGGTGAATGTGGCTTGGAAATATCTGTTATACCAGGTTCTCAGGGAAAAGTGCCTGTGAGCCACATACCTAGGAATAAAAATTGAAGAAAGTCTTTCCATATGAGTCATTCATTTGATATTTAGCTCTGTAATCTTATTTACTGACTGATATTCTCATTTTAAATTACTTTTTTTTTTTTTTGCAATGTAAGTGCTTAATTCATTTTCTCTGAGTGGTAGGAATTTATATTTGTTGCCAACCAAATGTTTAAGGTAGGTAAAGCAAACTGAGTGTTAAGTTTATAAGAATCATTTTGATAAAAATTCTAAAAATATTTTAAAGCTTTTTTTTTCTTTCTTTCTTTTTTTTTTTTTCGAGACGGAGTATTGCTCTGTTACCCAGGCTGGAGTGCAGTGGCGCAATCTCGGCTCATTGCAAGCCGAGTTTACGCCATTCTCCTGCCTCAGACTCCCGAGTAGCTGGGACCACAGGTGCCCACCACCACACCCAGCTAATTTTTTATATTTTTAGTAGAGACGGGGTTTCACCATGTTAGCCAGGATGGTCTCGATCTCCTGACCTCGTGGTCCACCCACCTCGGCCTCTCAAAGTGCTGGGATTACAGGCGTGAGCCACCGCACCCGGCCTTTAAAGCTTTTAAAGATATATTTTCTCTGGTTTTTAGTTTGCAATGAAAATGCTTTTAAATGTCTTATGTACCATTGTTAGATTTTTTAATCTTCAGGAGAGGGGAGACTTTTCCCTTGATTCTGAATTATAAAGTAAGATTAACTTTTTGCAAATTTTCTTCTCTGAATAATTGTATTTTACCTAAAATCGGGAGAGAAAGGATCACCATTTGATATCATGTTCATAGTGATAATTATAAAAAATAAGAATTATCTTCTCTACTTTTAGTTGAATACCTATACTGAAAATATACAAAGAGAGAAGACCCTGACATTCTGAGCTGATGAAATAATTAAAACACACACACAGGATCACTGAAATTTAGAGTTAGTAGGGATCATATAATCTCATTTTTCTTTTCTTTTTTTTTTTTTTGAGATGGAGTCTCGCTCTGTCGCCCAGGCTGGAGTGCAGTGGCGTGATCTCGGCTCACCACAAGCTCCGCTTCCCGGGTTCAGGCCATTCTCTTGCCTCAGCCTCCCGAGTAGCTGGGACTACAGGCGCCCACCACCATGCCTGGCTAATGTTTTGTATTTTTTTTTATTGGAGATGGAGTTTCACCTTGTTGGCCAGGATGGTCTTGATCTCCTGACTTGGTGATCCCCCCGCCTCGGCCTCCCAAAGTGCTGGGATTACAGGCGTGAGCCACCGCGCCCGGCCAATCTCATTTTTCAAACTTAAGTAATGTACTCCTATTAAAGAAAGACATTCTTTTTGATTTACAATATATTAGAAAGCTTTTGGTTGCAAGTGACAGAAACTCAACTTGAACCCATAGAGAATTGATGCACATAATTTTAATTGCTTGCGGGATTGGGTTAGCTGTGAATTTAGCTAATCAAATAATGTTGCCAAAATTCTGTCTGTCTCTGTGTCTATCTAACTATCTATCTGTCTGTCTATCTATCTATGTATCTACCTATCTCTATTTATCTTTTCATCTATCTACTCTGTTTACCTGCCCTTCCTTGCATCTATTTATCTGTCCATGTATCCATTTGTTCATGTATTCATCTATCCATGTATCTTTTGGCCCTGTGCTGTGTTGGCTTTATTTTCTTGCATGCTTTCTTCATGTGCTGAGAGTTTCTACTTGTTAACTGTATGTGGGTCTTAAACTTCTGATATTAGAGAGGTGCCTTCTTATCCATATCAGTCTTCCCCAGATTACCCTGGTCTCACCTGGGTCACATCCCAACTCTGAACCAATCATTGTATTCGGGAGAGTAGGGTTGTTTGACTGTTTTGTTGGGGCACGTAGCCCATAAGGTGATATATCATTGGGGAGGGTACATTCCCAAAAGAAAGTGATGTGGGCAGACCCAGAAGTTCTAGATGTCTACCATAACTAGTGTTGACTTCCTTTTATTTTAATGTTAGTGAAGTGTGGAATTCTTAGAAGTAGAATAAATAAAAGCAGATATAATTTAATCATAGTTACAACATTTATGCAACTGTAATGCCAAAATACATTCTCAGTTAATTACGAACAAAATGATAAAACCACAGCCAAATGCAGATTTACAGCATTCATTAAAACACTCTTGCAAAGTAGATATGGTTCTAACTATCTGAAAAACAGTATGGTAAGTCAGCTGGCCTTTGCTACAATTTGGCCTATAATGATTTCACTTCTCCCACTGGGTCTCTCTGAACAATCATGAAACTTATTCCTCTAGCACAGCATACCAGCTTTCATTTTTTACTTGCTATGAAGGCATATATGCATATTAAATTTACGTCTTTTATTTTCTCATTAACACAAATATAAACCTTAGAACTAAAATTGCAGGGCAGTAGTTGGTAATAAGATGGTCTTCCCAGTAACTGAAAGCAATTTCTTTCACTTTCTTTTGTTTTGATTATGATTATTGTGAAAATATAAAATTAGAACATTTTATAGAACAAAGTAAAGATCTTCAAAACATACTTGTTTTGAATTCTGTGGGCTCTCAAACCTCAGATAAATGCCATTGTAGTCCAGTCTCTCCCATATCTAAACTGCAAAGCCAACTGATTTACATGTTTAGTGCATAGATTTGAGTTATTGTTTTCTTTCAGAAGTGGTAGGTTTTCCTTTAAGCAACTTCTTTTATACCATGTGTTGTGAATGTACAGAAAATTACAAAATATTTTGTCCCTTCCAATTCTCAGTCAAATTTGAAGTTAAAATCATATGAAGCAATTCTGCATTTTAAGGTTCTCAGATGTTTTCATAGCTGGAGCAAACTTAGAAATACTAAATAACTTTGGGCAGACTCTTCATTTCCTTACCATGCCAGACCCAAGCGAACTACTCACTGTAACATCAGAGTAGAGGTTATTGGAGGATATCACTTAGAGGTGTCCAAAATCTCCCGTTTTGTTTAATAATAGTCTGTTAATCTCTTAATCATCTAAACCATTGCTTCTCAAAAGAAGATGTTGGCATTTGGTGGTGACACTTTTTTGTTGTTAGAGGCTGTCTAGTGCATAGCAGGACATTTAACATCCCTGAACTCCAGACACTAAATGCCAGGGCCACCCCCATCCATGTGATGGAAAATCTATTCCCACACATTTCCAAATGCCCCTCAAGGGTTGGCACCACTACTTGATTAGGAGCCACTGTTGTGAACCCTTTGAAATTGATTTCTGTTTATGGTGAAGGGCCCTAGATAGGACAGCCTTAGGCTTCAACCCCAGACCTACTTTTCTAAGAGGAAGACTTTAGGTGCATTATTTACTCTCTCTGTAAAATGGAGATAATGTCATTTACCTCATAGTGTTCATTAGAAAATTAAAGGAAATAATGCGTGTTTCCTTATCTTTTTAGTGGTAATTTTCAGTAGTTTACCATTTTACCTTGAGCATCATCAGTGCCTTAAATGTAATCACAAACTTTGATAGGCATTTCCTTATCCTGGTAGATGGGAATTAAGTTCTGACAGCATAGTGATTTCATAGACTTTAAATGTCATTTTCATTTTTTAGATGAATTTTATTAATGGTTCGAACAGAAGTTTTTGTGGGATTGTGTAAGGTACTGGAAAGGGAACTGGAATGGGAGCCCAGACCCCCAGATTTTGTTTCCAGCTTTGCTATTAGCTAACTTTGTGACTGGCTCAAGTTAATGAACCTCAAACTTTAAGACGGGAGGTGAAAGAGGGTGAAGACTCAAGGCGGAGAGATTCATAAGTGAGCTTAAAAATCTCTTTCAGCTGTAAGAGTTCTTTTTTCTCACCAGGAGAGCCGAGTATCAGTTTCTCAGATTGAATAGTTTCATTCTTTTAAGTATTTTTCCAAATTTGAGTAGTGGATCCAGGTCAAATTATGCAAACAACGTAACTGAAACTGTATAAAATAAGGATCCAAGAGCAGGAAAAGTAGCCAACATAATTTTTTATGTGAGTTATTTTGTGTTTTCCCTAATTTTAGCAGATTTCCATATAAGTTATCAATCATACTTTCCAGTCAGAAAATTTAGTATACTCTTTGCAATGCTGGTATTAGTGATTAATTCACATGACTAATGAAAAAGGCATTGAAAAGAGAAAAGAGGATGGCATTTTAGTAGCTGACTTATAAACACAAAAATACACCCTGCAAATCTCCCCCAAAAGTTACTGCTCAATGGACTTGCTATATGGACATTTTTGAGGTCCAAGGATTGGTATCACCCTACTTTTAGGATTTACCCAAGTAAGTACCCATGGATAAGAACTAAAACAGCCAATTTAATCCATAAATTACCTATAGCAGAGTGTTAAAGCGTTGTTTTATCAGATATTAAAACTGTGCTCCAGTTTAGAATTATGAAGTATTGCTATGGTGTTCATCATAGGTAATTATTGTATTTTTTTTACATTTGTTGTCAAACAGTTTTAACTTTTATATTTTGGGAAAAAATAGTCCCCAAATCTATAACTTATTTTTGACAAAAAAAAAGTCTCTAAGTAGTACTGAAAAAAACAAATTATATTCTTGCATTTATTTTTTTCAGTTAAATGTTTATCACCTAATCTTAATATGAAATTCAGAAAATTTTGTTATATGTAAGTGTAGATATTAGTCTGAGGAGTCCATTTTTTAAATTGTAATTTGAAAAAATACATGAAAACAGCCCTCTCTCTTTTATTTTAATATGAAATACCTCTGTAGAGAAGTTATTGTTTTTAAATTAGGGGCTTAGGAAGAAGCAAGAGCCAACATCTACTTATTCTGCTGTATAAATCCATTAAATAATTTTTCTTTATTTAAAAAAACCAAAAACTTAATCAGTTTAAAAAATATACTCCACTTAATATTCAGTTAACTTAAAAACAATAACTATCATGAATGAAACACTGTGTATCTGACTCCAGCATCATTTCCTTTACTTTTATCATGATCTCCATTTTACAAAGAGAGTAAATAATGTACCTAAGGTCATATTCTTAGAAAGAGGTGATTCTGGGGTTAAAGCCTAAGTCTGTCTCATCTAGGGCCCTTAATCACTGTGCTATACTGAAAGTCAGTGTCAATATTAATGCAAGCAAAGCAAAGGCTCATAGATTTAATGTCATGAGGTTTCTAACTCAGGAAGAGGTTAACATTTTCTTCTACGGCCTCTTTCTGTGGAAGCACATTACTTAATGATGTGCCTAAAGACTGCCCAAGTGAGTTTAGTTTCCATATATAATTTCAGAGTATAAAAATTGGGAAATCTCAAATGACATTTTAAAATAGAGTGGTTGAAAATTTCGGTACTAGGCCATTATAATTATCTTTTTAGCATTAGAACACAAATACCCTAGTACAGTATATTTTCAAAGGATTTTTATCCTTTGATACATTATTTTAGGCCAGAGTGCAAAACGTATTAAACTAGTTGCTCTACGAGTAGGTTTCACCTAGTTATACTTTTAACTCGTGAGGGTTATTATGTTTATATCAAAAGTTTACTTTGCCTTGTCAATTTTTCTTCTCTTTTCCTTACTTTTCTAGAAGCCAAGAAATATTCTATAAACCTTATAAAATATTTTAATTAATTTTCCATTTCAAGACATCTGGAATATTGAATATGTATTTTAAAGCCTTTCTGTCTTTTTCAAGATTCATTTTGTAATGTGAGTGAGCAGTTCCACTTTGGTAGAAAGTAAAGTTATTGCCACAGGGAGACCCTTCGGACACAGACACGTGTGTGCGTGTGTGTGTGTGTGTCCCTTTAGCTAATTATATTTGAAATGCAGTTCCAGGGCTTGCATCCCTGCATCCTGTCAACAAGTTTTGTAGTCCTATTTAATACTTCTAGATAGAGGGCATTTGGAAGAAGCCGTGACTTGTGTAGATTAGTGGAAAATTTCTAAAAACCCAAAACATAAGGTGTAGTTTTCTATTTTGTGATAGGTTTATAACAATCTTGAGTGGAAGCGATAAATTGGAAAGGGGGGAAGGTTTTGATTCTTCCCAGATTATATGCCATACAGTTACATTTCATTTTTTTCAATGAATATTATTAATCAATTTATAAACTTTTTAGAGACTATGAGATGAAGTGTACCCAATATGCAATACAAATCTATTTAAATATCCATAAAAATGTATTACAATACTAACTTGGCACTATTTAATTTAATCATTAACTTAATTGAGTCCATCATTTTAAGAGTGCCACACTTTTCATTTAGTTACAAAATATGAGCACATAGTATGTGTAAAATGAAATAGCATTGTATTTTTGCCGTGTGTAATTTTGATAAAATAAACTCTTTGTTAAAACTATTGTAAAAGTTGATAACCATTCACCTTCTAAGCTTCCTAACCTCCAGAATTCCTTTTTTTTTTTTATCATTCACGAATGAATTTGTTCATCCCTTTGTATTACTAAAGACACAAAATGTCTGTCAACTTTCGCCTTTTCCTGCAGCAGCTGCTGGAACCAGGGTAGTGCACATGCTCATTAGTTTTGCTGGGTGCTCTACTCACACAATAACATCATCCTCTTGACAGGTGCGGTGCTGTTAGCTTCATGAAATCAAAATGTGTTAAACATTATGCTTAATGACACTGATTTTTATATTAAATCATTATTTTATAAGCAGTTTGAGCTGCAAGAGTCTTCTGTAAAGTAGAATATCTGGATAATAAACTTCTGATTTGATTCATTGTGTAAAGAGTTTCGAGAGTAAGATTTGAGTCACATTTATGACAAGAGCTCAAAAGGTTTTAGGCAACTTCCATTTGGTTTTATGTCCTACCATCTAATTAATATGAATTTTGGGGTTCTTTGCTTGCTCCGTATGGAAAAGGATATCTTCGTGAGCCTTAAGTATCATCTGTGGAATATGCAAGTTTGAAATAACAGGTTATATCGACATTAGTGTTATCTGAAAGGAATAACTTCCAACGGTGATTTTGGGGTGCCCACCAGGGTTTCTTCGTATCTCAGGATGTGTTGTAAAAGTTTAAAAGCAAAACTAAATTCACTCTTGTTAAAAGGGTATGTAATACAACTCATTTATGGGTAAGAATTTTTTGTGTAATAAAATATGTAGGAAATAAGTGATTGGAGGATAATAAAAGATTTTGGTGAGAAGAGAGGAAGATATGGATGTGATGTAAAACTCAGGCTCTTATCATTGACTATAAATTATTGGCTTCAATGTTCATTGCATTTTCCATGGCTGTGGCTTTCTTTGAAGTGTGGAGGGCCTGTTGTCTTTCATTAATAGCTTTGTAAAAGTTAACTGAAAGACTTCAAGAGGGCAGCTAGGCTTTCTTCTGATTGCTTCCAGGTTTGCAGGGCAGTTAGCAAAGATACACTTATACATGAAAGTGGAGAGTCCAGATTATTAGTACTTGTGGTAAAAGCTACAGATGCTTCAATGGAATTTGTTTCTGTTTTGTTGTTTTTGCTCAGATGGCTATGATGTAATTTAAACTGTTCTCTTTTTTTTTTCTTTTTTTTTTTTTGAACTTAGTAGGAGTCTGTCAAGAATGCCATTCTGAAGTATTTGCTTTGGCCAAGGACTTTTGAGTGTTCATGGTGCATGTTGCTGGCCTATATCCCAACCCAGTTAGGGCCCCTCAACCTGTGGGCTTGTATCACCAAAAACAACCTTTTTACTCTCATCCTTTTTCTGATTCTCTTGGCTGACCTTTTTGAGGAAATAACAGCCATTGCTCCTTAACCCAGCCCTTTGTCTTCATTGGAATGAGTACTAAGGGTGTAAGAGATAGCAAATTCTTAGATATGTTGAAGAGATCTTGAAATGCTTCCATGTGCATTTTCTAATTTGACTCACACATCAACCCTGTGCAGTGAGTGAAGGAGCCAGAAGACTTTTCCCCTATTTAAAAATGAGGAAGTTGAAGGGCAAAAAGAAGTTAAGTTGACAGACCCAAGGACCACTTCTTGTCCTATTCATACTGCAAACTGTGGTGGGGAGTCTTAATAGCCTGTTAATACAGCAGCCCATTTTTACCACTGAAGATCTCAAACTCCAGTGAAAATGAACTCCAGAGAAGTTGTAATTGTTTTAGCATCAGATCCATGTAGTGTTGTAGCTGGAACTAGAATTATCACCTGATTGTTAGTCTAATATTCCTGACTTTATACTCTGCTGAAGACAGTCAGCACCTTACACTTCATAAAAGGCCAGAACTGGTGCTATTTTTCTTGTTTTATCAGGGATAAAATGGAAACTCAGGGGAAGAAAATTGCTTAGTGCTAGTCACACATCCTATTAGTAACAAATGCTGAGATTAGAACCCAGGACTCATGGCTGAAAGTGCAGCCTCTCAATGCTTTGTAATCCCAAGAATTTTTGTCAATTAGTAAATCTCCCTTTTATAAGTAGTTTGCAGTTTGTTTTGTCCCTATGCAATACATTATGTGGGATGGTTTTAGAGCAAAATGAATGAACTTGATTTAAGGAGATATTTTATGCTCTAGTTTTATTGCAAGTTATGAATCCAAGTGCTTTCAAAAGGTTCAATTATCATACACAGGATTACTTTGTGGTAGTCCTTTGTGCGCTCTCAATGATAAAATGAGCGATTTGATAGCCTGGAACTTACTAGTATGCTGCATAGAACCTGCCTTCTCTTTGTTGCCTATCCGCCAACAATTTCAGTTAGGAAAAGCTATGTAGAATGACTGGAGTGGCCAGATCAAATACAGGACAGCCAGTTCATCTTGAATTTCAGATACTACTTATACTGAAAACTTATTCATTATTTATCTGAAACTCATTTTTAGCAGGTTGTCTTTTTTATTTGCTAAATCTAGCAACTCTGGGGATGACTTTTTCTCGAACACATTTATTATACTTCTTTTCAGTACATTGCTTTAGACTTATAAAATGTGACCTGTTTTCAGAGAAACATAGATATGTTGGAATTTAGTTAGATTTTTTTTTTATGGACACTATCCTTAAGAATCTTTGTTCCCTGAGTCCTTAGAAATAGTGTTTTTACCTTAAGAAAACAGTGTGTGGTCCTTTTATGACCTGGAGGTAAAGGATTTCATTTGAACATGTGTCGTAAGTCATCTTTCTCTATGCCTTCTCTGCTTGAATTTGATTTTTACTTCTAGATTCAGCTAGATGTTACGGAGTGCCTTCTTCATGGCAAGCACTGATGCTCTGGGAACTTTTATATTCTTAATAGGGTATAGTACCTGGAATAGGAAACCTGGATTTGATTCCTGGTGTTGCCACCAAATAGTAGAATGGGTGTGGTTCAGACATTTAATTAGCTTCATATTTTAGAAAGTAGGACCATTAATGCCTGCCTCACCAGGTTTAAATAAAATTATGGTTTTTTTTTCAGTAGCACTAATGTGAATATTTTTCAAAACCCCCTAGAATTAATAAAGGGAAAGGAAAATAGAGGTCCTATCCTAGACCATCGAAGTGATTACCCAGTCAGAACTACTACTGAGGTTTCTGGATTTCCATCCGTTGCTTTCTACTTTTATATTGGACATGTTCACAATCATCTTTTCCGTTACTTATTTGTGTACATTTACCTAACTTCATATGCCAGAAACATCCAATATGTATATAACTTCTGAACACAATATAAACTTTTAAGTTTGAAAGGAAAGATCATGATAATTTTTCTGGAGTTGCTCATTATTCTGTCCCTGGTGCCCAATATAGTACCTTGTGGAAATCTCTGTCTTATGGGAATAATTCGTTCCAGAAAAAAAAAGACAATTAAAGTTAATTCTATCAAAATAGAAAAAAGTTCATGAGAAGGTTTTGGTTGGAGCTTTATCTTGAAAAATAGAACCACAGATTATGAAAATAAGTTTATATTTGAGCTATTAATAATAAAATTGAGATTGTAATGACACTCTGCTAATTCTTAGGATGAAACTCTGCTAACTCTGTTAAATAAATTGTAACAGAGTGTAGCCATAAACAATTATCTTCAGTTCATGTTTGGCTTTTGCAGCAGGGTCATAAAGATAATTTTCTCCCTAAACTAGTTTTTTGAATTAATATTTGAAGGCTTCATCAGCTTTGCCCAAGGGGCTTTCTTAATTCAGAATATAATTATTTGACTAATATTCTCTTTGTGAGTATCTGCTATGTCATTATCCTTATTGATTGTTTCTTCAATTGTTAACTGGTCTTTAATTGGGCATAACTCTTAATTGTCAGTGGCTTTGTGTAATAGTAGAAGGATTCTCCAACATCACTTTAGTCTATGTCTAGAAAATCTATATTGTCTTAGTCCATGCTGGCTGCTATAACAAATAGCTTAGACTGGATAATTTATAAACACAAATTTGTTGCTCACAGTTTCAGATGCTGGGAAGTCCAAGATCAAGGCACCAGCAGATTCTGGTGGAGGCTTCTTCCTCATAGATGTCAACTTTTATGTGTCCTCACAGGAGGGCAAAAGGAGTTAACAAGCTCCCATAGGCCCCTTATAAGGGCCCTCTAATAGGTTGTTCTTCCATTGATTTAAAGAAATACCCAAGGCTGGGTAATTTATAAAGAAAAGAGGTTTAATTGGCTTATGATTCTGCAGGCTTTACAGGAAGCATGGTGTTGGCATCTGCCCAGCTTCTGGGGAGGCCTCAGGAAGCTTTCAGTCATATGGAAAGTGAAGTGGAAACCTGCATATCATATGGTGAGAAAGTTATAGCAAGAGCAGGAGCAAGAATGAGAACAAGGACGGGATGGTGGGAGGTACCATGTACTTTTAAACAAACAACTTTTAAACAAGGCCATGAACTCACTCATCATGAAGGGGATGGTGTGAAGCCATTCATGAGGGATCTGCCCCCATAATCCAATTACCTCTCACTAAGCCCCACCTTCAACACTGGGGATTACATTTCAACATGAGATTTTGAGGGGACATCCAAACTACATCAGGCACTAATCCTATTTATGAGGGCAGAACCCTCCCAAAGGCCCCACCTCCTAATACTATCACCTTCGGGGTTAGGGTTCAAGAGAAGAATTTTGTAGGGACATACATTTTAGACCATAGCATATGTCTTATATAAGAATTTTAATTTCAATTTGCAGGTGATTTGTATTTGCATACAGACTGAAGTATTTTTTAAAAATCAGCGGAGTATAGATATTAGTCTTAAGGGCAAAGGCCCACTTCATTTGGCCATATAGATTGTGCACTGCAGAACTCCAAGGAATGCTCAAAGGGAAAGATGTGTGAGAAATGATTTAATTTTATTTGTGGTTGGTTCATCAGTGATTTTGATGTTATGATAACATGTTTTCCTCTGCAAGTATGTAATTACAGGGACTCAGATAATCAATAATGTAGTCATGAGAACTCTCTTTCCCTACCACTGGTGGTTAATACGGATTGTTGATTGACTGACTGAATATGCTACATCTGCTTTTCCTATGTCATTTAATATTGAGTTAATGTCTCTAAGAAAATATCCGTAAGCAACATTTATGAGACAAATAGAGTAATCACAAACACATAATGTAGAACTTTTAGGCACTGGCTCTGCTTAAGACATATGCTGCACCAGGCACTGCAAGTATACAAGCATAAATTAGTCACGGTCAGTTGTGAGACTTACACATCCAAGGGGTGATGAACAGTAATCGCTAAAACACAACGTTGATTTTCTGTAATAAACACACCAGCATTTAGATATTCAAAAGACTGTTGTACCTTTTGATGCTTCAGGAGGCTTCATTTATTTATTCATTTACTTCAAGAAATATTTTGAGGACCTACTACTGTATGTGGTAAGCATTAATCTAAGTACAGGAGATGCAGCAGTGAACACGTAGCACTAATGAAATATCTAGTCAGAGGGGATAGATGATATAACAACAGATTGATAAACAAGAAAAATAGCAGATAGTGAGAATTTAAATTATGTAGGATAAGAACATGATGTGTCAGGACCACTTTAGGTGGAGCAGTCAGAGATGACTTGTTTGAGCAGGGGATGTGGAAGTGGATCAGCCATGTGCCAATGAGGGGAGAGCATCCCAGACAGGGCAGTTAGTGCTTGGTGTGCTTCAGGAGCGCCAAGGATGCTGGCATGGGCGAGAGGAACCTATTTGTAGGGGATTACAAGAGCTCAGGTTTTATTCTCAGTTCAATGAAAAGCCAAGTAGGGTAGCTAAGATGTTGACATACTTTGCTGAAAATTTACTGTGGCTGCTGTGTGGAGAATGGGATTGCAAGGGGGTAAGTATAGGATCAGAGAGATTAATTAGGGGACTATGGCAACAATCCAACTGAGAGATAGTGGGGTTTGGACCAGGGTGGTAGTAATGGAGATAGAAATAAGCAGATTGGGATATAGGATTTTGGAAGTCAGGTTGACAGAACTTGACTGCGCAACTGAATGTGAGAGTTGAAGGAAACAGAAATTTAGAGTAATTCCTACGTGTTTGGTTTGAGTAACTGTGGAGGTGATGGTACTCCATATGTGGGAAAACTGGCAGGAAGTAAGATGAGGCAAGGTGAGATGGGTAGGGTCTTAGGAATTCTGTTTTCACCATTTTAAGTGGTCTAGATATCCACGTGGAGTTGTCAAGTAGGCAGTTTAATTTAAAATTCAAAAGGAGATCTCCATTTCCCGTTGAGAAGATAAGAAATAAGTTGGGGCTAAGTTTTGGGTTTGTGGCTGAAATTGTTAAAATGTCTATTTTTATATGATTTAACAGTTTAGTAACATGTCCATATTTAAAATCACATCAGATATGTTAACTTAGACATATTGCTTTTTTCCTGTCTTATCTTTTCCAAACAGTTTTATTTGAAAGCTTCCTATGCACTGTTGGCAGCTTCACATGCATTTTTAGCATCAGTGTCTTTGGCACTATTAGTGCAATTCTGGGGGCTACATAAGCAAATCCCAGAGTGTGTCACCTTCACTTCTAAGGTTTTCAGATACTGAATTATTTTAATTAATGTATGTTGTCTTCACCGGAAATTTTGTCCTAAGTCACAGCATGCATCTATGAAACATTAGGACAATTATATGTTTTTAAAAATCTGTGTAGGTATATGCTTGTGATTTGTACAATACACTTACCTACCACATTGCTTTTGTGCTTCTTCAAATTTGTAATACCTCTTTATTAGAAAGTCAGTCAATTCATAAGGCCAGTGAGGTTGTTTTCCTTTAAATTACTCATTGGATATTTTTAAATTTATTTTTTAATTGACAAGAATTTTATGTATTTAAGGTGTACAGCATGATGCTTTGATGTATGTATACATTGTGGAATGGCTAAGTCAAGGTAGTTTACATATGCATTGCCTCATACTTATCGTTTTTTGTGGTGAGAACCCTTAAAATCTCTTTCAGCAATTTTTAAATATACAATACATTATTATTAACTATAGTCACCATATTTACAATGGATCTCTTGAACTTATTTCTCCTAAACTTTTTGGAGACTTTTATAACTGTATTCAACTCTTGAAATTATAAGGGGGGTAATATTTTTATCTTTTCATTTTGACCGATTACATTCTAGATGGGGTATCATTTCAGAGTAATGTATATTTAACAAATAATACATCATTGTTCAAAATGAAATAATTAGGGGAACATCCCATAAATGAAAGACTTAGTAAAGACTCAGAAATAAGACAGTGTGTTCTTTTCAAACTCTTTTACATCTTCTGTTTTCACTTAATTAATTCATATCATACATATCAGTACATATAATTATGTTTTAATGTCTGCCTAGTGTTCTCTTGTATAAGTGTGCCATGATGTATTTAGTCAGCCTTCTATTGGTGATATTAGTTTGCTTCTTATCTGCTGTAGCAAACGTACTTACTATATACAGTAAATACCCTTGTATTTCCTTTGTCACATGTGTAAAATCTCTGGAACAAAGGATACATACATTTAAAATTTGTTAGATATTGCCTATTTTTTTTTATTTTTTTTTTTGAGACGGAGTCTCGAACTGTAGCCCAGGCTGGAGTGCAATGGCGCGATCTCAGCTCACTCCAAGCTCAGCCTCCTGGGTTCAGGC
This sequence comes from Homo sapiens, assembly GCF_000001405.40. Taxonomy (NCBI): domain Eukaryota; kingdom Metazoa; phylum Chordata; class Mammalia; order Primates; family Hominidae; genus Homo; species Homo sapiens. The sequence goes on along the minus strand of NC_000004.12, from coordinate 119,609,076 downwards.
CATTCTCCTGCCTCAGCCTCCCAAGTAGCTGGGACTACAGGCGCCCGCCACCAAGCCCGGCTAATTTTTTTTGTATTTTTAGTAGAGACGGGGTTTCACCATGTAGCCAGGATGGTCTCGATTTCCTGACCTCATGATCCGCCCGCCTCGGCCTCCCAAAGTGCTGGGATTACAGGCGTGAGCCACCGCGCCTGGCCTAAGTAATATCAATTGTTACTACAACCAAAAACTTTGGAGAGTGACTACATCCCTATACTATCTCCAAAATAGTACATTGTCAAACTTGTTTATCCTGGACTTTTGTTTGGTATAAACAGTCAATTATGTCATTGTAGATTTGAGATTACATTGCTTTTTGTATAGGCAAATTATTTGAAATATCCTCAGTTATAGCAACTTTTTATCTTTTGAAGGTAAGTTTGAGTTTTCTAAAGCGTCATGTCTTATCAGAAGATAGAGAATTAAGTTAGCTGTTACCATAGGTTTTTTTGTTTTTGTTTTATTTGTTCATTTTGGGAGGAGGAGTTAGTGAGAAACAAGGTCTAATTTTTAGATAAAATTAGTATTTTTATTTGGATTATAAATTGTTTCAGAAGTTTGTTTCAAAAGAAGAGTTCCAAAAATGTCTAGAGTAATGACACCATTAACTGGTGTAAGACTACAGCGTTCTAAGGGGAATTATTTGAATTGAACAACATGCTTTGGATTGTGTATGATCTGGTATGTTTGTTTTAAAAAGTCACCTACTGTGATGGCTTTAGCTCAAATGAGTTTCTTTCATAGTAGGGTACATTAAAAACATAAATGCCTTCAGTTTTCTTGGACTGCAGTTTTAAACTTAGATAAAGCCTACTTTAAAATAGTCATAGATAATCTAGAAAAATAGATCTTTTTTACCATTATTAAACAAACATTATTGGGATAATATTTACAGAAGTCTGATTTTTCTATACAAGATTAAATTATTTGTTTCTTTCATTAATCCTTCTAAACTTATCTACTTTTGCAATATAGATATAACTATCTAAAATAGGCATAGTAGCAAGCCAAATTTAGACAAATATTTGTTTTAGTTTTCAAATATTTAACTTCAGAACAAGTTATGTGTTTTAAACATCAAATTAATGTGCATATTTATATTTTCCTAAAACTATTGGCAAATTTAGTGTCTTTTACTTTTTAATATAAGCTAATTTTGAGAGAAGCAGACTTTATGCTTGGTATGCTGCAATCAGATATATAAAGTTATGTATATAGAAGTCAGCCTTTATTAAGATGTTCATTAAAGCAATTGTCCTCTATTGTTTTCCAAAATAAAATTGTCTTTTTTTTTTGAGAGAGTCTCACTTTGTCACCCAGGCTGAAGTGCAGTGGTGCAGTGGTGTCATCATACCTCACTACAGCCTCGAACTCCTGGGCTCAAGCAACCCTCCTGCCTCAGTCTCCCCAGTAGTTAGGATCATAGGCACATGCTATCATGCCCAGCTAATTTTTTAATTTTTCCTAGAGACAGGGTCTCACTAGGTTTCCCAGGTTGGTCTCCAACTCCTGGCCTCATGCAGTCCTCCCACCTCAGCCTCCCAAGGTGGTGGAATTACAGGTGTGAACCACTGTGCCTGGCCAAAATCATATGTCTTAAGTAAACCATCTTGTTTTTATTTTCTATAACATATCAAATTATTATCTCATCAGTTTACCATGAGAAGATGTTTAGGAGCTCTCAGGCATAGCACCCTTCCTCTTCAAGTATCTAATGTGTCTGCACGTTCTGTTCTGCAGAGAAATGGTCAATGCATGGTTTGCTGAGAGAGTTCACACCATCCCTGTGTGCAAGGAAGGTATCAGAGGCCACACCGAATCTTGCTCTTGTCCCTTGCAGCAGAGTCCTCGTGCAGATAACAGTGCCCCTGGAACACCAACCAGGAAAATCTCTGCCTCTGAATTTGACCGGCCTCTTAGACCCATTGTTGTCAAGGATTCTGAGGGAACTGTGAGCTTCCTCTCTGACTCAGAAAAGAAGGAACAGATGCCTCTAACCCCTCCAAGGTTTGATCATGATGAAGGGGACCAGTGCTCAAGACTCTTGGAATTAGTGAAGGATATTTCTAGTCATTTGGATGTCACAGCCTTATGTCACAAAATTTTCTTGCATATCCATGGACTGATATCTGCTGACCGCTATTCCCTGTTCCTTGTCTGTGAAGACAGCTCCAATGACAAGTTTCTTATCAGCCGCCTCTTTGATGTTGCTGAAGGTTCAACACTGGAAGAAGTTTCAAATAACTGTATCCGCTTAGAATGGAACAAAGGCATTGTGGGACATGTGGCAGCGCTTGGTGAGCCCTTGAACATCAAAGATGCATATGAGGTAAACAGGGGAGCATGAGAGCAGGACCAGTGCTGGGGAGGGGACTATGGCTGGGGCGGGTACTATGGCTGGGGCATTGGATAGCAATCATGAATGGTGGGGATATTTGAAACTGAGATGTAATAATTTGCATACTTATTTAAAACTGGAATGTATGCTAAGAATTTTCCCATCTTTAAATGCCAGAGTTTCTTTCCTGGTGGTTCAGTTGAGGATATGAGCCTTAAGGAAATCTCATCTTGTTTTTCTCCTTAATGATAATTTAATATAGCTCATCTCATGGTTATATTCTCCCATCTTTTTATCTGATCACTATACATATCCCCATCTATGTTATCCCCACATGAACCTCTTAGGATTTTACTGAGATTCTAAAATGATAGGTGCAAAAACAAAAAAAAACTCATAGTCTCTTTTCATTCATTCATTCAATTAATCATATTCATTCAAAGTCCCATTGATACCAAAGTCTGGTTTTCTTTCTTTCTATCCTCTCTTTCATTTTTTAAACAGATAAACTTACAGATGTCTTCAAAAAAATGGAAATTTTTGCTCTAAAAGTTTTCAATGGAAAGATTTGTTATTTCTTCTACTTTTGCTATACCTATGCACAAGTCTTTAATTAAGGGCTTAAAGGTTACACTGTAAGATTCTTCAAATTTCCCATTTAAAATAATCCTTTTTATTAATGGAATTTTAGTTTTAAAACCAAGCATCTTAACTGAATGGCACTTTATATGTTTATGAGGTATCTTACAGCATCTTGATAGAACAATTGTTCTAGCTTTCTACTGTGTGGTACACTATAAAGATTCAGTGGTAATTCTGGCTTAGTTCATTTAATTCAGAGAGTCATAGCTGTTTTATTGTGTTCCTGGTGCCTTATAGTGCCTGGCACATAGGGCTTAGTAAATATTGGTTGAATTAAAATAATAGTACATGCAATAGATAAATAGCATAGAGAGCAGGTCATTAACAGATGCCAAGAAAAATGTGATAAGCTTCAGAGAAGCAGGATAGGACATCTAGTGGGAAAGATAGAGAAAATTTCTTTTTTTTTTTGAGATGGAGTCTCACTTTGCTATCCAGGCTGGAGTGCAGTAACGCGATCTCGACTCACTGCAACCTTTGCCTCCCAGATTCAAGTGATTCTCCTGCCTCAGCCTCCCGAGTAGCTGGGATTACAGGTACCCGCCACCACATCTGGCTAATTTTTGTATTTTTAGTAGAGACGGAGTTTCACCATGTTGGCCAGGCTGGTCTTGAACTCCTGACCTCAGATGATCCTCCTGTCTCAGCCTCCCAAAGTGCTGGGATTACAGGCATGAGCCACCATGCCTGGCCAGAGGAAGATTTCTTTGAGGGAGCAATGTCTGGTACAGATCCCGGAAAATTTGAATAAATTGAATAAATTGAGATTTGTGCATGGTGAGATCCAGAGGTAAAGAGAAGTTAGAAGAGATAGGCAAGTAGGACCATGTAAGTGTGTGGATAAGAATCTGGACATGAAGGAGCTGTGGGAGCACAGCCAGGAAATTAGAGGTCTTGAATGCCAGGCTGAGGAATATATATTTGGTTTAGAAACATGAGGAGTAACTGAAGATGTTTTGAAAGGGGAACCAGTATGATTTAAATTGTGCTTTGGAAGGATTAATTTTACAGTAGTCATAAAATGAATTAGAGGGGAAAATGCTACAAGTTGGGAGGATAGAAGATTATCTTAATAGTCTAAGTAAGTATGAGGAAGTAAGGACCTTAACAAGGACCTTGGCCTTAAAGATCAAAAGGAGGGAATGGATTTCGGATGAAGAAGTATTAGGTTGGTGCAAAAGTAATTGTCATTACTTTTAATGGCAAAAACTGCGATTACTTTTGCACCAACCTAATAGAATCTGCTGAACTTGGCAGCTAACAGGAGATGCAAGTGAAGGGAAAAGAGGAGTTGAAGATGACCCAGGTTTTGAAGCTGGGTAAATGAATAATGGTACTACTAGTGAGTAATACCGAGGGCCGGGATTTGGGGTGTGATACTTCATCTAGGTTAAGTCCTGAAATGTTTTTTCAGAATCCATTCTATATAAGCAATGTGTTCAATTTTGATTCTCTTGGAAAAATTTACTGGTCTTCATAGAGTATCTCTATGACCTCTTTGAGCTCTGTAATAACTTCACACTGTAGCAGATTCCAAGAGGGGTATTAAGGACACAGCTGAAGGATTGCTGCCAAGTTTGCAGAATCCCCTTCCTGTCTTAAGTGACAGCTGGGTATCCACTTTTCAATGGCACTATGGTCCCAAGAGTACAGTAGGATCATAAATATTCTCTAGCTTTGTTGAGAAAGTCTTTATTTGTCTTCATGGTCCTAAGTGTCTCCAGCCCTGAGAATTCTTCACTTATATGTGTTTTATTTAATCTGCCTACCATCTTCAAAGTTTTGACAATGTATTTTCTGTTTTGCATTTGATAATGATTTAATTCTTGTACTATTGTTTAAAACAGCTAGTGTCCTTGATTTGCACTGCTCCCAGGGTGATGCCTCTTAGCCTGTGGATTTGTCATGTTGCTACTTCACATTTGGTACCCTTGATCTGTATTTATAGTAGCCTTGCAGGAGTTATTTCATGTCCCAAGAATTTCATTAGAACTTGTGGGGGTTGATCTGTGATCTAATTTACATTGTGATCTAATTTATATTGATATTAGCAGTGGAAGTCAGTTGGCTAATGGATAATTCATTACTAAGCACCATCCATAATTTGAATAATTAAAATACTATGTTTTTTGAAAGTAGTCAGGATATGAAAATATATTCTAATGTTTTCTGAGTCCTAGCTCTTTAAACATGCATCTGTAAAAATGACACTGTATGGCAGTGTTTCTTAAGCTTATTTGATCGTAGACCACTTTAAAGGATGTAATGTCACTGTGGGAAACCAAGAGAGGTGTCTGTGAAACAGAATAATACTCAGATTGATGCTGAGAATTTTTTTTAAAGTCTCATAAAGTTAATTATAACAAATGACCTATATTTAGTTCACTTTTAAAACTTTGTAACAGAAAATGATATAAACTGATATAAATTTGAAAATTCTATAGTTTTATTACTGATAAGAAAACATATTCGTATATTCAAAATACAAGACAGGATCCACTACTCAGACCAGTGATTCTCATGTAGACCCATAAATACCAATGAAAAGATTAGTTGGTAAATGCTACCTGTACATTGATGTTCAGTCACACACGGTCTCATGCATCAGCCCACCATCATGCAACTACCTTCAATGTGCCACACCATGTATGTATGTATGTATGTATGTATGTATGTATGTATTTATTTTAAGCCAGAGTCTCACTGTGTTGCTCAGGTTGGAGTCCTGGATTAGCTGATCCACTCACTTCAACTGCACGAGAAGTGGCTATGGTCCTGAGTAGGTGGGACCACAGGTGCATGCCACTGCAGCCGGCTTGGCACGGCATTTATGAATAACAAGAAGATATTAACACATTTATTAATAAGATATTAACACTTATACTAAGAAGCTATTAATAGTAAGATATATAATCAGAACTACTATATAAATGTGCTTGGTATTTTCCTTTTATAGGAAAACCAGATAACATCCAATAACTACACAGGATTGCCCTGAACCCCATTCCATGTCCTGAGGAAGTCTTAAACCTTCCCATGATTCATATGTCTTAAGGATTTACATTGTCAAAACATCTCTCCTTCTCCCAAGTCAATTAGAGTGCAAAACTCAGACTCATGTCCTGTTTCTACTCCAGGACAGACACTCCATGTGAACCATGATTTCTAGAGAGAAAACTTAGAGGGTCTTAGGGAAGGGTCAAATTGCCACTTATGTGGCCTTGACCATGTAGCTATTATTCCTTCCTTCCCCACTTCATCTTTCCCTTTCATTTTTATTTCTCCAGAGAAACAAATTTTCACCTTCTTTCACCATGCAGTTTCTTACTTTCTATTTCAACTATTTATCAATATATTTTTCTAAAGAAATACGAATTGTTTCAACTGAATTTCAGATGATTATTTCCAGATGAATTTTAGAAGAAAAAGAAAACCCCTAGCAATTGTTGTAATTTAGACAAATCTCCTAATAGAAGTGTAACTGTGCCCCTGGGAACACAGTTTGGGAACTGCTGTGTCTATGCTTGTTCAATGTTTCAGGCATTGTCTTAAAAATTCCACTCTGTGGAAGAAAACCAGCCTTATAATTTGTCAAGTCATCTGTGTTGTTTCCTTTTTAAAATTTTCTGTTATTTTTATTTTGATATAATTTTAAACTCACAGAAAAATTGCAAGACCAGTATAAGAAACTGCCATACACCCTTTACCCAGATTCTCCAGTTATTTTTTTGCCCCATTTGCTTTATCGTTTCCTCTTTTTCACTCTATAATGCATATAAGGAATATATGCTTATTATTTCTGAAAGATTTAATAAGCTAAAGATATGTTTTTACTAAATAGTTCAGTGTATATTTTCTAATAAGAATATTCTCTTGCCCAGCCATAATAAAATTATCAAAATCAGGAAATTTTATATTGATAGAATACTATTATCTAATCTGATACAAGACTATTAACAGTCCATAGTCAAAATTTCATCAGTTGTCCCATCCTATTAATAAGCTTTAGAGTTATTTTCCCCCAATCCAAGATAGTATTCAGGATCCCATATTGCACATAGTTGTAATGTCTGTTTAGTCTCCCCTCCATCTGAAACAGTTTCTCAGCATTTCTTTATCTTTTTAAATTTAGACATTGTTAAAGGGTACAGGCCTGTTATTTTGTAGAATGTCCTTCACAAATAGATTCAAGCTAGGCCCTTTTAGCTGGAATACCATATATGTTAATGCTGACACCTTAACTAAGCAACGACTATTTAATTTTCCAGTTCTTTGACACTGCAACCCAGTTCAACCCAATTCAGTTCTGATTCTTAACCTCATGGAGTTAGCACTGACCCTACATGTTAAGGGCTCAATCCCACAAGCCTGCCCCGACTTCAGACGTCAGCTGCAAGTGGGATCCCTAGGCTACCACACTTCTTCCAGGCTGACTACCAATTCAAGGATTCTAGTGACCCCCGCTTAGGTTCAGTAATTAGATAGAATGACCCACGGAACTCAAGAAAGCACTACACTTATGATTACAGTTTTATTAAAAAGGTTACATACAACTCAGGAGCAGCCAAATGGAAGAGATGCATAAGACAAGGTATGGGAGGTGGCGGGGGGTGGGGTGGTGTGCAGAGCTTCTATGCCTTCTCCAGAATGCCAGCATCCCAGCACATCAATATGTTCACCACCCTGGAAGCTTCCCTAGACCTCATTTTTCCCAGCTTTTTATTGAGGTTTTATTATGTAGGTATGATTGATTACATTATTGGCCATTGGTGAGTGGATTCAATCTCCAGCCAGTCTCCCCTCTCCAGAGGTTGGGGGTGGGACTGGAAGTTCTAAACCTCTAATCACAAGGTTGGGTTTTCTGGTTCCCACCCCTAATCCTGAAGCCTTCTAGGGCTCACCTCATTAGTGTGAATTCGGGTATGGTTGAAAAGGGCTTGTTGCAAATATGGAAATACACTAGTATCACTCAAGAAATCCCATGGCCTTTAGGAGGTCTGTGTCAGGAACTGGGAACAAAGATCAGAAACATGTTTAATTGTACCACACACCTTCGTAGTGTATCTTATAAGGAGGCATATTTATGTGATGTAAGTATTGATGATGTTAAATTTGATAACTTTTTTAAAGTGATATCTACCAGGTTTCTCCAATAGTTTTTCCCATTGTAATTAATAAGTATCATATGGGCAGATACTTTGAGACTGTGTAAATACTGTGTTCATCAACAACCTATTGACCAGCTTTAGCATCCACTGATTTTCTAACTCCATCATACCTCTTATATTTATTAGCTGAAATTCTAATGTAAGAGAGAGTTTTGCCTTCTCCTTCATTCATGCATTCACATCAATTATGGACTCGTGTAATATTTTATTTAGTCAATTATGTTCTCTTATTATCTTTATGCTGATGTTCAAATTATAACAAATTTGCTGAGTCCTTTTTGTTATGTCCTTATTAATTTTGGGGCATTTTTTTCACTTTCTGGCTAATCAGAATGTTTGAGGCCTATCTTACACTTTCCGTGCCCTAGCCCTAGAATCATTCTTTTTTCCCAAGGAGCCCTGGTTTCTTTTAGTGGGGGGAATGGTATTAAGAAACCAAGATTAAGGCACTAGATGTGCTTATTGTTGCTGGTATATTAGCAGACAGAGCTAGGAAAATAACATATAAATATACATACACATCTATATTGTATTTATTTCTGTATCTATCTACTTATTATAATAAAAACAACTGAATTCATACTGATACTTCCAATTTCATCCAACAACTAAAGATGCATTATTTTTCTTTTTTTCCTCTATTGGGTGTTTCATTCTCCAAAAATGAAAGACTAGGCTTCCTTACTCTTTTTATATATATATATACTCATGTGCTCAAGCCACATTTCTAGCTCTTTCTAGATTTTAATATCTTTCTCTTTAGACTACAGAATTTCCTTTCGCACTTCTTATAGTACATACAGTGCTGACAAATACTCTCAGTTTTAGTTTATCTGAAAATGCCTTTATTTTGCCTATATTCTTGAAGGATATTTTCACTGGATAGATGAACCACTATCAGTTGATAGTAGTTTTCTTTCAATATTTTAAAAAAGAGTTTTCTCATTTTTTTCTTGTCTTCATTTTTCTTGGGAGAGGTCAGCCATCCTTTGTATCATTTTCAACTTATATGTTTCACCCTACATATCATTTTCACACCATGTGTGTAAGCTTAAGGTTTTCATCAATTTGGGAAATTTTTCTTTATAAGTCTTTAAATATTTTTCAGCTTCATTATCTTTGGGACTCCAAATATATGTATGTGTGTGTGTGTGTGTGTGTGTGTGTGTGTGTGTGTATACACACTTGATAGTATCCTAAAAGACACTGAAACTTTGTTAATGTTTTATGGTTTGTTTTCTCTTTCAATCCTTCTGAATGGATACTTTCTGTTGATTTATCTTCAGAGTCACTGACTCTTCAGCTGTTTTCGGTGGGCTGTTAAATGTATTAATGAACTTGGTGTTTTACACACTATACTTTTCAGTTCTAGAATTTTCATTTGACTATTTTAATAGTTTTTTCTTTCCTTGCAGAGATTCCTATCTCTGCAAAGAAGTTATTACTATATTTTTCTTTAAATCCCTACATTAATTTTTAATAGCTGCTTTAAAGTCCTTATCTGTGAAGTCCAACATGTGAATCATCTTGGGGTCATTTTTTATTGACTACTTTTTCTCTTTACTATGGGTTTCATTTTCCTGTTTCTTTACATATGTGGTGATTTTGTATTGTCTGCTGGTCATAGTCTGTTTCACTACATTTGGATTATATCCTCTTCCTTTAAAAAAGGGATGAGATTTGTTCGGGCAGGCAGTAAAATTACTGGCAGATTCTTTTGATCCTGTCAGGCTTGGTCTTATTATTTGTCAGAGTGGATCTTTTGAATTTAGTCTTAGGGAGTACCCCCAACTATATGGTATAGTCCTTACTCCTAAGGAGTGGTCTTTTCCTGCCTCAATGCCTGCGCTGCTGAATGAATTCTCTACTCTGGCTGGGCTGGAACTCCATTGTCTCCAAACACTTCACTAATTGGTGTCACATTCAGTTTTTAGCCTTCAGCAGGTAATTTTTGCTAGTCCTTTAGGTTTTTTGCCCTATACATGCCCAAAGTGACTAGAAACTCAGTATCTTTTGGTCACTGCTTCCTAACCATCTTCCTTCCAACCCCCCAGCACAGCCCCTGTGCTTTATACTTTCCAACCACTTCAGAAGTTTGGAGCTCCATTCAATTCTGTTTCAAAGCGTTGCTCTCATTGGGTAGCACCTGCCTTCTCTAAAGCAGGAAAACGCCCTCAGGCAGAAAGCCAGAATGTTGAATGGCAATTACTTATGTTGTCTTTTTCTTTGCTCTGCCCATGGCTTTGTTGTCTTGTATTTTGTCTAGTCTTATAGATGTCTTCAGCAGGAAGGAATTCTGGTACCTGATACTTTGTTATGGCAAGTGGACATCCAAGGCTTGTGTTCTTTCATACTGTCATGTTCTTGTAAACAAACAGTGAAAGGAATAATCACAATGATTGTAGTGTTCCATTTTTTTCTTTGATGTTTACTGGACCTAGAGGGGTTAGAACTCCTTTATGTATATTGTCTTTGCACTGAGTACATTGTTAAAGGAGAACTCCTTGAGATGTCAGGAGTTTGGAACTTCACCTCAAATGAAATTTGAAGGATGTATTTATTCCCACCCTCTTCACTGGAGAGTGAAATTCAGAACTGCTGTTGATTTTAAACTAACAGTAGACACAAAAAATATGTGAAAGTCCTACTAAATTTAATCTGTCAAACTCTACTGCTTTGATTAGGTAGTTGGGTTAAGTCTTCTTTATAAATTGTCTCATAATTCAAATGTTTATTAACAAAGTAACACTGAGGATGTATTTTTATTCATGTTTTACTTATTGGTTTGTAAAATAATTCACTATATATCAATAATTTTTCACTTCTTTAATTCATCAACATTATCTTGTCTGCTTTCTTTAGACAATATCTAAAGATAAAATAAGAATTTTATTAGGAAGATTCAGCTAAAGTTTTTCTCTGCATCTCAATTCATATAACTTTGAGCATGTTTGCAGAAAAAGCAAAAATGTAGTAGTGTTTATAATATAAAATATTTATATTGATTTTTCACCATTTTATACCTTTTCTTTTGAAATTATCTTTAAGCTAAGTTGGGCCCTCTCAGTTGAAAATTGGCCTCATTTCTGACCCCAATTGATGGAATCTAGTGTAATCACTTCATTCACAGCTTTACTGTGACTAATTTATTTTTTATTTTTTTAAAAAGAAATGACCTTCAAAGCTCATCAAAAGATGAGCTTTTCCAGTGTGGATATTCCATATTCTCTGAAGGGAATTCCAACTGCGTAGTTTTTGGAGCAGTGATGCTATTATTAGATTAAGCATGTAACTCCCCAAGGCTATCGCTTTGAAGGGAACAGCACTCATTCAGATGTTTATGTCCTGGAATGCTTGATTCCATTCCACTCTAACCTCATGTTGTTGTAGCTATTGATTTCCTCTACTTTGGTTTTCCCTTTACTGACAAGATTTGCTTTAAACTATATGGTAAGGTAAAAATGATAACATTTGATAACCGTGGTATTATTTGTTAATGAATTCCTTCATTGATTTAACGCATGCTTTTGATTGAGTTCCTGTGCTAGGAATACAGTAATGAACAAAAAAAGAAAAAAAAAAAAACCCTCACAGAGTTTACAGCCTAATTTGAGATCTTCCCAATCTAAAGTGTAATGGAAAATTAAACTTTACCTTTGTTTCTTTAATTCATACTTAGAAATTTAACACCTCAGAAGTCCTTTATGATTATTGGGTGTGTATAATGTGCCTTGTAAAAGGGGAAATTCAAAAGATTAAAGGATTGTTTACAATCTGACTCAATGAGATTGTGTATATATGTGTATAATTTAAACTCTTAGGAATACTTGAGATAGAAGTACAGAATACTGAAGAACTGTAAAAGAGCCCTTACAAGGGAAGTAAAGTCATTTATTGAAAAGGTTGTTCTGGAGGCACAATAGAATCAGGTTGTGAGATGATATTACAGAGGTGGAGAGATGCCACTTTTTCCTGAATTTAAGTACAGCTATCTAAAGTGGTTAATATTTTGAATTTTCTTTATTTCTGAACATTTGTTCGAGTCTGTATTTTTTTCTCTTAAACACTAGCTGCTTATAAAAAAGCTCAGCAACTTCAATTTATCTTTGTCAAATATAATATGTACTTACATGATGATGCCTTTCACAACAATAAAATTGTTACTCAGAGTAACAAGGTAAGTCCAAGGTTAGATTTCTCTAATCTAATAAATCAGAAAAATCAAATCAATCTTTGAACAGGTCAGTCATTAAATTGAATTTCTTTTTCCATACTAGGATCCTCGGTTCAATGCAGAAGTTGACCAAATTACAGGCTACAAGACACAAAGCATTCTTTGTATGCCAATTAAGAATCATAGGGAAGAGGTAAGCCAATTTTCCATTTTATAAAAGGTCATTGGAAATATTTTTCTTTTTGAAAAATATTTTGTATTTACTTTGCATATATATGAAATAATGCTTTAGTGACAAATTAGCTATAAAGTTCTTAAATGTTCTGCTTGATTTTTTTTCTATTTAGATTTTTAGTTACAGGGCCTAATTCTGATAATTGCTTTACTATGCCCATTTACTTAGAAATAAATTTTATGCATGTCATATTCTACCTCCCCTCTTCCTGAAGGCGTTATTCTATCTTAAGATATGTAATTATGGTTGTGATTAGGATCAATTCATTGCATATTATGTTTTAGGAGTATGAGTAGTATTCATAAATGCTCATCCAACTACAGTGGTCATTAACGGATTTCATTCAAATTGAGGTTTTGAAAAAAATGGAAATCATAGCTAATTCTAATTATGTAAATTTCAATTTGAAATTTTAACAGGCAAATGAAAATATGTTAGTTTATATTTCACCTAACTAGAAGATTTGGATTCTGTTATCACTGAATTCCCTCTTCATTTTACACTTATTTGGAAAAAAGAGTTAATAAATTATCAGTTAAACTGAATATTTCAATTGAGCATTCTCAATCCTGACTGTGTATTACAACCAACTGGAGAAGTCTAAAAGATTACCAATTGTATTAATTGGGGTTCTCCACAGAAACAGAATCAATAGGATATATGAGGATATATGAGGGGATTTATTTATGGAAATTAGCTCATGCAATTATGGAGACCAAGAGGTCCCACAGTCTGCCATCTTCAAGCTGGAGAACAGGAAAACCTGTGGTGTAATTCAGTCTGAGGCTGAAGGCCTGAGAAATGGGAGATTTGCTGGTGTGAGTCCTAGAATCCAAGGATCTGAGTATTTGAAGTTCTGTTGTCTCAGAGGAGGGAGAAGATGGATGTCCCAGCTTCCGAAGAGAGAGCAATATATGCTCTTCCTCTGCCTTTTTGTTCTGTTTGGGCCCTTAGTGGATTGGATGATGCCCACCTACATTGGTGAGGGAGAATCTTTTTCACTCAGTCTACTGATTCAAATGCTAATTTCTTCTGGGAACACCCTCACAGACACACGCGGAAATGTTTTACCAGTTATCTGGGTATAGCATTTAAAAATTCTAATGCCGAGGTTTCACCTTAAATCAGAATCTCAGGGATTGGGACCCAGGTATTAGTATTTGTTAAAGCTCCCAAATGACTGCAGTGTGTGGCCAAGGTTGAGAACCACTGCCAATCATATTAGAAGTACTTGATGCTTCTACTTGATTTATATTCAAATTCTGACATTTATTCTCCTTCCTCCATCTAGTGTGTTACCAAACCCCATTGATTTTTTTCATTAGAATGTTTCTGATTTCAATATTTTTTTCTTTTTATTCGTGCTACCTGCATGCACCATGATTCAGATTTTGAAGTAATGCCTAAGGTTTTTAAATGTTCTTGTAAGGTGTTTCTATCCTTGCAGTCAATTTCCCTTTAGTCCATTCTACATATCACTGCCTGGAAATTTGCCTAAAACACAGCTTTCTAAATCAGTGCTTCTAAAACTGTGTTGTGCATAGGAATCACCTGGGGATTTTGTTAAAATGCAGATTCTGAATTCAGTAGGTCTGGGTAGAACCTGAGATTCTTTTCTAACAAGTACCAAGTTGATGATTACCTGGGTCTGCTGATCACAATTTGATTAACAAGGCCCTAAGTCAGTTACTTCTCAGTAGTCATTCTCAGTGCCTTAGAGTTGCCACATGGTTTCTTAAAAAGTGTAGTTCCAGCAGTAGTAACTAAAAATGCCTGCAGCAATGACGTAATATGAGATTAATTAATTAGTTTAATTAACTAAGTATGTGAATGAATACATAAAATTGAAAAGGCCATACATGGACTGATCATTATTGTGTTATTAATATGGTTGCCAGGTATATCAAATTTTTAAAGAAATGTGTCCCATGCATTATTTGGGACATCATTATACTAAGAAATTATTTGTTGTTTATCTGAACTCAAATCCAACTCAAATTTCATCTGGCAGGCCTAGTTATAAACCACAGACTAAGATTCCGTGCACTTAGGAAGACAATGTTCAGCTTTTAGTTATTAAGGATATTTTAAAATCGTGGCCCCCAAAACAGCTTTGTACCGGCAAAGGGATTCAGCCTGAATTATGCCCTGATTAAGCTTCTCTTTCTAGATAGTGTGAACAATTTCTCCAACAGTCAGGATTGGGGGAACTGATGAGAATGCAACAGAATCACTAGGAAGAAGTGAGTAGGATGGCCCTTTCTACAGAAAGTATCCTCAGGATATACATTCTTCCATATTATGACTGCCGGTGAGGATGATTTAAATTAAATAAAAAATTAAAAAAACACAGCTATATTGAGATATAATTCGCGTACTGACATGATTTGTCTGTGTCCCCACCCAAAATCTCACCTTAAATTATAATCCCCATAATCCCTACGTATCAAGGGCGGGACCAGGTGGAGGTAATTGGATCATGTGGGCGTTTTCCCCCATGCTGTTCGTGATAGTGAGTGAGTCTCATGAGATCTGATGGTTTTATAAGCATCTGGCATTTCCCCTACTTGTACTCACACCATCCTGCCGCCCAAGGTGTCTGCTTCTCCTTTGCCTTCTGCCATGATTGTAAGTTTCCTGGGGACTCCCCAGCAATGAGGAACTGTGTGTCAATTAAATCTCTTTCCTTTATAAATTACCCAGTCTCAGGTATTTCTTCAGAACAGTGTGAGAACAGATTAATACACATATAATATAATTTACCCAGCTTAAGTGTACAATTTGATGAATTTGAGATATGTATATTCGATCATGTAACCACCACTGCAATCAAGATATAGAACATTTCTGTCACTTCAAATGTTCCCCTGTACCCCTTCATAGTTGATCTCCTCCTCCCTTAACCCACAGCTCCTGACAAGCACTGATCTGCTTTTTGTCACTATTGTTTTGCTTTTTCTAGAATGTCATTTAAATGGAATCATACAGTATGTGGTCTTTTGTATGTAGCTTCTTTCACTTAGCCTAATGGGTGTGAGATTCAGCCCTACTGTTGGATGTATCAGTAGTTTGTACCTTTTTATTGCTGAGTGATTTATTCCATGGTATGGATATACTACAATTTGTTTATGCATTCATCAGTTGATAAACATTTCAGTTATTTCCAGTTTGTGTCTATTACAAAACAAAGCTGCTGTCAGTGTGTTTGCATACAGACCTTTGTGTGGACTTATGCTTTCACATCTTTTGGGTAAATACATAGGAGGGCAGTTGCTAAGTCATATGGTAGGTATTTATTTAATTTGATAAGAAACTTCCAAACTCTTCCAAAGTAGCTGTACCATATTTCATTCTTATCAGCAGTGTATGAGAGTTCCCCTTACATCACATCCTTGGCAACACATAGTGTATCAGTCTTTTTAATTCTAGGCATTCTACTGAGAGATGATTTAAATTTCATTACATGAATATGTAACCCCACTCTTAGCCAAGGACCTGCTGCCTTCTTACAGATCTGATTGAAGTGGGTTTGGCCACAGATCCCCAAATAGCCCGAAGCTCTCTCCTTTAGACTTCTGCTGGGTTCCTGAGCTTTCTCATGTCTCTCTCTGTGCTCTCACATCCTCTCCTGCTGGTGTCTGTTTTACCTTGTGGTGACTTAATATGAGCCTTGGACTCTTACACTAAGCATTTCATGAGATGAAAAAATCTTCAGTAGCTTCACTGGGGACTAAATACAGATTGAGTATACCTAATTTGAAAATCCAAAATGCTCCAAAATGTGAAACTTTTTGAGTGCTAACATGACCCTCAAAAGAAATGCTCATTGAAGCATTTTGGATTTTTCTGTTAGGGATGCTCAACTGATAATAATGCAAATATTCCAAAATCCAAAAATAATCTAAAACTTGAAACATTTCTAAGTCCCGAGCATTTCGGATAAGGGATGTTCAATCTGTAACTTTATTCAAGAGAGGGCTTCCAGAACACAGCTTTTTTTTTTTTTTTTTTTTTTTTTTTTTTTAAACAGAGTCTCGCTCTGTCACCCAGGCTGGAGTGCAGTGGTGCGATCTCGGCTCACTGCAGCCTCCGCCTCCCGGGTTTGCGCCATTCTCCTGCCTCAGCCTCCTGAGTACCTGGAACTACAGGCGCCCGCCACCACGCCCGGCTAATTTCTTTTTGTATTTTTAGTAGAGACAGGGTTTCACCGTGTTAGCCAGGATAGCTACGATCTCCTGACCTTGTGATCCGCCCACCTCAGCCTCCCAAAATGCTGGGATTACAGGCATGAGCCACCACGCCCGGCTTTTTTTTTTTTTTTTTTTTTTTTGAGACAGAGTCTCACTCTGTCACCAGGCTGGAGTGCAGTGTGGTATGATCTCGGCCCACTGCAACCTCTGCCTCCCGGGTTCAAGCAATTCTCCTGCCTCAGCCTCCTGAGTAGCTGGGACTACAGGCGTGCGCCACCACACCCAGCTAATTTTTGTATTTTTAGTAGAGATGGGATTTCCCCATGTTAGCCAGGATGGTCTCGATCTCTTGACCTCGTGATCCGCCTGCCTCAGCCTCCCAAAGTGCTGGGATTACAGGCGTGAGCCACTGCGCCCGGCCCAGAACACAGCTTTTTAAACATCTTGCTGACCCTCCCCATTCTCCTTCCTTCTCATCTTGCTCCCTTTCCTCCCAGGTTCACACTGCCAAGTTCAAAATTATTTCTCCTGAGAATTAACGTTTTCAGAGAAAAGAATGAAGAGAGACAGAACAGACACACTATCAAGCGTGGCTGTTATAATATAAAAAGTAATTTGGCTGGCCAAAAAATAAACCCAGGCCACTAACAAGGTGCAATATTTGACTTCCAGAATTATCTTTAAATTTATATCTGTATAAACAAACTCAGAGTAGTGTTTGCTTTTTATGTACACATAACTACTCTTTGTCGTGAAAATTTTAAACCAAAATGGAAAGTTGCAGGGAGGCTTTGGGGACTAATTATTAAGATTGCTTGCTCTGGGCTTGAATCCCATCTTTACCACTTAGTTGCTGGCTGACAAACCAGGATGGAACTGGTTAATCCCTTTGATCTTCAGTTTCCTCATCTGCAAAATGAGGGCAATAAAAGGATCTACCTTAAAGGGTTATTGGGAAGATTAAATGCATTCATGTGAGTGAAGGGTTTAACGTAGTTCCTGGCACACTGGAAGTGCATCAGCTACTATTCTTTAAAAGGAGATGTAGAACTAATAGAGCTTTAAAGAGAGACAAGGAATAAGAGCTGCATGAAGAGGTCATTAGCCACATAATAATCAGCTAACTGGGACCAAAGCCAGTACTCAGCTAACTGGGATCCCAACACAGCCCCTGACATAGTCTATTGATTACCCTCTAAGAAACTTTAAACTTAAGAGAAACATGTTTTTCTCTATTTTTCCTCATAAATAAGGCAAAATGAATTTGGTGTTTTCTCTTTTTCTAAGTCCACCCTTATCGAGTAAGCCAATACCCATTCTGACTAATTACCAAGGAACCTAAAAAGAACTGTGATTATTGAATCATTAAATATTGATTGTTTACAAAATATCCTGGTACCTTTCAGTGACACTGGTTTTTAAAGACATTGGTACCAACTCTGGAAAGCTGTTTTAATGGAGTAGTTGACTGCTGAATACTAAAGTCTGAATTATAACATAGGCCGGAAAATGCAGGAAGATTTTTAAGATTCACTGAAATATCTAAGCTCTTTATTTGCCTCTTATTCTTGTAAAGTATTTCAACTAATTAAAAATGTTTGGGAGTTCTTTTCATTAATGTTATAACCATAACTGTTATAGATACAGCAGTGCTTTTTTTACAAGTAAGGATCATAGATATTACTAAACATCTGTGATGGTAATTTTTGAAAAAAATCATAGAGGTTAAGTTTTTGCAATCTTCCCCTCTCCCTACTCCCTTCTAGAGAATGGAGTTAATGGGCAAAGTGGAAAAAGAAACTGGAGAAGTGTTAGAAGGCTAAAATAATTTATTTTGGAAGGTCAAAGAGCTACTGGCTGGAGAAAATGAATAAAGACAGAAAGAAAAAAGTGATCAAGGGAGAGAAGAGAGCCAGTCCAGAGTGTCTATGAGGGAGTAGTTTGAGGAGTATGGGGTAGGAGTTTGGAAATAACTGCCTTGTATGTAGGAGACAGTAAACATGTGTGATATTTATTAAGCAAATCTTGTGAAAACTGTGCTAATGATCTGGCAAGTATTAGTTCATTTAATCTTCATGACAACCATAAGAGGTAACCCATTATCTTATTCCTACCTAACAAAAAAGGAAACTGAGACATGAAACATATAGGGAACTTGCTCAAAGTCACATAACTAAAAACTGGCAAAGCTGAGATTCAAACCCAGGCATTCGGACTGTAGGGGTCATAATAGAGAGAAGAGCATTTCTTAAAAGTCTGCTATGGATGATGGCTGCACTCTGCTTCCCTCCTGATTGGTGTTTTCTTGAGACTCTGCAGTAAGCACTTAAATTATTGTTGATTTTGTTGGAGTGGAAGGTACACTGATGTGTTTAATGTGGCTACATGCAGAAGCAGGACTTGAGGTGGCAACAAGGAGATCTGCCTGTATTCTGCTGGCCCTTCAATGTTAGTGTTTAAACCGCTCTGCAGACAGACTTTTTAAGATGAAAAATGAGATGACAGAGAAAAAGAGAGAGATCATAGTCACATCCTCTGTATTGCCTTAAGAGGAATTTATAAGAAAATTTTTACCAGAGATAAAAGAGTTACAGGAGCATGTTTCATACTAATCTGAGCCAATCTGCTCCAGAGAAGAACCATGACTACAAATGAAGCATAATGAAAAAAAAAGTTACAGGTATGTGAATTTTTACGGCTGCTATTAAATTTATTTCAAAGTTAATTCTGGATTTTTCAGACCTGGGCACTTAGACCAGTTTTTATCTTTGTCATTTGTATTAATTATTTCTATAACCAGACAGAATTCTTTTTTTGTTTAGTAAAGAATTACAGAGAAGCTCAGATCTTTCCCCCTAGCTCAGATGACCTGTTTGTGAAATACTGCCCTCCCCTGAAGTATTGCTTGTTCTGACATAGTGAAGATGAGTGTTCTTTTTTATTTATAGTGGCTTCACTGATATAACCAACCCTAAATATTAACTCTTACTCAGAGCCCTATTTGTCACTCTGGGCCTACTGATTTTTTTTTTTCTCTAGATTATTTGGGGAGGAGAGGATAAGGGGTAGAAAGCAGGACTTTATGAAATAATGCAAATTTCTTATTTCTCTGAAATTTCTCTGAATTCTCTGAATTCTCTGAAATTTCTCTGAATTCCTCAAGAATTTTCTCTGAAAATTTCTTACTGATATGAACTAGAGATTATATCCAATAATGTCTTTCAGGCTAGGCTGAACCACCATTGTTGAATGTCAACTCCAGTTATTAAGTAGAAATTCAGTTTGGAATCAGAGCTCTTTCCTCCTTCTCTCTTTTTATCTTATCATCTTGATTTTATTTTATCATACTTAGTGATATACTTGCAATTCTTTGATGCAAATATGGCAGTTAAAATCAAGAATTTAGGATAAATTCATTACAACGTGGTAAAAGATCATTTTAGCTAATATCTTAGCATTTTAGCGTATATCTTCCTTTTAAAAACTAAAAAGATTCAAAAAGTATCAGCTAATTTTTATGAGATTTATACTTTGGCGAATCCAAGTGATTAACACCTACCGAAACTCATAAATTGAGGCATTCATGAAATCAGATATGTAATTCCAACTACAAAATACAAAAATAAATGTTTTTTAGAATTTAAGTTTTATGATTGTGTCTGCTCATTTAAAAATATTTTCATTTATTTCTCCTAAATTATCTTGTTTTGACAAGTAACTGCTGAATCACTGCACTTTGTAGATTCTTTTTTTTTTTTTTTTAATGAAGCAAAGAAGATACTTGCTTTTAAATTTTTTTCAATTTGGAGAGGTAGGCTAGGCGCGGTGGCTCACGCCTGTAATCCAAGCACTTTGGGAGGCTAAGGGGGGTGGATCACTCGAGGCCAGGAGTTCAAGATCAGCCTGGCCAACATGGTGAAACCTGTCTCTACGAAAAATACAAAAATTAGCCGGGTGTGTGGCATGCGCCTGCAATCCCAGCTGCTCGGGAGGCTCACACAGGAGAGTCGCTTGAACCTGGCTGGGAGACAGAGGCTTCAGTGAGCTGAGATCGTGCCAGTGCACTCCAGCCTGGGTGACAGAGTGAGTGAGACTCCGTCTCAAAAAAAAAAAAAAAAAAGAAAAAATTGGAGAGGTAGCTCTTGTACACCAAAAATTAAATATCTATATAAGGTGACAAGATAAATGTTAAATGAGTCCAATATTCAACACACAAGTTCGAAGGAAAGACTGAACTAGGGAAGCTAGAGAAATCCCTGGGGAGAGATGAAAGTGCCCTGCTGTGTTTATCTCACAGCCTCAAGAGAGGAACCACATAAATGCTCCTGATGACAAATACTTGATCTCCATGGAGTGTGGAGGCCAAGGAGTCCTTGTCTATGATCTCTCACACTCACAGTACTGACTGCCGCTTTCTTAAATTTGGCAAGTAAACTTGGAGGAAATAAATGTTACAGTTTTATTCATAATCCTTCAATTTTCAGTCAAAATAGATGAAAATATAACTGCAAAAATAAGCAGAGTTTAATAGCAGACTACCAGTTGATCTAGATCTATTTTAGTGTTAAAGAATTGGCTAGTTACATGTTTTTGAAAACTTAGAAATTGGCCAGGCATGGTGGCTCACACCTGTAATCCCAGCACTTGGGGAAGTCGAGGCAGGTGGATCATGAGGTCAGGAGATCGAGACCATCCTGGCTAACAAGGTGAAACCCCGTCTCTACTAAAAATACAAAAAAATTAGCCGGGCGCGGTGGCGGGCGCCTGTAGTCCCAGCTACTCGGGAGGCTGAGGCAGGAGAATGGCGTGAACCCGGGAAGCGGAGCTTGCAGTGAGCCGAGATTGTGCCACTGCAGTCCGCAGTCCGGCCTGGGCGACAGAGCGAGACTCCGTCTCAAAAAAAAAAAAAAATACAAAAAAATTAGCCGGGTGTGGTGGCATGCACCTGTAATCCCAGCTACTCAGGAGGCTGAGGCAGGGGAATTGCGTGAACCAGGGAGGTGGAGGTTGCAGTGAGCCGAGATCTTGCCACTGCATGCCAGCCTGAAAAAAAAAAAAAAAAAGGAAAAGTTACAAATCGTTCACTGCATTTATTCCCCACAGTATTCTTTCTTGTAGTTTTGTTTTAGAAACAAAAGTGCTGCGCAGAGTTTCTGTTTGTTCTGGACTTGAGGTTGTGATAGTGACAATCCTTTCTTTTTCCTTCTGCACACTGCCCTTTAAATAACAAAGTATATATTATGAAGATGTTAACTGCTTTCCTAAAAGAAGAATGTTTCTTAAGAGCAGCAGATGAAAAACACTGTGCTAATATGTGAAATCCCCAAGTCTACATTACTGATCAAGAAGAAAAAGAAAGTGAATAAAAACTTGAAACTGAAGATTAAATTAATGTGGTAGGCTTTGTGTACCCAAATGGTATCCTATTTTTAATGATAAGAAAATTTGGTTCATACTGAGTGCTATATTTTATTCAATAGGAAGCTTATCTTCATTGGTAATTTCAAGATAACCATTCCAGCACTTTTTGGAATGCATTACATTTTTAATTTAATAGATGATTTATAAATTTAATTTTGAGAAGTTTTACATAGTCCCTGAATAATGGGTATTAGGGGTCTGGAACCAGAGAAGTATAAAACATTTCTTTGTATAATATCTAACCCGACATCATATAATTGCACCCTGGGGTGAATTTTGACTATAAAATAATTTTCATGTTTTCATGTATTCTTGAAGAGTTAAGGTGATTGTTAATGAAATTGCTGCTCTCAATAGATATGTACAAACATCTATACTCATCCATTAATGTCTAAGATTCCATAGGTAAAGTGCTTTATCAAGTGTTAAATACCCTGTATTCCTTGTTGTTAAATGCTTATCTAAAAATCTCCATTTGCTTCTCTTCTACCATAGAATGGAAATTAATAGTCTATGCTAAATCTCCACTTGCTTTTGATCATAGAATGGAAATTAATAGTCCAGGCTGAATGTAAATCAAAGAGCAAGAGATGAGGATCTTACAAAAATTTTTAAATTTTTTTGCATCAGTTTATAGTAATGAAATGGAGTGAAAATGACCTGGATTTAGAAGTCTAGATCTATTTGATTATTACAAATTATTTGATAATCATGAGTACTATGCCGTATTGGTTATCTCTTGCAACATAACAAATTACACTAAGTGATTCTGAACAAACATTTATTATCTCATAGTTTTTGTGGTTCAGGAATTCTGGAGTGGCTTAGCAAGCTTGGTTCCTTCTGGCTCAGGTATCTCACGCGGTCAGGATGTGGGCAGGGGCTGCATGACTTATGCTTGATCATCCATTTTCAAGAGGTTCTTGGGAGAAATGCTTCATTCCTCACCATGTGGGCTCTTCATAAGTTGCTCAGTGTCCTTACATCATGGCAGCTGACTTCTCCAGAGTGAGCAATTTGAGAAAAAATGAGCAAGGAGGAAGCAGTAGTGCTCTATATAACCTCGTCTCCAAAGTTGTCCATCACTACGACTTTCCCGGCGTTCTGTTCTTTAGCAGTGAGGCTTTAGGTTCTACACCCGACTCAAGAGGAAGGGAATTAGGCTCCAGCTCTTGAAAGGAGTAGTATCAGAGAATTTGTGGAGACACTTTAACCTACCAGACATAGTACTAATGTACTTTCATTATTTATTATATAGAACATATATATCCATATTTATTTTTCTCTTTCCTTAAAACTAGCCAGAGGATAAAAGAGGAACTCTGCTCATTAATTAAAATGATCTCTTAAAATCATTTTGAGTTCTCACCTTTCATGTACTAAAAAATGTTGTGAACTACCAGAGGAGAAGCGATATAGACTGGGTTTACACAAAGGTTTATACAAAAATTGGTGTTCAAGGTTGTCTTAAATCAGAGGGAAAAGAGGAAGTAGAGCATGAAAAAGGGAACACTAAGGAAAAAAGAGAAGATGTTTGCCTCTTTGTATGGTGGCAAACTATTGAGGTATTAAAAGACTTTTTTTTTTTTTTTTTGAGACAGAGTTTCACTCTTGTCGCCCAGGCTGGAGTGCAGTGGCATGATCTCAGCTCACTGCAACCCCCATCTCCCGGGTTCAAGCGATTCTCCTGCCTCAGCCTCCCGAATAGCTGGAATTACAGGTGCCCACCACCACACCTGGCTAATTTTTTGTATTTTTAGTAGAGATGGGGTTTCACTGTGTTGGCCAGGCAGGTCTCAAACTCCTGACCTTGTGATCCGCCCACCTCGGCCTCCCAAATTGCTGGGATTACAGGCGTGAGCCACCGCACCCGGCCAAGACTTTTAAAATATTATGCCACAAATACTAACAGTTCTACATAAGATCTCTGTTTGCACGTAATATAAGTACTCACTACTTAATATTCACAGGGAATGCTCATTGGTCTGTCTCTATTATATCTTTCTGCACCATCGTTTTCTGCCTCTGTTGACAGACTGAGAGCAGAGGGAATATGTCTATTACTTTGCTACACTGTTTGAGCATCCACTAGAAGGAGGGAAGTGCCTGGAAATGAGGTCAGACAGGTAGACAGAGGCAAGATCAAGCAGAGCCTTCTAATGTCATGCAAAGGAGGTACTGAATTTTTTTTAATGCCAGGAAATATTTCCTATTGTTTAAAAATCTGGGTGGCTACAGCAGTAAGTTTGAACCATTTTCTTCACTTCTAACCCAGAGCCACATAATTTGACACTTGATATATTTTGATAATTAACTTCCATATTTGTTCATAAGCAGAGAGAGTACTTTGTTTAGAGGCAGGAAAGCTGCTAAAGAGGTTTTTGTGGATTTGTTACACTTCTGTTTAGTAGGTTTAGTGATTGATTTGATGGAGGAATGAGGGAGAGGGAAGAATCTGAAATACTTTCTAGCTTTGTAGGTAGGTTATAAAGGGGGAGAGTTGTCATATTTCCTAAAATAAGTCATTGGTTTGTGGGGAACAAAACAGTTAGCTCTTTTTCTTTTGCATGTATTGTTTTACAGACTAATCCTTTCTCTTCTCCCCTGAAATCTCTACATTGCCTCCCCATCCCCGCTTTCAGATGATGGCCTTGCTTACTGTTTCAGTGAAAGCCAACACAATTAGAAGAATATTTCCACAAGAGAACTTCCCCTACTTCTTTCTCCTGCTCCAGCATCTGAGTCCATATACTCTGGTTACCCTTTTACTTCTTGGGATGAACTGTCTGAACCAGCAAGGGCCAGCCTCCCATTTGTGCGCCAGATCTCATCTCAGTTTGCCTAGTCAAAGAAATTAGCTCAGCAGTTCTCTCCTCTATGTCCAGAATCATTAAAGTTTTCCCTGCTATCAAATCTGCTCATCAGCATACAAACATGCTGCTATTTCTCCCATCTGCTTTTGAAAACAAAAGCAGAACACTCATTGGACCACACATCTGCTTTACCACCTCATTTCTCTGATCATCACCAGAACAAAACTCTTTGAAAGAGTTATACAGGCCATGTTTGCCATTTCCATTTCCTTCCATTCTCTCTTGAACATACTTCACCAAAGCTTTCACCTTCTTCATGTTCCCCTGTCTCTCTCCTTCTCCTTTGGCCTCCCTATTCCCTGAGAGACAACAGTATTATAATTAAGCCAGTTGATAACCCTATAGTGTTCTCTAAGTGTTCAAGTGTTCACTTTAAATCAAAAGCTAGAAATGAATAAGCTTAGTGAGGAAGGCATGTTGAAAGCCAAGATAGGCCAAAAACTAGGATTCTTGGGCCAGTTAGCCAAGTTGTGGACACAAAGGAAAAGTTATTGAAGGAGACTGTAAGTGCCACTCCAATGAATACATGAGTGCTAAGAAAGTCAAATAGCCTTATTGCTGATACAAAGTTTGAATGGTCTGGATAGATCAAGCCAGTCACAACATTCTCTTAAGCCAAAGCCCAATCCAGAGTGAGACCCTAACTTCTTTAATACTGTGAAGGCTGAGAGAGGTAAGGAAGCTTCAGAAGAAAAGTTAGAAGCTAGCAGAGGTTGTCTCGTGAGGTTTACGGAAAGAAGCCATCTGCATAACACAAAAGTGCAAGGTGAAGAAGCAAGTACTGATGGAGAAGCTTTAGCAAGTTATCCAGATCTAGTGAAGATCATTGATGAAGGTGGCTATGCTAAACAACAGATTGTCAATGTAGACTAAACAGACTACTATTAGAAGAAGATGCCATTTCAGACTTTCATAGCCAGAGAGGAGAAGTCAATGTCTGGCTTCAAAGCATCAAAGGATAGGCCGACTCTGATGTTATGGGCTAATGCAGCTGGTGAATTTAAGCAGAAGCCAGTGCTCACTTACCATTCTAAAAATCCTAGGGCCCTTAAGAATTATGCTAATTCAACTCAGCCTGTCCTCTGCAAATGGAACAACAAAGCCTAGATGACAGCACCTTTGTTTACAGCATGATTTACTGAATATTTTAAGCCTACTATTGAGACCTAGTGCTCAGGGAAAATGATTTCTTTCAAAATATTACTGCTCTGTGACAGTACACCTAGTCACCCAGGAGCTCAGATGGAGATGCACAAGGAAATCAATGTCGTTTTCATGCCTGCTGATACAACATCCATTCTGCAGCCCATTGGATCAAGGACTGATTTCTGCTTTCAAGTCTTATTGTTTAAGAAATTCATTTCGTAAGGCCATAGCTGACATAAATAGAGATTCCTCTGGTGGCTCTGGGAAGAGTAAATTGAAAACCCTCTGGAAAGGACTCAACATTCTACATCCCATTAGGAACATTTGTGATTTATGGGAGGAGGTCAAATTATCAACATGAACAGGAATTTGGAAGAAGTTGATTCCAGCCTTCATGGATGACTTTGAAGGGTTTGAGACATCACTGTTGGAAGTAACTGCAGATCTTGTGGAAATACCAAGAGAATTAGAATTAGAAATATAGCCAGAAGATGTAACTGAATTGCCGCAATCTCATGATAAAACTTGGACAGATGAACTGTTGCTTCTTATAGATGAGCAAAGAAAGTGGTTTCTTGAGATGGACTCTATCCCTGCTGTAAATGCTGTGAATATTGTTGAAAGACAGCAAAGGATTTAGAATATTACATAAACTTAGTTGATAAAGCAGTGGCACGCCTTGAAAAGATTGACTCCAATTTTGAAAGAAGTTCTACTGTGGGTAAAATGCTATCAAACAGCATCACATGCTACAGAGGAATCTATCATGAAAGGAAGAGTCAATCCGTGGTGGCAACTTCATTGTTGTCTTATGCTAAGAAATTTCCACAACAGCCCCGTCCGTCAGCAACCACCACCCTGATCATTCGGCAGCCATCAACATCAAAGTTAAGACCCTTCACCAGCAAAAAGTTTATAGCTAGCTAAAGACTAAGGTGATTGTTACCATTTTTCAGCAATAAAGTATTTTTTAATTATGGTATGTACATTGTTTTTTAGACATAGTGCTATTGCACACTTAAGAAATTACAGTATAGTCTAAAAATAACTTTTATATCCTCTGGGAAACCAAAATATCTGTGTAACTCGCTTTATTGCCATTGTCTGAAACCAAACCCACAATATCTCTGAGGCATGCCTACAAATACTTCATTGTATATTAACTGGCACAGCTATGGAGAAGAGGTCATGTCTTTTTTTGCTGGTGACACCTACAACTAGGAGTTTCGCTAGTGAGACAGATGTCTGCATCTGTGCTTTCATGCATGATTAGCTTCTCAGGCACATCTTCCATTTGGAGGGAAAATATTTTGAGATGAAATTATGTTTTGGCTATGAGAACATAATAAACTATGTTCTCCATATGAAGGACTTAGAATGTAAAGAAATTATGTATGTACATATATATACACGCACACACACATGTTTTTCTTGAATATCTTATGTTAAATTATATGGATATCTAGCTTTCAGTGGCTACATATGTGGTTAGCTAGACCAGTAGAGGCAACAGCAGTGATCCAGACACTTAGTTCAGCTCTAGTAAAGAAGGCATTCTCTCAACCCCTTTGATACCAACTTTAATTTTTAAATTCTATTCAGCCTATTTAGTGTTTTGATGCACAAAACTTGCTTTTTACCATTTTTGCTGTGTTACTTCTTTTATGTTTGTAGTAGGTGCCCATTATGGGCACACCACTCTATACTGTAATTATCAGGAAGCTTTATTGGCAGGACATTTTACAAGGCTATAGAGACATGGACTCATAATAAGTACAGGCAATGATGGAACAAGCTTGATCCTGATTTAACAGACTCCAAATCCAAAAACACCGTCCGGGGTAAGCCTATGCTTTGCAGGCCAACACCTGGCGTCAGGCAGGATACCACCCTTAAAATAAATCTTCATTATTAA
Source organism: Homo sapiens (assembly GCF_000001405.40). NCBI lineage: Eukaryota > Metazoa > Chordata > Mammalia > Primates > Hominidae > Homo > Homo sapiens. The sequence goes on along the minus strand of NC_000004.12, from coordinate 119,580,935 downwards.
ATAGATCCAGGGCTCTGAAGTCGTTTTTGGCAATGTATTGTGTAAAGGTGAACATAAACAGTGGTGGAATTATTCTGATATGAAATACAACTTGTATAACCTATGTTGATATACAAAATTTTTTATTGACATTTTGGGCTTACTCTCACTTAAGCAGAGAGGCAGAGTGGGAAAGAAAGAGGTCTGACTTTGTAGCAAAAGTGACTTGGTCTTGTGCTGGCTTAGGAGCAGTGATTCCTTGAGCAAGTTTCTTCTCTCCATGCTTTAGGCGACTGGTTTGTAAAGTTTCAGCATAAAGTGCAAACACACAGGGTGGTTTTGAATTCCTAGTGAGATGAGGAATGTGACAGTGCCTACTGCAGAGCTCTCACCTCTTGGGGGTCAGAAAATGTCCATTTCCTCCTTATGAGAATGTTGCAAAGCCAGACAAATGGAGGAATGGAAAGTTAAACAACAACAGTAAACACTGAATGTACCCTGCCATGGGAAAGACAGCAGGCTGTTTTCTGCTATGTAACCTTTGTGTCTCTGGCAGTTTTTAAAGGGCTTATTTGGAGACTTTGCTCGCAATGGCTATGCGCTGTTCTGTCTCTGGACAGAATCTCTGTATCTCAAGGGACAGAAAGATCTAATAAGCAGGCAAAAAGTCCCTTTAGTTCTAGGTTTAAGAGCTTTACCTCATTACTTAAAAGCTAGTGTGGCAGAGAGTTTAGTATTTGGCAGGAGGGGGATTTTTTTTTTAATTGTTCAAAGGGATGAGGATAAACACTAGGATCAATAATTATGCCAAGCATTCCCTCGTGGGGAAGAACCCCAGTCTCAGGTTGACTCTAGTCCCACAGGATGTTCCTGGGGCAGGACAGCTACTGACCCCCAGAGGCTGGATTTGCCCTGGCCCCGTCTGGGGAGCGACGTCCTCCCTAATAGCACAGAACAAATGATCAGGACTTCAGCCTGCTTCAACATTACCCAGACAGCTGGGAACTTGGCACATGGGCCTCCACTTTCACATACCTTCAGCAATTACATATTCATTTGCTTTTAAAATGTTTTAAAATTCACGTACAGTGAAACTCACAGATCTTTTTTTTTTTTATTATACTTTAAGTTTTAGGGTACATGTGCACAACATGCAGGTTAGTTACATATGTATACATGTGCCATGTTGGTGTGCTGCACCCAGTAACTCATCATTTAACATTAGGTATATCTCCAAATGCTATCCCTCCCCACTCCCCCCACCCCACAACAGGCCCCAGAGTGTGATGTTCCCCTTCCTGTGTCCATGTGTTCTCATTGTTCAATTCCCACCTATGAGTGAGAACATGCAGTGTTTGGTTTTTTTGTCCTTGTGATAGTTTGCTGAGAATGATGGTTTCCAGCTTTATCCATGTCCCTACAAAGGACATGAACTCATCATTTTGTATGGCTGCATAGTATTCCATGGTGTATATGTGCCACATTTTCTTAATCCAGTCTATCATTGTTGGACATTTGGGTTGGTTCCAAGTCTTTGCTTTTGTGAATAGTGCCGCAATAAACATATGTGTGCATGTGTCTTTACAGCAGCATGATTTATAATCCTTTGGGTATATACCCAGTAATGGGATTGCTGGGTCAAATGGTATTTCTAGTTCTAGATTCCTGAGGAATCGCCACACTGACTTCCACAATGATTGAACTAGTTTACAGTCCCACCAACAGTGTAAAAGTGTTCCTATTTCTCCACATCCTCTCCAGCACCTGTTGTTTCCTGACTTTTTAATGATTGCCATTCTAACTGGTGTGAGATGGTATCTCATTGTGTTTTTGATTTGCATTTCTCTGATGGCCAGTGATGATGAGCATTTTTTCATGTGTCTTTTGGCTGCATAAATGTCTTCTTTTGAGAAGTGTCTGTTCATATCCTTCACCCACTTTTTGATGGGGTTGTTTGTTTTTTTCTTGTAAATTTGTTTGAGTTCTTTGTAGATTCTGGATATTAGCCCTTTGTCAGATAAGTAGATTGCAAAAATTGTCTCCCATTTTGTAGGTTGCCTGTTCACTCTGATGGTAGTTTCTTTTGCTGTGCAGAAGCTCTTTAGTTTAATTAGATCCCATTTGTCAATTTTGGCTTTTGTTGTCATTGCTTTTGGTGTTTTAGACATGAAGTCCTTGCCCATGCCTATGTCCTGAATGGTATTGCCTAGGTTTTCTTCTAGGGTTTTTATGGTTTTAGGTCTAACATGTAAGTCTTTAATCTATCTTGAATTAATTTTTGTATAAGGTGTAAGGAAGGGATCCAGTTTCAGCTTTCTACATATGGCTAGCCAGTTTTCCCAGCACCATTTATTAAATAGGGGATCATTTCCCCATTGCTTGTTTTTGTCAGGTTTGTCAAAGATCAGATGGTTGTAGATATGCAGCATTACTTCTGAGGGCTCTGTTCTGTTCCATTGGTCTATATCTCTATTTTGGTACCAGTACCATGCTGTTTTGGTTACTGTAGCCTTGTAGTATAGTTTGAAGTCAGGTAGCGTGATGCCTCCAGCTTTGTTCTTTTGGCTTAGGATTGACTTCGCAATGCAGGCTCTTTTTTGGTTCCATATGAACTCTAAAGTAGTTTTTTCCAATTCTGTGAAGAAAGTCATTGGTAGCTTGATGGGGATGGCATTGAATCTGTAAATTACCTTGGGCAGTATGGCCATTTTCATGATACTGATTCTTCCTACCCATGAGCATGGAATGTTCTTCCATTTGTTTGTGTCCTCTTTTATTTCATTGAGCAGTGGTTTGTAGTTCTCCTTGAAGAGGTCCTTCACATCCCTTGTAAGTTGGATTCCTAGGTATTTTATTCTCTTTGAAGCAATTGTGAATGGGAGTTCACTCATGATTTGGCTCTCTGTTTGTCTGTTATTGGTGTATGAGAATGCTTGTGATTTTTGCCCATCGATTTTGTGTCCTGAGACTTTGCTGAAGTTGCCTATCAGCTTAAGGAGATTTTTGGCTGAGACGATGGGGTTTTCTAGATACATAATCATGCCATCTGCAAACAGGGACAATTTGACTTCCTCTTTTCCTAACTGAATACCCTTTATTTCCTTCTCCTGCCTGATTGCCCTGGCCAGAACTTCCAACACTGTGTTGAATAGGAGTGGTGAGAGAGGGCATCCCTGTCTTGTGCCAGTTTTCAAAGGGAATGCTTTCAGTTTTTGCCCATTCAGTATGATATTGGCTGTGGGTTTGTCATAGATAGCTCTTATTATTTTGAGATACGTCCCATCAATACCTAATTTATTGAGAGTTTTTAGCATGAAGGGTTGTTGAAATTTGTCAAAGGCGTTTTCTGCATCTATTGAGATAATCATATGGTTTTTGTCATTGGTTCTGTTTATATGCTGGATTATGTTTATTGATTTGCATATGTTGAACCAGCCTTGCATCCCAGGGATGAAGCCCACTTGATCATGGTGGATAAGCTTTTTGATGTGCTGCTGGATTTGGTTTGCCAGTATTTTATTGAGGATTTTTGCATCAATGTTCATCAAGGATATTGGTGTAAAATTCTCTTTTTTTGTGGTGTCTCTGCCAGGCTTTGGTATCAGGATGATGCTGGCCTCATAAAATGAGTTAGGGAGGATTCCCTCTTTTTCTGTTGTTTGGAATGGTTTCAGAAGGAATGGTACCAGCTCCTCCTTGTACCTCTGGTAGAATTTGGCTGTGAATCCATCTGGTCCTGGACTTTTTTTGGTTGGTAAGCTATTAATTATTGCTCAATTTCAGAGCCTATTATTGGTCTATTCAGAGATTCAACTTCTTCCTGGTTTAGTCTTGGGAGGGGGTATGTTTCGAGGAATTTATCCATTTCTTCTAGATTTTCTAGTTTATTTGCGTAGAGGTGTTTATAGTAGTCTCTGATGGTAGTTTTATTTCTCTGGGATCAGTGGTGATTTCCCCTTTATCATTTTTTATTGCACCTATTTGATTCTTCTCTCTTTTCTTCTTTATTAGTCTTGCTAGCAGTCTATCAATTTTGTTGATCTTTTCAAAAAACCAGCTCCTGGATTCATTGATTTTTTGACGGGTTTTTTGTGTCTCTGTTTCCTTCAGTTCTGCTCTGATTTTAGTTATTTCTTGCCTTCTGCTAGCTTTTGAATGTGTTTGCTCTTGCTTCTCTTGTTCTTTTAATTGTGGTGTTAGGGTGTCAATTTTAGATCTTTCCTGCTTCCTCTTGTGGGCATTTAGTGCCATAAATTTCCCTCTACACACTGCTTTGAATGTGTCCCAGAGATTCTGGTATGTTGTGTCTTTGTTCTCGTTGGTTTCAAAGAACATCTTTATTTCTGCCTTCATTTCGTTATGTACTCAGTAGTCATTCAGGAGCCGATTGTTCAGTTTCCATGTAGTTGAGCGGTTTTGAGTGAGTTTCTTAATCCTGAGTTCTAGTTTGATTGCACTGTGGTCTGAGAGACAGTTTGTTATAATTTCTGTTCTTTTACATTTGCTGAGGAGAGCTTTACTTCCAACTATGTGGTCAATTTTGGAATAAGTGTGGTGTGGTGCTCTGAAGAGTGTATATTCTGTTGATTTGGGGTGGAGAGTTCTGTAGATGTCTATTAGGTCCACCTGGTGCAGAGCTGAGTTCAAGTCCTGGATATCCTTGTTAACTCTCTGTCTCGTTCATCTGTCTAATGTTGACAGTAGGGTGTTAAAGTCTCCCATTATTAATGTGTGGGAGTCTAAGTCTCTTTGTAGGTCTCTAAGGACTTGCTTTATGAATCTGGGTGCTCCTGTATTGGGTGCATATATATTTAGGATAGTTAGCTCTTCTTGTTGAATTGATCCCTTTACCATTATGTAATGGCCTTCTTTGTCTCTTTTGATCTTTGTTGGTTTAAAATCTGTTTTATCAGAGACTACGATTGCAACCCCTGCCTTTTTTTGTTTTCCATTTGCTTGGTAGATTTTCCTGCGTCCCTTTATTTTGAGCCTATGTATGTCTCTGCACTTGAGATGGGTTTCCTGAATACAGCACACTGATGGGTCTTGACTCTTTATCCAATTTGCCAGTCTGTGTCTTTTAATTGGAGCATTTAGCCCATTTACATTTAAGGCTAATATTGTTATGTGTGAATTTGATACTGTCATTATAATGTTAGCTGGTTATTTTACTCGTTAGTTGATGCAGTTTCTTCCTAGCCTTGATGGTCTTTACAGTTTGGCATGTTTTTGCAGTGGCTGGTACCGGTTGTTCCTTTCCATATTTAGTGCTTCCTTCAGGAGGTCTTGTAGGGCAGGCCTGGTGGTGACAAAATCTCTCAGCATTTGCTTGTCTGTAAAGGATTTTATTTCTCCTTCACTTATGAAGCTTAGTTTGGCTGGATATGAAATTCTGGGTTGAAAATTCTTTTCTTTAAGAATGTTGAATATTGGCCCCCACTCTCTTCAGGCTTGTAGAGTTTCTGCTGAGAGATCAGCTGTTAGTCTGAGGGGCTTCCCTTTGTGGGTAACCCAACCTTTCTCTCTGGCTGTCCTTAACATTTTTTCCTTCATTTTAACTTCGGTGAATCTGACAATTATGTGTCTTGGAGTTGCTCTTCTCGAGGAGTATCTTTGTGGCGTTCTCTGTATTTCCTGAATTTGAATGTTGGCCTGCCTTGCTAGATTGGGGAAGTTCTCCTGTATAATATCCTGCAGAGTGTTTTCCAACTTGGTTCTATTCTCCCTGTCACTTTCAGGTACACCAGTCAGACATAGATTTGGTCTTTTCACATAGTCCCATATTTCTTGGAGGCTTTGTTCGTTTCTTTTTATTCTTTTTTCTCTAAACGTCTCTTCTCACTTCATTTCATTCATTTGATCTTCCATCACTGATACCCTTTCTTCCAGTTGATCGAATCGGCTACTGAGGCTTGTGCATTCATCACGTAGTTCTCGTGCCTTGGTTTTCAGCTCCATCCGGTCCTTTAAGGACTTCTCTGCATTGGTTATTCTAGTTAGCCATTCATCAGATCTTAATGAACAATTTGATGAGTTTTGAAAAATGTACATATATCTGTATAACTAATTCCCTAATCAGTCCTCACCACCCATGGGCAACACTGTTCTGATATCTATAACCACAAATTAGTTTTGCTTTTTCTTGAAGAATCTACTTATTTTTGATACTGCATTATTATTCACTTTTCCTTGATACATAGGATTTTTTTTAATGTTGCATAAGTGGTTCTTGGCTGTGAAAACTTGTTACGAGACTTATAACCTAAGTCCAAGAAACCAGCTTTTAGCAGCCACTTTGGATTGTCTTTGTTTCTTAGAGTTATAATTTTGAAATTGTTCCATTCCCTTTGATGAAAATGTGCATTAAGAAGATAAGCATCCTTATGAGATCTAAAGACTAAGCGTTAGTATGTACTGGATCTTGGTCTCCATGATTCCTTGAGTATAAAAGAGGAGTCCATAAGAGCCTATATTTTGGCCAGGCGCGGTGGCCCACACCTGTAATCCCAGCACTTTGGGAGGCCGAGGCGGGCAGATCGCAAGGTCAGGAGTTTGAGACTAGCCTAACCAACATGGTGAAACCCGTCTCTACTAAAAATACAAAAATTAGCCGGGGCGTGGTGGCGGGCACATGTAATCCCAGCTACTCAGGAGGCTGAGGCAGGAGAATTGCTTGAACCCGGGAGCCAGAGGTTGCAGTGAGCCGAGAGCGCATCATTACACTCCAGCCTGGGCGACAGAGTGAGACTCTGTCTCAAAAAAAAAAAAAAAAAAAAAGCCTATATTTTGTACTAGGGCTGATTTCACTTTTTCCTGTGGGGAGTAGTAGAAAGAATTGTAGCTCTTGGGATCAAGTCTGGAGAGTGTCTGGGTCTGCATATTCTTGAACTAGTTATGTAAGTTTTCTGAACATCAGATTGCTCTGTGATAAAATGGGAATGAAAATTAAAGAATTATGTCAAGGATTAAATGAATGAACAGTTACAAAGTGCCTGTTACATGGCAAGCCCACCCTTCTCCTTTTTTTAATGGCAAGCTTTTTAGCATTTGAATTTTTCTGGTTTTAGCGAGGAGGAGATTTCTTAACTGTATTAGAAACAATGGCATTGATCATGTTATTTCTGATGCCAGTTATCTTCAGGGCACTGCTTTCTTATATCTTGCAATTCCTTAGAAGCTTCTCTCCAACCTACTTGGCTGCCCATTCGTAGCCACGAAGGCTGTGAGAGTAAACTAAAAGCATCATTCTCCTCTGTTTATCCTTGTCTCATCCCCCAACCATGGAATATCTGTAAACATTCTCTTGAGATAAATCATAGGTATAAAGGTGCCTGTATATACAGAAGGATAAAATCAATCTTACCAGTCACTTAAAGAAATATCTAACTTTGATTCTAAAATTCATTAAGAAGAGCCCACCCCAAAACCATAACTAAAATGGTCAAAATTGGCTAATGTACACATAGGCAATACAGAAGAGGATACCAGCTTAGCCAATAACAATAAAAAAGATGTTCATTCTCTCCAGTAATCAGGAAAATACAAATTAAAGCAACAATGAGATGCAATTTTATGCCCATCAGATTGACAAACATTGAAAAAGTCTGATAACACCAGATGCTGATAAGGATGTGAGGTTAATGGAGACTCTTAGGCCTTGCTAGTAAAGGTATAAATTTCTGTAATCTTTTTGAAGATTTAGCCAGAGAAGTTGCTGCACATGTGCACAAGAAGAAAATCAAAGATGTTTCTTAAAGATTGTAGTAGCAAAAAGTTGCAAACAACCCAAACATCCATTCTTTGGAGATCAAATGAATACAGTTTGATATGGAATGCAATATTGTATATAAAATGAATGAACCAGATTTATATGAATTGATCTTAAAAAACAACATTGAATATAATTGCAAGTTGCAAAATGATTCCTATATATTATTTCATTTAAGAAACCTTTTTGAAAGATAAAAGTACTATGTTTTGTGTATAGATTTATGTATTTTTAACAGTATAATGAAGAAGGTTGACTATGGTAGGAGGAACAGGGGGGAGAAGAAAGACTGGAAAGAGGAAGTCCAATTTAATTTTATCTTAATTTAATAGTATTAATAAAGGAAACATCACCAAATATTAACATTTAGTAATTCTGTATCAGTAGTTGTCAATGCGTCTTTTGTGCCTGGACCAGCAGCATTTGTAATCATCTGAGAACTTTTAGAAATACAGGCCCCAGTCTAGATCTACAAAATCTGAAATTTGGGGGGTAGACCCACGAAACTGTGTTTTAACAAGTCTCACACTAACACTGTTTTAGATGGCAAAGGCATGGATGTTTACTGTCTCATTCTTTGTGATTTTCTATACTTTTTAAATTAAAAATTAAATAATCTCAAGCTTTTCTTTCTTCTCTCTTCCAGTGTCGCCTTAGGCTATAAGTTTCAACTCCATAATTAATGGCTTATTAAGAAAATAAAGTTTTTACTGCCACACAAAGTTCTCAGATATGGATGGATTTCTTAATATTAAGCAAAGGCTAGAGCCAAAAATGGGAAGACATAATTAATTATTATTTGAATATGCATTGTTCAGTTAGTACATTACCCTAAAAAATTTTATTCTTTCTGGCATTTTTCCCATTATCATCAACAACACATACTATTCAACTTTTGAGTACATGTAAAATAATGCAAAGTGTTGATAATAGCATAAAATATAAATCAAGTACTTAGAAAGCAATCTAATTGCAGGGCTAGGATGTGAGTAAAGAAAATTAGGTTAAAAAGGAATACCCTGCCTCGTATAGGGCGTATACAACTGCCACATGGAGTTTCAGAGGGGTAGGTCTGAAGGGAAGATTTTTTGGAGATTTGGCCTCAGTAGAGAGGTGATATTTCAAGGAATTATGTGAACACAGGACATTGCGGTATTCTAACCCAAAGACCCATGTAAGTGATATAGTTAAGTTGAGAGTGTGGAATGTTAGGTAGAGTCTTTAATTTTTATTCTGTAGATGGGTGAAACCATTAAAATTCTTGAGAAATGAGATGATCTGTGTATGCACAACAGTGCCCCAAGAATATAAATTTGGCTAAATTGTCAAAGATGGACTGAAGGCAGGAAGATGATTAGGAATGAGATGTCAAGTTCTTCAAAGACAGTGAGGATTTACATAGTGAAACAGAAGAGATAAAATGAGGTGAGGAGAAGAAGAAAAATAATGCAAGAATATAAGAATCACAATTGAATGGAATGTATTGGTTTCTTAATGCTGCTGTAAAAAAACTACCAGAAATTTAGTGACTTAAAATAGCACACATGTATTATTTGAAGCTTTGGACTTCAGAGTCTAAAATAATTCCCAGTGGGCTAAAATCAGGGCATCTACAGGGCTGTGTTTCTGTGTGGAGTCTCTAGAAACAGACCTGTTCTCTTGGCCCTTCTAGCCTCCATAGGCTGCCTGTACCCCTTTGCTCATGGCCCCTTCCTCTGTCTTCAAAATCTGCAGAACAGCATCATCAAATGTTTCCTTGACTCTGCCTCTCCTGCATTCCACTTTTCCTTACAAGGACCTTGTGATTACATTGGGCCCACCTAGATAATTCAGGATAATCTCCCCATCTCCAGATCTTTAACTTTATCACATGTCAAAAACCCCGTTTGTCATTTAAGGGTCACATATTCGTAGGTTCCAGAGATTAGGACAAGGACATCTTTGGGGGCCATTATTTGCCTACCACATGGAATATTACCATAACTTGATGATTCCTTAGGATTCAGAAGAGAAGTCAGAAAGCCTGGATCGGTTATGTCAACTCTCTCACTCTCAGTTTTCTCATCTGTAAAGCAGGTGGGGAGAGGATGTGGGGGTGGGATTCCCAAGCCTAACACTGATTAGAATGTCAGCTCTCTGAGGACAGGGATTTTCATCTGTTTTGTTCACTACTGGTACATAAAGGCACTTAGTAGTTAGCTGTTGAATAAAGTATTTATGGCAGAATGAATAAATGAGTCAAAGAAAAGTTTGAAAAGAGCACTAGGGAAAATTCTCCCCTAACTCCTCTATATATTGTTAAGTTCTAGTTTTCTTAGTAAAGTTTGTATTTGGCTCAGATTAGACTGTCTAGAGTCCTGTCATTGCAGTGGAGATCTTCTGAGGCTGAGAGAGAGGGATAGCTATGATTTGTAGTCTGTCCTTTCCTCCTTTGCTTTTAGTTTCCATGCTGAGCATCCCCTGAACCGGGGATGGGGAAATGTATTGGGATTGATGTATGACCTCAGTAAATGTCTGGGGCAGCTGCTTATTGAAGAAGAAATTGCTCACTGTGGCAATGATCAGTTGCCCTGAAACAACCAGCTGTCACATTCCATACTGCTCGCCCAGTGAGAGTCAAGTCTTGGCCTTTGCATTCCTAAAAGAACACTCGACCCTGTGAGGACATAACATCCATTTGTGCTGTGCATAGTGCCAGTAAAATAGAAAACAGAAAGGCTTTTTTGCGCTTTTACAGAAATAGCGTGGAGTGCCCATATCTGAGAGTACAGTTAGCCAGCAGGTAGGCAAAAGTGAATGGACATTCTGATATGGAAGCTAATGCTTTTAGGGGTGCTGCCTCTCACATGGAGTCTGAGATATACTTAGAGTAAAAGCTGTCATTAAAAATGGACATTTCAAAGCCTATAGTTAACAGTTACTTGATTTAAAGACAATGATCTAATTTGTTTAAAGAAGCAATGGATGACAGCAGAAAGAAGGACTGAATTTATTTGAACATGAGGGCAGAGGATGCCAGTTTTGCTCAGGATCCTTAAAGTCAGAATTAAACTGTTAATTTGTCTTTTATTGTGTATGCAACCCTGGATGAACACTATGCCTTTTCTTCTATTTTTTGTCTGTTTTTATCAGTGTCATTTTTCAAATGTCATCCTTCTGGGGATGGAGGCACATATACATGTTAGATATACAGTTGTCTCTTAGTATACAAAGAGGGATTGATTTGAGGACTCCACTCCATCCCCTCATACCAAAGTCTGTGGATGCCCAAGTCCCTTATATAAAATGGCATAATATTTGCATAAAACCTATGCACATCCTCTCATACACTGTAAATCACCTCTGGATTACTTTTTTTGTTACACTTGTAGGACATTTGTTCTTAGGGAGTCACAAGTTTTGTGCCCCTTGTCACAGTGACCTCAGATGCCTGTTCCATGTGTTATAAACAGAGGAGCCATTCTTCAGCCCCCTGCTCTGAGCACACCCCTAGATTACTTATACTACCTAATATAATGTGAGTGCTCTGTACGTAATTGTCCTACTATATTTATTTTATGTTATTTTTATTGCTGTGGGTTTAAAATTTTTTTGTCAAACATTTTCTATCACAGTTGGATACAAAGGACCAACTATATTTTCCTGGTCTAATAGTCTCTTGACAGAACTTGTTTTTTTTTTAATATTTCTTTATTTATTGGTACAAATTTACAGGGTATATGTGAAACTTTGTTACATGTATATAATGCATAGTGATCAAATGAGGGTATTTCTGGTGTCTATTACCCCTAATACAATACATTTTTGTTAAGTATAGTCACCCTCCTATACTATAAAACATTTAATTTATTTCTTCTATCTTACTGTATGTTTGTAATCCCAGCACTTTGGGAGGCCAGAGCAGGAGGATTGCTTGAGTGCAGGGCATAGTGAGACCAGCCTGGGCATAGTGAGACCTCATCTCTACAAAAAAATTTTTAAAATTTAACCAGGCATGGTAGTACATGCCTTCCAAGTAGTCCCAGCTGCTTGGAAGCTGAGGTTGGAGAATAGCCTCAGCCTCGAAGATCAAGCCTGCAGTGAGCTGTGATTGTGCCACTGTACTCCAGCCTGGGCAACAGAGCAAGACCCTGTCTCAAAAAGAAAAAAAAAAAAAAGACTGAAAGGAATCATCATCTCACTGTAAATTTATGTTGATATGATGATGGACTAAAATGTTAATATAGTTTGATTAGTGATCATTTAATAAGCAGCTGATTTTTTGTCTTCTTATATTTTTGAGTGAGCAGGAGCTTTCTCTTTATTTTCTTGCTTAGTACATTGCTTCATACAGTTCCAGGTACAGATAGCATATCAATGTATACTTTTTGTACTGCATATTTATCAGAAACTTTGCATAATACTTTCTATATCTGTTTGAAACTCATCTTTCTTAAAACACAGATTTAAAGTTTATGTCTTTACTTTGTAAAACTATTTATTAGAGAAAAAAAATTTAAATGTCATTTCTGAGACTCCTTCTCTTTTACCCACATTAAGTGCCCCTTCAGTGCTCCTAGCAATCCATGGCCACTGTATCATGAAACTGATCCCACCATCCTACTACGCTATAAGTCTATGTTTATGTATCACTCATTCTTGATTCTGAGCTCGTTCAGAGTAATCACTTCCCCAGTTTTTTATTACTTTTTGGTACGTAATAGGCACTTCACTATTTGTTGAGTGGATGAATGAATACCTGAGCATTTAAAATAACCAAATTATACTACTCTATATTAGACCCCAATGACCTTCAAGTGGCTCTTATTATAGTTCCCGTGAACATTCGTAACTACAATCCAGACATTTTTGACCTTAGAGGAATTTTACTAGAAATTTAGTCACTGAGGTTAGAGCATCTAGAAATCTGCCACTCTTTTCAAGAGCTAAAGAGCATGTAAAAATAAGAGAGAGTTGCTCTAAGGGAAATGAAAAGGTATAGGATAATTGCATAATTCTGCTTTTAAAAACAATTAATATCCCTTTACCATATGGGCAAAAAAAAAAGAGAGAGAGAGAGAAAAATGTTAAGAAGACTAGAAAACTACATAAGACAAGAAGGTATTTCCCCTTCCTTGTTCTGCTATCCTAGAGGAGAATTTTATATCTTTTTCTTAAAGCTAAGATACTATAATGAGCTGAGAAAACAAAGTGAACCATCCACATAGAACTAAAGATACATATTTCTGAAGTATAGCCAGTTAGAGGATAATAGCTTATTCCACTGATACTAAATAGCAGAAGAAAGGAAAGAGTAGAATTAATAAGTAATAAAGAGGAGAGAAGAGTAAGTTGAAGGTCTTTATAGGACTAAGGTAATAACTCAAAATGAAGGTGGAACTAAAAGGTAAGTAACTTCCAAATGCCTTCTGATCTATTTGAAATAAGCCTCAGCATGTTAATTCCTGTTTTGATTTTTCAGTACCCTCTTTCCCAAAAATAAGTCTGTTGAAGGTAAAATAATTTTCAAGGGCAGAAATTTCAAAAGAAGTTGGACTGCATCCCTACATTAAGAATTATTTTTGCCCTAATGATCCTCCTGCATTCTTTCCATGATTGGCCACTAGGTCCTGTTTCATTTTTAGTAAAAGAGCATTTAGCCGTTTTGGAATATTATATTTAAAACCCATATAAAATGTTCATATTCTTATATACTTTATTGGAACTGTAATCAAAATGTGTTGTTTATATTTAAAAACTATGGAAAATATATACTTAAAATGTGATTGCTAAAATAATTTCATTCAAAATGCAGGGTGAAATCACAGGATCAAACATAGTTTGGGCCCTAATAAATTAAAAACATTCGAATTCTTATTAGGATGAAAGAATGTGGTAAATGATGTAAAGCTTGCTCAAATGCTGATGAGGGGTTTTGCTTTTGTTTTGTAGACTAGTGTTATTTTAAAGCACATGCAGGATATCTTCTATAAATACATTTTGGTGAATTTTTACAAGTAATTTCAGTCAATAAAAAAATTGTCGCTTTTCTCTCCTTATACCAGGTTGTTGGTGTAGCCCAGGCCATCAACAAGAAATCAGGAAACGGTGGGACATTTACTGAAAAAGATGAAAAGGTACCAAAACTTGTGTCAGACATGAGCCAATTTAGGAAGATGCTTTCTCTTTATAGTATATACACCTCTAGGTTTAGCTGTTGCTGAAATTGTTGGTCACACAAAAAAATTAGAGTTAAAAATGATCTGAAATGTTCAAGTGTATCTTAGGCTAAATAAAGCGATGATTTCACATCTGAGTACTTGTGTTATTCAGTCAGCAGAAACCCCCAAATTCCCTCCTTGCTGTGCTGCCAAGCCTGCACTGGGCATGTTGGGGCCACACAGAGGGTGACTTATGGTATTTTAACTATATCATTTACCTTTCATCACTGCTATAGAGATCCAACCTTGAGTAAAACCCCATAAAAACACTGCTCCAAGTTCAGCACTTTTGGTTGACTAAAAATTGGAATTGCCTCCTGGCGTAGCAAATTTCTGAATGTTTTATAAGCCTTGCGCACAGACAGTGGGGCGCCAAGGTATGAATTCAGGCTGGATGATGTAAATTTAGCTTCAGAGAGAGCAACAGCCAGCATTATTTTATTATACTTCTCGTTCAACTCTGAAGGAGTACCTTCCACACGCCTCATTGACATGCTTTCCATTTAAGGACAAAAGCCCGTAAACCTGTCGATAAATTCATTCTATGAGTAGGTTTTATTATTTTTCCTATTGAATAAGTAATTATGTGTATATCATAGCCTACTGAATTATTCCTATTCAAAGCCCATTGCTGTTTATGTTGTTCCCCTGAAAATTACTAGGAGCTTTTGAATTTGGAAGACGTTCAAACAAGACAGTTATTTTTATCTCTATGCTATAGGCTAGGTTGGCACCTGTGTTGCTCCCCTTGTTATAATTGCTTCAGAACATAGCAAATACTTTTTAAATCGAGTAATAGACATCTAGGCTCCTGTTCTGTTCATGGCACTTGAGAATATTTGGTGTGAAAACATGGTTCCTGGATTGGCTTTGAATTCCATTATTATGTCTATAATCCATTAATATAACTCCCTCTTGAATTGATTTGAATTTTTAAGGCTCTATCACATTGTGGATAAGATATGCTGTCTAAATATTTATTTCAATCAATAATTAATACTATTAATTATTATTAATTATAATAATATTAATTAATAATAATTAATAGTCAATCAATAATTAATATAATTAGAAACACATTACCCTAGTATAGTTTAATGAGGATGATAGATCCATGTTAAA
The DNA here is from genome assembly GCF_000001405.40 of Homo sapiens. NCBI lineage: Eukaryota > Metazoa > Chordata > Mammalia > Primates > Hominidae > Homo > Homo sapiens. Next base: position 119,565,866 of record NC_000004.12, on the reverse strand, counting down.
AATGACATATTTAATGTTTGCAACTTTATATAATATTTAACTTTATGCTTTTATTGTGAATATTCTTTTAACAAGTATGTAAGCTGTTGTTTGCTGCAGTAATGAGTTACAAGCTATTTATATAATAATTTCAGCATAGATCCAAGTCTTAATATCATGGAGAGGCTAAACCAAATTTTGCATGGAATAAATTGTAACTTCAAGTGGTATAAAGAGATAAAGTCTTTATCTTAGTTCCTCTCCTTTTTCTCCTTATTGATTTATACCTAATTTATACCTTAGGAGACTATTCCAATACCTTTAGCTAAGACTTAGTTTATATCATCCTAATTTTATGTAGAACAAACATCTATTCTTTTGGCTTTCTAACTGTAAATATTTGAGGATCTGTATTTCAGGCAATGTAACTAGACTGTTTTATGTACCGTTTTTATTTGTCTATTATCTGTTTTTTAGGACTTTGCTGCTTATTTGGCATTTTGTGGTATTGTTCTTCATAATGCTCAGCTCTATGAGACTTCACTGCTGGAGAACAAGAGAAATCAGGTCAGTCTGATTACTAAAGAAAGTGCATAGAAATACTTTTTAAAAATTGTTACATTTTTATCCAAGTAATGTATGCAGATGATTAAAAATTTAGATAGTACAGATTCAGTTTCTCAATACTTTATTTTTTCTAGTAGTCATTTGTATTTCCTATTTTCCATGCTTAGTTGTTTATCTTATTAGACAATGTTCATTAACTTGGGAGATGAGAATTTATTTGACTTACACCACACGTTACTTGCCATTACTCTTATCCTACTGGAATCATTCTGTCACTGTTTTAAGTCACTGTATGGGTTGCACTTGTGTTGTTAAATAATGGTTTTAGTTCTTGCTCTGTCAACTGTAGATATTACTCTTGATTTCATACTTTGTAAGACAGGTGTCTTAGCATCCCCTGTTCTCTTTATCTCTTTTTCCCAACTACCGCTCCTTAGCCCTGCTTTTTCCATCTGGACTTTTTCTTTTACAATTGCCCACATTGGTAATATATACTGTTCTACAACCATGATGAACTTTTCCTGGGCTTTGTCTAGGTTAATTCTAAAGTTGCAATTCTAAAGAAACTATTTATAAGCACTATAATTATGTAAATGTTGTTCATACTACCTTTGTTACAGAACTTTTCATTTTTCCTGATGTTTCTGAATTTTTTTCCTTGAACTCTTTGCTCTAGTATAGCCTCATGTTCTTGTTTCCTCCTCTCCCCAAACTCCATTATATTAGGCATCCTGTTGAGTTCCCCTTCTGCTTCTGTTTGCAGAGGTCCAAACTGAGGTTCTCCAACCTTTCTTCTTCCAAGCTACACTATTTAGCCCTATGCCTGCTACACTAGTGTCATCATAGAACTTTTCTTCATTGCTTTCTTAGATTCCACTATCTTTTGGATCCCCTACTTCTTTCTCACTTCCTTATTTTGTTGCAGCACATTCTCAATTAACTACTTAAGAAAGGGCATTGGTAAAGTAAACTTTCTGAGTCCTTGCATGTATGAAAATATGTATTGTAGCATCCTGCCACTTTGGCTGGGTATAAAATTCTAAACTGAAAAATCAGTTTCTCAGAATTTAGAAGTAGTGCTTTGTCTTCTAACTAGCATCCATGTTGTCCTTATTCTTAGCTCTTTTGTAGCTATATTTATTATCTACAATATAAATATATAACATGGCATATAATACATATTTTGTATTTTTATATTATTATTTATATCTATTTTTGTCTATGTGTCTATAAGCTTTTCAGATTATTTATATTTGCTTTTGTAACTTAATTTCACAGTATTTTTTTTCATTCATCATGCTGGTATCTGTATGTTGGTTCATCTCTTTGGAGGTTTAAGCAAACTGTTTACTTCTGTGTAATTCTTTTTTCATTATTTCTTTGATAATTCATCTTCTCTACCCTCTATTTTCTCTGTTTAGAATCTGTGTTAATAAGATATGGGACCTTCCATTGACTTTAACTGCAATGTTCTCCCTGTTCTATTCTTGCCATCCTTTCATCCAGTCCCCATTTTTACAAACAGATGGGATCACACCACTTCCTTCCTGCAGTGCATCACAGTCGAAACTGCTTCAAAAGACATACAGTGCTTTTCAGGTTCTTTTTCTACTTAACGCTGCAACCTCATCTCCCAGTTCTTCTCTTTATAGTCTGTGCTCTTATAAAATCTAATCAAAACTTTCAGTATACCACTTTCTCTGAATTCTATTATTTTTGCCTGAAATATTTCTCTTCCCTATTTCACCTGAATGATTCCTGCTCATCTTTCAGACCTCAGCTAGGATAGCGTCACCTCCACTAAGTTTTTGGTAATACTTATGAGGTTCAGAAGAAAGAGAAATCTACCAGAAAAAAACACAAAGGAAATTCTTAAAACTTTGTTTACTTTGACGGGTAATATTTACTGTGCTCTGTAAAAATATTGATAATGTTGACAAATGTTGATCTGAAAAGTTTGGAACAACATTAACAGTGCGTTTTATGTACCAGATAGTGTTCAAAATACTTTATAAATATTATCTTAATCCTCCTAACAGCCCTATGATTTTAATGTCATTAATATCCCCATGTTGAAGAAATTTGCCCTCAGTCTCAAAGCTAGCAGTAAAGGAAGTCAGGATTAAAAACTGATTACTCTGGCTTCAGAGGCTGTGATCTTAACAACTATATTAACTATATTAACAGTCAATAAAGGATTTTGTTAATAAGTGGAGACGTATTTATATTTGAATGCAGACTTGATCATAACCTGCTAGGTTATATAAACAATTTATAACCCATATAAATAATTGTGCTTTAATAATTACAATCAATTGCTAAATAATGAGCTCCTAATTTTTTTGTCTAGGTGCTGCTTGACCTTGCTAGTTTAATTTTTGAAGAACAACAATCATTAGAAGTAATTTTGAAGAAAATAGCTGCCACTATTATCTCTTTCATGCAAGTGCAGAAATGCACCATTTTCATAGTGGATGAAGATTGCTCCGTGAGTACAGAGTATGACTTTTTTATTTTTAGAAAGACAGAAACTTATATTTCTATAAGCACTACTTTTAAACCTCATTTTGGTCTTAGAACCCTCTCTCAAACCCAAATGTGTATGAATATGTATATAAAACTAATCAGGGTATGAGCTGTTCTGGTTGAAGACAGGTAGGGGTGGAGGGTGGAGGGTGTCTTCATCAGCCTTTTTTTACCTCTGTTCATGTCCCCATCCCAACCTCCTGAAAATAGTTACCATGGGAATGTCTGTGTGCTGCTTCTACCAATGGCTACACTGTCTTCATGGAGAAATATATTGTCATTACAGTGTGCTGACTTTTCATGGTCAGGAATACTGGTGACCTAGTTGCTATGAACAGGCAGACCAGACTCCTCATTCTGGATGGGTTGGGTATAAAAATTTCTTCTTACTAGAAATTGTATAGAAACCAAAAGGCATAGCCAGTAGGAGTATTACTAATGGTCCCCATAAGTCCCATATTTTTACCAACAGTGGAAAACCACTAAGCTGTTCTAACTGGTAGATTTCAGTCCATTGATTTTGTAATGTGAAGAAACATTTTCAGGTGTCTGGGGTAAGATAGACTGTTGTCACAGAGTGCTAGTTACAGCCAGGCCAGCTGTCTTGAGTTTGCCAGTAGAATCAGGGCCCCTGGCCTAAGGCAGTTTTTCTTTATGCACTTTCTCTCCCTTCTCAACCTATGAACCACTGTTTCTGGAATATTTCTTTTTGCTGTAGTTGTTTGTTTTCTTTTTCCTTTAGTCCCTAAGAATAGGTTGTTCATTTGTGGATTAATAGGAAAGAGAGCGTGCACTATCACTTGTATAGGTCAATTATAATCTACATATGATATCCGAAGTTATGTTTTGGGGCAAAGTAGAATAATAAAAGGTATTCAGTACTTAATTTATATTAAGAAATTTTAGTTGATTTAGATATAAGGACTATACTGTATGACCCAACATCTCAACCATTTGGGATGTGTATATGTGTCAGATGAATGCATTGTTTAATACAAAATTCTGATTAATATCAAATGAGAACTCAGTAGGCTAAAAGGTAATCAGTATTTTCATAGATACTATTTCATATTTTTCAATCAGTTATAAAATCCTTAATATAGAGGTGATTTTAATATAGTAGCCATGCCATCATTTTAAACTTCAGGTCAGAATTCCTTAATGTAGTATGTCACTTAATCTGTAATTTTTGCTCTATGACCCACTTTTTGCATTTAATTTTTGAAAGTTATATGTGAAGCACTCCTTTTTTTACACAACTTAAATATCACTTTAATTCGCACTCAATGGATACTTCTACCAGTTAACACCTGTTATGGTAGTACACTGATTTGGATCAGTGCTACTTGGAAGTATAGCGCAACAATATGCTTATTAAGATATTTTGCTTACTTTTTGACTACTTAAGTTGTAGGATTTAGAAAAGGAATTAGGTGACTTTATATTCATTTGTATTACATTTATTTGTTGTTTAAAAGTACATCAACAACATGAGCAAAGGTGAAAATGTAAGAAGGAAAGAAATGTACAGATTTCTTCCATCCCCAGATTAAACTATCATTTTTTTTTTCTGTTTTCTTCCAATTCTGTATAAATAGAGCATGGGCATAATGTGCTGTTCTGCTTTTTAATGTGATTTAAAAAATTTTTTTTCTTTCTTATTTTCGAGACAGAGTATTGCTGTATCATTCAGGCTGGAGTGCAGTGGCACGATCTCACCATCGCAGCTCACTGCAACCTTGGTCTCCCAGGTTCAAGAAATTCTTGTGCCTCAGCCTTCCCAGTAGTTGGGATGACAGAGGCATGCCCACAACATCCAGCTAATTTTTGTATTTTTAGTAGAGTAGGGGTTTTGCCATGTTGGCCAGTCTGGTCTCAAATTCCTGGCCTCAAGTGATCCACCCACCTTGGCCTCCCAAAGTGTTGGGATTATAGGCATGAACCACCACACCTTTAATGTAATTTCAAAAGTATTTCTCTATGTTGTTAAAATTTTCACAGTTATTTTAATAATCACATAAAGTATTACTGAATGAAACATCTTTTTAAGAAGGGATTCTTTACCTGGGATTTAACAACAATCAATGTACTTAAGCGTTAAAAGCCAAAACTTGAGAATTTTCAATAAGTGTAAAAAATTTTGAAACTAATAAATCCATCAGCACCTAGAAAAAAACAAATAGTCCTCATATAATCATTCTTCCAAGAGAAAATCAGAAATTATATGAACGAAACTTTTATTTTAATTAAATGGGAAGCAGTTTTGAGGATGTCATAAAATGAGTACTTGGGTCTATTTTGTCCAAGAATAAGTAAAAATATACTACAAGTATTGGGGTCTTTTGTCAATTCCATAGCATGTATGTCTGTATCTAGATAGTTTTCATTACCTTGTCAAACTTATTTCTCAGCCTGTGTTGTCTGTTTTTAGGATTCTTTTTCTAGTGTGTTTCACATGGAGTGTGAGGAATTAGAAAAATCATCTGATACATTAACAAGGTAAAAGCACGTATTCTCTACTTGTCTTTATCACATGATATAATATTGGCTAAATAGTTATTTCATGACCAGTTTGATTTAAGAAATATAAGCTACAGATTATTTTATTGTCTCTTGTCTTTTCTCACATTTACGGTCCTAAGTCGTCCTCCATCAAGATGGAGAGACTATTGACCACAGTGACTTAAAGTTGTTACTTTGTTAAGTATTTATATTTAAATCAAAACTCATTACTAGACTATTATTTTGACAATGTGGTACAAGGAAGGGCCTTTTCTCCTATTAAAGGATTTTAGGAATTAGCAAAGGGTGGGGTGTAACTTGGAGGCAGATGGGGAATTCATTTGACTCAGAAGGTAGACCTGACTTTAAGCCTTGACTGCTGACTTGGGCATGAAGTGAGTAGTCAAGGGAGATAAACCATGGATTGTCTAACCAGAGAGTTTTCTGATGTCCTGGAATTTGGGGTTCACATGGTCATAATTGAATTGCTGACCTTTATTTCCTTCTTGGCTTTGCTGATCATGCATTGAAGATTATATCCCGTCTCCACACCTATTCTGTCCTAAGCTCCTGTGCCATTGCATTTTCTAGCAGATTTGACATTGTTTTAGTTAGTATTGAATCCTTTTGAAATGTCTGAAAATGTGCACATTAATATATATTATTTTAATTTTATGATGCTGTAATATCTTTTTTCCTTTTTGGAAAGAAGATTTTAGAAAGTTTCTAGGTAGGACATATGTAAATATTTGAATATTTTACTTTTTGGCTTGCATAAATAATGAGTTCCTATACATAAATAGAAATATAGGCATCTCTGTTTATATATTTACCTTTACCTCCATGGGACAATAGGAACATCAGTATGATAATCATATTAAAAGTCCAAAATGATGAATTATCTACATTATCTTTTAATATTTGTGCAGCAGCATATCCCTGTGTATTATATTTTAGGTATTGGCTTTTGATTTTTTTCTTATAAATTCAGCCAGGCCCTCTAATTTCTTTTAGCAGTAGCTGGACAAATCCAGTGAATTGGTGTGATAGTGACCTCTACTGGTAAATATGCATTTAAAAAAACACAAAAATGTCTTGCTATATATATATTTGTTTCTAAATACCACATTCCCTCTCTGTAGGAAAAATGGAAAGGATCTTTCCACTTATTGATTTAATGATTCCAAGACAGTCTTAGTATAAAGATATTTTTTATAAAGGTTAAATAGGTCAGTGTGATTACCTTAAAAGAGACTAATTTACATGGATCATTTTAACTGATTTATTAATTGACTTTACAATAATGAAAATCATTTCAACAGTAATAGCTTATGTTAACTAAACATTTAAAGTTAGCTTTTTTTTTTTTTTTTTTTGAGACGGAGTCTCGCTCTGTCGCCCAGGCTGGAGTGCAGTGGCGGGATCTCGGCTCACTGCAAGCTCCGCCTCCCGGGTTCACGCCATTCTCCCGCCTCAGCCTCCCAAGTAGCTGGGACTACAGGCGCCCGCCACTACGCCCGGCTAATTTTTTGTATTTTTAGTAGAGACGGGGTTTCACTGTTTTTAGCTGGGATGGTAAAGTTAGCTTTTATTATAGTGATACAGTAAAAGGCCTCTGAGATTTTTTTTATTTTAATAAAAATTAGGTAACAGGCCTAAATTTGCAGTAACTGAATTTAAAATGGTGTTTAGTAATGTTAACATTTTGAAAAAGGGCAAAACTAATATTGATACTTATTTTTCACCAGCAAATTCTTTATTTTGTTCCTAAAACTGATTATTGGTAGGATTTAGGACTCCAATTCTCATTATTAAAAACTTTGCCAATCCAAACTTTGCCATCTCTCAATTTGATGAAGTACTAGGCAATTTGATGTTAGCAGTAAGCAAATCATTCTTTTCAGGAAGTTATTTATCAATTAAAAAGTATAGCTCATTCGAGATTTTTCCAACCAATCCACTAATGACCTCATAAATTAATATACTGAAGATGGTTTTGAAATGTTAAATGTAAAACAACATATTCAGGGTGAACATTACACATAATTATTAGAAGCATATCATAAAAGGGATAAAGCATAGTAAGCTCTTGGGAGTTGAGTTGCCCAGGAATTTCCAAAGGGAGGCTCATTTCCACATGGTGGGAAGTTTTAGAGTTTTTGTGCTTCAATTCAAGAGCCACCCAATTAGAAGGAAAAAAATGAGTATAATGTTGTGCCGTTTATGTTAGCTCTTTAAGAAGTAGATATTTTAGTGCTATAATTCCATACTAATTAACTTTATGTTCATTCACAAATGCACATTTGTGTCATAAAATGATAAATACATAGAATTAATCCTTTTAGGTCACTTTCTTGGAATATACATATTAGTTTATACTTGTTATTGATTATCATATTAGAAAATATAAGTGTAATTAAATAAGTAAAGACTACTACTTTAAAAAATTGTGGATACAGTGTAGAAGAATGTAGAAGTCAGATTGATTGTATTTAAATGTAAGTATTTAAGTTGCACCACATACTGGGCTTACTAGCTGTGAGACTTCATGTAAATTATTTAATCTCTCAAAGCCTCAGTTTCTTCATCTGTAGTGGTAGTAGGATTGTACTAAGAATCAAATAAGATAATGTATATAAAATGCTTCAGAAAATTTCTGGCATTCAGTAAGTGTTAGCTATTATTTCCATGTCTCTTTGATTTTTTTTTTATTTGTCTTTGGTTTACATTACCTGCAGTGACTCCCATTTAATTCTAAAGCACAGAAATTTATCTTTTCAAGCTCCACGTACCTAATTCTCTCATCCCAACAATGCACTCATATACAGTTCATTGATACACATTGTACAAAAAGCCTTAGATGTGTGAGTTAGTCCAGGTCTTCCAAGAAACAGATGCCAAGATTAGATTAAATGTGCAGAAATTTATTAGAGAAAACACCCTGTGAGAACCAGAGGGAAGGAGCCAGGAAAGCCATCAGACCAACACGAAAGTCTGACCCAGAGTTAAGGAGAGGAAGAAGGAAGGAAAGTTGTACAGAAGTATCCTAGACAGCTGAACAGTTCTAAGGAAGGTTTGGCAAGGCTGCTGGGAAGTCCTCTAGCTGAAATTTACTGTGAGAAGAATACTGGGCCTCCCAGGATTAGGCCTACTTTAGTGTCCCTAGTGTGCTCAGTCTTTTTCTCTGGGATCAACCCTGGTAGAGGTGACCTCAGTGCAAACTTGTTGATGGCTTCCAGAGCACAGCAACTTGAGACATTGGTCAGCTACTCTTTCTACAATTGGAGCTCTGAGGCACATTCTAAAGGACACTATAATATTCCCATCAGTAAAAGAATGAGATCCATATTCCTTGTATTACACTTTCAAAATCTTTCACTATCTGTCCTAGCCTAACATTTTCAGCCTGAAATCATCATTTTATTCTTGACAATCTGTAACTATTTAGTGTTTCCCAGTTACACATAGAACTCTTCCATGTCAGCAATGTGTTTTATACTGTTTCGTTTTGTTTTGTTTTTTCCTGCCTGGAATACTCTACCTTTCATTCCTGATGTCTCTCCTTTAAAAATTCTGAACCAACTGTGAATTCATTTCTCTAATGCTACCTCTTCCCTATTCCACTCCATTTAGGTGCTACCTGTCCATCTTCTCCACACGTGTGGTGCTTGCATTGTTACACCGTATCACTTAGGATTAGGCTTAACTGTGGATCATGAAAACCCAAAATAAAAATAGCTTAAACAAGAACACAGTATTATTACTCTCTCCTGTAAAAGCCCAGAGGTAGCCAGCTCAGGCTCGGTGCTGTAGCTGTGCTCCACAAAGACCTTGGGGACCAAGACACCTTTGGACTTTCTACCTTACATCCCTAGGATATGGCCCTTTCCTTCAGGGTCAAGGATGCAGCTCCAGTCATTATATCCACATTTTAAACAGTAGGATGGGGGACTGGGAAAGAAGGGACAGACAGCATGTATCACCTGTCTCTTAGGAAGGTTACTAGAAGCCATCACAGACATTTACTCTTACATCCTGTTGTCTAGAACTTAGCCAGATGGCAATACTAAGCCACTAGGGTGGCTGAGAAATGTGGTCTTTATTCTGGGTGGCCATATATGTCCAGACAAACAGAAGGGGAGGAGAATTATTGAAGGACAACTGGCAGTCTCTGCACTAGACTCTACCCAAATAGTCCATGTAATTTAAACACATTATTCATTCTGTTTCAGTCTTCTACTAGATTGTAAGCTCCTATGACAGTTACTAACCTATGTAAGTTTGTCGCCCATATACTGCTAAGGGTGCCTCTGATGGAGAAGGTATTCAATCTTTATTTATTGAGTTCAGGAACTAAAAATTTATCAACATTTCTTATAGAGTAAGAAACAAACATAGTATCATGTAACTTTAATAAATCTAATGCTCATTTTTCACTTAAAGTAACCATCAGGAAAACCTAAAAATTTCAAGGAGTTAAATAAGGTATCAGGTATTTGTTGATTTAGAAGTAGTTTTTCTACTTCTCTTTCTCTATATTAACTAGTGTAAGTCTGAATTTATGAACTCTGACAAATTGCTTAACCATTTTGGATTTTTTCCTGGCTCCTACTCTTAAAATAATGATGATGATAATTAAAATAATGATGATGAAGAATAATAATAGTTATTGATATGATAATTATCATTTTAAAAGAGATTTTACAAGGATACTTACTTCTCCAATATACTTCATTCTCCTGGTGGTCACCTTTTCATTTTTCTTCTTTTGTTCACTATAGCTTCTTATTTTCTTCTCTCTAGGCTGTTGCTATTTATAAAATATTTGTAGTTTTAAACATTGTTTTATTAAACTAAACCCTGCATTTATATAACCTTTTCTTGAGTGTCACTCAAATAATATGTATGAAGTAGGACCTCAGGAGTGTATTAGGTCTGATGTGTATGGTAACTGGCATGCCTTCACAGACTCTCAGCCTAGTCTCAAGAAATATTCAATTTAAAGTTCATTTACTATTATGTCACTCTTCTGTCATTTCCTTTTCATTCTTTTTCATGTATACATAATACTAGACAAGTGGTCAGTACTTGGTTTGACCAAATTACACTTAAAGTAAAATGTACAACAAAGGGAAGACTGAAATATTTTGACCAGGAACCAGGCCACAGGGTTCAGGAATCTTTGTGGAATCACTAGCGCTGAAGGACGCCATATGAAACCACTGTCCCAAGAAGCAGCTGGGTCAGGTTGGGTGGGAAGGACAGAAGATAGCAAAACATTGGAACTTTGGAAACTTAGAACAAGTGGACATTTTTCCTGAGATGTATGCTGTTGTCACTCAGTATCCTTGGGAAATTAGTTCCAGGAACCCCTACAGATACCAAAATCTGCAGACACTAAAGTCCCTTGTATAAAATGATGTAGTATTTGCCTATAACCTATGCACATCCACTCTATATTACTTATAATACCTAATACAATGTAAATGCTATTTAAATAATTGTTATGTTGTACTATTGTTTAAATTTATGTTATTTTTTATTTTTGTTTTTTTTCTTTGGTTTATTTTCAGTACTGCAGTTGGGTGTATCCAAAGACGTGGACTTGTGGGTACAGAGGGCCAACTGTATTTTATTTTGAAATGTCTACTATTGTTAGGTTTTCCTACTTCTTTAGTGATATTACAATTAAAATAAGCATGTTCTTATAGATAGAATAAATTCCCATAACCTGACCCTCTTTGCTGAATTTATCATCACCACAAGGGAACATACGGAGTTTCCTGATGAAAAAACATGTTCCATTCTGTTTTCCATCCCTTGCACTGACACTGTACCCCCTGGCATCAGATTAATCTTTCATGTTCACTCTGTTAAGCAAGAGACTGGAACATAACTGGTAAAAATATTGTAAGTTCATAAAAATTTCTTGAGGAAGATAAATTTTTAATTTTAAAAGTATCTTAAAGCATCTCAAAGCAGAAAAAAGGTGTAGAGAGGAAACTGAACAAAGGGAAAGATGCTAAGGAAGACACGACAAAAAGACAGAAGGAGAAAGAAAATAGACTTAACTAGAGAGAAGAGCTTTAAAAATTTTTTCTAAGCTGTTTGATTTTTCCCTTGGTCTTAAAATGTGTAAGATACTGTTTTATTGGAATGGATAGAGAAACCAAATAATGAGGAAGTGAAACAAGCACTAGACCTTAGGCATTCTATAATCTGATGGGAAAATAAGATATGAGGGGACATATGAGTTTACATTAAATGACACCAAAAATCACCATGCCCATTTGCGATGAGAATAAGGCCATTCACACTTATAAAACTTGTTGGAAATTTGTGGGATTTTGTTTTTTCAAAACATTTAAATTATGGTAACTGACAAAGTTGTAAATCATCAAACACATTTAAAGCTACATTTTCCAAATAAGTATATATGCCTTATAATTTAAGGCTGGTATTTTTCTCCCTTAATCATTTATTTAACTGTTTGCCCATGCTTTTTTTTAACTGCACAGAGGGAACTCATATCTGTTATTTTCACAGGGAACATGATGCAAACAAAATCAATTACATGTATGCTCAGTATGTCAAAAATACTATGGAACCACTTAATATCCCAGATGTCAGTAAGGATAAAAGATTTCCCTGGACAGTAAGTAACCCAATTTTAGACTTGAAGCTAGAAGGCTGTTTTCCCATCACATCTGTACTTACAGTTATTCTTGAACTGAAGGACTGGCTCTAGAATTGACTGTTTAGGAATGATCTGTGCTTTCCCTCATCTGAGGAAGGAGAATAAAATAGATCATAACATCTATTGAGAGCTGTAGCTGGACATTTTTCTTTGTACTTTTTTCACCTTTTTAAATGTCTATTAATAAGTTACCGTACTATTTTTGAAGTAATTTAGCTATTACCTACATAATGTCAATGACATTCCTTAGATAATATTGCTAGAGTTTTTGCCTTATTTGCAAAAATTAGTTTCTGTGTGGCTTGAACTGATGCAATTGGTAATCTGTCATAGTGAGTAGCTCTGGGAAAATGGATGTCTGTTTTTCTTGACCTCAAAGCTACAAATATCTAGTTCTCAGACACTGAAAAATTTGAATTATAGTATTTTCTCTCACCTCTTCAGGAAAGCATTGCACTTTGAGGCAGCTGCCTTGATTTTGTTATTTGGATGATTTTGTTATTTGGGTGTTATTTGGAGACATTGTTAGAACTTTAGCAATATAGCAATAGCAACAGTGGTATTATTAAAGGACAGGTTTGTAACACGGTGCATTTTAGGTGGCGTTTAGATTCTGCCCCTCTCGTTAAATTATTTGGGGCATTTACTACACTAGTATAGTAGATACTGTACTTTTACTTATTTTTTTTAACTTATTTTTATATTTTACTTATTATTAAGCTGCTTGGAAAGTTTAAAGTGAAAAAAATTCCGATATTTTTAACAAAGTAGACATTGCTTTATATTGCATTTATGTGAACTTCATTATAATTTATACATTTTCTGCTTTCCAATGCTCTCTAATATAAAAGTTGAATATATAGTGCTTTCAAATGTGTCATATAGTTTATATGGCATCTAATGGACAAATCAATCTCTTTACCATTTTAGCTGTTTTGTTCTTTTTATTTTTGTTTAGACTGAAAATACAGGAAATGTAAACCAGCAGTGCATTAGAAGTTTGCTTTGTACACCTATAAAAAATGGAAAGAAGAATAAAGTTATAGGTAAAACCTTTCCTTTAACCTATACTCTAAACTTATTTTTAAAAATGTATTCCCAGCTATACTTCTTTCTTTCAAATGTAAAGAATAAAATGTTTTAAAAAAGATAAAATTTGGAATGATAGAATAATTAAAATAATTGATAAATACCAACAGACATTTGTTAAATATCTTATAAACTATGGTGCACTTTTATAATTATTATCCTATTTCAGCAGAATTTTTTGTTTAAGAATGATTGATGATGTATTGAAATTTGGTAGACTGTATAAGAGATATTAAGTAGATAATGTGTATTGTTTTAGAGTCTTATTTCCTGGATGTTGACTTTTTTTAAGAATGTAGTTTAGGTTATAGGTTATATTTATTTATTCATTTAATATTTATTGAGCACTCCACTGTTCTTGGCAGTTGGGATAAATCAATGAACAAAGCAGAAATTCCTGCCCTCAGGAGCTTATGTTCTTAACATGATTATAGAAAAACCTCTACTTCAGGAATGATGGAAGAATGCATTCTCAGAAAAATTGAATGATGTTTCCTTTTATTGACATATTTGTTTCCTGGTATTGCAGTTATGTAAAGGTTAAGTAGGATTTTATATGCCAATCATCCGTGGTTGATGTAGTGAAAAAGGTCTGGACTGTTAACATTCTCCTAGGAACCTGGAAATAAAGAAAATATGATAACTTTTTAAAGGTTAAATTTAGAATTAAAACCCTAATGGAGCAACATTTAGATATATAAATATAACTTTAAAAGTCTGAATACTTTTCCAATTGCAAGATTTGACTATAATTTTATTGAATGAGAGTTTTAGTCAGAAAGAAGGGGCAGAGGGTATATCAGTAATGAAAATAGAAAAAGAAAAGACAGATATTAAAAGTGACTGTCCAAGTTCTGTGCAAGAGTAAAGTAACATTTGTCCCTAACACAGAGATGGATGTAGAGAGTTGTATCAGTGTGCATCGAGTATTCTGACCATATGGTGAGCCTTCACTAGGTGCAATGGATGCATCAGATTATAGCCAGTAATATCTTTCCAATTCCCAGTCCCTCTGCCTAGAATGCATCCTTATTGTGAAAGGAATACATCAGCTTAGCACAATTCAACATTCTCTGACTCTGATTTCCCTTGTTCTGATTCCAGTCCCACCAATCCAACTTGTACTGATTACTTTCTTTTCCAGTGTAGGTTAGCTCATGGGAAGAGAATGCATTATTCATGTCCTCTCAAATATACTGGTTGCCCTGACAGTTGTTTCTTATTGTATGAACTGGACTTGAGGCAATGGGCTGGAGCTGCAGGTGCTTATACTTCTGTTTCTGGGACAGATCTGTTTCTTTTTGAACATTGATACTATTTTGGTTTTATAAATCAGTCTTGTCAACTTAGTTACTGTGACTCCACCCCAGCAGTCTTCAGTATGCTAATCTAGTGCCTAAGCTAAAAGGTTGAGGGTCAGCTCCTGACCCTGGTGAATTGTGCATTAAAGCCGCTTAGAAACCAGCGTGCCAACCCCCTGCTGGGCTGTTGAGTCAACTCTTCTACAGTTCTCAGAGAAAAAAGTGGAGGCTAATGAATCTGTGAGATCTTTTTTAAAGATTGTCACTGATCAGATCTCTAACATAAGCAATAAAAGAAAACTGCCAAGGGTGCCTTACAATATGATACCAAGTAAATGTTATAAAATTTTATTTCTTAGGGAGGTCAAGGGGAAAACTATATTATAAATGTTATGCTGTTTAAAATGCTTTTTTATAAGTATAAAGATTTACTACAAGCTGTCTTTGGCCTTTGAAAATGTGAAATTAAATTCCAGAAGGAATGCATTATTTACTAGTAAGTTATCATAGGAAGGAAGGCAGAGTGGCAGCTTGCCCCATCAAGTCACATCTTCACTTTTCCCCAGCAACATTTCTTTGGAATAATAACTGGGAACGGGGAGTGGCTGGAGGAAGTTACGCATCAGGCCCCTTTGTCACTTTATGTGAAGGTAAATGAGAGCGAGTTAGACGACATGGAAAGAGTGCTGGACTGGGGGTCGGACTCACAGCATTGTGTTAGCGCCACTCATCTTCAGCCACACTTATGGGCACATTACTCACCTCTGTGGAGTTGAACTTAATAACTTTTCAGATCTGTTCAAAATTCACATTCTGTGATCCTGTCACTGTGTCAGACAAGTAAGAAAAAAATAAAAAATGAAACAATCAGACTTTTCTTGGCATACATTTTGTATCACCCTACTTGATGACAGAGCCAAAAGTAGGCAAATGTAGATTTTGGAGAGAAAAATTCTTTGTAAATAAAAAGAAAGGAAAAGAAATGATTTCTTTAGTCGGGTTTTGTGTGGGGTGAAGGGAGGTTCTCAAGTAGATCCCAAATATAAGGGGGAAAATTTCCAGTGTTCCTGCTGCTTTACAAGGGTGACAAAACTAAGAATTTGATTTCTGGACTATACTTATGTACCTACAGTTGTAGCATGGAAAATGTCATGGTTGTGGATAATTTGTCTTACATGTCATAGACCAGATTCCACTATTATGTAATTCTAATAGAGAATCCCTATAGAGTTACATGCAGAAAGACAGACGGACACATGTGTTGTTTGTAATCTTCTTCCTTCTTCTCATTTTTTCCATTACTGACATTTAGATGGAATTATAGACATTAGACCAGTATGGGGCCTGCTGTCCCATCACATTTATTCCCTGAGGTATTGTTTCGTATCAAATGTTTTCTTAGTGCTCTGGCTAATACACAGTGTTTCCACTACTTTGCTTCCAGTACTTTTAAGGAAATATATTTCTCATTGAACGTTCATTTATTTTAACTAATTATTTTCCCTGCTTATTATGCTAAA
The DNA here is from genome assembly GCF_000001405.40 of Homo sapiens. Classification (NCBI taxonomy): domain Eukaryota; kingdom Metazoa; phylum Chordata; class Mammalia; order Primates; family Hominidae; genus Homo; species Homo sapiens. The sequence goes on along the minus strand of NC_000004.12, from coordinate 119,549,685 downwards.
TGCCTTTTTCCAATATTATATTTACCAGACATTTTTATGCCTATTTTTTCCATATCAATTTCAGGATAAATTTTGCAGAAACTAGTCCTATTCCCATTGAAAATTTATTTTAAAAAAAGATACTTAGAACATCTCCACTTTAAATAGCTTACTTTTTCATCTCCTTGTTAATAAATAAAAGCATAAAAATAAAAATTACAGTGCTGTACCACACATTGTTTGACAGAGAAATATGAGAAAGAAATATGTATTTGTCAACTGGTTACTATCTTAATCCCTTCTCATGTACACTGTAAGAATGTTCTGTTTTTTACTTCCACAATGAATTTTCTAAGTCTCTTACACTTTCAAACTTGTTCTGTTAGCCTGTTTGAACTGGCTAAACACCTACATCATTCCAATGCTCCAAATGGCACCTTATTTTAGTTCCTTTCTATCAATAAAATTTGGGAGACCTGCATGCCTGCAGAGTTTTTTTGAGTAGGCCTTAATGAATTTTTGAATCATTGATTGTCACTACCACGTCATCTTATCTTACTCTGTTAATTTATTTTGGCTTTATTTAATAAATTACTCGGGTGGACCTTTAAATAGGTGAATACATGGAGAGATAAGCTGCTCATCTGTGTGTTGCAGTAGAATTCCAAGGCATAAATAAGTATTCTAATGTTATATCGCTTAAGTTTGACTACTACTTCATTGTACTTTTCATATTAAATTTTATCACTTGGCAATATCACTATTCATTTGTTTATAATTGTACATTGTCTTCCATGGTATACATTGCTTGTATTACTTAAAGTATCCAGGTTTTTTCCCAGTTAGAGAATTGTAAATTATGCTTAGTTATAATGAGCACAAGGAAATAAGACTGTAGGGTGTAAGGGCAGTAATAGGTGGAAGAAAACTAGAAAAAAATAGAATTAAGATATTATAGTTTAGAATTATGGAAGTGAAGATCTATATAATAAAAACAATGTAAAGATTACAGATTTAATAATTGACTGAAGAAAGACAAAAATAAGGAAAACTTTTTAGTAGCACTAGAAAACAGAGAAGTAGTCTTTAGTGGATCAGAAACACTAAGGAATTCCTGGAACCTGTGAAGTATACGTCATTTGTAAAGACACATTTTATACAACATGGGCAAAAATTGAATAGGGATAACAATATTTCTATCAAACAAAGTAGAATTTATGGTAAAACATAATGTAAAGAATCACCTTTCATTGAGTAAAATTAAAACTCATAGAGGAAAATGTAATTGCTGTGAATGCTAATAAACTAAATAGCATCATTGACATACAAAAACTAAAGCTGTTAAAAATACACGGAGAAGGCTGGGCGCGGTGGCTCACGCCTGTAATCCCAGCACTTTGGGAGGCCGAGGCGGGCGGATCACAAGGTCAGGAGATCGAGACCATCTTGGCTAACACGGTGAAACCCCGTCTCTACTAAAAATACAAAAAATTAGCCGGGCGCGGTGGCGGGTGCCTGTAGTCCCAGCTACTCGGGAGGCTGAGGCAGGAGAATGGCGTGAACCTGGGAGGCGGAGCTTGCAGTGAGCCAAGATTGTGCCACTGCAATCCGGCCTGGGCTAAAGAGCGGGACTCCGTCTCAAAAAAAAAAAAAAAAAAAAAATACACGGAGAAATGGACAAAGTGATCATCACAGTGGGCCTGAAATATACTTGTCAGTGTTAAATTATAGGAAAAAATAAACATTAGAATTGATAAAAATTAAGTGGATTTAATTGACATATATAGCTTTACTTTCATGTTTCAGAATTTAAAAATATAAATTATTCTAAAATATATGTCAGAAATCAAATATTGGTGATATGCAACATAAAGTCAGTCGTTTCTGAAAAGCAGAATTGTTGGCCACTTTCATAGATCACAGTGCATTAAAACTGTTAATATATAATTAAAAGATAAATTGGAAGGAAAAAACTCACTTAGAACCTGAAACGCATTCTCCTAAATGACAAAGAAGAAATCAAAAGTCATAATTAAATTACAGCATTTTAGAAAAGTAATTGTTCTATTAACATAACATAAAAACTGAAGGTACATGGTCAAAGCTATACTCAGAGGAAATTATGTAGCTTTAAATATTTTATTATTATTAAGAAATAATGAAAAAATTTTAACTAAGCATTCAACCGTAGAAATTAGAAAAACAGCACCTTTCTCTTTCTCACTCTGTTGCCTTCCCCAAATAAGTATATACATGAGAAGAAAGAAAGTAGAAGAAAAAATTGAAAAAATAAACTTATGAAATGAGAAGAAATAAGAGATAATGGGCAAACACAATAATAATAGATGAACCTCCAACGGATAATGAGGATATTAAGAGAGAAACACAAATAGTAATGAGAGAGGGAATGTAAGTACAGATATCAAAGACATTTTAAAAGATACTTGATATTACAGTGTAGCAAATAGGAATTAACATTTGGTGAAATGGGGAATTTCTATAAAAATTGGTAATAACCAATACTAACTCAAGAGGATTTTAGAATTGTTCATGGGAGTAACTGAGAAAGAATTTGTTATTTAAAAAAAAAAAAAAAAAAACTATTGCCCAAAGAAATTCTAACCAAAGCAATTAGAAGGGAGGCAAGGTTGAAATAAGATGAGACACAGAAAAAAAGGAGGCAAAATAAAATAACTTACAAATTATATTAGTGTTAAATGGAAAACCCAAAAAGAATTAGCTGAAAGTACCTGTCTAGTAAGAGTTTTATAAGAAGCCTAATTATCAAATTATTAAAGAGAAATAATTTTAATATATGCCAAGACAAATTTGTTAGAAAACAATGGAAAAAAATAAAACCATTTACTACAGTAACAAAGAATAAACTTGGCCAGAAATATATGTCATCTATATGAGGAAAGCTACAAAATTCTGAGTGACTTAAAAATCATTAAGAAGTGAATACATTTCTGAAATGATTAAAATCTAGTTTACGAGATATCAAGTCTCCCAGATTAGATTTGCATCAATTTTATTATCCTTGTGAGACATGGGTGGGGGTGGGGAGGTTGTTCCTGATCAACATTTACAAACATTGGTAATACTTACAACTGGAGGTGTAAAAAGAATCATAGCTGATGGTTATTGCCCTTTCAGAAATTAAATTTAGATTTAATTCAGAAATTAAAATGATATAAAAGTAAAATAATTAAAAATATGGTATAGGTGCTAAAAGACATGCCAAGATTGATGAAACAGAACAGAAAGTCTAAATGTAGACCCATAGTCTGGCATATATAATTGTGTTACTGTATGTAACAGAGTAGGGTATATTTCATTATTTTTAAGTAAGATACTTTTGAATGAAAGACACCATTTTATGTATCTCCAAGAAAATAAAATATGATTTCAATTTACTATGTCAAGCTATTGATCATAACATGCATACTGATTTCAAAAATATTAAAATGTGGAAAAAGTATGTAATAGTTGAAACAAATATGAATTTAGTATATGGTGACAATTCAGATCATCAAAGAATGGGTAACTCTTCAGATGTTATAAGACTCCAATAGCAGTTAGGGGAAAAATTAAGTGGGATTATAAGATTAAATGTAATACATCTATAAAAGTACTAGGGAAAATATAGGTTTATATATAATATTAAAATGAGGAAGCCTCTTTTAAAAGCAAGGCACTATAGTTGAATATTGTAAGGATAATTATTCTGGCTCCTTAAAAAATTAAATCTTTTATACAGCAAAAGCCTCTCCAAATTAAGATGATTGACAAATGAAAAGTGCAGAAACAAAAGTATTTGCAAGATAGGTGATAAAGGTTCGTTTTACATTTTAATAAGGCAGGATGCTAATTTTGGAGTCCATGTTATGTGGTAGAGAGGACATAAGACTGCAAGCAGGGTATAAGCATTGACCCCCTGTTCTGCCAAAGAGCCAGGAGGAAGACTGTGGTTGGTAACAACATCCGATCCCAAGAATTATGGAAAAGAAAATATAACTGTTTAATTTTAGAAGCCATCTAGTCCCTTCAGCATAATTTCCAGAGGTGCCTTCAATGCTAACCAACTCTCAGACCTACTGTGATGACCACATTCTGAGTACTTTATGAACTCTATAATAATATTAGGTAACACTGATAGTTTGCTAACTTCACTACTTCTTGGTTCCCCCAATACATTTTTGAATGTTGTTTTATTTTGTGATTGCACTTATTAATGGGTTTTTGCTGAATGGTTCTCTTTTATTTTTGGTTTTGCATTAAACATTTCATTTTTAAATATAAATTATTCTGAGTTTGTATGGTTTATGAGTAACGTGGCATCTCAAATTTCAGTTTTAAATTTCATTATTGTACTCCTTAATCTTTCAGATCATTAAGGAAGAAGTTGTGAACACTCTATCTGTAAATGTGCCCAGGTTTTTAGTTTTCTTAAACAGGGAACCCTGTTTGTTATAAGCCCTCTTTTTCTTTATAACTTTTTGTTTTTACATGGGTATTTTTGCTTGATAGAATTAAACTTTCCGAAGAGTGTAAAGAGATCAATGGGATTATCATGAATGCTATTTAAATATGGCTGCTCATTTCACTTTCAAAAAGATAATTAATTTATATGCCTAGATGGATGATTTGTCTTCAGTACCCATTTTTGTTGCTGTTGTTGTTGTTGTTTTCCCCAGAGCTTAACTCTGTGCCTATAGATCTATATCTATAATGGTAGATCATAACATGGATATACTTTAGTTGTTCTGCTCTGAGCTGTATTTGTTATAGCAGAACCTTGATATTTCTACACATAACATTCCATTTAAAGGACTTGCGGGCAATTCCAAAGGTATAATTTAATGACTCTTAATATATTCATTCAGTGAATTTTGACCAAGGCATAGATTTGAACTGCTGTACTGGAGAGATACTTAGCTAGGTCATAAGCCTCGCAGATTGCCTGGTATTCACATCTCAACCCCTCTGTGTTGTACTTTTCTTGCTATACGTGTAGTAATTCTTGTGAAGTAATTTTTAAAATCTTGTTTATGAAAAAGGCTATCAAGTAGGAGAAAACTTTAGTAAAACTGAAAGGCAATTCCATTGTGATGTGAGGATAAGGGCATGAAATGTGACTCTCAAGAAAATAAGATTTAGGAGACAGAAGCCTGTATAAACAGTTCCATATTTATATTTTGGGGATTCACAAAGGTTGAAGGACATAACCCTTGGTTTGTTTTTTGCTTTTTGTTCTTGTTTTTTGCCACACACAGGATATATACATTTAAGATAATGAACGCTGATTGCCATTTAGTATATGGCTTTTACTTGCAGTGTCCAAATTCATTATATCTTGTCTAAAGTTTCCCTTGACTATGGAATAATTGATAAAGTAACTTCTGCAGCACTATTGCAAATAGATAAGCATGTAGATGTCTTTACTGTTTAAAGTAGATAAACAAACAAAAAGAGCAAAAAGGAGAGTCCAGATCATTTATAGTATGAAAAGTAAAGAAAGTGAACATTGATGGTGGTAAAGGGGCTTAATGTGCAACCGTCTTCCAGACTCTATGAAATCCTTTTGTGCTCCAGGAAAAATAAAGGATAATAGACTATTATAGTCTTCATGGGAAACTAGTTACAGTCAGAGCTGCAATTCTACATTCTTTCATTAATTCGGAAAACATTTTTTTAGTTCCTACTATATGCTAGGCGTTTTGCCAGCTGAAGTGGAGCTGAAAAAAATAAATAAAACTCTAAGCCCAAGATACTGACAGTCTAGAAAGAGAGAGAGAAATAAAATTTACCATGATACACCAACTGGTCATGTTAAGGGAATAGAAAAATGCCTGCCTCACCTGTAAGTTAGAGGCCTCCTGGAGGTCATTGGGAAGGAGGTATAGGGATCAACTGGTGAGGCGGGAGGGAAGGCAATGGGGAGCAGTGCAGACCTGTGGAAAAGCATAAGCAAAGGTGTGGGCAAGCAAGATGCAACCAGGGCACTGATAGCAATGATCTGACAGGTAATATGGCAGTTGAGAGTGGCCCTTGTGGCAGGCTGAGCTGGGGATTGAATTTTAGACCTACACATACCAGCTAAGTGGCTTTGAGCAAATGATGTAACTTTCTGAGATTCAGTTTCCTCATCTGTAAAATGAGAATAGTCACATCTACCTCACAGAATAAATTGAGAAGACTGGAGATCATGTGTCTACCAAAGTATTTAGCACAATGCCTATCCCACAGTGGGCACATGGTAGAAGTTTGTTATTATATACTCAGAGACAGAAGTGATAAGGACTTTAACAACACTTTGTTTACACAGAGGTAGGCTGGGTCATCAAAGTGACCTCTGTGAGGTCACTCCTCACAGAGACCACTAGGCTCAGAAACTCATAGAACAACCAGTTAAGATTTATCCTAATGTTGATGTAATCTTCCATTTTTATTGACTACGTGTTTAACTTTTATTTCTAAGTAGTCATTTTTATTTGCATAATTATTTGCAGAATCAAAAGTTTTCTGCAAATTTGATTCTGTTGGATACAGAGGTGTAGATTTGAAATTTGAGACTGCTTATGTCAGTTGCCTCCTTTCTGCATTCTATTTTGTATGTAACCGTGTGTGTGTGTGTGTGTGTGTGTGTGTGTGTGTGTGTATGTTTAACTTCTGGTTTCTCAGTAAGGAAAGGAGATCTGTTTGACCCAAAATTCTGATGTGCATCAAAATCGTTCTCTTGGCAAGTGTACAAAAATCCAATTAGCTTCCAAAGGACAAATTGTCTTTGGGGACTCAACTGATCTAAAATTCGTGACCGAGTCTGGAAGAAAATAGTACTCTAGGATTTTTTGAACGCCAGCAATGTACATTTTGAACTACATGAAACTAGTTCTCATATAAATTCTGTTTACTTCTCTAGCTTATATTTGTGGGGGTTAATTTGCTTATTTCGACATACTAAGCATTCCTAAGAGAAAAGTGTAAGACAATCTTTGGGTGTGTTTGTTAAAGTCCACAAAAACTATGATAATCAACAATAACATTTGCTCAATTTCTCGGATTGTTATAGGGGTTTGCCAACTTGTTAATAAGATGGAGGAGAATACTGGCAAGGTTAAGCCTTTCAACCGAAATGACGAACAGTTTCTGGAAGCTTTTGTCATCTTTTGTGGCTTGGGGATCCAGAACACGCAGATGTATGAAGCAGTGGAGAGAGCCATGGCCAAGCAAATGGTCACATTGGAGGTGGGTGAAGTTTAGGGACCTCTCACACTGTACAGCCAAACCCTCATCTTTTACCTTTCCCTCATAATCACTCATGGTGTGTGTGTGTTCCGTCATTGTGTCCTCACCAAAATTATGTGATTTAGATGATGAGATCCTTATTGTCCTCAACTAAAGAATGAAAGAAACTAAGACTCAGAATATTTAAGAAACTTGTCAAATGTCATATAACCAAACCACAACTCAGGATGTTTATCCCTTTATGCCTTTGCTTTTTCTGCAGAAAGCAATATTGACTTTAATAATCCATTGACACAGATGACTACTGCCAATTATCTGTCTCTTTCCCATTGCCTGAGCCTCCCCATCTTTCCGTGAGAACAGTTGTGGAAAAAAATTAAAAATAAACAAACAAACAAAAAACAGAAACCCTAGGCACTCTTAAGAGAATTAGAAGTGAGGAAAAGAAAAAATAAAATCAACGAAAAGCAGGAAGAGTTTTAACTCCTGGAATCATCTGAGAAACTATTTCAAACTATAAATTTATATACCCTACTTCTGAAAGTTCTGATTCAGCAAGTCTTGGGTAGAAGCTGGGAATCTGTATGACTACCAAGCTCCCCCAGGTGACTCTGAATGTGCAGGTAGCGAGTGAAGAAACCACTGGCTCCCAGGGACTGACCGAGGAACACTCTTTCTCACAAAGGACCAGCCGACTCCAACAGGGTCAGTCCTTTCTATATATGTTTCACTAACTGCCTTGAAATTATTCAGTTGATGTAACATGGAGATTTCTTATCTAGTTGAAATTAGAGAAAATCAGTGTTTGGGATATAATAACATTTCCCTCAATCTCTCTTAAGTACATAACTAACCTTAAAGAGCTAGAGAGACATATATTATATAAAATATACCAGATGGTACCCTTTACTTTCTATGCTGAATATATTATACTAATAGGTTTGCTACAGTATTATATAAAAGACTTTGAATATATAAACCAGTGGAAATCTGTTTCAAATATATATGTACACATATACACACAAATATATATTTCAAATATAGTTTCAATTAGGTGCATATACACATGTACATATGTGTTCAAATAGCTTTAAATATACAGATACACATATATACATATATCTATATATGTGTTTATTATAAAATATATAAATATAATTTTTAATCTAATTTTTTCAGTTTCATGGTTTTTCATTGAAAAATTTAATCTAAGTCAGCTATCAATTAGAAGTTATTTCTTTTTTAAATGTTTTATTATGGAAAGTTTCAAGCATATACAGAAGTAGACAGAAAGCTTAATAAGCCCTCACATACTCATCATCCATTCAGTAATTATCAACCCATGACCATTATCACTCCATCCATTCCCACCGCACTCCTCTGCACTTCCCTTCCCCTCCCACTGGCTTAGTTTGAAGCAATCCCAGACATTGTATTACTTTGTTCAGAATCTCTGAATATTTTCCTGATTGAGACTTATTTCTATCTTTGTAGCTCTCTTTCAGTTAAATATATGGATAATTAGGCTTTTACCTAGTATAAAAAGTTTTTGATTTCAGGTCATATGTGTAGTCATTTCTATGATCATAGATATAACTTTGAAAAAAATGGTCCTTTCTTTATGAGACCATTGGACAAAAGCCAAGGGCACAAACCCCTCAGGTCTTCAAAAGACAGTGAATTATTTTGACCTGGAAGTTGTGATCATTCTAATAACAATAAAATAATGATGACAATAAAAGTAACTAAATTTATCAGATGTTTCAATTGTATTCTAATGCTTACATGTATTAACAAAGTTAATCCTTATGCCCCATGTGTAAGTTATTTTTATCTTTTGTGTGTGATAAAATTTTTTTAACTTAGAATGTATTGTGTCATTTCTTTATTCATGTATCCATGTTGCACTGCACTTGTTAATATTAGTCTAACTCATGGACACAGTATTAGCTTTTCTTGGGAACCACCACTGTAGTCTCAGTAGCAACAGGTTATAGCCATGACCCATCAATTTCACACGTGCAGGAGAGAGCAGCTGTGAGTTTCTTGAGGTTTCCTAGTGACTAATGGTTCAAATGGCAAGAAAGATGCAATGTAGTGCAGTATGGTAACAGTTCTAAATCATAAGATAGTACAAATATGTATCATTTGGCTTTAAATTTTTAATTACTTAAAATTTTAAAGACTGGTTCAAGAAATACTGGTTTGGGTTGCTGAATTACTTTACTCACCATTTAAAGTTTGAAAATGAGCTACCTTTTCATCAATGCTTTTTAAGCTTTTGGGGTTTTTTTTGTAAATCTGTGTTGTCTCTCTCAAAAATGAACTTTAAAAAAATATGCTTTCAAAGCATGATAGATACTTTAAATACAACCACTACCTTGGTTTAAAAGAATGTTTAAAAAAAATCCCATTGCAGTTTGGGTAACCCTTACATGAAATGCTTGAGACCAGAAGTGTTTTGTATTTTGCATTTTTTTTCAGATTTTTGGAACATGTGCATTATACTTAATGGTTGAGCAGTCCAAATCCAAAAATCTCAAACTCAAAAATGTTTCAAAATCCAAAATTCTCTGAGCAGCAGCATGACACTCAAAAGGAAATGCTCATTAGAGGATTTTGGATTTCAGATTTTTAGGTTTGGGATGCTCAACTTGTAATTAGAAATGATTGCTTTTGAAAATGGAAATTAAGTTAATAAGCCTGATTTTTTAACTCTAAGTAATGGAACGTGTATAGGTTAGGAATTGAAAGCTGGGTCCTAAATCTCCTTGTCCTCTCACTAGGTGTGAGCTTACAGCCAAATCATGTGACTCCCTGAGGCTCAGTGTCCCCAACTGTCAATGGATGGCTTTACAGGCCAGCACTACTCTCTTCTCACCTCTTAAATTGTAGGAGTGTAAAGGGATCCTTAAATCTGCATGACTGTGTCCCAGGCATCCAGTTTTTCTGTGTGAATTCTAGAATGGTTACAGGCCTCATCTGAGAGCCACTTGTAGACTACTTTCTTTCCAAATATTAATATCAAAATGTCAGATTATGCAGAGATTTTCTCTTTAATTCTGTACACAAGCAGAAATAGCTAAAGTCAATATTGTCTTAAAAAAAAAAAACAAAATAAATTTTCTGCCAAAGTTTGAGCCAAAAGTTATTTCTAGGCTGGCTTATAAATAATGTGTTTGTTATAGCAATAATGTCAGACTGGAAGTTACAAGAGTTTTCTTTAAACATAGGGAGTATAACTTTTTGTTTTCCAAAACAAGCAATGGAATCTAAATCTGGGTTTTTCACTGTTGAAGAAAACAGCAAACAAGATTTGGCATTCTGAGGAGTCTAATTATCTCTCCAAGAAGACTTAGCAGAATTCCAAGCTTGAAGTTCTAGTCTACATGTGGTAGTTCTCTCCTGTGTAACCTGGACTTCTTTTCCTACCCTGTAGGTTCTGTCGTATCATGCTTCAGCAGCAGAGGAAGAAACAAGAGAGCTACAGTCGTTAGCGGTAATTATCCTCTTTCTTTTTAAAAATTACTAATTACAGACACCTAATTTAACCAAATTTGGTAAATATTTAGATGGATACTTATAAAAATGTTTAATTAACTCTGCTTTCTTGCAGGGATGCAAAGTCACTGATAATACAAAGCAAAAGGCATTAAATAACTTATACTGACTGTGTAATATAGTGTATGATTCTGATATTTGTTTTCCAGTAATTGTTATAATCATTACATCTTTTTGGGGCCAAAATTAAATTTACTTTTCTTTTAGTTCCTGGAGAAATGGGGACCATGAGGTGGTTGTTTGGCTAGGGTAATAACAAAACAATTTATAGTTTGTTACTGATACCTACTCTGTATTATCAAGAATTGAGAGTGATTTTAATTTCTGACCATATGGCTTATAAAATGCTGTTTGAAATTGGGGTCAAATAAGGTCAGTTCCTGAATTCTCTTTGCATTATTTAGCATACAATGAGAGAAAAGCACATGGATATGTAAGTAGATGTATGTTGTAGGTCTTGGTTTGGAATGGCTTGGTTGAGATTAATGAAAATTTGAGGCACTTTAACACTTTACAACCTAGGTTGTCCTCCTGTGTTTAAATGTATTTGCGATGACATAGGTAAGGGCCATGTGAGTTGTGACAACAGTTATGTAAGGAATGAGAAAAGTGTGAACAGATCATTGAGAGTCTTTTTCTGTCATCCTCATCATAGTTTGCCACATGCTAAACTCTTTGTGCCCTTATGTACATCTTCTCATGTAAACTGCACAACTGTTTTCTCATGTAAACTTCATAACTATGTTATGAAGGCCGCACTGAAGCCTGGAGAAGCCCAGTGACTTGCTCAAGGTCACTGCCATGCAGTGAAAGAATGAGGATACAAGTTCACCATCCAGAGCTTGTGCACAGAACACTGTGCTGAGACAGGAAAGATGATCCAAATATTTTGACCTTGGCAATTCAAAGAATGATGGTGACATTAATTCATAAAAGTGGAAATATTAAGATGAATATTAAGAATCACATGATTCAAGCAACACCCTTCATAGCTGCTCCTCCACTCTCTTTTACACAAAACATTATAATTTTTGAATAGTCTATATTCATTTCTTCCACCATTTACTTTTACCTTTTGCAGTTTCACTTCCCTGAAACTGCAGGTTTGATTTAGGACAAGGTAAGTTTGAGGTGCTGGTTGAACAACCAAGTGAACATCTTCAGCAATCAGAAAAGGCAGGACTCAAGCGATGAGGTGGTGGTGTTTAGAACTAGAGGTGGAGATTTGGGAGTTAACATCCCATGGTAGTGAAATCATAGGGGTGCATCAATTGGGAGAGAATGCAGAGAGGTAGAGAGACTGAGAACAGAACTCCTGTGAATATAGCCTTAGATGGAAGGAACAGGAAAAGAAAACAGCCAAGAAGGTAGAGAAGTGGTAGTTAAACAAGGAGGAAGATTTAGGATAGTGCAGTGGCACAGAAGGCAAAATAAAGTAGTTTCAAAAAGGGAGGAGATCTCATCAGTGGTAGGAAGGATGAGAAATATGAGGATTGTGAAAAAGCTGCTGTGGATTCGTTGATTAAGTGATTATTGAGAACGCAGTTTCAGGGAAGTGAAACTGCAAAAGGTAAAAGTAAATGGTGGAAGAAATGAATATAGACTATTCAAAAATTGTAATGTTTTGTGTAAAACAGAGTGGAGGAGCAGCTATGAAGGATGTTGCCCGAATCATGTGAAGTTTTTTATTGTTTGGTTAGGTTTTGAATGTGTGAGCTGGCATTGCTCACAAGCAAGAGAGGCAGAATGTTCTTAGGCAAAGGCGGAGGCACAGGAGTCAGTGTGAGAATAACAATGCAAGACAGTGAAGAGATAAGGACCTTGAAGAGGGCTAGGCATGAAAGAGCAACATTTCTTTTGCCCAAACAAGAGGATACAGATAATAATAATAGCTACATTTGTTGAGCACTTCCTGTATACCGAGCGTGTTTTAAGTTCTTTGTGTAAGTCAACTAAGTTTACTGAATCCACAACCTAAATGATCAGTATTGTTAGCATTTTGTAAGAGGGAATTTGTGGCTTAGAGAGTTTCTATTGTGCTTCTCAGGATCTCATTAGGTTGTAAGGAGGGAATGGTGCCAGTACTAAATCCAGGCAGTCTGGATCCAGAGCCCACACAAGATTGCACAGCACTGGAGAGAGAGTAAGTTAGACAGAACAAAGTAAAATGAGGACTTGTAAACATTTTCAGTTAAATCCATGAGTAAGAAACTGAGTCATTTGCCAGTGAAACTGAGTTAACTGCCAAGAACAATTCTATGAACTTTAGATACTAATTGCACCTGAAAGGTTAAGGTCCTTTTTGAGTTAACCTCATATGGAATTGTCTATATTTATTTTGTATGTTGATGACAGTATTTGAAGTGATGAACAGTTTTTCAATTATTTACAAAGCTTTACAGGTTTAAAGTATTATTCACCTCAGGCTTAATTGGCCCATTTGTCTATTCTTCCTAGAAGGATGTAGTTTTCGAGCAATATGTTTGGTGATTTAGAAATTGTCTACATATTGAAGTTCCTGCAGGCACTGCAGGGTTAAGTTATTTCTAAAATGAAGGTGAGGGTTACACTCTATCATTATATGTGTTGTTCTAGGTTAAAAAAAAAGCTAGCAATAATTTCTAAAGATGATATTCAAGTTTGTTTTTCACTTTGAAAATAGTAGTCTTTCAGAAAAATCTGAAAATTATTTTCTCAATGTTTATAATTTTAGCAAGAGAAAAATACTTTTGAATAACTGAAAATTGCTATATTCCAGTATTGTTCAAAACCAGCTGTTGTTGCATTTAGAAAATAGATTTCTGGCAGCTGCATTGAGAAATTTAGGGTTACATAGCTTGTAGGTCAAGTAATTCACTTAAATTGGTTGAAATTCAGCAACTGATTTCAGTTCTAGTTGTCTGTCAACCAAATAAAAATGCCTGTACAGCCCTAGCTACACAGGTGTTTGTATCATCCAGCAATCACCAAAATTGCTGTCGTTTGTCTGGTTATCTCAATTTAAAACCCAAAATAAATGGAAAAGCTATCAAATATTTTCTTAATTTTTATTTTAACAAATTTATTCTTAAGAGAATTAAATCTACTAAATATTTACGCCTGTGTCCAGAAAAATTTCTCCAGTTATAACAAAGTAATTAGTGGATAGGAAATTCAGAATCTTTATTTTTTCCACTTCTGTTGCTTGAGTGTTGTATCCCATTATAAATCTAACCTTCTCTTGGCTTAAAATTGGGTGTAGCATAAATTAGGTGTTAAACTGAGCATTTTGCATATATCTTTTAATGATCCTTAGTTGCAAGTTGCGGAGATAATAATAAAAGGACCCCGGCTGACCTGTTATGGTTATTAGAAAGTTAATTAATTATCAGAATATAATAAGTGCTTATTTATTATCTGAAAAACTAGGAAGTAAATATTTGATTCATTGATTGACAGCCTTTTTTGCCTTCTGTAGGAGATCAGTCAGGGTGGCGGGAAAAACTGTGGAAAGATGCAAACCTTCTTGGAAGGCTGGGAGGTTTTACAAAAGCTTCGGAAAAGGATTTGGCTGAAGGCAGCCAGATTCTCTTATCCGGTGCCTAAAAGCTTAGGTTAGATAGAAAGGGGATGAGGGGTGACCATGTTAATTACCCACAAGTGTGTTGACTCAAGGCCTCTGTCATTAAATCTGTACTAAATAAATGCCTGCAGCCCCAGCTTGTCAGGGCTGCAGCTGCTACAACTCTTTCTGTGGGTTACCTGGTCCCCTAGCCTGCTCTTTCATTGGATATCTGGGTCAGAGTGCATTTTCTCATCTGTTGCTCTGTCAGGGTCTGTGGGTCAGTCCCGGCAACCTTCCTTTCTTGTTAGAACAGTAAAATATATACCAGGGTTTGGTTTTATAAAATAGCTTCTCATTTTTGTCACGGAGGCAGTGCTGTTTCAGTTCAGTCCTTATAGCTTAGCTGACCATTTAGGCAGGATTTCTTAGGCCAGAATTTTCCTCATCTTGACCTTAACCTTTCAGAGCCAAAAACTTCCCATGACCCTGTCTTGATCACACATGTGTGTGATTGCTGCAGGTGACAGCAGTAAGGGGCGGAGCCAGGTACCTGACCCAAATCTCTGATGCCTAAGTCAGTGTTATGGCACTGATCAAGTTCCTTATGTCAAGATGACCATCATATTCCTTCATTTTTTGAAAACTCTGTATGGATGGCCAGATTATAAATGGAAAAATTTTGAGCAGATAATTTAACAAAGAAGTATTGGCCCGACTATCTTGATAACCACTATCACTGAACTGTAATTACCTATGGCATCCAGTAAGGCAGTGGTACCCAACCTTTTTGGCACCAGGGACTGATTTTGTGGAAGACAATTTTTCCAGGGGTTGGGTTGGGGGGCGGGCGGAATGGAGATATAGTCAGTATGGGAATAGTTTTGGGATGAAACTGTTTCACCTCAGATCATCAGGCATTAGATTCTCATAAGGAGCATGCAACCGAGATCCCTCACATGTACAGTTCTCATGCTCCTATGAGAATCTAATGCTGTCACTGATCTGACAGGAGGCAGAGCTCAGGCAGTAATTCTCACTCCCACTACTCACCACCTCCTGCTATGTGGCCTGGTTCCTAACCAGCCACGGTCGGGTACCAGTCCACAACTCAGTGGTTGGGAAGCCCCAAGGCATCATCTTCCTCAAACAGTCCTAGAAATCCTCTGAAACAATACTTTGGACTTTCTGTACACCATCGATTGAGACATTGATTTTTGTAGATGTATGTAACATTAACTGGGCTACATGTTTTTCACATTGGCAAGACCTACTAGATTTTCTGTTTGATTCTTTCTGCCTTCATGTGACAAGCTAATCTTGTCTGTTTTGATTTGATTTTACTAGTGGGTTACTTCCAGTGATAAGCTTAGCTCCAAAATATGAGGGCACTGTTCTTGAGCTTCTTCTTTACTAACTACTGTGTATAGTTCTAAACACCATAGTTTTAGTGTCATTTTTTTTATTTGGAACTCAATAACCAAGATGGTAATCAGATCTGTGTATATTATTCCCAATTGCAATCATAAATTTACTCTAAAAGTTTTCTTATAAATGTATGCATATTATATCAGAATCTTAACATTATTACATGCTTTCTATATGATTTTGAAAAACTATAAGCACATTATAAAACTTTCTATAGTCGGTGCCTCTTTCTTATTGAGATTTAAAGGGATTCACTTATATAATGTTAGAAAAAAAGGAAAAATCATATAACATGTTGATGCTGTTATTAAAGAAAATATACTAGTCCAGTCCCACTGTGCCTGATTCATTTCTTTACTGTCTGCAAGATTTACTGAATTTCATACTCATTCCCGTTTTAAAAGTAGTTTTCTTTCTTATCTGTCTTTGGATTCACTTCCCTCTTCGAAAAAGATAAATTCTAAAAGCCTTATAAACTAATTGTGTGGTTTCTTCTTTAAAAACACCCCTCTTGGGCATGCGGAAAGTGGAGAAAAGAGATAATGGTCTTCCATAAGGTGTAATGTGGCAGCTGTCAAGGTGGCTTTATTCAAAGACCTGGAATTAAACTGCTCTCCATTAAGAAGTATCCTGTGAGGTAGGAGTGGTGGTCAGAGCCAATAAGAAGGGCTTAAAACACCTGGCAGGAGATGTCTCCTTACAGCCACTGATATAACCCATCAAATATATAATAAAAATAATTTCTTTAAAAATGGATTATTGAGATTGAAACCTTTTTTCCTGTGGACCATTTATATTGAATAAATACCAAGGAGCAATATAACAAAATACCTTTATACAACACTGAGGCTAATTGGAAGAATTTGACATTTTATGAAAGACCAAGTTCCATTACTGCCATTCTTTTCACACTACTTTAATAAATAACTTTCTGAATAAAGAGCCTTTTCTTTTCTTAGCAGTTGGCTATTAGGAATTGTTTCCAGTTTCCGTAATTTTTATTTTGGCTCTTAAGATTTCACGCTTCAGACCTAAGGCAAGCAGAATGCCTTTGATAGCAGTATGACCTTTTTTTTGTACAAAGATTACACAATTGAGCAAATTGCGTAGCCATGTAGCCACATGTCTTTATTTTCTGCTGAAGTTACCAGAGACTTTGCTGTAGCCTAAATATAGACCTTTCTCATGAGGCATCCACTAAAAATTAGAAACGTAATAATTTTTAAATGATCATTATATTTACTTTACCCAAGTATATTATTTTCTACAAACACATGCTTTATGGTCTTCAAGGAGACCATACATTTTATAAATGTATTATTTTCTATAAAGTTTCTTCTCTATTGAATAAACAAAAAGGCACTCTCTATACTTGTGTAAAAGGGACACAAGTATGTCCCTTTTGTTGTGTGAATGGCCATTATAATGATAAAAAGTTGAACAAAAGAAGGGCTGTCATTTGTCTTAAGTGAGGCATTGATAAAGCTCAGGAAAGATTCTCTTTAATGAAAAAAGTAAAATGTGGACTCACATTCTCTATCATTGTGTTGTTAGGGATCACTTGGGCAAGCTACTAACATACTTCCTTCTGTTATTCCACTTAAAAAATATGTATTTCATTTATGTATCTATCTTTCCCTTCAGGCTGTTAGTTCTTGGTGATAATAATAATAGCTGTCATTTAGTGATTGCTTAACATGAACTTGGTTTATGTGTTTTGTCTAATGATTGAATCAATGAATGAATCAATGAATGGATTCTGGAAAACCCAGACTTTTAGAAAGCCTATAATCTAGCATGAAGGAAAAAGAAACACAGATCAAGCTCCTTCAATACATTTAATAAGATTTTGCTTTCTTTTCCCTTAAAATGATGAAGAAACTAGAAATAATTTGAGAGTTGATTAAATATATAAAACAGCCTACAAACTGGTGATAGAGCCAGCCATGTTGAGGGACACTGAGATAACATTTTCATTGTCAGCTTTCATATTTGTGACTGTAGCAAGATGGAGAGCATTGGGTACTAGAGAGAGAGAGATACCTAGGTTCAAATTCCAGGTGTGTGATCTCAGGCAAATATGTGACTTATTTGTGCTTCAGTTTCTTTCTCTGCAAAATTAGGATAATAAAAGAATTTACCTCACAGAATCAGAGCAAATGTGTTCCTGGTACATTTGCTCCATTAAGTATTAGTTATTGCTCATAGTGGCAATAGGTGGGGGAGGGAACATCAATTTTCAATATCTAGTAGCAATACCATTGAAATCTTTATGTTCCTATGATGTTCCAAGCCTTTTTGCACTAGCGATTCCAATAATAAGCACTCAAAAAATTATACACTCATTTTTTTGGCCAGGCGTGGTGGCTCACACCTGTAATCTCAACACTTTGGGAGGCCAAGGTGGACAGATCCTTGAGCTCAGGAGTGTGAGACCAGCCTGGCCAACATGGTGAAACCCTGTCTCTACTGAAAATACAAAAATTAGCTAGCGTGGTGGCATGCATCTGTAGTCGCAGCTACTCAGGATGCTGAGGCAGGAGAATCACTTGAACTTGGGAGGTGGAGGTTGCAGTGAGCCAAGATTGTGCCACTGCACTCCAGTCTGGATGACAGAGTGAGACTCCGTCTCAAGAAAAAAGAAAAAAAAGAAATTATACACTCATGTTTAAATTAGCTTAAGTTGAATTAGGTAGGTGGAAAGCTTACTGGGGGAAAATATGTCATATTTTGTAAGCACAAAAAAAGTGTAAACTTTTTATTCATAATGTATAACCAGTTCTCTACTTATGGGGAACAATCTGGAATTCACCATTTTCAGTAACTTCCTACGAAAGCAGCTAAAAATTGGAAAACTTTTTGGTCACTGCTTTCTCATCCTGGGTTTTCAGTGTTGTTGGAAGTGAGAGAATCAAATCTTAATGATTATTAAGACAAGCTGTAACTGATTTTTAAAAATTACAGCAATGGAGTATTTGTTGTGCAGATGAAAGAAGAAACTCAATTATTAAAATTTTTCAAAAGAAAATAAATTGAATAATTGAACTTTAAGAGAAAAAGGCATGTACCACAACATATTGGTTGTTTCCGCCATAGTATAGTTCATTACTAATATGAATACTGTACTATAGCTCTATGCCAAATTAAATTTATATGAAATAGTTCTGCATAATATGGAGAAACTGATTAGGTACTAGATGATTTAAAAACCCATTTATTTATTCATTCAATATTTAACCCCTATTCTATGCAGGCATTATATTAGGTGCTCCAAATATAACAGTGAATAAAAAGTCATATATAAGATAATTATACAATTTGTATAATTACAATTAGGAAAAAGAGGTGGGACTGTAAAGTATAAAACATTGTGAAATTACATAGAAACATATTCTAGAGTGAATGGTCTAAGATACATGTCATTATCCAGATCTTTTCATATGTCTCAATTTCATTTCTTGGTGCTCCACTCCTTCCTAATCAGTGCTTTAACTTTCACATAGGAGATGTGGCAAGTCTGTGATTTCAACCTACACTGTAATTCACCAACCTGTAGGATAAGACTACACTTGGGTTTTGGCTACATCAGTACTACAAGAAATAGGCTGTTTTAGGAAAGCCATAAAACTTCTCTAGTTTTCAGACCATTATTTGAGCCAAAAATTTAAAGCCCAGAGCCCTTCATTTTCTTTCTTTAATCTCTCTGACACAGCAAGAAGCAGCCAACCCACTTACAGTTTCTGCCCATCACACTGTGATATGGCAGTCACCACTGGGTCCACAAAAAGGCATTTTTTTCTAAACTGTTCACTTAAAATGACTGTTAACTACTATTTACTACCAATAACCTATCCCTAATGCAGTGGTTCTCAAAGTTCAGCATTCATCAGAATCACCTGGAAGGTTTTTGTAACGCAGATTGCTGAGCCCCACTCCCAGGGTTTCTGATTCAGTAGGTCTGTGTTGGGACCCAAGAATTTGCATTTTTAACAAGTTCCCAGATGCTGATGCTGCTGGTCCAGGAACTTAACTTTGAGAACTGCTGCTCTAATGGAAACGGATCCCCTCTGCCTTCAAACTCATCAGGTCAAATATTCAAACTTTTGAGAGTCTGTTGCCTACACATGCTTTCGTTGCAAAATAGAGCATCAACAGGGTTCAACTGCAGGTAGTAGCAACTACTGTAGCTATTTTAAGCAGAAAAGAATTTAACTAAGTACTTTCAAATCATTGGAAAGGGTAGGTAAGTCATCCCAGGAATAAGTCCTAGAACAAAATTGCTGTTCTGGCTCACTATGGAAACTTCTACATACATAGGCCAGAGTCAGAAAGCTGCTAGCAGAACTGCAAGCTGCAGGACTGCAGTATTCCCTCTAGAGTCACGTCCCCCCAAAATAATGAGTTTCCCATGTGTCACTACATTAGTTTGAAATTCAAGTCTCACTCAAGTTTGCCTCATTGCCGAAACCAAATCTATCTGGAATCCAAGTTGCAAGAGAGTCAAGGAAATGTATTTTTGTTAGCTGTCTAGCCTCTTCGGAAGATGAAGACTCACTAGAAAAAGGTTGAAACAGATGTTAATGGAGCCTTGCTATCACAAGGACTAGTGAATGTTTCCCTGATGCAGCTGAGACATAAAAAAAGTTAAAGAATTAGCTACGTGAAAACATGGGAATATGCATTCTAGGCAGAGAAGAAACAAAGAGGCCTGGAAGAGAGCCTTCTTTTTCTCTCTTGTGAGAGAGATTATTAATTAACCTTAAAAACAGATGACAAATACATAGACACTTCCCCCATCCCTGAAAAAAAAAAATGACAATTTCAGAAAAGTCAGTTTTTAAAATTTAGAACATTATTGCAATAAGAAGAGAGGCTACCACATATTGAGTCTAACCCTCCACTACTTTAACCCAGTAGAGGCTAGTGTCCTCCATTTAAGCCAGGAGCTGTGAAATATCCCTCCTCCTACCTGTGAGGAAGCAGGACCAAAGTGATGTGTATGGAATCGAGCATGAAAAATACAACATAATCTTAACTGCCAAGGTGCACCTGTCCATGTACCTTAAATGCTGAGAAAACCAGAGATTGAGTTTAGGCCCTGTACAGGAAAGTCACTGGCAAGATCTAGATGCCACTTACAGTAAGGCATTTGGTTCCAGAGTGAGGAGGCAGTAAGAGGTGCTTGAGCCCTGTGGATACAGAGATAAATGTATTAATATATCAGAGAATGTTAAACCTTAGAGATAGTCTACTCCAACTTCCTTCTTTTACACGTTCAAAAAAGCAGGCAGAGAGATTGAACATCTTGTTCAGGGTGACAAAGTCAGTGGAACATCTGGACTAGCACCCCCAATAGCCGACATTCCTTTTTATCACTTGCTTCACCTTCCTTTTAAGTTTCTGTTTCTGATCATCATCTCATGCTGAAATGTAAATATGGTAGTTGATCTAGCATTTTGTCAGCTGCACATCAGTTTACTATTTAGCTCATCAGTTAGATGGTATTTAGAACAATTAGTTTTAAGGTCACTGCAAAATTAAAATATTTTTATAACTCTCACTACTGCTTTAACTCAAGACATTCCTGCACTCAAAGATTAACTCTCGTTCCACTCTTAGTGACTTTTCATGTCCAGAGTTGAATTTTTTTTAATTTTTAATTTTTGCAAGAATGGTGAAAAGAGGGCCATGGTATTAGAAAAGGATCATAAAAAGACTTATGATATAATTCCTTTAAAGAGTCACTAGAGGCCCACTAGTTTATTAGTTTGAGTGGCAGATACAATTGAAGAACTCAGAAGAATACATATACCATCAAATTGTTTGTCAGATTGAATCTTTAACCCAATGAGCTTTGTTTTTTTATTTTTTTTTTGCATTCCATATTTGGTTAATTTGACATTAAAACCATAGTCCTGTAAGAGCTTAACCATATTTGAATTAAACACTAATATCTAAACTAACTGTTTTGTCCAAGAATTCAGAGACATTGTGCTCTCATATAAATAAGCAATATTGGGTGGTATTAGGTGGTATCACAGTTCCAGTGGTTTTGAATTGGATTACCCAACCATAAAAATACATATACATATTTATATTTATAGTACCTTATTGTTTTACAGACTCTGTAAAATATGTTCTTTCTGTTAGGCTTCAAAACCGTAATGCAATAATAAAATCCCCTGAAGAAAATCAAACTCAGAAATCTAAATTTGCTAATTCTAATGAATAAAAGTCACTAAAACAAGAAACTGTGAAAATCTGGAACTGTATATACATCCTATGCCAGAAATACCACATACTTTATTCCCTGCTTAGTAAATTTATTTCCTGCTATTAGTAAAATGTACAATATTTTATCCTACAATGTGATAAGTAAAAATAATAGGTAATTATGTTTTACTTAAAATCACCTTTATCCCAAGCCTTTCTAAGTTAAACAGAAAGTTGAATTCTCTTGTGATGGTCAAAGAAGCAGAGTACAAGAGCTTGAAAGGATTTCTGACTTCTCATGGCTTGTTAATAATAGATCCCAGAATTCTGAACCTGTATATCACTGACCACAAGGCTCTTATGGAAAATGTTTGCATGTCCCCACTGGGTCAGCTCAGAATGTTTGAGTTGTAGTGTGGTGTGACCAAACAATCAAAAGAAAAGATTCTTTTCTCTTAGTAGAGAGAGAGATTAGGAATTACAGTAGATAATGGAAAGAGGCACAAGCTATGCTGGCTTCCATCCTGTAGCTTTTAGAATGTTCTTTGTGAAAGGAAAGAAAGAAAACTTCCTGCTGTAAGAATAATGATGCCCTAAGGAAAAAACATCTGTTCTCCTGTCCATTGCACTGTATTTTAAGGAAAGCAGCTGTTATCTGCTTTGAGTTAAAAGGTGGGCTTTTCCCCACCTCCACACTTCCCAAACTTGAGTTACCGCTCCATCTCTGATGTTGGAGGCTGGAATAAACAACTAAGCCCTTTATCTAAACATTTTAAATCCTTCTTTCTTCCCCTATTTCGGCCCACACATTAGCCTATGGAATTGACTTAACAGAATGCATATTTTCTGGTCAGTTTTGGTCTTGGGAAAAAATTCTTAGCTTGAATGAAGAGGGTGACATTCATGGAAAGTTTAAACAAGTCTGGTATATGTAAGTGAAATCTGAAGTCCAGAATAAAAAGGAGAATGTGCAAGTGCCTTCAGATTTGTAGGGAAATCTACTTTAGATTGCTCCATAAGATTTTATTATTTTGACCTTTTGACTTCCCAAAAGCAAAGTAGTGCTATCTCAGATACTCATAGGAAACTTAAGGGGTTTGAGAACCTGGCTGAAATTTAATTTTTCTTCCCTCTACTTCAAACCACGTAAAGGCCTCCGTTGGTCCAGTTAATAGCCTGATCTAGCTAAAACAGTTAACAAAGTGCTGACAGGGTAAATGGTCCAAGGTCAGAGGAGTGGAGGTTCCTTTAAATTCCCATCCCACAGGGCCCAGCAAAACATCTAGGAGAGGAGCCTGTGCGCTCTGCTCAGTCTGAGGGAGCCAGGGCTCCTTGGTCCAAATGAATGTTTTTTAATAGGCACCCAGGTGATTCTTATGATCAGGCTTGTGTGAGGCAAGTATGGTGGGAGGCAGGTTCTGCTAGTCTGGGCACAGGATAGTCTTCCTGGACTGGAGGCCTGGCATCCTCATTCCTTAACTAGCTGGGCTGCCACTGGCAAGAAAATTAACCTCTTTGTGCTTAAGTTCCTGTACTTGAAAAATGGAGCTAGAGTGTCCACTTCATAAGGCTGTCCTGAGAACTAACCATAAAATGCTTAGAACATTATCATTACCCTTCTTACCAGATGATTTGCAGCCCAGAGCACTGGGATGGTTCCAGAATATTTACTCAATAAATTATAAATTTCTTTTGAGTGAATAAGACTGGGGAGGTATAAAGGAGCCAGATCACTAGAGGAGTTCTTAGTGTTGCTCACTGTTCCAGGTACAGTCTAAGGGTGACAACTCCCTTTTCTCCACTTAGCCTACTTTGAACCATATTAATTACCCTTATGTGGCTCAGTTTTAAAAATGCAGAGAGTGGAGTTGCCACTGTACAAAAAGGTTTCTAGTGTCTTTCATTAAAAAGGAAAAAAAAGCCACAATATGCTATTTCTCTGCAGCAAAACAAGAAAACCTTGCAAATCACTGCTGCTTTAATTAACAGCATTTTTTTTTTTCTTCTTTCCTTACCCAAGGCTGCTGTGGTGCCATCTGCCCAGACCCTTAAAATTACTGACTTTAGCTTCAGTGACTTTGAGCTGTCTGATCTGGAAACAGCACTGTGTACAATTCGGATGTTTACTGACCTCAACCTTGTGCAGAACTTCCAGATGAAACATGAGGTAGGAATGCAGCAACATCCTTTGGAAAAGTCTATGTGTATGTGTGTGTGTATGTAAGAGAGAGAATTGGTTTTGAATGCAAATATGGAATAGGGATTTTTACATTTTAGTGATTAATATACTGTCACCTAATATATACCCGAGACTTTTAAAGAAAAATTATCATTATCAAAAAGACATTTAATGGGCTCCTAGCATGTATCAAGTATCAGGGTGAAGACTAAGGGAGAGTGTTCCTAAAAATAGGAGCAGGATGTTCAAAGGCATGACAGCAGAGATTGGGGGTGAGGGCCAGGAGTACTGTTGAGGGGTAAGAATGGCAAGAGAAGCAATGGAAGAAGGTGAGAAGCAAATGATACGGAACCTTGTAAGCCGTACAGATGAATTTGGATTTTACCCTGAAAACAATGGTGAGTCACAGGAATTTTATGCAGAGAAGTAGCATGATCTCACTGCAATGGTTATAACAATAGTGTACAGGGAAGGACCGAAGCAGAGTGAACTCCTTTGAAAATGAAGGAGGAAATAAAGGGGCCTGATGGGAGGCCAAGCTTTTAGTTGGAACAGGGTCACCCATATGGGTGAAGATGAAAACTGATTTTAACCTCTGTTGCTTACCTTATTCACTTCTCAGAAAATAGAAAAACTTAAATATCTTCTAATATCAGTTTGGAGATACTAGGGAATTCCGTTGTTTCATAATGGCTATGTATTATAATATATAGCATCAAAGAATAAGAAGCAGCAGAAAGGACTATTTAAAAAAAAGAATTCAGTAATCTTGCCTTTAAAAATTACTTTTTCTGATCAGTTGAATGTCTAGTCTCCTTGTACAGATTTCCTATCTGAAAATTTAAATATCTTGAAGGCCTCCACTATTTAGCATTGTATTAATTCAGGACTCTGCCAGGGGCACATTTCAGCGATGAGTTGTCCCTGCTCTCAAAGGCTTCACAGAAATGAAAACTAAGAGTGAATATAGCTAAGATTAATACATTGTCATTTATGGTATTATTGGAGGCCCAAATCTGGTTCTTCCTGAATTTAACCAAAGTTTATGTTACTCTTTCTTAGGTGAAAATAAAGAACAATTGTCCATAGACTCTTACCTAATAATACTTTACTCTTGTTAGAGTGCGTTGATTAAGGGATATCATGCCATTTAATTATTTCAACAAGTTCTCTAGAAAGGCTGTTACTGGGATTACTGTTATCCCCATTTTACAAATGAAGAAATTGGGACAGCATGGTAGAGTAGAAAGATCATGGATTTTTGAGTCATACCTCTGCTACTGGTTAGCTCTTTTTTCGTTGGGCAATTAATCACTCATATTCTCAGTTTCCTTTTCTGTTATTAGGGGTAATGGTATTATTCTCCCCATGGGAGTCTTACGAGAATTATACGTGCATCTGTGATTATCTATTTGTATGCATGTGTATGTATGTACTTATCTATAATATTCTGTTTAACAAACAGGTGTAGAGTCCATGTCAGTTATCCCATTCTTAGGCCAAGTTTGACTGGTTACATCACTCATCAAATTTCTCAATAGTAGGTCATAAGGCTCTTTTTTTAAAGCCGTATCTATTGATGAGATGAAGATCTCATTTGGAGCCAGAAGTTCTATGTGAATCTCACTTCTGCTTCTTGCTAGTTACAGGACTTTATAAACCTATATAGTATCTCAAATCCTTTTCCATTCCTGAGTACTCCCATTCTTGAAACTAATAATGATTCTGTTGAAAGGACTTGGCTAGAGTAGAGGAATGTGATTCTTGTACTTTTAAATGAAATTCATATAAGTTGATTTATTTCTCTTTGGCCTTTAGATAGCATTTGAGGGTTAGGTAATGAAGATAATCACTCAAAGTTTCTGTAGAAATCTTTATTCTTACCAGTTGTTGGGTTTTTATCCATGAGGAAAATATTTCCTCTTAATGTCTGATTCATCATCCTACCTTTTCTGGTTGAATAACTATTATTCTAATTCTGGCCAACATCAAACTTGAACATTGCCATCATTCTGGCTGGCCTTCCTTCCTTAGTGCCTCTTCTGTTTTGTTTCTTTCAGATATTATTGTCAGTATAATTTTAGGATGATGAAATAAAAATGTTAATGCTAGAGAGGATGTTAACATCATGAAGCTGTTGTGACTAAGAATATTTCATATTGAAAGATCTTCATGTTCTCTGCATGGCTTCTAAATCTTTAGTTATTCTCCTATAATGACTGTAACCATTGCCTCTTGCTGATCTCTGAAACAGATTCTTCATTCTGCTCAAGCCAATCTGCATGTGCTGTGCTTATTTTCACTTTTTATCTTTTACATCTCATTCCTCCCTGAATAATGTCTGTTCCACTCTCTACCACAACAAACATTTCTCTTCTTCAGAGCCTGACTTAAGAATATCTGTTTGTAAGAGAACCCTAGGCTTGACTTCATGCTGCTTCAATTGCTATTTGGCAATGTATAAACTTGCTCTCAATTTTATGTTTATTTACTTATTTCCTTTATATATGCAATTTTGTTATTTTTCACTACTGATTGAGTTTCTTGAAGCAGGAGCTAAGCTGTTTTCTGTTTCTTCTTTTTCTCCGGTGGCATCTTGAGTTCACCACTCAGGAAACCTTCCATAATTGTTAGAGACTGATTCAACGTATTGAACATGCTCTGTAGAGTCATCCAAACTGCAAATAAGTACTCAGTAGTCCTGTACAAAATACTGTCTTACAAATTTTAATGGTGTCCAGCATATCCACTGAGAACTTACCAGATATGACCATAATTTTCTTGTATGCTGTTGAGAACATCCTGGTAACAGAATCTAAAACTGTACTTAAATATAGGTACTAACTACTTTGTCCATTGGGTTATCCAATTCTATTAGGTCCGTCTTAATAAAAGGAAAATAGAGTAGTCCATTAGGAATTATGTTTCATAGAGTCATTTTGGTCATTGTTTCACAATATATGGTATTATATATTTAATTATATCTGTACATTTATGATTAGTAAAAAGATATATCCAAAGTTTAAATTTCTGGGTTTTCCTGTTTTTTTTCTTGCTGCTTTAATTAATCACCAGTAATTTTCTGCAACATATTTTCTAAACATATCAAAGAGAGTTTATAGATCTTACTTAAAAGTCTCTCAGTAAGATTAGTCTCCCAGTAAGATTCATCCATCACCTTCCTGACAGACTCTATTCAGATATGAAAAAATGGTGTAAGAAGCTGCAGTATGCTTGGGGTGAACACATTCAATCTTAGGCACACAGAAATCCTCCGCTTGGAATATGGCAACTCAGTGGGTAAAAAGGTTAGGAGACATTAGTGTTCTTTGTTATCAGAATTTCCTGTAAACTGAGCAATAGAACAGGAATAAAATGACCTGAAAAGGGAGGATATGGAAGCATTGATTTCCCACCAAGTTCTTTATAAGCAGTTTCTACCGACAATGAAGAAACCTTGTTTTTGGCCTACTTCTGTAGCTAATCGTATTGTGTTGAATATTGTCAAAGCAACATTCTTTTCCCTGGTACTTTTTCCATTTCCCAGGGCAATGTTCTTTGTGTTTGAAGCAACTCCAGTGATACATGTAGGGAGAATCACATATTTATTTTACAAATCCCCAAAAGTATAGTAAATCACTCAGATTTGAAGAGAGGCAGATTCTGATGCTAACACAGACCATGTTTAGGGCCCATGAGTCTCTGGGGATTTTATTTAATACACCACTTAGAAGTTGAATTAAACCCAACTCTTGAGACTTGCTGAAGTCTATCCTGCCCCCGGCCATCTTTTAAAGTGTTTTTTATATGGACCCCAGGGCTTTATTTGGCACATTTTTTTTTTAATTACTTCTTTGTAACCAGGCAGTAACTACCTGAATAAGTATAATTTAAAAGGACAAAGAGCTAATGACGGCATTGTCTTGTAGCTCCAATTTGTCCTCGGACATGTGCTATATACCTTGTTACTAGTCCACCCCCAGGGCCTTGCACTAAATACCTTCACGGATATACAACATGAGAGCATGGGAAGAACTTGGGAGTGGCCGCTTTTATGGCTCTCAAATGGTGAATTCATACCTATGTGAACCTTTGGACTCTCCTAGTTGGTGACACATGGAAATGGCACATGGACACATGGACCTTTTATTAAAAAAAAAAAAAACCTACCCAGTGCCCTACCCTGCCAAAAATACCCTTCTTAGGGATGTCTTGTGTTTTATATCAATTTAATTAGCATGGTACTTAACATGGTAGGCTGTGGAGTCAAATTGCTCAAGTTAGAATTTTGGCCCCATCCCTAACTAACAATATGACCTTCAGCAAGTTACCTCTCTGAGTGTCAGTTTTCTTGTCTGTAAGATGATCCAAATCGGAGTATCAGGCTAAATGTGAATGCTTTGTAGTGTCTGGAACATAGTAAATGTGTGAAGATGTTGGCAATTATTGTTACTACTTATGTTTTATTCCCTAAAGGTTCTTTGCAGATGGATTTTAAGTGTTAAGAAGAATTATCGGAAGAATGTTGCCTATCATAATTGGAGACATGCCTTTAATACAGCTCAGTGCATGTTTGCTGCTCTAAAAGCAGGCAAAATTCAGGTACTTTTTAGAGCCATTCATATATCTAATACATTTTGTTGCTTAGTAGTAAAATTTATAGCATATTCTTTCAATTTCACTTTAAGGTGCACAATGATTTAAAATAATATTTGCTGCCACTTACATAATAAGTTATATTTCGTTAATTAAAGAGGACTAATCTGGCAAAACTACTTCGTTGCTAATTTTCTTCCATATATGATATATATGGCATATTAGAAAACCTTCAAAATAACTTCATGTTGCACGTAAATAGTCTTTGGGCAAATAAATATTTCCTTCTGAGGAAAACACTGCCTTATTAAGAAAAAGTAAGAAAAAGTATCACATTTCTCTTGTTCACATTCAACCTGCTCCATAGTAGAATTCCTCAAAAACCACCTAGTTCCTGAACTTGCTTCATTGATAAGTTAGGGGTCTGTATCGCATTTTCTCTGGAGCACTCAGTAAATTTTGTAAGTACTGTTTCATAGAAAGGGTTTTGGTTTCATATACATTGACCAGAGACTGTTTAAAAGGAAGATCAATGCAGAAAACGTTCAAGTAATTCGTTCCTTTCCAGGCCAAATTTTATCCATATCTCTGTCCTTAGATTCTAACTTCAGTGGGAATCGACTAGTTATTCTAGGTAAGTGATTCCAGGCATCCATCATATAACTGTTTTTAATTCAGAGCTTCCCTGCCTTTTTCTTTTTGTAAATAAATTCTTAAAATGTTATTCTCTGTCTCTACTTTCATAGGGTGCACATTTTAACTGGCTAAATCTAAAAGAAGTGATTGTTATTAAAGAAGTGAGGTGCAATTAAATACAATAGTAGTATTTTCCTACCTTAGCAAACACGTGTAGGTTGAGTATCCCTTATCCGAAATGGGACAAGAAGTGTTTTGGACTTCAGATTTTTTTCAGACTTTGGAATATTTGCATTATACTTACTGGTTGAATATACCTAATCTGAAGATCCAAAATATTCCAATGAGTATTTCCTTTGAGACTTATTGGTGCTCCAAGAGCTTCAGATTTGGAAGCATTTTGGATTTCAGATTAGGGATACTCAACCAGTGTAAGAAATCATGTAAACTTATTTTGGGGTAGGGAAGGTCACAAGGATTATCAACACTGAAAACTGTCCTAGTTCTCTGTGAGGAATAACAAAATGATGATTTTTGTGTTTGTTGTAAAACCTATTTAGAGTACTGAGAGTTCTAGGAAAATACAGCTGATGATAATTTTAACTTGTGTTTTTTGCGAATGAAGGGGAACAGTATTAATGATAATACTCATAGCAGATACTAAAAAATAACCTATATTTAGCTTGAGAGTATATTATGTAACTTTTTAAAGCCAAGTTTTCATTTCAAATCATTTTCTTTCTATTGTTTTGCTTGAATTAACATTGTCTGCATTCCTTAAGGACACAGCAACTGATAGCAGAGAGTGAACAGAATCTGCAGGGAATTAAAAGAGGAAAAAAACAATTATTTAAAGTTTATTATGATTATTTCACATAATAATTAAGAATTAGCAATACTTACTATAGGTGGACAGATTATTAATTTATTGAGGCATTTCAGCTTTTCCTGTTGATAAGTGACATTTGTGGTGATCCCATTCTGAATGACAAAGGACAACTAATTCCCTGAAGAATAGGATTCTAGGGTTAGTCCTTTGTGACTATAGAGAAGTATGTATGTAAAGCACTGAGGGGAAAAAAAAGATTACTGAAAAGAGGTAATATAATGTCCTTCACCACATTATATTTGTTCTCTCTTTCCTCCAATGTCTTTGGTCATGCAGAACAAGCTGACTGACCTGGAGATACTTGCATTGCTGATTGCTGCACTAAGCCACGATTTGGATCACCGTGGTGTGAATAACTCTTACATACAGCGGTAAGACTTTCCCAGTAAAGCAAGAAAATGTTTTCTTTTAATTGTAGGGCTGTCTTTTTTTAAGTTAAAGCCACAGCAAAATTTGATGGTCAAGGTCCCATAACATACTCTGGTTATATTTAAAGGAAATGGAAAAAATAATGCAGGTTAAGTATTATGTTTATAATTTTTCAGCCCTGAAGTTCAAAACATATTTATGTTGAGAATCTTATTTCATTAGATAATTACCAGGAGTTTTACTTTAGTTTATATATATCCAGCTTAACAGCTTCCTTAGAAAACTATTAAGACTAGTTTAGAAAAGGTAACATTTTACCCTACAGTAGAAAAGATAATATTTGAAAAGTGCTTAGCTCGGCCCTACATACTTATTAAGTGCTCAGTAGAAGGAGGCTTTTGGTCTTAGTGGAAGCTACATAGCACTCTGTTGGAAAACTGGTCCTCTGTCTAATTTCTCTATACCGTTATGTCCTGATCTGTAAAATGGAGATAATAGTTGTAAAAGATAATGCACATCAATACCAAGCAGAATGCTTGGTACCTATTTAAGTCTTAAATATTAGAAGCAGATGCTAGAGATGTACTGTCATCAGATGTCTGCTCATTGACTGAGTTTGAGAGTGAGACACTATCCGTTAGGACAAGTGTCAGGCTCCTTTAAGAGCCATACTTAAGTGGCATTTGAGATGACAAATGAGAGGATAAAGGTGACATCACTTTTCATCAAATGTTTGAGCCACTGTGATATTTTTATTTTCTTACAGGAATTTAGTTGAAAGGTCTACATTTTAAGTGCAAGATCTCTTACTACTGAGCATTTTTTAAGTACACAAGTGATTCAACTAATGGGCAGATCTCTCAAGGAAATTCCAGATGTCTGATATCTAGAGGGAATTTCAGAAAGCTCTCTAATCACATTCTTCTTATCTAAATAAATGGAAAACTTCATGTAGAAAGAATTGTAGTGATGTAACAACCATGTCCTCTGCTGACCTTTGATGGGAAAAGATAGCAAGCTCTTGCCTGAGTATCAGAGTCTGGCTGTTTCCTCTTGAAAAATCTCATGTTTTGGAGAACTGACTGGGTGACATGTCCTTTGTCCCCTGTGCTTTGTCATGTGATTGCAATCCTGAGCCTCACACAGACACAGAATAATTATGAAAGGGGACACTGATATGAAAAGATGTATAGTACAGAGTCAAGCCACATAGTACGCCTCTCCACAGTCAGCACAACCAAAAGATCAGAATAAGCATGTGCTACACTGAACATAATATTATTAGTATGTGTATTATTAGTGTATGGATTGCTCTAAGATGCTATATTGCCCTGCTTTAGAGTGAAAAAAAAAACACTCAACTATTTTTTCCTTTGTTTATTTAAAAATAATTACCCCAAAAACATCTGGAGAAACGTCATCTTCTCCAAAAAAAAAAAAGAAAGAAAAAGAAAAAGAAAACATCCTGGGAAAAAGTCATTGACTGCAGAATCTTGCTTTCACACACACACCACAAAGCAGACTTCAACTTTAAAAAAAAAAAAAAAGTTAAAGCAGTTTCAAAGATTTTTATTTCTTCCTACATCCCTGTGGTTTCAGTAGAGGAAACCAAGAATTTTCCAGGGATTTTTCTTTTTTTTTCTTTCCTTGTTGGTAAATGAGTGATACTTAAAGTAGAATTTTCTTAGCCAGGAGACCCAGGAAACTATGAGTACCATAAATATTCCCATGTAAAGTACTATCTTCTAAAAAGGTATACTGTGTCCAGCCCTCATCAGATATTCAAACTAATATTTAGAGAAAATCAAAAAATAAAACAATGCACAGAGATGAAAGTAATTTATCAAAAAGAGAAAAATGGTCATGTGGTGGCAAAATTAGAAACTGAGATTTTCCTCATTCATTCTTGAACATCTTTTCAGAAAATTACCCTGAAATTACCTTGGAAGAAGATATTTCTCCAATAGAAAGTTGCCCCTTGAGTCATCATTTGATTATTTGATGCCTTCTTTGATTAGGAAACTACCCTCGTAGAGGAGTTCTACAGGTATGCCAGTGGCATATATGAGAGAAGAGTTCACTGCTCATGCTTACTTCTCCCACTTGGGTGAATCAAGAAGAGAATGAGGGCTGGGCGCGGTGGCTCACGCCTGTAATCCCAGCACTTTGGGAGGCCGAGACAGGTGGATCACGAGGTCAGGAGTTCGAGACCAGGCTGGCCAATATGGTGAAACCCCATCTCTACTAAAAATACAAAAAACATTAGCCGGGTGTGGTGGCGGGTGCCTGTAGTCCCAGCTACTTGGAAGGCTGAGGCAGGAGAATCACTTGAACCCAGGAGGCAGAGGTTGCAGTGAGCTGTGATCTCGCCACTGATGCCAGCCTGGGCAGCAGAGCGAGACTCTATCTCAAAAAAAAAAGAATGATCTCAGATAGATACTGAATTCTTATTTTAAAAATAGGCAGTAATAGGAACAAAATAGCTAAAGTGCAGACAACCACTAGAGAAAACACAATTGTAGCATTTGGGTTATGTAGAGAGATTACCTGCATTAGGTCTGCATTCAGTATAAGAAGACTGTTGTAGATGCATTTATTTGGTTAGATTCAAGTTTGGTGTTGATAAATAATGCAGTGAAATTATGTTATATTCTAGGCAGATAGATAATGAATAATTATTATACTAGGGCTTTTGCCCTTTGCAAGGCAGAAAGAAAGTGATAGAAGTATAAAATGTGATTCTTGCCATTAAGAATTGTCATAGTCTCATGAAGTAATAGTGATCACTACAAGAAAGTATCTAGTCCTGAGTTATTTAGTGCATGGACTGTAAGTGTTCAGCAGAGAAAACTGGTCAAGACAGATGTAGTACATCTCCATTGTTAATGGAGGAAATGAGACTTAAACTTGGTCTTAAAATGTGGGTAGGATTTAGAAAGGAGAAAGGATAAATATATTTCAGGAGCACCATGAGGTAAGCATGTTCTTGGAATAGTGGTGATGGCTAGCTTGACTAGAGTTAGAAGGTTCACACTGATTAGGAATGAAAAAGAAGAGAATGAACAAATGGAAACTTTTTGATGCAGGGTTATAAAATTAACCAGTGCATTATAGATTTGATATGGGTGGGAAAAAGGAGCCACTGCAGTGTGTAATAAATGCACAGTTTTAGGAAGGAAGTCTGAATGTAAGCTACAAGGTGAATGGGTAGAAATTAGAACCACAGAGCTCAACTAGAAAGCTGTTACAGCAAGTCAAGTATAAGCTGAAAAATCACATACTGGCTAGAGAGAGGAAGAGACTGAAGGAGAAAAAAATTTTTTAATTTAATAATGAGCAGCTAGTTATATATAAGCATGAAGGAAGGAGATATGACTTCTGGTCCAAGAAACTGGAACAGTGATGGTGCCATTGATGAAAATGAAAGAGCTGGGAAATATGTATATGTGTGCACTGAGAGAGAGGGTTGGCAAGAATGGAAGTTATGGGAGTTTTGGCAATAAGTCCAGTAGAAGATAATAAATAGGGTGGTAGTTAGAAGTGGTAAAATGATCGAACGAATGTGTTTTTTTCAAGGTTAGAGATGCAATACAATCAGGGGGAGAAAAATCTCCTGGTAGCCACAGTCACACTGTATATTTGTCCTGGGAGAACTTGTTCTATCCCATGACTGTCTTCTCTGCTCTAATAGAGGACAGAAGTGAGCTGAAGTCATGGTCTGGCACAGTGGGAATAGAGGGTCAGCAGGATGTGAGAGACTTAAAAGGGCACTACACACAGCACAAAATCATGTGTGAAGTTCAAACTGGGTAAAGTCCATTTTACCCATGAATGAGATGATCTCTGGTCAGGTTGGAGATCTTGAGAGCCTGGAGATCTGACTATGAATAAAGTGAAAGTTCAATTCAATTAGTCCTATGTCAGTAGTAAATACTAATAATAGAAGCTAAAACTTTATATAGGCCTTATGCCATTTGAAACGTTTTTGCACTTTTTATATATTAGTTCATTTAGTCCTTATACCACCATGCAGTGGCTGTGATGGTTATGGTAGTTAAGAGCCAACTTGAGCCAGATGCCTAGCTTCAAATCTTGGCTTCTCTCTCCTCTTACTCTGTGACCTTGTGCAAGTCATTAAACTTCTCTATGTCCCTGTTTCCTTCTTTGTATAATGGAATAATGAAAATACCTATCTTCTGGGATTTTCATAAGGATTAAAGGGGTATAAATAGATGTAAAGTGCTTAGAACATTTCCTGGCACATGTTAAATGCTCTACAGGTTTTAGCTATTTTCACAGGGGAATGTTCTTAGCAACAGATAGGAGTTCAAGATCTTGCTTTGTCCTGTGGTGAATAAAGGGAGTGGCAAAAATACTGTGCCCAGTAGAACCTAGTAGCTGTGGAACAAAGAAGCGGAGCCCTGTCCATCATTATGTGCAAAGAGATAATCAGTAGTGTCAAGGAGGTCAGAGAATTCTGAGGTCAAAAGGTGAAATGAATCATCATTATGAATATTTATGTCATTGAATATGATTATAGACAATGAGAAGGCAAAAAAAAAAAAAGGTTGATTGGGAGAAGAAAGCAATAGTGATGATTTGAAGAGAAATGATGAAGTAAAGAACTAAATGGGATTGAAGGTTACAAAGAGGTTGTTAGAGAATTGAGCCCAGAGTAATATATATGGCTAAGAAGCAGAACCAAGGATGTTGTTTGTTCTTGGTGACATAGGAAGACTGGGGTGGCAATATAGTTTCCCACCCCCATGGGGCTTTCATTTTCTATAGATTTCTAAGGCTTTCTATTTTTAAAATATTGGTCTGATTTCTGCATTGGACATCCTAATACTACTGTCAGAGATGGACCAACAACTGTGCAGAACAGAGGAAAATGCAAAGTGAGTATGCTGGTCCATTAGTGCTCACTGACAGCAGTGTGAGAACAAAATTCTGTAGCAGTAGTGGTTTAAATGGGTCCTTCTGATGCAACCTTAAATAAAGAAGCCACATAGCCTTGTGTTTGAAAGAGGAAAATACAACAGATAGAGAATACACTGGTTTCCATGAATGTTTTTATATACAGGAAATTCGAGTCATTTGTCACTCTGTTATGGATTCATAAATCTGTATTTTTAGAATGTAAGTAAAGGCAAACACAGTTTGCATTCATCTATCTCAAGCCAAGAATTTTCTCTAATGTGAAACAGTCCCTTCTGCGTCGTCTAAAAATGTAATGTGTGTTTGAAGTTCTAACTTGTTTGTGTTAAATAACCACCTAATTGCATTTCGTAGTCCAGCCCCTAAGTGGGTCAATGAGTGGATACTGTGTGCCTTTAAAGTACTTTGGTATCCTAAGACAGTGTGATGGGTTGAAGAGGATATACTTGAATGCCAGCTCTACCATTTATATCAACCTTGAGCACATTATTTTTCACTGAGCCTTTGATTGTCTAGAAAGCAAAAAGATGGCAACTTTAGAGAGGTCTCAGCTGAGGTTACCCTGGAGACACAACCTGAGATGAAAGTCAGTGTGCATATAGGCTATTTGTGAATATGACCCCAGGGAGCAGGAATGCAGAACTGGGAAGGAAGCAGGGAAGAAAGGAAAGGCAGTAGAGGGATGAGCTATCCAGATGTCCACCCATACTGGTGCTTAGTCTTCCCAGGCACTTTTGAGGAGTCTTATGAAATAAGACCCAGAACTGTTGACTGGCAAGACAAAGGCAGTTGTCCCTAGGTCTTTGTACCCCCCTGGTCCAAGGTGGTCCACAGGCCTTCACTCTTTGACACTTTCAGGATGAACAAGTATGAGTGCAGAGAACATTCCTCTGGGCACCAGTTGTGGGGTCAGAAAGCTCTAAGGCAGAAGTGAGAGGTATTAAAGATAGGCTGGGACAAAACACCTTCTAATTGGTACTTGCATGAAGTCTGTTAAAGCGTGCATGAAACTGGACACTACATCAGTGGATGAGTAAGAGGTGGGATTGAGGGTTTTGATGTCGTAAATGGGCATGCCCTGCACAAGGTTATTGTAAAAATTAAATATAATAAACTAAAAAAAATTAAAGCAAACTACCTGACATGTTGTAGGCTCTCATTATAGGCCATCTCCCTGGATGATCTCACCTACTCGCATGCCAGGATTACCATCTGCATTGTTGGTGCATTCCAAATCTATATCTCCAGCCCAGAACTGAGTTGACATTTATATCCATTTGGATATATTTCAGGCACCTTAAAATGAACAGATCCAACATTCAGCTAGTCAGGTTCCCCTGCTTCATCCCCCATCTTTAATCATCTTCTCCCTTTTCCTGTGTCAGTAAATGAGGTCAGCATCCCAAGGCAGAAAGTTTAACATTCATACTTTTTCCCTTTATCTCCCTCATCCCCTTATCTCCCTCATCCCACTCCTAGTCAGGAGTCATTACCAGTTCCTATCTGATCTACTCTTAAACAGCTCTCAGATGTCTGCTTCTCTTCCTTTGGGCTGCTACCACTCTAATCCAGGCTCTCTCTGACTTAGATTACTAGAAGTTTCCCAGTAGTCTCCTAACTAACTCCCATAGTCTCGATACATACGCAATCCTGTTTCCAGTAAGTTCATCCTTTTTCAGAAATATAGTCCTGTTACTCTGTTCATTGTCATCCCATTTTCTGATGCTGAGCACAGTACCTGATCCATAGTCCAACTCACTAAATATGGAAGGAGCAAAGAAGACAAGAAGGGCAAGAATTAATTTGGGAAAGGTTAGGACAACAGTAAATATAAACAACACTTTAAACAATAAGAATAGATGAGATTATCTGTCCTATTACCTTTATTTTCACTTTACTATTTTCTTTTTCCCTCAGATTTCTCTCACTTTACCCATTTTTTCCCCCACATTACATTTCTTCAGTCTTAGGTAGCTTCTCTATCTTCAACAAATTAAATGCAAAGTAAAATAATCGTTCAGATAGTAATAGGAAGAAATAACAAATCAGTTGTATTATCCAACACTTGTATATGGAGCTTTACAATTCACAAACCCCTTTCCTATAAATTTTATGAACAGAGGCTTTCAGAAACTTCATCTTTTTCTTATGAAGAAATAGTGAAAACTATGCTTAATATTCACGTGTGAAGGGTCATGAGAAACATGAGGTGGAGGATTGTGCTTGTCGTGCTTTAAAGCTTTATTTGTGACTGTCTCAGAGATATAATGAACTGAGTATAATATCCTTTCCTTTCTCTTCACTCAGCCAAAGGGTCTCTACTGCTTCACCAAGTTCAATTAGCAGAACTAGCAGGATATTCTGCACTAAAATGACCTGGATCCTACATGGGGAACTTTCCAACTCAGCCGTCTCCTTCCTTCCTTCCTTCCAAGGGAGCATGTACACTGACTATCCCTCTTTTTCTTGCCTTTCATCAATCATACCTCAGTTAATTCCATCTCAGTCAGTCCTTTTCTTATTTGCAGGCACACATGAATAAGCTGACCTTCAGCCTGAGCATTATTTCAGAGGAAAAGCTAACATGAATTTGTTTCAGATTTTATATCAATTGCAGTTTTGAAATTGAAAAATATAATTGGTACAACTATTTCAGAGGGTTTTTTTCCATGTTTGGAGGTATTAATTTTTTTGTCTTTACTCCTTACTTCTATTTTAATCAGTATTAAAACCAATGAAATTGTTCATACTTTACTCTGGCAATGGTCACATTGGTATTTGAAAACAATTTGACTCTTTGTATTTGTTTCCCAGAGATTATCTCACACTTTTCTCAGTAAAAGGAGAGAAAATTGTTAGTTGATTAATTTTGTGAAGTAGCCTCTTTTGTAGTTAAACAGTAATAAAAATGTACTGATAAATGGCATATTAAGGAAACTGATCTTTTTTCCTTTCTTCAACAAAATACTTTCAGAAGTGAACATCCACTTGCCCAGCTTTACTGCCATTCAATCATGGAACACCATCATTTTGACCAGTGCCTGATGATTCTTAATAGTCCAGTAAGTACCTAATTTATTGTTGTGGAATTTTAAAAGAGAGCTTTATAAATTCAGTTTTATTTTTAGTTCTTGGATTTATTCCCAGCATCATAAATTCTTGCACATACTTTATTCCTTTTTGGGTAAGGAAGGCGAAGCCAAAACATTTGAGATCCTCACAGCCTCACTTCTCTAGACAACCAGAACTGTCTACATGTTGCCCAATAAGGGAAATTTGGTTATTCTACTCTACGTGGCTATTCCAAATTAGAAACAAACAAAATGTGTATTTTGTGGCTCTCAGTTAATTCTGCTTTTTTTGTTTAATCGAATGAAGTGGTTTCTATAGCTCAAGCATTTGCTTTCACAAAGCAATACCCTTTCTTCTTTTTATTGAAACTTCCAGTCACTAAGAGAGGATTTTATTAAAGAATAAAGCTATTTAACTACTTGGTGAAATGAATATTTATCAACATAAGAAAGCATATGCTATGCTATGCTAAACATACTTATGTTAAGGAAAACAAGATTAACATAATATGCACCAGGATATTAACAATGGCTGTGCTGGTGTAATGAAATTGTTAATCTTTGTTTGGGGGGGATGGTTGTTCATTATTTACATTGTCGGCTGTGTGTATGTATTACCTTAATAATAAGAAAAAATGAAAGTTTTAACTATTACATTGAACATACACAATGCATGACATATAATCTTAAAGCAATTTTACAATATTGCTAAGTTTACTCAGTTGGGCTAATTCTTTCCTGAGCCCTGGAAAAAAATTCAGGGATTCCCATCACTTTTCTGGTCACTATTTTATAAGTAAAAGCCCTCTAGTTACTTTAGGTTCCAACATATAGTATAGAGTTCTCAACTCAGAAACAAAAATGTGTACTCCTGGGTAGCAGTCCAAATTTTGAACATGATTTAAAGTTTCAGGTTTTCTGTTACTGCACTGGTAGGCTTCTCCCATTCCCTACCTTGTGTTTCTTCTAACTCCTTCCTCTCTCCCCAACCTCCATGTGGTTTCTTACCTCTTCATACTTGGAGAATGGGAAGGGAGAATAGGTAAGAAACATCAAAACATTCTTAACAGACTGGTACTGATATGAGTGCCTTGCTTTTAGACTTTCCAGACAAGAGTCAGACACAAGTCTACTCTAGCCCCACCTCCACCCACTAAATGATAGGAGACATACACAGGAACTCCACACCCCTCTCTCTTACCTGAGGTAGAGGGGAACACACTCTCACGCCTCCCTCAACACCTCAGTGTCGGGGAGGAATTAAGAGTTATATAGCCTGTTTTGGCAACCTCCTTATAAAATCTGTATATGGTCTAGTACAGATTGTTTTTCTACAACATGTGACTGTTTAATGTGAATTATATCATGTGTGATTGGGAGGTAGAAGAATGGTATCAGTATACTATAGACGTTCTATCATTTCATACACGACTTCTCTGGGGTAAGAGGTGCCAGAATTATAGAAGTTGAATTCTGACCTTCAGCAATAAAGGAAAAAGCCCTCCCTTTGGCTCGTGCATATACAGCCCTTTCCATTCTATCTTAGGAATATTAAAAATGAGCACTTGCACCTGAGGCTCTCTCCCTCGCTTTGGACTGCTGTAGCCTCTTGGTAGCTTGCTCTTCTTTCAATGCCCACCTTAATAGCAGAGTTACTGTCTCAACAATCAATTCTATATGCATTATTGCAGGGCCCCTCAAACCAGCATTTCTACTTGATTGTTTTTGTCCATCTTTAATGTCCTCAGAAGCAGCCTCCAGACCTGCCAGACTGGCCTGTCCAAGTTACTTCCAGAGGAACCAATTCTTGGTTTAGTTTGTGCTCTGGTTACAAAGTTGCATAGGTTTTGAGTGGTCTTTCCCAATACCATTTTTTCACAAAATCCATGTTATTTTTAGTGTACGGTTTTTCAGAACTGAAATTTCTCAGGAATGTATATGTCATGTTATAGTAGGAACATCTGTACTTTTGCTATCTGTGTGTTTCCACTAAAACTTTCATTTCAGTATCCCACTACAAATTTAGCTCCAAAGAAAGAAAATATGCTTTTTTAAAAGCATATTTTACAGTATTCCTATCAACTGACCTGTTACTATATAACTTATTATGTAATATGTTGTTACTTAATATATAAGGAATCTGATTATCTATATGGCTGGCTCAAATTATAAGACCTATCTATATATTCTATCTTTGTAAGCATAATTACACAAGAAATTATATCCTCAGCTTTTGAGAGTAAAAAATAAAAATATAGCACCAAAAGACATTTCATCTTCCACTTGAAATTGTTTTATCTTAAAGTAAGTATCAGAAGGTATTTTCTGAATAGTTTTCTGTTTAGCCTAGAATCTAAAATGATTTAGTATTTAAAAATAATGTTTATGGTTGTAATTATAGATTATTGTCATTAATTAGATCCATGCCACAATTTCAGCATCTAGTTATCCTTTAATCAATGTGTTTTGGCCCCAGCCTAACATACCCAGAAGTTCTCCTGTCTTCATAACAAATCCCTTGCCTTCAGATCTCATTCCTAAGCGTCTGGGTTTTTTCTTGGCCCTAAGATATAGGAAGCACATCTGACTCAACTTACAGATGTTGTTTTGATTGTATTCTGAGTGCATGGTCTGTGTATTTTACTTAGTTCAAGATTAGAGAACCACTATGCTTTAAATTACAGATAAGAAATAAAAAATGGTTACATAGTGAAAACTTTGAATGATTTGCACATGGATTAGCTACCTTTTAAATATTCCTTATAGATGTTTCAACCCACGCTTTCTTTCACCACTGACCAGTAAGCACCCTTTGGCTCATGCCCTTTACCCATCTATATTAAGATGTTCCTAAGGAATATGCACTGTTATCATAACTGACCAAGTTAAAATTATATAAATTTGCACCAGAAATGTTACTGGATTTATTTAAAATGCCATAGAGAAGTTTAAAAATTTTACCACTTCTTTCTTCATATCCATTAATATGGCTTTTTTTTCAAAGTTTTACATGCTGTTAAATTATAGCGATTAGTCTGCCCTACGGAAAAGGATAGCTATTAGATTTTAAGTCTGGACTAAGGCTTAAGGAGTATAAGAGTTGGAAAAACATGCATATGTAGGCAGATGAAGCATTATGAAGCGGTTTACATGTATGACAGAGGGGTTGGGTGGGAACATAGAGGGGAAACTTTATTTCATGGTATTTAAGTGTGTCCTCCACATTCATTAGAATACTGGGCATGTGTTTAAGATATGTGAATATATTTCTAGATTTTGTTCTTGTCAGCAGCTTCTCCAGGATGTTAATACTGGTTTTCTTTTTTTATAAAGGGCAATCAGATTCTCAGTGGCCTCTCCATTGAAGAATATAAGACCACGTTGAAAATAATCAAGCAAGCTATTTTAGCTACAGACCTAGCACTGTACATTAAGTAAGTTTTAAGAAATAACCTGAGAAATAGGTATTTGAAGTCTTTTCATTGTTTCAAACTTTTGACATCCATATTGAGAAATTTCAAAGCAGAAATGTCCTGGCAAAACTGCTTATCAGAATACGGAGCAGTTTCTGAAAGGGTAGCCAGAAAAGTCTACTCCTTTGGCTTATACTGCTGAAAATTAAGAATACCTATTATTTCTGATGTTTATCTACCACTGTGTCTCTGAAACTATATACAAATCTAATAGCCATCTCAAGGTCAGTCATTCCAAGCCATGTTGTCCAAAGATTATATAGATCATTTGCTTTTCCTCCTTTCCCTTGCTCCCCACAACTTCTGACCATTTCATGACTCCTTTATACCGTCATTCAAGCTTAGTTGGGCAGGAAAAGGAGTTACTGCCAAGCAAGTAACTCTTGTTTCTTTTTATTTGATTTTGGCAGGAGAAGAATATTTATGTAGAACTTTGAAGTTGTTGATTCTAAAATAAGAGTATACATTAGAGTTGTCTCTGTGATTATGCATTTTCATGATTAAACTGCCTTTCTAAAAGCTAGAAAATACTTTCCTGCATTTGAGCAATCATAAGTTTCCAACTCCTAGCTGAGATCTTTGACGCATGTGTGGGAATGAGGGGAGTCAGGGAATCACTCTCAGGATTTCCTTGTAACATGAGTCTCTCTCCCTCTGTAAGGAATTCACATTCATGGTTGTAGTTACTCTTAGGAGAAGTAAAAACACATAGAAAAAACACAAAAACATCTGCCAGATATCTACTGTTATACATCTAGAAGTAACTGCATGTGCCTACTTAATTGGTTTTTAGAGCATTTTGAGGTTAAGACAAAATAATATATATTAATAGTAAACTTCAGTTTATTAAAAATAATTGCAGAATAAGGATTATCAAATTACCAAGAATTTGAAAAATACCTGTAACCACAATGCCTTTCTAAGCTTTACAGGCCACATGGGTCTCTCCTTTGAACCCTTATGAAACATACTTTTCATTTTTTATAACCATATACTATCAGTTTTATTACGTAAGTTTTTCTTGAGTCTTGTGTCTCCAGGTAGATATTAAACACTGCGAAAAGAAAAATTTTTGTCTTATGCCTTCTCAAAATGCTTAACAATACTGGGCACATAAAGAGGTATTCACTGTACACCAAATATTATTATATTCACTGAATAATAACAAATATTATTTTATTTTAAACTTTACCTAGTCTTTGTTTACTTCAGAAGCACTTCACAACTTTAGATATTTTTATCCCCTACCATGAAATAAATGATAAACTGAAACCTATAGATCTTATTATGCCATGCACTTAAAATACCTGAAATC
This sequence comes from Homo sapiens, assembly GCF_000001405.40. Classification (NCBI taxonomy): domain Eukaryota; kingdom Metazoa; phylum Chordata; class Mammalia; order Primates; family Hominidae; genus Homo; species Homo sapiens. The sequence goes on along the minus strand of NC_000004.12, from coordinate 119,506,249 downwards.
ATTCTCAGCATCAAATTTTTAACTCATACTGTTTCATTTTTCTTAAAATAACAAATATTCAAGAATTGAAATTACCATAATTTGTGATCTATAGTTAAAAATTAGGTGAGGTTTAATGTTTTATCGAAAGCAAATGATAGAAGGGGGAAAGTGAGGTATTAAAGATTTGTAAATGATGATTTTATAGTGGGCTCTAAGATGGGAAAAAAAATCAGAGGTTTTTTTTCACCAAAATTTAGTCCATGAGTCTTTGTGGACCAAAGGGATAAGACCCTGGGTACTCATTATAACTAACAATTTTTTTTTAAACATTGTAGGAGGCGAGGAGAATTTTTTGAACTTATAAGAAAAAATCAATTCAATTTGGAAGATCCTCATCAAAAGGAGTTGTTTTTGTAAGTAGGTTTACTATCTTTAAAGCTGAAGTTTTTTACCCAGTTAATTTTCTCACTATTTTTTCCTCACTGTTAGTTTTTATTGCAATTATTTGTTACAATATGATGATCTTAAAAGCGGTCAGATTTCTCCAGAGGGTTGTACAAAGAGTAAATTTGAATATTTACTTGAAAAGAAATGCATTTGCAAATCCAAGTGAATGAACTGTTCCTTTGTTCTAGAAAAACCTTTAAAATGTGGTAGAGTATCAATATATGGCTATAGGTTTCCCTTATTCATTTTCCTAATTCATTGTAATGGAAGTGCTGAAAATGGAATTATAAATGTTGTGGAAGTAAGATATAGCTGCAAAATGTTTACTTCTCTTAAAGAAAATCTGAAAAGGTAGAGCAGTGAGGTCAGGGTCCAGACATGGAAGGAATACTATTAAGTCTCTATGATTAAAACAGTTTGATATTGGTGGCAGACCAGTGGAACACAGCTGAAAATCTAGAACTGCATAAGACATATAGTGTATAATAAAGATAACATTTCCAGTGACTGGAGGAAAGAGAGAGATAAGTGGATAACCAAATGGAAAAAGACAAAATTGGATCTACTCTACAGACTTAAATTCCAACTGAAGCATAGAGTTCAATGTAGAGAATTAAATCATACAAGCATTAAATAAAAATATAGATGGATTCTTCTATAACCTAGGAGTGAGAAAACTTTCCTAACTATAATTCAACATGCAGAAACAATAAAGGAGAAAGCTGAAAAACATGATTAATCATTCAAAGGCTTTTCATTTAGAAGTTACCATGTGTGTTGAGTGAATTAGGATGACCTACTATAATTTCTGATATAAGACTTTTATCAGTATGATACCTGATGTTGTACTTTAATGGTTATTAGTAATCAATGTACTTTCATCATACTGTCGCTGAGAATGGAATACTAAGGTGACAAAAATAATAAAAGCAGGCAAGATTTTACCCAAGGTTAATAATTTTTCAGTCTGCCAATCTGGAGCTAAATGAGGCAGTTTGAGGACAAATTCCAAAAGTTCAAAGGGAAACTGAAACAATGATGCTCTGTTATCAATGTATTAGTTAGACTTTCATATAAATTGTTTCTTTTTCTTTGGTCTTTATAAACTGCCATTTCCATTGTTTAGAGGGTTTTAACTTTTTTTTATTAGTAACTATTTACTGAGGGTATATAATAACACAAAAGTAAATAGGAGTTTTGGGTTTCTTTTTTCCATAACAGGGCAATGCTGATGACAGCTTGTGATCTTTCTGCAATTACAAAACCCTGGCCTATTCAACAACGGGTATGTTACTTAGTGACAATAACAATAATTAAAAAGTCAAAATAACATTCTACCCAGCAATCCCACTACTAGGTATCTACCTAAAGAAAAATAAATGACTATATAAAAAAGACACTTATATGTTCATCACAGCACCATTTATTATATAATAGCAAAGTCATGGAACTAACCTAACTGTCCATCAACAGTTGATTAGATAAAGAAAATGTGGTACATATGCACCATGGAATACTATGCAGGCATAAAAAGAATCAAGTCATGTCCTTTGCAGCAACATGATTGGAGCTGGAGGCCAATTATCCTTAATGAACTAACTCAGAAACAGAAAATCAAACACTGCACATTCTCACTCATAAGTGGGAGCCAAACAGTAGGTACACACGGACATAAAGATGGAAATAATAGACACTGGGGACTCCAAAAGGGGGAAAGGTGGGAAAAGAACAAGGGGTGAAGAACAACCTACTGGGTACAATGTTCACTGTTTGGGTAATGGGTATACTAGAAGCCCAGTCCCCACCAATACACAATATACATATATACCAGACATGCACATATACCCCCTAAATCTAAAATAAAAAAAATTTTTTTAAGTAAGTTTTTACTCTTAAAGGTAGCTTCTGAAGTAAGTATGGAATTTTTTTTGGAATTTTTAAGTAGTATTAAAAACAGATAATTGGACATACAAAGGCTTTTCTTTTTAGAAGATGCATTTGCACATAATATTTGTAAGATATATTAAGAAAGAGAGCATCTACATTAGCACAGTTTTCATTTCAGTGTGAAAGGCTGAGCATACTTAATGCAAAAACCCAAAATGTTCCAAAATTCAAAGCATTTTGAGTACTGACATGACACTTAAAGAAAATGCTCATTGAACCAGCATTTTAGGTTTCAGATTTTTGGATTTGGAATATAACTTATACTTCTGGCTTACTTGTTTCTTAAGGTCATCCCTTTAATGACCTTGAAAATTAGAAGAAGCAAAATTACTTTTCTTATGGTTAGCCTTCTACGCTGTGCCTCAGCTCTAAATAGACATTAACAAGTAGAACATAGAGATTTCTGGGGCTTGTAGATGTAGGAAGTATTGATATAAGATGTCGAGAAAGTTCTGAATGGAGCCTGTTACCAGGAGGCTAGAAAAAAATCCTTCCCTCTAAGTAACTGCTATAATGTTTTGCAGAGGCAATACAGGCTCAGAAAAAGTGATGGATGTCCATGCAGTGACATATATATTGTGTTTTTGTTTTTCAAGATTTCATTTTGAGTCCGTAATAAATATGCTATTTAGGATTGTTGACAGCCTGCTGTTGGTCAAGACTCCGGGCTGCTTAGTCAGGGAGCCTAGTAACTCTTCCTACAGGCTCATCTCATGAAACAGACATGCCGAGAAAACAAGATCAAAAACTCATTCTCCATGTGCCAAAGCCAACACGCCATAAGCACTTAGGTGATCTTTACCTACCTTCCTGCCCATAATAAACAGGACTATATGCCTATTTATTTCTAACCAGGTAAGAGAATAGAAGAGGGAAGAATGTGTCTTCATATATCCTTTCTCTCCCCTGAATCAAACCCTTGTACATACTGTTTTATGGGGAGAAAATAAATGAAGAAAACATTTTTAAATAAAATTAAAAGGGAAAAATGTTGGAAGCTACCAAAGACAGAGAGATGTACCTAAGTGAAAAAGAGTATAATGTAATAGTTAAGAGAGCACGCTTTGGACATGGACTACTTGTCTTCGGGTATCAAGCTGCTGCTTATTTGCTATAAAATGGAGATATACAGCTCCTAACAGGGCCTTCATTCACGGTCTCTGTTTTAAAGAATGATATGCTTTTCATTGTCAAAACTGAGTCTGTTATTTATTTCAGATAGCAGAACTTGTAGCAACTGAATTTTTTGATCAAGGAGACAGAGAGAGAAAAGAACTCAACATAGAACCCACTGTAAGTATGAAACCTTGTTGGTAGGAATTATTCAAATTGTTTTTTTTTTAATTGTAGACTCCTTTTTATGGCTCTATGGGATCTTTCCTTAGGACCACAATTTCTCATTTTATTTTTTAAAACTTTTTTCTCATTGGAAGAATTATACATGTTCATTACAGAAAGCAAAACCAATAAAAGGCATAATAAAGACTCTTGGGTTCATCATATTGTATCAGTGTTCTTTGTAATTTGTTTTTTTCCGCTTAAGTATTAGAAACCACTTTTCATTTTAACAAATATTCTTATGTATTATCATGATTACATGAAATCGATGTAACCATAATTTACCTACGTCCCTTGGTGTAATATTTGCAGTGTTCACTATTACAAACAGCACTGTGATAAACATCCATCATAGATGTTTCACTCCTACTCCTTGGTTCTCGCCATCAAAAGAATTTAATAGAGAAGCTGTGGCTGACAGAGAAAGGAAGGAGAGATACCAAAAGAAACATGGAGGAAAGATGACCAGATGTCATGCCACCACCACAGTCTCCCCAGTTTTCTCAGCATTCTACTTGTTTACTCCTTTGTTCAAAGTTCTCCTCAGAAGTGTGTTCAGAGCAGTGTTTCATCTATCATAGATGTTTATCACAGTGCTGTTTGTAATAGTGAACACTGCAAACATTACACCAAGGGAATAGATAAACCGCCAAACCTCATTCTTCATTATCTTGTTAGCATAAATTCCCAAAGTTGTCGTGTTGAAGGGCAAACAGAATTTAAAGGTCTTTGATACATACTGCCTTTTTACATAGAGTATGGATCTCAGATACAAGTAAAGATTCCTCTCAGCCCACTTCTGTTTTTTGGAATGAGTTTCCTTGAAATAAAACATAAGAGTTTTCCTCTTTTTTTCTTTTTGTATTAGTTGCTGTCTGACCTTCCTAGGCTAACCCACTGATTCACCTTTCTAGAGCCAGCTTTGTGTTCTTTAAATAAATGCACACAATGGCTCATGCCTGTGATGCCAGCACTTTGGGAGGCCAAGGCAGTCAGATCCCTTGAGGTCAGGAGTTCTAGACCAGCCTGGCCAACATGGTGAAACCCTGTCGCTAATAAAAATAAAAAATCAGCCAGGCGTGGTACTGCACACCTGACTAGGGAGGCTGAGGCAGGAGAATAGCTTAAACTTGGGAGGTGGAGGTTGCAGTGAGCTGAGATGGTGCCACTGCACTCCAGCCTGGACAACAGAGTGAGACTCCATCTCAAAAAATAATAAAGTAATAACTAACTAAATAAATAAATGCACATCTGTGTGTCTGGTCTGTATTTGTATTTTCAGGATCTAATGAACAGGGAGAAGAAAAACAAAATCCCAAGTATGCAAGTTGGGTTCATAGATGCCATCTGCTTGCAACTGTATGAGGTATTTATATGAAAACTACTAGACTTGCTAAACTTGGACTGTTGTGAATTAGAACCTAAAATTGAAGAGATTAATATTAGGCGCCTATATTTTGCTTCTAAATCAAGAAATAAAATTATTAGCAGTATGGTTTCTTTTACTGATGAACATGTTTGTATTGAACAAGGAACACATACTAATATCTATTGAGTGCCTACTATGTGCTAATCTCCAACAAATTGATTTGGGGATGCTAAGAAGAATTATGTGCCAGTGTTACCCTCAAGGAGCAATACTGTATATACTATGCGTTAGCATATTCTTTTTTTAAGTCTAAATTTTAGCCTAAATAAAGAAAAGTAATCCAACTTTTTCTCATTGTCATAATGTGGCTTTACTCTAGTTATAAAAATTCTTCTGAGATTAAAAGGAAGGAGGTAGAATATTGCAGGTTCCCATTTCCACGTATCTGCTGGCTTGGCTTTTGGAGGGGGGGTGGTTATTGTAGGCAAATAGATTCTCCCTAAAACATCTAACTTATTAGTTTAGATGTTTATGACTCAAATGCAGAAAGAAGAAGTTGTCTTTGTCTTTGAAGGTTTAAACGGAAATGTTTTAAGTTTTAATTATTTGGAAAAAGAACATTTGTCATGGAGTTATCATAGAATGTCAAGAGCAGAAAAAAAACCTAGAAATATTCTAATCCAGATATTTCAGATTTAGTAATTGAACTTGTAAAGTTCATCTCCCAACGAGACAGACTATTTGCCCCAAACAGGTGGTTAGTGGGAGAGGTGCATCTACAGTCCAGTTCTCACTCCTACTCCAGGATTCTCGCCATCAAAAGAATTTAATATAAAGAACTGTGGCTGACAGGGAAAGGAAGGAGAGATACCAAAAGAACCATGGAGAAAAAAAAAAAAAAAAACTAGGTGTCATGTGCCACTGTCGTCTCCCTATTTTTCTCAGCATTCTACTTGTTTACTCCTTTGTTCAAAGCTCTTCCTCAGAAGTATGAAGTGTGTTCAGAGCATTGTTTCAAACACTTGGACATCTCATTCTTTCCATAACAGTTGCTTTCCTTATTGATTGGATTAAGAGTTTCTCCATTAAAAATACTAATGGCTCTTTTGAGTTTTCTCCATCCCTGTAAATACAGTCAACATAGTAATCACCTATTATAGATGTTATCCTTCTACATTTATATATATATATATACACACACACAAGGATTCATTTTATTTGAATCTGCTGTTGAAAATTCTATGTGATACTGACAAGTATTTTTAATATTATTACAGAAATAGTTATGTTCTCACTATAGAAAAATCAGAGGCCGGGCATGGTGGCTTACACCTGTAATCCCAGCACTTTGGGAGGCAGAGGCAGGTTGATCACTTGAGCTCAGGAGTTCGAGGCCAGCCTGGCCAACATGGTGAAACCCCATCCCTACAAAAAAACAGAAAAATTATTTTCTATTATAAGCGCGGGTGTGGTGGCACGCGCTTGTAGTCCCAGCCACTTAGAAGACTGAGGCAGAAGAATTGCTTGAATAGGGGAGGAGGGGGTTGCAGTGAGCCAAGATCACGCCACTGCACTCCAGCCTGGGCAATGGGAGTGGAACCCTGCCCTAAAAAAAAGAAGAAAAAGAAAAATCAGAATTACTGAGAAGCAAAAAGGAAAATAAAACCAGTTACAATCCATTACCCAGAGAAAACTACAGATAACATATCAATGTATATGCTTTATGACATTTTCATATACTTTTCATTTAATAATTCAGTAATTGCCTTTTGCAATCCATAATGTCATTATATCCATATTTTATGTATCAAATGTGTTTCTGTGAGGTTTCTTTTTATTTTTTTATTCTGCGGGAGGTTTTACAGTGACAACCTATTGTTGGGTATTTGTCATTTTAAGTGGTTCACTATTAGGAAGAAATCTGAAATGAACATTCTGGTGGCTAAATATTTATGGCACTATAATTGGTACATAATAATGCCACACCAAATTATGAATCTTTATTATAATATAATCCTGGATAAAAGCCTATTTAAGTACATTGTATGAAACCATTCCCTAGAAAAACGCAAAAACTAAGCAGTTCCCTGATGCAGTCACACTTAGGAAGAGCCAACTGTACTACATAGAAACAAAATGTCTTTTTTCCCCTAAAAGTGGATTCCACACAGATCTGTCTCCCTAGCACAGTAATGTTATTTTGGAATGTGTGTGTTTGCTCTGTCCCTCAGCATGTACTCCTTATCTGTAGTGTTTTAGAAGAATCATGTGTAAATGATCTGTGTATGTGCTCACAAAGCTTGTGAAAATTTCAACAGTGAGTCTGCTTATGAAATGAGTGTGGGATGTGGCCCTTTGTAACAGGCCTGTGGGAGAGGACTTATTTCCTGGCTTCTCTCTAGCTGTTTGCTTTCTTTTTTCTCTTTAGGCCCTGACCCACGTGTCAGAGGACTGTTTCCCTTTGCTAGATGGCTGCAGAAAGAACAGGCAGAAATGGCAGGCCCTTGCAGAACAGCAGGAGAAGATGCTGATTAATGGGGAAAGCGGCCAGGCCAAGCGGAACTGAGTGGCCTATTTCATGCAGAGTTGAAGTTTACAGAGATGGTGTGTTCTGCAATATGCCTAGTTTCTTACACACTGTCTGTATAGTGTCTGTATTTGGTATATACTTTGCCACTGCTGTATTTTTATTTTTGCACAACTTTTGAGAGTATAGCATGAATGTTTTTAGAGGACTATTACATATTTTTTGTATATTTGTTTTATGCTACTGAACTGAAAGGATCAACAACATCCACTGTTAGCACATTGATAAAAGCATTGTTTGTGATATTTCGTGTACTGCAAAGTGTATGCAGTATTCTTGCACTGAGGTTTTTTTGCTTGGGGATTATTTTAAATAATTGGTTTTTGTGTTTTCTGAATTACCATTTTTTCAAGAATGTTTGGAATCTTTCCTTTTTCAAAAGTAGGTTAGGAGCAAATTATCATACATTCTGTGACATTTAAAGCCTTTATAGGATAGTGAAAAATGCTGGCTGAGTGGATTTTAAGAGAAATAATTGTATTTGTTAACAGTGTCTTTTTTTAAAAAGTTAAGGCACTCTGAAACAAATGGAAAGTCCTATGAAACTGTATTGTAAAGAAAACATTATTTAATTGATATGCTGTTTTGTGAGAGAACAGGCAAGACAGAACTTTGTCACTTCAGTGCAGTACATTTTTCTGAAAGCTACCCATAAAATCACTTTCATCTCACCTACCTGATGCAAAGCAGGTGAAACCTTAGGAGATGATCCAGTCACTGACTTGATTGAGGGATAAGTGTGATTTAGAAATGGAATGGCCTTGGATGTCTATCAGTGAAGAAAAATGTTCTGTTAGAAGATCTCTCTAAGAGTTTTTTTCCTTCTGAGCTTCCTTTTCAAAATAAAAGTGACAATTGTAGCATTGACTTGAAGTGAGACATGGTTATAGATAAGAGAGTACAAAATGACTCTTTTTCCTGTCAATTGAAATTTAAAGAAAAGTTTTAATTATATAAATAGCAAAGGGCTATTGCCAATACTAGGGTCAAAAATGAATTTGAGGGAACAGTGGGTAAGAAACTTTATGCCTGAATAACATTTAGCAGTATTGTGATTGAAAAATTGCCATATTTTGATGTATAGGACAAGTCAACTGAGATCCAGAGAATCCTGGATGTGAATGCTAAACACTGGCCCTTAACTCACATTCAATGTATTTTCTTCCCATAACATTTAGTATAGTTAATATTTTCTTAGAATTTGAGCCCATTTAAGTGGATTAATATTCTACATGTGTGCCCCTAAAGACACATTTACTCAATATTGGAGAAGTAGATAATGAATTAAGCAACTGGTCTAGGAAAGGAAAATTTGTTTCAAATATGCAGGAATGTTTGGATTTGGGGAGAGTAGAAGGAGAGATTTGCTTGATTTGTTAACTTCTACCTCCAACCCACAAAAAAGATATTTGATCTGAGTTTCTATCACTAATTTGGATAGAAAATTTCTAAGGGACATGGTAATCCAGCATTCTCAAGGACCTTTCGCCAAAATGTGTTTTCCATCTATGTCCCGATTCCCCTAAATTTTGCCTAAAATTCAGTATGTTCCTTAAGTTTTTAAAATTCTGAGTGTGTACAAATATCTTGACATAATGCAGTTTTATTTTTATCATTCTGGTAAAAAAACAAAAAATAGAAGCAAAACACATTGTATTGCCATTATTTTGTATTTGGTAAAGGTTAATCTAGGAAGTTACCAACTGTTTAATGCTATATGTATTGTATACTTGTATTTTCAGGATATTTTATTTTTTTTGCCATACAGATAAAATTTGTAAGGTTGCCCCTTTGTGGCACTGGTGTGTAAAATACACAGACTATCACTAAAATAATAGTTATATATACATACAGGTGTATACTTATGCATGCATACATAAATCCTTAGTATAGAAAAATTGCATAAAGAATAGCAATCTTTAATAAACCTTTTTATTACATTGTGATTTAGCAGTTATGCTAAAATATGTACTTATGCTTTAGTAGTTTGTTTGGTCCCCTCTAGTATGTGTCACTGAGAAATTTTTTAAAGACATGGTAGATCGTGTTTAGAGGCTTTGTATGTGTGTCATTTTAATAAGCAAGAAGATATATTTAGATTAGAAATGGTTTGGTCTGCCTTTGAATATTGTTTATTTTACTTTACTAGTTGAGACATTAAAGGAAGCTGGGCAATGCCTATTTTATTTCTTTGTTGGATATTTTAGTTCATACAAAGCAGAGTACTTCTTTAGGGCTGGTTAATTGGTTCAAATAATTTTTAATTTCCTTTCTAGTATCTTCTCAAGTTGGAAAAATATACATACAGTCCTCCTTCACCTTACTCTGTATTTATATTACCCATAACTAGCAAGAAGTTCTTGTTCTAGATTTTTTGTTTGTTTAGTTATAACAGAGTAACATACCATTTAATTACAATTTTTAGCCAGAAAAGTCCCCACTATTTTACTAACTTGTTAAAAGATATCTATATAATTGCCTGGCCTTATATTTTTCAGTAGATTAGACCGTGCCAATCACAATCCTGGGTGGATTTGTGTAAGTCACTTAACCTCTGTGTGCCTAAACAAGTTGTGCTTTTTTAAAAGGAGTTATGTTTGGGCAAAGCCTTTGTCTTCAAGCAGAATGTCACAGAAGGCAGCTACTTTATAAGCCCCAATGGGCCATGGAGACCACTGTCAGAAATGGGATATTAGTCTAGAGAGAAGGTGATCTATTCCCACATGTCATTTCTAATGTTGAGTTTCCATGACTGAACAAAGAGAATATATTTATTCAGCTTCACTTGCAGATCACTAGTGAATGTGAGATTTAGAGCTCATTGAGTATATTGCTTCAAGGTACAAACCCAGGATGATGATGTTGTCACCACTGTCTCTTAATTTTGAATAATAGTTTCCTTTAATAGGAGTATTAGAGATAAGAAAGTATATGAAAATATACTGGAAATATTGGATTCTTGGAGAAAACTGTTCAGTCACAGATATATTCTTGCCTAGCAGTGAAGTGCCTTTATTTTCAGCATAGCAAATAAATATTAGACCTGTTCCAATTTGATCTACAATTTTTTTCTGTGTTTTTCACCAGATTGTACTCCTAAAACTTAACAGGCCATCACAAGCAATTGTCTTTTGTTTACAAGATTGATTTAATATGAGAGGATACAAAATGTCATCGTTATCCTCTCTTATGAACAACTGTAGTCAAAATAAGGTGGCACAATTTAATTGTTTTGTATCAGAAATACACTGACCCACCTTTTATTGAGTCCTGCCACATGTTAGGTACCGTGCTCTGCTGTGGAGACAGAGCAGTGACCCCAAGGAGCTCACGGTCCCTGAAGGAGGTGCTAGAGAAGAGACTTAGCTTCTGATACTGCCAATTTAATGTGAGAACATGGGGTATACTGCATCATTTCCATTTTCATCAATAACATATGTTTTATGCACCTTCTTTACCTGAAACTTACTAAGAATCTACCAGTAAACAAACATCCTGTCTTTTTGCAAGTATGAATCACTTAACCTGCTGATAGTTGAAGAACACTTTAGGAGTTTTGTATTCTTGTATATAGTTTATTTTTTCCATGTGCTAGCCAGGTAAAGATTACACAGTTCTTCTGGACTGTTAAATTGTGCATGGTTTTGGACCCCTTCTGCTCTACTACAGAGAGTGAAGAAGAAAGTATTAAAGCTCACTTTACCATTCCATATACTTACTAAAAGCCTGTGTAAACATGTCTTAATGAATGTTGTTGAAAGCAATGTAAATAGTTGAAAATATAAATTTATATTACAGTTTAAGAAAACCTTATGAGGCATCACTAGCCACTGTTAATATCTATTTGTATTCTTATACCTTTTCAATATATTTGAACAAATATAGTTTCTGGCACTATTTTTATACTAGGAAAAGGAGTTACTATGTATATTATGCTTAGCTTTTAAGGCATTTTAAATAACCATGAATGTTGATTTCATTACTTTCCTTTCCTCCATCACGAGAGTCATTTCAGATGACTCTTTCATGACAAAATCACTTTAAAGGAACACTTACCTCCGATTCCTGTATAAAGTCATGAGATGGTCAAGGTGGTTTTCCATTGTGCAAATTCTTCACCTGTCAGTGGTTTCCTCATTTTGCCATGCTTTGTAAAAATAAAAAGAATGATCAAGTAGGTATGAATACTGTGTGATTATTAGGGGACTCTGAATTTTAAGGGAGGGGAATTAATAGGGGAGTTTGGATTTTAGGCAGAGAGAATGGGCCCAATACTTTGAGAGACTTTAATCAAGCTAACCTGTGATCCTATTAGCCGAAGAAAAGTAATCCTTTCCTTAGCCTAGACTCTTCTCAATAATAGTCTTCCTTTTATTAATACTCTTTGTTGCCAATTTGGGGGCAATGTTTTCCATCTCCTTCTCACTTCAAGTCAATAATGACTCTTTGGAGGGTGATTATTACCAGCCTGATGCTCCATGAGGAGCTGAGGCTTGGAGCTGAATACTTGGCCAAATGGCATGAGCTGGATTTGAGCCCAGATCTGTCTAGTTGCAAAGCAAGGGGTCTATTCCTTAGTTCTCTTTTTGAATTTAAATTTATAAAGGTCTCAAATCCACTCTTACAAGCCAAATGGGCTATCTGGAAGCATTAGAGACAGGAATTCCCTCACCCAGCAGGTTTGGTTTGTCTGAGTTTTTACAGTTAACATTTCTTAATTTAGTTCATCTGGTAATAGCTAAGAAAATGCCTTCACAGACTCCCACACCACTGTATCTCAGTGCTTCTAGTCTAGAGGTGTGAAATTATGAGTAAATGCAGAATTTCTGATTTCATTATTTTGCCATTAGACAAGCCTTCTTCATGTGGGGCAGAATATCTAGGTTATGTCTAATTCATAAAGCTAAAGGAAGAAGTAAAGTATAAGCTCATGTAGAACAATATTTTAGATTCTCTGACCACTAGAGAGTGCCAGAGTTTTAGTTATATTTAAAGAAGTAATCTTCCTTCCTGACCATAAAGAACTAATAAAACTGTGTGTTTTTTTTTAAGATTTTTAGTGGCTAAATAAAAATAAATGGAAAAAAATCAATAGAGAAAATAAAAGGTAGGGGGGAAAATTGTTTAAGACTTGCTTATTACCTTTTGTACAGTGATCACGTCCTCAAGATTTTCTCCAAACAAACAAAAGTTATCATTTGAAGTCTCTGATACTCAATATTCCATTTGGGTAGACATCTACCCTTCCTATGGAAAAGGGACACATTTGACAACTCTTGAACCTGCTTTGTTGCTCTTAGTTCTGTAGCATTCTTAGCAAACAGGGATTCTTACATTTGATATATGGAAATGTCAGCCTATGATTTTCTATTCTTAAGGCACATAACATTAAATTAGAAGAAATACTTAAAACTTGAAGAAAATATTCTTCACAGTTTTAAGCTGTATTCAGATTATAGCTCAGAAAAACATGTTTCCAGTTCACAAACCATTTGTTCAAAATAAAACCCACAAGTTACAAATAGAATAAAAATCATGATTATTTTAATCAAAAGAAATCTGACTGACTAGCATATGTGATTTCTCTTCCTGGCTTTCCTCATTTTAAGTATGTGTGTTTGTGTGCATGTGCACACACCTGTGCAAAGGTGTGTTTATGGTGGACAAAGGGATTTTAGGCAGTAGCCACAGGAACTGAGTTGGTTCTTTCAGTTATCTAACGGCAATCCCAATTTTAGGATTCCTCTTCCTAAACTGGAATCTCAGGGACAAGCTTGCATAGCTAAAGAAAAAAACACTGAACATGAACTATAATAACAGGGTTTGGGTTTTTTTGTTTTGTTTTGAGACAGGGTCTCACTCTGTTGCCCAGGCAGGGGTACAGTGATGCTTTCTCAGCTCACTGCAACCTATGTCTCCTGGGCTCAAGTGATCTTCCCACCTTAGTCTCCCAAGTAGCTGGGATCACAGGCCCATGCCACCACACCCATTTTTTGTAGAGACAGCATCTCGAACTCCTAGGCTCAAGCCATCCACCCACCTCGGCCTCCCAAAGTGCTGAAATTACAGGCATTGGCCACCATGCCAACCTTCATAATAGTTTCTAACTTTAATATACCTGATACTAACTACCTGCAAAGCTATTTTTCACATTTCCACTTCATATCATTTTTGTCTTACCCAATAGGAGTGTTTTAAGGCTTTATATGACACCAATCAGCATGTAACTGTAAGAAGCAAACTTCCCCCTTTACCACCCAGCTCTGAAAGTCAGGAATTCTCTGGTCTCACTGATCTGCCATGAAACGTGGTCATCAACTCTACCTCAGCTACAACTGCTCTCTATCTGTCTCTCTTTCTCTCTCTCTCTCCAGAAAAGCCTACAGAAATAGCTACTAAAGTTGCTCTACTGAGCCTATGAGAATAAGTAAGTTGGCTGGGTATGGTGGCTCACGCCTTTAGTCCAAACTACTCCGGAGGCTGAGGCAGAAGGGTTGCTTGAGCCCAGGGGTTGAAGGTTACAGTGAGCTAAGATCAAGCCACTGCAGTCTAGCCTAGGTGATAGAGTGGGACGTTTATCGCTAAAAAATAAAATAATTTTAAATAAAGGACAAATAAGTAGATCCAGCGATCCCACTACTGGGTATTTATCCAAAAGAAATAAAATAATGTCAGAGAGATACCTGCATTCCCATGTTTATTGCAGCTATTAACAATAGCCAAGATACGGAATCACCCTAATTGTCCATCAAAGGATGAATGAATAAGGAAAATGTGGTATATATACACAATGGAATACTATTCAGCCATTCAGAAGAATGAAATCCTGTCATTTGTGGCAACATAAATGAACCTGAAGACATTATGTTAAGTGAAATAAGCCAGGCACAAAAAGACAAATACCACGTAATCTCATTAATTTGTGGAATTTTTAAAAACCGATCTCATAGAAGTACACTGTAGATGGTTACCAAAGGCTGGGGTTGGGGGGTCGGGAAGGGGAAGAGATTGGTCAACAGATACAAAATTACAGATACATGGGAGGAATAAGTTCTGGTGTTCTAGTGCACAGTAAGGTGACTATAGTTAACAATATTGTACTTTATATTTCCAAATAACTAGAAGAGAGGATTTTGAATGTTCTCACTGCAAAGAAATGATAAATGTTTGAGATGATGGATTAGACAATTACCCTGATTTGATCATTATGCTATATATATATATATATAATATATATATGGAAATATCACACTGTATCCCATAAATGTGTGCAATTGCTAGGTGTCAATTGCTAGGTGTCAATTAAAAATAAAACCTATAGAAAAGAATCAGTAAATCAGTAACACTCCTTGGAAGATGAGGAGAGGACTGTAACTTTGTTTTCTGGAGCCTCTGCTGCTCTTTTTCTACTCTGGCTCCATCCTCGAGAAACATTCAGTTCTCCCCGGCCCCACCTGAATTACACAGCCTTCCTGAACTACCAGCATCTCTCTGCATTCTTTCTTGTACTTTGAAGGGACTCAACAAATACCTATGGAGTAAAAGAATAGATTCCCATTGTTTCTTACCTGACATAAAATTGAGTTTTTTATAATGAAGAAGGTAATTTTAGTGAAGGGCAATAGAAAAATCAATATAGCATTTTTAAAAGAATCCTCAGTTGAACAAGAGCTGAAATGTAATATGAAAAAACTGACTGAATAATAAAAAAGTTTTTAGAAAAATATATTTCTGTTTCTACTGTGAAAAACATGTTAGTTGCCAGGCTTTCATTAATAAATTGACAACCAGTGTGAAGTTACTCCCAGTGGGAGCTTTTATTGCTAGACACCAACGAAAATTCATAAAGGCGGAAGGCTAAAAATCTATGGAAACAAACAACTTCAAGCCAAGAGGCAGGATTAAAAAAAATAATAATAAGCAAACATGTCAACAGAAGACATGCATTCATTCACAAATAGTTGGTTCTCTACTAAGTGTCAAGCTAGGGTACACTAAATAGGCATGGGCTCACAGAGCTTGCAGTTCAGTGGAGGAAACACACGAGGGCAAACAAGCCATTAGATCTATGCACTGAGGGTAAAGAGTGGAGGGTATTTAATTCAAACTTGAAGCTCACAGCTTCCTTAAGGATGTGACCTCTGGTTTAGTCAAGTGAAAAGGGAAAAGAGCGTTCCAGGCAGAAGAATTAGAATATCTAAAGATCTAAAAGTAGCAGACTAGAGAACTTGAAACATCTACTACTACTTATTTAAATACTTACAAAATTATTATACTTATGAATGATGAGTATTAAAAGTATATTTATAAAGTATAAATATTTCATACTTATGTTTTATAAAATAAAGCAAATATCCTTTGACATAGCTCTTAAGAAAGTAAGGGAAATTCCCAGAGGCCAAAACAAAGACAATTAAATATCCAAGTAGAAAGCATGTAAGCGATGCTATAACAGACCTGGGACAATTTGCAGACCTCTATCATAAAGGGTTTAATGCCCACCCCAGCTGGTGTCAACCTAAAATAAACAGCAGAGAGACTGGCTTCCAGATCAGAGTTTATCTGGTAATAGCAGGGGATTGTAATCAGATATACATGCTATAGAGGGCCATAGGTGCATCCAGAGAAGCAAAGAAGACAAGGGGTTTTTTTAATGGAATATATTTCCTATTAGCGTTTTTATTATTCACAGCATAATTTATTTTAAAACCAATTTAATTCCTTTTAACCTATTAAACAAAACTAGCTAGGTTAAATTAAACTTAGCAGTGTGCGAAATAACTTAAGGATAACTTACAAAAGGGAATTTGGAATAACCCAGAAATTATATTATTACTTACACATAATTCAAAACAATATGAAAATAAAGGCAAAACGAAGGAGGTTACATTCGTTGTTTTGAAATGATATCCTTGGCTACAAGGATTAATAACAAGAGTGGCATCAGTTCATTAGTGGACAGACAGCTGCTGGGCAGGCATCCTTATAGATGTAATCTTTGTACAAGGTTGTGGTTTTGACAATCTGTTGTGATAGTTTCTGTTATCATGCAAACATGTAAGAAGGTCCTCCCTTCATGGTCTCCAAGCTCTCTTTCCTTACGGTTTGACAGAAGTGACTCCATTTTTGTATAGACAACTTTCACACAGGAAACATGGTCTTGAGACCCCAGGAAGCCTTTAAGGAATGGCCCTCCCAGTAAGGCTGAAACCTCTGAAGAGCTACATCCTCAATGAATATGTGTGAGATGGGGAGGCAAGAACCCACTCAGATTCACAGGGAAACATAAAGGAAGCATGTCTGTCTTAATCTGGGCCCTGGTTAACAAAAAATTTACATTGGGTTTATCCTCATAGTCACACAGATTTGAGTTTGAATATGATCTGGAACTACCCACATTAAATTGTAAGCACAAAAAGAAGTCTCATGCCAGTAATGTCCTCTGTACATCTGGCAAAAGCAAAGGCAGAATGTCTTTGGAATAACACATCCTCAAACAGGCCCATCAAATTTCCACAGAAATTACACTACTTAAGAAAAATTCTTAATTCATAATTTCAAGACACACGAGGAAACAATCAACATGTAAGAAGTCAGAAGTCACAAGACTAAGATCAGATCCCCAAGAAATTCACACAATAGATCTATCTGTTTGAAGCTGTTGGGAGAAATCATTGATTCCTCACTCCTGTGTCTCCATATGGAGGAGCACCCCTAAAGTGACATTCTCAGCCTCTTTCTCCACCTCTAATTCAACCCAGTCTGTTTGTAATGTGATAGCCGTCAGTCCACACTCCTTAAATGGGTGAGGTTGATCTAAAAAAAAGCAGTAAAATGTTGCGGATGTGTTTCTTTTCCTTACCTTTCCACCCTGGTCCAGTGCAAGCTGGAAAGCCTAAGTTTGTCTAGGTATGTGGGCTGTCCCAAGATCTAACCTGTAGAAGGGATGGGGATTGAAGCAGAGGGTAAGAGTAAGCCCATTTAAGTGTAGAATGTTCCTGAACCTGAACATGTTCTCCAAACCCCTTACTTACCTGACTCTCTCCACAAAGCACACTAGCTAATGTCACAGAGTTTTCTGAGGTTAACTATGCCTGTCCTCTAAGGGCTTTCTAGATTGTTGATCAGCAACACCAATGGGCCTTTCCAATCAAGCCTTCTCCTGCTTCTCATCAATGTGGTAAACCTGTGATTTCCTGGTTCTGTCTTAAGCTGTGCCATTCTAGGGACAAACATTCCTTGTGCCAATGAGAACATTCTTACTCATCTCTCCTTTCTGCTGGTGGCTGTATGGGGGAATAGGGGACAGAAGAGAGGTCAACATTGAAAGGGATCACATTTTAGGAATGCAGTGAATATGATCTAATGAGTTCAAGAAAAGTATAACTGAAAGATGTGTTTCTAAGTTATAAAATTCTGAAAAATAAATTTAACATGACCAGAAATTATCATTCCTATTTTTTTCTTCCTACTCCATGGAACACTTGCATTTGTGATGACCATCAACAAAGCACACTAACAAACCTTTAGTCATTGGAAACCAATATTCACAGGCAACACAATGGATGAAACAGCATCACGAATAATACAAACAACATCAATGAATGGTATTAGGGAACTGCAGAGGCAAGATCTATATTATTTTCATATAAACAGATTCTAAACAGCCACAGCATTTTGAGTATGAGTATTGTTATTCTTTTTCTCCCAGTGAGAGATGAAATTAGAGAACAACTCATTTGACAATAAAAAACACAAGCAGACTGTTCCTGGACCTAAACAGGAAGAGATAGTATCTGGACAATACTACCAAGATGAATTATTTTCACATGCACTAATTGGAAAATGAAGTATGTAAATCACTCTTCTCTACCCGTTTTTCTACATTTTCTTTTAAGTTCCGGGGTACATGTGCAGGATGTGCAGGTTTATTACATAGGTAAATGTGTGCCATGGTGGTTTGCTGCACCTATCAACCCATCACCTAGGTATTAAGCCCAGCATGCATTAGCTCTTTTCCCTAATGCTCTCCTCCCAGCACCCTCCCATGACAGGCCCCAGTGTGTGTTGTTCCCCTCCTTGTGTCCATGTGTTCTCATTGTTCAGCTCCCACTTACGGTGTTTGGTTTTCTGTTCCTGCATTAGTTTTCAGAGAATAGCAGCTTCCAGCTTCGTCCATGTCCCTACAAAGGACATGATCTCATTCCTTTTTATGGCTTCATAGTATTCCATGATGTATATGTACCACATTTTCTTTATCCAGTCTATCATTGATGGGCACTTGGGTTGATTCCACGTCTTTGCTGTTGTGAATAGTGATGCAATGAACATACGCGTGCATGGATCTTTACAATAGAATGATTTATATTCCTTTGGGTATATACCCTGTAATGGGATTACTGGGTCAAATGATATTTCTGGTTCTAAATCTTTGAGGAATTGCCACACTGTCTTCCACAATGTTTGAGCTAATTTACATTCCCACCAACAGTGTAAAAGTGTTCCTATTTCTCCGCAACCTCACCAGCATTTGTTGTTTCATGACATTTTAATCATTGCTATTCTGACTGGCGTGAGGTAGTATCTCATTGTGGTTTTGATTTGCCTCTGTCTAATGATCAGTGATATTGAGCTATTTTTCATGTTTGCTGGCTGCAGTATCTGTTTTTGAGAAGTGTCTGTTCAAATCCTTTGCCCACTTTTTAATGGGGTTGTTTTTTTTCTTGTAAATTTGCTTATGTTCCTTGTAGATTCTTGATATTCACCCTTTGTCAGATGGAGAGATTGCAAAAATTTTCTCCCATTCTGTAGGCTGTCTGTCTGGTCTGATAATAGTTTAATTTGCTGTGCAGAAGCTCTTTAGTTTAATTAAATTCCATTTGTCAATTTCTGCTTTTGTTTTAATTGCTTTTGGCAATTTCATTATAAAGTCTTTGCCCATGCCTATGTTCTGAATAGTATTGCCTAGATTTTCTTCTAGGGTTCTTATAGTTTTGGGTTTTACATTTAAGTCCTTAATCCATCTTGAGTTAGCTTTTGTATAGGGTGTAAGGAAGGGATCCAGTTTCAATTTTCTGCATATGGCTAGCCAGTTCTCCCAGTACCATTTTTAAAATAGGGAGTGCTTTCCCCATTCTTGTTTTTGTCAGGTTTGTTGAAGAGCAGATGGTTGTAGATGTGCAGTTTTATTTCTGAGCTCTGCATGCTGTTCCTTTGGTCTATGTGCCTGTTTTTGTACCAGTACCATGCTGGTTTTATTTTTTTTTTTTTACTGTGGACTTGTAGTATAGTTTGAAGTTGGATAGTGTGATACCTCCAGCTTTCTTCTTTTTGCTTAGGATTGTCTTGGCAATGTGAACTGTTTTTTGGTTCCATATGAATTTTAAATTAGTCTTTTCTAATTCTGTGAAGAATGTCGATGGTAGTTTAATGGGAATAGCATTGAATCTATAAATTCCTTTGGGCAGTATGGCCATTTTCATGATATTGATTCTTCCTATCCATGAGCATTGGATGTTTTTCCATCTGCTTGTGTCCTCTTTGATTTCTATAAGCAGTGGTTTGTAGTTCTCCTTGAAGAGGTCTTTCACTTCCTTTGTTAGCTGTATTCCTAAGTATTTTATTCTCTTTGTGGCAATTGTGAATGGGAGTTCATTCATGATTTGCATTTCTTCTTGTCTGTTGTTGGTGTATAGGAATGCTTGTGACTTCTGCACATTGACTTTGTATCTTGAGACTTTGCTGACGTTGCTTATCAGCTTAAGAAGCTTTTGGGCTGAAATGATGGGGTTTTCGAGATATAGGATCATGTCATCTGCAAACAAAGAAAATTTGACTTCCTCTCTTCCTATTTGAATACGCTTTATTTCTTTCTCTTGCCTAATTGCCCTGGCCAGAACTTCCAATACTACATTGAATAAGACTAGTGAGAGAGGGTATCCTTGCCTTGTGCCAGTTTTCAAGGGGAATGCTTCCAGCTTTTGCCCATTCAGTATGATGCTGGCTGTGGGTTTATCATAAATGGCTCTTATTATTTTGAGGTATGTTCTTTCAATACGTAGTTTATTGAGAGTTTTTAACATGAAGGGATGTTGAATTTTATTGAAGACCTTTTGTGCACCTATTGAGATAATCATGTGGTTTTTATCTTTAGTTCTGTTTATGTGATGAATGACATGTATTGATTTGTGTATGTTGAACCAGCCTTGCATCCCGGGGATGAAGCCAACTTGATCATGGTGGATGTTTTTTGATGTGCTGCTGGATTCAATTTGCCAGTATTTTACTGAGGATTTTTGCACTGATGTTCATCAGGGATATTGGCCTGCAGTTTTCTTTTTTTGTTGTATCTCCATCAGGTTTTGGTATCAGGAAGATGCTGGCCTCATAAAATGGGTTAGGGAGATATCTCTCCTTTTTAATTGTTTGGAATTGTTTCAGAATGGTACCAGGTCCTCTTTGTGCCTCTGGTGGAATTCAGCTGTAAATCCATCGGGAGCTGGGCTTTTTTTGATTGGTAGGCCATTTATTACTGCCTCAATTTCAGGACTTGTTATTGGTCTATTCAGGGATTCAACTTCTTCCTGGTTCAGTCTTTGTAGGGTGTTTATGAGTGCAGGAATTTATCCATTCTTCTAGATTTTCCAGTTTATTTGCATAGAGGTGCTTATGGTATTATCTGATGGTTGGTTGTATTTCTGTGGCGTCAGTAGTGGTATCCCCTTTATCGTTTCTGATGGTGTTTATTTGAAATCTTCTCTCTTTTCTTCTTTATTAGTCTCGCTGGTGGTCTATTTCATTGATTTAAAAAAAAAAACAGCTACGGGATGCATTGATTTTTTTGGAAGGGTTTTTCATGACTCTTATCTCCTTCAGTTCCACTCTGAGCTTAGTTACTTCTTGTCTTCTGCTAGCTCTGGGATTTGTTTGCTCTTCATTCTCTAGTTCTTTTAGTTGTGATGTTAGGGTGTCAATTCGAGATCTTTCTAGATTTTTTATGTGGGTATTTAGTGCTATAAATTTCCTTCTTAACACTGCTTTACCTGCATCCCAGAGGTTCTGATACATTGTTTCTTTGTTCTCATTGATTTCAAAGAACTTCTTGATTTCTGCCTTAATGTCATTATTTACCCAGGAGTCATTCATTCAGGAGCAGATTGCTCAATTTCCATGTAGTTGTGTGGTTTTGAGTGGGCTTTTTAATCTTGAGTTCTAATTTGATTGTGCTGTGGTCTGAGAGACTGTTATTATTTCAGTTCTTTTGCATTTGCTGAGGAGTGCTTTACTTCCAATTATGTGATTAATTTTAGAGTAAGTGCCATGTGACGTCAAAAAAAATGTATATTCTGTTGCCTTTAGGTGGAGAGTTCTGTAGATACCTATCAGGTCCACTTGTTCTAGAGCTGAGTTCAAGCCCTGAATATCTTTGTTAATTTTCTGTCTCATTGATCAGTCTAAACTATTAATTTTCTGCCTCATTGACCCATCTAATATTGACAGTGGGGTATTAAAGTCTCCCACTATTATTATGTGGGGGTCTAAGTCTCTTCGTAGGTCTCTAAGAACTTGTTTTATAAATCTGGGTGCTTCTGTATTGGGTGCATATATATTTAGGATAGTTACCTCTTCTTGTTGAATTGAACCCTTTAACATTATGTAACGCCCTTCTTTGTCTTTTTTGACCTTTGTTGGTTTAAAGTCAAAAAAATTTTGGTTTAAAGTCAAAAAAAATTTTGTTAGAAACTAGGATTGCAACCCCTGCTTTTTTATGCTTTCCATTTGCTTGGTAAATTTTTCTCCATTCCTTTATTTTGAGTCTATGTGCATCTTTGCACATGAGATGTGTCTCTTGAATACAGCACAGTGATGGGTCTTGTCTTTGTATCCAGCTTGCCATTCTGAATCCTTTAATTGGGGTATTTAGCCCATTTACATTTAAGGTTAATATTGTTATGTGTGAATTTGATCCTGTCATCATAATGCTGGCTGGTTAATTCTGCAGACTTGTTAATGTAGCTGCTTCATAGTGTCATTGGTCTGTGTACTTCAATGTATTTTTGTAGTGGCTGGTAATGGTTTTTCCTATCCATGTTTAATGCTTCTTTCAGGAGCTCTTGCAAGACAGGTCTCTGGTGGTGACAAAATACCCCAGCATTTGCTTGTCTGAAAAAAGATTTTATTTCTCCTTTGTTTATGAAGCTTAATGTGGCTGGATATGAAATTCTGGGTTGGAATTTCTTTTCTTTAAGACTGTTGAATATTGCCCCCCAATCTCGTCTGGCTTGCAGGGTTTCTGCTGAGAGGTCCGCTGTTAGTCTGATGTGTTTCCCTTTGTAGGTGACCTGGCCTTTCTCTCTGGCTGACCTTAACAATTTTTCCTCCATCTCAGCCTTGGAGAATCTGATGATTATGTGTCTTGGGGTAGATCTTTTCAAGGAGTATCTTATTGGGGTTCTCTGGATTTCCCAAATTTGAAAATTGTCTGTCTTGCTAGGTTGGGGAAGTTCTCCTGAAGGATATCCTACAGTGTGTTTTCCAACTTTGATCCATTCTCCCTATCTCTTTCAGGTACTCCAATTAGTCATAGGTTTGGTCTATTTACACAGTCCCATAGTTCTCGGAGGCTTTGTTTGTTCCTTTTTATTCTTTTTTTTTTCTAATCTTGTCTAAATTTTCATTGAAAAATCATTATACCAGTTTCCTATTGCTGATGTAACAAATAACCACCAATTTATTGGCTTAAAACAACAGCACTTTATTAACTTAAAGTTCAGATAGTCAAAAGTCTAAAATGGGTCAGCAAGGAATATAAGGTTGAATTCCTTCTGAAGGTCATTTCCTTGTTTTTTGGAGCTTTTGAGGTTGCATGCCTTGCTTGACTTAATAGCCACTTCCTCCATCTTTAAAGCCAGCAGTGTAACATCTTCCTCTCTCTCTCTCTCTCTCTCTATCCCCCCGTGTGTGTGTGTGACCTCTGCTTTTGTGCCAATTCCTCTGACAGTCTGCCTCCATCTTTAAAGGACCCTTGTGATTACACTGCACCCACTCAGATAATCCAGGATGACCTTCCCATCTCAAAATCCTTAACTTAATCATATCTGTAGAGCCCCTTTTACCAAGTAAAGTAGCAGATTCACAGGTTCCAAGGACTAGGATGTGGTCATCTTTAGGGGCCATTATTCTATCTACCACAGTCACTATCTTTCACATGAGGTCATGAATTTTGCAATTCATTTTTTGGTGTGATCCTTTTTAATACACTTTATTCTTTTAAGAGCAGTTTTCAGTTCCCAAAATTACAGAAAGTTCCCATATACCATTGTCCTCTACACACATCAGTTCCCCCAGTATTAACACTGGGCACCAGAGTGGTATATTTGTTATAATTAATGTACCTATGTTGACACATCATTATCACCCATAGTCCATAGTTTACATTAGAGTTCACTCTTGATGTTGCACACTCTATGAGTTTTGACAAATGTATAATGACCATGGATCCACCAATATGAATCATACAGAATAATTCACTGCCCTAAACATCTGTGCTCTGCCTATTTATCCCTTCCTCCCCTTTAACCCCTGACAACCACTGATCTTTTTAATATCTCCATAGTTTTGCCTTTTCCAGAGTGTCATATGGTGGAAATCATACAGTTTTATAGCCTTTTCAGATTGGCTTCTTTAACTTAGAAAAATGCATCCAAGGTTCCTCTATATCTTTTTATAGCTTGGTAGCTCATTTCTTTTTAGCAAAAAATATTCCGTTATAAATGTATCACATATAACACATTTTTAAATCAAATCATCTATATAGACAGAGACATCACACACCCTAAGAACTGCACTGCCCTAAGCCCTCAAGAAAAATTTAAATTCTGTCCAGTACACTCTTAGGTAAGCAAATAATATACATGATAAAATAGATTTTATGAGGTTTTTGAAATATATAATCAAAACATATTAAGTGCCCATTGCAGAAAATACAATAAATAGTGCACTAGTATTGTTATTGTTGTTATTACCATCATGGTGATGATGGTGAAAGATTTCAATCCCAGGGATTAAAATGCAAGCTTTTAGTCTTAGGTATATAAAACTTGCCTATTGAAAACACATCTAGAATAAGTTACACTTAGATTGTGCTTTTCCATTTACCAAGGCCTTTCCCATACACGACCTTGTCTGATCTTTATAGCAGTTCTGCCACATAGGCATTATTTTCATTCCTGACTTTCAGATAATAAAACTGAGTCTCAGAAACTCAGTTGTTTCACCTCTTGTAATCTGCTGAATTGCCACTTGAACCCAAGTTTTTCTATATCAAATCTTGCACACAGCATTACAAAATATTTCCATCCTCTAAGGATTCCAAATGGTCAGGTATTTATTACACAAATTAGTAATTTTCCAAGTGTAGTTCTTAGACAAGCTGCAGCAGCAGCATCTCCTGTTGAAAGTTCTTGGGCCCCATACCCATCTACTGAGGGTGAGGCCTGGGCAATCTGTGCTTTAATCAGCACTTTAAAGTTTGAGAACCACTCTTATAAAACATTGGTTTTTTTGTTAGTTTTTTGCCTAGTTGCTTGCAGTCCCTGGATTAAAGAGAGACAAGACATAACCATACAAAGCAGTTAACTAACGATTCAATGATTACAATAACACTTTTATTAGAAAGGGTCCTATAAGTTTAAACAGAAAACTCATTACAACTTTGTCTTTTTCTAATTATTTAGATTTTTCAGCTCAAAAAAGTATAACATATTCCATCCATGTAGAGAAGAGAGAAGCAAAAACATGAAGGGTTTCGGATTGAATTTCCACAGGGGCAGAACTAGGATAATCATAATTGTTTCCAGAGTTTCTTCTCCTATGTTATCTACAATTGCTTAAGCAGAACTTTGAAAGATTAGTTCCACTATCAGTCCTCTCCCCATAGATCATATCCTTGGAGAACATTTAACTGCAAAAGGCCAGAATGATGAAATTAAGACCTCTCACAGTTGGAACGAAGACAAATTGGATGTGGCATGTCATAGGCTAAGAGGGGCAAAGGGAAAGCAGACATTTTATCTGTTACAGATATTGCTTACTGATAATTCCACAAATTGTTCCTAGGATCTGTAAGTAGAGGGCAAAGATGCTCCTTCTAATTCATCATCCAAGTATGTCCTAATGAGTTGAATCAACATTCAAGAGCAACTTGAGAGGGCAAAGACATTGACCAGCCACCATTCCAGAGGTCTGATGTTCACCACTCATTCCCAGAACCAAGGGATCAGTCCAGTTTTGAAAGGAGCCTTGGGAAAGACTTTGGCAAAATCAATCAATAAATCCCTGAGGCAAAACAATCTGTTCCATGTCTATCACAGAGAGTAAGCATTTCTGAAGAGATTTAGGAGAGAAGGTGAGGTTTAGTGGTGCTTTCATCAGAGGCCAATATCCAGGGTAGGGCTGGTTCCCCAGTCAGCTCTAGACTTTGCTTGCTGCTCTAGTTTGGAATCTCTTCAAAACCTGGGGTAAACACCAGGTGAGAATGGGGCTGTTCCAAATCCCTAGGGAAAGAGTGCTTACTCTGGCCAGGGAACAGGCCCTGGTGGCCATCCTGCCACAGGTATAGTGAAGCATCTTTCTGCTCTGAACTCTGCACCTTAATTAGCCTCCAGGAGCTCTGTGAAGCCTGTCCTCAGCACAGCTGGCAGGTGATTTCATGCCTAAAGAGGCCTTTTCAATGAAGTTACCAGAAGATAATTCTCTGCATTACAGAAAGCAGGGAGAGGGAATGAGGCCAACATTACTGAGGAGTAACTATGTGCCACCCCTTTCCATACATTAACTCATTTGATCTTCATGATAACTGCATTAGGTAGGTGATTTTACACCCATTTTTTAGAAAGGAAAACAAGGCAGAGATGGTTAGTTACTACTCCAAATCACACAGTTTGTAAGAGGCATAGCTGGAATACGAACTTGGGTGTGGCTCCAAAGTCCATACTCTCCTAACTACTGTGTGTTCACAGTAGAAAGGGCCCATATGCTAATTGGCCATCTCTGAGAGAAAAGTCACTTTAAGTCTTTTGCTGTGGGTTGCTACCCAGATATCAATGGAGATTACAGTGTAGACATCACCTGTGCCATCTTTCTTAGCGTGCAAACCATACATACTAATTATGCTGTATTAAGAGAGAACTGTTATGCACTTCTATCATCTAACAAAGACAGCTGAGTCAGGAATTTTCTCATGAATTACCCTTTTTTATGTTGTCTATTCCTCTTTTTCCATTGAAATCTCCTTTCTCTATACTATCACCATACATCCCAGTTAAACAGAAGTCCAGCATCAGTGTTCTTCCATTATCTCTTACATGAGGGAAAAAAAGACTAAGGTGAACCCTTTTACAGAGGTAATCAGAGAGCACTTGCTGCTTGCTTCAGTATAATCAGAGGTAATCTGATTTTACAGAGGTAATCAGAGAGCAATCTGCTTGCTTCAGTATAATCCTCTAAGTGCTCTTTCCTTTGCCCTGAACAAGCTTGATACATAACAGAGTTGATATATATACAAGCTTGATATATAACCTCAGTGATAGTTCAGCCAGTTAATCATTCATTTGTGATGGTCTAAATCAGGAGAATGATTTTCTGTGAAGTTTGTTTAATCATTTTCAAGTGAGCCAAACTAATCCCTTGTGGAAACAAACTCCTTTCTTCCTAGAATATGTATCTATTATTCCCCATTGGGGGTTTATTTAACCATTACAGAATACCTCACTTTGTATTTGTCAACTACAATTTTATCTTTCTTTTTATAAGCTATTTGCAAAACAATTTGGTGATAGAATCCAGTCCTACAGAGCAGAGTTCCTAGGCAACATTAACCCAGGGTATTGCATGCCAGGGCAGAGCAAACAATCTGAAATGAAATAGGAGGAGAGCACTTGTAGGCAGCCAGGGTGTTCTGACACATCCTAGAGGTAGGAACACTCACCCTCATCTGTGAGAGAGCTGACTGTACCATGGCTATTTCTCCAACAAATCAACTCTAAGAGTTTCTCATCAGTAAATAATTAAAGATGTGGATTAAAAAAAACCTGTACAAAGTTATAATAATGGAAGTTTCAAATGATATAAATGCCCATCCCTTAGAGGACTAATTAAATAAATTACAATACATTCCTATAGAAGAATACCATGCAGGCATATTTCAAAATCATGTAAAAATAAGCTCTATTGAGATGACAGTATTTAGTGAAAAAAACAGATTACAAAATCCTATTATATAGAACTTTTTTAATTAAAAAAAGGATATGATTGGATAGACAAGTTGCTAATAATGGCTATCTCTGAATGGAGAAAATTTTTTGTGATTTTGTTGGAGTTGTTTTTGCTTTTCTACATATTCTGATTTTTCTGAGATAAGCCTATATTGATTTCATAATCAGCATAGGAGAAAAACAATAAAAATATTCTGGAAAAGATTCCACAAAACACTAGCAGCTTTCATTCCCATAGTTCCCATCTGAACCAAAAGACAGAAGTAGCTCTTTGCATGTAAACTGGCATGGTAGTATTGTTTCTCTCAACATCTTAATTTCTGTACCCTTCTTTTATGGTCTGTGTCTCTCTATAAAAGTTCCCAAGAAGGAACCTTGAATTGGTCCTTGAGTTGCAATATTCAATACAGAATGCCCTTGCTTCATAGGGTCTCCTCATACACAGTTTGCTCACTATTGCTATTGCTTCCTCCCTTCTGAAAGTAATTCACTCACCCATGACCTTCTGCAGCATTAATTCAACACAGACTAAGAAATATTTCTTTTAGACATCTTATCACTTTAGCTTGGAAACATGTCTGTGTATAGCCTAGATTTGTATGACACTCTGACCATAATCAAGTCTATGGGAGTCACTGGTGAAAGAAAATTTCAAAACTTTGACTTTCCTGTCTCCCCTGGCCTATCAAGGCTCTCAAAATGAAAGTATGCTCTAATAGAAATGGAATTCCCATTTGGTTACACACTGTGAGGCTTGGTTTTGTAACCAGAAATAACCAAACCAGGTATATGCTACTGTGTTAGGCATTTCATACATTTTCAATCTCTGCAAAAACCCTCTGAGATATACATTATTGTCCTTTAGATATGATAAAACTGGAGGCCAAAGAGGTCAAGTAACCGGCCTCAGGTCATTCAATTAGCTATAAATTTTCTACTATAATTTGAACAAGGTGATTTCTCCAACCCTTTTAACCACTGCATGTTATAGCACCATAAGATTTAATTAACACAACAAATCTAAAAAAGGAAAAAAAAAATCTGCCCTCATCTCTCCATGTCAGAAACAAGGCTTAATGATTGTGGGATTATTCCAAAGAATAGGAGAAATGAAATTTATAGGAAAAGCTATAAATTAACAGTGTTTATCTTGCTAATGAAGGAGAAATAAATATTTGTTTAAAAAAATGCCTAAATACAATTTTGTCAAGAATGCATAATTTTTTAAAATTGTAGGCAGATTAAATTTAAAGAAATAAGGCCAGGCCTGATGGCTCACATTTGTAATCTCAGCACTTTGGGAGGCCGAAGTGGGAGGACTGTTTGAGCCCAGGAGTTTGAGACCAGCCTGGGCAACAGAACAAGACCCTGTCTTTACAAAAAATAAAAAATTAGGCTGGCATGGTGGCACGTGCCTATAGTTCCAGCTACTTGGGACTGAGGTGGAGTATTGCCTCAGCCTAGAAGGCAGAGATTGCAGTGAGCCATGATCACTGCACTCAGCCTGGGTGACAGAGTGAGAACCTGTCTCAATAAATAAATTAATAAAGAAAATAATTTATCAGTCCAGACATGCATCAAGGCAGGCCTAGGGGTAGTATGGAATAGGGATCCAACTCATATTATGAAAGACAGGTTCTTATCTAGACTGTTAGAGTTTCAGTCTGGGACAAAACTAAGTCACACGAATAAACAGTCATGATAGAGGGATGAAGGCTATGCATGGGTCCGTGGATTCCCACTCCAAGCTGATACAGTGCTGCCTCTGTCAAATGTCCAAATGAGACCAACGATGAGCTCCTAATAACATCATCCCTGGAGGAGATCTCTGGCCTGTTGATTATTTTCAGCCTGTCCTACCCTAGAAGGGGTTGCAATTAAGCTTGACTGGAACAGACACATTTTGAGGGTATGGTTTTGCCTTTCCTGCTGGCAAAGCCTCAGCATCTGGGGGCTACAGAGTGTTTGATCCATTGTTATGGAATCCTGTGTGACATCACATCAGACCAAAGAACTCAGAGCAAAAGCAGTACACCCCTGGGTACATGATCATAAGATCCACTGGATTTATAACCTGCCACATAGCCCAGAAGCTGGCCTTTTGAAGGGACAGCTGAAGAACAAGATTGGAGCTGATATACTTCAAGGGTAGGGCTGCATCCTCCAAGATGAAGTATACACCTATTACTAATCATTATATGGTAGTCTGTCTTCAACAGACCAAATACATGGATCTGGAAACTAAAGGGTAACAGCAGAAATTGTCCTTTTGCCATCACTTCTCGCTCCCTCAACTCTGGGCTCTGTGAGTTAGAAATCCTATTTTTTAAAGGAAATGCTTCCTTCAGCAGACACAGCAGAAATTCCATTAAACTTAAGCTGTGGCTGCTACACAGTCACTTTGGGGTCTGTGTGCTGAGAGACCAAGGAAAGAAGTCACTATCCTGGCAAGAGTAACTGACCCAGAGCATCATAAAAAAGTAGGGTTGCTATTCTACACTGGGTACAGAAAGAAATATGTTTGGTACCCAGATGATCTACTGGAGCATCTTTTAGTAATTCCTTGCCCAATTTTGAAAGAAAATGTGAAATGCAGCAGCCACAGCTTGGGAAGCGCATAATGGTCAAGGTCTAGACTCTTTAGGGAAAGTCTCCAAGGACTTTATATTCTGGGGGAAGATATACCTTATTATAGCAAACCAGTGTAGTTACTAATATTTTTAATATATTAGTATAATTATTACAAACAGGAAAGGAACAAGAAACACAAAAAATCAAAACAGTAACTCTTGGTGGGGAGACGGACAGAGCTGAGATTGGGGATGAACACAGGGAACTTCAACAGTTTGGCAATTCCTCCAGAAGAAAACCCCAACATAAGGATTTGAGCATAAGTAGTTTATTCAGGAGGTTATCACAGGAAACACTAGTGAACTACTTATTTCCCTGCGAAAGCAGAGAAGACAGATGAGAAGAAAGTAAATCCATATAGGCTAAGTTAATAAGCGGGTTATTACTGTGGACAACTGGGGCTCGATTTCACGTGGAGACTGTTTCCTCTTTGAGACTATATAACCGCAATTATTTTTGCACCAATCTAATAAAATATCAGTGTTCCTACCTGAAGGCAGGGGGCTTGGATATTTATCCACAAGCTTTTCCTCATTATTAGTTGAGGGCTGTTCCTGGTAACCTTAACTCCCTGGCACTTCCAGCATGCTCTGCCTGCAGGAGATAAGCATATTTCTAAGGCTAGAGTGCACAGAGGCATATCATCTCAGGTGCTTAGAGGAGACAGCCATTACTGCCTTTTAGAAATACTGAGTACCAAGGAGATATGCCTTCTATTATACTAGTCTACTTCTTAAATTGGGGGTAGTAAAAAGGGTATTTATTGTATTATGTGTCCTATATACATGAAATGTATATTAAGTGGACATATTCCTTAAATTACCATTTTATTCTTTGCAAGGTGTTTGTTAGAAATGTGGACTTCTTAATATGTTTTTGTTTTCACCGATCTGCTCATTTGCAGCAATGGGACCATAGACTCCCTAGAGTCACTGGGCTGTAACACATTATTTGAAAAAGTTGGCCCTTCATTGCAGGAAGGCAGTTGTAATTAAGTTTAAATATGGTATTTTACCAAGCAGCAGGAACTAATTTGCAATAACTTTAGAAACTATATTTTAGGAAAATAGCATGATACGAAATTAAACTCGATTTGTGTGTCTGGTTTTTTTTTTTTTTTTTTAGTATGTGGATCATTTTTATATAGTAGGATTTTGGTATTTGGGGTTTCAGAGTTCATATACCATGGGCTATGAAAGCTTTTTTAATTATAGTTAACTCAAATTCCAATTATAGTATTCCAAGCAGAAACAGTTCTATAAAATCCTCTATTGTGTGGCTGGCATGTTACAGTTTCATTTATTAAGCCAAATGCACTATAGGCTAAGCTTAAGGAGGAGGATCATTCAATTGACCAAGGCAAACAGAGCTGACAACTGGACTATACTTTACAGAACAATACATTACAGTTGGACTCAAGGGGGAAACTGGGAAACGTGGTAATTTGTACCTGGTTACACAAATGGCCAAAGGTGCCTGAATTATTTTTAGAGAATTATTGTTGTCCTTTCAAAATCCTTAGAGCCAATAGCTCTACATAAGGTAAGTTAAACAGACAACAAATATTTATTCACTATATTATCCCTTTAATAGAACAGCTTTTAAAAAAAAAAAATTGAAGAAGTTTTTCAAGGTTCGTTTTGAAAAAAGTCCTAAAGCCTCTAATACAATGCATATCTGTATTCTTTAATACAAGTTTTAATATAATGCTCTGTCAACAACTACCTCCAAGGTAGCTGAAGGTTAATAAAACACTTTTTACAAAGGAATTGACAATTCACTAGCTTGAAGGTCCTTAATTGTTCTCTGAACAAGACCAGACTCACCAGTCTATATCTGAAGGTGGATCTCTATTTACATTGTCTAAAAATTGACCAGAAGCTGTGGAATAAGCTGTTTCAGAATAGCTCACAAAGGCTAAATCTATAGAGGTAGAGATGAGGGCATAATAGAAGAGTTGGTAACGTAACATGTTTAGTGGGACATTTCTAACAGAGATCATGAGAGTAAAATGCACTGTGATTCCCTTTAATTTTACCTACCAATTTTTGCCCAGGCCTATTTGATGAGGCAGACCAACTTAGTATGCCTTTGTAACTGTACACATTTCCATTTTATAGTCGTTAAAATGGATTAATCATTAGCATTTGAAGATTCTATTTTTTCTCCTTCATACACAAACCCAATAAATAAATGGACAGATGGATGGATGGATGGATGGATGGATGGATAACTATAATTTAAATTGGAAATTTTGACTGATACAACAATATACAAAATACATTTCAAAGTGAAACGTTGGACCAGAGAGCCTAAATTTCAAGGATGGTGACTGATATTAAGTTCTAATACCCACAACATAGATATGTAAGATTATGGTAATTGAGAGAATTTTGTGAGGATTATTTCAGTGGAAAAATAAATGTACTGTGAAGGAACAGTGATGATGGTTGTATGTACTACATTTCAAGATAGTCACTGAACTCCATAAGTATTTCCTGCACAATCTTGTATTTAAATTTTTGGTATCTTGTTCATCATGGTTTTTTATATTAATAATTATTTTTAAAAATTTTCTTAAGGTATGTTTATCTTGGCCAGGCACAGTGGCTCACACCTGTGATCCCAGCACTTTGGGAGGCCGAAGTGGGCAGATCACCTGAGGTTGCAAGTTCAAGACCAGCCTGGCCAACATGGCAAAATCCCGTCTGTACTACAAATACAAAAATTAGTTAGGCATGGTGTGCCTGTAATCCTAGCTACTTGGGAGGCTGAGGCAGGAGAATCGCTTGAACCCAGGAGGTGGTGGTTGCAGTGAGCTGAGACTGTGCCACTGCACTTCAGCCTGGGAAACAGAGTAAGATTCCATCTCAAAAAAAAAAAAAAAAAAAAGACATGTTCATCTTAATTACTGAGTTTTCTGGTACTTTCTTAAATTTTGCACTCAAAAGACATGTATTACTAATTCCACTCTAGTCACAGCCCTGACTGGGGGCATACAAGGTAATGCCTGACCCTTATCAGAGCCTGATAAAGCAGCCTACGACAGCAGGATAGAGGTAGGAGACCAGGAAGGTAGTGTATGCTGTTTTAATAGTGGGTCAAAAGTATGTGAATTCTAGGGACTAGATGAAGAACAAGAGGTAGAAATATCAGCCTAGGGTTATTTAAAGAGGTTTTCTGTCCAAGAGTGTAGTCTGTGAGGGCTGAGGCAACCTAGAAATAAATGGCTTTGGGATATACTCTTGCAAGACAGAAATTGAAGGGCACAGAGAGTGGCCAACTGAAACTGAGGCACTGCCACACTTGGAGAGTTAGACTGAGAGCCTGGGTGGTTGCAGGGCCCCTAACTCTCTGCTCTTTACCCTACCCTCCAATCCTAGAGGGGTTAAGCATGAAGGTTTATGGCATATTCTTCCTTGAAGACTGCTGGCCTGCCTACAGCCAGGTCTTGGGGCCTGCCTACAGCTAGGTAGTGGGCTGGGGAGGAGAACTCTTAATTTTGAATATATTAGACAAATATAGTAAATACTGAATTAAGACTGATTTTTTTATATTAAAGTGAACTTAGGCCACAAGGACTATGTTGCAAAACTATAGGGGCACCATCCCATTACAATCTATTGAAGCTGGGCTCCAGGAGACTCCATTTATAAAGATTACAATGCAAATGTTGCCCCCTGGAGTTGTGCAACTCAGAGGCTCTGATAAAACATTTATTACTTGAATGACCAGAAAAATCATAGGGCTGCCTAGGTTTTTAATGCAGGCCCAGGAATAAAACTTCTCCTAGTGAAAGATAAAGATGAAAAACAATTTTTATTTCATTTAAACTCCATAAATTGTGCCTGTTCGACTTATGGGTAGAAAAGGATGGATGAATGAATAAACGTAGATATTAAAAAGTCAATTTAAGTTACTAAAGAGAGTGATCCTACTTAAACAAATGTGAGATGACTTAAGAGGCAAATTCCTATTGAAAAGGATAGACACATTTACTGAAGCAAATTTCAATCTCTGATGGACAGGATGCCATTAGGGGACTTTATCTGTATTTCAATAGTTGATATCCCATATAGATAAGCTAGTTGAAAAGGGAATTCTGTGCCCCGATGCTCTTGGGAGATACACACCCATCTAACACAGCTGACATCTACTGTCTTGTTTGCTAATCAAATCTCTGACAGCCACCTAGTGTGTTGCCACATTTCTGTGGTTCTCTTTTCTCCAATCTCACTTCTACCATCTTAGTTTCAGTCATTTCTCAGCAAGGTTACAGTAATATCTAATTAGCCTTCTCCTCCAAGGGGTCCCTCAAGTATCACCCACATTTGGCGACAAATGAAGCCTTCTAAAATACAAATCTGATCAAAAGAATGTAAGTGTGCGGGTATGTGTGTAAGTGAGAGGTTAAGGTTTACCCTTTAGGTTGTACTACATTAAATGAAGAATTACACCTTTGCCCTGCTTCTCTTCTGAAGCAAAGTGCTAACCTTTTCCAGAAAAGCTTCTCATTCTGAGAACTGCCTCCCTTAAAATACCTGAAGAGGATATTTTTCCAAGTTCCTTTCACCTTTAAGTCTTTATCCAACTCTTAGACTCCTCGAGTAGTCTGGCAATTATCCAATAGCCTATTGTTATCAACACATACTCTAAAATAGTTGAGGTTTCCCAGGGTTTGGATCCCAGTGTACTGCTATGTTTTATCATAAATATCCTAAAGCCTTCCTTCAGTGACTGACTTCTGCAAATTCCCAGCTGTGGACACAGGTGGCTTCTCAGATGAGGTGACTTTCTGACTCTGCCTAAGAATACACTATTGATGATAACTGAATTCTCAGACAGGAAGAAAATAAAGACTCTAACAGGGCTGTCTCCCTCAAATAGTCAAGATTTCCAAACCAGGCAAAGGTTTAAACCTACTGTAACAATTCTGAGAACACCACAGAAATGAAGTAAAACTTCTTTAGATATTTATTATTGGCTTTGAAACAATGGTTTTCAGCAGAGTGAAAGAGAAAGATCAGAATCACCCAAGCAATTTTTTCAAGCCACAAATAACCACCCCTTCTCATATGAAGAGTCACACAAGCCCTTTTTAGAATTAGCTATACATACATGATGGCATCTCCAGGAGTATAGGGGAAAGCCAGCAATGCGTGATTTTTAAAAATAATAACAATAACAAAAATCATGTAGTATGTCCTGCCACCAACTTACCTCCCACCTCAGAATCATCCCAGATTAAAAACAAATGCTTTAGAAAATATGTTGCATTTTTAGAAAAAAAAAAATGCAACTATTCATGTGAATGATGCAGCTGCAAAGTTTAACAGGAGATCAAAGACATTTTGACATTTAGGACATAAACACTTGGCCCTTGGGTGGCCACCATCACTGTTCTCCCCTTTGCCTGTTCACCTCAAAAGCTGCAAGACTCCCCTGCTTGCAATGAGTCACCCACTATTACTCACAAATTTCTGCCAAGTTCACGTCAGCAGCTGTTGTTTTCAAAGTCAACATCCATGCTGTACTGTTTTGAGGTTTCTCCATTACTTTATAATATTTCTTCTATTTCTCTGCTGTCTTCCCAGCCAAACTTGCATTCAGAAGCAGGCATCTTACTAGCATTGCTCTCATATACAAATCCAGGATATCAGAAGTACAGAGTCAACCATAACTAACATTTTAACTAAAATTTGTTATGTCATTCTACAGTTTCTCAACAAAATACTCTCACATCCTTCAAACAAATAACCACTATATTACTTAGAGGCTGTGAAGGTAGAAGACTTTCTCAATTGGAAACACGTTTGGGTCTATGGTAGGGTTGTGATTTCAATTTTTGCAGTTAGCTAAGGCAAAGAGACACACTGCAAATTTTCTTCACATGTCTGGAATTTAAACTTTTATTAGGTATGGAAAGAGTAGACTAACTAATCTACAAACATATGTTCATATTACCAAATAAATATAGCTTTTTAAAAATGTTAACATTTGCCCTATAGACATGTAAGAACTTGGATTAGGTCTTCAGTATGTAGAACTGAATATGAGGTATCTTGTGAGATAAAAACTTCGATCTCTTTTTTCTTTTTATTACTTCTCCAAGAAAGAAAAAAAACTTCTGATCTTGCATCAAGTCACAGAATGCCTTTCAGACAATATCATAATGCCACTGAATATTTTAAATATATATAGTTAAAAATTATTTTTTCCAATTTTCCAGAGCCGAAAAGGAAACATCTAGAAAAGCTTGAATTGCCAAACTTTACTAAAATACATTAGCAGTTAAAAAGCAGAGCCCTGAACTCACTGAAGGGCAGAGGGAGGTATTAAAAGCACCCTATTCTCCCCAGAGAACTCGGTTGTGTGGCTGTATGTTAAGTGTGTGGGGAAGCATTGGCAGGAGGAGGAGGTTGGGATGTCTGAGGTGGATGGAAGTTGGAGTATAATTGCTCTCTGACAGTAGAACAATAGAGCTGTAAAAAGCTCTGCTTCAGTTCAACTCAGCTTTCTCTCCCTCTTTCCCTCCCACCTACATGACAAACAGAACACAATCAGGCACTTTTTGTCCCTGACAGTGACTATTACCGGGAAAAGGACCACGGTAAAAGCATGTCTTATGCAAGACCAATCTCCTAAGGAATATTTTATAAATAACTAACAAAGCACTGTCAGAGTGGGATATTTGTGAGGTGCTAAAATAGGTAAAAGGAGGTCGATGATCCATTTCAAACATTTCCATTTATTTTATCACTTATATTTCTGACTTTTCTTTTGCCCCTCTTCCTAGTATTGCCATCACTTGGTTGGTAAGGGGGAGGCAATATGACTCCACAATTCAGTTGACTGGGATACATTTTCCAGCACTCAAATGAAAAGGTACTAGATGAGAACCAGAATGAGAAAGAAGCCCAAAATTGTAGTTCTGTCTATGCCAAATACTAACCAAGAGACCCTGGATTAGTCACTTAGCCTCTCTGGGCTTCAGACTACTTATAAAATTTATTTCACAAATATGTCTGATGTGAAATGTAATATGAAAGTCAAAGATAGTAATACCTCACCTACCTATCTCAGGGAGCTGTATAGGCACTAGGCACTATATGAATATAAACAAAGTTTAGAAGAAAATTGTTGAGTTCAGGATCTAAATTGAATATGCAGATATATTTTTATGGATCTTATTGGCCTTCATTTTTAATTGCAACATTCAATTCAAAGTTAATAGCAATATTCAAAATGACCAAAGCCAATAAATTAAGTATTTAAGTGCTGCCTAGATGCCCACTGCATGCCATGTACTAAGAAGGGTAAGAAACATTAGGAAGCCTGAACTGAGATCTTCCTCCATTTACCATCTAAACAGGAAGGTACGTGGGAAACCACTAAGGAATGGCACAAGTCAGTACATAGGTGCAGTGGCAAACACCATAGGAATGCAACGATGAGCTGGAATGAGTTGGAGTAAAGAGGAAAGACTTGGTGAAGGAGATGGGGCTCCAATGGGGCCTTGGAGGAACTTCAAGTTGTTGTAACGGGGAGAGAAGAAGAGAAGCATAGGAAAAGGCTGGAGAATCCTGGCTTGTGGACAAGGGAGAGTTTTAAAAGCACATGATGATCTTGGATATATAGGATAAGATAAAATGATGAAGGGCTGTGACTGCCTGAGTCTCTGGTTTTGATAAGTCACTTCACATGACTCTAAGATGTTGGAGGGTTAAAACAGTGTGGGGACTGAAGGATGAGGAGAGAATACATAGAGCTCAATAGAAGACCAGTGAAAAAGTTCAGGTATCAAGTGATGAAATCCATTCATCAGAATAGTAGCAACCAGAATGGACACTTGAAACCAAGACCACAGTTCCTGGGAACTGATAAGATGTGGAGGATGAAGAAAGAGAGAGAAATCAAAGACTATTCCAGTGTTTTGGTTAGCAGGGACCAGAAGAATGGTTATCCCATTGAATAAGTGGAAATGTTATAAAATGAAGTCAGTTTGTGAACAAACATCAGTTTTGGATGTATTGGGTTTAGAGGCATGAGCTAAGAGTAGAGATGTGAGAAGTTCAAAATTCCACACCAAAGCACAGACCTAGAGCCCAGACTTAAGATATAGATGGAGCTAGAGCTCAGAGATTAACAGTTGATTGAAAAGAACTGGCCAAGGCCTACTTCCGTGAGGAAATACTGCCCACAAACAGTGATAGAAGAGAAGTCATGCAAGACAGAAAAAAGTGATACAACAGAGAGATTAGAATCCCAGTTTTTCTAATACTTGATAAGCTTGAGAAAGTAACTTAAACTCTACTTCTTCATCTGATAAATAAGACACCTACCACTATAAGGTTGTTGACAAGACTAAGCGAGATTAAGTGATAAAGTATGCAAATCACATTTAGCAACCTAAAAATCAGAGAAGGAAAACAAGAAAAAGAGCTATCATAAAAAGCAGGGGCTTGTTTTTCAAGGTAAAATCAGAGAATGGAACTGGTCAAAGGAATATTTTAGCAAATGCCAATAGTCCAAAATGTAAGAAAGTACAGTGCGTAACACACAAAAAGTTACGGACCCACTCACTGCAGCAATTATCTCATCAGGGGAAGAATTCAAGAATGCCTTTGTGCTTACTATTCTCTCTAGCTGGAATGCTATTCCCCCTCTGGATTGTGCTAAAATATCACCTCGTCAAAGACACCCTGACCCTATCTGAATTATTATTCTTATTATTCTCTACCCTTTTATCCTGCTTCATTTTTGTTTACTGTAATACTACTAACAATATTACATATTTGTTTGCTATTAGTTTCAATCATAGGAAAAGGAACTTTGTTTTCTGAGATATCCCCAAAATCTGGCCATAGTAGGCACTCAATAAATATAAATTAAAAACTCAAACTACCTCATCATAAAGAGTAAATGCATTTGGATTTGGTAGAACACTACAGAAATGCAACATAAAGTGAATTTCCTTCTCTGGATCACCTTGAAAAAACCTTCTGCCTGATCTTAAGAAAGAAGTTCAGTGGTCTTCATAAGCACTACTAGTGTAAATCCGTAACAGCCATAGATGAGTAAACTTACAGTCACCTTCAGAAAAGTACATTTACTAAACTTACTGAATGCCTACCATGTACATCAGAAACAAAAGGTTTGGGGCATTTTGCAGGGAGTAGGTGGAGTGATTTCCCAGCATCAGATATTTTTTAAACTACTACATAAATGCTACCTATTTCCAGAATTCACTTCTTAAGTCCCCAAATGTACCTCAAAGTTGTCCCTATATGTAACACTTCCTTCAACACACATTGATCCACATGTCTTCTTTCACAATTACCTCGTTTGTGGGCCATTATTACTCCTAAATATTTTAAATGTCTTTGTCTATCACTGGGGAGATTCACCTGTGATATGAGAGATGCCCAATGTACATTTAATTAAACAAAAATAAGAATACACTCCAATGCACTATAACAGACAAACAAATGAATACTGGGTATCCTGTAGCAAGGTTCCAAATTCATAGCAATTGAATCTTAGAAAGAACATTAAAGGTCATCTGGTCCAGCGGACTGCAAATGTCAGGCTTCAATGAACTTTTTACTGATCTATGTCAAAATGAGGACAATGTAATAAGTTTTCATAAGGCTAAGTTTTTTAAATTTAAAGACAATCCTTTAGTCAGATTATATTCTTCCTTATATTTGAGGAAGTGGCTTAGTCATAGCTCACCATAGCCTCCAATTCTTCCACTTCGACTCCTGAGTAGCTAGGACTACAGGAGTGCACCCCCATGCCCAACTAATTTTTTTTTTTTGAGTTTCGCTCTTATTGCCCAGTCTGCAGTTCAGTGGCACAATCTTGGCTCACTGCAACCTCCGCCTCCCGGGTTCAAGTGATTCTCCTGTCTCAGCCTCCCGAGTAGCTGGGATTACAGGCATCCACCACCACACCCGGCTAATTTTTGTATTTTTAGTGCAGACGAGGTTTTACCATGTTGGCCAGGCTGGTCTTGAACTCCTGACTTCAGGTGATCCACCTGCCTCAGCCTCCCAAAGTGTTAGGATTACAGGCATGAGCCACTGCGCCCAGCCCCAATTAATTTTTTAATTTTTTGTAGAGACAGGATCTCACTATGTTGCCTAGTCTACGGCCTCAAGCAATCCTCCTGCCTTGGTCCCCAAAGTGCTGGGATTAGAGGAGTAAGCCACTGCATCTGGCCTGAACCTATCCATCTTTGAAAAAAAATTTAAGTTTTCCTTCTTTTCATTAATCATTATATAAAACACTAAATATAAATGCCATGAAATATTCAATCTCCGATTTCTAAATTATGATTTTTCAATTTATACTCATGACAAATTTAAATTGTCACTGCCTTATTAAGCTATTATGTCAGATACAAGCCTGCTTATTAATCCAGTGACAAAAAAGCAGAGTTCAGTTAATCTAAAATTTTAATAAATCTTAAAGGCATTTAATATAAAGTATTAAAATCCAAATAACAAGATTTTATATTTAAATGCAAAATACTTGCTGAATATTTATTATAGTATCCCAACTTTTAAAGAGAAAGATATTTAAAAATAAACATGACAAGGAAATTAGAGAAGTCAACTTCTTAAATATAACCAAAGGGTCAAAAAACATTTAAGTCAGTTTAAAAATTAAACTTTAGGAAAAAAGGTAAACCTTGTAAAAGTCTCATTAAATTTCAGAAGCCTACAAAACGTCAGCAACAGAAAACATTTAGTTCACATGTGTATTACATTCTGGGTGAATTTTTTCCCTCTGTCCATTTAGATTTATATTGGCTAGTCTTTTCATCAACAAATTTAGTTTTTAAATCTTGTTTTTTAGCAATAGAAAATCCTTTATCATTTCTAGAAGGTAAACCCACAGTAGAGAGAAAAGACTATTTAGCCTCAAATTCTACAGCATAATAAACAACTACAGGGAAAATGACAAATTTTTTTTGTATGTATGTATATATTTCTAAGGGAAAAAATCCTTCTGTATAAAACTCACTGGATGACACCAATTTTTCTAAAACTGGGAATCAATACTAGAAGGATAAAACACCATTTTAAAATTCATGTTCCAAGTCAGTATTTTACTTTAATAACAGTTACAAAATAGTGAACAACGCACATGAAGCGATAATAGCCGAAATCATAAATCAGCCATGCATGCAGTTCATACTTGGTAGAGGGAGGTAGAAGGCACTGAAAGTGCACTGTTGGACGAATTTATAATCACTCTAAAAACAAAACCCTCTAAAAAGGGAATCTAGGGACTACCCAGACAAGATGGAAAGGCTCTGATTCATTTGTTAGACTGCACAGAATTTCAGTCCGTAGTGAGCAGGGTACCTGGAACTCTATACATAAAATTCTGTGTCATATTCTTTTTTTTTTGAGATGGAGTTTCACTCTTGTTGCCCAGGCTGGAGTGCAATGGTGTGATCTCGGCTCACCGCAACCTCCACCTCCCAGATTCAAGCAACTGTCCTGACTCAGCCTCCCTATTAGCTGGGATTACAGGCATGCGCCACCACGGCCAGCTAATTTTGTATTTTTAGTAGACACGGGGTTGCTCCATGTTGGTCAGGCTGGTCTCGAACTCTCGACCTCAGGTGATCCGCCTGCCTAAGCCTCTCAAAATGCTGGGATTACAGGCGTGAGCCACCGCGCCCAGCCTCATATTCTTTCACTTAATCCACAATATCATGTACCAATGGGCAAAACTTTGCTCCATTTCTAAAAATAGTTAAACTGAGAAATTATTCAAAGGTACATTTTTATATATAAGATATAGCAATTTTAAACATCTTACCCCTTGTGACAAATAAGAAATGGCACAAAGCCACTACATCTCATTTGAATATAAAAATTTTTTTCTTTTAAAAAAGCTCTCATTTCCCATGCAATTTTAAGAAATAAAATTTTCCCCAAGGGGATGGCAGGAATGTGATTTCATGAGAATTACTATAGTTGGAGAGAGTCCAGAAAATCTAAAATAATAAAATTGGTTATAAGCTGACAAATTTTATTGGCTTAACTGCAGGTTAAGATTTCACTCTGCTGGCTTTCAGGAAAAGGCCCTGACAAGTTAAATGAGAATGATTTAAAAATATAAATTCAAGAAGCTACACAAATACTTATAAAAGGTTATGCAGTGTGTTGTATTTTTGAGATGACTTTTTTTGAGCCTTTTAAGTCAAATAGTCAGTTTAGTGATTTAAATATGTAAACTGAGAACACCATAAAATGATAGACTGGATTAAGAAAATGTGGCACATATACACCATGGAATACTATGCAGCCATAAAAAAGGATGAGTTCATGTCCTTTGCAGGGACATGGATGAAGCTGGAAACCATCATTCTGAGCAAACTATCGCAAGGACAGAAACCCAAACACCGCATAGGTGTTTCTCACTCATAGGTGGGAATTGAACAATGAGAACACCTGGACACAGGGCGGGAAATATCATACACTAGGGCCTGTCGTGGGGTGGGGGATGGAGGAGGGATAGTATTAGGAGAAATACCTAATGTAAATGACCAGTTAATGGGTGCAGCAAACAAACATGGCACATGTATACATATGTAACAAACCTGCACATTGTGAAGATATACCGTAGAACTTAAAGTATACTACTACTACTAATAATAATAAAAACTGAAATTACCTCAACAAAAGGCAATGCCAGGTAGTTACAAACACGTACTACCCAATCCTGCCTGAAGGTGGGAGTCTTCAGTTATGTAATGGTCTACGGCACAGCAAAA
The DNA here is from genome assembly GCF_000001405.40 of Homo sapiens. NCBI lineage: Eukaryota > Metazoa > Chordata > Mammalia > Primates > Hominidae > Homo > Homo sapiens. The sequence continues at coordinate 119,462,879 of NC_000004.12, read as the reverse complement.
AAAAAAAAAAAAAAAGAGTATTAGACATAAAAGAAGAAACATTTTTACCCCACTCCAATCTGACAGTGCAAAAATATAAGTATATAATTAAGGCTCCCTTATCCATCTAGAGTGATAATGGGCATTGACCCATCTATAAAAACAAACAAAAAAAAGAGAGTGAGAAGCCAAAAATGGAAGAGAAAAGTATACCTGAAGGAATTGGTTTACTCTACTGTAATGTGTTAGATAACTTAATGCTATTTAGCCTGATGCTACTACAGTTCTTTTAGTGGAGAGATGGTGGCGTTACAATTACCAGGTGGCTGAATTATGTATGCTGAGTTACTTACCCAAAGGAAAAGACTGAGGAAGAATAATTGGAAAAATCTGCAGTTACAAATGACACATATATGTACTCAAAATGAAAGGGGAAGTACAAAGAACAAAAAAAGGGAGTACAGGCTAACTATAACAAACAGAACAATCACATCAGATTAATGTCTAGATTCTTAGGTCTTATGTCCTAATAAACAAAAGGTTAGTACTGACAATATGATACTTAAACGACATGTCTATGACAGCTAAGGTGAAACAGAAGCCAAACAGATTTCTTGCAGAAAGAAATGGCACAAGAAAACATTGGCATGCAAGTGCTTTTGATAACCATCTCTTATGAGACTTATAATAAATAGCATCTTTGGATTTATTTTGAATATGTCTAACTGGTTTGGCTGCTTCTCTTTATTTGGTAGTTCAACATGAAAGCTAAATTTGCCACATTGAGACCTCAAACCATGGTGGCAACACTGTTTATTTCCATGAAGCAGGGAAAATCCTTATGAATAAGAACTAAGGAGTAAAATCACTGTTAGCTTACACAGGACTTAAAAAGGCTTTTCAACTAAGACATTTCTACATGAAATTTGGTACTTAATAATGGGTATAGTTGTATGTACTTCACAAACTTAAAGATTACTCAAATATGCACATAAAGGTAACAGTAAGCAACAACAACAAAAAGGAATCAGAACTATCAGGTTACTGACCCATGTCCTGAAGGAGCAATGAAGTATAAACAACACTGCACCCTGTTACCAGGCATCTGACATCTGTTCACTCGCGATTCTGCATTTAGGTAGTCCTCAAATTTAATATCAATGTAATTGATAACAGGCTGCCAGCTATAGAATGCAAATAAACAAAACAATTAAGTTGCAATTCTACATATGAATTAACTGATGACTGTTAAAGGACAATAATCAATATTTTCAAATAAGCAAAATGAATTTACCAAGGGAAGATATGTCAAGTTATTCTATATAAAGATTCAAAAATATAAATTATGTTGAATAAATCTTTATTCATTATTTCAAAACTTTCCAAATGAAAGAAAATATTTATTGCTGAAATTATTAGCATATTATTGGCACTAGTAAGTGTATTAATAACACACTTCATAATATGAAAACAATTATATTCAGTTTCAAATTTCAAATGAGAGATTACTTTAAATAATATAAAAACTTCATGATGAACTTAGGAGTTTTAAGAGTTGACAGAAAAATACCTCAAAAACAATGTGAATTCAAACAAAAATAAAAGTTATTTATAAAATACTAAGATAATTACTTCAGACTAAAATTTCATAGTTGTTTTCTTCACTTAGGACTTATGGAAAAACTGAAGGTCTAAATATCAGGTTTAAATTAGGATTGAGATAGAATTTATACAAATGGATAAAATTAAAGCAAACAGTTTTAAATTTCTTACAATAATGAGAATTCTTCTATCTAGCTACGTTATTTTGGAATATGTCTTAAAAACAATTTTATGATAGGTATTATCTCCATTTTATCGAAAAGTAAATGGGTTCAAAGAAGTTAAACTTCTTTGTTTAACTTTGAAGTTAAACTTTGTCAAATAAGTGGCAAAGTTGGTATACAAACCTGTCATGTTACTTGAAGTTTGGTGACCTTTGCTAAGAAGAGTTTTAAAATGTTAAGAAGAGAAAGTTTAACCACCCCAATACCCCAAATACACTGGAAAGTTGTGAGGACAAATCCTTCTTACCAATTACTGTTATCCACTGCATCTCCAAATCCTGGGGTATCAACTATTGTAAGCAGCAACTGAACACCACCTTCTTTGATTAAAACTTTGGTTCCACCTATAACAGTAATTGGTGCAGATGTTAATATCATACATTACACCAGTGATTTCCTACCAGGGGTGATGGTAGGGATGTTTGAGTTTACCTACTCCCACATTTTCTTTAGGATCAATGATTGTGGGCATTGGAAATCCAGATTATTTGAAAGAAAAGCATATATACAAATAGTATGCCAATCTCTTGGCAAATTAATACTGGGTTTATGAGTCATACTTGGTATAAAGAAAGACAGAGGAACTGATAAAATAGTGATCACCACTAAAGACATGTAATACATAACTTAAATGTGCATTTAATAATACAAATAAGCAGTTTGAGTGATTCAGTCATTCAGAGTTCAAATGTAATTCATCAGGCAAGAACATTTAATCTACCGTTTATAGTAAATGTCTTCCTAGACTATTCTCTATCAAGTTTGGCCCAAACCACTCACTCAAATGAACTTACTATCATTCCTAAATCTTTCTCAGCATGGATGTAATTACCCTTATATTTATGTTATGGCTAGGATCCAATCCTCTTCTCAAATGTGATTTTTCAAGCTCCTATAAATCAGCAAGAAAATGACAGAAAATATTAAGATTACCAAAAGACTTTAATGAAATCTGAAGTTATTGAGTACAAAAGACATGTTCAACCTCACTAGAAATCAAATAAAATAAACTCAAATACCTTTATATCTTTATGCACACACAACAGCAATGAGTGCCTAAGTCTACTAAGACATGCACAAGAATGTTCCCGTTAGTAAAAAACTGAAAACCCAAAGGCTTATCTACAATAAATAATAAAGGATATACTGATACATTCACACAATGGAGTATTATACGACGATGAAAAAAACAACTACACCCAACATGAGTAAATAATACAGACATAATCTTCACTGAAAGAAAACAGATACAAAAAAGTATACGTATATAACGTTCAAGAACAGGCAAATTTATGGAGAAGGCAGTCAGTAAGGTGTTTATCTTTGGGGGTTGTAATACTGAATGCGAGTGAGCACATGGAAGAAACTAGGGTTCTGGAAATGAACTGTATATTAATTTGGACAGTGGTTAGTTTTACCTTTCATATCTAAATTCATAAATACTTAAGTGAAGGTATTCATAATAGATACCCAAATTAAGAAAGTTCAAAGTTCATTTTCTTGCTTAGGTTTAAAATTTCCAATATTTATCACAAAATAAATAAGCATGTAGGATCAAGTTTTTAGAGTAGAATTTTGCAGGTAATTTGAAATCTCAAGCCCTCTGAAGGTTACTAAAAAAAAAAAAAAAAAAAAAAAAATTCCTAAAATAGAAACATTAAAAAGGAGAAATAAGATTTACTTCACAAAATTACTCCTTTGGGGTCTTGCAGTATGATATATATGAGTTACTGCTCAGAATATATAGACTGTCCTCCTATCCTGTGCACTGGGATGATCACTACCACTTCTTCAAATCCAGCTAAAAGCATCATGGCCTCAATGAAGCCTACTCCAGCCAGAACTGTTCACGTGCCTCCTCTCTGCTCGTGTCCTATATATTACCTAAGCAGAGCTCACCAACAATATTTTTCATCAACAGCTTAGAGCAGCGCTGCCAAATAAAAATACCATGTCGGTCATGTAAGTAATTTAAAATTTTCTTAGTAGCCACTTTTAAAATAGGAAAAAGGTGAAATCAGTCAATTTTATTTAACCCGATACATCCAAAATATTATCACTGCAGTATACGATCAATATAAAAAATTACGGAGATTTTCTTTTCCATGCTCAGTCTTAGAAATCTGTGGCATATTTTATATTTGCAGAACATCACAATTCAGACTACCCACATTTCAAAGATTAATAGCCACATGTGGCTACAGGCTGCTGTACTATTTAATAAAAAGTGCATATCTAGAGTCTAGCCCCTTGCTTTATAAAGTGTGATCTACCATCCAGCAGCATCAGCATCACCTGGGATCTTGTTAGAAATGTAGAAAGGCAGCCCATCTCAGAACTACTAGAAGAAATAAATTTAACAGGATACCCAGGATTGGAATGCATAGCAAAGACTGAGAAGCAGTAAATTAGATCACATATAGCTTGGGAGTCTTACAGAATTGCTATTGCCATTCAACTATGATATGGTATTATCCCACTGACTAATATAGAACACTGTATTTAAATAACAATAGTTTTTCTATGAATCATGTTTTCTCTCCACTGTCCAATGCAATTTTCTACAATGATGAAAATCTTCATATATGTGCTGCACAAAATGGCAGCCACTTGCCACATATGGCTGTTGAGCACTTGAAATATATCTGGAGCAAATGAGAAATTGCATTTTAATTTAATTAATTTTAATTGATTTAAACATGTGGCAAATGACTATCATACTACATAGCACAACTCCAGGGGAATTGGTTACTATGTCACAGTGTCATCTCTAGGAGAATCCTTAGGACAAATTTGGAAAGTTCTAGTCAAGATAATTCGATTAACTGTACTTCTTCTGTTTTTTTAATTTTATGAAGTCATATTTACCATCTTACACTGGCTGAGGGCAAATTTGCATCTTACCTCTAAGGAAGCATAATAAAAGTTACAACACGTGCTTTGTGTGTATTAATATTATTCCAGCTTATCATCAATTAAAAATACCAATATCTAGACCTGTACAGGCTTTTTAATTCTCTGAGAAGGACCCGGATACTCTGGAGAATACAAATCTGGGAGGAATAATGAGTTGATTAATGTCAACTTTCCCAATCCAGATTCGCCTAAAAGAAATAAGGGAAAATATCTGTTAAACTCACCCACTTTACCCAACCTTAAATATTCAACAGATGCTGTAATTGAACTTGCTTTATGCAAGTATTTCTTGGTGAGACAATGAAATGACATTAGAAAATATGCTACAAAGAATAAGTATCTTGTCCTCAGTTTCTTAGCTATCAAATTAAACTCACGTTTCCAAGGATTCTTTTCAGCCTTCTAATTATACCACTTATATTCATTAAAAGTAATGTATCTAATAATTACATTTTTAACAGTAATGTATTCCCAAAGAAAAAAGTCAGTCATTATTTAAAAATCCAAGTTGGATTATATATCACTGCTTCAGTGAAATAAAGTTTTTCTTTATTAATAGACAATAATGAATGAATAATAAACAAGAAATCATGCAGCTATAAAAAGCAAAAATCTGCTAATACAAAGATTAATCACAATGAACATCTCTGTATAAAAGTCTAAATCACAAAAAATACTTTCTAATTTTGCCGCCCATCAGCCTAAATATAAGGGTGCTTCTCCACAAACCAGAATCCAAAAAATCTTAGGTAATTACTTTTTCTACCACTTCTACTCAAGGTAGGAGGTAGACACGAAGGAAGCTAGGGCATGATTTCTACTCTGACCACATACTCTTTTTTGACTCTCCGTGTTTAGTCCAATATACATAGTCCAGTGTATAGTAATTATTACAAGTATACCAAAATATAAATGGCTTCAAGGTATATATAACCTAAGGTTAAAACAAATTATAAATCAGATTATGATAAGTAACATGGCACAGAGTTAAAGTATTTATTGTTAATAACTCACTTAGCATAATAGGCATGTTTAGCCTAAGTAACTGATGTCACAATATTTTTATGCCTAGGAGGAATTCTTTTTATATTAGCTCTCAAAAGAGATAAGATTCTCTCCACGTGGTTTGGGCTTACCCCTTTGACTGAGAGCATGCCACTTTTTACTAGAGGTTGATGTATGACTCAACTTAGAGTTGAGGATGAAAAGTGGGGATCATAGCACCTGCCTATACCCTGGTACAGATCATATGATGTTGATTTATTTATTTGTGGAGTCAGGGTCTCGCTGTGTTGCCCAGGCTGGAGTGCAGTGGTACGATCATGGCTCACTGCAGCCTTGAACTCCTGGGTGTGGTGGTGCGCACCTGTAGTCCCAGCAACTCTGGCAGGCTGAGGCAGGAGAATCGCTTGAACTCAGGAGGCGGAGGTTGCAGTGAGCCGAGATTACGCCACTACACTCCAGCCTGGAGACAAAGACTCCATCTCAGGAAAAAAAAAATTTTAAATTAAAAAGTTCTAGTATCTAAAATGAGCAAAATCGCCAGGCGCGGTGGGTCACACTTGTAATCCCAGCACTTTGGGATGCAGAAGTGGGTGGACCATCCGAAGTCAGAGGTTGAGACCAGCCTGCAGTGAGCCGAGATTGCACCACTGCACTCCTGGGAGACAGAGTGAGACTCCATTTCAAAAAAAGAATTAGCCAAGCGTGGTAGCATGCACCTGTAGTCCTAGCTACCGGGGACGCTGACGGGGAAGGATTCCTTGAGCCAGAAGGTCAAGGCTGCAGTGAGCCTTGTTTGCACCACCTCACTCCAACCTGGGCAAGACCCCATCTCAAAAAAGAAAAAAAAAAAAACACAAAAACAACAAAACAGAACAGAACAGCATCACTTCCTTATCATTAGTTTGAAGTAAATTGCCTGTAAAAGTTTCCATTTTCAAAAAAAGTATTAAAATATAGTGCAAAGCCAGGCACGATGGCTCATTCCTGTAATCTCAGCACTTTGGGAGGCTGAAATGGATTGCCCCAGGAGGTCGAGGCTGCAGCCGAGCGATCCTCCCGCCTAAGCCCGGCAAGTAGCGGAGACTACAAGTGCGTGCCACCATGCCCAGCTAATTTTTTGTATTTTTGTAGAGACAGGGTTCCACCATGTTGCCCAAACTAGTCTGGAATTCCTGAGCTCAAGCGACCCACCCGCTTCCGCCTCCGCCTCCGCCTCCCCAAAATGCTGGGATTATGGGCGTGAGCCACCAGGCCTGGCCCAATTACTTTCTTCAGTCTGAGCATGAGCGCTGGAAGAAAAGCGCTCACTTGCATATAATTTTTTAGAGACAGAGTCTCCCTCTGTTACACGGGCTGGAGTGCAATGGCGCAATCTCAGCTCACTGTAACCTCAACCTCCAGTGCTTGATCGCTTATATAATCTCAGCTCACTGTAATCTCAACCTCCCGGGCTCGATCGCATATATATACACACATATATTTGTTTGTTTAGACGGAGTCTTGGTCTGTTGCCCAGGCTGGAGTGCAGTGGCGCGATCTCCGCTCACTGCAACCTCCGCATCCCGGGTTCAAACAATTCTCTGCCTCAGCCTCCCGAGTAGCTGGGATTACAGGCACCCGCCACCACGCCCGACTAATTTTTGTGTTTTTAGTAGAGACGGGGTTTCAGTGAAACCATGCTGGCCAGGCTGGTCTTGAACTCCTGTCCTCGTGATCCACCCGCCTCGACCTCCCAAAGTGCTGGGATTACAGGCGTGGGCCACCTCGCCCAGCCGACCGCTTATATTTTTAAAAAGATGTTTTCTTCGTTTCCTAGCCCCTTCTACCCCGCTACAAAGTTTCAAAGACTTAATGCTATTACAAAGGGCCGTCAGAGGTCAAGCTCAGGGGTGCAGCTCCCTCATGCCGGGCAGCCTCAGAGGGGGCCAACCCTACCCAGGATGAGCGGCGCCAGGTAGCCGGGGACGCTCCCGGGGGTCCCCGGGCCCTGCCTGGGGGAGGTGTTGTGGGGCGCACGTACCCAGGCTCAGGTGAGGCGAGTGGGCGGCCGGGGCTGCAGCTGGCGCTGGCCATTGAGGAGCTTCGGCGCGACAGTGCGATCGGTTGCACCTTCTGCGACAGGTGCCGGCCGGTTGGCGCGCAGCGCCTGCTAGCGCAGAGTCTGGCCCTTGCTGCGCCCGGCCCCGAAGACCGGGAAGTCGTAAAGCTCCTCCTCGCAGCTTATGTGCGGCGGCGGCCGGGCCGAAGCCTAGCGACACAGAGCTGCCAGCTCAGCAGCGGGTTACATCCCGCCCGGCCACCGGTAGGCAGCGTCCGCTCAAGCGCGCTCCTGGAAGACCCAGCAGCCCCGCCGCGAGTTCCGATTGGCTCCGCGTGAGTGGCGGTCCCCTGCGACCTCACAAGAGCGCGCCTTCCGTGACGCCGCAAGAGCGCGCCTTCCGTGGCGTCACAAGAGCGCGCCTTCCGTGACGTCACAATGGCGCGCCTTCGCCGACACCATAGAGGTGGGCCTCTGGCGACGTCAGAGGCGTGGGTGTTCGGCTACGTCACTGGGGCCCTACGGTGCCTGGAGCTGGGCAGTCTTCTCGTCAGAGTGGGGACTGGTAAGAGCGACCTCCCCGCCAGGTCCTGTGTGTTGCCAGCCGAAGAAGGGTAGCTGAAAAATTCAGACCCAGCACAGTGTTTATGTTGGTCAAAAATAGAAAACTATGTCTGGCGCCGCCGAGGCGGGAGGACCCTTCAGGCCAAGAGCAGCCTAGCAACATGGCGCAACCCCATCTCTGTAGTCCTACCTCAGCTCCCCCCAGCTGAGGGGGGCTCAGCCCCCCAGCCCTCAAGTATGAACCCAACGGTTCAAGGCTCCAGTGAGCTATGATCCCATCACAGCATTCCAGCCTGCGAGATTGAGGTAAACCCTGTGTAAAAAAATTAAAAAACTATCCAAGTGTGCAACAGGGAGGGACTGCTAAATAAAACATGAGGCTGGCTGGGCCCTACTGTAATCCCAGCACTTTGGGAGGCCGAGGCGGGAGGATGGATGGCTTGGGCTCAGGAGTTCGAGACCAGCCTGGGCAACATGACGAAACCCCGTCTCTACAAAAGATACAAAAATTAGCCGGGCGCGGTGTGCACCTGGCCTAATTTTTGTATTTTTTTTTTCTAGAGATGGGGTGGGGGGGGGGCCTCGCTATGTTGCCCGGGTCAGTTTCGAACTCCTGAGTTGAAGCGATCTTCTCACCTTGGCCATCAGAGTTGTCGGGATTACAGGCGTGAGGGACAGCGCCCCACCTGGGTTAGGCTACTTAATAACATAAGAAAGTGCTCCGCCAGGCTCAGTGGCTGACACCTGTAATCCCAACACTTCGGGAGGCCGAGGCGGGTGGATCACCTGAGGTCAGGAGTTGGAGACCAGCCTGGCCATGGTGAAACCCAGTCTCTACAAAAAATACAAAAATTAGCCAGGCGTGGTGGCGCATGCCTGTAGTCCCAGCTACTTGGGAGGCTGATAAAAGAGAATTACTTGAACCCGGGGGGCGGAGGTTGCATTGGGCGGAGATCGCACCACTGCACCCCAGCCTGGGCGACATAGCGAGACTCCAAAGTTTTGACACCAGCCTGGGCAATGTAGTGAAACCCTGTCTCTACAAAACAAACAAACAAAAACGCAGGAGTAACTGTGTCCACCTGTGGCCCTAGCTAGTTAGGAGGCTGAGGCAGGAGGATCACTTGAGGCCAGGAGCTCAAGGCTGCAGTGAGCTATGATAATCCCACTGCTTCCCATCCTGAGCAATAGAGTGAAAGCATGTCTCTAGATAGCTAGCTAGCTAGCTAGATAATTGATACGTAGTTTTGTATCAAATTTTTTCCCTAGATTTGAGCATGTTTTTCTAAAGTAGCATTCAACACATCAGCATTTTACAGTCTTATTAGTTGTTAATATGATTATGTTTTTCTGAAATACAGTATCCTTTACAAAAGCAGTTTTGTCTTTCAAGGCACATAGATAAGGCCCTCAAGTGAATTTGTCTGATGTTGGCGACCTTGGTACCATTTTGTCCACTTGATTGGAAAAGTCAGTCAATAATTTCAGGTCACTGTTGGCCTTAGAAGAAGAGCCCAAAGGCAACAAGCAAAGGCGCTGGTGTCCAGTCACCTTCTAGAAGCATTTTCACTTTCCCTTAAGGTTTCCCTTGATGAACATAGAAGTACTGTATGTAGAATTGACCCAGTGCTGCCCTGGCAACTTTTTATATTAGGCCAAATTTACATTTCTTACCTTTATGAGAGGCACCCTGGTAGGCTAGTGGAGTTACACACAAAGTCTGATCTCAGCTGCACTGTCCAGAGATGCAACACGGTCCAATCAAATAACATTCTCTGAGCCGGTTTCTTTAGCTGTAAAAGAAGAATAACATACCCATCTAAAAAGGCAGCTTATTGTATTTGATTGGTCTTTTATTTTCTATGAAACTGTGTTTAACACAGTAATTATTTTCATTTGTATACTACATTTGTGTTGTGTTTTTGGTTTTAGTTTTGTTTTTGAAATGGAGTCTTTTTTTAGTGGTTTTTTGTTTTGTTTTGTTTTGTTTTTGAGATGGAGTCTTTCTATTGTCACCCAGGCTGGAGTGCAGTGGCATGATCTCCACTCACTGCAACCTCCACTTCCCAGGTTCAAGTGATTCTCCTGCCTCAGCCTCCTGAGAACCCGGGATTACAGGTGCCCACCACCACACCCAGCTAATTTTTTAAATATATTTTTAGTAGAGATGGGGTTATAACATGTTGCCCAGGCTGGTCTCAAACTACTGACGTCAAGTGATCCACCCGCCTTGGCTTCCCAAAGTGCTGGGATTATAGGCATGAGCCACTGCGCCTGGCTTGTTTTCAAATAAGGGTTTCTTGGCTAGGTATGGTGGCTCACACCTGTAATCCCAGCACTTTGGGAGGCCAAGGTCAGTGGATCACCTGAGGTCAGGAGTTCGAGACCAGCCTGACCAATATGGAGAAACCCTGTCTGTACTAAAAATACAAAATTAGCCAGGCGTGGTGGCGCATGCCTGTAATCCCAGCTACTCAGGAGGCTGAGGAAGGAGAATTGCTTGAACCCAGGGGGCAGAGGTTGCAGTCAGCTGATATCGCACCATTGCACTCCAGCCTGGGCAACAAGTGCAAAACTCTGTCTCAAAATAAAAAAAAGATTTCTTAAAATGATATTTTCAGTATTTTATAGATGATGTGTAAGCAGCAATCTTAATAGGATGTTACCCGACACTTTGCGAGACTGGCAGCTAATTTGATTCAGATGTTTCTAATTCTTTTTTCTTTTTCTGTTTCTGTTTTTTTTTTTTTTCTTTTTTTTTTTTTTTTTTTTTTTGACAGAGCCTTGCTCTGTCCCCCATGCCGGAGTGCAGTGGCATGATCTCGGCTCACTGCAGCCTCCACCTCCCGGGTTCAAGCGATTCTCCTGCCTCAGGCTCCCGAGTAGCTGGGATTACAGGGGCACGCCACCATGCCCAGCTAATTTTTTGTATTTTTGGTAGAGACAGCGTTTCACCATGTTGGCCAGGCTGGTCTTGAACTCTTGACCTTAGGTGATCTGCCTGCCTCAGCTTCCCAAAGTGTTAGGATTACAGGCATCAGCCACTGTGCCTGGCCCAGATGTGTCTAATTCTAACATGAGATGTATTGCAGGATCATAGCAGAGTGAGTTGCTGATGTATCCAGAAGGAAACGAGCTTGGAACTCTCACGACAGCTGTCTTGAGAAGTGTGTGTGTGCTGTGCTTGAATATCTCACTGCTCATTTATACACAGGCTTTCTGGTGACTGAGTTAACAGTATCTGTTTCATAAATAATGTAGCCCTCTTTCTTTCTTTCTCTTTTTTTTTTTTTTTTTTTTGAGACAGGGTCTTGCTCTGTTACCCAGGCTGGAGTGCAATGGTGCAGTCTCGGCTCACCTCAACTTCAGCCTCCTGGGTTCAAGCGATTCTCCTGCCTCAGCCTCCCAAGTAGCTGGGATTACAGGCATGTGCCACCACACCTGGCTAATTTTTTCTTTTTTTGTTTTGAGATGGAGTTTCGCTGTTGTTGCCCAGGCTGGAGTGCAATGGCACAATCTCGGCTCACCACAATCTTTGCCTTTCGGGTTCAAGGGATTCTCCTTTCTCAGCCTCCCGAGTAGCTGGGATTACAGGCATGTGCCACCACACCCGGCTAATGTTGTATTTTTAGTAGAGACGGGGTTTCTCTATGTTGGTTAGGCTGGTCTCAAACTCCTGACCTCAGGTGATCTACCTTCCTCAGCCTCTTAAAGTGCTGGGATCACAGGCATGAGCCATTGCTCCTGGCCTAATTTTTGTATTTTTAGTAGAGAGGGGGTTTCACTATATTGGCCAGGCTGGTCTCGAATTCCTGACCTCAAGTTATCTGCCTGCCTCGGCCTCCCAAAGTGTTGGAATTACAGGCGTGAACCACCATGCCTGGCCAGCTCTATTTCTTTAAGCCTACATGTTTTGCACTTGTTAAAAGTATTTGAATATACAATTACTCAGTTTCCCTTGTTTATGCTTGAATTTTGTATAATCTTAAATATTTTTTCCAATCTAAGCTTTATTTTATCCCGTTTCTTCTATATTTGTATAACTTTAGGTGGCTATCTTCATTGAAAATTTTTTCTCAAAAGCCTTAAAATAGAACATAGTTCTTGGCAGCAATTTAAAGTTATTTGAGGAGAAGGGGAGACTTACAATGATGCTTCAATTGAAGCAAACTAAAAAGTAATGAAGCAAGACAGAGGAAAAAGCAGTATTCACTTGAGCACATCCCAAAAGAATAACATTTCAAATGTAACTAGAAAAAAGATTGCTGAAGTTTGCAATACAGAAATAATTATTAAGATAGCTTTAAAGCCCTGCTCAGCTTTTGAATGTTGGGAATTGACCCAGAGGTGGCTGTAAACTAAGATGGTTCCTTCAGTAATGACCATTTTTTCTTTTTCAAGATGATGATTATTCCCCACCTTCTAGGACACAAAGACCAACGAGCCACCACAGCCACCAGTCCCAGAACCCGCTAATGCTGGGGAACGGAAAATGAGGGAGTTCAACTCTGGCAAGTTCTCAGCGAAATCCACGACCTTTTCCTTTATCTTCTGGACTCTCAATGTGACTGATGAAAGTTACCACATGCTCTGCAGGGGGAAATGGTTTAGCATGTATTACTACATCTTAATCACATCTTTGTAAAGCCAGGAGCATTTTGAAAGTCACGTTACAGACATTCAGACATTGTTTAAACATAGTCTGTATATACCAAAGTATAGGACGTTGTATCATCTCATATTAATTAGTTAGTTGGCTCAAAATTAGTGCTAATGACTTAGTAATTCAGTGATTTCTGTTAGCTTTAAAACCTTTATTTCAGAACTATTTCACCTCTTGGTTTTCATTTTTGCTGTGTGTCACTGCCTGCCAGCTGCTAATTTATTAACTCCCAGTGAATCACGTGTCCTGTGAAGGGACTGAATATTAGTGGCAAATTATGTTGATGATTTATATTTTGAATAAATAGTTTGAATACATAGAACATTAAGCTTGTATACATTTTGAAAATAGTATTTTAATATTCTACTGTGTCATAGTCACAATGATTGGATATATATTGAATTTATATGTACTTTAAGTTGTTATATGTTTATGGTCTTTAGCATTCTAACGTGCAGTTGTATATCTGTTAAGTCTTTTTTTTTTTTTTTCAAGATTAGACTCTGATTTATTGAGGCATCTGTTTGATGCCACATTAAGTGGCCCAGGCTTTGTGTAGGGATTGAGGTTAAAGCAGGAAGAAGGGTGGTGAGAGGCAGGGGTACCAGGATTAGGTTGGAATACCTGGGGGTGCTCTGAGGCTCCCCAAGTTTCCCTGGTCTTGGCCGGCTGTGCTGCTGGCCTGGGCATCTGATGGGCCTGCAAGGGTGGTCCAGGGGCTAGGGCAGGGACTTTGGAGTCACACCGTTGGCTTTGAATCCAGACTCCTACACTTGGTAGCTGTGAACTCTCCATGCCTCAGGGACCTGCAGAACTGAGCTCTGTCTGAGCCAGGTTCCATCCAGGCACTGTGGATCCATCCAGAGGGGCACTGCCTCAGGTTGCTCACTATTCACTGCCTTCTCAAGCAGACCGTTGTCTCCTTCTAGGCCCTCACAATCCAGTGGAGGAGACGAAACTCATCTGCCTCTGTCCCTCTGGGCACGCCTCATGCCAGGTGCATCTGTGGACAGGGGCCATGCTCCTGGGCTTCCAAAGTTGGAGAAAGCTGCCAGGCTCAGGTGGGTACATCACAGCAGCTGCTGCCCTCTGGACACAGTAACAAAAGAACACTCTGGGCCTGGAGCCCTGGTCTGGGGCATTGGGCAAGGCTGTTGCATTTCTCTGAGCCCATTTCCCCATCTGGAAAGTGCGCTGATTGTATCTCCCTGTGGGCACTGAGGGCTCAGTGTTAGTTTGACAGCCAGCATCTGGGGTTTGGGCTGTAATTTCCCATCAGCCCCATAGCTGCGGGGAACCAGGGACTTTGTTGGGATTACCCTAGGCATCAGTCTAGCTTCCTGCCCCTGGCTTGGGCTCAGCACCTGAAGTAGTCTAGGGGGTAGGTGGTCCTGGTGGGGGCTGGGGCTTTTACCCAGACTGAGGTCACACCCAGAGCCAGAAATCTTGGTGCCTGCTCTGGGCAAAGGTGCCAGCCTGTGCGACAAGAGTGAAACTCTGTCTCCAAAACAAAAACAAAAAACCTTGCATCATTTCAAGGGGCTCACACCTCCCTAAGGGCCTGGTAATTGGCTGGCTCTGGCCTGCATCTGGCCCCGAGGGTGTAGGTAACACCCCACCTTAGCTGGTTTCTTCCTGCCAGGGCCAATCTTCAGACCTCGGGACTTTGCAGCCTATCCCACCTCCCCTCTGGCCAGCCTTGAGCCCTTGTGGGTCCAGCACTTTTTCCAGGCTGTCTCCTGGTTGTCCTTCTGCCTCGAGGCCTGGCTCATGCTGCTCCCCCTCCCACTCACCAAGACCCACAAGGACCACTCCACACCCAGCTCAGCCCCATCCCCTCAGATAGTCCTTTCTCTTTCCTCAGGTGGCCAGGTGCATATCTTGGTGTGAGGACCTTCACTGTATCTGGGAATGCCTACTGGTCACCTCGGTGACAGAGACCAAGGCATTTACCTGATATGAGTGTCTTGGTTCACTGTCTACATGGCTAGGGAGGGAGTCAATAATAGGCTTTTCACTTGCTGCAAGGGCCAGTTCTCCTGGCCCCTTGGCTCTAGGGATGGAGGACGCTGCAGGAGATGCACCGCTCACTTCCCAGCTGAGGACTGTGGGTCATCTCAGGGCGATTTCACAGTCCCCACATGCCCCACCCCCTCAGCTCTGCAAATACCAAGCAGTGCAGCCTGCCTAGGGGATGATGGGCTCGAGAGTGCCCAGGTAGTGCCCAGAGTGCCCTTGGCAGGCCCCTCACCTAGCTGCTTCCACAGCTCTGTAGCAAGAGTTCTAACCTTTTTTGACCGTGAAGCCTGCTGAGAATAAGAGCTGTAGACTGTTTTCCCAGAAAGGCATGTATATGCTCTCCACACAAAACCTTTCATCGTGGCCAAGCACAGTGGCTCATGTAATCCCAGAACTTCGGGAGGCAGAGCCAGTCGGATCACCTGAGGTCAGGAGTTCAAGACCAGCCTGCCCAACATGGCGAAACCTCGTCTCTACTAAAAATACAAAAAATTAGCCAGGCGTGGTGGCAGCCACCTGTAATCCCAGCTACTCCGGAGGCTGAGGCGGGAGAATCACTTGAACCCGGGAGGCGCAGGTTGTAGTGTGGTGAGATCACGCCACTGCACTCCAGCCTGGGCGACAGGAGCAAAACTCTGTCTCAAAAAACAAAACGAAACAAAACCTTGCATCCTTTCAGGGGGCTCACACCTCCCTAAGGGCCCAGTAATTAAACCCCTTGGGCCTGAGGGTGAGAAACTTTGTCTAATTTCTTCCCCAAGTGATCAGCCCAGGGGTAAGGAAGGAGAAGCCAGAAAGCAGGACCCATGAGAAGGGCCCCCTCCTCGAGTTTGAGGCCCACTCCCTCCTTCCCCTGCCTCTCCTCTGTCCAGGACTCCTCTCTGCTCTGCCCCACTCCTGGGGCCATAACCATGGGGAGCTGTGGTTTTCTACAGGCCCTTGGGCACAAAGTGGGCAGGCTCACCTGGAGGCGATCAGAGTAACATGGCAGGAAGTGAGGGGGAAAGCCGCCCTGGAACTGCGCCTCTCTGTCCCCTGACGTCACTGGCGTGCACTCCTCCCTCCCCTCACTCAGGCAGTGGCATGAGTTCCATGTGAGCGCTGTCCTGCTCCCTCTGCTGCCTCTTTTTTTCTTGGGGCTACCATAACACTTTCCCTTGCCCAGCCCTGCCAACCTGGTGGGACATTGGGCTTCCCTCTCACAGGGTCCTGGGGACAGGCCCATCCTTTATCATACCCACAGAGAGACCCTTTTCTCCTTCAGGACCTGGGGAGCAGCCAGGTTCCATTAGTTAAGTGCAGATCTGAACCAAGCTGGGATTGGGGTACACACTCTTCTCTACTGAAAAGTAGCTAGGGATTCCAACTAGGTGAGAAGGAGAGTGGGGCAGAGCCAGACCAGACAAGGACTGATCACCTGGAAAAAGCCTGCCATCAAAGGTCTTGGCAAATGCTGGGTGCAGTGGCTCACTCCTGTGATCCCAGCACTTTGGGGGGCTGAGACAGGTGGACTACTTGAGGCAAGGAGTTCGAGTCCAGCCTGGGCAACATGGCAAAACCCCATCTCTACTAGAAATACAAAAATTAGCTAGGCATGCTACACTCCTGTAATCCCAGCTACTCAGGAGGCTGAGGCAGGAGAATCACTTGAACTGGGGAGGCAGAGGTCGAAGTGAGCTGAGATTGTGCCCCTGCACTCCAGTCTGGGAGACAGAGTGAAACTAGGCCTCAAAAAAAAAAAAAAAAAGAATATGGCCTTGGCAGAGAGGGGCCAGCCTGGCAGTGCCTTCCCTTGGGTTTCTCCTGGGTAGGCCTCTGCCATGAGGAGGCGCTTCCTTCTGCCTGTCCATGGCCCACAGCAATGGAATGTCTGCTTCTGGGGGTTGGGTGGGAGACTGCTGGCAGAACTGAAAACCTTCAGGTGGGGTTTTTTTGTTTTGTTTTGTTTTCGAGATGGAGCATCGCTCTGTCACCCAGGCTGGAGTGCAGTGGTGGAATCTCAGTTCACTGCAACCTCCGCCCCCCGGGGTTCAAACAATTCTCCTGTCTCAGCCTCCTGAGTACCTGAGATTACGGGCATGTGCCACCATGCCCGGCCAATTTTTGTATTTTTTGTATAGATGGCATTTCGCCATGTTGGCCAGGCTGGTCTCGAACTCCTGACCTCAAGTGATCCACCCACCTCGGCCTCCCAAAGTGCTGGGATTACAGGCATGAGCCACTGAGCCCAGCCCCTTCAGGGGGGTTTTGAGGCTTCACTACAATACTAGTTTCCTGTGGCTGCTGCAACAAATTACCACACACTTAGTGACTTAAAACAACCAAAATGTATTCCCTTACAGGTCTGAAGGCCAGAATTCTACAGTAAGTCCTACTGAGTCAAGGTGGGAGCAGGGTCGGTGGCTTCTGAGGCTCTGCGGGAGAATCCGTTTCCTGGTCGTGGAGGTGGCCTGCACTCCTCAGCTTGTGCTGCCAGTCTCGAATGACTGGAGTTTCCTGCTTCTGTCACTACACCTCCCACCCTCTCCATCACCTGCTTTGCTCTTATAAGGATCCGGGTGAGTACATCAACCCCAAAAGCCAAAGACCCTTAACTTCATTATATCTGCAAAGCCCCTTTTGCCATATAAGGTCATGTTCACCAGTTCCCGGGATTAGGATATGGGCATCTTGGGGGCATCAGCCTGCTACAGCTAGGCTGCAAAACTATTAAACCCTCCTGGTGTTTCAATGATTGGGAGAAAAAGGGTTGGCATTTTTTGCTTAGGGGTCCCTCTTAAACTTGTATCTGTAAGGTCTGGGGTCCCTCTTAACCTTGTGTTTTTGTTTTTGTTTTTTTGAGGTGGAGTCTTGCTCTGTCATCCAGGCTGGCAGTGGCGTGGTCTTGGCTCACTGCAACGTCTGCCTCCTGGGTTCAAGTGATTCTCCTGCCTCAGCCTCCTGAGTAGCTGGGACTACAGGCGCCCACCACCATGCCCTGCTGTTTTGTATTTTTGGTAGGGACGGGGTGGGGGTGGGGCTAGGGAGGGGGGTTTTGGCTATGTTGCCCTGAGATCAAAGCGATCCGCCTGCCTCTGCTGCCAAAGTGCTGGGATTACAGGCCTGCATCACTGCACCCGGCTGCTGTAAAGTCTTATTTCACACAGCTGAGACATGTTTTAGGAAGTTTGCTGAAAGACCCCTGGAGACCTCCTCATTGTGACCTCCCTGTTATTGTGTTTAATTTGATTGAACTTTTCTGCCCTCCTGCTTTTCAGCTTCTCTAATAGTCTCCCATTAAACCAATTCTAAGAACCACCAAAAAAGGGAAATTTTTTTTTGAAAGCAGTAAAATGATATGGACTGTTAGAATGTAAAATATATGAAATAAGTCATTATATGTTAGTGCTGCTCTGACATAGGGACGTATTATTGAGAATCAACTTTTGCTTTTCAGAGAAATGGAATAATTGTATCGCTCATCTACGTAAACAAATTGAAGAATTGTCTGAAAGAAAATATGGTAAGTCTAAACTGGAAAAGTCCTGTAATCTTATGTTCATGGGCGTTTACACAATGGAGTTACTGTTCATCATGGAGGTACTGTGGACAAGCCCAGGGCTGCCGGCGAGTCATGCCATCCTTAGACGTTTCTCCTTGTAAGGTGCTTTGTAGTGTCTACACACTGTTTCTAGATTGCTGCAAAGCTGAGGAAAAGTTGTATTTCTTTAATTATTAGTTAGCATTTCTTTTAAACTTTCAGTATGGAGATTGGAAATTTATTTACATATTTATTGCAAAGCCCTGGATCTTAGGGATTTCATTGAATTATTTTTTTTTTTTTTTTCGAGACGGAGCCTCACTCTGTCGCCCAGGCTGGAGTGCAGTGGCACGATCTCGGCTCACTGCAACCTCCGCCTCCTGGGTTCAAGCAGTTCTCTGCCTCAGCCTCCCGAGCAGCTGGGATTACAGGCGCCAGCCACCACGCCTGGCTGATTTTTGTATTTTTAGTAGAGATGGGGTTTCATGATCTTGGCTAGGCTGGTCTTGAACTGCTGACCTCCTGATCCACTCACCTCAGCCTCCCAAAGTACTGGGATTACAGGTGTGAGCCGCCATGCCTGGCCAAATATTATTTTTTTAAATGAATTGTTTCTCTTAGTCTGCTTTGTTAAATTTGGAATTCATCTGGGCACGGTGGCTCACACCTGTAATCCCAGCACTTTGTGAGGCCAACGCAGGCAGATATCTAGGTCGGGAGTTCGAGACCAGCCTGACCAACATGGAGAAACCCCGTCTCTACTAAAAATACAAAATTAGACGGGCGTGGTGGCGCATGTCTGTAATCCCAGCTATTCGGGAGGCCAAGGCAGGAGAATCGCTTGAACCCAGGAGGCAGAGGTTGCGGTGAGCCGAGGTTGCACCATTGCACTCTAGCCTGGGCAAAAAGAGCAAAACTCCATCTCAAAATAAATAAATAAATAAAATGTTCCGTACTCACCAGGGTGCCCCTATTGTCTCTACTTTTATCTTGATGCATCACTGAATTGATGTTAGATTTCAAATTCATCATTGCCCTTATACTGTTCTATTCTGAAGCCACCTTTATATAATGAAAGAAATTAGCGATTTGTTATTATCCTCTCTCTGTTGGTATACATCAAATGCTCACCTAAAAAGAGCAACAACCAGTGGAAAACACATGATGTTTTTATTTGGATGACTATTTACTTGTAACCTACTAGCAAACTATAAAATTGTATGATATGCAGAATTTTAACTGAATTGCTTTAAGTGAACATTTAAACATGATAAACCATATTGATGGTATTTATGTTAATATACTTAAAATGATACTTTCTTCATCATAAGAAATATAACCTACTCCTCAATGAAAACCTAGCATTAAATTTGCTAATGAATTCAATGACATTTCCATAATATTTTTAGTTACATGCTTAAGGTTCTCTTAGTGTTTCTCCCACTTTTTAATAGCTTATGCCTTTTTCGCCTTTGGTTTTTTTTGGTTCATTTTAAAGCAAAAATCTCACAACATGTGATACCTGGAAACACTGTAACCTAGTGGTAAGACCATAGGCCCTGGGGACACAGGCTGGCCATGTCTCTTCTCCTGTCTGAGCTTTAGTATCCTCTTTTGTGGTCATGAGAACTGAAGATCTGTCCCGAAGATTTGATAAGATAGTAAAGTGCTTCACATAATACCAGACATATAAATACACAGTAAATCCTTCCTCCTTACATTTTTATTGATTGTTTGATTGAGACAGAATCTTGCTCTTTTGCCCAGGCTGGAATGCAGTGGCGTGATCATGGTTTCTGCAACCTCCACCTCGTGGGTTCAGGCAATTCTCCTGCCTCAGCCTCCCGAGTAGCTGGGATTACAGGTGCCTGCCACCATGCCCAGCTAATTATTGTATTTTTAGTACAGATGGGGTTTTACCATGTTGGCCAGGCTGGTCTCGAACTCCCGACCTCATAATCTGCCTGCCTCGGCCTCCCAAACTGCTGGGATTACAGGTGTGAGCCACTGTGCCCAGCCTGTCTTTTCTCTTCACACCCACAGTTCGTGATGAAATATTAAATATGTACTAGTGGATATTACTTTGCTGAATATTGCCTAGTGAATATTAAGTATTTATTCTCACCTTTCAGACATGAACTTAATGAATTCAACAGGTGAAGATTTACAACTTGATAAATCAGCTTCCTGAGGTACATCTTCAGTCTTAAGTCAGATTAGAAGATTATGTGAAGTAATTAACACTTAACGTTGATTTAATGATAGCTTCCACATGAAATAGTATGCCTCTAAGTATTAATTATGTCCTAGGACAGGAGAATTCATGTTGTCAAAATTCTCATACTCTCTAGAACAATAAACTCATTTTCTTTTTATTAGTAAATATTGCATTTATGGGTAGAGAAAACTGAAAGAACAATATTTGTTCTACTTTTGAGATGCAAGATTCATCTGGCATAATGCATTGAACAGGTTATTATTGAAGTCTACACCAGTCAACTGAATAAGCATTCATCAAATGTCCATGATATGCAGAACATAAGTTTTCTTTTAGAGTATGGAGCCATGCATATTATCTTTTAATTAGATGATTTAGTTAGATATGTTTTTAAAGAACTAGAAATATAATTGATTTTCTTGTTTTGGCTCTGGAGTGGAGTGGGGATGAAACAGAATGGATTCACACTGTTTAGATTTACTAAAATGGAAGGATTGCAGCAAGATCATATCCCTAGTCTCCCCGTAGCAAATGTCACCTGCTAGCTGTTTTTTTTTGTTTTGTTTTGTTTTGTTTTTTTGTAAGTTGAAGTTTTGTTCTGTCTCCCATGCTGGAGTGCAGTGTTATGATCTCAGCTCATGGCAAGCTCACCTCCTGGGTTCAAGCAATTCTCCCTGCCTCGGCCTCCTAAGTAGCTGGGATTACAGGCCTCTGCCACCACGCCTGCCTGATTTTTGTATTTGTAGTAGAGTTGGGGTTTCACCATGTTGGCCAGGCTGGCCTCGAACTCCTGACTTCAAGAGATTCACCCGCCTCAGCCTCCCAAAGTGCTGGGATTATGAGTGTAAGTCACTGCACTTCGATTTAATGGGATATTTCACTACGGACTTTGGTAAACAGAATATTAGCATTTTTGGTGTTCTTTTTATTTTACTCATACTATTTTTCTTTGGACTCAATCACAATAACAGAATTACAGATCAAAGTGTAAAAGTTAAAGACCAGTACAGATTCAATAATTATTCTTTTCTACATACTGTGTTTAAATGATACCCCTTTTTCTTTTTGTTCTTATAGCTCGAGCTGTAAAAGCCAAAGGTCCGGTGATGATCCCATACCCTTTTTTCCAGTCTCATGTTGAAGATTTTTATGTAGAAGGCCTTCCCAAAGGAATTTTTTTTTTTTTTTTTTTGAGATGGAGTTTTCACTCTTATCGCCCAGGCTGGGGTGCAATGGCGCAACCTTGCTGGTCACTGCAACCTCTGCCTCCTGGGTTCAAGAAATTCTCCTGCCTTAGCCTCCCAAGTTGCTGGGATTACAGGTGCCCACCACCACACCAGGCTAATTTTTGTATTTTTAGTGGAGATGGGGTTTCACCATGTTGGCCAGGCCAGTCTCAAACTCCTGACGTCAAGTGATCTTCCCGCCTCGGCCTCCCAGAGTGCTGAGATTACAGATGTGAACCCATGCCAGGCCAGGAATTTTGTTTTTTAGGAAGGCTTTCTACTAATGGAATTCCTGGCCTTGAGAGGATATTACTTTCGACGGAAAGGATTTTTTTGTTATTAAAAGGTAAGATTCTTGGATTCTTATTGGACTGTTATCTCTGTTATGAGTAATCCATCTTTAGTCATTCACCACTAGGGTTGTATTTAATTAAGTCTGAGTTATTTTATGGTGGTTTTGTTTTGTTTTCTTTTCTTTTCTTTTCTTTTGTTTTTACCGAATTTTGTTCTCATTGCCCTGGCTTGAGGGCAATGGCGCGATCTCAGGTCACCACATTCTCTGCCTTCCGGGTTCAAGCAATTCTCCTGCCTCAGCCTCCTGAGTAGCTGGATTTACAGGCATGCGCCACCATGCCTGGCTAATTTTTTGTATTTTTAGTAGAGATGGTGTTTCACCATGTTGACCAGGCTGGTCTAGAACTCCTGACCTTGGGTGATCCACCCGCCTCGGCCTCCCAAAGTGCTGGGATTACAGGCATGAGCCACCGCACCCAGCCTGGGCCTGCTTCTTCCTCTTTTTCTTTTTTTTTCATTAGCAGCTTAAAATTGGTGCCTTATTCAGACACAAGCAAAAGGACATTAGCCCAGCTTTGGAAATAGGTGTGAGCCCATCTATGATTTTCCTAGTTTCTCCTCCCCCTTTGCTTTTTGCTCTCTTGTTAGTATGTTAATTGTTTTCACTCTGAATCTTTTTTCCCCATTTCTTTGGCAGACATTTTTACTTGTCTTGGAAGAGTAGGTGAAGAGCTGTTTTTAGGACTCTTTGAAAGGGTACAGTATGGGTGACAGTCTTGGCTAATGGTAACATCCAGGGAGCTGGGGTCAGCGTGAGCTGGAATCAGTTCAAATTAGCAAAGCACTGGCACTCAGTGGCAGGAATACAAGTAACTGCAAAGTGTTAAACACATCTGGAAAGGGCTGCTGACATCATCCTCAGAATCTGTGGGGAGTTCACATAGCCAGTTAAGACCCATTCCTCTTTGAACCTATAAAGATTCTTTAAAGAATAATACCCTTAGTGGTTTTCTAGCCAGCTTGCCTGCTCATTTATCTTTGAGGACGACATGCCTTGTGGAGCTCCACAGGCCCCAGAGGGGTGTGGATTCTGCATTTGAAAGTGCTGAAGCTGAGAGACTGGGTCTTGGTGGACCCCAAGAGGTCTGTTTCTCCTCTACTCATTGTTCCTTTTTTTCCCAGCAGCTGGCATTGCTGTTTAAATGGGTTGTTCTTTGCTGTTTTAAGTTGTTTCATAGTGGTGTGTCAGGATTTGGGTTTTCTGAATACTTTCCAAGCTGGTGACTTGAGTGGTGGTTAGGGAGGAGCTGTTTTAGGGCTGTTCTGGAGCTATTGAGGTCAGGTATCTAGATACTCCCAGCTTGTCTGTTGAGGAGAATGCTGTTCTCATTGTGCTGCCTTTGGTGGTGCTGTGTGTGGCTCTTTAGATGTGGGTGGAGGTGAGCTGGGGGAGTTAATGAGATCTTTTTTAGGTGCTTTTGATAAAGTAGCCTGCACTACAGGATTCATTGTGACATTTTTCCTTAACCTGTGCATTTCTCTCTGCTAGCTTTTGCTGTCTTTCTCATGCCTTTGATTTTCCCAGCTCCTCTTGGTTGAATCAACCTAAGTGCTCTGCTGTGGTTTAAATGTGTCCCCCAAAGTTTATGTGCTGGAAACTCAATCCTCAATGCAACAGTTGGGATGTGGGGGCCTAATACAATAGCCTTCATGAATGAGTTAATGTTGTTGTGGTGGTAATAGATTAGTAATCACAGAGTGGGCTTATTATAAAACAGAGTTCAGCCCCTTTTGCCCTCTTGCTTTCTTGCACTTTCTTTTCCTTCTGCCTTCTGTAGTGGGATGATGCAGCAAGAAGACCCTTACCAGATGCAGGCCCCTCAACCTTCGACTTCCTAACATCCAGAACTGTTAAGAAATAAAATTTATTCCTTTCCTTTTCTTCCTCCTTTCCCTTCTCCTCCCTTTTCTTCCCTTCCCCTCCCTCCCTCTCTCTCTCCCTCCCTCCCTCCCTCCTTCCTTCCCTTCCTCCTTCCCTCTTTCTCTCTTTCCCTTCCTTCCTTTCCTTCCTTCCCTTCCTTCCTTTCCTTCCCTCCTTCACTTTTTCCCTCCTTCCTTCCTTTTTTCTTTCCTTCCTTTTTTCCTTTTCATAAATTATGCAGTCTGTGGTATTCTTTTATAGAAGCATGAAATGGACAAAGACAGACTCCATTTTCAAGAGCAAGCACTTTTGTAGTTTCTGAGCGAATTATGACTGCAAAGGAAGTTCTATAGGTAGCCTCAGATCCACTACCTAGGAAGCATGCTACCAAGCAGACCTAGGATCTAGGATTTGATCAAGTGCTGGGCAACATGATACCTCTGCAATTTAGCACCTCCCTATATACCTCCAGTTGGCTCAGCCCATCAGGGCTAAAACTACACCTCATATCCTAGTGTCTCTTGTAGGCAGAAGCCGTGCCTAAACCCTAAGCTGCTTGGCTCACATTCTGTCTTGTGCTTTTTTGTAGGGGGTTCAAATATACACAAACGAAATATGTTGAACCTCCATGCACCCAACCCGCAGATTAAGCAGTTACCTCCATTTTTCCAGATTTGTTTCATCTGCTTCAATCTCCCTAAAAATTTATGTTTGTACAGGAAAGACTGAATAAATAGCTAATTCTCCACCCTACCTCTCATCTTAAGTCACTTTTCAGAGTAGTAAGTTAGTGACCTAGTAACCTTCCCTCTAATGACCAGTAGTTTTTTTTCTGAATACCATTATGAACTCATAGATTATTGTTTGCATTTGATGTATTTCAGGCCATTGCAGTCTTTATTGTTTTGGATGCTTACATTGTCTCATCTAGGTTAATAATTATCTCTTCAAGTTTACTTTCATGTCTTTTTGACGTGATCCTGTTGGACTTTGATGGCTTCCTTACTTTCTGGCAAAAAAGATGTTCCAGGATCAATATACTGCACCATACATGGAGTCAGCCATTTCTCTAGGGAACCTTGATTCCTTTTAGTAGAGAACACAGTTTGAGGTCTTGGACTGAATGACTTTTGTGAACCTCCTTTCCTGAGACTACAGCCTGCATCCCTGCATATAGCCCGTTTGGAGCTCTTGCTGGGCACCAACAGATCTCCTAAAACTGCTATATAGTTCTGCCTCACTCTTACAAAGATTGATCTCTTGAGAGTTTTGTGCTCTACTCCCAGATGTGGTCTTTCTGGTTCTGAAGCTTTTGCTTCAGTCACCCTGAATTTTGCCAGCCCTATGCATGCTATACCTTGGATTGCCAACTTGCCCTCACTGAAGCCAGTTTCTCTGGTTAGAATAGTTGCCCCAACCCATGCCTAATACTCTAGTAAACAAGGTTCTACCTGGGCTTAGGTTAACTTTTGCTCCTTTGGGCCCTGTGTTCTACCAGCATTCCATTTATCTGAAACTCTCCGTCACCTTAAGAACTTATCTGTTCTTTAATGATTTGCTGCTGCTTCCTGGGTTCGAAAGAACCCAGTTCAGGAGTTTCTGTTTTAGTTTGAGATCTTATAGGCCTGTCTCATCAGGTTGGTGTCAGCCCAGCTAGGATTAGGCAGAATTGGGTGGGGGCTGTAGTGCATTTTTGGCACAGCATGTACCTGTCTGACTAATTCTCTGTCTTTTCTTTCCTGTTGCAATTCATGGGTCTTAGCATCTTCTGAATGGTGTTTAGTAGGTCATCCTGTTGATTTCCTGCTAGGGAGTAGCATACTCTGGCTCTGTACCATTGGCCAAGGGACTTAAGGATAGATGAGGGGCTACAGTTTTGTTAAATGGAACAATATGAAGAGATGGCATTGTAAAAAAAAAAAAAGGCTTGGCAGCAGGGCCCATTTGAATGGTTGGTCCTTGGCTCCTTTGTTGATATAGGCAGATCCTTGATGGGAATTTGGAATGATCCCAAATATTGTAGATCACTGGTACATCAAGTCATCCTCAAGGTTGTCTGTGTAACAGTCTTGAATGATATTTTGTCAGTCTTTGGAGATTCTCTGTATAGGGTTTAATCATTTAGTTATTTCAGTTGAGCCTGTTTAGTTTCTTTGCAAGGAGATAAGAAATGTGAAAGAGATGCAGACATTAGGGGAAAAAAGTCAGGAGCCTTGTTTCCCCACCCTCTACTTGGGTTCTGGAACTAGACTCATAGGTGAGTAGTGAGGAGCTGGGCCCAAGCACATTAATCCTAAATCTAGCTCTGCTTTGCGCTTGCTCCAGTTCTTGTATCAAATTCACTTCAAGCCACCCAGAGTAGTATGTAGAGGAGTCATTCAGGACCGTGCTTATACTTCATTGTATCAAATGGGAGATCCAGTAATTTATAGCCTATTGTTTCTGGAGCCTGGAGATGGCTCTGCATAAGATTTGCTGAAGCAAATTTTATTACATTAGAAGAGAACCTAGCTGGCTGCATCCTACACTGGAAGCTTTTAGATGCTAATAAGGAGGTCATGTAAAGGTCACAGAATGACTCTGGAATCCATTCCCCGCCAAGAAAGAATAATGACATTCTATGTTGGCCTCTTTTCATTTCCCTTTGATTTTGAGTAATAAATTCTCTCCTCACTTCCCAGCTGAACTGTTTGGGAGTCTCTATTCCCTAGAAAGACTCTGGTGACATACCCATCAGATTAAATTAGGTGAAAACTCTTTGGCCTTCATGAATGTTGAAGGATTTCAAAGGGCTAATGGAAATTCTTCTAGAAGTAACTGCAACCTCCGCCTTCCAGGTTCAAGCGATTTTCCTGCCTCAGCCTCCCGAGTAGCTGGGATTACAGGTGTCCACCACCATGCCCAACTAATTTTTGTATTTTTAGTAGAGACGGGGTTTCACCATGTTGGCCAGGCTGATCTAGAACTTTTGACCTCAGGTGATCCGCCCGCCTCAGCCTCCCAAAGTGCTGGGATTACAGGCGTGATCCACCGCGCCCAGTTAAACTTCAGTTTTTCATGTTCCATGCATAGGTCAGGGTCTTAGGGAGTGATTCATTCTAGCAGAACTCCCTGGATTTTAAGGCAGATGTTCCATTTATTAATTGACAAAGGAGGCATATTTCTCCCCTGGTAACCCAAAGATTTAGGTCATTTTCCCAGAGACTCCATTTCCACTGTGAGGGTTCTTGGAAAACTAAGCAGAGGATGAGGAAAAGTCTGTGAACAAGCTTGCTGGTCTCTCCCTGTCCTAAAAAAGAGCATACCTCTTCTGTAACCAGAAGGCCGTTTTGATTAGTCAAGGCTGGACAGACTGAGATTGGGTGTGTGTGTGTGTGTGTGTTTGTGTGTGTCTTGAGACAGGGTCTCACTCTGTCACCCAGGCTGGAGTGCAGTGGTGAGATCAGAGCTCACTGCAGCTTCCACTTCCTGGGCTCAAGGGATCCTCCTATTTCAGCCTCCAGAGTAGCTGGGACTATACGAATGTTTTACCGCACCCAGTTCATTTTCTAATTTTTTGTAGAGATGAGGTTTCACTGTGTTGCTCAGGCTGGTCTTGAACTCCTGGCCTCACGGAATCCTCCTGCCTTAGTCTCCCAGTGGGCTGGGATTATAGGTATGAGCCACCTCACCTGACCTGCGACGATCTTTCAACAATGTAATTTCTCTTTTACAGAGCCACCTAAGCTGAAGATTCCCTTGAGAACAAGTACTGTCCTGCGGTTTCATGGCCTTTCTTCCATTTGTGGTTCTTGCGAAGTGGAATTTAAATGACATCTTATCAAGATCGATAAATACTAGTTTCCCAGTGCTGGAATATAGAAAATGGATGGACAAGTAAATCCCACTCAGCACCCATAGTCCAGGCATGGGGACCTCAACACACCTGAGCCCCAAACATCACCTTTCATTGTGAGTAGCTCTGAGATGACACTTCTGCTGTTCCCAATTCCAGCATTAATTGGATTAGATAGTTATTTTATGAAGAATTTTCATATGCCACAATCCTGACCATATCTTCAAGTGAACAGAAGAATTCTATTAAAAAGTCAACCTTCTGTCTCACTCTGTTGCCCAGACTGGAGTGCAGTGGTGCAATTATGGCTCACTGCAGCCTCAACCTCCTGGGCTCAAGCAATCCTCCTGCCTCAGCCTCACAAGTAGCTGGGACTACAGGTGCTTGTCACCACACCTCACTAATTTTCCCATTTGTGTTACATGTAGATTCCACAGGACTGACTTCGAAAACTTGAGTATGCGTGGATTTTGGTATACACAGAAATGGGAGAGCTGGAACTAATCCCCCCCATATACCAAGGGACAAATTGTATCTGTTTTTACAATTATGCAGTAGGAGACATTATGTTCCATGACAATGGTATTTTTTAATGACAGTTTTTAATTGAGTGAAATTACCATAAAAATAATAATAGTAGCAGCTAATATTTACTGAGCTGTTACTAGGTGCCTATAAATAGCATAGATTTTTAAATTCTCCATAATTCTTCCTTATTTCACTTAACCACTCTATCTTAAATTACTCATGCTTGCCTCAGTAGCACACATACTTAAGTTGGAACAATAGAGAGATTGGCACGGCCTCTGTGAAAGAATGACATGCAAATTTGTGAAGCATTCCATATTTTTTTAAAAAAAGAGAAAAAAATTACTCCCAGATTTTCACTGTGTTTGTGCATATGACCTTTTGTTTAGGTTGAATTATATCCAAAGATGAAATTTCCAGAAGTGAGATTACTGTGAGTCACAGGGCATGAGCATTCTTATTACCCTTGATGTAAATTGCAAAAGCTTTCAGGCATGGTGGCTGTCAGCCTGTAATTCCAGCACTTTGGGAGGCTGAGGTGGGAGGATTGCTTGAGGCCAGGAGTTGGAGGAGGCAGTATAATGAGTCACTGTCTATATGATTTAAAAAAAATTTCCAAGCTTTATGCTAGAAGGCTTATATACATTTTAAACACCACTAATACTACAAGAAAATGGCCATTTCACTGCACCTTCACCCACGCAGGTATTATAATTTAACGAGTTATTTGTGTGATAAATGAAAGACCTCATATTATTACTTTGTCACCCATTCTTTTTTCTTTTTTGAGACGCAGTCTCGCTCTGTCAACCAGGCTGGAGTGCAGTGGTGTGATCTCGGCTCACTGCAACCTGTGCCTCCCAGGTTCAAGCGATTCTCCTGCCTCAGCCTTCTGAGTAGCTGGGATTACAGGCACATGCCACCATGCCCGGCTAATTTTTGTATTTTTAGTAGAAACGTGGTTTCACCATGTTGATCAGGCTGGTCTTGAACTCCTGACTTTGTGATCTACCCACCTCGGCCTCCCAAACTGCTTGATTACAGCTGTGAGCCATGCGCCCAGCCTATTTGTCACATATTTTATCTTTCCTTATGTTAGCTTATTAGCTTTATTTCTTTATTGTCCTTTTTTTTTTTTTTTGAGATGAAGTCTCGCTCTGTCTCCTAGGCTTCAGTGTAGTGGCACAGTCTCAACTCACTGCAGCCTTGACCTCCTAGGCTCAGGTGATCCTTCCACCTCAGTAGTTGGGACTATAGGCACATGCCACTATGCCTGGCCAATTATTTTTATTTTTTAATTTTTACTAGAGACGAGGTCTTGCTTTGTTTCTTAGGCTGGTCTGGAACTCCTGGCCTTAAGCAATCCCCCCACCACCCTCTCCCAAAGTACTGGTATTATAAGCATGAGCCACCATGCCTGGGGTATCTGTGTCTTTTCCATTTATTTGTAGAGTTACTTTGTCTTTTACTAATTCAATGATCTGTTTAATCTTTTATTAAATTATAAAAATAATAAATACTTTTAAATAAGTGAAAAATGTCCTTCACTCTTGAGACCCATAATCTTATCTCAGGAAATAATTGCAATTGAGAAAATGGGCCATATCCTTCAAGATACGTACATGGTGATTGAACATCACTTCATAATTTCATATTTTGTGGACATTTGTGCCAATACCTGTTGATCTAGCTTAATCCTTTTCATGGTTGCATAATATTTTATTATATGGATGTATCACAATTTACCAGTACCAGTCAACTGCTGGAGGCATTTAGGCTCCTTCTAATATTTGCTTTGAGCTCTTTATATAATTAAAAATTAACCCCCTCAGCCAGGTGTGGCAGCTCACACCTGTAATCCCAGCATTTTGGAAGGCTGAGGTGAGAGAACTACCTGAGTGTAGGAGATCACCACCAACCTGGTCAACATAGTGACACTTTGTCTCTACTAAAAATAAAAATAAAAAAATGAGCTACACGTTGCAGTGCACACCTGTAGTCCCAGCTACTGGGGAGGCTAAGACTGGAGGATCACTTGAGTCTAGAAGGTTGAGGCTGTAGTAAGCTATGATCACACCATTGCACTTTAGCTTTGCTAAGAGCAAGACTGCATTTCTTAAACAAAATAGAAATTAGATGGGAATATTGCTCAAGCCCTGGAGGTTGAGGCTGCAGTTAACTGTGATTGCACCACTGCAGTCCAGCCTAGGCGATAGAGCAAGACCCTTTCTCTAAAAATAAAATAAAATAAAAATTAACCTTCTATCATATTTCCCAGTAACACCTTCCCTCCTACATTTCTCCTAGAAGCCCTTAAATTTTGTTTTTCACATATCGTTTAAAACTTTTAAGTGCTGATGTCTGTCTGTGTCATCCCTCTTTTTTTTTTTTTTTTTTTTTTTTAAATGTCTTTTTGTCACTTCTAGCTGGACCTACCATGAAAGACTTCTGAATCCAGGAAGAGAAACTGACTGGGCAACATGTTATTCAGGTACAAAAAGACTTGGACTGTAACTCAAAAATGATCAAATAATAGTGCATGCATCAAGTGCAATGGGAAGCTCTTCTGGAGAGGGAGAGAAGCTTCCAGTTAAGGTGACATTGAAGCCAAGTCCTGTAAGATAAGGAAGAGTTGTATGAGAGTGGGGAGGGAAGGGGGAGGTGGAGGGATGGGGATTGGGCTGGGATGGGATGGAGTGAGCTGCCCAGGCAGGGAAACCAGCACTATACAGACCTGAACAATGAAGATGGCACATTTTGTTCAGGGAATGGTGAATTAAGTGTGGCAGAAATGCTTTGTAGAGACAGTAATTTGCTTGTATGGAATTTTGCCCAAGAGACCTCATTACAGTTTCTAATTTTTTGATGTTATCATGCATCACTGCCCTTGTCAGATAGTATCATGATCACAATAACATCAAGCATAATATTTCATTGATTCTCACAAAAACAGGTGGGTGCCACAGTTATCCCCATTATATGCACAAAATGATGAAGACTTGGGGTTAATGAGCGATTTGCCCAAGCTCACCTGAATATTAAGACTGAGTCAAATGTTAGTCTGGTCTGACTTCAATGCTTGCCTTGTTCATGAGCACCATGCATTGCCTCTCCTATGCAGTTAAGCAGGTAGACAGGTGAGAGAAGAGCCCGTGTGATATCGGGGGAAATTCACCCCGATATTTCATGTAGGTTCTTTTCTGTTTTCCCTGAGTGTTGGCCGGTCTGAGAAATAAAGGAAAAGAGTACAAAAGAGAGAAATTTTAAAGCTGGGTGTCCAGGGGAGACATCACATGTCGGCAGGTTCCGTGATGCCCCGCAAGCTGCAAAACCAACAAGTTTTTATTAGTGATTTTCAAAAGGGGAGGGAGTGTACGAATAGGGTGTGGGTCACAGAGATCACATGCTTCACAAGGTAATAAAATATCACAAGGCAAATGGAGGCAGGGCAAGATCACAGGACCACAGGACCGGGGCGAAATTAAAATTGCTAATGAAGTTTCGGGCACGCATTGTCATTGATAACATCTTATCAGGAGAAAGGGTTTGAGAGCAGACAACCCATCTGACCAAAATTTATTAGGCGGGAATTTCCTTGTCCTGATAAGCCTGGGAGCGCCACGCGAGCCCAGGGCTTATTTCATCCCTTATCAACGACTGTAAAAGACAGCCGTCCCCAAAGCGGCCATTTCAGAGGCCTCCCCTTAGGGATGCATTCTCTTTCTCAGGGATGTTCTTTGCTGAGAAAAAGAATTCAGCAATATTTCTCCTATTTGCTTTTGAAAGAAGAGAAATATGGCTCTGTTCCACCCGGCCCACAGGCAGCCAGAGTTTAAGGTTATCTCCCTTGTTCCCTGAAATTGCTGTTATCCTGTTTTTTTTTTCAAGGTGCCCAGGTTTCATACTGTTTAAACAACTTGTGCAGTTAACGCAATTATCACAGGGTCCTGCAGGGACATTCATCCTCAGCTTACGAAGATGACCGGATTAAGAGATTAAAGTAAAGACAGGCATAGGAAATCACAAGGGTATTGATTAGGGAAGTGATAAGTGTCCATGAAATCTTCACAATTTATGTTCAGAGATTGCAGTAAAGATAGGCCCAAGAAATTATAGAAGTATTAATTTGGGGAACTAATAAATGTCCATGAAATCTTCACAATTTATGTTCTTCTGCCGTGGCTTCAGCTGGTCCTTCCGTTTGGGGTCCCTGACTTCCCGCAACACGTTTCTCTCTACTCACAGACTTCTGACCAAATGTGTGTGCAGAGTTTCTACACCAGTTCTCCAACTCTCTGGATACCAACCGCGTATCCCACAATTCCATTCTGACACTACCTAGAGTTAGCGCAGAACCCACAGGTTAGGGGCTCAGTCCCACAAGACCACTCTCACTTCAGATGCCAGTTGCAAGTCCTAGGTTGTCACCTGTATTTTGACCAACCAGTTAGAAATCAGGGTTTCCCATGACCCTCTTCTTGAGTTTAATTATTTACTAGAACAACTCACAGAACTTAGAAAAACAGGTTTTTTTCTTTCCTTTTTAAGAGACAGGGCCTCGCTCTGTTGTCCAGGCTGGTGTGCAGTGGTGCAATCATTGCTCATTGAAGCCTCAACCTCCAGGGCTCAAGTGATTCTCCTGCTGCAGCCTCTCAAGTAGCTGGAATTACAGGGTTCCCACCACCACATTTGGCTAATTTCTTTTATTTTTTGTATAGACGGGGTCCTCTTATGTTGCCCAGGCTGGTCTCAAATTCCTAGGCTCAAGTGATTCCGCCCACCTCTGCCTCCCAAAGTGCTGGGATTACGGGCATGAGCCAGCGCATCTGGCCACCTTATTTTCTGTTACTGGCTCAGTGTAATGGCTCCATCTCAGGAACAGCCAATGAAAGAGATGCACAGGACAAGGTAAGTGGGGAGGGGCACAGAGCTTCCATGCCCTCTGTTGGGCACACTACCCTCCCAGGACCTCCTTGTGTTTAGCAACACAGAAGCTCTCCAAACCCTGCTGTTTGGGTTTTTATGGAGGCATGATTGATAAAATCATTGGCCATTGGTAGTTAAGTCAATCTCCAGTTCCTTTTGCCTCCTGGAGTTCAGCAGGTGAGGCTGAAAGTTCCAAGCCTCAAAAAATGTGGTTGGGGCCAGGTGCGGTGGCTCACTCCTGTAATCCTAGCAGTTTGGAAGGCTGAGGCACATGGACCACTTGAGGTCAGGAGTTTGAGACCAGCCTGACCAACATGGTGAAACCCTGTTTCTACTAAAAATAACAACAATTAGTTAGGCGTTGTGAGACATCCCTATAATTCCAGCTACTCGGGAGGCCAAGGCAGGAGAATTGCTTGAACCCGGGAGGTGGAGGTTGTAGTGAGCTGAGATTGTGCCATTGCACTCCAGCCTGGGCTACAAGAGCCAAACTCCGTTTAAAAAAAAAATGTGGTTGCTTTCTCTGGCAGCTAGCCCTCCTCCTGAAGCAGTCTAGGAGCTTGCAGCCACCCTGTTAGCTCAACAGCATCCCACATGCATTCTTACCATGCTGCAGATCTGAAAGACCTTAGAGGCCCTTGTGTCAGGAACCTGGGACTAAGACTAAATATCAAAACAGAAAATGCTCCTATTACCTCTGTCACGAAGGGCTTTATAAGAGCTTTGGAAGCTCTATGCCAGGAACCAGGGGCAGAGACCAAATGTATATTTCTTTTCTTATATTGGAGACAGAGTCTCACTCTGCCACTGAGGCTGGAGTGCAGTGATGTGATCATAGCTCACTGCAGCCTTGACCTCCTAGGCTAAAGCAATCCTCCCACCTTAGCCTCTCCAGTAGCTGGAACTACAGGCGTGCATCACCATGTCCAGCTGATTTTAATTTTAATTTTGTAAAGGCAGGGTCTTCCTATTTTCCCCAGGCTGATCTCTAACTCTTGGCCTCAAGCAATCCTTCCTCTTTGGCCTCCCAACTTGTTGGGATTACAGATGGGAGCCCTCATACCCACCAATCACAAGGATCTTTATAAGAGAAGGAGGTAGGAGAGTCAGAATTAGAGAAAGTGATGTGGTAATGGAAGAAGAGGTCAGAGAGGGAGATTTGAAGATGCTGCACTTCTGGCCTTGAATATGGAGTCACGAGGTAAGTCAAGGAATGGGGGTGGCTTCTAGAAGCTGGGAAAGGCAAAGGAGCACATTCTGTCTAGAGCCTCCCCCAGAAGGAATGCAGCCCCTCTGACACCTTGACTTTAGCCTTAATAGACCTAGTTGGGCTTCTGGCCCCCAGAACTGTAAGATGGTAGATTTGTGGTGTTTGATGCCACTAAATGTAGGGTACTTTGTTGTAGCAACAACAAAAAATGAACATGAAGCTGGGACCTCATGTTACAGTTGCTCACGCCTGTAATCCCAGAACTTTAGGAGGCTGAGGTGGGAGGATCGCTTAAGCCCAGGAGCTTAAGACCAGCCTGGGCAACATAAGACCTCATGTCTAAAAAAAAATTTTTTAAAAGGCCAGACGCAGTGGCTCACGCCTGTAATCCCAGCACTTTGGGAGGCCGAGGAGGGTGGATCACGAGGTCAGAAGTTCAAGACCAGCCTAGCCAAGATGGTGAAACCCCATCTCTACTAAAAATACAAACATTAGCCAGGTGTGGTGGTGGGTGCCTGTAATCCCAGCTACTCGGGAGGCAGAGAATCACTTGAACCCAAAAGGCAGACATTGCAGTGAGCCAAGATCGCACCCTTACACTTCAGCCTGGGTGACCGAGACTCCGTCTCAAAAAAAAAAAAAAAAAAAAAACCATGTGTTGTGGCATGCAGCTGTAGTCTCAGTTCCTAGGGTGGCTGAGGCGGGAGGATTGTTTAAGCCTGGGAGGTTGAAGTTGCTGTGAGCTGTGATTGCACCAGTGTACTCCAGCCTGGGCAATAAAGCAAGACCTTGTTTCAAAAAGAAAGAAATGAGCATGGTGGGAATGGGGACAGAGGGCAGTGTTAAGTAGAGTGGTCAGGGTTGGCCTCGTAAGTGAATATTGAGCAAAAGTTTGAAGCAGGTGATGGAGCTGGCCAAGGTGCTGAGGGAAGAGCATTGTAGGCTGAGTCAACAGGATAAAGGCATTAGGAGGAAACTCTCTGGTGTGTCTGAGGCTCTGAAAGGAGGCCAGTGGAGCAAAGAGATAGAGGGAGCGAAGTCAGCAAGGAGGCCAGGGAGTTGCTGGGCTGGGATCGGTACAGATCGTGTAAGCCCTGGGACGCTATTGCTGGGGCTTTGGCTTTTACTCTGACTAAAATGGGAACCACCGAGGGCTTCTGAGCAGAGAGGCGACGTGATCTGTCTCCTGATTTAAAAGCACGACCTGGCTGCCAAGTTGAGAAAGACTATGGGAAGATTTGGGTAGAAGCATGGGGGCCAAGCTGTGGCAACATCCCGCTGGGAGATGATAGTGATCCTGACCGGGTTCACGGTGGTGGTGAGAGATGGTCAGAGCCTGGATACATGTTGAAGTCAGTCAGTAGGATTTCCTGACAGACTGGATGTGAGCTGTGAGAGAAGGCAGTGGTCAAGGTTGAGTTTGATTCTGATTGAATTATTAAGTAATTTTAAAAAACACTACTGCCTTTCCCAATCCTACCAAGTAAAGGATGCTAGATAAAAGAAATCTCAAGTTAGGCCAGGTGCAGTGGCTCACACCTATAGTTCCAACAGTTTGAGAGGCAGAGATGGGAGTATGTTTTAAGGCCATGAGTTTGAGAGCAGCCTGGGCAACACAGCAAGACCTCCTCTCTACAAAAATAAAAAAAATAAATTTAATAAAATAAATATAGCCAGGCATGACGGTATGTACCTATGGCCCCAGTTACTCATGTGGCTGAGATGGGCAGATCTCTTGATTCTAGGAGTTTGAGGCCAGCTTGGGCAACATAGCAAGACTTCTCTCTCTACAAAAATGAAAAAAATGCCTGACATGGTGGTACTTGCCTGTATTCCCAGGTATGGGGGCAGCTGAGTCAGGAGCATCTGTTGAGCCCAGTTGGTCAAGGTTGCAGTGAGCTATGATTATACCACTGCACTCCATCCTGGGTGACAGAGTGGGACCCTGTCTCAAAATACAAATACAAATGAAATCTCAAGTCAGACCAGTCCCTTCTAGGCTATGTAGGCCTTGTAACCACATAGCTGCATGATCGGGTTTGTGTGGCTGTGGATGAGGAGACCCCTGTCCAATTGTTGGCTATGTAATCAGTTTATTTTTCGATATAGTAGTCAAATATATTTCATCATACTTGATGGTCTCAGATATGTATGGATTTTGGAATTCCCCTTGGAACAGGTTGTAACATCTTATTGGCTCCATAATTCCATAATTTTTTTAATCTGATGAGTTTTTAATAAGATCAGAATTGATATTAGACTACTTAATCGGTTTTGTTAATGAGAAAATGAAATTGTGTTGTTTGCATTTTATCCAAGATGGGTGTCATATTGGCTAAATCTCATCAATACTTGAACAAATGCAAAATTAGAGCTTCTTTATCATGAAACACGATGTAATTCTTGAAGAAGATGCCATTTCTTTTTTTTCTTTTTTTTTTTAAGATAAGAGTCTTTCTCTTGTCACCCAGGCTGGAGTGCAATGGTGCGATTTTGGCTCACTGCAACCTTCACCTTCTGGGTTCAAGCAATTCTCCTGCCTCAGCCTCCCGAGTAGCTGAGATTACAGGCGCCCGCCACCATACCCAGCTAATTTTTGTATTTTTAGTAGAGATGGGGTTTCACCATGTTGGCCAGGCTCCTCTGGAGCTCCTGACCTCAGGCAATCTGCCTGCCTCAGCCTCCCAAAATTCAAGGAGTACAGATGTGAGCAACCACGCCCGGCCTCCATTTCTTTTTTGTAGTCTTTAATAAACAGCTGCTATCATTGCAGACTTGCTATTTAGGCACTTAGGAATTTTTCACTAGAAGGCATGTAAATAAAGACCATGGGCATTTGTAATGAATTTAGCATTCATTCTTTGACTACATGACTGTCCCCAGAGCTGTAACTTTATTGAATTTTTTAGAAGCCATTTAGCTAGCAACTGAGCCTAACCAGCCACTCACTGTCATTATTCAGTGCTCTTTTATTATTGTCTATTTCTCCTCCAACTTGGCTACACTCATAAAGTGATAAAAACTTGCATTTGTTTTCTTTCCTTGTCAGAGACAGCGTCTTGCTCTGTTGCTCAGGCTACAGTACAGTGACATGATCATGGTTCACTGTAGCCTCAAACTCCTGGGCTCAAGCGGTTCTCTTACTTCAGTCTCCCAAGTAGCTGGGACTACAGACATGTGCCACCATGTCCAGCTAATTTTTTATCATAGAGACGGGATCTTGCCACGTTGCTCCGACTGGGCTCAAAACTCCTGACCTCAAGTGGTCCTCCTTCCTCAGCCTCCCAAAGTGCTGGGATTACAGGCAGGCATGACCACCTGTGCCCAGCCCCCTATTATTATTATTTTAAATAATAGCTTTATTAAAATATTCACATACCATTCACTTTATTTATTGAAATCTGCAATTCAGTAGGTTTTAGAATATTCACAGAGCTGTGCATCGATCACCACAGTCACTTTTAGAACGTTTCATTACCCTATAGAGAAATCCATACCCCTCAGCCACTACCTCCTACTCTCCCCACCTACCTTCGCCCCCAGCCTTAGGCAACCATTGATTAATTTTTTTGTCACTATAGATTTGCCTAATCTGGACAAATAGAATTGTACAATATGTGATCTTTTGTGGCTTTTTTTCCCTCTTAGCACAGTGTTTTCAAAGTTCCTTTATGTCATAGTGTGTATCAATATTTCATTCCTTCTATGGCAGTATTCCATGGTAGAGACACACTGCATTTTGTTTATCCGTTCATCAGTTGGTGGATATTTGGGTTGTTTCCATGTATTCCATGTATTGGTCATTATGAATAATGCTGCTATGAAGATTGTTGTACAAGTTTTTGTGTGGACATATATTTTATTTTTCTGGGATATATGCCTAGGAGTGAAATTGTTGCATTATAGGATGACTGTACATTTAGCCTTTTGAGAAACTGCCAGACTGTTTTCTAACGTGGCTACACCAGTTGGGTGCAATGGCTCACACCTGTAATCCCAGCTACTCAGGAGGCTCAGCTAGGAGGATGGCTTGAGCCCATGAATTCAAGACCAGCCTGGGCAAGATAGTGAAACCCTGTGTTGATTTTTTAAAAATCCAATTAAAATGACAAGAAAAGAAATACCCAAACAAAATGGTTACACGATTTTATGTTCCCACCAGTAATGTATGTGGGTTCCAATTCCTCCACATCTTCACTGACATTTTTTTTTCTAGATAGGGGCTTGCTCTGTCTCTCAGGCTGCAGTGCAGTGATGCCATCACAGTTCACTGCAGCCTTGACCTCCCAGGCACAAGTGATTCTCTCATCTCAGCCCCCTGAGTAGCTGAAAATTACAGGTGTATGCCACCATGCCTGGCTAATTTTTATATTTTTTTTGTAGTGATGGGATTTTACCATGTTGCCCAGGCTGGTCTCATACTCCTGGCCTCAAGTGATCTGCCCACCTCAGCCTCCCTAAGTTCTGGAATTGCAGGCTGCCACCATGCCCGGCCTTCACCAACATTTGCCATTATCTGTTTTTTTTTCTTCCTTTATACCTTAAAGCAGTATAAGAACAAGTGTCTTCAATTATAGGAAACAGTATAATCCCAGGGCATTGGGAGGCTAAGACAGGAAGATGTCTTGATGCCAGGAGTTTTTTTTTGTTGTTGTTGTATTTGTTTTTGTTATTGTTGTTGTTGTTGTTTTTGACAGAGTCTCGCTCTGTCACCCAGGGTGGAGTGCAGTCATGGGGTCCACTGCAACCTCCACCTCCCAGGTTCAGGTGATTCTCCTGCCTCAGCCTCCCGAGTAGGTGAGACTACAGGTACACACCACTACTGCCCAGCTAATTTTTGTATTTTTGATAGAGTCAGAGTTTCACCATGTTGGCCAGGCTGGTCTCGAACTCCAGACTTCGGGTGATTTGCCTGCCTTAGCTTCCCAAAGTGCTGGGATTACAAGCATGAGCCACCATGCCCAGCCTGATGCCAGGAGTTTTAGACTAGCCTGGGCAACCTAGCAAGACCTTGTCTCTACAGAATATTTAAAAATTAGCCAAATGTGGTGGTGCCTGTGTATAGTCTCTCTCCCTCTCTCTTTTTTTTTTCTTTCTAACTTTTTGTGACATGGTCTGGCTCTGTCACCCAGGCTGAAGTGCAGTGGTGTGATCATGGGTCACTGCAGCCTGAAACTCCTGGGATCAAGTGATCAATCCTCCCACCTCATCCTACCAAGTAGTAGGGACCACAGGTGTATGCCACCCAGGTCTTGCTATGTTGCCCAGGCTGGTCGTGAGCTCCTGGCCTCAAGCAATCCTCTCACCTTGGCCCCCCACAGTGCAAGGATTACAGGTATGAGCCACCATGCCTGGCCCCTACCCTGCCTATTGAGAACCAAAAGAAGGATCCAAATTCTCCTTAGCTCAACTTGAGCCATTTCCTGATTGCTTCATCAGCAAGGAGCTGGTTATTGGGCTGTCCAGGCCTCCCAAGCAGCACAGAAATGAGGTGAAGGAGTTTTCCTGCTGCTCCACTCTGTAAGGAGTTGGAGGGTGATGTTTACTCGTTTGCAGAGAGAGATGCCTTGTAGGCACTCAGGATGATCCCTGATTCCAATGTCCTTTTTTTCTTTAGAAACAGGACCTTGCCCTGTCACTCAGGATGGAGTTCAATGGTCCTATCATGGCTCATTATAGCCTTAAACTCCCAGGCTCAAGCAATCCTACCATGTCAGCCTTCCCAGTAGCTGGGACTACAGGTAAGCATCGTGACACTCAGTGAATTTTGTTTTTATTTTGTTGTAGAGATGGGACCTCAGTATGTTGCCACGGCTGACCTTGAACTCCTGCACTCAAGGGATTTTCCTGCCCTGGCCTCCCAAAGTATTGGTATTACAGGCATGAGCCATTGTGCCCACCGTCTCTGGTTCTTAACCTTCTGCCTCCCTCTTCCAGTTTTAAAGAATGCTTGTAATTACATGGGCTCTCCTAGATACTCCAGGATAATCTTGTTTTAAGGTCAGCTGATGAGCAACATTAATTTTATCTGCACTCTTAATTCCCCCTTCCTATGTAATTGTGCTGTGTAACATAGGACATGAGCAATTGGTGGCGGTGGGGGTTATTACTTTGGCCACCACAGTAACTATTTTACGCCAGGTACTCAGCTAAGCACTGGTGAATTAAGCATGAATAACACACACTCCCTAATCTCCATCCATTCATGGGAGGAGCACCTCACCTGCCATGCTCCTGAGAATCTCGGGAGTCAGAGAAGTCTTCTATGAGGAGGTGATGCCAAAGCGGACAAGTGACAGAGGAGTCGAAGCTAGCTAGGAAGAGAGTAGAGGTTTAAGGGGAAGCATAGTATAAGCAGAGGATATTACCCACTTCAGAGACTCCTAGAGGAGAAAGAGTGTGCGTTGAAGGGGCAGATGAGGCTCAGTTGGACTCCATAGCAGATGAAATGGAGAGGGGCAAGCAGTGAGGCTGCCTTGCAAGGCAGGGCAGAGCAGGGGCTGTTAAGGAGTTTGGACTTAATCCCTGAGGCAAGGAGAAGTGATGTAAATGGGGGAGTAACATGATGAGATTCATGGATTAGAGACATGGCTCAGGCTGCTGTAGAGAAGGCGCCAGGGAGAGCAGATGGCTCAATGGGTGTGCAGGAGACCTCTCACTGAGTTTAGGGAGAGGTTTTTAAAACAGAAGAAGTTTGAGTAATTTAAATGATGATGGGAAGGAGCTAAAAGTGGGGGATAGGTTAAAGATACAGGAAAGTGGGAGGAAGAACTGACAAGTGAGGTTCCAGAGAGGGCAGGAGAAGAGGAGATTCCCATAGGGGGATTAACACTTTCTTTTCTTTTTTCTTTCTAAGACAGGGTCTCACTCTGTCGCCCAGGCTGGAGTGCAGTGGCACAATCTTGGCTCACTGTAGTGTAGACTTCCCAGGCTCAAGGGATTTCTCCCACCCCAGACTCCCAAGTAGCTGGAACTACGGGTGTGCACCACCACCACACCTGGCTAATGTTTCTTTTTTTGGTAGACACAGAGTCTCACTATTTAGCACTGATTGGTCTCCAACTCCTGGCCTCAAGCAATCCTCCTGCTTAGGCTTCCCAAATTGCTGGGATTACAGGCATGAGCCACAATGCCTGGCCTCTGCTAGTTCCGTATTCTCTAGAGTTGTCTTTACTTTGTGCTAGCGTGTCCCTCATTGTGCTGATCCTCTGTAAAAATTAATACCTTTTTTTTTTTTTCGAGACGGAGTTTCACTCTTGTTGCCCAGGCTGGAGTGCAATGGCGCTATCTCGGCTCAGCGCAACCGCCACCTGCCGGGTTCAAGCGATTCTCCTGCCACAGCCTCCCGAGTAGTTGGGATTACAGGCATGTGCCACCATGCCCAGCTAATTTTGTATTTTTAGTAGAGATGGGGTTTCTCCATGCTGGTCAGGCTGGTCTCGAACTCCTGACCTCAGGTGATCTGTCTGCCTTGGCCTCCCAAAGTGCTGGGATTACAGGCATGAGCCATTGTGCCTGGCCAAAATTAATACTTTTTATATTAAATTTACATATGTATACGTTTTTTCTTTTTGATACCGGGTCTCACACTGTCACCCAAGCTG
Source organism: Homo sapiens (assembly GCF_000001405.40). Lineage (NCBI taxonomy): Eukaryota > Metazoa > Chordata > Mammalia > Primates > Hominidae > Homo > Homo sapiens. Next base: position 119,420,587 of record NC_000004.12, on the reverse strand, counting down.
GAGTACAGTGGCACAACCTCTGCTCATTGCAGCCTCCACCTGCCAGGCTCAAGCAATTCTCCTGCCTCAGCCTCCCGAGTAGCTGGGATTACAGGTAAGTGCCACCACACCCAGCTGATTTTTGTGTTTTTTTGTAGAGACAAGGTTTCACCATGTTTCCCAGACTGTTCTCAAACTCCTGAGCTCAAAGCAGTCCACCCACCTTGGCCTCCCAAAGTGCTGGGATTACAGGTGTGAGCCATCTTGCTCATTTTAGTTTAAACTTTTGAGTGGTTTGTGTCTCCTGATTGGACTCCTACAAATACAGAATTGATGCTAGGAAGGGTACCAGGAGATAGATGCACACAGATGGGATTTGGGAGTAGGTTTGGTTATCCAAGGAGCAGTGCTGAGCTCCTTGCTAATGGGATATGGGATGCTGGTGATTTCCAGGAAGTGACCTCACAATGACTCAAGCTACCACATACTGTTGATTGTGAAATGCCAGTTGAAGCATATGTCCTGCGAGCTTAGGGGTGCTACAAGTTGACCACTGCAGCAGTAAAGATGACTCTGAAGAATGGCATGGGATGGATCCTTTCGAATGCACTTGAGCAGCGGTCTCCAACCACAGGGCCACAGAGCTGGAGGTGAGCAGCAGGCGAGTGAAGGGAAACTTCATCTGTATTTCTAGCCCCTCCCATCGCTTGCATGACCACCTGAGCTCCATGTCCTGTCAGACCAGCAGCAGCATTAGATTCTCATAGGAGCACAAACTCTGTTGTGAAGTGTGCATGCGAGGGATCTAGGTTGTGTACTCCTTATGAGAATCTAATGCCTGATATTCTGCTACTGTCTCCCATCACCCCAGATGGACAGTCTAGTTGCAGGAGAACAAGCTCAGAGATCCCACTGAGTCTACGTTATAGTGAGTTGTAGAATCATTTCATTATATATTACTATGTAGTAATAATAGAAATAAAGTGCACAATATATGTAATGCACTTGAATCATCCTGAAATTATTCCCTCACTCCCAGTCTGTGGAAAAATTGTCTTCCACACACTCAGTCTGTTTTTTGGTAGAGGCAGGGTCTTAATATATTGCCCAGGCTGATCTCAAACTCCTGGCCTCAAGTAATATACCTCTCTCAGCCTCCCAAAGTGCTGAGATTACAGGCATAGGCCACCACCCTCAACCAAGACTTTCTTAAACCAGATAAAAATTAAGTGAGATTACTTGAGCCCAGGTGGTCAAGGCTGCAGTGAGCCTGATTGCACCACAACTCCAGCCTAGGTGACAGAATGAGACTGTCTCAAAAAATAAAATAAAATAAAATACAAATTAACCCTTTATGACATTCCCAGTAACTTTCCCTCCTAAGTGTTCCCCACAAGTCTTTGAATTCTGTTTAATTTTCACATAACATTTAAGACATGTAAGAACTTATGTCTGTCTGTGTCATCCCTTTATGTCAAAAGATGTCTTTTTGTCACTTCCAGCTGGATCTACCATGAAAGACTTCTGAATCCAGGAAGAGAGACTGACTGGGCAACATGTTATTCAGGTACAAAAAGATTTGGACTAACTTAAAAATGATCAAATAATAGTGCATGCATCAAGTGCAATGGGAAGCTCTTCTGGAGAGTGAGAGAAGCTTCCAGTTAAGGTGACATTGAAGCCAAGTCCTGAAAGATGAGGAAGAGTTGTATGAGAGTGGGGAGGGAAGGGGGAGGTGGAGGGATGGGGAATGGGCTGGGATGGGATAGCGCAAACTGCCCGGGAAGGGAAACCAGCACTGTACAGACCTGAACCACAAAGATGGCATATTTTGTTCAGGGAATGGTGAATTAAGTGTGGCAGGAATGCTTTGTAGACACAGTAATTTGCTTGTATGGAATTTTGCCTGAGAGACCTCATTGCAGTTTCTGATTTTTTGATGTCATCATCCATCACTGTCCTTGTCAAATAGTTTGGAATAGGTATAATGATCACAATAACCCCAAGCATAATATTTCGTTAATTCTCACAGAATCACAGGTAGGTGCCACAGTTATCCCCATTTTATGAATGGAGTGATGAAGCCTTAGGAATAATGAATGATTTGCCCAAGCTCGCCTGGATATTAAGACTGAGTCAAATGTTGGGTTTGGTCTGATTTTAATGTTTGCTTTGTTCATGAGCACCACATATTGCCTCTCCTATGCAGTTAAGCAGGTAAGTGACAGAAAAGCCCATGTTTGTCTCTACTCACACACTTCCGACTGAATGTATGTATGGAGTTTCTACACCAAATTCTTCAGTGCTCTGGATATTAACTGGGTATCCCATGACTTTATTCTGACACTACCTGGAGTTAGCACAGACCCCACAAGTTAGGGGCTCAGTCCCACGAGGCCATCCTCACTTCAGATGCCAATGGCAAGTCCTAAGTTGTCACCGTACTTTTGACCAACCTGTTACCAATCGGGGGTTCCCATAACTGTCTTCTTGGGTTTAATAATTTGCTAGAACAGTTTACGGAACTCAGAAAAACAGTTTATTTTCTTTTTTTCTGAGAGGGTCTTATTTTGTTGCCCAGGCTGGTGTGCAATGGTGCAGTCATAGCTCATTGCAGCCTTGATTGTCTGGGCTCCAGTGGTTCTCCCACCTCAGCCTCCCTAGTAGACATGCCTGCACCACCACATCTGGCTAGTTTCTTTTATTTTTTGTATATATGGGTCTTGTTGTGTTGGCCAGGCTGGCCACAAATTCCTGGTCTCAAGTGATCCTCCCACCTCAGCCTCTGAAAGTGCTGGGATTACAGATGTGAGCCACCACATCTGGCCAGTTCATTTCCTATTACTGGTTCATTGTGAAGGATACATCTCAGAAACAGTCAATGAAAGAGACGTGCATGCTGGATGCAGTGGCTCATGCCTGTAATCTCAGCACTTTGGGAGGCCAAGGTGGGAGGATCGCTTAAACTCAAGAGTTTGAGACCAGCCTGGGCAACATGGTGAAAACCTGTCTCTATAAAAAATTTAAAAATAATAATAATAACCGGTGTGGTGCTGTGCACCTAGAGTTCCAACTACTAGGGAAGCTGAGTTGAGAGGATACCTTGAGCTGGAGACTGGGGAGGCTTAGGTTACAGTAAGCTGAGATTGTGCCACTGCACTCTAGCTTGGACAAAAGAGCCTGATCCTGTCTCAAAAAAAAGAAAGATACCCAGGGCAAGTTAAGTTCGGAGGGGCACAGAGCTCCCATGCCCTCTGTTGAACATGCGACCCTCCCAGCATCTCCTGTGTCCAGCAACCCTGAAAGCTCTGCAAACCCCGTTCAGGGTGTTTATGGAGGCTTTATTATGCAAGCATGATTGATAAAATCTTTGGCTGTTGGTGATTAAGTCAGTCTCCAGCCCCTCTTCCTCCTGGAGTTCAGTGCATGAGGCTGAAAGTTCCAAGCCTCTTACCATGTGGTTGCGTGGTAATCAGCCCTCCTCTTGAGGAAATTTAGGAGCTTGCAGTCACCCAGTCATCTCAACAACATCCCCAAATGCATTCTTACATGCTGGAGATCCCAAAGTTCTTAGAGGCTCTTGTGTTAAAACCTGGGACCAAGACCAAATATTAAAACAAAAGATGTTCCTGTCACATCTATCACTGAGGTCTTTGTAAGAGCTTTAGAAGCTCTGTGCCACGAACCAGGGACAGAGATTAAATATATATTTCTTTTCTTTTTTTTGAGACAGGATCTCCTGTGTCATCCAGGCTGGAGTGCAGTGATGTGATCATAGCTCACTATAGCTTTGGCCTCCTGAGATCAAGCAATCCTCCCATCTCAACCTCCCAAGTAGCTAGGACTCCACATGCATGTCACCCATGCCCAGCTCATTTTTGTAGAGTCAGAGTTTCGCCATGGTGGCCAGGTTGGCCATGTTGGCCAGATGGGGTCTTCTTTTGTTGCCCAGGCTGGCCACAAATTCCTGGGCTCAAGTGATCCTCCCACCTCGTCCTTGTAGAGATGAGATTTAGTTATGTTGTCCAGGCTGATCTCAAACTCCTGGGCTAAATCGATTGTCTCACCTCAGCCTCTCAAGTAGCTGGGACTACAGGCGCATACCACCATGTCGGGCTAATATTTATTTTTATTTTTTTCTAGAGGTGGGGGTCTCACTGTGTTTTTCATGCTAGTTTCAAACTTCGGGCCTCAAGTGTTCCTCCTGCCTTGACCTCCCAAAGTGTTGGGATTCTGGGTGGGAGCCACCATGCCCAGCAATCACAAGGGTCTTTATAAAAGAAAGAGAGTAGGAGATTCAGAATTGGAGCAGGAGATGTGGTGATGAAAGCAGAGGTAAGAGAGGGAGATTTGAAGATGCTTCACCTCTGGCTTTGAAGATGGAGTCAGGGGCCATGATCCAAGGAATGGGGGTGGCTTCCAGAAGCTGGAAAAGCCAAGGGAACATATTAGAGTCTCCAGAAGGAATGCAGCCCTGCTGACACCTTGACTTTAGCCTTAATAGACCTAGTTTGGGTTTCTGGCCCCTGGAACCGTAAGATGGTAGATTTGTGGTGTTTTAAGCCACTAAATGTAGGAAACTTCAAACTATGTTGCAGCAGCAAGAAGAAATGAACATGAAGCCAGGCATGATGGCTCATGCCGGTAATGCCCGCACTTTAGGAATTTAGGCAGGAGGATCACTTGAGGCCAGGAGTTCAAGACCAGTCTGGGCAACATAGTAAGACCTTGTCTCTACAAAAAATGAAAAAATTGGCCAGGCGTGGTAGCTCACGCCTATAATTCCAGCACTTTGGGAGGCCGAAGCGGGCAGATTACCTGAGGTCAGGAGTTCGAGACCAGCCTGGCCAACATTGTGAAACCCCGGCTCTACTAAAAATACAAAAAATTAGCTGGGCGTGGTGGCACGCACCTGTAATCCCAGCTACTTGGAAGGCTGAGGCAGGAGAATCACTTGAATCTGGGAGGTGGAGGTTGCAGTGAGCCGGGATCGCACCGTTACACTACAGCCTGGGCAAGAAGAGTGAAACTCTGTCTCAAAATAAAATAAAATAAAATAAAATAAAATACTAAAAAATTTAGCCAGGCATGGTGGCATGAACCTGGAGTCCCAGGTACTCGGGAGGCTGAGGTGGGAGGATCGCTTGAGCCTGGAAATTTGAGGTTGCAGTGAGCTGTGATTTCGCCACTGCACTCCAGCCTTGGTGACAGTGAGATCTTGAAAAAAAGAAAGAAGAAAGTAAAGAAAGAAGAAATGAGCATGGTGGGCATGGGGACAGATGGCAGTGTTGACTAGAATGGTCAGGGGTGGCCTCCTAAGTGAAAATTGAGTAAAGACTTGAAGGAGGGGAAGGAGCTGGCCAAGGTGCTGAGGGAAGAGGATTGTAGGCAGAAACAATAGAATAAACTGTCTGAGGTGTGTCTCCGGCTCTGGAAGGAGGCCCATGGAGCAGATGGAGAGAGGGAGAGAATTAGGGGAGGGAGCCAGGGAGTTGCTGGGTGAGGATCAGTACAGATCACATAAGCCCTGGGAGGTTATTGGTGGGGCTTTGGCTTTTACTCTGACTTAGATGGGAACTGCGGGAGGGTTCTGAGCAGAGAGGCGACGTGATCTGTCTCCCGATTTAAAAGCATTCTCTGGCTGCTGAGTTGAGAAAGACTGTGGGAAGATGTGATAGAAGCATGGGGGCCAAGCTTTGGCAACATCCAGGCGGGAGATGATGGTGGTCCTGACCAGGGTCGTGGTGGTGTTGAGAGATGGTCAGAGGGGAGAACTAGGGGAGGAGGCCAGGGAGTTGCTGGGTGGGGATCTTTAGTAGATGTCAAAGACAATCAACAGGATTTCCTGACAGACTGGATATGGGGTGTGAGAGAAGGCAGGGGTCAAGGTTGAGTTTGATTGTTACTGAAATTATTAAGTAATTTTAAAAAACACTACTGCCTTTCCCAATCCTACCAAGTATGGGATGCTAGATTAAAGAAATCTCTTCAGGCTCATTGCAGTGGCTCATGCCTGTAGTCCCAGCTGTTTGGTAAGCAGAGGTGCGAGTATCTTTTAAGGGCAGGTGTTCAAGACCAGCCTGGACAACACAGCAAGATCTGCTCTTTACAAAAATATTTTTCAAAATTAAATAAATGTAGCTAGGCATGGTGATGTGTACTTGTAGTTTCAGCTACTCAGGAGGCTGAAGTGGGCAGATCTCTTGAGGTCAGGAGTTTGAGGCCAGCTTGGGCAACATAGCAAGACCCCTCACTCTACAAAAAAATTAAAAAAATAACCAGGCATGGTGACACTCAACTGTACTACCAGCTACTGGGGAGCTGAGGCAGGAAGATGGCTTGAGCCCAGGAGGTCGAGGCTGCAGTGAGCTGTAAGTGCACAGCTGCACTCCAGTCTGGGTGACAGAGCAGGACCTGTCTCACAATACAAATAAAAATACAAGTAAAATAATATCTCAAGTCAGAGCCTTTTGGCTCTGCAGCCCTTGCAACCCCTCAGCCGTGCAGTGGGGTTTGCGTCGCTGGGAATGAGGAGACCCCTGCCCGGTGTTGTTGCCTGACTAATCAGTGTTTTAAAACATATATTAATCGGGGTGGGCGCGGTGGCTCACACCTGTAATCCCAGCACTTAGGGAGACCTAGGCGGGTGGATCACCTGAGGTCAAGAGTTCAAGACCAGCCTTGCCAACATGGCGAAACTCCTTCTCTACTAAGAAAATACAATAATTAGCTGGACGTGGTAGTGGACGCCTGTAATCCCAGCTACTTGGGAGGCGGAGGTAGGAGAATCGCTTGAACCTGCGGGGTGGAGGTTGCAATGAGCTGAGATTGTGCCACTTCACTCCAGCCTGGGCGAAAGAACAAGACTTTGTCTCAAAGAAAAAAAAAAGTATTATATCAACATGTCATGGTTTTATTATTAATATGTAATGAATATTAAATATTTTTAAAATCTTGTATTATATCAACATGTAATGGCTTTAATATGTGATGAATAATATTTAAAAATTTGTGTCTTATTTTCTAGTTTTAATATAATTATCTACAGAAAGAAATAGTCTTAGAGATCTTCAATAAAGTTAAAAAATGTAAAGGGATGTTAGACCCCAAAAGATTGAGAATTTCTAGTTTAGAAATATTCAGAGTAAGCCACATACAACTTGCTACTTGAACTATTTTTTTTCTTTGTTTTTTATTTTAGGAGATGGGGTCTCACCCTGTCACCCAGGCTTGAGTACAGTAGTGCTATCACAGCTCACTGCAGCCTTGAACTCCTGGGCTAAGGATCCTCCTACCTGAGCCTCCTGAGTAGCTAGGACTGTAGGTACACATGACGATACTTGGCTAATTTTTAAATTGTTTTGTAGACATAGGGTCTCACTTTGTTGGCCAGGCTGGTGTCAAACTAATGGCCTCAAGTGACCCTTCCACCCCTGCCTCCCATCCTAGAGGTATGTGCCACCACAAGGAGCACTTGTTCAATTTTCTAAAGAAAAAATTTCTAAAGTAAGGTTGTGGGATGATGGCAGGAAGATAAAAGAAAAACAGAAGAAGAAGTTACAATGACTTATTCACACATATTCTTTTGACAGCAAGAAGAACTTTTAGTATATACATTCCTTACAAACAAACAAAAGGCAGATAAACAATGTTGTATAGGAACTTTAACACACACTGTACAATATTCCCACTTTGCTGACATAAGTTATGGAAATTTCGTGGTTTACTTGAGTGTCACTACCAGTATTTTGCTTCTCTGATGATTTTTATCAACTTCCTCATCTGTTAACTTCTCTCCAAGGTATGTCATGTCACGACATACTGCCGCTGCACGACCATGGCCAGCGTCTTCCTATTAAACATGTAGAATGCTTTCCTAATTTCTCTTTTTACTCTCTGTCTTTGTGTTTTGCATTTTCCTTACTTTTATTGTCTGAAACTCCAGAAAGTCAATCGTACTAATTTATCACGATTTGCTTTATTAATTTATACTTTGCTTATATGGAATTTTGCCCAACAGACCTCAGTACAATTTCTAACCTGTTTTGTTTTTATTTCTGAGACAGGGTCTCCCTCTGTTGTCCAAGGCTGGAGTGTAGTAGTGCTATCACAGCTGACTGCAGCCTCAACCTTCCAGGCTGAAGTGATTCTCCCATCTCAACCTCCCACGTGGCTGAGACTACAGGTGCTTGCCACTATGCCCAACTAATATTTGGAATTTTCATATAAGTGGATTCCAGAGTGGTGACAGCAAAACGTGAGTAAGCATGGGTTTTGGTATATGCAGAGATGGGGGGCTGGAACTAATTCTGTATACTGAGGGACGACGACTGTATATGTTTTTACAATTACGCTGTAGGATACATACTGTTGCATAGCCTTGAAAATAATAATTTTTAATTGAGTGGAATAATAATAATATTGCTAAAAGTAGCAGCTGGCCAGGTGTGGTGGCTCACACTGGTAATCGCAACTCTTTGGGAGGCTGAGGCAGGAGGATGGCTTGAGGCCAAGAGTTTGCGATAGGCCTTGGAAACAAAGCGGGGAGTCACCATCCCTACAGAAAAATACATGAATTAGCCTAGTGTGGTGGCATGTTCCTGTAGTCCCAGCTACTTGGGAGGCTGAGGTGGGAGGATCACTTGAGCCCAGGGAGGCTGAGACTGCAATGAGTCATGATCAGGCCTCTGCACTCCAGCCTGGGTGACAGAGTGAGACCCTGTCTCAAAACAACAAAAAAGTAGCAGCTAACATCAACTGACCTTTTATACCAGGTGCCTATTGATATCATAGTTTAATTTCTTATAACTGTTTCTTATTTCACTTACCAACTCTGTCTTCAGTTACTCCCAGATTTTTACTGTGTTTGTACAGATGACCTTTTGTTTAGATTGAATTATCTCCCCAGAAGTAAGATTACTGTGAGACATGGTGAATGGACATTCTCATTACCCTTGATGTAAATTGACAGGGTTTTGGGTGCCTCCCAGCCTATAATCTTAGCACTTTGGGAGGCTAAGAGAGGAGGAGTGCTTGAGGCCAAGAGTTGGAGGAGGCAGTATGGCAGTATGGTGAGACCCTGTCTCCATTATTTTAAGAAATTGACAAGCTTTACCCGGGAAGGCTTATACACAATTTAAACACCCCTCATAGTACAAGAAAGTGCCCGTTTCACTGCACCTTTGCCAGCACAGGGTATTATAATTTACTAAGTCATTTTTTGTTTGATTATTTTAAATAGATAAAAGACCTCATATTACTTTACTTGTCACATTTCAACATCTTTCCTTAGCTTATTAGCTCTATCTCTTTTCTGTCTGTAAATGGTTGTTGTTGTTTTGTTCTTTGAGACAGCCTGCTCTGTCACCAGGCTGGACTGTAGTGGCATAATCATGCCTCACTGCAGCCTTGACCTCCCAGGCTCAAACTTCAGCGTTCCGAGTAGCTGGGACTACAAGTGTGCACCACCACTCCCAGCTAACTTTTTTCTTTTTTTGGATAGAGACAGGGTCTCACTGTGTTGTCCAGACCGGTCTCTAGCTCCTGGCCTTAAGCAATCCTCCTGCATTAGCTTCTCAAATTGCTGGAATTTCAGGCATGAGCCACCATGCCTGGCCTGGGCTAGTCCTGTATTCTCTAGAGTTCTCTTTACTTTGGGTTAGCCAATCTCTCATTATGCCGTTCACCTGTTATAATGAATAATTCTCCGTATTAAATTTTACCACTTTAAACTTTTGAGTGGTTTATGCTTCCTGATTGGACTCTGACTAATATGTTAGGAAGGGTCCCAGGAGATAAACCCACACAGATGGGATTTGGGCATAGGTTTGGTTTCCCAGGGGGCAGTGCTGAGCTCTTTGCCAGTGGGAAATGGGATGCTGGTGATTTCCAGGAAGTGACCTCACAATGACTCAAGCTACCACTTACTGTTGATTGTGACGAAATGCCAGCTGAGGCACATGCCTTGGGAGCTAAGTGGTTACTGCACTTGACCACTATGAAGACTGGTGTGGGAAGGGTCGCTTTGGATGCACTTGAGCAGGGCTCCCCAACCCCTGAGCCATGGAGCCGTAAGGAGCCACACAGCAGGAGGTGAGTGGTGTCGAGTGAGGGAGTGAGGGAAGCTTCGTCTGTATTTACAGCCACTCCCCTTTGCTCACATTCCCGCCTGAGCTCCACCTTCTCAGATCAGCAGCAGCATTAGATTCTCATAGGAGAATGCACCCTGTTGTGAACCGTGCATGTGAGGGATCTAGGTTGCGCTGTCCTTATGAGAATCTAATACCTATTGATCTGTCACTTTCTCCCATCACGCTCAGGTGGGACCATCCAGTTGCAGGAAAACAAGCTTAACATGCCCACTGATTCTACATTATGGTGAGTTCTATAATTATTTTATTAGATATTACAGTGTAATAATGGAAACGAAGTGCCTAATAAATGTAAATGTGCTTAAATCTTTTGGCCCAGCTCCTACCTCCCGGCAGCCTCTCCAGGCCCAGAACTTTCTCCAGTCAGCCTCTACAGACCAAGCTCATGACTCACAATGGCCTATTTAGGCCCATACCCTACCTCACGGCAGTCTCCGCAGATGAGCCTACTGCCTCACAACAGCCTCCACAGGCACAGCTCCATCGTTACAATGGCCTCTTTAGACCCAGCTCCTGCCTCCCAGCCTTCTCTCTAGGCCCTGAACTTTCTGAAGTCGACCTCACCAGGCCCAGCTCATGCTTCTTTGCAGCCTCTCCAGGCCCAGCTCCTGCATCTTGGTGGCCCCTCCAGGCCCAGCCTCTGCCTCCCGTCGGCCTCTACAGTCCCAACATCTGCCTCATAGCAGATTCTTGAGGCCCAGCATCTGCCTCACTGTGGACCCCCCAAGCCAAGCTCCCAACCTTTAGCAGCTTCTACACACCCAGCTCCTGCCACCCAGTGGCCTCTTTAGGCCAAGCTCATGCTTCACAAGGGCCTTTCCAGGCCCAACTTTCGTCTCATGGCAACCTTCCCTGGCCAGATTCCTGCGTGTCTCCCAGCAGCCTAGACAGGCCCAGGTCTTGCCTCACACTGGCCTCTCTACATCCAGCTCATGCCTCACAGTGACCTCTCCAGGCACAGCTCCTGTCCCAGAACGTCATCTCCGGGCCCAAAACTTACTCAAGTCAGCCTCTCTAGTCCCAACTGCTGCCTCCTGGTGGCCTATGAAGGCCCAAAATCTCCTCAAGTTGACCTCTCCCGGCCCAGCTCCTGCCTCCTGTCAGCGTCTACAGGCCCAACCTCTGCCTCATGGGGGCTTCTCCAGGCCCAGCTCTTCCTCTTGGCTGAGTCTACAGGCACAACTGCTGCCTCACAACAGCCTTTTTTGGCCCAGTTCCTGTCCAGCTCATGGCAGCCAATGTAGGCCCAAAACTTCCTCAAGTCATACTCTCCAGGCCCACCTTCTGCTTCCCGGTGGCATGAACAGGCCCAGCTTTGACTTGAGAACAGCCTCTGCAGGGCCTGCTCTTGCCTCCCAGGGGCTTTTCCAAGCCCAGCTCTTGCCTCATGGCAGCTGCCTCAGGCCAAATTTCTTCCTGCCTGCCAGCAGCCTCAACAGGCACAGCTCCTCCCTCACGGTGGCCCATTTAGGCCCAACTCATGACTGTCGGGCCATTTCCAGGCCTAGTGCCTGCCTCCTGGCTGACTCTTGAAGCCCAAAACTTCCTCAAATCAGCCTTTTGCCCAACTTGTGTCTACTGTCGGACTCTACAGGCCAGCCTCTGCCTCACAGTGGACCCTGCAGACCCAGATGGTGTCTCACTGTGGCATCCTCAGGCAAAGCTCCTGCCTTTCGGCAGCCTCTACGGGGCCAGCTCCTGCCTTGCAGTGGCCTCTTCAGGCCAAGCTCATGCCCCATGGCGACTTTTCCAGGCACAGCTTTTGCCTTTTGCAGCCTGTCCAGGCCCAGAATGTCCTTAACTCGGCATCTCCAGGACGAGCTCATCCTCCCAGTGCGTCTACAGGCCCATCTCCTGCCTCACAACAACCTCCTTTGGCCCAACTCCTGCTGAGCTGCTGGCAGCCTCTGTAGGCCACAGACTTCTTAAAGTAAAGTTTTCCAGGCCCACCTTCGGCCTCCCAGCAGCCTCAGCAATCAAACTATTCCCTCACTGCGGCCACCGAAAGCCAAGTTTCTCCCTGCCTCACAGCATCCTCCGAAAACTGAGCATTTGCCTCACGGTGGCCTCCCCAGGCCACGAATCTGCCTGCCTCCCAGGCAGGTGCTGCCTCACAATGGTCTCTTTAGGCCCAGCTTATGCTAAAAAATGGACTCTCCAGGCACAGCTCTTGCCTCCTGTTAGCCTCTGCAGGCCCAAATTCTCCAAAAGTTGGCCTCTCCTAACTCAGCTCCTGCCTCATGTCGGCCTACACAGGCCCAGACTCTTACCACACAGTAGACCCTCCAGGCCCACCACTTGCCTGATCATAGCCTCCTGAGGCCAAGCTCCTGCCTTTCGGCAGCCTCTACAGGCCCAGCTCCTGCCTCACAGTTGCCTTTGTAGGCCAAGATCATGCCGCAAAGTGGCCTTTCCTAGCCTAACTTTTGCTTTTTGATGCATACTCCAGTCCCAAAACTTCCTCCAGTCAGCCGGTCCAGGCCAAGCTCTTCCTCCCAAAGGCTTCTGCAGGCCAAAATCGTCCTGAAGTCACCCTCTGCAGGCCCAGCTCCTGCCTCCAAGTGCTGTGTAGGCCAAGCTAATGCCTCACAGCACACTTTCCAGGCTGAGCGTTTCCTTTTGTGCATCCTCTCCAAGCCCTGAACTTACTCCACTTGGCCTCTCCAGACCAAGCTCTCCCTCCCAGTGGCCTCTACAGGCCAAAACTGTCCTCAGGTCAGCCTCTCCAGGGCCAACTCCTAGCTACCAGTGGCTTCTACAGGCCAAAATCGACCTCAAGTCAGCCTCTTCACACCCAGCTCTTGCCTCTGAGTGGCCTCTCCAGGAGCAAAACTTTCTCAAGTCGGCCTCTCCAGGCCCAGCCTCCTGCTTCCCGAGGGCATGTACAGGCCCAGCCTCTGCCTCACAGCAGACTCTCCACACCCAGCTCTTCCCTGTCTGCGGCCTCTCCAGTCCAAAGCTGCTCCTGCCTTTTGGCAGCTTGTACAGGCTCAGCTCCTCCCTCACGGTGGCCTCTTTCGGCCCAACTCATGCCTCTTGCAACCTGCCCAAGTGTCAGCTCCTGCCTCACACTGGCCTGTTGAGGCCCAGCTTATGCCTCTCGTGGCCTCAACAGGCCCATTCCCTGCCTGTCGGCGGCCTCTACAGGCCCGGCCTCTACCTCACAGTGGGCTCTCCAGGCCCACCTCTTCCTCACCGTGGCCTCCTGGGGCAATGCTCCTCCCTCTCGGGAGCCTCTGCGGGCCCAGCTCCTGCCAGTGGCCTCTGTAGGCCAAGCCCATGCCTCAGGGCAGCCTTTCCAGGCCTAGTGTTTGCTGCTTTGCATCCTCTCCAGGCCCTGGACTTCCTCCAGTCGGCCTCTCCAGGCCCAGCTCTTCCTCTCGGCGGCCTCTGCAGGCCCAGACTGTCGTCAAGTCAGTCTGTCCAGGGCCAGCTCCTGCCTCCCGGTGGCCTCTGCAGGCCCAAGTCGTTCTCAAGTCGGCTTCCCCAGGCCCAGCTCCGGCCTCTCGGCGGCCTCTCCGGGTGCAAAAGTTCCTCGAGTCAGCCTCTCCAGGCCCAGCTCCTCCTGCCTCCCAGTGGCCTCTTTCGGCCCAGCCCAGCTCATGCCTCCCAGCGGCCTTCCCAGGCCCCGCTTTTGACTTTCGGTGGCCTCTGCAGGCCTCGACAAGGCCTGGCCTCCTGCCTCCCGAAGGCCTGCACAGGCCCAGCCTCTGCCTCACAGCAGACTCTCCACGCCCAGCTAGCTCTCGCCTCACTGCAGCCTCCCAAGTCCAAAGCTCCTGCCTCTCGGCCGCTTCGGCAGGCCCAGCTCCCGCCTGCCAGTGGCCTCTTCAGGCCCATGGGGCTCATTCCTCACAACGGCCTTTCCAGGCCCAGTTTTTCCCTTCCGGCGGCCTCTCCGGGCCCAGAACCTCCTCAAGTCGGCCTCTCCAGACCCACTTGCACCCTCCGGGTGTCCTCTCTGGGCCCAGCTCTTCTTCCTGGTTGCGTCTCCAGGCCCGACTCCTGCCTCTCAACAACCTCTTTGGACTCAGTGCCTACCCATCTCCTGGCGGCCTTGGTCGGCCCACAGCTTCCTGAAGCCAAGCTCCCCAGGCCCAGGTCAGGCCTCACGGTGGCCTCTCCAGGCTCAGCTCCTGCCCTCCGATGGCATCTGCAGGCCCCAAACGGCCTCCGGTCGGTGGGCTCCTCTAGGCCCAGCTTGGGCCTCCCGGCGGCCTCTGCAGGCCCAAGTCGTCCTCAAGTCGGCCTGGAATTGGGCCTGGAAGAGCAGCAAGTCGGCCTCCCCGGGCCCAGCTCCGTCCTCTCGGCGGCCTCTCCAGGTGCAAAACTTCCTCGAGTCAGCCTCTCCAGGCCCAGCTCCTCCTGCCTCCCAGTGGCCTCTTTCAGCCCAGCCCAGCTCATGGCTCTCAGCGGCCTTCCCAGGTCCCGCTTTTGACTTTTGGCAGCCTCTTCAGGCCCAGAACTTGACCTCCAGTCGGCCTTTGCAGTCCCGGCCTCCTGCCTCCCGAAGGCCTGCACGGGCCCGGCCTCGGCCTCGGCCTCACAGCGGACTCTCCACGCCCAGCTAGCTCTCGCCTCACTGCGGCCTCCCCAGTCCAAAGCTCCTGCCTTTCGGCCGCTTCTGCAGGCCCAGCTCCCGCCTGCCAGTGGCCTCTTTAGGCCCAGCTTATTCCTCACAACGGCCTTTCCAGGCCCCGTTTTTCACTTCTGGCAGCCTCTTGGACTCTAATTTTTTTATCTTTTGTGTATAAATCCCAAAATATGGAATTTTGGAATATTTCCATCATTATATAAATATTTTGGTAGGTAATTTATTTGGAGTGAGTTTCTGCACCAAGCCCGAATTTTTTATTTTATTTTCCTTATTATTTGGTGTTAAACAGGTTTAATGACGGTCATGGCAACTTTCTGGCACAATAAAAAATATCCCCGTGATCAACGTGTTCTGTTCTGGGGAAGGGGGCAAAGGCAGGGTGAATCACTTTCTTAAAAAGTACAACTCAAGTTGGGATAGCAGAGGGAATGGGGAGAAAACCCTCCCGCTGCCTGTGTCGAAGTGCAGGAGCTTCCACCCCCATACTCACCTGAGTCCAGCCCCTCTGGGGAAAGAAGGGGTGCATGAACTCCCCATAGTCGACAGGCACCTCCCTGTGGCCCAAGGCCCTCTTCACACTCCATCCTGTAGCCCCAGCAGGAGCTATTTTCCGAAAAGTGAAAAGCTCTGAAGGTCCCACACTTCATGATATGTACAGGGGCTCGGAGGAGGGAAACTGCCAAGCTTTCCCCCGGTACAGCTGCAGGGATAGTGGGTATATATAAGAGGAGCAGGCCTTGGCCAGGCCTGGTGGCTCACACCTGTAATCCCAGCACTTTGGGAGGTGGAGGCAGGCGGATCACGATGTCAGGAGATCGAAATCAGCCTGGCCAAGATGGTGAAGCCCCGTCTGTACTAAAAATACAAAAATTAGCCGGACGTGGTAGCGTGTACCTGTAATCTCAGCTACCCGGAAGGCTGAGGCAGGAGAATTGCGTGAACCAGGCAGGAAAAGGTTGCAGTGAGCCAAGATCGCACCACTGCACTCCAGCCTGGGCGACAGAGCAAGACTCCGTCTCAAAAAAAAATTAAAAAAAGCAGGCCTTATTCCATCCCAAACTGAAAGGATTAAATGGCTTTACCCGGGAGAAGATAACCATCCTGACCTCCATGGCTACCCCCACATACTGTCCATGTTCTCAGGGGGTACTGTGAGTCCTGGGATCTTCTTTGGGGTCGCCCATCTGCCTGTGGTAGTTATGGAGGGACCCAGGTGTTGAGGCAGGGCTGGGGTGTCCCCTTCCAGCCAGGCTGTCGAGGCCCCAACTCTGGGGCAGAGGCAGGGGCAAGGCACCCAGAGTTGCACCAGAGCCTGAGCAGGGTGAGGTGGGGTCAGGCAGGGCTGGGAGTCAGGGCAGGGGCAGCAGCAGTGGACCCGCTATGCACACATTTTCTTCTCCAAGGTTTGTGTGCAGAACATCCTGCCCATGCTGCCCCAGCAGCTTCAGTTGGCACCTGCCCCAGTCCAGCCTCTGGGACCATGCAGCGGCTCCCAGTGGCCCTGCACCCACCACCAGCATCCGTTTCACCTGCAGTTGAAGATCCGTGAGGTGCCCAGAAGATCATGCAGTCATCAGTCCCACGGAACAGCCCACGAGGCTGAGGCTCCTCCCACTGGACCGCCCCCCAACTGGCACCACTGCTGCCCCTGCCCCTACTCTCAGCCTCACGTGACTCTCGGGCAGAGGCAGTGGTGGGGCAGCCAGGGCAGCATCAGAGTCTGAGCCAGGTGAGGTGGGGTCAGGACCCCCGCAGGGCTGGGAGTCAGGGCAGGGGCAGAACAAACCTTGGAGGGGAAGATGTGTGCATAGTGGGCCTGGAGGGCAGCTGTGGCCTAGTGGACAGGAAGAAGCAGTGGGCCTGGAAGAGCTGCATGATCAAGGCCAGCACTGGTCCAGGGCGCGTGCAGTGAAGAGGACAGCGCCTTCTCCGTCTCCGGTTCCCTGAGCCCGTCCTCGGCTTCTCCACCTGTACAGGCAAAGGGGAAGCTGTCCCCATCACACATGGCACACTTGGGGGTGTTGGGCTTTGGGCTGCAGCTGGAGCATCTTCTCATCTTGCATTTGGGTGTGGTGGGGTCCGCCAGTGCGGGATCCATGTCCGTGGGGTTCCCTCTGCCCCAACCCCCAAAGCCCAGTTTCTCCTCTTCAGGCTCTGCCCCCTGGGTGGCTCAGCCCAGCTCCTGCCTAGGAAAGCCTTAGTGTTGGGAGGGACCACAATGACTGAGGGGCCTGGTAGCTCCAGGTCGCCCACACTTTCAGGTCTCTTGCACCAGAAGGTGGCAGGATCCATTGGGAGGAAACAGGTCACCTTGGAAGGCGTCCCTGGGCCCCCATCCCCAGGGGTAGGGGCCGTAGGGGGCCCGCTCTGCTGCCCTGACCAGACTCCTGGGCTTTGAAGGCTCCTGGGCCCAGTAAGAAGGAGGTGGGTGCCAAGGTTGAGGAGGAAGCATCCGAGAATGTGTAGGAGAAGGACGGGGTGGGACCATAGACTTTGCCAAAAACTGCAGGTGGATCGGGGGACCCTGGGGGCTCAGGATTCAGCAAGGGGCGGCAGGAGTAAAGGAGGAAGGAATGACAGGTGCAAATACCTTCCCATGAAAGCCCTTGTTGCGCTCTGGCTCCTCCCCAGAGCTGTCCCCACTCTCAGTCGGTCACCCACTCCTTGAACTTGAGATCAGTGTCAGTGGTGCTAAAGCCGTCATCAGCAATGACATCATCACCCCCTCCTCCTCATGGATGACCATGTGCTCCTCGTCATTCGCTATGTCCTCACTGGCCATGTGCTGGATTAATGAATGGATAAATGAAATTGGTATATACATACACTATATATACATACAATTCCTTAAAAAGGAAGGAAATCCTGTCACAATGCAACATGGTTGAAGCTTGAGAACATTATGCTAAGTGTAGTGAGCCAGTCACAAAAATAAAAAAATACTGTATGATTCCACTAATATGAGGTATCTAAAGGAGTCAAATTTATAGAAACAGGAAGTATAATAATACTTGCCAGGGACAGTGGAAAGTGGAAAAGACAAGTTGTTTAAAAGGTACAGAGTTTCAGTTTTGCAAAATGAAGACGTTCTAGAGATCTGTTTCACAATAAAGCAAGTACTTACACATGACACTACTGAGTGGAACACTTAAAATGGCTAAGGTGGTAAATTTCATGTTATATGTTCTTTACCACAAATATTTTTAAAAGTTTATAACCATTTGAAAACACTGGTGATGAAAATTAAAAAACAAAAATAAAAACAAAACAAGCAACTAGATTCAACTACTTTCCTTCCCCAGTGAGAAAGGAAGTGTTGCTATAGACAGTCAATGCATGTCACTGTCTTGACTTCAGTGGACAAATACCTGCTCTGCTAAAAAAAGAAAGATCACTGGGTTAACATCCCTACGTTTGGCCGCTCTCTTACCTTGTCAGCCTCCACACCAGACTTCTCAAGAGCAGATCTCAATTCTGAAGCCTCTGCGTGCTGATGCACACTCACATATTTATGTTATGGCATAGCCTCTGGCTCAATTTTACCTTGAAATAGTTCTTTGGAAGTCTTTTTCTTGGCATTAGTCCTTCTCAACCTCTCTGCTGATTTTAAGCTTAATGGCCTTCTCTACTGGTTAGGATTCTATATATTTTTCTACCTTTCTGACCACTGAATCTGCCTCCTTTACCTCCCTAAAACTAGGTATTACTATGGTCCTGCCTGCCTTCAGCCTCCTTTTGATTCTCCACTTGTTCTGTCTTAACTATCTAATGTATATTACTGTCCACAGTTATCTTTATTACCCTAATATTGTTGCTTCCAGATCCAACCTCTCCCCCAAACCCCAATGTTTGAATTTCTAGCTGTCTGTTAGTCTCCATATGAATATGATCTAATCATCATGGCTCTTTTAAACAAGACAGAGCCACCCAAACACCATGAAACCAGTAACACATATAAGCAGTCCTCTAAAACCTTCACATTAATTACTACCTTGGGCCACTTACCTTGGCCTGTTTTGAGTTCTGTGGTCTGACTTTTCATCATTGTGCATTTTTCCACTGATGCTATGCTTCACTCTTTGGCCTGATACTTTGATAAAGATTCTCTATGTCTGTTGATATTCCTCTCAACATAAATCAAGTTCTTCCTCTGGCCAAGCTGTCTTTGGCTACTGTTAAACATCTTGCCCAATCTGAGAACCTTTAAATTGATACTGCACTTCACTGCTGGCTCCCCCTCAAGCAAACAAGATGAGGATATACCTACATTTCAAACCGTTTCAGTGACCTCCTCCAGACACCTGCTGGACCTCCCGTGTTCCCTTTGTGTCCTAATGGCTTCACTCTGATTCCAAGGATGAATGAAGTCTTAGTCACAGTGATTCTTGCCTCCCTCCCTCTCTTTTATTATGTGATTAAAAACATAAAATTTACCACCGTAACCATTTTTAAGTGTAAAGTTTAACAGTGTTAAGTATATCCACACTGGGCCAGGCATGGCGGCTCATGCCTGTAATCCCAGCACTTTGGGAGGCCGAGGCAGGTGGAACACCTGAGGTCAAGAGTTCGATACCAGCCTGGCCAACATGATGAAACCCCGTCTCTACTAAAAATACAAAAATTAGCCAGGAATGGTGGTGGGAACCTGTAATCCCAGCTACTTGGGAGGCTGAGGCAGGAGAATTGCTTGAACCCGGGAGGCGGAGGTTGCAGCGAGCCTAGATTGCACCACTGCACTCTAGCCTAGGGAACAAGAACAAAACTCCATCTCAAAAAAAGTAGTATATTCACACTGTTATGAAAAAGATCTAACATTTTCATCTTGCAAATATGAAATTCATTAAGTACCTACCCTTTCCCTCGTCATCCCACTCTATTTTAACCCCTAATGTGAATTATTTCATAAACCCTGTTAATTCTTTCTCAGTAATGCCATAAAAATCAAAAGATTTAATAGTATAAGAGATCTGAAAGGTCACCTGGCACAGCTTCTATAATATGTATGCATAACCTCAAAAATTTTCACAATAAATGGTTATCTGGCTGTAGTTTACACACATCAACAGATGGCAAGACAGTCACATCATCCTTGAACACTGATAAGGTTTGGCTCTGTGTCCCCATCCAAATCTCATCTTGTAACTCCCATAATTCCCATGTGTTGTCAGAGGGACCTGGTGGGAGATGATTGAATTATGGGGGCAGGTCTTTCTCGTGCTGTTCTCATGATAGTCAATGAGTCTCACGAGATCTGATGGTTTTAAAAATGGGAGTTTCCTTGCACAAGCTCTGTTTGCCTGCTGCCATCCATGTAAGATGTGACTTGCTTCTCCTTACGTTCCACCATGATTGTGAGGCCTCCCCAGCCATGTGGAACTGTTAAGTCCAATAAACCTCTTTCTTTTGTAAATTGCCGAGTCTCAGATATGTCTTTATCAGCAGTGTGAAAATGAACTAGTACAGTAAATTGGTACCAGTAAAGTGGGGTGCTGCAGAAAAGATACCCAGAAATGTGGAAGCAACTTTGGAACTGAGTAACAGGTAGAGGTTGGAACAGTTTGGAGAGCTCAGAAGAAGATGACAGAAAACATAGGCCAGGCCAACATAGAGCTCAGGCCGTGGCCTCCAAGGGTGCAAGCCTCAAGCCTTGGCAGCTTCCACGTGGTGTTGAGCCTGTGAGTACACAGAAGTCAAGAATTGAGGTTTGGTAACCTCCACCTCGATTTCAGATGTATGAAAATGCCTGTATGCCCAGGCAGAAGTTTGCTGCAGGAGCGGGGTCCTCATGGGGAACCTCTGCTAGGGCAGTGCAGAAGGGAAATGTGGGGTCAGAGCCCCCACACAGAATCCCTGCTGGGGTACTGCCTAGTGGAGCTGTGAGAAGAGGACCACCATCCTTCAGAACCCAGAATGGTATCACTGATAGCCTGCATCATGTGCCTGGAAAAGCCACAGACACTCAACACCAGCCCCTGAAGGCAGCCAGGAGGTAGGAGCTGCCCAAGACTGTGGGAACCTATATCTTGCATCAGTGTCACCTGGATGTGAGACGTGGAGTCAAAGGAGATCATTCTGGAGCTTTAAGATTTGACTGCCCCACTGGATTTCAGACTTGCATGGGGCCTGTAGACCCTTTGTTTTGGCCAATTTCTTCCATTTGGAATGGCTGTATTTACCCAATGCTTGTATCCCCAATTGTATCTAAGAAGTAACTAACTTGCCTTTGATTTTACAGGCTCATAGGCGAAAGGGACTTGACTTGTCTGGGATGAGACTTTGGACTGTGGACCTCTGAGTTAACGCTAAAATGAGTTAAGACTTTGGGGGACTGTTGGGAAGGCATAATTGGTTTTGAAATGTGAGGATATGAGATTTGGGAGGGGCCAGAGGTGGAATGATATAGTTTGGTTCTGTGTCTCCACCAAATCTCATCTTGCAGCTCCCATAATTCCCATGTGTTGTGGGAGGGACCCAGTGGAAGACGACTGAATTATGGGGATGGGTCTTTCCCATGCTGTTCTCGTGATAGTGAATAGGTATCATGAGATCTGATGGTTTTAAAAATGGGAGCTTCCTTGTACAAGCTCTCTTTGCCTGCTGCCATCCACATAAGATATGACTTGCTCCTCCTTGCCTTTCACCATGATTGTGAGGTCTCCCCAGCCACGTGGAACTGTTAAGTCCAATAAACCTCTTTCTTTTGTAAATTGCCCAGTCTCGGATATGTCTTTATCAGCAGCATGGAAATGGACTAATACAAACACTTACTATTAGAAGTTCTTCTGTACGTTGCTCTAAAATCTTTTTCACTCTTATTTTGTAACACTGA
The DNA here is from genome assembly GCF_000001405.40 of Homo sapiens. Taxonomy (NCBI): domain Eukaryota; kingdom Metazoa; phylum Chordata; class Mammalia; order Primates; family Hominidae; genus Homo; species Homo sapiens. The sequence goes on along the minus strand of NC_000004.12, from coordinate 119,399,031 downwards.
TAATTCTGCCACCACAATAAACAGAACAAGATTAATTAATCTGTCTCTTATGAAATTCCTCAAAATCTTACAGAGAGCATTATATTTTCCCAAATTATCCTTCAATGGTCTGTACCATCCTATGTCCTTCAACCACTGCTTGCACAACATGATTTGGGGTCTTCATCATCACCCTGACTATAAATTCAGGGCTCTAGTGCATCAGTCTCTCTCAAAACACTGAACCGAAAAATAAACTCAATTTCATAGCTATGGTCTGATCTGGACAGAACAGAACAGGATAATCACCTTACACCTTTCTGGACACGATTACATAATTGGTTCTCACTGAATATACCATCAACTAAAAGCCTAACATCTTTGCATCAGTTTGGTTAATATAAGCCTAACGCAACACAGCCAAAGTGAAAAATTCTTCCGTTTCAGTGAATGAATTCTTTTTCATCCTACTGTATCTCAGTAAGGTACAGTAAAAATCAACAGCTACTGCACACTTGCTGTAAATATGCACACACTAAAATGTACCTACAAAGAATTTACCTAAAATGTAATGCTAAAAGGTAGGTCATCTCAGAGTTTAATCTGTTTCCTCTACTTATACTCAGAGTTAGTTCCCATATCTATGATCTTGCTTCATTCACCTCCTCTCTATGTTCATTACACTAGTTCTAACCCTATTACCAACCTCAATTATTGCTTCCCAACCTTTCACCCACATACTGACAGGTCATTTTGTTTATGGATCATAGCTTATGACATTAGTAATTTACCTTCAGTAGTTCACCACTGGCCACTGAATAAAGCCCAACATAGTTATACTGACATTTAATCATCAGTTGCTTCTCTCTAAACAAATACCATAACTGCAATAGGGAACAATTCCAGGTAGTAAAGACTATGCCATCAATATGCTATATACGTTAAACACATAAACTACACACACATAATATATAATATACATATGCATCCTTCCATATATGTATATGGAATATACATTCCATTCCTTCCATAATTAACATATATGCTCATTACTCTCTAAAGCAATTGAACTTTTCTATTTCCCTCCAGGAAATAAAATAAGCTAATCATGAAATGAAAGACAGTCCCTAGAATTTGCCATACCAGGTCAAGAGAGAGCATCAGGGCTGGGCGCGGTGGCTCACGCCTGTAATCCTAGCACTTTGGGAGGCTGAGGCGGGTGGATCACAAGGTCAGGAGATCGAGACCATCCTGGCTAACACATGAACCCCTATCTCTACTAAAAACACAAAAAATTAGCCAGGCATGGTGGCAGGCGCCTGTAGTCCCAGCTACTCAGGAGGCTGAGGCAGGAGAATGGCCTGAACCCGGGAGGCAGCACTCACACTGAGCCGAGATCGCACCACTGCACTCCAGCCTGGGTGACAGAGCGAGACTCCATCTCAATAAAAAATGAAAAAAAAAAAAAAAAAGAGCATCAGGTTAGGACCCTCATCCCAAATAAGTGTAATAAAATCAACAATATAAGTCTCAAATGTTATTTGTTCTGTTTTGTATCCTGTAATAAGGTACAAAGTACCCTTTGTATTTGATTTCTAAACACCAAGCACCTTTTTGAACAAAATTAAAACGCCATGATGGTCTCCATAATTCCTCTATACTCAATGCAGAGTCCCATTTGAGAAGTCAGGGCAAAAGTATGAATAACAGTAGTCTCTTATGAAGGGGTGGGTTGCCCCTCCACACCTGTGGGTGTTTCTCGTTAGGTGGAACGAGAGACTTGGAAAAGAAAAAGACACAGAGACAAAGTATAGAGAAAGAAATAAGGGGACCCAGGGAACCAGCGTTCAGCATATGGAGGATCCCGCCAGCCTCTGAGTTCCCTTAGTATTTATTGATCATTCGTGGGTGTTTCTCCGAGAGGGGGATGTGTCAGGGTCACAAGACAATAGTAGGGAGAGGGTCAGCAGACAAACACATGAACAAAGGTCTTTGCATCATAGACAAGGTAAAGAATCAAGTGCTGTGCTTTTAGATATGCATACACATAAACATCTCAATGCTTTACAAAGTAGTATTGCTGCCCGCATGTCCCACCTCCAGCCCTAAGGCGGTTTTTCCCTATCTCAGTAGATGGAACATACAATCCGGTTTTATACGGAGACATTGCATTGCCCAGGGACGGGCAGGAGACAGATGCCTTCCTCTTGTCTCAACTGCAAGAGGCATTCCTTCCTCTTATACTAATCCTCCTCAGCACAGACCCTTTACAGGTGTGGGGCTGGGGGACGGTCAGGTCTTTCCCTTCCCACGAGGCCATATTTCAGACTATCACATGGGGAGAAACCTTGGACAATACCTGGCTTTCCTAGGCAGAGGTCCCTGCGGCCTTCCGCAGTGTTTGTGTCCCTGGGTACTTGAGATTAGGGAGTGGTGATGACTCTTGAGGAGCATGCTGCCGTCAAGCATCTGTTTAACAAAGCACATCTTGCACCGCCCTTAATCCATTTAACCCTGAGTTTGACACAGCACGTTTCAGAGAGCACGGGGTTGGGGGTAAGGTCATAGATTAACAGAATCTCAAGGCAGAAGAATTTTTCTTAGTACAGAACAAAATGGAGTCTCCTATGTCTACTTCTTTCTACACAGACACAGTAAAAATCTGATCTCTCTTGCTTTTCCCCACATCTTAGATCCACAAGCAGCTCATCCCTAACAGACAAAGTGTTTTTGGGAAAACAGAAATATCTCTGGTCTTCATTTTCCTAATTAATAAAATGAAAGTGTTAGACTAGATAACTGCTAAGATTTCCTATAACATTAATACTCTGTGATTCTTTGACTTTCAACACTATTAATCTTTAGGAGAAAAAAACCGTGTATGTCTCCAGCAGTTCTATTAACATAAGGCAGTTTTAATGAAACCTGAAAACAGTTAACTCATGTAAGCTAGAAAAAATTGCTGTCAACAAGGCACAGCAGAGACTGCATGTAGTTTACTAAGGAATAAAGAAGACCATAATGAATGCATGAATATACAAATAATTAACTCTTTTAAGAAGCATCATTTGAGTTGGCATAACTTCAGCTAAAAAGTGCTGTGTATCAAGTGCTTTCACAGTTCTCCAAAGGAAGAATCTTCTGTATCAGTAAATTAACATTACAATAGACTGTTGAATAATCAGCATCTATTCTTTGGCATGCATATCCCATGGCTAAGGCTAGTAATACTATTATTAAAACCACTCACTCAACACTAATTTCTTTCAAGAGGGCGGCATTCAAATCGAGTTTATTCTAACCGATGTTTATTCCAAGCAGTGATTCCTAGCCTAAATTATAGAAAGGTGGGCAAATGATTGAAGTAAATTTTCTATAGAAGAAACTGTTATAAAAACTGGTTTTACAGAGAATAACGCATATTCCAAATATACTTAATTAGGGTGTGAGTTTATTGTTACTGGACTATAAAGTTAGATTATAAGCAAGGGTTAAATTGTATTGAGCCTGTTATCTATCACACACAACAGTGTGGGCAATGCCAGGCACATAAAGAGAATAGCTTTGAAATGACTGACTACTGGGTCTAGGCTGAATGGCCAAGAGTTGGCTGGAAGAACAAGGGCCAAAGAGCACAGATTTATGAAGAAATACAAGAGAATGAGAAGGCACACATCTAGTCCGAACCAAGGTGGGGACCCCAGAGTTCTAAATACCAGAAAGGTCCAACAGACCCTGGAACTGCAGTCTAAGGTGATGAATGGGTTTGTGGGGGGAAGATGATAGTCACAAGGAGCTATGAAGGAGTCTCACGTGAGCCAACAGTATAGATTCTGAAGGCGTTTATGGCAGGAGAAACAAAATACACAGGGAAAGATAATCTCAGTGTTAAAGACAGATGTATGCCTGGAGGCCAAGGGAGAAAATGAGCTGCAGAGAGAATGCAGTAGCCTGCTAGCCAGCCAGTAAAGAAGTGAGGCTGGTTCAGCGGACTCGCGCGGCCTCGCTCTTTGGACTCATCACTCGCCCCTCCCCCTCCCGCCGCCGTCACCCAGGAAACCGGCCGCAAATGCGGGCGGACCTGAAGCTGGTTTCATGGCAGCCTCAAAAAAGGCAGTTTTGGGGCCATTGGTGGGGGCAGTGGACCAGGGCACCAGTTCCACGCGCTTTTTGGTTTTCAATTCAAGAACAGCTGAACTACTTAGTCATCATCAAGTGGAAATAAAACAAGAGTTCCCAAGAGAAGGATGGGTGGAACAGGACCCTAAGGAAATTCTACATTCTGTCTATGAGTGTATAGCGAAAACATGTGAGAAACTTGGACAGCTCAATATTGGTATTTCCAACATAAAAGCTATTGGTGTCAGCAACCAGAGGGAAACCACTGTAGTCTGGGACAAGATAACTGGAGAGCCTCTCTACAATGCTGTGGTGTGGCTTGAACTAAGAACACAGTCTACCGTTGAGAGTCTTAGTAAGAGAATTCCAGGAAATAATAACTTTGTCAAGTCCAAGACAGGCCTTCCACTTAACACTTACTTCAGTGCAGTGAAACTTCGCTGGCTCCTTGACAATGTGAGAAAAGTTCAAAAGGCCGTTGAAGAAAAACGAGCTCTTTTTGGGACTATTGATTCATGGCTTATTTGGAGTTTGACAGGAGGCGTCAATGGAGGTGTCCACTGTACAGATGTAACAAATGCAAGTAGGACTATGCTTTTCAACATTCATTCTTTGGAATGGGATAAACAACTCTGTGAATTTTTTGGAATTCCAACGGAAATTCTTCCACATGTTCGGAGTTCTTCTGAGATCTATGGCCTAATGAAAGCTGGGGCCTTGGAAGGTGTGCCAATATCTGGGTGTTCAGGGGACCAGTCTGCTGCACTGGTGGGACAAATGTGTTTCCAGATTGGACAAGCCAAAAATACGTATGGAACAGGATATTTCTTACTATGTAATACATGCCATAAGTGTGTATTTTCTGATCATGGCCTTCTCACCACAATGGCTTACAAACTTGGCAGAGACAAACCGGTATATTATGCTTTGGAAGGTTCTGTAGCTATAGCTGGTGCTGTTATTCGCTGGCTAAGAGACAATCTTGGAATTATAAAGACCTCAGAAGAAATTGAAAAACTTGCTAAAGAAGTAGGTACTTCTTATGGCAGCTACTTCGTCCCAGCATTTTCGGGGTTATATGCACCTTATTGGGAGCCCAGCGCAAGAGGGATAATCTGTGGACTCACTCAGTTTACCAATAAATGCCATATTGCTTTTGCTGCATTAGAAGCTGTTTGTTTCCATATTCGAGAGATTTTGGATGCCATGAATTGAGACTGTGGAATTCCACTCAGTCATTTGCAGGTTGATGGAGGAAGGACCAGCAACAAAATTCTTATGCAGCTACAAGCAGACATTCTGTATATTCCAGTAGTGAAGCCCTTGATGCCCGAAACCACTGCATTGGGTGCTGCCATGGCGGCAGGGGCTGCAGAAGGAGTCGTCGTATGGAGTCTTGAACCTGAGGATTTCTCCGCCGTCACAATGGAGCGGTTTGAACCTCAGATTAATGCTGAGGAAAGTGAAATTCGTTATTCTACATGGAAGAAAGCTGTGATGAAGTCAATGGGTTGGGTTACAACTCAATCTCCAGAAAGTGGTGACCCTAGTGTCTTCTGTAGTCTGCCCTTGGGCTTTTTTATAGTGAGTAGCATGGCAATGTTAATCAGAGCAAGGTACATCTCAGGTATTCCATAAAACCTACCAACTCATGGATTCCCAAGATGCGAGCTTTTTACATAATGAAAGAACAACCCAGCAATTGTCTCTTAATGCGATGACACTATTCATAGACTTTCATTTTATTTATAAGCCACTTGCTGCGTGACCCTCCAAGTAGACCTGTGGCTTAAAATAAAGAAAATGCAGCAAAAAGAATGCTATAGAAATATTTGGTGTGTGTGTGTGTGTGTGTGTGTGTGTTTTTTTTTTTTTTTAACATCCACAGTTAAGGTTGGGCCAGCTACCTTTGGGGCTGACCCCCTCCTTTGCCATAACATCCTGCTCCATTCCCTCTAAGATGTACGAAGAATTCAGATGCTCACCATTGGAATCTTCCATCAAACATACTCAAACACTACTGGAACAGGACTTGAGTCTCTGCATGACATATACTTGATTAAAAGGTTATTACTAACCTGTTAAAAATGAGCAGCTCTTCGCTTTTAACAGACACCCCAAAAGTCTTCTTTTCTACATAGTAGAAGATGGAAACACCTTCACTGAATGTTTGAATAGAAACATCTACTAAATTATTAAGATAGACATTTAGTGTTCTCATAGCTTGGATATTTTTCTGAAAAGTATTTGCCAAAACTGAAATCCTTCCAATATTTTCCATGGTCCCACTAATTATAATGACTTTCTGTCTGGATCTTATAGGAAAGGATACTTTCTTTTTTCTTCCATCTTTCCTTTTTATATTTTTTACTTTGTATGTATAACATATATGCCTATATATTTTATACACTGAGGGTAGCCCATTTATAAATTAAGAGCACATTATATTCAGAAGGTTCTAACAGGGCTGGTCTTAAGTGAACCACTATGTATATAAATATGTTGGAAAACAGCTGTATACATTTTTGAGCAATGGTTATGCATAATATTTACCAGGAGAATTTTTTTCTTAAATAGCCAACATTTAAAATTTATGTTTTATGTCCATAAAAGAAAATATACTTTATTGTGACTTCAACTATATTTCTTATCCATTACATTTTTATTTAATTGTCTTAGCCTAAAAAAAAGAAGAAACTGTGGAATACTACAGTAAGTACTGTTTTCAAACACAAGCAATAATTCAAATAGTTTTCTTTTGAATTAATTTTAGACATATTTCGGATCCTATTGAGGGGATAAGAGGATGTCAAAAAAGTTAAATACCTAAATAGAAAAAAATATAGAAATAAAGCCAAGAATCTCTTTCAGTTCAAATATTATCAATTGTTAATAAGAAATTGCTATCTGGGATGACAAAATTATCTCTGCTTAGTATCTTATTATAACTGAAAAAAGGTTTATCATTACAAATGCCTTCCAATGAAACCAAGAATTTCTCAAAATATTTAATGTCACATATTATAAGAAGTTACCTAATCTAGCTTCTTAACGTCAATTTTAAAAAATATCTTGAAATTACTTTGTTTTGTAGTAAACAGTGAAAAAAAAAAGTGAGGCTGATGGCAGCGAGAGCAATGGTCTGGAAGTGGTACCCTTCTACCTAGGTTCCCAGTGAGCTGTGGTGAGTGATCCCTTCGAGAAGTCTGCTCACGACATACAGGTTTGGGAGAAACACAAAGTTTCGTTTACGACAAAGACAGAGGGGACACACATGAAAATACTTGTGCATATAAAAAAGTTTGATCATTTTATAGGCCTAGTGGAAAGGACAGAAGCTGGACAGTGAGGGATGCCTGAACAGGCCTGGGTAAAGTAGTTACTACCACCGGGGCCTGGGATATATAAACTAATAACAGAGTTAAGAGCCAAAGAATGGAAAATAAAATGAAAGCACATCGGTAACTGGAGGACTTCTTTTTTGTTGTTGTTATTGTTGAGATGGAGTCTCTCTGTCGCCCAGGCTAGAGTGCAGTGGTGCGATCTCAGCTCATTGCAACCTCCGCCTCCTGAGTTAAAGTTATTCTCCTGCCTCAGCCTCCCAAATAGCTGGGACTACAGGCACATGCCACCATGCCTGGCTCTTTTTTTTTTTTTTGTATTTTTAGTAGAGACCAGGTTTCACCATGTTGGCCAGGCTGGTCTCGAACTCCGGGCCTCAAGCAATCTGCCCATCTCAGCCTCCCAAAGTGCTGGGATTGCAGGTGGGGGCCACCATGCCCAGCTCTGAAGGAATTCTCCACAGGTAGTCCTGTTACTGAGGAATGCTGAGTGCTTACCAAGCCCAGAATTTCAGCTACAGCTCTAGCTTGAAAATGATAGTCAGGCTGGGTGTGGTAGCTCATGCCTGTAATCCCGACTCTGGGAAGCCAAGGCAGGAGGACTGCTTAAGGCCAGGAGTTCGAGCACAGCCTGGGCAACACAGCAAGAGCCCGTCTCTATTTTAAAAAAGAAAAAGAAAATGATACCACAAACTTCGCCAAAGATCAGTTAGAACTAGTACTAAGTAGTTTCTCAAATTTTCAGTATGGGAAGTGGTGATGTATAGGAATGACTAAAAATCTGAAACAATTTTTTTCCCCTTAAATGTGCTTGGCTATCAACAAGAAATACTGAATAAAATTCATATTTCAAGTTATAATTAAAATCCAATTTCCAAAGAGTCTTTTGCTAGAACTATTAAGATGCATCTAAACCAATGAGTTCAATTTTTATCTCCTCTATATTTTTGGCCTGCCAAAAATGCTAAAAATAAAGGTGCTAATGATTTGAGAAATGGTTAAAATATAGATACCACCCAAGAAACATGAGAAGAGTCCACAAACCAGCACTCTCTGAATAAGTTAGTACAGTTGGGGTTAACTGAGAAAAATTTCATTTTTAGACATGATACAAAAAATAATTTCATACAGCTTTTTAAGCTAAAATAAAATAAAATAAAATAAATGTTTCAGGAGTGTAACAAAGGCTGACCATAGTCCAGAACACCATGCCTCAGCATGCAGGCCATTTAACCTGGGTGGTCTGGTCACACTGAGCTGTCACTCCACGCCTTGGAGAAGCAGGGTGTTCAGTGCGACGGGCTGTCACTGCCAGAGCCACGCTGCTGAAGCCACGAGAGCGTCTCAGGGTGAGCAGTGTGGATTCCACATCCTCCCCTGCTCTCACTCTCTAACCTACCCATTTGGTTGCTCACATTTTTACTTTCCCTAAAGATACTGATGTTATTAAAAATAAGCATGAGTTCATGGAAGAGATCTCCATGGAACACTGTTAATTTTTTCATTATACCTGTACAATTTAATTTAATTATAATGTATTCTAGAAAGCTTGTTTCCAATGGGCAAGAGAAAGAAATGAAGCAGTTCTTATGTCCGGAATCTCCAGTGAGTTTTCAAAGGATAGAGAGTGCTCTTTTTTTTTGAGACGGAGTCTCGCTCTGTCACCCAGGCTGGAGTGCAGTGGCGCGATCTCTGCTCACTGCAAGCTCCGCCTCCTGGGTTCAGACCATTCTCCTGCCTCAGCCTCCCGAATAGCTGGGACTACAGGCTACTGCAACCACGCCTGGCTAATTTTTTGTATTTTTAGTAGAGACGGAGTTTCACCGTGTTAGCCAGGATGGTCTCAATCTCCTGACCTCATGATCCGCCTGCCTTGGCCTCCCAAAGTGCTGGGATTATAGGCGTGAGCCACTGCACCCGGCCCGAGAGTGCTCTTCTTATATGCAGTCACACCATGGACCAGACAATACCCCGAGGTCCTGCAGGCTTTCTCTCCTTATCCATCCTTTTTTCCCTCAGCTTCTTTCTCCTCCCTTCTGCTTTACTTGTATATATGTATGTATGTATTGAGTCATTTATTGCTATTTATTTCTTCCCTTCCTTCTTTTCATTCCTACCTAGAAAAGCCTGTCACAAGTCCTACTGCCTATGATAGGGAAAAGAAAAAGAAAAGGAAAAATATTAACTTTACTGCCACTGTGTCCCGTCACCCTCTTGGAGTTCTTCACAAGCTATGTGATTTGACTTGAAAGTAATTTGAAGGTTTGGGTAAATTTTCTGGACAAATAGAGTGCTTTAAAGACAAATCACCTAAACAACAATTATTTGTTTATGGTAGAAAAGGAGCTATAGACATCTTACTGCATGGACTCCTTATCTCCCCACCTCATATTTGCTTAAAATGTCAACAACAATCAGATAGTTTCACTATGAGGAACAATTGTGTATTAGTCTGTTTTCATGCTGCTGATAAAGACATATGCAAGACTAGGCAATTTACAAAAGAAAGAGGTTTAATGGACTTATAGTTCCACGTGGCTGGGGAGGCCTTACAATGATGGTGGAAGGCAAGGAGGAGCAAGTCATGTCTTACATGGATGGCAGCAGGCAAAGAGAGAGAGCTTGTGCAGGGAAACTCCCATTTTTAAAACCATTAGATCTTGTGAGACTTACTCACTATCACAAGAACAGCAAAGGAAAGACCTGCCCCCATGATTCAACTACTTCCCACTGGGTCCTTCCCACCACACATGGGAATTCAAGATGAGATCTGGGTGGCGACATAGCCAAACCATATCAAATTGTTTTATAGTATTATTCTGGATTATTTTGGAAAGTTTGTTGCAACTAGTTATCAATACACCAAAGATATAGAAATAGCTTCATTATACAAGCATGGTCTTTGTAATGGCATTTGTTTAAAATATAAGGATGAAATACATAGGTAAAGCATGACAATTCCTTCAAGATAATACAAGAGGATGTATAAAATTCCTCAAGCTGTAGACATGATTTGTGTACTTTTCTATATGTGCATTAGACTTCAGTAAAATGTTTGCATATAAAAAAAAGGGAAGGGGAGTAATGAAGGTTATAATTAAAACAAAATTGTCCCTGAGTTGACAACTGTTGAAGTTGGATGATGAGTACTATTCTATTCTTGTACATGCTTGCAATTTTTCATAATGAAAGATGTTTTAAAATGTTACCTAAAACCTAAGAAACTCAAGCAAATACAAGATTCAGAAGCGTGGTATAAAAGCAGTACATCCTTTAAAGCTAGATTCAGATGCAAAATATAGTGCATTAAAAATGAAGAATCAATGCTTCTTTATAATTTTACTGAAAGTGAATAATTTTTCATGAAAAATTCTTGGCATAATTACAAAGGAGGACACTACAAACTAGGAAACAGAAGTGTTCTAATTCTGGTGGAAAATTTTTTATATTTTGTAGTATACTAGAATAAATTTAAGATTTTAAATAAGAGAAAGATTTTTAAAAATCTAATGATCTCCTAAAAACACAGTAAATGAGTTGCTTCTGATATAAGCAAAACTAAGAGTTCTAGTACATCATATGAACTATGTTTGGATATCCTGTGCATTAATCCTACTTTATTCATTCTCTCCCCAGGCACTGACCCTCCTCTCCCCATTAGCAGTCAGTAACATTTATCAAGCACTATAGAGAAAACTGGCAGCCCAGGAAAGATAAAAGGTTAAACAGTGATTGTTTCATGCAGCAAAAAATATCTAAAAATATGAAATCTTTCTTGGTTTTCCTAATAGAAGTCACTTATAACAGGTGCATTAAGTCTAGCAGTTAATGGAATCTGAATTTAGAAGTAATATTTTCTACTTAGTTGAACAGAATTGCTTGCATTGGAATACACCAATAAATTCATATTTGTCTTTGGTTTTTCATAAAATGCTTCATTCTATTCAAAAGTGCTGCATGAATAGTGTTACACACTACAGGCATTCCCCAACTTACAGAAGGGTTGTGTTCTAAAAGCTCATCTGTAAATCGGCTTCCTAGAACTCAGATCACATTTTTTCACTGAAATAATTTTCTAAAGGGCAGTTAGGCCATCAGGCCACCCAATAGAAATCAATAAGGTCTAAATTTATTGGACCTACTGTGATTTAGTGAAGCACTCTGGTTTTTGTTTTTTCAACTAACCACTTTGAACCATTATTTATTTGGTAAATGAAATAGGGATTCTAGGACTACTACTCTCCAATGCTCTGTGCAGGCAGAGACACACATATATATACACACATGCATTCTCCCTTACCCAGATCTATGGACCAAAAGCTTCCTTACTCATCAGAGTAAGCACACTGAAGCAGTTTAGACAAACGGCTCTTGCATTTGAAAGCTGGGGAAGTTACAGTTCTAGAGCCTATTAAAGGAGCAGTGAACACAGAAGCTTCCATAGGAACTATTCCTATTGAGTCTCATAGATGCAAAGCAGAGTCTTGCAGGCAGTTGGTGGATTGTAACTTCTACCAGATTTATCTCCCAGAAATATAGTTTAAAAACAAATTAGCAACTTCTGTAAGTCCTAGACAGAGTAATCAGGCAAAAGAAAGAAATAAAGGGCATCCAAATTGGAAAAGAGAAAGTCAAACTATCTCTGTTTGCTGATGATATGATCTTATACCTAGAAAGCCCTAAAGACTCCTCCAAAAGGCGCCTAGCTTTGATAAATGAATTCAGTAAAGCCTCAGGTTACAAAATCCATGTACATAAATCAGTAGCACTGCTACACACCAACAATGACCAAGCTGAGAATCAAATTAAGAACTCAATCCCTTTTATAATAGCTACAAAATAAAATAAAATAAAATACTTAGGAATATATTTAACCAAGGAGGTGAAGAACTCTACAAGGAGAACTACAAAACACTGCTTAAAGAAATCATAGATGACACAAACAAATGGAAATACATCCCATGTTCATAGATTAGAAGAATCAATACCATGAAAATTACCATACTGTCCAAAGCAATCTACAGAGTCAATGCAATTCCTATCAAAATATCATCACTCTTCACAGAATTAGAAAAAAAAAAATCCTAAAATGCATATGGAATTTTTTTTAAAAAGCCCAAATAGCCAATGTAATCCTAAGCAAAAAGAACAAATCTAGAGGCATGACATTACCTGACTTCAAATTATACTAATATAAGGGTATCATAACCAGAACAGCATGGCACTGGCATATAAGTAGATATGTAGACCTATGGAACAGAAGAGAGAACCCAGAAATAAAGTAAATATTTAGAAACGACTGATCTCCAACAAAGCATACAAAAACATAAACTGGGGAGAACAAAAGACAGCAGACAGCTTCTGCAGACTTAAACGTCCCTGTTTGACATCTCTGAAGAGAGCAGTGGTTCTCTCAGCATGGCGTTCGAGCTCCGAGAAGGGACAGACTGCCTCCTCAAGTGGGTCCCTGACCCCAGTGTAGCATGACTGGGAGACACCTCCCAGTAGGGGATGACAGACACCTCAAACAGGGTAGTGCCCCTCTGGGATGAAGCTTCCAGAGGAAGGATCAGGCAGCAATATCTGCTGTTCTGAAGCCTCTGCTGGTGATACCCAGGCAAACCGGGTCTGAAGTGGACCTCCAGCAAACCCCAACAGACCTGCAGCTGAGGGGCCTGTTAGAAGGAAAACTAACAAACAGAAAGGAATGGCATCAGCATCAACAAAAAGGACATCCACACGAAAACCCCATCTGCAGCTCCCCAACATCAAAGACAAAAGGTAGTTAAAACCACAAAGATGGGGAGAAACCAGAGCAGAAAAGCTGAAAATTCCAAAAACCAGAGCATCTCTTCTCCTTCAAAGGATCGCAGCTCCTCGGCAGCAAGGGAACAAAACTGGATGGAGAATGAGTTTGCCAAATTGACAGAAGTAGGCTTCAGAAAGCTGGTAATGACAAACTTCTCTGAGCTAAAGGAGCATGTTCTAACACATCACAAGAAAGCTAAAAACCTTGAAAAAAGGTTAGACGAATGGCTAACTAGAATAAACAGTGTAGAGAAGACCTTAAATGACCTAATGGAGCTGAAAACCACAGCAAGAGAACTTTGTGATGCATGCACAAGCGTCAATAGCCGATTTGATCAAGTGGAAGAAAGGATATCACTGACTGAAGATCAAATTAATGAAATAAAGTGAGAAGACAATTTAGAGAAAAAAGAGTGAAAAGAAATGAACAAAGCCTCCAAGAAATATGGGATTATGTGAAAAGAGCAAATATACGTTTGATTGGTGTACCGGAGAGTTATGGGGAGAATGGAACCAAGTTAGAAAACACTCTTCAGGATATTATCCAGGAGAACTTCCCTAACCTAGCAAGGCAGGCCAACATTCAAATTCAGGAAATATAGAGAACACCACAAAGACAAAGATAAACCTCAAGAAGAGCAACCCCAAGACACATAACTGTCAGATTCACCAAGGTTGAAATGAAGGAAAAAATGTTAAGGGCAGCCAGAGAGCAAGGTCAGGTTACCCACAAAGGGAAGCCCATCAGACTAACAGCAGATCTCTCAGCAGAAACCCTACAAGCCAGAAGAGAGTGGGGCCAATATTCGACATTCTTAAAAAGAAAAGGATTTTCAACCCAGAATTTCATATCCAGCCAAACTAAGCTTCATAAGTAAAGGAGAAATAAAATCCTTTACAGACAAGCAAATGCCGAGAGACTCTGTCACCACCAGGCCTGCCTTACAAGAGCTCCTGAAGGAAGCACTAAACACGGAAAGGAATAACTGGTAGCAGCCACTGCAAAAACATGCCAAATTGTAAAGACCGTCGATGCTATGAAGAAACTGCATCAATTAACAGGCAAAATAACCAGCTAACATCATAATGACAGGATCAAATTCAAACATAACAATATTAACCTTAAATGTAAATGGGCTAAATGCCCCAGTTATAAGACACAGGCTGGTAAATTGGATAAAGAGTCAAGACCCATCGGTGTGCTGTATTCACGAGACCCATCTCACATGCAAAGACACACACAGGCTCAAAATAAAGGGATGGAGGAAGATCTACCAAGCAAATGGAAAACAAAACAAAAAAAAAAGCAGGGGTTGCAATCCTAGTCTCTGACAAAACAGACTTTAAACCAAGAAAGATCAAAAGAGACAAAGAAGGCCATTACATAATGGTAAAGGGATCAATTCAACAAGAATAGCTAACTATCCTAAATATATATGCACCCAATACAGGAGCACCCAGATTCATAAAGCAAGTCCTTAGAGACCTACAAAGAGAATTAGACTCCCACACAATAATAATGGGAGACTTTAACACCCCACTGTCAATATTAGACAGATCAACGAGACAGAAGGTTAATAACAAGGATATCCAGGACTTGAACTCAGCTCTGGACCAAGCAGACCTAATAGACATCTACAGAACTCTCCACCCCAAATCAACAGAATATACATTCTTCTCAGCACCACATTGCACTTATTCTAAAATTGACCACATAAGTGGAAGTAAAGCACTCCTCAGCAAATGTAGAAGAACAGAAATCACAACAAACTGTCTCTCAGACCACAGTGCAATCAAATTAGAACTCAGGATTAAGAAATTCACTCAAAACAGCACAGCTACATCGAACTGAACAACCTGCTCCTGAATGACTACTGGGTACAAAACGAAATGAAGGCAGAAATAAAGATGTTCTTTGAAGTCATTGAGAATGAAGACAGAATGTACCAGAATCTCTGGGACACATTTAAAGCAGTGTGTAGCGGGAAATTTACAGCGCTAAATGCCCACAAGAGAAAGCAGAAAAGATCTAAAATCGACACCCTAACATCACAATTAAAAGAACCAGAGAAGCAAGAGCAAACACATTCAAAAGCTAGCAGAAGACAAGAAATAACTAAGATCAGAGCAGAACTGAAGGAGATAGAGACACAAATAACCCTTCAAAAAAATCAATGAATCCAGGAGGTGGTTTTTTGAAAAGATCAACAAAATTGATAGACTGCTAGCAAGACTAATAAAGAAGAAAAGAGAATCAAATAGATGCAATAAAAAAATGATAAAGGGGAGATCACCACCAATCCCACAGCAATACAAACTACCATGAGAGAATACTATAAATTCCTCTATGCAAATAAACTAGAAAATCTAGAAGAAATGGATAAATTCCTGGACACATACACCCTCCCAAGACTAAACCAGGAAGAAGCTGAATCTCTGAATAGACCAGTAACAGGTTCTGAAATTGAGGCAATCATTAATAGCCTACTAACAAAAAAAAGTCCAGGACCAGACGGATTCACAGCCAAATTCTAACAGAGGTACAAAGAGGAGCTGGTACCATTCCTTCTGAAACTATTCCAAACAATAGAAAAAGAGGGAATCCTCCCTAACTCATTTATGAGGCCAGCATCATACTGATACCAAAGGCCTGGCAGAGACACAACAAAAAAAGAGAATTTTAGACCAATATCCCTGATGAACATCGATGCAAAAATCCTCAATAAAATACTGACAAACCAAATCCAGCAGCACATCAAAAAGCTTATCCACCATGATCAAGTCAGCTTCATCCCTGGGATGCAAGGCTGGTTCAATGCACGCAAATATATAAACGTAATCCATCACATAAACAGAACCAATGACAAAAACCACGTGATTATCCCAATAGATGCAGAAAAGGCCTTTGACAAAATTCAACAGCCCTTCATGCTAAAAACTCTCAATAAACTAGGTATTGATGGAACGTATCTCAAAATACTAAGAGCTATTTATGACAAACCCACAGCCAATATCATACTGAATGGGCAAAAACTGGAAGCGTTCCCTTTGAAAACCAGCACAGGACAAGGATGCCCTCTCTCACCACTCCTATTCAACATAGTGTTGGAAGTTCTGGCTAGGGCAATCAGGCAAGAGATAGAAATAAGGCGTATTCAGTTAGGAAGAGAGGAAGTCAAATTATCTCTGTTTGCAGATAACGTGATTGTATATTTAGAAACCCCATTGTCTCAGCCCAAAATATCCTTAAGCTGATAAGCAACTTCAGCAAAGTCTCAGGATACAAAATCAATGTGCAAAAATCACAAGCATTCCTTTACACCAATAATAGACAGAGAGCCAAATCGTGAGTGATCTCCCATTCACAATTACTACAAAGAGAATAAAATACCTAGGAATACAACTTACAAGGGATATGAAGGACCTCTTCAAGGAGAACTACAAACCACTGCTCAAAAAAATAAAAGAGGACACAAACAAATGGAAGAACATTCCATGCTCATGGATAGGAAGAATCAATATCTTGAAAATGGCCATACTGCCCAAGGTAATTTATAGATTCAATGCTATCCCCATCAGGCTACCACTGACTTTCTTCACAGAATTGGAAAAAACTACTTTAAATTTCATATGGAAACAAAAAAGAGCCCACATAGCCAAGACAATCCTAAGCAAAAAGAACAAAGCTGGAGGCATCACGCTACCTGACTTCAAACTATACTACAAGGCTACAGTAACCAAAACAGCATGGTACTGGTACCAAAACAGAGATATAGACCAATGGAACAGAACAGAGGCCTCAGAAATAACACCACACCTCTACAACCATCTGATCTTTGACAAACTTGACAAAAACAAGCAATGGGGAAAGGATTCCCTATTTAATAAATGGTGCTGGGAAAACTGGCTAGCCATATGCAGAAAGCTGAAACTGGATCCCTTCCTTACACTGTATAAAAAATTAACTCAAGATGAGTTAAAGACTTAAATGTTAGACCTAAAACCATAAAAACCCCAGAAGAAAACCTAGGCAATACCATTCAGGACATAGGCATGGGCAAATACATCATGACTAAAACACCAAAAGCAATGGCAACAAAAGCCAAAATTGACAAATGGGATCTAATTAAACTAAAGCGCTTCTGCACAGCAAAAGAAACTATCATCAGAGTGAAGAGGCAACTTACAGAATGGGAGAAAATTTTTGCAACCTACCCATATGACAAAGGGCTAATATCCAGAATCTACAAAGAACTTAAACAAATTTACAAGAAAAAAACAAACAACCCCATCAAAAAGTGGACAAAGGATATAAACAGACACTTCTCAAAAGAAGACATTTATGCAGCCAACAGACATATAAAAAATGCTCATCATCACTGGTCATCAGAGAAATGCAAATCAAAACCACAATGAGATACCATCTCAGGCCAGTTAGAATGGCGATCATTAAAAAGTCAGAAAACAACAGGTGCTGGAGAGGATGTGGAGAAATAGGAATGCTTTTACACTGTTGGTGGGAATGTAAATTAGTTCAACCATTGTGGAAGACAGTGTGGCAATTCCTCAAGGATCTAGAACTACAAATGCCATTTGACCCAGCAATCCCATTACTGGGTATATACCCAAAGCATTATATATCATGCTACTATAAAGACACATGCACACACGTTTATTGTGGCACTATTCACAATAGCAAAGACTTGGAACCTCCCAATGTCCATCAATGATAGACTAGATTAAGAAAATGTGGCACATATACACCATGGAATACTATGTAACCATTAAAAAAGGATGAGTTCATGTCCTTTGCAGGGACACGGATGAAGCTGGAAACCATCACGTTGTGCACGTGTACACATTTTATATATGGTGAGAGATCCCTATCTCTCACCATATATAAAAATTAACCCAAGATGGATTAAAGACTTAAATCTAAGACCTGAAACCATCAAAATTCTAGAAGAAAACTTAGGAAAAACTTCTGGGCATTGGCCAAAACAAAAAATTTATGACAAAGACCCCAAATGCAAATGTGACAAACGCAAAAATAAATAAATGGGACCTAATTAAACAAAAAAAAACTTCCACAAGACCAAAGAAATAATCACCAGAGTAAACACACAACCTATAGAATGGGAGGAAATATTTGCAAACTATGCCTCTGACAAAGGACTAATATCCAGAATCTAAAAGGAACTCAAACAAGTCAGCAAGAAAAAATCAAATAATCCCATTAAACAGTGGGCAAATGACATGAACAGATATTTCTTAAAAAGAAGATATACAAATGGTCAACAAACATGAAAGAAATGCTGAACACCACTAATCATCAGGAAAATGCAAATTAAAACCTCAGCGAGATACCACCTTGCCCTAACCAGAATAGCTATTATTAAAAGTGAAAAAACAATAGATGTTGGTGTGGATGTGGTGAAACGGGAACGCTTATATGCTGTTGGTGGGAATGTAAATTCGTACAACCTCTATGGAAAACAGTCTGGAGATTCCTCAAAGAAATTAAAATCCAATCCAGCAATTTCACTACCGAGTATCTACCTAAAGGAAAAGAAATCACTAAATCAAAAAGACACCCAGATATGTATGTTTATCACAGTACAATTCACAATTGCAAAGATATAGAATCAACCTAAGTGCCCATCAGCCAATGAGTGGATAAAGAAAATGTTATATATATATATATATACACACACACACACACACACACACACACACACATACACATATATACACGCATACATATACGTATGTAGACATATATGTATATGCATGTGTGTACATATATACATGTGTATATACGTACGTGTGTGTGTGTGTATGTATATATATATATATGATGGAATACTACTCTACCATAAAAAAAGAAAGAAATAATGTCTTTTGCAGCAACTTGGATGAAACTGGAGGCCATTATTCTAAGTTAAGTAACTAAGGAATGGAAAACCAAATACTACATGTTCACACTTATAAGTGGGAGCTAAGCTATCAGTATGCAAAGGCAGACAGAGTGGTATAATGGACATGGGAGACTCAGAAGTGGGGAGGTTGAGAGGATGGTGATGGATGAAAAACTACCGATTAGAGTACAATGTCTACTACTCAAGTGACGGGTACATTAAAATCCCAGACCTCGTGACTATACAAGTCATCCATGTAACCAAAAACCACTTGTACTCCTAAAGCTATTAGAATAAAAAAAAGGATGTAATCATTCAATGAAAGCATAAAGAAACTAAAAAAAGAAAAGTATGTTTATTGCGGCATTATTCACAATAGCAAAGACTTGGAACCAACCCAAATGTCCAACAATGATAGACTGGATTAAGAAAATGTGGCACATATACACCATGGAATACTATGAAGCCATAAAAAATGATGAGTTCATGTCCTTTGTAAGGACATGGATGAAATTGGAAATCATCATTCTCAGTAAACTATCGCAAGAACAAAAAACCAAACACCGCATATTCTCACTCATAGGTGGGAATTGAACAATGAGATCACATGGACACAGGAAGGGGAATATCACACTCTGGGGACTGTGGTGGGGTGGGGGGAGGGGGGAGGGATAGCATTGGGAGATATACCTAATGCTAGATGACGAGTTAGTGGGTGCAGCGCACCAGCATGGCACATGTATACATATGTAACTAACCTGCATGTTGTGCACATGTACCCTAAAACATAAAGTATAATTTAAAAATAAATAAATAAATAAAAATAAAAGAAATTTCCTAATAATCACTTTCAATATATATTTTTAATTGTTTATAAACTCAAATAAAATATAGATTACATTTGTGAACTATGTGTGTGCATTCAAAGCTATAACAATCTCCCCTCCCCAACTGCAGAGATGAGGGGCCTGAAGGGCCTGAACAGCAGCTAAAGCAAGGGCTCCTTGAAAACAGCAACAGGCCCTCCCTCTGCCACAGGGAGATGCCAGCAGTAGCAGTAGGCCATGGAACCAGCATGCAAGGAGTGGGCTGCTTCTATTGGTGGTCTACTTTTCTACTCCACCAAACATATCTATATTTCACTGCTTTGAAGATTTTTTTAAGCCACAAAATTGTTTTCATAGATGCAAAAAAAAAAAAGAATAAAAAATCAGAGCTAAAATAACTTCACATGCATACAGTTTCTCATATGCCTATTCATTTAACAATTTGAAAGAAAAATACATACAGCTACTCTTCTTGAACCCTGGAGGCGGAGGTTACAATGAGCCAAGATTGCACCACCACACCACGACCTGGGTGACAGGGCAAGACTCCGTCTCAAAAAAAAAAAAAACCTAGCTATTCCTAGCTATTCTATTATTCAGGCCCAATCCCAATGTATAGTTGCTTGCTTTTTAAGTTCAGAATTTTATGAGTATGCTTCAGTTATGCAGTGTGACCATTATAAGATTTTAAATGTATGTTTTTAAAGCCCAGATCCAGAAATATGACATGACTTTCCAGAGACCACTGTAGAATCATATCAAAAACCAAGCAGTTTCCTCCCAAATTCAGCTGAGGTCTACTCCACTTGCCTGCATAGGTGTTGGCCTTGTTCAGAAGGTCGGTACATGCATGCATATCAGCAAAAGCCCGGATTCCTAAGCAGTTGACAGGGTGAAGCTGGGATTCCAAAAATTCACAAGTCTTCTTCACATCCTGTAACTGTAAGAGACCAGCTGCTGGGAGAAGTACCTGCAACACACACATCAATATTCTTAGGCACTTGGGTGGAAAAACACTGTCTCTTTGACCACTTCTACATAGGACACAAGATGTTCAGCCATAGTTTATTATCTGCGTCCATACCCCCATATTCCCTAGAAAACAAATATAAAAATTATTTTCAATAACAATGATGACTCTTCACATTCCCCATAATTTCCATGTAATCTTTCAAAGGCCTCTTCTCCTTCGTCAGAAGAATATGAGATATCAGATCTTACAAGATTCATGGTTTGTTTTATAAGCATAAACAAAATGTTCCTTTGACTTCTAAAAACACAAATTCTTGGCTGGGCCTGGTGACTCACACCTGTAATCCCAGCACTTTGGGAGGCCAATACAGGAGGATTGCTTGAGTTCAGAAGTTTGAGACCAGGCTGGGCAACAGCAAGACCTCATCTCTACAAAAAATATAAAAATTAGCCTGGTGTGGTGGCACGCAACTGTAGTGCCAGCTACTCAGGAGGCTGAAGTGGGAGGATCACTTGAGCCTGAGAGGTCGAGGCTGCAGTAATCTGTGATCACCCCACAGCACTCCATCCTGGGTGACAGAGTGAGATCCCATCTCAAAAACAAAACAAAACAAAACAAAACAAAACAACAACAACAACAACAACAAAAACCCATAAATTATTAGGATGCTAGGGGGTGCTATGATTCAATGAAAATGGTTTTGTTCTCTTAGTTCAAGCAGTCATGCGCTTCAGTGATTTGTGGAGAAGGAGTGGCCCCAGAGCAATCCATATCACAAGAAGCCTCATTTTGCTGAAGGCCTGTTTTTCTACTGTATAAGTATCATAACAACTGCTTTCCTTACGGGGTAGAACAATTTAAAGTTCAACAACAGTCTCTACCTATAAGCAGACAGTTTCTCTAGAATGTAATATATGTGCTAACAAGGAAAATGTAATAGGTGATTATCTAATAACTTTTTAATTTTCATTTTTATTTGAGTAACTCCAAGCAATTTTATATTAATTATAGGTTATTCTGTGGGATTGAACCACTATCTTCACTATAAATACTATATCCAACACTACAAGTGCTTTTCAAATAAGTCAATAATAGAAAAACATTTTTCCTTGTAAGTGAATTATTACAGTGCTATATAAAGGACCATATTTGAAAGTCAAATTAAGGAGAAAAACTTCAAAAAAAGGTTATCGAATTCTGGTGATCCTTTATAAAAGCCAAAGAAACCCCACAAAAAAAACCTTCAATTACTCGAACAATGGTAAATTTTAGAAAAGACATTAGCATTAAAAAAAGATCTAAGTTCCTTCAGAAATTGACTTTCATATATGCCACACTGCAGCCCAAAGACAGAAAAATAATAGTGGTTTATGACTATATGTTATGACTTTCCTAAATCTATGGAGTAAGTCCTAAACATAAAAAAGAAAGACATCATTCACATCTCTCTGTAACAAACTTCTTACCTTCTTAAAGGAAGCGCAGAAGCTTTAACTCCTGAACCTAAAGGCTCAAGAAAAAATAGAAACAGTATCTAGACATAAGGCCTTTACCTTCTGAGTTTAAGAAAAATAGGTCAGGCGTGGTGGCTCATGCCTGTAATCCCAGCACTTTAGGAGGCCGAGGCAGGTGGATCACTTGAGGTCAGGAGTTTGAGACCACCTGGCCAACATGGTGAAAGCCCAATCTACTAAAAATACAAAAATTAGCTGGGTGTAGTGGCACACACCTGTAGTCTCAGCTACTCAGGAGGCTGAGGAAGGAGAATCACTTGAACCCTGGAGGCAGAGGTTGCAATGAGCCGAGATCACACCACTGCACTCTAGCCTGGGTGACAGAGAGAGACTCCGTCTCAAAAAATAAAAATAAAAATAGAAAATAAAGTATAAATAATGTTATAGCCAAACTTTTTGCATGATATGTATAGTAGGTTTTATTATGAGAATGAATATCCACAGAAGGCTTTAATTTGTTGATAATTTTCAAATTGCAGGTTTTTCCATGCCAGTGTAATTGCGCTCTGAAGCAACATAAAGTGCGTTCCAAGATGCTTAACAGTACAGCCATTTAATTCAGCAAATTAAATTTCTACATATAGTTTAGAAAGTGGTCTTCAGTGTAAAATTCAATCTCTGTGAAATCTGCACAAATAGTATGATCACCCCTCTAACTAGCATTTTCCTAGAGAAAACAGTATAATACTTGAATTGTTTGGTCACACAGAACGATGAGGAAAAAGTGGTTGGGTGGAAAACAGGCTCACTTACACATTGGTGGTGGGAGCACATATTGGTCCAACCTCCATGAAGAACAATTTGTTTATTTCAAATTCATAATTACAAATGCACATGTCCTCTGACCCAGCAATTTAACCTATAGATATGCTAACACATGCACAAAATCTCACATGCACAAGATATTTATTACAGCATTATTGTGGCTAATAGCAATTAGAAAAAAGCCTTTAATGTCCATCATAAGGAGACTGATCAAATAATTGGAATCATCCATTCAATTGCAGTCATTCAAACGAAAGAGGAAACTAATAAATGAGATAATTTCTAAAATATATTCCTGAGTGAAAAAAAAATTAGTCATTGGTATATTATGCTAACATATACACCGCCACCACCCCCCCACACACACATATGTGTGTGTAGCAGGCTTTTTAAATTTCATTTTGCTTTATTGATTTCAACTTAATCATTACCAAGTTCAGATCTACCGTATTAGGAGACCGAAATTCATAAAATTGTAGATTCTCCTATCTGGAAGGGGCATAACAAGTCATCTAGGTAGAAATATAAAAGTTATTTCAACAGTGGTCCATGTGGCTACATTATATTCACATATAATTTTTATTGATGACAGTGAAAAGTGGTTACATGCTTGACAAATATATACTAAACATAAAATAAACGTAAGTCAAATGTACAAAAAGTTTGTTCATATTTTTCTTTTGTCAGTAAATCTTTTGAAATTGCCTTGGTTTTATGATGTAGTTTTACTAGAACTAAACTTCAATAGCTCATAATTATGTAATTAATTATATACAGCTTCAAAAGCAATTACTAATTGACCCAGCTTGCTAACATGACGCCTGGTGACCATCAGTCACTCATAATGAAAACAGGAAAACAGCTGGGGCCACATCAACTCCTAGCTTATTTTGTGTGTCAAACAGCCACTTAAAACAAAATTTAAAATGCTCTGACTTCAGATGAACCACATCCCATGATCAAAACCACTCAAACAGCTGTCACCCTGCAAGTTGAATGTCTTGAGATCAAATCAAATCAAACCTTCTAATTTGTGTGATGAAGAAACCACACCCTCGAGGGGTTAAACAGCTTGACCAAATCATACAGCGAGTCATGGAAAGCTAGGGATATAATCAAATTGGTCAACTCTTTGGTCTACTGTTCTAATACCTTCAACCCCAAATTTAGGTGCAGAATGGAAGTATTTGTATAATTTCTAAATCTCCAACACGGTCCTTTTCATGAAGAATAATAAAGACAACAACCACTTCAACAATGCATTATTGCAGTTACTTCCATTTACTGAGTAATTGCTACATCAGGCACTGTGCTAAGCACTTGCCAGACAATAATATCTCATTATCTCCATCATACACAAGCGAATACAGAGGGTAGGAGAAGCTGGATAATTTGCTAAAGGTCACACACCTGGTATGGGACAGGCCAAGCCTGCTATGAGAGCGGTACTAACCAAAATGTGCATAATGATTTTAGATGACATACAGATAAACTTCTTGCATTAATAGTTAAGAATATAGGTTCAGGGCAGGCTTGGTGGCTCACACCTGTAATCCCAGCACTTTGGGAGGCTAAGGTGGGCAGATCATTTGAGGTCAGGAGTAGGAGTTCAAGACCAGCCTGGCCAACATAGCAAAACCTCGTTTCTACTAAAAATACAAAAATTAGCTGGGCATGGTGGTGCGCACCTGTAATCCCAGCTACTTGAGAGGCTGAGGAAGGAGAATCGCTTGAACCCAGGAGGCGGAGGCTGCAGTGAGCCGAGATCGGACCACTGTACTCCAGCCTGGGTGACACAGTGAGACTCCATCTCAAAGAAAAAAAAAAGAGAATATAGGTTCATAGTTAGAAATACATTTTTTAAAGTTATTTTCCATTTATTTCAATAATACAATAATATAAACATTCCTTCCCAAGTAAACTTATTTAAGCAAAAATTGACTCACTGTAGAGAAAAACATTAAAAATTTAATAGCATCAGCACTTGTAGAATATAGCAAAATCCTGAAGCTGGCCCACAAATGATTACAAGTGATCAGAATGTGGAAAACCCTGATTTAGGAGATCAGATTTAATATTCTAATATTTCAATATCTAATATAATTCTGATCCTGTGGTTTTACATATCACTGAAAAAGAAGAATGTGCTTTAATCTGGAGCTATCATAATCCCATGGCTTACTTTCTACTGAAGTGGATAAATTGTACTATCGGTAACAAATGTGAGAAACACCTAGCAATGTAAAGAGGTGATTTCTTAATTTGCTATTTAGGTCACAAAAATATCTTGGGCATTGTAACTAAAAGGTCCAATGAATAAATTTATGTCTTTGAAACTTATTTTCTGAGCTCTCTAAAGCAAAGGAGCAGTTGAACAGTGCTGCTTCTCATATGAAGTAGAATTACATTGATAAAATAAACCCCCAGCCACCATCTAATGGAAATTTCCATCTAGTGCAGAGTTGCACTAGTGTTAACACTGAGATTGATTAAAAATAACCCCAAGGCACTCTATGATCCTGAAGTATATTCCAAAACATCAAAGATGGAGCAATTATAATTTGATATATATTTTGAATGTTAATAATATTTTCTAAGAATCTAAGAGTGATTAAATTCCATATAGTATATACACTGAGGGAAGGCCACACTCCAAAAGCCAAAATATCTCTCTTGGGTACATCTGCCTCTAGGAAAAATGCAAAGCGGACAGTGAATGTAAAGAGGCCCTCGCCCCTCCTTCCTACATCCTTCTCCTTTAGTTCTATTCCATCAACCCAACCCTGAGTCTCTTCACTCTCAGTTTATCTGTGTGCCATCTAAAATCATGAGAACCCTGGTGTTCTCACCATGGGCTCAGTCCCTTTCAAGTCACTACTAACAGCACTGCTTCATTTCATTTGCTTCACAGCACCTACTGCTGTCAGCACTGATGTTATGTATTTGTTCCCATGTTTACTGTCTTCCTGCAAAGGAATGTAAGCTCTGTGGCAGTAGGATCACGTCTGTTACCCCCTGCCACATCCTCAGGTCTCAGAATGTGTACCTCATAAATGAATCAACCTGAACATAATTTTATGACTCCCATGTGTATTTCTATTTTGAGATACAATTGTGCATGTCCTTTGAGACAAAATTACAAACTCTGTTTCTAGGAATGTATATGTACCAGACACTTCTTGTATCCTACTACAAATCCTCTCAGCCTTACTTCTTGCCCAACCCACCACTGCGGCAACCAGGCCCAAGCAGGCTTTGACCACCTTTCTGAAGATGTATCGTAACAGGGCCTCACCCCAGCCCCCGGCCATACCTCTCTCTGGCTTCCTATCCTAGGCCTTCAGTGATGCACTGGGCTCATACCCACATAGTCTGGAAGCATGTGGGAAATAATGCTGTGGGACCACCCTTGACTAGTGGAGAACGGATCAAAGGAAGAGAAATACTTCCCCCTGGTATTCTCCTAGAAGACAGTTCTGAGACATATGTTATAAGGCTTTCAAAGGTCCTGTCACATGTAGCTATGGCCAGATCTGTACTGCACCTATGAACCGGTTTTCCCTCCTTTCCAGCTCAAGTCCTCCATTCACTCACTGTGGCTCCTTGGGATCACTTCCCAAATAAATGAACTGCATGTAAGCCTTGCTTGCAGAAGGACCCCAAGCTGTTATATTACACAATGGAACAAACTGTGAATGTGAATATACTTAGCTATAGAACTATTAATTATAGTGTTGTTTAAATTATAAAAAATTGAGAAGAACTTAAATGTCCAATAACAAGAGAAAAATGAAGTCAATTCTATAATATCAATGAAATTGAATATTTTGCAGCTCTTAAAAGAGATCTAGTAGACAAATATTTAATGACTTGGAAAAATGTTTCTAATACATTTAGTATAAAAAGCTAGTTTCTAAAAGAATCTACAGTATGACCCCTTTTTTGGGTAAACACATGTGTGCATAACAACAGACAGTATTAGAGGGCTATACCACAATTGTTAATACGTTTTATCTCTGGTTAGGTGTGATATGAACATTTCCTATTTATTTTTACATATTTGTTAAATTTTATGTATTTGTTAAGTGGTGCATTTTCTATGTACCATTTAAATGGTCAAATATTATTTAAAAGAAAGTCAGGGAGCAAGTAAAGGAATGTCTTTCTGGATCTCTACAATGCTAACAAATATAACAAGGGTTAAGGGGAGCTATATATGGACTGTGGCTTCTCTGGGAAATATTACCCACCACTCACTAGAGATTGCCTCACTTTGGCGTGTTGAAAGGCCTTTGGAGTCTGAAAGGCCTTTGATCATCAAGCCAGTGTTTTGTAGAACAGTAACCAGGCTCTACACGTTACTCTTCCTGTTCGGTGAACAGCAACAGTTTTAAGTGTTTGGAGAAACATGAAGTAGAAGGACATAGCCCCTGATTAAATAAATCTAACTTAAAATGTTGTCATTTTGAAAAACAGGGAAAAAAAAAAGCTTTTTTATTTGTATATGTTGATTTCCAACCAATGGAGACAAATAAAAGGCTGCACATTTTTTACTTTGGAGATGCTTTCTGCAATGAACAAAGAAATGGAGGGGAGAAGCCACCACTGATCAGTGAAGACACTGTAGAGCATGAGAAATGGAAGACACCCAAGCCAAACAATTAACATCTGTGTGACACTCTCACATCAGCTGCATATTTTAAAGTAAGTTGCTTTCATCCTACTTCACATTGTTTGACAAGCCAAATTACATAGAAGATGTTTTGCTTAGACAAGTATACTCCTTCTGCTTGGCTATTAGGATCTATAGTTTATTTTCAGCTTGGGCATTTATTCCATAGGGGGAAATAATTTATGTAGTATGTCTTTTAAATCCTGAGCCATTAGCAGTTTGTTTATTAGGAAGAGACTACCAAAGGGTCCGATTGCTCCATATATATATAACTTCTAAATATCTAAGAAAACATGCAAGCATGAAAAGACAGCTTTTGTTGTTGCTGTTGTTTTTGACTCGGCTAGCCATAGCTATCCTGCAAGGTGGAGCTTGGGGAGGAGTGTGGGGAGAAGGCAGGCAAGGGTGATGTGTTTAGAAGATGAAACGCTTAGTGACAAGAAAGGCAGATCTGGGTGGAGAGTCATGGTTGGATGCACATAGCAGAGGGCTGGGTTTTGCGGTCAAGGAGTAGGGTTTTGAGATGTAGAAGTATGAATAAGGAGATGGCAGGATGCCAAGGACAAGCATTTCCTATGTCAAAACTCTGCACCGGGCCAGCCCCCTACATCCCAGAAAGAGGAAGGAAACTTTCTTCCACCTTCTTTCCTGTAACCCACATGCAACCTCGCCTGCCTCCTCCCAACACTCCACCCCTAGGAATAGGTATGTCCCACAGAGTTTAAAAAAACAAAAACAACAACCTCCCCCCACCACAAAAAAAAAACTGTCTGATTAGGTCATATTAATAGCTAATAACACAAGATCTTCCAGAATAAATCCCCTTCTAGGGGTTTTTAACATTTTAAGAGAGGTTGACTCTTAAGCAGAATACAACTGCAATTGGTGGCATTTCCAATGTTATAATTAATGAAGTAGAAAAGCAAAGGTAGTATGGAGAGAAGAAATTTGGGGGCAAAGCAGCCTCAGGCAGACTGAAAGCCATCTCTCCTACACTATCCTTTTTCCAGTTGCTACTTCTACTACTTTTAACCCAAGGTTTCTCTTAAAAGTCCGACTTATTTGAGAGTGGGTCAAATGGATAATGAAGACACCACCTACCTTTCAGGTTATTGAAAAATTAAATGTCAGTCAACGATTTAACACAATGCATGGCAATGACCATGTAGCACATCAGCTCTGACTCAGGGCTTTTTTTCTTGGATTGAACATTCTACCTCATGAGAATTGAACACCAAGATTTAGTCTCTCCCGCATAAGATGATGTTTTATCCCAGATCATTCACAATATAGGTAGCTTCCTTTTTTGATCAAATATTCTCAACATAAAAGATGTAATCAGGGAAAATTTGCAAAAAAAGAAACATAGCATACAAAAATGAGAAATGTATTTGATGCTTCATTAGTTATCAAATATAGAACCATGAGAGTGCATTTTATAAGTATAATACAAAATGTTTTTACTTTTCTTTCTAGCACCTCCCAATTCAAACAACAAAATGTTTCCAGACAATATATATTCAAACTAAAGTACAGTAAGCCTTGGCCCTTAGCATATTTTTGCTGTCACTGTAAACTAATCAACTCCCTTAGAAAACAAATAAGGAACATTGATCAATAGATACCAAAAAATATAAACGTTTAAAACATTTGACCCTAAAATTATGTTTCTGAAAATCTACCTTGAGAAAAAAGTCCAAAAAATGGAATAAGATACATAAATGACTTTTACTTTAGCATTACTTAGTAGAAAAAAAACCAGAACCAACTAAAGATCTAACAATATGGCAACAATTAAGTAAAATATGATAAATCCACATGATGAAATGTTATAATCAGTAATAATAAAGACTAATAATGGCTTTAAAAATAACTAACATTTCTAAAGTATTTGCTATAACAAACAATCCTATTATAAAATTAAATGGACTTGGCACACAGCTTTAACCTATCATCATATTAGAACAACTTAATGGACAACAAGCTCCTCTGATCTCAGGAAACTTAAAAAATAAAACAATGTTGACACAAACAGAACGAACTACTGAACACTTCCACACCAAGTATTTTTAACACGTAGTGGACAGAGTAAACAAAGTGTTCTACTGGTTTTTTTAATGACAGCTTGGCTCCTGCCCTTGCATCCTTCACTCCTACAGCTGGCAGCACTGGATGTGGATCCCATCCCATCTCTAGTCAGAGGAGACACATATCCATTAACATGCTAAACTGTAATAAACCCTTACAATGCAATACTCATCAATAAACAGGGACGACTACTGAAATACACAACAGCATAGATGACTCTCACAAATATGTTATGAGGAGGAAGTCAGCCTTAAAAAAAATACATTCTGTATGATTCTATTTATATGAAGTTCAAGAACAGGGAAAACTAACCTATTATAATAGAAATCACATCAATGGTTGCCTGGAAAGGGAGTGGGAGATTTATTGGGAAGAGACCTGAGGTTATAAATGCTCAATACCTTGATTTGGGTGTGGATTAATAGATGTGTACATTTGTTATAACTTAGCAAACTGTACAGTTAAGATCTATGGTATGTAAATTATATCCCACTAGGGGAAAAACAATCAAGTACAGTCAACCCTCCATGGGATTCAACCAACCTCAGATCAAAAATATTCAGGAAAAATAGTGCATCTGTACTGATTATGTACAAACTTTTTTTCCTGTCATTATGCCCTAAACCATACCATATTAATGATTATTTACACAGCATTTACATTGTATTAGGTATTGTACACAAACTAGAGATGATTTAAAGTATACAGGAGGGGCGAAGCATAGTGTCTCACATCTGTAATCCCAGCACTTTGGGAGGCCGAGGCGGGTGGATCACCTGAGGTCAGAAGTTTGAGACCAGCCTGGCCAACATGGTGAAACCTGTCTCTACTAAAAATACAAAAAGTAGTCAGGCATGGTGGTGGGTGCCTGTAATCCCAACTACTCAGGAGGCTGGGGCAAGAGAATCGCCTGAACCCAGGAGGAGGCAGAGGTTGCAGTGAGCCGAGATCGCACCACTGCATTCCAGCCTGGGCAACAGAGTGAGACTCCGTCTCAAAAAAATAAAAAATAAAAAAGTATACAGTAGGATGTGCATGCGTTATATGCAAATATTAATACTATGCCACTTTAAGTCAGGGACTAGAGCATGCTTAGATTTTGGTACCCAAGGGAAGTCATGGAACCAAACTCCCACGGATACTGAGGGACAGCTGTACTTTAAATCCATACTAATAGATTAACCAGAGGTCAACGGACAGCCTTTATAAGCCATGAAATAAATTTTCAAATAGAAAATAATAATCCTACCTGATAGAATCCAAAATAAGAGGCAACCCCGCAAAAATGCATTTACGTGACCAAATTGCTACACTAGCATTGATAAACTTATTTTAAAACAGTAGCTTGTGCATCCATGTCAGTGATATAGCTATATTCTATTTTCGCAAGAAATAAAGTTTTCAATTAGCAATAATCATGCCTCAGATAAACCTCATTGGCTATGATACTGCCACTGTACAAAGCTAGAAATAAAGTTTTCATAAATTATATAGCCCAAGAAAAGGCATAATACACTTAA
The DNA here is from genome assembly GCF_000001405.40 of Homo sapiens. Classification (NCBI taxonomy): domain Eukaryota; kingdom Metazoa; phylum Chordata; class Mammalia; order Primates; family Hominidae; genus Homo; species Homo sapiens. The sequence continues at coordinate 119,367,507 of NC_000004.12, read as the reverse complement.
ACCAGATTATCAGAAGCACATTAATTTTACTAACCTAACAATGAGATTAAGACATTAAGGTCCAAGAGGTAATAATATTTTTAAGACTATATGTCAATAATGCTAGGGTTTATAAAACCTTTGGCTGGTGTCAAACCAAACATGCCAGAACCACATATAATTTAACAACTCTAGACTGTGACCACCTGGACTGGATTGGAGAGGCGTACCCTGAACACTGGCAACTAGCCTGATACAAATGTGCTATCCCACACACAGGCTCCATACCTAAACAACATCACAAACAAGAAAAAAAAATCCACTTTGAACTGGATATATTTCTAATAAGGACTTTGATTTGTTTTTATTTGTCTTGTTCGAGTTCAAATTACAAAGACGCTGTTATAAGATGCTAAATCATAAACAGGATGGAGTCATTTTTTTGTTCATCAAGATAAATGCCTTTTATGTACCACATGAAACTACTTAAAACGTGAATCTCAAAATGATTCAGCCGTGGAGACATCTTCAAGGACCATATATTTTAATAATACAAAGCCACAAGTAACTCAATTACTAATGCTTCTAGAGTACCTAGCCTTGCTCCGAACAATAAATTTTTTAAAAACCACTTTGGGTGTCGTATCCACCTAGTTTTATAAGACGCTCTTATACTAAGGTTTCTAGGTTTTCTCAAACTAGCTGACCTCAATGGCCATTCCATATTAAATTTTAAATAAGACTTTTTTAATTCTATATTCTTATATTGAATAAAAATAATTTAACTAGAATGGAGACTGGATGTTCTAGTTGGTCTAATATTTTGATTAAAACTATGAGGATTACCAAATTCAGACTTAAAATATAATAAAATACAATTAACATCAAAACTCAAATGGTAAATAATTTAAATTTTTATGCCTCTGGATAATAATAAATTAGTACTAACCAGGTAAAGTGATAAAATATCAAGGTAACTGATTTCTGGGTGCTAGAATGTCAGATAAATTCATTACAATGATATAAGTACCCATGGTTATATCATAAACAACCACTAATCCTGAAGGTTTGATTCAGGAATTTATGTAATTTTTTTTTTAAGTTTTAACCTGTGTTTTCCAAGCACATCATCTGCCAAACCCTTTTACTCACAAAGGACTTCTATCCCATGAGAGAAAGAAAACAGAAATGGAAAAGCAATAAGCCTTCCATAGACACTGCTGGGAGATACATAACTTTTGCTCTAATCACTGCATGTCAAACCAATGGAACAGGTGATTCTAAATCAAAGATTTAGCATGGTACTACAATCACCCAAGTGTGGTCTCCATGCCAACTCAAATGCACAAGAGGGAGAGAACTCTATAGCAAATTAGGGACATTTTTTATATGACCTGATTCAGAATATAAAGAGGGAAGGAAAAGTCATATGAGCTATTTTCTACCCAGTGATCCCAAATAATTTTAATGAGTTATTCTTTTTCTTGGTCTTAAGTCTTTTTATTCCTGCCCATCTCTTATTTCTGCTCAACATTTATAGAGCATTTAGATATTTTTGCAAGCTTTAACTGTTATATTTTTACACCATTTCAATGCAGTGGCAAAGCACTGTTGGCCTCATTTAATAGCTGAGAAACGGAAAGGTTAATATCTTACTCAAGGCTCTTCTTGAAGTCAGTAATAAATTCAAGATTTGAGCTCTGAATTTTAATACTATAATTAGCCAAAGTCCACTGGGCCATGAAGTTTACTAGCAGAAAGCCAACGTAAGGGCTCCTTATTATTTCTGAGTTGTTCCACATTAATGTAAATATGCAGCATTATACGTGTAATTCAAATGATTTTACCTTGAGGAATTATTAACAACATTTTAAAAAACTGCTCAGTAGATGTTTCTGTTCACCTTGAAGATGAGCTTTCTACAGAACACCTTGCTACTTGGCAACTTCTAGATGTGTGGCTATGAATGAAGCATGGTCATCCACTCAAAATGGGTGGAGGGCAGTGTTGGAGGAGCAGATCTGGAATATGACTGTAACAAAGCTCAAAACATAATCAAATATATAGTGATAGTCTCTGTCAGAACAGACTATTTTTTTTTTTTTTTTTGAGATGGAGTCTCACTCTGTTGCCCAGGCTGGAGTGCAGTGGGGTGATCTCGGCTTACTGCAAGCTCCGCCTCCTGGGTTCACGCCATTCTCCTGCCTCAGCCTCCCTAGTAGCTGGGACCACAGGCACCCGCCACCACGCCCAGCTAATTTTTTGTATTTTTAGTGGAGACGGGGTTTCACTGTGTTAGCCAGGATGGTCTCTATCTCCTGACCTCATGATCCACCTGCCTCAGCCTCCCAAACAAAGTGCTGGGATTACAGGCGTGAGCCACCGTACCCAGCCAGAAGAAACTATTTTTAACATGAGGTTTAAAATGGTCCACATTATTAAATCTCCACAAGGAGATAAATAAGAATTAAAAATACCAGGGCACCCTGCCCTCTAGTTGAGAATCTCTGTGTCAATGAATCACTGTGTCTGGTGGAGTTTGGCACATCCTCAAGTGCTTGGGGATAGAAAAAGACAACTACCAGATTACAAAAAAATTCAGAAATGGGTTATCCAAAGAGCAATTATTTGTCAGAGTTTTCCCAGTACCATGAAAGGTAAGGAGACATTGGGTTTCACAGTATGTAATCAATACTCAAATCACTAGAAAGGTATACTTTGCAGTGGGATGCCAGTTTGGTAAGACTTTCCATTATCCCTTTGAAGTAAATTCCCTTTCCTTGTGCTCACCCAATGAAGCTCTGATTACTAATTCTATCACTTAGGTATCTAGATCCTGAGAATGATGCACACCGGATAATGTAAACACAGTCCCTAGAAACACCTGTTACCCGCTGAAAATTAGTTTAAGATCATTTTGGTTCATGTATTAGTTTTCTGATTTTGGCTACTCTGAGCTATTTCCCAAAAGTCTGATCAACTCTGAAAGAGCTAACAAAATAGTTTCTAGACCTGCAAAGCCAAGAAATAGATTGGGCAAGCGATGTCTAACCCCTACTGTGACATCACCTTCATTGCTCACCATCTCAAGCAGGTCCATCTGAATCTCTGTGCCCTGTTCCAGGAATTGCACCATAAGCCAGCATAGAAAACAAAGTATACTTTCTGGATTACCACTGAGTACCTATGTCTTCCTGACATCTAAGCAGTCAACATCTATTAGTCATCTGTTGGGTATTTCCATGCTAGAAATGCATGCTAAAGAATACAGTTTAGAAAAATAAAATATATACACAAATAACATAAAAATCACTGTATTTATGCATAATCAATAACATATATTCAGTCACATCTCTACTATTCATGAAACTTTTCTCTCTCACACTCCAAGTAACTTATAGCTGAATTTTCCAATTCTTTTGACCACACTACATAGTAAGACTTTTTACCTCACAACCTAGAACTCAAAGTTTCACAAAACATGCAGACTTGCTAGGATCTGCTATTTTCTTCTGAAATAGACTTTAAGCTTGAATAGCATTTCCTACTCTTGGCTCTAATTTTTCTCTTAAATGCTAATAATGACCTACTAAGTTTATTTCTTGACCCACTAGTTGATCACCACCCACACCTGAAAAACAAAAATGCTGCTTTAAGGCCTGGAGATGCAGCTCCCCATTGCTACTTCCTTTCTCCTTTCTTCAAAAACCCCTGCTCCTTGGAAGCACATGTCTGCTCACCTTCCTCATTGGGACTATCTAACGACACCTCAGTCACTCCTACTCATTTACAGATGACTTTTTTTACTTGGCCAACTTCATCTAATATACTGAGATGGAACAGGTGGTTCTAAATCAAAGATTTAGTATGGTACTACAATCACCCCAGAGTGTTGTCGTCATGCTAACTCAAACACACGAGAGAGAGAACTTTTTAAAACCTAAATCACCGTTCTCTCCACCACAACTTCTGACAATTTTTGATGACATAAACATCCAAATAGAACATCTCGGTTTCCTGAGTTCCAACTACCACTTCCTCCTCCACTTTTTCTCAGCTACCCACTCATGTAGTCTTGTTCTAGACTTTCTTATTCCAGAATAATTTTTAAAACACGGTGTAGAGCCAATCACCCAGCCAACCTCAGCCTAGATTAGTTGATCCTCAGCCAATCTGCAAATCCATAAGAATAAATGATTTTTTTATTAAGCCACTGAGCTTTGGCATACTTTGTTCTGTGGCATTTTTGTGGCAATAGCTAACACATTCATCATCTCTATACTAAGTATAAGTGGTATAACATGGCTGAAGAAAATCACACAACCATTCTACCTGATATTTATGACTGCAAATCTCAAATGAGCTCTCAATATGGCCTGACAATTCGACTACACTTCACTAGTAAATTCATCTTCATCCTTTGCAAGACAATGATTTATCATCTTTAGTTCAAATCTCCAGCATCCTTCTTCCTCATCTTCCTTTTGGCTGATTACTTGCCACAGCCTTTATAATTATATGCAAGCTGATAAAATACCTACCTTTCCACCATCCAAGCCACTAACTTGTATCTGACAACAACACAGTCTGCCTTCTGTCTGGTTAACAGAGAAGTTTTCCTGCTCCCATCTAAGGTAAGCCCCTTCATTTTGTTTTAGATGGCAACCTCTCTCACTTTTGCAATTATACCCTTTGTTTCTTTCTCCCCTTTATCACATCAACTTTCACTTTTCTACTAGGTTATTCTAATTAACATAAAAATGCTTTAAAATATTACCCATCAAAAAACAAAACAAAACAAACAAACAAAAACACCCTTAAACTCATCATCCCCTTCAGCCAGCACATTCTCTCCCCTTTCACAGCAAAGGGCATTGAAAGAACTTTCGGTACTCTCTGAGTCCACTTATTCTTAGTCCACTCCAAACCACTTTTCATTCTCACCATCACCTCTAAATAGCTTTTCCCAAGGTCACTAATGACCAGTGGGACCATATAATTCATCATCCACACTGGAACATTTCTGAGTAAAGTAAACACTAATCAGAGAAGACACCAGATTAGCAGGCATAAAATAGGACTGTCTCAGGCAAACGAATGTAGCGACACCTACACTGATATGGCTCAATTCACTTACTTGACCTATCAAGAACATCTGACACAGCCAAACACTGTCTCCTTGAAGCACTTTCTTCTCTAGAACTAGCATTCTGTGACACCACATACACCTGCTTTTCCTCCTACATCACCAGTACTCCATCTCCCTCATCTGCTCATCTAAAATCTGGAATGCCCCAGATTATGTCTTTGGCTTGCTTGCTTTCTCTGTCTACACTACCTCTTAAAGTGACCTCATCCACTTCAATATGCCACCAATACATCAAATCTACCTCCCTAACCTGACCCCTTCCCATCACAGAACCAACCTATTCAGCATCTCCACTTGTAAGCCCAACTGGTAAAAGTTAACATAACCAAAATAGAACCATTAATTCCCACCACCCCGAAAATATGTCCCCATCCCATGTCTTCACCATCTCAGACAACAGCACTATAATCCACCCAGTTGCTCAGGCCAAAAATGCAGGAGCCATTCTTGATCATTCTCCTTCCTCCATCCCGTCATGCAAATCCATTAGTAAATTCCATTGGCCCTACCTCCAAATATCTCCCAAATCTATTGTTCACCATCTCACGCCAACAACCCAGGCCCAAGCCACTAGTCTCTCACTTAGCCTACCCCAACAGGTATCTAAAGGGCCTCCAACTTCTTCTACTGCCCCCACAGTCCATCCTCCAGCTAGCAGATGGGAAAGGGGAACAAACTGTCTAAAGCATGAATTCCCTGCCCAAACTACAACTGGAACAAAATCAAACCTCCTTATCATAGTCTACAAACCCACTTTGTCTGGCCCTATTTACCTTTCTAATCTAATCTCATCTTTCTCCACTCTCTCATCATTTACTCTGCTCAAATAATAATCGCCCTTTTCTTTCTGGCCCATAAAACACGCCAAACTTATTCACATCTCAGGTCCTTTGCTCTTTCTGCTTGGAATGTTCTCTGCCTTTATTTTTACATCACTCCCTTCTTTTCATTCAAGTCTCTGCTCAAACGACCCCTCCCCAGAGAATAACAGGTAAAATTCACCTGTTTCTCTATCTATGGGTATATTATTTGTCTCGTCCCTACCCCTCCTCTACAATGTAAAGCCTTTCAAGACAAGGACCTTATCTATCCTGCCTGACATTGTAACACCAATGGTTGGAACAGTGTCTGGCATAGAATAGATACCCCATAAATATTTAGTAAACTATTGATTGAAAGATGAAATTCATCAGGATCAATACTGGCAGTGAAAAAAAGAGGTAAGCTCAACAGCTTAGATATAGGGAAGGGAAAGGGTAAGCCATGTATAAAAAGCAGTAAAGTGGTTCTTCATCCATACCTGATCTGGCCTGATCCAGCTACAGGTCTTACAAATCTTAGATCTTCAAGTGCAGTTCAATTCGGTCCTAAACTAATCCTGACCAATACCACAAAGCTTATTGGGCACCATATCAGTGTTTACAGTCTGGCGTTAATCTTGCTGCCCTAAACGTGATGTGCTCCCCCAAGTACCCTCATGCTTGCCAAGCCACAGCGTGACTCCTAATGCCCCACATAACAAGCCCCAGATCCTGGGTTTGTTGCCCAGTTTCCTACGGGAATGCAGACCCTCCACAATCTCAAAATTACTTGGTTGTGGTCATTACAATTGCCCAGCCCTTACCAAGTCTCTTTCTAGACAAGCCAGAAACATAAGAGCTATAGGCTTGAGTGTTCACCCAGGGCAGCTCTTCCTGGATAAAGGCACTGCCATCAGCCTAAGAGTATATGCTACCACCACTACCAACACCACGAAAGTCCTGCTGCCAGGCTCTCTGCAGCATCTCATTCAGACCTGAATCTGTAACTCACCTCTAAACATTTCAGTTCGGACTGCATGCTACCCTCAGTTTTTTTTGTTATTGTTATTTTGAGATGAAATCTCACTCTGCTGCCCAGGCTGGAGTGCAGTGGTACGATCTTGGTTTACTGCAACCTCCACCTCCCGGGTTCAAGCGATTCTCCTGCCTCAGCCTCACGAGTAGCTGGGACCACAAGTGTGCACCACCACGCCTGGCTAACTTTTGTAATTTTAGTAGAGATGAGGTTTCACCATGTTGGGCAGGCTGGCCTTGAACTCCTGAGCTCAGGTGATCCGCCTCCCTTGGCATCCCTCCCAAAGTGCTGGGATTACAGGCATGAGCCACTGTGCCCAGCCTACCCTCAGTTTTAAAATTATTTTTTGAAAATGTCAAAAAAAAACACAAACACAAACACAAACAGAAAAAAAATACTTGTTGAATGCTTGCTCCATCAGGTCAGTGCTCCTACGCCTAGCCCTATTCATCTCTGGCTCAAGCTCCAATGCCAATCAGAGGTTAAGCAACTTAGGCAAGGTCACATGGCATTTAAACAGCAAAGCCAAGATCCAAACCCACTCTAAGTATATACTCTATTCATTACTTTGTTCCCTGTTCATTTTTTTTTTTTTTTTTTTGTAGCACCAGGACCGAGTACTTATCAGAAATTCCATCAATGACTGTTTAACTGATGGGGTGTCTTAAATATTTTTAAGACAGATTTTTAAAACAAATCTCCACCTACTGGGAATTTCATTTCAATGTTTACCCACACAATATAGAAATACACAAAGCAAAAGCACTCTTCACCAAAATCCACTTTACCTACTCACCTGATGAACCAACTCTCTCCATGCCCTCAGTAACTACACTCTACTGTGCTTGCACACGTCTGCTCCTCCAGCTGGGATGCATTTTACCAATTCATACATGTTGGATTTGCTCCCACATCTGTTTATGACACTTGCACTTATTGAAATTACACAATTTAAGTAAATGAATTCAATGAAATGTGAATGTAAAAAGAGCTCTTTCTATGAAAACTAAGTTGGCTGCTTTGGAGTGGCTTGATCAACGTGTTACTGGAAAAAAAAAAATAAATGTTTTCAATCCAATTAGACATGGGAGGAATGAAAGATAAACTGTATAATTCAAAGAAGATTTTGCCTTGAGATTTCAAGTTCAGTTCTTGCTGCACTTAAAAAAAAAGCCTGGAAATTATAGTTGGTGCATGATTATGGTATGGTTTGTGCAAAAAAGGACATGTGGCTCTTGAAACAGCTTACCATACTTAGTTTTACAAACAAAGATTGGAATACAATTGTAAACCTACATGTTTGAGGTTAAAATATTTAGGGTACACATGTATTCTGTTTTGGTGATTTCCCTACTTTGGCTGGCTTTTTATTGATTAAGCTAACTTAAAGCTTTTTCAACTATGTCAACAGGCCTGGTACCATGTAAGCCCCTCCATGTGATGTCCTCCTTTTGGGAACATGCAGAGTAAAACACTATCTATACAGCATACTCCTAGCAGTTCTGGTTTGAAGCAAAACAACAACAACCTGCCCTATACCACCAATAAAATGGACGCACTATATTGAATTTTCTACTATACTGAGACTGTGTTAAACATTTAGTCTGTTTATTACCAATAACTGATTTTAGATGTCCCTTGAAAAACTCTCATTTAAATTTTGTTTCATTTCTAAAGAGATAGAAAGTGTCTGTCTCAAATAATTCCAATTCATCCAACATATATTTCATGAACTTTTTAAAACCTATCCATTCAAAACTGTCAGATGTTTCTCAAATTCTTCTAGATGATAACAGTTCTAATATGGAAAGAATCTGTAGATGAGTACTCATAATATTAATTTAGGAATGAGAGCATTTACTTTCATGGGCACTGTTTATTAACAGCATTACCTTTGTTTTTAACACTTACATCAAGTGAGAAACTCTTACCTACTTTTAGGAAGCCAAAACAAATACCCAAAGGCGGAGAAGTCAAACTCATGTAACAAAACTACAAATTTAGCAATGAAGTAAATGCTTTAAGAAGTTCAAGATCCTTTAGGATTCTCCAAAAGTGTTAATTAACACATCTAATGACATAGCATGTACCTTGAATAATTTTTGGATCGTGAAAAAAAATTTTCAGTTATAAAGACATTTACATTTTTGAATTTATAAACTCTCTTTGTAAGCAATACTAGTTAATGACGATTTAATAGTTGCTGTGTGACGTTGAGCAAATTATTTAACCTTCTTAAACCTATTTCTTCAATCACATTGGGGTAACACCTATCTTACATGGAGGCAAAAACATCAAATGAGCTACATATAAAATGCTTAGCATATAACTAGAGATATACCCATGTGAAAATCCTTCATACATGCACATACACACACAGACTCACACACACTTACATATTTATATTTTTTATACCTAAAGCCAAGTATTCTTGGCCGGGAGTGGTAGCTCATGCCTATAATCCCAGCACTTGAGGAGGCCAAGGTTGGCAGACTGCTTGAGGTCAGGAGTTCAAGACCAGCCTGGCCAACATGGTGAAACCCCATCTCTACTAAAAATACAAAATTAGCCGGGCGTGATGGTGCATGTCTGTAGTCCCAGCTACTTGGAAGGCTGAGGTGGGAGAATTGCTTGAACCTGGGAAGCGGAGGTTGCAACGAGCCAAGATCACACCACTGACCACAGCCTGGGCAACAGAGCAAGACTCTGTCTCAATAAAATAAAAAAATTTAAAAATTTAAAAATAAAGCCAAGTATTCTTAACAGTGGAAGGTGGGGCAAGCAGCAAGGTACACGGATTCTCTGAAAGTGTATTGAAAATGTATGCAAAACTTTGTGTAGATAAGCTAATGTGCCCTTTCCTTAGAAAAGGGTTGACAGTTTTTCATCATATTCTCAAAGGTGTCCATAACCACCAAATGTCAAAGAGCATAGTTTTCAATAGCCTTTGGCTGTATTTTCTCTATTTCCCAGATTTATGCAGTTCATAAAGTTTGCTTTGAAACTCTAGACACAAGTTAAATTTTAATTCACTCAACAGCAACAACAACAAAAAAGTTGAATTACAAGTGTAGTCATAGGTAAAATATTGGTTCTCCTTTTATCTCCCTTTAAAAAAAAACTGTAAATTCATTTAGCTCAAATTATCCTCCAATTTTGCCATAAATAAAACCAAATATCCAAACATAAAGCCAAAGTTTAAAAACCTAAACAAACAAAAAAACAACAGCAGCAACAAACACACAAAAAGCTAGGAAACCTGGAATGGCCAAGAATTCAAGCCCTATTGCTTGTATAAATCAGAAGGGACTATAATAACAATAGTCCCTTGTTTGGAGTTAATTTTTTAAATTACTCATTCTCTCATTCTGACTCCAAGTTAACAACCTTCACTTCAAATAGGTATTATATTGTTTAAAATTAGTGTAATAAGGAGACCATATGGTATCATGGAAGAGACCCTACACTAGTAATCTGGGAAACCAGGGTTACAGCCCTGTTCTGTCGCCAACTGACTGCCAACAGATGGCTGGACCTCAGCATTCCACAGCACAATGATTCTACACCAAAACATGCAATCCCAAAGATACTTTCTAGCCCAATATTGTACTTTACTACTAAAACAGAAACTTACAAAAGGGAGGTCACCTGGTAAAAGATTTGAGTCTAGGTCCAGTGAGAAAAATATACCACCACCAAGAAACATTTGAATTACAGAAACTTCTGTTCCCACTGTCAGCACCTTCAGGGCATATAAATTCAGAGCACGGCTTCCAGTTAGGGCCACTTAAAACTTCAGCTTAACATTAATAACAACAGACACCTTCTTCTTTAAGGTGGACAACACTTTACAAGAAAGATTTAACAAAATATAGATTGACAAAAAATACACAAAGCAGGAAATAGGAGTCTGGTGTATCTTTATATGGTATAGTCTTATTTTTTTCATTGAAAAACACATGTCATGGAAAAAGTAGCTACTTTTAATCTAATTTATTTCTCAACTGCCTTTTCCAAAACAAGTATTTTTCAATTGAAAATAAAAGAAAGCTTTACAAACCATGATAGCCCTATGCTGAAGAGATATCCCTCTCCCTCTTAAAAACAAAACAAAACTATACAAATATTAAGCATTTAATAAGCCTGCCAAATGTAACTCTTAGAATGTATTCCTGCATATTCTAAAAGCTAAGCAATATATACACAAGAGGCAAATTAGGATGGCAAGAGTTTTCTGAAAGGCTGTGATGACTAATATTTCAGGACTGGAACATGATAGTTATTAAAAGAAACATGAGAGGCGTTCTCCTAATTCCTAATAGGCCCATGTCCCCACCACAAGAACTACTACAAACAACATTCAGGGCTGAATTCACACAGTTTAGTCTCTAAGGCCTAAAGGATTTTTCTCAATTTTTTCCCATGTGGCCCATTATGTGAATCAAAGAAATCAGTAATTCATTTGTTGAAGGTCAAATATAAGGACATAATGAGGCCCATGCACTAAAATGAATAAAAAGAATGAACAAAAAGAAACTAAGATAAACTCTTGTTGAAAACAATGCCCCAGAATCTAGCAAATAGTCTAAATGTACCTAAAAGACCAGAATGAGATGACGTATTAGTTCAGTGATCTCATGACATATACCAAACACTTTCTTCCATGTTAAAAAAAAAAAAAAGTTCATCTAGCATCTGATGCATACATTTAGAAACAACTCCAATATTGACCAAGGTTTTTCAAATGCCTTACCTCATAACTGGAACTTCTAAGCAAAAGCTAATGAGGCCATCTGGGAAAGATCACCAGGAGGCCTTACTACTGCCAGTATTTCACATGGAACAATCGATAGCATGTCTTAACAAGTGCAAAGATTTCAGTCTCCGAATTCATTTTGTAGCATATTTCAACTAGTTAGCAGGGATAAGGATTGAACCAACAACTTCCTATTTGTGCAAGTAGAATTTAAAGATTATTTCTTAAGAATTTAGTCCTAGTTATTTTTGTTGTCCTCAAAACACAGTGTCCCTGTTAGAAGGAATATAAATAAACACACATTTTCAGATGGCAATTTGGCATTGCTATCAAAAAATTAATATATGCATGTACTCTTTGATTCACCAATTCCATTTTGAGGAATCCAGCTTATAAAATTTGGGGATGCAAATATAAAAATGTCCACTCATTGCACTGTTTTTATACAGGTGAAAAAATCATACTATATATATATATAGCTGATTAACATGAGTTAGACCCATATACACTAATGTGTGAAGACCCCTAAGACACTGCTCAGTTCAAAAAGCAAGTTTCAGAACAAGTATAGTATTTCTTATGTAAAACAATTGTGTGTACGTTTGTGTGAATAAATGCATGGAAAATGGTCTGAAGGGATTCACAGTACATAACAGAAGCTGCCCTCTAGAGAGGAAGAAGTGAATCAATGTATGTGAACTGGGGTATCGAAGAGAAGGTCCATTTTCTGAAGAGGGATTTTCACCTTTTACTCCACATCCATCTGTATTATTTAAACATTTATGTAACACACATAAAACATTTGTTCTTTATAGAATATAAGATGCAATATCAACTTTTACCTAAACTCCAGAATCACTTAAAGAGGATGCTCAAATAGTAAAACAAAGAATAGGCTGGGCATATGGTGGTTCACACCTATAATCCCAGCACTTTGGGAGGCTGAAGAGGGCGGATCACTTGAGCCCAAGAGTTTGAGATCAGCCTGGGGAACATAGTGAGACCTCTCTACAAAAAAAATAAGAAAATTCGCTGGGCATAGTGGCACATGCCTGTAGTCCCAGCTACTTGGGAGGCTGCAGCGGGAGGACTCCCTGAGCCTAGGAGGTCGAGGCTGCGTGATCCATGATCACACCACCGCGCTCCAACCTGAGAGACAGAGCAAGATTGGGTATCAAAAAAAAAAAAAAAAAAGACAGAAAGAATATTGGCAGTCAAAAACATTCTTTGTAGACTATATCCTTCCAAGGAATAAAGAGAAATTGTGGGCAGCATCAATGAACAGTTATAAATGAATATGACAGTGTTTTCATGAAAGAACAAGCATCATTCAGAGAACTAAAGGATCTGTATCTCAGATCTTAAAGAATATAAAAGATACTGAACTCAGAAACATTACTAAAAAGGTGTAATCATTCCAAATATTTTTTAGAAATACAATTTTCACAATGAATCCTATTATTTTGGTGAAAAATGTATACTGTGTGGGTGTGCTTTTTTTATTAAAAAAAACTGTATGCATAAAAAGCTAGATGGTGTGAAGTGTTTACTCTTACCTGTACATTTTCTTCTGTAACCTGAATTTCTGCAGTGTAAACGTAATCAATTAGCATCCTCAGGGTCCAGCCATCTACCTCTTTTATTCTAACTCTCTTTGCTCGGCTCTCACTCATCTCACCTAAAACACAAAGGAATAAGAGTGATGTTACAGCAAGACACTGCTGTGGAAGTTCCAGTGCCAATGCACATTGATACATCTTCTTGCCACTCACTGTATTCAACAGGCAGCATAATCAGCCACTTTTTGCAGGCTGAAAACACTCCCCTTCCTCTTCCAAACGCTTACCTGAGCAAATCATAAAATGTACTTTTGTTACCCACTTGCACCTGCAAATCATATCACAACAATGAACGTGCCATATGTCCAGCTGCATGAACTATTCTTGTGGCTATAGGATCAGTAGCTGAGGCTGTCCCTGCTTTTGGGCATTTGTTGTCTTTATGGATTTCTAGTCATGACTAGAAGAGTAATGATGTTACTGCCTTTGGCTAATAGCAATGAACAGCTGCTGAAAAGGACCCACCTGGTTAGCATTACTCCTTCAACAAACACACAAATGCCTGCCGGGGCATGCATAGCCTGCACCAGACACAGAGGCTCCACCCTCAGTGAGAGGTCACAATCCTCATGCCAGAGACAACGAGAAAACAAATTACCTATGATGCTTAGAGAATGCAAGGCATAACAGGGATCACAATAATAACAAAGAGTTAGTCAATAGCAAAGCTTATTACAGAGATCTTCTACCTCAGATTCAGTTCCTGTTTGTTAACTGCAGCAACTTCACGCTGAAGTCATTTCCATACCAGCTTTATTACTAAAACCAGGTATCCTTCCACAAAACTGCCTGCTAAAAAAACAGTACAAGACTTTCTTCCTAATACCCACTTGTGGAAAAGAAATAGGGAAGGAGGAAAGAGAAGGGATGGTCCCTAAGCCAAGGAGACTTGGGGAGAGTAGGAGGCAAGTTTAAGCACCGAGGTGTGACAACATAAGTGAACTATGATACATGGAGACACAAGCAATTGAATGCGGGTGGGGAGGGATTCAATTAAAAACTAAAAGGACAGTCCAAGAATAATGCTGAGGGCCATGGGCAAAAAAGATTTGGCTCTAGAATTCACTAAGTTTCAAAGGTAAAAGAAGCATGAGAACGTGCCACTATTCATCATCTTCACTTTAACCCAGCATCTCTTATTAAACCATAACATAGCCTCAAGATTTCTTGAAAGCTCACTTCTTTTTCTGATACAATGCACTGTCAGCAACCATAAACTATCAGAAAAGTCTATGGGAAATCATAATTACACAAAATTCCTTTGTAAACAAAACCCTGGGAGAAGAGAAATAACAATAGTGGTGTACATTTAACCGCGTTCTTCCCTGGAGATTATCTCTGACAAGATCTCAGAAAGAAGCTGTTCACCTCAGAGCTAAAATATCCCAAAAAACTACCCTGCTACTTCCCAGGAAGAAAAACATCTCTTTGTATGACAAGGGAAGTAGGAGAGTTAATGAGAAAGATGTACCTATACCTACATAGCAGGATGAAAGGGGACTGAGTTGTATGTCTGGTGCTACAGCAAATGTTTTTCCCGTGCTTACAGAAAGGGGGAAAAAGGAAGGTCAAGGAATACAGAAAAATAAGTCTTCAGCCACATATAAGGCACCTTCCTCTATCCTATTCTTGCTGGATCCTGTGAATAGTTGGGGTATAAACTGATAGTCTGTATAAACTGAAGCCTCTTTTGTGCCAAAAGTTAAGACATTCTGGTGATTCCCACTTGGACTTGAGACAAAGGCCATAACTGATTCACCTACAGAGCCCCAATAATATGCAAAGCCCTTCAGGGCCTGGGGCCACATGAGCACAAAGCCAAACAGCCAGTACTCAGTTAAGCGTGACTTACCTTAGGCAAAACCAAGTGGGACTTTAATTTACATGTATGACTGAAAAATAATTAGTTCTCTGCCAAACAGTTTTTAATATTATAGTTCTTAAGGTATTGCTATAAGATGCATTTTGCTAGTTCAAATATTTGTCATTTTTAAGATTATTTTTCTCCCCAGAAAACTGTATCTGCTTCCAATAAATTCAATTTCAATTATATACTGTTTTGAAAACATTTTAATATTTTTATATTAATTTACAAAAACAGTAAGAAAAACAAAAAATGTGCCCATGACTGTATTAATGGTTTAAAAATTCTAATTACTATGAATCAAAGCCCATACTAAAGAGTATTGTAAAAGTTATTTATATCTAATTCCAGTTGTTACATTATTACCTTAGTTTTTGCCCTTTGCTGTGTTTTCAGAGGAAATCTTTAAACAGTATGGCTTTGTGAGATTTCTGATTGCTAACGCATTTTAAAAACTATCAATGAGAGTCAGGTGCTGTGGCTCACTCTTGTAATCCCAGCTACTAGGGAGACTGAAGCAGGAGAATCACTTGAGCCCAGGAGTTCAAGACTAGCCTGGGCAACACAGCAAGACTCTGTCCTATTTAAAACAAACAGAAAATAAACTAGGCTATCCAATGATACTGTACATAGTTTATCCTTACCATTTGTAACCTCCCATAGTCTCTATAGAGATTATAGTTTCTTGTTTATGTTTTGATCACATAACTCTGAGCTTATATCAGAACTCTGAAGCTACATTATGCTATCCATACAAACACCTATACTAAAAACCTGAGTGAGAGTCATCCTTGATTCTCTCCTCTTCCTTACCCACCAGTCCCACAGTTCACTAAAACTTGCAGAATTAACCTTGGATAGATCTCAAATAAATCTTCTCACCTTCTCACCATTGGGGATCCTATAATCTCTTGCTCACACCAATGTAGCCACCTCCTAATTATTTTCCTGCCTCCAGTACTGACTCCACAAATTTGAGCACGGAGTTCAAAAATCCTTTGGTTTCTCCCAGTCCAAGCACACATGTCCAGCCCCTGATTCATTGTCTAGCCTTCTCTCTCTCCTCCCGCTATTTCTAAACTTGAAATACATTATTGAGAAGCTGTTTGTTGTTTTCTACAGACACAAAGCAATGTCTTACCCTGATGCTCTTGTTGAACATTGTCCTCTCTGTCTCCCCACCCACTCATTTCCCAGGCTAATCTCCACTGGAACCTCTCTAGGTAGCCTTATCTGTTGGTGGCCCAAGGCTGGATTAGGTACAGTTGGGTACCTCATGCAGATCCACTCTGTCATAATCAACTCTTTACCTAGTTCTCCTCCTCTGAATTCTTAAGCTCACTGAGAACAGGGATGAAGCCTTTCTTATCTCTGTATAACATGTCTGACATCTAGTAGATACCCAATAAACACTGGTTAGATAAGTAAATGACTAGATGAATAAAAAGTAAAGCAAGTGCCAATTTAAAATGTAGCATTTTGGCTGGGCGCAGGGGCTCACGCCTGTAATCCCAGCGCTTTGGGAGGCCAAGGCAGGCGGATCATGTGAGGTCAGGAGTCCAACACCAGCCTGGCCAACATGGCAAAACCCTATCTCTACTAAAAATACAAAAATTAGCCAGGCATGCTGGTACATGCCTGTAATCCCAGCTACGTGAGAGCCTGAGGCAGGAGAACTGCATGACCCCGGGAGGTGGAGGTTACAGTAAGCTAAGTCCACACCACTCACTCCAGCCTGGGTGACAGAGATTCAAATAAATTGAATAAATACATAAAATATAGCATTTTTACTTAACGTAACTAATGGCACTTTAAAATTAGTCTTAAACATGGATATTCTAGCTATGTAGGATTTCAGTCAACAAACATTTATTGAACATCACTATACATTACAGAGTGAGCCAAACACTTTCACTGGCAAATACCACATCATCTCTACCTTTTTTTTTGAGACAGAGTCTCATTCTGTTGCCCAGGATGAAGTGCAATTGTGTAATCACAGCTCACTGCAGCCTTGAACTCATGGCCTCAAATGATTCTTCTGCCTTGGCCTCCCAAAGTACTGGGATTATAGGCATAAGCCACCGCACCCTGTCTCATATCTACTTTTATTGATAAAAAAAAGGAAGTCCTCCAAAACATGAAAGTGTAAGAATACATATATGGCTAAAAACATTCCCATCTCGCATGCCTATAGTCCCAGCTACTCAGGAGGCTGAGGCAGGAGAATCGCTTGAAACCGGGAGACGGAGGCTGCAGTGAGCTGAGATCATGCCACTGCACTCCAGCCTGATGACAGAGCGAGACTCCATCTCAAAAAAAAAAAAAAAATTCCATCTCAAGGATCTTTAATCAGGACTCCTGAAGCCCAACATAAACTGGTAACTTCACTTATCCATTGCAAAATGAATTTATCCAATGAATAAATGAAAAGTGAATAGGTTTAAAAAGATAAACGCTAAAATTCATTTCATTTTAAAAATTCTATGATTCTAATTTCAGTTATTTAGCACACAAAACATCTGAAAAAAAGAATAAAAGTGTAACACAGAAACTCTGACTATGCTGAAACTCTAAGAAATAAATAACAAATTTATAGCTATGTTTAATAAATCTTATTCCATTACTTTGCAAGTTCCACTTGTCATCTACTCTAATCACTACTACCTTTTTGTTCTTAGGTTACAAAGCAGTTACTGACACACAGGCATTTTCAGTTTGGCCAGGTGACCTGGGTGGCCCACCAGCCACTCTCTGTGATGGTCAGAGTATGTAACTCTCCAGTTCTACAGCAAATCTAAGGCCAACATGGTAACTGCATTGCCCTGCCAGTTTTGGTCTGGTTTGGGTAACTTCTGAGAAAGGTTTCTTAGCTCCTAAAAGACAGAGTCCTCCTTCCTTGACATGTTGGGTCCACTCTTGCAGGCATCTTTCATTTAGGAGAGGAACAAACCTTAGGATATTTTTATTGAGGATAGAAGGGTAGACAGACAGAAGAAGATTCTTGATGAAATTTTCAAGCTGTAGATCCAATCATGTCTGGTGCCCAGCCTGCTTTCTTAGTATTTAAACCAGTTTGAGTGGAGTTTGCTGTTACAGGCAGCCTAAAGCATTCCAACTTAAGTTCTTTGTGCAACATTCTATTTAATTTTTTTCAGAGCCATCATCAATACCAGAAATTATCTTTTGTGTGTTTACTTACTGTCTAACCTTTCTTCTTCTTCCTAACTAGAATAATGAGAACAGGAACTTATCTGTTTTATTCATCACTCTAGTCCCCAAAGCCTAGGACAATGCCTAGCAGAGAAGATTCTCAATAAATATTCCTTGATGAATGAAAGCATGAATCTTAGACAAACATAACCATGTATATAGCTTTTTAAAATCTTACTTCTTAGTCACTCAAACAATAATCTGTCTTTTCCTATTCTAATTTATTTTACTGAATCATGTTCAATATGACAAAAGAAATCAAAAAGCACACCAAAAAAAAGGCTAAAAATAAAAATTCAGTATTCAGTACTTCCCACCAGATTTCAGAAATGTTAGCCTGTGGCACAAATAAATCTCAAAGTATGTGTTAAGCAAACAGCTTTCTAAATGCCATATTTGTAACCAAGAAGTAATCTAAAAACACAAGAACCCAATTTGGTATGTTCTTTCTTAAGTAATAGTTAAATAACTTGGCCTTACTCTAAATAGGCCCATACTTCACAAAGTAAAACCCTGTGACTACATCACAGAATTACTTTTCACTTCCCTTCTCTACTCAAATACTTGGAACTATGACGAGTAACAGAATTATTTCTTAGGTGATATAATTTAAATGAAAACTTCACCTACAGTTTATGAGATTAAAAGTAAGACCCAACAAAGAACATCTGCATATTCCCCATTTCCTAATAGGTTAGTCACAGGAAAACAAAAGAAGAGTAGGGAAACTCCCTGTCCCTGAGCAAGAGAATGTAAATGTACATGATGTTTGGTGGAATGAAAGCATCCAATGGTCTACTTGTTAACCTCACCATAATTTTTGCCAAAAAAAAAAAAAAAAAAAAAAAAAAAAGCTTAGCAGGGCTTCAGACCATGAAAAACAAAGAAACAAAGTACTCATACTCTGGCAAATACTTAAATGAGTCTACATACACTAAATTACCTAGACCCAATCCCCGTGTCTTCTTTTTTTTTTTTTTTCCTTTTTTGAGACAGGGTCACATTCTCACTCTGTTGCCCAGGTGGAGGGCAGTGGCATGATCTCAGCTCAGTGCAATTCTGCTTCCTAGGCTCAAGCAATCCTCCTGCCTCAGCCTCCCCAGTAGCTGGGACTGACTATACAGGCACGTGTGACCATGCTCAGTAAATTTTTTTAAAAATCTTTTCAGAGATGAGATCTCCCTATTTCTACCAGGCTGGTTTAGAACTTATGGGCTCAAGCAATTCTGCCACCTTGGCCTCCCAAAATGCTGGGATTACAGGCATGAGCCACTGCGCCCTGCCTTTACCTTTTTTTTTTTTTTTGAGACAGAGTCTTGCTCTGTCGCCCAGGCTGGATTGCAGTGGTGCTATCTTGGCTCACTGCAAGTTCCACCTCCTGGGTTCACGCCATTCTCCTGCCTCAGCCTCCCGAGTAGCTGGGACTACAGGTGCCCACCACCACGCCCGGCTAATTTTTTTTTGTATTTTTAGTAGAGACGGGGTTTCACCGTGTTAGCCAGGATGGTCTCAATCTCCTGACCTCGTGATCCACCTGCCTCAGCTTCCCAAAGTGGCCTTTATCTTTTTTATCTAATTTCTGCCAAATTGTTGGCTAAACAGTAGATTCAAAAGTAGAAGAAAAAAAAAACAGTACAAAGATTGCTAGAAAGTCAAATAACATCTACTGCTGAAAAACCATAAAAGTTTAGCCTAAATAATAAGCACATAGAAAGATGCTTGACATCATTGGTCATTAGAAAAATGCAAATTAAAACTACAATACTATGCTACTTCAACACCCACTAGAAGGGCTATAATTTTTTAAAAAGCGGTAGCAAGTGTTGGCAAGGTTGTGGAGAAATAGGAAGTTTCAAACATTGCTAGTAGGAATGTAAAATGGTACAGTAACTTTGGAAAAACAGCTTAGCAGAATTTTTTAAGTATAAATTTACCATGTGACCCAGCAATTACACTCCTAGATATCTACTCCCAAGAGAAATAAAAATATATGTCCACACAAAGAACTGTGCATGAATATTCATAGCAGTATTATTCATAATAGCCAAAAATTGAAACAACACAAAAACATCCATCAACTGGTAAATGGAAAGTCAAAAGTGGTCTATCCACACAGAATGCTATTTAGCAATAAGAACAGCAAACCTTCCTTTGAAACATTTACAACACGGATGAACCTCAAAAACATTATGTGAGAACAAAAATGTTCTAAAATTGATTTATGGTGATGGCAGTACAACTCAGTAAATTTGCTAAAAATCAGTGAGTTGTGCACTTAATATAGGTAATTTTTTTTTTCTCACTCTGTCACCCAGGCTAGCATGCAATGGCACCATCTTGGTTCACTGCAACCTCTGCCTCCCAGGCTCAAGTGATCCTTCCACCTCAGCCTCCTGAGTAGCTGGGACTCTAGGCTAGGGCCACCACACTAAGCTAATTTTTTATATTTTGATAGAGATGGGTTTTCACCATGTTGCCCAGGCTGGTCTTGAACTCCTCAAGCAATCCACCTGCCTCAGCCTCCTAAAGTGCTGGGATTACAGGTGTGAGCCATTGCATCCAGCCCTGAAATGGGTAAATTTTATGATATATAAAATATGCCTCAATAAACTAGTAAAAAAAAAAAAACATTAGGTACTCAATTCACATTTTGTATATGTGCCAGAAATTAACATAGTATTCCTATTTTCAAGTACTTTAGCACATAGCAATCTAAAATTTGACTAAGCATAAAAGGTATATTCTCAGACAGAAACCAGTTGAACTGCAAAAGCACCTACCTACTAGTTAGTTGTAATACACTATAAATACTTAGAAAATCAGAATGTCTTCAATGCCTCATTCCCTTCATTAGGCAAAGCTCACATATTCATAAACCATGTCAGCTAAATCATGAAGCATAGAGAACCATTAGACAAAAACAGAAGAGGGAAACCAAAATGCAGTTTAGATTATAAAGCAAACAGAAAAGAGAGCTAAAGACATAATAAGCTCTCCTATCTCTACCTAGCATCCATTTCACTGGATGTCTAAGGCTCAGGGAGTTTGGAGACACTAAGTCTCCAAAGCCTTTTGAGGGGAAAGGAAACTAACCTTGATCTTACAGGTATAAGTTAATCACTCTATTTTTGTCACTCTGTGGACAATAAAACATTTATCAAAAAAAAAAAAGAGCCTAGCTTAAAGCTTTCCAATCTTGTACAGAATATAAAGAAATTTAGGAAGTTGGAGTAAAAAAGAATGGTGATGATGACCATAATAATTACTGTCAAAATTAACTGATCATTTTCTATGTGTCAAGTGCTAAGAAATTCACACATATGTTCTCATTTAATCTTTACAAAAACTCTAGGATGTGGGTAATATTATTATTCCCATTTTCCAGATGGGGAAACTGAAGCACAGATTAAGTTTTCCAAAGACCCAGTAGTTCCAACAAGTAAGTGGCAACAGCAGTGTCATCTGAAGGAAGGCCACCAAGGGGACAGCACTTTACAAGGGAATTCCTAAAGTAGCCCAGCACATTCCAGATCGAATCCTTCTCTTACAAGCCTTAGAGACTCTCTCTCTCTAGAAAAGTGTCCAGCAGTAATAAATAAGATGTAAATCAAGAGACTAGAGTGAACCCCAAGACATAAAAATCTGACTAGTCTCACTTCACAGGTATTGACTTTTCAGATCAACCTCAGCTCTCAGCTGAAAGGCAACCCTCCCAAACTTGGCTCAGAACCCACCTGCTATCCTTCTTCATTCCTGATTATTTAACTCTGTTCTGGAACAGCAAGATCATAAAAGGCTGAAAACTGAGCGGGGCTCTGTTCTCCTCACTACTCCCAAGACACCCAGAAAAGTTTTCACTCAGTCCGTCTTCTCCATCTGACTTCTACACTCATCTTCATCTGTGTAAACCCCTCAATCCATCAGGTCTGGGGAAATCCTTCTCTCAGTGCTGCCCATCACAGCCCTCAACGTCTGACCACTGCTGTGAGCACTCAGATCTTCCATACACTATTACCTATTAAAGGGTGCACATCCATCTGCCTAGCTACACAGGATGCTTTTGGGGCAGGAAGCATGTTCACATTGTTTTTGTATGCCTTGAAGTATCTAGTAAAACAGTAGCACCAGAAATACTTAATAGTTTCTAAAGTAAGAAGAGCTTTGTATTTTTGCTTTTTGGTATAACTACATTTCTATTTGTATTTTCTATTTGGCATACCAATACCCTAAGATTATAAACTCATTGATGTAACAGATAAAAACTTCATTTCTTTGTACAATATATTTTAAAAAAGAATGAGAGTAAGGGATTCAAGTGTGACAGACATAAATTACTTCTTTTCCAGAAGTACTAAAATCATTCTATATATTTTCACAGTTGCCAAAGCAAAATGTAAGCTTGTAGATAAATCGCTTTATTTTCTTATATTTCCAAATGAAGGATATTAAATAAACATCTTTTTCTTCAATGTAACACTAGATGAAACAAATGTAAAAATCATTTTAAAAAATGTAAAGTGGTTTCCTTTTGTCAAAATAATAAAGTGCCAAAAAGCTATTATAAATGGCAGGAACTAATACACATAAGTATAACTTACAGGGAGAAAGTTGAGCATAAAATTGTGAGCGTACCTATGTATAGGCTTACTGACCCCCAACAATGAAAAACAAAGACGAGGAGGAATTTGGAACAAAGCAAGAACATTTTCTTCCACTATAATTCTTCATTTCATAAAAGTAAAATGTTAATAACAAAAGAAAATGTGGTAAGAAAAGCACAGATCTGAATACATTTTTTAAAATTCCCATAACTAAACTATTTCATACCTGTAAACATGGCATGAAAATAAGGACTACAGGCGGCCAGCACCACTCTATGAGCAGAAATTTCCATGTCTTCTGCCACAATTGTGACATCGCACAGTAAATTTTGACTGTGTAAAAAGCAGAGAGAAAAAATTTAAATGATATCAACAATGAATGTATTGAACATCCTATGCAAAAATATTACAGTAAAGCCCACTTTCATCAAGTGGAGACTAATGTAAAAAACAGCCATCCTTTGGGACATGATCCCTAAACATGAAGTACATAGAAGACAGCTGGGATAAAGGCCCAACATGCCTTGGACCCTCACTAAGAATCCTGCCTTTGAAAAACACAGAAATCTTCCCAAACTTGATTATTGATTTCTCAACCTAAAGGCAATTACTGGCAGCAAACCATCAATGGACTGCAAAAGAAGAGGCTATCTGAATAAGAAGTAGCGGCAGAAGTGGCAGGTGTAGTCTGACATGAAGATGAAGAAAAAACACATGCCAAAAACTAAATTGGGTCAAATACCCGCCCCCTCCCCAAAAAAAAAAATCTTAAAAGACCCTAGTTCATCAAGCAATGGTAAAATTATATTCAGTTACACTTGCTGCTTAAAAGGCTTTGAGCATTTGAAGCTTAACTTAATCACAACATTTTACCAATGCAAAATATCTCATCCTTCAAGGCCAGAAAATATTACATCTAAAGTTAAAAAACACTTTGGCCAGGTGCAGTGGCTCATGCCTATAATCCCAACACTTTGGGAGGCCAAGGTAGTGTGGGGAAAAGCAAGAGAGATCAGATTGTTACTGTGTCTGTGTAGAAAGAAGTAGACATAGGAGACTCCATTTTGTTATGTACTAAGAAAAATTCTTCTGCCTTGAGATTCTGTTAATCTATAACCTTACCCCCAACCCCGTGCTCTCTGAAACATGTGCTGTGTCAACTCAGAGTTGAATGGATTAAGGGCGGTGCAAGATGTGCTTTGTTAAACAGATGCTTGAAGGCAGCATGCTCCTTAAGAGTCATCACCACTCCCTAATCTCAAGTACCCAGGGACACAAAAACTGCGGAAGGCCACAGGGACCTCTGCCTAGGAAAGCCAGGTATTGTCCAAGGTTTCTCCCCATGTGATAGTCTGAAATATGGCCTCGTGGGAAGGGAAAGACCTGACCGTCCCAGCCCGACACCCGTAAAGGGTCTGTGCTGAGGAGGATTAGTAAAAGAGGAAGGAATGCCTCTTGCAGTTGAGACAAGAGGAAGGCATCTGTCTCCTGCCTGTCCCTGGGCAATGGAATGTCTCGGTATAAAACCCGATTGTATGCTCCATCTACTGAGATAGGGAAAAACCGCCTTAGGGCTGGAGGTGGGACCTGCGGGCAGCAATACTGCTTTGTAAAGCATTGAGATGTTTATGTGTATGCATATCTAAAAGCACAGCACTTAATCCTTTACATTGTCTATGATGCAAAGACCTTTGTTCACGTGTTTGTCTGCTGACCCTCTCCCCACAATTGTCTTGTGACCCTGACACATCCCCCTCTTTGAGAAACACCCACAGATGATCAATAAATACTAAGGGAACTCAGAGGCTGGCGGGATCCTCCATATGCTGAACGCTGGTTCCCCGGGTCCCCTTATTTCTTTCTCTATACTTTGTCTCTGTGTCGTTTTCTTTTCCAAATCTCTCGTCCCACCTTACGAGAAACACCCACAGGTGTGTAGGGGCAACCCACCCCTACAGGTAGGTGGATGGATCACTTGAAGCCAGAAGTTTGAGACCAGCCTGGCCAACATGGCGAAACCCAGAATCTATTAAAAATACAAATATTAGCCAGGCATGGTAGACCACACCTGTGATCCCAACTACTGAGGAGGCTGAGACACAAGAATCACTTGAACCTAAGATGCAGAGGTTGCATTCAGCCAAGATCGCACCACCACACTCCAGTGACAGAGTGAGACTCTGTTTCAAAAAAAAAAAGCGTTTTGTTACCTCAAAACCATTATTCAGCAACCATATTATTGTATCTCTAATTTTAAAACATCCATTGTAATTCACTAAAAACATGTGGTGAGCATTTTTGACATGCAATACGTGGTGCCAGATCATACTATCCAGGTAATTAATAACGTCATAGAATATTTTTAACAGAAAACGTTGCTGATGCTTATTCTAGAATAAGCAAGAAGGCTCCAAAGCCTACAACCTGCCTTGCTAGTAGTCATACTATGAATGACTGAAACAGGTGTGGTGAAAGCAAATGTCCCTTGCACACCTCACATACCCAAGCACTGAATTTATGTCTATGTGCATAGTGCATGCAGGTCACACTTGGCACCCTCCTCTACTGTTCTATTTCCTAAAAAGTTGGCCTGCCTACTTCTGTAATTTTCTAGTAGCTTACAAGCAACATTTTCCATGAGCTTGACGAAGTCCTTGAAGTTTTCCACCTGTCCATACTGCTTGCAAACTTGTTCCCATAAAGTTCATGCCAAAACTTTTTGGAGAGCCTACTGGTAACTATTCTCCTTCCAGTTTAGGAGAAATGGAAGAAAAAAAGACTACCCCAGCATCAGTGATGACTGCATCCCAGGGCCTCATTGCTGATGAGACTGCTATGCCATTTAGATTATAGTATGGCTCGTGTGTTACCAGTTTAATGGCTCATGATGCTGTATGAGACATAAAGCAGGTCTCATATTGGAGTCATAAAAGGTGGCACAGTATCACTAATTTACAATTCCTCCAGATCATTTTAGAGAACTGACAAAGTTTACCATCTGCTCTGAGAATATAAAACCATTCTGCAATTCTATGAATTCCATGGGTTCACATATAACTAGGGTGGAAAAGTCAGTGGTGTCAGCAGTGTTTTCAGGAAGGTACTATGCAAGAGTTTTACCTGCATGTATTATTTCATTTAGTGCCCACCACAATGTTATAAGGTATTATTTTTATCCCCAAATTTATAGCTGGGGAAACCAAGGTTAAAGTCCTCCAACTAGAGGCAGTGCCAGGATTCAAATCCACAGGCTAACTCCAGAGCCTCTTGACCACTACACAAAACCTAAAGCTATACTGTTTTAAGATCTGTTAAAGTTTGAATAAAACAAGAAAGGGAAATAGTAAATAAATTATAAATAATAACAATTTATTTTTTGACATACAATACACTAGAAAGTATTTTTAAGTTCTATATATAGCTAATAAAAGCTCCAAATTTAGTGGGTTTTAAGCACTACCTCTACAGAATATTTTTAAAAATCAAAGTTTGTTCATTCATTCAACAAAGTACTGCAAGACCATCTCTGCCCTTAAGAAGACCACCAGAAAAAACTGGCAACGCAAAAATTATAGGATAAAGTGGAAAGCACCGTAATAAAGATGTTATGGAAAGGTTGGGGTGGGGGGGCTGCGTTTAAATCAGACTGGGGATCAGAAAGGGCTTCCTGCAGCTATTGGCCTTAAACTGAGTTCTAAAAACAAGTAAGAGTTAGCTGGATCGAGAAGGAGCAAAAGAATCCCAAAGAGAACATGATGTACTATCGCATGGAGACCTGAAGCAGCAAAGCAGAATGCGGAACTGTGGGCCAAGAAGAGTGGGGACAGAGAAGGGTGGGAGCGAAGAAACTCTGGAGGCAGGTAAGCAGGGTCAGCAGAGCATGCATGGTCTCTCTAGAATAAAGCAATCCAGGTTTCTCTTTCGTGACCTGGGGATTTGAACACAACTCAAACATGAGTCAAGTGCATCTTTATGCCTATTTTCCTTTTGTCAGTAATCCCTCCTAGTGCTTTAGTTTCAAGATGGAACACAAGTGGAATTACACCTGAACACCTCAAAAATCACATAACTAATTACATTTGGCTTCAATTACAATTATTCATTGATCCAAACCTTCTAACATAATACCTGCTGGCTGTCACTTACATAATTAACTTGGCCTTACTGACTTATTAGTTGATGTTAGTTAACTAATAAGGTTAAAACACTGCTAAAATATTATGCAGCCACATCCTGGGTTAGGTCTCAGAGCCACTTTACACATTAAGGACATGCTTAGTTTTAGTATTCAATTTTTTATCTGTCTTCAGTAATAACATATTTTAAAACAGCATTCAGAGATGAGAGAGCTAACAAACTCTTACTAGTTTGTGTCACTAAGTACACAATGAGTGTATATCAGTGTGTGTACATTGAGTCTGGCCCTTACCTCTTTCCAAATTTGCATGCTTACAAGAAGCTGAATGACTTTTGAGTGAGAGAGCTACAAATGAAAAGTCTGGCACTAAAAATAAGAAAAACTTCTTTTAGCAGCCCATATGCAAAGTCTTCCATGGTGAATTTCTAAGTTTATGTTCCTATTACTTGAAATCTAATGAGGGATAAACTGTAGGAAAAGAAGGCCTCCAAAATAATGGTATAAATAAGTTGTTATTTAGCAAAATTTGCATTTATTCATTCACTTATCAAGGACTGTGTGAGCTTACCAAAATAAACAAGATTAACAGCCATGACAGTATGAAGTTTACAGTCATGTGAGGGAGACAGACAAGGAAATAAGTGATTATAAAATGAACCCATGACTTTAAGATGGGACAAGTGTGGGATATTTGGAAACACACAGGAGAAGCTAGGCTCAACCTTATGGAAAAGCTTCAGAATGAAAGTGGCTTCTAAGCTCAAATCTAAAGGGAAAAGAACAGGAGTTAGATAGGCTTAATGTAAAACTCAAATAGCACAGAATAAAGGAAGGCACTCCATCTCCTAAATAAAATTGTATCATGAAAATTGGTCCTTCTCAGGAAAAAAAGAAACTGCTTTGAAAAGGTATGAAACATGCCTGAACACACTAAGGCATCCTTGGGTCTTCTGATATAAAATGAATGAATTCCTAAGACTGAGAAAAACCTGTCACTGCTTTTAAAATGCACGGTGTCTATCTTCTTAAAAGTAAAATATGTCTCATAATAGGGTGACTGTAGTCAATAACAATTTAATGATACATTTAAAAATAACTAAAAGAGTATAACTGGATTGTTTATAACACCAAGGATAAATGCTTGAGGTCATGGATATCCCATTTACTCTAATGTGGTTATTATACATTATATACCTGTATCAAAATATCTTAGGTATACCTGAAGAAAAAGGGAGACCCCCTTAAGTTCACTGTTTAATTCACTTGCCATCTAAGTAACAAAGTATGAATTCATACAATAGACACAATAACAATTTAGCCAAAATTCAACAGCCACAAATCAAATGTTTTTATGGATGCACAACAGATAATCTAATCCTAGTAGTGATATAGGTCCCATGATGCCTAAAATCCTGGAGGAAAAACACAATAACCATTCCTTTAAGAGGGCAGATCAGGCTATTTTGCTTAAATATCTTCTGGAATGTTAAGAACTGCTGTTATGAATGAACAACTCAATATTTATGGGTTGTACAGGATATAAAGGTGAACATTTGAATTGCTTCATATGATTCATCCTTACTGAATACTTTCAACTCCTAAATATTAAGGATCAAACTTACATTCCTTGTAAATAAAGCTAATAGGTTGTGCCCCCACCACTAATACTCATTGAAATTGTTAAAGCTCAAGTACAGTCTTATCCTATAGCCTAAAAAACAGTAGGTTTTTTTTTTTTTTTTTATTTTAAACACAAAATGCCACCTTTCAACAGTTGCTCTTTGGTCTTCTCCAAAAGCTAGCAATCTAATTTTGTCAATAAAACTTATCTGGGCCAGCCTAGCCAACATGGCAAAATCCTGTCTCTACTAAAAATATAAAAAATTAGCTGGGTGTGATGGCACGCACCTGTAATCCCAGCTACTCGGGAGGCTGAGGTGGGACAATCGCTTGAACCCAGGAGTTGGAGGTTGCAGTGAGCTGAGATCACGCCACTGCATTCCAGCCTGGGTGGCAGAGTGAGATTGTCTCGAAAAAAAGAAAAAGAAAAACTTACCTGGGGTACAGTCTGCTTCTCTGTCCCCTCTATAGACCTAATACAGTGTGTTGCACATTATAAGCATTCTGTGAAGATCTATTGGGTTGATTTTGAAAATGTCGGTGTTTTGAAAAATTTCCCCCATCCACACTTGGGAAATTTAGAGTTAAGATCTGAATTTCCCACCAGAGATGCACTGCTGACCTAAAAGCCGTCCTTTCACAACTCCAACATCATTAATCTTAGCATGATGCTCTGTTTCCCAAAAGCCTTCACTGAATCCCACTGCCCAGAGGATTAAGTCCGAATTCATCATACTATTTAAGCCTGCCACAATTCTGCCCTTCTCTTGCTTCCTAACCTTTTCTGCACAGACTCCCCAGGATGAACCCTTGATTCACTTTATCCAACAGATGATGTTTATTCCCTCCCTGACTTGTGCAATTAATCATGCCAGGAAAGACATTCCCACTCCATCCCCTCAGTGAATCCTGCTGCACTCCCATCAAGGCCCAACTGAAGCCCACCTCTGTGGGCTGTGTGAATTTTCCCCATGAGAATCCGTTTGGGCACCCATGATTTGCACACTTTTTCACTGCCTCATCCTCCTCTCTGTATGTGTCCAGCAGCTCTCTAGACACTCAAAGGGCATGGCCTAAGTCTGATACTGTTTTTGGATCCCACATAGCCTTTCAGGCATATTAGCTGATTAGGTGCTCACCAATACTTGTTGAATACATTGTTTACATATGACTGCAGGGTTTTTAAACCAAATAATTTCAAGATATTCAAGCTCTTACCAGGCTGGGATATAAAGCTAGGTCTCTGGGCCTCCTGTCTAAAAACAATTAGTTTAAGAAATCAATAAAATGTCATGTACTTTTTCTATCAAACAATTTTAATTCTGTAACTTAAACCTTACAGAACTCCTGTCTTCCTACCCCCATTCCCACAACCACACCTTACATCAGCCATAATTGAAAGTGACTTTTACTCCTAAAATTTTGCTTCCATCAGCCAAAGGT
The DNA here is from genome assembly GCF_000001405.40 of Homo sapiens. Lineage (NCBI taxonomy): Eukaryota > Metazoa > Chordata > Mammalia > Primates > Hominidae > Homo > Homo sapiens. The sequence goes on along the minus strand of NC_000004.12, from coordinate 119,337,289 downwards.
TCACATTAACATTCTTCGGAGTACAGCTGTTGCTGTACCACTTTGAGGTTAGAGCCCAAGGGCAGAGTGGTGAGAACAAGGAAGTTCTCCCTTCCCAGAAGTCAGGAAAACACTCTCAACTACCCTTTCTGGGCAAGAGGAAGTTGATGCAAGGACAGGAAATAATTAATGATTTTCAGCTGTACAAGGAATAGGCCTCTTCAGAGATTTTTTTAAAAAGAATTACTCAAAATGGCTATAAGATTTAAGGGTGGAAGGGAATGACATTTTTAAAAAGGTCTGATGAACCCGAACGACAGTCCATTTTTAAAAATACTGTTGTTGTTGGCGCTTTCATTAAAACAATCCAGGTTGTAGACCTGGCAGCCAATACTCTGGCTATTCAAAGGTCATTCTTTGTTCTGAAAATCAGCATCAACTACCAGCCCAGTGACATACTAGCTGCTGAAAGGGTGCCACACAAAGAACAAGAAGGTACTATCTCACAGTTATAGAGTTCACATCCAAAAAGGGGCAAACAGATGAATGAAGACTGGAGCTTATAAATAATCCTAGGGCCAGGCAAGGACACCACAGGGCTTGCAGGTAAGCAGGAAAAACATCTCTAGGCTGAGAATGTCAGAGCAGCACTGAACCTTAGACACCATCTTGTCCATGCCTCTCATTTTATAGTCAGGCTCAAACAAGTAAAATAACTGGCTCGAGACCAGAGTCTGTCCCCAAACTCAGGTCGTTCACCCCAAGGGAAGGAGCACTTGGTGTTACCTTCCCTGCAGTTTAGTGAGTCATGCCCAGGTCAACAGAGACCCACTCACATTAACACCAGCAGAAAGCCAAGGCTACCCGTGCCCCACCCATAGGAGTGGGGAAAAAGAACATTTGAATAGTCCTATTAAAAGTCAGTCTTTTTAGACTTCTCAAAGAGAAAAAAGAGCCATTAAAGATCCCAGTCTTAAAACAACCAGACTATTTTTCCTACTTTTCTTGCAGTTCCACTTAGTAACCAATGCATTTTACATTCTAATAATTACTGTCAAAACAGGATTAAAAACCTGAAACAGTACCCTGAGACTTGCTGGATTATTCCAGCTATATATTCTCCCAAAGAATAAGTGAAAACCCACATTTTGAAAATGTTGTCAAAGCGGTACTAGAAAGCAAATCAAATGATCCAATATTCAGTTTAACTTTCTCTTATCTCTCTCCAATCCATTCTTTACCCAGCAGCCAGTGTGTTCAAAATATAAATCTGATCAGGTCACACTCCTGCTTAACACTCTCCACTGGCTTTCTCTCAAGGCAACTCTTGATTAAGACCAAAATTTCAGGACCTCAGTCCAATGGCCCCTCCTACCAACTCAGCTGCCTCTCCTGTGTGATTCCATCGCCATGTGCACTGCAGCAACACTGTCAGTTCCTCCAATGAGGCCAGCTCCTTCCTACCCTAAGTTGTGGCACTGCATTCCCAATGCCTGGAACACTGTTCTCCCTCTCCTCACTCCCATCCTGACTTTATCCCCTTATCTTCTTTTCCTTCTAGATATCAGCATAATTATTCCTGTCTTCTCAAGAAAGCCTTTCCTGACCACTGTTATCCACCTTTCTAGCACCAGCAGCCCTCCTTTGCAGCACTTACTGTCATTACAGTAAATTATTTTTGTGATTCTTTGATGAATGCCTACTTCCTGCAGTCAGCTATGGGCCCACAAGGGTGGCAACCATATTTGTTCTTGCTCACCATTGTACCTACAGTACCTAGCAGATAAATATTTATTGAATCCCTAATTTAATTAAAGAAGAAACAAACAAATGATGGGCCTAAAAGGGAGAGCTTTTAGGAAGCATAGAAAGATTAAGGAAGGTTTAATCCCTTCTTAGCCAGGCTTTCAGCATTTCAGATAGATATACGTAGAGTACTTTCACAAAGGGAATGGTGGGAAAAAGCAGATCTTTCATAAAGTGCTAAGAAAATAAAAGCAAGACTCTTAATACATATATTACCCTTTTAATTAAAAAAAGCTACTCATTTTTCAATCAACTTTTAACACTACTTAAAAGTTGCAGTGATCCTTAGTACACTTGAGAATTACCTCAGCAACAGGCAGGTCACTGCCCCCCAAAACTACCACCACTCCCACAAAAAAAGGGTTACATTTTTCTCTAAAAGTTTCTTTCCATATTCTTTGCCACAGTAAGTTAGAAGCCCTAGACCAGCACTGTCCAATATAAACATAACGCAAGTCACAATTTTATAGTAATCACATTAAAAAGGTAAAAAGAAACAAAAGAAATTAATTTCAATAATATATTCTCTTATTTTTAACTTTAACAGAAAGAAAATAGGGACAGAGTCTCACTGTGTTGACCAGGCTGGTCTCAAACTCCTGGCTTCAAGTGATCCTCCTGCCCTGGCCTCTCAAAGTGCTGGGATTATAGGCATGAGTCACCGCACCTGGCCTACTGTATTCTTTTTAACTCAAAATATCTAGTATATTATCATTTCTACATGGAATCAATACATTTAAAAGTATGAATAAAATATTTACATTTCTTTTTTTTGCATTTAGAAATCCCCTGTGTATTTTTCACCTCCAAACTATCTCATCAGACTAGCTGTATGTGGCTAAGTGGCTACCACACTAATAGAGGAGCCCCACACCATCCACACTTCTGATAAATTATTTGCTCTTTTCCTTTAAAAAACTTGCAGAAAAAGGTTTTAATGTTCTGTGTACCAGAAAAAGCAACAATGGAAGGTTGATTATATATTCACTACAAACAACTGAAAAATAAAGGGACGAAACCAATGGTTGCATGTACATTAGTATAATGATACCTTCTTAATTCGTTCATGACTTTGAAAGCTTTCTTCATATGCCAAGGATTCACTGTCACTGGGCAGTGTTTTTCGGTATTATCATCTTTTGAATCAAGAGGCTTCTGATGACCCTGCTTTGTGCACCTGTACATAAAAGAAAAGAACAAAAACAGAAAAAGATCTTATTAAAGATCATTTAGTTCAGCTTATCAAGCTACAAGAGAGACAATGAATGTCTCCTTCCCCTACTTATTTAGAGGAAGTCTCATGAACAGAATATCCCAATGTAAGGTTAAGACAATTGAGAACAGTTTCTGATGGACACTATGGTTTCAATAAAAAGTGGGTAATTACCTCCCTGGTGTCAAAGTTCCGTCAAAGATCAACACAGAATATTCAGTAGAAGTGGCTTAGCAGATATCTCCAAATAAAACTGTTGAGAAATGATCTTCTCCATTGGAAATTAACTTGCTTTTACAAACTTCTATAGTCGTACGTTATTAACAAACCAAGACAGAGCAGGATCATATTTTACACAAACTTCAGAAACTTAGAATCTGATTTAAATTTTGCTCTCTACCTGCCAGGATATATTAACCCCATATATTTTGACCTATACTAACAAGAGATTAATTGAGATTAATCATGTTAGTTAATAGTTATTGGGTATTTACTATATGGCAGCCCTGTGCTGAGCAGTTTACTTTCATTATTTGGTTAATCCTCACAACAACTCTCTGAGCAAATTACTATTATTATCCCCATTTAACAGATGAAGAGAATAGTTTGAGTAACGGTGTAAATGGTAGGGCTGGGTAAGAGTATGGCCAGTCTGATTCTCCATCTTGTTCTTTTCACTAATATTTCAATACCATTTCCTACACTGAACAGTGAATATTTAAATTTACATTTTTTAAGCACACAAGGCTATACTAGCATTGCTACATGAATTATTCTTTCAAGACTTAGGACCATAAAATTAACCAAAAAAATCAGGGTCCCATGAGGAGGGGGGCAAGAATTAACTGCAAATTAATGAACACAAGACAACTTTTTGAAGCAATGGTTATAAAACTTTATAAATTTAATAAAAATCATTAGATTGCACAATTATAATGGGTGGATTTATGGTATGTAAATTATACCTCAATAAAGCTATTACATAAAAAATCAGGGCACCAATTTTTTAACCAGGCTTAAAAAATGAAGTCTAAAAATATCATACTTGTATATATATCAAAGAACAAGCAAAATCATTATTAATTGCTGCATTTCTCTTCCTTTCCTGACCCATTTCTAAAAGGATGATTCATTTTTAAATATCATTCATTAATTCATTCAGCAATTTTTTTTTAGTACCAACCATGTACCAATCGCTACTCTTAAGGCACTTGGAATATATCAGTGAATAAAACAAAGATCCCTGTCCTCATAGAGCTTGGAGTCTGGTGAGGGGAAAGGGGAAGACAACACAAGTCAGGGAAGCAACTGGCATGTTAGGAAATGGTGTTATGGAAATAGAAAAAGCAGGGCAGGGTGAAGAGAGTGAGAAATGTGGGGATGGTGGAGGGGTGTAATCTGCAGTAAATAGGGTGCTCAGGGAAGGCCTAGTTGAGAACTGAGATTTGAACAAAAGACTAGGGGGTGTGGGAACGTCCGGATGGAAGTAGTAACTACAGCAAAGGCCAATATGTACCTGGTATGTTCCAGGAACTACGGCCCTTGCAGCTTTGGCAAAAGGCTGGGGCTGAGCAGGAGAGGGGAGTGCAGATCACAATGGGCCTTTTAGGATATCCTAAGGCCTTTCACTTTGAGTGAAATGAGGAGACACTGCAAAAGAGTGACACAATCCGACTTATGTTTTCCAAAGACCACTTTGGCTGCTGGTTGAGAACACTCTACACGGGTCAAAGATGAAAAGGGGGCAACTATTTAGCAGGATATTACAATAATTCACTAAGAGATGACAGTGGCTTAGGGAGGATAGTTGCAGTGGAGGTGATGAAAACTGGCTGGGTTCTGGACATTTTGAAGATACAGCCAACGAGATCTGTTGAAACAACCATATGACATGTCAAAGAAAGTCAGAATGACTCCAAGTCTTTTGGCCTGAACAAGAGAAAGGACTGAGTTTCTGTTCATTGAGATGAAGAAGGCTGCAGGTGGAAACTGTTTGAGATAGGCAGAGATCAAGAGCTGTTTTTATACATGTTGGTTTTAAAACATCAGACATCCAAGTGAAGGCATCAAATCACCAGATAAATATTGGAGTCTAGAGTTGGAGAGAAAAGTTTAGCTGGAGGCAGAAATGTGGGAATCACTGGTTACATGGATGGTACATGAAGCCATGAAACAGGTACTCAACATGAATATAACCTCTAAAATTAAGCAAACCCCAAACCTTTACCTCTCACTTAACTAGTTATTCCTAATATATATGTATATATATCTCACATCTATAGTTTTAGACATTATGCATCATTTTCTGTTCTGCTTCTGAATGAGAAGCCACAGCCTCCCAAGTAGCTAGGATTACAGGCACACCATGCCTAGCTAATTTTTGTATTTGTAGTAGAGACGGGATTTCGCCATGTTGGCCAGGCTGGTCTTGAACTTGCAACCTCAGGTGATCTGCCCACTTCGGCCTCCCAAAGTGCTGGGATTACAGCACTTTTCCTACCCAGTAGGAAAGATGTCTGGGCTGGATCTCTAAATTTTAGAGACATATGGTTTGAACATTAAGACATGAGAATGAAAAAGATGATCGAGGTAGATTGTATGGAATAAAAAGTGATTTAAAGATGCAATTCCAACATTTAAGGTATCTGTCAGTTAAGGAAAAGTTGCTTATGGAAGAGCCTGAAAAGAAGTATCCAGAGAAGAGGAATGTCAAGAAAGAAAAAAGTCAGCAAAAGAAAAGGAGAAATTAAAAAGAAGAAGAAGAAGAAGAAGAGTCAATGGTATGCAATGCTACAATGACATAAAATAAGGGCCAAGATGTGCACTGGGTTTGGCAACTAAAAATTCATCTATGACCTTAGTGAGTAGTTTCAGTGGACTGGTGAATATGAAAGCCATGTTGCAGTAGATTGAGGTATTAATGAAGGATAAGCATGTGAAGACAAAAAGTACAAATTATTTTTTCAAGAAGCCTGGCTACAAAGAGAAGGAGAAAGATTGAGTAGGTTCTAGAAATGTCAACAGAATTTAGGTATCTTTATGTCTTATAATGGGAGAGACTTGATCGTCTTCACATCCCACCTCATCCAAATAAGCAAATAAATAAAAAAGAAAGAGAGGGTGATAGGAAGAAACAGGGAGAAAAAAAAAAAACTTTACATGTGACACACTATTGCAATTTCAAGCCTTGCTTTCCCTTGACTGAAACTGTGTCTATTTTTCTGTTTATAATGTGGCACAGTGCCTAGACCATAGGAGGAATTAAAATACACATTGAAAGAGTAAGTGGGTTGACATGGTTTGATGTTGTCCCCACCCAAATCTCATGTTGAAATGTAATCCCCAATGTTGGAGGTTGGGCCTGGTGGGAGGTGATTGGCTCAAGGGGGCAGATTTCTCATGAATGGTTTACCATTCCGTTGGTACTGTACTCGCAATGGTGAGTTTTCACGAGATCTGGTCATTTAAAAGTATGTGGCACCTTCCCCCTCTCGCTTGCTTTTGCCATGTGATGTGCCAGCTCCCCCTTTGCCTTCCACCATGATCGGAAGCTTCCTGAGGCCTCCCCAGAAGCACATGCCACCATGCTTCCTGTATAGCCTGCATAATCATGAGCAAATTAAACCTCTTTTCTTTATAAATTACCCAGTCTCAGGTATTTCTTTATAGCAATGCAAAAACAACCTCATACGTGAGTGTAACAATTAATAGGAGTAAAGAAAGTAATAGTAGGTAACTTTGTAATTGAGAAGGCATAAATTGAGGGAATTGTTTGATGGTTTCTTTCCTCTGTGAAGTAATGTGCAGGTTGTCTGCTGAGGGCAAAGGTAAAAGGCTACAGGAGGGTGACTAAAGGCACAGCCATTGTCGCAAATGTGGAGGAAGCTGATTGAAATACACAGAAGTCATTCCAGGGAGTGCTGATAATTACTCTAAGACTAGAAACCATGCATGCCTAATAGCACCTAGGTCAGTGCAGGAAAAAGTGAGAGAGTTTTAAAATTGGAAACAGGATATCAATTGAATAAAGAATTTAAACAAACAGGAGGGGGCTTTAACTTGAGAGGAAATAGAGGCAACAACTAAGAAAATTTCTCTCCCAGCCAATAACTAATGTGCAGAATAAAATAAAGGAGCTGAGAGCATGGAAAGTTGTGGTCAGAGTGGCATGTTAAATACAACAGAAGGAGCAGCTTTAATGATGACAGATCACAGGACACAGCCCTGGATGTAAGTAGATAAAGCATAAAAGAAGTAAAGGTCATTAGATATGAGGGGGTTAAGGAGCTGTGAAGCCAGACTGACAAGTGGCTTATCCACATGGACTTTGAGGTCACCCAGGATGATGGCAGGACACAGATGATGGTGAGCCAAGTACCAAGATTTTCAGTGATAGATGGTAGATGATAATGCTAGAGGGAGTGGATGGTAGATAACAATGATGAAGTAGGCTGGACCACAGCCAAATGGGAGTGGTCTCAGAAAACAATATTTTGTTTTGAAAAAGGCAGAAACATAATGGTTTGGTTGTGGCAGTAGGGAGCTGTGATAATGCAAATCCATCTTTTTCTACCTGTGGTATGAGGGGCATAGGAGATGAACAACCTCTTATCTACATTGCTTGAAAGTGGCTCATCATTTCTGGGATAAACCCAGACTAAGAAGGAGTCATAAATTCTTCATGCAAGATCATTCAATGGACACATTAATCTTCTAAAATGGCTGTTTTCTTAGGCTGTTTTGTTATTAATGAGAATTAGCAAGCCACACTCACCACTCTATGGTAGACATTCTCCTGCACACTGCTGTACATTTATAATCTCTTTGAAAGAAAACCAACCAGTCATCCCAGATACAAAATCTAAAACCTAATTAAATAGGTCATAATATTTCTAAAATTTAGAGGCTAATCATTAAAACAGAATGAAATAAGCTTTGTCGGCAAACTTCAGAATTCTCTCTCATTCCCCATTCACTGCTAGGGATTTGACAGTAACCTTAAGACTTTCCTGTTACTCCTTCTATCTGTCCCTCAAATCCTTCTCTCATATATTTCTGATAGAGACCTCTATTTTTTGACATATAAAAAGCTAAACAACTTAAGATCAAAAAATAGGATACATAAATTCTGAGATGATTAGAATATGCCTTAAAATGCTATTTCACAATAAGGATATATAAAGAATAATACTCTACAAAAACACTCCCTTCTATTATACAATGGGGTAAAAGGATTTTTGTGATCTCTAAAACATTATTCCTTTGAGATGAGATTTTAACATCCTATTGCCCTTGCTAATGATGTCGCTGGGCTTCATGATAACAATATTCCTTTGGTTATCATGAATCAGCTGTTCTTGTCTTTTATGAGCTACTCTGAGACCTTTAGAAGGTCATTACACCTGGGAGAAGAAGGGTTGCCTGACTCACTCTTGATAGTTCGAGGCAAGAATCTTTGAGCAATCAGCATCCAAGCTGAGACCTGAAGCAACAGAGGCATGGACATTCAGGGGATTGGGGACTGCAAGAAGTTTAATAGATCTAGATCTTGCAGTACACAGTAGGGAATGGAAAAATCAACTGGAGATTTAAGTAGTGGCTTTGTAAACCATGCTAAGGATTGTGGTTTGTACTTTCCCTTGGAGGAATGGAATAGGGATCCACAGGAGTTTCTGCTGATTTCCACTTCTTCCAGACCACTCCGTGGGTGATGTTGACTGTAGAGCCCAGAGAGAGAGGGTACAGCTATAGCTCTACCTCCATAGCATCTGCATCCACATGCACACATATACTTAGTCCACTCACGACCCCCAAACTGCAATACTCAAGTCTTTTAATATTATCAAAATGGAAAAGAAAGGGCTGGGTCTGCCCTTAGCTGGTTGGCTCAATCATATCATCAGTAGAAAAGGTCTGTAGAGAAATTGGTCCCTAAGTTCCGTATATTATTTTCTAGATGGACTACAGATAAGTGATAAAAACCGAGGGGCTACAGAATTGGGTAGCTGGAGAAGGAAAAGTGTAATGTTAAAAATGTAATCTGAGCATTAATAAAAAAAAAAACTAATGATGCTACTTAACAGAGATAACAGGATGTCCTACCTAAGGTTAAATTAGGTCACTGCCACTGATAAATTTAAGACTGAAAGTTTAACATGCTTATTTTGTTACCAGCCTTCTGTGAGCCCAAGGGCTATTTGCTTTATATTTATCCTATTTGGATCCTTCTGCGAAGCTTAAAATGGCCATGAGACACGGGTTAGGTCATGGTGAAAATGGTAAGAAGCCACTTTAGTTTCTTCCTGCCAACCTTCCTTCTTGAATCAGACACTTTAATTTCAATTGCTATGAGATCACATAGTGGAAACATGTATTCCCAGAGGGTGATACAGTGCAATACTATCCTTAACAGGCAAATCCAAGGCATAGCCAGTCCCAAGTTGATCACTAGTGCAAATCATAAAATACCTAAGTAACTTTTAGGTGACTTTCTCATAAACACCAGAATGACATGGGTTTTCTTAACAAAATATCACTGGTTTGAGACCTAGGATGCTTCTAAAACATTGTTATTGCTCCCAGATTTCCTTTCTCAGAGAATTAGGAGAGAAACAAAGGTTTGTTGAGGACCTGTTATCTATAAGTTGTTTCAGGTGGGTGCTTTATGTAATTTGTTCATAAAATATACATATCAGGTATTATTATTGTCTTCATTTTATTGATGAGAAAACTGAGGCTCAGAGAGATTGAGTAAGTAATGTGACGAAGATTCTGCAGAGTAATGTATGTTTAGTCAGCACTGAAACCCAAGTCAATGGGTCTTGTTTCTAAAACACATGTTCTTTTCACTCTACCATACGTTTATTTCAGTGACCAGATACATGTAGTTTTCTGACCTAGAAATAAAGATTGGATTCATTATCCATAGGCTTCTGAGTTCACAAATCACCACAGCCAGTCAACTACCTGAGAGACTGTTGAGTCCTCAGCTTTAAACAAAGTTTTCTACTTCCCTCCAAGTTGAAAGTGTAATAGAGACATAAAAAACCCTTCAAAAAATCAATGAATTCTGGAGCTGGTTTTTTGAAAAGATCAACAAAATTGATGGACCACTAGCAAGACTAATAAAGAAGAAAAGAGAGAAGAATCAAATGGATGCAATAAAAAATGATAAAGGGGATACCACCACCAATCCCACAGAAATACAAACTACCATCAGAGAATACTATAAACACCTCTACGCAAATAAACTAGAAAATCTAGAAGAAATGGATAAATTCCTCGGCACATGCATCCTCCCAAGACTAAACCAGGAAGAAGTTGAATCTCTGAATAGACCAGTAACAGGCTCCTAAATTGAGGCAATAATTAATAGCTTACCAACCAAAAAAAGTCCAGGACCAGATGGATTCACAGCCAAATTCTACCAGAGGTACAAGGAGGAGCTGGTACCATTCCTTCTGAAACTATTCCAAACAATAGAAAAAGAGGGAATCCTCCCTAACTCATTTCATGAGGCCAGCATCATCCTGATACCAAAGCCTGTCAGAGACACAACAAAAAAAGAGATTTTAGACCAATATCCCTGATGAACATCGATGCAAAAATCCTCAATAAAATACTGGCAAACCAACTCCAGCAGCACATCAAAAAGTTTATCCACCATGATCAAGTGGGCTTCATCCCTGGGATGCAAGGCTGGTTCAACATACACAAATCAATAAATGTAATCCAGCATATAAACAGAACCAACAACAAAAACCACATGATTATCTCAATAGATGCAGAAAAGGCCTTTGACAAAATTCAACAACCTTCATGCTAAAAACTCTCAATATATTAGGTATTGATGGGACATATCTCAAAATAATAAGAGCTATCTATGATAAACCCACAGCCAATATCATACTGAATGGGCAAAAACTGGAAGCATTCCCTTTCAAAACTGGCACAAGACAGGGATGCCCTCTCTCACCACTCCTATTCAACATAGTGTTGGAAGTTCTGGCCAGGGCAATCAGGCAGGAGAAGGAAATAAAGGACATTCAACTAGGAAAAGAGGAAGTCAAATTGTCCCTGTTTGCAGATGACATGATTGTATATCTAGAAAACCCCATCGTCTCAGCCCAAAATCTCCTTAAGCTGATAGGCAACTTCAGCAAAGTCTCAGGATACAAAATCAATGTGCAAAAATCACAAACATTCTTATACACCAATAACAGACAAACAGAGAGCCAAATCATGAGTGAAGTCCCATTCACAATTGCTTCAAAGAGAATAAAATACCCAGAAATCCAACTTACATGGGATATGAAGGACGTCTTCAAGGAGAACTACAAACCACTGCTCAATGAAATAAAAGAGGATACAAACAAATGGAAGAACATTCCATGCTCATGGGTAGGAAGAATCAATATCGTGAAAATGGCCATCCTCCCAAAGTAATTTATAGATTCAATGCCATCCCCATCAAGCTACCAATGACTTTCTTCACAGAATTGGAAAAAACTACTTGAAAGTTCATATGGAACCAAAAAAGCCCACATTGCCAAGTCAATCCTAAGCCAAAAGAACAAAGCTGGAGGCATCACGCTACCTGACTTCAAACTATACTACAAGGCTACAGTAACCAAAACAGCATAGTACTGGTACCAAAATAGAGATATAGACCAATGGAACAGAACAGAGCCCTCAGAAATAATGCTGCTTATCTACAACGATCTGATCTTTGACAAACCTGACAAAAACAAGAAATGGAGAAAGGATTCCCTGTTTAATAAATGGTGCTGGGAAAACTGGCTAGCCATATGTAGAAAGCTGAAACTGGATCCCTTCCTTACACCTTATACAAAAATTAATTCAAGATAGATTAAAGACTTAAATGTTAGACCTAAAACCACAAAAACCCTAGAAGAAAACCTAGGCAATACCATTCAGGACATAGGCATGGGCAAGTACTTCATGACTAAAAACACCAAAAGCAATGGCAACAAAAGCCAAAATTGACAAATGAGATCTAATTAAACTAAAGAGCTTCTGCACAGCAAAAGAAACTACCATCAGGGTGAACAGGCAACCTACAGAATGGGCGAAAATTTTTGCAATCTACTCATCTGACAAAGGGCTAATATCCAGAATCTACAATGAACTCAAACAAATTTACAGGAAAAAAATAAACAACCACATCAACAAGTGGGCGAAGGATATGAACAGACACTTCTCAAAAGAAGACATTTATGCAGCCAAAAGACACATGAAAAAATGCTCATCATCACTGGCCATCAGAGAAATGCAAATCAAAACCACAATGAGATACCATCTCACACCAGTTAGAATGGCAATCATTAAAAAGTCAGGAAACAACAGGTGCTGGAGAGGATGTGGAGAAATAGGAACACTTTTACACTGTTGAGGGGACTGTAAACTAGTTCAACCCTTGTGGAAGTCAGTGTGGCGATTCCTCAGGGATCTAGAACTAGAAATACCATTTGACCCAGCCATCCCATTACTGGGTATATAACCAAAGGATTATAAAACATGCTGCTATAAAGACACATGCACACATATGTTTATAGGGGCACTATTCACAATAGCAAAGACTTGGAACCAACCCAAATGTCCAACAATGATAGACTGGATTAAGAAAATGTGGCACATATACACCATGGAATACTATGCAGCCATAAAAAATGATGAGTCCATGTCCTTTGTAGGGACATGGATGAAGCTGGAAGCCATCATTCTCAGCAAACTATCGCAAGGACAAAAAACCAAAGACCGCATGTTCTCACTTATAGGTGGGAATTGAACAATGAGAACACTTAGACACAGGAAGGGGAACATCACACACCGGGGCCTGTTATGGGGTGGGGGGAGGGGGTAGGGATAGCATTAGGAGGTATACCTAATGTTAAATGACGAGTTAATGGGTGCAGCACACCAACATGGCACATGTGTACATATGTAACAAACCTGCACGTTGTGCACATGTGCCCTAAAACTTAAAGTGTAATAAAAAAAGAAAGAAAGTGTATTAGGTTGATAGCTCCCAAGTGATACAGTTTTAATTCTTTGAAAAAAGATTAAAAAATCACAATGTACCTAATTTTGAAAGTAAAGCTAAATTATGAATGTAAAGGACTTCCCATTATGACCTTTGTCCCCAACTCATGAGTGTGTATATGTGTTTTCTTTCCTTTTTTGACATTTAAAAAATTATTTATTTTTTAGAGATGGGATCTCTCTGTTGCCCAGGCTGGAGTGTACTGGCATGATCACAACTCATTGCAATCTCCAACTCCTGGGATCAAGAGATCTTCCCGCCTTAGCCTCCCAAGTAGCTGGGACTACAGGCATGTGCCATTACACCTGGCTAATTTATTTTATTATAATTGTTACAGCCAGGCTCTCCCTATGTTGCTTAGGCTGGCCTCAAACTGCTGGTTTCGAACTCCTGGCCTGAAGTGATTCTCCTGCCTCAGCCTCTCTAATAGCTGGGATTACAGGCAAGAACCACTGCACCAGGCAACTCTTTTTCTTTTTTGTTTTTTTTTGTTTTTTGTTTTTTTGTTTTTTTGTTTTTTTGTTTTTTGAGACGGAGTCTCGCTCTGTCGCCCAGGCTGGAGTGCAGTGGCACGATCTCGGCTCACTGCAAGCTCCGCCTCCCGGGTTCACGCCATTCTCCTGCCTCAGCCTCCCGAGCAGCTGGGACTACAGGCGCCCACCACCACGCCCGGCTAATTTTTTTTGCATTTTTAGTAGAGACGGGGTTTCACCGTGTTAGCCAGGATGGTCTCGATCTCCTGACCTCGTGATCCGCCCGCCTCGGCCTCCCAAAGTGCTGGGATTACAGGCGCGAGCCACCGCGCCCGGCCTCTTTTTCTTTTTTAATGAAATAATAGAGCTAGTAGAAAATAGTTTGCTTTTTAAAGTGCTTACTTAATAAAATAAAAAGTGGGCAACTCGAAATAAAAAATCAAACAATATCTAACATGTTTAAAAGATTTTTAAAAATCAAAATATAAAATAATATCAAAATTTAAAAACTGGGATTCTGTTCCCCAAAGTTCTGTTCAAATCTGTTAGATTTATCTTCCCTTGACCCTAAGTAATATCTTGGGCAAGCCCTAGAGCTTCTTTCCTGACCCTTAGTTAATAAGATGTTATCTGGTCACATTCAGTCACAATAATAGACTCATTTTAGTAATAAACATCTTAAGACTAGTAATTAAAACTCTTTACTTCACACCAAGTTTCCTCCCCAAGCTTGGCCTGTTCCTGGCTGGCAGCCTGAAGTAGGGAAAGGAGAGATATGGTGACCTTTTCTTTGTACCTTTCTAGCTACCCTCTATACCCTGACCCTACATACATAATTGAGCTGTGGCTTCTGACTCTACTGGGTTTGGGGATGAGAGGCATTGAGAGTAAAATGAAGGAGTGGTTTTAATTAATGGCACAGCTAAAACTGGATTTTGTTCTCTCTGCACATGGCAGATGTTTAAAGCTCATTCTTTCTTTTATGCAAGTTTTTACACCATCCAGCCTCATTTGTACCTCTTGAATTTTTGCTCAGTGGCCTATCACCATTCAGGATCAAGACAAAAATCAATGAGCACTTATTGTGTGTCATGCACCCTACAAAGTGCCAGGATATTTATCCAAACTCCTGGCAATGCTAAACACAATGCAAAAAGACATATTAGAAAACGAATCTTATTAACTTTAACTTTTCAACTGTATTTCATCATAAAGTCTTACTTTACAAGATAATTGCTGTTGTGAAAAAGGGAAAGGTCATGGTCTCATTTCCCAGATGTTATTTGATATATGCTATAAATTATATTACCTCCAACATAGTCTGCACTTTGAACTTAGAAAAACAATCTTCAGACGGCATGCATTCTAATTCTTGAAATAAGTATGCCCACAAACTGTAATTTAAGACAGAATAGGTATGCTTCTCATGTTTTAATTCAGTTGAATTTCAGAAGATCTCAGGAATGTACAGAACGAGAATTAAGAATTAATTAATAAGAATTAATTAATTGCTTGACATAGTTAGGTGATTTCCTGAACTTTAAGCTTCCACATCACAGTATGAAGTTGGTTCTAAGATAAGAAATATAATAAATTCTCGCCCAAGGACAGACCTGAATCTCTAGCTGCCTAGAGGCTGACTCAACTGAAATCATGGCGTTTGACAGCACTTGGAAGGTAGACCGGAGTGAAAACTATGACAAGTTCATGGAAAAAATGGGTAAAGACTTTATTTCTTTGTGGCTCATTCTTTGCTTTCTTACAAACATTTTTCTTTCTAACTCCTAAATCTCTAGGAGATTACAGATAGCTTACAGATAGCTCCTGATGTGGTAGAGAGGATCCAGAAGATGTTCAGAGGAGGGAAACCATATTCTCCCTTCTTACATTAGGAAGAATCCACTATCTCACTAATGGAAGAAAAGATTCTTTGAGTGCTGTTCTCTGAAACACACCAAAAAGATCCAGAAATGTTTCCTTCCCTCTTTAACTGAAAAATGACTTTTTTTGTTGTTTACAGTAAGAAAATGGCAGCGTGTAATGATAACTTCCAGATCTGAAAATGTTAAATTCTAGGAGATGGAAAAACAAAGACCATATAAGAAAGTAATGGAAAAGGTTCTCTTAAAATTTATAGCGCTGAATAAGTTAGATTTAATTCTGATTTCTTCTAACTTAAAAAAGTTTTGGAATAATCTTGAGAAGCTGTGTAGTTTTCTCCAGGGCGTTTAATTTAACTGATTTATAATTTGATACCAATACTCTGGCAGCCCATATACTATACAAGATAGGCAAACAAATTTGTGTCATTCCCCTAAAAGAAAAATCTGCATCAATTATAGCTTACAGTTTAGGAACTCTAAGTTTAAATTTATAAAAGTTGTAGATTCTTATAGTGATTTTGGCTTAATATTTGCTAATTTTCTCATTTTTGTGTCAGAAAGAAATGCCACAAGAAGCAAATAGAACTATAAAGTTCAAAATGTTAAAGCCACTAAGAAAAACAAAGGGGCATTTAAGAAAAAAGAATACTGTATATGTGGAATTAAAGATGTGCTTCCTTATAAATATATGAATATACATTTTAATCCTTCATTTGATATTTCTAGAATTTGATTTACTTAACACTGAAATGAACAGTTTGTTAATCTTATTAAGGTTGCTCAGCTCTAAGATTCTATAATTCTGTACTCTACTTAATTTTTCTCAAGTTATGGAAAAACAACTTTAATCAGTTCTCTTGATCTGATTGAACCTGAACTTCTGTAGAAGCAATCTGAATGTTCTTGTGCAAAGGCAATGCTACCGAGTTTTCTTCCCACCCTCAAAATAAACAAACAAAACATAACTTGGAAAAATAAACACTTCCTATGGGATTTGACTTTATTTTCTCCATTGTCTTACCTTTTACAGGTGTTAATATAGTGAAAAGGAAGCTTGCAGCTCATGACAATTTGAAGCTGACAATTACACAAGAAGGAAATAAATTCACAGTCAAAGAATCAAGCACTTTTCGAAACATTGAAGTTGTTTTTGAACTTGGTGTCACCTTTAATTACAATCTAGCAGACGGAACTGAACTCAGGGTAAGAATTTTTTTTTTTATGAGCAATGCATTCTTGATTTTTCTACCCAATATTAAAATGATTTCTGCTCTATTTCATTGGATGGTTTAATTAATGCAGGTCTCCTTCACTAACTGAAGAAGCCAATGAAGTTTGTCTACATTATATATTGCACAAATTGGCAGGATATTTAAATATGTTTTTATTTTTATACGCATCTGTGAAGAATCTGAATTGAACAGTAAGAATTAGAAAACTATCTTTTGAATGACTGAATATAGACCTATTCATAAAGAAATTTAAAACTGTGTTTTTAAACAGTACAGCAAAAGAAGCCTTTAGAGTTAATATGTAACTTAACTGTAATAGCAATTTAACATGTTGAAATAATAAAAGAAATGAATAGATGAACAAATGAGTGAGTTACCAAATGGAAAGATTTGATGTATTGTAGGTCATTGGGAGTGTACCTTTTCATGTTTAAGATAACACATTTTAGGAAGTCATCATTTTCAACAAATTTTTTAAAAACTTTTTTTAGCCTCAACATTTTTCTATTTAAATTACATGTTTGTAATGACAATTTAACTACTGAATGTTTTATCATAAGTTATGTCTTTCTTTAATTAGTACCACAATCACACAAATTAAAACAAGCACAGAGTTGTTAACATCTCCATGAAACTAATTTTAACCATGACTATATTTCTGGACACGTAACATGAAAGATTCAGAAAGAAGTGCTGCTCATCTGCCTTAAAATTCAGCGTATGGAAATTATTGAAGAGAACAAGCATAATGGTTATCAACACATACTCTGTAGCCCAATGGCCTAGGTTCAATCCTCACTCTGTGACTTTAGGTGAATCACTGTGCCATTTTACAGTCTCCTCTTCTGCAAAGTAGAGATAATAGTATCAGTTTCATAGGGTCACCATGAAGATTAAATGAAAAAGTGTGTCTACAGAACTCAGAACAGTGCCTGACATGTGTAAGACCCTAATAAATGCCATTATTATTATTATTATTATTATTATTATTATGTAGGGGACCTGGAGCCTTGAGGGAAATAAACTTATTGGAAAATTCAAACGGACAGACAATGGAAACGAACTGAATACTGTCCGAGAAATTATAGGTGATGAACTAGTCCAGGTGAGTTGTCAAATTTATAGCTATTTTCAAAAGGCAAAAATTACTACAAAACAATAATTTTTGTCACTGCTGAGCCAGATCTTCAGTAAACTGACTACTTCTTTTCTCATAAATCTTACTGATTTTAAAAATATTGTATAGCTATTTTCTGATGCCTATTTACTAAAGACAACTTATATATGTCAAATAATCAATGCCTATTTTAACTGAAAATATAAATGACTACAAACCAACATGTGTTTTAAAATGGCTGTATCCCATATCTGTATAAATCTTGCTATCAAGTACAAGAAAAAATTGTATAAACTCATACTCATATAATATATATGAATATATAATATAAAAATAGTATAAACTCATATAGTATAAAACTATAATACTACTTTTTCTTAACTTAGATGTAAACCTTAAAGATAAATTCTTCTGTTTGTTAACACCTTTCAGACTTATGTATATGAAGGAGTAGAAGCCAAAAGGATCTTTAAAAAGGATTGAGCATTATTCTTGGCGCACAGTCCAAAATACAAATTGGACAGAAGATCTATATTGTACCAGAACTATTTATTTCACCCCATCAAGTATAAGGTTACTGATTGATTGGTCCTTTTATAAACATTGGTATATTTCCATTCATGCCAAAGCAAAAGAAGTAAAAGCTAATTAGGATTTAATTTGTTTTATATTCTCTAAGATATATATTTACTAAAAGAATTTGTGACATTTTAAAAAACAAAAATAAATATTGCGTCCATGTTGCTTTATATGTAGCCTTGCCTTTTAAAAGAAAAAGTATGTGAATATGAATTGACAGACTGTTTTCGTAGAGAGAGGGTCTTACTCTTTCACTCAGGCTGGAATGTAGTGGAGAGATCATAGCTCACTGTAACCTCAAACTCCTGGACTCATGCAATCTTCCTGCCTCAGGCTTCTGAGTAGCTAGGACTATGGGTACATTCCACAGTGCCCAGCTAATTTTTGTTTTGTTTTCTTTTTATTTTTTTTAGAGATGGGGTCTTGCTATATTGCCCAGGCTGGTCTTGAACCCCTGGCCTCAAGCAATCCTCCTGCCTCAGCCTCTCAAGTTGTTTTTTTTCTTTACATTTGATAAACTAAAAGCATAGGCTGCATATGAGTCTTTAACATCTTGAACTGGTTGTGAATAATTTTCTGGCACTGGTTGTAAGTAATATCTATTATTATAAAAATAATATATGCTCAACCAGAAAACTTAGAAATAAGAAACACAAATGTAAAATAAGTATTTCCATAACTCATAATCCAGAGATAATTGCCATTCTGATTTTGATAGATATCCTCTCAGCTCTCTTCCCTGGGGGCAGATATTTCCCAATACATACCACTTTGAATAGGATGATAGGAAATAAATGATGTACTACATTAAATTAAATTATTGTATTACATTTTTGTACACATCAGTCATTCCCACGCTTGGCTGAAAATCAGGATCATCTGAGAAACTTAAACAATTTCTGCATTCTTAATCTCCACTGTTATTCTATTATATCAGAATCGCTAATAGAACCAAGAATTCTAGAAAATTTCCTGGTGATTCTGATGCAGCCTGTCCACTAACTTGTCTTTGAGAACAATGGAGATATCAGTTATCAATGTTATTTTTAACCACCCCCTTCTTTTTTGTTGTTGTGGGTTTTTTCACATAAACACATACATTGCCAATTTTCCAGGGCTCAAAAAGTTTCCTTTTATTCATATTTTCACATGACGTAAAATTTTATGTGCTTCACATAATTGTATTTTAGCAGGGTACATATTAGGGGATGGAGAGGGGGTACAATTTTTAAGCATTTGCAGCTGCAACTCTATAGACTTTTGACAAATTCTTTTTCACACTGATGTAGATAACAGCTTAACATTTACATAGTTCTTACTACTTGCCACACACTGTTCTAAGTGGTATATACATATGACATATATATTAAAATGTAGGAAGAAAAATGTTTGAGTACCTGATGAAAATGAATAGAGAGTATGTAATCTTTGAAAGCTGAATACTGCGTGTTCTCACTTATAAGTGGGAGCTAAATAATGTATACACATGGACACACCAGAGTGTAGAATAATAGACACTGGAGACTTGGAAGAGTTGGAGGGTTGGCAGGGGGCGATGATAATTTACTTAATGGGTACAATGTACATTATTCAGGGGGTGATGGTTACAGCCCAGACTTTACCACTATGCAATATATCAATGTAACAAAACTATACTTGTACTCCTTAAATTTATATAAAAATACCTTAAATCTATGTTCATTTTATAATTTCATAAAAATCTTCACATAGGAAATAGTAATTATTTAGATTTTCACATGCTTCTCTTCATAAAAGCTCAATGTATTTTTATCCCTCTAATCTTATGTGTCTACCATATATGAATCAGGAAAAGGCAGGTATTAATCTCAATACAAAAACTGAGAGAGACAAAGGCACAAAGAAGTTTATTAGCTTGTCTAATATTGTACAAAGTCCATGATGAACAGAAGAATTAAATGTAGGTCTTGACTTTCAGCCTAGATCAT
The DNA here is from genome assembly GCF_000001405.40 of Homo sapiens. Classification (NCBI taxonomy): domain Eukaryota; kingdom Metazoa; phylum Chordata; class Mammalia; order Primates; family Hominidae; genus Homo; species Homo sapiens. The sequence continues at coordinate 119,316,977 of NC_000004.12, read as the reverse complement.
TATGATCTATGCTATTACTCAGCCTGTTATAAACAAAAATATATTAAGAAAAAAAATGTCCTTAATTCCTCAGTGGCACCCAAGAATAGCACTCTAAATGAGTCAGGTCAGACTGTAAAATAATGGTGTTGAGTGATTAGACACTTATCTATTTCTAGTCTCATTGCAGGCTGACTTTTTTCACCATTTATATCCTTTCTAGAATTAAATTTCCACTATTTATTAGTATTGGAGAACAGCCTATTATTTGTTAAGTGACTTCCATTTCAACAACCGTTTTTCGGGAAAACCAACCTTGTCATTACACCACCCTGCTTGGCCAAAAGAGGGTCCCTGACCCAAGAGCAGCCAATCTACCACAATTTGGCCAGATCATGAGCTCTGTGTAGAAGGAAAAATGACAACTAACTGAACCTGCAAGAACCTCTTTCTAGGGAGTTTGAATTTGAGAAGTACACAGTTAGTAGTTGATAGCAAGGAAAAAGGCTTAAAGAGGACAAATAGAGCAGACAATAAGTAGAAGTCATGAGTACCTGAAACTATGAACAAGCAGTAACCATAGGGTAGATAGCAGAATGTCGGGGCAGTCAGAAGCAGTTGGAGTAGTAGAAGCTGAAATATTTACACATGCAATATGGTATCTGGGATTTGCTTCAAATTGCTTTCTCCCCAATCTAGGGTTGGGGAGGAAGATTGATACAAGTTGGCAATTCTTGCAGCTGTTGCAAAGTGCCTGACACATAATAACATATGATAGGTTCACTGAATAGGAACACAGGAATTCATTATATTCATCTCTGTACTTCTGTATGTATTTGAGATTTTCCATAACAAGAAGTTAAAAATATAGTACTTACATACACATATAACTCCAGAATCCAACCACTTCCCATCACTTCCACTGCTATCACCTTAGTATGAGCCACCATTATCTTTTTCCTGGATTACTGTTACAACTCTCTAAAAAGCCCAAGAACTTCTACCTTCCCTACTCCACCCCTTTAGTCTCTTTTTCTACACAGCAGCCAGAAGGATCCTTTAAAAATCTAAATCTGATCACATCGCTTATCTGCTCAAACTGCTGCAATGGCTTCCATTTTCACTCAGAGGAAAAAGCCAATGTTCTTACAATGACCTGTAAGACCCTATATGATCAGATGCCCTGTTACCTCTCCAACACGTGGTCCTGTTTTTCATGAAATATCTGGGGGAAGAGTGTTTCAAGCAGAGGAAACACCCTGGAGCAAAGACACCAAGGCAGTAGCAAACCTGGTAAATTTGAAGAACATAGCCTGGAAAGAGTCCCCAAATCACCCAGAGCTGACCAAAAACAAGACCAATGTTCAGGAAACACAGGCTGACTCAGCTTTCCTAAAATTTAGGAATGATGTGGTGAAAAAGAATGGGTTTTAGAATCACAGACTTGCCCAAATTCTTGTCTGCCCATTTACTGACTAAAATTCAAGTTCTGATTCTCTATTTTTCTCATTTGAAAAATGGGGAAAATGTAATGATTTTCTGAGCTTGTTGCAATTGAGGTATTATGTATAAAACATCGAGTGTAATGCCTGGCATATACCTGGTACTCAAATGTAACATAAACATGTACCCTTCTCCTCTAGAGAAAATGGGGCAAAGTATATCCTGAGTAGATGGGAAAACTCTTTTCTTAAAATACCTCTCATGGAGTCTGCGTGAGAGAGTGAGCCTTGGCCTGGTAGATGAGAATACTTAGTTCCAGTCCAGTCTGTGACATAACTAGCTGGGGACTTTGGGAGAGTCTCTTCATCTCTTTGGAATGTAGTTTAATCATCTTTAAAATGAGAGGATTGAACTAGATCTCCAAATTTTCTTTCAGTGCTAAGATTCTATGATGTCTGAATGACATTTAGTGATTCCTTCCTTTCTTAAGCAGCCTTTTTGGTGTGGGTCACAGGGGACAGGACATTAGAACAATGGAAGGTAGGATGGGAAGAGGGAAATATTTACATTATAAAGTATGGCTGGTTTCATGGGTGTATGGCTTGTGTGGGCTCAGAGGGCCCTGTGCTTGGTTTAATGCTCTTTTCTTACTGTCCTAAAATTCTCAATACTTTTTGAACAACTTCTGCATTTTCATTTTACACAGGGCCCTGAAAATTATGTGGCTTGTCCTATTTCTATGGATTGACTATTAATAAGTACAAAAGATATTTTCCTATGAGCAACTAGAGAGAATGGTAGCAAGACATCTCTAGGCACCTAAAGAAGGGTGAATGGATGGATGGAAAAGATAGTTGCCTGGGATAAAATGGAAGTGAGATAAGGTTATGTGGTGATGGGGAAGGGAAAAAGGAGGTAGATGGTCACTTCATCATTAAGAAGTGCTTCTTTACCTTTTGCTACTTGCTTTCTCTAAACTATAGTATAAGAATGCCATCTGCTGGCCAAGGATACAGACTCTTTCGGAGGTTTCCAATGCAGTGTCTTTGCCGCATTTCAGTGTCTAGGGAGTGTTCCAGAAAGGTCTGATATACCGTAGTCTACACTTTAAAATGTTAATTATTAAATGCTTCTTCAGTTCCAAACTCCACACTAAACAAAGCTAATACAAAGACTCCTCTTGAACCGATCCACTAAAACTGCTTTCATTTATTGAACAAAAAATAATTTTAAAAAAGCACTATGTGCCAGACAGCAAGTATTTAATGATGAACACTATTGGTAGAGATATTTAGGTGATTAAGAATTTCCTCAAATGGATACAAACTCTCAGGCTCATCTTGGGTCTGAATCGAAATACCAAGAATAGCATCATCATCTTCAGCATTGGATGGTCATCTAGAGTAGGGTTATACTCTCACTCAGTGGGTGCTAATATGCAGGGTGGTGTATATTGCCTTCAGGCCCGATGACCAACCTTCAAGCTATTGTCTGGAACAGATTTTACTGGAGAATTGACTGGAAAAGAAGAGTATGCAAGACAGTGGCAGAAGATGAAAGTTTGAAGCAAATGGTGGAAATCAATAGTCATGGATAAAGCATAGTGTTCCAGAGGGCTTCTCTCATCCATATATATCCTCATTGAAGATTCCATTAGAATGATGGATTGCGAGAAGTCCTCCCTGCCATGTAATCAAGATTTCCAGGAATGAAAGAGGGAGCTTAAACAATTAGTAGTTAGGACTGCTGTGAAATGAAGGAGTAGTAGAACTCTGAAGGAGGACAGGCAAGGAAGTGCTCCCTAAATGTCAGCCCAGTTTCAAAGCCACATCTCTCAGATTACAGGTAGTGTAACTGTTCTTATCAAATGATTCTGGCACACTCACTATATTCACTGGAGAAAACACCTGAAAGTCAAAGAACAGTACTCTTCCTAAACTTGAAAACAAAATGTCTTTTAGGTAAAGGAGTATATGCTCAATGCCTTCACTGGGTTTTAATTTAGAAACTTTTAAACAAGATTTTTTTTAAAAAAAGGATACTGAAGGGCATCATTGTGACACAGAACTTCCTCTCTTTAACATATACTTGGAACAGAGAAACCTCAGTAAAGATGGAGGTTATTTCACAATCCCAGTCCAGACTGAGTGTTTGTCCTGCATGTTCCCATGGCACAAAGTGTTCAACTCCAGCAATACCATTACTCTATATTCAATCTGCTTGCCTGCCTCCTCTAGTTTGTGAGCTATATGAGGGCAAGGATAGGGTCTTATATCTATACCCCACACTGTATCCCTCTAACACATAGCAAATATTAATGATTGTAATTTGGGGCATGCTGGGCAGCCCCAGCCTCAGAAAGCCAGCTTTCCCCATTCTTTCTTAAACCCAGAAGATCTACTGAGGGAATAAGTCCTTGTTGTTCTTTACAAACAGATAAACTTATTCTGAACCAGATCACCCTAGCCATATCTGATTAGGTCAAAAATGGCCACCTGACCCAAGGGCAGTCAATTTCTATACTTGAGAGCAGCCAATGATAGGAGAACTCTGTCCAAGACCAATAATTCTCATTAATTAAAACCAGGTAGGGTCTCTGTTGAGAATTTGACTTCAATACACAGAGAAAGTCATTAGCTAGTAATGATGGGCAAAAGTTAAGATACAGATGGAAAAGCAAACAACAGATGCCATGAGGTAAAAGCAGTCATGATGAGTTCTAGTAAACAAAAACCGGATAGAAGAAAAGAGGGGTGAGATAACATTTTTAGATGTGGAAGTAATGAATTCTTGCTTCTGGTGGATAAAAAGATAACTTGTTCAGTATAGGCTCCTCGTATTCTGAGTAGCCAAGAATACATATTCCTTTAACCAAATATGAACCAAGCACCTACCATGTGCTAAATATGACATGAGTTTTAGTGGTGAACAAGACAAATCTATTTTGTTCCCATGGAACTTTGAATCTGCTTAGCTTAGAATCTAGACATAGAAGACATATTGAATAAGTAAAAATTATTGCGATAAGTATTATAAAGGAGTAACGGTAGGCTTTCATAGAAATATATGCAATCTTGAATTATACTTTCCATTGAACTATTTTTCATAAGATGCTTAATTGTACAGACTTTCTTGAATTATTAAAGGGCCTAACTCACACATCAGACTCCTGTCATCCTTATTTTCATACAAATTGGCTCCTACACACAAGGGGGATATCATAAAATCTAAATAAATGCTTTATTTATAAAACATAGCACTAACTCAGATACAGTTAAATGCAACTCCTTCTACCACTACAAGTTAACATTTATTAATACATGGTGTTTCCAATGTGCCAGGTATTTTTCAAAGTGCTTTATAATACCAATTCATGTTCATCATCACAACAAAGTCTATATAATAAGAACAATTATTATTAGTCTCATTTTACACATGAGAAAACTGAGGCAGAGAGAGGTTATATAACTTGCCCAAGGTCAACAGCCATAAGTCGCTGAACCAGGATTTGGACCCAAGCAGTTGTCCTAGAGTCCAAATTCAATTTTACTTGATGTGGTTATGTAGGTAAATTTTCATTCGAAATATCGTCCATCAAAATATATATTAAGCATGTCTTATATGCAGGCACTATGTGCCAGGTGCTGATCTAGGTGTTACAGCTACAACAAAGAACAAGACAGACAAAAATCCCTGTCATCATGGAAGGGATACAGATAATAAACAAGAGAATGAAGTAAAATATATAGTACATTAGATGATATAAGCGCTATTGAGAAAAATAAAACCAGAAAGAGGGATGTGGAGTGTCAGAGGTGAGATCATGGGTGCAGTTTTAAATAGGGAGTAAGATAGCACTGAATAGGTAACATTTGAGCAACACTTGAAGGGAGTGAGAGAATGAGCCATTCTAAGTATGTTTTAGTCAGAGGCCTGGATTTGGATCCTTGAGCCAGTGACAGTCTTAAAGAGCCTTGGAATTACACTGAGTGTTTCTGGGCTCTGTAATATAGTGAGCCTAGGGCTGGATACAGTAGCTCACACCTGCAATCCCAGCTACTCAGGAGGTTGAGGCAGGAGGATCCCTTGAGCCCAGGAGGTCAAGGCTGCAGTGAGCCATGATCACGCCACTGCACTCCAGGCTGGAAGAGACTGTGTCTCAAAAAAATAAATAAAGAGCCTAATTAGCATAGCCTATGGGGGCTCAAAGTTGCTAGCTAAGGAAGAACAGAGTAATGTAACAAAATAAGCATTATGAAACAAACAATAGACTCCTTCTATGTTTTGAATTGGAATTTCTGAAGGATTATTTTGTGAGGTAACAATACTGAAAACCTTATGAACTCTATTCTTCCCAGTTTCTAGCTGTTATAAAAACAACACATGATTGATATATTTAGTCGGCCTGGGTTACAAATTGATGAAGTCATTCTCACACCAGGGAGAGTAGCCCTGTCTTCCTGTGGGGGTCATTTTACTCATTCCCTTAGGTTCCTAGGGAGTACCCTTAATCCCCAGGCAAGAGTCACTCTATGAAAATAAAGTTGTTTATGAAATTTAGTGTGCCTGGGAATGATGAAGAAACAGAGAGAAACACCACAGCTGCACTATGCCTACATTCTATAACTCTGACCACTAACAAACCATGAGCCTGTATCCCTCTTAAGTTGATTTAGGTTAGCTTTTTGGTGTCATCTTTTACCTCCTATGCCTCATGCTTTTCAAAATCAAGTAACATTTCCCCAACTTTGAGGTACCTGTTGCAATACTCCAAAAGCTTAAATGAACAGAACTGCACCTTTATGTGGCCCATTTGCCAACATAGAAAATAGGGGGAAAATAAACTTTTTCTTTTGAACTCTGAGAATACTCTAAATTTGTCATTTATTTTTTAAGCAGGGAACATCTTTTCAAAAGAAATCCTCATGGAAGCCTAACAATGCCTACACTGTCAACTCTACTTTCTGCACCTAGAAGAGGGTACACTAGCTCATTCTTAATGCAATACTACTTGAGGTTTTCCACTTTAATATTCCTTTCAGGGAGTAAAGAATGGCACAACCTGAAGTTGTCACAAGAAGCGATTATCTGAAGCACCTGGACTTGTTCAATCAGATCTGAGAACAAAGTACTGGACTAGATGGTGTCCTCAAAGTCTTACCATAGGTCCTGGAATATTGGGGTTTAGCTGGCAGCAGAACCTCCTCCTTTCACATCTATCGCTACCTTTTGGCTATCAGCTGGAACATGGGGGCCAAAAGGGCTTAGGTGTCCTCTACCTCACAGACCCAGTGTCTTCTAAGCTTTTCTACTTTAATTTTCTCAGCACTTGAAAAATTCACCTTTTAAGACCTTAAAGAGCCCCACTTAAGACATAAAGGCAAGGGCCAGGTGTGGTGGCTCACACCTGAAATCCCAGTGCTTTGGGAGGCCAGGTGAAAGGATCACATGAGGCCAAGAGTTTGAGACCAGCCTGGGCAACAGTGAGACTCTGTCTCTCCCTCTCTCTATACATAAAAATACATAAAGAGAATTATTTACTTAAGAACTGCTACCCTGACTGCTTCCAGAGAGTCCAACTTAATAAACTACAGGAATTATCTGTAATTTATTCTACAGATTTAGTCCCCTAATGAAGACCAATGTGACTTTTTGTTGTGGGGAAGGTGAAGACTGTCAAGTATTAATATTCTTTTTGAGGGGGGTTCTTTTAAGGTGGTTAAGATACATATAATATACAATTTGCCATTTTAACTATGTTATATATACAATTCAGTGACTATTAATTATATTCACAATATTGTGTAATCATCACTACCATCTATTTCCAAAACTTTTTCATAACCACAATCAGAAACTTTCCATTAAGCAGTAACACCTAATTCCCCCATCTCCCAAGCCCCTGAAAAATCAAATATTTTCTCCCATTCTATAGATTGTCTTTTTACTTGTGTCTGGCTTATTTCATTTAGTGTTTTTTCAAACATTATTTTAAAACACTTAGCATTATTTCAAGAATCATCATGTTGTAGCACATATCAGAACTTCATTCCTTTTCATAGCTGAGTAATAATTAAAGATATGTATAACTACATTTTGTTTATCCATTTATGGACAATTGAGTTGTTTCTACTTTTTGGCTATGGTTAATAGCGCTACGATGAAACAGCACACTTGGTGTATACTTGGTGTACAAGTATCTGAGTCTTTAAATTATTTGGGATATATACCTAGAAGCAGGATTGCTAGGTCATATGGTTCTTCTTTAACTTTTTGAGGAATCTCTAAACTACCTTCCATAATGGCTCCATTATTTTACATTCCCACTAGCAATGTTAAAGGATTTAAGTTTTTCCATATCCTTGCCAACACTTGTTATTTTCTGTATTATTATTATATTATTATTGCCATCCTAGTAGATGTGAAATGGTATCTCATTGTGATTTTGATTTGCATTTCCCTAATAACTAATGGTGTAGAGCATATTTTCAACTGCATGTTGGCTATTTGTATATCTTCTTTTGAGAAATGTCTGTTCAAGTCCTTTGATCAGTACTTTTTTTAACTGGGTTCTTTTTGTTGTGGGGTTGTAGAAGTTCTTTATATATTCTGTATGTTAAATCTTTATCAGATATATGATTTACAAATATTTTCTTCCATTCTGTAAATTGTCTTTTTACTTTCTTTACAATGTTCTTTGATGCCCAAAAGTTTTTAATTTTGATGAAATCCAATTTATCTATTTTGTTGTTGTTGCTTGATGTTAGCTGTGGGTTTTTCATTATACCCTTTATCAAGTTGAGGAAGTTCCCTTCTATTCCCAGTTTTCTGCTGGTTTTTATTAGGGAATAAAATGCCTATTCTGCTCAATTGAAATGAAATGTTTGTCTTTTTCCCTTGTTTTACTAATGTGGCATATTATACTAATTGACTTTCTTATGTTGAGCTACCCTTGCATTCCTGGGATAAACCTCATGTGGTAATGGTATATAATCCTTTTAATATGCTGTTGGTTTGGGTTTACTAGTAGTTTTTGAGAATTTTTTTTTTTGAGACGGATTCTTTTTTTTTGAGATGGAGTGTCACTTTGTCACCCAGGCTGGAGTGCAGTTGCATGATCTCAATTCACTGCAAACTCTGCTACCCCGGCTCAGGCAATTATCTTGCCTCAGCCTCCCAAGTAGCTGGGATTACAGATGCCTGCCACTGCACCTGGCTAATTTTTGTAGTTTTAGTAGAGACGGGGTTTCACCATCTGGGCCAGGATGGTCTTGAACTCCTGACCTCATGATCCACCCACCTCGGCCTCCCAAAGTGCTGGGATTACAGGCATGAGTCACGGTGCCCGGCCCTTTTTGAGAACTTTTGTATCTATATTCGTAAGGGATACTGGTCTGCAATTTTTTTATAGTGGTAAAAGCATATAACATAAAACTTACCATATTAACCATTTTCAAAAGTACAGTTTAGTAGTGTGAAACATATTCAAATAGTTGTGAAACAGATCTCCAAAACGTTTTCACCTTGCAAAACTATAACTCTATGCCCATTAAACAATTGGCCTTTTCCCTCTGTCCCCAGCCCCTGGTAAACACCACTCTACTTTCTGTTTCTAGGAATTTGACTCCTTAATATACCTCATGTAAGTGGAATCATACAGTATTTGTCTGTCACTGGCTTATTTCATTTAGGATAATGACCTCAAGGTTCATCCACATTGTAGCATTTGACAGGATTTCCTTCCTCTTAAGGCTGAATGATATTCCATTGTATGTAGATAACACATTTTTTTTATCCATTCACCTGTTGATAGATATTTGGGTTGCTTCCACCTCTTGGCTATTGTGAAAAGTGCTGCTATAAACATGGGTGTGCAATATCTGTAATTTGCTTTTCTTGTGATGTCATTATCTGCCTTGGTATCAGAGTACTAGCTTAATAGAATGAGTTAGAGAGTGTTCTCTCAGGTCTATTTATTGAGAGTTTGAAAAGGAACAGTGTTAATTCTTTAAATGTTGGATATTATTCACCAGAGAAGTGATCTACTCCTGGACTTTTCTTTGTTGGAATGTTTTGATTACTGATTGAATCTCTTTACTTGTTATAGGTCTGTTCAGCTTTTCTATTCATCTAAGTTATCTAATTTGTTGACATACAATTGTTCACAGTATTATAATCCTTTTTATTTCTGTAAGTTTGGTGGTAATATGTACACTTTCCTTTATGATTTTAGTTATTTGTGTCTTCTCACCTTTTTCTTCCTGTAGCTAAAGGTTTGCCAATTTGGTTCATCTTTTCAAAGAACCAATTTTGGTTTCATTGATTCCTTCTATGGGTTTTGTATTCAATATTTCATTTATCTCTGCTCTAATCTTTATTATTTCCTGTCTTCTGATAGCTTTGTTATTTTGCTCTCCTTTTTCTATTTCCTCATGTTATAAAGTTAGGTTGATTTGAGATCTTTCTTTGTTAACGTAGGCATTTATAGCTATAGATTGTCTTCACTGCAATCTACAAGTTTTCCTATGTTGCATTTTCATTTTTGTTTGTCTCTAAGTATTTTCTAATTTCCCTTATGATATCCTTTTTGAACCACTGGTGGTTTAAGAGTGTGTTAAATTTCCACATGTTTGTGAATTTTCCAGTTTTCCTTCTGTTATTAACTTCTAACTTCACTTCATTGTTGTCAGAGATCTTTCTGACTTCAATTTTTAAAACTTCACTGAAACTTGTTTTATGCCTTAGTATATAATATATCCTGGAGAATGTTTCATGTATACTTGATAAGACTTGATATTTTGCTGCTGTTGGGTGGAGTTCTGTATGTGTCTGTCAGGTATAGCTGGTTTATACTGTTGTTCAAGTCCCCTATTTTCTTATTGCTCTTCTGTCTAAATGTTCTACCCATTATTAAAAGTAAAGTATTAAAGTTTCCAAAGACTTTTGTAAAACTGTCTATTTCCCCCTTCAATTCTGTCAATGTCTGCTTCATATATTTTGATTCAGTATCTTCTTGGTTGCTGTAAACTTTTGACTGTTTTCCAGCATTCTGAAAAAGTTATTTCAGACAGCTTTTGCTTGTTTTTCAATGCTGCTGTGGAGGGACAGGAACTTGGAGTTGCTATTCCACCATTTTGAACATGGGTCACCCAAGGTGACTTTTTGACACTAGCTTTCACTAGAACAGAAAAACAACAACAACAACAACAACAATAAATCTGTTCTCCAACAGGCATATTTATAGATATGAACAAGAAAGCTGAGCTTTTCCAGTAGATGCCTTAAGCCACATTCCCTGCATCTATCTCTTCCATTCCATGTTGGTCCTTGAGTAAACTCCGAGGAATCATAGCATTCCATGAAATTTAGTTTAAAAAGCACTATTATAAATCATTAAAGCCCCTTGATACTTATGTGTCTACTGTCTGTGATCTGATGCCATAAACAGTTAAATAATAATTTTGGACTAGACTTTGTCTTGTTTATTTTCTAATTTACTTTTTTTCAACAAACTTTCCAACTTCTAGTTAATAAAATGCATTTTCATTGAGAAAATTTGAAAAATATGGAAAAACACAAAGAATGAAACTATCTGTGATCCCATCTTCCAAGAATAACTTCTGTTAACACGGTTACATTTGTCACACTTATAAGTCTAATTCTGGTCAATATTTTATATATAGCAATGATCACCTTAGCATCCATTTATTTATTCTAAATTAACAACTGTTTAATTCCAAGCATAGGTTTTAATTCCAAGCACAGGTTTCCTATGCTTGGAAACCTATAATCTTATGAGATAAAAACATGTCATGTATTGACTAACTTTTGAGACTCCATCCTCAATGACTGCCTCTCTAACACCTTTCAATAAAACAAATAACAGGTTGATTGCTGATGATTAGCTTAATGAAATTTCAAAGTTGTAGGTTTCAACATCTTTGTCATTTGTGCCTACTAAACTCTGCTCTACCGAAGTTTTTAAACTTTTAAAAGCAGAAGGATGCTTTGTTTTGAAATAAAATCTTGTATGAAACTCTAAAATATAAACAAAACTAAGTTTTTATGGTTGAAGTCTGTCTTTACATGTATAAGTACAGACATGTACATGTATAATACATGTACATGTATAAGCAGAAAGAGGTTTAATTGTATCTGACTAGTATGTTCACAGCCAGTTCTGTTCAGCCTTTCAAAACCCAAATCATTATGCAGAACCCCAGGCTCTGTGATACTGTTCGAAAACTTCATTGCTCTGTTATATGTCCTCAGTCAGTATTTTTAATGAATCGGTTGGTATTGCTTCCATAACTCTTATGGCTCCTTGGACAATGCCTGACACACAGCAGGTAATAAAAAGTATTTACTGAAATTAAAGAAGGAAAATCCACAAAGGGGAAAGGATTGGCACATATCCATTACTAGTACTTCAAAACATCTCAGAAAGTATCCCTGCTAAGAGTATAGATCAATAGTGTTAGATCCCACTGGTATCATACACTATTATGTTCTAAAACACACAATTTTACAAGTATTTTTTTGACTAGGATTGTGTTAGTGGTTGCAGAATATAACAAAATATTGTTGAATACATATTAAATTTCTTCCATGAGGAAGACACTGTTTAAAGAGCTGTGGAGATTGCAAAGATGGCAAAAATACTGTCTCTCCTTTAAAGAACACTTAATAATTGCTAGGTTCAGTGGCTCATGCCTGTAATCCTGGCAGTTTGAGAGGCTGAAGCAGGAGGATCACTTGAAAACAGGAGTTTCACTGGGCAACATAGTGAAAACCCATTTCTACAAAAATAAACATTAATAAAAAGCAAGCCTGGCATGGTGGTGTGTGCCTGTAGTCCTAACAACTGGGAAAGCTGAGGTGGAAGGATTGCTTGAGCCCAGGGGTTCAAGGTTGCCATGAGCTCTGATTGCACCACTGCACTCCAGCATGTGTGACAGACCAATACCCTGTCTCAAAACAAATGAACATAACTTAATACTCTAACAGGGGAGAAAATTTACATAAAATTGCTACAAAGCAAGCCAATGTGCCAGACAATATCAAGAAAATTTCAGTGTTTTTTGAGTCAGAGGTAGGGAAATTTTGAAAGATGACCAGTCTAATAAATAGCCCCATTAATAGGAGACCATTACAGAATGTAGAGGGAAATAATAGGTGCCAAAGGAAGGCAAAAAACTATGGAAACAAATACTTCATTCACTGCCTTGATCTTGAGAAAATAACCCTCTCCCCAAGAAGAAAACATGACATAGAAGGTGGAGACAAGTTAAATGTGAAGTTTTCACAATTGGTATGTTAGAAATACCAAGAATGGAGAGATCAATGTGAATTGTAGTGAAGGAAATTTTATGAAGTTGGCACTTAAGTGGGGCCCTGAAGGATGAGTAGGATTTGGACAGGTGAGAAAGCATTCCAGTTTAACAGGAAAAACATGCACCAAAGCCCAGAGGCCAAGAGAATAGTTTCCATGAGGAAGATGGAAGAAAGCACTCTGACTGGAGCAAAGAATGTTTCCTGGGTACCAGGTTGGCTGAGTAGAGTAGAGCCAGATTAATAGTGGGTATAAAGGTGGGAACTGCTAAGGCCAAGATGAAGATAAAAGAGAAGCTGCAACCTAGTTATGATGATAGTACAACTCTTTCTTTGTTAGAGCATGGAGGGAACATGGTCTGGCTCTGTCATCAAGGCTGAAGTGCAGTGGCACAATAACAGTTCACTGCAGCCTCGACCTCAAGTGATCCTCCCAATTCAGCCTCCTGAGTAGCTAGGACTACAGGTGTGTGCCACCACACTTAGCTAACTTTTCTATTTTTTGTAGAGATGGGATTTCGCCATGTTGCTCAGGCTTGTCTCGAACACCTAGGCTCAAGCAATCCACCCACCTTGGCCTCCCGAAGTGCTGGGATTACAGGTGTGAACAACAGCGCCCAGCAGATAGTACAACTCTTAAACAAAGAAAACTATTGAAGATATACAAAGGAGTAAGAATGAAAGAGAACAGCCTGGGTGCAGTGGCTCATGCCTGCAATCCCAGCACTTTGGCAGGCCGAGGCGGGCGGATCACCTGAGGTCAGGAGTTCAAGACCAGCCTGGCCAACATGGCGAAACTCTGTCTCTACTAAAAATACAAAAATTAGCCAGGCGTGCTGGCAGACGCCTGAAATCCCAGCTACTCAGGAGGCTGAGGCAGGGAGAATCGCTTGACCCCATGAGGTGGAGGTTGCAGTGAGCCAAGATCGCACCATTGCACTCCAGCCTGGGCGACAGAGCAAGACTCCGTCTCCAAAAAAAAAAAAAAAAAAAGAATTGAAGAGAACAATAACAACAAAATGAATAAATAAAATGACCCAGAAGATGGAGAAATAACCTGTGGTACCAATCAACAGGGTTGTTGCTAGGACAGGTACTCAACTTGAAAAGGAGGAAAAGACAAAGTTAAGATGAGAAAGAATAATTTAAGATAAACACATATATTTCCAGATGAAAATTACAGTAACCAAATTCTCCACTGTTGGAGAGGTTATTCTATAAAATTAATTTAATTCCTAGGATGATCATGAGGATGCTTTATCACATGGATATACTGGCTTGAGAGCTGCATACGAAAAATTTGCATTATCCCTTAGGTTAAAGCAAAATTCATCATCATCTCCCTCCTGAAAACTTATTGCACTTGAAGTTCAGAAGATCTGTAACGTCTTCTTAAAAACACTTAGCTGTCTTTGGCCTGATGGTTATAGCATTTTCATACACCACCTTCTCCACCCCAGCTCAATCAGATTAATTGTGCTGACAGAATTATGGAAGTGTTGGATCATGGTTGCAGTGCAATGATTCAATCTGTAGTCCCTGGTGCATATTTTTCAGTTGAACATGTGAAGTAGAAAGTTCAAGGTGGTTGGACAAGTGCCGAGGTATTGCATGACTGACAGTGAACCTGGATTTCAGTACAGTACTTTTTAAAATTTAAATTGCTTTGATAATGGCAAATGCCAACTGAGCAAGGTGGCTCATGCCTGTAATCCCAGTACTTTGGGAAGTCGAGGCAGAAGGATCACTTGAGGCCAGTAGTTCAAAATCAGCCATAACACACTCTAAACTCATTTCTGTAATGTGGAATAATCAACAATCAGTGGGACTTTTACAAGGGTAAAGTCGGAAATAGAATCTTTCAACTGAATTTAGTTTAAATAACCCCTCCTTATTTGCACTAGTTGCTCTTCCAAGTCTGGCAGACGTTCCTGACTCTAGAACAGATCATACTGTCAACATCCCCTCATGATGAGCATGTGACTCTGGGCCAAAGACAAGTTTAAAACCATTTCAAGACCTGTTCAGTTTATGTCATGCTTCTTCAACACTAATAATCTCAATAATTTTTTATCAATCCTACTTCAATAACTAGGAGTAATTGATCCTACCTTGTCAGCGAGAAGAATGCTTCCATCTCTGGTAGAGGCAATTGTTTATTTGCCTTTCCTAATTTTTGTAAAGATTCAATGCCACTTAAGCCCAGGGTCTTTTTGTCTACTACCATCAGACAATCTGTATTACAGCACACAATCTAATTAATTCTCAGGTAATGGCCCTCTCATCCCAGAATCTACAAAGCATTTTTCTTGAAAGGTCGTATACTATCTTTGTCTCTAAAACCTGGCAATTGATTTGGAGGCAAATTGGAGCAAGGTTAGGAAGCTATGGAACAGCTTTAAGAGTGCTGGATTTGGAGTTAATTTTAGGCTTTATAATTTTTTTAGTAACCTTAGACAATTCACTCCTTTTGTGTCTCATTTCCTAATTCTATAAGATGGAGTACTGCCCCTTCAAAGAGGTTTTACGACGATTTAATGACTTTGTAAAAACACAACTACAGTCTTATCTCCATTTACTATGCACCAAGAGAACCACTTATATGTCTGGGTGCCCGTTATTTTCTGAACAATTCAGGAATCATAATGTGACAAGAAAGAGAATATTTGAAATTGGACCCACGAGGTAAAATCCAGGCAGTATAGGTCATTTTCTTCCTGCTAGCATTCTGTTCTTGCTGAGGCTCACACTCAAAGTCAAATAACCTTTGGGTTATTCTTCCCACCCCCATTTCCCCCCAGATGGAGTCTCGCTCTGTTGCCCAGGCTGGAGTGCAATAGTGGCACGATCTCAGCTCACTGCAACCTCCGCCTCCCGGGTTCAAGCGATTCTCCTGCCTCAGCCTCCCGAGTAACTGGGATTACAGGCGCCTGCCACCACGCCCGGCTAATTTTTGGATTTTTTTTTTTTTTTTTTTTTTTTTAGTAGAGACGGGATTTCAGCATGTTGGCCAGGCTGGTCTCGAACTCCTTACCTCAGGTGATCCGCCCGCCTCGGCCTCTCAAAGTGCTGGGATTACAGGGGGGCGCGGCCAGGTTATTCTTAAACCCACTCCCTTGAAGTACCTGCAAAATGCTCACGTGCTGCTCTCTGGCCCGTTTGGAAACTCAGTCCCGTGAGTAGGACGTCCACCTCATTGGTGGTGTTTAAATATTAAGTGTCAAATGCTAGAGACAGTACAAAACCCACCAGAGGGGGCCTTCCTAACACGTTGGCATAAGGATCCAAACGGAATACGGGGATAGGAGAGGTGACCTCGTGCAGTTTCAGGGAGGAGTCCATCACCTGACTGGACTGGGCCTTTCAGGGGGACGAGAACGTATTTCTTCCAACGAAACCTGAATAACCAGCTATCTGCCTGGGACGCCGCGAGGCAGAAGTAGGCGGGCCCATTGACTTAGTGTCAAGGCGGAGGCCGCGCTTCATGCCAGCGGTCACGGAGGCAGCGGAAAGCCGAGCCAGGCGCCTGCGCGCTGGGAAGAGTAGGTTCAGAGTGCATTCCGGAACCCGGGGCGCGGCGCACTGCGCAGGCGGCCGGACTCCGCTCAGTTTCCGGTGCGGCGAACACCAAAGTCCGGGAACTTAAGCATTTTCGGTTTCTAGGGTTGTTACGAAGCTGCAGGAGCGAGATGGAGGTGGACGCACCGGGTGTTGATGGTCGAGATGGTCTCCGGGAGCGGCGAGGCTTTAGCGAGGGAGGGAGGCAGAACTTCGATGTGAGGCCTCAGTCTGGGGCAAATGGGCTTCCCAAACACTCCTACTGGTTGGACCTCTGGCTTTTCATCCTTTTCGATGTGGTGGTGTTTCTCTTTGTGTATTTTTTGCCATGGTGAGTATCTCGAATGCAAAATTGGGGTGGTAAGGAGCTTAGAGATCATTTGCTCGCTTTTGGGCGGGGAGGGGACTGAATTCCAGAGAGTTTATATATGTCCAAGATCACACAGCTGGTGAGTGGCGCAGTCGGGTGGGTGGGGGAGAAGGACTAGGAGTAAAATGTCCTTCTTTAGCACGTCCGTGGGAGTCTCCAAAGAAGTGTGGAGAAAACTTGGCGTCATATTTTCTCATGATTTGGAATGAAACCAGCTAGGCTTGAGTTCCTGCAGCACCATGAAGCGACCGGAGAAGTTATTTCGCCTTTTGGAGCTTTATTTTTTCATCTGCCATTTGGGACCATTAGTAACCCAGGTCATAGGGGTGTAGTGAAGATTGAGATCGTAGTGATTTGCATGTTGCCTGGCAGTAGTAAGTGCTCAACGAAAGCTATTTTTACTATACAGCTGTTTAACCATGAGCAGACCACGCAGCTGTCTCAAACTAAACATGTCCAAAACTGAACTCTTAACAGCTTCTTACCCAAATTTACTTGCCTTGCAGCGTTACCATTTCAGTAAACGCCAACTTTATCCACCGTTACCTCCCAGAAACCTGAGACACTTTGCCCTTTTCTTACACACATCCACATATCCTAAAACACCAAGTTACAAAATTCTGTAGAGTTTACTTGTAAAACCCATGCTCTCCATTTTCATCGCCACTCGCTCTGAAAAGACAATTCTGGCAGAGGGTAAAGGAAGGGAACTTAAGAGAATAGGGCAGGAGGAAGCAGACACCAAATGGAGATGGTGTTAAGAGACAAGCTAAGGAGAAGCAGTGAGATGAAACAGGGCTCCTATGGGAGAAGAGCAGTGTAGCCCATCTAGACAGCTCTCCTGGACTTTGGAGTTGATTGTTCACTCACTGTTAACTCCTTAGTCACCATGCCTATGAGTTACTTCTGAAATTCTCACTTCTTGATAGGCAGTCACTTCTTCTACACCCCCAACCCCCATCCTATATTTTCACCAAGATTTGGGTGTCTTAAGCCTCACTGTCTCATTTCTTGGATGGTGTAGTAAGTTAGAGAAGACAGAGAGGGCCAGGCACAGTGGCTCACGCCTGTAGTCCCAGCTACTTGGGAAGCTGAAATAGGAGGATTGCTTGAGCTGGGGAGGTCGAGGCTTCAGTGAGCTGTGAACGTGCCACTATACTCCAGTCTGGGAGACAAAGCAAACCCTGTCTCAAAAAAAGGGGTGGCAGGGGAGCGAGAGGGATTAATGGGAGGATGGCAAAAGGGATAGGGATTTCTATAAAATTCTCTGTCAAGCCATTTGTAAAGGGAGAGTTTTACTCTCCCTCCCTGTTTTGGTAGAGACTGATAATCTCAAATACAGTGGGTTTTGTGTGTGTGTGTGTTTTTATGACCTGAACTTTCAGCTCTGGATAGAAAATAGAGGCCTTACAAGAAATGTTCTAGGCTTTTCTTTTTATCAATATGTAAATAGGCATAAAGTGTTAAAAACTGGGAAGATAAAGCACATATTGCTGACAAATACTTGCTTTTTACAGACTTGTTCGCTGATATCTAAATTAAGAAGTTGGTTCTTGAGTGAATTCTGAAAATGGCTACAAACTTCTTGAATAAAGAAGACAGGACTCTCAATAGAAGAATTTCACATCTCCAAGGGACCCTTCCTTTCATTTTACACTTTGTTACTAATTTGCAGAACTCTATTAATTGGGTAGGATTTCACCCATTCCTAGCTAAGTTCTTAAAATTAAACCCTTTGGTTCGTGTTTAAAAACTTTCAAACATCTGATGGCTTTACAGGGGCTGAATATAAAAGCATTTGTACTTAAAGGTCTTGTGTATTCATTAAGAAATATAGTAATGTCTTTTAATGTTTTAAGAGTTGATCAGGGTTTACTATGATGCAAGTAATAGGATGATTAATAAGGGAAGGTTTTTATGAATTCAAAAGTCAATTATTCAAAAGCAGGGAAAGATTTTGAGAGAGGGAACAAAGTATTCTTAGATTGCGTAGAAGCTGCTAGGTTCCAGTTTTAATTTTTAGGTTTAGTTGGACTCTGTTATGAAAAGATAGGTTATGGGTGGGCGACAGGTTGATACAGTCTTAGAAAAAGCAGGTAATATCAAAGTATTGGAAAGCTAGCATGCATGCCCTCTTACCTGGGTATCTTCCCCCTTTTTTCCTTTTAAACTCTTGAGCCTCCTATAACGAAGGATTATGTGTTTCAAACCTATTTTTTTTTTACTGTTTCATTAAGTGTGCTTGTGCCCAAAATATTTACTTGTATAATATCTGTAACTTGCTTAAATACTTCAGCAAAGTCAGCATATTTACTCATTCAACAAATATTTGAGCCAGGCATTATTTTAGACACAGCAGTGAACAAAACAAAAAGGCATTCTTGCCTTCATGGAGCTTACATTCTTATTGTTATTTAAATCTAAATGTTATAAAACAAGAATTTATATTCTAGGGTTGATCAGCTAGTATTTAATCAAAAAGGCCACACTCCCATAGCAGCTACTCTAAGCTGTAGTAGCTAATAAAAAATATTAATGTTGGCCGGGCACAGTGGCTCACGCCTATAATCCCAGCACTTTGGGAGGCCAAGGGTGGTAGATCACTTGAGGTCAAGAGTTGTGACACCAGCCTGGCCAACCTGGTGAAACCCTATCTCTATTAAAAAATACAAAAAAATACAAAAAAATTAGCTGGGCATGTTGGCATGCACCTGTAGTCCCAGCTATTTGGGAGGCTGAGGCACGAGAATTGCTTGAATCCGGGAGGTGGAGGTTGCAGTGAGCCAAGATGGGGCCACTGCACTCTAACGTGGGCAACAGAGACCCTGTCTCAAAAAGAAAATATTCCTGTTAGCCCTAAAGGCTTTACATGAGGAATGGTAGAAGTGGTCTTTTGTTTAAATTAGTTGCATTCAGCATATATGAATTGTCTTAAATATTTTGGGGATACTCCCCCGCCTTTTAAACAGGGCATAAGATCTGGTAAACTCTCTGTATATCTTCCTACCTTTCAAAATCGTTCTTAGGGTTAGTCAAGTCTGGAATATAATTGCTGACTATAAAGTTAGCAATTATGCTTTTAAGGTGTTGTCACATCAACCTAAAGAGAACCATCTATGGAAGGTATGGTTGAAACATCTGTAGGAACACAGAACTGGGATTTCACTGAGTTTACCAAATCAACTGTGTGAACTGTTTCTGCACTGCTTGCTAATGGTTTCATCTAATAAATGTTTACTTATATAGCTGAGTTTGGTTTTATTCTAACAAATTACCTGGTGGTGTGATTGTGAGGTGATTAACAGTTCTCACATAGTTTACTGTTAGGTCACACACAGACTTCCGATCATAATCCATACTGCCTTTTTGAGCCTAAAATCAGCCTACTACCACAATTACCAAATATTCTGAAAATTTCTAGTATGGTGAAGATGGAGAGATCTTGGTGTGAAGGTTAATTTTATATGTCATCTTGATTATGCTAGGAGATGCCCAGATTTCTGGGTTTGTCCATGAGGGTGTTTCCAGAAGAGATTAGCATTTGAATCAGTAGACTGAATAAAAAAGAGCCACCCACTCCACTGCGGGTGGGCCAACCCCTTGAGGGCCTAGCTGGAATAAAAAGGCAGAGGAAGGGCAAATTCTGTCTTCTCTCTGCTTGAACAGGGACATCCATGTTCTATCCTTGGACATTGGTTCTCCTGATTCTCTGGCTTTCAGACATGGACCAGGGCCCCTGGTTCTCAGACCTTTGGGTTTGGACTGGAACTACACCATTGGCTTTCCTGGGCTTACTGTCTGCGGAAAGCAGATTGTGGGACTTCTCAGCCTCCATAATCACAAGAGCCAATCCCTCATAATAAATTTATTTCTATATATATCCTGTTGATTCTCTTTCTATGGCAAACCCTGACTTAGTAATATGACATGACTGTAATTGGCATTTTCAAAATGGTGGCAGTATGAAGGCTGAATCTTTCCTATAGGTAAGAAATTGTACCTACCATTAAACTGTGCCATAGCAAGTATAGTGACTGCTTACATTGCCCTCAGTTTGAAGGCTTTTAAGAAGTGGATAAATGGAACGCCAAGAAAAGTTGCAAACTTGCTAAGATAACAAAACAAAAAAGACATCAAAAGAAAATGTGACTTTACTCTGATAAATTCTTTTGTAAATTTCACACCATTTTATATAAAGTGAAATGATTGTTTTAGTAGTTCCTTTTGAAATGAACTGGCTTGTTAGCAGTTGCAAGGGATAGTTTTTAGGGAGCTTAACCTGAACGTTTTAGGATGTAAAGAGCTGCAAATACTCAGTCCGTAAGTGGCATGGGAGTACATTTGGAGACTTCAGCCTGTGAGCTAAGAATATTTTTTACATTTTAAAATGGAGAAAAAAAAAACTTTCATGACATGAAAGTTATATGCAATCTGGATTTCTATGTTGACAAAGTTTTACTGGAAAACAGCCATGCTCATTCATTTACATATTGTTTATGGCTGCTTTCACATTACAAAGGCAGAGTTGAGTAGTTATTACAGAAATATTATGGTCCACAAAGCCTAAATTATTTTCTATCTTTATAGAAAGTTTGCCAACTCCTTTTCTAAGGAGCTGTGCTTTAGACCTTGCTGGAGTTTAACTCCTAGGATCTCCTGTGATAACCGTTTATGATCAGTGAAATTCCAAGTACCCGCGACTTAACATGTCCCAAAATAATCCACGTTGGTGGGAGGGTGACACACAGTTCATGAATGCAAAGAGAAGTCCAATCATATAAACTTAAAAATCAGTTTATCTTAAAATTTTTTTGAATTAGAAGAAATTGATTTCACATGAAAATATAACATTCTGAAGGTAAGTATTTTAAACATTACAACTGTTGGCTGAAATATTTACAAAGTTATAATAAGCTTATAACTGGATGAAAGCATCTATAAAAATAAATAGGCACCCTAGATGTAAAACTTTTACATGAAATAAAATGATTAGTATATATGTATCAATCTGTATCTGGAGTGTTGAATCAACAAAAATAAATGGGCATTTTCTAGTTTGTGTAGTAGTACATGAGTCAGGAGGTTTCAACTGGACAGTACTTAAAAGAGGCAAAACTGGACATTTCTATTTGATATCTACAACTCAACTGAGTTGAAAAGACAAATGTCTGAGACTGCTGTTAAATACAAAAATTAGTTTAAATGTTTCAAATAATACATTTCCAACTCACATCTTAACCAAATAGAAAAAAAAAACTACACAAACTGTGAAAGCTATTAAAAAACTTGAAGCCCATTTTTCTAGTATCTTACAATGTTATAAAAGAAGAAAAACTTTGGTATTTTAAATACAGGTTTACAAACTTTACATTATTTACAAACCCTCCACACTAAAAAATTATGTTAAAAATAAGCTTTCTTAAAACAAAATTAATTTGGCATTCAAGTATTTCTAACTTACGAGAATATAAAGTAATGATCACTCACTATTATAGTTTAAAAAGGCTAGTAAAAACTATAGGCAGAAGATAAAATTTGGCCAAGACTTGGTAACTGGGTGAAGTTAGACTTTTATAAGCAATTATTTTCTGTTTAACAGTATTCACATTAAATTAGTTACAACATTTTAGAATGTTTTAACACGATTTACGCAATCAGTCAAGTGGCTACATTTACTAGTTTATTGAATATGAGGTTTATCCATTTAGCAATGTAAGGAAAACTTTAGTTCTGTTTCTCAGTTATCAGGAGTGAACATAAAACTATTCTAAACCACAATTAGTTTACCAGCATAGTACAAAATAAAATGACAACTAACGAAATAAAGCAATTAAAGTAACTTATTTTTACTCATAAGGTTACCATAATAATAAAAATTCCTTTAATTTTCAAAGCACTCTTCATGAAAAGTAGTTGGGGTAAAATTACTATTTGTTCAAAGTAGAATAAAAGGGAAGGATGCTCTAATTAAACATTTTATTAAAATTAAACTCTCTATATGAAAGGTAGAAATTTAATCTGGAAACCTAGATAGATTTTCAAATTCAGATAAAATGGGTTGACAACCTATAAGCAGGTAATATTACAGCAAAGAAAATGTAGGCAATTACAGTGACATTCCCAATAAGAGGGTGCCCTACATTAATTCCTAACACTGGTGGTTAGCAGCCCAAAGTAAACCAAACCAAAATAAAGACCTTTCACATTTCATATAAAATTAGAAAAAAAGTAACGAGATAAATAAATACACTAAAGTTTAAGTATTTTAACTTTTTAACTTACATGGCTAAAGTAGCATTTATGAATACCTATAATAGTCAAAGGCCTAATTTATCTTAACTAGATATTCTGAAGACAAAAATTCTAGGAGCAAAATTAAATTCCATCCGATCTTGAAAACTTACAAATTGTTAATCATATAAGGCTTTTTTTCCCCAAATGCTATCAAATTCATAAGTCATTTTTTTTAAAGACACTTAAAGGGATCATATGCAGTGACTATCATAGAAGTCAAAAACAAATGGGTGAAGCCCTTTTCTGGTTACCCATTAGAAAGTGCTTCTTCATAAAGCAATTCTTTGACAAAAAAGTACCAGGCTATGTATCACCTGGTACTTTTCAATTAGCATAGTTTATAATCTCCATACATGAGTACTGGTTAGTTTAATACTTCCCAGTCTACTGGCCACAAAATAGGGGGACAAATTTAATTTTTATTCAACTGTAGCATATGACAAATGAATTATTATATCTCCCTGATTTTCTATTTTTCACGGCACGCCAAGACTATTCAAAGGGAATTTCTAAAATATCTAAGATATTGATCATAAAATTATATATGTGTATACACATATACACATACATATGTATAGTGATTAACAACTTTAAAAATGCCACAGGCTTTAATTTTATGTATCACTAGGTTTGGTCAGTAGGTTCCTATTATATTTAAATGGCCTCTGAGAAGTAAAAGTTGGTCAGTTTTACCAGTTATCTATTACAATGTATGCTAGGTTTATATCTTTGTTCAGAAGGGCAGCTTGAACCAAGATTATTATGTAACACAGGTCTAGTCCTTTTTCACTCTAAGATAGTGAATTATTACAAAAGCCACTGCTCTCTGGAAAAGAGAGCTTGGGCCTCTGATGGTATTTCAATCTATATGTATCCGTCATGCAGCTATCAACTGAAAAATAGGTAGTTAATGAAACTGTCTCATTTGGACAGGTAGAAATAGAGTCTAGTTCTGGTTGGCAAAATGCATCAATGGCACCTGAGTTTGCCTGAAAATCGTTAGTTGAGGAGCTGGATGGACAGTTTGGTGTGTTGCCAAAACATTCTCTCACTTGAAATGTTTCTTTATGTCTTTCATCATTCATATGTGTACTCACTTCTAAACTTGGTTCTGAAGCTGTACTTAAACTGTGCTTCGGAAGATGAGAGGTAGCTTTAAACACCTCTGTAAGTTTGACATCAGGTGTAGATTCGCTTTTCTCTGACTGTGGCACACTGGTTATAGCATATTTCTTTGGTGGCAAAGGGGGTGGTAGATTCTGGCAAAAAAGTTTTGGCATCTGACACCCATCAGATCTGCTGGCTGACCGAATTATACATTCTGTGGATAGAGAGTTCTCAAAGTAACATTGATCCATGATATTTTGTTGCTGGATGAGAGGAGCAGTTTCTGGCTTTAACCCAACAGTTCTTAGGTGTGAAGACCATAATGAAGATGGTTCATTACTGTTCACTCTCTTCCCAGAAGCAGAGTTATCAACGTGAAAAGGCAAACCTGTTCTCTCAGAATTTTCTATATTAAGCCACTCAGAAAATTTGCATTCATTCGGTTTTTCAAGTTTCTGTTCATCTGACTGGTGGATATGTTCTCTTGCATTATGGTCCTTGGGTATTTGTAGACTGGATGAAGGAAATAACTTTCCATTGTCTTCATGTACATGTGATCTGAAATATGAAAATAAAAACAAAGCTAGAACACCCTATGCAAATATATGAAACTAGGGGAAAATAAACATTTGTTTTGTAGTTTGATTTTCCCAAAATACAGTTTATATTATTTTTACAACAAAACCACAAAAATGGAAAGATATTTGCAACCATTAACATTTTCAACTCTCTCCAAATCCAAACTCTTTATGTCAGAATATGTGAGTGTTTACCAGAAACACCCATCATTACCAGAATCCCATTTCTAATAATTAGAAATATAATTTTAAAAACTCACTTCAACTCAAAACACTAAAATTACATTTATTTGTAACAATATATAGAACTTGAGGAAAGTGTTAACAGTCAAACAGTACTCTAAAACATCTCCCCACCAACATTCCAAACTTTAAAGGCAATAGAGGTAGAAGTACTTAAATTTTGATATATAGCAGTATAGTATATTAATTACTTTATTATATTTTGCAAATATATTTATATTATATTTGAGGGTCTTGCTATGTTGCCTAGGCTGGCTTTAAACTGGCCTCAAGTGATCCTGCTGCCTCAGCCTCCTCAGTAGCTAGGATTACAGACATGTACCACCACATCACACCTGGCTGTATAATAGTTTAAAATAATGTAATCAAGATTATCTTTAGGTAATAGTTATTTTCTAAGGTGAGGGTAAATGATGCCATATTGCAAATTATTTTTCTTATATGAATTATGTGGAATTGAATTAGAATGCAATGGTTAAAGAGAGTTGAGGATTTGCTAGGTAGATGGAGCTATAATCAAATCTCAGCTCGATAGTTTTGGTCACATTACTTAACCTAAGCTTCAAATTTTCTCTTGTAAAATATCACCTACCTCATAAGAATGCTGTGAGGATTGAAACAGACAATCAGATACTGTACCTGGTACTTTGTAAGCTCTCTATCCTTAGATCCACATTGTATTAATGATTCCCAATAAGAAAGGCATCTCAATACTATAGACCCATTGCTTTCAAAGTAATAATATGTATTTATGCCCTTCTGATAAACAACGTGCCTATAATACATGTATTTAGGGAAAAAAAATATGGTTACCTTTTTATCAAATGATTTTTTATTTGTAAATGTGATTCTGGGTGGAATTCATGAGATTTATAGCCTGCTTCCAAATTCCTGAGTTCTTTTCTAAAGCCTAGGGTTGGGTGGGGTGGGGAGAAGAGATGAGGAAAACAAAATTATTTAAATTATGTTACAGAATTTATTTCATTTATACTTTTCTATATTTACATAAAGCTTTCTATAAAAGGTAATCTCTTCCAATTTAAAAAAATGAATTCTTTAAGACCCAACTCAAAATAACAGTTCTTTTTGGAATGCTTTATGCAAAATTTCTTCAGTTTATTATCACTTGAGGGTGTCATCCATGATGGAATAGTGCTGTTCCTGCTGGGTCATGCAGATCTGTGTATGTGTTTTCCCTGTTACTTAAGACAAGATCTTTACTGACCAAGTGTTAACAGTGAAAAAAACCCTGCATTTGAAGATCGCTGGCTTGAGTTGAAGTTTGGACTCACTAATTATGGGTAGGTAAACAAGCCTTTTAACCTCTTAAAATCTCAGTTCCCTCACTTATATAATGGGATAATGATAATCCATTTTACCTACCTCATGGGAATATTAGGAATTTAAACTGAATTAAAATTGGTAGGAGGTTATTATGATAGCATATAAAATATACCACTACTAATTAGCTACCATTTATTGACTGCTTACTCAAGTTGTGAGAAGTGGATATTTCATTTAATCTTTACAATAACCTTATAAAGAAATGACTAGCAACTTGATGTTACAGATGAGAAAACAGTGGCTTAGAAAGGTTAAGTATATATATCGATATACTACAGAATTAGATCTTTATGACTCAAAAGTCCGTGCTCTTAACCATGATGCCATAATGCTTCCTAATAATTGATACTTAACTTCTCTCCTGGTTCTGACATTTAATAGGCACCAAATAGTTTTTTAATTTAATTTTAATGAAGTCTTATGAAAAAAGTTATACTAATTTACAGTGTGACTTTTGTTACTTCCAAGTGTCTTCCAAGCCTGCTACATGAGATTTCAGATACCAAATTAATCATTTTTTCTCTCTCTCTAATTATAGCTAGCTATTGATTAGAACCTAAAGGTCAATATGGCACCACATAAAATACAGCAGGTCTATTTCCCTCTGAACAACGATTCTAGGAGAATTCACTGGAGAGCCTTTAACAATATTAATGTTCAGAGTAAAACATTATCTACATTTGGATTTCTCTCTACAAAACATGACCTTAACTAAAACAGCTCTAATAAAAATGACTATTGCCCTCTAATCTTTAATACAATTAAATTAAATTAATGTCCAGACTACAGATAAAGTAGGCCCAACTGAACAAACAAAACCCTGAAAACTAAAAATTATTTTAAAAGGTAGAGATGAAGAAAAGGGAACTAAGACATTTGGATTTGTACAGGAGTTTACCTAACACCATCTCAGTTTTTGATTCCCCCTTATGGGAGAACAAGTGCTTTATATCTGAGAACCTGAAGGTCTACAGGGAGCTTTTTCCTTTACTAAGGCACAAGGGTCCTGGGGCACCAATATACTGATAGAAAAGTCACAACCACCAATGTATCAACAAAGCACAAAAGTATCTTTAATTACTTTGTGAACATCATCACCCACTTATCGTAGAAATGAGAAGCAGAAAACTGTATAAAATTATTTTAGTCATGTACCACCACAATAATGATAGCTACAGTTTATGGAATACCCAATATGTACCAAGTCTTAAGATTATGCTTGTTCAGCAATTCTCGAAGTGTGGCCTTGGACCCCGGGAGGTCTCCGAGACCCTTTCAGAGGGTCTATGAAGTCAAACTATTTTCATGATAATATTAAGATGTTACTTTACTTTTTGACTGTGTTGCCATTTACACTGATGACGCAAAAACAATAATGGGTAAAAATGTTAGCATAATTCAAGGCAGTAACACTAAACTGTACTAATTGTATTCTTCATTGCCATATACTTGTGTTTTTTAAGCCAGTTTTACTTAAAGAATGCTTGATGAAACAGTAACAATTATTTTATTAATTTACTTCATTTGCACATCTTTTTGTTATTCTATATGAGGAAATGGGAAATATGCATAAAGCACTTTTGCTGTGGTAATACTAAGCATGACACCTGTTTGAAGAAAACTTGTATCCACCACAAGTTTTGCAACTTCCCAATACTTATAAAGACTTTCTGCTAGTATCTATGGTGATAGTAACAAAAATAGTTTTTAGAAAGATATTAGTGAAATGTATCAACACTTGGAAGCCCTGCATAACTCAGCAAACCAGTATTTTTTTTTTTTTTTTTTTTTTGAGACAGAGTTTCGCTCTTGTTGCCCAGGCTGTAGTGCAATGGCACGATCTCGGCTCACTGCAACCTCCGCCTCCCAGGCTCAAGCAATTGTCCTGCCTCAGCCTCCTGAGTAGCTGGGATTTCAGGCATGCGCCACCACGCCTGGCTAATTTTTTATATTTTTAGTAGAGACGGGGTTTCTTCATATTGGTCAGGCTGGTCTCGAACTCCAAACCTCAGGTGATCCGCCAGCGTCGGCCTCCCAAAGTGCTGGGATTACAGGTGTCAGCCACCGTGCCCGGCTGCAAACCAGTATTTTTTAAATGACCCTACATGGATGTTACAAAATCATGCATGAGTAAAGTATCCATTCAAAGTGCAAGACAGACTGATGTATTTTAATGTAATGGAGGACGAAAAGTTAAATACTATGGTTTCAGATTTCACACTGCATTAAAGAAACTACTACTTGGTGTAGTGTCAAAGAATAATATCCACAATTTTTAGGAAAAGCTATTAAAATATTCCTATTTCCAACTGTATTATCTGTGTGTAAATGGGCTTTCTTCATACATGAAAACATCACAACAGTCTGATGCAAAAACAAGAATCCAGCCATCTTACATGAAGCCAAGCATTAACTGAGATTTGAAAGCATAAAACAATGCCATTCATCTCACTAAATTTTTGTTTTCAATAGTTAATTTTCATTTAAAAATGTTATTTGTGTTAGCATGTACTGGGTTTATTTCTTTAAATGAATAAATATTTTGAAAGTTTCAGTTTTAGTGCCTAATCTAGCAAATGTTGATAGACATAACCTATATAAGACATAACCTATATAAGACATAACCATAACAAAAGCTCTTTTAGGTCATAAATCCTTTTCTAAGATTATAAAGATATCTGAGGCCCAAAAGTTTGACAACTACTGTTCTAGTTGGTAATAGTTGTCTTTTAAAACATCAGTCACAACTGTTCTGTGAAACAATTCCCCTTTTTACACTTGAGGAAACTTAGGCTCAGTGAAGTTAAGTGACCTAATCTATATTCTATATATCTGGTAAGTAGGAGCATTTAAACCAATCCAGGGTTCACTCCAAAGCTAGTGCTCATGCCACTGCACTATGCCATTAACATACAAAGACATTATACTAAATCTCCTTCTGATGAAACTAGGCCACTAGTGTGAACATCAAATAACATGCTGATGCCCATAGAAGATAGCAAAATATATGGCATTAGCATGAACTGTCAATTAATCGTCTACACTTCTGTAACATTTCTAGTAAGTTTTTCTGCATTCTCCCGTATTTTTAGTTGACATTTTCATCATGTTCATTTATCTCATTTTCCTCTCATTCTCCTGTTTCTACTTTACTGTACACCAAATCTATGAAGACTGCAAAGAAAACAAAGTTATTAAAGCAGTGATTTTATTTTTTAAACAATAAGTGTTCTTTATCTTAGATATTTTTTAGGTATTGCCCTATAGGGGAAAAATAATCTATATTTGATTATGATCAGGCTCTGCAAGTTAAATCTTGGAAGCAATTTCCAAGAAAGAGTCATGTAATATACATGAGAATTTAATACCCTCTATGCCAACATCGCTCCATATAGTAAATAATAAAAACTTAAGATGGTAGAATGAGAGGAACTATAAATCTGGCATTCATTTAAGATTTAACACGTTTACTTCCACTAAATTGCTGTAAGCGCTCTGATTATATACGTGCCTTTAAAAAAAAAAATTTGCCCAGAAGTTAACACAGTATCTAGCATACAAAAGACATTCAAATGAAGGTCTGCAGAATAAACAATTGCCTCAAAAACACAGTTTTACTTCTTTTAAGTCACCTCCACCCTGCCCATCATGTTCCCAACTCAGTGGTGCAAGACAAGTTAAGTATGAATTGAGACAAATCTTATCTTTCCCTCCCACTTAAGTCTATAAGTGCTATACTCATAACACTTTTAAAAAGCAGTAAAATTTATCCCAGAGTCTCTCTAGAAGGAATATATTATTTTTCATGTTTAAGAAAATCACTGTGGGTAAGCCTGACACACTGCCTGAGGCTCGAAAACTTTGCCAATCTTTTCAACAGCTATTTTATGATTAAAAAAAGATGTGACAAGAAATAAGATGTCAAAAAGAACTTCAATAATTTGTCAATGTTCACAGCTTAATTTTTAAGTTGAAATGTAATTTGCTACCCAGTGTGATTTTTAACTTCATATTATTAGCCAATTCATAATTTATTCACCAATTCATAATTTCAAGTTTAATATTCACAAACAAGAAACAAGTAAATATTTAGTTCTTAAGTAATTCTTTACTTTTATAAATTATTCACACAATGGGCAGCAGGAGGCAGCATAGGTTTTATGAGCATGTTTGAAATTTTAATATCACTGTGGCAGGCATTCAACCAAGTGGTTTGACTTCAGAATTCCAACTAACTTAAAAATAGATATGTTATTTTTCTCTTCTGCTGACATAGACATCCATGTGTCTTTGTGAGGAATTTTGGCTCCAGGTTATTCGCAAATCTAAGTCCAATTTTAACGCTTTGACACAGAAAAAAAAAACTCAGTATCAAGGCAAGAAACTTTAATAATGCCCATTTTGATTCTGTATACAAAAAAACCCAAAGCAGAGTATTCAAGAAATCAAAATATATATTTCATCTAAAAAAAAGACCTATGTTTAAAATAGACATATATATATATTTACAAACCCTAAACATTAAACAGCAATAATCAAATCAATGACTGAATTTACAATAAAAATACATTTGAAATAAATTTGAATATTTTAGAAAAATCAGAAAACTTTAACTAGATAAATATTTATGGATAAATTTACTACATACTAAAAGGAGTAGAGAGATACTTTAATATGTAGTAATAATCTATACTATCTGAAACCTAAATTTGGGGATTTTACAAAATAATAAAGCAGGAGTCAATAAATGCTTTTTGCACTTGGATTATAATTTAAAGGAAAAGCAAATATTGCTATTTTGCTACAAAGCAAATTTCAATCCCAGAAGTTTAGTTTTAAAAAAGTACATAGGTAGCCATTTGGTGGTCCTGGGTAGGCCACAGCAAGAGAAGAGATTATGTGTTACCAGTTTGTGAAATTCTTAGAGAAAAAATGTTTAAAATGCATAGAAAAAAAATCGGCTGACAAAAGTACTTCTCTAAATATACTTTCTAATGTATTTATCTTAAATGAACAAACTTGGTAGTTTGCCAAAAACATCTTAGAGAAAACTTATGTATATGTATAAACACTTCTGACAAAATTTTTTATTGACTTAATTCTAGGATGTAACAACATTAAGGACAGTATATTTCACTTAAGAAAGTGGAGGTACAGACTATTTGTACAAGAAGAAATAAGGGACTTAACAGATTTTTAAACCACTGATTAACTTCTTTCACTCTTATTTGTTATGTCCCAGATCATGACTCTCAGCATTAACTAATCCTGACTTCTAGGATCAACTGAGATTAAGCCAAGTATTGCAGACTCTGGAAGCAAATGGCAAAAGTTCTTGAAAGACCTAATAATTCTTTTGTGATCTGTTACATATGATCTATAAATATCCTAACCTACTATGTACTTACCTCAGTAGATAACCGTACCTCATAAAAAAAAGAAAGTCCATTAGGTATAAACACTTCAGCTGTTCTACCTAACACAAATACACACTAATCAGTATCTGCTCTCATCTTTCTCTCCTTCATCACAGAAAAGCTGCCATCCTTTTCATTCAAATTCTGTCTTTACCTTGTTTCCTTCTCACTCTGCCTAAAGGGTCTTACTCCATCAATTACTGTTCTGTTCTATTCTTCATGCCTTTCTCTCCCTCTGTACAACATTAGTTCCTTATCTTCTGCAATATAAATACCAAGCATGTCCACTTGAAAACAAACAAAACAAAACGCAAACTAAGCATTTAGTTTCATTTTCTCCTCTAGGTATGCTATTCACAGCAAACGTTTGGAAAGACAGACAAAAATTCATTTCTTTACTTCTCTTGCTTCCTGCTGTAAAAACATAAAGTCTTAGAGATTTTCATGGTCAAAAGCACATTGCTCTAAGAACTTTGCAATAGGTGTCCTCAGTTAATATGAAAAAGTACATAATGTACTTCAAGGGTTTTTTATTGTGGTAAAATATACATAACAAAATTTATTATTCTAACTATTTTTAAGTGTACAGTTCAGTGGCATTAAGTACATTCACACTGCTGTGCAACCATTAGTCTACTGTAATCTTTTAACTTTTTACTTGGAAATAAATTTTCAAAATTCAGAAAAGTTGAAAGATTTAAAAAGTATAAAACATACTTTTTATAAGAAGAAATCATTTCTTCTGTCTCGAATGTAATTTAAGGCATGTGAAATCCCTCCGCTACAATTCCATTTTAAAAAGGGGGCTAAAACATTCCAAATGGCATTGTGGCAATTTAAACAATGTTCCCAAATATAATGGCTTTAGGCAGTTTAGGGATGGATATTTGCAGCAGAATTCATCATGACATAGGCAGACAAGCCTATATAATATCTCTATTAATGGAAAAAAAGCAGTATATTATATCCTTTCTCCAGATTCAGCTATTATTAACATTTTAATAATAGGGTTTTTTTTTTTCTGGACCATTTGAGATTAAGTTACAAACATGGCCCTTTACTTCTAAATACCTCAATTCTACTTCAATCTTGCGTCTATGTCTAATGTTCCTCAAACACTGCTTTTACTATACCACTAATAAATGCTAAATCAAACTGGCACTTTTTAATCCTTATTCTGCTTAATCTATGGACACTCTTCCCCTGAAAGATCTACACTTCTCTGTTTTTCCTTTGATAACCCCATCTCCAATATTTTCTCATATCTTTCCAGCTCCCCCTTCTCATTCCTTTCTACAGTTGCTCCTTCTCTCTAGCTTTAGCTCACTTCTCTTCCTCAGCAAAGCCAATGTTCCTTACTTTGTCTATTTCTTGCCCTTCGATCTCCAATTTTCCTGAAGGATCCTGTCTGTGTCTGTGGCATTCAATTCCTATATAGGTGGATGGTTATTAAATATATAATATTTCCTGAGTTTTAGACTTATATTCCTAACTGCCTAATAATGCTGTTTACCTAGATGATAAACTCAACAAATTAAAATATAAACTTGGCATCCTTCCACCCCCAAAATCTGTTCCTTCTTCCTATATTCCCCATTTTGCTAAATAGTAAATCTAGTTGTATACATCCCAAATACATCTATCCCTGCTTCCCTTTCTCTCATTTGGTACGTGTCACAAAAGCTAACTAATTATCCTGCCCACATACGCTTATCATCTCTCAAATATTTCTTGACATTGGTACTGCCCCCAACTTTTCTCTCCTAGGCTATTACAATCATCATCTAACTAATTTTTCTCCCACTGTCCCAAATTTATCCTCTATACTACCACCACCACAGTCTTTTCCAAAATGCAAATTACAGTATACCATTTTTCTTATCCTTTGGTGCCTCTCCATTTCCTCTATGATTAAAAAATAGCACAAATTTTCAGCATAATTTCGCTTCTATCCCTGTTGCCATTATCCCATAATTCCATGCATGCACTTCTGCCCTGCATATACCAAACTACTTGTGTTCTTCAAATATGTGATGCTTTCTCCTGACAATGTTTTAAACATATCATTTCTTCTGTCTTGAATATAATTTAAGGCGTGTGAAATCCCTCCACTACAATTCCATTTTAAAACAGGGGCTAAAACATTACAAATGGCATTGTGGCAATTTAAACAATGTTCCCAAATATAACAACTTTAGGCAGTGTAGGGATGAATTTTTGCAGCAGAATTCATCATGACATAGGCAGACAAGCCTATATAATATCTCTATTAATGGAATAAAAAAAGAAATAACGGTGGCATTATTATAGATTTTGGTCCTCTACCATTAAATATACTTGCATAGACTAATATTAAAAATTGACAAAATGTCAAGAAAATATGAAAGTAAGAAATTTCTAAGGCTCTTTAAATTTTAAGTCTTTTAGCTATTGATATAAAATGATTCTATAGGTCAGTAATGTAAGTGTGCCCTCATTTTATAAATAAGAAATAGGAATGACCAAGAAAATCATATATAGTCACAAAATTATAATAAATTGTCCCTTATTGGGGGAAAAAACCATGCACAGCAAGTTTTTAATTTGGGAAAAAATTCCTATATCACTTTTCCACATATTCTCAGTCCCAGACTGGGGGAAGGGAATACATAATACCACAAGGCACAACACAAACAGATGTTCTGAAGTCAAAGACTGGCTTAGAGAACCGTAGTAGGCTTTGAAGTAGAAAGTTTATGAAATCAGAAATAACTTTAAAATAGTATAATTTATTTAGTTAAATAAAGAGTGGGTTACACAAAACCACAATATGATACCTATTAAAACAGAAAATAACAAGTGCTAGTGAGGATATGGAGAGACTGGAGTCCTTATGCACTGCTGGTGGGAATGTAAAATGGTGCAGCTGCTGTAAAAATAGTACAGCAGTTCTTGAAAACATTAAACATATAACCACCACAGGACCCAGCAACTGCACTTTTGGGTATATATTCAAAAGATTTCAAAGTAGGAACTCAAACAGACATTTGCACACTAATATTCATTGCAGCATTATTCACAATAGCCAAAGGATAATAACAACCCACATGTCCACTTACAGATGAAAGCATAAACAAGATGTGGTATATAATACAATAGAATGTTACTCAGTCTTAAAAAGGAATGAGATTCTGATACATCTACAACATGGAGGAACCCTGAAGTCATCATGCTAAGTGAAATAACTCACACACAAGAGGACAAATATCATATGGTTCCACCTATATGAGGTACCTAAAATAGTCCAATTCACAGAGACAAAAAGTAGAATGGTGATTGCCAAGGGCTGGGAGGAGGGGAGAATGGGGAGCTGTTTAATGGGTAGAGAACTTCAGTTTGAGAAGATAGAAAAGTTCTGGAGATGGATGGTAGTAATCGTTGCACAACAGTGTGAATATACTTAATGCCACTGAACTGTACACTTAAAAATAGTTAGAATGGCAAATTTGGCTATACATATTTTACCACAAAAAAGCATTTTTAAGTGCATCACACACACACTTTCATATTAAATGAGGAAACCTCCTGCAAAGTTCTTACAGCAATGCACTTCTGACCATCAAAATCTCTACGATCTTGTGTTTTTATAACTATCAGGAAGCAAGCATCATTTTGTAACAAGTACTGAACTTGCAGTTATTGTTCAATCTCACTGACTTTTGCTATGATTTCTGGCCAACCCTTTACTGTTTCCTGTAATACTTGGTTACCAAACTTATCAGATTTTATCAGGCGAGACATTCTAATATGGGAAAGGAAGGTTATTTCCTTAATATAAGTGTTTCCTTCTGATAGTATACCATTTGATGAAAACAAAATAATTTAACATTTAATCACATTCTTTGTCTGCAAACTGAAAAATAATCCCCACAAAAGCCTTAAGCATAACAAAGACTAAAAAACTTTAAAATTTGCTGTTCATTGCTCTTTTATATTGTGAAAAATTATATCCCTTCTACTCCTCTGAATTATAAAATTTGAAAACATTGTCTTTGATTGCAACATAATAATCCCTTTGCTAATCATCTTCCTTGACTTCTCTCGCCCAAATTCTTCAGGTATGTACTCCCAATAGGAACCCTGAATCCTGTATACGTTCAAATATCTAACTTTCTTTGCTTCTGGGCTGTTATGTGTTGCTAACAAATCGCCTATAATAATCCCACACCATTGCATAGTTATTGGTGCCAAATTGAACTTTTCCAGAAGGCTCTTTATCAATCTTTCTATGTGTTCTTAACTACTATGGCAGTCATTAGAGTTGTTCACACATACTTCCATTCAATTCCAAGCACCTGTAAAATTGCACTTTTCTACCTTCTCTGAAATCAGGCCTGGTTAGAAGACTAGCTCTGGTCAATGATACAGAAGTGGAAGTGCATGTGTCACTTCGGGTTTGAAGTTTTAAGAGTTGGCACGTGATTCTCCACAATATATCTTCCTTTATGTCCTCCTCACCCATATCCCCTTAGCCTGGGATCCTGAGTGACTCCTAAGAAGAGACTACACTGACCACCTCTGGACTTGTATTGTCAGCAAGAAACAAACTTGAGTTAACACCTTGAGATTTTGAAGATACTACCATTGCATAATCTAAAACCTACCTATCCTGATAGAGTTTCCCCTTTTCTCATAGCTTTCCCATCTTTTAAAAGCCTTCAAGTATGAATGCTCTCAACTTCCCTCATCATTACTCATAAACTTATCAGTAACAGGACCATTCTTATTTTCTTTACGCTTACCTCAATGGACCATTCTCTTTTTATGCCTATTTCCCATAGACATAAAAGGTAGGAGGTAAATAAAGTCAGAAAGACCAACAGTCTACAGCCAGTTTCTAAGCTATCAGAATATGACATTTTTCTTTGCAAATATAGAAATATACCTTCTGTTAAGTAAAAGTAAAGTGTTAACAAGCCACCATAGACAGATACTCCTGCCTATCTGGGTCTCAAATCACAGTTTTAAGGGCTAGTATCAAAAGCAATGTGTTCAAGGGTCCCTA
Source organism: Homo sapiens (assembly GCF_000001405.40). Lineage (NCBI taxonomy): Eukaryota > Metazoa > Chordata > Mammalia > Primates > Hominidae > Homo > Homo sapiens. Next base: position 119,280,269 of record NC_000004.12, on the reverse strand, counting down.
ATGTGGACACTTAAAATGCAAACTGCTACCAAAAAAAAAAAAACATTGAAAGACTTCATCATCTAAATCAAAAAAGGAAGCAATCTAATGCTATCTTTAATAAGAGACATATCCAAACAGCACATGAAAAAAGGCTGCAAACGGGGGAGGAGCCAAGATGGCCGAATAGGAACAGCTCCAGTCTACAGCTCCCAGCGTGAGCGACGCAGAAGACGGGTGATTTCTGCATTTCCATCTGAGGTACCGGGTTCATCTCACTAGGGAGTACCAGACAGTGGGCGCAGGCCAGTGGGTGTGCGCACCGTGTGCGAGCCAAAGCAGGGCGAGGCATTGCCTCACCTGGGAAGCACGAGGGGTCAGGGAGTCCCCTTTCCGAGTCAAAGAAAGGGGTGACGGACGCACCTGGAAAATCGGGTCACTCCCACCCGAATATTGCGCTTTTCGGACCGGCTTAAAAAGCGGCGAACCACGAGATTATATCCCACACCTGGCTCAGAGGGTCCTACGCCCATGGAATCTCGCTGACTGCTAGCACAGCAGTCTGAGATCAAACTGCAAGGCGACAGCGAGGCTGGGGGAGGGGCGCCCGCCATTGCCCAGGCTTGCTTAGGTAAACAAAGCAGCCAGGAAGCTCGAACTGGGTGGAGCCCACCACAGCTCAAGGAGGCCTGCCTGCCTCTGTAGGCTCCACCTCTGGGGGCAGGGCACAGACAAACAAAAAGACAGCAGTAACCTCTGCAGACTTAAGTGTCCCTGTCTGACAGCTTTGAAGAGAGCAGTGGTTCTCCCAGCACGCAGCTGGAGATCTGAGAACCGGCAGACTGCCTCCTCAAGTGGGTCCCTGACCCCTGACCCCCGAGCAGCCTAACTGGGAGGCACCCCCCAGCAGGGGCACACTGACACCTCACACGGCAGGGTACTCCAACAGACATGCAGCTGAGGGTCCTGTCTGTTAGAAGGAAAACTAACAAACAGAAAGGACATCCACACCAAAAACCCATCTGTACATCACCATCATCAAAGACCAAAAGTAGATAAAACCACAAAGATGGGGAAAAAACAGAACAGAAAAACTGGAAACTCTAAAACGCAGAGCGCCTCTCCTCCTTCAAAGGAACGCAGTTCCTCACCAGCAACAGAACAAAGCTGGATGGAGAATGACTTTGACGAGCTGAGAGAAGAAGGCTTCAGACGATCAAATTACTCTGAGCTACGGGAGGACATTCAAACCAAAGGCAAAGAAGTTGAAAACTTTGAAAAAAGTTTAGAAGAATGTATAACTAGAATAACCAATACAGAGAAGTGCTTAAAGGAGCTGATGGAGCTGAAAACCAAGGCTCGAGAACTACGTGAAGAATGCAGAAGCCTCAGGAGCCGATGTGATCAACTGGAAGAAAGGGTATCAGCAATGGAAGATGAAATGAATGAAATGAAGCGAGAAGGGAAGGTTAGAGAAAAAAGAATAAAAAGAAATGAGCAAAGCCTCCAAGAAATATGGGACTATGTGAAAAGACCAAATCTACGTCTAATTGGTGTACCTGAAAGTGATGGGGAGAATGGAACCAAGTTGGAAAACACTCTGCAGGATATTATCCAGGAGAACTTCCCCAATCTAGCAAGGCAGGCCAACGTTCAGATTCAGGAAATACAGAGAACGCCACAAAGATACTCCTCAAGAAGAGCAACTCCAAGACACATAATTGTCAGATTCACCAAAGTTGAAATGAAGGAAAAAATGTTAAGGGCAGCCAGAGAGAAAGGTCGGGTTACTCTCAAAGGGAAGCCCATCAGACTAACAGTGGATCTCTCGGCAGAAACCCTACAAGCCAGAAGAGAGTGGGGGCCAATATTCAACATTCTTAAAGAAAAGAATTTTCAACCCAGAATTTCATATCCAGCCAAACTAAGCTTCATAAGTGAAGGAGAAATAAAATACTTCACAGACAAGCAAATGCTGACCGATTTTGTCACCACTAGGCCTGCCCTAAAAGAGCTCCTGAAGGAAGCGCTAAACATGGAAAGGAACAACCGGTACCAGCCGCTGCAAAATCATGCCAAAATGTAAAGACCATCGAGACTAGGAAGAAACTGCATCAACTAACGAGCAAAATCACCAGCTAACATCATAATGACAGGATCAAATTCACACATAACAATAGTAACTTTAAATGTAAATGGACTAAATTCTCCAATTAAAAGACACAGACTGGCAAATTGGATAAAGAGTCAAGACCCATCAGTGTGCTGTATTCAGGAAACCCATCTCACGTGCAGAGACACACATAGGCTCAAAATAAAAGGATGGAGGAAGATCTACCAAGCCAATGGAAAACAAAAAAAGGCAGGGGTTGCAATCCTAGTCTCTGATAAAACAGACTTTAAACCAACAAAGATCAAAAGAGACAAAGAAGGCCATTACATAATGGTAAAGGGATAAATTCAACAAGAAGAGCTAACTATCCTAAATATATATGCACCCAATACAGGAGCACCCAGATTCATAAAGCAAGTCCTGAGTGACCTACAAAGAGACTTAGACTCCCACACATTAATAATGGGAGACTTTAACCCCCCACTGTCAACATTAGACAGATCAACGAGACAGAAAGTCAACCAGGATACCCAGGAATTGAACTCAGCTCTGCACCAAGCAGACCTAATAGACATCTACAGAACTCTCCACCCCAAATCAACAGAATATACATTTTTTTCAGCACCACACCACACCTATTCCAAAATTGACCACATAGTTGGAAGTAAAGCTCTCCTCAGCAAATGTAAAAGAACAGAAATTATAACAAACTATCTCTCAGACCACAGTGCAATCAAACTAGAACTCAGGATTAAGAATCTCACTCAAAGCCGCTCAACTACATGGAAACTGAACAACCTGCTCCTGAATGACTACTGGGTACATAACGAAATGAAGGCAGAAATAAAGATGTTCTTTGAAACCAACGAGAACAAAGACACAACATACCAGAATCTCTGGGACGCATTCAAAGCAGTGTGTAGAGGGAAATTTATAGCACTAAATGCCCACAAGAGAAAGCAGGAAAGATCCAAAATTGACACCCTAACATCACAATTAAAAGAACTAGAAAAGCAAGAGCAAACACATTCAAAAGCTAGCAGAAGGCAAGAAATAACTAAAATCAGAGCAGAACTGAAGGAAATAGAGACACAAAAAAACCTTCAAAAAATCAATGAATCCAGGAGCTGGTTTTTTGAAAGGATCAACAAAATTGATAGACCACTAGCAAGACTAATAAAGAAAAAAAGAGAGAAGAATCAAATAGACACAATAAAAAATGATAAAGGGGATATCACCACCGATCCCACAGAAATACAAACTACCATCAGAGAATACTACAAACACCTCTACGCAAATAAACTAGAAAATCTAGAAGAAATGGATAAATTCCTCAACACATACACTCTCCCAAGACTAAACCAGGAAGAAGTTGAATCTCTGAATAGACCAATAACAGGAGCTGAAATTGTGGCAATAATCGATAGTTTACCAACCAAAAAGAGTCCAGGACCAGATGGATTCACAGCTGAATTCTACCAGAGGTACAAGGAGGAACTGGTACCATTCCTTCTGAAACTATTCCAATCAATAGAAAAAGAGGGAATCCTCCCTAACTCATTTTATGAGGCCAGCATCATTCTGATACCAAAGCCGGGCAGAGACACAACCAAAAAAGAGAATTTTAGACCAATATCCTTGATGAACATTGATGCTAAAATCCTCAATAAAATACTGGCAAAACAAATCCAGCAGCACATCAAAAAGCTTATCCACCATGATCAAGTGGGCTTCATCCCTGGGATGCAAGGCTGGTTCAATACACGCAAATCAATAAATGTAATCCAGCATATAAACAGAGCCAAAGACAAAAACCACATGATTATCTCAATAGATGCAGAAAAAGCCTTTGACAAAATTCAACAATGCTTCATGCTAAAAACTCTCAATAAATTAGGTATTGATGGGACGTATTTCAAAATAATAAGAGCTATCTATGACAAACCCACAGCCAATATCATACTGAATGGGCAAAAACTGGAAGCATTCCCTTTGAAAACTGGCACAAGACAGGGATGCCCTCTCTCACCACTCCTATTCAACATAGTGTTGGAAGTTCTGGCCAGGACAATTAGGCAGGAGAAGGAAATAAAGGGTATTCAATTAGGAAACGAGGAAGTCAAATTGTCCCTGTTTGCAGACGACATGATTGTATATCTAGAAAACCCCATTGTCTCAGCCCAAAATCTCCTTAAGCTGATAAGCAACTTCAGCAAAGTCTCAGGATACAAAATCAATGTACAAAAATCACAAGCATTCTTATACACCAACAACAGACAAACAGAGAGCCAAATCGTGAGTGAACTCCCATTCACAACTGCTTCAAAGAGAATAAAATACCTAGGAATCCAACTTACAAGGGATGTGAAGGACCTCTTCAAGAAGAACTACAAACCGCTGCTCAAGGAAATAAAAGAGGATACAAACAAATGAAAGAACATTCCATGCTCATGGGTAGGAAGAATCAATATCGTGAAAATGGCCATACTGCCCAAGGTAATTTACAGATTCAATGCTATCCCCATCAAGCTACCAATGACTTTCTTCACAGAATTGGAAAAAACTACTTGAAAGTTCATATGGAACCAAAAAAGAGCCCGCATCGCCAAGTCAATCCTAAGCCAAAAGAACAAAGCTGGAGGCATCACACTACCTGACTTCAAACTATACTACAAGGCTACAGTAACCAAAACAGCATGGTACTGGTACCAAAACAGAGATATAGATCAATGGAACAGAACAGAGCCCTCAGAAATAACGCCACATATCTAGAACTATCTGATCTTTGACAAACCTGAGAAAAACAAGCAATGGGGAAAGGATTCCCTATTTAACAAATGGTGCTGGGAAAACTGGCTAGCCATATGGAGAAAGCTGAAACTGGATCCCTTCCTTACACCTTATACAAAAATCAATTCAAGATGGATTAAAGATTTAAACGTTAGACCTAAAACCATAAAAACCCTAGAAGAAAACCTAGGCATTACCATTCAGGACATAGGCATGGGCAAGGACTTCATGTCCAAAACACCAAAAGCAATGGCAACAAAAGCCAAAATTGACAAATGGGATCTAATTAAACTAAAGAGCTTCTGCACAGCAAAAGAAACTACCATCAGAGTGAACAGGCAACCTACAAAATGGGAGAAAATTTTCGCAACCTACTCATCTGACAAAGGGCTAATATCCAGAATCTACAATGAACTCAAACAAATTTACAAGAAAAAAACAAACAACCCCATCAAAAAGTGGGCAAAGGACATGAACAGACACTTCTCAAAAGAAGACATTTATGCAGCCAAAAAACACATGAAAAAATGCTCATCATCACTGGCCATCAGAGAAATGCAAATCAAAACCACAATGAGATACCATCTCACACCAGTTAGAATGGTGATCATTAAAAAGTCAGGAAACAACAGGTGCTGGAGAGGATGTGGAGAAATAGGAACACTTTTACACTGTTGGTGGGACTGTAAACTAGTTCAACCCTTGTGGAAGTCAGTGTGGCGATTCCTCAGGGATCTAGAACTAGAAATACCATTTGACCCAGCCATCCCATTACTGGGTATATACCCAAATGACTATAAATCATGCTGCTATAAAGACACATGTACACGTATGTTTATTGCGGCATTATTCACAATAGCAAAGACTTGGAACCAACCCAATGTCCAACAATGATAGACTGGATTAAGAAAATGTGGCACATATACACCATGGAATACTATGCAGCCATAAAAAATGATGAGTTCGTGTCCTTTGTAGGGACATGGATGAAATTGGAAATCATCATTCTCAGTAAACTATCTCAAGAACAGAAAACCAAACACGGCATATTCTCACTCATAGGTGGGAATTGAACAATGAGATCACATGGACACAGGAAAGGGAATATCACACTCTGGGGACTGCGGTGGGGTGGGGGGAGGGGGGAGGGATAGCACTGGGAGATATACCTAATGCTAGATGACGAGTTAGTGGTGCAGCGCACCAGCATGGCACATGTATACATATGTAACTAACCTGCACAATGTGCACATGTACCCTAAAACTTAAAGTATAATAAAAAAATAAATAAATAAATAAAAAATAATAATAAAAAAATAAAACAAGAGGACCAAGAAAAAAAAAAAAGGCTGCAAACTTCAAAAGCAATAGTTATCCAATCAAATAAAAAGTAAGATACAAAACCATTATTAACACTTTGTGAAGTCAATGTGGAAAGTATAGCATGCTTTCTTTTGTATGACAATACAATACAAAAAAGAATGCTGATTTCCTTCTTTCCACATGTACTTCATTAAAACATATATTAACTTAATAAAACTTGTTTATTGATATTTTAGGGTTATTTAAAAATAATTTTTATAGTCATATAGGATTTTCTCTCAGATACATAATAGCAAACAATAAATTACTATAATTCATTTTTTACAGCAACTATTATATTCAAATAAGTTTTTTACCTTCTAAGTGATGTTGGCTCTGAAGGGAGGTACAGTCCCCACGTTCTTTATTTAGGTTGCTTGTCGTAATCTGGTCACTAGAAAATAAAATACACACTAAACACATCAGGTATTATGGACTGCCTTTGTTTAGTCTAAAAAAAAACAACATTTGTTAAACATTTATTATATGCCATGTGCTGTTCTAGGGCTTAATGTACATTATTTAATACTTAAAAGTAGTTGTTATCTTCATTTTACAGAAGATAAAGACTGTAAAAGTCAAATTAATTTGCCCAATAATTAAAATCTAAGTCTATCTGGTTATAAAGTCCTGATCTTTCTACTACCCTAGGCTACTCCATTCCAAGAAGAATTATAAAATTACCTTGTCAAGTCTTTTTTTTTTTTTTTGAGCCAGGACCTTTTGCTCTTTTGCCCAGGATGGAGTGCAGTGGTACAAACATGGTTCACTGCAGCCTCGACCTCCTGGGCTCAAAAATCCTCCCACCTCAGCCTCCCAAGTAGCTGGGACCACAGGCATATGCCACAATACCTGGCTAATATTTTAAAACTGTTTCCTAGAGATGATGAGATCTTTCCATGTTGCTCAGGCTAGTATTGAACTCCTGGGCTCAAGCAATCCTCCTGCCTCAGCCTCCCAAGGTGCTGTGATTACAGGTGTGTAAACACTACACCTGGCCCTTTCCTTAAGTCTTTATTGAAACAAGCATTTTCATAAAACATGAGCAGTTGATTTTTGCAAATCTACCTTTTAATAACAAATGTGGTCAAATATCAGCTAATATCAAACAAACACATTGTTAGAAGGATTAAACAGTAATATAATAAATGTATTTAGAATTAATCGAACACAAAGTTATTTGGCTGATTTTTTTTATATTTGCTAAAGGGAAAATATCTCTTCCATGAGAATGAGTGTGACAGTAAAAACTAGCTTCAGTTCTGAGTTACAAATGTTAGAGATGGGATTATAAACATTATATAGATTGAAGAATTAAACAACAGCCTGGGCATAGTGGCTCAGGCCTGTAATCCCAGCACTTTGGGAGGCCAAGGCAGGTGGATCACCTGAGGTTGGGAGTTCAAGAGTAGCCTGGGGAAACCCCGTCTCTAAAAATACAAAAATTAGCCAGGCGTGGTGGTGCGTGTCTGTAGTCCCAGCTACTTGGGAAGTTAAGGCAGGAGAATCGCTTGAACCTGGGAGGCGGAGGTTGCAGTGACCCGTAATTGCGCCACTGCACTCCAGCCTGGGCAACAGAGTGAGACTCCTTCCCCTCCCACCAAAAAAAGAAGAATTAAACAACCACCTTAATGACTTAGATGATACCAATTGAAGTCTGTGCTTTAAAACCAATCAATTGTTGACAGTGACACAACAATGATAATAAACTTCTGTACTTTCCAAATTTTCTAAAAATAAAAAGCTGCTATTTTTGGAATCAGGAAATAACTATTCAAAATGGAAATCTAAAATATCAAATAAACTACAATATCCTAGGTTTCTTTACAGAAACATACTTGTGTTTAAAAGAAACAAACTTTTTAAAGCTCTTTAAAACAGCTCATGCTGTTTCTGTTCTATTTAATTGACCCCAAACTTCAAAAATTACTTCATGCAATTAACAAAAAAGAAGAGTGATGGAAAAATGATTCACTCAACTTTTACATTACCTGAAGCATACTGTTTCTTTAACACCACTGATATCCATTACTGTACCATTTCCATCGATAACAGGTGAGTCCAAATTAGTAGAACCATTACTGATGTGATCACTGCTTTCATATCCAGACTCAGTCCTTTGCATCTGCCAATTATCACCATGCACTTTACCCTCTACAAGGCCTTTATTTTTCTCTGCTCCTTTTCCATTAGATTCAAGGGAACTTCTGCTTCCTATTTCCTGCTTCATTTCATCTTCATATATGGTCATTAAACCTTTTTGCTTTGGATTCTCTTTTGGCCAATTACTAAAACTCGGATCCTTGCTAGATTTAGGCTTATTACTGATATTTGGTTTATGTCTTGGACTATGCTGTCTTTTTTCACTTTCACTAAAAATACTATCAACATTTAATGTTTCTCTCATAGGTTTCCAACCTCGGTTCCGGCTTTTACTGCTGCTATCACAGCTGTTTCCTCTATCCCTAGAATCTTGGCTGCTGTCTGTGTCATATCCAGTGCCATTGTCACTCTTAACTTTGCCAGTTATTTTCTCTCCTGGAGCAAGAATCTGGGATTTACTTGAACTTATTATTTGTGCAGAAGCTCGACTCTGAGGTACAACTCGGTCATGTTTATATGATCCTTTTCCTTGACTATGATATAGATGTGGATTCCCATGTTGTTTAAAACCATTTGGGGCAGGAGGTGATCCAGATTGGAAATGTGAAAGGTCTTCATCAACCAAATCTTAAAAAAAAAAATTAAAGATACACATGAATTACTCCTCAGAGCCACCTTGTAGTCACAAGGCAAATACCTGTTAGAGATAAAATGTTAAAGAGTTTTAGGTAAATAGTAATTACAAGTACATATCACATACTGCTTTGAGATTAAAAAGTGATTTTCCAGTCCTTGTGTATGCTTAATGAGGGGTATTTGTAAAAGAAACTTCAAAAAATGATCTCTAAGGTAGATCATAATTGAGGCAGTTTTTAAAAAAATAAGCACTCTATCTCACTCATAACAAAAATCATAAAAATATTTTCCACTTCTTATATTGGTAAAGATTTAAAAGTTTGTTAAACCAATTGTTGCTGAGAGTGTGAACAAACAGACATCCAATCATTGTTGGTGGGAGTGCAGACTAGTTCAGTCTTTCAAGAGGGCAACTGAGCCACATCTGTCAAAATTAAAAGTAAACATATCCTGACCCAGAAATTCCTCTGAAGGAATTTTATGCTATGGCTCTAGGCAAAAACGTATAAAGGTATGTGTGAAAAAAGATGTTGCTGAAGCAAAAATCTTAAATCAGCCTGTAAAGTCTATCACTATCAGTTAAATTATGCTCTGTCCATAAAGAAAAAAGCATAGAACCATAAAGAGACATGCTTATAATGTGGAAATGGAAATACTAAGTAAAGAGGGGGAAGGTCAGGGATTGCCAGAAAAGGAGTCCCTTCACTTAATTTTATAAACTTCCTTATTACTTGAATGTGCCATGAGTGAATTATATCTGTAAGTAAGTTAAAACATCGAAACACATATATACAAGTATCCCAGGTTAGAATTAAGAACAAACCAGGATATTTTGCATATTTAGATTTAGTATAGGTGTATTAAAGAACTCATATTAATAAATATATAAAATATAATAGGTCTGGGTACCCCTGTAATCCCAGCACTTTGGGAGGCTGAGGTAAGAGGATCGTTTGAGGCCAGCAGTTCAAGACCACTCTGAGCAACATGGCAAGACCCTATCTCTACAAATAACTTTTTAAAATTTAGCCAGGTGTGGTGGCATGTGCCTGTAGTCCTAGCTACTCAGGAGGCTAAGACGTGAGGAGAGCTTGAACCCAGGAGTTCAAGACTGCAGAGAGCTATGATTGTGTCACTGCACTCTAGGCTGGACAAGAGTGAACTCTCACCTCTTCAAAATAAAGTTATTAAAAATAACTTTAATATAATTTAATTTCTATATATAAACTATATAAATTATATATAATTTATATATTTATACATATACAGAAATATATGTAATTTATATATTTCTATATTAGATATAGGTATATATATTTAACTTATATATTTATGTATTTTTAATATATATTATTTAACATATACAGAAATTAAAGTTATAAAATTCAGTTTTAAAATAAGATTTTTAGAAGTTCCTTTTAAAATCAATAGTACAAGATCTTAACTTACCTCTATGTCGTCCTAAATCTTTTCTTTGTCCCTTCTCTAAATCTTTCCTTTGTGAAGAAAGTAAGTTTTTCTGTTCAATAGCTTTCAGAGCACATTCTCTGGAAATGTCTTTTATCTTTTCCCTTTGATCAATGTGACTTAACTTAGCTGTAAAAGAAATCATTCTTACTATGATACAGATCATTTTTCAAATTGCCCAATAAAAATAAAAATTGATCTATATAAAAATGTTAAGATATATTTAAAAAGAGCATAGATATGTAGATATATAGTATACAATGGTATTTTTATGATTAAAAACTAGATGTGATTTTTCTTGACACTGGAGATGCATGTTGTATTTTAAAACTCCTTGTATAGCCCCTAAAACAAGTATAAAAAAAGAAAGAGATCTGCCATTAAAATAATAAGAGCTAAAGGTAACTGAATGGTCACTATTTGCCAGTTGTCTTACTCATTTACTTCTTTGAGGTACAATTACTGTCTCTATTTTGGGTAAGGAAACTGAGGCAGAGAGAAATTAGAAATTTGCCCAAGTTCACAAAGTTTGTAAGTCTAGAACCAGGAATATGAACCCAAGTTGTCTTGTTCCAATGCTTCTATTCTTACACACATATATACTATTTCTGGGCTTAAAACTAGGTGTCTTTTGAAAAACATAAAATGTCTGAATCTAAGAGTATCAATAATCTGTGAAAGGAAAAGAGATACAGCTTCATTAAGAATTTTTAAAAAGCCTTTATTTTAGTTTTTTGTGGATAACTGTTAATTCTCAATCTTACTACCCTTGATTAAATGAGTTACTTTTATGATTACACATTATTTCATTAATATGTTTAAAGGTTGCTAACAAAATCATCCTGAACATCCACACAAGAGTTAGATGTATTTCTAAACTGTAATGGTACACAGTATTGTGAGGTTTCATTCTGGACCCAAGTTACAGAACCTGGCTTGTAAAAATTAGTTATGGGATAACAGTAACAAGACAGAGTTGAATAAAAACGAGGTTAAGAACAAACTACAGCAATAGTAACTTTGAACTGCTGTTGCATTCACTACCAGTAAATTTAATTTTGGCATTTATGCCAAATTACTAACTCATGTTTTTCTGCTCCAAGCTGATAATTAACTCCTTGAATGAAATGCCACATTATTGCTTTATTTGGTAACTGTCCAGATTGCCTCAGGCCTACCACAGTCTGAGTGCATGAAGAAACTCAAACAACTCATGGAATCAAACTGGTCAGGTAAAACTACAGCTCTCAGAGAAATGCATAAATCAAAAGACGAATTTTGTTATCTATTTGTTATTATCTTTTCACAGCCAAGGAAAGCTAGGTAAGCATCCTCCGATAAGTGAAGAAAGGAGGACACTCACTTGGAACTATGTAAAAATGACAATTTAAACACATACCTGGTCCTTTCCCTACACCTGTGTGACTGTGGCTCCGATTAGATGATGAAATATTATCAGTTGGAAATTTCTGATTTTCTCTCTGCTTTGCCTGATCACCAAATCCATTTTCTTTTAAATTATCTGACTTATGAATTACAGGCTTTTCACATCCTTAAAAAGAGAAGCAAAAATGTATCATTCCTTTCCTTCCCATGAGAAGAGATGTTTGAATCATTTTTTTCAGATTTTTTTTTTTTTTTTTTTTGAGACGGAGTCTCGCTCTGTCGCCCAGGCCGGACTGCGGACTGCAGTGGCGCAATCTCGGCTCACTGCAAGCTCCGCCTCCCGGGTTCACGCCATTCTGCTGCCTCAGCCTCCCGAGTAGCTGGGACTACAGGCGCCCGCCACCGCGCCCGGCCAATTTTTTGTATTTTTAGTAGAGACGGGGTTTCACCTTGTTAGCCAGGATGGTCTCGATCTCCTGACCTCATGATCCACCCGCCTCGGCCTCCCAAAGCATTGGGATTACAGGCGTGAGCCACCGCGCCCGGCCCAGATTATTTTTAACTGTAAAAAAAGTTACTTAAAACTTAAGCGGATTGACATCATTTAAGAATTTTGAATTGCTTTATAATGCATCCAAAAATGACCTAGCTGTTTCGGACTTTTCCAGTTTACTAAATCACTTAAAATGTACTTCTAGAAAGAGCTACTAATGAAGCCTCTTCTGTGATTGTGTGACCATAATAGTGGGTAACTCCTGAAGGTGCTTCTGAGGCCACCGATGAGAAAAGGTTCATTCCAAAATACTAACAAAAATTACTAAAATTTCCTCAGCTCTACTGAAAGTCAAATTTGAAATTATCCTCTATATTCATTTTATATTCAGAGTACTAGTATTCCTAGTTGACTGTGATAATAGAAAAACATTGAGAATTTTTAAAAGAAAGAATTACCCATATTTTCTGCAACAGATTTGTAATGTGACCAGCTGATGACCTGCCTGAGTGCATCCTCAGTAGAAACTGCTGTGCCATCTGGGTTTGCATAAAACAAAAGTAGTGGCTGAAAGTGGCATCGAATGCATTTGGAGACAACATCTTTCCATCTAGTTCCAATCTTTTAAAAAAACACAATGAATAAAGACAAAACAAAACCTTGTAATCAATGTGTTACATGAAAAGACAGACTCTGAGTTACTTTATATTTTTAAAAAATTTAGATATGCAGCTGCTAGTAGTTCAAGTATGTATCATATAATTAACTGTATTTAGTAACTAGTCTAAATAAAAATATTTTAAACATTATCTTTTAAAAATTTGACGGGCAAAGATTATAAACTTCAAGGTGATTAAATTTTAAAAAGCTTTCCAAATATGTGGTTGACTGACATTTGACAAAGACTTCAAGACAATTCAATGGAGAAATATAAGAGTCAGCTCAACAAATGGTGCTACAACTGGAGAAAAAGAACTTTTACCATGAGAAAAATAACTTTAACCTGACTTCATATAAAACAACAACAAAAAAATGAACTCAGAATGGCTCACACAAAAACTAAAACTTACAGAAGAAAACAAAAGAGAAAATCTTTGCAACCTTGGGGAAGGGCAGATTTCTTAGCATACCAAACCATAGAAGAAAAATATTTTTAAAATGGACTTAATCTAAATTAATTAATAACTTTTGCTCTTGGAAAGACACCATTAAGAAATTGAAAAAAAATAAGCAACATACAGCTAATAAAGGACTGGTATGCAGAATAAAGAATTCCTACAACACATTAATAAGAAGATAATCCAATGCGAAATACTGGCAAAAAATTGGACATTTCACCAAAAGAAAGATGTAAGAATGGTCAAACAAGCACATGAAAAGATGCTCAAAATATTACCAATGACAAGGGAAATGCAAATGAAAACCACAGTGAGATAATATTATACATACACGAGAAGGGCTAACATTAAAAAGAATACCAACACGAAGTGCTGCTGAGAATGTGGAACAACAGGAACTCTCATACATTGCTCTCATAAAATGCAAATTGGTATAACCACTTTGGAAATCAATTTGACAGTTTCTTGTAAAGTTAAACAGACACTTACCACACAACCCAGAAATCCCACTTCAAGGTATTATCTAACAGCAACGGAAAAAAATATGTTCACAGATTACTCATACTTCAACAGGTAAACGGATAAATTGTTGTACAGCCATAAAACACACAATAAAAATAAAGTGTGAATCCAAACAACATGAATGAATCTTAAAGACATTATGCTAAAGGAAGGGAGGCAGATACACAGTAGTACATACTGTAAGAGACCATTTATATAAAATTGTAGAATGAGTGAAACTAATCTATAATGAGACCAGTGATTTCCTCATCCTGGGGTGGTGTGGGGAGTATGACAACAAAGAAGCCTGACAGAATTTTTCTAGCAGATGAACATGTTCTGTGTACTGATTATGGTAGTTACATAGGTAAATACATTTATCAAAACTCCAACTGTACACTTAAAATGGGTGTATTTTAATGTTTGTGCACTATACCTCTATAAAATTGATTTAAAAGCAAAACAAAACCAACCAAACAAAAACACCACAAAGCATTCTAGAATATTTTTGCAGGCAAGGGGACTTTTAAGAACAATTCTGATGAGCTTTTTTGAACTACACATATTCAGCTGTTTACCCTCCTCACTGGGGATTCCAAGAGACTTGAGGAGTCCATTTGTTTTGTTGTTGTTGTTGTTGTTGTTGTTGTTTTGAGAAAAGGTCTCACAGTCGCCCAGGCTGGAGTTCAGTGGCACGGTCTCGGCTCACTGCAACCTCCACCTCCCAGGTTCAGGGGATTCTCATGACTCCATCTCCTGAGTAGCTGGGATTACAGGCATGTGCCACCACACCTGGCTAATTTTGGTATTTTTAGTAGAGACAGAGTTTCACCATGTTGGCCAGGCTTTGAGGAGTCAATGTGAATATAAAATAAAAAACTTCACAGGGTGATTAATACAGCCAGTTCTTCCTCCAAATTTTGAACAATTTAAACTATGTAAAAGCAAAGTAGAAGCTGCAAATGTTGTTACACATCAACTCAAGATGAAACTTAATAAACTCCTACATCAAAGTACTAAGTAATTCAAGCAAAGTGCTGATTTTAAATATAAATACCAAAAAATTTTAATAGCTTTATTGAGTTGTACTATATGAAGTAAAATTATCTAGTTACAGTGTACAAGTCATTGAGTTTTGACAATACAATTGTGTAATCCTCACCCCAAAATCTTACCTTGTACCCCATTTTGCAGTCCCTGGAAATGAGTGATCTACCCTCCACACCTTTGTTTTTCCTTCTAGAATTTCATATAAATGGAATCATAGCATGTAGTCATTTATATCTCACTTCTTAGCATAATGCTTCTGAGATTTTTTCACATTATTGCATGTGTCAGTTCAATAGTTCAGTCCTTCTTGCTGAGTATTATATTCCACTGTATAGCTATACCACAATTTGTTCATCCATTCACCAATTGCTGACATTTGAGTCATTTCTAGTTTGGGCATTATGAAAACTACCATGAACATTCAAGTACACGTTTTACATGGACTTACATTTTCACAGGAGTGGATTTGCTGGGTTATATGGAAAATATATGTTTAAATTTATAAGAAACTGACAGTTTTGAAAGTGAATGTTCAATTTTGTGGTTCCATCAACCTTGTGTGAGAGATCCAGCTGTTCCTATCCTCACCAACTACTGGTCTTTTTAATTTTGGCCATTACAACAGATGAGTACTAGAATCTCATTATGAATTAAATTTGTATTTCCATTGTGGCTAATGATGTACTGAATATCATTTCAAGGGCCATTCATGTATATTCATTGGTGAACTGTCAACATTTTTTGCTGATTTTTTAATTGGATTTTAAGAGTTCTTTCAATATTCTGGATACAGTCTTTATTAGATAAATGCTTCACAAATATTTTCTCTCAGTATACGGTTTGTCATTTTATTCTCCTAATAGTATCTTACTGAAGAACAAAAATTTTAACTTTCAATGAAGTCTAATTTACCAGCTATTTTTATGGTTCATGCTTATTAAATGTTATCTAAGAAATCCCTATATATAAATAGTAGTTTTACTATCCTCCCCTGATAGTCCCATCTCAGTCATTTCTGGTCTGTTTTTATTAATTTTTCTTCAGGTTCTTTGAATATTTGGTAATTTTTTATTGAATGCTATTTTGAAGTGGCATATTGAATTTCATTGAACTTTGTAGTCTTGGGTATTGAATTTTGTTCTGTTATTTTAAAAGTGGGATTAGCTTTGAACTTTCAAGACTTTAAGCTTTTTTTGTTTGTTTGTTTTGAGACGGAGTCTCACTCTGTCACCAGGCTGAAGTGCAGTGGCGCGATCTCGGCTCACTGCAACCTCTGCCTCCTAGGTTCAAGCAATTCTCCTGCCTCAGCCTCCTGAGTAGCTGGGACTACAGGTGGGTGCCACTATGCTAAATTTTGTATTTTTAGAAGAGACGGGGTTTCACCATGTTGGGCAGGATGCTCTTGATCTCTTGACCTCGTGATCTGCCCACTTTGGCCTCCCAAAGTGCTGGGATTATAGGCATGAGCCCCCGTGACCAGCCCGGCCTTGTTTTAAGCTTTTTAATATCAGGTCCAGAGCAACCTTCAGCCTAGGAATAACTTAGCCCCATTATCAAGGTAATACTTTTCTGAAGGTTCCAGCTAATGCCTACATGTTATATCATCTCTCCACTCTTTATGGTGGGGATACAAACTATTACTAACCTTGTATGATTTTTGAGAATTGTTTTACCTTTTGTTTTCCAGTGATGCTTCCCATCTTTCCCAACTAACCCCAAACTTGTGTGGGTTCACCCCTCACATGCACAAATCACAATTTAGCCAAAAATTCCAAGGAACCCTTCTGTCAATTTCCAGAACTTTTTCCCTGTACAGTTTTCTTTCTAGTATTCTGTCCTGCAAATTTTAGCCATCTAGGCCTCCCTGAACTCCAGTTTCAGTCTCCAGAACTCAGTGACACTACTAGGCTTTGTTTGGGCTCCCACTGCCTGCACTGCAACCCAGAAACTACCTCTAGGCAGTAAGCAGGGGGTAATTATAGAGCTGAACTCATTTGTTTCCCTTTTCTCTGTTCAACTGCATGTTGTTCAATGTCTTGAGTTGTTTCACCTATGTCCTAGTTTTAAACAGTGAAATGGCTATTTCTATAGCAGTTAATCCTTCATGGGTAGAATCAGAAGTCCACTAAATACCAAACATTTGAATTTGTATTGTCTTAATCACAGTGCTGATAAATGGCCTTTTGTTATATATTAATAAAATGGAACTAAATAGAATTCTACATCATTTGCTTATAACAACCAAAGAACTTGTATTTTTAAATGAGTTTACTACTTAATAAAGATTGCCAAAGCCAGTAAGCCTTGACAAGACCAATAATTTTCAACTGTGTTATGTCTGAATTTCCTGTAGAACTTAAAATTTCAGATACCTGGCTTTACACCACTGAATCAAAACTTTAGGAATCCAGGAATATATGTTTTTTTAAAAGCTCCTCGTGATTCCAATACTCCTTATTAAGAACTACTATTCACTACTTTTCTAGACAATATTATTACTATTTGAGTAAACAAATTACAGTTGGCCCTTGAACAACACAGGTTTGAACTGCACAGGTTCACTTATATGTGAATTTTCTTCTGCCTCTGTCACCCAAGACAGCAAAAGCAATCTTCCTTTTCCTCCTCTTCAGTCTACTCAGCGTGAAGACAGCAAGGATGAAGACCTTTATGATGATCCATTTCCACTTAGTGAGTGGTAAATATATTTTCTTTTGCTTATAATTTTCTAAGTAACTTTTTTTCTTGCTTACTTTACTGTAAGAGTACAGTATATAATATATAGAACATACAGAATATGTGTTAATTGACTGTTTATGTTTTTGGTAAGGCTGCCTGTCAATAGTAGGCTGTTGGCAGTTAAGTTTTGAGGGAGTCGAAAGTGGTATGTGGGTTTTCAACTGCACAGAGGGCTTGGCACTCCTATGTTGTTCAAGGGTCAACTGTAATTACCAAAAGATATAACTGATATATCTATTTCTGTATTCTACACACAAAATTTGAAAAAAATTGTCATAATAAAAATAAAGGCAAGCATATTTTCATCACTAGTTATACAAAACTACTGTGAATCATCCACAAAAAAGTAAATATAGCAAGTATGCGTCAGGCAAAAAGGATCATCACTGACACACAGATCACTGATAGTTACATATTTGTATACTAATATTCATTAGTTTACTTATTATTATTCTGGAAATGGACTGGTTTAAAAGCTGGCTTCAAAATAAGCCAATTTCAAGAATAACAAAAGAAAGTTTGAACTTACTGATGCTATCATCATGTTCATTTATTACTATTTTACATATTAATTATATCATCCTTTTGAATATTAATATCAATATATCATTTATTAACAAAAAGTAAAAATCACAGTAATTATTTCAATTAAAGAAAGTGTCACTTACCTCTTTCACATTTGCATCATCAAAAAATACCCATTTGGAACTTTTGGTGTGAAATGCAAAGGCACAATAATGTTGGCTGGTGTAGCAGATCATACCAACAAGGTTAAGTTCACTATTTTTGGCATTTTCATCAGTAACTCTATAAAAAAGCTGTTTAAAAAAATTGGTAATGTACACTTAACACTACATCTTTTGTAAAATGAGGAATAATTAGATGAATCATGTCTTTGACACATAATGAAATATTTCTCATGCATACTGCCCCAATCTAATATTATATTATTACTTGAAGGCACCACTGACATCACATTGTTAACAGAATTACCACTTTTAATTCATTCATAAAACTTTAAGTCCAATAAAACGAATTCACTACAAATTAGTTTAGCAATAATAGAGTATCTCTAATGACACATGACTGACACTTTTCATAAAGAAATTCAAAATATGAGATAAATTCCACATTTCTGGTAATTCTTGACTGAATCACATATTTGAATGTTC
Organism: Homo sapiens; assembly: GCF_000001405.40. Classification (NCBI taxonomy): domain Eukaryota; kingdom Metazoa; phylum Chordata; class Mammalia; order Primates; family Hominidae; genus Homo; species Homo sapiens. Next base: position 119,261,360 of record NC_000004.12, on the reverse strand, counting down.
ATTAAACATATTATCTAAAAGATAATTATCCAAAACTTTAATTGTAACATGAACCAAATCAAAATATACCAAGAAAGTAACAAGCATAACAAGAGATCATGGCGGGGTGTGGTGGCTCACGCCTGTAATCCCAGCACTTTGGGAAGCCAAGGCAGGTGGATCTACTTGAGGCCAGGAGTTCGAGAGCAGCCTGGCTAACATGGTGAAACCCATCTCTACTAAAAATACAAAAAATTAGCTGGGTATGGTGGTGCATGCCTGTAATCCCAGCTACTAGGGAGGCTGAAGCATGAAAATTGCTTGAGCCTGGGAGGCAGAGGTTGTAGTGAGCCAAGATTGCACCACTGCACTGCAGCCTGAGTGACAGAGCAAGACTCTGCCGCAAAAAAAAAAAAAAAAAAAAAAAAAAAGAGAGAGATCAGTGCTTTAGATGAATTTTAAATATTAAACCTTTCTAAGTTAACAATATTTATATTTACAATCATGGCCATACATAAAAAATCATCAATCATCATGATTTTAGAGTGAAAGAAGCAAAAGCCATGAGACAGTTTAGTTTGTAATTGAAAGCCATTCCTAGTCTATGTAGTAAAGGCATTCCAGTTAGCCTGATTTGATTAAACTTGTCGTTATCAGATAAAACATCAGGATGATGTTTTAGAAGAATTTGAAAATAAAAGGGAAGGGAATGAAAATAGATAAGATACCCCAGGAAGATAAAGATGTGTTGCTAGATTCCGAACAACAGCTTCGGTCAAGTCAGAATGCTCGGAGTCCCAGACTAAACCAATTGTAACAATCTCTGGGCAATTCATTAAAACACGGCGAATTTTTATTTTTTGGCCACAGTTACTCTACAGAAAAACATAAAAGTTTTAAAATTATGAAAACAGATAAACCAGGCAGCCTTACACAGTTTGCATTATATAATGACAATTTTAACACATATCTGCAATTTATTCAGTATACTAAAAATTGACTTCTAACAAGCTGTTTGTCTTAATTATTGATTAAAAAAGAAGTTTATTTTAAATAAAAGTATTCTTTGATAATTTTGTAAATCTGTTAAAGTAAGAATTCAACCTAAAAAAAAGCAGAAATAAAACTCTTGAAGTCAGTAACAAATATATTAGATGAGAAAAGAGTATCATTCATCATTCATCAAGTTTACTGAAAAGAAACTTTCTCTGTAATCAAATGATAAATTTCAGAACTTTGAAAAAATTTAATCAATATATGCTTCACAAACTTAGGAGTTTTTAAACAATTTATGCTAAGATAAATGATACACATGGTATAATCTAAAATAATATTTTTTAAAAATTCTTAAAGCTAATTCTAGATATAGAATCAATATTTACATGATAATATCTGAATGCCTATTTTCAAATCTACAAAACAAGAAGCATACTAATATTCTCCAAACTATACTTACAGGACATTTCCTATAGTCATCTGTTGTATTTGCTGCTTGTAGCAATTCTGCAAACATTTCAGGTTTAAAGCGTTCATGCCTTTCCAACATTCTTTCAACCTCATTGCTACAAAAAAAGAAGCAATCCCAAATCTGGCCTATGAACTTAAAACTTTAATAAATTACACATGAAAAATATTGTCAGTTTAGATGTGCATCACTTTTTCTATCTAAAACATGACCATGACTGAAAAATTAACCATAAAGTACATTTCCATAAAGTGAAAAATTATTAAATTTGGCAAGTATATAATGAAAAAAATTAGCTCAAATAAAGAAAACAAAGTAACACAAAATTATATGTTTGGAACTAGATAAATGAGGCTAACATGCTCTGTCTGGAGGTAATTCTAAGGCAAATGTTTTATTTGTATTATTACTTAATGAGTAGAAACTTAAGTTTAAACCCTACCCTAACAAGAACAACAAACTGTAGGAAAGGCTCCCTCTCTAGCCCAAAGTTCCTAGGAGCAATGTTATCAATTTCAGCTAGGAGAAGGTCCTTTGCTGATTAAATGCAGAAGTCACAACCAAAGATTTTAAAGCCAGACTTACTCCTTTTGTTCTTATTTTGAATATTACTCCCCCCCCTTTTTTTTTTTTTTTGAGATGGGGTCTCACTCTATCGCCCAGGCTGGAGTGCAATGGTGCAATCTTGGCTCACCGCAACCTCCACCTCCCAGGTTAAAGTGATTCTCATGCCTCAGCCTCTTGAGGAGCTGGGATTACAGGCACGTGCCACCACATCTGGCTAATTTTTGTATTTCTAGTAGAGATGGAGTTTCACCATGTTCCTCAGGCTGGTCTTGAACTCCTGACCTCAAGTGATCCAACCACCTCGGACTCTCAAAGTGCTGGGATTACAGGCGTGAGCCACTGAGCTCAGCCAGGATACTAATCATTTTATTAGAGCCCAGGCAGGCCTTTTAATACACTACAGGGTAACTGTGATACTTTTTATTCAACCTCCTTAAAAGACATATTTTTATGTATCAGGGTATTAAGTAACTAATATGGTTTGGCTGTGTCCCCACTCAAATCTCATCTTGAATTGTAGCTCCCAAAATTCCTTCGTGTTGTGGGAGGGACCCAGCTGGAGACAACTGAATCATGGGAGCAGTTTCCCCGATACTGTTCTGGTGGTAGTGAATAAGTCTCACAAGATCTGATGGTTTCATAAGGATAAACACCTTTTGCTTGACTCTCATTCTCTTCTCTTGCCTGCCACCATGTAAGATGTGACTTTGCTCCTCCTTGCCTTCTGCCATGACTGTGAGGCCTACTTAGCCACATAGAACTGTGAGTCAATTAAACCTCTCTGTTTTATAAATTACCCAGTCTTGAGTATGTCTTTATTAGCAGCATGAGAACAGACTAATACTTAAACAACTATTTAAATATTTCCAAAAAGGAATGTAATGTAAGCTGAAACACTAACTAGTTTCCATTCTAGATGTTCTGATTGTACTTAACAGTAATATAACTATTCTAGAGCTGGATATATTTTACAGTTCAATAGTTTAAATAATCTCCAAGTATTTGGTAACAACTAAATGTACCCATCCAAACACTTCAAGAGTACACTAGAAAGCCCTAAATCTGATAAGCTCATTCAAATTGCATATACTGCTTTTACAAAACTGACAGCATTAGAGTAGTGGTTAGCCAGAAAAATTTTGAAGTCAGACCGATCTGGGTTTCAATCTTAATTCATCCACTTACTAGATTAACCTCATTAAACCTATTTCTTCATCAACAAAATAGAATTTTGGTTAAGATTAAAAGCAACAACTTAACATAAAGCCTGGAACATGGTAAGCATTCAGTAACTGGTATTCAACACTGATTACCAATACAAATAAGGATATTATAATTAGAATTCAAAGCGTGCACTCCTGCAACTTGCAGTGTTTACCAAGCAGAGAATGATGGGGCTGTAATTCTTATTATCTAACATTCTGCCTCAGAACACTGTCATTTCATTCAAGAGTTTTAAAGTAGAATTAAAATTTTAGTTTTTAACTTATTGTCTATCTTTGAACACCATCCTACTTTTCATAGAAATTTAAAAAAATGACTGACGACTGACTACAATTTGACTGAAGTTTAGGAATGTTTCTCTAAATCAGTGTTTTTCACTTGTCTGTAAATGTAAGAAAGATAGTAAACACACCCAAATAACGAAATTGTTATTATTCAATAATCTTTATGAAATAACATTTTATACTCAATAAAGCCAGGAAGATAAATAATATGAAATGAATAAACATGATATTTACTTTGCACACTGACACAAATATTGGCAGCATTTATCAACTGTTGCACTAACATATTCTGACTGATAATTATTGATCCATATTATGTATTTTGTATTAAAATGTATGCAAATGTTTATGATCTTACTCAATGTTTACCACATGCCAACTTTTTTGTTGTTGCTGTTTTGTGAGACGTAATCTTGCTCTATCACCCAGGCTGGAGTGCAGTGGCGCAATCTCAGCTCACTGCAACCTCCACCTCCCAGGATCAAGCAATTCTCTGCCTCAGCCTCCGGAAGAGCTGGGATTACAGGTGCCCGCCACCACACCCAGCTAATTTTTTATTTTTAGTAGAGACGGGGTTACACCATCTTGGCCAGGCTGGTCTTGAACTCCTGACCTCAGGTGATCCACCTGCCTTGGCCTCCCAATGTACTAGGATTACAGGCATGAGCCACTGTGCCCAGCCACATGCCAAATATTTATACTTTCAAATACCTGTTGGAAAATATTCAAAGAACATTATGTAAGGTCTAGGGATAACTTTTAGATCCTTAACGAGCTAATCTTTCATGGACAGAAAGGGAGAGAGTGAGTGGGCAGCTGAGCAGGCAAGCATGGCAAATTTTTTATTTAAAGTGAATGATGAGTCCTCAAATGCAATAACCTGAGAATTACGCTCACATTTTTCTTTCTTCTCCGCTTACCCTAGCTTTTATCACCAGAAAGGGACATAGTGGAGCTGACTGAAAATATGGCCATTACAAACAGAACATCTCATAAATGAAGCAACCATGTATAGTTCCATTTAACATTCAGTTTATCATTTCATGCTCCCCTTCACAGTTCTAAAATTTGTTATAAATTAAATAGATATAAAATTTAACTAGTATTATGTACACTTCACTAAGTAACACATATATTAGGCCAAATTACAAACATCCAACTTTGATAGACATCACTTAATACATCTCACAGCAGCATACTTGGTAGCCTCAGACAGAGAGGGGAAATTCATGTATGCTATGATTTTATAAAATAAGTGCTCAATGTGCTTAAATATGTTATTAATATCGTTGATAATTAAGCTTTAATAGGTTCTTACCATAAGGCTGTTGTAGAAATGTACCGCACAAATTCTGTAAAAGGTAGAGGATCTGACGATGCTCCACAGCTACGACACACACACTATATAGGTAAAAACATATGTTTAATCTATCAATCATAAAACAGAACTACAATATCTAAATAATAATCAAGCCATCTCACCTGTTCATACAGAGTCATAGCAAACTTCTGGTGAGTGATACAAGATTTAGAGGTACACATGTCTGCATCTCTGCTTGGCACTATGTGAAAATGAATCCTCTCCAACATATTTTCCTAATTTAAAAATAAAATAGATAAATGAGTTGTTGATCTTGCAGGGAACACAGCAAAATATAACTCTTTACCTGCAGATTATCCAAAGTATAAATTTAAGAGTGTCATACATATTGTTAGCTTTTCAGCTTTCCTCTCTAATCAACACTTTGATCGAATGTTCAATTATTCACCTTTTATAGCACTAGCTTGAAAGAAAATGTTGTTTAATTAAACAAACATTATAACATGATCTTTAATAAAGTTATTTTTAATCCTTCTAAAAACCCATGGTGACTGACATCTACAATTTAATATTAGAAAACAGTTTCCTGTGTTCCCAACATTCTCAAATGAAGAAAAAACAGATAGCTTTAAAAAAAATCCTGGATGGCTGAATAGGAACAGCTCCGGTCTACAGCTCCCAGTGAGACTGACACAGAACACAGGTAATTTCTGCATTTCCAATTGAGGTACCTGGTTCATCTCATTGGGACTGGTTGGACAGTGAGTGCAGCCCACGGAGGGCGAGCCAAAGCAGGGCAGGACATCACCTCACCCAGGAAGCACAAGGGGTCAGGGGATTTCCCTTTCCTAGCCAAGGGAAGCTGTGAGTGAATGTACCTGGAGGAGCCATACACTCCTGCCGAAATACTGAGCTTCTCCCACGGTCTTACCAACCAGCAGACCAGGAGTTCCCCTCCCGTGCCTGGCTCAGCGGGTCCGACACCCACGGAGCCTTGCTCACTGCTAGCACAGCAGTCTGAGATCAACCTGGGATGCGGGAGGTTGGTTGAGGGGAGGGGTGTCTGCCCTTGCTGAGGAGTGAGTAGCTGGTTCTCTGCTCACGGTGTAAACAAAGCAGCAGGGAAGCTTGAACTGGGCAGAGCCCACCACAGCTCAGCAAGGCCTACTGCCTCCCTAGATTCCACCTCTAGGGGCAGGGCGTATCTGAACAAAAGGCAGCAGACAGCTTCTGCAGACTTAAATGTCCCTGCCTGACAGCTCTGAAGAGAGCAGTGGTTCTCCTAGCATGGCGTTTGAGCTCCGATAACGAACAGACTGCCTCCTCAAGTGGATTCCTGACCCCTGTGTAGCCTGACTGGGAGACACCTCCCATTAGGGGCCAACAGACACCTCATACAGGCGGGTGCCCCTCTGGGACAAAGCTTCCAGAGGAAGGATCAGGCAGCAATATTTGCTGTTGTGCAGCCTCCACTGGTGAAAACCAGGCAAACAGGGTCTGGAGTGGACCTCCAGCAAACCCCAACAGACCTGCAGCTGAGGGGCCTGTCTGTTAGAAGGAAAACTAACAAACAGAAAGGAATAGCATCAACATCAACAAAAAGGACATCCACACCAAAACACCATCTGTAGGTCACCAACATCAAATACCAAAGGTAGATAAAACCACAAAGATGGGGAGAAAGCAGAGCAGAAAGGCTGAAAATTACAAAAACCAGAATGTCTCTTCTCCTTCAAGGAATACAACCCCTCACCTGCAAGGTAACAAAACTGGTCGGAGAACGAGTTTGAAGAGTTGACAGAAGTAGGCTTCAGAAGGTCAGTAATAACAAACTTCTCCGAGCTAAAGGAGCATGTTCTAACCCATCGCAAGGGAGCTAAAAACCTTGAAAAAAGGTTAGACAAATGGCTAACTAGAATAAACAGTGTAGAGAAGACCTTAAATAACCTGATGGAGCTGAAAAACATAGTACGAGAACTTCGTGAAGCATACACAAGCTTCAGTAGCCGATTCAATCATGCAGAAGAAAGTATATCAGTGATTGGAGATCTAATTAATGAAATAAAGCAAGAAGACAAGATTAGACAAAAAAGACTGAAAAGAAACTAACGAAGCCTCCAAGAAATATGGGACTATGTGAAAAGACCAAATCTATGTTTGATTGGTGTACCTGAAAGTGATGGGGAGAATGGAACCAAGTTAGAAAACACTCTGCAGGATATTATCCAGGAGAACTTCCCCAACCTCTAACAAGGCAGGCCAACATTCAAATTCAGGAAATACAGAGAACACCACAAAGATACTCCTTGAGAAGAGCAACCAAAAGACACATAATTGTCAGATTCACCAAGATTGAAATGCAGGAAAAAATGTTAAGGGCAGCCAGAGAGGAAGGTCAGGTTACCCACAAAGAGAAGCCCATCAGACTAACGGTGGATTTCTCTGCAGAAACTCTACAAGCCAGAAGAGAGTGGGGGCCAATATTCAACATTCTTAAAGAAAAGAATTTTCAACCCAGAATTTTATATCCAGCCAAACTAAGCTTCCTAAGTGAAGGAGAAATAAAATCCTTTACAGACAAGCAAATGCTGAGATACTTTGTCACCACCAGGCCTGCCTTTCAAGAGCTCCTGAAGGAAGCACTAAACATGGATAGGAACAACCGGTACCTGCCACTGTAAAAACATGCCAAATTTAAAGACCATTGACGCTATGAAGAAACTGCATCAACTAACAGGCAAATTAACCAGCTAACATCATAATGACAGGATCAAATTCACACATAACAATATTAACCTTAAATGTAAATGGGCTAAAGGCCCCAATTAAAAGACATAGACTGGCAAATTGGATAAAGAGTCAAGACCCATCAGTGTGCTGTATTCAGGAGACCCATCTCATGTGCAGAGACACACATAGACTCAAAATAAAGGGATGGAGGAAGATCTACCAAGCAAATGGAAAGCAAAAAAAAAGCAGGGGTTGCAATCCTGGTCTCTGATAAAACAGGCTTTAAACCAACAAAGATCAAAAGAGACAAAGAAGACCATTACATAATGGTAAAGGGATCAATTCAATAAGAAGAGCTAACTATCCTAAATATACATGCACCCAATACAGGAGCACCCAGATTCATGAAGCAAGTCCTTAGATTTCTACAAAGGGACTTAGACTCCCACGCAATAATAATGGGAGACTTTAACACCCCACTGTCAATATTAGGCAGATCAACAAGACAGAAAATTAACAAGGATATCCAGGACTTGAACCCAGTTCTGGACCAAGCAGACCTAATAGACATCTACAGAACTCTACACCCCAAATCAACAGAATATATATTCTTCGCAGCACCTAATCTAAAACCGACCACATAATTGGAAGTAAAACGCTCCCGAGCAAATGTAAAAGAACAGAAATAACTGCCTCTCAGACCACAGTGCAACCAAATTAGAAATCAGGATTAAGAATCTCATTCAAATACGCACAACTAGATGGAAAATGAACAACCTGCTCAAGAATGACTACTGGGTAACTAACAAAATGAAGGCAGAAATAAAGATGTTCTTTAAAACCAATGAGAACAAAGACACAATGTACCCAAATCTCTGGGACACATTTAAGGCAGTGTGTGGAAGGAAATTTATAGCATGAAATGCCCACGAGAGAAAGCAGGAGATACCTAAAATTGACACCCTAACATCATAATTAAAGGAACAAGAGAAGCAAGAGCAAATAAATTCAAAAACTAGCAGAAGACAAGAAATAACTAGGTTCAGAGCAAAACTGAAGGAGATAGAGACACAAAAAAACCCTTCAAAACAATCACTGGTTCCAGGAGCTGGTTTTTGAAAAGATCAAGAAAATAGACAGACCACTAGCAAAACTAATAAAGAAGAAAAGAGAGCAGAATCAAATAAATGCAATAAAAAATCATAAAGGGATATCACCACCGATCCCACAGGAATATAAACTACCATCACAGAATACTATAAATACCTCTACACAAATAAACTAGAAAACGTAGAAGAAATGGATAAATTTCTGGACACATACACCCTCCCAAGACTAAACCAGAAAGAAGTTGAATCTCTGAGTAGACCAATAACAGGTTCTGAAATTGAGGCAATAATCAATAGCCTACCAACCAAAAAAAGTCCAGGACCAGATGGATTCACAGCCAAATTCTACCAGAGGTACAAAGAGGAGCTGGTACCATTCCTTCTGAAACTATTCCAATCAATAGAAAAAGAGGGAATCCTCCCTAACTCATTTTATGAGGCCAGCATCATCCTGATACCAAAGCCTCGCAGAGACACAACAAAAAAAGAGAATTTTAGGCCAATATCCCTGATGAACATTAAAGTGAAAATCCTCAATAAAATTCTGGCAAACCGAATCCAGCAGCACATCAAAAAGCTTATCCGCCATGATCAAGTGGGCTTCATCCCTCTGATGCAAGGCTGGTTCAACATACACAAATCAATAAATGTAATCCATCACATAAACAGAACCAATGACAAAAACCACATGATTATTTCAATAGATACAGAAAAGGCCTTCAACAAAATTCAACAGCCTTTCATGCTAAAAACTCTCAATAAACTAGGTATCAATAGAATGTATCTCAACATAATAAGAGAGATTTATGACAAACTCACAGCCAATATTATACTGAATGGACAAAAACTGGAAGCATTCCCTTTGAAAACCGGCACAAGACAAGGATGCCCTCTCTCACCACTCCTACTCAACATAGTATTGGAAGTTCTGGCCAGGGCAATCAGGCAAGAGAAAGCAATAAAGGGTATTCAAATAGGAAGAGATGAAGTCAAATCAGGCAAGAGAAAGTGATGAAGGGTATTCAAAATGGAAGAGACGAAGTCAAATTGTCTCTGTTTGCAGATGACATGATTGTATATTTAGAAAACTCTATCATTAAAAAGTCAAGAAACAACAGATGCTGGAGAGGTTGCAGAAAAATAGGAATGCTTTTACACTGTCGATGGGAGTGTAAATTAGTTCAACCATTGTGGAAGACAGTGTGGAGATTCCTCAAGGACCTAGAACTGGAAATACCATTTGACCCACCAATCCCATTACTGGGTATATACCCAAAGGATTATAAATCATTCTAGGATAAAGACACATACACAGGTATGTTTATTGTGGCACTATTCACAATAGCAAAGACGTGGAACCAACCCAAATGTTCATCGATGATAGACTGGATTAAGAAAATGTGGCACATATACACCTTGGAATACTATGCAGCCACAAAAAAGGATGAGTTCATGTCCTTTGCAGTGACATGGATGAAGCTGGAAACCATCATTCTCAGCAAACTGTCACAAGATCAGAAAACCAAACACCACATGTTCTCACTCATAAGTGGGAGTTGAACAATGAGAACACATGGACACAGGGAGGGGAATATCACACACTGAGGCCTGTGGGGGGTGGGGGGCTAGGGGAGGGATAACATTAGGAGAAATACCTAATGTAGGTGACAGGTTGATGGGTGCAGCAAACCATCATGCCACGTGTATACCTATGTAACAAAACTGCAAGTTCTGCACATGTAACCCAGAACTTAAAGTATAATTAAAAAAAAAAATCCTACTTGAATCATCTAGGTAGTCTGTATAAATAACAGCAAAACAAAGGCTCTATATCTACACTAACACCATAATGCAGGCAATGCAATCTGCAGTGAATTTCATATAAATATTGATTTACAATATAGATCAATAAGGGGCATTTATTTCTTTAACATAATTCTTTTTACCAAAGCTTAACCAATGGATTCTATTCATTAGCTAACTTCTCTCTCCTCTGCCCCAGGATATTTAAGACCATTTAATAATTTAAGCCTAGACTTCTAGACATTTTGTGAATTATCATATCATGTATTAGAATAATTCATTTAAGTGAAAGTAAAACTATAAAGTTTAGCATTGTTCAAAATATATTTGTTTTAAGCAAAAAATCAATTATAAACAGAAGAAATATGGAAAGTATATTTCATTACTGTGTGTGCCATTATTGACATTTTAATCAACATGCAAGTGTGCTAGGCAAGATGCTAGTCAATGAGCTTTCCATCTAAGGAAACCATGAAGATGCTCATTTTTAAAAAGGTGATTAATAATATAAAAATGCCAAATGAATTCTACAGAGTAAATTCTACAGAGAATGGATTGGGTGGTTTGGTCATGTGTTATCTGGTAGGCATAGACTTAGTCTGAACCTTGACAAAATGATAGATTTTTAAAGTTTTGAGTATTTCAGGAACTTGAGCAAAGGCTGCTAGTAGAACAGCCTTATAAATAAGGACTATAAACAAGAATATAAAAATATATGTGAGGAACAGAATGGAATAATCTCACTAGGAAGAAAAATCTAGGGATGAAGCACTGAGGGAAGGTGGAGTTTAATCTAAAGGGCCTTAAATATCAGAATAAAAAGTCTAGATTTAAATCACAGAAATATTTGAAGAGTAAGCGTTAACCTGAATAAAATCATATTGATATGGTGGTTATTTAAAAAATAGGACATAAGGCCAGTCGCAGTGGCTCACGCCTGTAATCCCAGCACTTTGGGAGGCTGAGGCAGGCAGATCACGAGGTCAGGAGATCGAGACCATCCTGGCTAACACAGTGAAACCCTGTCTCCACTAAAAATACAAAAAATTAGCCGGGCATGGTGGCGGGCACCTGTAGTCCCAGCTACTCAGGAGGCTAAGGCAGGAGAATGGTGTGAACCCAGGAGGTGGAGCTTGCAGTGAGCCGAGATCACACCACTGCACCCCAGCCTGGGTGACAGACCGAGACTCTGTCTCAAAAAAAAAAAAAAAAAAAAAATAGGACATAAATAAACAGGTTGAATGGACACCAATAGGAGGCTTAAATATACTGAACTGGAAGAAGTTGTGGTAGGGAATTAATACGGAAAGAAAAAACTTCTGAAAGGGTTTCTGATGAAAGAATTTACAAACTTTGCTGACTAGAAACAGAAAGAAGAGAGAAGAAATGGTTACAACTTAATTATAGGTGACATCAATATTAATGAGACATTTAATAATTAACATACCTATTTTACATGTATAAAGTATGTACCTGATCAAAGGAATGCTCTACTTACTAATATGGTGGTAACACAGAGCCTGAGAACATCAACCTCAGTGATTTTCAACCTGGAATGTGTGTAACAGGCTGTTGCCCCTGTTACCCACCAAAATCCCACCAAAATCCCCTTCTCTCCCAGTGAGAATCATTGCATGCAATGATAACTATTACTGCTGGGAATGTGCTGCATATGTGGTCCCTATAGTGGCAGAACACTGATTTAAGTGATATCATTTATATTCAGCAAAGCTTATTGCTCCAACTAAGTTTTAAAACATTTTAGTAGCCTAAGAGTAAAAATTAGAGCAACAAAAATAATCAAAACCAAAAGTACAACACAAAACACAGATGGATTGAAGTTGAGGCTTGAAGGATGGGTAAGATATGGATCTACTGGACAGTTTTGACATTTTTCTATTGTTCTAAATTTTTGTTTCATTTGTCTCAACACTTGTACCATCTAAGGAATGAAAACTACTATCCTGACTTCTTAAGGAATATCAGAAACACTTACAAAGCACTCCGCAGCATCATCCATAAGGCCAAGTTGAAATCGCTGCTCATCTTTGAAACTTTCTGCAAGAGCATGCCTTATGTTATCTGAGGGAAGTGCTTTTTCTCGACTGTGTTGGAACTGTGCAAATATCGTCTGGGAATCGACAAGAAAATCAGTAAGTTTAATGCCAGCTTTAACGACATTTCAGTAATTTCATTACAACACAGAGAAACTCAAAACACTATACTTGGAAAATAATACAGAAGTCTTTTGCTCTAAAATTTCATACAAAAATTAATTATTTGTATCATCAAGTGTAGAAATGTTTGCACCAGCCTCTAAATCAAATGTTAGCAGACACAAGAATTAAACATGTAGGGTTCCCAGGTCCCACCCTCAGAGGACACTGCTGGTCCTGAGCATTTCAGACAAGAGATACCCAACCTGTATTTCGGAAAATAATACAGAAGTCTTTTGCTCTAAAATTTCATACAAAAATTAATTATTTGTATCATCAAGTGTAGAAATGTTTGCACCAGCCTCTAAATCAAATGTTAGCAGACACAAGAATTAAACATATAGGGTTCCCAGGTCCCACCCTCAGAGGACACTGCTGGTCCTGAGCATTTCAGACAAGAGATACCCAACCTGTATTTCTAATCTAAATTAAGAAACTGGAAACATCATTCAGTTTCTAATCTAAACCTAAGAAACTGGAAATATGAGATTATAGTTGTTAATATGATTTTCAATTTTCCTTATTAAACTTAAGCAAGAAAAAACATTTTAATAAATTCCAATTTTATGACAATCATCTTACATGGAAGAAAGAAAAGTTTTCAATGACAGCCCACCAAAGTAGTATTGGTCACATTCAGTCCCATGTTAGCTCAAAGGGTCATGTCATCTCAAAAAAAAAATATTTTTTTAAGATCAACATACAAAGAAAACATTTCACAAATCTGTTTCACTACAGCAAAAAAATACAATTTATAAATAAAATAAGAAATAAAAAAACAGATGTCATCTGATATTAGATACCCAGAACTATAATTATTTTAGCCATTATAGTAGCTAAAATTATGAATAGTAAAAGATGAAAAATAACTTTCAGATTTTATCTCTTATTTAGGCAATTAACTTCCAGGTAATGTTTAAGATTTTTAATCCTATGCGAGACTGTCACTCATTGATTCAACATATATTTTTTGCCTCCCTCGTATATGTTAGGCATTGTTCTACCCTAGAAAAATGGATGACAACCCTGCCCACATGGAGCCTATATTCTAGTTATAGTAATGAGAAGGCAAAGAAGTAATTATATAACATCAGAATGTGATAAGTACAGTAGAGAAAAATAGATACAAGAGAGAAAAATAAAGCAGTGTAACGGGGATAGGAATGCCAGGGATATTACAGATGGAAGCAGCTTACCTTTTACCTAGGGTAGTCGGGGAAGGCCTCACTAATGGAAAAGTAACATTTGAGGAGAGGCATAAAGGAAATAAGGGTGTTAGCCATGAGGACATCTGGAAGAAAAGCATTCCAGACAAAAGGAATAACAATGAGAAGACTTTGAGGTGGGGATCAGCTCTGAGAAATAGAGCCCAGTTTGGCTAAAATGCAATGTGTTTATGTGTGTTTTTGACAGGGGAGGAGAGGAAGGCAAGCACAGGAAAGAGGCAGGTGACTGTGCAGGGCTACAAGAGAGTTGGTCTAGGAAATTAATAATCCTAGGTTTTACAATTAGACAAAACATTCAAAATTTACTGTGGAATAAATAAAATGTGATACTGTAATGTGATCTAGGTTCATTCTTCATGTCCTAACAATAACCCTATTTGGCCATGTTCTTAAAAAAAGAGAATATAAAATTTCTTCCTTTGGTGATTTACTCAAACAGCCTTTTCAGGAACATAATGAAATTAAGGCACATACATTAAAAAAAAAAAATTCTGTGTGTCTATGTGTATGTGTTCATTATGAATATTCAAGAATGTAAAAAAATGAAACATTTATCTCTAAAATGTATAACAAAATCTTAAGTTCTCTGGCAAAACATTTCAGTGACACGAATGAGTTGCTAATATATACTGGATGCTCTGTTTCTTTGTCTTCCTTCTATTTTCCTCAGCAGAGCAGCCACAGGGATCTAGTTCAAATATTATATCTGGTTAAAACAGACTGTATCACTCTTCCACTCAAAACAATGCCCCATCTCCCTAAATCACTCAGAGAAAAAGCCACGATCCTTACAGAGGCCTATAAGGCCCTACACAATCTAAACCCCTGTTATAGTTATTTATTGCTCTGTAAATAAACCACCCCCAAAATTTAGTTACATAAATCTGCAATTTGGGTGGGGACAGCATGTCTCTGCTCCACTCGAAGTCATTTTGGACAGTTTGAATGCTGGGACCTGGAATATCTGAGGGTCGCTCTTTCATGTCTGGCAGTTGATGCTGGCTGTGGGCTGGGAACTCAGCTCTAGCTGTGTCCAGAATGTCTCCACGTGGTCTTGCCGCATGGCCACCTGGCTTCCTCATCATGGTGGCTCACTTCCAAGAATGAGCAACTCAAGAGACAGAGGTGGGTGAGAGTTATATCACCTTTTCTAAACTAACCTAACCTCAGATATCTTGCTTGCAGCCTCAGTTCTGCCATAGTCTATTTGACAGAAATCAGTCATTAAGGCCAGCCTATATTCAAGGAATTAGATTTTGGATAAGGAAGCATGCAAAAGCATCCACAGACATGTTTTAAAGCCACCTCGGCTACCCTCACCTCAGAGCTCACCTTCTACCACTCTCTTCCTTGCTCATAAAGCTCCTGCCATCGCCACCCATATTTCCTTGGTGTTCCTTAAATATATCAGGTATACTCATACCTCAAGGCCTTTGCAGTTGCTGTTTCTTTGTCTACCTGGAAGGCTCTTCAAGGTGTCATTTCAAATATCAGTTTCTCAGTGAGGCTTTCCTGCCTATACAACACTCCCTATTTTCTTTCCCTGATGTATTTTTCCAATGTTACAACTATTACCATCTAACATACTCTATAATATTTTGCTTTCTTATTATTGTCTCCTCCTCTATAAGAATACAAGCTCTATGAGAAGAGGGATTTTTATCAGTTTTGTTCACTGCTGTATCCTCAGTAACTACACTGGTACCCAGAACTCAGTAGTAGCTCCAAAAACATTTGTTAAAATGAATAAGAATAATTGCAAAATAATGAAAAAGATAATGTTCCTAACAATTTTATACTACTTAGAATATTAATTTTTAACTGTCCTTATATAAAAGAGGAAAATGAAAACACAAACCTGAATAAGTCATACTGTTAAGAATTCATCTTCAAAACTGTTAATCACCTGACAGTGAACTTTAGTTACAACAAACTGACCCAATATATCAAACTTAAATTTTTGAAGGAACAATTGATAGTAGTTTTTCAGAGCTATTAAAAGGTTACCTTCAATGCACAAAATATACAGGCATCTCCCTGACAAACATGTCCAGTCAAAACCCGCAAGCTTCGTCGGAATATATCCAATTGCCATAAAACCTAAAAAACAGGGAGATGTTAAGGAAAAAGAAATAAACAAATTTTTCTTACTGTAACAAAAGACAGATTTAGATATTTTACAAATTGCAAAAGGCGAACAAGTAACTTCTTTTAATTGCCTGTACATAATCAGACACACATAACCACTGGAAATAACAGCAAGTATAAAATTGCTACATGCATGTTGTGCATATATAAAAGTTGGATTCAGAAGATACTCTTAATGGTGCACATGAAAAACTATGACAAGCATGGAGCAGGGAAAAACCAACTCCTCATTAAGGATTTGGTCTGAACAGGAAACAAGGAATACTAAATAGAGAAGTTGGCAGAGACATGAAAGAGGAAGTGATTATAATACTTGGAACAAACTGAAATTTTGAAAGGAAATATAATTAGACTTTAAAGCCAGAGTGTACTAAATTGGGGTCTGCACATTATGGCAAGAAAAAGGGGTGAGCAGAGGTGTATGTGGTCACTGTACATGGAACAAGAAAGGGGGCCTGTGTGGTAATGGGGGTACAGCATAGTAAGCAGCAGCCATTAATAAATTACCTAAGTATATACTTGATGCAATTATCCACTTATCTTCTGCTACTAAAAGACAAAGACAAAGCAAAGACAAAGACAAACCAAACCCAAAGACGGCAACTGTCAAAACAAATCAGTCCAATACTTAAAATCATTCTGAAAAACCTGAATTCTAGACAATGAGGATAAGAATAGTACTTGTGTCTCATAGAGTTCTTGTAAGGATTAAATAATATGTAATGTTTCTAGAGCAGGGTATGGTACTCAACTGGCATGCAATGAGTACCAGCTGCTATTTGTGGCTGTTACTACTATTACAACAAACAAATAAGATCTTCAAATTTCTCTTTTAGTCGTGTCCTCAGATAACGTAACTAAGAAAATCTATTCATGATCTCTCCTTTCTCCCAAATAAAAACAAAAAGTTAATAAAAACAAACTGGCTTTAATATTTCCTATATTTTCAACTACTCCACAACTAAAGGTCATTTCAAAATTTCTCTTTAAACGTTGCCTTTTATTAAAGCATAATGAATAGGATCCATTTTTCTGTCACAGATAACTCAGTGTTTTTGCAAAGCACTTGATGATGTTTAATAACTTTCTTGAGTATCATATCCTAGCATATTTTAAAAAATACACGGAAATCCATTTTACCAAGAAAGAAGATGATTAATGACAGCACAACTTTAGAAGCAATGTACCACTGAGGTTAATAAAAAACATCTGAAGGCAGGTGTCTGGTTTCTAATTCTGGGTTTACTATTTACCAAATCCTGGACTGACTCAGGCAAAATATTTTCTGGGACTCAGTTTTCTCAACAGTAAAATAAAGACAAATGTAGTACTTACCTCTTAGGGCTGTTGTAAGGATTAAATTAGGTGACATATGCAATGTTGAAACAAGCAGTAAGAACACAATAAATGTGAGCTATTAAATAGTATAGTATTAAATAACTTTCCTTCTCAGACATTAAAATCACACTAATGTTATACCTAATTGTACTGTTTTTGCATTAGGTAAAAGTTTAAAATATTCAGCTAAAATACCCTCTATAATCTGTTTATAAAGTTTAGTGAAGTCTTCCAAATGTAACCAGAATGTTTTCTATGATTACGAAAACTCTGAGTTACACTGGATCAAACTACAGATAAAATGTTTTATGTGATTTATTTCAAGTTCCCTGTACATTATTGTCTTTAACACAATACTGTAAAGGCTACTTTAACAAATCGCTATCACAAAATAATTATCCTAATTATAGTTAATCTTCATCCATTTTATTTTATTTTTATTTATTTATTTTTTAGATGGAGTCTTGCTTTGTTGCCCAAGCTGGAGTGTGATGGTGCTATCTTGGCTCACTGCAACCTCCACCTCCTGGGTTCAAGCAATTCTTGTGTCTCAGCCTCCTGAGTAGCTGGAACTACAGGTGCCTGCCACCACGCCCAGCTAATTTTTTTATTTTTGGTAGAGACGGGGTTTCACCATGTTCGCTAAGCTGGTCTCAAACTCCTGGCCTCAAGTGATCCACCCACCTTGGCCTCCCAAAGTGCTAGGATTACAGGTGTAAGCCACTGTTCCTGGTCCCATTTCATTTTAAAATGTTGATTATATTCTATCACTTATTTTAAAAAATTAAGGTTTAAGATAGTTATTGAACTAATTAGTTTCTAGCAATATACACTTTTTCGTTATTTGCATGTAGCAATTTAAATGGTGCCTAACAAAATTAATGTAGTTATTTTTGAATATTTATACATATTTCTTATATTATTCCCAAAAGATCAATACATATCTATACACACATTAAATACAAACCTTTCATCATACATTCTTTACTTGAAAATAATGTAAGAAATAGCTTAAATATTAATAAGAAATGGCATGTAAATTCATTTTTGTGTCTTATATCAGATCTAAACATTTTAATGTCTGTGTTTAGTAAATTCTTACAAGACATATTCTACAATTTATTTCTCAGCATTTTTGAAAATGTATTCATCGAATTGCAAATCAACATTTGTATTCTGAATTTTCAAAAAGAAAGGTCTTATCTCATAGAAAATCTATTTGAATAGTTGTTTTGTCAGGGAGAATTAGCCATGTAAATGAGTTTATATGGCAGACAACAGAGACCAACAGATCCCCCAAAGCTGCTAGAGTTGGCAGGGCAGAGTACTGCAGAGAGCTGCACAGAGAGTTAACATCAGGGATCAGTAGAGGATCCTCCTCCAGTATTTGGGGGTGTACTATGAGGAAACTGTCTGAGGCCTGGGAAAGAAACACCCAAAAGGATTAGAGGGAATAGTGCCCAGAGCTCACAGGCCCAAGATGGTGCCTATTCCTGCAGCCAAAGTAGAAAACTTCATAATTCACAGAGCAATGGTTGAAAAAGGAGTCTCAATAGCAGAGAAATTAACCAAAGAATAAGCATAGCTCTGTCCCGCCTAACAAAGTTTAAAAGTAAAATGATCAAACTGCTTCCAAATAAATAAACTCTGTCCCAGAACAAACTTCTAGATTATTTTTAGGGAATATAAAAATATCCATAACCTGACAAGGTAAACCTTGTCTGACATCCAACAACAACAACAAAAAAAGTAACTGAAATGTACCCAGTATTTATACAAATAACAGAATTAGCAGACAAGTACATAAAAACAATTATTACAACTATACTTCACATGTTCAACAGACTAGCAAATGCTAAGTAAAGACATGAAAGAGATTTTAAGAAGACCAAGATAAAACTTCTCAAAGTGAAAACTACAATGTCTAAGACAAAAAATACACTGGATGGGATTAATAGCAGATAGGCAATGCAAAGGAAAAGATTAATGAACTTGAAAATGGAGTAACAGAAACCACACAAAGTAAAACACAAAGAGAAAAAAAGACTGAGAAAGAAAATAAAGAGAGCATCAGTAAGCTGTGGAACAACTGGAAAACTTCAGGCAACTCACTACATATGTAACTGGAAAACCCCAAAGGAGGGAAGAGACAGAAAAATTATTTGAAGAAATAACAAAGTGTTTCCAAATTTGATTTAAATCCAAAACGCACAGACCCAAGACACTCAACAAACCCAAACACAAGAAACATGAAGAAACCTATATCAAGAAACATCATTAAATTGCTTCAAGCCAATGATAAGGAGAAAATCTTAAAAGCACCCAGAGAAAAAGAACAAATTACATACAGAGAAACAAAGATCAGAATATTAGATTTTTCATTAGAATAATGCAAGCTAAAACAGAGAAGCAAAATCTTTAAAGTACTGAAAGAAAAAATGTCAACTTGGACCATCTTTAATGAGTGAAAATATCTTTCAAAAATAAAGGTGAAATACAGATCTTTTTCAGACATACAAAAGCTGAAAGAATTCATCACCAATAAACCTGTATTACAAGAAAGATCCTTCAAGCAATAGAAAAGGATATCAGATGGAATGTGGATCTATGCAAAAAAGTGATGAGCACCAGAAATGGCAAATATGCAGATATGTATAAGTAAACAGTCTTCATGGTAAATGTCAGCAGAATGTTCATTCTTAAAAAAAATACATCACCATAGGAATACTTCTCAATGTTTTGATCCATGTAAGTTTCCTTACTCAAAATTTTCACCCGTTCTAATATGCGTTTTGTTTCTCTGAACTATACATAGTATTTTGGGTGCTAATGAAAAGGACAGAAACAGAGGGGAAAACATAAAAGGTAAAAAGAATAGGAAAAAGGGTAAACAGAAAAATATCTGAAATGCCAGAAACGCTTTCTCACAGCCTGATTCTATCAAAAGCATTTAATTCCAGGTCTTTTGGTATCTAATATTTCACTATATCCAGTGCCACTGAATAAATATTTTTCTGCATTTGTCACAGTAATGTCAGTGGGATCTTTGAGCCAGGGCAGAACACTAGCATTTAAGTGTCCTAAAGTAAATTAGAATAAATGCTTTCTTAATACCAACTGCTTCTCTTTCGCTGGGTGAGTTAGAGAACGTTCAAGTTTGGCATCTGTCTCAGGTAGAAGGCAACTGAGAATACAGCTCTGAGTCAGATATCTGTGCACTTGACACATTCTACATGTGTTTATTTGTCAGATGAGCTAATCAACACAATATTTTTCTCTATTAGTTTTCAAAAGAAAAAACAATGCATATGAAAAGTGAATCATTATATATGAATTCTTTTAAGGTATATTCTAAGGTCAATAGAAAAAGTTATCAGTATTCTAAATCTTCCTCATCTTTAGTACTCTACAATGGTCAGAAGGACACAGGATCTATAAAATCTATAACTGCTGAATAAAAACTTTATTAAGCATAAGAAAGTATAGTTATCTAAGGCAGAAAAGCAGGTTAATTAAGATTTTCAACAAGGATTGAGGCAAAATGGATTATCCTTCAATTTAACCAAAACAGTGGAGCCCAAATGATGATTCCGCAGAGGTAATTTAAACACCACAGTGGGAGG
Organism: Homo sapiens; assembly: GCF_000001405.40. Lineage (NCBI taxonomy): Eukaryota > Metazoa > Chordata > Mammalia > Primates > Hominidae > Homo > Homo sapiens. The sequence goes on along the minus strand of NC_000004.12, from coordinate 119,240,327 downwards.
TGAAGGGAGTTTGAGTACTGAAATCAAAAACTCTGCATTCTTATCTCAATACAAGCAGCTTATGTCTTTTTATTCTATCTACAGGGATCCATATACTGGATGTTTTTTCAAAGGGAGGGGTGTTAGCTGATTAAAACCAAAACATTTGTGTATGTTAGAAAAATGTCCTTAATTTACTAAATAAACCTTTTAAATAAGATTATTTATATCATAGTGATACATCAGTCTGTTGAAAAAAACCATTTTCATTTATTATAAAAACCAAAATGACCAGCCAAAACACTTTTGCTCCCATTTAAAGTTATATTAAAAAGTCATTCTAGTCTATAGTAACTTTATTTTTAATTTATGAGCTAAAGAAGCATTAAACAAAGGATTTTCTGAAAAGTATTTTTTTTAATGTAATAAGTAATTATGGTCTCACCTGTACAGCGCTATTAAGAAAGCAGCTGTTTTGTCCTGGTTCATTTAACAAGCCTTTGGTAGGGGCTAGTGATAGCATACTTCCAGGCTGATAAACTTTTCCAAGATTGCCACCAGGTTTCCGTAAGAATTTTACCCATGCCATTTTCAAGCAACTTTGTTTGCATTTAGGCTAAAAACTGTACACTTTTATGTAATATTTTGGACAATAAAATGGATGTCTTGAATTGTCCAATTAAATCCACTGCAGTCTATTTTAATAATGTAAGTTTCCAAGTCCATATCTTTCCTGATGTTATAAACTCTTAAAGACTCTGACAAGTAACAATAGGGTGCATAAACATTGAAGTTCTAAGCACTAAAAAAGAAAGCTATTTTAAACAAGGCGTTAAAGATGTTTATATGTGTTAAATTTTATGGGAGCTGTATAAGGTTAATATGAAAACGATTTTTTTTAATGGCTAAAAATACTGATGAACGAATCATCCCCTTTAATGCATAAGCCATTTGTCTTGATGCATAAAATATGTTAATAATACAAAAAGATGTAGAGTTGGCATTTGGCATGATTCCTTTGGTTGTTTGTTTTCCTTATGTTTTTTTAACAAGAAAGTTTTCTCTCTCTTTCCCAGGTGAAGTTATAAAAGGTGACTCCATATTTCATATCAATGTGACCTCAAAGCAAATCTACAAAAAAGAAAAAAAAGTTTAAATAAAAGCAAATGCAAATAAGAAAATTCTTAACTTTACCATTTGAACACAAATATTGAATATAGAATTAAAACTCGTCATAAAAAGGATTAGAACTGATAGCATTCTAATATAAATTTTTAAAAATTTCATCATTTACATTTTTAAAATATCAATGTGACATCAATCCCTACCTACCTTAAGCTCAATGTTCAAAAGATGGTTTCCTAAGGAAAATATTATCCAAAAATCTAGAATAAATTATATTTCAGCTGGTATGCTGTATCTGTCAACACTAAATTGCTCTAGAATATATTGTTATCCTTCTTACATAGAATCATATTTTTCCAAAAAAAGACAGATTTTATGTAAATGGATATGTATAATTATTCAAAAGAAACCTTTAAGTCATAAATAAATCTTGGTGAATTAAATTTCCATGGTATCAACAAACGCACACTCCTGATTAAAAGGACTTTAAATGTTAAACCTATGAATTAAAAACAAACAAATGCAAGAATACTTTGTTTTATAGCATTTTACTTTATCGCTCTTTGCAGATATACTGCCTTTTTAACAAACTGAAGGTGTGTGTCAACCCTGTAGCAAGCCAATCTACCAGCACCATTTTCCCAACAGCATATGCCCACTTCATGTCTATGTCACACTTCAGTAATTCTTTTTCATTATTACTGTATCTGTTATGCTGATCTGTGATAAGTTATCTTTGATGTTTCCATTGTAATTGTTTTCAGGCAATATGAACCACTCCCATATACGATAGCAAGCATAATCCATGAATGTGTGTATTCTGACTGCTCCACTGACCATCTGTTTCCCCAACTCTCTCTTTTCCTCAGGCCTCCCTACTCCCTGAGATGCAGCAGTACTGAAATGACGTCAGTTCATAACCCTACAATGGCCCCTAGGTGTTCAAGTAAAAGGAGTCGCATGTCTCTCATTTTCAGTCAAAAGCTGGAAATGACTAAGCTTGGTGAGGAAGGCATGTTGAAAGTTGAGACAGGCAGAAAGGTAGGCTTCCTACATCAAGCAGTAAGTAACCCAAGTTGTGAATGCAAAGGGAAAGCTCTTGAAGGAAATTAAAAGTGTTACTCAAATAAACACCTGAATGATAAGAAAGTGAAACTCCCTTATTGCTGATAGTGAGAAAATTTGAGTGGTCTGGATAGAAGATCCAACCAGTTACAACATTCCTTTAAGCCAAAGCCCAATCCAGAGCAAGGCCCTAACGCTCTTTAATTCTACGAAAGCTGAGAAAAAGAGGGTGAGGAAGCTAAAGAAAAGTAGGAAGCTAGCAGAGGTTGATTCAGGAGGTTTAAGGAAAGATGCCATCTCCATAACATAAAAATACAAGGTGAGTCAGCAAATGCTGATGGAGAAGCTACAGCAAATTATCCAGAAATCTAGCTAAGATAACTAATGAAAGTGGCTACACTAATTAACAGATTTTCAGTGTTGAAGAAACAGTCATCAACTGTTTGACAGATGAAGACTGTCATCTGTGGAAGAAACAGTTGAAGACTGACAGTGATATTGACAGATGGAAGAAGATGCCATCTAGGACATTCACAGTCAGAAAGAAGTCAATGCCTGGCTTCAAAGCTTCAAAGGACAGGCTGATTCTGTCTTTTTTTTTTTTAATTATTTTTTAATTTTTTCAAACACTTGTGTCGAGGGCTGACTTTCAATAGATAGCAGCGAGGGAGCCGCTCTGCTACATACAAAACCCCGACCCAGAAGCAGGTCATCTATGAATAGTTTAGCACCAGGTTCCCCACGAACATGCATTGCGTGACGGGCGAGGGGGCGGCCACCTTTCTGGCCACAGGCTGACTCTCTTATTAGGACATAATGCAGTTGTTGACTTCAAGTTGAAGCCAATGCTCACTTACCATTCTGAAAATTCTAGGGCCTTAAAAATCATGATAAATCTAGACTGACTGTATTCTACAAATGGAACAACAAAGCCTGGATGACAGCACATCTGTTTACAGCATGGTTTACTGAATATTTTAAGCTCACAGTTGAAGACCTACTGCTCAGAAAATATTCCTTTCAAAATATTACTGTTTATTGACAATGCCCCTGGTTACCCAAGATTTCTGATGGTGATGTACAAAGAGATTAATGTTGCTTTCATCCCTGCAATAACCATTCTGCAGCTCATGAATCAAGGAGTAATTTTGACTTTAAAGTCCCATTATTTAAGAAACACATTTCATAAGGCCACAGCTGCCACAGAAAGAGATTCCTCTGATGGAACTGGGCAAAGTAAACTGAAAACCTTCTGAAAAGGATTCACCATTCTAGATGCCATAAAGAACAATCAGGATTCACAAGAGGAGGGCAAAATATCAACATTACCAGGATATTTGGTTAATGATTCCAACACTTATGAATGACTCTGAGGGGCTCAAGACTTCAGTGGAGAAAGTAACTGGATGTAAACAGCAAGAGAACTAAAATTATAAGTGGAGTGTGAAGATGTGACTGAATTGCTGCAATCTCATGATAAAACTTGAACAGGGGAATTGCTTCTTACGGCTGAGCAAAGAAAGTGGTTTCTTGAGATGAAATCAACTTCTGGTGAAGATGCTGTGCACATTGTTGAAATGACAACAAAGGGTTTAGAACCATTACTGCAGTGCCAGGGTTCCACCCCAGTTCTGAAAGAAGATCTGTGGTGGGGAATATGCTATCAAACAGTGTCACATGCTACAGAGGAATCTTTGGTGAAAGGAAGAGTCAATGTGGCAAACTTCATTGTTGCCTTATTTTAATAGCCACAGCCACCTCAACCTTCAGCAACCATCACCCTGATTCAGTCAGCAGCCATCAACATCAAGGCGAGACCCTCTACCACCAAAAAGATTACAACTTACTGAAAGCTCAAATGATCATTAGCATTTTCTAACAATAGTTTTTAAATAAGATATATACATTGTCTTTTTAGAAATAATGCTATTTTGCACACTTAATAGACTGTGGTATAGTGTATACATAACTTTTATATGCACTGGGAAACAAAAAAATTCCTGCAACTTGCTTTATTGCAGTGGTCTGGAATCAAACCTGCAATACCTCAGTGGTATACCTGTATTACTAACAGTTTTGTCTAATCAACTGAATTTCGTTGATGAATTATTTCATTCAACATTTTTTGAGCCATGTATTGAACCAGTCACTGAAACTAACATTATAATGACGAAAGGCAGACAATACCTTAAGGAATAATAAATTGTAGAGTGTACCAGAAGGGTTACATGATAAGTAGTAACAAAAGCAATCTAAGAAAAGGGGATAGGAAGTATATATAATGTGGGATGGTTTGTGCTTTTAGATAGGATAATGAACGATGGTCTCATTGAGGTTACATTTGCACAAAGATTGGAAAGGGATGAAGAAGCCACCTAAGAGAAGGAATTCCAAGCACAGTGAACAGAAACCTCAAAGATACTGAGGGTTGGAGCATATCTGGTATAGCGGAGAAATAGTAATATAAAGTCTAGTGTGGCAGGAGAAATGTGAACAAAGAGAAAAGTAAATGGGAAAAAGACAGATCATGTGGGATCTCACAAGCCCTTTTTAAGAACTCTGGCTTTAAACTCTGGGTGATGGCTGGGCAGGGTGGTCCACGTGTGTAATCCCAGCACTTCTGGAGGTCAAGTGCGGAAGATCACTTGAAACCAGGGGTTCAAGCCTAGCCTGGGCAACATAGCAAGACCTTGTCTCTACAAAAAATCAAAAAAAATAAAAAATTAGCCAAGCACAGTTGTACACACCTGTAATCTCAGCTACTCAGGAAGCTGAGGCGGGAGGATTACTTGAGCCCAGAAGTTTGAGGCTGCAGTAAGCTAAGACTGCACCACTGCACTCCAGCCTGGGTGGCAGCAAGATGCTGTCTCTAAAAACAAACAACAACAACAAAAACTCTGGGTAACAGTCACTGAGTTCCACAGTACAAAAAGATGGGAGACAGAATGACACAGATTAGTTCAATGTCATTAATCAAATAGCCATTACAGAAGCGCTGAAAAACAAAGAAGCATCAGTCTCTAAAAGAATCCAAGTCAGGAGACTTTGTTTCCATGCCTATTTATTGGCTGCTTAGTCTTAGATACATTCTTGTCATCTCTGATTCATGGTTTCTTCACTTTTAAGATGGGGATAACAATAACAGCCCTGCTTTAACATAGGTTAAATGTTTTGAGAATTATAAAACACTATACAGTCAGCCGTCCATATCCACGAGTTCTGCATCTGTGGATTCAAGAACCAGGGATCAAAAATACAGTGTTTGTGGGATGCGGAACCTCAGCTGTGGAGGACCAACTTTTAGGTCCACTGAATGATCTAAGTATCCATGGATTGTGGTATCTGTTGTAGGTCCTGGAACCAATCCACTGAGGGATAAATGTATTATGTTAGTTGTTTTCTTCTTTTTATTTTACTCTACAGTTTATAACCTCTTCTAAAGTGATCTAAATGATCCTGAAACCTTGCATACAAATTAAGGTTTTAATAAATTTAATCATGTTTGTAGAATGTTAAGGAAGTTCTATATTGGTAGTACATTTTTATTTTTAATGAAAGAATCTTTTTGAAATAATATTTTCAATAAACTTTATTAGACACCAAGTCTGCCCCATGAACTATTTTTATATACACTTTAGCGTATATGTAAAAATCACTACCCTTAAGGGGCTTAGTTTGCTGAGGGGCACAGACACAAACAGATAATTTAAAAATATTATGGCTTCCATTCCAGCACAAGATTTCAAATTCCTGCTTCCCTCCCTCCATCTCAACCCTATAGATTACACAAAAGCAAAAAGCAGTCTAATAAATGAAAAACCTTGGGGACACTAAAAGCAATGGCTTCTAGAGTGTTAAGGAAATGGCAACCAAGAGATGGAGCAGGCCAAATGCTACCAAATGGAAAAGACCTAGTTGTGACCTTTTCCAGTCCTTACATTGCTCTGGGCAGAGAATTTCTACCCTACAGGATGCAATGAGACAGAAAAGCTCTGCTACCACTCCAGTGCCATCTGAAGAGTACAGGAGATTATTATATCAGGAAAGCACCAGAGCACAAACAGTTTGGGAAATGGTAACAAGTTTAGGTGACCTGCAAGGCCCCTGTGTGTTCTGTTCTCACCGGCACTGCATAAATACAATAAGGATAGCAGGTCCTGGAGAAGATCATGCCTCTAAGCAGGTCAACAGGAAGTTCCTTTTTGGCACCAACTGTCGAACTGCATCACCCCGAATCAGCCCACACACTCCCACCTCTACTCCATGAAATTACACAAAGACACATGTTAAAGCCTAGTCTTTCACCCTGCTCCCCAGGCAAATATTACTAGCTCATAACTTGGAACTTCTAAGAAAAATATAACCAGACACTTGGAGAGTATGAGCACAATGAAAGAAAGGCAACAAATGAACAATCAATACCATAAGAAAAAAGACTAAAGAGACCACAAATTTAAAACAAACATAATATTCACCAATTGAAGATATGTATAGATTTTTTAAACTGCTGAAATAAAAAATCCGATGGGTTAACTAGCAAATTGAATATAGGGCAAGAATATACTAGTGAGCAACAAGTTCAGGTCAAGCAATTCTACAAAGCATTAAAAAAGGAATAAGGAAGTAGAAAATATAAACACTTCTCAAAAGCTATGAGACATGGTTAAAATATTTAAATGTCAATATCTAATAAGATTCTCAGAAAGGGAAATAAATAAATATCTCTAGAAATGATTAAGAATTTGCCAGAATTAGAGACTGAGAAACTCAGATAAAAACAGGATGTGTAACTCAAAGAATCCAAACATGATGTAGGAAAAAAGAGAAGTAAGATGAAAACTGTGAAACCTTATACTAAAAAGAAGAAAGGAGATTTCCAAGTCAATTTATAGTCAAACAATAGAAAAAATAAATCCCAAACTAAAATTTTACAAAAACTGACAAAATCTTTACAAAAAGCCTGATTAAGATTAAAAAAAAAAAAGAGAGAGAGAAACATAAACACTAACGAAATTGTTAAAGGAGAAATAACCAAACACATAAGCAATGGTAAGAATATTACTTTATTTCTTATGGCAATAACTAAAAAGGAACAGGTAATTTCCTAGCAAAATACAAATTACCAAAATTAATACAAGAAAAAATGAAAAGCTTAAAAAGGCTAGTTTAGAAGAAAATGGAAAAGAGAGAAAAGTTCTCCCATTTTAAATGGCATCTGGATTAGACAAATTCAAAGTTAAATTTTTATCTAAACTTCAAATAACAGTTAATTCTAGTGTTAGATCACTGCAGGCCAAAGGGAAAATGAAATAGAAAGTAACCCCAAATCATTTCATAAAGCTAACATACCCTTAATATCAAAACATGATAAACCTCATACAAATGTGACATGATTATAGGTACAAAAATTATAAATAAAATGCTAGCAAACAGAATCTACCAATATGTCAAAGGAATAACATACTATTGAAAAGAATACTGCAGTTTATTACGAGAATGCAAATGTGAGTCTGTATTTATTCTCTCAATAAATATTTGGGAGGCTGTGAAGAAAATAGCTAACAGAGCATTATTCATAACAGTCAAAAAGTGGAAACAACCCAAACAAATGTCCATCAACCAATCAATGGATAAACAAAATGTGTTATGTATATTCATACAGTGGAATACTATTCAGCCATAAAAAGGAAGTAGTGACACATACTATGACATGAATGAACATTTAAAAAACTAAGCAAAGTGTAAGAAGTCAGTCACAAAAGACCACATATTACATGATTCCATTCATATGAAATGTCCACAACTAGGAAATCTACTAAGATAGATAGTAGATTAATGTTTGTTTAGGACTGGAGAAGTGGGGGCTATAGGAGAATGAGGGGTGATCGTTAAAGATAGAGTTTCTTTCTGAGGTAGTAAGAATATTCCAAAATTGACTGTGGTAATGTACATATATTTCTGTGAATATACTAAAAATCACTGAATTTTACACTTTTAAAGGGTGAATTGCATGGCATGTGATTATATTTCAATAAAGCTGTTTTTTAAAAAGAGCAAAAGAAAAGACTTTACATAGCATTCCTGAGACTGCCATCCTTACAGTGGTCTGCTTGCAGGGCTGACCTTTGGGAGTTCAAGATTTGGGGAGGCTTTCTACCACACTGATAAGAGTGGGTCACTGCACCTAAACTGCACAAACAAAATGTTTATCCTGAACACCTGTTTTCCTTCTGGAAATCTGGAATTTTGGTACGTCCCAGGCAGAGGATGCATAGTGACCACCCCACAATAAAATGTTAAGCACTGAGTCTCTAATGAGCTTCCTGGTACACAACATTTTACACGTCATCACAAAATCTATTGCTGGAGAAATCAGTGTGCCCTGTGTGACTCCACTGGCAGAGGACAATTGGAAGTTTGTGCCTGGTTTCCTCCTGACTTCACCTCCGGCTCCTTCTCTGTTTGCTGATCCTGCTTTATATCCTTTCACTGTAATAAATCACAGCAATGCATACAACTATATGCTGAGCCCTGTGAGTCCTGCTAGAGAATCAACAAATCTGTCAGGTGGGAGGGATCTTGGGGACCTCCAACCCAGAGGCATTATAGTACAGTACTTGAAAGCTGCTTCGTTTCTATCAGACTGGCAAAAATATTAAAATACTGTTGGTGAGGATAAAAGGGAAGAGGTACCTTCTTTCACTGCTAATAATGTAATCATACTATTATACCCTCTGGCAATATTAGATCAACATGGCAACAACTATTAAAAATTAAAACACACTTCAACCTCCGAAACCCAATACTGAGAATCTATACTCCAGAAATAAAAGTACATTTTTATTGAGATATATTAGGTTCTACCAGTAAATAATGAAGGAAATAAAGTAAATATCCATCAGTAGGAACATAATTGCTACAGGGTGTTCGCTGTGAATTCCTATAATTTTATGTTACCTCTGCATCCACTTTGAACATAAGTTGGACTTTCTGATTCCAGAAGCAGTACTCAGTTACCCCTGACAGTTTCCAGTTTTCTACCTCTTCCTAGTTCCTCAATATGGTCAATCCAGATATCTACTTTATATAACTGCTTCCTAGTTACCACCTCTTTATAGGTGGTCAGTGAAATACAACCCACTTGACTTGACCTACTGACTCACACAGCCTGCATGGGCTGTGCAGATATGCCACAGTGACCACCTTTCAGTCACAGTGACTTCATGGAACATGTACCCACTTACTCTAAACCCACCAATTAGACCTACCTGCAGGAAACCCACCTAGGTAATACCCTGGACCCCAATAAAGGCTTTGGCCTACAGGTTCCCCTCACTCTCTGTCTCTTGCTCCCCACCCAGTGGTTGAATATGCATATCTCGTTGGCTCCCCACTTCCAGTTGGCCATAGGAGGTGTGCTGCCCTCTTCTCTCTCGATTTGTAAGTAATACTGCTTCTGTTATTTCATGTGTTTTGGTGAGTTGTATCCTGTGTGTTTTGCCCAGTTACACCTGAATCCAACTTCTTTTCTGGTCAGGACTCTCCTAGAGAATGGCTATCTTGATAGGAATAAACTCAACACAGGTAAGACAAGAGCTACAAGGGCATCTGCCAGTATAAACAAGTTTCCTGTGAGAGGGACACCTATCAAGGGTCATGGACACTAAGGCATTAGGTCATATGCCAGGACAAAGAAGTATCCTGTGAAAGGCACATTGTAAACACTCATGACCAGATCTCCCGAAGCCCTGGCAGGGAAGGGGTAGTGTTTATAGCCACTCTCCAAAGACAGACCACAAGACCACATTAGAGGAAAACACAAGTGTTTTTGAGTGACAAAGGCAAAATACAGGAATTTAATATGATCTCACTTTGGTAAAACAATGTATGTGTGAAAACATATATGTTTTATATGATCACTTGAGCAAGGAGGTGTATATATGTATAATTGAAACAGGGCTAGACAGCCAACTTAGAAAACAAAAAAGATTAACTCAGTTATGTGCAGTTGAAGCCCAAAGAAAAAAAGAACAAAACATGTAAATATGCAAAACCAGAGATATGCATATTATAGCATAAGATCCATGTGGAAGCAGAATAGGCTTCTTGGAGAGGTTACATTTTATTATATATTGAAAAACGAGCACAAGTTTCATGCGTATGTTGGGAGGATGAGATGCATTTCAAAGAAATGCTATGAACCAAGTAATCAAGTAATATACACAATAAAGTACGAAGTAGACAGAACCAGGGGTCAGATCATGGCTGGTCTTGAAGGTCACATAAGAAATTTGGACTTTATCTAATAGGTGGCAAAAAGCTTTTGTTGGTTTTAAGCAGAGAAATTACAATCAGACTTGTGGTATAAATAGACCATGGCAATGAATAAGATGAATTTGAGGTAAATTAATCTGCAAGTAGAAGGGGTAAATTGGGAGGCTGGTGAAGGAATGCACAGGAGAGATGACATAGGCCTGCACAAGGGCAGTGGTAGCATAAACAGGGGATGAATATGACACTCTTTCAGAAGTAAAGTCCACAAAACCTATGAAGCAGAGAGGAAAGTAAAGAAAGTTCCCAGGTTTCTAGAGTGAATGGTAGTAGGACTGTTATACCAACTCAAATAGTATTTATAGGAAAATGAGCTTGTTTGAGAGAAAATATTGAGTTCCATTTGGGATAAAATGAATGAGTTTCTACAGAACATTCAAGGGGAGAGACCCAGTAAATATTTAGATTCAAAAGGTAATCCTGGGGAAGAGTTTAGGGTTGGACATAATGGATTTTCAAGTCATGAACATATAAACATAAGAAACCATAAGAATAGATGAAATGGTAAAGAAAGGACATGCGAGTGAGAAAAGTGGCAGCCTGAAAGAATATCAGAAACACCAGGTTTATGGTAGTAATTATTATACTGGAGCCAAAAGGACAATATTTTAGTCTTTATTTCACATAATAGCACCATATATAGATGGCTGGATGGATGACAACAGATAGCCACTACAGTCTATGTTGCACGCAATTGCTATTGTATCTGACAGAGGTCTAGAGCTGATGTTGCTAAGACCATTCAGATTTATAATCCCCAGGCTGAATACCTGGGTAGCAAAAAGGAAGGCAGAGTAGAGGGAATCTAACTCTAACAGAAGGTCTATAGGAACAGCCAGTAATTAACTCCTTCCTCCCTTTTATTCATCTAAATCTACTTACACACGCAACTGTAGTTTTCCTTACTCTTCCTTCTATTTTATATTACTTTTTCTATTTATATTTTAGTCTATTTTCTGTTCAGTAAGATCCAAATTAAACAATTCAGAGGTCACTAGTATCTCAGTGACAGCTAATTTTCCTACGTACAATATTTTTGTACATAGGATGTTTAAGTTAACCAGCTTTGGAGGTGTAAGTTGTAATCAATAAAATTCATCCCATTAGTGTACAGTTCAGTAAGTTTTGACAAACCTACAGTCATGTAACCATTACCACAATCAAGCTATAGAACATTTCCATCACCCTGAGAAGCTCTCCTGTGCCCCTTCACAGTCAATAACCTTCCTCACTGTGGTAGGCAGAATTCTACCACAGTGCACCCACACCCCCATCCCCAGATTTCATACCCTATAGAAACCTGTAAATATGACAAGATATGTATTCCATTATCTCATTATGTTATATGGCGCAGTTGACCTAAAAATATGGCGATTATCTGGTTGGGCCTAATGTAATCACATGAATCCTTAAAAGCAGAGTGCTTTCTCTGGCTGGTGACAGAAAAAGAGAGATTTGAAGCATGAGAAAGACTTGATGTGCCATTGCTGCTTTAAAGGTGGAGGGGGCCTCAACATGAGAGAACAGATCCTGGTTGACAGCTAACAAAGAAACAGGAACCTCGCTCCTACAAGGAAATACTTCTGCCAACAACCTGAATGAACCCAGAAGCAGATTCTTCTTCCTTAGGGCCTCCAGATAAAAGGCCAGCCCATTTGATGCTTTGACCACTCTTGTAAGATCCAGAGCACAGAATCCAGTTAAAAACGACCTAGACTTCTGACCTACTAACACTGTGAAATAATAAATGTGCATTGTTTTAAGCTGTTGTGGTAATTTGTTACATAGTAATAGAAAATTAATACATTCAACCTGCAAGAAAACACTGATACACTTTCTGTCCTAGTTTCAACTTCTCTAGAATTTCTCATAAATGGACTCATACTTTTGAGTTTCATCTGTATTGCTGCACAAATCAGAAGTTGTACATTCCTTATTACTGAGTAATATTCTTTTGCTTATCTCTTTACTACTGGTAAAGGGAGATTAATTGCAGTTGTTTCCATTTTGGGGTTATTATGAATAAAGTAACTATACACATTCAAGTACAAGTCTTTCTGTGGATACATTTCTCTTGTAAATACCTAGCAGTGGGACTGCTAGGTTGTATTGTAAATGCATGTTTAACTTTATAGAAAATTGCCAAAGTGCCTTCCTAAGTTTTTGAATACTATGCAATTTTTTTTCTTTCTTTTTTGAGACGGAGTCTCGCTCTGTCTCCCAAGCTGGAGTGCAGTGGCGCGATCTCGGCTCACTGCAAGCTCCGCCTCCCGGGTTTACGCCACTTCTCCTGGCTCAGCTTCCCGAGTAGCTGGGACTACAGGCGCCCGCCACCACGCCCGGCTAATTTTTTGTACTTGTAGTAGAGTCGGGGTTTCACCCAGTTAGCCAGGATGGTCGCAATCTCGTGATCTGCCCGCTTCGGCCTCCCAAAGTGCTGGGATTACAGGCGTGAGCCACAGCGCCCGGCCCTGTAGAGGTTTTAAAGTTTTGGCTCTTATGGTTAGCTCTATGATTCATTTCAAGTTTGTGTGTGTGTGTGTGTGTGTGTGTGTGTGTGTGTGTGTGTGTAGTGTTAGACAAGGCTTTGGATTAATTTTGTCCAAACAAAATCTAATTTTCCAGCACCATTTTTTAAAATGAGTATGCTTTCCCTAAATTGCTTTGGAATACTTTGTCAAAAATTAATTGATTATAGCCAGGCACAGTGGCTCATGCCTGCAATCCTAGTACTTTGAGAGGCTGAGGTGGGAGGATCACTTGAGCCCAGGAGTTTGAGAGCACCTTGGGCAACACAGTAAGAACCATCTACAAAAGTACAAAAATTAGCTGGGCATGGTGGCACATGCCTATATAGTCCCAGCTCCTCAGGAGGCTGAGGTGGGAGGATCGAGTGAGCCTGGAAGGTAGAGGTTGCAGTGAGCTGTGATTGTGCCACTACACTTCAGCTTGGGTGACAGAGTGTGAGACCTTGTTTCAAAACAAAAACAAAAAATTAACTGATTACTTACATAGTAGATATATTTCTGGTCTCTCTATTCTACTAGGTTGGTCCAAAAGTAATTGTGCTTTTTGCCATTACTTTAAATGAATTATAAATATTTCAGGTATGTCTAGAATTATACCAAAACCACACTCTTTCAAAAAAAATAAATAACGTCTTAACAATATTGAGACCTCCAATCTAGGAATATTATGTCTTTCTACATTTTTTTAGGTCTTCTTTCTCTTAGAAATGTTTTGCTAATTTAGGTGTACAGGTTATACATATATATTTTTAAATTTATCTCTAAGTTTTTCATCTTTTTTTGACATTATAGTAAATGATGTTTTCAATTTTGGTTTCCAATTTTTCATTACTAACATGCAGAAATATAATTGATTTTTTGTACTGACAATAAAAACTGCAACCTTAGTTCTAGGAGCTATTGTATAGATTTCTTAGATACTTTTACTTCTTGCTTTCTAATCTGTAAGCCTCTTTCATCTTGTTCTTGCCCTACTTAACTGGGTAGGTAGGACGTCCTGTACAATGCCAAAAGGAAGAAGTAAGAACAGAAATACTAATCTTGCTTCCAATCTGAGATGAAATCATTCAGTCTTTAACCTTATGTGTAGGGTTAGCTGTAGATTTTTACAGGTATCTGTATCAGGTTGGGTAAGTTCCCCTTTATTCCTACTTTGTTGAAACTTTTATATTAAACAGTTGTTGAATTTTGTCAAAATTTTTTAAATTTTGTAAATACTGAGATGATTATATGATTCTATTTGTTGACAGTTTAAATGGTTGTTGAATTTTGTCAAAACTTTTAAATTTTGTAAATACTAAGATGATTATATGATTCTGAGTCTTAATGCAGTATATTACAATGATTTTCAAGTGTTAAATCAACCTTGTATTCCTGTCGATGATGCCAATTTATCAAAACCTATTCTTTTTATGCATTTTGGACTTAATTTGCTAATAAATTTTAAATAACTTTTACATCTGTATTCATGAGGGATTTTCAGTCTGTAGTTTTCTTGTGATATCTTTGTCTGATTTTGTTACTGAATTTTTTTTTCTTTGTTTGTTTTGTTTTTGTTTTTGAGACAGTGTCTCGCTGTGTCGCCCAGGCTGGAGTGCAGTGGCGCAATCTCAGCTCACTCCACCTCCCGGGTTCACGCCATTCTCCTGCCTCAGCCTCCTGAGCAGCTGGGACTACAGGCGCCCGCCACCACGCCCGGCTAATTTTTTGTATTTTTAGTAGAGATGGGGTTTCACCGTGTTAGCCAGGATGGTCTTGATCTCTGGACCTCGTGATCTGCCCGCCTCGGCCTCCCAAAGTGCTGGGATTACAGGCGTGAGCCACCACGCCTGGCTGTTATTAGAGTTATAATCATCTCATAAAGTGAACTTGGAAGTGTTTTCTCCTCTTTAATTTTCTGGAAGAGTTTATGTAGACCTGCTATTATTTCTTCTTAAAAGGCTGGTGGAATTCATCAGTAGCACTATCTGGGCCTAGAATTTTCTTTATGGGAATATTTTAAATCACAAATTAAATCTCTTTGATAGAAAGGGCTACTTAGGTTTTCTTTTCTTCTTGAGTGAGCTTTCATAGTTTGTGTCTTTAAAGGACTTTTCCCATTTCACCTAGTTGTCAAATTTATTGGCAAAAAAATTCACAATACTCTGTATTATCCCCTTAATGTTGGTAAGGTTTGCAATGATGTCCATTCTTTCACTCCTGATACTGTTAATTTGTATCTTCTCTTTTATTGATCAGTCTTGGCTAGGGATTTTATCAACTTTATTGATAATTTCAAAGAATCAGCTTTTCATTTCACTGATTTTTTTTCTATTGCTTTCCTGTTTTCACTTTCATTGGTTTCCAGAACTCTATTATTTTCTTTCTCTGCTTACTTTGGGCTTAATTTGCTCTTCTTTTTCCAGTTTTCTGATAAAAGCTTAGAGCTTTCTTCTTTTCTAATATAAGCATTTTGTTATAAATTTCCCTCCACACTGCCTTAGTTTAAATCCCACACAGTCTGCTATACTGTTTTCAATTTTATTCTGTTCAACATAGTTTCAAATTTCCCTTGTTCAACTTTCAAGTACTCCTTTCCCCAGCCTCCTGGAGTTTCTCCCTGTACCCAGTTCCCAGCCAGAGATTCAAGGGCACTCTTATGCAGATTGCCAGAGTTTCCTCTCTGTGAAATTATTTCCCTTCTAGCATTCTGCTCCACAAATTCTAGTCACTTCAGCCTCCCTGATCATAGCTTTAAATCAGATCTATAAAGATATTTAGAACTAACCTCCCTCCCTAACTCCACAACATTTAAATGCACTGAGTTACATTGTTAAATAATTCTAAACCTCATACATGCTAAGAAACACAAGTTTAAAATGTGATAGTTGTGATATTCTTTTGGCTAGTATACAGTAATTTGCATTCTGACAATTCATTATTAACACTGTGTAATATAATAAAACATGGCTGCTTTGGGCTTAATGTAGCATTTATACATCGGTTCTGTTTAAAGAAATTCAAGCCAGATGTGGTGGCTCACGCCTGTAATCCCAACACTTTGGGAGGCCAAGGTGGGCAGATCACGAGGTCAGGAGTTCAAGACCAGCCTGGCCAAAATGGTGAAACCCCGTCTCTACTAAAAATACAAAAATCAGCCGGGTGTGGTGGCACACGCCTGTAATCCCAGCTACTCAGGAGGCTGAGGCAGGACAATTGCTTGAACTCAGAAAATGATGGTTGCAGTGAGCCAAGATAGCACCATTGCACTCCAGCCTGTGCAACACAGCAAGACTCCATCTCAAAAAATAAAATAAAATACATAAAAAATATTTAAAAAGAAATTCAGGTCTCCAATAAAATAATATGTAGATATAGGTACTTAGACTGTGATGCAAATCATCTTCCTTACCTTGAGTCATGGTCAAAAAAGTATGAAAACCACTAAACTAAACTAACTTTTTTCCTTCTTTTGACAGTGTAAGAAATATCAGGTCAGGAGAAGTTTAGTAATGGACTCGTTTTTAGAGACTGTAAGTAGTAGAGCTAAAATTAGGAATTATATACCTTAAAGGCCAATTTAACACTTTTACTTCTAACCAAACCACCTATGATGATCAGACCTGTTTTAAGATTACCCTGGTAGCAATAAGAAAAATAATGTGGATGGTAAAGATTCTAGAAGCACATCAGGAAGATCACAAACACAGAAGTACCAGGGAGGAAACTCTTAGTCGGGATTTCTAACTTGTCCTCTATCAAGTCACCTTCTCCTTTTTTGACTTTTCACCAATCCTACAATCTTGGTTCTCTTATATTTAAAGGCAGCGATCTTCAAATTGGGATATGCACATCCAAGAAAACATAATGATTTTCCCAGAGATTAAAGGTATGGTTAGATTTAAAGGAATTAATTTACAGATCTGCCACTTCCAAATGTACACTTTCCTAGAATTGATCTGGCTAACGATTCGTCTGTAGTTCTTTCCCAGTTCTGCTTTCACAATTGCTTTCCTCCTACTTTACAAAATAATGACATATACCCCTCACCCATCCTACATCTTACAGTATTCTATTTTCTAGGTTTACTACAAAAATCTCCAGGTGCCAAATAAAGGAACAACTCAAAATATTGGTGTAATTTAAGCTTCCTTTAATTGGGCACCTTAACTCATGCTCAGCTTATCTCACTAAAAGATACATTTGTAATAAACTTTTAACTTCTTAGGTTTTAGTTATTTCTCAAAATTTATTATGTGCATATAGATACTGAAAATAGAGACAGTGAAAATTCAGATTTACTGGTTCCCAAAGTAACTGTATGTATAACATAATCCACAAGGGAAAAATATACATCTGTTATTTTATTACAAAGAAGTGTAATAAAGTGATTGAAATGATTTAAATCATAAAAATAATTATAAAAATAGTGGGAATATATTTATTATTTTTTGTATTACATGTGTTCCAGGAGAAAAAAGAGCAATGCAAAATCCAGCAATCCCTAGTGGTATATACCCAAAAGAAAGAAAATCAAAGAGATGTCTATACTCCCATGTTTATTGTGGCATTATTCACAATAGCCAAGATATGGAATCACCCTAAGTGTCTTAAGTCCGCCAATGGATGAATGGATAAAGAAAATGTGGTATGTATACATAATGGAATATTATTCAGCCATAAAAAAGAATGAAATCCAGTCAGTTGCAACGACATGGATGGAAGTGAAGGATATTAAGTGATATAAGACAGGCACGGAAAGACAAATATCCCATGTACTCACTCATATGTGGGAGCTAAAAAATAAATAAATAATCTCATGGATATAGAGAGTAAAATAACAATTACTAGAGGCTGGGAAAGGAAGTGGAGAGAAGGGATAAAGAGAGGTTGGTCAATGTACAAAAATACAATTAGAAGGAATAAGTTCTCGTGTTCAGTAGCACAACACAGTGACTAAACAGTAATGTATTGTATATTTCAAAATAACTACAAGGGTAGTATTAGAATGTTACTAACTCAAAGAAACAAACGCTTAAGGCGATGGACATCCCAACAACCCTGATTTGATCATTATACACTGTATGCTTATATCACAATATCACATGTACCCCATAAAGATGTGCAACTATTACATATCCATAAAATTTAAAATTAAAAAAAGATACAATTCTATTGCAAGAATAAGGAAGAAAATAAAAAAACTAAACCTATATCCACCATCATAGAAAATTAATGTTAATTTAAGCTTGAAAAATCACCAAATAGCAATACAGAATTCATATTTAGAAATATAAATAAAACTATAGAATAATCAGCTGAAAGACTTGAAAGTGTTTGCTTCTTCAGGGTGGCACTAGAAGGAAAGAGAAGCACAAGGTGCTATTGTATATTGTGGTAAGTTTTCAGTGCAATGCAGTTTATGTCCATGTTTGATTTCAAAATCATCCCCCTCTCTCCTTTGCTCTGCTGTGTATGGGACAACCATACAGAGCTGATCTCTGCAAACAGCATTTCCCAGGATCCCTTGTGAATCCATTTCTGGCCCATTTCGGCCAATCAGAGGCACTGCCAGAAAATCGAAGACAAAGGAGAGAAGCCAAGGTATTTCTCCCCTTCTCTCTCTGCCCTGTTGCTATCTCTGGCATATTCTCCTCGAAGGCTCAAGTTCCCCGTTTACAGCAAGGCCTCTAAAGTTCTAGGTCAGGCTTGGTGGTTCCAGCTCTTGGGCTCCTGTCTTTGGAACTTAAGCCTAGGGACAGTGGCAACTTACAACACCAGATAATTTATCTTCCCCTGGTGGCTCCTTAAGGTCTTCTAACAGCTTTTTAAATTTTTTTCTTATATTAAATTTTCTAATTCAATACTAGTACTAATTTTTTTTTTTGAGCTGGGGTCTCACTCTGTCACCCAGGCTGGAGTGTAGTGGCCTGATCATGACTCACTGCAACCTTGACCTCCTGGGCTCAAGCGATCCTCCTGCCTCAGCCTCTCAAAGTGCTGATATTACAGGTATGAGCCACTGTGCCCCTGCCACTAATACTAATTCTAATGTAATACAACAGTTTTGATTTTCTAAATGGGCCTAATATAAGTAACTATTTGATATTTTCAGATACAGGTGTCAGAAAATATTGACAAAGATTCTCTCATTGATCAAACTCCACTCGAGCTATTCCATGTTCTTTTTCAACTATTCCTCAACTTTTGGACTTCCTTGTTTGTCTCTACGTTGTCCAATTTTAGCAAGAGTCCTACTAAGTCAAGTCAGCCATTCTCCTTATCTGATCATCCTCATATCTGATTAGGTTCCTCATCCTTCACCATCCTCCAGGTGATGTCTGATCACCCTGGCCTGCCTTCAACAAGAATCCTGTTAGGTCAGTTTGGCCAGAATCCTCTCTTATTCCTAATGTTGCCCCCTAGTAATTTTCCATCCACCAACCACACCCACATCCTTGTCTATAAATTCCCGCTTTTACTTGTAGTATATAGAGTAGAGCCCAATCTCTCTCCCCAACTGCAAGACTCCATTGCAGTGCTCCCTGTACCTATCTGTAACAAGTGTCTTCCTTACCATCTTTAACAATTGTCATGAATAATTTTTTCCTTAACAGCATAAATTTCTAAAAGTTTAAATACATAAATATATTTCACAATGCTTAAGAAATTCTTAAAGAAAAAAATTAGAAAACTGGCAGAATCACTTCAAAGGATCTTATATTCTCCTAACTGTTTACTTTGAATGAAATTCTCAGAAGTTCACTTATGGCTTGTTAAAAGCAACTGCATTACCCTACAACACTGCAAATATGAAATAAGTAAAATATTATATCCCCAAATAAAAGAGTAGAACTTACTTTTTCTAAGAATTTATATTTGTCAAACTGCATTTGTGTTTTTAACTCCAATGTAAATAAGTACTTCAGTAGCAGATCTACTGAATATCTCAATACAATTTGATAGATCACTGCTTTTTCCTAAAAGAGTTAATAGTGCAGCTAAAAGGAAAAACTCAGCAATTTCCCTCTTTTTTAGTATATATTTAATTTTCATAAATAATTTTTTAAACCATATAGAAGAGCATACAAGGAAAACCAAGTCTCCCCCATATCAATTATATTCCCCATAGGCAACCAATACCAATGTCTTATGCGTCCCTTCAGAATTCATTTGTGCAGTTATAAACATATATCCACATTTGCCTGTAAAATAAGGATAATTACAACATTTACTGTTATTAAAATTTCTGTAAGGCTTAAATAAGAAAAAACAAAATGTTTAACTTTATTAAGTGCTTAATATCAGTTATTAATACTTTCCAATAAAATATTTTAAAATAAAAAACTTAAATTTGAACTTTAAAATGAACCAGAAGTTTTGAGAAAGAGAGAGAGACAGAAAGAAAAGAAAAGAAAGGAAATAAGTCACTGCTGTTTTCTTATGAGTCAGTGCTTTACCAGCAATAATTTTATCCTAAAAGGCAAGATTCCAGGGCCACTCTCCTTCATTACCCTAGACAAGACTATCAAACTATCTTTTCTCCTTCCAAAACTTAAGCCCAATACATAATTAGTTAGGTAATCTTCACCATGCTATATAAATTATTTAACAGGTGTTTTCCCCCAAAAGGGGATGACACTATATGGAATTTGTTCAAATTCTAACATCCAATAACTTTATCAGGCTACTAGAATGGTCTGGGTAAATGATAATGGCATCTTAAACCTGATTCATTATACCTATTATGGGTTGAATTGTGTCTCCCAAAAACATATGTCCAAGTCCCAGACCTATGAATGTCAATGTATTTGGCAACAGGGTATTTGAAAATGTTATCAGATTAAGATGAGGTCACTGGGGTGGACCCTAATCCAATGTGACTGGTAGCAGTCATTATAAGAAGAGAAAGAGAGAGAATGATGACAGAGGCAGAGGCTGGAAGGATGAAGCTGCAAGTCAAGGAACACCAAAGATGAACAGCCACTGCCAGAAGTTAGGAAGGGGCAAGGAAAGATTCTATTCAGAGCCCTCAGTTGGAACCAATCCTGCTGACACCTGGATTTTGGACTTCTAGTTCCAGAACTGTGAGAGAATAAATTTCTGTCATTTAAGCCACCCAGTTTGTGGTTCTTTGTTACAACAGCCCTAGGAAACTAATATAATAGTTGATAAAGCCATGAGACTCTTTGTTCTTTTATGTGTATGGATTTTTTTGATTATCAAACAGTACTTGTTCATTAGATTTCTGAAATACCACAGAAATACTACATAAAGAAAATTAGAAATATCCATAATTCCATATTAGCACAGAATCACTGCAAATATGTTCTTAATAGTACACAGTCCTAGCCATCAAACTGTAAAGTAAAACTTCATATTAACATCTTTTCACTAACAATATAGCACCTCAAAGATACACTGAGGACTTTCTGATGATATGCTACAACTGCTCATCTTACTAGAAGTATTTAAGATTTTATTTTAGATAACTAGATAGCAAACAGAAGAGTTATACCAAGTTGAAGTAATACAAAAAAACTCTTCATCTTCAAGTAGATAGTGTCAGAAAAAAGAAAAAATATATCTTTCATTACAGAAGTAACTGTGTTTATAAAGCTAAAGGATTATAGTAAGGAAGGTATAATTGAAGAATAAATATTCTTTGATGTGTAAAACCATTGTCACTCTAGAAATGGAGGAATTAGAGAAGACTACAGTAGAAAATTTATAAAACACAGAAAATAAAATTAATAAGAAAAAAGACTATAATACTGCCAACAAAAAAACAGTAAGTTTTAAGTAATTTTCAATGTTTCCACTTTTTTGCTCTATTTCTTTGTGTCTAACAAAAAACCGTGCTATATTTCATGTTGCTTTTACCTATTCACTAGTTTCCACTAGTAACTAACTAGCAAAAGACAAGCATACACATGTATCCAGAATATAGGACATGGTCATTAAAGAAAATGGCTTACAGCAGTCTACTTTTAAGACATGATCTCCAGAAGAAAATTATGTCAAGCCAGCAATAACCTAACATTTATTTGCCTTGACAAAGCCCCAGACTGAACTCTTACTTTATCTATACCTTCCTCCCCATCTCAGCCAATGGCAACTTTATCTTTCCAGTTGCTGAGAACAAATATCTTGATGTCATCTTTGACTCCTTTTTCTGTCATATTTCAGGATCTGACCACTTTTCACCACCTCCACTTCAACAATTCTAGTCTTGGCCATCATCACATCTTGTGTGGATTAAAAAAATAGCAGCTTGTCTCCTGGCTTCTACCCTTTACACAGTAACATATAAGTCTATTCTGGAGAGCAGACAGAGATCTTTCTAAAATTAAATCATAATGTCACTATCTGCCCAGCCCCTCATCTAACTACTTGACCTTTGGCTTTCCCATTCCAGCCACATCAGCCTCCTTCTCATTCCTGCACACTATACAAACTTCTGTTCTCTATATTGTTTGCACTGGCCATTCCCCTGCCTGGAATACATTCCCCCCATAACGCCCACATGGCTTTGCCCTCCCTCCCTTCATAATTGCTTTGCCAAAAAAGTCACTTAAATGAGGCCTACACTTATTTAAAATTGCAAACCATCACAATCTCTACCACGCTTTCCAAATTCCTCTTACCTTGTTCTACTTTTTCATTCCTCCTTGGCACTTTTCTCCTTCTAAATATATTATAGAATTGACTGCTTATTCTTTATTGTCTCTTCTCCAAATCCACTTAGAATGTAAAGCAAATCCCAAGCATCTAGAACAGAACACAGTGCATGGTTAAGTTTTCATCAAATATTTATTAAAGGAAGCTCAGGAAACAAAGTAAAATCTCAAACAACAAACCCTTTGGAAAAAACAGTGTTCCTAACAAAGACAACCTAGGCACTAAAGTATAGGACAATTTCCTACCATCTGGCAGGTAGGTCAGTGTCAGTACTACACTGACAAAGGAGGAGCATTATCTCATGCCTATATGGTAGCATCATATAGGAGGAAAAATTTAGGGCTCAATCTGCTCACCTAAGTATGGGGAGGGGCACCATGAGAGGGGCAACAGTTTATTATGCAGGCTGAGGAGTTAAGAAAAAGCCAAAGAATGAGGTATCTGATGGGCAAAGAATACCCTGATGGCTTCTTGACAAGGATGGAATCCATACCCTGATAGTGACCTTATAATTCCCATAGATATTTTATTCCTCCTCTGATATAAAGTTTACAACACATTGCTCAACTACTCAATCATTAAAAATCTATCAGTTTCATCATCTATAATCAAAATCATAGGGCTACTGTGAGAATCATAAACCATGTATAAAATACCTAATAAATGGCCAAAACATAGGCATTCAACGAATGCAGGCTAATTATAATAACATTATCTTCCACGTAAAATGATTTTTAACAATGTCAACAAGGATTTAGAAAAAAGCAGACGCTGTATTATATATTTTATACTCCATTTTGCTATCTTTAAGGAAATACCTTAAACTGATATATTAAACTTAACCATTGCTTTAATTCAGATTAATGAGATCAGATAAATTGTTCAATGAAATATCAATTTCTTAATTTTAAAATTTTAGTAGCTGTTCTTAGTAAATCATAAGCAATTTTGTTACGGAGCTATCCTAGTTTAAGAATATCTAGCATATGAAAAACCTAATTTATAAAATGAATGTTTGGGAATACTTCACATTATAAGTGGATTTTCACCACAGAATTGTTGTAAATATTCATTTACAAAACCTTTCTGGACTAGAAAGGAGAGAAGGAGAAAATGAGTTAAAATGTTAACAGCCAATGGATCAGAAAGAAAGATAAAGTGACTGAAGTAAGTGTCAGCAACAGAGACTTGATTTAGAAATTTTCAACCAAAGTATAAGTTTTCAGAAAAATAACTACTTAATGATTTTTTTTTTTTTTTAGACAGAGTCTCACTCGGTCGCCCAGGATGTAGAGCAACGGCACAATCTCAGCTAACTGCAACCTCCGCCTCTTGGGTTCAAGTGATTCTCCTGCCTCAGCCTCCTTAGTAGCTGGGACCACAGGTGTGCACCACCACGCCTGGCTAATTTTTGTATTTTTTAGTACAGATAGGGTTTCACCATGTTGGCCAGGGTGGTCTCAATCTCCTGGCCTCAAGTGATCCGCCTGCCTCAGCCTCCCAAAGTGCTAGGATTACAGGCGTGAGCCACAGCACCCAGCCAACATTGTCTAATTAACTTTTGACTTTCTAGTGTTTAGCACTATGCCTAGCATACAATAGGAGGTCAATAATGTTTATTCAATACTTCTAACTCAGAAAAGCGCAGCAGTAAAAAACTTCCAAAGGAAGGGTATTTCTTAAAACTTCTTTTTTGTAATATGTGTAAAATTGAAAACTAATGTTATCTTCAAATTAATTCAAAAATACCATGACACCTCAAATAACTGATTTTGTTCATAAAAATAGCTAAGATATTGGAATAAGGTTTATTTTGCAGAAAAAATTCTGATGAACTGCAGAGTATATGAAGCAACTCTTCTGAAGTCTCATGTAAAATCATAATTCTTTAGCCAGATGCAATGGTTTGTAGCCTTTTCTTGTATCATGGACATCTTTGGTGGCCTAATGAAGCCCCCTATGAATAATGTTTGTAAATGAACAAAATAAAATTCATAGCATAAAAAAAAGAAAAAGAAAAAAAAATACTAAGATCACAAAGAAAACCAATTATATTAAAACTCAATTCTAACCACAGACCACAGTTCTAATCATGGGCTTTTGGTTCAACAATTCCTGATAGAGGATATGAGTTAACCTGGAAGAGCACAGAATATTATTTGCCTAAATATTCTATATACTGTACATGGTATCTATGGTATTCTTATTATTAATTTTAAAAAATGTATAACCTGCAAAGATTACAATATTACATAAAGCTATTTAAAATTTAACCTTTGAGGATTTTTACTTGTAGTAGAGCAGGTTGCATCCGTTTCTTGTTCCTATCATGTGCAAATACCATAATGCAAAATTTTCTAAAATCATCAGTATAAAATTAACAATATAATAATACTATATTTGTAACATCATTAATTTCTACCTAGCTCTGCAAAGATAACATAAATCAGCATACTTCCCTCCTTAAAACAAGAGCTCATGAGCAGAGTAAGCGAAACTGGCAATCATTTTGGCCCTAGCACACCTAGCACACTGTGTTAAAAATGCTTCCAGATGCAATATATAAACTACCCAACTTTCTACAGGTTGTTTTTGAGTTCTACAAGAAATACCTTACAGTTAAAGCTGTCAAAAAGGATCTTCTAAGTATTTTAGTAACCAAACATCTTTGTAGGATAGTTTATTCCATCACTTTATAAAGATCAACTGTGTTTTCGGAAAGTTGTAGGGTAAAGCAATGTACCCCCTCCTACCCCAGTAAGTAAGAGAGTTCCAAACAATTCCAGGAGGGAAAATAATTCTGATTTTGGCTTTTAAAGCTACATATAACCTTAAATGAGATAAAATTTTCATTTTTAAACTTTGTCTTGCTAAAACAAACTTGTAAACCATATGGTACCAAAGTTGTATTTCTTGATACTGCACAGTTTAAAATAAACATCTAACATTAAACAATATAAAAGAACTTGAATCACAGCACATATGGCAGGTCTTAAGAGTATTGTGATTTTTCTTTTTTTTTTTTTTAAGGAAAAGAATACACTAGTTGGAAAAGTCTACCTTCCCATTAAAATATCTTTTTTAAAACTATCTTATGCATTGTTTAGTGAAAATATTAACGAATTGATTATTAGTATCAAATTCCATGAACTTACACAATCTACATACATTTTTAAAAATATTTGTTAAAATTCTTAGGAAAAAGGAAAGGCCAGTTCTTAGTCTCTTTTTTACACGTTAGGAAGAAATACACAAACCTCCCAGTTTCATTAATGAAAAAATCTTAATAAATCACTTTCATGGTTTATCACCAGTAAACACGAACCTGCACAAATTGTATCAAGGAGCTTATTTTAAAAGCCTTTGAGATACAAAACAAAAACCTTATTTCTCAGACTATAATTAACTCCTACTTACACCGAGTTTGTCTATTTGGAATTCTTATGACAACAGCAGGTAAATCATATATTACTTTTGCAGAGTAAGTTTTGTTCCCTTTGGTTTTTTTTTTTTTTTTTTAATTTATCTTTAACAGGACGAAGGGTCTTTGCTTAGACCATCATCACGGAACTGAAAAGAACAGAAAATAACAATTATCAATGTAACTAAAAGTTCATTTCCAACAGACATTTTGTGTTAGCACTTGCTACTCATTTTAAATAGTGAAAATCAGCAAGCCTTTTCTTTTAATAACTAAAAGTGAATCAGATCTTAATCACAAAAACCTTCCTAAGTGTACTGCGTTTTTTTGTTTGTTTGTTTGTTTTTTGGAGACGGAGTCTGGCTCTGTCGCCCCTGCTGGAATGCAGTGGCGCGATCTCGGCTCACTGCAACCTCCGGTTCAAGCAATTCTCCTGCCTCAGCCTCCCGAGTAGCTGGGACTACAGGTTAAGTTTACTATTAAACCTACCTCAAAAATAGCCTTAGATATTCTTTGCAAATATATATATTTATACATACATACATACACACACACACATATATATATATATATATATCTATTTCCAGATAAGGAAACTTTCGGAAAACTTTGCTGTCCAACTGGTAATTCCCTGCATACTTTGCATTGATAAAGAAAACCTTGTAGCAGGGTTACAAACCTCAAAACATCCTCAGATTGCAGGTTTTAGAAACCCTCCCTATTACACCTGTGCAAGTACTTCCTGTTCTCCAACACTGTTTAAAAATAGTTTGGTAAATGCCCCGTAAGCCGCCCTTTAGAAGCTAAACATTAACTTTATATACATCACCACTACCACTGAGAAACCACCACCCCAAGAATCTCACGAGTCCAGTCATCTCTCTTCTCCAAGGAGGGAGCATAACCATCCTGGACCCCTTTAAGTAAAAAACTGTGTGCTCAGGCGAGGCAATGTGGCTTGGACAGCCAGGGGCAGGAGCCAAGTAAGGGTATTACTCACAATCCCAGCAGGACTCCAGCTTGTCGCCGCCCTCAAACACGGCAGCAATAACATCCAGGACCCAACAAGTACAGCACCTCCTCCCGCCTCGCGAGCGCCTCCAGCCTGGCCAGAGGCATCTCCGCCAGACGCGGCGAGAAGGGGCGAAAGGGCTGCGTGACCTCTGGCGTCTGAACCGCCCAGCAAAGAGAGTGTGTGTGTGCCCAGAGGGCCGGGGCCATAGGAGGTCGCCGGGCTGCGAGGGGAGAGACGAGCTCTGGGGCTAGAATGAGAGTGTCCCGGTCAGGCCCGCGGGGGTCGCAGGTCTCTGGATCTCCAACCAGAGGGCTAGTTTCGGAGACTTACCTTGAGCTCTACCCTCCTTGCGCGAGGAGCGTGCGGTCCAGGTAGAGAAATACAGGCCTTCCACTCCCACAGAGCTACCTCCCGCTGGCCCAGCCCCGCTTCACGCCGACACCCGCCAGACACACTGACTGCTGCCACAGTACCGAGGCTCACCGGGAACTGGAGCACAGGCGGCTGGTCTCCGCCGCCCAGAGCCCGACCCTGTGAGCGGAGCATGCGCATACGCCCCAATACCCAGGGACCAGTCAGGCCAGTGACACCTGCGATCAACAGGTCCCTGGAGCCCCGCCCCTCTCCCCGCCTCGAGCCCGCCCCTCGGAGCGGGCTCCGCCTTCACGCTCACCGAGGTAACTCCGCCTCCGCTCGCGATTTCCCGGCTTTCTGGACCTGCGGAATTCTATTCCCGCGGGGATTTGATGGCGTGCGCGATACAGTTGGCTTCCTCGGAGGCGCGAGATCGCGCGAGACCAAGAGATAGAACATTTCTGCAAAAGCGGCAGCTTGGCGCTGGAGTTTGGTTGTTGGGGGAAAGGTGGTTGTAGGACGTGCTGTCTGGTGTGGTGAGAAAGAGGCTAGTTCTTCAGGAGGAGGCGATTATTCTGGTGCTCTTGGTAGTTCATTCGGTATTTTCTAAGCTCAAGAACGCGGATCCACCAAGGACTTCACTTAGGTTAGGTGTTACCTGAGAGAACAATCCGTAGTTTGGCATCAGAACCCCATGCGGACACGCAGTTTCCTTTAGATTTCCGTGAGTCGTTAGACGATCTATTTGCAGTTAAATGGCTTCCTGTGGCGTGAATGTGTATTCCCCAAGCAGTTGTTTCTTGCCTTTAATTAGATAGCTTTAATAAGTCTGTTGACCTGGTTAATGATTGTCAGAAAAGTCTGTCCGCCTCTTTGCCGTGCTTTCGAACAGGTTTTAAGTTAAAAGGTACTGCTGGGAATTGGGCTAAACTTTGATTTTGAATAAACCTTTCTTAGGAATAGTAGTAAAGGAAAAACCCATCGTCACTGATACCGAATATCTCTCAAGTAAATAAAGAAGGTTTTGGAACTCATTCCAAAGCTGGTGTAAGTTGAACATACTAATTGTAAAAATGGATTTCAGTAAACCCAGAGGCACTTCTAAAAGTTTATTTGAAGAAAGAGGGGGAAGAAATATTGGTCGTTGATACAGGAGACAAATAGGACCCGTTTGTAATGTCTGAGGCTGAATCATTAAGAATTTATTGAGCATTTACTATGTTCCCTTTACTGAACTAGGCACTGTCAGAAATAGGATGAAATAAAGCCGTGGTTTCTGCCCTCAAAATATTAAAAACTTTGGGAGGGGTGGGGGAAAAAAAGATCCTACTCTGCATTTTTAAAACAATAAGAGCACACCATTAACTCTTCCCTCCGTTTCTCTAATGTCATTTTCTCCTCATTCTGCAGCTACTTTTCTGGTGCACTTTAAATACTGTTTTTCCGCTGCGTGGTCTCTGTTCGCCAGCACTCCATTTTCTTTTGCTGTTTCTGTTTAATGTTAATCCATGTCTCCTTGAGCAGTCTCTTTCCCATCATGGATTTACCTACCACGTGTCCTGTGCACCAAGAACTCTCAGGTGTATATCTATACGTCGGACATTTTTAAGCAACATCCTTTGGATTTCACACAGTATCTTAAATATGTCCCAAATTGACATGGACATCTTTACTATAATCTGTTCCTGATGCCATGTCCCTCTTCACCCATCTGGAACCTACACCATTTCCATTCCCTGTTTCAGAAAATGACACGCAACTGCCCAAGTCAGAAATCTATGAGTACCCCTGTTACTTTTCCTTCATTTCCTCTTTTCTAATATCAAATTTTGACTCTTATTTCCTTAAGTATCTCTCAGGTCCACCCCTCCACTCTCACTGTCTTAGTCCTTCAAGTAATCACCATCTCTTATGACTCATCTTCCTTGTACTATTGCAATATTCACAAGATATCCTCTAGTTATTTCCCACACCAGTCCAACCTCCATTCTATTAATAATTTTTCTAACGTGAAAATACGATCATTATACTTCTCTGCTAAGAATTTTTCATTACCCACCGGCAGGGCCTTTCATGATCACACTGTTAAACTCATCGCCATTCTTCCTCCAGTTCCTCCACATTAATCTTTCTAAAGTCCTTGCTTTCTATGTTCTTGGTTCTCTCAAGATCCTTTGGTTCTCTCTCGAATGCTTATCTCCATGGATCTTTTCATAACTTTCTGAGACAAAATTGTCATCCCTTTTGGGACTTATTTTTATAACAATTATGTTGTACTATATTTATTTCTCTGCAAATGTACCTGACAGAGTAACCCCCACCTCCACCCTTGAGAAATAATTTGAACTGTGGATAATAATGGCTTATACTACCTCCCTTCCTTATTTAGCAATTACAGAAGAATACCCTTCAGTTCACCCTGCTCAAGAATTTGACTAAACCCTGACTATACACTTTTAAAATTATATAATTTCATACTTTCTACCAGTTTTTAGCATATCTATGTACCGATCCTTAAATGGTAGAGTTGTAATAGGACCCAATTTAAGCATCAAGAGGGCAGAGTCTGAAGCAAACATGAAAAAATGGAAAATTGACATTGCAGGACAGCTGTTGCTCCCAGAAAATTTGTAATTGGGAAAGTCACAACAAGGATTTAAAATATTTTAATTCTTACTATTTGTCCTTGAGGGACGTGTGTGGGTTTGATTCCCTAGTTTCTGATTGGCTGGACCCAAATTTGTGAAGACCAATCTCTGCACCTCACACAGGCAAAGAGATCATGAAAGGGAGCAGGCTTGGCATGCCAAAGAATACCCTAGATCATTCAGCTGAGGCTTAGCCAAAGTTCACACCACCAGCACATATACACACCTCTTAGTGTTATTCTGGATTGATTATAACTCAGACTTTGAGAAATGTGCTACCCTGTGGCTAGATGCACCCTGCCACTAATGTCTGGTAGGAATAGCAACATTGTGTCCTGCGGAGCTGTAACCCAGTAGTTCCAGGAGGTAATCAACAGCTTAACCATGACTGAGCTGGGTGGGGTAGAGTGAAATATAGCATAGGGAAGTAGTAGATCAATGACTGACTCAGGGTTAGATACTAGACAGAATCCTTTTTTTCCTAAATGCATCCATAAGGACTGACAAGTGAATTTCCTTACTACCTAAGCTCTCTGTTTTTTCATGTTTCCAAGGCATAGCACAGTGCCTAGCACAGATGCTTAACAAGCAGTGTTTATTGGATGGAGTAAAAATTGGAAGTTTTGTTGATTTTTTTGAATAGAGTCATCTGTGTGGGCTAAAGTTGGAGAGGGCTTCTGTGGGAGATCAAATATGAACTTCAGCTTGGAAGGATTATAAGCAAGTGTATTTGAAGGCATTGAGGAAGATATGTAACTTAAAAGAGCAAAGTTTTAGAAACAGGATTGAACAAGGCCAGTACAGGACTACAATGGGAAGCCTTTGTAAGTTCTGGGGCAGAATGATTCATTTGGAATAAGGTACAGAAGAACTGTAGGGGAAACTATAGCTAGGCAAGAAGAGAAATCTCTAGGCTGTGACTCAGGGATGAGTCAACCAGAAAAATCTAGTCACAATTGACCACTCCCTCCTTGACATCTTCATCTCAATTCTTGTGACATCATTCCTTTATGGCTTTCATCCTGCCTCATGGGCTTCTCTTTCTCAGCCTCCTTTTCTCTTGTACTTTTCAATCTGCTTTAAATGTTGATGTGCCTTAGTGCCTGATCCTGAGATGTCATTTATCCTCATGGTTTTAAATCTATTTCCCACACAGCAGCCAATTAGTCTTTTAAAAATATTGACATGTTACTCCCCAACTTAAATTGTTCAATGACTTTTCATTCACATAGAATAAAATCCAAAATTCTTGCCAAGGCCTATAGACCCCTGAATGATCTGTTCCTGCTTCCGCAACAACATCTCATGCTGTTCAAGGCTTTGCATTCTCTATTCTCTATGTCTGGAAGACTAGTTCTAAACTGGGGGTGGTTTTCTCTCCCATGGACATTTGGCAATGGTTGGAAACATTTTTGGTTGTCACAGTTGCGGGCAGGGATGCTGCTAAACATCCTACAATGGACAAGACAGTCTCCCACAACAAAGAATTATCTAGTCCCCAATGTCAGTAGGATCAAGGTTGAGAATTACTGGCCTAGAACATTCTTCCCATGGGTCTCTAAGTGATTGCTATAGTAATGTGCCTTGTCATTGAAAGTAGCTGGTCTGAACGAGTAAGGCACAGATGAAGTGGGAAGGAGAGAGAGAGTTCCTGAGGATCCTCTCTCCTCTTACAAGGAATTCTGGACTTCAGTATTTACTGGATTCCTAAAGCTCTGCAGCATGACATTTTGTTAAACACTGGAAGTTCAAATTCAATATCCATGATATCTTAGCTAGCTCTTACTTGGCTGAAACTTTTCTGGCCATCCATCCCAGACCTTCTAAGGCTCTGCCATAACAAGGTCAACATTTGCTAGTAAATCACTGCTAGTGGTTTAACTAGTGGCCTCTTTAATTTTTGCTGACTTAGGGTCAGCGTAGGCAATTTCATTACCCTTGTATGTTATTTCACATTGAAACATTCTAATTTTCTTATCATTAAAATTGGGGTGAGAAGAAATACTTATACAAATATCTTTTTATAAGGCCCTAGATAAAAGCAACTGTAAAGTCCCACACTAGGTTATGATGGCCATTAGTGCCATTATTATGATTACTAATGCTGATTACTAAAAAAAAAAAAAATGTTCTTATAGAATCCCATTATCATTGATGACAATGATATGTATTTAATTAAAATCTCAAAAGTACAGAAAGCTTTAGATTTCATCTGGTCCAGCCTCCCACTCAATGGAGGATCATCCTCACCAGTGGGCTATCAGCTTCTGTTCAAATATGGTAACAGTGATAGAAAACCTAATGCTTTGCAGGGCAGCCTATTATTGCCCTTTTAAGACTAACTCAAAAAAATGTTCATCACAATGAGTTGGAATCTATCTCCTAGTAATTTCCACATACTAGCCTTATTTCTGTCCTTTGAAACAACAGAAATCTATATTCTCCTTTTTCATAAGATAGTAGTTAACACTGAAAATATCTTTTGTGTTTTTAAGCTAAAATACTCCACTCTAGCAACGATTTTTGAAAGCCTAGTAAATATTACACTAATCCACATATTCATTCATTTATTATACAGTACTTCACCTCATCCTACAAATGATTTAAATGATTTTAAATAAATTCTGGCATATAATAAAAAATGGAGGTCAAACATAAATAAGAAAAAACAATCAGAGCTATCAGGAATTAAAATAAGAGTAAAAGGTAAAGAGCGAGAGCAAAAGAACAGATATATGCATGAGCCTGTAACTTAAACTTCAGTTTGGCTATGTTCTAAAACCAAAAGTGAATGAGATATTTAAGTTATCAGTAACAGGAAAACATTTTTCTGTCATCGTTTAAAATGCTTTTCTCCCCCATGTGAGCCTGTATCTAAGGAGACTCTTATCTATGTTCACTGACAATGGCTTCATCAACATGTTCCTGGCAAATGCAGTAACAAGCCTCACATACCATCCATGTGACTGAATTCAAGATGCTGTCTTGTCAACTTCAGAAAAATATGTGGTGCCCAAAAATAAAAACAGATTTTTGCAATTACCCCAATTGTGGTTTGGAGAAATTACTTCCTCCCATAGTTCAGACACTGTTTTCTTATCAGGATAGTTTAAATAAGATTGTTTTGCAATTGTGTCACTTTGTTAACCAATATTAGTTTATGTTCAAAATACTTGATTTTTAATTTATTTCTCTTTTATAAAGTGATAGGAAGCCAGGTTTTCCAAATCTTAATGCCATTATTCTTTTTTGGACACAAATATTTATGCTGTCTCAGAGCACAAGCAACCCCATCATTGGTTTTCTTCATTTCTTTTAAGTATCTTATTTTGCTTTGAAGTTTCATGCCAGTAAGTTTCATCTTATCTCATAAGATTCACTATTCTTCCTCTATTTTTGTATTGCAAAAATTAGTAATATCTTCTTTGTCTTCAGCTATGTCATTAAGGAAAATGTTGACGAAGACTGGATTCCTGACCTTCTGCCCCAGCTGCAGCCTAAATTAATCCTAATGGCAGAACTAAAAGTGTTAGAAAGCCAAGAAAAGAAATGTTTAAGGGCAACATGGTGTCATAAAATAGTATGGTTTTTGTACCTGGACAGAAACAGATTTAAATCCTGACATTGCCATTTATTGTTTGTGTGATCTTGAAAAGCTATTAACTTCCATAAATCTCAGTTTCTTCATCTGTGTGTAGCAGGGTATCCTAGCTAACTGGATTGCTGTTAACAGGATTAAGTAGGACTGCCAGCCCCTCTGGACACTTATTTGCCTAGTTTTGTAATTTTTTTTTTCTGGCAATGTTTTGTAATCTGAGCAAAAGAATGAAAAAAAAAACAAATTGTGGAATTATTTGTGCTCAGAAGCAACGTGGATATGATAGAAACAACACTGAATGTTCTTTGCTCTCAACAAGTAGTTGTATGACTGTGGGCAGATCAGTTTTAACCTCTTTTAACCTCTCTTTCCTCATGCTTAAATGGAAGAATTAGAGTACAGTGTTCTAAATATGTGAAAGTGCCTTTTCTCAATTGTTATTTAATCCCTAAATATGTGTTAGAAACTAACTGCTTTATGCAGACTATTTTATTTAACTTTTTCAATGACCCTAAATATTAATATTTAGATATTACTAATATCCTTATTTTAGAAATAATGAAAATGAGGTACCTAGCATAGTGTCTAGAACATAGGAAGCACTCAATAAACAGAAGATGAATGACTAAATAAAAGACCATATAAGTTAAATATGCTGTCAAGTTACAGCCATGGAAATGCAGTAGAGTAAGTAGAAATGAACAAAGCCAGTATGTACTGCACTAATAATAGGTCCAGAAGTATTGGCCAAAAATATCTGGAGGTTTAATTGTCATAAAGTTATTCACTAGCATTCCTTTCTATGAACATCAATTCTCTTCAACTTTTTATAAAACTAGTTTTATAAAATTATTTTATATATAAGATGCCTTAGAATCTTAGTATCTTAGTGATGGAAAGGACCTCAGAGATTAGTTTGTTAAAATCCCTCACTGTACATATGAGAAAACTTAAGCCCAGGGAAGAAAAATTACCCAAGGTCATTCTAGACTCTGGCAGAACCAGAACTGAAATCCAATTCCTTAACATTTGGAATTTGCCTAGTGTGAACAATTTTCCATGAAGTATTCTGAAGTTTCATGGAAGATGGAACTCTTTTCTTTCTTAAAGTACAGTAAAATTTCTTATATATTCAAATATTAGAATATTGATAAACATACGTGGCACTTTTGTACCTTTTTATAAGACAAAGGAAAGAGAACATAAGGAGGTCAAGAGTATTTCAAAGGCGAATATTTTCTTTTTTCTGAATTGTGATATCCATGGTAGTTCTCTGACTGTACAAAAAACAACCATCGTGTTTGCAAATTTATCAAACTTATTTTCCCACTCCTTGGAAATATAACAAATCCAAGCCTGTGTGACTTGCACGTACGCACAAACACACACACACTCACTCACTTTACACCTTGGACTGACTTGTTTTTAAAGTAATTCTTTAAGAAATACAATAGTAAAGTAACACAGTGTCTTTTGCTCATAGCATATTGGCTGAAATACTAGACCCAAAGGAAGTTGCCCCGGAGAGCACTTTTCTTGTAAAGATGACAAAAATATTCAGGGCACAGTGTTTTCAAGTTGAACTTCCTTGTTGAAATTCACTTCACAGTCAAAAGAAAAAAGTAAAATAACACTTAATTTTAAATAATGTAAAAAAATTGTTGGAAAATATTCAGTGGCAAAAGCATTTTCAAGACTTGTAAGTATATATAAAGGCAGAAATACTAGAGTACTGAATTTTTTTCCAATTCTTAACTGTTTGTGCTCTTGAATCTTTCATTTTCTTATCTGTAAAACAAGCCCTAAACCCTAAATTGTGCTGAGGAAAAACGCAAACCAACTCTTAGCAGGTAAAATCCATTGTATGTGTGTTAAAGCCTTTTTAGACATTATTAAATGAAAGTGTTTTGATTAAATTGCTTTCTACAAGTTTTATTCTGCTAATGTTTCAAATACTTTTAACTCTAAAGAACTCTTTATCAAGTTTTAATAGTGTTAATGTGATAGAAGGAAGCCAGTTCAGTTGCTAAAAACAGTGCTGACATTTAAATTGCAAGCAGCAACTAGCACAAGAAAGAACAGCAGCTTTCTTTTTTTTTTTTTTTTTTTTCTGAGACAGTTTCTCCCTCGTTGCCCAGGGTGGAGTGCAATGGCCCAATCTCGGCTCACTGCAACCTCCGCCTCCCAGATTCAAGCGTTTCTCCTGCCTCAGCCTCCTTAGTAGCTGGGACTACAGGCACATGCCACCACGCCCAGCTAATTTTTTTGTAGTTTTAGTAGAGAAGCAGTTTTGCCATGTTGGCGAGGCTGGTCTCCCAACACCCGACTTCAGGTAATCCACCCACCTCGGCCTCCCAAAGTGCTGGGATTACAGGCATGAGCCACTGCATTGGCCTTCATCATGCTGTTAATATAGTACTAGTTGGTTGTACCTAGCAAAATAATAACTTGTTCTTGTTTATTCTTTTTTTTTTATACTTTAAGTTCTAGGGTACATGTGCACATCGTGCAGGTTTGATACATAGGTATACATATGCCATGTTGGTTTGCTGCACCCATCAACTCATCATTTACATTAGGTATTTCTCCTAATGCTATCCCTCCCCCAGCCCCCCACCCCCTGACAGGCCCCAATGTGTGATGTTCCCCGCCCTGTGTCCAAGTGATCTCATTGTTCAGTTCCTACCTGTGAGTAAGAACATGCAGTGTTTGGTTTTCTGTCCTTGTGATAGTTTGCTGAGAATAATGGTTTTCAGATTCATCCACGTCCCTACAAAGGACATGAACTCATCCTTTTTTTATGGCTACGTAGTATTCCATGGTGTATATGTGCCACATTTTCTTAATCCAGTCTACCACTGATGGACATTTGGGTTAGTTCCAAGTCTTTGCTATTACGAATAATGCCACAATAAACATATGTGTGCATGTGTCTTTATAATAGCATGATTTATAATCCTTTGGGTATATACCCAGTAATGGGATTGCTAGGTCAAATAGTAATTCTAGTTCTAGATCCTTGAGGAATTGCCACCCTGTCTTCCACAATGGTTGAACTAATTTACACTCCTACCAACAGTGTAAAAGCGTTCCTATTTCTCCATATCCTCTCCAGCATCTGTTGCTTCCTGACTTTTTGTTTGTTTGTTTTTTTGAGACAGAGTCTCACTCTGTTGCCCAGGTTGGAGTGCAGTGGTGCAATTTTGGCTCACTGCAAACTCCGCCTCCTAGGTTCACACCATTCTCCTGCCTCAGCCTCCCAAGTAGCTGGAACTACAGGCACCCGCCACCACGCCAGGCTAATTTTTTTTTTTTTTTTTTTTTTTTTTTAGTAGAGACAGGGTTTCACCATGTTAGCCAGGATGGTCTCTATCTCCTGACCTCATGATCTGCCCACCTTGGCCTCCCAAAAGTGCCGGGATTACAGGCTGGAGCCACCACGCCCAGCCGTTTTGTGACTTTTTAATGATTGCCATTCTAACCGGCGTGAGATGGTATCTGTTTGTGGTTTTGATTTGCATTTCTCTGATGACCAGTGATGATGAGCATTTTTTCATGTGTCTGTTGGCTGCATAGATGTCTTCTTTTGAGAAGTGTCTGTTCATATCCTTTGCCTACTTCTTGATGGGATTGTTTGTTTTTTTCTTGTAATTTTGTTCAAGTTCTTTGTAGATTCTGGATATTACCCTTTGTCATATGGATAGGTTGCTAAAATTTTTTCCCATTCTGTAGGTTGCCTGTTCACTCTGATGGTAGTTTCTTTTGCTGTGCAGAAGCTCTTTACTTCAATTAGATCCCATTTATCTATTCTGGCTTTTGTTACCATTGCTTTTGGTGTTTTAGTGATGAAGTCTTTGCCCATGCCTATGTCCTGAATGGTATTGCCCAGGTTTTCTTCTAGGGTTTTTATGGTTTTAGGTCTAACATTTAAGTCTTTTAATCCATCTCGTATTAATTTTTGTATAAGGTGTAAGGAAGGGACCCAGTTTCAGCTTTATACCTATTGTGAGCCAGTTTTCCCAGCACCATTTATTAAATAGGAAATCCTTTCCCCATTTCTTGTTTTTGTCGGGTTTCTCAAAGATCAGATGGTTGTAGATGTGTGGTGTTATTTCTGAGGCCTCTGTTCTGTTCCATTGGTCTATATCTCTGTTTTGGTACCAGTACCATGCTGTTTTGGTTACTGTAGCCTTGTAGTATAGTTTGAAGTCAGGTAGCGTGATGCCTCCAGCTTTGTTCTTTGTGCTTAGGATTGTCTTGGCAATGCGGGCTCTTTTTTGGGTTTCATATGAACTTTCAAGTAGTTTTTTCCAATTCTGTGAAGAAAGTCATTGGTAGCTTGATGGGGATAGCATTGAATCTATAAATTACTATGGGCAGTATGGCCATTTTCATGATATTGATTCTTCCTATCCGTGAGCGTGGAATATTCTTCCATTTGTTTGTGTCCTCTTTTATTTCATTGAGCAGTGGTTTGTAGTTCTCCTTGAAGACGTCTTTCATATCCCTTGTAAGGTAGATTTCTAGGTATTTTATTCTCTTTGTAGCAATTGTGAATAGGAGTTCACTCATGATTTGGCTGTTTGTCTGTTAATGCTGTATAGGAATGCTTGTGATTTTTGCACATTGATTTTGTATCAATTTTGTATTGATTTTGCTGAAGTTGCTTGTCAGCTTAAGGAGATTTGGGCTGAGATGATGGGGTTTTCTAAATATACAATCATGTCATCTGCAAACAGGAACAATTTGACTTCCTCATTTCCTAATTGAATACCCTTTATTTCTTTCTCTTGCCTGATTGCCCTGAACTTCCAACACTATATTGAATAGGAGTGGTGAGAGAGGGCATCCCTGTCTTGTGCCAGTTTTCAAAGGAATGGTTTGAGTTTTTGCCCATTCAGTATGATATTGGCTGTGTGTTTGTCATAAATAGCTCTTATTATTTTGAGATATATTCCATCAATACCTAGTTTATTGAGAGTTTTTAGCATGAAGGGCTGTTGAATTTTGTTGAAGGCCTTTTCTGCATCTATTGAGATAATCATGTGGTTTTTGTCATTGGTTCTGTTTATGTGATGGATTATGTTTATTGATTTGTGTATATTGAACCAGCCTTGCATCCCAGGGTTGAAGCCGACTTGATCGTGGTGGATAAGCTTTTGGATGTGCTGCTGGATTCTGTTTGCCAGTATTTTATTGAGGATTTTCACTTTAATGTTCATCAGGGATATTGGCCTAAAATTCTCTTTTTTTGTTGTGTCTCTGCCAGGCTTTAGTATCAGGATGATGCTGGCCTCATAAAATGAGTTACGGAGGATTCCCTCTTTTTCTATTGATTGGAATAGTTTCAGAAGGAATGGTACCAGCTCCACTTTGTACCTCTGGTAGAATTTAGCTGTGAATCTGTCTGGTCCTGGACCTTTTTTGGTTGGTAGGCTATTAATTCTTGCCTCAATTTCAGAGCCTGGGATTGGTCTCTTCAGAAATTCAACTTCTTTCTGGTTTAGTCTTGGGAGGGTGTTATGTGTCCAGGAATTTATCCATTTCGTCTAGATTTTCTAGTTTATTTGCGTAGAGGTGTTTATAGTATTCTGTGATAGTAGTTTGTATTTCTGTGGGATTGGTGATATACCATTTATCATTTTTTATTGTGTCTATTTGATTCTTCTCACTTTTCTTCTTTATTAGTCTTGCTAGCGGTCTATCAATTTTGTTGATCTTTTCAAAAAACCAGCTCCTGGATTCATTGATTTTTTCAAGGGCTTTTTGTGTCTCTGTCTCTTTCAATTCTGCTCTGATCTTAGTTATTTCTTGCCTTCTGCTAGCTTTTGAATTTCATTGCTCTTGCTTGTCTAGATCTTTTAATTGTGATGTTAGGGGGTCGATCTTATATCTTTCCTGCTTTCTCTTGTGGGCATTTAGTGCTATCAATTTCCCTCTACACAGTGCTTTAAATGTGTCCCAGAGATTCTGGTACATTGTGTCTTTGTTCTCATTGGTTTCAAAGAACATCTTTATTTCTGCCTTCATTTCATTCTTTACCCAGTAGTCATTCAGGAGCAAGTTGTTCAGATTCCATGTAGTTGTGCAGTTTTGAGTGAGTTTCTTAATCCTGAGTTCTAACTTGATTGCACTGTGGTCTGAAAGACAGTTTGTTGTGATTTCTGTCCTTTTACATTTGCTGAGGAGTGATTTACTTCCAATTATGTGGTCAATTTTAGTGTGTGATGTGGTGCTGAGAAGAATGTATATTCTGTTGATTTGGGGTGGAGAGTTCTGTAGATGCCTATGAGGTCCGCTTGTTGCAGAGGTGAATTCAAGTCCTGGATATCCTTGTTAACCTTCTGTCTCATTGATCTGTCTAATATTGACAATGGGGTGTTAAGTCTTCCATTATTATTGTGTGGGAGTCTAAGTCTCTTTGTAGGTCTTTAAGTACTTGCTTTATGAATCTGGGTGCTCCTGTATTGGGTGCATATATATTTAGGATAGTTAGCTCTTCTTGTTGAATTGATCTCTTTACAATTATGTAATGGCCTTCTTTGTCTCTTTTGATCTTTGTTGGTTTAAAGTCTGTTTTATCAGAGACTAGGATTGCAACCCCTGCCTTTTTTTGTTTTCCATTTGCTTGGTAGATCTTCCTCCATCCCTTTATTTTGAGCCTATGTGTGTCTCTGCACGTGAGATGGGTCTCCTGAAAACAGCACACTGAGGGTCTTGACTTTTTATCCAATTTGCCAGTCTGTGTCTTTTAATTGGGGCATTTAGGCCATTTACATTTGAGGTTAATATTGTTATGTGTGAATTTGATCCTGTCATTATGATGTTTGCTGGTTATTTTGCCCATTAATTGATGCAATTTCTTTATAGCATTGATGGTCTTTACAATTTGGCATGTTTTTGCAGTGGCTGGTCCCAGTTGTTTCTTTCCATCTTGAGTGCTTCCTTCAGGAGCTCTTGTAGGGCAGGCCTGGTGGTGACAAAATCTCTCAGCATTTGCTTGTGTGTAAAGGATTTTATTTCTCCTTCACTTAGGAAGCTTAGTTTGGCTGGATATGAAATTCTGGGTTGAAAATTCTTTTCTTTAAGCATGTTGAATATTGGCCCCCACTCTCTTCTGGCTTGTAGAGTTTCTGCAGAGAGATCCACTGTTAGTCTGATGGGCTTCCCTTTGTGGGTAACCTGACCTATCTCTCTGGCTGCCCTTAACATTTTTTCCTTCATTTCAACCTTGATGAATCTGACAATTATGTGTCTTGGAGTTGCTCTTCTCGAGGAGTATCTTTGTGGTGTTCTCTGTATTTCTTGAATTTGAATGTTGGCCTGCCTTGCTAGGTTGGAGAAGTTCTCCTGTATAATATCCTGCAGAGTGTTTTCCAACTTGGTTCCATTTTCCCCATCACTTTCAGGTACACCAATCAAACGTAGATTTGGTCTTTTCACATAGTCCCATATTTCTTGGAGGCTTTGTTCATTTCTTTTTACTCTTTTTTCTCTCACCTTGTCTTCTCACTTTATTTCATTAATTTGATCTTCAATCACTGATAACCTTTCTTCCACTTGTTTGAATCACCTATTGAAGCTTGTGCATATGTCACGAAGTTCTCATGCCATGGTTTTCAGCTCTATCAGGTCATTTAAGGTCTTCTGTACACTGTTTATTCTAGTTACCTATTTGTCTAATCTTTTTTCAAGGTTTTTAGCTTCCTTGTGATGGTTTCAAACATCCTCCTTTAGCTCAGAGAAGTTTGTTATTACTGACCTTCTGAAGCCTACTTCCATCAACTTGTCAAAGTCATTCTCTGTCCAGCTTGGTTCTGTTGCTGGCAAGGAGCTGTGATGCTTTGGAGGAGAAGAGGTGCTCTGATTTTTAGCATTTTCAGCTTTTCTGCTCTGATTTCTCCCCGTCTTTGTGGTTTTATCTACCTTTGGTCTTTGATTTTGGTAACCTACAGATGGGGTTTTGGTGTAGATGACCTTTTTGTTGATGTTGATGCTATTCCTTTCTGTTAGTTAGTTTTCCTTCTAACAGTCAGGTCCCTCAGCTGCAGGTCTGTTGGAATTTGCTGGAGGTTCACTCCAGACCCTGTTTGCCTGGGTATCACCAGCAGAGGCTGCACAACAGCATATATTGCAGAACAGCAAGTATTTCTGCCTGATCCTTCCTCTGGAAGCTTCATCCCAGAGGGGCAGCTGCCTATATGAGGTGTCTGTCGGCCCCTCCTGGGAGGTGTCTCTCAGGCTACACGGGGGGTCAGGGACCCACTTGAGGAGGCAGTCTGTCCGTTCTCAGAGCTCAAACACCGTGCTGGGAGAACCACTGCTCTCTTAAGAGCTATCAGACAGGGACATTTAAGTCTATAGAAGTTATCTGCTGCCTTTTGTTCAGCTATGCCCTGCCTACAGAGGTGGAGTGTCGAGGCAGTAGGCCTTGTTGAGCTGCGGTGGGCTCCGCCCAGTTCAAGCTTCCAGGCCTCTTTGTTTACCTACTCAAGCCTCAGCAATGGTGGACGCCCCTTCCCAGCCAGGCTGCCGCCTCACAGTTCAATCTCAGACTGCTGTGCTAGCAGTGAGCAAGGCTCCATGGGCGTGAGACCTGTGGAGCCAGGCACAGGAGAGAGTCTCCTTGTCTGCTGGTTGCTAAGACCTTGGGAAAAGGGCAGTATTTGGGCGGAAGTGTCCCGTTTTTCCAGGTAGTCTGTCATGGCTTCCCTTGGCACTTCCTCCTTGCACTTCCCGGGTGAGGCAACACCCCGCCCTCCTGCAGCTCGCCCTCCTTGGGCTGCACCCACTGTCCATTCAGTCCCAATGAGATGAACCATGTACCTCAGTTGGAAATGCAGAAATCACCCATCTTCTGTGTCGATCACAGTGGGAGCTGCAGACCAGAGCTGTTCCTATTCGGCCATCTTGGAACTCTGTTCTTTGTTTATTCTTATTACTATTTGTAAAATATTAATATCTTTTTGCTGTGCTAGCAAGAGGACACTTAAGTAAACAAAGTATGGAGTTGTACAAGTAGCATAGCCTAATATATTCTGATAATTGTGGTCATTATAATATATACATTTATACATGTATTCATCTGAAAACATATTTTTTTCTGTGTAACCATAATGACCAGTACTTTAATACGAAGTTAAAAGTTTTGAGTTTTTAAGAATTTTTAATAGGTTTCAATGAGTTTGTGAGGAAATGTATTGTGATTAATCATATACTATCTTCACATCTCTTTCTGTATATCAAAAGTAAAGAATATATTTCTTTAAACAAGATGGTGGTCTCACAGTGAGGAGCTGTCAAGGAATGCAATTTGATATGCCTAGAAGCAGATTTTATTTTATTTTATTTTTTTAATTTTTATTTTAAGTTCTGGGGTACATGTGCAGGATGTGCAGGTTTGTTACATAGGTAAATGTGTGCCATGGTGGTTTGCTGCACAGATCATTCCATCACCTAGTACCACGGTGAGATGGTTATCCCATTGTGGTTTTGATTTGCATTTCTCTAATGATTAGTAATGTTGAGCTATTTTTCATATGATTGTTGGCCGGATGTATGTCTTCTTTTGAAAAGTCTGTTCATGTCCTTTACCCACTTTGTAATGGAATTGTCTGTTTTTGTCTTCTTGTAAATTTGTTTAAGTTCCTTATAGATGTTGGATATTAGACCTTTGTCAGTAGGATGGATTGCAAAAATTTTCTCTGATTTTGTAGGTTTTCTATTCAATCTGATAATAGTTTCTTTTGCTGTGTAGAAGCTCTTTAGTTTAATTAGATCCCATTTGTCAATTTTTGCTTTTGTTGCAATTGCTTTTGGTGTTTTCGTCATGAAATCTTTGCCCATGCCTATGTCCTGAATGGTATTGCTTAGATTTTCTTCTAGGGTTCTTATAGTTTTGGGTTTTACATTTAAGTCTTTAATTCATCTTGAGTTTTGATTTTTGTATATGGTATAAGG
This sequence comes from Homo sapiens, assembly GCF_000001405.40. Lineage (NCBI taxonomy): Eukaryota > Metazoa > Chordata > Mammalia > Primates > Hominidae > Homo > Homo sapiens. The sequence continues at coordinate 119,196,643 of NC_000004.12, read as the reverse complement.
AAGGGGTTCAGTTTCATTTTTCTGCATATGGCTAGCCAGTTCTCCTAGAACCAATTTTTAAATAGGAAATCCTTTCCCCATTGCTTGTTTTTGTCAGGTTTGTCAAAAAACAGATGGTTGTAGGTGTGTGGTCTCATTTCTAGATTCTCTATTCTGTTCCATTGGTCTATGTGTCTGTTCTTGTACCTGTACCATGCTCTTTTGGTTACTGTAGCCTTGTAGTATAGTTTGAAGTCAGGTAGCTTGATGCCTCCAGCTTTGTTCTTTTTGCTTAGGATTGTCTTGGCTATGTGTGCTCTTTTTCAGTTCCATATGAATTTTAAAATAGTTTTTCTCTAATTCTGCGAAGAATGTCAATGGTAGGTAGTGTAATGGGAATATTTTTCACGATATTGATGCTTCCTATCCATGAACATGGAATGTTTTTCCATCTGCTTGTGTCCTCTTTGATTTCCTTGCGCAGTGGTTTGTAATTCTCCTTGAAGAGATCTTTCACTTCTGTTGTTAGCTGTGTTCTTAGTTGTTTTATTCTCTTTGTGGCAATTGTGAATGGGAGTTCATTCATGATGTGGGTTTCTGCTTGTCTGTTGTTAGTGAATATGAATGCTAATGATTTTTGCACATTGATTTTGTATCCTGAGACTTTGCTGAAGTTGCTTATCAGCCTAAGAAGCTTTTGGGCTGAAATGATGGGGTTTTCTATATATAGGATCATGTCATCTGCAAACAAAGACAGTTTGACTTCCTCTGTTCCTATTCGAATACACTTTTTTTCTTTCTCTTGCCTGATTGACCTGGCCAGAACTTCCAATACTATGTTGAATTGGAATGGAGAGAGAGGGCATCCTTGTCTTGTGCTGGTTTTCAAACGAAATATAGAAGCAGATTTTAAAAGCAGTTTCTCTTCAGAACATTTTTTTTTCATACCACTTGGTAAGCATCTTGAAACACCATGGCTGTAGCAGCAGCAAAATGGGTGCTATCAAAAAGAACTATCTTGAATAGTTCCAATATTACCAATCCAAAACAGAGTTTTATATTGTTTGTCATAAATCTCCATATTCTTCTCTACCAGATGACTGTAATTGCAAAGAAGAGCTTGCTGTGATATCTGATGGCAGAACAATAGTGTGCTACCACCATTCTGTGGACATTTCATATGAGCATACAAAACAAACCCTCAATCAGATTCTGTGCATGATAATGAAGAAACATATGTTCAAGTGCTGAAAACTAGATTGGAAGATAAAGGTAAGCATCTTGAGAAACCCATGATAGAACAACTCGGCAAAATGTTCTTTCCTACTAAACACCACTGGTATCCTCATGGACAGTATCACGATGTCTTAAGAAACTAGACCCTCCAAACGACAGATTTTTAAATTGCCTTTGAGGATCAATTCATGAGATCTACCCAGAAAATAAATGTTACAGTGTTTCTATTGGCTTCTAGGAAATAATTAAATTAGTTATATTTTAATCAGTTTCTTCTATCTGTTAGGCCCCTTTCATCCGTTCTATTTTTTTTTTTTTTTGGTGAGACGGTATCTTGCTCTGTCTCCCAGGCTGGAGTGCAGTGGTGTGCGATCTCGGTTCACTGCAACCTCCACTTCCCAGGCTCAGGTGATTCTCCTGTCTCAATCTCCTGAGAACCTGGGACTGCAGGTGCACCACTACTATCTTATATATGATCCTTAATAGCATTGTTTCCCCTGCGATTTCTATTTAGGAGGTGAGGAATCTTTTAAGAAGGTGGAAAGGTACTTTATTTAAACTTGTAAAATAAATTTGTGTTACACTATTTGTAAAATTAATGTGAAAAATAATTTCATATTCAAAGTCTATTGTTTGATCTAGTTCTTTTAATAAAGGAACTCTAACTAAGTTTCAAATGGCCAGTAAAGTGTGAGGAATAGTGACTAGGAGAGAGTAACGAAATAGTTAATAATGGTGACCCTCTGTTTCCCAAAAGAAAAGTGGTTTGCTTTTGTCATTAATGTAAATTTCATTTGGGAAGATCAAAGAAAAAACAAGTTGATTGAACTTGATAAACCAGAAATATTTAGCAGTTTTGTTGATGATGTATCCTTGAAAAATGGTTAGTTTTCTTTCAGGTTGATTTATATCCAATATTTTACAAATTTTTAGGTATGTTAAAAATGTAAACAATAAAAAAAATCAAAATATTATATATGTGTATTTCTTAAATAAATGTGGCTCATGTTCATATTTGACTTTATGTTTTAAAATAGATACTGATCCTGGAGTGCTACAGGACCTAGAAGAGGTCTTTTCCAAGAGGCCTGGGACCCGAGGCCAGTTAGCTATGTTGTAGAACTTTCATGAACCCTTATATTTTACATAGGTAGGATTAAGGAAAAATGAATGTTAGAAACAGAGTTTAAAAATTAAGTTTGAGAATGGAATATATGTAGAAATTGATCAGTATTCCTGCTTGCTTTTTCAAGGTAACATGGGGAAGAAAAAAACATTATTTCAGGTTGATTAAATAATGCATTTGTCATTATTTCAGCTGACAGAGGAGTCACCTTCTTTCATTGGTTATAACTTCCAGGTGCCTACTTTCCTTAAGCAAGGTGGAAACACCCTAAAGCAAGGGACTTGGAGATTATTGTTTTTATTCACTATATGCTTGTTTTGTTGTGTCGAGGAATCAGAATCCAGGTGCAATATTTTTCTTGATTCAAAACATTCCAAACAGGTATTTACATGAAAAACCATTTTAGGTATTAAAAAAAGAGGCAGTACTGTACTACATGTCAATCCCATGGGAACTCCCTTCTGATTATGTAATACACTTCCCAAAGAGTTACAGTATACTGATCAAGGAAAGTATCCACCATTATTGATTTTTAAAAATTCTTACATAACGTACAAAATGTGAATGCTCACAAGAAATAAGACCATTTTAGCAAGCTCCTAAATAGGCTACCTTTTTTTGTTTTTGAGACAGGGTCTCACTCTGTCACCCAGGATGGAGTGCCGTGGTGCAATCTCGGCTCTACAACCTCCACCTCCCAGGTTCGAGGGATTCTTGCACCTCAGCCACCCAAGTAGTTGGGATTACAGGTGCACCCCACCACACTCAGCTAATTTTTGTATTTTTAGTAGAGACTGGGTTTCACCATTTTGGCCAGGGTGGTCTGGAACTCCTGGCCTCGTGTGATCCGTCTGCCTCAGCCTCCCAAAGTGCTGGGATTACAGGCGTGAGCCACCATGCCTGATCTGTAAATAGGCTATCTTAATGACAATTTTGAGTCTGGAGAATGGAGCTAATGCTAATGTTTATCCTAAAAATTAGGCTACTTTCGTGTTTCTGATTCTCTGTGTATGTTTAATATAATCATTGTTCCAACATATATTCCAAATCCAGGCTAGGTATATGAATTAGTTCGTTCACGCTGCTATAAAGATACTACCTGAGACTGGGTAATTTATAAAGAAAGGAGAGTTAATTGACTCACAGTTCTGCATGGCTGGGGAGGCCTCAGGAAACTTACAATCATGGCAGAAGGCAAAGGGGAAGCAAGTACCTTGTTCACAAAGTGGGAGGAGAGAGAGAGAGCAAAGTGGGAACTGGGAAACACGTTTAAACCATCAGATTTTGTGAGAACTCCCTGACTATCATGAGAACAGCATGGGATAAATCATCCCTTTGATCCAATTACCTCCCACCAGGTCCCTCCCTTGATTTGGGTGGGAACATAGAGCCAAATCATATTGGTATATTTATCCCAAAGTAATTCCAGTGTCATCTCTAATCTAACTTAGTTCTGAATACCATTGCTTTTTTACTGTGTGATCTGAATAATTTTTCATTTTTTTAAATAAAAATACCTTCCATTTATTGAACACTTAACCAAGTATTGGGTAATGTGTTTTATAATGCATTATTTTAAATATAGAAGCTTATGTTATTGCCATAATTCAGATATGTTTATTTCACAAATAGATATTGTTCTTTTTTTTTTTTTTTGAGATGGAGTCTTGCTCTGTCACCCAGGCTGGAGTGCAGTGGCACCGTGTCAGCTCACTGCAACCTCTGTCTCCTGGGTCCAAGCAATCCTCCTGCCTCAGCCTCCTGAGTAGCTGGGATTACAGGTGCCCACCACCACGCCCGGCTAATTTTTGTATTTTTTAGTGGAGAAAGGGCTTCACCGTGTTGGCCAGGCTGGTCTCGAACTCCTGACCTCAGGTGATCCACCTGCCTCGGCCTCCCAAAGTGCTGGGATTACAGGCATGAGCCACTGCACCCGGCCAATATTATTATTTAGAATGGACCGGGCATACAGGATATAGCAGTTAATACAAGTGATCTCGCTTATATGCAAAATCTAAAAAAGTTGAACTCACAGAAGTAGAGAGTAGAATGGTAGTTCTGGGAAGTGGGCAGTGGTTGGGAAGATATTGATCAAAGGATTCAAAATTTCAGTTACAAAGGAGGAAGTTCAGAAAATCTAGTGTACAACATGATGACTATAGTTAATAATAACATTGTATTTTGAAAATCATGGAGATTTTCAGTGTTCTCACCACAAAAAATGATCAGTATATAAGGTAATGCCTATGTTAATTGTTGAAATAGCTCAATTGAACTATTCCCACAATGTATACATATTTCAAAGCATCATGTTATACATGATTAACATACAATTTTATATTTGTCAATTAAATAAATAAATAAGGCAAATCCTTGCCCTCAGAGAGCATTCATTCTGGTGAAAGAATTAAACAATAAAGAAATAAATACATATAAAAATATGTGTGGCGGTCATTGGAATGCTCCTTGTAGAACACCAGCAACATAATTGGCCAGGGGCCCCAGTTCTGCTGTATTCTGAACTCCACGATGCATTGGTGCAGAGGCTGCCTGCACAGGCCACTCATAGCTAATGACTGTGACAGTGCCACTAAGGTAGGCTGTTTCTAGGAAACACAGGACCCCTCTGAGGATGGCTGACTGGCTCAGGATCTCCCAACAGCCTTGCTGAATCTTCCTGAAATTGCATGACAGCCTAGAACACTTGTACGCATTTCCATTTTAGGCCTGCTGGCTCTCCCAGGCTTTCTTTTTTTTTAATTTTTAATTGTTGTGGGTACATAGTGGATATATATATCTCCAAGACATTCTTGATTCCCTCCCCATTTTCTTTCACACATGCATTTCTCCTAATAAAATTCTTGCATGTTTAATCCCATCTTGACATCTGCTTCTCAGAGGATCTGAACTAACACACATTAGGGAGTAATAAGTGCTGTAAAGAAAAATAAAAGCCCAATAAGGTATTAGAAGTGTGCTCTTTTAAATAAGGGTGGTCAGGAAAGGTCTTAGGAGGAGGTGATGTTTGAGCCATATAAGTAGTTGGAGAAAACTGTGATTTACAGAGTGAAGTAAATTGCTTGAGATTATTCATTGATTTGTGGTAAATCAGCATGTAAATTTGTTACTGTGAAGCTAGACTCTTTAAATAAAATTGCTTTAATATATTATTTGTGAGTGATGATAAATGTAATGAGAGTATCTATTTAGATAACAATCCACATCAAACAATTGTGTCTATGTAGACCAAAATTACTTTAAAAGAAGTGAATAAAAGGCTTCAGAAACCATAAAATAACGCAGTTAGCTTTTGTACAGCCTGAATTGTATTTCCTTCCAGCCTACTTCACTCTGGCCTTCCTTTCCCCCCTATCCACACCCCTTCTTTTATATTTATTTTGTTAGTGATGCAGCTTCTTTAATGAGCAATTTCAAAATAGGGAATGACATTTACTTTATATTTTTTTCCTTCTAACTTTCCAGTCCTGTTTCCTGAAACATCTCCACTGCCCTGAGTTGTCATTAAAATGTTTTTCAAAATATCACACAATGCAGGCTGGGCTTGGTGGTGCATGCCCGTAATCCCAACGCTTTGGGAAGCCTAGGTGGGAGGATCACTTGACCAGGCTGTGCAACATAGCAAGACCCTACCTTTAAAAAAAATTTTTAAATTAGCCAAGTGTGGTAGTGCATGCCTATAGTCCCAACTACTCAAGAGGCTGAGGCAAAAGGGTCACTTGAGCCTAGGAGTTTGAGCCTGCAGTGGTAAGCTATAACTGGGCCAGTGCACTCCATTCCAGCCTGAGTGACAGAATAAGAAACTGTCTCTTAAAAAAAAATTACATAATACAAAATGGCAAGCACATTCTTATTTTGATCTGAACTATAAGCTCTTTCAAATAGCTTTTTTTCTCTCTTTGCCCTTATGTACCAAATCTTCCCACTGAAATCACATTACATTGAGAAGTCAGGGTAAATTTATATCCAGGGTTGCAATCTAGCTCCTCCATTTAAGAAATTCAAATAAGAACCCCTACTTTTATTTAATAACATTTTAGTTTAAGCTGTTAAAATTCTTATACACTTTTACTTCCTTTTTTGTTAGTTCTGGAAAGTTTAACTTGTAAAAGGCATTATAATTTTTAAAAAATTATTTTATATATTTGCAGTGTGCTTTGATCAGTTAGTTTGAAATGGATTCCCTTTGCTTGTCTTTTGGTAAAAGCATGGCACTTTTCTGCCTTTCATAGAAAGTGAATGGCCCTTCTTCCTACAGAATAGAGTGTGGAGGGCAAAATTATTTTTCATAAGAAAAGGGACAAAGTAATACTTTTCTAAGCTTAATAAAAGACAGTTGTGGCTGAAAAACTGCAATTATGTCATGTAAGTTTTATCTTGCATAAGCAGCAGAGTGAAGAAATTCCAGAATTAATAAGCCTGCTGGTACAGCTGTGCCCTTAGTTGAAAAGTTCAGGGTGTTCTTTTCATACTCACGACTGGACATTTTGCTCCATATTAGCCTTTGCAAGATTAATTGGCTCCCTCCACTTCCAAGCTGCTAAAATATTTATAAATGGGTCTATTTATAGGATGTAAAATTTAAAGTAGATGCAATAAATGATCATTTTGACTAAAAATTTTGTCTATATTTGGCTTGATTTTGTAATAACCAATAATTAGTTATTTTTAATTGTCAAGTCCTCTTAAATATTGAGTTACGAGATGAAAAATAAAACGTTTGAGAAATGATGAAAGGAAGTGGAGAGTTAAAAGCCAAAGACAGTCTTTCTAACCATAGCTTTGGTTATTAATGTAGCTGTAGTTATCATCCAGGGGGCAGTTGGCAAGTTGATCATCAGTCCTGCCAATGATATTAGAAGAAATTGGCTTAAAATAGAAGATATAATTTCATGACCCAGAAGTCTATCGAACAGTATAATGAAATCTGAGAGAATTTCCTCTAATGTTTTAAAAAGTAGAAAATGTTTTCTTTTGAAGGAGTGGTTTTGGTATGTTATTAACTAGATGATTTCTTTCAGCCTTATGTCATGCATTTCTTAACTCTCTTTCTCCTGCTTTCCCACTCTTTCTCCTTAGAAAAGGAAGATTACATAGATCAAACAGGTGTACAATACTGAGCAGAAATGAGCAGGTTTAATCAGAGTGCACTTTTGTGTTTCTCCAATTTCAAAGTTAAATCTGCATACTGCTGTTTTATTTAGTTTGCTTTCAACACAGTCTGAAAGTTCAGTTTCTTTATGAATGCCTGTATAACTTTGGATAGTGACTCTAAAATTACTCAGTGAATAGATGTATTTGCTCAAAATTAAAATAACAGAGAATTTTTATTATTTTGTCTAAATACTTTAAGGCTGAACTCTATTCTTAGGAAAAGTTATGAACCATGTGTTCTTAGAGCATGTACTTTAGAGCCAGACTCACCAAGTTCTTCTAATTATGAGCTAAGCTTATTTCAAGTCACGTTAGTTCTCTGAGGCTCAGTCTTTTCAATATAAAATTGAGATTATTTGTAATGCCATCCTTACAGAATAATTATGAAAATGCAATATTAAATATATTAAATTGCCTTTATAAGGAAATGACTACAGTGTCTGACATTTAGTACTCCAGCAACAAATTTTTATTCTTTTACCTTTTTAAAAAATATTTTTTCTCCTTTTTTCCATATCTTATTTATACAAAAGCAGGTGGAAAAAATGTCGCGGTCTTTCTGTTGTTCTAAAGAGACTATCATATTTCTTTTGACTTTGAAAGATTTAGCTGTTTTTCAGGTTAATGGAAAACCCATTCAAAATTCCTTTTGAATTCTGAATTATGTAACAACCAGAGTGAAATGCTGGCCTTTCTAAAGGTGTCAGCTGAGCTAGAATTAATAGACACTTCCCAGAAAGAAAGAAATAAAATAGTGAACAGAGGGTTATTTTTTCTTTTTCTACCTAATCTTTTTAAAAAAATAAGTATCACTTAGGATTTTCCTTTTTTTCTTTTGAGACGGAGTCTTGCTCTGTCGCCCAGGCTGGAGTGCTGTGGCGTGATCTCAGCTCACTGCAAGCTCCGCCTCCCGGGTTCATGCCATTCTCCTGCGTCAGCCTCCAGAGTAGCTGGAACTACAGGCCTCGACCACCACGCCTGGCTAATTTTTTTGTATTTTTAGTAGAGACAGGGTTTCACCGTGCTAGCCAGGATGGTCTCAATCTCCTGACCTCGTGATCCGCCCACCTCGGCCTCCCAAAGTGCTGGGATTACAGGCGGAGCCACCGCACCTGGCCAGGATTTTCCTTTTTAAATTATCTTTTATGATACTGGGGAGTACTGTTCTGTAGCTAACATACTTAATTGCTGGCCTCTACTTTCAGTGGTTGGCAGAATAGGGACAGTGATCATATAGTTTATATTTGGAAATGGTTGAAATAATGCAAAAAGATTTCATTTTCATTAAAAATAATGACTCATTTCATGATGTTAATAAAGAATTAAACCATTTCATCAAAATGCATAATTAATATGCCTAATTTTTATTTTTTAAAGATTAAAATGAACAAAAAATGGCATGATGGGAGCCTCATTGATAGTTTATCACAGATGCCAACATTATCATTTTAAAACAGGTAAACACCAAAACTTATAAATAAAATTAAGATATCTTAAGACATCTTTAAAAATATACAAATTCTCTACAATAATATATATAAATATAATACTTTGTCATTGTTACTTTCTGGGGGTTATATTTTCATAAGCAAATTTTTAAAATTTTTCTACTTAACAAGTCTAGATGATGATTAAAACAGTCACCAACTTCCACACTACAAACACAGATTTTTTTTTGTAAACATGTAATGTTGCAACTTGGTATTTTCATTACTACACACAGTCCTTCTTCCTATCTCCTAAACTTTATCTGATAGTTTTCTATTGATGAGACATTTCTTCTCTGCTATAAACATCTATCACAGAAGTCTTAACTGAATTGAAATGGGAGGAATTGATACTGATTTCTATAAGTTATATGTCATATGCTTCTTCAATTATATTTTAAGATATAACTATAACTTTATATTAGTTTGTGTCTTTTATGTCAATATATTACATATATTACGATAGATATGTGCTACATTGCTTTCAGATACTTTCATGCCCTTTGTTTTTGTTTGTGTCCTAAAGCATGTACTCCCCAGTTACTTGAGGATCTTAACAGAATTTAAAGATTTAGCAAAGAAAGCTGCCAATTCAAATTACTTACTCTTTCCTTCTCTCACAAACATGAATGTATTTATATGTATATTACGGTGTACTTTATTTGTTCTTACTCTTCTAAGAATGCACACATAAAGTTGAACATAATCAATGCACAGCATTGGGATTTGTGAAACTTGAATTCTGGGCACACCTTGGTCCTTAAAACTATGGTACTATGACGTCCCTTGAGTCATTCTCAGTCTCCTTGACTTAATGCTAAATGAATATAATAACTGAATTGAATTTTGGAGAATATCATCCAGAATAAATTACCTAATGATTCAAAACATATTGAAAAGTGCAAAGCACTTTAGAATTCTAAGAGTGACTAATGAAAAGACTTCATCAAGACATATTATTTTCTCATGGTCACCAGAAAGGACACACCCAACCATTTTCTCCATCAATAACATTTGTACATCATCTTCCATAGCTTTCATCCCCAGATGAAACTCTGAATAGGTCTTCATATCTCTCCCTGTATTTTGATTCTAGATTCCACTTGAAAAACTTACACTGTAATAAATCATATAAAATGAGACAAAGGTGAAACTGTCAATTACTTTTCCATCTGAACTTTTGCAGTAAAATATCTGGATTCTTTAAACCAGGTGAAAACAAAATTATGAATGAAGACAAGTGAGTTATAAGTTTTTTAAAGTAAGATTTCTAATTGTTTATTAGTATTTGATCTGAGATTGAAATTGAATGTCAGAAAAGGAAAATCACTAAATTGCTATTGTTGCTACTAATGAAAAATGCAAGTGGCTTTGCCAGTAGTTAAAATAGTAGAACAGCAACTTTTATATTCAGAGTTTTATGTGGCACATACAACTTTCTTTTCATAGGTCTTCTGATTCTGGTACAGTGGTATCATCTGTAGGTTCGGTTGTTATCACTATAGGAATATTCTCAGATATCCATCCCTTAGGAGTCCTATTAAAGGACCGTCTGCCAGAAAGGGGATTGACAAAGGACATAAACCTGGGATCTGTTAGCAATAGTAGCTCAAAATCTGGAACTTTAAATTTAACCATTCTTGATGCTTTTTCAAAACCTCCAAATGGTGTGGCAACCCTGTGGGAAATTAAAAAAAAAACAGATCTCAATTAATATTCAAATTTGTCAAAATAGAAAACAATTTCATAATTTTATAGGCATGATTTTATGGGTGTATTTAATTCATTATTTTATGGGCTTACTTATATTCTATGAATGACTGTCATTTTGTGACCTCTGAGGCAAGCATTTCTACTTTAAAGACCATGTTTTTATGAAAAACCAAATATTGATAACAAATTCATTGAAGTTCATTTGTATATACTATTAGTTTTGGACTAATCTATTCCCTGTACACTGAGCTCATTACAGACATGTCTTGCCTTTGTACTTTTACCAACAATATTTCCCCTATTCAAGATATTTCTAGGCCGGGCGTGGTGGCTCATGCCCATAATCCCAGCACTTTGGGAGGCCGAGGCAGGAGGATCACCTGAGGTCAGGAGTTCAAGATCAGCCTGGCCAACATGGCAAAATCCTGTCTCTACTAAAATTACAAAAATTAGCCGGGCATGGTGGCGGGCACCTGAAATCCCAGCTACTCAGGAGGCTGAGGCAGGAGAATGACTTGAACCCAGGAGGCGGAGGTTGCAGTGAACCAAGATCATGCCACTGCACTCTAGCCTGGGTGACAGAGTGAAACCTGTCTAAAAAGAAAAAAAAAAGATATTCCCTGCTGGGTGCATTGGCTTACACCTGTAATCCCAAGTACCTGGGATGCTGAAGCAGGAGAATCACTTGAGCCCAGGCGTTTGAGACCAGCGTGGGTGATATAGCAAGACCTCATCTCAGAAAAAAAGAAAGAAAGAAGGAAAGGAGAAGGGAAAGGAAACGAAAGGAAAAAAAGAAAAGGAAAGGGAAGGGGAGGGGAGGGGAAGGGAAGGGAGAGGGGAGAAGAGGAAAGAAAAGGAAAATAAAAGAGAGGCAGTTTCCTCCCTGACTTCTCCACTTGTGTATGTCCTATAGTCTTGCAGTTCTAACTTCCTTCAAACTATCCCTGCCCACTTTCTTAGCCACATTCCTGCAGCATCAATTGTTCTATGTCAGTCATTTGCTACTAATGAAATGGTGCTTTGTATTGAGCTTCTCCTTTTAAGAATGTGGATTATCTGTTTGGGTTATCTGTGAATTATAAACTCTTTTAGGTCAAGCAGTATGTCTGTTGCATCTTTCTACCTCAAAAACCTTAGCATTCTTCCACTTGTCTTCTGAATAAAGCCCAACTTCTATATCTTGTCATTCAAGATCCCACATAACTTTTTTGCTTTGTTTGATTTAAGCATTTGATTACTCATTCAGTGCCAGACAGAGTTTCAAGTGTGCAGTATAATCAAAGTCTTAGTTCTTACATTCTAGTGAAAGAGACCCTAAACATAAACATATACAAAAATATCTGATGGTGATAGCAGCTATGCATAAAGTTAAAATAGGGTGTTATAATATTGAATAACTGAATTACTAAAAAGTTATTTCAGATAGAATCACCAGGGAAGACTTCTCTGAAGAGGCGACATTTAAACAGCCATCTGAAGGTCAGAAGTTAGACATGTACAGTATGGCTAAAGTACATCAGCACTTCCAGTAGACAGGATAGCTAATGCCAAGAACCCTAAGGCAGAAATAATGTTGGCGTGTTCAAGGAAACAAAGAAGGCTTATGTTCCTAGGCTAGCAGGTGAGGGTGGGGCAGAGGGAACAGGGGACAGAGAGGTAAACTTGTGTGGGACTTTTTCTAAATAAGGAATATGGATTTCCTTCTAAATGTGAAGGGCAACCATTGTAGGATGGTAAGCAGGAGATTATATAACCTAATTACATTTTATAAGGGTCATTCTGGCTGCTATTGCTGTGTGAACAGATTATAAGAAGACAACAGTGCCAGTGGTTCGCACCTGTAATCCCAGCACTTTGGGAGGAGAAGGTGGATGGATCACCTGAGGTCGGGAGTTCGAGACCAGCCTGACCAACATGGAGAAACCCATCTCTACTAAAAATACAAAAAATTAGCAGGGCATGGTGGCGCATGCCTGTAATCCCAGCTACTCAGGAGGCTGAGGCAGGAGAATCCCTTGAACCCAGGAGGTGGAGGTTTCAGTGAGCCGAGATCGTGCCATTGTACTCCAGCCTGGACAATAAGAGGGAAACTCAGTCTCGGAAAAAAAAAAAAAAAGACAACAGTGGAAGGAGGGAAGCTATTGCAGTAACTCAAGCAAGAAATGATGACTTGTATTTCAGGTGTTTTATGTAAAGATGGAAAAAAGTGGGTGGGTCAGGATGTGCTTTACAGGTAGAGTCAACAGGATTTGCTGATAAATTGGATTAAAACCATGAAGAAAATAGAAAAATCAATGAAAACTCCTACCTTTAGAGTTTTAGCAACTGGCTGGTGGAAGACAGAAAAGAACAGAGTTGGTGTGTGGGTGGAAAACACGATTAGACATCCCAGTGGAGAGGTCAATCATGCAGGTTTTGCCCTATTCACTTTCACGCATCCTTTAACTGCTTGCTCTTTGCATTTATGCTCTCCTACCTCACTGCCTCTAATCATACTCTTTTTTTTTTCTCTCTCTGCTTGGAGTACTCTGATATTTACAACTGCGTTTCTAAATCCCCTTTAAGCCCTAATTCATACTTAACTTTCTTCTTGAAGCTTTCCCAATTTCCCACAGCCAGAAGTAAGCTTTCCACTCCGAAGTTTCCATGACTTCTATTTTCACCTCCCCTGCGATCCTATTTTATATCTTTCATTATATCCATTTGTATGTCTGCCTTTTTTCTTACCAGACTGTACTCTAAGAAGATTGGAATTCTCTCTGATGTATCTTTGTAATTCGTTACAATATACTTATATAATGCATTGTACCATAGGACCTGGCAAGACTATATAGATTCTCTAATATTGTGATTATTTAAAACCTGGAAGAGATCTTATTTTCTTTATAGTTCAATCACTCTGCTATCTTTCTTGACTACCTTAATTTCTGTGTGTTTTTTTATTAAAGAATTAATTAAAACATAAATATGTATAGTCTGCTACAAATTTGATTCTATTACTTTCGTTTCAATTAAATTTTTCCCTCCCCAAACAGATTTTAGTCTGTAAAAAGGAAAGTCATATTCAATTTCATTTGTATATTCCCATTGCATCTGTTACAGCAAGGGTCCCCAACCCTCAGGCTGCAGACCAACCATCTATGGCCTGTTAGGAACCAGGTCACACAGCAGAAGGTGAGCGGAGGGTGAGTGAGCATTTCCACCTGAGCTCCACCTCCTGTCAGGTCATCAGGGGCATTAGATTCTCATAGGAGTGCAAACCCTCTTGTGAACTTTGCATGTGAGGGATCAAGGTTGCAGGCTCCTTACGAGAATCTAACTAATGCCTGATGATCTGAAGTGGAATAGTTTCATCCCGAAACCATCTCCCCCCACCCTGCCACCCCTACACCCCTTCCCCCATTCTTGGAAACATTGTCTTCCACGAAACTGGTCCCTGGTGCCAGAAAGGTTGGGGACCATTGTATTACAGTGTCATGCAACTTCCTTATTAGAAGTTGCCTTTTTGTGACTGATAACTACTCTGTCCTTCCTGAGGTACCATGATCCAGGTTGAGGATGCAGAAGGAGACTTAATTCACTAGAAAGGCCTGTGTAAGAAGCAATCAGACTGCTGGAAGTAGAGTAAAGCCAACTATACTTCAAGCATCAGGCATTACATCCTTTATCCAGCCAATTTGCTAGAAGCTAAATATGTTTGTTGCTGACAATAGTTACCATAGCCAGTGAGAACTGCAGGTGAACTGTGTCACATTTTGTTTCAAAATTATTTCAGTGGCATGAGAAATGTTTTCTGTTGCTTTTAACTTGCAATATAATTTGACACTTTCCTCTTTTAAGAAGTTTTTATTATGCACAGTGGAGAAAATAATCCCAAAAGCTTCTGAATACTGTATTAGGTTAGGTCAGAAGCCTAAAATTTGAAATTTTATAATGTTGATTTGAAAATTTACTATCAAACTTCTAAAACAATAAAGTCGTGTTTTATAATATTTACTAGATACTCTGTTCTTCAGTGTACTGTTTGAACTCTGCAATATTTACAGTTTTATAATAATACATTCCTAAAATTCAGTTTATATAAATTAAATCAGATTCCAAATTTGCTAAATTTATGTTCTTTTTTTCATGTATGTAACTTATAGTTGTTCATTCTTTTCTGTATGTATTAAATTCTGGGCTCTTGCCTGCAGAATGTTTAATACATATATACTCCTCAAGATAGCCTCCAAATTCCACCTCTTCAGTACTATGCCATAGTTTTTGTAGTAAGTTGATATGCCTCCATCACATATATTTTATCCATCTAAGGAAACCAAATGGCTATTTTGAGTAGCCACTATTTTCCAGGAATATGCTGGAAGCAAGTAAGTGGAAATGAAAGTCATGGTTTTTACTCTCAAAGAACTTGTAATCTACTGAGAAGACAATAAAATGTTATGTTATTTTTCATAAGAAAGGCATACTAAATTATGTAGAATAACTCTCCCAGAATGCACAGGGAGCAGACAATATGATGAAAAGTAAAATAAACTAGAGTCCAGATGAGGATATTCAAGCTTCCAGAGGAAGAAAACAGAGCATTATGATCACAATCATGAACCAAAGATATGGAAAACAACTCTCCTGAGTTGAAGGAAGAAGAGATTATAGAGGAAAAGGAGTTACCAAGTACTAGACAAAGTTAACAAGAAAAAATAAAAAGATGCTACCTGGACATTCCTTGTCAGAATTTTAATGTTTTTAATATAATGAGCCATACAGGGAGGGAAGCCAGAAGGAATGTATAAAAGGAATGAATATGAGGCTGTCCATAATCTTTTCCAAAACATTACATACCAAAAAAGAGTATTGAATAGGTGTTGTGGAGAAAAGACTGTGACCAGGTAATTATTCATGTACCAATGTAAAAAATATATATGTATTATAGATATGCATGGACTTATATTGGTGTTCCCTTCCTAAGAGAATTACTTGAAGACATATTCCAGATAACTTTTGGATAAATAACTCAAGTAGCATAATATAAAAAGTACTGGCAATAAGAATAAAGCCACTTTAAAAATGTGGTCATAGGCTGGGCACAATGGCTCATGCCTATAATCCCAGCACTTTGGGAGGCCGAGGCAAGCAGATCACCTGAGGTCAGCAGTTCGAAACCAGCCTGGCCAACATGGTGAAACCCCGTCTCTACTAAAAAAATACAAAAATTAGCTGGGTGTGGAGACAGGCGCCTGTAATCCCAGCTACTCAGGAGGCTGAGGCAAGAGAATCGCTTGAACCCAGGAAGCAGAGGTTGCAGTGAGCTGAAATCGCACCACCGCACTCCAGCATGGGTGACGAGCAAAATTCCATCTCAAAAAAATATATGTGATCATGAAAATTAAATACAAATGCAAGCTGCTATTCCTGGAAAAGAATATTTATCTAGTTTAAAATATTTATATGACAGAAAGGCGAATAGCAGTATGCAGATTAAATTAACAAGTATTAGCTGGCAGGCAGGGGATGAGAGTGGAGTAAAGAGTACATATTTCTCATCCTCCCATGCATAGGTGGGAATCAGGAGTTATTGCTTTGTTCTTGAATTTAATTATTAGGTATATCATTCATATATACAGTTGACTGATCTAACAACAATGATGGGTAGAAGTTAAAACAGGATTTCTTCCCTCCAGATCACCACAGGCAATAAAAGCAAACAAGGTAGAATTTATAGAGCACTGGAGAAAAAATAAAATAGAGCAGTCTAAGAGATGCGATTCAGGAGTCAGACTAGCTAGCCTGAAACACCACCTTGATCAAAGGTAAATTACTTGACATACACAGCACATGATTCCCCAATCATTAAGTAAAATCCATTCCCCTTTTAATATACATATTTAATGTGTGCCTACTATGTGCCAGGTACTGTTTCAGATTTTGCTATGATCTGAATGTCTTCCAAAAATTATGTGTTGAAACTTAATCCTTACTGTGGTGGTATTAAGAGGTGGAGACCTTTGGGAAATTACCAAGTCATGAGGGCGCTGCCCTCATGAATGGATTAGTGCCCTATAAAGGGGCTAGAAGGAACTAGCTTAAGCCTTTTTTTGCCCTTCTTGCATCCATCATGTGAGAACACAGTGTTCACTTCTTTTGCCATGTGAGGACACAGCAAGAAGACCCTCACCAGACACCAAATGCTGGCAGTTTGATCTTGGACTTCCCAAGCTCCAGAACTGTGAGGAAATAAATTTCTGTTCTTTATGAATTATCCAGTCTCAGATATTTTGTTACAGCTGCACAAACTAAGACAAACACTAAGATCATAATGTTGAATAAAACAGATAAAGTTGCAGCTCTCTGTGGGTGCCTACCCTGTAGATAGGGACACTCACTTTTAGGAAAGGAATAGATAAATTCATAATATTATAAGGTAATGAAAAAAAAGAGCTATGAAGAAAAATAAAGGAGAATGAGTAGATGAGAGTTTGTTCTATGTGTCCATATCACTGTTGAATTTTAGTCCAGGAGAAAGAGTACTATTTAAATAAATTTTCAGGAAGTGCTCTGTAAGATGACATTTTAGCAAAACTCTGAAAGATGTGAAGGAATGATCTGCTGAAAATCTGAGGAAAGCATTTCAGGCCTAAGGAAACAAGGGCAAAGGCCTCAAGGTGAGAAGGAGTCTATTATGTAAGAAACAGTAGAAGCCCAGTGTGGATACAGCTGGGTGAGCTTGAGGAAAGCCTTGCAAGATGTAGCTGGAGACAGACAGGAGCCAGCACTGTGAGGTCTTCCAGGCCATGATAACAAGTTTGGATTGTATTTTATGTGTAACAGTTACAAAGTTTTTAGTTGGAAGGGGACACGACCTGATTTGCATTTCTAAATTATTTCTTTCTGGCTGTTCTATGGAGAACAGCTTAAAGGAGGGCAAGAGTGAAAGCACCAAGTCCAGTCTGAAAGCTTTTGCAGTAATCAAAATAAGAAATGATGGCAGTTTGTACTAGGGTGAATGTATTTTGAAAATAGACTGAATAGCCGGGCACGGTGGCTCATGCCTATAATCCCAGCACTTTGGGAGGCCGAGGCAGGTGGATCACCTGAGGTCTGAAGTTGGAGACCAGCCTGGCCAACATGACAAAATGCTGTTTCTACTAAAAACACAAAAATTAGCCGGGTGAGGTGGTGGATGCCTGTAGTCCCACCTACTCGGGAGGCTGAGGCAGCAGAATCACTTGAATCCAGGAGGCAGAGATTGCAGTGAGCTGAGATTGCACCACTGCACTCCAGCCTGGGCGACAGAGCGAGACTCCAACTCAAATAAATAAATAAATAAATAATAGACCTAATAGGATGTTGCTGATGGTATAGAGTATAAGGTGAAAATGGAATTAAGGGTAAGCCGTAGATTGTTTATGTGAGCAACAGGGAATATAAATATGCAATTTACTGAGATGGGGCAGATTGGAAAAGGAGCCCATTTGGAGCTAGAGATCAAGTTTCATTTGACATGTTAATTTTTGTATGTTTGTTACCCATCCTATGGGTGATGTCCAGTGGCAGAGTGAAGCTCAGGGAAGAGTTCAGGCTGAGTATATCATTGGCATTATCAGCACACAGGTGATATTAGAACCTTGGAACTGCATACCATCACAGCCTGGAATGGGTGTAAATAAAGAGAAGTTGGTTCCTAACATACGGAGTTTGGAAAGGGAGGAGCCAGCAATGAAGGCTGAGAAGGAGAAAGATCTGGGGAGTTTGATGATCAAAAAGCCAAGGAACAAAATTATTTCTTGGAAGGGGGAATGATCAGCCATTTCACATACTGCTGTGAAGCTGAGTACATTGATCACTGAGAATTCACCATTGGATGTGACAACATGGGGATTAGCTCTTTAAGTGTAATGGTGGGATGCAGTCCTGATTAAAATGAATTCAAGAGAGAATGTGCCATTAGGAAATAGAGACAATAAATATAGACAATATTTAAGAACTTTTTACTGTCAAGAAAAAGCATAGAAATTTGAGGTAATTGGAAGAGAGCCTGGGGAAAAGATATTTTTATTAAAGATGGGAGGCATTTTAATATGTTTGTATGCTGATAGGAATAACCCAATAGAGAGAAAAACAAATGATGCTGCAAGAGAAGGAATAATTGCAGGATAACCCTAGAGTGGATGAGAGGGATTGGGAATCAGTATGCAATTAGAGAGGCTGACTTTAGGAACAAGGCAGGCAACTCATCAGCTCTTTTAAGAGAAAAGGCAGGCTATGTGGTTCCGAATGTACTCAACTGGCAAATTTGATAATGAGAAGGTAAGGTAGGTGTCTTCCAATTTGCTTCCACTTTTTTTTGAAAAATAAAAAGTGATCCCATTGGTTGACAGTGAGGAGTAGGGTGAGGTATAGGATGTTTGTGGAAACATCCCATGTTGAGAAGAAAGTGTGAATTGTCTTCTAGGACAATTCAAATTGTCCTAGAAAATTTGAATTGTCCTAGAAAATTGTCTTCACAGACCGAATTTGCTAGAGAATGTTGTTGGATTGTCTGGCAGTGCTGAGATTTGTGGTAATCACTTTAAGGGGAGACAGCAAAACTATGTCTTTTTATCCAGCCACATTCAGCTGCTTAAATATGAGTGCAAAGTAGATGGATTCTGGACTTAATCAGAATTGGAGCTTTAAAAGTTGGGTAAAACATTTGGAGAGAGACGAGAGGAAGATGAGATGTGTGTAAAATGGAATGATCATAATGGCGAACTACAAAATCTGTCTAGGTAGAAATAGTGAGCAAAGGGATTGATGGACTTTAAAAAATGGCGTCATTTTGGTATGTGGAACTGAAGCATTATTGAAATAAAGAATAAACTTTGTTTTTTTTGAGACAGAGTCTCGCTCTTGTCACCCAGACTGGAGTGCAATGGCACAATCTCGGCTCACTGCAACCTCCGCCTCCCAGTACTCAGTGTGTGGTCACAGATAGCAGCACTGGCTTCATCTGGGAACTAGTTAGAACTACAGAATCTTAGAGCACAACCTAAACTTACTGAATTGGCGTCTGCACTTTGACAAGAGCTCAAGATAATTCCCATACTAATAGAGTTTGAAAAGCACTTAAAACCGTGCCTGATACATAGTACTCACTCAATAAATTAGTTTCCATCATTACTATGCCTTATGAAGTTTAATAATCACAAGGTACCTGAATGATAATGTAAGTTCTTAAAGTTCTTTTTCAAATTAATCTCTCTTACACAGTAGATGATTCAGGGTCCCATATTTTGTTATCTGGTTTAGTGACTGAGGAGTCTTTATGTCTCAAATTTGATTCAGTACAAAAGAACACTTCTTATCTCAGATGTTCAAGATGATATTTTATCATTTTAAAATCTTGCCATTGTATATCAATAGTTTGTTCAGGGCCAGGCACAGTGGCTCATGCCTGTAATCCCAGTACTTTCGGAGGCCGAAGTGGGCAGATCACCCAAGGTAGGGAGCTCAAGACCAGCCTGGCCAACATGGCGAAACCCTGTCTCTACTAAAAATACAAAAAAATTAGCTGGGTGTGGTGGCAGGCGCTTGTAATCCCAGCTACTCCGGAGTCTGAAGCAGGAGAATCGTTTGAACTGGGGAGGTGGAGGTTGCAGTGAGCCGAGATCACACCACTGCACTCCAGCCTGAGCCACAAGAGTGAGACTGTTTTAAAAAAAAAAGTTTGTTCAATGGTTGATTCACCCATGTATTCATGCAACAAATTACTGATTTCTTAGCATGTCTAGATACAATGCTGCATGCTAGGGAATCAAACACGAAAAAATTGTAGATCTTAACCTCAATGAACTCAAAGACGGTGAAACATGAGGAAAAAATACAACATGGAATAAGCTAGTTACTCTAAGAGAAGAATGTCCTGAGTGCAGAGGAGCCTAGGGTAAAAAACACCTTAGCCTACCTGGCGGGTCAGAACACATTGCTTCACTTTTGAGCTCAAGATCCAGACAAGCTACCTAATTTTTAGAACCCAGTGCAAAATGAAAACACAATGCCCCTTGTTCAGAAATTATTAGGAATTTGAAGAAAGAAACAGCAGAGGATCAAACCAAACATGGCCCTTTGAAATAAATAAATGTGGGGCCCCATGCAATTGCACAGGTCACACAACCACTACTTCAAAATTTTTTTTTTTTTTTTAAGATGGAGCCTCACGCTGTCACCCAGGCTGGAGTGCAGTGGGACAATCTCTACTCACAGCAACCTCTGTCTCCTGGGTTCAAACCAGTCTCCTGCCTCAGCCTCCCAAGTAGCTAGGATTACAGACGCCCGCCACCACACCTGGCTAATTTTTGTATTTTTAGTAGAAACAGAGTTTCACCATGTTGGCCAGGGTGGTCTCGAACTCCTAACCCCACCCGCCCCAGCCTCCCAAAGTGCTGGGATTATAGGTGTGACCCACTGCACCTGGCCCATTGTTTTTTAAGAATGAATAGTTATCCATTAGATGCAATAGATTACAATTGAACATTTCTAGATTTAAGCAAAAATTGATCAATTAACCTTGTATTTATTTATTCCAGAAATGAATTTATTCAGTTATTTTGTTTTCTGAATTACATCAAAGAAGACACATCCCTCTGCACTAAAATACAGTATTTGGGTTGGCAATTAGTGGATTGCTTTTCCCCTTTTTATCCAGCTCTATTTTGTTTTTTTCCTACCGATTTGTAGATCATTTTCTTCTCTTATAAATGAAAACATTTCCTTCTGTTTTATCATCCACCTCCCATCTCCTACTGTGTCGGGAATTGGTGGGTTCTTGGTCTCACTGACTTCAAGAATGAAGCCGCGGACCCTCTCGGTGAGTGTTACAGCTCTTAAAGTGGCGTGTCTGGAGTTTGTTCCTTCTGATGTTCGGATGTGTTCGGAGTTTCTTCCTTCTGGTGGGTTCATGGTCTCACTGGCTCAGGAGTGAAGCTGCAGACCTTCACGGTGAGTGTTACAGCTCTTAAGGCAGCACGTCTGGAGTTGTTCGTTCCTCCTGGTGGGCTCGTGGTCTCACTGCTTCAGGAGTGAAGCTGCAGATCTTTGCGGTGACTGTTACAGCTCATAAAAGCAGCGTGGACCCAAAAAGTGAGCAGTAGCAAGATTTATTGCAAAGAGTGAAAGAACAAAGCTTCCACTGTGTGGAAGGGGACCCGAGCGGGTTGCCACTGCTGGCTTGGGCAGCCTGCTTTTATTCTCTTGTCTGGCCCCACCCACATCCTGCTGATTGGTAGAGCCCGGTGGTCTATTTTGACAGGGCGCTGATTGGTGCATTTACAATCCCTGAGCTAGATACAAAGGTTCTCCACCTCCCCATCAGATTAGTTAGATACAGAGTATGGACACAAAGGTTCTCCAAGGCCCCACCAGAGCAGCTAGATACAGAGTGTGGATTGGTGCACTCACAAACCCTAAGCTAAACACAGGGTGCTGATTGGTGTATTTACAATCCCTGAACTAGACATAAAGGTTCTCCAAGGCCCCACCAGAGCAGCTAGATACAGAGTGTCCATTGGTGCATTCACAAACCCTGAGCTAGACACAGGGTGCTGACTGGTGTGTTTACAAACCTTGAGCTAGATACAGAGTGCTGATTGGTGCATTTACAATCCCTGAGCTAGACATAAAGGTTCTCCAAGGCCCCACCAGACTCAGGAGCCCAGCTGGCTTCACCTAGAGGATCCCGCACCAGGGCTGCAGGTGGAGCTGCCTGCCAGTCCTGCGCCGTGCGCTTGCACTCCTCAGCCCCTGGGTGGTCGATGGGACTGGGCGCAGTGGAGCAGGAGGTGGCACTCGTCGGGGAGGCTCAGGCGGCCCACGAGCCCATGGAGGGGGTGGGAGGCTCAGGCATGGCGGGCTGCAGGTCCCAAGCCCTGCCCTGCGGGAAGGCAGCTAAGGCCCGGTGAGAAATCAAGTGCAGCGCCGGTGGGCTGGCACTGCTGGGGGACCCAGTACACCCCCCACCGCCGCTGGCCCGAGTGCTAAGTCCCTCATTGCCCCGGGCCGGCAGGGCTGGCTGGCTGCTCCGAGTGCGGGGCCCGCCAAGCCCATGCCCACCCAGAACTCCAGCTGGCCAGCAAGCGTCCCACGCAGCCCCGGTTCCCGCTCGGGCCTCTCCCTCCACAGCTCCCTGCAAGCTGAGGTGAGGGAGTGGGCGCCGGCCTTGTCCAGCCCAGAAAGGGGCTCCCACAGTGCAGCGGTGGGCTGAAGGGCTCCTCAAGTGCCGCCAAAGTGGGAGCCCAGGCAGAGGAGGTGCCGAGAGCGAGCGAGGGCTGTGAGGACTGCCAGCACGCTGTCACCTCTCACTACCACAGATACAATGAAGAGCTGCTGTTTGGAAAGCAGTTTTCTTTTCTTTGGCGTCATTGAGGCTACATCCTGTTTGTTTGAATTTGATTGCCCTCAACACACAAATTAAAAGAGAGTCCATTAATAGAGATGTTAAGTTTTCAAAGCGAGAGACTACTCATAAGATTTTTAAGGTCCCTGAAAATAGTTTCAAGTTTAAGTCAAAGTTAGTGAAGCAAACGTTTCCAATGAAAGATTTAAAATAGTCTACTGAAAAATACCTGTGCATCTATCTCCCCAGTTCCCATAACATAGAAATTCTTCAAACATAGGTCTGACTTAAAATGATTTTTCTATTTCATCCTCTACGTAGTGAAGAATAAGCCTGTTTCATTCAGATTCACAGTTAGTAGATACTTTCTTGTTTATTTTGATGGGTCAGTGATGGATTACATTTGTGAAAACTAATAGTACTGGATATATAATACGCCTATAATAATTACTAATTATTCTATAAGGTGAAGAAGTAGGTAAAATGATTGTATAAAAGTTAAAATATTCTACTAAGTAGCTAATGAATGTACTATATTTAAAGGTACTTAATCATATCATTATAGAATTTATTTTGCAGATGGGGAAATTAAGATAAGAGGTTAAGTGACATACCCGAAGTCATACAGCTTTTTGAAGCAGAACTGGGAATCTGAAACTGCCTTTGCAAAATTATAACTGAGAAAATTATAACAGTGAGAGATCTTACCTGACTCCATCTTGCTTCTAACCTCCAAGCTGTTCCTCTTCCTTTCCTAGGAATAGGCCAAACTAACTTTGGGAGAAATTTATGGTTTAACTTCGAAACAATGGCGGTAACAGCCCTTTCCCAAAACAAATCCCCTTCCTGCCTGGGGACTAGATTGCTCTTGCAGAACTAACAAATCAGCCACAAGATCAGAAGTTATGGTTTAGGTGTCTTGCAACTGGAAGCTGCAAGATTCTGAACCTCCCCAAATTTTTCCTTGGGGATAACATCACTATGGTAAAACCTTAGAACAGTGTTTGAGATATTTTGTAAACCCTGTACTCGATGGATCAGCTGGCACCACTCAGATCAATAAACTGGTTCATCTGATCTTGTGGCCCCCACCCAGGAACTGACTCAGCGCAAGAGGACAGCTTCGACTCACTCTGATTTCATCTTCCACCTGACCAATCAGCACTCGTGACTCACTGTCCCCACTACCCACCAAATTTTCCTTAAAAAGCCTGATCCCCAGGGAGACTGGTTTCAGTAATAATAAAACTCTGGTCTCCCGTCATGCAGCCAGCTCTGCGTGAATTAAACTCTATCGCAATTCTCCTGTCTTGATAAATCAGCTCTGTCTAGGCAGGGGGCAAGGAGAACCCTTTGGGGGGTTACAAGCCTCCTTGCTCCTGGTTTACTTTTTCTCATGGGTTTAATGAAATATTATTTGAATGTAACATAAAATTTGAATACACTCAGAGGAACTACAAAAATTCAAAGTTGAACTAAACTCTGGGCCATTTTGAAATTGTGATTAGACTTAGAAGCCGATTTTCATCCACTCATTATCATTGCTGAATGCCATTTGACTATATCTTACCTCTCTAGGCTTCATCAGCAATATCTAATAATTACATATCATAATGTAAACTACCAAACAATATTATTTTACTCTTTGCAAGGACTTTGGAAATAACTGGAAATTGCTTGCTTCTTTCTCTTTGTCTCTTTCTTCTGTTTTTTTGTTTTGTTTTGTTTTGTGTGTGTGTGTGTGTGTTTGTGTGTTTGGAAAAAATGTGAAAAATAGATATATCAGAATAAAGTCTTCGTGTAATATTATGTTAAATTATTTAATAATCAGAAAATAAAATAAAATATTTTATTAAAAATATATATGTATAATAGTTGTATGACAAAATAAATCTTTGGCCAAATGGCTTTCTTATAATTTTGAGTAGTTTGATAAAATAAAATCATGTTAACCTACAATAGGGAAAATAATAAATTGAAAATAATAACTTGAAAATTATTTTATACCTGAAAATTATTTTAGCCTCTATTTTAAATGACTAGATTTTGTTCTGGACTAATTCAAAGAATGGCTTTTGTCACATTTAGTTTATAAAGACCCAGATACCTATTGAGATTATTTTGCCTATGTGATTTTTTTGAAATAAAAATTTTATTGAAGTGTAAGATACAGAAAGTGCACAAAACATAAGGTAAAAGTTAATTAATACTATTTATTTTCTAATTATTGCTGGTGTATAAAAATAACTATTAACGATGACCTTTTATTCTGTGCTCTCACTAAATTCACTTATTAATCCTAATGATTTACTGGTAGCTTCTTTTAAATTTTCTATGGACATAATCATGTCATTTGTGAATAATGACATCTTTATTTTTCTTTTCCTATACTTACCCCTTTTATTTATTACTCTTGTATTATTGTTTGGCAGGGGTAAACAAACAGCATCTTTCTCTGAAAACATTTATGTAAGTATGTCTTAACTTTTACCTTTAAATAATATTTTCACTGGATATAGAATTACAGGTTTGCTGTTATTTATTTCATTATTTTAAAAGTGTTAATCCACTCTCTCCCATCATTTCAGTTGGAAAATCAACTGTCTTATTTTTACTCATTTTAAGATAATGTGTCTATTATTCCTTCGCTTTAAGATTTTCTTAATTGTCTTTATTTTACAATCATGTGCCTTTTGTGTGGTTTACTTTGCATTTACCCTTCTTGGGTGCTGTAGTACTTCTTGAACTTGAAGCTTGATGTCTTTTGTCAATTTTGAAAAATCTTACGCCATGAATTCTTTCAATATTGCTTCTCTCTCTTATTCCCTTCTGAGGCTCCAACCATACACATATATTGGCATTTTTATTACTGCTCCAAGTATGTCTTCTGCTGTTTTTCTGCATCTTAAATCCTATTTTCTCCACGTTGCAGCTTGAACACTTTCTGCCTCAATTTAGCAATTCTCTCTTCAGCTATGTCTAATCTGCTATTAATTCCATTTATGGAATTTTAAAAACATTTATATTATTTAATATAACACAAGTACAGAAAACTTAAGAAAGTATACATAATGTCTATGAAATGAATAATCTTGGAAAGGACTACACATATCAAGAGCCACTCCAGAGCTCTATCCATGGTCCCTGCCCAATCACAATACCCTCTAGCCCCTAGTGGTAGTCAATATTTTGACTTTTATAGTAATATAAACTTATGAAAATTTTTTTTAGCATGAGGACATTATACTAAGTGAAATAAGCCAGCCACAAAAAAAAAAAACAACAAATACTGTAGGATTCTATTTATACAAGGCCCTTAAAGTGGTAAAAATCATAGAGACAGAAAGTAGAATGGTGGTTGTCAGGAATTGATGGTGGCAGAGAGGGAATGGGGAGTTATTGTTTAATGGGTACAGAGTTTCAGTTTTACCAGATGGAGAGTTATGGAGAGGAATGGTGGTGATGGTGGCACGACATTATGAAGTATTGTACTGAATACCACTGAACTGTATGCTTAAAGTGATTAAGATAGTTCATTTTATGTTATGTGTATATCACCACCACCATGACAACAACAACAAAAAATATTTTTTTAAAAAAACCTGTAGGATGATTTAAGTCTTTAAGAGATGTCATCTTCTTTCTAGAAGGGATTCATTTTTGTCAGAGCGGGCAGTTTGATTTAGGGGAGATAGCCTTTATCCAATCTAAGATTTTGTTGGTTGAGAGCAATATTTAGTTTTATGAAGGCTGAAGTATTACTTGTTCACCTTTATTCCAATGGTATAGCCCTTTAGGGCTTCCAGCTGAAAGTATGGAATATTTACCAAGACCCCTCCTCCCTGGAAGACCCTATACTCCTATTTGGTGTTCCCAGACTTGAAGCTGCCAAAAGGTTTACTCAGCTTTTTAGCCTTTTAGTGCTGCTGATGAATCAACAGGTGCCTCAAGGAGAAACGTGGTACCACATGTTGGGTTAAAATCTCTAAATTTCCCTCATCTCCAGAGCCCTGGCCTCAAGTACTCACTTCCTTGGTAGATTTTAAACCATTTTTAAAACTCATTTTTTAAAACTAGCTTTTCTGGTTATTTTTATGAAGTTGTTCTGATATAAAGTAGTCTGCCATAGCTGGATGTGAAAATCTTACTTATGTCCTTTGGTCTTATTCACTTAGCAAGCATTTAAGCCAAAGATATAATTACAGGCGTACTTTGGAGATATTGTAGGTTTGGTTCCAGACCACTGCAATAGAGTATCACAAGAGAGCAAGTTGCATGAAATTTTTTATTTCCCAGCGTATATAAAAGTTATGTTTACACTGTATTGTAGTCCATCAACTATCTATAGCATTGTGTCCTTAAGAACAATATGTCTGAAAAACAAAGTACATACTTTAGTTTCAAATATTTTATTGCTAATAAATGCTAATGGTCATCTGAGCCTTCAGTAAGTTGAAATTTTTTGTTGGTGGAGTGATTGCCATATTGTTGATAGCTGCCGACTGATCAGGGTAGTGATTGCTGAATGTTGGATTGATTGTGGCAATTTATTAAAATAAGGCAACAGTGATTTTTGCTGCATCAATTGATTCTTCCTTTCATGAAAAATTTCTTTGTAGCATATGATACTGTTTGGTAGCATTTTACCCACAGTAGAACTTATTTCAAAATTGGAGTCAATCCTCTCCAATCCTGCTACTGCCTTATCAACTAAGTTTAGGGAATATTCTCAATATTTGTTGTCATGTCAACAATATTCACAGCATCCTCAGCAGGGGTAGATACCATCTCAAGAAACCACTTTCTTGGC
Source organism: Homo sapiens (assembly GCF_000001405.40). Lineage (NCBI taxonomy): Eukaryota > Metazoa > Chordata > Mammalia > Primates > Hominidae > Homo > Homo sapiens. The sequence continues at coordinate 119,168,753 of NC_000004.12, read as the reverse complement.
TTATTCATAAGAAGCAACTCCTGATCTGCTCAGGTGGTTTTTTGTTGTTGTTGTTGTTGTTGTTGTTGTTTTGTTGTTGTTTTTTTTAGATTGCAGCAATTCAGTCACATCTCCACACTCCACTTCTAGCTTTAGTTGTCTTGCTATTTCCACCAGATCTTTATTTACTTCCTCCAATGAAGTCTTGAACCCCTTAAAGTTAACCATGAGAGTTGGAATGAACTTTTTCCAAAGTCCTGTTAATGTTATTATTTTGCTTTCCTTCCATGAATCACAAATAATCTTCATGGCATCTAGAATGGTGAATTCTTTTCAGAAGGTTTTCAATTTACTTTGCCCAGATCAATCAGAGGAATCCCTTTCTATGGCAGCTATAGCCTTATGAAATGTGTTGCTTAAATAATAAGGCTTGATAGTCAAAATTACTCCTTGATCCATGGGCTACAGAATGGATGTTGTGTCAACAGGCATAAAAAGTATTAGGCTGGGCGCAGTGGCTCACGCCCATAATCCCAGCACTTTGGGAGACCGAGGCGGGCAGATCACGAGGTCAGGAGATAGAGACCATCCTGGCTAACACAGTGAAACCCTGTCTCTACTAAAAATACAAAAAATTAGCTGAGCATGATGGCAGGCACCTGTAGTCCCAGCTACTCAGGAGGCTGAGGCAGGAGAATGGCATGAACCCAGGAGGCGGAGCTTGCAGTGAGCCGAGATCACACCACTGCACTCCAGCCTGGGTGACAGAGCGAGACTCCGTCTCAAAACAAAACAAAACAAAACATTAATCTCCGTGTACATTGCCATCAGAGCTCTTGGGTGACCAGGTTCGTTGTCAATAAAGAGTAATAAATTGAAAAGAATATTCTTTTCTGAGCAATAGGTCTCAAGAGTAGGCTTAAAATATTCAGTAAGCCATGCTGTAAACAGATGTGCTGTCATTCAGGCTTTGCTTTTCCATTTATAAAGCACAGACAGAGATTTAGCATGATTCTCAAGGGCCCTGGAATTCTCAGAATGGTAAATGAGCATTGGCTTCAACTCAACTCAAATTCACCAGCTACATTAGTTTCTAGTGAGATAGTTAGCTTGTTCTTTGAAGCTTCAAAGCCAAGCATTGACTTCTCTCTAGCTATGGAAGCCATAGATGGTATCTTCTTCCAATAGAAGGTTGTTTCACCTACATTGAAAATCTGTTATTTACTGTAGCCACTTTCATCAATCCTCTTAGCTAGATCTTCTGGATAATTTGCTGCAGCTTCTACATCTGCACTTGCTGCTTCACCTTGCGCTATAAAAGTTAAGAAGATGGCGTCTTTCCTCAGCCTTCATGAACCAACAACTACTAGCTTCCAACTTTTCTTCTGCAACTCCCTTGCCTCTCTCTAAGCCTTCATAAAGTTGAAGAAAGTTAGGGCCTTGCTCTGGATTGGGTTTTGGCTAAATTATGGAAATGTTGTTCCTGGTTTGATCTTCCATCCAGACTACTCAAACTTTCTTGATATCAGCACTAAGGCTGTTTTACTATTTTATCATTCATGTGTTCACTGGAGTAGCACTTATCATTTTCTTCCTGAATTTTTCCTTTGCATTCACACCTTGGCTAACTGGCACAAGAGGCCTAGCTTTCAGCTTATCTCTGCTTTTGACATGTCTTCCTCACTGTCTAATCATTTCTAGCTTTTGATTTAAAATGAGAGACTTGTGACTCTTCCTTTCACTTGAACACTTAGAGGCTACTATAGGGTTATTAATTGGCTTAATTTCAATATTGTTGTGTCTCAGGGAATAGGGAGGCCCAGGAAAGGGAGAGAGATGGGGGAGTGGCTGGTCATTGGAGCACTCAGAACACACACAACATGTATTGATTAAGTTTGCCTTTTTACATGGGCATGGTTCATGACATCCCAAAAACAGTTACAATAGTAACATCTAAGATTGCTGATCACAGGTCACCATAACAGATATAATAATAATGAAATCAGAATATTGTGACAATTACCAAAGTGAGCACATGATGTTGGAAAAATGGCACCAATAGACTTGCTTGACACAGGGTTGCCACAAACCTTCAATTTGTGAGAAAATGCAGTATCTGCCAAGAAGAGTAAAGTGAAGTGCAATAAAACGAGGTATGCCTGTATACTGTTTAGTTGTTTTTTAAGTGGACTTCTAAAGCAATGCACGTACTAGACAATGTCTTAAACTTTGTGTATCCCTGTGCATATACTTTTTTTTTTTTTTGAGACAGGGTCTCTCTCCCATTGCCCAGGTGGGAGTACAGTGGTGTGATTATAGCTCATTGCAGCAGCCTCAACCTCCTGGGCTCAAGCGACCCTCTCGCCTCACTTTTTGAGTTCTTACTATGTTGTGCTGGCAGGTCTCAAACTCCTGGGCTCAGCTCACCTTGGCTTCTCAAAGTGCTGGGATTACAGGCATGTACCCCAGCCTGTACATACGCACCTGGCCTACATACGCTTCAAGGTTAGAAAGGATCTTACAGCTATCTGTTTGGGCTGTCTATGTATCATATCATGTTTTGTTTCATCCATTAATGTTATTTAATAATAAGAAGTCTAAGAATATACTATCATGTTGAAAGAATTTAATTCCTAAGTTTTTATTTCTACGTTGATGTAGATATGCAAAGGAATAAAATGTTCTAAAGTAAAAGAGAAGTATTAGCAGATTAAGTTTTCACACACACACACACACGCACACACACACAGCATGTAATATTTGCAAAAGCTTTGATTAACACAGGGAGCTACATTTCCTGTTGAATGGTATTGTGCTCACTGATATAGTACTCACCTGGTATTTATACAGTCAATAGGCATCTCTTTATAACTAACCCAAATATTACCACACCAGTGTGTGTAGAACTACAGGCAAGCTGCTCAGCAGGTACAGGGCACCAAAGCCACAAGATACAGAGAAGTCTTACAGCATGTCTTAAGCACTTAATCTCAAAAACAAATCCGAGTTATTCCATTAATTTCCATTTTCCCCTAATGTTTTACTTGTTATAATTTTCTACACTCTCATTTTGAAAAAAAAATTATAACATTGATCAGAATGGGCCTCCAACTTTCTTTCCCTGCCACTCCTCAACCCCTCTTTAAATTCTATGGTACACCTCTTTCATGCAAGGGATGCATTACTAATAATGGTAGTGTGCAAAAACTAAAATCTTAATAGTACAATATTTATTTTTATTTATTTTATTTATTTATTATTTTTTGAGACAAGGTCTCACTATTTGCCCAGGCTAGAGTGAAGTTACATGATTTCAGCTCACTGCAACTTCCACCTCCTGGGCTCCAGTGATCCTCCCACTTCAGCCTGCCAAGTAGCTGGGACTACAGGTACATGCCACCACTCTTGGCTAATTTTTGTATTTTTTGTAGAGACAGGGTTCTTGCTATGTTGCCCAGGGTAGTCTTGAACTCCTGGGTTCAAGTGATCCACCCACCTCAGCCTCCCAAAGTGCTGGGATGACAGGCATGAGCCACCACATCCGATCACTTAAGAAGATCACTGTTTAAATGCAGTCTATTTGGCATTCTTTTTTTAAATAAAAAAATTTACTCATTAATTTATTCATTTTTAAATGAATGGTTATTAAGCTGCCTATAAATTGAGTCTAACTTTTTTTGAGTGTGAGACAGCATACTAGATATTAGATATTTTAATATTTTACTCTAAAATGAAGGTCAAGTGATCAAATAATGGATTATGAGACTATTAAAAATTCAAAATATCCATGGAAATTATAAAAACTGAATAACAGAGAAAAATGGATGCCCATTCTATAAACTATACTACAGATATCATTTGGTGATATTTTTGATAGCATAAGTTTTGGGTTGTACCTCTTCTGGAATCTTGGGCCATTAAGTCTCTAAATTACTTTTAATCTGTCCTAAAGCCTGCAAAAATGTAAGATAGAATCTGGAGTTACACAGTAATTCTCATAGCCTTGCATGTGAATTATTTATTAAATTCTTGAACAGTATTGCCATTTGAAACAATGCATAAACCCAGATCAATCTTTGGATTTGAAACTATTATTAAAATAACATTTTTAAAGTATCAAGGGATAATCTTGATGTTATACCAATGATAGTTTCTGAATCATTTCCTTCATTTTTATACTAAAAATGACCAAGTTTGAAAATAATAGTAATATTACAAAAATGAGTCTTTGCCTAGGCTTAGAAGATATCCTATATTGCTATTTAGATTCTTTTCTCAAAAGAAAAAATTGCTTTCTACCAGGGAATTCAGTTATCTGTACCATGATGAAAAAATTTTGGTATTGCATGCCAACAGTGTCACCCAGGACCATTGAATTACCTGTTAAAGCTCCTGTAATCAGGCAGTTCTGCCTTTCCTTCAGGCTTGAAAAGTTTAGGATATAAAGCCTCTAAAAGCTCCGGATCATTGCTAATGGCTTGTTCCCAGGGAGATTGATAGTACTTAGGGACAGCTGTGGTGTTGAATTTTTCAGGAGGAATTTCCTTCAGTGGTCCAGAATATCCTTTGGAAAAATATAGCAAAAGTAAGTAAATACTGTGCCCGAGAGTTACTAACCTCCACCTAACATTTTACCATGTTTGATTTTTCATGCTGGGATAAATTTATGAAGCATGCATCCTTTTCATGATCCCTTAGAAAACAGCAGTCTGCAAGTGTTAGACATTTTAGAGCTCCTGTAAGCTTATGGAACTTTAAAAAGAAACCATTTTTCTTAATGTTTAATTTTTCCAAATTATACAGTTTTTTCTTGACTGTCTTAGTATATATATTTTTCCAGTAAAACTGTTCATTTAGTTTTCTAAAAATTGTGCTCCTTGCATTAATTCACACTAGACTTTAGATACCACAATTAATTAATTTAAAAATGTTAATATTGAGTGCCTATTGTAGTCTAAGGTAGGGGAAATCGCAATGCAGACAAAATCTCCCTCCTCCCAGAGCTGATTCTTTAGAGGTGATGTTTGGGTCTTGTCTGTCTTCAATTGCTGAGTGCTCTGTAAAATGTTTGAGCTTCAAGAAGATGAAGTAACTTGTTCCCACGGCCTTATTCAGGCCCAGCTCTTCTTATCTCCCAATGTACCCATCCCCTTTTTATTTTGTTCCTCAAGATTTCTTACCTAGCTTTTCTGCTTCTGATCTCACCTCCCCAGTTTATTCTTCCCATAACAGCTGGGAATTTTCTGTAAATACTGTTTAAAAGTCACGGAAATTCTTGGCATAGATCTTTAAACCTTTTTCACATGCATAGAGTGACACTCTTCCAGTTTTCTAAGGCACAGTTATCTACTTTCTGTTTACACTGCCATATTACCTAGTTATATCCCTGCAATTCTCTCTTCCACCATGTCAAATCCCTTTACCACTTGATGACTTCTACTTTTAGATTTCTCTGATGCTCTTTCCCATCTCTGCAATAATTTTGATTTTCTTCTGTCAAAGCATGCCTATCTCCTCTTTACACTAAAATGTTTGTCTCCTCCAAAAAAAAAGCCCCTTCCTGATAATTCCATGTCTAAACAGTTATTTGTGATTATTTAATTTTCTTCAGATTGCCTCCAGTATCTAATACAAATCTTTTTGTGTAGGCTCCTTTTCTCTGCTTACCACTTAAATACTGTTGTTCCTCAAAGCTCTTTTCTTACACAATGCACTCTACCTAGAAAATTCCATTTATATTCATAGCTTCAATTGTGACCTATGTATTGATAATTCTGACTTTTTAAAAAAATAATCAAGCCCTCTACTGAATTATTTACTATATTTATCAAAATAAATGATCCACTGGCACCCTTTATAACCTGTCTAGACCTAAATGTAGCCATTTTCTAATATATTCTGCTTCTTTTTCTATTTTGGTCATTTTAGCAAATGTTATCACTTTACTCTCAGATGCCCAAGACAGAGCATTATCCGAAAGTCTCCCTCATCCCCACAACAAATCACAAAGTGTTACCAACTATACTACCTAAGGATTTCTAAAATAGTGGCTCTCATATTATTGTTTGTCTGAATTATCTTGGATACGTATTTAAAATGTAGATAATAGGATCCTCCCTCCAGGAGTCTGGCTTCAGTGAGTCTCAGGTATTACCTAAAACTCCAATGTTTAACAAACTCTCATACAAATCTTATGCAGGTGGTCTACAAACAGAACAACGAGGAACACTGCTCTAAAAAATTCTCTTTACATTTCCGTTACTCCTGCCCTGGGTCAGGTCCAGGTGTCTCTTGCCTGGGTGTTTGCCACAGCTTCAACACTAATCCTTTAGCTCTAACCCTCTCCCAGCCAGCCTCCACACTGCTGCCCCAGGAGACCTTCCTAACTGGCCAGCTCTTCCCCTGCTCAGGGGACCCTAATGCCTCCCAGGACAAAATCGCAACCACTCAGCATGACCCATGTGGCCCTTAAGCCCGTCCAGCCTCACCGCCTGCTTTCTCCTTTCACACTCTTTGCTCCAGGACTATGGATCTAGTTACTTGCTGCTTGGGGTGCCCCTTATGCCCCTCTACTTGGTCCATTCATTTCCTGTGCCTGGACTGTTCTCCCTACTTCTTGTCATGTGCGAATTTCTACTGTAAGCCTTGGCTTCAGGTCACCCTTCTATGCAGCCATTCCTACCTCCCCGAGGAAAGAGTTCTCTTTCCTGTGTCTTGTCTTTGTATATTATACGTAATTCTATAACCATAACTACCACATTTTATTTCCTATTCCTTTCCTGGAGTTGAACAGAGGTAAGACCTTTAAAAACTGGACAATTTTAAGTTTTATAAAATTTGTTTAAAATTCCTCAAAATCTCACCACCCTAACACAAGTATTTAGTTTTGTGTATTTTCTTCCAGTTTTTCTTCACCCATAAACGTAATGATCACATAACTAGAACATCTAGTGTAATATTATGTTTTTCCCCCAAATTTGTTTAAAATACTTTTAAATGTTTCTGTATCATGTTCATAATTATTTTAAGGGTTTCACAATAATCTATTAAATTAAGGAACCATGGTTATGTAATCTTTTCCCATTTTTGAACATTCAAGGTTTTCTAATTTCTTTTTATAGATATCATTAAATAACAACTTTTTTCTTTTTTGATAATGCTGAGTTATCTACAGAAAAGAATGTGCTTATATTTAACCTCACAGAAATATTACAATTCAGCAATGCAATATGTCTACATTTCTTGTTTGATTTTTAAATATGTTTTAATATAACTGAAATTTAGATAAATTTTATTTTTACAGTATTATGGCATTTTCATACTCTTATTTATTCATGTATGAAAAAAGTTGGCTTTTTGATACATAGTTGGCTAATCACTATAACAAATTAATTTGCTAAATTGGAATAATTATAGTTTGTTTACTGAGCTTATTGTACTTTTCAACTTATCTACTCAGAAGGAAGAATCCATTTGTACTCTTGCCTCATAGTAAAGTACATAATAATACCCCAACTCCCCATTTTCTTACTCTATATTGCATAGACATTTTCTAATATTTAATAACTGGATACTAGCTCTAAATAGGTACATAAATTAGTGCTTTAAAAATTTCTCTTAAGTTAAACATTGCATGTCCTCATTCATATGTGGAAGCTAAAAAAGGTTGATCTCCTAGGCGTGAAAAGTAGGACAGAGGATACTAGAGGCTGGGAACAGTAGAGAGAAGTGGGGACAAGAGAGATTTGTTAAAGAATGCAAAATTATAGCTAGACAGGAGGAATAAGTTATAGTCTTCTATAACACTGTAGGGTGTTATAAGAATAATACAGTTATTTATATATAAATTTATATACAAATAAGAATAATATATAGTTCAGATAGCTAGAAGGAGGATATTGAATACTTCCAACACAAAGAAATAATAAATATTTGAGATGATGGATATGTATCAAAACATCACTATGTACCCCAAGAATATGTACAATTATTACACGTCAATTTAAACGATATTAATTAGGGCTATAACAGTTGCGTTGGAGGTACATCTTTGAGGTTCCGTTAAATGAGAAAATTAAGATACAGAAAAGTGTGTTGAATATACCATTTAATAAAGCATGCAGTTTTCCCCCCACAAAGTCTCTCTCTGAATATATATAAACATACATATACAACCACACACATATTTACTCCTGATGGTCAATAAAATGCACATATGATGTTGAATTATATACACAGAAAGTGAAAATATAGATATTCTTTGGACATCTGCTCTATCTCTCTATGTCTATTAATTCTTTGAAGATAGAGATTAATTCTTCTATTCATTTTGTGATTCCATAGTGTACAGTAAAGACTACATAATAAAAGTTCTAAGTGAATGACAGCACTAAATTGTATCAACATTCACTTTTCCATATGTCCTCTCTCTTTCCTATTTAATAAAAAAAAAAAAACTCCAAAAAGTAAGCAGGGATTGTAGTACAGTGGTTGGAGCTCAGATAGTATCTGTGTATTCTATTGCATAAGAAGGATGTAAAGGTGGATGGGGAAAGAATTAACTTTAACTGAGTGCTTATTATATGTTAGGGACTATTCGCATACCATCACACTTACTTTGCACAGTGACCCTGTAAAGCGAGATTTCTTTCTCTATTTTACAGATTGAGGAAACTAGGGCCCAAAGAGATGTATTTTCTTTCCCAGCATGGTAGTAAAATGGGAAGAGCCATAGGGTTGAACCCAGATCTGTCTGATTCTAAACCTTATTTCTTTTCTCATGTGGTTGATGATGTAGATACAGACCCTATTACCTGCTTTTCTGCCATAACTTTTGTTGAAAGCTACCAGAGAACTTCATTAAAATAATCCATTTCAGAATTGTATGCATTTTAATTGTGCCTAATTGGTTTCCTTCGGTATTATTTTGCTAAGTCTATCCACAGTTTTTCTCATCGTGCTCATTAAGAATGCTCTAATACCTTATTTTTAAATAATATTTAATGTTGTACAGGTGCTGTACCTGTATAACATTATCTCAAAATATTTACATATTTTCAAAAATAGTATTACATTTGAGAAGAATGCTAGGAGTACTTTTGCTAAATTTACTGTTTATTTTACAAAAATTAGACATATATCTTTAGTTTCAAGATATAACTATTTTAAATTTTTGAAATCTATACACTACTCTTGAGGAAATGCTTGAATTTTCAAAGACACTATAGGTTACTTTGAAAAGTTGTCTAATTAGATAATGTAATTTTTTGAAAGATGTCCTATTTTAATGCCCAACATTATTTATAAAGACTATAAACTGACTGAATAAGGAGTTGATTCTCTTTTAAAATGATAAACAAATGTATACTCTTTAGGAGCTGCATTGAAAGTCCTTTGAGGGAACAGAGAAAACAAAAACAATCTCCATAAGGTCTGTTGACATGAGGCAGTTGTAAATTTGGTACCAGATCTGGGCTTAATTCTTTTTTGTTTTATTTATTTATTTTTTGTAGAGATAGGGTCTTGTTATGTTGCCCAGGCTGGTCTCGAGCTCCTGGCCTAAAGTGATCCTCAGCCTCCCAAAATGCTGGTATTATAGCTGTGAGCCACTGTGCCTGGCCCTAATTCTTTTTTCTCTTGTAATTTTAATTTAAAAGATTTTTATTTTTGACTTTTGTGGGTACATAATAGGTGTATATATTTATGGGGTTCATTAGATATTTTGATAACAGCATGCAATGTGCAATAACCACATCAGGATAAATGGGGTATCCATCATCTTAAGCATTTATTCTTTATGTTATAAACAATCCAGTTATACTCTTTTAGTTATTGTAAAATGTACAATTAGGTTACTATTGACTATGGTCACCCTGTTGTGCTGTCAAATACTAGGTCTTATTCATTCTTTGTTGCTTCATAGACATTCATAACCTCAACGTCTTAATTTATAAAATGAGGATTGTAATTAATATGTCATAGAGTTACTGCGAAATTAAAGAAGACAATATATATCACAGCACTTTATAAATTGTACAGTCCTATACAAATAGGATTTCAATATAATTACAAATTACTTATTATAATTTTCAATATAGCAGGTGATTAACAGACCATCTAAAACAAAGAACGTATGGCTACTATAAATGTTTTATGTGATTCCTTTAGGTTTGAATTTTTGCATTTGTCTTCTATTTATCCAAAAAAGAAACTTTTTTTTGAGTCAGGGTCTTACTCTGTTACCCAGGCTGGATGGAGTGCAGTGGTGTGATCATGGCTCACTGCAGCCCCTCCTGGGCTCAAATGATCCTCCTACCCCAGCCCCCCAAGTAGCTGGGACTACAAGTGTGCACCACCATACCCAGCTAAATTTTGTATTTATTGTAGAAACTAGGTTTCACCATGTGATCCAGGCTGGTCTCAAACTTGTGGGCTCAGGTGATCCACCCACCTCAGTCTCCCAAAGTGCTGGGATTGGGAGCCACCGTGCCTGGGGCCCAAAAACATACTTAATGAGAAAAGATATATTATTTAAATACTATTCAATAAAGGCTTTAAATGCCTTGAGTCATATCATTAGGTACACAGAAATTTTATTGCTCTGTTGGTAAGGGGATTGGTTACCTGGAGCAATGTTGTCTGGATTTGGAGGGCTTCGTGGATCTGGGGTGTTGGGAGGAGTCAAGGGGGCTTGCTGCGAACCACCTTCCAAGTTACTTCCATCCACTTTCCCATTCTGCATAGCAATACTGTGCTGTATTTAATCAAAAGTAAACTCTGCTGAAAACTCAAAAATGTAAGCACAATAATAGGAGCTATATATGCAAAACTTCAATTGTATATTTATAATTTAAATGCAATGTCGCTTCATTACTTCCTGGGACCTCAATAATTTTTTTCATAGTAAGATGGTTGCGCACTTGAATGAGAAGATTTACTGATATCAGTCTAAGATCTATTTTATGATGACAGTCCACTTAATAATGATTAGAGCTGAAATTGAGACTTACTGTGTGCCAGGCACTGTGTGTAGTGGTTCATACCAATCATTTCATTTTCTGTTCAGACCATCCCTATGAGATAAATGTATTTAATTTTTGAATCCTTACTAATCTAATAATGTAGAGCATACTGGCTAAGCATTTGGCCTAGTAAATCTTATCTTCCATTGTATTTATATTTGGGCTTTAATTAGATTTTTTAACGTCTAGAAAGTTTAAAAATCTAACCTGAAATTTCAACGGCAATCATATGTACTCCAAAAAAACACAAAAATCATTTATATTTTAAGTTGCATAGACTTGCAAAAGGAAAAATTTTTGATTTTTAGAAAATAAAATGCTGAAAAAATACATTTGTCTTTTAAATTTTGATAAATTTGTTTTCCTATTACAGGATTTATTCTATGGCAATAATATAGCACCTTAAAAATGTTCAGTTTGCATTTTAAGAAAAAAATAGACATCGTAGTAGGTTATGTCCTCAAAAGTATAGCCAAGTTTTATTCTCATAATAAATCATTGTTTTAATTGCATATAGGAAATATGTGTATTTTAAAAAGAAGCGATTAGGTCAAATCATCTTTTAACTTCAAAAATAAAAATTTAGTAAAAAGCATAGCAATTAGACACTGATTTTGACTCTTTTGTGTGTGACATACAGAAAATCTTTCATTTTTTAATTTCTATATTTGTTTGTAAGATTCTGTGATGAAATATACCTTTACATTTTAACACTTATTTAACTTTATAGCAATTTCAGGATAGAATACAATTTTGTTTTAAAATTTAAATACTTACCATAACTAAAGGCCATAAATTAAGATCCTCACTTAATAAAATTATGAAGGAAATAAAGTTTATCTCCATTTTTATGCTTCACCCACACAGCCCCTCCCCAAGGGCTTTTGCATTCATGTTAATCTCTGCAGCATTCCAAAAAAGCCTACTTTCAAAGCAGTAGTCCAAATTTGAGCCTTTGTTCTTTCGTCTGCTTCATCAAAGCCCACATTTGGACAGGGCAGAAAATGACAATGATAAAATAAAATCTTCATGAATAAATTATACTTATAAAATATTGATAGTCTGATGATATACTAACTTCCCAGGAACATATATATATTTTCAACGAATAGCTTTTTAAACAAAAATACTTAATCTCTATTAGAATTTTAAAAGATCTATTTTGGGAAGGAATTCTCTTAGAGCTGTCTCTGCCTGAGGTTAAAACTTATAGCAAAAATATTATGACTTTAAACATTTTTACAACTTTAAACATCGCATGCCTAATTGCAAACTCATCATCATGTTCACACTTTATTGCATACTGAATAAGCCTAAATGTTTTAGCCTTGCACTGAGACCTGCCTACCTAGTCTCATCAGTTTTTAAAGATGTACCCTAAGCTTAAAACCAAACCACTTATAATTCCCCGATTATCTTGTATGCTTTTCTACCTTTGATCATAGATCAAGATTCCCCCATTATCTTGTATGTTTCTCCACCTTTCTACCTTTGATCTTTGATCATAGGAGTTCCCCTAGCAAGAGGACCCCTCTCCGTCATTACCATGGTCGGCTCTGTCGTGATTTAAAAAACACCCCTTCCCTTATTCTTCCTCCCCTTCCAATAAAAAGTTTTTTGTCTTTCTTCTCGCCGCTCCCGTATCATTTACTATAATTCGCCTTTAAAATAATATTTTGTGTCCTGTTTCATTTACTAGCTTGTTAGCTACTTGAGAACAGGGAATTTCATTTTGCCCATATGTCTTTTACAAAGCCTAAGATGGTGTCTTATATAGCACAAGCAGTCAGCGAATATTAGCTGAATTTTTAGTGAATAAATAGCCAAACCCAGCTGATTCTTTTTCACTATGACATTTTTTAAAATGCCATCTTCCTTTTTCACTTTAGTCTTCATGCTCCTGTTATCCTCATTGCTCATACTTTATCATGTCATCATCTATCTTCTGTTCATTTTCCACCAAGCATTTTCCTTCCAGTCAGACCGAATACAAATGCTGGTATGGCATTACTCCAATCTTTAGAAATTGTTCCTAATTGCCTAGTGAATAAAATGCAAACTCTTTTGCTTGGTAATGTAGATGTCATACTCACCTCATAAACATTACCTCTCATTCCTTGCAAACTTCCACAAGCCAGTTCCCCACTACTACCCTCTGCCCTCCTCAGCCCCACAAGCTGTTTCACCTGCTTTGAATGCCCTCTTTTCTGTTCTTTACTAAACCAAATCCTAGGTTTCCTCTAAGACCCATCTTAGAATTTCCGTCTTCTTTCTAACTAACTTAATCTACCGGAAATGTCTCCATATTCTGTATTATCCCAATACTTCAATAAAACCTATGCCACCTTCTCGTGCTCTTTCTTTATTTGTTCCTGTTACCTGGGTTTTGGTATTGCATTTATGTCATTTGGAGTCCCCATCCTATTTATAATCTGGCTGAAGTCTAGTTGGCCACTGATGTGATTTGGATATTTGTCCCCTCTAAATCTCATGCTGAAATTTCATTTCCAGTGTTGGAGTTGGGGCCTAATGGGAGGCGTTTGGTCATGGAGGTGGATTCCTCATGAATGACTTGGTGCCATCCTCGCAGTAATTAGTTCCTATGAGAATTGATTGTTAAAAGGAACTTGGCACCTCCTCCCTCCTCTCTCTTCCTTCCTTCCTCTCTCACCATGTGATGCCAACTCCCCTTTCCCTTCTGCCATGAGTGGAAGTTTCCAGGGGCCCTTACCAGAAGCAGGTGCTGATGCCATGCTTCTTGTACAGCTCACAGAACCATGAGTCAAATAAACCTCTTTTCTTTATAAAGTACCTGGTCTCAGCTATTACTTTATAACAACATGGATGGACTAAGAAAGGCATTGTGTGTGTGTGTGTGTGTGCGTGTGTGTGTGTGTAATATAACATTTTTGCATTTTGAACTCAGCTCCTATCTTGAGTGTTGGACTTAATAATTGACTAGGTTAGTATCTTTATGTTTTTACTTCTAAACCTATACTAATTCTTTAAAAAGTATAAAGTTCCTGATAACTTTAATTATAAATAAAAAGGCATTTGAGATAAATTTAGGAAGTTTAAATGTATAATGCACAAAGAGTAATGTTTTCTAAGTTCCTAGAATGTGTTCATTAAATGAATTTCACCTAAACTTACAAATAATTCTACCTACATTAATTTCCAGGAATTGTAATACCTTCTGTAACCTCTTCCTGGGGATTAATGATGAGCAGGAAAATCAACTCTTTCTCATTAGTCATTAATTATCAGGAGACACCCAGTACCTCTACATCATCGTTAAGAAAATAAGCAGAGCCTTATAATAGTTAGATAGTAACCTATATAATTATAAGCTTTACATCATAGCATTCCATCATCTGCAATTCCTTTCAGAAAAGTTGGAAAGACAAATGAAGATATGTCTCTTCTTACCTCAGTTAAGTTGACCCTAAAGAAAACAAAACTAGAGCCATATCCTATAGATTATGTAAATTAAAAACATGCATAGAAGATGCTTTACATGATTTCTGTTAAAATATCAATAGATATAAAAAGAAGGCTTCTTTGCTCTATGCTTTGTGCCACATACATGGTAGAAGTTATTTTTTGAACAAAGCAAATATATATTTAGAGTTCCAATTATTTAGTGTGGTCTTATTTCAGAATTACTTTTAATAGTATAATTCCCCTTTTCCCAGTAGTATTTAAGATTTCTAGTGATTCAAAAAATATAATATCCTTTTGCAGTAACTGATAAGAAGAGAATTTTAATTATCATGAGGCATTCTTCCATTTTACTTTATTTTTGGTGGCCTATTTTCTTCACCCATCTCCATTTTGCCATTTTGGTTAAAAAATAGTTTATGAACTAGGGCTTCAAAATTGGCTCATGTAGCAAGCAATGTTCATTTCTTTTTAGGAACACATATTTACTGTTATTACTGTTTGTGTCATAGAAAGTATATGTAGCTTGAATTTGCCAGTGTCCCTCACCAGTAGAATTCAAAGCTACACTTATTTTTTCTGTTTTTAAAATGGTAGTATTTGAACAAATGGCATTAATTACCAGGGGGGTGGTTTATATTTTCATTTATATGAGGTCTTCAACATTATACTAGAATAAGAAATATATAAAGCTGAGTTAAATTATTACTTTGACAACATCTATTGCTCAAGGGAAGCAGTAAAAGTAAAAGCTTGTTCCAGAAAATGTAGTCAATAAATCAGATTAATGTGGTATAAAAATCATATAAGGATCATTCAAGAACTAGATTATAAGTAAATAAAAGCTCTCTTATCTTTCAATGTCATTTGGTCTCTCTATCACTAGATGAAACCTGTATTTATTTATCTTTGAGCTTGCAGCATAGTATCAAGAACATAATAGGCACCCAATAAATATTTGCCAAAAGTATAAATGAATATGAATGGAAATAGACCTGAGTCTAATAATATTTTTGAATTCCTGTCATATTAACCTTTCAAGTTGCAATCTACAGTCTTGACAAAGTAAAAGTATCATTGTACAACGTGGCTCACTATCTTCCTTAATGACTTATTGTGCAGGTAATTTTTTGAATTAAGATCGGGCAACACACAGATCATTAAAGACAGAAGGCACCTGAGAGCATTGGAGTGCGTATCTTTATTTTTAAAATGAGGGGGAAAATTCAGAAAGGCAAAAAAAAAAAAAAGGCAACGCTTTTTGAGTTAACACTAAATCACATGGCTGGTGGGAGAGCCAGGACCAAACCTTGGTCTCCTGATTCCCAGGCAAGATTTTCCTTTAATTACACCATGAGAGAAATTGGTGCCAAGAACTCTAGGATTCTGACAGCTGAGTATCAATCTTCTTTATTATGGTGTTGCTTAAGTCAAATGAACATACTTCCTTGAATACTACTTTCCTTATTTTGAAAGAAGAGTAAAATTCATCACACTTTAGAGTATGTTATGTAACTCAATAAAATATGACTTTATTGCATATATTATTATTGCTTATTGCTTTGTGTTATTTATCAATATTTAATTATTTATTTCAATAAACCTGTTTGGGGTCATTTTATTTATTCAGCGCCCAGTCTTCAGGGAATAGTGAAAAATTGTCAAGACATGTTCTTATATATATTATGTGTAACCAGAACACATTCGAACACAGGTGTATAAAATTATAATCAATAATTTGAAATACTGGTGGTAAGAGAATATGTTGTGTTCATAGGGACATTTTAAATCTTATTGTACCTTTCTTCAGAATTGTAGTTAAAGCATTATTCCTAGAGATGTAAGTGGAAGTTATAAAAACTGACATTATTCATTTATTCAAATGTCTAAACTTGTAGATGACTTTTCAAAGACTTCCGTAAGCCACCTTATTTTGTACTACTCCATAGAGAGCCTTCTCTATTGTCATTATTGAAAGAATATGATTACATAGACTCCAGCAGATGGGGTAGGGATTATTTTTGACTCATACTTACAAGATATTTTTGATAAGAGGTTACTGGGCATACTTATAGGGTACATGGACTTCAATTAAAAAATCATTCTTCACAAGTATAAATACTATAGTTGAGTAAGATTTGATGGCTAACTGAATTCACAATTAAAACTAGATTTAATCAATGGATGGCTGAAGAATGCTCACAAATATGAAAATAAATTTGTTAAGTGTCCTCTCAACATTTTCTGTTAACAAAAAACATAACAAGGAAAATAGAAATATAGGGAACAAAATTTTGGTGTTTGTGGATGTAGATATTAGTTTCTATAGTGTGTTTTAGTAATTATGATAAAATAAATCAGGGAAATTAGTCTGTTTGCTGTAAAGAAGGGAGCTGTCCATTCAAAACAACTTATTAGTGATGGGAGCTGGTAAGTTTTCAGGCTTAAATCTGTAAGTAAATCTTTCATAGCTCTAGGAAGAAACTCTCAGTAAATAAAACATATTTGTTGAAGTCATCATGATCTTTTCAAATTTAGGACGAATGCACTATTCCTTTTTGATTCTTCACGCCAGCCATTTGAATTTTAAAGCCATTTTCCCAAAGCTGGTTGCCTTTCTACTATCAACTTTTTCCTCTACAGTCTCTTTAAATGACAGTTTAAGTGAATGTAATATTAATACAATATGTAAAATGTAGTTTAATTTTTGTTTGTTTATTAGCTTTGAGTTGGGGAAATCTCTGTCCAAAGAGTTATATCCAAACTAGTTTTTGTCATTAGTGAGTACCAGACTTCCCTACACAATGTGGAATAAATGCTTTGAGAGGGCATTGAATGTGTCTGTAGTTCCCAGGCATGTTTCAGTTCCAAGGTTTACTCAGTGAATAAAATGCTTATCCTCGCCTGTGGAGCGCTATGTGCTTTGGAAGTGTTTCCATCTCAAACATGTAACTGGTTGTGATAAGACCATGGAAACTTTTAGTACCATTTCTCTCCACTCCCTCTCCCTCCTCTTAGTGGAACAGACAAGTTCCTCAGTGCCAAATCTACAAGCTTACAATGTCCCTATTGAACTAAAAGCATACTCATATCATACATAATGCTTCTTTTGTTTACCCACCTAAACTATTCATTATGATAAAAAAAAAATAGCCTAACAGAATAAATTGAAAGAAAATATATAGAATACTTCCTTCAGAAACTAGTCATAAATACAAATTTAGAAATATTGCGCATTCATTTGGATACTACCTGTTCAAGTTATACCTACATTTATTTGTGCTCTAGATTGATACTGGAAATTTTCAAATGTGTATTTGTCAGATCTTCTTTGACGCATCTTAAATAGCCTGGCACCACGGTTACTGAGATGGGATAATTCTTCCAACATGATGTCTCTGGGGATGCTGACCTTTTTGCCCAGGTCCATGCCATCAACATCTGTAAAACAATATTCATATGAGTAAAAATCCCAAGGTAAGCATTTTTAATGCTTTTATAAATTTCTTAATTCTAAAATTCCACCACTTTCTAATTGCATAATCATAAGTATGTCATTTATTTTCTCTAAACCTCAGTTCCTTCATCTCTAAAGTGGAGCTAATAATACTAATACCTATTGCAAAGCATTAATATGAGAATGAAATAAAAATGCTTCATGTAAAGCATGTAGCCTGGTACCTGGCACATAGTGTGAATTAAAAAGTTAGCTGTAATTACTACTAGTACAATTTAGTCTTTCCATATAGAATGAGCTTGCAAATAGCATGGCTTCATAGTTACATTCATAAACTCTGTTTTGCTCCCCACATTTTTATGTGTCAGCTTTAGCTATCCCCCTACTGAAATGCCTACCCTCCCACTCCACCCCACCCCATTTCCCAGACTCGGTCAAAATACTATTTATTCTGCATCTAGCACTGAGTAACCTCCATAAAGTAGGCAGATGATAAGTATTGAGTGAACTTTTTCCCCAATCCAGCTCAAATGCCATTTATATTAATTTCTTACCTAAAATTTTTATTCATAATTACTCATTCATTCTCTATATTTCCATAACACTGAATCACATATATTTGATTTTGTTTTATTTGTTTTATGGTTTGCATTTTCTTTAGGTTTTACTTTCTGTGTCTCCCATACCTTAAATATATCAGATATTCAGTAAATGAGTGTTATTTCCTATTTCTTTTACTAAACAGTTTTTCCAAAATCCAAAAGAGATACAATCTTTCCACTTGCTTCTTTAATCACTAATATATTTCTGTAATACCCACAGAGTCTTTTTGCCACAGTTGACTACCGTTAAATGCATAGGAAGAAAAATTGGGCCATTAGGAAAATAAATAATTATTTTGATTGGGGCAACATTCTTTGATGATATATTAACCATAACAATTAAGCTTTTGGGATAAAACAACAGAATTACTTGTTAAATTTTCTCCCCACTTTTCTTTTGAGAGAAAAATTAGTTTACCTGTTTTGTTTTTACAGGTAAAATTAGAGGAGTCCACTAATTATAAAAGTCACAATATCAAGATTTTTGCTTCTGGGAAGATGAAGTAGATGTGTTTTTTCCTGTAAAGCTATTAAATACAACCTCACATGTTGGACATTATAAGTAAATAAATAAAAGACTCTGAAAGTGTAAAGAAATAGGCAGACAAGCTAGGGACCCCAGGACCCAAGGAACAACATGGTGATTAATACTCTGGGTGTTCTTTTAGCCCCTAAATCTCAGACTTGAAGCTGAAGATGATGGCAACCCAGAAACACCAAGAGGTCCAGACAGACAAAGCACCAACGAAAGGCTGTTCTCTCCAGCTAAAGGACCAGGAAAGGAGCTGCCTCTGCAAGACAGAAAATGTTTAGACAATGGCTGCGCTACTTTAGCCAACCACCACAGAAAACACTTTGACTTCGCTCTCACCCACGTTAAGATCTTGTGGGGAGCCCAGAATTTCACCCTGTGAGGCTGTAACAAGTTTCTCCAATACTCCCACTAGGGTGGTGTCAGAGAGACCGAGTGGGAAGTTGGGACTTTCATTCCTTTTGGCCAGTAACTAGCTCCTTGTCTCCGCAGTCTTAGTGAAGACTACGTGGGAGTCTGAACTCCTGTCCTCTCCCAGCAATAACAAAGAGGCTCCCCTCAAGTTTCAGTGGAGCCAAATAGGGAACCCAGACTTCTACATTCACCTGCAGTAATGAGTTGGCACTCCTGCTGGAGCAGTGTCAGATAAGAACAGATGAAAAAGAAGGTTTATTTAAAGAGCAAGCATCTCAGAACATAATGTGAAAATGTCCAGGCTTAAATTGAAAATCACTTATATATATTATGAAAATCACTTATACAAAGAACTAGAAAAATCTCAAACTGAATGAAAAATTAAAAAAAAAATCAAATGCCAACACTGGGATGACTGAGATATTAAAACTATCTGACAAATATTTTAAAGTACCCATAATTTAAAACAATGCTTCAGAAAGCAGTTAGGAAACCACTTGAAACAAATTCTTTAAATGGAAAGGTTTTTTTTTTTTTTGCCAATGACTCCATCAGCAGCAGCAAAAAAAAAAAAAAAAAAAATCTCAGTCGAGAAATAAAAGATATAAAGAACAAAACAAAAATTTTAGAACTCAAAATATAATAACCTGAGTAAAAAGCTCAGTGAATGGGCTCAATAGTAAAATAGAGGGGGCAAATGAGAAAAATCACTTAGCTGTTAGAATAGAATTTCCCCAATAAGACCAACACAGAGAAAAATAGACTTGAAAACAAATGAACGAGGTATTCTTAGGGATTCATGGGACTCTAATAAAAGATATAGCATTCATGTCATTGAAGTTCCAGAAGGAGAGGAAAAATAAGGGGAGGCTGGAAAAGTACTTAAAGAAATCACGGCTGAAAAATGTCCTAAAGTTGACAAGAGATATAAACTTACAGATTCGAGAAGCTAAGAGAACCCTAAACATAATAAACCTGAATAACTCACAACAAGACTTATAATTAAGCTTCTGAAAACTAAAGACAAAGAGAAAATATTGAAAGCCACCAGAGGAAAACAACTTACTTATATAAGGGGAAAATAACTAGAATAATAGTGGATTTCTCATCAGAAACCATGGAGGCCAAAAGGAAGTTGTACCATATTTTTCTAGGTGCTGCAAGAAAAGAATTGTCAACCCAGAATCCCATACCCAGTGAAATATATCCTGCAAGAAATAAAGGGGAACTTGAGACATCCTCAGATGAAGGAAAACTAAGAGAATTTGTTGCCTGAAAGCCTACCCTAAAAGAATGACTAAATGAAGTTTTCTTAAAACAGAAAGGAAACAATAAAAGAAGGAAGCCTGGAACATCAGAGATAAAGAAGGTATATAGTAAGCAGAAATATAGCTATATACAATAGGCTTCCCTTCTCCTCTTGGGCTTTCTAAATTATATTTTATTGTAGAAGCCAAAATTATAATACTGACTGATGTAAATGTATGTAGAAGAAATACTTAAGACAATTATTTTATAAACAGGAGAGGATAAAAAGACATCAAAGTAGATTTTTTTTTTTTTTGAGACAGAGTCTTACTCTGTCACCCAGGCTGGAGTGCAGTGACCCGATCTTGGCTCACTGCAACCTTCGCCTCCCAGGTTCAAGTGATTCTCCTGCCTCAGCCTCCCGAGTAGCTGGGATTACAAGTGCCTGCCACCACCACACCCAGCCAATTTTTGTTTTTTTAGTAGGGACGGGGTTTCTCCACGTTGGCCAGGCTGGTCTCGAACTCCTGACCTCAAGTGATCCGCCCACCTCGGTCTCCCAAAGTGCTGGGATTACAGGCATGAGCCACCGTGCCTGGCCAAAAGTAGATAAATTTTCTATACTTGCACTGGTAAAATGACAACATCAGTAGACTGTGATAAGTTATGCATATATAATGCAATACTTAGAGCAACTCCTGAAAGCTATATGAACAGATACATTTGAAAACACTATACCAAAATGAAACTCTGAAGTAATCTCCAGGAAGGCAGAAAAAAAAAACAGGAATGTAAAACAGAGATGACAAATAGAAAACTAAAAATAAAATTACATACTTAAGCTCTAAGACATTAATAAATTAAATGTAAATAATCTAAATACATCAATTGATGTCAGATTGGATTAAAGGTGAACCAACTATGGTTTGTTGGACGATGCTGCCTACATGAAACTCACTGCCTATGATAACATTATAAGCAAGTGAAAGTAACAGATTGGAAAAATATATATCAAGCAACATCAACCAAATATTACCTGATATTAATATCAGATAAAATCACAGCAACAAAGATTACCAGAAACAGAGGAGGGCATTATATAATGATTAAAGTGCGAATCCACAAAGATTGCCTAGAAATCCCAAATGTACATGCACCAAAAACAGAGCTATAAAATATTTAAAGTAAAAAAGTAGAACTAAAAGGAGAAATAGACAAATCTACAATTATAGTTGGAAACTTCAATCCCCCCATCTCAGCAGATGATAGAACAACTAGGCAGAAGAGCAGTAAGAATATAAAATTCTACAATATTAGCAACGAATAGGACTTAATTGACATTTATATTTTATTCAACAACAATAGAACACACATTTCTTTCAAGTGCCAGTGGAATATATATCAAGATAGACCATATCCTGGGCTATAAAATAAACCTCAACAAATTAAAATGGTTAAATTATTCAGATTGTTAGCGCTGATCACAATAAAACCGAACTAGAAATTAGTAACAGAATGATAACAGGAAAATCTCCAAACACTTGGAAACTAATCAACATACTTCTAAATAGTTCATGGGACAAAAAGGAAGTCTCAAAGGAAATTAAAAATTCAGTGAACTAAACGAATTTGAAAATACAGCATATCAAAATTTATGGGAAACAGTCAACACAGTGCTGAGAGGAATATTTATAGCACTAAATGCACAGTTAAAAAAGAAAAAAGTATCAAATCAATAAATAAGTGTCTACCCCAAAAAATCTAAAAAAAAAAGATGAACAAAATAAACTCAAAGCAAGCAGAACGAAAGAAATAGTAAAGATAAGAGCAGAAACCAGTGAAATAAAAAACAGAAAAACAACAGAGAAAATCAATGAAGTATGGAGCTGGTTTTTAAAAGATCAGTAAAATTGATAAATCTCTAGTAAGATTAACATGGAAAATATAGAGAAGACACAAATTAACAATATTAGGAACAAAATCAGAGATATCATTACAGACACTGCAGATAGCAAACAGATAATAAGAATATTAATACTACAAACAATTCTACATATAAATTCACATAAACTTGAGCACTTAGAAAAAATTGACCAGTTCCTCAAAAAGCACAAATTACCTCAGTTCACCCAACATGAAATGAGTACTTGATTAATTATATAACTATTCAGGCAATTCAATTTATAGTCTAAAAATCTCCTCACCCCACAAAAGGCTTCAGACTTAAATCATTTCACTGGAGAATTCTACCAAATATTTAAAGAACAATTATCACCAATGTCACATAATCTCTGCCCCAAAATAGAAGAGAGTTCTTCCTAGTTCATTTCATTAAGGTAATAATACACTGATACCAAAGCCAGAGAAAGACAACACACACAGACAGGCCAGGTGGGATGGCTCACGCCTGTAATCCTAGCAGTTTGGGAGGCCTGAGGCAGGTGTATTGCTTGAGCTCAAGAGTTCAAGACCAGCCTGAGCAACATGGTGAAACCAAGTCTCTACCAAAAACACACACACACACACACACACACACACACACACACACACACAGTTTTAGCTGGGCATGGTGGTGGGTTGGTCCCAGCTACTTGGGAGGCTGAGGTGGAAGGATCAGTTGAGCCTGGGAGGTGGTTGCAGTGAGCTGAGATCAGGCCACTGCACTCCAACATGGGAGACAGAGTGAGACCCTATCTCAAAAAAAAAAAAAAAAAAAAAAAACCACACACGCACACAGAAAAAATTACAAAACAATATCCCATATCCCACATACACGTAGAAGCAAAATCCTTAACATATTATTAGCAAATATAATTAAGCAATATATGAAAAGAATTTTATATCATGAGCCAGTGGGGTTTAATCCAGGGAGGCAAGGCTGTTTCACTATTCAAAGATCAATCAATGTAATTCACTATGTTAATAGGCTAAGGAAGAAAAATCACATTACTGTATCTTTGAGATCTAGAGCTAGGCAAAGATTCACCATGTTAATGGGCTAAGGAAGAAAAATCACTTTAGTATATCTTTGGGACCTAGGGCTAGGCAAAGAGTTGCTAAACAACACCAAAATCATGATCCATAAAAGGAATAATTGATAAACTGGACATCATCAAAATGAAAAACTTTTGCTCTGAGACAGACCCTACTAAGAGGATGAAAAGACAAGCTACAGAATGGGAAACAATATTTTCAAAACATGTAACCTTGAAAACAGTCTAGCATAAATACAGAACTATCAAAATTCACTATTAAAAAAGCAAACAATCCAATTAGAATGTGGGCCAAAACATGAAGAGGCATTTCAACTGAAGAAGATATACAGATGGCAAATAAGCATTTGAAAAGATGGTAAACATCATCAGTCACTAGGGAAATGCAAATTAAAATCACAATGATATATCACTATACACCTATCAGAATGTCTTTAATGAAAAATGATGACAGCACCATTTGCTGGTGAGGATGTGGAGAAACTGGGTCACTCATACATAGCTGCTGAAGATATAAAATGGTACAGACACTCTAGAAAACAATTTAATAAATTCTGTTATAAACTGAATGCAGAACTACCCTGCAATACTGGACATTTATCCCAGTGAAATGAAAACTTGTGTTCTTGAAAAATCATATACCCAAATGTTCATAGCATCTTCCTTCTTGATAATCAAAAACTGAAAACAACCCAGATGTACTTCAATGGGTAAACTATTAAAAACACTGTGGTCCATCCACAGCATGGTATTCAGCAACAAAAGGGAACAAATCATTGAGAACAAGACCCGGGTGAATCTCTAGAGAATTACACTGAATGAAAAAGCCATTCCCAAAAGGTTATATGCTGTATGATTCCATTTGTATATCATTCTTGAAATTACAGAAAAATTATAGAAATGGAGAGCAGAATAGTGATTGGTCAGGGTTTAAGGAGAGATGGGGCCTAGAGAGAAGTGGGTATGGCTATGAAAGGGCAACATGAGGGACCCTTATGGGAATGGAAATATTATGTCTCTTGACTGTATCAATGTCAATATTCTGGTTGTGATATTGTACTATAGTTTTGCTCGATGTTACCACTGGGAAAGGGCACATGGGATAGCCCTGTATTACATCTTAACAACTGCAGGTGAAACTATGATTATCTAAAAAAAACTCAAAATAAAAAATTTAATTAAGAGCTATCAAGCCATGAAAAGACATGAAGGATTCTTAAATGTATATTTCTAAGTAAAAGAAGCCAGTCGGAAAAATCTACTTACTGTATGATTCCAGCTATTTGACATTCTGGAAAAGACAAAACTAGAAGGTAGCATAAAGATCAGTAGTTGCCAGGGACTTGGAAGGAGGTAGAGAGAGACGGATGAATAAGTGGAGCATAGAGGATTTTTAGGGCCGAGAAACTATCCTGTGTGATGCTGTAATGGCAGATATACGACACTGCATTTGTGAAAGCCCGTAGAACTGCGTAACACAAAGAGTGAATCCTAATGTAAACTATGGACTTTAGTTAATGCTGTGGTTTGAATGTCTGTCCTTTCCAAAGCTCATGTTGAAATTTAATTGCCAGGCCAGGCGCGGTGGCTCACGCCTATAATCCCAGCACTTTGGGAGGCCCAGGTGGGCAGATCATGAGGTCAGGAGTTCGAGACCAGCCTGGCCAATGTGGTGAAACCGCATCTCTACTAAAAATACAAAAATTAGCCATGTGTGGTGGTGTGCACCTGTAATCCCAGCTACTCGGGAGGCTGAAGCAGGAGAATCGCTTGAACCTGGGAGGCAGAGGTTGCAGTGAGCTGAGATCAGGCCACTGCACTCCAGCCTAGGTGACAGAGCAAGACTCCATCTCAAAAAAAAAAAGAAAAAAGAAAGAAAGAAATTTAATTGCCATTGTAACAGTATTAAGAGCTCAGACCTTTAAAAGGTAATTAAGCCATGAGTACCCCACCCTCATGGGTGGGATTTGTGACCTTATAAAAAGATGAATTCAGCCCCCTTTTCTCTCTTGTCCTCTGCCATTTGATGACTCAGCAAAAAGACCCTCCCTTGATGCTGGCACCTTAATATTGGACTCCCTGGCCTCTGGAACCATGAACAATGTCTTTCATTATAAACTACCCAATCTCAGGTATTCTGTTATAGCAGCACAAAATGGAGTGCAACAGTTATCAATATTGGTTCATCAGTTGTTACAAATACACACTGATGCAAGATGCTAATAATAGAGGAAACAGCAGCGGGGAAGAAGTTTATACAGCAACTCATCGTACTTTCTCCCTCACTTTCCTGCAAGTCTAAAACTCTAAAAAATAAAGTCTATTATTAAAATGTTTAAAAATTTTTATACTTCTTCCTAATGCAATGCAGAACAGCTTTGTCTGGCTCTCTAGTATCCCCAAACAAAACAAAGCAAAATGCTGCACTTCACAGTCCCCAGGAATGGTAGAAATAGCCTATGGAAAAGGCATAAGAAAAACAGAGCAGAGTACATGAGGGTATTTTGCAACAATTTCCCGGGAGTTGCTCGTCAGCTTTGCTGAGTTCTACAGGGAATATTCACCCTTGCTTATTTG
This sequence comes from Homo sapiens, assembly GCF_000001405.40. Taxonomy (NCBI): domain Eukaryota; kingdom Metazoa; phylum Chordata; class Mammalia; order Primates; family Hominidae; genus Homo; species Homo sapiens. The sequence goes on along the minus strand of NC_000004.12, from coordinate 119,142,489 downwards.
CAAGTGTTTGGAGTCTCTGTCACTATGTGTTTGGACCATGGAAGGATGAGCAAGTTTATTTTTTAGTGTGTCTATGAATATCCCTCAACATACTAGACAATGTGATGGGGATGCGATATTTCAACTTTTTGATTCTGGATTCAAAATAGCAAGTTCAATTTAGATTATAAAAGATAGAAGAGACGTTACGCTCTTGAGGTTATTTATATCCATTGTAACTGTATAGGGAAAATATGTAATGTTCTACTACTGCATATCTGTTTCCAGCTCTGCATTTAGTGCTTCCATGGTGGTAGCTTGAATTTGGCCATGGTGGAAGCATTTATACCACAGAAATTTGCAAATTCTACAAATCAAAACATCCCTACTGCTGCCCCATTCAAGAAGCAATTGTTAAATATATAATAGCATACTAATGGGCACATCCATCAGTGTCAGGGATGTATTGCATAAACAAATAAAACACACAAACAAAATTTTCCAAGGTTTTCTTCCCTTCCCTTCCCTTCTAATAGTTAAATTTATGATGTCACTGGAGCAAGGGTTTCAGAACCATTTGTGAGTTAAGGAATCTAATGCATGATCACTCTCATTACTTAAACTTTCAGAGTCAAGAACGCTGTCAGCTGAGCACACAGATTCTAAGTTCAGCTGTTGCCTGCCCTTCGCTGCAAACCCTTGCACAGGTTCTTAACGGTGTGTTTAATCTTGATGCTTGATAAATGATATGTTTTATTTAGAATACATATCCTTGCCTTCATGGCTTAGAAGGTTGTCTTTGTGGCATTAGATCATCTATTAAAAATAAGGCCGGGCATGGTGGTTCATGCCTGTAATCCCAGCACTTTGGGAGGCTGAGGCAGGTGGATCACCTGAGGTCAGGAGTTTGAGATCAGCCCTGCCAACATGGCAAAATGTCTCTACTAAAAAAATACAAAAATTAGCCAAGCGTAGTGGCAGGCACCTGTAATTCCAGCTACTCGGGAGGCTGAGGCAGGAGAATCACTTGAACTCAGGAAGTGGAGGTTGCAGTGAGCGGAGATTGCACCACTGCACTCCAGCCTGGGCAACAGAGCAAGACTCCATCTCAAAAAAAAGAAAGAAAGAAAGAAAGAAAATAATATGGTTAGGTGTACTTTCTTATTGGTGTCATTTATACTGAGAACTTCAGTTAGATGAGTTAATCTAATCCATAGTTTGCAAAGACACTCACTTACAAATAATTGTAGTACGACAAAAGACCTTTTGAAACTGTTCTACCATGATTGGCAACTGCAATTACTAGAGGGTAGCTAGCTGAAGCTTATTTGCTTTAGGGTGGGCTTATTGATTATCTGCATTTGCACAGAACTCTTCCTCCTGTCCCTGGACAGTTGGCCTATGTAATTGAATAATAGTCCATAAAATATGTTCTTCTATAAAGTAACATGTATGTACATATTACATATAACATGTAAGATCATAGTCCAGACTGTGATTTTGGATAATGCCTTAAAACTCCAATTGATAAAAAGTTCTGTGATAATTATCTCTACATAAAAAAGTTGATTTTGAATACCATCTGTGATTCTTTATTTTCTTATTTCATATGTCTCTGTCTTGATTTGAGTTCTAAGGCTATTTTATAAAGTTTTCAAAAATTTGTCATTAATAAAAATATTATTTAAAAACTGTATAAATCTATAAACATTCAAAAAATGACATTACCAATGTATTGAATTATACAAACAGAATAATCTAGTTCTGTTTATAGGATGTATGTCTAAAACATATTTGAGTGAAAAAGCCTTCAAAGAAAGTTAGGATGATGGAATAACATAGCTAGAATTGAACTCTGCAATTTCAACTTCAGTGTAAAATACAATTTAGCCTAGTTCTCTTGTACTCATTTTCTGGAGTGCCTTATTAGGGGTTAGATGCTCAGAAAACTTATGAATTCACAAGATATGACTGCACACCAGTTTTCAAAATAAAACATGCAAACCTTTCTAGCTCTTATTTTTCTTGGGGCTATGAGAATGCTAATGTGAAAATTAAAACAAACCACAGAAAATTACCAAACTTGTACACTGAATCATTAAGTTCTTCTTCTATAAACTTTATATATTTGATAGGAGGTATGAAAGGCCTTTTTGGCATCTTCATTTTGATTTTGAAGATTTGATTAGTTACAGTTTAAGATACACTCCTACAAGAGAAGTAAAAGCGGTCTTCATGTAATCTTTCATCTGAAATTCTAGACTTTGTACTTTTTCAAGGAGTCCTTGCAATTTATGTCAATATTATCATTTCCTTTGTTACTGATAGAGAAACTCAAACACACTGATGTTTGGTTTCTGCACATAGCTCAGTAAATTAGAATCATGGAATTTTATAATTAGATGTATCAGCAAATCCAGCCTTCCTCATTTTCTGTGTGAAATCTGATGTCTCGTCTGGAACCCAGGACCCCTGGTACCACATTAACAACAGCACTCCATTTAGAACCTGGGCTTCCTGTTTTTAGACCACAAAGCTAAGCTCTCTTCCTGAAGTTAAAAAAACAACCTGCCCAGTTCTCTTCAGTGTGCTGGGGAAAGCTGTTGCCCAGTCATGAGGAGAAAAAAACAAACAAACAAAAAACGTACCAAAAAAAGCCCTCCTGGAACCCAGGTGAGAGGACTGTAGGGTGACTGAAGCTTACTTAGGAGGCACTGTGGTCTTCTCTATTTATGAAGCTCTTATTCTAAACTGTCAGCAATATCCATGCTTAAAGTCAGGGAACATCATACTCCCAGTTCTTCTTATGGTTTTTAAAATTCCAATTCCTTTCCCCCAGCATTTCTAAACAGATGCCAGTTTCTCTAGAGTGCCTCTCCTTATTTCATTCTGATTGCCCCATCTCTTTATCAGTTTAATACTTCCTATCCTTTTATCCTTTCCTACCTCTCTCTCTTCATTCAGTCTTCAAGTTTCACATGAGATACTGAACAAGAGAAAAATATGATTAATACTGGAAAATATGTACAGATTTAGGGGTAAATTGCACAAGGCTCATGGGTGGGGACTATCAGAGGCCATCTTTTCTTGTCTCCACAACTAATTCATGCATAGATAATGGCAAATTATCTTTTGTCTTTTACAATAGCACTTGTTAGATGGTAACAACTGTGGCTGAGATACTTTTATATAAAGCACAGAGGTTTGTCTCACAAGAGTAACCAGGACAGCTTTACCATTAGCTCTGCTTCCGGCCAAGGTGATGATGATGGTAATCATAACTATGATATAATGAGGAAGGTAAATCTAAAAGCAGGCAGCCTGCATGTTTGGGATGCTTTTTATTAGTCAATTGTTGGGAGTGTAGTATATTTGCTTCTAGTACATAATTTGAAACCAAATCACAATGGATTCAAAATGAGCAACAATTTGGGGTTGTGATTAGTGGAGGCTGGGAGTTATCCACCTCTCACTCATTCTATGCAGTTAGCATTATAATCTATATGAAGAGAATTTTTTAATAATTCTTTGAGGTTATCACTCCTGATGGAATGAGGGCTCTGATGTAAAACTCCCCATTTCTGGTTCTTATATTTTTCTAGTGATTTATCTCAAAGACTCACCGGCTGCAATCTCTTTCCCCTACAAGAATGGGATTGAATTTCCACCTCATGTTAAGAGGACAACAAGTGATTTAGCCAACTCATTGTCACATTTTATACTCCTCCAAGCTAAATGTTTTGGTAAGTAGTAATAAAAATTAAATGAGTTATGAGGCTGAAAAAAAATTCTGATGCACAAGGGGAAAGGAGAGAAGGCAGGAGAAGGGGATTTCGACTGGAACATCCTTTTCAATTTATCTTTATAAAGGACAATCCAGGCAAAATTTGATTTATTTAGTCTTACAATTAAGATCAAAGCAGTTGCATGTTTTATCTTAAATTATCCAGATTTTTACTCCTGTAAAATGTTTGAAAGTTTGGAGGATCATTCCCAAAAAAGTTTCTCTGAAGTCCATTTTATTATGCATCCTGAGAAAAAATTATACTCCCCTAGCTCCAGATCTCTAAACATCATGCTATACACAAATAGTAAAGTTCCATATAAAATGTCAGAGGAAATAAGAGAAGAAAAATATTTGAGCGGTTTCATAAAGTACTGAAGTTATTTCATCTGGGATGAGCTTGGAAAGAGTCTGATTATCCCCATGTTATCTGAAATACTTGACATTCCAACAAAGACAGAGCATGTGACTCCTCTTAAGGGAGCTGGTACTCATCCAGTGACATGGGAGGGAGGGCTTCAGCTGACTTTACGTGGCTAGGATTTACTGGTGGTGAGATAGTGGTTTTGAGGGTTTCCCCCACTTTGATATATAATTGTGTGTTTTCTCCCACATATTTTTTATAAAAACAATAGTTATGTTTATAAAAAAAAGGAAAAAAAACTTCTTACCCTTATAGATCTATGTCAGAGCTAACAGTAGATTCCAACACATGATTTAGGCTAGAATACATTAAATGGACTGACTGTTTTATGATTAGGATGTCATTAGAAAATAATAACATGAAAGGTCTATTTTAAGGTAAACAATTTTGTCACAAACTCCAGTGATCATCTGATTTTTGCCACATTGATCAGAAAAGCTAAAAAATAATTTCAAGTAAACTACTTGAATCTGGAAACACAAAGATGCATGAAATTTTAAATAAGGCATGAATTTTGGAACTTTGGATTGGTATGAATTCAGTTCTGGTATCTGACTCAGAATTATTCTCATTTTATTCCAAGCTAATTTGACATTACAGTAAAACATGAGAACCAAGTTGAATCCAGTACAGTGGTTCTGTATTGCAGAAAATAGAAAACAACAACGGACCTCTTAGTTATGATTACATTGCGTGGGGAGCATCTAAAAGTCTTTGATTCTGTTCCTCTTGCTTTATGGAAGGTGTAATATGAAAACATTATGCTCAATACTCTTCCCGGGTCTCAAGCTTCTAGGTCTCAATATTGTAGTGGTGAAAGGCTGCATTCCTTGTCAATACAGGGGAAATAAGGAGGCATTCTGAAAATGCCACTAATATATCTGGAATGGCTCAAATCAGCTCCTAAGAGGACCTGAATATTTTTCTTAACATTTAAAACTGATGCTATACGTTGCTTATAAACAAAGTTGAATTTCCTTTATAAGAATCAAAATGCAAGTTATAAAGCATTGCTTTCTCAAGTTAGTTGCTAGAATTTAAAGAAAAGGAGAGAGTGAAATATTACCTTGCACGTAATATATATTAAAATTTTTTTGAGTCATATGCTTTGAGACTACAATAACTTTATATTTTCTCAGAAGTTACAAATAAAAGTAGACTTTGCACACAAAATATGTTAGTAAATCAATTAACAAATATGAAGGGTTAAATAAATAAGCAATAGAAATGGAGTTAAATAATAAGCAATAAATATGAATTCCAACTTAATAGCTTGATAAAAAAGATGATAGAACTTATTTTGAGTGATTTATATAATGTAAGGTAAAAGAAATCAAGCTAAACCATGTGGGATGGACAATAAAGACAAGATTGTATGAGACTTGTCCAGAAAAAAAAAAGAATCGAGAGTGATCTTAACTTATAATGTGGAAGGCAAGCCAAGCAGAATGTACATCAGCTGTCAGATTGCTTCATGCCTTTTACAGCAGTTGTTCCTCTGAAAATAGCTTCCAAATGAGAAAGGATGACTACAAAAGGATTAGTTACCATAGGCTTTTCTACACCCCCTAGAGCTCCAGGTTTGTTATGACAGAACAGCAAGAATCTAAAGGAAGTAAACTATGGAATATTAAACAACGTCAGGATGGAGCCACATTCATGCTGTGCTATATTAATGCTACGAAGGATTTTTATTGATACCATTTCCATGGACTTCCTTCATGATGGCTGTTGCTTGCTGTTTTCTCTGCTTCATCATAGTATTATGTGATAGCATGGTTTTTTTGTTCCCTGTTAAAAACAAAGGGACATTATTGAGGCAATGTGAAGAACTCATTTGGAGTGTCTTATAATCACTGTTTTGAAAGACAACATCTTTGTTCTTTATTAAAAAGTTATTATCGCTTGCTACTGAAAGACTTCAATACGCATTCCTTATCTGGTGACAGAGTATGTTATTCATTGACAGGCAATGTCACAGTGAACAGAGACCCAGTCTGGACATTAATACAATGATCATCAGGCAGTGAGAAACAATGAAATTGCTGGTCTCCTTTCCCCTCCCTCTCTTTTCTCCACAGTATTTTAGTCTGTCATTGTCTCCTCACTGGCCTTCATTTGTACCAGCATCACACTCCATCAATTCCAGCAAACTGTAAGAATGAAGAAGACACTAGACTAAACCAGAATTCTTTGGTGGTAGCATTTTAATATTGGCAACAGCTGCCCTTTAAAGCAGAGAATGCCCATTTATGAGTCACAACTCTGAATATCCTTGGACAACTGACTAATGAAACATTTTAGGAAACAACATACTCACCTTGCTGTTAGATTGTGCTTTTTCAGCGGGGATGAATCCCAGTTTGTGGAGGAAGACTCTGGAGATGGACTATGGATGGCACTTGGGCCTGATGGTTTTTATCCTTGAACCTGGGACAGCATGGTCCCTACTCTGACTCAAACTGGGGACTGAGCTTTTCTGAAGAGACTGGCATTCAGCTGACATCAACTGGCTATATATAGCACCAAATACTTTAGCTACTCATATCTTCCTGGCGAAAGGGAGGAACAGGGAAAGATTAGGCTCTCTCCATTGTGTTTCTAGTTTGTGAGATGGTTAAATGAAACGTTCATTGGACATGCAGAAAGTTTTTAGTGAGCACTTTCTGTTGAACAGATAGTAGCCAAAAGGGATTTTAAACACTTTTAAACATCTAGCTCTTATGTTACATGTTAATTGAGGTGGCAAGAGACACATGCATGAATCAGAACAGAATGATAGATTTTTCATAATTAAAATGAACAATATAGGCAGTAATATCTATGTAGACTCAAGAAGAAAGGAAGTAATGTGGGGTGGATCAATAGAGCCAGTTCTTAAGCTGTAGTGAGAACTCATGCTAGGTTGAGAAAAGTATGTAGTATTTGAATAGTGAACTCAGGAAGCATTTTGAAATGAACCATTAGAGGATAAGCCATGAAGCTGGGTAAAAGCTGAGACTCATAACTGGGTCATGCTTTTTGAAGGGCCTACAGAGACCAGTCCCTGCAAAGTTGACCAGTCTTTACAATGTCTAGGGTCAAGGATTTTCATTTGCAGGCCTGACAAGATTTGAAAGGTTTGCCTGTCAAAAGGTTTGGCCTCCTTGATGGTCCCTGGACACAAAAACGTGCTCTCATCTCTGGGCTTTTCCTTTTACTGTTTCCCCCTTTCCTTTTACTATTTCCCCCTTTCCCTGGTTGAAATGGTGTCCTCAACAGATAATCATTATGTTAATTTTGGTTTCCAAAATGAAAATAGATACTGTATTCCTTTTACTATTTCCCCCTTCCATACTTTCCCTCTACTCACATGGCACAGTCATGCATTCAGGACTCTGCTCAGATAACAATCCCTCATAAAATCCTTCCCTTATCACCTTGTCTAAAATATCACACTGTGCCACTCTCTAGTCCCTTACTCTGCTTCATTTTCTTTATATTTTTCTATTAGTTAAGATAAAAGTCAAATGGGAGTGACAGAAACCCCCCCAAAACAGAACTGTAAAAAGATGGAAGATGTTTCTCTCACAGGTAAGCTTAGTCTAGAAGTAAGTAATTGAGGGTTTGCATGACTGACATAATTATCAAGGGCTCAGTTACCCTCTAACTTTTTGCTCCACTATCCCTAAAATGCAGACCCCTTGGGCCTAATTGGCTGCCCCAGCTCCAGTCAGCATGCATATATTTCAACCAGCAGGAAAAAGAAAAAAAAATGAGAAGGGAACACTGTCTTCTTTTCAGAACATGTCTGATATTTTGTTCATACTTCTGTTTACATCCCATTGGGCAGAACTTAGCCATATAGCCGTACATAACTCAAGAAAGGTTGGGAAGTGTAGCTTCTATTCTAGGTGGTCATGAGCCCAATTAAAATTCATACATAACTTACTAACAAAGAAATAATTGTTGCTGAGTGACAACTCAGTTTTTTCACTAAGAACATGCCAACATTATTCTATCTATCTATCTATCTATCTATCTATCTATCTATCTATCTATCTATCTATCTAGCAAAAGTTTATGTTATGTACAATTCTAAAGGTTGAAATGGCGTCCTCAACAGTTTTACTAGCACCTGTAATCCCAGCTACTCTGAAGGCTGGGGTGGGAAGATTGCTTGAGTCCAGGAGGTAGAGGTTGCATCTATTTATGTGATATCTCTTTTTTCTACTAAACTATGAATCCTATAATGGCTTGGGCTTTGTATCTTCAGCAGTTGGAATTGTATCTGGCATATGGTAAGCACTCAATATTCATTGAATGAATGAATAAATGAGTAGGTTGGAGATTAACTGCAGAATGCATTAAAGGTTTGGCATGAGTTTGGAATTCAAATGAACAGTCGCTTGAATGTACAAAGGTGGTGGCTATTTGTGGGAGGAATTGTATTTTATAAGATTGAAATCGGTTATACATTTTGGTGCCTGATCATAGGATTGAAAGTTTAAGGTTGTAAATCACAGCACTTTGGGAGGCCAAGGTGGGTGGATCGCTTGAGCCCAGGAGTTTGAGACCAGCCTAGGCCAGCTAGCAAAACTCTGCCTCTACCAAAAAAGCAAAAACAAAAACAAAAAACCCAAAAATTAGCCAGGTGAGTGGCATGCACCTATAATCTCAGCTACTCCAAAGGCTGGGGTGGGAAGATTGCTTGAGTCCAGGAGGTAGAGTTTGCAGTAATCCATGATCAAGCCACCGCACTCCAGCCCGGGCAAGACCAGACCTTGTTTAAAAAAAAAAAAAAAGAGAAAGCTAAAGGTTGTAGATAGCAGGTTTAAGCTAATCTAGCTAACCTATTGCAATTGTTTCTAAACAAACCATTTGCATTGAAAGTATAATTAGGTATCAAATGAGAAACAATTTTGCCAAAGCAAATAAATTTAAATTCCCTCTCAAAATCCCTTGAGTGCCCGTATGTTCCTGGCTGTAGCCTTTACCATAGTATGCTATTAGACAAGTCTTTTAAACTCTGTTTTCTCATCTGTAAAATGGTGATTACAGTATCTATCACATAAAGTCATGGACATTTTACATGGGACAATTTAGAAATTCCTTATACTTAGTAAAAATTTAATAAATGATTTTTTTCCTTTTGCTATTATTATTTCTGCAATATGGTAGGATTTAGAATTTTAGAGTAATCAACTGCATTATTCAGTTAAAAAAACCAAAGATTAAGAGAGTTCTGGTTTTCCTATTTGATCATCTTCATATGTTTCCAACTTTATGTTACATACAGTTCTAAAGGTTGAAATGGTGTCCTCAACAGATAATCATTGTTATATTAATTTTGGTTTCCAAAATGAAAATAGATACTGTATTTTAAAAGATTGTAAAAGTTTTAGTGAATATAAGGTCTTACACCTTTTTGTCTATTTTTCAAATAGATTGTACTTAAAATTCTCTTGCCTTATTTTATAAGTTCATTCTGGTCTCTGAGTTATTATCTGTTCTGAAAAAGAAGAAAGAACAAGTCACTGATGTTGCAGTCTTAAGATGGGATATGCTATCCATGTGCTTCACAGCACAAATGGTGAACTTTAAACAGAACTTTAATGGTTATTTACAAAGCATTTTCAGGTGGTCCATACTGAAAGCCAATGCCTTTTAATTTTAAATCAAGTCACAGTTAATCGATTTCTATTTCATCTGCACAGAGATCTGGTACTAGACAAAATTAAAATTCAGCCCAAATTCGTCATACTGAGATCATCGTTTGTCCTCAGCTCACACCCTCCCACCCCATGACCACACACACACACTATAGACTAGAAAAGGATGTCTCCTACCCCCAGAGACTCGATTCCTACCCTTGCCCTACTACTCATTCCTTCCCTTGAAGCTTCTCCTTCACCCCAGTTTAAGCAGAGTAGTACTTTATCTTTCTTTCAAGGCCCGAAGTATTTTAAAATAACTGGTGCTAAAGACAGAAGATACAATCTTTTCTTACAGGCAAAATAATAGGATTCTAATGGCAGAAACTTGTGCCTTAGGAGGCTAGTGAGAAAGAAGTTTTTGACAGAGATTTTCAACACCTCTATAACCAAACTATTTCCACTGCCGGGGCTGGCCACAGTTGCATTTCCAACTCCTTCACCACTTGCCAAAAGAGAAAAAAAGATTAAATAAAGTGACTTTTATTGCTATATTGCTACCTAACAAAAATCCACATCATGAGGACTCATGAAAGGCAACCTTATTCAGCCAGTGGTAAACATGAGCACTTTAGCCAACTGGTAAACAAAGTCTACATCGACCTTCCTCTAATTGAGCACTTGTTTTTTAATTCTGTGTTTCTCTTGTCCCATTGACAGTCTATATTAGGTGGCTGTGGGCAGTTAGAGATTAGGGGAGGATTGGGGAGGTAGGCAGAATGTGGGAACTCACCGTTTGCTAGGTGGGCAGACAAAACATTGCCATTATTGAGGCTCGGCTCTGGACTGAGGCACACATAACCCAAACAGGACAGCTGCCAGACCAGTGTTGAGTGACCAGTCTGAGGGGACAATCAGTTCTTTACCAGCCTTCAGGGCCTCAGTTACAGTGCTAACTCTGGGAGGAAGGAATCTGTTTGAAAATATAACAAAGGTGGTGTAAACAACTCACCTTTGGTGAGATTGTCTATGGAAGCATGGCCTTCGGTTTGTGCAAAATACTCTGTGCTTCATTCTTGATGCATAATTGGCCTGCTGTGTCTTCCATGGTTTCTATTTTCCTACACTGAGGAGGATCCAGCCTATAACTGACCTCCTTAGCAGGCCATAGCAAGGGCAGAATAGGAATAGGCATTGACGGGGTAATCATTCTACCAGCTAATGTGGGACAGCACAAAAAAGACAGATGAGTTTTCAACTGGTCTCATTACCATAAAGGCCTAAGGGTAACAAGAGTGTTAAGAGGAAAAATTCCAACCACTATTCAGTTAATGTTTGCTAGGCACGGTTAGCCCTGTTTTACAGATAAGAAAACTGAAGTTCTGAGAGAGTAAGTAAAACCCCCAAAGCGTCATACTTGTATGTTACAGAGACGGAATTACAAATTGGTTCTGTCTGATCTGAAGGCTTTTGTTTTTTTCACCATATTGTGCAGACATCTCTGTTTCCTTCATCTTCTCTAAATACCTCTGCATTGATATCTATATAACAAAAATGAAGCAGAGTTGAGAATTGTCAGAAAATTCTCCTTACTAATTTCCTCTGGAATTTAACATCCTAATATTAGGTTTATTTGGGGTGAGGTGCTTTTTACTTATAATATTTGTGGCTCTTTTCCAACTCATGTTTTTCTTGTTTGCAAACTTCTAGAGTTCCTCATGATGTCTATTCTCAGGGTGCTTTCCTTTCCTTCAGCTGTGCAAATACTAAAGTGATTAAAATGCCTAACATAAACAAATGGAAGCCATTTGCTGTGCAGACCTCTCCTTCCTTTCCTGGCCCATGTACCACACCATCACAAACACACTTACCACCTTCACTGCCAACAATGAGAATTAAATCTAACTCCATCCAAATAATTTGTTCATATGAAAGCCCCATGTTATACCTGTCTTTCTTTGTAAATTTATTTCTTTTACCGAAGTATTTCCTTCTAAGCTCTTAAATCGAGCCTTAAGATAAGCTGGGAAGAAGAAGGGATAAGCAGAGGCTGATGACCAGCTTGTCGAGGACATGAGCTAATGTAATAGGGTTGGGAACTTGGAAAGAAAGTTTCAAATACAGGAATATTAAGAAACAAGCTGCCAAAGCAAACCGCAAGTCACTTTTTTCCTTTGCTTGCATAATCCCAACACTTATCCAGAACTTTGTCACATTTCCTTTCACAATTAGAGCCAGGCTATAGTTTTCCTATATAGTACAGATTCAAAATACTGAAACTTTTTAAGTTTTCTCACCTGCAAGAAAATCTCGTCCTTCTCTTACATACAAATTTAGCATGACCTAATTAAGTTAAAAAGTTCAATAAAGAAAACATGAAGCTGTTTGTTCAAAAAAGAGTATATACAGGCCAGGCGCGGTGGCTCACGCCTGTAATCCCAGTACTTTGGGAGGCCGAGATGGGCGGATCACGAGGTCAGGAGATTGAGACCATCGTGGCTAACACGATGAAACCCCGTCTCTACTGAAAATACAAAAAAATTATCCGGGCATGGTGGCGGGCGCCTGTAATTCCAGCAGCTACTCGGGAGGCTGAGGCAGGAGAATGGCGTGAACCCGGGAGGCGGAGCTTGCAGTGAGCCAAGATTGCGCCACTGCACTCCAGCCTGGGCGACAGAGCAAGACTCCGTCTCCAAAAAAACAAAAAACAGAAAACAAACAAACAAAAACGTATATACAGCTGGGTGCAGTGGCTCACACCTGTAATCCCAACACTTTGGGAGGCTGAGGAGGGTGGATCATTTGAGGTCAGGAGTTTAAGACCAGCCTGACCAACATGGTGAAACCCTGTCTCCACTAAAATACCAAAATTAGCTGGTCATGGTGGTGGGTGCCATAATCTTAGCTACCCGGGAGGCTGAGGCAGGAGAATCGCTTGAACCCAGGAGTCCGAGGTTGCAGTGAGCCAAGATTGCACCACAGCACTCTAGCCTAGGTGACACAGTGAGACTCCCTCTCAAAAAAATAAAAATAAAAAAGAGTATATAGTCAAGAAATTTAGTGACAGAGCCTAGATCTCACAGCAATGTATCACATGCCAGAGCATCTGCAGCATGACTATAAAAGACGAACAAGCACATTATTAACAGTCCAAGGCTGTTGCATTGCTTAGTACTTATCATAATGCCTGGTATATATTGAGTAACAAATGTTAGCCATTATTGTTATTAGCATGAAAAACTTTAACTTTCATATAAAATTATGAAAAGATGTTATCAAAATATGTAAAGTCACTGTATTAGTCTATTCTCATGCTGCTGATAAAGACATACCAGAGACTGGGTAATTTATAAAGAAAAAGAGGTTTAACGGACTCACAGTTCCACGTGGCTGGGGAGACCTCACACTCATGGTAGAAGAGCAAGGGATGTCTTACATGGTGGCAGGTAAGAGAGAATGGGAGCCACACAGAAGGGGAAGCCTCTTATAAAATCATTAGATCTCATGAGATTTATTCACTACCATGAGAACAGTATGGGGGAAGCTGTCCCCATGATTCAATTATTTCCACCGGGTCCCTCCCACAACACATGGGAATTATGGGAGCTACAATTCAAGATGAGATTTGGGTGGGGACACAGCCAAACAATATCAGTCACCTTAAATAAAAATGGCTTAAACCCCATTTGCAGATGAGGCAGTGAGAGATTAAGTCACATGTTAAAGGTCACACACAGAGAAAAAATAGAATGGTTCCTTAACTGAGAAAGATATTGATGTAACTTGATTTGTGATATTATTAATATAAATAAAGCTTGTGTAGCTCAGAGGAGAGATTGCTGAGAAATAAGGCACCCAGCAATAAACAGTGAAGAACCTGGAATATTTGATAAGCGTATACTAATATGGACATGATATATTGATGAATTAGAACCTGATATCATTTACAAAATATGAGTTGTATAAATCTCTTTATTCTAATTTTATGCTTACCATCCAAACTTCCACTAATCCATTGGTTTTCCATGTAGTTTGCTAGAATCCAAATCCACCTGCTTTTTCTCATTAAAGTATGCTGCAATTTGAGAGTAAAACATTCAGCGCCTAGTAAGTTTGTTGAATAAATGAATGAATGAATAAGAAAAAGAAAGACACTGGAACAGAAACGGAAGAGCAAAGTTCAAAAGAAAAGAGAATTTTTAGGCACTGCCAAGATCTGCACAAAAGTCACAGAGAAAGACACATGAGAAAAGGTCACTTGATTTGGCAAGAAGTAGGTCATCGGCAGAATTTAGAGACACTTCTGTAATGTGGTGGTAACAGAATCCAAATAGAAGGGATTTAAGATAAGAATGAGTGGATGGGAAGTGCATGCGGCAAATGGCAACTATGTATTTGAAAGGACTGGCTGTGAACTGAGGAGAGAGAGAGAGTTCAATTTCTAGAAGGGAAAGCAAGTTCTACAAGCATATGTGAGTTTGTGTGTGTGTGTGTATGTGTGTGTGTGTTTCAGAAGCAGAAACTTGAACATACTTAGAGATAAAAGAGAAACAAACACTGGTGTATAAAACAGTAATAATTCTGACGATGCGAGATTTGGGGTAGTTCACTTCCAAGGCTATGATGGTTGATTAGTGGAGAGAACCAGTGCTCTAATGTTTTATTCTTTAGTAGATGGAGTCACTTTGTAACCCCAGTGTTTAAAATAGTTCTGGCATATGGTAGGCATGTGGCAATATTTGTTGGATAATGCAGCATAACGCTTGGCATATAGCAGGAATGCAATGTATATTAGTTTTTTCTCTCACTCTTGGCTCAATCATCCATTCTTCATTCTTATCACCTGATTCCCTGATCTGCAGTGGTAGGGCAAGAAGGGATGGTGGTTTTGAGACCTTTAGCTCCGTTATTTTATATTAGTCCTCTTGAAACTGAAATGGTGTACATGCTCCAAAAACAAAGCTTCATTGCCTCTCAAAATAAACATGAACATTTTAAGTTAAAAATGCATCATCAATATTTCATTTTACTTGAAACATTTTATTCCTTGAGTCCAAAAGAATATATACTCCTGGTTTTCCTCCTCTACTTTTTCTCAGTGTATTCATTCAATAAGTATTTATTAAGCAACTGTCATATACCAGGTATATGACAGCTCTAGGTGTTGAGAGGTAAGTACAGTTTTGGGCCGGGCACGGTGGCTCACGCCTGTAATCCAAGCACTTTGGGAGGCTGAGGGGGGCGGATCACCTGAGATCGGGAGTTTAAGACCAGCCTGACTAACATAGAGAAACCCTGCCTCTGCTAAAAGTACAAAATTAGCCGGGCGTGGTGGCACATGCCTGTAATCCCAGGCAGGAGAATCGCTTAAACCCAGGAAGCGGATGTTGCGGTGAGCCAAGATCGTGCCATTGCACTCCAGCCTGGGCAACAAGAGCGAAACGCGAAACTCCATCTCAAAAAAAAAAAAAAGTAAGTACAATTTTAAAACTTTCCATTCCAATGGAGCTTATCTTCTAGTGGGAGAAACAGGCACTGGACAAGAAAAACTAGTGAAGTGTACTGTATGTTAGAGAATAAGAAGTATTATACTAAGAAAAAATAGTAGAGAAGCCAGGCAGCATTGTTTGGGGAGAAATTGTGATTTAGATAGGATGACCAAGGAAGGCCTCACTTAGAAGGTGGCATGTAAGTAAAGACCTGAAGGAAATGCAGAAGCAAGCCATGAGGATTTATTAAGGGAAGAATATCTCAGGCAGAATGAGCAGTTACAAAGGCCTTGAGGTGGGGATATAGTTAGGTATATTTGAAGGAAGTGAAGAGGCTAGTGTAACTAGAGCCATGTAAGGGAGAGAGAAGTTAGGAGGTAGCACAGGCCCATCAGCCATAGTACTTTGCTTTTGCTCTACCTGAGATAGGAAGCTGTGAGAGAGTTTTGCACAGAGAAAAGACAATACAACTTCCTGTCCTAACAGGACCACTGTGTTTGCTTTGTGGAGAATGGATCACAGTAAGACAAGGAGAGAAGCAAGGAGACCATTTAGAAAGCTATGTGATAATCTAGGAAAGATAGAGGGTGGCTTGGTTCTACGTGCACTGATGCATGTGTAGGTGGTGAGATGTGGTCAGATTCTGGAAGGCAGAACCAATAGGATTTGCTGATGGATTGGATATTAGGATGTGAGAGGGAGAATGACTGCAAGTTTGGGGACCTGAGCAATGGGAAGGACAGAGTTGCTATTCTCTGAGATTTGGAAGACTCTAAAAAGATTGAGTTTTGAAGAGAATGTCAGAAATTCAAATTTGAACATTAATTTTGAGATGTCTAAATGGGACATCATTGAGAAATGAATAAATGGAAAAACAATATAAGAGAACATAGTCTGCTTGCTATATGAGTACTGCTTCAAGACTTGTTTCCAAGTGGAGACATAAAGTAACCAACTGGATTTTAGAACTTGAATTTTAGAGAAGTCTGGGATACAAATATAAATTTGAGAGTGTTCAGCACTTGTATTTAAAGCCTTGAGATGGTTCCTATTCTGCAATTCAAGCTCTTAATGTTGAAATACTGCAGGGCTCAGTCTTTGAACCTTTTCTCTTTTCTGCCTACACTCTGTTATCTCTTGTTCTTTCCTCTTTTTCTATATTCCTTATCAAATCTGGTCAGCAAATCTGGAATATATTTGCAACTGAAATGCTCTCATGAAGTTTACTGTTATCACCCTGATCCATCTCTCTTGCCTAGATTATTGCAATAACCTAATAACTGATGACCTACTTCCATGCATATCTTACTTCAGTCTCTTCTCACAAGGTAGCCAGAACCTTTTAAAATTTTAAATCAGACAGTTCAACTCCTCTGCTCAAAATGCTCCAGTGGTTTCCTATTTTAGGCAGAGTAAATGCCAGTTCTCATCATGACCTAAAAATGCCAGTCCTTATATTGGCCTAAAAATGCCCTATGCAATCTTATATTCTGATAACTCTCTGGCTACACCTATTCTTAACTCTCTTGCTCTTACTGCAGTAGCCCCAGCTTCTTTGCTTTTCTCAGACATCCCAGGTTATTTTCTCTGCCTGAAGCGCTGTCCGCATATCTGCACCACTTTCTCTCAAACCACTTTGAGGTTTTCACTCAATGCCACCTTCTCCGTGGTGCATTTCTTGACTTTCCACTTTAAAAAATCAAAACCCTCCACCCCAGAACTCACTATTCTTCCCTGAATTATTTTTCTTCATAATGCTTATCACTATCTAACATATTAATGTCATATTAATGAAAGTATGGATCATTGCCTGTTTTGTTCTCTGGTTAATTCCCTAGCACCAAGAATAGTGTCTGACACATAGTTGACATGTAATTGACTTTTTGTCTTGTTTTGTTTTGTTTTTGAGATAGAGTCTCGCTCTGTTGTCAGGCTGGAGTGCAGTGGTGCAATCTTGGCTCACTGCAACCTCCGCCTCCTGGATTCAAGTGATTCTCCTGCCTCAGCCTCCCGAGTAGCTAGGACTACAGGCGTGCACCACCACGCCCAGCTAATTTTTATATTTTTAGTAGAGACGGGGTTTCACCATGTTGGCCAGGATGGTCTCGGTCTCTTGACCTCGTGATCTGCCCACCTCAGCCTCCCAAACTGCTGGGATTACAGGCGTGAGCCACCACACCCGGGCAATATTTTTTATAAATGGAAGAATGAATAAATGGAATAAACATGCAATCTAAGAGAACATAGTCTCCTTGCCATATGAGTGTTGCTTCAGGACTAGTTTCCCACCTAGACCCTCTTCCCTCAAATTTCCTTCTAGGCTCCTTCTAAATAAAATGCTGAAATGCCCATAGATGGTACATGCAGTAGGGAGTACATGCAGTTGGGGCTCAAGAGGCCTCTTTAGGGCATACCTATGGCAGGCATTTATAAAAATGAGGAAAATATGGTTCCTGTTTTCAAGAAATTCATAGTCCAATTGAGAATACAGTTGTGTAAGAGCATGTGACTTGCATTAAAAGAAAACATTTTAAATATTCACAACTTTCCCTTTGACTGCCAGTTCTTAAAGAGCTTGGAGTTTTGTGAGCCTTGGGCAGCTGACAAAAAAGCCTGTGGTTTTTGTTGATCTGATAAGGGTAATGAGGAGAACTGCAGATTTCAAAGAAGCTGGGCAAGTTTGATTGATTTACATTAAAAAGGGGGAGGAGTGTCTCAAGAAAGTTTTTCTTCTTGAAGAAGCAAGGCCAGATGGGAAAGGAAGGAATTGGGTGGTATTAGTAAGAGGAAGGAGTATGATTAACAAATAAGTATGCACTGACATTTTGGCAATAAGGTGCATGGGGTGGCGGGGGAGTGGGGAAGAAAACAAGCTTCTATAAGGATTAGAGAAAACGGAGTGAGGCAAAGGAAATGTCCTGGTTTTCTTCTTAAAATATCTCAGTTTTAAGATCACTTTTTTCCTTTGAAAGCATCTAAATGACTTGATTGCAAATGTACCTCTGAGAACCTGAATGAATTTAGTGTTGCTATTTGACTGTTGGAAAATGTCTTCTTTCAAAAGGATTATTTCAGTTTTGCCTATTTACTATACAGTAGTCCATTCTATTAAAAGAAAAACTTTGGACAGATTACATTTAACAGAGTTTAATTGAACAAAGAACAATTCTCTAATAGGAAAACACTCAGAACCAGAAGAGGTTCAGAGAACTCTGCTCGACAATGTGGACAGGCAATATTTACAGATAGAGAAAAAGAAGTGAGGTACAGAAATAGCTAGATTAGTTACAGCTCTCAGTTTGCTGTATTTGTGCATGGTCTGATCAGGTATCAATCTGAGATTGGCTGAAGCTCAGCTTCTGTGATGGCTGAGACTCAGCCATTTGTTACAAAAGAATATACTACTAAATCAGGCTTTCAGTTTATTTAGGTACCAAGCTAGGTTGCAATTCCTTATGACTATAAGCAGCAAAGATCATGGGGCTAAAAACTGTTCCTGGTTTTAATCAAACTGTGTCATGAGCTAGAGGAGAATGTTTGTGAAGGGATCAATTGTATCCAGCACTTTTACAAATGAAATCTGTGAATCTATCTATACATGAAACTTCTGTCTCGTAGGTATTGCATTTGTACTTTCATTAATTACTCTAATACTTTCTTCCCTCTTTTTCTCTTTTGCTGTTTTCCTTTTTGTTTTATTTTTTGGCTTAAATTTGATGTTATGATATTTTTATACCATAACAATTGTAAAATGTTATTAATATCTCCTGTTTTTCCCTTTTTACTTTTCATCCTTTTGTGCACGGACCCATTAGCTAACTGATGAGACAGCTCAAGGGAATTCTGAGTTTGGGATTTCTGGAACAAATTGGTGGGTGAGGATATGTTATAAAAAATCTCCACAGTTCATTCTGATAATTTATTGACTAGAATACTGGGGCTCTGGGACTATTGTGCAAATAATCAGAAGATCCCGGTTGATTCTAAGGACAGGGAAATATGTATGCAGTTGGCTCTCTGAATTTGTGGGTTCAGTATCCACAAATCCACAACCAACCCTGGATCAAAAATACATTTAAAAAATAAAAAAAGGCAATATAACGATTTAAAAAAACACAAAACCAATACAACTGTTTTTAAGTATTAACATTGTATTAGGTATTATAAGTAATCTAGAGATAATTTAAAGTATACAAGAGAATGTGCATAGGTAATATGCAAATAGTACACCATAAGAGACTTGAACATATATGGATTTATTATACAAGTGGGGGAAGGAGTCCTGGAATCATCCCTGTGGATACTGAAGGATGACTATCTATAGAGGGAAGCATCATCATCACCACCATCATCATCACCACCATCACCATTCCCATCAAGCTGTTTTCTTCATTGTAGCAGCTATGATTTCTATACCACTTATGATGTGTCATGGACTGTTCTTGGTGTTTCTTGTACATTGACTCTTTCGTTTTCACAACACTCCAGATAAACACTGTTATCATCTACATTGTATAGGTAAGGAAACAGAGACAAACAAAACAAAGTAATTTTCCTTGCCTTCGGTTACACAGCTCATGAGCGATGTTGCCACAACTCAAACCCAGACAGTCTGGCATTACAGTATCTGCCCTTTACATGAGGGTCTTTAAATGAGGGTCTAAACTTCATATTAATATTAATGGGGAATTAATATTTCTCCATTAAATTTAAAACTCCTTGAAGGCCGACATGTCTCTTATTCCTACTGGCGTGCCTGTTACCTTATGCACACTGGGTGCGAAGTTTGTACTTGCTGTGAAAACAAATGAATATGTTTTAGGAATGAAGCCATTAGCAAAGGAAAGAGAAAGACCTGAATAACAAATTTAGCTGATTCTGAGGCAGATTCTACTTCCTGTGTGCAGAAAATTTACGAAGAAGCCATGAATCTCTGGAAACATTCTGGAAACCTAGGATTGAAGTATAAAATCTGTAAGTACTGTCTCTCAACTCCTCTAGACAAAAATCCTTTACATACTCTGTGCCAGACACTATACACACTGGGCACACAAAAGTGAATAACATCCAGTCTCTGATCTCTTGCAAATCAGGGATACGGATTAATTTTAGAAAACAATACAGATCAGTTATCTCATAATTACAATATCCTGTAATTGGAGCTATGGTAAAGTAAGCACAGATACCATCAACCATTAGTCGAAAGGCCTCTCTCAGGGCAGGTGAGCTTCAAAGAGGTGCTCTTTGCTTTGGGATGATGCAGCCTGAACCATCTAATCTTCAGGATTTTTATTCAAGGCACATACTGCGCAGCATATGCAGGAACTTTGCCAATGTGGGAGATTTTGCACCAAAACCTGGCCTACTCAGCTAGGGGGTAGGAGGGAGCTCCAGGAGAGACAGGAAAGTAAAGCTAAGGATTCTTCCTAAGGTGTAAGACACGCCCCTCCCAACAGCCAAGTCTTTCCTTATGCATGCCCCCGCCTGCAATAAGGTACAGCAACTGAAAATGCCCTCTGTGGCCGGGCGCCGTGGCTCACGCCTGTAATCCCAGCACTTTGGGAGGCCGAGGAGGGCGGATCACGAGGTCAGGAGACAGAGACCATCCTGGCTAACACGGTGAAACCCCGTCTCTACTAAAAATACAAAAAGATAGCCGGGCGTGGTGGCGGGTGCCTTTAGTCCCAGCTACTCGGGAGGCTGAGGCAAGAGAATGGCATGAACCCAGGAGGCGGAGTTTCCAGTGAGCCAAGATTGCGCCACTGCACTCCAGCCTGGGCGACAGAGCGAGACTCCGTCTCAAAAAAAAAGAAAAGAGAAAAAAGAAAATGCCCTCTGTGTGAAGAAAGGCCCAGATAAATTTAACTCTGTCCCTCAGACAACAGAAATAGAAGAATTTTTCACTTAAGAGTTTGTCCTTTACCAAGTTTACTAAGAAATTACAGAAGTTAAAAACTTGCTTATTTAGTAAATAGCCTATGTATTTAGAAATAGTTTTCTTTTCTAATGGTCTCTTTTCCCCATTTTATTATGAAAATATGAGAGTTATATGTAAGTTACAAAGTATAATTTTAAAATGAATACTTTTGAAAGCATTGCTCAACTTAAGAAATAGAATATTATTATGCTATTGAAGATCATTATCTGTCCCATTGCATCTACTGCTGTTTCCTTGTCTCTCCCCAGAAATACCCACTGATACATATTTTAAGTATTCTTCAGCAACTTTTTTTCACTGAAAAAAAAAATTTAAAATCCATCCATGTAATATGTAGCTGTAGTTTACTCATTTTTCACTACAGTTTAGTTCTCCATTCTATGAATATGCTCTATCACATTTAACAATCCAATATCTTATTGACAGACATTTGGTCTTTGACTTTGCAAGCAATGCTGCTACCAACACTCTTGTACATGTTTCTTGGAAACTTGTGCAAAAGCTTTTCTAGAGAATTAACCTAGGAGTTAAAATCATAGATAGTAATGATTGTACCAATTTATTTTCTCACCTGGAGAGTAGGTTAGACTCTAGTGTTGTTACCATCCATGTGGGCATGAACTGGTATATTGTGGTTTCATTTGTATCTCTCTGGTTACTAAAATGACATCATGTTCTTTTCCAATGTTTATTGGGACATTCATTCATATTTTCTCTTCCAAAATATATCTGTTCCTATTTTTGTCTATTTTTCTATTGGGTTATTTGCCATCTTCATCTTGATTTTTTAAGGAATTGATAAATAGTCTGGTTACTGATCCTTTGTTAGCTATTTGTGTGGCAAAAATCTTCGTTCAGATTCTGGTTTGCCTTTTCAACTTTGTTTTAACAGTTAAAAAAATTCCTGGGTGAAACAAAAGTTTAACCTTTTATGTGTTTGAGTATATCAATCTTTTACTTTATGGTTGATGCTTTTTCTGTCTTTCCTAACCTGAAGTCATAGACATATTCTATTCTATTTTCTTCCAAAACTTACAAAATTTTCCTCTTTCACATTCAAGACTGTACTCCATCTGAAATTAATTTCTTATGGGGTATGAAGTAGCAATCCAATTTCATTTAATTTTTTTTTTTTTTTAAGATGGAGTTTCCTTCTGTCGCTGGCTGGAGTGCAATGGCATGATCTTGGCTCACCACAACCTCCAGCTCCCGGATTCAAGAGATTCTCCTGCCTCAGCCTCCCAAGTAGCTGGGACTACAGGTGCCTGCCACCACGCCCAGCTAATTTTTGTATTTTTAGTAGAGACCGGGTTTCACCATATTGGCCAGGATGGTCTTGATCTCTTGGCCTCGTGATCCACCCACCTCGGCCTCCCAAAATGCTGGGATTACAGGCGTGAGCCACCACGCCAGTCAATCCAATTTAATTTTATACTCACATGGATAACACTTGTCCTAGCTTAATTATTGAATTGTCCATCTTTTCTAGCACTTGTTCTTCCTCTATAAGAAGATCTTGGTTTATCTTGGCTCTTCCATATACATTTTAGAATCATGTTGTGAAGGTCAAGAACCGTGAAGATGCTGAAATTTTTACCCTACTTACGAAACCAACATGTTAGTTCCGTGGATGGAGTTCCACGATGCTGGAAGAAGACATGAACTCCTGGGTCAGAGATAAAGGACTTTACTTAAGGAAGAGCAAGCAGCGTGAGTTTTGTATTAGCATCAGTTCTTGTCTCTTAAGTCCCATGGGGGTGATGCAGATGGGCTCAGATGGATGCCTGCATATACACTGTAATGGGTTGCATTATAGGAGAACCCTGAACTTGGGGAAACTGAATTGTTTATATTGGGCAGTAAGTAAACCTGCCTTTTCCTCTGAAAGAGACACTACCTTCTTTATATTAGACAATAAATTAAACTGCTCTTTGCTGCAGAGGAGGATACCATATTGTCTAAGGCTGTTCACTATACAGACATCCCTGATAAGACAGTCCAGAACAAAGGGCAATCAGTGTCTCTCTTATCTTTTAATTTTTAAAGCATTCACTTATTAATTTAAAAATCTCTGTTATACCTGCAGTACTCCCACTTCTCATTCCTAGTAGCTTATTTTTACTTCATCACTTTTTCCCTTATTCAATCTTACCAGAGGTTTGTTCAGTTTGTCAATGTTTCCAAATACCAACACTTCATTTTATTGCTTCTGTACTTGACTTTTTTTTTTTATTTCATAGCTTTCTGTTCTTTTTGATATTATTTTCCTTTTCCAACTTTCATCGGGTTCATTTATTATTTAGTTATGGTAGTTAAAATTTTTTATGATACCTTTCTCTTTAACTCCTGAATCACCAGAATTGTGTTTAAAAATTTGCAAACAGAAATAATTATTTTTAGCTATTATTTTAATTTATGTGTTTTCATGATAAGCTCTCAGCTGTAAAAAAAAAAAAAAACAAATTTGAGAGGGCTGAACACAATACAAGTTTATTTCTTATTCATTCGAAGTCCAACATAAATGTTTCTATATATGACACAGAAAGCAAGTTCCTTCCCTTTGAGATTGCCAACATTCTCAACAAGTATCCCTGTGTGCTTTTGATGAAGAGGAAGGAACAGTATGGAAGATTTCACAGGATATTCTGTGGTCAGGCCTGCAAGTACATGCGTCACTTCTGCCCACATTCATAAGGACAGAGCTAAGTCTCATAAATACAAGGAAGGTGAAAATGTGATTTAACTGTATGCCTAGCACAGAAAGGAGAATCAGAATCCCTGCCACATTTTCTAATGTAACTACATTATGGTCATAACATGTGTTCTGTATGATATCAGTTCTTTGAAAAATTTAAGACACAGCCCATTTTTGCAAGTGTTTTTTTGTGTGTGTTGGAAAATAATGTATATTTTCCAATTACTAAATGCAAGTGTCTGTATATGTATATCAACTAAATCAAAGTTGTTGATTTTATTGTTCAAATTATTTGCATCCTATTGGTTTTCCTTACCTACTTTATGCATTAATAGCTAAGAGATATGTATTAAAAATTTCCCACAGTGTTGGTGGATTTGTCAATTTCTCCATAGGTTTTAAAATTTATATGCAATTTATTTTGAGGCTATGATATTAAACAATGTAAATTTGCAAATGTGATCTCTTTTTATTATATTCTTTATTTTTATAGAGTTCTCTTATTAGTATTTTTTTCCTTTAAAGAATATTTTGACTGATATTAATTATGGTCATATTACTTTTTTTTTTTGGTTAAATTTGCCGGGTTCTCCTTCTGAAACTTTGATTAGATATTTTGGACTTTCTCACTCTATTCTTCTTGTGTCTTCAACTCTTTTAAAATATTTTGCATCTTTTTATCTCTATTGCTTTATTCTTTTTCTTCTTTTGCAGAAGAACATTCCATTTTATTAATTCTCTACTCCATTGTATCCAAGTTATTTAACCTTTACATTGAATTTTTACTTTTAATTATTATACTTTTTACTTCTAGGAGAACTTTGCCCTCAAATTCTGCCTGATTTCTTGCTGATTAGTCATATTTTTACCTCTTTCTTGTTTAAAAAATTTTTTTCCTTAAACACATAATTTTTCTAAAAAATTTATAATATATTCCCTATATTTGTACATTTCCAATATTCAAGTTTCTGTTGTTTATTATTTCTGTGACACTTGCATGCAATGGCTTAGTTCAAATGTATTTTGTGATTTTTTAAAATTGATTCTGAAGTTGTATTCGCAATAAAACACAATCCTTTGCACTTTTCTAATAAATACCAAGGTTGTGGATTCATTTCTCTAGGGAAAATCTGTGTTTCTTTTTGCCACATGTCTGCAGACATTACAGGTCTGGAACTAGTTTAAAATGAGTCCAGAAAGGAAAACTTTCAGCTTGTAATTTTCCTTACCATGTAAACAGTGCAAATTTTGATCCTAAATTCATGTCTGGACTTTCCAGTGGTACAGATTCTCAGGAGAGCCTTTTCTCCCACAGTCAAATCTTTGCCAGACACTTTTGCTTGCTGCCTTCCTGTGTGAGGGGTCATTTGTTTACTTATGTTGTTCTAGTGAACTCTTTTCCATGTGCTGACCTTCCTGCGCATGGCTTCTGTGCTGGTGGTCACTAATGAAACTCTCTGCTCTCTGAAAATGCAAAGTTCCCGGCAGCCTGGATGTGTGGGTACTCCCAGGGAACCCAGTTGCTGCAGTGCTCACTTATTTCCCTAAATTTAGATTCTTACTTAATTCCTGAGAGCCTCTTCCATTCATTTTAAAAGAGCTTTTAATATTTTATCTAACTTTTTTTCAATGACCTAAGACATGAATTTTTCTTTTATTTTTCCAACTTGCATTTAAATACAGTTGGAAAATAGTACAGATATTTGTAGGAGATACCATTTTTTTCAGTTTGTTACCAATGCTGAGTGCCTTAATGAATTGTGGATCTCTTGAAATGATTCCAACAATTGTCAGAATGGATGAACTTTCAATGGCAGATTGATTGGCATCACTGTTAAGAGGCACGTGAAAACCCAAAGCTAGCACTTCGACTAAGTGACGCTGTTAGCCTCTGGGGTGTCATGCCACTCTGTAGGGCTTGCTTTTTCTCATCTCGAATTGCATTAGTTTATCAATTATATCTTCCCAAGTAATATGTATTATAGATGTTCTAGGATGTATTAATCTTTTTGATCCCTAGGTGTTGTCTGGGACTACTTGAGCTCCTGCTAGTCACTTTTTTGAGTTTCTAGCAGTCTCATGTCATTACCCCAATATGCCATACTAATATCATTTTTCCACATGTACTCTTATAAAAAAGATTAAGAAGAATGGTCTAGCAGATCTTTTAACAGTCTTTCTGTCTCTAAAGCTGTTCATTCTAAAGATTCTATTAATGCACTTTTCTTCTCTGGGCACTTACTCATTGAATGAGCATATTGTATCCAAGAGAGAAGCGGATGGATTTTAGAGTTGCTTTGAACTGAAATCTTCAAAAGGAGTCACATATCTTTGTTAATGGGAAAAATCTTAAGAATTTGGTTCAAAATGACTTGGTTAGAACTACTGACGCCATTCTAGGAAAACAGTTGTGATGATTGGGACCAGCCAAGGCCCTTTATGGCTCCAAATTATATTCGCTCATAACTACTTCCATTGTGTTAGTTTACCTCCTCACTTGTTTTCCATGAGCGCAATATTCTAGAGGCAACTTAGAGGTCAACTTACGTGCCACATGTCCTTTCCTTTCTTTTTTTGTTTATATTTAACAGTGTGCTTTTGTCTTGCTTTATGTTTTCCATCCCTCTGTTTCCCTGCTAGTTTGAACAACGTGAAGAAGCAGAGCTTGATTTTACTTCCCCAGGATGCATACCTATAGAACATATCAAAAACAATGATTGGCTTTGCTAATACCTGAAAGTATGGAGCCCAACATGCTCTACTTCTGATTGTTACTAGCATGATTCTGAGTCAGGCTTTAAGGAGAATGCTTAATGCTCAACAACCCAGAGTTCAGTCTGGCTCTGAAGTAGCATTGCTTAGGCTGGGATGTTGTGTGCTGCTCAAAAAGCAGATTTCTGTCTCCACCTGAGTCCTACTGAATCTGAATCTCTATGAGCAAGAGGTCAGGGGATCTGCAGTTTTACAAAACTGTAGTTGTAACTGTAGGGACTATTTCTCTGGAAATGCAAGAAAGAGCAATTAATTTGTCTGGAAAATAGGGAAAGGGTTTGAAGAAGACATTACAGAAGAGTTTTTGTTTTTGTTTAGTTTGTCTTTGAAGGATGAATCAAATAATTGGCTGATGGGGAAGACCGGGACAGGATATTTCAGTCCGAAGGAGGGGCATGAGTAGAGGTGCAAGAGTGAGGCTCCGTGGCGTATTTTGAGAGCTGTAAGTGGTCTAATGTGACTAGGTTGATGCCTGAAACAGGATGAGGGTGGAGATAGGAATCACAGAAGGCGGGTCTGAAAAGCAGATTAGGACTGAATTGGAAAAACTCTTGAGTGGTGAGGAATTGCATTTTATTTCATAGGCAATAAAAGCCATCAAAGATTCATGATTAAAATGTAGGAAGATTTTCATTTTATAATATAACTGTGGGCCAGGCGCGGTGGCTCACTCCTGTAATCCCAGCACTTTGGGAGGCCGAGGCGGGCGGATCACGAGGTCGGGAGATCGAGACCATCCTGGCTAACACGATGAAATCCCGTCTCTACTAAAAATACAAAAAATTAGCCTGGCATGGTGGCAGGCGCCTGTAGTCCCAGCTACTCGGGAGGCTGAGGCAGGAGAATGGCGTGAAGCCGGGAGACCGAGCTTGCAGTGAGCGGAGATCATGCCACTGCACTCCTGCCTGGGCGACAGAGCGAGACTCCATCTCGAAAAATAATAATAATAATAATAATAATAATATAACTGTGACAGCAATTCAGGGAATGAATTCAAGGGAAATGAAACTAGAGGCAATGGGACCACCTGAAGATTATTAGAATAGCATGGAAGAATGATTTTAACATGGTAGCTGGGGAAATGGAGGAAAAGGGGATAGATTTGGGATCATTCATTGACTCAACAAATATTTGTTACTGTTTCATACATACTGAGCCCTATGCTAGCTACTAGAAAATAAGAAAAACAAATCATGAACTTCCTAAGATGAATACAATTATGTAGTGTGTGTGTGTGTACGCATTCATACGTATGAGTACAAGAAATATTTTTTACATAATGGTGTTCTCTTTGTGGAAGAAATAAATAATTTTGCTTTTCTTTATTAGACATTATTACTTTTTAAAAGTGTCTTTAAATAAATAGAATATGTTTTTAAATTTTTATAATTAAAAAATTTATATGATTTTTCCTCCAGGACCCTAGCTAGAAGACAGATTAATAGTTCTTGATTTAACCACTCTGTTACGTAGCTGTTCAATAATTTATTACATGTTCAAGGTCAAACTGATTATTTCACTCTTTTCTAAACTTTCCCTTATTCTTCATCTTTTATTTGAATGTTTCATAGCTACCCCTCCAACCACATCTAAGCAGTCACCAAGCCTTATTGATTTTTTTTAGCTCTTTATCTCTTTCATGAGGTTCATACTCATGTATACATCGGCATGAACTCTTAATCTAGATTACCTGGGCTCAAATCCCAGCTTTCACATTTGCTGAGTGCATCCCCACGAGCAAATTATTAAACATCTATGATTCTCAGTTTTCTCATCTGTATAATAGAATTAATATCAGTTCTTGACCCATAGGGTTGTTGTGAGGATTAAATGAGATAGTTTATGAAGGACACTAAAAGTAATACCCAGAGAGTAATTAGTGTTAGTTATTATTTGGATTATTTAGGAAAAAGAAAGGATTTTAGTCTTAAAAGATAAAAAATGTAACTTCATGAAACCCTTAAGAAGAAAAAAAAATGTCTTTGTTGCTTAGTTACCATAGAGAAGGTAACTTTTTACTGTGTTTTGATACAGGGATAAAAATGGTGCAAAACAATTAGAGTTTTCAATAAGAAGCATAACTAATATCCCAGTCATGTCTTCAGAATTTAGCTGACAGTTGTTGAAACACAGGTTGATAAGATAAAGAGCAAACCTAAGATGTTTCTTAAGACAGGGCTCTATTGTGTCCATGAGGACCATGAGGCTATTTTGCTCTTTTCCAGGCATAATAAATTATTTTGGATCTCTGGACTAGGAACTATGAGGACACATTCTCATTTAATGTCTTTAACCACTGCTTCCATTTTCTTATGACTAAGCATTGTGAAATCAAAAAGTTAACCACCTACAGGAAGTAGAAGCCTGGAATATGGAGTTTGGCTACATCCTCTCACTTGCTAGTGAGTCATATTGTTTATATCCTTTTTCTTTCTTGAGAACAATTGCAAAAAAAAAAGGTAGTTAGGATTTCCAGGTTTTTGTGATCTTTTCTTTTTGGATAGAATATATAAGTGGATTTAAGAGAAACAGGTGACTACATCCCCCCCACTGTCCCCACTGAGAGAGTAAATGTATCACATGGTCTGATATGTAAATCTAACTCCTCTGGTGATAAAGATGCCAGCTGATTCACATATCTTTTCAGATTCTTATTATTCTTAGAAAAACTAATTTTTCAGTATTTACTGTACAACAGTCCTTGTTCCAGGTACCTTACAGATTTTAATGTATTTAATATGCACAACAGTCCGATTAGTCCTAACAGGAGGTACTAGTATTATATACCCTTTTATAGATTAAGAAACTGAGAAGTAGACTAAGAGGTTTGCCCTAGTAAGCAGCAGTTTGACTCAAAAGTCCATGAGCTTAACCTGCTTTAGTGTATGCTGGTTACTTTAAAAGAATTGATAAAATAGTATATTGTGATAATTAAGCATATGTATGTGTTTTAAAATAGCTTGAAAAAAATATGAATAAAATATAGTAAGTGCCTCATTACATGTCTTTAGTAAAGAGTGTACAAAAACATTATACTTTTTAAAAGCACTTTATATATGTTATCTCATTTGATACTCATGAAAACCTTACAAGTAAAGCAAGGAAAAATCCTTTTGTCCCCATTTTAAAATGAGAAAATTAGATTCAACAAGATTAAATTACTAGTTTAAGTTTGCAGAGTAAAGTCGGGATAAAAATCTAGATCTGTCCAGTGTTCTTTCCATAAGACCATCTTCCTACT
Source organism: Homo sapiens (assembly GCF_000001405.40). Lineage (NCBI taxonomy): Eukaryota > Metazoa > Chordata > Mammalia > Primates > Hominidae > Homo > Homo sapiens. Next base: position 119,112,534 of record NC_000004.12, on the reverse strand, counting down.
TCTATAAATAGTAACTCTACAGTGCCTTCACAGGGTAGAGGAGGCAAGAAACGAAATGTGACATTTTTAAAAAAGAGTTTTTACTGAATCATGGAAAAGTGCAAACTAAGGTGGACACTTACTATTCGTATTGTATATGATCCCAAACCTGACTTTTGAGAGAGGAGTTGTTGGATCATTTGATTTTATTTTTAGGTGGGAACTAAAAGATCCAGTCTTACCTGTTACTGTTGTTGTTGTTAATTTTCTTGAATAAATTTAAATGTAATTCAGAGAAGAATAGAAAATTGTGTTTGATTTTATTAGGGGCCTTTCCAGAAACTGACCCCTAGTTGTTTGTATCTGTTATTATTCAATGAGACTAGTTTTAATTTTCATAATACTATAACTGCTTGTGATAATATCATAAACTAGGACAATTTATCCCTTCTGCTTTGTTTTTTCCAAATTCACAATATCTTTTAGAAGTTCATCACTTTGCTCTGCTACACATGGTGTACTAATCAAATTCTAGATTTACTCTATTCCAGAACCAGGCTTTCCAAGTTGCTATTTAGGTTCAGTGGGCCACGTTCCCTCTAGGCATGGTGCTTTTCCATAGGTTACTCTGAATGAGAGGACAATAGATATGTTCGAGGTTGTTTTAGAAATCTGAAAAATAAGTATCGGAGAAAATGCATAAATGAGATATACAGAAAGGCAAACAAGTGAAGGTGGGGACTGGAGAGTAGATACAAAACTAGAACTATTTTGCTGATTTTCTCTTTCTGAAGAAAGTCAAATCATTACACTCTCACAGGGCTTGAAAACATGGCTCTGGCTGGCAACCAGGGGTAGACACACTGTGAAAACATTTGCTGCTCTTTATTCTTGAGTTGAATTTTGCCTACAGTGAAGCAGACCACAAAATGAAGGGAAGGTTGGTTCATGAAATTACATAAACTTGGTCTATTTATTTTTTACCTTAATTATCTTGGAGCTATTCCAAGCATAATGAGAACCTCAATGGTCTTATAGAAAATAAAGTTTGGGCCTTGAGTTTGGGACCACATTCATTCATGTGGTAAGAGGTGGGCACTGGAGCATAAAGGTGACAGTGGATTTTCTGGTTGGTGTTATGGTCCCATGTACACAATCACCCTGTAAAATCCTTCACTTTGTAAAGTGAATGGGCCAATCCTCTTTTTCACATGTGCTTCTCAGCATGCTGCCTTTTGTAAATTTTTTGGTTATTCTAATGGCTTTCTTTGATATTTACTATATCTCCTATACAAAAATTGTGGTTGTTAAGGAGGGGGAGAGAAGAGGACTTTTAGCTGAGTGTGATGGGAAACTCAATCTTCCTAATCCGTATCCTCCCATTAGTAGTCCTATGTATGTCTTCCTTAAAACCAAGGAAATTCTCCATTTTCCCATATTTTATTTAATTTTCTCTTTCTTCTCTGTGTTTTTATAGCTCTTAATTCATACTTCTGATGTGGAATTTGGTATCTAATATATGTTTTATGTCTCTACTGCTTGATAATCAGTACTGTATTATATTCATCTTTTTCTTTTTGTCTAATGCCTAACAAAATCCCTCCTTGTATACAGTAGATATCCAATCAGTGTAAAATGAATTAATGAGATCACTATTTCCATATATTTTTCTTTACCTCTTTTTACAATGTACTTTTTTTATATGTTACTTTTTTAATTAAAAAATGAGATCAAAGGCCGGGCGCGGTGGCTCACGCCTGTAATCCCAGCACTTTGGGAGGCTGAGGCGGGCGGATCACGAGGTCAGGAGATTGAGACCATCCTGGCTAACACAGTGAAACCCCGTCTCTACTAAAAATACAAAAAAAAAAAAAAAAAAAAATTAGCAGGGTGTGGTGGTGGGCGCCTGTAGTCCCAGCTACTAAGGAGGCTGAGGCAGGAGAATGGCGTGAACCCGGGAGGCGGAGCTTGCAGTGAGCCGAGATCGCGCCACTGCACTCCAGCCTGGGCCACAAAGCGAGACTCCGTCTCAAAAAAAAAAAACCGAGATCATATTATTTGAAGAAGAATGTGCTAATTTCTGGATAATTCCTTTTTTGACAATGGGTATAGTAATCAACTATGAGCAAGCTCCTGAGAGACTTTTAAAACCATGCCAGAAGCAGATAATAATGAGCCTCAGATGCGCATCTGGAAGGAAGCTGATATTTATTGGTCATCATTCTCAGTGGTAAGCTCTGGCTAGATCCAGAAACCCTGTCCTTGACTGGTATGTTGGTTAACCTCTATGCAGTGGCTAGTGGGTAGGGTTGGTTATTTATGATGATGATAATGATGATGATGATGGTGATAGTTATGGACATGCTGGACACTATGCTTTCCACATGCTTTGTTTCTTCTAATTGTGTGGTGTAGGCACAGAGAAGGTAAGTGACTTTCCCAAGGTCACACAGCAAGGAGAGGGAGTCTGGCATTCAAACCTCCACAGTTTGACTCTATCCCTCACTCTTAACCACAACATATTCTGTTATTATCAAGTTGTTTCCCTTTCTGGAAAAATTAATGAGTTGACGTGTTAAACATGAAATTGAACTTTTTCATGGAAATAAGATTAGTATGAGGGTTATTTTATATGTATTTTTAATGACCCTTTGCCTAACTTTTAGTAGGAGTGACCACTAACAACATATTTAACCTATTGATTAGTATATAAAGCAAGTACGAGTAAATGAAGTAAGCGGGGCAACACAGTAATGAACCATTTTAAATTATAAGAAACATACTCTATTTTATTATACTATTTGAAAGTTCCTGTCTTCTTATTCTGTGCCTTAATTTTCTACAAATCAGAGTAGGAGGTAACAGTTGTTATCAGGAATATGGAATTCATAAATGTTTTTAGGAGGATATTTATAGGCATTCATCTGGAGAATTTTGTGAAAGATTGGATCACTTCACAGCTTTGTGTAATGTCCCTTTTCTTACAATAAACCTTCCTATACAAAGAACAAATAGAGAAGATCAAACTCTTGATCATTATGTTATCTTTCAAAATGAAGGTCTTTCTATGCTCAATCTGCTATTTCATTATCGCTCATAACTTTATCTTAGACCCCTAGCTGAATTTTTAATCATTTGATTCTTTACCACAATTTCACCATGTAGTATATTTTTGACCCTTAAAGTTTTATTGTTAATGGCATTCAAACTCAAAAACACAATTCAGGTTGATTCTGTATCCAGATACCTAAAGCCTCTGATCTTGCTCTCAAATCCTACATTTTGCTTTCTAATTGCTTATAATAGTGGTTCTCAGTTAATCAGGAGTAATTTTGCCCCCCAACGGACATTTGACAATGTCTGGAGACATTTTTGGTTGTTACAACCTGAGGAGTATGGTGCTACTGGCATCTAGTGAATAGAGACTAGAGATGCTACATGCACAGGACAGCTCCCCACAACCCACCCTGGCTTCCCCATTATCCCTTACAAAATGTCAATGGTGCTGAGGTGGAGAAACTATGGTTTATAAAAACCTTTACTGGGAACATTGCTTTGTTACCTTCTCAACTACTACAGAGAATTTTTAGGTACTATATGAAAAGTTAATAGGTCTGATTTATAAGGAACTTATACATTCAAATAACAGTTGTGTTTCAAAGCCAGAGACAGAGGGAGGGAATGGGATCCAGAACTAAGGTTGGGAGCTTAATTTTTTTCCAGCAGAGGAGAGACATTTTCCATAATGAAAATAGGAAATAAGGACACAATAGGTATAGGGGCAGATAATTTTGAAGATGTACAGATATAAATTTGAGGATGTTTGTACCTAATGTCTTCTATTTATTCTACATGATGGAAGTTGAGATCATCTCTTGAGAGAGAGGTGGCAGTGGTGACCCAGGAGGCTTAGGAATAATGGACATTGAAATGGCCACTGTAGACAATGGGTGGGGCTGTGTTGATGTTCAATGGGTAGAGGCATCATGGTTCAGGTGGCTCATAACACTTATGCTAGACACAGCCCCTAGGAGAAGGAGACTATCAAGAAATAAGCAAAAGCTCTTTTCTTGCCAAGTGGATTAGGGTGCAGAATTGTAGCTGTAAACAAACGCTTAAAGAACTAGTAGAAAATTTCAGAAAGGCCCAGTTATAATGGCTGGACAAGAACAGTGGAGGTTAATGGAAGCTATTATAACCTGATGGGCCTGGGAGAGCCCAAACTTATGGTATATGACTGGTTCCTAATCCCATCTGCAGATGGAATTGGGAATCTTATTCATTCATTCATGTTTCAAGTATCAACTTCTACAACTACTAGAATAAAGCCTGATATATTGTGGATGCCCAATAAATATTCGTTGATTAATAAATAGTACGCACATTGTTAGGCACTGAAGATACATACATGCTGAAGAAAATAGACAAGGGACAAGCCCAGTGTACTTTGAGACCCAAAGGAGGATCATCTGACCAGGCTTGAGAGTTCATAGAGGCCATCCCAGGGGAGATGAGATTGGAGTTTGTGTTTAGTGTGCCAAGGATGAGGCAGGGTTGCTTTATTTTCTTAAGAATAGCTTCAGGTGGGATAAAGTAGGTGGGATTGACACTGAGAAATTCAGTGTCAACCCTGACCTTCTCCCACCAGAGAAAAGTTGCTTGAGGCAGGGAAATACAACAGAAGCTAGTAGTTTAAGGAGGCCTTACACACATGGAGAGCTACCTGCCTGCTTTATGAACTGCATCGAATACCACATATTTCAATTCCAAAGTCAAATGCTATGGAATTAAGAACAGTCAATTAATTCAAGAAATAGTGAAAGTCCTGAATTTGGGGATGGAAGAGAAGGATTTTTCACTTGGTGTCATTACTTGAGTGATGTCACTAACCACTGTAGGTGAGCTGCTAAATATTTCCACCTTCGTTTCCTTTTCAACAGCATGGAATTTGTGTTGCCAGCCTCCCACATAGGTAAATCAGTATTAAGGAAAGGAATGCTTCGAGTAAGGAACACAAAGTAAAATTTACTTTCCTATTCTAGATAAGTATTCAGCTACATTCTCTGGAAAACACATTTCTTTGGAATAGTTCATAATTTAGATATCACATTATGGAGTAGAAATGGCTGTTTTTCTGATGAGATAGAATAAACTCTTGCTCTTTTAGGCTTGATATTTTAAATTGCTAGACCTAATTATTGCTAACATATCGTTTTACATTTGATCTGGTATATTTGCTACAAATAACCTGCTAATTATTAGAACCTTTCCCAAAGAATTATTAACTGATAAATTCACTGGCCAGCATCTAATGCTTAAAATGAGGCTGAGGGAAAGGCAGTTCTTCACTGGCTCACACCAGATTCCAGAAATATATCTGAATCTAATCTGAGGAAAAAACTGAAAATGTATTCGTTTGTAAGCATTTTGTGTTTTTAAGGTACTTTATCATGTATTAATTTAATAACTCCTCACAATAATTCTGAGTTAAATATTACAATTTACCAATTGTATACTTTAGGAAACTAAGGAGGTTAAAGTAACTTGGCCTCAGGCCAGCAGCTACTATAGCAGAGTCAAATCACCGGGGCTGCCTTGCTCACAGAAATATTATCTGTGATAACCCCTTTGTTGTAGGAAACTGCTCCCCAATCCCAACCTCCAGCATTTGGACTGACTGGAAACCGCCTCATGTTATGTGACCTTAATCTCCTGGGCTACACTGACTGACCTCAGAGTGGCCATCTGACAGAAGCTGGACTAATTACGGCAACCCTCCTGACCCAGGACTTGAATGCAAGAGGAGAGTCTAGTCATTTGGAATCTTTCCTCATGTTTTCACTAGGAGGAGAAGGATGGAGGACTTTGATGTAGGGAGAGACTCCTCTTTGCTGGTTGGGAAGTTGTTCACAGGGGAGGCAGGGGCCACTGAAAGTTGTTGTGATAGGTACCTTGAGAACTCTGGTCCTAGAGAAGGAAGCTGACATACGGACAAAAATGGCAATGAAAGAGAGGAACCCAGCAGCATTCCTACCCTGGGGCCAGTTGTCCTTGGTGACAACTGTATTTTTGTCCTTCTGCCAGTTTGCTTTCCTGAGCCAATAAATGTCTCATTTTCCTATGCCTAGGCTAGTTCTGGTTGGATTTCTGCAACTTCCTTCAGGAGTCATGACTAACACAACTGGAAAGAGGCAGAAACTGAATTCAAGTGAATTCTCTTACCTGAGTTTCCATGCTATTTCCACCAAAGCACAATTTCCATCACACCTCTACTCTGGGGGCCTCAGGTCCTACTGGAATCAACATGTCATGGTCATTTATACTGACAAGACCAGATCAGTTGTGCCAGCTGCAAATTTCTGGCTTTCCCTCTTGGCTCTCATGATTTATGCTTCCTGATTATTCTAGACCAGTATTTCTGGTTAAAAAAAATAAAATTAAAAAGGGCAAATGTCCAGGTAGACTCAGGATTAGCTAAGTTTGGAATTAAGTTGCTCAGATTTGAACATTTGGAATTTGTTTTTTATCTGCTTTTAGATCTCAGATACCAGCTTTTCTTTCTTTGAGTAATCAAAGCAAAATAAGTGAAAATATGAAGGATTTTTTTTCAAACATGGATTTTGATGGTCTCATAGAAGAGCTAATTTTAGAAATATAGCCAGTTCACTTTGGTTTAACTACATCCTTTGCTCACTTTATGCACTAGAATAAGATGACCCCTTCTTCCTGAATGACAGGAAATGGTTTTTCATTTTTCTGAATACACACATAAGCTACTATTGCATAATCTATTCCAACCTCTTTCAAAATCTTTCTCTAATTCATCTATTTGTTTCATAGAACATTTTGGTTATTTCAATATTATAGAATCCTTGACCTTAACTCTTTATTCCTAAATAACAGTATTTAAGAGTAGATTTCCACTGCGAAAGTATTTGTGTGTTTATATACGTGCAATGTGTATATTATATGTAATTTAATATAAACTTTGTCTTTAATAAGTTGTGAGGCTTTTTGCATAGAAATAAGACACTGAATTAAATGACTTTCTTCAAGCTGGGTAATTCTGATTATCTTCTTCATAACAACTTTGTAATTGATAAGTTTTTAACTCTATTCAAATTGAAAGTGAAGAAATTCATTTATAAGAGGTTATATAATGCACTCAACAGTTGCATATCATTATCATATTATTAGGATATATAATTTATGACAAGCAATATTTCTGCATAGTTATTCTTGGCCATTTGGCTATGGCCATTTTCATTGAACAAACTGGCAAAACAGCAATAAAAATAATGACAGCAACAAACACCCATTTGATGTAAATATTCAGTAAAGAATAGTAAAGACAAAACCAACCTGAGATCCGTAAATTCAGTTAAGAAAGTGACAAGGTTATAGTGAAGATATGTAAAAGGGCAAGTCAAATTCTGCTTGTGTGCTCACAGACCTGTAATGCTGTGTGACGGGATTCAGTGCCAAGCCAGTTTTAGCAGTCTTTCTTTTTTTCCTTACCATGTTCACAGCCTCGATCGCTACCAACAGAGGTAATACAAGGCAATAGAGGCAAGAGGCACAACCAATAAAAGGGTAGTAGGCCCTTGGTTGGGTTTTCAAGTTACATATCTGCTCTGGTTTATGGGCTTTCTATGAGTATATGCTATTTCTTTTTCTTTGCCAAGTCACCTGTTTCTCAAGTCTTGGCTTAGGACATGTGGTAGGCAGGGAAGCATGCCACTGGCTCACAGGGAACTGTGTTTGTTACCCTTGTTCTCTGTTATTTTTACTGTATAAAGCATAAAGAACCCTGCAATTATGATGCTTAATCATTTATACTCTAGGGCTGAGGAAGGGAAGGATTATTCCCTCTGTTTTTTTATTACTATTTTTCCTATGGTCTTTCTACTTTGCTAAACAGTTAGATTTCAAGATACTACTTAACAAAGCAATGATCTACATGTTGATGTCTGACATGCAAATAATCCCCAAGAATAACTGGAAGTTTTAAGTAATATTTGAAATATTAAATTACTTAAATATCTGAAATAACACAGAGATAAGAAATAGAATTTGTTGTAGAAGTCACATTGGTCACCAAAGAGAAGCAAAACATTGTGTGTAATGTCTGCTCTAAACCTGGTGGATGATTTTGAAGAATTTGAGAAATTACTTCTTTCTAAAGAAGAACTTAATAAAGGCTCTGAATAGCTGAAAACTAAATGAATAAAATTAAACTACTGTATTACACAGGTCAACTTTTTCCTCACTTATAAAACCCAATTATTAATTATGCATCAGACTGCATTAATTGCTACATATATACCTTATGCATAACTTTTATATGTATATTTTTTCTTGCTTAATGTTCACAGCAATATGCATGGATCAGGCATTACTATCCACATTTTGCAAATGAAAAGTCTAAAACTTAGAGCAATTAAGAAGCTTTCCCTCAACCTAGAGCTAGTAAACAGACCCAAGATTTGAAGCTAGGTGTGTTGGCTAAATCTACATACCTAACCCCCATATTATAGTTTTTCCTTTGTGGGTTTTTTTGAAAAAAAAAAATTTAATCTGCATTTTATATTGTACAAAAGTGAACTGGCTAAAGCCTTCATTCTTTCTAATTACTATTTGCTTCTGAACTAAAGCTATAAACTTTTATTATATTTGGTGAGCATTTTTGAATTAAACTAGAAGATTAGGATACAAGTTCATGGACACACAGTATAAAACACTTTTTAAAAGACACTGGCACACTCGTTCTCACCTAGACAACAGATCATAGTTTGAAAATCTGTTTTTGTGAAAAAAGCTGAACCCTAGCTCTTGAATTAGCTATCCCAGTACCCATGTTGAAATAGCTCAAAAACATTCCTAGGAAAAATACTCCTAACTTAGTGGGAGTGGTTTTATAATAAAGGGTGAATTACTTTTGCTTTATGGATCATTCCTTTTTTTTTTTTTCCTTAGTCATCTGTTACTCTTAGCTGCTGGTAATGGAGAGGAAATGGTCTTACATCATTTTTCAAGCATGTTTAGTATTAGGTCATTGTTAGTGGATGGAAGGAAGTTGAATGCTTGGAATTTAAGTGACTTACTCAAGATTACAACAGTGAGTCATTTACTCAGCCAAAAAGAGAGCAAGGAACTTCCTGGATACAAGTGTGGTGTGCGCTGGCAGCTCCATCTGCCCCTTCTTTATTGATGCCTTTTCAAAACTATGGGCTTTTTGTGAAGGCCAGATGGGTTTGCCCTTGAGTGTGACCACCACTCTGCTCCGAGATACATCAACTTGAATGAGGATTTGTTTTGATGGTTGGCATATAAGCCTCAGAGTTTTATTTTGAGATGTTAAATCTAAAAGCGAAGATTACATGTTGATTGCTAATTTCTTTGAACAAATTTTGCCCTAAGAGTTTATTGTAAAAATTAACTGGGCATGGTGGTGGGCGCCTGTAATCCCAGCTACTCAGGAGGCTGAGGCAGGAGAATCGCTTGAACCTGGGAGGCGGAGGTTGCAGTGAGCCGAGATTGCGCCACTGCACTCCAGCCTGGGTGGCAGAGCCAGACTCCATCTCAAAAAACAAACAAAGTTTATTGTTCCTGAAGGACGAAGTCTTTGAACTTCAGGTAGTCATGAGTTGAGGTGTGGGTATAAGGAATGGGGACAATGTGCCCCACTGCCCTCTTGTTTTGAAACATAGCTTACAACCATTACCCATTCACTTGGTATAATGTAGTATTTCAGGATAGGCACGGTTAGTTCTGACTCACACAGGTATCACTGTTGTCTGGACATGAATGATTTCTAGAGTTCATTTCTCATGAAACATGTTTTTATTTGCAGGGCTTTAGAGCTTTGAAATTAATTCTACATTATACATTGATGATTCTTTTGTCAACTTTGTTTTTCTCTGTCTATTCCTAATTCTATCTACCATATAATTTCTGTATAGTAGTTGTTTCCATCACAATTTTTTTCTGTGAGCTGTGATTACATAAAATTAGCCTTGTTGACTTATACTTTGATATCTTTCTTGAGACAAGCCAGCGATGACCCCAGTTGGACTGGAACAACAGACCACTTTGTTGGTGTCTTTTAATACAGCCAATACTAATAGGAAGCTTTATCTTTCTTAAGTATCTTCTTTCGCTTCCCCTTCACAGAACCTTACAGGGGCCCCATGGATCAGCAATATTGCTTATTAAATATAATTTCAACTTTTAATAAGATTTTCTAAATTCTTCTGATCACTTCCTACTTTCCTTACATAATGACAGTCATTGCACATCAGAATACAGGCCCTCAGTCCAGCAATGTGATTTTCGTTCTTATGCTCAGGTCATATGATATTCGTCAAAGTGGTTGCTCCCTCTACTAGTCACTCTTGGAATGTACTCCCACCCCCACTCCAATGACATCTCTCACCTCCTCTAAAAATCATTTTCTGCTGTGGTGTTCTTATCTGCCCATGATAGTTATTATATTTATTGTCTTCAGAGAGTAGAAAACAGAAAAAGACCAAGAGGGTAACTGTAGTCAGTTTAATTCTGTCTCATCATCACTTCCCGTCAGCAATCCACATTCCCCCAACCATACATGACAACTTACTTGCATCTGTAACTTTATGTTTTGCCCTCTTTCCTATTACAAGAGGTGAATTGTCCATTTTTTTTTCTTTTTTTTGAGACAGGGTCTCACTCTGTCACCCAGGCAGGAATGAAATGGCACAATTACGGCTCACTGCAGCCACTATCTCCTGGGCTCAAGTGATCCTCCCACCTCAGCCTCCTAAGTAGCTGGGACTACAGGCATGTGCCACCATGCCTGGCTAATTTTTGTATTTTTTGTAGAGACAGAGTCTCCCTATGTTGCCCAGGCTGGTCTCAAACTCCTGGGTTCAAGAAGTCTGGCCACCTAGGCCTTCCAAAGCGCCAGGATTATAGGTGTGAGCCACTGCTCTAGGTCCATGGACTTTCTTCCTGCAGTTATCCTCTCTTTTTCTCCATTGCTGTTGTTTTTTCCTTCCTTTCTTCCTTCCTTCCTTCTTTTTTTTCTTTCTTTTCTTTTCTTTCTTTCTCTTTCTTTCTTTCTTTCTTTCTTTCTTTCTTTCTTTCTTTCCTCTCTCTCTCTTTCTTTCTTTCTTTTCTTTCTTTCTTCCTGATGGAGTCTCGCTGTGTAGCCCTGGCTGCAACCTCCGCCTACTGGGTAAGTGATTCTCCTGTCTCAAACCCCCGAGTAGCTGAGACTACAGGCGCCCACCACCATGCCGGGCTAATTTGTGTATTTTTAGTAGTAGAGACAGGGATTTCACCATGTTAGCCAGGCTGGTCTTGAACTCCTGACCTCAGGTGATCCGCCTGCCTCGTCCTCCCAAAGTGTTAGGATTACAGGCATGAACCACTGCACCCAGCCCTGTTTTCTACTGGAGTTTTTCCATCATCATAGAAACATGCTATGCTTTTTTTCTCACATCAAACAAAAGCAAAATACCTTGCAAATAGAGACAAGCACAATAAAACACCTTCTGTGGTCCTTTTCTTTGCTCCCTTTTAACATAAAAATTTGTCTACACTTGCTTTCTTCAGTTTCTCTGTACTGCTCCATGGAAACTGTTTATTGTCATGGTCACTAAGTTGCTTAAGCAAGAATCTTTGAAGTCATCCTGGACTTCCTTCTTTCCTTTGCACTCCACAAACTATGGCTTACAGGACAAATTGGCCTGTCATGTGTTTCAGTAAATAAAGTTTTATTGGAACACAGTCATGGCCACATGTTTGTCTTTCTGTGACAACTTTTGCATTACAATGGCAGAGTTCAGACGTCCTAATGGGGACTGCATGGCCCTCAAAGCCTAAAATACTTACTATTTGGCTTGTTATAGAAAAAGTTGGCCAGCCCCTACACTAAAATATAAATCTTACAAAGGAAAGTGCTTTGTTTTGTTCCCTGCTATATCTCCAGTGCCTAGAAGAATACCTGGCACTTAGCAAAGCTTAACAAATACTTGCGGCAGAAAGGAAAAAAGAAAGAATGAATAAGTAGTCTACGTCACCATCTTGTTCTTTACTCTCTCTTATTCAATCTTTGTCGGTTCTCATTGTCCTTTCTCCATTTTCCATAAACTCTCTCCTCGGATTTGTTTCTTCCATTAAGCTTTTTCTTCATGCTCATCAAATTTCCAACAGGAGGAAAAGTCCTAAAAATTGCTAAACAAATTTTGGAAATACGAAGCTTAAGTTAGAGAAATTTTTCCTTTGGCAATAGTATTAAAAATGTGTTCATCAATGGGAACACATGGACATAGGGAGGGGAACATCACACACAGGGGCCTGTCGGGGGAGGGGGCTAGGGGAGGGATAGCATTAGGAGAAATACCTAATGTAGATGATGGGTTGATGGGTGCAGCAAACCACCATGGCGCGTGTATACCTGTGTAACAGACCTGCACGTTCTGCACATGTATCCCAGAACTTAAAGCATGATTTTTAAAGAAGTGTTCATTTTTTCTTTGCTAGTGTCTGCATTGTTGAGTTCATTTTGGAGAGAAGACTGTCAAGAGAGAAATGATATTTCTTTTAATAGGTACTCTTGGCAATTTTTGCTAATAATTTTAACATTTCTTTTACCACATGAAGTTTGATTTCTATAGAGTAATCCCCTTTTATGTTGTGTTGATGGGCATTTTTTATTATTGATATATAATATGTTTACCCTGTCTTCAGTTTTTGCTCATGAGACTTTATCCAAAAACTAAACTCAACTGGCACATGCAGTTCTTTTGATTTCACAACTTACCCATGCCGGAGATACTTCCCATACTAACTTTGATCTCTTGCAGATGTGAAACAAAACCCTATACTAGATAAGTGAACTTTCAGTGTCCTTACTTAAAACAAAAGAAAATAAATAAAAATCTCATCTGGATCTGATTATTCCCAGGTGACTAAAAATTCTGTGAACCTGTGGAGACTGGAATGTACTGGCAAGAGAGAGCCTGGGTTATCTATTGGAATCTTGGATTCTGTTTTTAAAATAGGAGGTTAAAGCTCTAATGTGTCCAAAAATAATCTCAAGTGTGGGTTATTACTGCTCCCTTTGAGGGAAATTCAAAATTGCATAATATCAGATAAAAATAAAAACATGTGGCTCTGAATAAACAGTTATTCCTGTGCTATTAGTGGATGCATCAACACTGACCTGTCAGAGATGTCCTGATAAGGTCATTTTTGTGAGTGGTTTTAATACCAAGAGAACTTCATGGTTCCTAGGTCAGTGTGATTTGCTGCTGCCTTATCATGAGTAATGAAGAGGATATTTGATGCTTCTCTCTGTCTCTAGTTCTGACTTCATTTATTTCACTGAATTCTGAGGTTTACTCCTAGCAGGTTTCCAGTTCACTTTCAACCTTCAGCCTCACTGAGAGAGTGCTATATAGCTCCTTAGTGATAATGTACTTGGGTCTTATAATTAGTGATGATGGCAGAGAAGACATTCCTGATGAGGATATTTATTTCTAAATGTCTAAACAAATTTCTTAGTTTATTTCAAAATGCAATATATGTAAATAATAAAAGTTTTATCTTTACTAATTATGGCAGCCCTAAGTGCCATCGATGTATCTTAGTTTTCTAATTACCGAGCTGGCAAAGACAACTAAGATAGTGGAGAGTTAAAAGATTAATCCTACACTGCATAATGGAAAGGATTAATTTTCACAGTTGCTTTTGTTTCATTTTTGAGTTCCAATAAATTCTTTATTCTTATTTCACATAAATTTCTGTATACTACAAAAGATAAACTAAATTTACTAAATCTACTAACTTTATTAAATATATTCATTATTTTTTGGTGAAATGGAACCTGCATTTTACATGAGAGCATGCTATCTTTGAAAGAAATCAGTTCCTTGGAATCAGGAGATCCAGTCCTGAAAAATGGTTCTATTTTGCGATGTTAAACAAGTCATGTAACTTCTCTGAGACTTGGTTTCCTCATCACTAAGAGGACAGGGTTGAATTGGGGAATCTCTTTTCCCTTCCAGCATTAATTGTCTCAGACTCTATTTTAGGCCTCTGGAGTGTGTGTATGGAAACAAATTCACATGCTGAAATCCAGGTATAAATTTCTACTTCTCTTTTGTATTGCTTTCTTTCAACATTTCCTTCAAAAGAAGGATAAAATTACATCTATTTAGCTTGTTCATCTTTTGTTATCCCAAAGGCACACCCAACCATGGGGTCAGTGAGAAAATGTTCAAACATTTGTAAATAATCAATTTTCCTAATGTGAAGGCCAACTCAGCAGAGTCCTAATCAGGGAAAGGCAAAGAAAACAGTCCAGCCTTTAAGAGATCCAAATTTGGATTCTTTGTTAACTTTATCTTCTTTATTTCTCTTTCTTCTACAGCAGTGTTTACAACGTTATGATGTACAGCAATGTTACAGAAAAAAAGTGGAGAAAGATAATGCAACTACCTCATTGACATATACATCTCAGCATAATGATTTAAATACTGTGACTTTGTAGTAGGCTGATCACCAAGCAAGGTGATCCGGCAACTTGACCCAATATCAGACTGCACAAACTACAAAGGGTAACCTGGTGTATTGGGTGCTCAAACTAAGCCTATTGCTAAAACAACTTAAAATGCAAATTGAAAAAAAATGAATTGTGTCCATGAGCTAGAACATGCAGGCTATAAATTAAATGAAGGTGGGGACCTAGAGAGGTAAGCCAAATATCAGAATACATCTTCTGAGAGTATTTCCTGCCGCAGAATGAACTTGAACTTTAGTTTGTATATCTTTGCAGTTTTATGGGGATGGAAAACAAAGTCTAGGGCTTGCCTAGTATGGGAAGCTTAATAAGATACACACCCTCTATAAAGTAAAGACACTAGAGAACTATATCCTTAGTGATATACAAGGTGAACTACCAATAAACATGCATGTCCTGTGCACATTGCCCCTCTCTAGGTATTTCAAGGAAAACTGCCTGTATTAAACCTTAGTAATAAGCAGAGTTGAGAAAAAAATCCCCTGAGAATGTCTAACCATAAACTAACTTTCATATGTATTTGAAGACAGAATTACCATTACCTGTGGTGGCTTGAAAAATCTTAAGCCAAGAGTTAGTTTCAAGTGATCTTAGGCTGATAATGTAAAGACACGTGACAGAAACAAATGAAAATCCCTTCTATTGGAACCCATCTTTTCCCCAGGTCTTAAAGAGTTTTCATTAACAGAGCCCTCCCAAAATGAGCAGCTCATTGCATATATATATATATATATATATATATATAGATAGATAGATAGATAGATAGATAGATAGATACATACACACACACACACACACACATACATACACACACACATGCACACACACACAATACATGTATGGATTGAATAGTGGATTAGACACAGCTCACAAAAGAATATAGTAGCTCTGAAGATACTATCCAAAATGAAGTTCAATGAATAAAAGAAAAGAAAAGGAAAGAATAAAGGAGAGGTTAAGAGACTTGGAGACTAGTATGAAGAGTCACTAACATAAATCTAATCAGTGTTGCAGAAGACAGAGACAATAGACAGCAGCAGTTTCTAAAAAGATAATGGCTGATCTAATAAAAGACACCAACCTACAAAATCAGGATGCTTGCAGAAGCCCAAACAGGATGAATAAATCTATAGAACAAATCTATACCTAACTATATCATTGTGAAACTGTAGAATACCAAGATAAAAAGAAAATATGAGAAGCAGCTCGTGTACTGAATAATCAGGTGGTAAGCATTTTGAGGCTGTAATAATGGGAGTTATGAGAAAGGGGTAAGAGAAAAAAGAGATTTAATAGGTTTCATATTTACCAACATCCTACTATGTACCAGGAGGCCTTGATATGTACCAGTTAATTCTTTGACAATCCTATGATATGGATGTAAGTATTATAGGTAAGAAACTGAAACTAAAAGACTAATTTTTCACGATCATAAAGCTAGCAGTGGTGAAATTGGGTTTCACATCCGTGTCTATTTGCCACCAGAGCTTGTGCTTTTGTTTTGTTTTGTTTGTTCGTTTTATGTAGAAGGAATAAGAATAATAAGCAAGCAAATGAAATAAAGAAAGAAATTCATTGCAGCATCTTTTTTTTTTTTTTTTTTTTTTTTTGAGACGGAGTCTCGCTCTGTCGCCCAGGCTGGAGTGCAGTGGCGGGATCTCGGCTCACTGCAAGCTCCGCCTCCCGGGTTCACGCCATTCTCCTGCCTCAGCCTCCCAAGTAGCTGGGACGACAGGCGCCCGCCACCACGCCCGGCTAATTTTTTTGTATTTTTAGTAGAGACGGGGTTTCACCGTTTTAGCCGGGATGGTCTCGATCTCCTGACCTCGTGATCCGCCCGCCTCGGCCTCCCAAAGTGCTGGGGTTACAGGCGTGAGCCACCGCGCCCGGCCTCATTGCAGCATCTTTTATAAGGCCCTCGCAGTCACTGGAAAGGAGAGAATTCTGAAGTTAACCATAGCCTGGATAAACTTAACAAAAGCACAGAGGATCCTTAGTATGACAGATTTAGCATTGTAGGTTTGTGACATCTGAGGTTAGCCGCAAAGGCAATGACATATATTAGTTTATAGTGAGGATAGTTAATAGTAAAGCGTATGCTTTTCCTTCATCTGTTAATTCAACAAATGTATACTAAAATTCCAGTTGGGTTAAGAACTACATGCCTCCTTTCATAGACAGTCTACTAGGGGAAATGGATTAGCAAATAAGAAATTACAAGATGTTGAATGTTAGGTAGAAGCAAGTAGGGGTACTGTGGAAAACATGTAGAAAGCAGACAGTTTTGTTCGGGGTGGGAGGTGGGAAGGCACGTTCAGAGAAGGCTGGAAGCCTGAAGGACAGTGGTGAAAATTAAATGCTCTTGGCACAGCTTTGTGTTGCAAGGCTGCTTTGAAGAGATAAGATGGAAGAAAATGGAACATGTTACCCAGCATCTTTATTTCAACCAGGGCATAGCTTGCTCGCCACTAGTGTTCAGGTAACATTTGGTGGGAAGAGGACTGGCCTCACTGGAGACTAATTACACGAAATGCCAAGAGTGTCTTAGTGAAGGATGGATCCTAAGGGAACAGGTAGACAAGGTTTTCCCAGTTTTAAAGCTTTGAGGATGATGGGCTGGTGGGTTTTTTGAATATGGGGAAGCATCTGTTACTTGTCTACTTGAAATTTTTTTTGGTGTTTGTAACCCCCACTGCCTTCTAAGGAGGCTGGCCTTTGGGAACAGGAGGAGAGGAGCAATGAAGCAGGGCACCCTTGAAGGGAAAGAGGGAGACCACTGGTAGTAACGTGGCAGGAAAGAGGAGTCTGGAGAAGAGAAATGGTGAAACGTCCAACAGGAATTTTCAAGTGGTCATCTGTGGGATATGGGTTGTTAACTGTCTTGTCTTTTGTTTCCATAAAATCTTATGTAAATCGACATTTCTTGGTAATATCTTTTTGTGAAGTGGATTAATTATTTTGAGGGAAAAGCAGATGTTGGGAAGCTCAAAGAGAAGGATGAGAGGACAGGAAAAATCTGGATCACCCTCGACCACGACCTGCTGGGTCTCCAGTAGCCCCCAAGGATCTCTTAAGTCACCAAGGATATTTTTACAAATCTGGGGAGAAGATGGTAAAGTTAAAATGGCCCTTGAGTTAAAACTGAAAAGGGTTTTTTCTCTAAAATCTCAATAGGACATCAGGATAGAACTGCTTAACCTAGATGCCAAATTAAGACACACAATGGGGAGAGAATCATTCTTCCCTCTTTGGCCAAACGCTAGGCATGCATTGTGGAGCAAACTCACCATTGTCCCTTGCATAGCAAGCCGTAGCACAAGTTCTGGCAGAAGAGTTGTGCCTCTAACCTGAGTATGTCAGGACATCTACTTTGGGCATTTGGATTTGCCATTTTTAGCTTGGTTTTAAAAAACAAGAAAATATCAGTACAGAGAGGTTAAGAAAGTTGCTCAGGGTCACTAAGGAAGGAAGTGACACAACTGAGATTTGAACCCAGGCTGCCTAACTGCAGAGTCAGGCTCTTCACCACCATCTTAGATTGTGACTAAGAGGGTAGCTTCTAGAATCAGACACCTGGGCTGATCTCAGGCTCCACCATTACAGTTAATAGACTGCAAGCTCCACTGAAGTATTCTACTGGGCAAGGCGAGGAGAATTTCTGCTTCATTCATCACCGTACACTCAGCAGCTGTTACCTGGTAGGTATTCAGTGAACATTTGTAGAATAAGTAAAATCAGATGTATCACCACATACATAGGATGTCCTCACTAATCTGGACTAGAATTCTCAACTCTGTACATGTCAGTAGAATGTACAAGCCAGAGCAGGGGTATTTAAAATTGTTTTGCTTTAGAAGATGAAACCGAATGATCACTAATAGACTCACGGAGATTAAAGAATCATGACACACCACCTTTATAGATGAGCAAACAGACTCATAGTGATAAGGGACTCTCCTAAGGTCACAGCATCAGTAAGGGCCAGAAAGGTGTTAGTGTAGAGAGAGAGAGAAAGTTGGAAGTTCAGTTCCAATCGGCTTTTTTAAAATGTCAAAATCACAAAACCCAGAAAAACAATTATCCTAATTTCAGCATATATGTATGGGAATATGGTGGCTCCATAGTCTTTTCTTTGCTTGAAGCCCTGAAAATCTGAATTCTGCCCTGGCCAGAACCAGGAACTGGACTCAGCCCCGCCTCTGACTGCCTGTTGTCTTCCTCCCTTTTTGCCACATAGAGCTATTGGACCAGAGCCTGACATACTGAGGAAATGCTGAGGAAGGGGTGGGGTAGGGAGAAGGAATGTGGATGACCGGATCCCAGCCCATTATTTCTTTTTTGATGCTCAGGGAGGCCACAGGTGACATAAGGAAGAATTGGACTCATTAATCATATTCACTGCCTTTGTCACATGTCCTTCCTCCCTTTTTCTCTTGCTTCTAACTTCCCTCTTCCTCCCACTTCTGACTGCTACAGACATTTTACCCTGGAATTTCAATCATGTTGCAGGATCACTGTGACCCTGATGACGTAGAGTAAGCCAATGCAATGCATTTTCTGTTGGTAGCTCAGAATCATGATATTCTGCTACCATGAAGTATTTGTCATCTTTATTTTCCTTCCTTCCTTGATAATTTACTTCTCTTTTTAGGGGATGTGAAGGACAGCGGAGAGACAGAGAACACTTGTATTTTACTTTAGGGGACCACTGAGGGAGTAGTGTTGACCCACCCCCACTCAACACTCAGTCCAGCCAGGCCAGCCCAGGAGGAAGTCATGTAGCCACGAATCTGCCCTGAATCACTGTTGACTTTTCCTTAGCTTTGTTTACAAAATTCATGACCACAGATAAATGGTACAACTCCTGGAATCAGGTTTTGTAGGGCTTGAAATGCATACAATTTGGGGGCCCAAAGAAAAATGTATATATATATAAATATAATTTTGTATTTGAAAATATTAAATAAGCACAGGACTTTAGGAGGTCTATAAATCAGATCCCTTAAACTACGTCAAACTGGCCGGGCGCGGTGGCTCACGCCTGTAATCCCAGCACTTTGGGAGGCCGAGGCGGGTGGATCATGAGGTCAGGAGATCGAGACCATCCTGGCTAACAAGGTGAAACCCCGTCTCTACTAAAAATACAAAAAATTAGCCGGGCGCGGTGGCGGGCGCCTGTAGTCCCAGCTACTCGGGAGGCTGAGGCAGGAGAATGGCGTGAACCCGGGAGGCGGAGCTTGCAGTGAGCCGAGATTGCGCCACTGCAGTCCGCAGTCCAGCCTGGGCGACAGAGCGAGACTCCGTCTCAAAAAAAAAAAAACAAAAAAAAAACTACGTCAAACTGGCTTAAACTATGTCAATTTCAGGGTAAATCCATATCATCTGTGACATCTGTGACACAGAGTGGGCTTGGGAGTGCTTTTGACTTTTGGACTGCAAGTTTTTATTTTGTGACTATAAGTAAGCTATGAGGGCAGAGATGACCCTTTCCACTTTTCCAACATTTAGCCACAGGCACTCATGGTCCATAATTCACGGTCCATGAATTATGTTTGTGTCTATCAAAGAATCAGATAAGCAAGCATTGTGCTAGACTTGTGGGCTTACTATACTAAAAGGGCTATGAAAAATAGCCTGTATTGGAAGCAGTAGGGACATAAAGGGAAAAAAAGTCAGTTCTATTTGGGGCAGAGGAAGGGTGATGAGTAAAAAAGAACTTCAAAGACAAGTTAACCCATAAATTGCGACTTGTACGAGGAGTGAAGGTGTGGGGGTGGTGTTGAAAGGCATCTCAAGCGGAGAGAACATGATGAGGTAAAGCATGGAGGTTGAAACCACATAAGGAGATTGTAGGATTGTAAGTAGTTTGGTATCGGTGAGATATGAAGCACAAGAGGAAGAGCAAGAGGTAAAGCTGAAAGGCAGAAAGATGAGATACTAGAGGGCTTCACAAGAGTTTGGACTTTAGCCTGTGAACCGTGGTTGCCGTTGATGACTTTAAAGCAAGGGAATAATATAATGTGCATTTTTATAATATTATTCCAGCCTCAATATGAAGAACTGACTGGAGATGCAGGCAGCGAGACCTTTTGACTCTATTGCAGTTGTCTCAGGGAAAGGTGATAAGGGCCTGATCAAATGCTGTGACAATGGCGGCAAGCAGGGCCAGGTATTCTGAGATGAGAGATACTAAGAAGATGAAGTTCACAGAGATTGGTGATTGATGCATTGAATAAGGGCCGGGGTTAGGGAGAAACTAGGGTAATGCTTCTAGTCCTGACATAGGCAGTTGGGTGGTTGCGTGGTGGTACCAGGCACTCAGTGGAGACCATAGGAGAAGGAGCAGGCTCTGCAGGAAAGGGTCTCATCTGAAAGTGTTAGATCTAAGGTGTCTGAGAATCCCTCAAGTGATAAGGACTAGTGAGTAAACAGATTCAGGGCTGGAGCTGAAAAGATATTTGAAATTGGGTTTGGACATTAATTATCTGTCACCACCCTGTAAGTGGAAGCAACTTAGGTAATTGTTCATTAGATTACCCAGGGAGGGCCATCAAAGCAGGGGTTGACAAAGCTAGCAGAAGACAAGAAATAACCCAAATCAGAGCTTAACTGAAGGAGATAGAGACATGAAAAGTCTTTCAAAAGATCAATGCATCTAGAAGCTGTTTATTTTTTAAAAATTAGTAAGATAGACCACTAGTTAGGCTAATAAGGAAAAAAAGAGAGAAGATTCAAATAAACACAATTAGAAATGACAAAGGGGATATTACCACTGACCCCACAGGAATACAAACAACCATCAGAGGATATTATGAACACCTCTATGCATATACACTAGAAAATCTAGAAAAAATGAATAAATCGTTGGACACATACACCCTCCCAAGACTGAACCAGGAAGAAATTGAATCCCTGAACAGACTAATAACAAGTTCTGAAATTGAGGCAGTAATAAATAGCCTACCAACTAAAAATAGCCCAGGAGCAGACAGATTCATAGCTGAATTCTACCAGATGCTCAAAGAAGAGCTGGTACCATGCCTACTGAAACTATTCCAAAAAATTGAGAAGGAGAGACCCCTCCCTAACTCATTGTATGAGGCCAGCATCATCCTGATACCAAAACCTGGCAGAGATACAACGATAAAAGAAAAATTCAGGCCAATATCCTTGATGAACATTGATGGAAAAATTTTACACAAAATACTGGCAAACCAAATCCAGCAGTACATTAAAAAGCTTATCTACCACAATCAAATAGGCTTTATCCCTGGGATGCAAGATTGGTTCAACATATGCGAATCAATAAATGTGATTCATCACATAAACAGAACTAATGACAAAAACTAGATGATTATCTCAATAGATGCAGAAAGGGCTTTTGACAGAATTCAACATCACTTCATGGTTTAAAAAAAAACTCAATAAACTAGGTATTGGAAGAACATACCTCAAAATAATAAGCCATATATGACAAACCCACAGTCAACATCATACTGAATGGGCAAAAGCTGGAAGTATTCCCCTTGAAAACCGGCACAAGTCAAAGATGCCCTCACTCACCACTCCTGTTCAACACAGTAATAGAAGTCCTGGCCAGGGCAATCAGGCAAAAGAAAGAAATAAAGTCCATCCAGATAAGAAGAGAGGAAGTCAAACTATCCCTGTTTGTAGATGATAGGATTCTATATGTAGAAAACCTCATAGTTTCAGCCCAAAACCTTAAATTGATAAACAACTTCAGCAAAGTCTCAGAATACAAAGTCAATGCTCAAAAATCACTAGCATTCCTATACACCAACAACAGTCAAGCCAAGAGACAAATCAGGAACATAATCCCATTCACTATAGCCACAAAAAGAATAAAATACCTAGGAATACAGCTAACTAGGAAGGTGAACAATCTCTAGAAGGAGAACTACAAAACACCACTCAAAGTACTCAGAGATGACACAAACAAATGGAAAAACATTCCATGCTCATGGATAGGAAGAATCAATAGTGTTAAAATGGACATATTGCACAAAACAATTTATAGATTCAATGCTCTTCCTGTTAAACTACCATTGAGATTCTTCACAGAACTAGAAAAAATTATTTTAAGATTCATATGGAACTAAAAAAGAGCCCACATAGCCAAGGCAATCCTAAACAAAAAGAACAAAGCTGGAGATATCACACTACCTGGTCAAACTATACTACAGGGCTACAGTAACCAAAACAGCACGGTACAGGTACAAAAACAGAGATACATAGACCAATGGAACAGAATAGAGAACACAACAATAAAGCCACACACCTACACCTATCTGATCTT
Organism: Homo sapiens; assembly: GCF_000001405.40. Lineage (NCBI taxonomy): Eukaryota > Metazoa > Chordata > Mammalia > Primates > Hominidae > Homo > Homo sapiens. The sequence goes on along the minus strand of NC_000004.12, from coordinate 119,089,672 downwards.
TGACAAACCTGACAAAAACAAGCAATGGGGAAAAGATTCCCCATTCAATAAATGGTGCTGGGATAACTAGCTAGCCATATGTAGAAGATTGAAACTGGACCCCATCCTTATACCACATACAAAAATTAAATCAAGGTGGATTAAAGACTTAAACATAAAACCTAATACTATAAAAACCCTGGAAGACAACCTAGGCAATACTTTTCAGGACATAGGCACAGGCAAAGATTTCATGATGAAGATGCCAAAAGCAATTGCAACAAAAGCAAAAATTGACAAGTTTGATCTAATTAAATTAAAGAGCTTCTGAAAAGCAAAAGAAACTATCAACAGAGTAAAAAGACAATCTACAGAATGGGAGAAAATTTTTGCAAAATATGCATCTGACAAAGGTCTAATATTCAGCACCTACAAGGAACTTAAACAAATTTACAAAAAAACAAACAACCCCACTAAAAAATGGCAAAGGACATGAACACTTTTCAGAAGAAGACATACATGCAGCCAACAATCGTATGAAGAAAAGCTCAACATCACTGATCATTAGAGAAGTGCAAATCAAAACTACAATGAGACACCATCTCACACCAGTCAGAATGGCTATTACTAAAAAGTCAAAAAATAACAGATGCTAGTGAGGTTGTAGAAAAAAAGAATGCCTATACACTGTTGGTGGGAGTGTAAATTAGTTCAGCCATTGTGGAAGACAGTGTGGCAATTTCTCAAAGACCTAAAGACAAAAATACCATTCTACCCAGCAATCCTATTACTTGGTATATACCCAAAGGAATATAAATCATTCTATTATAAAGACACATGCATGTGTATGTTCATTGCAGCACTACTCACAATAGCAAAGGCATGGTACCATTGCTACTGAAACTACTCCAAAAAATTAAGGAGCAACCTAATGCCCATTGATGGGCAATGGGCAACCTAAATGCCCGTTGATGACAGATTGGATAAAGAAAACATGGTACATATACACCATGGAATACTATGCAGCCATACAAAGGAATGAGATCATGTCTTTTGCAGGGACATGGATGCAGCTGGAGGCCATTTTCCTTAGCAAACTAACACAGGAACAGAAAACCAAACACCCCGTGTTCTCACTTATAAGTAGGAGCTAAATGATGAGAATACATGAACACAGAGAGGGGAACAACACACACTGGGACCTGTCAGAGGGTGATGGGAGGGAGGAGGGAGAGGATCAGGAAAAATAACTAATGGGTACTAGGTTTAATACCTGGGTGATGAAATAATCTGTACAACAAACCCCCATGACAAAGTTTACCTATGTAACAAAGTTGCACTTGTACCCTCTGAACTTAAAAGTTAAAAAAAAAAGGAAAGCAGGGGTTGGAGATGGAGCACTGACACCAAGAATAGGTGAAGGCAATTTCGATATTTGCACCTTTGGGAGTTTGGGACACCAGCTTTCCATGTCAAATGGTACAAAAGCTCCTGTGCCACTTCCAAAGTGCTTTGTAAGTTTCTTCTGTAGCAATTAAATATTGGGCTGCCTCTAGGTTAAGTCCTGCCTTCCTTTTCAGGTCTCAGCTCAAACATAACTTTCTCTGTAAAGGACTGGGTGCCCCTGGGATGTGTACTACATTCAGCACATATCACTGTTTATTTTGCTATTTCATTTACCTTTTTTGTCTCCTTCACTACTTGGAAGCTCTATGAAGGCAGAGAGTTGTAGTTCCCATGTCTATCCCAGTGCCTGCTTCGTTATACAGTCAATCCATCATTTCTGATGTGATAACTGTGGATTAAGTGGGTTTCTGCAGGTGATTGCCCCCAGGCAAGAGAGCTAAATAGCTATCAAAATTCCCCTGGGACAAGTCGCTGCGGAGCAATATATATTTAGGCAGAGCAGACTTTATTATATTATTTGCTGTCTACTTGGAGCCCAGTACATAATGTGGTTCTGTGATGGCATCAATGTTAAGAAAAGTGATCTTTCAGCCACAGAATCGGCGTTTATGAAAGCCAATGCTTAGTAAGTTCAGTCATATAATGTGTGGAGAGCTATGTTTGCTTCCTGTTGGTTTTATATATGAATGAGAAGTGTCCAATAACTGTCCTGGCACCAAATTATTAATTTTTTGTGGTACACAGATTACAAGGCCAGGATCTGGAGTCAGACTGCCTGGATTTGAATCCTGAATCTTCCACTTATTAATACAAATGTGAGCTCTTGGGGAGGTAAGGTGACAATTCTGTACCTTACTTTCCTTATCTGTAAAATGGAGTTTACAGTAGTAACTTCCTTATAGAATGACTGCGGGGATTAAAGAAGTTAATATGTAAGAAAAGTCTGACACATGGTAGGCACTCCCAATAATTAACTATTATTATTGCCATCTAGTGGTTCTTTTACTGTAGCAGTGGTTTTCCACAATTAAAGCTTAAAATGTCCATACTTAATTGATTAAGTCCTTCCTAAATGTATTTCTTATCTTGGTCATTCTCATCTCAGTAAAAAGTATGCCATCCATCTAATGGTTCAAATTATAAAAATCTAAACGTCAACGGTAACATCTCCGTTTCTTCCACAGCCCACACCAGATATATTTCCAAGGCCTACTGAGTCTAGCTCTCAAATTTGATTAAACTCTGTGTTTGTTCCATCTCTGATTACTCCACATTAACCACTGTTTGCCTGGACTTCTGCAGGAGCTTCCTAACTGGTGCTTGACCTTCTTTAATTCATTGCCCCAATTTTTAAATGCATAGATCAAAGCAGTTTACTTCCAGCTAGGAAGCCTCTGACATCCCAGTGCTTTTAAGACAAAATTCAAATTGCTTATAACCTACAAAGCATGCCAAGCCACTCAAGAGCTGTGAGTTTGCCTACTTCTCAAAGCTTTTGTTGCCAAATTTTTCACCATCAACTGCTAGGGCCATGGTCACGTGAGCCTTTCTGTTTCTTGTCCACAGCAAACTCTTTCTTGTCGACAAGACTTGCTGTTCTCTCTGCCTGAAATATTCTTCCTCAACTCCTTACAAGGCTGAGCATATTAGCCTTGAGATCTTAGTTAAAATATTAAGTGCTTGGAGAAGGGTTTCTTTCCCATTGCTGTTTCTAAGATGGCCTTTGTTATTTACTCTCTCTTTTATCCACTGCTTATTACTTTCCTGGAACTTATTATTTATTTGTTATTTTTATTATCTGTATTTCTTGCTACAAGCACCTCCATGAGGGCAGAAACCTTATCTACCTTTTCACCACTGTTACCCTTTTGACTAACAGAGTACCTGGCACAAAATATAAACATAATAAATATTTGTTGGAAGAACTAAAAGACTGAATGAAGTCTATTGTGGCAAAATTGGTTTGGAGATCAAGAAACCATAGCACTCTCAGTTTATTCATCTATTCGATAAGCATGTATTATGGACCTCCTATAAGTCATTCACGTATTCTTTAGGTGTTGAAAAATAAAAGGTGAGCAAGTCGTCATCTCTAACATTGACTAGAAATGAAGTGTTATGGAAATGCAGAGGAGGGAGTGACTAACTGCTTAAAGAATGAAATACTTTAATGAGTGATATTTGAGTTGCTTTTTAAATTTTATTTATTTATTTATTTATTTTTGAGACAGAATCTTGCTCTGTCACCCAGGCTGGAGTGCAGTGGCATGATCTTGGCTCACTACAACCTCTGCCTCCTGGGTTTGAGCAACTCTCTTGCCTCAGCCTCTTGAGTAGCTGGGATCACAGGTGTGCATCACCATGCCCAGCCAGTGTTTGTATTTTTGTTAGAGGCAGGGCTTCACCCTGTTGGCCAGGCTGGTCTTGAACTCCTGGCTTCATGTGATCCACCTGCCTCAGGCTCCCAAAGGGCTGGGATTACAGGTGTCAGCCACTGCACCTGGCCCTTGAGTTGCTTCTTGATGGATGAATAGGGTCACAAGCTGGGAAAAGAGAAGAATACTTTAGACAGAAGAGCATGCTCAAACATATAAAGAAGGAAACATAAACAGTAGGATTGGGGAAATAGATTGGCTGGTTGGAGTAGTGGTTCAAAGGGGAGCTGGGAAGATAGATAGATAGACTTGTGCTTGATAAGGCGGTACTGGGCTTTTCAGGAAGGAAAAGGAAACAATTTTGAGAGTTTAAGTGGTTCAACATTAACAGATCTAAGTTTCAGAAATATAATTATTATAGAAAAAAGAATAAAATTGGAGGCAGGGAGACATCGATGGGCTATTTTTATTTTTAAATTTTAAAAATATATTTAGAAGATACAGATGTCGTTTTGTTACGTGGATATATTACATAGCAATGAGATCTGGGCTTAACCCTCACCCAAATAGTGTACATTGTATCCAGCAAGTAATTTTTCATCCTTCACCTCTCACACACTCTCCCACCCTTCTGTCTCCAATGTCTATTATTCCACTCTTTATGTCCACGTGTACCTATTAGTTAGCTCCCACTTGGGAGTGAGAACATGCGGTATTTGACTTTCTGTTTCTGAGTTATTTCACTTAAGAGAATGGCCTCCAGTTCCAACCATTTACTGCAAAAGACAAAATTTCAGCCTTTTTTTATGGCTGATTAGTATTCATACACAGACACACACACACACACACATATTTGTATATATATTTCACATTTTCTTTATCTAATCATCTGTCGATGGACACTTAGGTTGATTCCTTATCTTTGCTATTATGAATAGTGCTGTGATAAACATACAGGTGCAGGTATCTTTTTGATATAATGATTTCTTTTCTTTTGAGTACATACCCCAGTAGCAGTATTGCTTGGTAGATTGAATGTTAGACCTATTTTTAGTTCTAGGAGAAATCTCCATGCTATTTTCCATAGACATTGTATTAATTTACATTCCCACCAACAGTGTATAAGCATTCCCTTTTCTCCACGTCCTCACCAACATCTGTTGTTTTTCGACTTTCTAATAATAGCCATTCTGACTGATGTAAGAGAGTATCTCATTGTGGTTTTAATTTGCATTTCTCTGATGATTAGTTATGCGGAGCATTTTTTGATATGCTTCATGGACATTTGTATGTCTTCTTTTGAAAAATGTCTGTTGAGATGTCCTTTCTCCACTTTTCGATGAGGTTATTTGTTTTGTTGTTGTTTGAGTTCCTTGTAGATTCCGGATATTAGTCCTTCCTTTGTCAGATGCATAGTTTACAAATATTTGCTCCCATTCTACACGTTGTCTGTTAACTCTGTTGATTATTTCTTTTGCTGTGCAGAAGTGTTTTAGTTTAATAGGTCTCATTTGTCTATTTTTTGTTTTGTTGCATTTGCTTTTGAGGTCTTAGTCATGAATTATTTACCTGGGCCAATGTGCAGAAGAGTTTTTCCTGTATTTTCTTCTGGTATTTTGAAGTTTCAGGTCTTACATTCAAGTCTTTAATCCATCTTGAGTTATTTTTTGTATATAATGAGAGACAGGGGTCCAGATGCCATTGTAATAGCTCAAGTGACAGATGATGAGGGCCTGGAGTTGAGTAGTAGTACAAGGAGTAGAGAAAAGTATTTCTGCACTCCACTGGGAGACCTTGGGTATGTGGTTCTAGCTAGATCTCCATTTCCTTTCTGTAAAATGAGTTTTGACTAGATAATGTCTGTGATTCCTTTCAGCATGATGATCTCTTACGTGCCTTAGAATTTTTCTTTTGCTATAAATGTATCTGTCTAGTTTCCCATACATGGGAAGAGATGTCATCTATATCTTTCTATCATGTATATATAGACAAGCATATATAGACTATGGAGAAAGATTCAAATTCAAATCCCATATGTACTAATTTCTAGTGGTATGACCCTGTCACTTATTTATGCATTCTGTGCCCCAGCTGCTTCATCTGTAAAATGGGGATAGCAGTACCAGCCTCAAAAAGCTAAGGAGACTAAATGAGACAACAGAGCTAAATTATTTAGTATAGGGTTTGTTAAATTGTGGGTGTCTATAAAGGTATCTATCATCACTGTCCTCATCACTATCATTGTTATCATCATCTCATCATCATCATTATCATCATCATAATCATCTTCACTCTTTCTACCTAGGAAAGTGCTTAACACCTAGAAAATACTTAATGCATTCCTGATGATTGATTGGATGAATGCAGTAAAAGAGAATAATAATTCAGGTAAATTATGCCAAATAAATCTCTACTTAAGCTTTTCCTTCGATTATTTGAATATGATTTTTGTTAATTATATGAAAATATATAACAACAGCTAAGTCTCCAGTGTAAATCTTCACCTTGCCATATTTAGGAAGCTTCATTTGGAATGACATATGTGATGAAATTAGAGTAGATCATAAGAACATGTGGAAGAATTGCCTGGGTTTTCTGACACATTTTCCAATTATTTCTGTTTGTTTTTGGAAATCCATAATGATTAAATTCTTGTAAATTTTTTTGTCATAGATTTTCACACATAATTAATTGAAAGATTTTTATATCATTCTTGGGCTTTTACTATTTGTGTGGGTATAACAGATGGGCAATTCTCAGATTACAGAGCTGCTTTTGTTAGAATGAGTTACTATTGTAGTCAACTCTGGCTTTTTCTGTTTTACTCTTTTAGAAGCACACGTTATTATACATCTTGCATTACTATGTTCTCCTTCATTTTATGTTTCTCCATTTTGGGAGAATTTCAGAACGATGATAATAATATAGTGCCACCTAAAATTATCCCCTCAATTGACAGTGACCTCACCTCTGTCTGTACAACAGGAAAGGAGGAGGGATGTTAACACAGGCCACGTCTGGAACAAGATTGGTTCAGGTCTATACATAAGTACCTTAAAAGCTTAAGATGGACTCTATAGTACAGCAACAGTAATGTTTGAAAATGGCATTGTGCCAAAGGTAGGATAATATTGCCATCTTAAATCTAGCAGATGTGAGTGAAAAAAGCTCTGCAATTAATTCTTTGAAGAAAGAACTCAACATTGAAAGGAAAGAGAACCTGTTCTCATTCTGCCTTTTAAAATTCCTCCTGAATTTCATTACATGGTCTGTTGTTTTCGTAGTCTGTGAGTTTTGAGGACTTACCAACGATATTCCTGTTTTAGTTCTAATCTTTAAAAAATAATTTTGATATCTAAGCATTTTTGTGGCATATTTAATTTTAAATATTTTTGAATCAGGATTCAAGATATTTAGCAAAGTCTTGGATTATCCTGCAGCAAAAGGAACTAATCATTCCCTTTTTTTTGAGACTACATGACTTGATCTGCCAAATGAAAATTTAAAAAAATACTTATTCTGTCAACTGGAAAATAAATGTTCCAAAGACTGTAACTACATCTCTGGCACTCATTGATGGCCTGGAGGAAGGTCGGGTCATCCCAGTGCTCACTAAGCCATCACTGTCTTCCCAGAAACTAAGGAAGCATGCTGCTGGAGGTCACCCAGCACCGCTGTCTATTCTCTACTCTGTTGAAAGAATTTTAAAGAGGTGGCAGCTGGCAGCGATAGTGTGTGTTTGAGATGGGGAGGATGATGAGATAAGAGGAAGAATCACAGTGTCAGAGAATGGTGGGCAGTAATGGGGAGGGAAGGAATGCTTTTGGAATATTCTGGTGTTGACTGATTTACTACAGAGTGTTCTTATGCCTGCCTTTCCAGGTGGAAAGATTGGACAGCCTGTGTGTTCTGCCTTCCTCTTGTCCTGCCCTTTCAAATCTATCTCCCTCAGTGCTGCCAGAATGAACTTCCTACAACACAGGCTTGATCATGCCAACTTCTTGTTTAAAATCCTTTAATGGCCCCATGGTTGCTCTATAGCAGGAAAAGGCAAAACTATAGCCAATGAGCCAAATTTGGTCAAACACTATTTTGTATGGATAGCAAATTACAAATGGTTTTTACGTTTTTAAGTGGTTAGAAAAAAAAAACAAGTATTCTATTCCATGACTTGTGCAAATAATATATAATTCCAATTTCAATGTCTATGAATAAAGTTTTATTGAGCCATGATCATTCACTTTTATATTGGACATGGTTACTTTGCACTATAAAGGCAGAGTTGAATTCAGACTCAAAGGTTCCTTAAGCCTAAAGTGTTTACAATCTGGCTCTTTACAGAAAAAGTTTACTCTGCCCTATGGGGAAAAAAATCCACTGCTTTCTGATTCTCACTTTATTATTCAAGACTAACAGAGAGCTGCCTGGAATATTCCAGCACTGTGCTGTTCCTTCTGTCTGGAATGGCCTGCCTCTAGGCTATTCTCACCCTCTACCAGTTACTACTCCTCAGCCTCTAAGACTCTGCCATAAATCCCTCCAGGAATCTGCTGTGAGAATCCTTCCACTCCTCATGCACCAATCTTTCCACATTAAAGTTTGGATTTTTTCTTTTATTCTTGCTGTGTTCTCATAATACTCTGTGTGTAATCCCATCATTGTTCTTCTCTCTTTACATTGTACCCTCCCTAGAACTGTCAGCTCCCTGGGGACAGAGGTCACATTTTATTCACTAGTGTACTCCTAACATCAAACACTGCATAAGCCAAGTAGGTAAATAATTGATGACTAACGTCAAAGATTCTTTGCTTGGCCAAACTTTAGTCAGGCTTCTGAGTCTTCTGCTAGGTCCATTTGTATACTTCCTTGTACAATCCAGTTTTAGCAAAGAATCCTGCTAAGTTAGTTTAGTAAGAACGCTTATCCTTGATATCTGGTCATACTTGGTATGAGCAGGTTCTTTATCTTCCATCATCCCCAAGGTGATGTCTGATCAAGAATCCCATTTAGTTGGTTTAGCCAGCATCCTCTTACTGCCCCTTGGCTATAAATTCCCACTTGCCTATGTTGTATTCATGGTTGAACCCATTCTCTCTCCCCACTGCACTTCCCCACTGCAATGGTCCCTATACCTATTGCAATGGTCCTGAATATTAAAGAATATTATGAAGTAATTTTTTCTTTAACAGTTATTGTGCTGTGACTCAGATAGGATTAGACTCATCATTGGACCCCCAGGACTCTCACCTAGGACACTGAATGTGTGCCTTTCCTTTGTCTTCTCTCTTGACTGACTGAGGATTCGCTGGTAACTCAGACTTCTGAACCATTGTTCCAGACAAACATTCCTTGAAGCTGGCAAGGACAGATGTTGATTCTAAAGGTATAAGTATACTTTTTGGGGCTGGGTTCCAGTCCCCAGGCTTCTTTTGAAAGGTATCTCTTGGGCTGGAAGCTCTTCTTCCTGCCTCCTTTTTGGGAGTGGGAATTATTCCCCAATTCCCTGGGCTAGAAATCTCTTCTTCCTGGCTTTCTTTTCCTGAGTGGGGATGATTCACTGACTATGAGCTGGAAGTCCTTTTCCTAGCTCTGTAAGACCTCTCTATTCTGTTTCCTCTGTCCTTTGTATTGGGTCTCATGGGAACTTCTCTGTCACCTGAAATCTCTCTTCTTGAACCTCTGCTGACAATCTGCTCTGCCAGCAATGTCTACTCCTGCTAGCACCTTTCCCTTCCCACCCCAGCTCCTTGGTCACTGGAACTTTAGGCACCCTACCCTCCACTGGGGACTCTCAAGGGATTCAGAGTTCCCTCAAAGGCAAGTACTTGAGGTTGAAAAGAGAATTTAAAAGGAACTATTGGGAAACTGGGAAAATGAAAAAAAATTAAATCCTTCTCCACAAATATTGGTAAAAAGCTTTAGCCCTTATTGAATAGGTAAGCTTGACTTGTGCCATTTTTGTCAGAAATACAATTTGGTTAAAAATATAGAGATAAACCAGTGAGTTTCTATTACTTTGTTTTACTGCTTCATGACTAAAATTTTTACATTTTTCAATTGATACATAATAATTGTACATATTTATGCAGTGCATGAGATTTTTTATGTTCTTTTTTTTAATTTTATTTCCTTATTATTATACTTTAAGTTTTAGGGTACATGTGCACAATGTGCAGTTTTGTTACATATGTATACATGTGCCATGTTGGTGTGCTGCACCCATTAACACGTCATTTAGCATTAGTTATATCTCCTAATGCTATCCCTCCCCACTCCCCCCACCCCACAACAGTCCCCAGAGTGTGATGTTCCCCTTCCTGTGTCCATGTGTTCTCATTGTTCAATTCCCACCTATGACTGAGAACATGCGGTGTTTGGTTTTTTGTCCTTGTGATATTTTACTGAGAATGATGATTTCCTGTTTCATCCATGTCCCTACAAAGGACATGAACTCATCATTTTTTATGGCTGCATAGTATTCCATGGTGTATATGTGCCACATTTTCTTAATCCAGTCTATCATTGTTGGACATTTGGGTTGGTTCCAAGTCTTTGCTATTGTGAATAGAGCCACAATAAACATACATGTGCATGTGTCTTTATAGCAGCATGATTTATAGTCCTTTGGGTATATACCCAGTAATGGGATGGCTGGGTCAAATGGTATTTCTAGTTGTAGATCCCTGAGGAATTGCCACACTGACTTCCACAATGGTTGAACTAGTTTACATTCCCACCAACAGTGTAAAAGTGTCCCTGTTTCTCCACATCCTCTCCAGCACCTGTTGTTTCCTGACTTTTTAATGATTGCCATTCTAACTGGTGTGAGATGGTATCTCATTGTGGTTTTGATTTGCATTTTTCTGATGGCCAGTGATGATGAGCATTTTTTCATGTGTTTTTTGGCTGCATAAATGTCTTCTTTTGAGAAGTGTCTGTTCATACCCTTCGCCCACTTTTTGATGGGGTTGTTTGTTTTTTTCTTGTAAATTTGTTTGAGTTCATTGTAGATTCTGGATATTAGCCCTTTGTCCGATGAGTAGATTGCGAAAATTTTCTCCCATTTTGTAGGTTGCCTGTTCACTCTGATGGTAGTTTCTTTTGCTGTGCAGAAGCTCTTTAGTTTAGTTAGATCCCATTTGTCAATTTTGGCTTTTGTTGCCATTGCTTTTGGTGTTTTAGACATGAAGTCCTTGCCCATGCCTATGTCCTGAATGGTAATGCCTAGGTTTTCTTCTAGGGTTTTTATGGTTTTAGGTCTAACATGTAAGTCTTTACCCCATCTTGCATTAATTTTCGTATAAGGTGTAAGGAAGGGATCTAGTTTCAGCTTTCTACATATGGCTAGCCAGTTTTCCCAGCAACATTTATTAAATAGGGAATCCTTTTCCCATTGCTTGTTTTTCTCAGGTTTGTCAAAGATCAGATAGTTGTAGATAAGCGGCATTATTTCTGAGGGCTCTGTTCTGTTCCATTGATCTATATCTCTGTTTTAGTACCAGTACCATGTTGTTTTAGTTACTGCAGCCTTGTAGTATAGTTTGAAGTCAGGTAGCATGATGCCTCCAGCTTTGTTCTTTTGTCTTAGGATTGACTTGGTGATGCGGGCTCTTTTTTGGTTCTATATGAACTTTAAAGTAGTTTTTCCCAATTCTGTGAAGAAAGTCATTGGTAGCTTGATGCGGATGGCATTGAATCTATAAATTACCTTGGGCAGTATGGCCATTTTCACAATATTGATTCTTCCTACCCATGAGCATGGAATGTTCTTCCATTTGTTTGTATCCTCTTTTATTTCATTGAGCAGTGGTTTGTAGTTCTCCTTGAAGAGGTCCTTCACGTCCCTTGTAAGGTGGATTCCTAGGTATTTTATTCTCTTTGAAGCAATTGTGAATGGGAGTTCACTCATGATTTGGCTCTCTGTTTGTCTGTTACTGGTGTATAAGAATGCTTGTGATTTTTGTACATTGACTTTGTATCCTGAGACTTTGCTGAAATTGCTTATCAGCTTAAGGAGATTTTGGGCTGAGACAATAGGGTTTTCTAGATATACAATCATGTCATCTGCAAACAGGGACAATTTGACTTCCTCTTTTCCTAACTGAATACCCTTTATTTCCTTCTCCTGCCTGATTGCCCTGGCCAGAACTTCCAACACTATGTTGAGTAGGAGTGGTGAGAGAGGGCATCCCTGTCTTGTGCCAGTTTTCAAAGGGAATGCTTCCAGTTTTTGCCCATTCAGTATGATATTGGCTGTGGGTTTGTCATAGATAGCTCTTATTATTTTGAGATACATCCCATCAATACCTAATATATTGACAGTTTTTAGCATGAAGGTTGTTGAATTTTGTCAAAGGCCTTTTCTGCATCTATTGAGATAATGATGTGGTTTTTGTCTTTGGTTCTGTTTATATGCTGGATTACATTTATTGATTTGCGTATGTTGAACCAGCCTTGCATCCCAGGGATGAAGCCCACTTGATCATGGTGGATAAGCTTTTTGATGTGCTGCTGGATTCGGTTTGCCAGTATTTTATTGAGGATTTTAGCATCAATGTTCATCAAGGATATTGGTCTAAAATTCTCTTTTTTTGTTGTGTCTCTGCCAGGCTTTGGTATCAGGATGATGCTGGCCTCATAAAATGAGTTAGGGAGGATTCCTTCTTTTTCTATTGATTGGAATAGTTTCAGAAGGAATGGTACCAGTTCCTCCTTGTACCTCTGGTAGAATTTGGCTGTGAATCCATCTGGCCCTGGACTCTTTTTGGTTGGTAAGCTATTGATTATTGCCACAATTTCAGAGCCTGTTATTGGTGTATTCAGAGATTCAACTTCTTCCTGGTTTAGTCTTGGAAGGGTGTGTGTTTTGAGGAATTTATCCATTTCTTCTAGATTTTCTAGTTTATTTGCGTAGAAGTGTTTGTAGTATTCTCTGATGGTAGTTTGTATTTCTGTGGGATTGGTGGTGATATCACCTTTATCATTTTTTATTGCATCTATTTGATTCTTTTCTCTTTTCTTATTAGTCTTGTTAGCGGTCTATCAATTTTGTTGATCTTTCCAAAAAACCAGCTCCTGGATTCATTAATTTTTTGAAGGGTTTTTTGTGTCTCTATTTCCTTCAGTTCTGCTCGGATTTTAGTTATTTCTTGCCGTCTGCTAGCTTTTGAATGTGTTTGTTCTTGCTTTTCTAGTTCTTTGAATTGTGATGTTAGGGTGTCAATTTTGGATCTTTCCTGCTTTCTCTTGTGGGCATTTAGTGCTATAAATTTCCCTCTACACACTGCTTTGAATGTGTCCCAGAGATTCTAGTATGTTGTGTCTTTGTTCTCGTTGGTTTCAAAGAACAAATTTTTTTCTGCCTTCATTTTGTTATGTACCCAGTAGTCATTCAGGAGCAGGTTGTTCAGTTTCCATGTATTTGAGCAGTTTTGAGTGCGTTTCTTAATCCTGAGTTCTAGTTTGATTGCACTGTGGTCTGAGAGACAGTTGGTTATAATTTCTGTTCTTTTACATTTGCTGAGGAGAGCTTTACTTCCAACTATGTGGTCAATTTTGGAATAGGTGTGGTGTGGTGCTGAAAAAAATGTATATTCTGTTGATTTGGGGTGGAGAGTTCTGTAGATGTCTATTAGGTCTGCTTGGTGCAGAGCTGAGTTCAATTCCTGGGTATCCTTGTTAACTTTCTGTCTCGTTGATCTGTCTAATGTTGACAGTGGGGTGTGAAAGTCTCCCATTATTATTATGTGGGAGTCTAATTCTCTTTGTAGGTCACTCAGGACTTGCTTTATGAATCTCGGTGCTCCTGTATTGGGTGCATATATATTTAGGATAGTTAGCTATTCTTGTTGAATTGATCCCTTTACAATTATGTAATGGCCTTCTTTGTCTCTTTTGATCTTTATTCGTTTAAAGTCTGTTTTATCAGAGACTAGGATTGCAACCCCTGCCTTTTTTTGTTTTCCATTTGCTTGGTAGATCTTCCTCCATCCTTTTATTTTGAGCCTATGTGTGTCTCTGCACGTGAGATGGGTTTCCTGAATAAGCACACTGATGGGTCTTGACTCTTTATCCAATTTGTCAGTCTGTGTCTTTTAATTGGAGCATTTAGCCCATTTACATTTTAAGGTTAATATTGTTATGTGTGAATTTGATCCTGTCATTATGATGTTAGCTGGTTATTGTGCTCGTTAGTTGATGCAGTTTCTTCCTAGCCTTGATGGTCTTTACAATTTGGCATGATTTTGCAGTGGCTGGTACCAGTTGTTCCTTTCCGTGTTTAGTGCTTCCTTCAGGAGCTCTTGTAGGGCAGGCGTGGTGGTGACAAAATCTCTCAGTATTTGCTTGTCTGTAAAGTATTTTATTTCTCCTTCACTTAGGAAGCTTAGTTTGGCTGGATATGAAATTCTGGGTTGAAAATTCTTTTCTTTAGGCATGTTGAATACTGGCCCCCACTCTCTTCTGGCTTATAGAGTTTCTGTCAAGAGATCCGCTGTTAGTCTGATGGGCTTCCCTTTGTGGGTAACCCCACCTTTCTCTCTGGCTGCCCTTAACATTTTTTCCTTCATTTCAACTTTGGTGAATCTGACAATTATATGTCTTGGAGATGCTCTTCTCGAGGAGTATCTTTGTGGTGTTCTCTGTATTTCCTGAAACTGAATGTTGGCCTGCCTTGCTAGATTGGGGAAGTTCTCCTGGATAATATCCTGCAGAGTGTTTTCCAACTTGGTTCCATTCTCCCCGTCACTTTCAGGTACACCAATCAGATGTAGATTTGGTCTTTTCACATAGTCCCATATTTCGTGGAGGCTTTGTTCATTTCTTTTTATTCTTTTTTCTCTGAACTTCCCTTCTTGCTTCATTTCATTCATTTCATCTTCCATCACTGATACCCTTTCTTCCAGTTGATCGCATCGGCTCCTGAGGCTTCTGCATTCCTCACGTAGTTCTCGAGCCTTGGTTTTCAGCTCCATCAGCTCCTTTAAGCACTTCTCTACATTGGTTATTCTAGTTATACATTTGTCTAAATTTTTTTCAAAGTTTTTAACTTCTTTGCCTTTGGTCTGAATTTCCTCCTGTAGCTCGGAGTAGTTTGATTGTCTGAAGTCTTCTTCTCTCAACTCGTCAAAGTCATTCTCCATCCAGCTTTGTTCCGTTGCTGGTGAGGAACTGCTTTCCTTTGGAGGAGGAGAGGCACTCTGCTCTTTAGAGTTTCCAGTTTTTCTGCTCTGTTTTTTCCCCATCTTTGTGGTTTTATCTACTTTTGGTCCTTGATGATGGTGATGTACAGTTGGGTTTTTGGTGTGGATGTCCTTTCTGTTTGTTAGTTTTCCTTCTAACAGACAGGACCCTCAGCTGCAGGTCTGTTGGAGTTTGCTAGAGGTCCACTCCAGACCCTGTTTGCCTGGGTACCTGCAGCGGTGGCTGCAGAACAGCAGATTTTCGTGAACCCCGAATGCTGCTGTCTGATCATTCCTTGGGAAGTTTTGTCTCAGAGAAGTACCCGGCCGTGTGAGGTGTCAGTCTGCCCCTACTCGAGGGTGCCTCCCAGTCAGGCTGCTCGGGGGTCAGGGGTCAGGGACCCACTTGAGGAGGCAGTCTGCCCGTTCTCAGATCTCCAGCTACATGCTGGGAGAACCACTGCTCTCTTCAAAGCTGTCAGATAGGGACATTTAAGTCTGCAGAGGTTACTGCTGTCTTTTTGTTTGTCTGTGCCCTGCCCCCAGAGGTGGAGCCTACAGAGGCAGGCAGGCCTCCTTGAGCTGTGGTGGGCTCCACCCAGTTCGAGCTTCCCTGCTGCTTTGTTTACCTAAGCAAGCCTGGGCAATGGCAGGCGCCCCTCCCCCAGACTCACTGCCGCCTTGCAGTTTGATCTCAGACTGCTGTGCTAGCAATCAGTGAGACTCTGTGGGCATAGGACCCTCTGAGCCAGGTGTGGGATATAATCTCCTGGTGTGCCGTTTTTTAAGCCCATTGGAAAAGCACAGTATTAGGGTAGGAGTGATCCGATTTTCCAGGTGCTGTCTGTCACCCCTTTCTTTGACTAGGAAAGGGAACTCCCTGACCCCTTGTGCTTCCCGAGTGAGGCAATGCCTCGCCCTGCTTCGGCTCGCACAGAGTGCGCTGCACCCACTGTCCTGCACCCACTGTCTGGCACTCCCTAATGAGATGAACCCAGTACCTCAGATGGAAATGCAGAAATCACCCGTCTTCTGCATCACTCACGCTGGGAACTGTAGACTGGAGCTGTTCCTATTCGGCCATCTTGGCTCCCAGCTGAATGCATGAGATATTTTGATACACGCTGACAATGTGTAATGATCAACTCGGAGTAATTAGGACATCCATCACCTCATTTAGTATTTCTTTGTGTTAAGAACATTCTAGATATTCTCTTCTATCTATTTTGAAGTATGCAATAAATTATTAATACCTGTATTCACCCTACTATGGTATTGAACACTAGAATTTATTCCTTCTATCTAACTGTATTTTTGTACTCATTAACCACATGCTTTGTACACTTCTTCCCCTTTTCCTTCCCAACTTCTGGTAATCACCATTTTATTCCCTACCTCCAAGAGATCAACTTTTTCTTTAGCTCCTACATATCCGTGAGAACATGCAAAATTTTTCTTTCTGTGCCTGGGTTATTTCATTTAACATAATGTCTTCTAGGCTCATCCATGTTGCTACAAATGAAAGGATTATTTTTAACAGCTGAATAATAGTACTACATTGTGTATATATACTGCATTGTCTTTATTTAGTCATCCTTTGATGAAACTTAGGTTAATGTCATTTCTTGGCTACTGTAAATAATGCTGCAATGAACATGGGAGTACAGTTAGCTCTTCTATGTACTGATTTCCTTTCTTTTGGCTACAGACCCAGCAGTGGGATTGGCTGGATCATACGGTAGTTCCAGTTTTCATTTTATGAGTAAACTCCATACTGTTTTTCGTACTGAATGTACTAACTTACATTCCCACCAATAGTGTATAAGTGTTCCCTTTTCTCTGTATTCTCATCACCATCTGTTATTTATTCCGTGACTAAAATTTTTAAAATAAAATGCCATAAGATCTGGTTGCATCTGTCTGTATGTTTATGTATGTGTACATGTATATATCTATGTTTGTATGATAGGTATACATGATATTTTTCTACATTCAATGGCATTACAAATCTAAAATACCCAAATTGGCTTAGGAGTAAATGAGCACTCAAACAAATTAAGTATTCATAAAACTCTCAGAAAAATAGAAACTTACCAAAATGGTTTTTTGAATTCATACAAATTGCTTAATTGCCTAAGTGAAAACAAATTAATGGAGTTGCAAAAGAATTGTGAAAATTGTATCTTGTTTAGTCAAAGCTGACTGAGATTGGATGGATTTGTTATAAAGTTTTATTAAAAATTAATTTTAGTAGTACATCAATGCAAAAGTAGAATTTGGTATTCTCTGTTAAAAAGTCGAGGGCAGAAACAGAAACAATTAATGTTATTATATCTGCTGACCACTCATGCTGATGAAATTGCATGTTTCCCTTTGTCAGAGAAATTAAAAATCATCATGAGCTTTACCTGGTGAACTTTAAATATACTGACAAAAACTCCAATTTTCTTGGATTAAAATAAAATCTTGCCATTGATACCCTCAAATGATAATAACTTAGAGAAAATGTTAAATTGGGGTAATTTATGACTGAAGAGAAATTTTTGCAGTGAATGCAATACACATATTTTATTTAAATATTTGTGAAATAAATATCAATCTTTTCATGTTAGTAAAAACATTTGTTTTATACTTATGGCTAAAATTCAGTCTTCCTCAGAACTCCTCACTGTACCCCACACCTTTTTTTAATTCTGGAATGACTATTTTTAAATTTTTTAAAAGTTTTTTTAATGATGCATGATAGATGCACATAGTTTTGGGGTACATGTGATAATACATTCAAATAATTTGTAAAGATCGAATCAGTGTACTTTGCATATTTATCACCTTAAATATTTGTCATTTCGTTTTGCTTGAAACATTCAAACTATTCTCTCCAGCTATTTTGAAAAGTACAATAGATTATTGTAAATATAGCCACCCTATTGATCTAACACTACATCTTATTTCTTTTATCTAACTATATATTTGTATTAGTTATTTTTAAATGTGTTTTGTTTTAAGAATAATTCTTAAATTGTTCCATTGCTTTGATTTGGAAGTTTGTCCCCTCCAAAATTCATGTGAAACTTAATCCCCAATGTAACAATATTAAGAGGTGGAGCCTTTAGGAAGTGATTAGCCTTAGGAAGTGATGAGGGTTCACCCTCATTGATGGGATTCGTGTTTTATAAGAAGGCTTGAAGAGGTGAGTTCAACTCTTCCATTCTTTCTGCCATGTGTGGATGCAGCTAGAGGTGCCATATTGGAAGCAGAGTGCAGCTCTTGTGAGATACCAAGTTTCCTAGTGCCTTGATCTTGGACTCCAACTCCAGAACTCAGAAAACATATTTCTGTTCTTCATAGATAATCGAGGTATTCTGTTATAGCAGCAGGAACAGACTAAGACAATTCTATAGCAGAGTAATGATAAAATAGGAACATGTTACAAATTCATATAAGACTTATTTTTGAGAAAAAATATTTATTCATACTGTAAAAAGTGAAAGCTAAATGTATTGTTTGTTTGCAACCTCCTCGGGCAAAGTATCTATAAAATCTGTTCCTATCTGTTCCTAAAAATCTGCTTTTTCCTACATGATAGCATTTTGGAACTTGAACAGTTAATTCTTATTCATTTCTCAGTCTTCCTTTGTATACAAAATGAGAAATTCAGATACATTGCTTATTCAAATGTATTGTAGAAGAACCAGATGAGTTTCATTCGAAATATGAAAATTTTAAACATCACAACCAGAGAACACTGCCGGACATGAAATTTCTGCCACTCTTTTTTGTGATTTTCTTTATCAAGTTCATGCTGAACATGGGGTTTATCTTAGCTGGGCATTGAGTTTTGGTGGTTTTATCACAAAATTAGGATTCTTTTTCCTTTCATCAGCCTTTTATTAAGCATCAACTTCAATAAATCATAGGCATTTTGTATTGCTACTTATCATAGCCATAGTTACTGTAGATAAAACCAGAGAGAGAGAACTTTTGAATTCAAGGATAAAGAGGCATCTAATTGCCATAAACGTCCAAATAATAAAAAGTTATGGAAAAAATATACCCCTTTTATTTATTTTTAAACTATTATTGTTCTCTGTCCTATGTACTGGTCTGGCAGAAAGCTGTGGTATGAATGACATGTAGATCAACAAGAAAAACTACCAAGCCAACCTCTTAAAATGAGGCTAGTCCTGACAGGTCGAGGATCAGCTCTAGGTGCTGCAAAGCTTCTGCAGAATACTGTGATTTGGTTTTCTACGTTGTTTCAACAATGATTGCTTCATCCAAGTGGGGGCAGGGGCAGTACCAAGGATGGCCCTTTACTTCCTGACACACGCACTCTGCGTTGAACAACTACCCCTGAAGATTACACTTATAGCTCAAGTATCCAAATCAATATTTTTTTCTAGAAAAGGTGATGCTGAGAAAAGGCTAAGCAGGTTTGCTAGAACACTGTGATAGATTAACTGCAGAATTCTTCCTGTAGGATTGGGGATATAACGGGCTTCACTAACCTTCCCTAGGCAGTGAAACATCCCCCAAATCTGATGGATCTAGAGTCA
Source organism: Homo sapiens (assembly GCF_000001405.40). Classification (NCBI taxonomy): domain Eukaryota; kingdom Metazoa; phylum Chordata; class Mammalia; order Primates; family Hominidae; genus Homo; species Homo sapiens. Next base: position 119,070,175 of record NC_000004.12, on the reverse strand, counting down.
GGGAAGTCTGCTTTTGTACCTGCTGGGCCCCAAAGTTGGGCATTTTTCTCTCTGTTCCCTCTCTTTTGAAAATGTAAAATAAAACCAAAAATAGACAACTTTTCCTTCAGCCATTCCAGCATAGAGAACAAAACCTTATGGAAACAGGAATGTCAATTGTGTAATCATTGTTCTAATTAGGTAAATAGAAGTCCCTATGTATGTGTTACAAGAATTTCCCCCACAACATCCTTTATGACTTAAGTTCAATGACAGTTTGCCTTTGGTAGTAAAGGATTTTCTCCATGGCCTGTATTAAGACCATTAGAAAGCACCAGGCCATGGGAGCAGTGATCATCTGCTGACTGTTCTCGTGGATCTTGTGTCCAGGGACATGGGGCGATGTGCCTCGTATGTGTTAGAGGGTGGAATGGATGTGTTTGGCACTGCATGGGATCTGGTGCCCCTCTTCTCCTGGATTTGCATCCCCACCCAGGGCCCGCTTTTACTAAGTGTTCTGCCCTAGCTTGGTTCAAGGAGGTCATCCAACTGACTTTATCCAGTGGAATTGGGATATATTTGATATACTTTTGCCTAACAACATGGAAAAGGGTTTTCCTTTCCCTGCATCCTACTGCTTTGAACTTCCAAGTATGTCTACTCACCTTTTAAAATGTAAACATTTTCAGAAAAATGAGGATTGCTTTCCTTGTATGCACTTTTTATCTTGACTACCTGAATTGCAAGGAATTTTTATATATTCATATGTTCCAAAGTCAGCAACTCTCCTGTTGGTTCATTATTGAATGTGCTGTAAATTAAGTCTTTTGCAATTAAAATGAGGTTTGCCCACATCCAAAAAAAAAAAAGAAAGAAAGAAAAGACTAAGCAGGAAATCCTATCTCTATCTCTATATGTTCATAGTACTATAGACAAGCTTCTTCAGGGGGAATTTAGCCTAAAATAAGATTGTGCCTTTCCTTACATATAACCTGTTATACTTTGTTTGGTAATTTAGAGCAAACCTCATGCTTATTCAAATGATCATGATGAGACAATACTGCCTTATTTTATAAAGCCTCTTCAGACTCTCAGTAAGACAAATAAACTGTGACATTTTGAGGAGTCAGTGAAGCTTTTTCCTCTTGGACAGTGGTGGGAGTAAAGTTTATGGAGAAGGGGGACAGAAAAGTCAAGAAGAAGAAAAGTACAATATAGCAAATCTTTACTACAACTTTAGAGAGAGAAAAAGTGTATCAGAGCAAGATACATTGGAGGCATTTCCTCCTTAAATGCCCTTCATAAAATTACTTGATTTTTATTGGGGGAGGGAGGAAATTGCCAGATCCTTTCTAAAAATATAAACTGTCATGTTTTATAGGGCTATAAAAAATGAAACGCCACTTCATGGTAAGTACTGTTCTGTTAAATTTGAGAAGTCACAGATCTTGTGATTTTCCAAAATTGCAGAGAAGGAGCATTTTGTGCTAAATGCTTCTGTTATTATGTGGACTAGGGAAACACTGACTAATCTTCAGGTATTTCTGTTGCTGTCTTCCTGGGAGACAAGCAAGGGAATTGAACTCTCCTTGCCTCGGGCTGCCTGTTGGCGCTGTATGCAGATGACACCACCTACCTCTCAGTATGTTTTGAAGTTTATTGTTTAGTAAGCACTAGGATTCCTTAGAAAAAACAGGCTCTTTATATAGCATTAGCATTTTAAGGTAGTCTAGTACTCTTAACTCATTTAAATGTTTAAAACACTCTTCGTTCTTTTTCTTTTGTTTTTTCAACAGAATCTCACTCTACCGCAGTCTGGAGGGCAGTGGTGCGACCTTGGTTCACTGCAATCTCTACCTCCTGGGTTCAAGTGATTTTTGTGCCTCAGCCTCCTGAATAGCTGGGATTACAGGTGCACACCACCATGCCTGGCTAATTTTTATGTTTTTAATAGAGAGGGGGTTTCACCATGTTGGCCAGGCTGGTCTTGAATTCCTGACCTCAAGTGATCCACCCACCTCGGCCTCCCAAAGTGCTAGAATTACAGGTGTGAGCCACGCACCCAGCCTCATTCTTAAAGTAAAGTTTTCAAGTACCAGCCTTTAAAAAAATATTTTTTGACACATATGTGATAGGTGGAGCCAAGATGGCCGAATGGGAACAGCTCTGGTCTACAGCTCCCAGCGTGAGCAACGCAGAAGACGGGTGATTTCTGCATTTCCATCTGAGGTACCGAGTTCATCTCACTAGGGAGTGCCAGACAGTGGGCACAGGACAGTGGGTGCAGCGCACCGTGTGCCAGCCAAAGCAGGGCGAGGCATTACCTCACTCGGGAAGTGCAAGGGATCAGGGAGTTCCCTTTCCTAGTCAAAGAAAGGGGCCACAGACGGCACCTGGAAAATCGGGTCACTCTCACCCTAATACTGCACTTTTCTGACCGGCTTAAAAAAAGGCACACCAGGAGACTATATCCCACACCTGGCTGGGAGGGTCCTACGCCCACGGAGTCTCGCTGATTGCTAGCACAGCAGTCTGAGATCAAACTGCAAGGCGGCAGTGAGTCTGGGGGAGGGGCGCCTGCCATTGCCCAGGCTTGCTTAGGTAAACAAAGCAGCAGGGAAGCTCGAACTGGGTGGAGCCCACCACAGCTCAAGGAGGCCTGCCTGCCTCTGTAGGCTCCACCTCTGGGGGCAGGGCACAGACAAACAAAAAGACAGCAGTAACCTCTGCAGACTTAAATGTCCCTATCTGACAGCTTTGAAGAGAGCAGTGGTTCTCCCAGCATGCAGCCGGAGATCTGAGAACGGGCAGACTGCCTCCTCAAGTGGGTCCCTGACCCCTGACCCCCGAGCAGCCTGACTGGGAGGCACCCCCGAGTAGGGGCAGACTGACACCTCACACGGCCGGCCGGGTACTTCTCTGAGACAAAACTTCCCGAGGAATGATCAGACAGCAGCATTCGCGGTTCACGAAAATCTGCTGTTCTGCAGCCACCACTGCGGGTACCCAGGCAAACAGGGTCTGGAGTGGACCTCTAGCAAACTCCAACAGACCTGCAGCTGAGGGTCCTGTCTGTTAGAAGGAAAACTAACAAACAGAAAGGACATCCACACCAAAAACCCAACTGTACATCACCATCATCAAGGACCAAAAGTAGATAAAACCACAAAGATGGGGAAAAAACAGAGCAGAAAAACTGGAAACTCTAAAAAGCAGAGTGCCTCTCCTCCTCCAAAGGAACGCAGTTCCTCACCAGCAACGGAACAAAGCTGGATGGAGAATGACTTTGACGAGTTGAGAGAAGAAGGCTTCAGACGATCAAACTACTCCGAGCTACAGGAGGAAATTCAGACCAAAGGCAAAGAAGTTAAAAACTTTGAAAAAAATTTAGACAAATGTATAACTAGAATAACCAATGCAGAGAAGTGCTTAAAGGAGCTGATGGAGCTGAAAGCCAAGGCTCGAGAACTACGTGAGGAATGCAGAAGCCTCAGGAGCCGAAGCAATCAACTGGAAGAAAGGGTATCAGTGATGGAAGATGAAATGAATGAAATGAAGCAAGAAGGGAAGTTCAGAGAAAAAAGAATAAAAAGAAACGAACAAAGCCTCCAAGAAATATGGAACTATGTGAAAAGACCAAATCTACGTCTGATTGGTGTACCTGAAAGTGACGGGGAGAATGGAACCAAGTTGGAAAACACTCTGCAGGATATTATCCAGGAGAACTGCCCCAATCTAGCAAGGCAAGCCAACATTCAGTTTCAGGAAATACAGAGAACACCACAAAGATACTCCTCGAGAAGAGCAACTCCAAGACACATAATTGTCAGATTCACCAAAGTTGAAATGAAGGAAAAAATGTTAAGGGCAGCCAGAGAGAAAGGTGGGGTTACCCACAAAGGGAAGCCCATCAGATTAACAGCGGATCTCTCTGCAGAAACTCTACAAGCCAGAAGAGAGTGGGGGCCAGTATTCAACATGCTTAAAGAAAATAATTTTCAACCCAGAATTTCATATCCAGCCAAACTAAGCTTCCTAAGTGAAGGAGAAATAAAATACTTTACAGACAAGCAAATACTGAGAGATTTTGTCACCACCACGCCTGCCCTACAAGAGCTCCTGAAGGAAGCACTAAACACGGAAAGGAACAACCGGTACCAGCCACTGCAAAATCATGCCAAATTGTAAAGACCATCAAGGCTAGGAAGAAACTGCATCAACTAACGAGCAAAATAACCAGCTAACATCATAATGACGGGATCAAATTCACACATAACAATATTAACCTTAAATGTAAATGGGCTAAATGCTCCAATTAAAAGACACAGACTGACAAATTGGATAAAGAGTCAAGACCCATCAGTGTGCTTATTCAGGAAATCCATCTCATGTGCAGAGACACACATAGGCTCAAAATAAAGGGATGGAGGAAGATCTACCAAGCAAATGGAAAACAAAAAAAGCAGGGGTTGCAATCCTAGTCTCTGATAAAACAGACTTTAAACCAACAAAGATCAAAAGAGACAAAGAAGGCCATTACATAATTGTAAAGGGATCAATTCAACAAGAATAGCTAACTATCCTAAATATATATGCACCCAATACAGGAGCACCGAGATTCATAAAGCAAGTCCTGAGTGACCTACAAAGAGACTTAGACTCCCACATAATAATAATGGGAGAGTTTAACACCCCACTGTCAACATTAGACAGATCAACGAGACAGAAAGTTAACAAGGATACCCAGGAATTGAACTCAGCTCTGCACCAAGCAGACCTAATAGACATCTACAGAACTCTCCACCCCAAATCAACAGAATATACATTTTTTTCAGCACCACACCACACCTATTCCAAAATTGACCACATAGTTGGAAGTAAAGCTCTCCTCAGCAAATGTAAAAGAACAGAAATTATAACCAACTGTCTCTCAGACCACAGTGCAATCAAACTAGACCTCAGGATTAAGAAACGCACTCAAAACTGCTCAAATACATGGAAACTGAACAACCCGCTCCTGAATGACTACTGGGTACATAACAAAATGAAGGCAGAAACAAAGATCTTCTTTGAAACCAATGAGAACAAAGACAGAACGTACCAGAATCTCTGGGACACATTCAAAGCAGTGTGTAGAGGGAAATTTATAGCACTAAATGCCCACAAGAGAAAGCAGGAAAGATCCAAAATTGACACCCTAACATCACAATTCAAAGAACTAGAAAAGCAAGAACAAACACATTCAAAAGCTAGCAGACGGCAAGAAATAACTAAAATCCGAGCAGAACTGAAGGAAATAGAGACACAAAAAACCCTTCAAAAAATTAATGAATCCAGGAGCTGCTTTTTGAAAGGATCAACAAAATTGACAGACCGCTAGCAAGACTAATAAAGAAAAAAAGAGAGAAGAATCAAATAGACGCTATAAAAAATGATAAAGGGGATATCACCACCGATCCCACAGGAATACAAACTACCATCAGAGAATACTACAAACACCTCTACGCAAATAACCACTAGAAAATCTAGAAGAAATGGATAAATTCCTCAACACATACGCTCTCCCAAGACTAAACCAGGAAGAAGTTGAATCTCTGAATACACCAATAACAGGCTCTGAAATTGTGGCAATAATCAATAGCTTACCAACCAAAAAGAGTCCAGGGCCAGGTGGATTCACAGCCAAATTCTACCAGAGGTACAAGGAGGAACTGGTACCATTCCTTCTGAAACTATTCCAATCAATAGAAAAAGAGGGAATCCTCCCTAACTCATTTTATGAGGCCAGCATCATTCTGATACCAAAGCCTGGCAGAGACACAACAAAAAAAGAGAATTTTAGACCAATATCTTTGATGAACATTGATGCAAAAATCCTCAATAAAATACTGGCAAACCAAATCCAGCAGCACATCAAAAAGCTTATCCACCATGATCAAGTGGGCTTCATCCCTGGGATGCAAGACTGGTTCAACATACGCAAATCAATAAATGTAATCCAGCATATAAACAGAACCAAAGACAAAAACCACATCATTATCTCAATAGATGAAGAAAAGATCTTTGAAAAAATTCAACAACCCTTCATGCTAAAAACTGTCAATATATTAGGTATTGATGGGATGTATCTCGAAATAATAAGAGCTATCTATGACAAACCCACAGCCAATATCATACTGAATGGGCAAAAACTGGAAGCATTCCCTTTGAAAACTAGCACAAGACAGGGATGCCCTCTCTCACCACTCCTACTCAACATAGTGTTGGAATTTCTGGCCAGGGCAATTAGGCAGGAGAAGGAAATAAAGGGTATTCAGTTAGGAAAAGAGGAAGTCAAATTGTCCCTGTTTGCAGATGACATGATTGTATATCTAGAAAACCCTATTGTCTCAGCCCAAAATCTCCTTAAGCTGATAAGCAATTTCAGCAAAGTCTCAGGATACAAAGTCAATGTACAAAAATCACAAGCATTCTTATACACCAGTAACAGACAAACAGAGAGCCAAATCATGAGTGAACTCCCATTCACAATTGCTTCAAAGAGAATAAAATACCTAGGAATCCACCTTACAAGGGACGTGAAGGACCTCTTCAAGGAGAACTACAAACCACTGCTCAATGAAATAAAAGAGGATACAAACAAATGGAAGAACATTCCATGCTCATGGGTAGGAAGAATCAATATTGTGAAAATGGCCATACTGCCCAAGGTAATTTATAGATTCAATGCCATCCGCATCAAGCTACCAATGACTTTCTTCACAGAATTGGAAAAAACTACTTGAAAGTTCATATGGCACCAAAAAAGAGCCCGCATCACCAAGTCAATCCTAAGCCAAAAGAACAAAGCTGGAGGCATCACGCTACCTGACTTCAAACTATACTACAAGGCTACAGTAACCAAAACAGCATGGTACTGGTACCAAAACAGAGATATAGACCAATGGAATAGAACAGAGCCCTCAGAAATAACGCCGCATATCTACAACTATGTGATCTTTGACAAACCTGAGAAAAACAAGCAATGGGGAAAGGATTCCCTATTTAATAAATGTTGCTGGGAAAACTGGCTAGCCATATGTAGAAAGCTGAAACTGGATCCCTTCCTTACACCTTATATGAAAATTAATTCAAGATGGAGTAAAGACTTACATGTTAGACATAAAACCATAAAAACCCTAGAAGAAAACCTAGGCATTACCATTCAGGACATAGGCATGGGCAAGGACTTCATGTCTAAAACACCAAAAGCAATGGCAACAAAAGCCATAATTGACAAATGGGATCTAATTAAACTAAAGAGCTTCTGCACAGCAAAAGAAACTACCATCAGAGTGAACAGGCAACCTACAAAATGGAAGAAAATTTTCGCAACCTACTCATCTGACAAAGGGCTAATATCCAGAATCTACAATGAACTCAAACAAATTTACAAGAAGAAAACAAACAACCCCATCAAAAAGTGGGTGAAGGATATGAGCAGACACTTCTCAAAAGAAGACATTTATGCAGCCAAAAAACACATGAAAAAATGCTCACCACCACTGGCCATCAGAGAAATGCAAATCAAAACCACAATGAGATACCATCTCACACCAGTTAGAATGGCAATCATTAAATGTCAGGAAACAACAGGTGCTGGAGAGGATGTGGAGAAATAGGAACACTTTTACACTGTTGGTGGGACTGTAAACTAGTTCAACCATTGTGGAAGTCAGTGTGGCAATTCCTCAGGGATCTAGAACTAGAAATACCATTTGACCTAGCCATCCCATTACTGGGTATATACCCAAAGGAGTATAAATCATGCTGCTATAAAGACACATGCACACGTATGTTTACTGTGGCTCTATTCACAATAGCAAAGACTTGGAACCAACCCAAATGTCCAACAATGACAGACTGGATTAAGAAAATGTGGCACATATACACCATGGAATACTATGCAGCCATAAAAAATGATGAGTTCATGTCCTTTGTAAGGACAGGGATGAAATTGGAAATCATCATTCTCAGTAAACTATCGCAAGAACAAAAAACCAAACACCGCATATTCTCACTCATAGGTGGGAATTGAACAATGAGAACACATGGACACAGGAAGGGGAACATCACACTCCGGGGACTGTTGTGGGGTGGGGGGAGTGGGGAGGGATAGTATTAGGAGATATACCTAATGCTAAATGACGTGTTAATGGGTGCAGCACACCAGCATGGCACATGTATACATATGTAACTAACCTGCACATTGTGCACATGTACCCTAAATCTTAAGGTATAATAATAATAAAAGAAAAAATATATATTTTTCATCAGAATGCCATTTTATTTTGAAATTACCAGGAAAAAAAAGTGTTTGAAGGGTGTGCTATATGACACCAATTGACCAGGGAGTTCACATTTCAGCTGATAGTTTTAATATTGTGTAGAAAGAGCCAAAGTCACTTTTTAAAAAGTTTTGCTTAAATATGCCTTATTGTAATGAGGGCTTCAGTTTAACACAGGTCAGTCTTGGACCAGTCAAAAGAGGACAAGTAATTGGAAGGACTGGGTAGACAAACACGGAAGATTAGAGACAGAGCCCAGAGTGGTTGTAGGCATTCAACCAACATGTTGTCAAGTCATGTTACCATTGGCTATGCTTGTGCTTAAGACTGATTTTCAATATACTATGAAGGAAAGAATTAGTTAAAAATAGTATTAAAATATGTTTGGATCCTAAAATTCTTAACTTACACGTGAAATTAATTGTATTTTCAGGAATTTTTAAAAAAGTTTTTAAATGTTACAGTTAAAATGTTGCCCCATTTAGCATGAAATTATTTTGATGTGTATAGAAGCTATCACAGAAAATAAAATGGAAAAATATGTGGTAGATAGGAGTAAATCTTTGTAGTAAAGAGTAATTCAGAACAATTTTATAAGAAAAAAATGAAGAGGCTCCTAAACTTGATTTTTCAAGTTACATTTATTACTAATATAATTTCAATTTTCCGTATGCATATTTCAAATACAGTCTTTTGTGATAAACAGAAGTGGAAATGTTAATCTATTTAACAAGAGAACACAATTTTTTAAAATAGAAAAGTGTGGACCATGTAGATATTAGTACTTTGAATAGAAATCTAATGTGAAAATTTACTTTCTCTTAAAAAAACAAATATTTCTGGAATTTCTCTCTAGTTGTAATAACTGTGCCTGTTTGATATAACTTTTTTTTTTTGCATATACATACTTGAGCCCTAATAGGTTGGCCCTTTCCAATGTGTATAATTGTGCCAAAATATAAAAGAGACATATTCAGAGATAAATGAACAAGAATCCACGCATTTAAGAAACTCAAAATACAAGACAAATTTTAAATCATCTTAATGGATATTTCAAACACATGCATTGGTATAACATTTAAACCTAAGAAGGAGGAAAAGTGCCAAATTAGTGTCTCTATGACTGGCATGCTCTCTTTTTAGGGAAGGCTTTTTAATCCACAGTAAAACTCAAACTCTTTCTACCTATGTGATTGATACTAACAAACAAATGCTTTATAACAAATGTGGTATGTATTTTCAAAGCAACGGCTCTTCTCTACACTTGCTATTATTTTAGAACTTTAGTGAGAACAATAGTCATCTACATCTTCTCACCCATAGGAATCAAACTTCACTCTGGCAGGTGTCTTGTCTCAACCATTAGCTTCAATGTGAGCAATCTAACTTTATTCATTTTCAAGTATGCTGGAGAATACCCACAGTACACTTTAGGATGATTTAACAATGGCACTTTGATTTTCAGGTTCATATCTGCAAAGTATGACTTTTCAAACCACTGATTTCTGCTACAAATATAGAATGTTTTTTTCCTTGTGAGAAATGTGCAGCTTTCCCACCATGTACTGTCTTTTTCTTAATGTCTCGAATAAATTCAGATAGCTTAATACAGATGATAATATTGATCTAGTGCATGCAATGAGAGAGAAGTCTGTTTTATGCTAACATGTAAGTTTAAAGTCTCCTCTCTATTTTGAGTCTGCTGAAAATTTTAGTGAATAATATCTATGTCAACTGATGGAAATAACTCCTTGCACTTATAAAAGAAAGCAATGAAGTAGAACGTGGCCCTGGCAAGCCAAGTATTTTCTGCTAAGTCTCTCCTATCTTAAAACATTCAAATCTAAAATGATTAAACCACTATAATAAATTTTGAACAAAGTAAGGCTTTTATGTGGGGGATTTCTGAGAATTTGCTAACTAATCTATACATCAGGCGTTATTTTTTAGGATTCTATAAAAACTCTTGGGATCATTACATCTTACACCTTGATAATTTAAGATAATTTAACAATATAACCTTGGAAAGTATTTATCGTTTCTTTTCTCCATCACTGAACAATTTTATATCTGGTTCTATCATCACTAATAGAACTTACTGTGATTTCTTTACTTTTTTTTTTTAACTTTCAAGATAAGGCCTTGGTCACTTGCACCCTGGCATTATTTTTAATTTTTATTCTGTGAAAGATACCATGATTATAAGAGACCATCATAACGATACATTCAAGAGCAAAAAAGTAACACAAAGCAAAATTATCACCTTTAAAAAACCAAGGAAATTTTGAATACTTAAGATGGTTTTTTACTTAAAAATATTCTGGATATTTGCTTAAGATGTCAAATACTTTGAATTTTTTTATATTTAACAGTTCGTGGGTATGGCAATAAGGAGCAGGTGTTTGATCTGATTATTTGATGGGCATGCTAACAAGGCATGTGTCATGGGATTGATGAAGCAGCTGCTTAACTTCCTCAGAACATTCTAATGACAACTTTCTAAAGAAGCACCACTTGTTACATAGGCTTCTGTGGCATGTTTTCTATAACTGAATAAATTATCATGACCTACGATTGCATAATAACAGACATATTTATGTACCACTTCCTTAAATCCATCAATCGTTTTAAATCTTCACATCTACCCTCACTCCATGTAACACGTAACACAAAGCCTGCCGCCTAACAATTCCTTTTAGGACCTTTAATGATACATGTAGTGACACTAATTACCTAATCCACTCCTAAACATAATCTGATATTTATATTATGAGCAAAAAAAATAAACAATGCATCAGCGGGCATTCTACAAATGAGAGAATCTCAGAATATCAGAGTTGTTAAGGATCTAAAAGATTAGATAATCCAATCTTCTCATTTGACAGATGGGGACCCCTGAACCCAGAATCTATTCCTGTCACAGGCATATATCTAAATCTTTCTATTCTCTACACATCACATCATTCCTCAAAAGTCCTTCCAAAATGTGTAATAATCTTATTCTCATGTGTTTATTTCTTTCTGAGAACTCCCACATTTTAATTCTTTTTTAAAAATCTAAGATTTATTAGATTTTTTTAAAAAAATGTTGCAGAAAGGCCAGGTGTGGTGGCTCACGCCTGTAATCCCAGCACTTTGGGAGGCTGAGGCGGGCAGATCACGAGGTCAGGAGTTCAAGACCAGTCTGACCAACATGGTGAAACTTTGTGTCTACTAAAAATACAAAAATTATCCAGGTGTGGTGGTTCATGCCTGTAATCCCAGCTACTCAGGAGGCTGAGGCAGGAGAATTGCTTGAACCCAGGAGGCGCAGGTTGCAGTGAGCCAAGATCGCACCATTGCACTCCAGACTGGGTGGGACAGAGCAAGACTCCATCTCAAAAAAAAAAAAAAAAAAAAAAAAAAGTTGCAGAGAAATACTTAACACCAAGGAAAATATTTTTATAAAGTAATTGCTCACTGGCATGCCCCTATGAGAAATTTCTGCAATGTTATATTCCTCATGTTATAGGTAGTGATAATTAGCACACCATATTCCATTAATTTCTTCCTGGACTAAGGTACAATGAAGAAATACTTAGTTTTACTTTAATTGAGTAGAGTTTGTTGCATAGACTACCTATTAATGGAATCAAAATTATGAATTACATATAAATGCCAGCACATCAATGCAAATAGTGAAATTTTCTTCCAAGTAATGCTCTATGGATCAGCCAACAAGGAAGTATTCACACTCACCTGTGTGTGTGTGTGTGTGTATATTCACATACATACACACACACACACACACACAGAAACACAAACTTAGATAAATGACTTATGAGAACAAGCCAAGACCAAAAGTGAATCTAAATCTATTAGAAAAGTTTAAAACCCTACAAAGGAGCGTTTTTTTTAAAAAACTACAGTTGGCACATGATCCGTTCTTCTAACTTTCATGTTTGGCGTCTCCATCCCCTTGGGTGTGGGTTGTAGTTGTAATCAGCTACTGGAAGACAGTAATCAGACCTGGTTTCCATGGACATGATTGCAGAATCATTTCTTGAAGCCTGCCTATAATATGCATATGGCAACTGTGAACCATATTGGGAGGTGGTGGACATATTATTATTGGCTGTGACATTATACTCTTGCCTTCCACATGAGCCCATATAGGCCTTCTGGGTTTGAGGAATATAGGACAGTCTTTCATTCCAATCCTCTGGAGGCCCTGGAAGCACCTTCCTCCGAGCTGCTGAAACCACATTTGCCACAATGGATTCCTGGATGTTTCTGGGTTGGAAAGCATCATCCACTAGACCGAGAGGAGACTTTGCTGCTGCTTCCCAAGGAGTTGGTCTCTTGTTTGCTTTCTCTAGTCCATCGGTTGGTTTACTAGAGTAACTATAAGTAGGCTGGTATACCCAAGGAGATGTAGAAATGGGGGGTGGGACTGATCTTCCAGGAAGAGAAAGGGAGCGCCCACTCTCCTAAAAACAATGAAAATATTAATATATCTCATTCATTTTGGTTTGTGCTGATTGTTACTCCAAAGTATTCCTAGCACCATTACCAAGCACTGCAAAAATAAAAAATAAAAATAAAAATAAATTAACCCCCCAGAATGCTTAGTCTTAAAGCCAGGACATGCTGCCTGTCCCCACCTTTGCAAAAGTGGGCCAAGTGCAAATGGTGGGCTGCCACTTGATCTTACCTTTTGCACTTGGCCCTCCTAGTTGCTCCCCATCTGTGAACGCATAGCCCCAGTTGCTATCATCTTTCTTAGGCATAGTCACTAGGGGCAGGGCGGGGGCTCTGTCATCACTAGGAACCACCTTTCCTTCTCTCTGCCCTCCACATAAGCATATGTGAATTCACATCCCAACCTTATTCCTATCCTGCTTTGCTGGTACAAAATAAACAAAACCTATTGATAACCTCAGAAACAAGCTGTACATTACTGAGCTTTTTACTCTTCCCAAGTGACTTTTAATCTGTTATCTAATGTTGGTCTAGTGAATGAATATAGCAAAAACAAACCAGAGCTTCTTAGATGTAGTTAACATTACTGGTATGATTAACTGCCTGGCCCTTTTCCGCTCAAAATCTATTTATATGGTGACGATCACATGGATTTTTATTTCCTGAGTGGAGTGTATTGCCTTTGTCTCTGAGGGAATTACTCCTGCCTCTTGTTTAATTTGCATTTTGCTTCCTTTCATGTGTATTACATTCCTATTTCTTTGAGAGTTTGTATCCCTGCAACATTCCTCTGTGTATACTTAATATTCAGCTTGACTAATAACACAGGAATATTATTAATTATTATTATATAGAGTTGGGGTCTCATTCTGTTGCCCAGGCTGGAGTGCAGAGCATGATCATGGCTCACTGCAGCCTCAAACTCCTGGGCTCAAGCAATCCTCCTGCCTCAGCCTCCCAAGTAATTGGGACTACAGGTGCACACCACTATGCCTGGCTAAATTTTTAAAAATCTTTTTTACAGACAGGATCTCCCTGTTGCCCAGGCTGGTGGTATTAGACTCCTGGCCTCAAGCCATCCTCCCACCTCAGCCTCCCAAGTTGCTGGGCTTACAGACATGAGCCCCGGTGCCTGGCTACAGCAATATAATTTAATGAAACCTCTTGTGTTCTCATTCTCTCCTTTTACTCCTCTGCATTTCTAGGAATGCTGATGGCTGGCTATCCACATTACATCTTCACACATTCCAATATGCATGAGGCTGTGTGAGATAAGCTCTTGGCAAAAACGCAGAAAGGGTACACCTAGGGGACAGGAGTATCAACTTTGAAAGTATCAAAACATCCTGTTTCCTAACAAAAAACATTACCATGCTTAAAAATGTGCTCTAATTTCATAAACAGTTTCAACAGCTTTTCTCTTAATCAAGTTCTTAACTTTAAAGTGAATATCAATACCTGGATTTAGGCAAAATATCTCAGATTCAAATGTTTCGTTTTTTTTTTATTATTAGGTACACAAAGAAGGTAGATGGTTCATTCCTGGTTTCTATCTGAAGAATAAGGGGTCCAATATAATAAATCTTGATTCTCTCATTTTAATCATTTAAATTTTACTTACAATGGTTGAATCTTAGCAAAAACTTGCTTTCACTAATCTTGTCTTAATTCAGAACCACTCATAATTCTCCTTACTCTATATTTGGGTGAGGTGTGGGGAATCCTGACTTTTAGTCACCTTTAAGGCCTTAGTTTCTATTTCACATTATGTATGTGTTCATTTCATAGACTCATTTAACATAAATTAACATATTGTACACCTAATATTTCCAGGTATTCTTCTATAAGCTGAAGACTTAAAGATGATAAAGTCCTTGCCCTCAATAAGCACACAATCCAGTACTAGTTTTAGCCCCACAGTAGCTGAATTAAGTCAATTACAGAAGACCAGTTTGGGCCAGTGCAGTGGCTCACGCCTGTAATCCCAACTCTTGGGGAGGCTGAGGCAGATGGATCACTTGAGATCAGGAGTTCAAGACCAGCCTGGCCAACATGGTGAAACCCCATCTCTACTAAAAATACAAAAGAATTCTCCAAGGTGTGATGGCATAGGCCTGTAATCCCTGCTACTCAGGAGGCTGAGGCACAAGAATCACTTGAACCCAGGAGGCAGAAGTTGTAGTGAGCTGAGATCACACCACTGCACTCCAGCCTGGGTGACAGAGCAAGACTCTGTCTCAAAAAAAAAAAATAAATAAATAAATAATAAGAAACAAGATCAGTTTAGAGAAGATAGAGAAGAGACTCTTTAACTGTCTTGACAGGAAAAAATAGGAAGTTTTCTAAACTGTGAGAAGTGGTAAGACTCAGTGTGATAAAGAGAAATGTAGCTGTCTGTTGTGGTGTGTGTCTGTATATCACTTTTGTCCTTTCTGTGGAAGAATTAGAACAACAGTGGTCTACAGAGGCCCTGGGAGAGTTTTCAGAGTCCCATGATTTTGCTTTGTGTGGTCTTTGATTATGATAGAGGCAGGAGGCAGACAAATTCTAGGCAGACAGAGGTGGATCCCTGGTGAAACCCCACCTTCAAGCCAAAATAGTCTGAAACTTACAGCCCAAAGTGAGAACTTCTATTCCTGTTTGCCCATTCTCTCCTGATTGGTTCTTTGTGAATAGTGTCTTTTTACCAGTGGAATGTTGCTTTTTCCAAAACTACCTGCGGCCCACCCCACCCACACCGTGTGCCTATTATAAAGACCCCAGACTCAGTCGGTAGAGGGAGAGATGGCCGGACCTTAGAGGAGACGGCCAGACTTCAGAGAGACAGCTGGACTTCGAGGGAGATGGACAGACTACAGAAGAGATGACCTGACTTCAGGGGAAGACAACCTGCCCATCCTCTTCGCTGTCTAGCTCCTCTCTCCACTGAGAGCCATTTTCGTAGCTTAGTAAAATTCTCTGCCCTTCAGTTGTCTGTGTGACCTCATTCTTCCTGGACGCCGGACAAGAGCTTGGGACCCACCGAGTGCAGGTACCCAAAAAGGCCATCACACCGGCCCTTTGCCCTCACGGATGAAGGGCAGCCACCCCACACAATGAGGCAAGAGGCCAACTGAGCTGCTAACAAACCACCGTCTGTGGACGGCAGAACTAAGAGAGCACTGTAACGCTCCCTCTGGGGCTTTGGGGTCGCAAGCACCCCCACCTGGGCACCGCTGTGGGCCACACATGAAGTCTGCTCCTGCTGGCGCCCGGAGTGGCCAGCCAGATCCCACACTCACTCACTCATGTGCTCCCTCCCTCAAGGGGTTGAGCACAGTGAGCTGAGTAAACAGGGCACCCCTGTTGCAAGTCTGGCAAAGAGGCTAAAAAAAATCCTGCATCAATTAGATGTAGCACCTTGAGGGACTGCTTTAGTCAGTTATTTAGGTATTTTAAAAGATAGAAGGCTGAGGGGATGGCAATAGATAAAGGGAGCTAAGACTTTACAGAAATCTCGGTGAGGCCCCTGAACATATATACAGGTGTTTAATTTACTGGCTAATAACTGGAAAAAGAAATAATTATCAATATACTTGGGAGTATTAAGTACTATGTGAAAGCATACATTGCAGTGATAAGACATCCAAAACATTACATGAAAGAGAGGAATTATTTTTTGGTGTTTCTCTTATGCACTGAGTTTGAAAATATTCAGAAGAATTGAAACTTGACAGAATTTATAAAGTTCAAAATATTGTTCAGTGATATCCTATTAACAAAGAGATGAATATGCAGGGAGAAAACTAAAATATTGAGGTATGGTATTGAAAGAGTAAGCCAGGGCTTTCTGAAGGGAAATTAAAACCTAGGATTGAAGCTGAAAGCAAAAATCTCACGCCAAACATGCATATGACAAATGTAACAGCAGTGAGGAAAGAAGAGCAACCAGCTCAATGAGCAAAATGACCATGGCTCTTCTACATTTCCCCAGACTGACGAACATGCCTTCACATTCTTTCAAGTGCTAGTAATAGAGGATAAGATGATAAACCATTTTAGGTTAGAGATCCAACTGGGATATAAATAAATCATTCCATAGGTACAATGTAGTTTCTGTTTGTGTCCAAAATATTGCAAGCCTCTAGCCTCTACTGGCACCCATACTTCTAATTTTAATGTATTTCCCCAAAGCAATTTTCACAGTGTTTTTTGGTGCTGTTTCCTTCTGTCCATCACAGTTTCAAGGCTCAGGCTGTTCTCTGTTTGGCTGGCTGAATGAAGCCATGTGATATACCCTGAGCCAGAAACGACCAAAGGAACCTGAAAGTAACAGAGGTGTTTCTTTTGTTTTGGAGTTTGAATGTCTGACGCTGGAATCCTAGCATAGCATGGATTAGGTCCTGGGTTGTCACTTCCACCATGGGTTATATCATCATCAAGGGAATTTAATATTTTTATATGAGAGCACTTAACTGTAACCAAGATGTTAAATTAGCTTTACCCATCAAATTGCTTCTTTCTGTCTCCCACTACCTTTTAAACTTTATTTAATAAAAAAAAGTTTTCTGCTGCCACTGGAAGAAAACTTAGCAGATCCTGGGACATTTTGCTTACTTTTAGGAAGAGTTCAATGGTTACCTTAAGTTACTCAAACCAGTTTTATTTTGAAATAGATGATGCCATCCCCTGAAATAACAAACTCCAATTTCAACTTTATTAGAGTTAAATCTCCTCTCCTTCCCCAGCTGGGGCCTGCTTCAGAAAGGCTGCCTTCCTTCAGGGAAGGAGTGTGGTTGACTTCTTCACTCTACTTCCACTTCTTCTCTCAGGTCGCTAACTCTGCCTTCTGGCCCCCTGGGGTTGGAGGAAAAAAAGGAGTAGAATAAAAGAGGAGAAGAAAGTTTTTACTTGATTTGGCAACATCATGTTCTGGCCTCTTACTCTTGGGGCCAGACAGGCCCAGAGAGGGACATTTTTATGGGATATTGAAAGATTCCCATCACTGGGGACATCTTACCTCTAGTCCTTGATTCATGCTAATTCTTCTCTGTTCTAGGGAGTGACTTTGGACTCATCCTATATGCTCCCTTAGGAAGCTGTCTACCTACAGTGTGTAGCTACTAGGATCCATCTGCCCCCTCAGAGAGGCCCCAGGTTGACCCCAGCCAGCTCTCCCTTGCTCCTAGCCTGGACTGGCCTGGTCCATGGGGAACACTCACATCATTTGCCTGTGGGGATGCAGAAGAAAATGTCCTGGTTCTGTGCCAGAACAGTTTGTCAGCCTGTCCCTTTCCCTCCAAATTTCCTGAGTGGCACTCAGACCCCACTCTGACCTCCTACCCATCCTCATGCAAGTATCTCCCATGAAGTTCTCTAAGAAGACACTTTGAAACTCTTCTTGCACACAGCTTGAGGTAAAAAGGTGAAACCCCCTCCACGCCACCCACTCCAAACACACACATCTTCAGCACTCTGGAATTCCTTCTCACAGAATCCTCTCTCCTTGCCATAATCAACCCCTTTTAATCACTTGGACCTGGCTGAAGGTTTCAAGAATTGTGGAAGTCATTTGCTACTATATTCTTTGTAGAGTCTGCATTTGAATCTGGAATCTCACTTCAGTGGGCAGCATCTGTTGTATCTGGGGGCCTTGGGTAAAACTTCAACATCCTGTCATCTCATTTTCAGTACAGTACAAAGCTCCCTCTCTCCTATTTTTCTTTTTAAAGTAAAATATAAGCTAAAATTGGAAATATTTTTCTACAAATCAATTCCAAGAAATTTCTCTAATAACTTCGAATAAAGTTGAAAGCTTATACCTCACTGAGTCTTCTCTCTAGAGAAGAGGGGTTACTTGTTTCCAGAGCATCTTGGTCAATCCTTAGGCTCTAGATTTTGGGAACTTCTTTCTTACATTGAATCAAACATTGCTTCCCGGCCGGGCGCGGTGGCTCACGCCTGTAATCCCAGCACTTTGGGAGGCCGAGGCGGGCGGATCACGAGGTCAGGAGATCGAGACCATCCCGGCTAAAAAACGGTGAAACCCCGTCTCTACTAAAAATACAAAAAATTAGCCGGGCGTAGTGGCGGGCGCTTGTAGTCCCAGCTACTCGGGAGGCTGAGGCAGGAGAATGGCGTGAACCCGGGAGGCGGAGCTTGCAGTGAGCCGAGATCCCGCCACTGCACTCCAGCCTGGGCGACAGAGCGAGACTCCGTCTCAAAAAAAAAAAAAAAAAAAAATTGCTTCCCATGGCTTTACCCCAGTGATTCTGCTAACATGGATTACATCTACTTGTACTTCTATGCAGCCATTCCTTCATACATTCCCAGTTTCTTCCACCCTCCTTGAATATCTTTACTATCCTGTTGCTATCTGTTATTTTTCAAACTAAGGAGAAATAATATCTATGTCATTCACTCCCTCAAGTTCTCCACATCCTTCTCCCTCCAGTTTGTTGGGCAAGGCTAATGCAGGTATAATATCTTGATCTTCTTAAGTAGATGTGTGTACATAAACACAAGGCCACGTGCTGAGTGAAGACATCATTCAAAATGACTGCGGGACCATGTCATCTGGCAGATGGTATAGTTAATACTGCATATGGAACATTCAGTCTGTGTGCATTTAGAGTATTCTGTTCTTTGATTATTCAACCCACGAGAGCACACGCCAATCTTTAGCTGGCCCAATATAATGCATGCAAGACTCCCACTGAACTCATGAGTCATCTGGTGTTATATAGTCCCACAAAAGGGCTTAACACTAAGGAGGCATTTTTCTACCTCTGCCTTTAAAAATAGCCAACATTAATAGATTGCTTATTGTATGCCAGGCAGTGGGGGCTGATTTCTTTATGTGGAGTGTTTCACGTAATCGTCACAACCCCGTGAAGTAGAGGCACTATTATTATCCCTATTTTTCCAGAGGATAGTGAGATTTGAAGAAAGTAAGTAATTTCCCCAAGGGTAGAAAGCTAGTAAGTGTTGGGGTGGAAAATTGAACCCAGGCAGGCAGTCTCATACCAGAGTTCCTAAATCTAATTGGACTATACTTGCAATGATATTGTTTTGAGAGAATATCTTTTTTTTTTTTTGAGACAGAATCTCGCTCTTGTCACCCAGGTTGGAGTACAGTGGGGCGATCCTGGCTCACTGCAACCTCTGCCTCCCGGGTTGAAGTGATTCTCCTGCCTCAGCCTCCTGAGTAGCTGGCATTACAGGTGCCTACCACTATGGTTGGCTAATTTTTGTACTTTTAGTAGAGATGGAGTTTTGCCATGTTGGCCAGGCTGGCCTTGAACTCCTGACCTCAGGTGATCTGCCTGCCTCAACCTCCTAAAGTGCTGGGATTACATGTGTGAGCCACTGCACCCAGCCTGAGAACATCTTTTTTTTAAAAAAAAGATTCAAAACCATGCAAACTAAATGGAGTAAGATCTTAGAAATTTTGGAAAAGGTCATTTAAATTTGGATTAAATTTGGATTAAAGAATACTGGCATCTTGGCATTTGTCACAAGAACAGGCAGGTGACCGGGCCGTAGGGAATACAGTGCATCGCATTTAGATGCACTTCTGCTGCATGAAGATGAGATATCCGGGGCTCTGCATGCAGGAGAAAAGCTCAGAGGAGCTGAGGGCCTTTCTCAGCTTAACATAAACCATCTTCTCATGTCAATTAAATGTTGGTTTATCCACACAGCTTGTTAATAAAACAGCTTAGTTAGCTTCCTTGTTAAACTGTCTAGCTGTCTAGTAACCAATTTAACTGGCAGGGAACACTTGACATGCAAAAAGAAAGTGTAATCTGAGGTTTACTTAGCACAAAGAAGTGAATTTTAAAGCAATGTAAACTGTCCTAGAAGCCAAAGAAGATAAATCTGATGTATGTGTCGTGAGTCAAAGTTTAAACTATTTTATACCATAAACCTTGAAAGTGATACAATTCTCTTGGCTGAAACCCTGCTTACACATGCACTGTAGGGAAAGGGGCGTCAACTGATAAATATGATTTCAATTCCTTTGACTCTTTTCTCTCTTAAACACATGATCAGTAAATGATCATCACAAACATATACTTTATCATACACAGATTCTGGGAGGTCCAAGAAAAGTGAAGAGGAATAAAAAGTATTTCTTTTGCCTTTTTAATCATGGATTAGAATTTCTGAAAAGCAGAGGTCCTAGAAGGGATACACAAATAGAAGAAACCACAGATATTCTCCATTTTTCCATTTGCTCAAGTTGAAATTTTGGGAATCAGTGTTGACTGCTCTCCATCTCACACTCCACACCTGATCTGTCAGCACTGACTTCAAAATACATCCACTATCTGACCAAGTCTTCTCAACCTCCACTGGTAGCATCCTGGACTAAGCTATCACAAATTCTCACCTGGATTATTGCTACTGTCTCCTAATTGATTTCCCTAGTTTCATTCTTGCTTCCTTTAGTTTATTCTTAATATGCTAGCCAAAACTACCCAGTTAAAACTCAAGTCAGATTATGTTATTCAGTCTACTGTTTAAAAACTTCCCATGGCTTTTCATTTCAAAAAAGGAAAAACCAAAGTCCTTTCATTGACCTACAAGACCCCACAAAATCTGCCAACTAGCTCCTTGCATTATCTGACTTCATCTTCTTCATGTTCTCTTCCTCTCCCTTTCCTCCAGCCACACTGGCCTTGAACCTTGAACACACCAGGTACACTCATGCCTCAGGATTTTTGTACTTTCCAATCCTCTGGATTTTTGTACTTGCTCACCCCAGGTACCAGCATGACTCCTACCTTGTTTTCTTCAGGACTTACTCAAATATTACATGATCACTCAGCTTGGCAATTCCCTCCCTCTCTCAAAATTCCTTACCTTTCTCCCCTGCTTTAATCCTTCCCTTAGACTTACACTCATCTAACATAATAAATATTCTACTTAATCATTTGTTTATTTTTCTCTCTCCACTAGAAATTAAGGTCCATCTAAGGGTAAAGGTTTTTGTTTCCTTAAGGCTTCCCTAGAACAGTACTTGGCACCAGAATAGTAGGTGCTTAGTAAATATTTGTTGAATGAATGATAATTTCTACATCAGGCTGTCATAAACTGAAAATGTGGTTATCTTCACCAGAATTTTACGTCAGTTCACAAGATGTAGCCCCTCTCACACATCAGTTACATGTGACAAGGGACACAAACAGAACTATCCCCACCACCTTCAATATATGCAAACCAATATGCACCCCAAGTCATGTTCAACAAGACAGACAGGACTAGTCAATATTTATGAACAAACCAATTTTTCTAAACAGGTGGAAGATTTTTAAGGTTCAAATAAATGATTTGCATTCAGGTCAGTGGAAGTTTAAGAGTTTCAAACGGCTTTGATTTCACAATTGAGAAAAGTCTTAGAAAATTATGCATAAACCCTAAAGAGAACCTGAAATACATTTGCAAGATTAAATAAATCAGACCTAAGAAGAAAACGATAAAAGAGATTGGAATTAGTTAGGGTTGAAGAAGAGCAAGCTGAAAGTTGATTTACCGTTTATCATGAGACTGCAAGTACGTGTTAGGAAATGGCAGCCTCTACTAACTAATCTCCTAGAGTCCCTCCCAGCTCTAATGAGCCCTCAGTGAAAATTTTCTTGACAGTAGAAACAGTTCAACACTGGAAAAAATTTCTGCATAGAGATATAGAATCCCTTTACCTAAAGGTCTTTAAATATAAAACAAACGCTCCCTTGAGGTGGTTTAGATACAATCAAGCTTGAAGTTAGAGGATAAAAACACTTTGAAGGTCATTTTGTTCTAGTCTCAATAAAATAGTCTTTTCCTCATTCCCTAACACTTGCCTTCTTAAAGAGGATTTTAAGTTTACCTCCACTAACTGGAGTTTTTGGAAATTCTGTTTTAGGACTCTCTTATCTAGAAAATGGAAGAGAGTTTCTATTTCTTTCAGCAGAAGTACACAGTATCATTCTGTCTGCCAAGAAGGGCACATAATCAGGACTAATAAACCATATTTTTGAATAGAAAAGTGGCCAAGTAATCACATGTTGTTTAAATAGTTTCATGGGCTGGGCACAGTGGCTTACGCCTGTAATCCCAGCACTTTGGGAAGTCGAGTGGGTGGATCATCTGAGGTAAGGAGTTCATGATCAGCCTGGCCAACATGGTGAAACCCTGTCTCTGCTAAAAATACAAAATTAGTCGGGCATGGTGGCTCATGCCTGTAATCTCAGCTGCTTGGGAAGCTAAAGCAAGAGAATCGCTGGAACCCGGGAGGCAGAGGTTGCAGTGAGCTGAGATTGTGCCATTGCACTCTAGCCTGGGCAACAAGAGTGAAACTTCATCTAAAAAAAAAATAAATAAACAAAATAAATAGTTTCATGAATGCAATGGACATACTCTGACATCAAAATAAGAGATAGGGTCTTGTATGTAGCATATCATCTTGGTTCTGTTACTCACCAGTCATCTTAGATTAACTTTTAGATTAAATTTTCTCTTCCAAAACAACAGACTTTTAAACAAAAAGTTTTACTTTCTGCTTCTAGGAAATCTGTTTGTGAGAAAGCGTAAGGCTTGTAAATGACAATGGAGGCCAGCATCTTATATTGGAAGGAATGGAAACTTGGATGTCACATTGACCTGAAAGTTCTGCCTTTGTCTTTTGTTATCCACGCAATTCAACTTCTCCCAGTCTTATTTTCCTTAATTGTAAGATGGGAGTATTGCTGGCTACAGTTTCAAGATTATGGGCAGAGTAAAGATTGTGTTTATAAATGGAATGCCATGTAGCTCAACAAATGGTGATTATTTTTGTTATTGTGGGAAGAGACTGTGTGGCCCTAAAGGTGTCAGAGACCTGGCAGGACCTTTTGTTCAAGAGGCAACTGCATAGGCAGGCTGCTGACCCAGGACAAAAATAGGAGGGAGACTTGCCTTTGAAGTGGCATTAGCAGTGCACGCCTCCGAGGCTGCTGTGCCAACCCCGGCTGCCCTCCTGTCATCAGAATGCAGGCAGCTGGGTTGGCCAGAAACATTGCCACTGACCTCATCTTCCTGCTAGGTCTAAGTGGGCCAAAATATACACTTCTTGATTTTTTTTAAACCTTCTGTTATAAAAGAATAAAAGTAATGATACACAGTTTAAGGTCGAGAAGACCAACATGAAGGAGGAATGTGTGCATATACTTTTGTTGTCTCTTTCATCTTTGAAGCAATGATAATAATAACTAAAATGTACAAAACTTTTACTATGTACTAGCTACAGTTCTAAACACTGTATTTGTTACCTCAATTAATCCTCTCAACAACCTTATGGCCTCCATTTTGCAAATAAGGAAAGTGAGGCATGTAAATTAGGTAATTTACCCTAATATTACCCTAAATTGGTAATTTTCCCTATACAAGCACATACTGGCTTGTATAGGGAAGTTGGAGAAGTAAAGCTATAGGTAATAAAATTTTATTTAAATAATGTATGTTAAGGCATTAACTCTGTTAACAGAAAAAACTACTATACCAGCAATTTTTACCCTCTTACCTTTCTTTATTCTCAAAAAAGAAGTATGTCACTCTACAAGTTAGAGCCTGTGACAATACTTGTATTAATATAGACTGTGTTCTATTTAAGTAGTTGGGATTGCTGTTTTAATTTTTTATAATTCTTGAGGAACAGCCTTATTTAAGTTTATTTTCATAAAAGTCTAGTTTAATTGGTTCAAACATAAAAAATAAATGTTAAACACATTTCAAAATATTTTCTGAAGTTCTCTCTTTCCTCAAAAGATTTAAATAGTAAACGTCATTCATTTAGATTCCCACGGTAGAAAAAGTGAATAGTATATATAAAAAGTTCAGACTTCGTCAGTTTCTATGGAGAAACAAGTAATTTTCATAATAAACAAAGAATGTTGATCTTGTTTAAAATAAACAATCTTTTGACCTTGTGGGAGTTTTTTGGGTTTTTGTTTTTTTGAGACAGGGTCTTGCTCTATCACCCCGGCTAGAGAGCAGTGGTGTTATCATAGCTCATTGCAGCCTTAACCTCCCGGGCTCAAGACATCCTCTCACCTCAGGCTCTCAAGTTGCTTCCAGTGAGCCACTGCATCCAGCATGTGGGAAGTTTTTGTAGAGAAAAATGTTGGTACCTGGCACATGGTAAGCACTTAATTTATTATGAGAGTAATGATTATCAGTACAGAAAACTAACATGTTTTGTATTGTATTCAGTTATAATTATGTGACTGCTATTTGAAGTGGAGCTAATAGCCCTTAAGCAAAATTATTTCCCAATTAAAATGCCTTTTGCTTTTTTAGAGAAAAATCTTATCAGTTATGATGTTAACAACAAGGATTCTTAAGAAATGTGTGCATACCATGTAACAAACTTGATTTGGCCTCTGCACAATAACATTCCCAAAACTTCCCACTGATGTGTTTAGAAGCATCCTCTGTCACGACTTCTAATTACATTAAAAATCTCTGACAATTCAAAGCGAGTTAATGGCAATGACGAAGACACAGCAACTATACAGTGTGTGACAACATAATTTCACAAAGATGTGGAGAATACAGGATGAGGAAAATGACTGAGTTGGCCTTTGTAACTGCTTTTCTGTCCACTATGTTTCTAAGCTTATTAAATGGAACCTTTGATTAATATCCTGGGCCCTGGGGAAATTGTTTAACCTACTGTTCTTTGAGAAATGTAAGATTTACTCCCTATCATATTTATGTTTTCCTGGTCAAAAACATGACCCCAGAGTGAGGTTTAAAATTAGGAATCTTAATCACTTGAACTTGGGAGGTGGAGGTTGCAGTGAGCTGAGATCACGCCACTGCACTCCAGCCTGGGCGACAGAGTGAGACTCCATCTCAAAAATAAAATAAATAAAAATAAAATTAGGAATCATAAATCCAGCTCTTCATCAGGAAAGGCATCAACAGCTTGTTTTCTTAAGCACAGAATAGAAAAAAATTATGCTCAATTCCTTTATCACATCTCTGGTCCAAGTGATAAGTTTTATTTAATGATATCTTTCCTGTTTGAGGGAATTTACACAATAATTTCATGTATGTCATTTCATTTTAGAGACATGGAGATGCCATAAACTATGTGGGATTTTCAAATGTGTGATTGTTTTGCTGGAGGAGAAACATGGGTTAAAGAGAAGTATACAATGATGGTCACGATCATGTGCTTTTCAAATACAAATGGGAAACTTAGGAAACATCTTTTATCAGAAGTATCCCAGTTACATTTCTTCAGAATAAGCAGCATTTACTTCCATTGAAAACACTAATTCCAGATATAGTTGTAGTCTGTCATTAATCACTGAAAGGATGTCTCGGGAGTTATTGGAATGTGTGTCTACTTATCAGACATACGAAATTAGAGATCAAATACTTAATTTTGCCCATGGCTATAGCTGCTATTACAGCTGGTTTTTATTTGCATAGCTTTTTTTTTTTTTTTTTTTTTTTTTTTGAGACGGAGTCTGTCTCTGTCACCCAGGCTGGACTGCAGCAGTACGATATGGGCTCACTGCAACCTCTGCTCCCCAGGTTCAAGTAATTCTCCTGCCTCACCCTGCCGGGTACCTGGGATTACAGGCATGTGCCACCACGCCCAGCTAATTTTTGTGTTTTTAATAGAGGTGGGGTTTCACCATGTCGACCAGGCTGGTCTTAAACTCCTGACCTCAAGTGATCCACCCACCTCAGCTTCCCAAAGTGCTGGGATTACAGGCGTGAGCCACTGCGCCTGGCCGGCATAGCTTTCTTAATGCATTCATGAAGCTGCAATGTATAATTGTCTTGAGATAACATTGTATGTTAATACTACAGCAAATTTTGCCATGTAGACCACACATTTATTAAAAGGATCTCATTCTTTAGTATTCTCCTGACTTCTCCCCATCCCAAAGTTTGCCTTCATTTTGATTTGATGTTAGGTATTTATTGACTATTACAATTGTTAAACAATTTTTTCACTTTTAGTATTAATTCATGCAAATGCATTGATGAATTTACAAAAATATTATGAATTAGCTAAAATACTACATCAGCCCTCTTAACTGCTATGGATATGTAATCTTAGCCTAAGATAAAAAGTAACTTCTGGGGAGACTAAAATGGATAGGCCCTCATCAATACACATTTGAGAGAAAGAGAGGAAAAGAGAGATCCTTTAGTAGTATGTGTGTCTAAATTCTTAAGCAATTATCCAAAACAAAAACAAAAAACAAAACAAAAAAAAACATGGCAGTAAGCCGAGATGGTGCCACTGCACTCTAGCCTGGGCGACAGAGCGAGACTCTGTCTAAAAACAAAACAAAACAAAACAAAAACAAAAGAAAAAAAACAACCAACCAAACAAACAAAATACAATGAACAGATCAGTCATTCATTGACCACATGGCATCAAACCTGTGCAGTGACCTAGGCTCCAGCATTAACCCATCATTTATAATATCCAGCTCTCCCATTAGTCTTTTCTCCTCCCACTGGTAAATGTACAAACATATATTTCACATCACAGAACTTCCAACACGTCACCATCTTTTCTGTTTTAGAAATAAACTTTAGTGCCTCAAAGTTTTGAAAACAATGTGCTTGTTAGGATCAAAGCCGTCACCAAGTGGGTCTGCCTGTTTCTTTGTTCCGTACACTCTTGTAACATATAAGCAGCCTCTGACTGATTTTGCATTTTGTTGACATACTACTCTATTTGCCAAGATTAATGTTAAAGTTAAACAAAAATATTGGGCTCTTTCCCTATGATGCATAAAGTGCATGAACTTCCTTTTTCTTTTGAAAATTTTATAATCGTATTTATTTTCATTTTAAAAAGCTAATAAGCATTCAAAGTGCTTCAAAATTTTCCATTAGCCTAGATCCCAAAATAAGAATGTTTAGATTACTGCCAGATAGATTTAAGCTAGTTATTAGTAAGAATATTTTGGATTTGGAGATAACAGAGTCTAGGGCCCAACAGCCAAGGGAAGTCATACAATCTTTTTCCCCAGAGATAAGAAAAAATAGCCAAGGAAATTCAATCTCTTTTCTAGATAATAAAATTGTATCATTCTATTCTATCCCTAGAAATATTTATACTCATTCTTGATTAGAAGCAGGGGGTCAGATAAAAATCACGTCTCAAGGCCCCCTTTAGTCTTTTGTCTTTTTTAAAAAAAGAATATTCAAAGCAAATTGTAATGCAACGAGCTTTAGAATGGCTGCCTGTGAAGCACTGAGAGGGAAGGAGAGTTTGCTGCCATCTCCTGGACGTTTGAAATAAAATCGGCAAGATGAGTGCTTCAGCGCCTGCCTGTTCCTTTTAGACGGGGCACTAAGACTGTGGAAGCAGGTGCAGTTTACAAGTCTGGCTGTCCCTGACTGGATAAACAGGAAAACTATTTATGGGTTTTAAAGAATAAAGTTGATTTAAGTGGTTTGCATGTTAGAAAAGTGTTATTCAAAGTGTAGTTCACAGCCCATTAGCATCAGAATCACCTGGGTTGTATGTTACAAAAACAAATTCCTAGGTCCCACCCAAACCTAGTAAATCAGAATCTCTAAGGTGGGGCTATCTCTAAGGTGGGGAAATCTTAATTTTACACTAGGAACAAAAAGTGGAAAGCTATATGTTACACTACGAAGGGAATAGTTTGCTCATACTAAAGTGCTGTATATAAAGGAAATCATATTAGTTCATTCAATGTAAAATTAAAATTAAAAGTTCTAAGTAATATATTTAGTGTTGCTGTTTATTTCAGTAATACCACCCACAATGAGTTGTGACATTTCAGTGAGTATTTCATAATGCAGAATTCAAAATCTAGCCCATATTGGACTTACGTGAAGAATTATGATCTGCACCATTTGTTAAACAGTAATAAGTAATCCAACCACAACCAACAGACTCTGAGTGTGAATTAAAAAAAAAACTCCAAACCAAAGATCTAATTGTGGAAGGATTGCAATGAAACCTTAAATTAGTACATTATATTAGTTCAACCAATTCCTTAGAGATTCTTAGCTCTAGAAAATGGTTTTGTGAACATTTCTTTATCAGTGTTAGATATGCTAGGTGAAAAAAGAACAAAGGGGTTTTTAGTACAGTAAGAGGCCTAGTTTTGCTTTATTTTTAAATGTAATTAAATGGCACAAAAGGAAAGCAAGACTAAATCAATTCAATTGCATTTGAAACAAAAGCTATTCTGGATTCAGATAACATTTTCAGAATCTCAGCTTGTTTTGATTTTTTATCTTCAAGATGAGTCTTGACTTCTGCTTCTGACTCAGAAGGATTCTAGAAGTACCAGAAAACCCACAAAAATTCCCTGGGTTTGAAAGGCAGCTGGAATATTAAGTTCCTCCCTATGTCAGTGGCTCAGCTTCTTAGAATTGTTTTTCATCACTTGCCCTGAGCTGGGAGTTTGCTCTGTTCAGGCCGAGGTTTCACTCTTTCTGTTTTTGGAAAGTGATCATGCCTCTCAGGCAAGGGGATCAATTACTCTAAAAAGGCCAGGTTGCTGACCCTTTGTCCTAGGACAGTGTGGAAAGGAGGGATAAGGACAGCTGTGAGCTGCGCCCTCCTAGGTCAGCCCAACTGTTGCAGGTCTGAAGTGGGGTAGTCTCAGGGATAGGGTTGCCAACTGCTCCACTTTCAGTGTAATAGGCCTATTTAAGCTTCAACTATGCTACCAGGTTACTCAGGATACCAACTATCCTGTTTAGAGAATATGTTTGGTTTACAAACATTTCCCCAGAAGAGCTCTCTTCATATTACTAAGTCCACTACATTCATTCTATTTAACATTGGTACTTTGAACTGAAAACAGTGTCTTTATAGTAGAGGCTCAAAGCTGATGTTATTTTATAAAAATATTGAACCAGTCTTTTTGAATCTGATCTCATCTTTGTATACCACGAAAAGAATGCTGGCACAATAGATGAACACAAAGCAGGAAAAAATGGACAAACAGGCTGAATACAGAGGAATGTAAACATATAAACTTCAGTAAGAAGAAAAAAGAGAAGAAACAAAGATCTCTCAACGACTCCTGGGAATAGATTTCTTGTGTCAATGTGAAATTTATAGCGACACTCCTTCTACTTTTCCTATTTTAGTTGTGGGTCTCAAACTGGGATTCATATTAACAGAGAACACAAAAGAACTTGTTTAATTGTGTTTTCCTCATTGGAAGTTTTTAAAATAGTAGCTATTGTTTATTGAGTGCCCCTTAGAAGAATAATAATAGCTAACATGTGTTGAATACTTTCTCTGTGCCAGGCAGTGTTTTATATACAAAATGCATATTGTTTCATTTAATCTTCATAACAACTTGTGAGGTACACCTATTATTGTCTTCGTTTCACAGCTGAGGTATTGAAGCACAGGGCGACTGAATCCTTTGTTTAAAGTCTCCCAACCAGCAGGAGGCAGGCCTGGGACTCAGAGGCAGGCAGCGCGGCCCTAGAGCCCACACTCTTAATCACTACCAATGTACTTCTTGTGGGCTCAAGGTTTACACACCTTATCTCATCTAATAGTATGTGAAGTTCATTTAAGACATGATTACCTTTTGCTTTTCCTAAATTAAAAAAAAGTCTTGTCTTCTTTTTAATTTAAAAATTGGAAGGAACCTTATTCTCTGCATTATTGTTACTGAAATTTGAGGGTTTCTCTCATCACTATTCTGTTCTTCCTTTATTTGCCAGGTATAAATTACCATAACTCTGGTAATATGTGATGCTGGTTGGCTGGAAGCGGTAGGTGTTTGAGGCGTGTGGTCTAGTGCACTGTGGGAATTTGTTCAACAGAAACCAGCAAAATGTTGAGCTTCCCTTCGCCATTATTGAGTTGTAATAAGCAAATAGGCTGATGGAGATAAAAACTACAGCTTTTCCCCATGCACCCTGTTTAAAAATGTCTATTGCTTGGAGCTACCAAACTCTAAGATGTTGCACTATTTCTTATTTTGATTTAGAAGGTTTAGTGTAACTTTGGAGTTATCTCTGAGACATGTAAAACTCATCACTTCTGATGAGCAGTTCCTTTTACCTGTGACCTGAGTCTTCTTGCAATCAGGGGAGGTAGTATAGCCTTGTGATTAGATGATGGCCATAGAGTTTGACTGTTGGGTCCCGAGGCTTAGCCCTACCATGTTACACAAGTTCCTTAAGTTTTCTTTACCTCAATTTTCTCATCTTAAAGTGGGATGATAATAGTACCTACATCATACTTTCATCATTTTGTGGTGACCAAAAAAGTGCTTAGAGTGGTACCTAGCACATCTTAAGCCCCCATAATTGTTACCTTATTAGTGGTTCTATGATTTTAAATTAAGTCAATAAAGCTCTGCAAATGTAATGAGTTTTTACAATTAACCTAGAAGCTCACATCTTCTTTTTTTGAAGTTGGTGATGGGACTGTTCCAAACCCATGTTTAGAATCTATCACACTAGTTCCTCAGGAGATGTTTTCAAAATAACAATGATATATAAAAGGAAAAAAAAAAAACCACTGGAAAAAATGTAAGGTTTAAAAGTGTCCTTGCTGGGAAGCCTTTGACAGAAATAATTGTTGAGAAATCTTCCACTGAGGAATCTTTGAGGTGGGAAGGGTTTGCTGCCTCATGCACTTGACTGCTGTCCTGACTGGGATTGGCACCGTGACACTCTAAGATTCCAGGGGTAACTCTTTTTCAGAGTGTAGTCTGAAATACTGAAAACTTGTGACTCCCTCAGCGTTATTCTGTTTAGAATTATTCTTGTTGAAATGCCTTAAGTTATTATTGGTTTAGTAGCAAGCCATGCTAGGTGCTGATTCACTACTTAATAAGAAAGTTCCCTGAGTTACATTTAGTTAAAATGGCAGAAAGCCAAAGGGAGCACTTCCTTTTATGCAGAGTTTGATTATGCTTTATTTTTAAAAATCACATTCTTCCCCATTCCCAGCCAACGAACAACACTATTCATTCTGAAATAAGAAAATGAAAGAATTTTGAGAAGTCACACAACATTGCTGTAAATTTCATTTTTTTTTTTTACTAATAAAACAGATGCTTCTTTCTCAGAGATGGGTTTTCACTTTCAACATGCGTCATAGCATCTGATTTTCTGAGCCATCTTGGGAAATGGAGTCTTTCCTAATGTCATTGAATGTGGTCAAAGCTATCTACAAAGCAGAGACAGTAGGCTCTTGGTGAATCAGTTTGGGAAATTCACAATTAAGCAGTCTCAGGGAGTGAAATTCCGGGGTCTGATGAGACTGTGGAAACCATGTGGTACTGTAGGGAGAGCACAGGTTTGGATGCCAGACAAATATCTAAATCTAACCCTAATCCACTGCTTATAAGCTTAGTGATTGTTGCACAAGTTGTTTAGCTTCTCTGAGCTTAGATACCTCATCTGTAAAATGGGAATAATACCTTCTTTTTAGTGTAATTCTGAAGAATAATGAAATCACAGTATAATTGGTTAAGAATTCAGGCTGCAGACTGAATCCAGGGGCCATTACTTAACATCGTATGATCTTTGGCAAGTTACTTAGCCTCTTTGTGCCTCAGAATCTCATCTGTAATCTATAAAATGGGGATAATGATCATACCTAGCTCACAAGGACTGCTGATTAAAAGCAGTAATCTGTGAAAGATACTCAGCACAAATCAGGGCCCAAATTTTGTGCTCAGCTAATGTTAGCTATTATCAAAACTTATGTAAAATATTTAACACAGTTCCTGCATATAGTAGAAACTTAATACATTAACTCCTGTCTTTTCCTCAGGACCCATGAGATTATTTGAATGACTGCCACAGCTTCTGTCCCCACTCATGTCATCCTGACTTGAACCAAAATGCTTGATTTTGGGTTGTTGCATGGCCTTGATTATTGCACCAAATAAAAGTATCAAAGATTCTCTGACTTCTACCGTGTATCCTGAAGAAAAGACAAATGAAAACACTATGGCTTTTGTTATTTACTTCCAAGAAGAACATTTTTCTGTTTATTCTTAGAATGTGAATTTTTTTTTTCAACTCAGGGCCAAGTACAAACTTTTGATTTTTGAAATTTTTTCAACTCAGGGCCAAGTACAATCTTTTGATTTAAAAATTTTTTTTCATGAACAAACCATCAGTAGTTATTAAGGAGCCCAAGAAATAGG
This sequence comes from Homo sapiens, assembly GCF_000001405.40. Taxonomy (NCBI): domain Eukaryota; kingdom Metazoa; phylum Chordata; class Mammalia; order Primates; family Hominidae; genus Homo; species Homo sapiens. The sequence continues at coordinate 119,037,252 of NC_000004.12, read as the reverse complement.
AGATGTGAAAGCAGGATTTCTTTGTGTTTCCTTTGAATGTTGTTATTTTGAGTATTATCATTATCAGGTAGAGGAAGAAAGGTAGGCTGGGAAGTAGGTCCTTATGATATCTTGACTATGGATCCCAGATTTACATTTCACCTGTCACAGAGCACACATAATTTAGATAAACATGTCAAGAATGACATAAACAGAGGTAAACACAAGGAGCTTTACATTTGGAACCAAAAAATAAAAATTAGAAAAATTATTACCTATATTAATAACAAAAAAATTACTTAAACTCTAGGACCCTGTAGGAGTCTAGCTTTCTCCCCTGTATACTTGGGATGCACTTTATTGGCTGGCAAACCTTTGATAAAATCAGAAGTTTGAGAAATGTTTGACAGGACTTGATATTTAAAATTAAATTTCTCTTTATTCAATTGCCTCTGAGTAGTGCTGTGATTTCCAAGTGCCAGGTAGTTAGGTGTACAAATATACATACCACAGAAACATACAGTTTTTAAAAAAATTAAGAAACTGGCTGCATCTGACGACATCAAGAAAAAAGATAATTCTGATTCAAGGGCTTCTCCAGAAGATGGGGTTTCATTGGCATGACGCTCATAGGATGACCTGTCATTTTTGTACTATTTTTTCTAGAACCATAGAGGGATGACAGTAACTGGCTTCTTAGAGCAATTTTGCCTGGTGTCTGGATCCTGTGGGAATTTATTAGCCTGCTTTGTGGCCCTTGGCCAACCCTGGTAGGACATCTAGAGAAGAATTCAATTCTGCTTTTTCCCAGAATAATTGTTGACTAACTCGGCAACACCAAAGTGTCACAGGCATCTTTGTGTCCCCCAGAGTCCAATGATATGTGGACCCAAGACCAGCGAGGGTCATGTTTCTGGGAATACAGTGTTGGTTCTTAGAATTTATATATTTTTTCTCATGAACTTATAAAAATGTTTAAAAACAAACTCAACAACCCTGATTTTAAAGAGAATGAGCACACGCCCCACGACTTCCCTCTAGAAGCATTTTAAGCATTTAGCTTTTCAAAAAACAATCATTTCTTTTTGATGACCATGACTTCAAATGCCCTGCCTGCTGGGCCAGTTGTGACTCATCAAATAGCAACTGATTTCAATAATTCACCCTTAGAATGGGGGTGCTTGCAGGAGCCCTAGTTTATAACTGGATGAAATGATACGCAGCCAAGGGCCTTTATTTGAGAAATTAAATCTAAACGCAGACACTAACAGCCATGTGTCTTCTGCTCTTAGGAGGGTTTACTGTGAAAGAGCCACACAGAGTGTTCGACATGCCTCTTAGCAGCCGAATGACCTTCAAAGTTCTTTAACCTTGTAACTGCAAATAGGAAAATGGTCTCACATACGTTAGTCTACCCCCTTTCAATGTAGATCAGGTGTTTTTTTTTTTTTTTTGGACATCTCAGATGTGACTCTTGCTGCCAGGCTAGAATTTAGGCTATGTGATAATTCTCAGCTGTCCTACAATGCCTGCTTCTTGAAAGAAGTCGGCACTTTCTAGAATAGCTAAATAACCTGGGCTTATTTTAAAGAACTATTTGTAGCTCAGATTGGTTTTCCTATGGCTAAAATAAGTGCTTCTTGTGAAAATTAAATAAAACAGTTAATTCAAAGCCTTGATATATGTTACCACTAACAATCATACTAAATATATTTTGAAGTACAAAGTTTGACATGCTCTAGAGTGACAACCCAAATGTGTCTTACAAAACACGTTCCTAACAAGGTATGCTTTACACTACCAATGCAGAAACTGTGTTTGTTTTCCTCTCTAAAAAACAGGATGTGTCAAAATGATAAATATTCTAAGATTAAAGTGGCAATGCTCAGATTCCCAATCTTACCAGTTCTGGGATTCACTCTGCCCTCCTAGAAGACTGAGGGGAATATGCTGTACTTACATGTCCATGGAACCTTCCTTCCTCCTAGAATCCCAAGCGTTATGCAGATTCATTATAGCACAACATTCCCGTCAGGAAGAGAGGTTTGACACATGATTAAGGGGAAACTTGTGGAAAGAGAAATGTTTAAGGTCCTGCAGAAAGTCAGTGACTGTAATGACCTTTTTCATTTATATTCCAGTGCCTGTATTTAAACCATGCAGTGGATTTGGGATAATATACATAAGGCACCTAACATAACATAGGAACTCGTAAATGATTGTCGCTCTTGAGCTGGCAATGAAAACCGACTTCGTGGATGCTCTGCCTAGAAATTATGCTAAGGACAAAGGAAGAGGCAAAGTCCTAAAAACTAAACAAAAACTGCCTCCCTACACCTCATAACCAGCGGACCAACCAATCAAGCTAATACCAACACAGCTAAGGCAACAACACTCAGATTGAAAATGTACCCCATGGGAGGGAGGCTGACGTCTGGAGGTCTAACTCTCCCTTCTGTCACACTGACATCACTTCCTTGGCCCCAACCTGAAAGGTGGCACATATAGCCCCTGGTGGGCAGACAGGGAAAGCAAATTCCTCTTACTCCAGGGAGCTGGTTAGTCCTTCTTCCTCCCACTTCCCATCTCCCTCAGAGTGAGGTCAGACTTTGTTGTGGATATTGTTTTGGAGAACTTCCACCCTCTTCTATAAAGTGGGACTGTATGGTCCAAGATGAGACCTATGCTGCCAGTGCCCAGCTGAAGTTGTAGATGCTTTTACTGCATGCCTGACATGCCTCTTACAAGGTTTTGGAGAACTCCAAATAGTCCTAGGATGACCAGAAGGCATAGTCATGTTATTTGCATCTTTAGTTATCAACTCCAAATAGTGGCTCTGCTAAGATTGCCACCTGTCCAACAGGAAATGGAAAGAAAACACTTCTCATTCCTGCATACCACACCACTAGACAACTGGAAATACTTCTGGGTCATTACCATCCTAGGATACTTTTAAGCCGATGATCTCAAACCGACTACCTGTGTGTTCCATGTCTTTCCTCTAATTCATGCCGCTCTTTAAATGCTATGTTAAGAATGCAAAGCTATAAAAATGATCTTTTTTCCTGCTGCACCATAAGAAGCCTTTTTTGGTTGTTCTATTAGAAAAGAATTCAAAATGCAAGCATTCAACAGATTTCCTTTGCAGGGAACAAGTAATACAAACAACTGTGTTATATAATGAATAGATTGCTTTTTTCCTTTATCCTGTATTAATCTTAATTGGTTTCCCAAAAAGGCAAATAAGAGACCAAGCTACATCCTGTGGTTGTAACCTCTAGGTAAATTTCCACCAAAAGCAATGAAAGATTTTCCAGAGAAAAAGCAGAAGAATCAGCCCCATTGTTCTGCAGCTGACTTAATTCTCCTCTTTATGTTTTAGAAATACCTAAGGATTACAGTTTTACAATGTATGGAGAAATAGATATGCTAACAACAATGAAATTGTTGTGGGAGCCATATAGAGAAATATCAGAGAAATTATTTAGATCAGAATAGCTCATACAAGGAAGATTTTTTTAAAATATGGACATTGAACAGATAAAGGAGACAGTAATATTTTAATAGGATAGTGAAAAATATAGCAGATTGACAGTGACAGCAGAAAAAGAGCAGGAATACAGATATTTTCAGAAGATTAAAATGGTACTGTGTACCCTCAAACCAGGCAAGTTTTTCTGAGAGGTCTCTAAACATATCTCCTGCATAGAGTAGATGATTTTTCTTGGAGCTGTCATAAATGCTTTATAGTTCTCTACATTAATTCATGTCGAATATTTTCCATGGTTGGTCAGACTCAGACTTAAAATAGATCTGAGAAAGGTCTTCAGGTTTACTTTCAGTACCATTATTCACTTCATAGCCAGCTGGGTGACAACATGGTGTGTGGCCAATTAAAGTTTACAAGGTAACCTTGCCTGAATTATCCTGGTCCATCGAATACAAATAGTAAAGTGAAGGTGAGAGAATAGAATTGCAAGGAACGTGGGAGAAGCAGTTGTCAAAAAGCAAAGCAAACACAAGAAAAAAAATCTGTGAGATCACTCAGAAATGATGCTAATAATTGTGTGCTCTCACCCTACAGTCTCCACACACATGGGGTTCCTCGTGCTTCACAATCAGCCCCTGTAGTCAGTCAGTAAACCTTCAGGTCCCAATCATGTGGTTTCTCCAGGTGAAACAATAGCCATGTACACCTTTATGTGCGTCCTGCCTTTTACATGTTACTTCGTTATCCTGTATACTCTACCACTTGCCTCAGCTGAGGAAAACAAACTTATGCTTTCATGGGCAACTGGAGATGTACTCACTTAGTTCCTTAAGTAACTGGGGAGGGAGGGTGGGAATCAACCTTTAAAGATAATTATCCTTCTTTCCTTATCCCATTTACTTCATTATTACTATTATTATTATTATTATTGAGACAGGGTCTCACTATGTTGCTCAGGCTGGTCTCCAACTCCCGGCCTCAAGCAGTCCTCCTACCTCAGCCTCCCAAAGTGCTAGGATTCCAGGCATGAACCACCATACCCGGCCCCATTTACTTTAAATAAGTTTTCTGAAATGAGTTTATATATGTAAAAACATCTGGCAAAGAACCTAATACATAATAAGTGCTCAGTAATTAAGACCCTCTTTCTTACCCACTTCTTACTAAACTATATACATTCCAACAATCCTCCGAGTATCTTCTCTGTGATATCAAACAGGTGGCTGAGATTGACAGACCAGAGCTGCTCCCTGTCCTTCATAGATTCCTTATTCCTTTAACACTAGTAATAGAGATAAGGCACTACCTAAAAGGGAAATCTCAGTCAATATAGGTTATACCTTCACTACATTTGAACCTTTCACCATAGGAGGACAGCTGTTATGTTACATAAAGGCTGATTCCTGATGTTTGATATCACTGATCACTGTCTTTCTTGTGGCTACAGCACAAATCCTAAGTCTCCTGCTTACTTAATATAACGGTACATGTCTATTTTGGGGTGCTCCTGGATTTTTTAAGTGTGCAAAGAAGATAAATATATTTTAGGTCAATCTGAGTTGGATTTTTGACTCATTAAAAATATTATACTCCTTGGACCCAGATTAGGAGGTGACATATCTGAAATTAAGTAAGTTGAGGACTTTGCTAGGCATTCTCAGGGACTCAAGAAACACTGCAAACAATTCATTTCAAGCAAAGTGGACACTCAGCTTCAGCTACAAGATTACTCTTCCACAACAGATGGTTTCCACACCTGAATTGTGACACCACTTTTCTTGGCTGAGAACTTTGGCCTTGGTGCCACAAAATAAGATGATGAGGCTGATTCTTGCTTTGGCGAGGTGGGAATGCCCACAGGCACTGGGGATGCACTGACTGGTGAGGAGGCCTCTGCAAAGAAGGAAGGAGGAGAGGTATAGGCTGGTACCGAGTACACTGACGAAGCCTGCACATTCGTAGGTGAGGCAGCATTCACTGGCCGGGGAGGAAGAGCTTGCTTCATGGCCAGGGCTGAATTGACCTTGACTGATGACTTCTGGGGGAGGCCATCCTTTGCATCTGGAGGTTGGAAAGTAAACAAGGATGCATTGAGCTGATACGGTTGGTGCTTCATGACATCTAATGCATTGAGGGGTTTCTTTCCCTTTTTCTTGCCCATTTTGGAGGGCTGTGCAGCTGATGGCTGAGACTTGAGAGCAGCCAGTGGGTAAGACGGCGAGTGGATAGGATTATAGGCCACAGGAGGAGGTGCTCGGACATTGGAGGAGTACTTCCAACTGGCCGGGAGAGATGGAGTGGGAGACTGAGCTCGAGCAGCGTGGGCCTGCACCGTGTCTGAATCGACCACATACTTCTCCATTCTCGACTGCCTTTTAGCAAAGAGCTGAGCTCCTCTCCCACTCATTCCTGGAAGCTCATTGGATGGTCCCACTGCACCAGGCTGAACAGCATTGACTGTTGGTGTGGAAACTGTTGGTTTGGGTGTGTAATTCTGACTGGCTACTGCTGCTTGTGGTCCTTTGAAGGGACCAGCCACGTTCAAAGTACTTGCAGGCCGGGCAGGAGGGTAAGAAGGCTGGGCTATTTTGATGGAGGAGACAACGGTGCCCTTTGATGGGTTGGATGTGGGGAAGGCAGGAGGTTGGGTGGGAGCCACTCCTGGAGACCAGACTGGGGAAACTGGAGTTACTGGTTGGGAGGATGAGGACTTGACTGCAGGTTTTGGAGCAACAGGAGGAGGGGTCTTTTGTTTGGCAGAGGAGCTTTGCATGAAATTACAAGCCTCTGCCCCCAAGCTGAGGTAGTCTTCTTCCGGTCCGGAATCACCTCCAGCTCCAGTGCCCCGTTTGCCTTCTGAATTTTGAAGGAGTGACAAGAGTTCAGGATTTGGGCTTACTTTGGGCTCTTTAAAAGTAAACATGGGTTTTGTCGTGCTTCTCCTTTTGGCCTCCTGCAATATTCCTGTTCTTTTTGCTGGCACTGAGATCCTCTCATCTCGGGAAGCTATTCGCTCAGACGAATCGTAAAAGGCTGGCTGGGACCACGGGGCAGGCTGGGGCCATGGAGGGGGCTGTGCTGGGCCAGCAATCGGACTTGAAACCCCTCTGGAGAAGGCGTCAGGGGGAGGAGTGACTGCAGAGTAAGGTGGAGGTGCAGGAAAGTCAGCAATGGGACTCGTCATGTTTCGGGTTGGCGAGAAGGGGGTAGCTGGCTGATTCACAGACCCTGGGAAGGGTTTGGCCGTTCTATTCATGGGGACCATCCTCTGGATGTTTGCTGTCTCAGATGTCCCACTGAAGCCATTCTGTTGGGGAACATGGCCAAGACCATGACTCACCTCGATGTAGCTTTTGCTCACAGAGCTCTGCGTTCTTACCGACTCTTCCTCCTTTCTTTGGTAAGAAGTCGTGGTTCTCAGGCCATCGGTCTGGGCAGCATCTTGTTCTCTGCTTGGCGTTCCACCTACCTTGTCCTCTTCTTTTTGGGCTGTGATCTGATCCATTCTCTCCCTCCTCTTGGCAAACATGAGGGCTCCCTTGCCTGTGGTGTCTGGTAACATCTCCATCTTGTCCCCTCTGTTCAGTTTCTTTTCAATGTCCACCAGTCCAGAATCCCAGTCAAAGTTCACAACTTGTGTGTTGTCGTCAACGTCAGACAATAACTCTTCATCCACCTCTGATTCGCTTGCACCAAGAAATGCTACTTCACATGTATCCTCCTTGTCACCTTCTTCCTCCTCGTCCGCCTCTCGCTCAAGCTCGCCAGTACCGTAGCTAACTAGGGTGTATTTCCTGGCCCTCCGACGTCGCTTCTTAAACATCAACACCCCCTTGGAGTTGGGGTTGGGAGCATCCGTTAGAAGAAGGGCAATGCTTTTGCATTTAGATTTTGCTTCCTTCACTTGTTTTTCTGACAGGCTTTCACTCCTCCTGAGCCCTAGGGAAAGCAAAAAAAAAAAAATTATATTGAGCTGATGAGTTCAAGGAAGACACCACAGCAACTCAGAAATGAACTCTCCTGGGGGAAAATAAATATGTAAAAAATTGCCATTGAGTACAGAATTTTGAAGGAATCCAACACATTTCTTTTTCTTATTTCTCTTAACATGTTTCCTTCTACAATAATATACTGTTCTATTTGTTTACATAAAAATATTTTATATATGCTGATTAGAATATATGTTTCATACATTTGTTTCTCTAGAGATCCTTCCACTTTAATAATAAAAACTGGCTAGTAAATGTCAATTAATAGGATAAAATTAGAATTAAGAAGGACATAATTTAAAGACATAATATTTTCTGAAAAACAAGATGAGACATATCTCATACTTCCATATTTTAAAATAAAGTGTCAATATAAAACTGTTTCCAGGAATCTTAAAAAGGGAGGAGCGTCCCAAGAAGATGTTTTAAAATTTTCTAAATGTTTTAATGTAATGAATTTAGCTATTTAGGTTTTCTTCTTTCTCTTTTTTCTTTTTTTACCCTGACAACCACCCCAAATCTTTCCACTCACAGCTACTGGATTAATATAAATTCAAAACACTGAATTAATCATTGAAGGTACTGAATCAATAATTAAAATTCAAAATATGACATTATTGTAAATACATATAAGAAACTCTAGCTACAAAGTTTTCTAGACAGATTTGTTTGTAAATGTATTGCTATTTTGGAAATACAATATTACTTTCCTTGCAGCAAGAATAAACCTTGGAGAAATTTAAAAATTGACTTGTGACCCACTTAACTGTGTAAAAACTGATGCAGAAATTAAGTCATTTAAAACAAGAATATGATTTTTATTTTATAAAAATAAAAATATTTAAAATTTTCTTTCATTATTACTATTATAAAAAAGAAATGGGTGGCAAATTATAGCAACTAAACATATAGCATCTATCATTTATAATTTATAGTTATATCATATTTTCAATGATAATGACTGTGAGTCCCCTAAATTTTTTAATTCCTCAAAACAGTTAAGTGGAAAATTAAGAAAAAATTTTTGACTATTTTATGATTGAAAATTAGCTCTTTTTGTCACAGACTTAATGGTTAATTTTTTTTAAATAAAATATAATCCAAGGAAATAATTTTATAATATGATTACAGGCATTTACTGGTGATCGAATTTTCTAGAGAAAAATAGTTGAAACTGTGGTTATTACTAAATAGAATTCCTTTTTTGACTAGTGTTATACAACTTATTAAATTGACAGTCACAGTTGCACAGTTGCTGCTAACTTCACTGCCAACATGTAAAGTATGTGAATGGTGTCTCAATACTCTTGTTTAATATGCTATAAATGTGAAGATGGCCTACAGATGCTTAAAGTATAAGGAATGATTAACAGCACTTGCCAATAAAGCTACAAATGGTTATGCTAAAAATATGCTTTGAAAGGAATAACAATAGGTTAGAAGACTTAATATCCTACTTTGAATAACCGAATTCATTGCCATTGTGTATCATATATACAGTCAAGTGCCTTTGCCTGTCAGCCTTTACATCCTCAAATAAAATTCCAAAATTAGTAAAAAAAAAAAAAAAAACAAACAAAAATAAACGTGAAATAAAACAATAGAAATCCTAACACCTAACTGCAATTCTTATCCCAATTCTCCTTTCTGTCTTCTCTCCCCTGGGTAAAACAAAATGCCATACAAAGCACTGAATTTAAATATATTTTATGTTTGGAGACATTTAAATGCCTCCACATGGCCCTGGAGACTGACTTCTGTGTCTAGAAGGTAGATGAAACACTTTGCAGTCAAATGAAGACTTACACAACGGAGAGGATCATGTAACTGCTCAGTATACACATGTCCTTGTCTGTCAAACTCACTTCTGCAAGCATCATCAAGCTGCACAATGATTTTTTTTCAAAACAAGGATCTGCTTTTGATATCAATGGTAGAGCTTTTATTTTAAAGACACCTCTCAGTAGCAGACTCAACAGTTTTTGACATTTAAACTGAGTCCACATGACTTCAAGTGCTTTCTTATGCTATTTTAACATGAACTATTTCAACTGTCTGAAACAAAATGAACAGGCACATTGACAATATTATTTTCTTTAACAGTTCCTGTGCCTTTGGGGATAAAAAGAAATTCATGAAAAATGTTTAAATCTATATGAAGTTCGGACTTATTGCTTCCTATTTAGAAATTGGTATTCTCCACAATTTCACATTTGTGATTTTGTGCATTAATTAAATATTTCTTTAAGCCAATGAGAAACATAAGAAAAATCTTGCTGAAAAACTCATGCAAGCAAAGAAGCAGCAAAATGCCCCCAACTCCCAAGCCCCTTCTGAAAGCCCAGGCAGAACTTACGTGCATGCCGCGCTCGGTGCTTGTGAGGTCTGCTGTGATCTTTTTCCGAGCGTGGATCTTCTCCCTGCTCTGTGCCTTCTGATGAGACGGCAAAGGATACCAGAGAAGGAGGTGCTTCTGACTGCCCTCCTTCCACTGGAGAATCCACACACTCCTTTCCTGCCTGAAGCCTGCACCCTTCTGTCTTCTGCCTGTCAGAGCAGTCGAGGATCACTTCCACCCGGGGCAGTCCCGCATCTCCTGCTTCACTTTCCTGGATCACTCTCAACTCTCTGCCACTGGAGATCTGGATTATCTTGCTGGACCTCAGGAAAGGGTCTGCTTTCTCATTAGTAGGGATCGAATTTATGTGGACAATCCTGTCATGTGACAAGTTAGGGTCTGGGTCAGGAGACTTAGATTTTTCAGCTCCCGGGAGAGCCACTAAAGGGCCACTAGCGCCCTTATGTCTCTCCTGTGAAAGGGACAGTTGCAGCTCAACCACAGGCCCAGGCTGTACCGCTTCTACCTTCTCCCTTAAGATCAGCTCTTCTGCCACGCGTCCTCTTTGGGAGTCAGGCATTTGGGGAGCCCTTTGGTAGCTCGGGCCTGTTTCTTCTTTCAAGCTGCCTGCACAGTCGGGACCACTTCTTTGGTTCTCAGCTAGGGGAACTTCAGTCTTGACAGGGGCGAGGAAGAATTCTGTGCACTGGGTCTTTGTGGCCGGTCGAATCTGCAGGGTGGTACTTTCCACATAACCCCCATGTGTGAGATGCTCGAGGTTTTTGTTTTCATTTTCAGATATCAAAGCCTCACTTATTCCACTGGATGGTCTGCACACAGAAAAATCATTCCAGACACTTAAATCAGACTATGTTACATCTGCCAAAGAACTTCCTGACACTTTTGTGATGTCTAATATGTGATATAGTCAAAATATTTTCTTCTAAATGTCAGTTGCAACATATTTGAAAACAGAAGGTGGCAACATGTTCATATTATTACTTAAAGAGATACCAAATAAACTTTTTTAAAAGCACAAAGAAACTCTTACACAAGATTATGAAACCTGAATCCATCCTAAATTCAGCTTTTATTTTTAAAAAACTACATGGATCCCGTTTATCTGTAAGTACTTGGAATCTGGGTATCTCTTATAATGAGTTTGCTAGAATGTGACAAAGCATTTCAATGTCTTATTGACTAAGTTTTGGTCTAGACATTATGAAGTCACATAAACATATCCAGCACCTTCAGATCAATCTTAACTTACAGATAACTCAACTAGTCCTTTTAGAGGCTGTGCTTTCTTGAAAGGAATGAAATAGAAGCTGTTTTTTAAGCCCCAGTGAGCATGTGTTTCGTAATAAGTGGACCCAGCCCAGTACTCTTGCGTAAAGAGAAATCCTTTCCGTGCTGCAATGAATCATTAAGTCATGGAGTATTTATAATCTGAGATGTCTCCCTTTCTTCTATTTGGATCTGTTTCTTGGAGCATTTTCTTTTTAGGATATCTGAAGTCAAACTGTTCCTTTATCTCTCAGCTAAGGAGCCTAGAGCTGTACACCACAGCTCTTTGATTTTGATCTTCCCAGTTGTCTGTGCAAATTTGGGTTTCTGAGAAGAAGCAATGTCAGTTTAAGAGTTAAATAACTTCTTTCTGAAACTCTAATTTAAACTGTAAATGTTTTTAGAGGTATTATTCACAGAACAGCTGTAGGAAATGCCTTCATTTTTTATATTTGTATTTTTTTTAATTTTGGAAGCAGCATAATTATCTTTGCCCCTTTCCTCCTTCCTTAAAAGACAGTTATGACTCATGCAGGCACGTCAGCTGAAGGGCGTGAGCTTCTACTTGGATTCTACTCAAAGGAATTTACCTTAGAATTTATGTGGTAGTGCAATTTCCGACCAATGCTCAAAATACTTACTCCTACCTTTGCTTTCAACTGCATTTGGCAAAACAAAACTAAACAAAATGAAAACAAACTAACAGTTAAACAAAATGCACCTTTCTCTATACGCAAGTAATTGGAAAAGCTTCCCTGTAATACAGTATTTATACAACATTATAATATCGTATTAAAAAAGCATGATGTTAGCAAATTAGATCATTATTATGTAGAAAATGTTAAATACATTGTTAAACTGAATTTGAGGGTACCAAAAGGTCAGAGAGTTTTAATTTAGGAAGGCCTTGGGATGGAAGTAGATTAAATCACTTTGAATAACGTTAGCAATCAATTGTGAAGCTGAGAAGAGAATAGTTTCAATTCATGCCAGCCTTGTAGACCAATACAGACAAATGGCCAGATAAATATTAACATTTATCAGCAGCTGAAGTAAAATAAATAGACATGAGTAAATATCATAAAAGCATGAGCGAATAAAGCTTTATGCCTTAAAACATTCATTTCCCATCAGTCTACATAGGTATTCATCAAGTCCACAATTTATGTGTCACAATTATAGAATTTTTAAAATCTTATTTTAAGAACATTCAAGATAATAGAGATGGAATGTTAAAGGAGTTATTTTAAAATAGTCTTACTGAGCTATCTCTGGGCAATAGTTCAGGAAAAGTAAAAACACTTGTCCTCTACTGATAGATGACAGTGATATGAGTGACAGAAATATTTATTGCAGGAAACAATATTCAGATATTTAAAATAGTGGTAGTGGTGGTGATGATAATAATTGCTTTTGACTTGATTTTCAATTGAGATTCCACTTTGAATCCTACCAATTAGTTACTTACTTTGTAATTTTTTTTATTTTATAAATTTAATTATGTATTAGTAAATTATGTATTTTATAAACTTATTTTCTCTTCATAACATGAAGGAAGGATTCTAAGGCCTTAAACACTGAGTTTGATGGGTAAATATTTAGATTATAAGAATAATGCTAGATTTCCATTGTTGTCTCAAGATTTTGGCCATAGTGAGTTCATTTTCATCCCGGAACAGAATCATACTGAATGATTAGCAGAGGGGTAACTGTGCGTAGTGTTTCTGCAGAGTTGAGGAAAAACCTGGAGGACCTTGAGGTTCATCTTGAGATGTCCTCTGACATCTTCCTAAAAGCTGCTCTCCAGGAAGCCAAAGCTTTCCTTTCTGGATTCATTATCATGCAATAGCCAGAGCTTCCGTTGCAAAATCAGTATGGATTGTACTGTGATTTGTACACCATAAAAATGTCAATGCTGTAGTTTTCCTTGTTATTGTCCTCATTGTTTTCTTTTGTTTTTTACATTTAAAGGTTTCTTTTATATTGTTAAACAACTATGTGGGGATGGTGGTATTTGAAGAGATTGAATTCCCAAATGACCTGTGTTGGTCGTGCAAAAACCTTATTCTAATCATCTGCTTTTGTCCATCCTCAAATATTGGTTTTACTGGAGAAATCCGGCTGCTTGTAAGTTTTTGTTGTTGTTTCTCTTTTCTGTCTCTTAAGCATCCTTTTAATGAAAAATTGTACAGTTTAATGGTCTAATATTTAAACATTTTTAATTCATCTGTGCATCTGATAATTACAATTGAGTGATTCTGATCCATCACAAAATCTTGACCTATCAAAGAAATATTAAGTTATGCTCAATATACTGAGCTTTCTAAGGAAGGAGCCTAAAATACCTAAGATTTTCAACAAAGTGCTTGAAACAAGCATTTTCAACTTAATTCTCAATTAACCAGAAAGTTTGGTTGACTAGAATTGACTATTTTTCAAACACAGTGGTGTTTCTGTTTAACTATACCTAACCTTCTACAAAGCACCCCTAATTTCTCCATAAATGACAAGTTATATATGTAGTAAAAGCTATAATCATTCCCATGTAGCTTCAAGAGAAAATACATATTCCAGCAAATCTGTTGTACCTTTTGATGAGCATTTGGAGAGAGTCTGTTATGCTTTCCATGAGCTTGATGACTTCAGGGTAGGTGAGATCTGCACAAGGGTTGCCATTGATGGAAACCACTTCATCTCCCTCACAGAGCCCAGACCCAGAGGCTTTGCTCTGATTTCGAATCTGAGTGGAGTAAAAAAAGAAGACATAGTAGAATGATATAATTTGTAAAAAGCAAGCCACCATCTCTGAGAAACAAATCTGTCAACAGTAACACCAGCCCTGAATTTTAATTCACCTGTTAACCTGTAAGACCATTTAAATACTTCTTACCACCTTATGAACACACACACAGCCACACACTTTATCATGTACCATAATATGAACATTTAATTCATAGCATTGTAAGTAAACAGGAAAAAAGAAAGTAAATAAATCAATGTAAAGGTACCAGACAGAATTAAAGAAATAAAAAATAGAGAAGAGTGAAAAAAGATGTTAAAGGCTTACATTGATGGCATTAAAAATAATTATTCAGGCCAGGCGTGGTGGCTTATGCCTGTAATCCCAGCACTTTGGGAGGCCAAGGCGGGTGGATCACGAGGTCAGGAGTTCGAGACCAGCCTGGCCAACATGGTGAAACCCCGTCTCTACTAACAAGTACAAAAATTAGCTGGGCATGGTGGTGTGCGCCTGTAGTCCAAGCTACTCAGGAGGCTGAGGCAGGAGAATTGCATGAGCCCGGGAGGTGGAGGTTGCAGTGAGCCAATATCGCACCATTGTACTCCAGCCTGGGCAACAGAGCAAGACTCTGTCTCAAAAATAAAATAAAATAAAATAAAATAAAATATAAAATAAAATAAAATAAAACATAAAATAAAATAAAATTAAAATAAAATAAAATATAAAATAAAATAAAATACAATTAAAATAAAATAAAATAAAATAAATAATTCAGGCCAGGCACAGTGGCTGATGCCTATAATCCCAGCACTTCGGGAAGCTGAGGCAGGTGGATCTCTTGAGCTCAGCAGTTTGAGACCAGCCCGGTCAATATGGTAAGACCCTGTCTCTAAAAAAAAAAAAAAAAAAAAAAAAAACCTACAAAAAATGCAAAAATTAGCCCGCTTGGTGGTGCATGCCTGTGATCCTAGCCACACAGGAGAAGTGGGAGGATTGTTTGAGCCAGGAGGTGGAGGTTGCAGTGAGCCAAGATCATGCCACTGCACTCCAGCCTGGGGGACAGAGCAAGACCCCGTCTTAAAACATTATTATTATGATGATGATAATTCCACATTGTAAGGTTTTACTCCAGTGAGAAAGTAACCTCCTGCATTACAATAAATTTTAAAATCCTTCCCATTGCCAAGGTGAATGAAACGCCATGACTATAAGAAGGAGGTACAGGACGGGGCAACTTGTTTGAGGAGAGAGCTGTATAGCTAAATGGACTGATAAAAACCATCCCAGTATAGTGGGGCACCAGGGAGCCTGGATATTAGGGAATATGTCAAAGAGAGAAATGCTTCATTGAAATCAGCTACTCCAGGCATGGTACTAAGCAAACTTTAGCAAAAAAGAAAGAAAAAAGAGATTACTTTGCAGAAAGTAAAAGCAGCCCTGCCATAAGCACTGTGTCATAATCTACTGGAATATTCTTACTCCAGTAAGAGATCAAAGACCAAGGGAAATGAGAGGTCAGGTCTATGCTCTCCTTGGTGGACCTGCTGGGCCATGGCTTAGCAGTGGCTCTGTTCTTCAGTCTAGAGAGTTGCAGCTCCTGTCAGCCTGCCCCTCTATCATTGCCTTAACTCGTTAGGTTCCAACAACACACATTATCTCCTTGTACCTTTGGGCCTATGAGTGATAATAGTTTCCTGCTCTCAATCTCTGGATTTCTGGGTGCTTCATTATCATTTGTTGGTTCCCTTAAGACTACCTTTAGTCTCTGCATTGCATTATATTGAATTCTTCTTTGAGCATGCCACCTATTTCCTGCTGGAGCCCTAAGTGATACTAATGTGCTTAGATTTCATTTTATGAGTTCAATTGTTCTCAATGAACCATGTATGATGACCATACAGTCTCAAATTTAAGAATACTTTAAGATACTTTTCTAGATTTTTTTCTACCAAGCATTATTCCTTTTTATTAAAATAAAGCTTCTGAGCCTAGAGAGGTGAACACCAGGTAAGCAGCACTTCTTGAACAATGTTTTCATGGCTAGGCTTATTTCTGACTGGGCACAAAATGTATTTCAATTTATCTCTAAAAGCTGCCCACTAATTCCTGCTAAAGTCTTAAATGATAATTCATATATTAACTCATATAGGTTTAAAGTTTACATCTAGAGGTTCATTTTAAATGATACTCTTGAAAGCAAAATATTACCTTTAAGAGCCAAAACAATGGCATTATTGAAATTTGAAGTGATTCAATTAGTTTTGTTCTGGGAGGGCCCATCCTTCTATTGTCATAAATTACAATCTGTAGAAAGCCTTCCCCACTGCTGACACATCAATATCATTACCTCTTGGGGAAGAATATACTAATTTATTGGAAAATATAATTTATTTTTGGAATATACTAATTTATTGGAAAACACTAATTTATTAGAAAATATTAAATGAACCAATATTCCAAGACTATAAGAAAGTCACAAAAGCAATGAGAAAGAGAATTTCACCTAATTTTGAAAATATCCATTTAGCTGTTAAATATATTTGTTTTGTTTTATCTTGCATGAAATATTTAAAATGAAAGATCACAAGAAATTTTTTAATAAGTAAAGGATACAACAATATCCAACAGTAAACATCTATGTCAGGGTTAGAGTTGTTCACATTTCAGTTACTGAAATTTATTTATAAAAAAAATTAGGTAGGTAATACAGGATACTTTTGAGGCATAAAATCATTCATTCAATGGAGTCAGATATACCAGGATTCGAACAGAACATCATCCTTTGGAGGACCAAAGAGGTTTTATGTTGATAAAACAGAGGTGTCATTATACTCTGTGCCCCCCAAGACCCAATCTTAGGCAGAAGTTCTGTTTATTAGCCATGAGTTGTCTGAGTTTTAAACTGGGATTGCAGAAGAAGATGAAAAATTGATTCTTTAAAAATAAATAATCTCCCAACTTTACAGAGCTGCCTGTTATCCAAACATGTGTTGCATGATAGGAAAAGTGCAGTTCATCATCCTGCTTGTCAAGTTGGAGCTCTTAATGGTATCTAAATAAGCCAGTGCATCATGGTAAGAGTCATTAGCATTCCTTCAGAGAATACATTCTGAGGTCAACATTCACAATCAACTGCTGTGATTGCGTTTCACTGAACTTTCACATTCATCTGAATAACAAGAAATATTTTTCCCTCAAGAACCTTGCTATATATGATGAGAACTTTTCTTCTTACTTAAGTTTTTCTGAAGGACTACTCTTTCTCCATTTTTTATAGAACTCTTCAACCAAAAAAACATGGTATGACAGGGTCTTATAGTAGTATCAAGAAGGATAAACATGTATTAGTGTACCTAAGATCCTTACCTTCTATTGTGCGTAATTACGTATTTTTATAATTGTATAAGTGTGTATGTTTATGTGAGTGAAGATTCTAACACTTGGAAATGTTCTTATTTGTGAAAATGAAAGACACTGTGCATCACAAAACTAAATTTAGACACAAAAATTATTAGTACTGATGATACCAATTCTCTATCAGTGAACTTATCAACCAGTCTCCTTAAGCCACTAGTCTTGGATTCATAAAATACATGTAGCAGTGGGAAAGGGTACCAACTCTGAGGGAACAAGACATGGGTTTCAACTGTGTTGCTCCTATGCTTACTACCTGTCTAAACCTAGATGAGTTACGCTACTACCCTAAGCTTTAGTTTTCTAAAGTGTAAAATGGTGCTAATAAATTTTATCGTCTAGATGTTTAATCAGGATTAGAAATAATGTGTGTAAAGTTCCATGATGTACCTACAGCTCAAAGAGGTGCTCAAGAAGGGACTGGTGAATTCAGACGTGTTGGCTTTCTACACACACAGAGTTACATATAAAATATTTTTAAAAATTAAAACAGACAATATTATGACTCAATGTGTTATAAGTTCAAAATTGAGTATAATTATCTTTCATAAACTGTGATTTGACACAAAATACCTGCGTGAGCACATCATGTAATTCCTTTCCTTTGAAAACATTCCTTTAGAGACCTCATTCTACATATAATATATTAGACCCTGAGTGAGTTCTTATCCTGTATTCTTTTTCAGTATCTCCCAATTTAATCAGATCACATAACTAAGAGATATTGGTAATGTCAGTAGTTACCAAATGCAATACTATGTTTCATTGCTTACCACCTTTTTGTTTTGGTTTGCTAATTTTCATTTTAGGTTTAGGGGTACATGTGAAGGTTTGTTACAGAGGTAAACACGTGTCACGGGGGGTTGTTGTACACATTACTGCATCACCCAGGAATTAAGCCCAGTACCCAAAAGTTATCTTTTCTGCTCTTCTCCCTCCTCCCAGCCTCCCCCATCAAGTAAACTCCTGTATCTGTTGTTTCCTTCCTTGTGTTCATAGTTCTTATCATTTAGCTCCCACTTATAAGTGAGAACATGCAGCTTACCAACTTCAAAAACTTTTTATTTAAAATTATTATGGATACATAATAGTTATACATATTTATGGGGTATGTGTGATATTTTGATACAAGCTAATGATCAAACCAGTGTAATTAGGGTATTCATCACCTCAAATATTTATCATTTCTTTGTGCTAGGAACATTTCAATTGCACTCTTTTAGTTATCCTGAAGTATACAATAAATTATTGTTAACTATAGTCATGCCACAAAACACCAGATCTTATTTCTTCTAATTGTATTTTTGTACCCATCAACCATCTCCAGTTTATCCCCCTCTCCTCTCTACTACCCTTCCCAGTCTCTGGTAACCATCATTCTACTCTCTATCTTTTATCAAAAAGAGAGGTAATAATGAATGCTGGCAAGGATGTGGAGAAAGGGGAACCCACATACCCTGTTGGTGGGAATGCAAATTAGTCCAGTCACTATGGAGAACCATATGGAGGTTCCTCAGAAAATTAAAACTAGAACTAGCCAGCAATCCCATTGCTGGTTATATATCCAATATAAAGGAAATCAGTATATTGAAGGGATATCTGCACTCCCAAGTTTATTGCAGCACTATTCACAATAGCCAAGATATGGAATCAACCCAAGTGTCCATCAGTGGATGAGTGGATAAAGAAAAAGCGGTACATATACACAGTGGAATATTATTCAGTCATAAAAAATGAAATCCTGTCATTTGCAACAACATGGATGGAGGTGGAGGGCATTATCTTAAGTGAAACAAGCCATGTGCAAAAAGACAAATATTGCTCATTCTCACTCACATGTGAGGATTTCCATTTCTTGATCCATGCCAGGAAAGATTTGTTTTACCAACACCAAGTGAAATTGGAAAGTTAAGACTTCTCGGGGAAATTTAACGACATTATTTACATTTCATAGACTAAATCTGAGAAGACTTTCGGCTATGCTAATTTAGTTTTATGAATAAATAATTCCTTGCAAAATTAAAAAAACCTCGTTTTTCTCTTGTGTTGTTCTCTCTTCATTTCCAGGTCTTCCAAGACTGACTAGAAAGCAGGTCTCAGATTTGATTTCTCATCGACCTAGTACATAAATTATTTTGTGTTGTGTATATGGCCTATCAATCATGCCAGCTTGCTGTCAGAACTAAATTTTGTCTCAGGAGCTGCATTTTCATGTATAATTCATTGACAAGTACTGTTGGAAAATGTCAGAGTGGGTGATAGAAACAAGACAATCTCTTCCTTAAATCCACTATTATAATCTATTGAAATCAATGAAAAAGAGAAAATTAGCATACATTTGCCTATCACATGTGGGGCTATTCTCAATCCATATGATGAAGTCTCAGGGACCTGGCAATAACTAAGAGAGGATGAGAGAGATGATTGTGATCTCAGGCAACAATTAAAGTTTTAGAGATTTTTTTTTTTTTTGACAGAAAATGTACACTACATGTTCTAGTAGTTCTTTTGGAAGCTCCCGCCTTTCCTCAATTTTCCACTTCAGGCATTTCTCAAAACTGCCTCATACCTGTAAGACAAGGTTTAATAAGCATTCCCTTACCCCAACTGGATCTTAAACCAAAGCCTTAGGTAGGTCTGTATTCTTCAACTAATACCAGAGGAATGGTCAGAGGAGGCAGAGCAAGATGATAGTAGCTAAGATCTTGGAAATAAGTTCATAATTCCATTTTCAGAGGGCTTGCTATCCAGATCCTAAACACCAACCTCAGTCCTTGGGATTCAGTTCTACAAATCATGTGTCTAAATAATGAAAATAAAGTTAAAACTGTGTATTCAAATCTGGTGACAGGTGTAAATTCAAACAGACACTACAATTTTTGGTTATTCTACACTCAGTACCTCAATTCAAGCTCATAACCTGTTCTCATGTTGGGTTTTGGTTTGAAGATCATGACCTTTCTTCCTCTTGTCACCAAGATATATCCAGACAAAAACGTTTTCTTTTGGATAATTGTCTTTACTCTCAGAGACCAAGTCACCATAAAAGTAAAAAGTATTCATGGTAGCAACCTTGGAAAGGTTCCTGGAGTAATAACTATCTTTGACAGGAATGAGAGCCCTAATTTGTGGGGCTGCATACTTAAGAATCTTCATACCAAAGTGATTCCACAGGCAGAAACGATGCTGCAATATAACTGCTATGAGCTGTTATAAAGCAGCCATCATGATGCTAGAAAACTAAGTACAAATATGGAATGGTATTCTCTGCTTTTCTTTCTTTCCTAAGAATGTAAACATCCTAGCTCTTTCAGGCAAACACTGATAGAGCAGAGCCTAGCAGGACATGTGCCTGTCTACTTTTTGCTGGATAAATCATGAAAGATTGCACAGAGGTCTTTGAATTACAGGCAGATTATTTTTATAAACATTTGTGCAGAATATGAAAAAATACTTTTTAAAAAACTCCTAATAAAAGCACATGTAAAATTTAAAAGCATCTATGTAAATACTCTTTTTAATAAGAATTACTAAGAAAAGAGAGCAGAACTAGAACTATTTGGGTTTCCTAAATTTTAGTTGATTTTTTTTTTTTTTTGAAATGGAGTCTTGCTCTTGTTGCCCAGGCTGGAGTGCAATGGCACAATCTCTGCTCACTGTAACCTCTGCCTCCCAGGTTCAAGCAATACTCCTGCCTCAGCCTCCCAAGTAGCTGGCAGGCTCCCACCACCACGCACAGCTAATTTTTGTATTTTTAGTAGAGATGGGGTTTTGCCATGTTGGCCAGGCTGGTCTCGAACTCCTGACCTCGTATACTGGACATACAACTTTTAACTGAGAAATTAACATGCTAATAAGAATTAGTTACCTAAAGAACTTACAAGTAAGCTCTCAACAGTCTTTTGAATGGTCAAAATACAGTTAAAAATAAAGTTCACTAAAACTTCTGGACATTACTGAAAGTATATGGATCCTATCCTCAGTCTATTTCATCAATTTTATACAATTCTATTTACCATCGTTATTTGGTTTAGAAAATTAGAAGTGGGGAGAAAATCATGTATCCTGTATAAAGGAAAATGGCAAAGTTAATACAAATGCCAAAGTTAGGGAGTAAAAGCCAAATTTAAAAACACATGAAAATCTTAACAACAACAAAAAGGCTCAGAAGATTGGGCCACTCACTGAAGGTGTAAAAAACTCTCATATGCTCAATAGGATTTAATGCCTCTGCTCTATTCGAGTAAAATAATGGGCATTAATAATAATGATCCCAAGACATTTAAAATGTTTATATCATTTTTAGCAGACTGATTAGATGCAGAAGAACACGTGATATCTTTAGGAACGAGTACATCCCAAATAGCTAAATGAGGTTCTGATATCTAAAGGTATAATTGAACCTGAGGCATTTCTGCATTAATAAAGTAAAGGAAATGAATTGGAATCCATAATGTAAGGTCCCAGATACCTTGCTTGTATTGCTTTTTTTTCTGAAACTGTTTAGTTTCAGATATAAACATCTCATGTACCCAACAAATATACCTGTCTGAGTGCCCTGTTTTTCTATAGCTCTAGACATATGAAGTCTGCATTTGTCTCAACTAGATGAATCCATTTATTCTTCTAGTTTTCTCATAAATAAAACTACAGATAAAGAAGATATATGTAAAATGAAAATTTTTCTCCAAATGACAGGAGTAGAGACTTTTAAAAATTTATAAATTCTATTATTTTGCTGCGGACTTGCAGTTATTAGTAAACTGGCGATCTTGCCTTAATTCTGTCACTAACTCATGTGATTTCGAGCAAAGCATTTAAGCTATTAGGGAATCATTTTCCACACCTGGAGAATGAAGGCATTCCCTCCAGATTCCTAATTCTATACTTTGTCAAACTATAATACATATAAGATACATTAGGGTGCTTCCATTTTGGAAAGAATCACATCAAATTGTCATTGAAGTTTTCATTTAAAAAGTATCAACTGTACAAATTTATAAATACTTGTCATAGTTTTAATTCAAGAAAGTTAAGTTGACTGCACTGAACATTTACTGTAGTAGGGTACTGGGGGAAAAGACAGGGCCAATAATGTCTTCACATGACTGAGATAATATCTGCCTTCCCAGCCACAGCACATACTTGAGAGGTTTGATTGACAAAAAAACTGTCTGGTGCAGGAGCCAGGGGGATTTAATCACATCAGAAAGACAGCCTTTCGGGGAAGAGCTGGTTTAAATGATCACTTTCAAGGCTTTAATTAACTGGAATTTCATTTAGGCCATCATCGGTGTTTAAGAGTATGTGATCTATAGAAGCAATTCTTAAACATTTTGGTCTTAGGAACTGTTTAGACTCTTAAAAATAATTAAGGACTTCAAAGATACTCTGTTTTGAGTTTGGTCTATTGATATTTACCATGTTAGATATCAAAAATAAGAAATTTTAAATTTTTATTAAATTTAAAATAGCAAACCTACTGCATGTTAACATAAGTACTTTTTTATGAAAAACCGTATTGTATAAAACAGGTAATGTAGTGAGAATAGTGGTATTATTTCCCACTTCTACAAATCTATTTATTTATTTATTTATTTTTGAGATGGAGTCTCACTTTGTTGCCCAGGCTGGAGGGCAGAGACGCAATCTTGGCTCGCTGCAACCTCCGCCTCCCAGGTTCAAGCAATTCTCCTGCCTCAGCCTCCCGAGTAGCTGGGATTACAGGCATGTGCCGCCACACCCAGCTAATTTTTGTATTTTTAGTAGAGATAACATTTCACCAGGCTGGTCTTGAACTCCTGACCTCAAATGATCCACCCTCCTTGGCCTCCCAAAGTGCTGGGATTACAGGTGTGAGCCACCGTGTCTGGTCTGTAAATCTCTTTAATGTCTGAGCTCAATAGAAGACAGCTGGATTCTCAGATGTGCTTCTGCATTCAATCTGTTGTGATGGGTTGATTGAAATGCATAAAGAAAATTGAGCCTCACACAGTTATATAGTTGGAAAAGGAGGAGTACATTGATAGTCTTATAGGGTAATTTTGGATATTCTTCTTTGATATCACAATGAACTCAACAAGCAGTAGTTTCTAAAGTTGTACTGCAGAATCTGAAACCATAGGTATAAATTTTTCATACTCTGTTAATTTAAAAAATCTATTGGTCCATTTTGCATTTTGAATGCATCTTTTATGCATGTGTGATTTTGTTACATTTGGGTTGATCATTTGGAAAATATTGATTCACTGAGTTATGCACATCTTTCAAATGTTGACACATTTCATTATACAATATCAAACAATCACTCTCAATACCACCAATGATCTCATCAGAGAAGTCTTTAAGTATTGGGATGCTGTCATATTCACAGTGGCAGATGAGAGTTTCTCAAAATTTTAGTTTTCCCTTGAAAGTTCAAATATCGTCCATTGTTTTCCTTAAATGGGCAGGTTGACTTTGCTTATTTTCTAGAAAATAACTGCTGAATATCCAAGACTGAATAACCATATTTTGTCTGTCATTCCTTAAAATAAAAATGATGTCCCATAAATTTAAAAAATGGCTAGTATGGCTTGCAATTCAAACAATTTTGTACAAATGCTCCCTTGAGGTAAACATTGCATTTCAGTATCCAGCCAAAGTGCTTTATATGTACTTTTCATTTTGTCACACAGAATATTAAAAAGATATGCATTCAAGATTTAATAAAAATCAAACTTTAACTGCTTCATCAGGATATCCTTATGTAAAACTGGCATCATGTTTTTTAAGCCAAATGTATGACAGTAAGGAACACAAAGGCCCCTGGTACATTTGTGTCACCGCCTTGAATGCTAAGGGCTAAGGTGCAAGTGGTTTCAGCCACCATTGTTTTTGCACTATCCATGCAAATGTCAACATGGTGAAAAGGACAAGTAACACCTTAGTATTATTACTAAAATTATTTTGGCCTGAAAGTATCTCAGAGACCACCAGAGGTCTGCAGATGACACTTTGAGAATAACTGATCTAAAGGGACAGGGATTCCATGTGTAAGCATTCTTGAATATCTGAGTTGGACAGGAGGAAGTTCCACTGAAGGCAATGCAAAAGCAAGTAGAAGTAAGGTCCAACCTAGGGAACAAAGGCTGACAGAAACCAGAAAATGCTGCCTTTTAAGAACAATGTGCTGCCATTTACAGTAGTAAAGACTTGGAACCAACCCAAGTGCCCATCAGTGATAGACTGGTAAAGAAAATGTGGCACATATACACCGTGGAATACTATGCAACCCTAAAAAAGAAGGAGTTAATGTCCTTTGAAGGGACGTGGATGAAGCTGGAAACCACCATTGTCAGCAAACTAATAGAGGAATGGAAAACCAAAACCACATGTTCTCACTCATAAGTGGGAGTTGAACAATGAGAACACATGGACACAGGAGGGGAAACATCACACACCGGAACCTGTTGGAGTCAAGTGGGCAAGGGGAGGGAGAGCATTAGGACAAATACCTAATCCATGCAGGGCTTAAAGCCTAGATGACAGGTTGATAGGTGCAGCAAACCACCATGACACATGTATACCTATGTAACAAACCTGCACGTTCTGCACATGTATCCCAGAACTTAAAGTAAAATAAAAAAAAAAAAAAAAAAGAAAAGGGGGAAAAAAAAGGAACCATGTGCTAAAAGAGCAAGACTAAAACCAACAACCAATTCAGGCTAAAGATCACTCTGGTGATGCCGGCAGGAGGAATGGAGAGGCAAACAGTTTCAGCCCAGTTCTGTAGATTCAGTCTATAGAGAGGTGGCTGGGCACAGTGGTTCATGCCTATAATCCCAGAACTTTGGGAGGCTGAGGCAGGCAGATCACTTGAGGTCAGGAGTTCAAGACCAGCCTGGCCAACATGGTGAAACCCCATCTCTACTGAAAATACAAAAATTAGCCAGACGTGGTGGCAGGTACCTGTAATCCTAGCTACTCAGAAGGCTGAGGCAGGAGAATTACTTGAATCCGGGATGTGGAGGTTGCAGTGAGCCAAGATGGCTCCACTGCACTCCAAGCTGGGTGATAGAGTGAGACTCCATCTCAAAAAAAAAAAAAAAAAAAAGTCTATAGAAAGGAGAGGAAGGGGAGAAGAAAATCTTTGCCAAGCTACTATATCAAGCTTACTTTGGAAATAGCTCCCATTTAGCTTCCAAACTACTGGCTAGTTGAAATTCCTTGAGAGCTAAGATTGCAACACAAAGATCTTTGTATCTCCCACAACCTGACATGTGTCTTGCACATAGTAGACCTGCAATAAATATGTGCCGAATAAATGACAATATGAGAAGATTGAATTTTACCCAAATGTCTGTATCAACTTTTCTTAATACCTGGGTCAACAGGCACTCCTAAACCTCTTACTTTCTATTTATTCTTTTTTCATAGTCTCTTTTAGGGTATGAGATTATTACAAAAGCATTGTAATACATAGAGAATTCCCAGGGCATTTGTGGAAAAGATTTGCTCCCATTGAATGTTGGACATCAGAGATACCTGAGTCTTCCCCAGCAAAGGCAACGGTCCCACCATGACTCAATAAGCAACTCCACAGCTGCTCCTGCCAATCACTGTATTTCGCCATCATTCTTCTGGCCCCATGAGAGAGGTAAGGTCATAAGGCAATCAGTAAAACTTAAAAATGATCACTGTGTAGGCTTGGTTGCAATTTATGGAGATAAACATATGCATCGAAGTAGAGTGAGGCGCTGGAGCAGAGGCACTACCCCAGGTGCTGCTGCACCTCCTGTGCACTCTGCTGGACCTCCTGTGCACTCTGCTGGTCTTGGCAGGTCCACGTGAGCTGAACTGGGCTGTGGCAGTGATTTCCAAATCCTGTACTTCAAGAAGGGAAATCAGGGTCATGCCAAGTGCCCTTGGTGTCCATGTAAGTGTTCTGTTAATGCGTTTTAAAGCCAGTCATGCTCCCTGCTGCGATTGACTAATAGTTCTCCTATTTATTTCAGATTGAGGAGAGCCTGCATGAATGTCACCATCTTGCCAAAAAGATCCTGGGCCAGAGCTAGCTAAGGAGAGCCTTGCAGAGGCAGGCAAGAACCCTCAGCTACTCTCTCTCTTCACTCAGCCAGGGGTCTGTGTTGAACTTATGTAAGGAAATGGAGTTGTAGCTTAAAGATTTGCTTATGTTACCTCTTTTGATTAATTAGTTAATTATACTATATATTAACTGATTGTCTTTAATGTGACAAACAGTGTTATGGGCTCTGAATTGAAATAATGAATAATGCCCTAGAGAGTCTCATATTCTAACATGTGTAAGAGAGTAGATAATTACAACCCAACATGATAATTTATATTATCAAAGTGAACACAGTATACAATGGAAGTGCATAGCACATAGCACATAGCAGGCAAGGCTTCTCAAAGGAGACAGTTTCTCCTTGACATGGTTTGGCTCTGTGTTCCCACCCAAATCTCATCTTGAATTGTACTACCATAATTCCCACATGTTGTGGGGGGGACCTGGTGGGAAATAATGTGAGTCATGGGGGTAGTTCCCCCATATTGTTCTCATGGTAGTGAATAAGTCTCACTGTATCTGATGGTTTTGTCAGGGGTTTCTGCTTTTGCATCTTCCTCATTTTCTCTTGCCGCTGCCACATAAGAAGTACCTTTTGCCTCCCACCATGATTCTGAGGCCTTCCTAGCCATATGGAACTGTAAGTCCAATTAAACCTCTTTTTATTCCCAGTCTCGGGTATGTCTTTATCAGCAGTGTGAAAACAGACTAATACACTCCTAAAAGACAAATTAATGTTAGCCTCATGCAGAGGGGCAAGGGAAGCCAGTGAGGCAAAGTCATAGAGCCTAACACATAGTAAACACTCAGTCAATGCTTACTGGATGACCTATTTTTTCACAACACAATGCCACCTCCCACGAATACTATAGTATCTAATAGAGTACTCAGAACAATTACTATGTAGGTGAGCTGACAGGTGTAACCTTACAAAATGGTTATGGAGAAAAACCCATCCTTGCTACTCAAGGTGAGGCTCACAGACCATCAGCAATGGAATCACCTGGAGGCTTGTGAGAAGCACAGAATCTCAGCCCCCAACCCAGACTTACTAAATCAACATCTTCATTTTAACGAGATCCCCAGGTGATTTCTATACACACTAGTGTTTGAGACTGGGCTGTACTAAAAGCTCATAAACCATTAATGGCCTTCTATTATAAGATGGTGGTTAATAACTTCTGGCGAATATCAGGCTTTCTTAGGGAGGACTTTCAAAGTACAGAACCCTGCTTTTATTCCCCTGCCTTCCATGGAAGCCAGTTCTTAGAAGCGGGAACCTGGGTATCTGCACTTTTAATGAGCTTCCCCGGGTGATTCTGAGTTCCATTATTTGACAGAACATGGTGTTATTTTCTATAAAATACTTTAGGAAAATATTTTGGGGGGCAATCAATTATGTTTATGTGTGTGTGTATGTGTGTGTGAAACAGGCAGATCTTTATTGAGTGCCTGAGTGACTTTCCTACAAGGAACCATATTATTAACTCTATTGAGCTTCAAATAATCATATTTTTCAAGGAGACTAGAAGATAAGTCTATGATCATTATTTTAAGATTTTTTGGCATGTTCTTTTATTTAAACTATATGCTTCTTATTGTTTTGAAAGCAAAGGTGTTCCAAAGCCAAGACTCTCTGGGTTAGAAGTGCAAACTTAATGTAAGCTGGTGTGCTGCTGAAAACTGACTACCTATGTGTAAAAACTATAGCCCAATTTTATCCCTAGGCAGATCATGCTTGCCAATAATTAGCTCTTCAAAAATATTTTGTATCAATTGCAAGCATACAAAAATCTTTACGAAGCATTTGATAATATTTGTGCTAGATGTACAATGGAATGTAACAACACATTGAAATTCTGGTTTATCTTAACTATAATTTTTATTAATTCTCTACCTGATCACAAAATTTAACATGCTGAAGACAAGAGGTTTTCATTTGTTCCTGATTTTCATTTGAAACCAAATATGATGAAATTTCCATTTCCTCTCTATTATTACATAAACCTGAAGCAAAGAGATGAAATTACTAAGTGCTTGCTTTATAGAAAAAACGATCTCCACATTAATTAAATTAGTTGTAAATAATATGGCATCTTCTAATATTTGAAGGAAATGGAGCAATTAAATGGCACATAAATATATTAAAATGTTTAGTAAGAGTTAAAGTTCAGCAAAAAAAAAATTTTACTTAACCCAAGCAACTACACAGTATCATATATAAATTATGCTTTTAAAGGAAATAAATGTTAATTTCTTGAGATGAACTTTTATAATCTTAAAAATTGTTTGTAAAACAAAATGTAAGTAATGTTGAGTCTCCTCATCTTGCTACAAAACCATTTGGATTTCAATGAAAACATCAAACACCTACTCTTTCTTTTCAAATAAATGTTCTGGCATTCATCTTTTATAATAACATATCATAATTTCTGTTACTATTTAATCTCACTTATATTTGCTAAGACATTTCATTCAAAGCTTGCTTTGCCAAGGAAAAAAAAAAAAAAGCCTGTGCAATTTAAACCAGTGTGCTCGCAAATGTCCACTGCTCATTTCACCTCAGTTTTGAAGGTATTCATTCATTCACTTAGTACTGAGTACCTCCAGCAGCAGGCAGTGTTCTAGGCTTGCTTTTCCCAGGATAGACCCAGGAAGAACTGGCAATTGGACTCCCATCTTAAAAGACTGGATATATGACATGTCTTGATAATCACAGATAATCACCAGTACCCACAGTGAGAAGGGCACTAAACTCATCAGGATTGACTTAATCCAACAAGTAAGTATTAAGCACCTAATATGTGCAAGTTACTGTACTATGAAATCTATGAAATCTATGAAGATGAATATGGCCGAGTTCCTGAACAAAGCCTCTCAGAAATGGAAAGCTGTTGCACTCTCTGCTGCAAAATTTAGTCTCCCATTTGTGTTTCATTTATTTGTCTGTATTCCCTTCCTCCTCTGGAAAATAATAATGTATCTTATAATAATGTACCTTACAAATTCTTCATGAGTCTACATGTGTGATCCATTCTCATATATTCCTCTATTAACACATATACACTTGACATGTTCATATTCCTTAAAACAAAATACATGCAGCAAAGGTATGAGATGATGTTGTTCACATATAAGTGTATAAGTAAATGTTTTGTCGGTTCGCCAATATCAGTGGTTAAAAAAACATTAAAATCCATATTAAAATAGGAAAGGATGTGATTGTAGGAAATGTGGCATGACACTCCTGGCACTAGGAGCTAAGACATAAACATGAAGACCAAGGCCAAGGTGGCTTGACTCTGGTGCCGCTGATGAGTGCAATGTGGATTTGGTTCCCAAGAGTGAAGTTGTTGGCTGATAAATGATGAACAGAGTATTATGAAATATAGGTTTGATTTATGCCATATAAGCATACGATCATGCCATATATAAGGCTTATAGACATAAATCTAAGTAAGTACTTTATGTGCTTCTAGGTCAATAATTTTAAAGTCAAACTATCCGATCATTTTGTTTTATGTTTTTTTTTTGTTTGTTTTTTGTTTTTGTTTTTAACATTTCAGGATGATCTTTTTCTCCCATGCCTTCCAGTTTTTAAAAAAGTTAGTGGTAAAATAGAGTATGCCTATATGTGCGTGTATATACATATATATATATATGTATATACATATATATATATATATATATATGTATATACATATATATATATATATATATATATATATACCTTTGTTCTTTTTTGTTTTGGGAATTTTCAGTCTCCTCATTCTTGTGTGTGTGTGTGCGTGTGTGTGTGTGAGAGACAGAGAGAGAAGAGAGAAAGGGAAGGGGAGGGGAGAGAATTGTTTGTAAGCCTCTTGAAGTTAGAGATCATGTCTTTCTACCTGGTACAAAGAGCCAAGTACATTGCCTAATGTGATGTCCATAACCCTTAGAAGTCCCGAAATGTAATGAAAACAACCGTAAAATAAAGGTGCAACAAACCAACAAATTAAGTGTACCTGAAGAAATATGAGGTAATTTAGGATGGTCACAAAAATTGTTACAAGCATAAAACAAAGAAAAACTTGGTTGCTAATAAACGTAGAGTGAAAGATAAATGTAATGAGAGAGACCATGTCAGCATGTTGCAATACCCTGGCTATACAGATCATCCTTGCTCTCAACAGCTAAGTTAGAGCAGCTACTTCCAGATGTATCCATAAAAAATTAAATTTTACAAGTGTTATAAAGAAAACAGAGAAATAAACAACCTGCCTGCTTCTTTGGGGATTACCTAACTTTAATTCATTATTTTATATACAATTATTAGTGAGGCTTACCAGATCTTTATTAGTTTCCGCTTTTGATATTGACATTTTTAAATGGGATAAGTACCACAAATTATGAGTCTGTCATATTTTTGTTCCCAAAATGCATTCCTTTATTTTCTTTATAAGGCAGCTGTAGTTTATAAATTCTGAGAACTTGATAGTCACATAATTTCTCTTAGTAATCCCCAAGGCTTCCATGAGAATATTTCTGGTGCTGACAGCCAAGGAAATAGTTTTGGGGTCTTTCTCCACAGCTAGAAGATTCTTTGGTGTTTGGGTTATGGACACAAATT
The DNA here is from genome assembly GCF_000001405.40 of Homo sapiens. Taxonomy (NCBI): domain Eukaryota; kingdom Metazoa; phylum Chordata; class Mammalia; order Primates; family Hominidae; genus Homo; species Homo sapiens. The sequence goes on along the minus strand of NC_000004.12, from coordinate 119,006,336 downwards.
CACTGGATACTTTGTGTTCTCGTAAAAGAATAGTCCACTTCTGTCCCTAAGAGTGTTAGTTTGTGCTTTCTTTTCCTCCAACACACTGATTCCATCTTGAACAACTTCATCAGCATGTCCTTTTGGCTTCATGTATTATAAAAAGTATAAGAAAAGCCAGGGTTAGGACACCAACTTTCACACCTTCATGTTCAGGCTTATCTGTAAGTAGTTGTTTTGTATTGTTTACTGCTGACGGTGTCAGGGTGAGTGTGGCCTGGGTGAGCTGCAGCTTCCTGTTGCTAAGGAAGCAGACATCTTTGCCTTTCTGTTGCCCAGGTGCCTCTGGCTGGAGCTCAGACACCTCAGTTTCTCTGCATGGACACACAGTGGTTCAATAGGAAACCATTTATCATCTTTGTAGAATGTAATAATTATAGTTACTGAATGCTCCAACTGGATTTTAATGTTCCTAGACTAGCTTAGTGTTAATGCTCCTTCAAAACAATCATTTAGTTGTTCTCGGCAACTGATTGCACATACTGTTTTCTAAAGGTAGATATTTATTTGCCATTTTAAAACTTTCTCAGTTATAAGAAAAGGTAATTTTGAACTACTTTAAAGTTCATATGGAACCAAAAAAGAGCCCACATCACCAAGTCAATCCTAAGCCAAAAGAACAAAGCAGGAGGCATCACGCTATCTGACTTCAAACTATACTACAAGGCTACAGTAACCAAAACAGCATGGTACTGGTACCAAAACAGAGATATAGACCAATGGAACAGAACAGAGCCCTCAGAAATAATGCCACATATCTACAACTATCTGATCTTTGACAAACCTGACAAAAACAAGAAATGGGGAAAGGATTCCCTATTTAATAAATGGTGCTGGGAAAACTGGCTAGCCATATGTAGAAAGCTGAAACTGGATCCCTTCCTTACACCTTAAACAAAAATTAATTCAAGATGGATTAAAGACTATAATGTTAGACCTAAAACCATAAAAACCCTAGAAGAAAACCTAGGCAATACCATTCAGGACATAGGCATGGGAAAGGACTTCATGTCTAAAACGCCAAAAGCAATGGCAACAAAAGCCAAAATTGACAAATGGGATCTAATTAAACTAAAGAGCTTCTGCACAGCAAAAGAAACTACCAACAGAGTGAAGAGGCAACCTACACAATGGGAGAAAATTTTCGCAATCTACTCATCTGACAAAGGGCTAATATCCAGAATCTACAATGAACTCAAACAAATTTACAAGAAAAAAACAAACAACCCCATCAACAAGTGGGCGAAGGATATGAACAGACATTTCTCAAAAGAAGACATTTATGCAGCCAAAAAACACATGAAAAAATGCTCATCATCACTGGCCATCAGAGAAATGCAAATCAAAACCACAATGAGATACCATCTCACACCAGTTAGAATGGTGATCATTAAAAAGTCAGGAAACAACAGGTGCTGGAGAGGATGTGGAGAAATAGGAACACTTTTACACTGTTGGTGGGACTGTAAACTAGTTCAATCATTGTGGAAGTCAGTGTGGCGATTCCTCAGGGATCTAGAACTAGAAATACCATCTGACCCAGCCATCCCATTACTGGGTATATACCCAAAGGATTATAAATCATGCTGCTATAAAGACACATGCACATGTATGTTTATTGCGGCACTATTCACAATAGCAAAGACTTGGAACCAACCCAAATGTCCAACAATGATAGACTGGATTAAGAAAATGTGGCACATATACCCCATGGAATACTATGCAGCCATAAAAAATGATGAGTTTATGTCGTTTGTAGGGACATGGATGAAGCTGGAAACCACCATTCTCAGCAAAATATCACAAGGACAAAAAACCAAACACCGCATGTTCTCACTCATAGGTGGGAATTGAACAATGAGAACACATGGACACAGGAAGGGGAACATCACACACCGGGGACTGTTGTGGGGTGGGGGTAGGGGGTAGGGATAGCATTAGGAGATATACCTAATGCTAAATGACGAGTTAATGGGTGCAGCACACCAACATGGCACATGTATACATATGTAACAAACCTGCACATTGTGCACATGTACCCTAAAACTTAAAGTATACTTTTTTTTAAAAAAAGGTAATTTTGAACAATTTCCACAAATGGACAGACTTGGGAATAGTGAACCCTAAGTTAGAGAAAGCCAAACAAACAATACAATTTGCTCTGCAGAATTCCTTGAAGAGTTAGGAATTTGTGGAACAGTAAAGGTGAATGTAGGGCCGAAAACAGGAATGTTGTTGAAAGTCTAAAAACACAGTAGACCCTCTCAATGCCATTTCCTGTTTCCCACAGCCATGTAAATATCGTTTATTTACCCTACAGGACACCAGGCACAGCTGAGGGTGGAAAATAAGGGGTGAAATGAACGATTAACTACCGGATCCTGAAATTCCCACTTAAAGCCATGTCGTATCTGGGCTCCCGGAACTCTGGCAGCTGGAATTTATACCTTTCTAGGAGGAGAATGGAAGATTCTGATTAGCCAGTCAATTAAAATAGTGATATTAGGACTTTGCCAAGAAACAGCCCAGCCTGACTCCCCTAGAGTAAGCAGAGAGCCAAGGACATCAGTTCTAATCTAAAGGAAAGCCTCTACTATAAAAGATACTAAAAAGGCAGAATGCAAACATAGAGACTATACTGGGAGGGGAAAATGTCAAAAAATGTTATTACTAATGTCTCCAGAATGATATCAAACCATGAAACAGAAACAGGATGATACAAAAGAGAATGAGAAGGACTTTTGGCAATTAAAACTCTCTTAGCAGAAATGAATAGCTGAGTAGAGAATTTGGAAGACAATGTTGAGAAAATTTTCTAGAGTCTCCTGAAACCTAACAAGTTTGAATAGCAGTGATATGGTTTGGCTCTGTGTTCCCACCCAAATCTCATCTCAAATTGTAATCCCCACGTGTCAAGGGAGGGAGGTGATTGGATCATGGGGGTGGTTTCCCCCATGCTGTTCTCATGATAGTGAGTTCTCATGAGATCTGATGGTTTTATGTGTTTGGCAGTTCCTCCTTCACAGCACTTCTCTCTCCTGCCACCCTGTGAAGTAAGTGCTTGCTTCCCCTTTGCCTTCCATCATGATTGTAAGTTTCCTGAGGCCTCCCCAGCCATAAGGAACTGTGAGTCCTTTAAATCTCTTTCCTTCATAAATTACCCAGTCTTGGGTATTTCTTTATAGCAGTGTGACTAATACAGCAGTGGACTAATACAGCAAGACAAAAAGATAAAAATAAAAGGAAAAAGCTAAGAAAATTAGAGAGGATGCATACAAATGGTTCAACAGCTAAATAACAGAAATTCCAGAATGAGAAAACAGAAAACAAAACGAATAAGTCATCAAATAATTCAAGAAAATTTCTTATAATTGAAGGCAAGCATTGCTGGATATAAAGGGCCTATACAATAGAGGAAAATATACTCAAATCAATAGCCTAGAATGCTATACCCAGATAAATTATCAATTAGGTGGGAGGGTAGAATAAAGATGGTATCAAATATACCCAGTCTTAAAAAATTCAGCTCTCATCACTTGTTCTTAGGAAGCAAATGGAGGAAGGGAACCACAAAAAAGAGGAAGAAAAACCAAAGAAATAGGGAATCCAACTTGAGAGAGAAAAGAGAAATCCCCAGGATGATTAAGAAGAGACTCCAGGAAGATAGCTGTGCACCTGGCAGAGAGTCACCAACTTAAATTAGAGGAGGGTAGAAGACTCCAGGAAAGATGGCTACAAAACCAATGACATTGGCCCAGCACAGTGGCTCACAGCACTTTGGGAGGCCGAGGCCGGTGGATCACAAGGTCAGGAGATCGAGACCAGCCTGGCCAACATGGTGAAACCCCATCTCTACTAACAATACAAAAATTAGCCAGGCGTGGTGGTAAGCACCTGTAGTCCCAACTACTTGGGAGGCTGAGGCAGGAGAATTGCTTGAACTGGGGAGGCAGAGGTTGCAGTGAGCTGAGATCACGCCGTTGCACTCCAGCCTGGGTGACAGAGCAAGACTCCATCTCAGAAGAAAAAAAATGACATTGATAGCACTCCTGATATATTTTAAAATACCAGGAGGACAGTTAGATGGAGTGAGTTTGGGGATGAACTAATGACAAATACTTAGAAAACTAAAATCTTAAAAAGAAAGACAGTTGTCAATTATCAGGAGAAAATAATTTATGCAGGAAAGGAAAAAGTATTCCTAACATACTACCTGGCTAAGCTTAATAATCTAAGCACTGAATAGTGATTCAATCAAAATATAATTATATTGGGAGGATGGGGGGCACTAGGTAATCATATGAGCTTGAAGTAGGGACTGGAGAAGGGTAACAGAACTATTTATCTTCATCTTCCGTTGTGACATAACAATGAATAATTTTTACAACTGAGAAAAATCAAGAAATCACACAGATGTATATTTTAGAAATAAGAAAACTAGACAAAGGTAAACACAGATGTATATTTTAGAAATAAGAAGAAAACTAGACAAAGGTAAACACAGATGTATATTTTAGAAATAAGAAGAAAACTAGACAAAGGTAAAAAGAATATGTTTTGCTTTTGGGAAATCTAAAATTGATGGTTTTTCATAAAACGTATTCTAGAACTATTTGACTCTTTAAACTAGGTATATGTAACTTTGATAAAGAATAAGAACTAAATTTTAAAAAGCGTCATGGCTTTTCAATAAATCCTTGCATTTTTGATATTTTGGCTTCCCGGTATACTGGATTTGAGTGACCTGTGAATTTAAACTTAAACTCTGGACAAATAAAAGTTGCCTTGACTTTCTAAAAGTTCTGCTGTAGAATATTAAATAATCTATGTGCTATGGACATGAAGGGTTAAATAGCTACTTACCTATTTCTTCAGTTAACAATGAGTATCTACTTAAGGACAATATTAAAGTGCTGTTTTTATTTCAGTATCTGTCCTTAGTCTAGAAGTCAGTATCTAAATATAAATATATATAAATGTATCTGTGTCTCGTGTACAAGGCTATGTTTGATTTAAGATTTTGAGGTGGAGAAGCAATTTTTCTTTCTCTCTTCCATTTTTTTTCTGTCAATTGATCCATTCTTCTTTTAACTATGTATGGAAGGGCCATAGGGCTAGGACACTGCACAGGTTCAAGGGGGCATGGCCACATTAGACACATGTTAATGGCACCCCCCATGGGGCACAAAGCCAAGGAGAAAACGAACAGTGGGTATGAAAATGGAGAGACTTTTTACCTCTTGAGGGGAAAGTGTGAGGGTAGAAAGAACAGCCATGTGGAATAGAAATTCTATGATGGAGAGCTCAAATATAACTTCACTTCACTGCACTCATATGAAACTCTAGGCCTAATAGATTTGTGCCCCAGTGAATGGTTTCAGGTGGTTACAGATTTTCTAGACTTATGTCTCAGCAGATGTTGCGAGAGAGAAAAAAAGAAAAGAAAGAAAGAAAGAACAGCAGGAAGACATGGACCCTCTCTGCAAATGACATAATTGAATTCTAAGAAGTGGAATTAAAAGTTTTTGTTATTTCAACTTGTTAATCTTTGCTTCTTCTCTCTCCTGTCCACCTCCCTTCCCCTTTCTCCTGGAATCCAGCCCTGGCAACTCAGATAGCGATGAGGTCATGGGCTTCAAAATATGGCCATGGTATGAAGGTGGCAGCACAAATTTTTAAACAACATTTCAGCACCATGCCACATTGCCGAGAAGGAAGCCTGTGTAATGTGAGCAACTATAGCTCATGCTATTTTATTAATCCTGGGTGGTGATCCCTGGGGTTGTATTACTCGTGTGTGTCTGTTTCTCTCTGTGTGTCTGTGGGTGTCTTCTGCTGTTTTACATGACAGTCATCAGGAAGTCTTCCTCAGCTTGGACATATCAAAGGGAGGCGGGCTCTCATTTATTATTAGCAAGGTCTTTCACATTAAAAGCAAAGAAAGAGTGAAAGGAGAATGATCCTCTCAGACCCAGGAAAATGAAGGACAGGTTATCTCAGTGGGTTACAAGTGGTCTTTTTCCTTCACAAGGAAACAATGCCTCACATCTCACATCCCCTACCTGTGTCAGTGTCTTGCTTTTTATTACCTCATTAAGTCGCCAAACCTTGCTACCTGGTGGAAAAAGATTGATAGTGTGATAACAGGAAGGCTGTCTTGCTCACATTGCAACAGAGAGAGTGGCTCACATTGAACCATGATTGTGCCACTGCACTCCAGTCTGGGTAGCAGAATGAGACTCTGATTTACTTATTAAAGGAGAGTTGCTTTTTTCCCAGATAAACCCATGGTCAGGAGCTTCTTTCTGTTTAAAGGGCCTTTCCCTAAAGCTCCTTCAACTTTTCTTTTGCCAGCTTCTTCAGAGAACAAATGACTTCTTGGGCAAATACACGGTGGTATTGAACATCTCTACTTCAAAACCTTTAAAAAGTACCAGGCAATAGTGCAAAACCCTGAAGATGGTAGTAGATTAGAAGGAAACTGTTCTCTGTGTTCAGAATCTACCCTATGTGCCCCAGAATGTCCTTCTGTCTTCAAATATGATTTATCCTGCAAAGCCCAGATCAATGAAGCCCTTCACCTGATTATTCTCCTGTACTCCCCAGGAAGAGGTATTATTAGTCTATAAACTCAGTAAAAATTACTTTGCAGCCTTGGCAACATAGCAAGACCCCATCTCTACATAAATAAATACATGCATACATACATACATACATACAAGCTAGCTGGGTGCGGTGGTATGCACCTGTATCTCTCTTCTGGTACTTTATATTGTAATTATTAGATAATATATTATCTCTACTATCTTTACAAAAGCAGAAACCTTATTTTAATCTTATTATCCAGGCTGGGTGCCATGGTTCACGCCTATAATTCCAGCGCTTTGGGAGGCTGAAGCAGGAGGATCGTTTGAACCCAGGAGCTTGAGACCAGCCTGGACAACATGATGAAACCCCGTCTCTACAAAAAATTAAAAAAAAATTAGCTGGGCACAGTGGCACGTGCCTGTAGTCTGAGCTATTTGGGAGGCTGAGGTGAGAGGATCACCTGATCCTGGGAGGTGGAGACTGCGGTGAGCCATGGTGGTGCCACTGCACTCCAGCCTGGGGTGACAGAGTGAGACCCTGTCTCGAAAAACAAAAAAACTTATCCATCATGGTAAATGAGTAATAATAACAGCTAAACATTTCACTTTACATACATTATCTCTAATCCTCACAATAACCCTGAGAGGTAAAGGCTGTTAAATCCATTTTCCAGAAGACAAAACTAAATCTTTGAGATGTTACATGGCTTGCCCAAGATCACACGGTCAACAAGTGTCCAGCTCTGCTGACGTTTAAAGGACCTCCTGTGCTCTGCACATTCTAGTACAAGTTAGAAAGAAAAAACAAAACAAAAACAAAAACAAAAACAGAGTAAGAGAGAGAGGGAGGGAGGGAGTGGGGAGGAGGGATGGAGAGGAAGAAGAGTTAATCTCAAACTTTGATCCATTTATTGGAATAATACTTCACAGACTCACAAAGTTGCAGAGTTGTGAAAGATTGAAAACATTAAAACACCTACCCTCTATTTTTCACAGACAGAACAACTGAGATCCAGAGAAGTTAAGATCCCTGTTAAAGGTTGCACAGCAACTGACACAGCTGAAACTAGCACAGACCTCAGTGATCTTGAGTCACACTCTAAGGTGACTTTCTCTGTGAGATGTAACTTTTGAACCAGGCACTAAGATATTAATACTCATTTAAAACAGGATAGCAACTAATAGACATGTAAACTTGCCTGTTTTAACTCTGGTTTACTGAAATTCTCTGGCTCCTAAGAAGCAAGAATTACAATTTTTTAAAGTTTTCATGATTAATTTTCTCATCATCAGACACATAGAAAATACCTAAAATACACACGATATTACATGATATTACACGATAATATAATTCTCTTTTGTTTGTTCACCAGAAAGGAAACTTTGCCCTTAAAGTGTGTTTCACTGCTTAGCAGTCCTAGCAATACAAATAATGCTTCATCCTTGAGCGCTCTCTTAAATTCATACTTTCAAACAGCAAAAAGGCTGCAAAATTTAGAATATGACCAAGCCAGTGAAGTGTGCATATTAAAAATATATTTACATAATTCAAGGCCTTGTAATTTTCCTCAAATAACTGACACATACTTTTTGAAAAATGCGGTTATCAAGCAGTGCAGTTAACCAAGTCCTAGTCTCCCATCCTTACCACCCCCGTCAGAATCCTAACACTGTCTTCTCCAGGAAGCGCCCCTCTCCTTTCTCCTCAATTCCCCCAAAGCTATTTTACTGTCAGGAGTCAGGGACATCTAAGATCTTGGAAATAAGATAACAGGGCTTGCCTTGGAGGGTTAACTCTAAATCAACAGGTTGCCTATGAGAACAGAAATGTTTAAAGTTGCCTCATAAGTGGACTGAGCACAGAACAGAGCTGACTAATGGGAGGTATTAACATGTCTAAGGAAAGAATGTGTCTTTCTGAATGGGTTGTCTAGAAATAGAAATTAGAAAAGAGTCATAGACAAACAGTGCCCATAAAAGTACTGCCCAGAGAAGAAGGCAGCCAGACTAAAGATTTGCTCTGCCTGGTGCAAGTAACAGGTGCATTCAACTGCAGAGGTGAGCAGAGCAGGCATCCACTATTGAATCTTTCAACTCACAGACTTTGTTCTGATTTCACACTCACAAATCTAGCTTTACTAATAAATTTGGTTCCTAAGGGAAACTATCACACTGACCAGAAGATGCAGGTATTCAGTCTTATCAATATGTTTTTTCCCTCCCTCTGAAGCAAGAAACTAGAATTCTAGTTTAGCCTCAGTGTCCCGTGTCTTCAGGTAGCATGAGTATAGTATCCCTAGATATTGTTTGAACAATGACAAAACTGGTTTAGAATCTGCATATTTGAGAGTCAGCTGGGGACTATGCTACACTGACAAAGGTAAGGCCATCTTGAGAGATCTTATATCAGCCAGTCAATCAATGTTTCCCTACCTCATTACATTTTCTTTTAATTTTTTTTTTTTTTTTTTGAGACGGAGTCTCGCTCTGTCGCCCAGGCTGGAGTGCAGTGGCGGGATCTCGGCTCACTGCAAGCTCCGCCTCCCGGGTTCACGCCATTCTCCTGCCTCAGCCTCCCAAGTAGCTGGGACTACAGGCGCCCGCCACTACGCCCTGCTAATTTTTTGTATTTTTAGTACAGACGGGGTTTCACCGTTTTAGCCGGGATGGTCTCGATCTCCTGACCTCGTGATCCGCCCGCCTCGGCCTCCCAAAGTGCTGGGATTACAGGCGTGAGCCACCGCGCCCGGCCTTTTTTCTTTTAAATTTTTGTCAAAATTAATTGACTTCTTTTCTGCTTGCAAATGGACATTTATTGATTGCTCTGTCTTATGACACTTTTTTTTTTTTTTTTGAGACAGAGTCTCACTCTGTCACCCAGGCTGGAGTGCAGTGGCGCGATCTCAGCTCACCGCAACCTCTGCCTCCCAGGTTCGAGCGATTCTCCTACCTCAGCCTCCCGAGTAACTGGGACTACAGGCGTGTGCCACCACGCCTGGCTTATTTTTTGTATTTTGAATAGAAATGGGGTTTCACCATGTTAGCCAGGATAGTCTCAATCTCCTGACCTCATGATCCACCCCCACTGGCCTCCCAAAGTGCTGGGATTACGGGCGTGAGCACCTGGCCTTATGACATATCTTACATCTTGCGTTATATTTATTTTTATTGTACAAAAGTGTATCTCTCTCCTTGAGAGAAGGTATTGTTTTGTTTATTCAATCACTTTTTTATCAATATGGAAATGATATACAATTATATTCTCCGTATACTCAGGCTAGTAGGGGTGGCAGACAGAAAAACAAGTTATACATCTGGCAAAGGTAATAAAAGTATTCATAAAGAACAGAAGCATTGCAAAAGTGGTGGACGAAGGGGGTGGCTGATCATTTTGGGAAACCTTTCTAGAGGAGGCAATGTCTGAGTTAGATTTTGGGAGATGAGTAAAACTTCAGTCACTGCAACCAGAAAGGGGAGGAGATTTCAAAGCAATGGGAACAACAAGTGCAAAGGCAAAAGCGTGAAATGACCTGGGAACCAAAGCACAGCTTAGTGTTTCCAAGATGTGAAGTGCAAGGAAGAGAGTCATGAGAGAGATGAGGCTGGACAGGTAGAGAGAGGATGAAAAGTTTGTGTATGCCGCATAATGGAGTTCAGGCTTTCCATTGTAGGTGATAGGAGCTAGCAAAAGCTTTTCAGTACAAAAGAGCCTGGATCGGATTGTGTTTAGTAAGACATCTTTAGCATCAATGTGGGCAAAGAAATAAAAAGAGGCAAGACAGAAAAAAGCAAAATTAGATAGATGATAGATAGATAGATAGATAGATAGATAGATAGATAGATAGATAAGATAAATAGATACATGGACAGATAAAGAATGAAAGACAGCATTTGGAAAAGTCCAGACCTAGCACTATCCAATAGAAATACAACATGGACCTCAAATGTAAGCCACATGTTCAATTTTAAACTTCCTTGTAGTCATTTGTCCCAGGTCTCATAAGTTATTGGTTATTAAGGGGCAGAGCTAAGATTTAAACCTGGGTAATCTAGCTTCAGAGTCAAAGCTTATAATTTGACTCTGAAGCTTACAAAACACATTATACTGCCACTCTGAATGCAAAGCCTGTGGAATCAGACAACCTGAGTTCAAATAACTCCTCCTTCACTTACTAACTGTGTAACTTGGAGCAAGTTATTTAATTAACAAACTTTGGTTTTTCTCATTTGTAAAATTGGAAATAATATGCCTATCTTATGGGGTTTTTGAGAGGAATAACAGACATAATGTATATAAGATACCCATCACAGTGATAGGTATACAATAAATAGTAAATAATAGTTGCTATCATCACATATATTGGGCTTGGAGCTCAATATATATCCAAGTTGGAATATATATTTCCCATCAAATATCTAACATAGTATCTGGTCAGAGCTCTGTTTTTTTCAAGAAATGACTTTGATTCATCACAAAGGCATATGTTTAAAGAACTTTGCAAATGAGACCTACAGGCTGGGATCATCCTAAGTCAATAGCTCAAATAATCATGGGTATTAGATCATGAGACAGCACTGGTGAGTGTTCATGGCACTTAGATACCATAGAGAATTGCACTGGAAGTAAAATATATGTACCTTGCTCTTACATTCAAGGAGTCTAAAAGAATGAACTGAATTATGAGAGCACGTTTGTTTGTATGTCCTTTCATTAGTTTGTGATTTGAAAAATAGTAAATAAAAAATATTCATTAGACAAGGATCTATGGTTATATGCCTAAAATCCAAGAAAATTTAATCAAAGGGTCTAAGTACATCTTATCTCCTATTCAGATAATCTAATTCTTGCATGGGCAGGCATTTGGATAAGAAAACAAATGCCAAAATTTTAAAAATTAAATACCCAAAAACTAGAAACAAAGATCTTTTTCTATAACACCTACGATTTTTAACTTTAGATGTCCAAGATGTTTATGGGAATAACATGCCACTTTCTACCAAGCTTGTGGTTATGTGATGTAAATTTACTCTGTCACTAGGATTGCATTTTACCAAAACTTTGCCTTTTTCTAGATGATAAAATGCTAGGTACAAAGCCTTTTAAGAGTTTTTAAAGAAAATTCCTCTGTAACCAATTAGTACTCAAACTCAGCGATTCCCCAGTTCATATATTGAATTAACAGTGCTCATATTGATGCATCTAACCCAATTGTCACTCCATCTCTCAATTCTTTAAATTACATTTAGGTGGTAGGTCTCCTCTTTCAAAACAGGGCTCAACTAATAACACACAATGTTCTGAACGCCAAGCTCATTTGATTTTTCTCATCTCAGTTTCTGTCAGGAGACCCGCCTAGGAAACCTCTCCTCTACAAGATGTTCAGTGGTCACATGCCTGGCTTGTCCTACAGGCACAGCAGATGAGTAACAAGTGTGTTTATAGATTTTGTGATGCTCCAGCTGTCGCTGATGGCAGGGTTTTCTGCTAAAATTGGTGAATTTTTGGCTATCTGCCTCTTTCCCTGAGTAACTCAAGCATCACCAGCGGAGCACAGTGGTCTTAGGAGGCCACACGTTGGAGAAAGAAATTAGATTCTTTGTAGGAACAAAACTACTTGTCAGAGTGTGGCCTAATATGGTGGTAGTGACTGACCCAGAGGCCCCCTAGAAGAACCAAATGTTCAACAGTAATAAAAGGAACTATTAATCAGCTCAGGGGCAGTGCATAGGACTGACGATCAGCTGGTCCGGCTTAAGCCTATGTCTCTTCTGGCTTGCTAGGTAAGACTAGGCAAAGCATTAAATCATTCCGTGCTTCCAGCATCATAAGTCCTGGGATTAAACATGATAATGGAATATATTTTCAACATGTCAGAATATAAGTAAACATTCAAGAGTCCTTTAAAATTTAGAAAATTCATAAAAATATTTCAAATACAAAGTAAAAAGTAATTTGGGGGAAAAACATGGGAAGAGAGAAAAGACTCTGAAATCAGTTAAACAGGTTCTTATACAAACATCTAGAAATACCATACTAAGCTGTAGGTCATATAGGGGGAAAACCTCCATCATGGGAGTCTGTAGTCTAAGAAACTTGTAGGCCAAGAGACTTGTGCTTGAAGAGGAAAGTGGAGAAGGAAGGAGGGACATTGCTGTGGCTTACACACAAGGACAAATCCAACACTTGAGTGGTGATATGTTGAAACTCACACAGACACATTAACAAGCTGTACTTGACAATTTGATCAAATGGAATATATTTCTCCATTGACTTTTAAACCAAACTAAATCAAGGAGGCCTCGTAAAATGAGATACGTTTGTCTATAGGAAAAGGTTTCCAAATAAATTTCAATCCACTAAAATTATATTTCTCTACAATGGCTAATCCTCACCGTCCATCATGCTTACTATTTCATTTCCACTTTGTAAGGCACTATTTTTTTTTAAAGAGAATAACTACAAACACACACACGTGCACACAAACACACACAAATACACATTTTGTTTGTCTTCTCTCTCTTCCTTCTTTAATTAATTCCGAAAATCAGAATTTAATTTAAAAATTTAATTGACAATGTAAGTAATTCTCTTATGCTGCTTTATTTTCCAAGGACTAACACTGGTTTCCCATTAACTCGCATATCTACTCTTATTATCTTGCAGATCGACTCTGCTTGGTTTGAGTAGTTTTCTTAAGAAGATGAATCTAGCTTTGCCCAACCACCCACCCAGGGTCCAGAGTAGAGAATGCTTTCTCTTTGTGCAGAGCCAGAGTGGAACTGTCTTGTAGACAACAGAAGATGCCCCACATCTGAGTAGCAAGAGGTAAAGCCATGCAGAGAAGTCAGGGTCCCAAAATTGGTGGGCGCTTATGAAACTACTCTAAATGGAAGTAGAGTCAACCTCAGAAGCTTTGCTGAGCCAGGTCAGGATCTCCAAACCTAAGATGCAATAGCAAGTCCAGGTGCAAATAATTCCAGATCAAGTGCATTTATGAGGTTGTTGGTGGGTGAGTAGGTCATGGAGAGGGCTCAGGGATGGTGAGAGGAGTCCTAACTTACTGCCTATAACAGCAGGTCCTATGGTGTGAACCAAGGACCTTGGAGGCATCCCTGAGATTCTTTCAGAGGGTCTTTGGGGTCAAAACTATTTCCTAATAATAATAAGGCATTGTCACTTTCACTTTTATGAGTATACAGGGGAGCTTTCCAGAGGCTACCTGACAAGTGATGGCACCATCACTGTGATGGCTCCTGGAATGTGTGCTTCCGAAATTGGAAACCTCATTGTCATCCTTGATTCATCACACCCTCACTCCATTATTTCTTACATCATGTTGCTTCTACTTCAGGATTGTCCCTTGAATCCAGTCCTCTTTGTCACAGTTTTATTTCAGTCCTTCCTCAGACTGTTTCAGCAGCCTGGTGTTTGAACTCCCCTCCAATCTCTTCACTTTTAATCCATCCTCTACACTACCATAATCAAATCATGCATCCACCCTTCCACATAAAAAACCTGTGTAGAGTCTTGCCTATAAACAGAACAAAATGTAAATGTCTTCACTTATCATACAAGCAAGATCCCCCACAATCTGACCTCCACCTACCTCCCTAGCACCATCTCCTGCCGCCCTCTTTTTCCTCCAGGCTAAAGTGAGGCCACAATGAAGTTCTCCCTATTCTTAGACCGTGTCAGACTCTTTTAAGACTCTACACCTTTGCACATGCTGTTCACTCTGGAATGAACTCCCCTGAATCCTTTCCAGTCGAACTCCATTAAGCACTATCCTCTCCCCGTTTTATTCTATACTTTCACTTCCTCAGCCAAGCACTTCTCTGCTTCGGGGCATTTCTATGTACTGTTTCTGCTTACAATGCTCCTCCTCTCACCCTTTGCATTGCCTGCTGTTTCTTACCCATTGATTCTTTGATGATATGAGGCCAGAAGTCCTCCCAGCCCCTTTCCCTCTAAGTACAATTGTTAGAACTACAGGAGTCTCTACTTGGCTCTGCCCCAAGCACCATTCAGGCATCTCTGCAAAAGTCAGTGCCTAAGGAGCTTCAATAGGCAACATATACCTCTTTCTTCTTTCTCTTCTTCTCCCCCACCCCTGCTCTGTCTCCCAAAGTCTAATCACTTCAATCTTAGACTTTGATAGAAGGCTCAACTTTGATGGAAACTTCTCTTGAAGAGCATTCCACTGGTAGTTATAATGAGCAGTAGGTCATGCAGTTCCTTTCCTTAATTAAAAAAACAAAAACAGGCCGGGTGCGGTGGCTCATGCCTGTAATCCCAACACTTTGGGAGGCTGAGGCGGGTGGATCACCTGAGGTCAGGAGTTCAAGACCAGCCTGTCCAACATGGCGAAACCCTGTCTCTACTAAAAATACAAAAATTAGCCAGGTGCGGTGGTGCGTGCCTGTAATCGCAGCTACTCAGGAGGCTGAGGCAGGAGAATTGCTTGAACCTGGGAAGCAGAGGTTGCAGTGAGTCAAGATGGCCCCACTACACTCCAGCCTGGGTGACAGAGCAAGACTCCGTCTCAAAAAATAATAAAAAATAAATAAAAAGTGGTCACGCACTAAAAAGAGTCATTTAATTAGGCCAGAACTAGGCCCGGGAAGTTGAATTTAAAGTCCTGGAACTGATGGTATTAGCTGCACAATTTTATGTTTAAACCCAAAGGAGTTGACTTGGAAGGGCCTGTTGGCCCAGTTCAGGCTGCATGTGGAGCTGCTTTCACCTGGTGCTCTTGCCGGAAGCCCCTGAATGCATTTGAGGGTTACAATTATCCAGCTTAGGCCGGGCATGGTGGCTCACACCTGTAATCCCAGCACTTTGGGAGGCCGAGGCGGGCAGATAACTTGAGGTCAGGAAAACAGAGACCAGCCTGGGCAACATGGTAAAACCCCATCTCTACTAAGAATACAAAAATTAGTGGGGTATGGTGGCACGCACCTGTAGTCCCAGCTACTCAGGAGGCTGAGGCACGAGCATCGCTTGAACCCGGGAGGCAGAGATTGCAGTTAGCTGAGATTGCGCCACTGCACTCCTGCCTGGGCGACCGAGCGAGATTCTGTCTCAAAAACAAACAAACAAACAAAAACCAATTATCCAGCTTAGCCTCCCTGCTCAGAATTGCTGGGTCTATTTGTTTGGTCTGGTCTGTCACTCTGTCTGGAAGGTAAGATCCATGAGAACAAGGACCATGTCTGTTTTGTTCACCATCTTATCCCCAGCATCTGGCACAATATTTGGTGTATAATAGTGCTCTGTAAACATCTGCGGAATAAATAATTCAATAAGGGACTTATTGATTCTTCAGGGTCAAGCAAAGATGTATTTCCTGGGAGAAGTCTCTCCTCCTTTTCTCAGGCAGCCATTGCTCTTGCCTCTGAGCAACCACAGCACTGCACGTTTCTTTGTGAGAGAAAGGAATAGAACATTTCCTGAGGGTCCATCCTGTGCACCATGTGAGCTGTCAGTTCTATGTGTTTCTCCCTTCATTCTTTCAATAATCCAATATGATAGGTATTATTACCCATACTTGCAGAGGAGAAAACAGGCTAAAAAAAAATCCAAGTCATACAGCCAATAATAGATCACAAAACCTGTATGCAAAGCCAGCCCCATTTCCGTCTTCTCATTAAATCACTCTGCCATATGGGATTATGCTTGATGTTTTAATGTATCTGTTTACAAATATGTCTCACCTTTAGGGGCAGAGGCCATGTATATTCATCTCTGTATTCATGAAAGATTTAACATCTGAATTAGAGAGTACATGAATGAGTGAAGTGGATCGGTCTACTGATGGACGGGGGTCTTTGCAGCCTCAGGGCTTACTCTCAGGGACTCTTGGTGTTGTCTCCTTGGAGAGCTTCTGTCTGTGTCCCTGCGTGAACACAAGTTAGGCCTCCTCCACCAAGTCCCTAACTCTTAGTACATCCACTTATTTCTTCTGTCTGTGCCACAAGATTCCCAGTTACTGTGTGCATTTGGCTTATGTTTGCTTCACAGGATATTTCTATCATGATGAATCAATGATATTCCATGGAAGCATGACTATATGACACATTCCTTTATTACTCAGAACACAAACTGTTTTTTTACTTGCAGCTGAAGTCACTGCTAGCACTGACTGTCAGTCAATAAAACGAGTCCGTGACTCTGTCAGATTCTTTTGGGAAATCAAAAATAGCATGCTCTCTGTCTTCAGATGCCCTCAGGCTTGCTAGGGAGATATGATCACACATGAAACAATTAGAGAATGGTGCAAACAAGTTCAGAATCATATGCCAATTTGAGTCACAGTTTCAGGCTCTGACTCTCACTCAGTCTTAAGCTTGCCAAAGCCTTAGCTATTCCCAGTTACACTCCAGAAACCTCTTCACATGCTGTTTACTCCCCCAGAAGATGAACACCTCCTCTCAAGCTATGGGCACAACATCCCACAGGCATAATCATGAGCCAGGGCCTGATGCTTTCAAATGTATTCAGGGTCTTCTGGCAAGGGCAGCAGGCTAAAGCAGCTGAGTGCAGCCGGAACCAAGCTCAGATGCTTTCCCAAGTCAACTGCCCTGTGTTTAAACATTAAAGTATGCAGTTAAGATCCCTAGTTCCAGGCCTTTAAATTCAATTTCCAAAGCCTAGCTCTGGCCTAATTCAATGACTCTTGTTTTATGTGTGACCACCTTGTTCTTTTTTTGTTGTTTTAACTGAGGAAGGGAACTGTAAGACCTGCTTGGTCACCATAAGTACCAGTTGAGTGTTCTTCCAGAGAAGTTTTCATCAAAGTTGAGCCTTCTGTCAAGATGTGGAGACCCTCAAGTCTGAAGCGATTCGATGACTTTGGGGTGGGGGAAGGTGCATGTTTCCTGTGGAGGCTCCTTGGCCACCAACCTTCGCAGAGATGCCGGCACTGTGCTTGGGCAAAGCCAAGTGTGAGGCTCCTGTAGCTCTCACAGCTGTGCTTACAGAGAAAAGGGCACACAGGATGTCTGGACCTGAAACTCCTCATCATAATGTCAATTGAATTCCTCCCAAAATGAAAGCTGTGGCCATTTATTAATAAAAATAAAAGCCCACATTTTCACAAATGTTTTTCAGAATAACTCGTAGGTAAAGAAACTCCTTGGAGCTTTTCTAAAGGAAATGCTGGATGTACTTTCCAAAACTTCAGTTGGAAACTAAACAGAATCCAAATGTCCTGTCTTGTAGTTGAAAGCAAGTACCATTTTTAGAGTTAGGTTTTGCTCAACCTGCTGTATAAGGTTGTGTTAGGAACCTCTGCTTTTAGGGAAGTTTCCTGCTGTTCCCTGGGGCAGAACTGTTTCATTTCACATTTATTTGCTTCTCCATTAACACCTTTTTCCCATCCCCAGGAAAAAAAAAAAACACTAAATTATTGGTTTTCATAAAAACATGACAGTGTACAATATTAAAACCTAAAAACCAAACCAAAATAGAACAAATACAACAAGCTACACAGGTGTACATTCACATAAATTAATGTTAGAAGTACTGGCAAATAATAGTTTATGCAATATTTGCTCTAGCTATTCAAATAAACAGGACTAAAATAACTTTCCTGCTCATGAAATCAAGTGTGAAAATTGAGGCAGTACATGTGCAGATTAGCAAAAACATGTTGTTATGTTTGAATTTGAGCTCAAATTCTCCCAACCAATAGCTCTGTGGCTTTGGGAAAAATAATGATAATTTTAATATTTATTGAGAATTATTACCTGCCAGACTCTGAACTAAAGTACTTCACATGGTACAGAATATTTCTGAGTCCCTTTCCTTTTCTGTAAGGTTATAATGATTATACACATCTTATATGTTATGAAGAATATATAAAAGGTATGTTAAAGACCTAGACATAGAGTAGGTGATTATAAAAATGGATGTTTTAAAAACAAAAATGGAGCAGAGTAATAACACTGCTAATATACTTAAATAGCAATACAATTCTCATTCTACTTTCAGATGCATCAGTACTAAGTGAAGAAAATAATCTAGAAGCAGTAATTCGAGTTCACATTAGGCTTTTTTTTTTTTTTTCATGTGGGCTGCAGTGCAGAGGTATGATCTTTCCTCACTGCAGCCTCAACCTCCAGGGCTCAAGTGATCCTCCCAAATAGCCTCCCAAATATCTGGGACCACAGGCACTCACCACCACACCCAGGGAACTTTGTTTTATTTTTTGTCGATCAGCCTGTGTTGCCCATGCTGATCTCAAACTTCTGGGCTCAAGCAATCCTCCTGCCTCAGCCTTCCAAAGTGCTGGGATTTAGAGGCGTGAGCCACCATGCCTGGCCCATATTAGGCATTTTAATAAGTGAAGAGAGTAAAATTAAGAATAACTAATGCAACATTATCTGCATCAAAGTGAAATTCTAAAGAATGAAAAGCATCAAATTTCTCCTTGATGTTCCTTAGCTGGGACATTCGATGTTATGAGATAAAATAAATTTCACTGTAGTCTTAGAAGAAAGTTATTAGACTAGTTCTTCTTTTATTCTACCTTTATTAACTTGTTCTGTAAATTTGAGGAGTCAATTAACATTTTCCTGTGTCCATTTAGATATCTAAAAATAACTCATTAGAGGTTTTATTTATTTGCAGTTTCACCAAGAACAATGATAAGGATAATGGGATTTAAAGAAAACTTTGACTTAGCATAATTCAGCAAAACTGTGTTGGTTTATTGAGTGAGACATATAACACATTTGCAGTGCCTATGAATGGACAATGGTGATCCACTAGAATTTTCTGTTCCATTTTGTGATGTCTATAGGGAAGTTGTTGGAGGCTTTAGGGGCCATATCAATAGCACACTGAATAACAGTCTATTTCCTGGTTCCTCTGACCCAGCCAGGGCATTTATTTAATGGTGAAATGAGATGGAAAAAGGAAGAGTATGTACATCATGCATCCTGAAATAGAGGATGGAACAATGTGGAAGTAAAATTATTAGCTAAAATCCCTCTCAGAAAAGGTCTATGCTCCCTGCGGCCAGTCGTGGTTTGGACTAGTTTAAAATACAGCTGGGTAGTCTAAATCATAGACTAAATCCTAGACTAGATATAGTGGAAATGGCCACATGTGCCTATTATCATCTCTCAAACTTGGGATGGGCCAGTGATGTTCTCATAGATACCTTTGGTATCACCAATGCCAATTGAGATGAAGGTCGAGTTTCGGGGCTACTTTGAAAACCACATGAAATTTGGTTTGTAGTACTCTGAGTGACCTAACCCAAAGAACATTCTTGGCATAGAAATTCAAGTTTGAATTGGCATTTTTAAACATGTCGGACTTATTTTACTATCTCTGGCTCATAAAAGAGTAAGTTGGCAGAAAAAAGCAAGTCTTAACTGGATTACTGAGTTGTACATTCATGGTTACAGTTTCCACTGTGACTATTAGAAAATAAATGAAAATGTAAGTATAGAAAATGTAGCCTTTTGCAAGAGGGCATCCTATGGGCTGATTACTTTTAGAAAGGTTTGGGGACCATAGGGTGGGTTTAAATATTAATTGTAACCTATAAAAGGATTTAAAATTGTGAGAACAAAGGTCATTTATGCTGGGGGTTGGGGATTTTACATGTATATGGATTGGCAGAGGGGAAGAAGGTTTCTTTCATAGAGTCACATCCTTGTCCACAGAATTTCTAATTTTAATTCAATGGGAGTGCAAGGAAAACCTAACAGAGTGAGAGGTACAACATCAAGCTAAGATTGCTGAAGAGTTGTTCACATCGGAGGGCTAAATAGCTGGCCCCCGTATCCTGCTCCTCTTAACTTCATTAGGGCCTACAGAATAATGTAGTAAATGGTGGTGTTCACATGAAATATAGCCCAGCAACCTGGTGTGACCACAAAGGCAGCCAACTGTGGATGACATGGTACAGAATTAGATCCTCGATCAGGGATACTGTAAGGACACTGAACCAAGTTCTGTGCAGGGCCCAGCCCAGCCAGCAGATGTTAAACAAGACACTTCTAGATGCCTAATTGGCATTGATTAAACACTTGTTAATTGATTGACTTGCTGATTGACACAGTGTCACTGAGAATGCCCAGTTGGATGACAAGGCTTTTGACATTAACTCTATTAATATGTCAGTGGCTTAGGCAAGTCTCAATGTTTTCTTGACACAGGATCCTCCTGTCTACAACACAGAGGATAGTCACTTGCCTACAGCAGTTTTAGGGGAGAAGAGAAGACTGAAAAAAGATGAGATTATTGTTGAAGTCTGAGGCATCCCTCTTCCATCAAAATGTGCCAGCACCAGACAGCTTCCACAGGGAGTCAGAGCTTGACAGCTCAGCTGTCTTCTGAAAGGAGAGACAGACGGCAAATCATGTTCCAGGAGCACGAGGCATAGCCAGGAGCATGAACCCAGCTGAGGAGCAGGGCTGAAGGACTGGCAGAAGCTAAGGAGCACTGAGCAGACAAGCAGGATCAAACCTCAAGGATTATCTGCCTCTACAACCTTCCCCCAAACCCTGCTACATCCTACTAGAGCAGTGGCTCTGAAGCTTCGGTGTACGTAAGGAGCACTTGGGATACGTATTTAATCTACAGATTGCCATATCCTACCCCAGAGACTCTGAACCAGTAGGTTTCTTGGAGCCTGGGAATCTTCACATTAGCAAGTGCTCCAGGTCTAGGACCACACTAGGAGAAGCATTGACCTAAAGGGAACCCATTGAGCTTTGTACTTCTTAATGTCAATGACAAACAATAGTAAATGACAAAAAGATGCCAGTGGGTCTCATATCCAAACAGTTCTAATTTTGGATTTCTCAGTGTCTTGAGGACCAATGACATTCAGAAACACTTCCCAAGTATCCATCATGTGAAATGCATTGAACCAAGCAGTGCAAAATATACAAAGATAAGAACAGTCATGTGCATAAATAACTACAAAACCAGGCTGACTTTGATAGACTCATCAAGTGCTTAGGCCAGGAAACTTACAGAAGGGAAGGAGTAGTTCTAAATGCTGGGATCTGGAAAAGTACTTTGGAATTGGTGCCATCTGAGGTGAAGCTGGAAGGAAGGTAGGACTTCAATTTGGGATGAAGAAAGACACCACTGGCAGAGGGAATGGTTTAAACAAAGGTTTGGAAGCCTGAGAATCCAGAGTGCTGGCCTGTGTCTGGCCTGTGGAGTGTGTCAGAGGGCAGACTGAAAGCAGAGTAAAGGGAAAAGTAGAAGGGTCATTTTAGGGGCTTTGAACGATATGATGAAGTTTGATTTTGTTCCAAAGGCAATGTGTGTAGGATTTTGAGCAGAAGAATAACTGAAGAGGATTTTTTTAATTAAACAGATAATATCTAATGTTTAAACTAAACATTATTATTCTAAATAGCTAATGTATTTATAAGGCACAGCATTTTAAAGGAACAAGATGGTACATAATGTAAATTTTCTCTCTCTTACATCTGCGTCTCCCAGTCACCTATTTTGGAAGCAACTAATGTTACCAGTTTCTTTTGTATGGAAAGGACTGTTTTGGAAAATAGCTAATGGCCAAATATTGGTTGGGCTGGAATGAGGAAGAGGGGATTCATGACAGAGACACCAGTTTGGTGATCTTTTCAGAAGTCTAGGTGATGAAATGAAGGCTGGAAATAGAGTACTCTCAACGCATGTAGAAGGGGGATTCTGAAAAGACATTTCATAATCCTCTGCTCCCCATGTCCAGTCAACTTACAAATGACAAAGGGGAAGTCAAGGATAGTTGAAATTTTGACTTGAGAGTTGAGGAAAGGTAAGGAGGGGAACTCAGTTTGGGACCAGGATATGGGGAGGCTGTGCAGGAAAGATGAGTTCTGTTTTGGAAATGTTTGCCTATGATATAGGACATAGATGTGGAAATGACAAATATCCTGTTGGAAGGGCAGGCACGTAGCTTGTTAGAAATATTACTGAGGAGTTATGAGCAAAGAGGTGGTAGTTAAAGTTGTAGGATTCTATGAGCTCAGTAAAGAACACAGCAGATAAAGGGGCTGAGTACTGAAAAATTCTTATATCAAGGAGGAAGTAGAAGTGGGGCCAACAGAGACTAAGGAGAAATGTTCAGCGAGTGAGTATGCTTGTTATTGAATTCTGATGAAGAAAGTATTTCAAAGGGAGAGAGGTCAGGGGATTTTAGATCAATGCTGCCATCATGGTAATAGGAATGTAATGCACTAAGAGGAAGAGCTGAGAAGAAACCATTGAGCCACCTGGAGATGAGTAGCTCATGGGTGGGGTTTAAAGGGTAGTTTCCGGAGAAAATAATGCAAGGGAAATAGTAAAGGAAGGCCAGAGCATGGGGGTGTCTGGTGTAGACCTGTTTCAAGGAATCTAGTGTGAATGGAGGCAGAGAGAATAGATGCTGGAAAGAGAAATGAGGTAAAGAACTTTCCCCATTAAGTACAGAGGAAAAGGTTGAAAAGAAAAGGGTGGAGGTAGGGAGATGTTTGATGGAACAAGATCCTGGAAAAGACTGAAAGGGATGAATAAAGGCAAAGTTAACAATGAAGGGAAGAAAACCGGAGAAGTTCACACCTAATCTCCTTGGCCATCTCTGCAAAGTAGCCAAGATTACCTCTGTGTTCCATGAGTTTCTGTTTGGAGATTTGCAAAAAAATACAGAAAGCAATTTGATAGGATATTGACTTGGGAGGGAAGAAAGAATTTTCAAGAGTCACTGACGTTCCAGCTGAGGTTGCACTAAAGAAGCTACTCATCTGAGTAGCTTCCATTAGCTTCCAGATCTTTCTTTAATTTCTCCCCCACAACCACAGTCTCAAAAGAACTGTGCTTAACATTAAGAGTTTGACCTCTTTGGACAATCTGGGAAATGTATTCAAGAACTATCGTGTTCTTTCTGTGGCCCATAAAAAGAAGCAAAGGAAAGAATGTAGAATGCCTTCCAGACAGGTTTCTGGAAATCAATGATTGGTCTGTTATTTAGGTATGTATGCAGTGATATTTGGAAAGAGAACTTAAATATCTCTAGCATACTAGGCTGATCAGTTTATTAGCATCCTGTGAAAACTACCAAAAAGATATCTGCAAGTAATTTACTGGGGCAGGATCAGAGATGAGCGGAACCAGTCTGTCTCCCTGTGACTGAGACCACCGCTAGTGATTCTCCAAGTACAGAGGGGCATACCATCCTCCTTCTCTTCTCTTCCCCCTCTTTTATTTTCTCTCATTCATCTGGATTGACCCCCAAAATATGAAGGAAAGGCAAAGGAGCAGCTCCCTGCCAAATTAAAAGAGGTTATAATGGGGACATGTCCATGGTGAAGAACTATGTGCATCCGAGAGGGTTATGAAGACCTGCAAACATACTCATGATTTTGTCCCCAGTCTTCATTGTGCAATATATTTTAGTTTGCCTTTTTTGTTCCTACACTGCACTGGACATTATCTTTTTTTTCAATAGCACTTCATTTCACAGAATAAATCCCTCCCCATATAAATGGTTTACAGCGCGCCTGCCTCAAGCAATTCTGTTATGTAAAAAAAAAACTTTGCAACCACATTTAAAATTAGACATTTATTCCTTCATTCCTAAATGTGAGTTGACTCCCTGGAAGTATGTTCTCATTTTTTGTGGTTTTATTCCCTGAACTACAGTGATGTGCCTGTGACACCCACGCTGCATATTTCCTCCTTAGGTTATGTATTAGTTGGTCAAAACACACTCTCCTAAGGCAATGCCGCCCTCAAGTGGTCTAGTCTGAGAATAGTCAACTATTTTCCTCTGAACGCAAACTGGGTTTCCGTCCAGACCTGTTTGGCTGAAGCATTAACTCCTGAATGGAAAAATAATAATAATTATGTGCAGTTCTGGGGCACAATAATTATGAGGTACATGAGGAAAAAGGAAGCCTTTATTTCCCAAGAAGGCCCCAAAAGACATAGGAGTAAAATGGACGACAGCAACAACCACAAGCTTGTTTTGTTAATTACCAAGTAACTGGCTACCTGCATGTGACCGGGAGGACTAGGGTGGGCTATGAGTTGAACTGGCCCCCTTATGCCTTTGGGGCCAATCCTCAGCTCCTCTAGGGCAACCCCCTAATCAGAACTTATGACATCATGTTCTATAATTAAGGGCATACATTGTATGGAGACAACGCATTCAGGGAAAACATTCAACTCTTCCATGTGGCCAAGACTCTCAGAAGAGAGGTCAGTAATTATGGTAATTACATTAATCACAAGGATTGTTGCACGGAGGAGGGTATTGACATTGACGTGGCTACCCTATGATGAAGCTCTGTGGGGGGTCTGCTCTAATTGGCCACCACCAAAAGTCTCTCATGCCTATGATTAACTTCTCTGGTTGTTTATGTGAGCAGGCTTAGGAATTCTGCTGGGTTGTTCTGTGCAGGGCTTATGAGACAGGTTGGTTGCAGGGCTGTTAGGCTGTTCAACTAGAGAGCCCATCCTGGAACAAATGGGTCAGATAAAAACACACGCTGTGCTGTCCTTCATGGTTTGTTGCATTGTTTGTGGTACTTTGGGTGATTTCAGTTAATCATGAATCTCCTTCAACAAAGATTTTTGCATGGAAAATGCTAGTTCTTCTAAACTGCTCTTGGGCACAGAGATAAACTGGACCAGCGCAATGAGCAGGAAAGAGTGCTTTATCTAGCAGTTATTTGGTGCTGTGGGAAAAGCCCAGAAAAAGGAAACTGTGCTTAGTAACTTGAGATTGAGAATCAGCTCTGCCACAAACTGGGTATGTGACTGTGAGCAAGTCGCTTAACCATTCCAGACTCAGTTTCCACATAGGCAAAGTGTTTCATGTAACTCAGATTAGGGGTTCATAGGCTTATGTGCAGATGGCATGCCACACATGCCACCACCAGGATGAGGCCTAAGAGGCAGCGTCCTCTTTCCCTCCCTTCTTTAACTAAACCAGGTTCACTTTTATCCATTTTATAAATTGGAATCTGAAAACCACTGGATTCTATATATGTGCTTCTTTTCCAGCTACTTTATGCTGTGATAGTTATAGATACTCTGAATGGTGATGCTGACACTTATTAATCAAGTTCTTTTTTTTTCAAATTGTAAGTGAAATCATATATGTCTCTGTTAATTTACAAGTCTAGTTTCTGATAAAATTAGTCCAGTCGGTGGAATGATGGCATGTGTGGGTGTGTGCTGGGGAAGGGGGGAAAAGAAAGAAGTAACAAGGCTCATGGTGACCCCACAGCTCCCAGGAGGATGCAGGCCAAGGAAGGATCTAGGTAGACCTTGCCAAGCAAACAGTAGACAGTTCTAGGAGTGTGGATAGACTCTACCAGAAAAGCCAGCTAGAAAAGGGATGGTTCTGGTCAAGGAATAGTCCGGAGAAGGTCTGAAGGCACATCAGCAGACTAACAAGGCTTTTCACTCTGTGCCTCTAGAAGACATATTGTAAGGTCTGAGTGGGCCCCCAAAAGAAAAATACATTAGAAAGAGTTGAAAATCAAGATTTCCAGAAAACAGATGAAAAGTTTTTACTACACTATACTATATATGGGTATATATGTCATTATTAATAGCAGCCATCATTAAACTAATATGATTTATTTTCATTCAGGAAGCTTTCCCTTTAAGTTAGCTTAAAAACCGCATATACTATGCAATGTATCCAACTTTATTCTTCAAACTCCAAAAGAGTTTTTTCCTCTACAGTGCTTAAAGATAACACAAGTGTGGATGAGTGATGGTTGAGATCCAGTCTCCTTTCTTGAGAATAACACGAGGCACAGACCAAGCAATAGACCAAGGTGCTCAGAATTATGAAATGTCCACTCTTTTTAGTTCAAGTATGCTGAGTGCGGAAGAAACTTCCTGACCTCCTAGTGTTTTTATGTCACCATCTGTAACCTATAATTACAGAGAGATTCTA
This sequence comes from Homo sapiens, assembly GCF_000001405.40. Taxonomy (NCBI): domain Eukaryota; kingdom Metazoa; phylum Chordata; class Mammalia; order Primates; family Hominidae; genus Homo; species Homo sapiens. The sequence goes on along the minus strand of NC_000004.12, from coordinate 118,979,785 downwards.
ACTTATTAAAGTAATTGCTCAGACTATAATTCCTGGTTATATGAATTTCTGAGGTACAATTTGTATGGCCTCCTGCAATAGATGCCTCTGTTGCTACCCTGTCATTGTGCTGAAAATATAGTATAGATAATGAAAGGATATCCAACCAGTGAACAAATATTTACTGAGCACATATCATTGGCAAGACATTGTCATAAACAGTACGGAAATACAAAGTTAGGCCAGGGATAGGCCTTGCCCACAAAGTGCATGCAATCTAGTAAAAAGTTGCATGTGTAAACAACTAGAAAATAAGGCAGCCAATAGTAAGTACTTGATAAACAAGATGGTAGTATATGATTCTGACTTAGAGCTGAGGGTGAGATTTTAGGTCATTGGCTCAGGAAAGGGGTTTACAAAGTAAATTACCTTGAGACCCGGCCTTACAGCATACAAAGACTTTTGTAGGTGACAAAATTCTTTCTTTCCACAGGAAGGGAGAAGATGCTAAGCAGTACTGGCAAAACAACGCTACGGCAGTAGGAAAGCATAGCCACTATTCAAGAGATAGCTAAGCAGGAGAGACTGTGGAGGGTAAGGGAAAATAGTAGAAGGCAAGTCTGGACAGGAAGGTCAGAGCCATATTCTAGGGGTGTTTTTGTTTTGTGCTAAGGAGATGAGAGGTGCCATGGAGCTGCAAGCCAGAAAGCAAAATGCACAGAACGATTGGAAAGCGAAAGAGGCCGATCCAAAATCACCTCTGGAGTATATCGCATCAGTACAGGTGTTAAACAATAAAGATTTCAACTAGAGCAATGGCATCAGAAATGATGTAAGAATGCGCTATGTGTGCGGGCCAGTGTTATTGAAAAGCAGAATTCAATTCAAGGGCACTACATAGGATAAAACAATAAGTTGGACAAGGGAGTCCTATACATAAAAAGGTTACAGGCACTTTTCAACAAATGGGCTAAGTGTGTGTGTGTGTGTGTGTGTGTGTGTGTGTGTGTGTGTCATGGCAGGAGTATTTCACATGAAATACACAGGTATATTTGTACCTATGATTAGTCTTAAAGTCCTGGCATCATTTCTCAAAATAAATAACATTTTTTAAAAAATCTGGAAGCAGGGAGATTTGATTGGGCACTGATAATCATTACCTTGTAAATGAAGTTGAATGTTTTTCCGTTTCAGGAAATCATTGGGACAAGTGGAAAATCCATTGGAATACACATATATATAGTAAACAGAACAAGGTAATATAAATTACCCTGATTATTCATAAGCCAACTGGTGACGAGGATAAGGTATAGCCGAAGTTTCCCTGCAAATGGTTTGTCATGTTTTTCTTGTCAAAAAATTAATGCTAGACCCAACTCTTTTGTGTTTTACTGCACTTTTTACTATGCTAGGGAAACGGTCATATTTTATTTTTGATGCAACTGAACAATTAGAGAAAATGATTATCTAGAATTCTAAAAAGTAAATAAAATGACAACAAGATACAGTAATTCAATCAATCAGCAACTGCAGGTTAAATGCTTGCTTTGAGGGCAACTTTGGGCTAAATTGTGGGGAACAAAGGGAAAGATGTGACTTGGCTCATTCCTAGAGAAGCTTGAAATTTAGATGGGCAAATCTGGCCAAGAAGCAAGTTGCAACTAGAAAATCAATAAGTTATGACATCATAAGCCATTGACGTTTTCAAGGAATTCACCCAAAGATCTTAGAAAATTCCCAATCCACAAATTCTACAGTAGCATATAATTCCCTCATAAAATATTCATGCAACGGCAACTTGATAACAACAAAACTATGTTGGACTATATATGAGGTCCTATTTGCTGGGTTCACTCACTTGGCTAGTAACCTACTACCTGGAACCAGGCTTGCAGAACTCCTGAGTGGAAGTTATGTCTTTGCAAAATTATAAGTGGCAATGCCATAAACCTACAGGGTTGCTTTAGAGATGTCAAAAGTGGGATTGCTAACACTGTACAAGGTCAAGCACTACTCACCATGATATACGTTCAAAGAAGGCCTACATAATGCAGAAATTTCTATAGGGCAGAGTTGATGCTCCACAGACAAGGTAGGATTATGATCCAGACATGTCTGATTTCTAGCCTCTGAAGCTCTTCCCTGCCATCAGGAGAATGGCTGGATCCCACCCACAAGGCTAGTGTCTCCTCAAGTTGAGAGGTGACAGCATGCTGGCAGTCCTCAGAGCCCTCGCTTGCTCTCGGCACCTCCCCTGCCTGGGCTCCCACTTTGGTGGCATTTGAGGAGCCCTTCAGTCCCCTGCACTGTGGGAGCCCCTTTCTGGGCTGTCCAAGGCCGGAGCCCACTCCCTCAGCTTGCAGGGAGGTGTGGAGGGAGAGGCGTGAGCGGGAACCGGGGCTGCGTGCCGCGCTTGCGGGCCAGCTGGAGTTCCGGGTGGGCGTGGGGTTGGCAGGCCCCGCACTCGGAGCAGCTGGCCAGCCCTGCGGCCTCGGGCAATGGGGGACTTAGCACCCAGGCCAGTGGCTGCAGAGGGTGTACTGAGTCCCCCAGCAGTGCTGGCCCACCGGCGCTGCGCTCGATTTCTCCCCGGGCCTTAGCTGCCTTCCCACGGGGCAGGCCTTGGGACCTGCAGCCCGCCATGCCTGAGCCTCCCACCCCCTCCATGGGCTCCTGTGCGGCCCGAGCCTCCCTGACGAGCACCACCCCCTGCTCCACGGCGCCCAGTCCCATCGACCACCCAAGGGCTGAGGAATGCGAGCGCACGGCGCCGGACTGGCAGGCAGCTCCAGCTGCAGCCCCGGTGCGGGATCCTCTAGGTGAAGCCAGCTGGGTTCCTGAGTCTGGTGGGGACGTGGAGAGTCTTTATTATCTAGCTCAGGGATTGTAAATACACCAATCAGCACCCTGTGTTTAGCTCAAGGTTTGTGAGTGCACCAATCGACACTCTGTATCTAGCTGCTCTGGTGAGGACGTGGAGAACCTTTATGTCTAGCTCAAGTATTGTAAATACACCAATCGGCATTCTGTATCTAGCTCAAGGTTTGTAAACACACCAGTCAGCACCCTGTGTTTAGCTCAAGGTTTGTGAATGCACCAATCGACACTCTGTATCTAGCTGCTCTGGTGGGGCCTTGGAGAACCTGTGTGTGGAAACTCTGTATCTAACTAATCTGATGGGGACGTGGAGAACCTTTGTATCTAGCTCAGGGATTGTAAATGCACCAATCAGCGCCCTGACAAAACAGGCCACTCGGCTCTACCAATCAGCAGGTTGTGGGTGGGGCCAGATAAGAGAATAAAAGCAGGCTGCCCTAGCCAGCATTGGCAACCCGCTAGGGTCCCCTTCCACAGTGTGGAAGCTTTGTTCTTTTGCACTTTGCAATAAATCTTGCTACTGCTCACTCTTTGGGTCCACGCTGCTTTTATGAGCTGTAACACTCACCGCGAAGATCTGCAGCTTCACTCTTGAGACCACGAGCCCAGCGGGAGGAATGAATAACTCCAGACGCGCTGCCTTAAGAGCTGTAACACTCACTGCAAAGGTCTGCAGCTTCACTCCTGAGCCAGCGAGACCACGAACCCACCAGAAGGAAAAAACTCCGAACACATCTGAACATCAGAAGGGACAGACTCCAGACGTGCCAACTTAAGAGCTGTAACACTCACCGCGAGAGTCCGCGGCTTCATTCTTGAAGTCAGTGAGACCAAGAACCCACCAATTCTGGACACAAAGTCACTAGAGTCAATCCAGTTATTGGGCAAGAAAGATTTCAAAAGCTCTGGTAGGGGACAGGGAGTCTATTAATAAATGGCAGTCTCCATAGCCGGCACTTTTATATTTTTGCAACAAATCTGTAAAATATTTATTTTTCTCCTGACTTTGAGGAAAGTAAGGCTCACAAAAGTTATGGGACTTGTGTCTGATCATACAGCTAGTGGCAGGAGAATGAAATTCAAGTTCAAAGGCATTTACTATGGTAGATTCCCTCTCAGGCTGTGGAGCACATATTCTTAGCCCTGTGTTTTTTGGGGTATGAGACTGGGTCACTTAATGCTGGTTGGCTCTGATCCAGAGTCCAAGTTTTGATGATTAGGCTTCTGCCTTGTGCTAGGGAACTAATCCTGTAACTATATCCCTGTGTGTCTTACTCTTTGTGACTTAATTGTGCCCTTAATAAATTGTGTGGTAACCCAGCTCTTCTATGACAGGAATTTCCCCTTGCACCTCCTCCTCCTTCCTGGGGGTGAAAGTCCTGCTCTTGAATTTCGCCTGATTGCTTGGACTCTGCTACCACTTGTTAGTAGATATCCCAAGTCCTGTCTGTGTGTATCCTTAAGTTCCTCATAATGGTTGTATTGGATCCTTCATCTCTGTTTGTCATTCATATGCCAGCCTATTCCCACTCTTAAAGCTTGGCTTTTTCTGAAAGGAACTTCTTGCCCAGACAACCCCAAATTTTCTGTTGCCATAGGTGCCCAAACTCTATTCTACTTGTTGATTAGTCTTCCTTCTAGCAGTAGTACTACATAGATTTTGGGATCTGTCACCCAAATTATTTGTTACTCTGTGTGCTGGTCTTTGTCTAGCTCCTTTAGCCCAATGACTGAGCGATATGTGGCCCATAAGATAAGTATGACAGAACAGTGGTGGGAAAGAGTCTGGTGTACTCCTGGAGGTGCAGAGGGTGGCCTCACGTGGGTGCAAGGTGTGTGTGACAGGTTATTGAAAGTAAGGTTGGATTACTGGGGTAGAACCATATTGAAAAGAGTTTTGAATGCCAGAATGTAACACTTGGCTCTCATCCAGTAGTGATGAGAAATTATTATTGGTTTGTAAGCACTCTAGGGAGATTAGTCAGTGTGTAGGATGGACTAGACAGGAGATGACTGAAGATAGAGAAACAAGGAAACCATTAAAGTTCTGCAAAAACAACGTGATGAGAGCCTGGATTAGAGTTATCTGTAATAACCCCAGGAAGGAGGTAAGAGACAACATTTGAAGCAAACTGCACCTTAGTGAGAGATAGGGTATGTAGAGAAGCAGAAGTCAAGGATGAATCTAAAGTCCTAATAATGGTGATGCTGTTGGTAGAAGAAAGAAACATAGGGAAAGAATCAAAATCTGGGGAAAGAAACCCTAAAATCCCAGCTCTCTTTTCAAAATTTTCAGTATTAACATTGATTGTATGTGAGAACATTGCTAGCAAGTATCCAAGCAAAGGGATGTGTTAAAATCAATCAAATTGTTGAATTAAGACTAGAAGACAAATGAAAAATCAAGGCTGAACATATCAATTAGGGATAGATGTGGGAGAAGTCATAGGTGTGGACAAGTGAACTGTGAGGGAAGTCAAACCTAATCTGGCAAGAAATCCAGTTTTCCACAATATTCTGGGTCTAGGCCTCTGCTGGGCCAGTGGCCAAGGATGGGCAAGAGAGTCAAGGATGGACTGTATATTCACAAACAAGAAAGCCTGTTATATAACTTGGCTCTAAAAAGAGCCACCACTACAACTAGGTATGGAATCTCTAAGGCCTGAGATACAATACCTGTGTGAGATTTTCTATCTCATCCCACTGAGAAATGCTACAGATGCCACTTGCTACGGCTGATTCCCTTTGAGCACTAAAATTTACTCTCCCACTAAAGGTGTTGTAGAAATGCCTCTTTTCTTAGCTCAAACATAATTATTGTCCAGGTTTAATATTTAGCTATGTTTAACTCTCATTCTCAACTCTCTTTTCAAAAATTAAAATCATATGACCAAGATAAGCAGGTTGATGATTTAAGTCAGCGTCCTCAGCTGTATAATGGGAACAATAATACCTGACTCCTGCTTTTGTGAAGAAAGAAGAATCTTAAAACAGGTCAATGAAGAATTTACTTGTGTTAAACTATGTTCTGAGTGATGTTAGATTGCTTATTTCAGTGGGGTTTGTTTAGGTTTTATGTCCAGTGGCTACTGATTGGTGTAGCCTATATAGCTTTTATGTAACTTCAGGACCAAACTAGGCTTCTTTTAGTTCTGATACTAATTAATATCCAAAATTGTGGTTAGGAAAATGAAAGGAAAGAAGAAAAAAATGTGGCTATTTATGGTGGGTTCTTTTGTGGGGAGGGAATTTTTTGGCTATGAACTGGCATTTGCCCAACAGTATTCCGAGTTCAGTAAATAACTCAACACGCATGGGTTAAATTTCCAATAAAAACATGAAGCTTAAAAAGTAAGTGGAAAGTACTTGGCAAGATACATATTTACATTTGGTGAAGGGAAATTTTTATGGTGGTTAGCCAAACCTGACATGCACAGGGATTAATTCATCCTCACTCATCACAGAAACGAAAACTGCCAGTATCATATCATACGTGCTATGCTGTGGCTTTCTCTTAAAAATCAGCACCACCGTGAAAGGAAGCTGACCTCTGTGTGCACACACTTAGTGCAAGTGTGTGCCTTACTAGAATCATTATACGTATATATGTATAATAAAACTACTTTTTAAAATGCTGAGAAAGTCTTATATTTGAGGTACTATAATTTTAATAATAGTATAATAGAATCCTTGAATTAATAATTCTATAATTGATGGAATTCATATAATAATTAACAGAATTCACATAATAATATAGAATTACTAATTCTATAATTCTGACTTACTCAAAAATTCAAACGTTTTTCACTCTACAGATGCTCCTCAACTTACAATGGGACTATGTCCCACAAAACCCATCATAAATCAAAAAATACCATAAGTCAAAAATGCATTTAATGCATGTATAAGCCCATTGTAAAGTTGAAACATCATAAGTTGAGTTATAATAAGTGGGGACCATTGGTGTGAAAAAGTGGTGTGAATGGGGAGAAAAAGCAGGTGAGCAAGCGGGGATAGCCAGCTTACAAAATATGTATTTCTGATCCTGTAATATCTAATTTGTTTCCAATTTTCAAATGAAAGACACTGAAATTATTAAGCACTCACTATGTGATGAAAAGTAAACTGAACTTTGAGGAGATTTTTGTAGCTTGCCCAAGGTCACAGAACTAGATTTAAACTTAGAGATGTATAACTTAAAATTGTAGGCAGTGGGCAAAACAGTTTCACCCTTGCTGACTCTGTAAACCTGACAACAATCCTAAGAGGACAATGCTAGAAGTGATGGAGAAAAAACAAAGCTAGCACCTAAGAGACAAATTTGCTCGTTTCCCTTCTGAGTTAGTTTAGACAAACTGCCCTTACAGTTTGAAGGGCTTGGAGGAAAAGAAAAAAATACATAAAAAGTGTTTTATTTTCCTATTTGGGGAAATGTAAGGGAATCAGATTCTGCTTGAAATCTCAGAATTCCCTTTTCTTTTTTTTTGAGACAGGGTCTCCCTTTGTCAGCCAGGCTGGAATGCAGTGGCATAATCACAGTTCACTGCAGCTTCCACCTCCTGGACTGAAGCCATCCTTCCACCTCAGCTTCCTAAGTAGCTGGGACTACAGGCACGCACCACTACACCCGGCTATTTTTTCTTTCTTTTTTTGTAGAGACAGGGTCTCCCCATGCTGCCCAGGTTGGTCTCAAACTCCTGGGCTCAAGTGATCCTCCCACCTCTGTCTCCCAAAGTGTACAGGCATGCATGAGCCTCTGCACTCGGCCTCAGAATTGTTTTTATAAGTATAGTTAAATATTATTCTGTCTCCTCTCTTTCTTTTATGTTCTGAGGAAGTTCTCGTCAGAAGTTAGGATAACTCCTACATAGAATTTCTGTGGAGATTAAATAGAGTTCTACATGTAAGCCTACGAAGCTGTTCAAGACCACTGTAGAGTACTATGACGCTCACTGGGACCACACTATGAGGTCTATCCCTGTAGAATTATGTGATGTTGAAGAAACCATTATTTTCCTTCTTACACTTTCTCAAAAGAGGGAATGTCCACCCCTCTCATGGATGGGAGAACATAACACTTCTGGATCTCTCCTGTCACTTCTCGGCATGGGAAGAGTAGCTAATTTGATTAAAGAGAGACTGAGTCATTGAGCCATTATTTTTCAGAGACCATGGTTACTGCATTGAAAAGGAAAAGCTGGCCAGGTCTTTCTCTTACTGCCTCAGACCACTGTGTTCACAGATGATGCGCTCACTTGTGCTTCAGGACCCAGAAAGTAGGCAAACCCTGCCCTAGCAGGCCCAGCTAGCTTTTGTTCTCCAGGCCAGCTTTGCTGTCTATGAATGAATAAGTCAGGTTGCCCTTTCACTGGAGACCCATTGGCTTTAATGTAATAAACATTAATTCCTAAAAGATATGGAAGCGCCATTCTAGCCTCAGGTCTAAGTCACATTGTCCAGTGCATCTTCATTGTGAGTAAAACTGATCATTTCAAGTTAAAGCCTAAAAGGATGGTGGGATGTAGGAGAGCTACTCTAAGCCTTCAACATTTGGGACCTTTGAGATAGTTGCCCAGTCCTCTGCTGTCTTGAAAACACTGGCATAACATAACCATCCATGGATTCTGGCTCCTTGTTCTTAAGAGTCATGGGTTCGCTTTGTTTTCAGTTTAAAAGACACATAATAATTATCTGCTTATTGTTTAGAGTAATTTACTAAACATTAGCCAAAACAGCTAACTTAAGACACTGAGCAAATCTCAGAAATCAAATATAACATATATTCATCTTCATGTCAAAGAATAACATATTGCATTTTAACACGGAGGGAGAGAAGGAGCGAAGGTGCTCACGGGACCTTTCACTAGCACCAGAATGTGCTCAGTCCCAAAGTGACCCCAGCTTTTTGCCACCCCAGAGAGTGTTGGTCTAACAACAAGCCTGTCTAAGGAGACAAAGTATCATTGGGGGTCAAAACAAATGAAAAGATTCTGTGTCCTCTGGAACTCATGTTGACATTTCTCTGAGAAAAACTAAAGTGATCTTTTTGATTGATTACTTTATTCATTCATTTATTGACAAGGAGTTATAAAGCACCCACCGTGTTCTAGTCCTCTTCTAAGGACTTCTTCTCTGCATGTGCAAATGCTTCTGAGATGAAGGGAACCTTTAGAAAGCCTATGTGGTCATAGGCCAAATCCACCCACCTTGGTTCTAGAGTGTTTGTAGCTTTCTCTATTTTGGCAGTAATTGGATATAGCAAGACCAGTTTTCTACTACAGTCCCTTTATAATAATGAAATGAGGTTATCTGCTATGGGAAGTATATTTATCTTTCTATCATATACAGACAAATTTGTAAATAATATGTGGGGTGGTTAAGGTAAAAGCATTCATGCATCTTATCCAAGGGAGGTATCAAGTTATTACAGGGTATATAGTAAAAAAATTGGAGGGATACAAACTTATTGTTTTATTTAGTGAATATTAAAGAGTACTAAGGGACAGAGTTATTCACTAGTGACTGTGTCATAGATCTTGATCAGAAACAATCAAACTTCTGGGGCTCTTGATTGGCACATATGATAGCAAGACCTTTGGAAATTTCTCAATAAAACATTTATTTATCTATATTTTGTTCTGAATAAAATGTGAGCACCTTAGGGTAGAAGTGTAGTTTATTCATCTACATGCTTATGTCTGGTACATGGTAGGCATTTGACAGATAATTGTTAAGAGAATGAAATCTGTTGATAATTTATAATTCAGGAATAAAACAGCTTTCAGATAAAGCTTTTGCTAGGTGGAAAGTGAGTACAAATTACAAGTACATTTCCAAGAAGGCTCATATATGTCGATTATTAATTTTTGCTATCATTATTAAACAGAAGTCCTAGACAATGAACAGAAATTTTACCTAATGCTGTTAATTAATAATAGAAAAATATAATTGAAACAATGAAAGTGCTCAATATTTTCCTTATGCTAATCATCTAATAGTTAAATGCAAACAATAGAACATTCCCATAATGAAATTCTATTACACTTCAGTCTACTTTTTAAAGAGGCCAGGTTCTCATCTCAAATCATTTTTGTTGGCATTTCTACTAATTTTTCATGTTTTAAACAATAACTGATATTTTACCAAAAAAAAAAAAAACCTTGTAATCAACTTCCAAAATAACAGCTATTTTCATATATTAGTGACCTTATAGAAAGAACGCCCAGAACTTAATAAAACCCCAGAAGACTTTAGAAAGTCCTGGTTCACAGGAACACAGTGCTTCTTTGGTTTCAGGCCATTGGCTACCTCATTGTTGGGATTTTCCAAGTCAGATAGTATTACACTTGGAATATGCCAGTGAACATTAATAATCATGACCATAAATGAAAAGTTGGCCTTCTCCAATGGGATATAAAAGACTGGCGCTCCACACCTCCTCAGAGCAGCAGAGGGCAGTGAAAGCACTGGTAATGGATAATATAAACCCAGTATTACCATCGGGAGAGAAACGTACTTTTTTACAAATACATTTTCCATTTTAAACGAACACCATGCATGTAAGAGTTTGGAAATATATTTTTAGTCTCTAATGCAGTTTTGGAGCCATATACAACTTTTACAAAGTGCAATGTAATTTCTATGTAGCATTTCTGGGACTTAGAGTTCAATTTAATATATCAGAAAAATGTTTTAGGGAGTAACACTACCTTGTAAACTTGGTCCAAAACTTAGCTGTACAGTGTAGGATATCATAAAACAGTGGTAACCCACCAGAGACAGAGTGTTGTGTTTATGTGAGTATACAATTTAGGAGCTGCAAGGGCCCCTTGAGGTTAACTAATGATTCGTGTCCCTCCTTTTAACTGACCTGGAAAGACTCCTGGACTTGCTCAACTACATAGAGGCTAAGACAGTGGTCTCCTCACTCCTCTCGTTCTGTGGATTTTCTCGTTCTGTTTTGTTTTCGTTTTTGTTTTGCCACGCTATATTTCATAATACTTAGCAGTTAGATTTATAATCTCTGACGTTTTAGTCAGGGTTCAAAGGCCAAGGAATTTCCACCTGGAAAATGCAGGAGGGCTCAAAAATCAGTCTGAGCTTGCTTCTGCAAAAATTTGTTTTTAACTTTGAAAAGAGAGGCCTCCACAAGGGAGTTATGCCATTCATTTGAAATTTTAAAAATTGCTCTACCCATTGCAAGTCAGTATATACTTAAAGTTCTTTAAAAAGAAAAAAGACCCATCACTCCTCCACCAGGGACTCCCAGAAGACACTGCTCTTTTAACCTCTGCAAACCCACACAAATCCAGTCCCCTTTCCTTCTTAGATTGCCCCATCACTGTATCATGGTCAGAAATTTTACTAAATGGCAAGGCAAATGCCTATGGGTGCTTTCTTAGCTGTGACCTTTCGAAGTCTGGGCTCTAATTTAGAAAATCTGTCACTCACTTTTCCTACTGAGTTGGGAGAGTGGACTGGAGCTCAGGAGTGGCTGAGAAAATGGTTAAATGGTTAATGGTGAAACAGTAACCTCTGGGAGAAAAGACATCTCTGTGGAGCCAGGACATTGCTGTAACAGTTACATTCAAACATTTCGTCTCCAGACTTTGTTGATTTGCCTGGAGCCCATGAGGTCTGATTGGCATTAGCAAGTGCAAGGGCCTCCAGTGACATTCTCCTGACCCTGCAGCAACTTCCTTCTTTCAAGAACACACACTAAGCCTCAGGCCAGGACCTCTTGCTTTCATTTTCACTAACTGGCTTCTCAGCCTGCTCTCTTTGTTCTACATCTTGTGGTTTTTCAGCAAGTCAAGGGCCAGGCTGAAATCCCAGAGCAAATTCTTCCAAGGCCAAACAAGGAAATGCTCAGCAAGTCTTTGGAAACCAATAACCAAGAGCACTAAGCTATGTTATTTGAAAGTTAATACATTGAATGTCACATATTTTTTCACCATAGTTAGACATTTTATAGAATAGCTGTATGTCTTCATTATATGACATTCTCTAATAAAGTTTAAAGTTGCATGGATAGGTCCATGTTTTAAGTTGACTTTTTTTTTTTTTTTTGGTATAAAGATTTTTCAAATCAAGAAGAATTAAAAAGCCAAATCAAGGAAAACACCTTCTGGAGAGAATCTGGTGTTACAAACTTTAGTTAAATGCTGTATATCTTATGATTTCTTAAGGAGATGACTCATACCAAAGGGAATCATCCAAGACATGCCAAAAGCATAGGGGAAAACATGGAACCTTTTTGTCCAGAAACTATCAGGGATTGTGCTATACCCGTTTCCCCAAGTGAGGCAAATGGTTCTCTGGAAATTACCATGAATGGGGCTTCCCCACTGCACTTTTAGTTGAGTTGGCCAAAGAAGCTGCAGAGCATCAGGCCAAGGACCAAGAGGAGCTGTGGTTTTTGTGTGATGAAATGTGCTACCATCCAGCAAGGATTAGGCTCTGAGCACAACCTGCTAGTTTGGAAACCTGAAGCCAGGATTTTCAGAACGCTGGCTCTTAAGCATAACCCAAACAACAAAGAGAAGTTGTTTGTTGGAAAACTCAGTCTCAGGGAATGTCAGAGCTAAAAGGTCAATTGTAGAGTTATCAGGTGGCTCGACGAAAATCATATTTACGTGGTTCCTCCGCAGACTTTTATTTCCTATAGGGAGACAGAGGTAGAGGAAAGAAAGAAGAGGGTGGGAGAGAAAAAAGAAAATGGGCAGTATAGAGTGGGAGCTAAAATGGGCTTGAAATTAACTCAGTAGCTGAGTTCAACCACTGAAACCTTTGTTTTCTGAAATATTAGAAGGGAATAATAGTACACTCCTGTGTTATAAGGTTGTTATAAGAATTCATAGAATTAATCTTTGTAAACTATTTAGTGCCTGTCTGGAACATATCCATTATGCTCAATAATGGTTAACTATTATTACTGTCATTTTAAGTAACTGGATAAAGAGGAAAAAGATGTACTTACTGTGAGGTACAGTTCCTTAAAAACTACCATGTTATTAACTAATCATTCAGAGCTTTGTAAGGAAGGACCTGCTGACCTGCTCTTCAAGTACATGAGTAGATTCAGATACTTTAAAAACTTCATCAATCTGTTCAACCTACATTAGTAAAATCTATACAATCTGGGACAAACTAGGCCACCATTTGTTCAGGTAATACCCAATACAGGAGGAACTAGGGGAGGGGGGTCTTTCACTTGCCAAGCCCTGTAAAACAGTAGCTTTGGGTTATATCATCCCAGAAGTATGTGTGTGTATATATATGTTATATATATGATACATAGCTATATAATTTAAATTTTTATAAATGCTTCATATGAACTAGCAGCAGCCCTGGGGTCCAATCCTAAATCCCACAGCAATTTAGGATCTTGACCAAACCTTCTGCCATACCCTAGCTTTCCTTCTTCAGGCAAGATTATATAGAAGAAGTCCTCCCTTGGGGTTTACAAGGGTAAGTGGGGGAGCTGTGCTCCAGGGTTTCTGGGAAAGACAAACCAACTCAAACAAGCCTATTCTATCTATCGTCTCTACCCAGAAGCTAAAATGGGGAGGCAGACTGCCTTTTCTTTCTCCCTAGAGAGCTCATACCTCAATTCTGCTTTAAAGGTATTGCTTGAGCATTGAGGTATAGGAGCCAGAGGGAGCGATGATGAATGCCTTCTCAAATAAACCACTTTTTCTATTTCCCGTTTCTTTCTATCCACTCAAATGAATGGTTGAGAATTTTGCTGCCAACTTTTGCCCGTGAGTCCCTCCGATCCACCTAGATTAATCCTGGTTGTCCTATCAGACTTAGCTTTCCATAATCCACAATAGTCTCCCATCCCAGAATGAGGTATGGGCTTATTTATTTATTTAGACAGGGTCTCACCGTGTCACCCAGGCTGGAGTGCAGTGGTGCAATTATGGCTCACAGCAACTTCAACCTCCTGGGCTCAAGCAATCCTCCCACCTCAGTCTCCATCCAGCTAATTTTTTTTAAAAAAAATCTTGTAGTGACAGGGCCTCATATTTTGCCCAGTCGGGTCTTGAACTCCTGGGCTCAAGTGATCCTCCCGTCTCAGCCTCCCAAAGTGCTGAGATTACAGATGTGAGCCACCATACCCAGCCCCCTCTACTTTTTGATATCATCTTGTACGTACTTCCCAGAATGTAAATCCATGAGGACAGGACCTGTGCCATCTTGTACACGGTTTTATTTCCAGCACCGATAATAGTGCCTGATACATAGCAGACATCCAGTAAATATTGTCAAATGACTGAATAAATGAATCATAGTGCAAGTAAAGAAGGAGAAAAAACAATACTGTGTAACCATAATTGCCTTCTATGGAGGCTAGACAGTAGATCCTGGAACATAAAAGTCTCCTTGCCCAAGCACCAAGATGGATTTAGGTATGAAAAAAGTGGGCCTGGATTTGAATTTGGGGGATGCATGAAAAGAACAGAATTACTCTGTACAACAGACAGCAAGAGCATCCTGGAGCTGGAGCTTGAAGGAGGGTAGAATGCAGTGCAGGAGGGATGATGTGAGGAGTAGAACCGGGAGATGGATGAGAAGATTGGCAGGCATATGGCTGCTGTGTGGGGTAAAGCAGACAGTGAGAAGGCCCTGGTTGGGGTGGGGGGGTGCTGGCAAATGGACTCATAACAGGAATGTGCCCTCTGTCATTTGAAGTTTATTGCTGTGCTCTCCCATGACCCAAAAACTCTCAGTTCAAGTTTTTGCAATATATTATCAGCTTGGTTTTTATGATTGCTTTGTGTGTGGTGTAGGGGAGGGAGAATAGATGAGAAAGAGTTGTTTCCCAAGCTTGAGTTTATGCCAAGACAGAGATAAAGGAACAGCTACAAGATGCACAGTACATTAGAAAGCAGGAAGTCAGGGCAGAGCTGACTGTGAATGCAACAGAAATCTTGGGAGCAGCCTTTGGGCTTCGAAAGGACATGAAATGGAAGCTTTGTGCTGATTCCAGTCAGATCTCAACGAGCCAGGAGGTCCCAGCTAACACCTGGGACACACTATGTATTCCACATAAAGGTTAATTTTCTTGTCTTTTTTTCAGTCCTTTGGACTGAGTTTCTTGATAGCAGGGGTTTTCTTGTTTGTAAGAACATCTACATCTCCAGCACAATGTCTAACAGACAGTAGTTACTATTTATTGAATAAATAAATGAATGGCTTTACCGTAAACTTTCTTCCTTGGAAACCACCTAAGATTAATGAGAAAAAAAATCAAATCAAAGAGTGGGAGGGAAGAAGAGAGAGAAAGATGGAGATACAGGTGGAAGTAGAGAGGCAGAGTGAGAGGGAGAGAGAAATAGTATGTCACCCTAATAAATAAAACCTGATGGTTTTCTCAGATAACATTTTTTCCATATCTCTCAGTTTTTAATTGTTTTTTTTTTTAATTTACTTTTGAGACAGGCTCTCACTCTGTCACCCAGGCTGGAGTGCAGTGGTGCAATCTCAGCTCACTGCAGCCTCTACCTCCCAGGCTTAAGCAATCCTCCCACCTCAGCCTCCCAAGTAGCTGGGACCACAGGCACAAACTACCACACCTGGCTAGTGTGTGTGTGTGTGTGTGTGTGTGTGTGTGTGTGTGTGTGTGTTGTGTGTGTTTTGTAGAGACAGGGTTTTGCCTGTTGCCCAGGCTGGTCTCAAACTCCTAAGCTCAAGTAATCTGCCCGCCTCAACCTCCCAAAGTGCTGGGATTGCAGGCATGAGCCACCACACACAGCCACATCTCTTATTTTGAAAAATCTATTATTTATCTTTATCCCCCAAAACTTCCTTGGCACCTGCTCCATATGCTAGAATTAGGTTAAATGGAGTGAAAAGCCTGGTGGATAATCTTGACGGGTGGTCCCCCTCATGCAAAACCCATGTACGTCCTAATAGGATGCAATCCCATCTCAGTGAGAGCCATGCATCACCTGGCCAGTATTTGATTAGAAGGTTGATTGATTGATTGATTGCATTTCGAGGACAGACTGTATCCAGGACAGCTGTGGCCTCCATGCTACTATGAGTTTGCCTAGAGGCAATGGTTAAATATGAGTAACAAGTCTCCTAGGCCTTTATGCAAAAAGCTTAATGCAAGTTGTTTGGTCAGAGGATCTGAGATTGTACCTCTGTAATTAAAGTTTTATAGACTATGGAAATAAATCATAACAGCATGTACTAAAACTAATTTTTAAAAATCAGTTTATCCTCATTTCCCTGAGAATTTGATCAACTGGTAAAATAAACAAGTATAATAAAATCTGATTTTTTTAAAAAAATGTAAAGATGTGAGCTGGACACGGTGGCACACACCTGTAGACTCAGCTACTTGGAAGGCCAAGGAGTTCCAGGCCAGCCTGGGCAACATCACAAGACTCCAACTTCTAAAAAAAGTTAAAGATGCAAGACTTAAAAATAAGTTTTTCAGTCCAGTCTAAATACATAAAAAGTCTAAACATCATAAGCTTTCCTTATTATTTCAGATTTATTCAGCATTGAAGTAGCAATTAATTACTAATAATACAGATCAGTAAGTCAGGTAAAATTATTTCTTAGTCTGGTGGCCTGTATGAATGTGCTATTAAATTAACCCACCTTTGAAATTACAAATATGATAAAAGTTTATTTTTCCTAGATGAAAACACATTTCAGTGGGACAGAGACTACTGGTCTGTATACTCACTGTAATGATCTAATAAGATAGACACTTGCCTAGGGTGCCTTGTGGAAAGTATCTGACTTTGGGCACAAAAATTTACTCTCACCAAAGGTGTTATAGAAGTGCCTTTTTCTTGGAATTAAATGCAATACAAATTGAGTTCACTCTCAGATATGTTTAACTCTTATTCTCTATATTACTTTGAAAAATGACCTCTCCTTCCCTTCTGTCTTCATATTATGGGACAAAATATACCACCACCAGGCAAGCTCTGTGTGTGGCTGCAGTATAGTTCTTATATCATGGCTGCACCCACAATTCCACCTGGTCTTCAGCTTACTTGCCCTCAGATTCTGAACATTACAGACAGTTTGCATTCCCCAAGGCCAAGATTATGGCTAATGGGTGGTAAGGAGAAAAGCACTTGTCATTCTCCAAAAATATGAGCTGCCAACAAAATGTGGATAAGCTCAAGGAACCATTTCCAAACATGGAAGCAGGACTGGATCAGATTGGGGCAGATGGAAGCTTTTCCCAGTTCTTGATTTTGCCAATCTCCCTAGCTGATTTCTCAATCACTCAACACATGATGAAAGGGGACAAAAATGATCTCTATTTCCAACACTTTGGAGCTATTAAAAATAGTCAAAGTTCTCCTAATAAAAATGTTAGAAAAATTAGGGATTTTAGGACTATTCTAAAACCCTTTATAATTAGGAAAATGTCCTAGCAGGGTTAATGTTTTTAGAAAGTAAGAACTGAATACTTTAATTATTATTATATTATTCCATGTGCTCCCAACTTTGCCTTCTCTGTAGGTACCCGTTATCGCTAGGTTTATATTTTGCTTTGCAGGAACATTTTTAGCTATTCACTGATTAATGAAAGGCACATCTGCCTCTAGTAAAAAAGCATAGTATGTCAAAGATGCATTAACAAGACTTCCTTTATAAATTGGCTATTTTCTATCACCCTGGGGCTACAGAGACTTAGTTTCATCTTGTTTTCCTATTACTTTTCTAATCATTTTTCTCTATTTCCTTTGACAGCTCCTTTTCAAAAAGCAGTCCCTCAGTGAGCTCATCTGCTCTCAGGAATTCATCCATTGCTGCTGTGCGGATGCTTCAAAGTCTAACCACATGAACCATCAGTTACCAGCCATCTACTACCTGATGAAAGGGAGCAAAAGCGAACACAGGGTGATTGCTCTTATGTGTGTCTTCAGAACAATAAGTTCAAAGATAAAAATTTTATCTTTCTGACCAACAAGATGGGCTGAACATCCCAAAGCCTCATTCTGTCAGTAGAGACAAGATTTAAATGGAGGTAACACCCACTAAAGAGCCATATACTGAAAATGGACAAGGGCTAGAAAAAATAAAAAACAAAAAACCTGCCTTCCTGGTGATACATTGCATCACTCTTGGCACCAAACATTTTAGGAATACTTAGTTATCTTCTATTGTTTTACATTTGTATGTCCGTGATTTGACAAATATTTATTGAACACTTACTCTGGGCCAGGTAGTAGTCTAGATGCAGGCAGGCAGCAGTGAATGTGAAAGACCTTAGAGAGCTTTACGAATTTAGAGAGAAAATGCTAACAATAAACACAAAAAATATAAGATAAATTAGAGCTATATAGGAAGTTAAAAATAGACTAACGTGATAGAGCAATGGGTGGAGGCTGCTCTAGTAAAGGTCGTTGGAGAATGCCTCTCTTAGGGGATACTATTTGAACGGACACCTGAGTAATGAAGACGCAGAGATGCAAAGATTTAGGAAAAGTATGTTTCAACCCAAAGTGAGAACATAAGGCTCTGAGAGGTGGGCAAGCTTAGCATGTCTGAAGAATGAAATAAAAGCCAGCGTGTCTGGACAGAGGTGAATGAGAGGAAAAGCCAGAGATGAGGCAGCAGAACAAGGCAGATCTCAGCTCCTGTGGAATCTGTAGGCTGGGGTTTCTCATCCTCGGCACTAGTGACATCTCATTCTCTGTTGCGGGGGGATATTCTGTGCAGTATAAGATGTTCAGCAGCATTCCTGGACTCTACTCACTAGAGGCCAGTAGGTTCTCCCTAGTAGTGACAAGCAAAATTGTCTTCAGAAGACATTGCCAAGTGTCCCTGGAGGGGTGGGGGGGGGGCGGTAAAATAGCCCCCAGTTGAGAACCACTGTTGCAGGCAAAGGTAAGAAATTTGAATATTATTAGGGGCGATAGGAAGCTAGTAGAACATCTTAGGCATGGAGGGATAAGAACTGAGTTAAACTTATGCTAGCTTCTGCGGAGAAAGGTAAGAGGAAATTTTGGCAGGGAGGAAATTAGAAGGCGACTATAACAGCCCAATCAGACATGATGAACTAAGGTGGTAGCCAAGAGGATTCATCTAGGAATTAGGCGGAGGGTGGTAAGAAGAAGGAAAGAATCAAGTATGCTGCTTAGACTCTCTCCTGGAGCCATGGAGTACTTGGGTCTAATCCCCAAGCCTGAGACATTAATGTCATTTACTGATAGGGAAGACTTGCAAGGAGATTTGTGAGCATAGGGGTTAGAAATTAAAAAATTATCCTAGCCATATTAAGTTTGAGACGCCCATTAGATATTCAAGCGGAGATGTCCAGTAGGCAGTTAGATGTCTCAGTATGGTACTCTGAGAAGTCAGGATTGGAGATTTAAATTAATGAGTCCCCTAGAGATGGAATTTGAAGATGAGAGATTAGATACATTTACCTAATATATTAGTTTCCTGCCACAGGAAACTAATTTTACAATTTTACATTCAATTTACGATTTTACCATTTTACATTCTCACCAGCAATATGAGCTAGTTTCTCCATATTCTTGCTAGTATTTGGTGTTGTCACTAATTTTTATTTTAGCAATTCTGATATGTATGTAGTGATATTGTCATTATTTTAATTTGCATTTCTCTAATGGCTAATGATGTTGAATATCTTTTAGATCTGTTTATTTTCCACCAGGATGGAAAATAACAAATGACTGCAAACTAGTGGCTAAAAACCACAGAACATTTTTTCATTCACAGTTCTGGAGTACAGAAATCCAAAATCAAGGTGTCAGCAGGGCCGCATCCCTCTGGAGACTAGGAGAACATTCACTTCTTGTTTCTTCCCACTTCTGGTGGCTGTCAGCAATCCTTGACTTGTGCCCTTGTGGCCACATCACTCCAAGCTCTACCTCTGTGGTCACATTGCCTCCTACTCTTCTATCATATCTTTCCTATGTGTCTCTTACAAGGATAGAACCCACCTGGATAATCTAGGCCCTCTCCAGCGCAAGTTCCTTAATTAATTACATCTGCAAAGGCCTCCGTCCCAAATAAAATAACACTCACAGGTTCCAGGAATTAGGACACAAACAAATCCTTTTGTGGGTCACCAGTCAATGTACTACACCGAGGGAGACAGTATAGCTAGAAAAGACAAAGGATAGAGCCTCGGAGATGCCAACAGATAGAAGTTGATAGATAGCTTTGTGCTGGGCTAAGTGAAAAAAAGAAAAAAGGTGATAGAGGAGGAATGAATGAGGAAAGTATGGCCAGGCAGTGCAGTGGTCACAGATGACCAGGGAGAGCGAGCCTCTAGTTCATGTTTCTTCTGAATCTCCTAGGTTTCTTGGATTTGCCCCAGAGAAAGTACACAAATACTCCTTGAATTGAAATAAATGTTTACAGTGATCTTTTTAAAAAGCACATTGTTCATGCCATTTAACTGCGTTAGGATTGGAAAAACCCACGGGTAATCACCCACATATTTATTGCTTTAGGTGAGCACCTGGAAAAAGTGAGAGAGAAGAAAAGCCCTTTTTTATTTTGTGCCAAGTTTTTACTATAATGGTAACCATCACTCTTCTTTTAATTCTTCATTCTCAAGCCTACAAAGGGCGAACATTTGAAACCTATTTAGCAAATTCTTTGGAACTGGCAGCAAACGTTCAAAGTTAAGTTTAGGATCCAAACCTCCGTGATTGGTCAGTGAAGTGAAAGAGGTGGGGAGTAATGATTCAAGGAACCTGCTTTCCTTTGATGTCCTGATATGGTAATCGGGAATATATCTTGATGCAATTAATATACTTCACTCTTGGGGAAAATAAGTTCATTGTCTTTCTGTAAAAATAATAGATTGAGTGTTACCAACAACTTTGTAGTCAATACATGTTGCCTTTACTAATTGATGAATAAACAGATCCTAAAATCCTTTGAATAGAAATATACCATGTAGGGTCAAAATGTCATCTGTCTTACCATGTAAACATTGATACCTTAGAGAAACACATTTTCAATCAAAGTAAAATTGGATTTATGGGCCCAGAATGCAGAAACATTGGTCTTGCCTCCCTCCCCACCAAAAAATCAGAAGTGGTTCCTTAGAGGCTAGAAGGGCACCATAGAACTTAACGCTCAAAATCTCTATGGGGAGCCATCTGAGGGAAATTTTCAACATTTCTCCTAACCAAGTCACCTTGCTCCTGGAAGAAACATGACGACCAAAGCAGTCTGTTTCCTGAGATGGCTGAAGACTATAGGAGGAGGTGCAAAGAATTTTCCAAGGTTTCCCTCTACTCACACAACTGTGGACACATTGCAACGCAGAGTTACTCAGGATCATCATCCCATCCACTGGAAATGGATCAGGGGTTGCAGTGTTGTGCTTTTGACCCCCCTCCTCCATTGCCCACCCTCACACCTACCCACCACAAGATCCCAACGGGTAAACACAGTAACTTAAGACCAAGACCTGCTTGTCTAGGTCCTTAAGCCTCCCAAGCAAGTATGAAATTTGTTAAATCACGGACTCTTTAATTCATTAACTTGGTGTACAAAGCTGAAGAAATGCATATTTCATACACGAAATAAGAAGACTTGAAGTAATATTACATATCTCAAAATATTTGAGGTTAAGTTTCATCTGCACTTTCCTCAGGCTAAATCACCCCGCCCCCAACCCCAACATACACGCACCGCAGGCATCCAAACCAATATTCTGACTTAAGAAAGTATGTGGATGGACTAATGCGAACATAAGACACATATTTTTTGAGATGTGAGAAGGATGAAAACAATGCCCACTCTTCAAAAATGCTAAGAGTAAAGTCCCTTGAAAGATGAAAAGTTAAAGCAGAAGAAGTGTCAAGACATTGCTGAGGCTAAGAAATGAGCACAACTTGCCAAAAGTCAAAAGTTCAACAAGCAGCTCTTTTATGTGTCTAGAGAATTAGCTCATCTCAGCACTGTGTTCTCCACATAAGTGGAGGGGGATTTTGGCAAGAAAAGTGGCTGCATATTCTTGACTATTCCCATCAAGCTCTGACGGGAGTGAGCAGCCATGGGTTCCAGTTCAGGCTCTGTGACCTTTTCACGTTGTGACTGAAACAAGTGTTTGCCTCTCTCTAAGGCCCTCTCTCTCCATCTGCGAGATAGGAGTAATAACAGACACGCTGAGTCATTTACAGGTTTGTTGTGAGGATAACATGTATTAGTGGAGATGGAAGAGCTTTGCAGAAGTTTGAAGATGCAAGTCATTTTATTACATAGTGAAAGGCATCAGGATGGAGACCTTGTGACACTATTTAAGGCCCCATAATCAGCTAGGACAATCAACATTCTTTCAACTCCTAAAACAATAATTAGAGTAGCTACCATGTATTTAGTGTATCCCATGAACAGAGTATTTAACAATAATCTTTTATTTATGGTTATTATGTCCACCTTTACAGATTAAAAAAACAAAAAGTCTGAAGAGGTTACGTGACTTTCCAAATCACAATTCTGGTAAATGGAGAGGGAGGGAGGCTATATCCAGATCTGATTCCAAAGCACATACTCTTACACAGTAGGTCATACTGGCCAAAGACCAGTGAGATGTGCAACATGGCCCCCAATTGCATGGGTGGGTGTGTTGACAGAACCCAGTCTACCTCTTCTCTTAACTAATCCTCAATAGATCTTTCAAATTAGAAGCATTCAGTAGGTCCCTGCCATGGAAGATCACAGAGAACATCCCTTGGGAGGAACCTCCTGTGTTTGTGGGGAATGGCTTTTCCAAATAAAGACCCAAGTTTCCAAGATCCATTAAATGGATGAGATTTGCCAGTGCACCCTTGGGGTTTATAATGCAAGTCCATAGCTTCTTATCACCATGTCACTTTTTTTTATTTTTTTTATTTTTTTTATTTTTTTTGAGATGGAGTCTCACTGTGTCACCCAGGCTGGAGTGTACTGGTGCAATCTCAGCTCACTGCAACCTCTACCTCCCAGGTTCAAGTGATTCTCCTGCCTCAGCCTCCCAAGTAGCTGGGATTATAGGCACCCACCACCACACCAGGCTAATTTTTATATTTTTAGTAGAGACGGAGTTTCACCATGTTGCCCAGGCTGGTCTCAAACTCCTGACCTCAAGTGATCTGCCCACCTCGCCCTCCCAAAGTGCTGTGATTACAGGCATGAGCCACCGTGTCCAGCCACCATGTCACCTTTTTGCCTCTATTCTCTATGTGCCTAAGGAAAAGGATATCAGAGTGAAAGCCACCCAAGCTCTACAGTTCAGAGACCATTTGATTTTACTGTGAGTTACACTTACCTCCCCAACTCCCACCAAGCTTTCTTCCTCTTGCGTTCTGAATATAGTGACTGCTCGATAAGCATTGCTGATTAATTGCCTGGCTAAGAATAAGGAATAATTGATTTACCCAATAGGAAATAATTTTGATTTTCACAAAATAAAAATAATTACAGTTAAAAAAGTTAAGTCTACTTATGTATATGCTATGTAATGTGAGTTTGCAGATTCAATTGTCTTTTTCTATGTTCTCATTCTCCTTTTTCTTCCTGCAACTTTTGGAACGGTTGACCACAATAGTTTTACCTTGAAACCATTTCCTTCATTAATACCCATGAAGCTTATGCTATCCTGGTTCCCCACAGCCTCTAGTTTTAGTGACTTTCTGGTTACTTTTGTAGACTTTTCTTTCTACTCTTCACACATGGACATTACCTAAGGTTATGTTAGCCCCCCAGTTTCTCTTTAAAATCAGTTCTTATTTATGATGATGACTTCCAAATCAGTGTCTTCAAAACCCCAATCTCTCCTCTCATTTCCAGTTTGTATCTACTTTTTCTTTGGATTCCATCTAACTGTTACCCAGGCTTAAAATTTTTGAAATAATCTTTGATGTTTTCCCTTAGGTTTTCATAACCACTCAGACAATTCCTACTAATTTTCCCTTAATAATATTTCTAGGATTGATGCCTTCCTTTTATTTATTTAACACATATCTATTAAATTCTAGGCCCTCATCTTGAAAAATGCACCAACTTCCAGGTAAGGCTCTGCTTCCTTTTTGTTATCCTTTATTTCTCTTGCACTCGGTTGCCAGACTAATATTCCCTCAAACATTTTTTTTTCATTTTCCCACTCTTGTTCTTGACCTCTTCAGACAACTCTGCTTTGTCTATGAAATGAAGTCCACATTCTTCACATGAGAGTCACATCATTGTAACATCTGGATTTAAGCAACTTTTCTAAATATATCTGCTTTCTCTACTTGAGACTGTTGCTCTGGGCACACTGGCCTTCCCACTATCTCCTATAATAATGCTTTGTATATTTCGGCTCAAACCTTTCTTCCTGCTGAGAATGCTTTCTATCCGCTACTTCTCTCATCCAATTCTGCCACTTTAGAAGGCCCAATTCAATAGTTTTCTTCCTAAGAATCTTCCCCTGATTACCCCAATCCACAGTAAAACAGGTAGGGGAAATGCATACTCTATATCTGCAGCTATTGCTATCTTAGAGGCCATGTGCCATCTAAGTACATAATATTGTGGGACAGTTCATATTGCTGAATTATCATTTCTATTTAGATTTCCCATTATGTTTCACTTTCTCTGAGGCTAGAAGCAGTTTGGCATGTTGTTAAAAAGCATGGAATCTGAATCCGGCTCACACCTGTGATCCCAGCACTTTGGGAGGCCCAGGAGGGTGGATTACTTGAGGCCAGGAGTTTGAGACCAGCCTGGCCAACATGGCAAAACCCCATCTCTACTAAAAATGCAAACGTTACCCAGGTGTGGTGGTGAGTGCTTGTAATCCCAGCTACTCAGGTGGTTGAGGCAGGAGAATCACTTGAACCCGGGAGGCAGAGATTGCAGTGAGCCAAGATCACACCACTACACTGTAGCCTAGGTGATAGAGTGAGACTCTGTGTAAAAAAAAAAAAAAAAAAAAAAATTGCACAGAATCTGGAGTCAGACTGTCTGGTGCAAGTCATTGTTTATTACCTGTATGGGCTTGGGCAATGTATTTTACTATGCCTAAATTTCCTAATTTGTAAAAATGGGGATCATATTATACCTCCCTCATATACTTATTGTGTGGATTAAATGAGTTAATCTGTGTAAAGTGCTTAGAACAGTGTTGGCACATAAAGTACTTTGTAAAAGCCAGCTATTATTCTCCCTCACAGACTCCCTTGTATATAGCTATATAGACAGAAAGAGAGAGAGAAAGATAAAACCATATTAGACAATGGTTTTTCAGATAAATCTATATCTGAAGGATACTTGATCAACTAACCAGTCGATTTGGAGAATGTAAAAATTTCATCTATTTCAAGAATACAAATAAGTATTTTCCCCCTGTGGCTCAGTTTTATGCCTGAATTATGCCTAGTGTGGCTTCAGCATGGGCAGCAGACTTATTTTCAGTCAAGACTTTGCCTAAAACTGAAATGCCCATTTTTGGTTGAACATCGTTTCACATTTGAGACCTACATAGTCCCTAGATGGCAATGCTGAGCCCATATGAAAGGGCACTTTGTATTACCATTTGTGTGCAGTTTGGAAGCAGGCTCTAGGACTTTTCCCATGCATAATCTTTCTGGAGTTACTGGAAAAAAAAGAAAGAGCGAGAAAAAAAAGAGAAAGCACTCTTAAAAAATGAAGATATTGAAGGCACATTTGGAGGCAAATTGTCAGTGTTTTAAGTGACTTTTTGTTTTAAAGATACAGACTACAAAATATGATTACATGAAAACCCATATATTTAAATCTTTTTAAAAACTGAAATGAAAGTACAGCTTTGTAATATAATAACTGTACTGTATCATGAAACCTGTATGTGAAGAACATTGGCAATTGCCAATGTTAAGAGAAATTAGGTGCAAAACTTGAGGAGAGAGCAGTCCCACATAGACAGACATATGCTAAATATCAGGAGGGCAGAGATAGACAAGGACCTGCAGAAATCATGGCCTTCTGGGGTAGAGGAAGAGGAAGCACATGACATAGATTTTGCTCCAACTTTTTTGCATTCTGATCTATTCCTCACCAAGCCCAGAGGGTCCAGTTTGTTAGAGAGGAGTTCACTGGAGAGAATCAAGAGAGATAAATATCCTTTATTCTCCCTGGAGCTCATCAATACCTTATTTTATGCTGGCTTATGAGCTTCACACTGGTGATCTTTGGCAATCTACATTAATTCCTAGGAATCTAAAATAAGCATTGTGATTTTGCAGTTATACATGCAAATTATGAAAATGTAACAGATATTTCCATATGGTACAAAGTGTTGAAAGCCTCATGGTGTGTGCAATTCTGAGTAATTTTTAATTATCAAAAAAAAAAAGGCTACAGTTCAAGGAAGATTGAGTCCTCCAGAGTCTCTCCTTTTCTTGGCTGAAGTTGATAATACCTCTGCCACTCATTTCTGAGAACCCTATACCATTAGTCATTAACTCATTCAAATAGCCAATGGATGTGTAATGAGCACCTGTCCTATCCCCCGCACTGGGCAATGGGGGATACAGTGATACGACTAAGTCATCACTGCCCTGCTCAGGGGTTAGAATCTGACACAAACTTCAACAAAGAATTTACAATTGTGATGAATCCTACGAAGGGAGACGTTCAGGGTATAAAAAAACCATGAAAACAATGGTGTGCTCATTAAAAGCGTCAAATTAGAATCAATGCAGGAAAACTTGTGTTATTGTTCTCTAAGCTCTCAACATCGTTTGGATAAATCAACCAAACAACGTGAAGATGACCAACGTGTTTAAACTCATACTGAGCCTTTAAAAAAGGGCTGTCTTCCTGTCCCTTATATACTTCAATCAAGTGAAGTTCCAAGGTCACTTCTGTTAGTTACATTGAGGGAACTATAATCTTGTTTTCTTTCTTTTCACATAAAATTCTCCTACAGAAAGGCAGAAAGACATATTTAAAGGAAAGAATTTGCAGGATTCAGGGTTAGAATCCTGACTCCACTACTCTGATTCTGTATAATTTTTTAAAAATTATCTCTCTGACCTTCAGTTTTCTCCTTTAGAAAATTGGTATCATAATAATTCCTTCCGAGGTTGTTATACTATTAGAAATAAAGTTTTGTAAAGCACCAGCACACTGTCTGATGCATAAAGCTCTTAATAAACAATATATATTGGTATCATTGCTGAGAGAGCAAATCCTCATTTTTGAACAAATGTGCTAAATTGTTCTATCTAGAATGATGAATGAAGTACCTACTATCCAATGTGATTAACTAAAATACCAACAATAACAATTGAAATAGTAAAATATAATATTCATGTTTGCAGTTTGGTATTACATTATTTCTGATATTTTTACCAATTTTACCTGTCTTACTAGAATGAAATTTGAGAATTGTATATAAAATTAATTAGAGTTAATTCAAAATACATAATTACAAGTAACTTGAATTCATACAGAACATCTGCTTTTCTTGTGAATTAAAAAGTTTACACATGGCACATATATACATATGTAACAAACCTGCACATTGTGCACATGTACCCTAAAACTTAAAGTATAATAATAATAAAATAAAATTTTAAAAAAAGTTTACTCTTAGATATGGAAAAAAATAAAAAAGAAGTGATTTTACTAAATTTCATTATCAGAAGAAGGAACAATCCTCTATGTGGTAAATGAAGTCTTGATTAATTTAACTATCTCTTTCCATTGAAAATACCTATTGCTGTGGATAGACAGATTGCATACATCGTCTGTAATTGATCTTCACAATAATCTTCAAAGTAGTGCAAGGGGATTTCCAGTCCCTGCTTGTAATTATTCCAGAGCTGGGAGGTTGGGGACTCATGCACTTCTCTCATAACCCTTCACTCACTCTTCAAGACAGAGGATAATTGTCTTGCCTGATTGTTGAGACTAACAGAAGGGACTGAGAAAGCCTAGCTCAGGTCAGTCCCTTTTAAGACTCCTTACTTGGGTTGTATTCTCAGCTATATTTGGAAGAGTGGGCCCTCTCCTTTGCCTGAGACTGGAAGGAGAAGTTTAATTCTGGGATGAAATATTAAAAAGTTCATTGTGGTTGCACATCTTAGCCACATTCTCAAATTCAGCTTTAGCTTCTTAAAAAAGTTTATATTTTAATCTTCAACTATTTCCTACGTTTTTCAAATTATTTCTAGCCTCCAGAGTGGTATTACAACATGAATTTTATTATGAAAAATTCACGTTTGGAAAGGTAACATGCTAGTACTAAATACCTGGGTTAGATTTTCAGCCATGGCCTATATTACTATAAAATTTAGATTTTTTTGATACAATGTTGTATTCATTTTGTTGAGCAGTAAAAATAACAACTACAACAATAACAAAACTCTTCATACTTTTTGAAACTACAGATTTTTGCCCTTGGGTCCCAACAAACTTGCTGTTTCTTCATGTACTGGCATTGTCTGGTGCTATAGTCTGAATGTCCTCCAAAATTCATGTGTCAAAACTTAATTGCCAGTGTGATTGTATTAAGAGGTGGGGCCTTTAGGCAGTGACTAAGTCATGAGGACAGAGCTCTCATGAATGGGATAAGTGACCTTATATAAGGGCTAGAGGGGACCAGTTCTCCCTTTCCATCCCATATGAGGACACAGCATTCTCCCCCTCCAGAGGATGCAGCAACAAGGCAGCATCTTGGAAGCAGAGAAGGGGCCCTCCCCAGACAGATACCTGCTGGCACCTTGATCTTGGACTTCATAGCCTCCAGAACCGTGGTATTTTTAGCAGCACAGACAAACTAAGATCTGTGGTAATAGAAAGTATCTAAACTCCCATCAGTTACACACTGTCTGTATAGACCAAGCACACAGAGAAATAAGACAGGAGATATAAATAGCAAGACCACAATGTCAATAAAATCCTGCCTCCATCTGCCTCCTCCCAACAAGTTTCACCATTTAGGATAGGTAATTTCTCTTGACTTATGTATACAATGGCATGAAGACTTCAATATCTTTACACTGGTTGTGTAGAAATGGACCAGATTTCATTGCACCCAGTTATATTTCTTCATGACATTTGGATAGCTTTCTCCTTTTTCACAACCAATCGAGTTTATGGATCTGAATTTCTGAGACTCAACCTTTTATTAACTATAAAACCCTGTTTTAACAATATTATTTTCTGTATTCTTATGCTCTGGCATGTGGGACCTCACTAACCAAGGAGAGACTGGCCTTCCAAGGCTTAGGTGATTCCTAGAGATAGTCCACTTGCCTGTGAGCACATTTTCATAAGTAAGCCAACCAACCCTGAGTCCACATTCCCACTGCCTCCTCTACCTGGCTCTGACACTCCAAGAAGCAATATTCCTCTGTCCTAGTCACCCTAGCACCAGGTACCAGACAGTTGGGGACCATTCTTATAACCCAGAACCTGCCAAAATTATTTAAATTATCAAATCCTAAGCCTATTCAGCTACTCCCCTTGCTTGGCGCATTCCTTCCTGTAGAAACCACAATACAGGCTCTTGCCCATGCCTTCTGCTCTCTGCTTCTGCTTCTGACTGACCCTGGTGTTTCCCTGGGCTGTCCTGTGTGGCCCTACCCTTGGGAACTGTGAGTAGCAAACTATCTTTTCAATGGTAATTATCTCCTGATCTGTTGGCCTCGCTATAACTGAACAAAATAAAATCCCAGATACATTTTAAAACAAACCTATATCCTTGCAAAAGATTATATGCAACCATTGGTATTTAAATATACTTGCCTTTTGTGGGTGTTATACACTAAAACTTATTACAAATTAATGAAATGATGATTTTCTAAAATTCTTTAGAAAAATAGTATTATTGAGAATGGAATGTGGCAGTTTTCTATTGTGATTTCTTTTAACAGAATGTCATCTTTTTCAAACTTGGTTAAATGCATCTGACAATTATTTAACGTGAAAGCAATTTAAAGCTAAAGCTACCTAGTGGCCTCATAGCTTCAAATGGAATTTTTTGTAAGCTTCATAAAGACAGTAACTTTCATTATAAATCATTTTGAAAATAGAGTTGAAACAAAAATCAAGTAAAACTAATTATATTTGTGATTTGTATTCTGAAAAAAAAGTGCAGGGTAATGACGATCGACTTGATAGCATGTGTAGAAGCCCCTAGTTCAGTGATTGACATGTAATAGAATATTTCATTTTATTTTATTTTATTTTATTTTTTGAGACAGAGTCTTGCTCTGTCGCCCAGGCTGGAGTGCAGTGGCTTGATCTGGGCTCACTGCAACCTCCACTTCCTGGGTTCAAGCGACTCTCCTGCCTCAGCCTCCCGAGTAGCTGGGATTATAGGCATGTGTCATTACACCCAGCTAATTTTTGTTTTTTTTTTTTTTTAGTAGAGACAGGTTTCACCATGTTGGCCAGGCTGGTCTCGAACTCCTGACCTCAAGTGATCTGCCCATCTGGGCTTCCCAAATTGCTGGGATTATAGGAGTGAACCACCACACTTGGCTGTAACATAATTTAAAGATGCTATTTTTCTCTACCAATACCTGCAAGAGCATTCAACTAGATTTGCATTTTGGAAGGAAGTTGGACTACCAAAAGCCATAGCAGCAATTTCATAGGGTTAGGGTAGTGTTTTTCAACTTTTTTTCATTATTACTTCCTAGGGAGTCTTTTTAGACTTTTGTTTTTCTAATAATCTCCTGCCACCACCCCACCATGAAATGCAAATGCTTCGGATCTGCCGTATAACTGTTTATCTATTGTGGCTCTCTAGAGGTCCACGAACCATTGTCATTCCTACAATTTTTTCACCACCACCACATCAACTTTCATGCTCCTGGGGGGACATATCACTCCCATTGACAAAGCATCCTTAGGCTTGCCAAAGGTTCTTGGCTACACATTAGAACTACCTGGAAAGCTTTTAAATTCCAAGGCCCTACTCAGAGATTTTTATTTGTCTGCAAGGAAACCCAGGCTTTCTTATTCTAAAACCCTCCAGTGGGTAGATTAAGGAAGATCCTTCACCACTGAGCACAGAGGAGCAACTCTAACTGCAGTGAATGCTTTAAGCCCATGCAAGTTAACTAAGTATATAATTGGGGTATTTGTCCCCTCCAAATCTCATATTGAAATTTAATCCCCAACTGGAGGTGGGGCCTAGTGGGAGGTGTCTGGATCATGGGAACGAATCACTCATGAATGTCTTGGTGCCTTCCCCACAGTCATGAGTCAGTTCTTGCTCTATTAGTTCACATAAGAGCTGGTTGTTTAAAAGAGTGTGACACCTCTTTCCTCTCTCTTTTTCCTTCGCAATTGATGCCTGCTCCCCTTCCCCTTCCACCGTGTTTGAAAGCTTCCTGAGGTCCTCACCAGAAGCAGATGCTGGTGCCACACTTCCTGTACAGCCTGCAGAACTGTGAGCCAAATAAAAACTCTTTTCTTTATAAATTATCCAGCCTCAGGTATTCCTTTATAGCAACATAAAAGAAAGACACCAAATAAAATGAAATGCTGGGTTTGGAATTTACCTTCATTAAGTAACGTAAATTGATAGGCATTGATTCTTTCACACTACAATAAAAACTTGTGTATTTATATGGATTCCCCATGTAGACTCAGAAAATGGTTGTTGAGTGTCTGCTTCTTTTCTTCCTTAAGAAAATGGACATTTTAGTCCTACTGCTGAGTTTTACCCTGTACTTGGTTAATTGGTTCTTCATTCTGTTCCTATGAACCAAAATGTTAACAAATCGGATCTTATTAGTGCAATCAACTAATTAAAATTTTTCATCTTTTGAAAACCACTATTGGAAATATGAAATCAGACAGAGCGCAACACCAAACATTTTGAACCTCTAGTTACAAAAATTCTAGAGAGGGAAAAAAGTGTTTTTTTTATTCTTTTACTTACTAACTAACCAAATTAACTAACCAAAAAAGTTTCCTTTTGGACCATTATGGACATTTAATATGATTTCTGCTTTCCTGGAAATATCAAACATTAATCAGATCCCCAAAACTAAAGTGGCATTAAGCAATGAGAGTCATTTGGACAATACTAATGGTATCCAGTCTACTCATTATTATTTAAGTCATGTCAATTTTGAGCTACATTGTCCTAAAAGTTAATATGTAGGCATATATTACTTATATGTACATACACATATTATATAGACACAAACACACACACACAGTGCTATGAAAGCATATGCCAGAATTAAACTGCCACATTTTCTTAAGTTGTTCTCATTGTTGATTTAATTTTACATATGGTTCGAAACAGCCTTTTAACAAGAGAATCAATTCTAAAGCAGAAGTGTGATGATTACTTCTCCTGGGCTAGGTTTTATTAATATTATACCAATTCTGCCCCGACAGGGAGAGGAAGAGGGCTGAAGATGACAGAGGTTAAACAGCAGAGTTCAAGGAAATAAACTTATTGCAGGTGGCTTTAATCAAACTTAAGAGGACTGGAACTGAAGGTCATTCTCCTCCTCTGCACTTCAAGAGGAAATACTGCTTGAAATAAGGCTCAGGCTGTTGACATGAACATACTTAGAAAATAATATTGTATGGGAATCCAGGCATAGAAACAAAGTGCTGTGTCCCATTTGCTATATAGCTTAAGGGAAAGGCTGTGCCACATTACGTGTCTCATTGCCCATAAAAGGTAGTATTACTCTGCTCACAACCTATTGTTCGAATATGCATTGTGCCTGATGTAAACCATTTCCCTATCAGGCTGTAAAAGAGATAGTACAGAGATGACAGAGAAGTGTATCATGAGAAATTCTGAACTTCACAGAATTCCATATGCTTTAAGATGAATTCAACTGACTTAAAGCCAAGCAACAATGTAATCCCTTGTAAAACATAAAACACCAATGAAATATTCATTTTGATAGAGCAGATTAGGAAGAGGATTTGGTTCAAGAATTTTAGCTGTGACTTCACAAAGTCACAGGAAAGCAACTGTGACTTCCTGAAAGCAACACAACTAATAAGTTCAGTGAAACAACTTGTCGATTCAAAGGGCTTGACCCAAAAGTCCAAGCCTAAATATATTTCTTTTAATGACACTAATTTCTACAGGGAAAAAACCTTTATTAATTTCACTCTTAAAACACGCATAGCATTCTCTCAAGCACTTTGTATAAGGTGTTTAGGAAAGAGGGCATGCTAAATTATTTTATCTTGGATTTGAAATGTTAGAGTGAAATTATAAGGAGACTAAAGTACTTTATTGTAACTTTCTAGGACTTTACAATCTCTAACAATATTAATCAAGACATAAATGTACCAATTCTAAAAAATAAAGAACATAAAAGGGATCATCAGTTACTGCTTTCATGTTATATTTAGAATACAGCAGAGAACGAGCGAACGATGTGTAGGGCTTTCATAGGAAAGCGGAGGCTGACCATGGTCTGATCGCCGGACTGTGGAATCCTTCAAGAGTTGTTCCATTCTTTTTGGGTGGCAGATTTCTAAAACTGGGTTACAGAAAGAGTAAGACTCTCACTGACCTTTCCTAATCACCAGCCAGCTGTTTTCAAAATAGTATGGGAGGTCACAAAACAGCCCATCTTGAGCCCTCATTTTGTCAAGAGTGTTGCTTTTAACGGATGCCTTCCTTACTTTTCTTCCTAAACCTTTAAAGTCATGTCTCATACAGAAAATAAAACCATATACATTACGGTAGGATACACATTTTTA
This sequence comes from Homo sapiens, assembly GCF_000001405.40. Lineage (NCBI taxonomy): Eukaryota > Metazoa > Chordata > Mammalia > Primates > Hominidae > Homo > Homo sapiens. The sequence goes on along the minus strand of NC_000004.12, from coordinate 118,946,245 downwards.
AGGTTATGGCATCTGGACCCACTTACAGTATTTCATGTGGGGAACTTCTTAGATATAAGTCGTCCTCCCTTTTTTTTTCTTTCAATCTGCCTCTGGTTAGATGATGATGTGATGCTGACATTCCTTGATCCACAATGCCCTACACTTATGTCATCTTGCTTTTTCCAGGTATTTTCCTAATAGTGTTAAAGAAAGTGTTATTGGCCAGGCGTGGTGGCTCACGCCTATAATCCCAGCACTTCGGGAGGCCGAGGCGGGCAGATCATGAGGTCAAGAGATCGAGACCATCCTGGCCAACATGGTGAAACCCCTACTCTACAAACAATACAAAAATTAGCCAGGTGTGGTGGTGCGCGCCTGCAGTCCTAGCTACTCGGGAGGCTGAGGCAGGAGAATTGCTTGAATCCGGGAGGCAGAGGTTGCAGTGAGCCAAGGTCACGCCACTGCACTCCAGACTGGCAACAGAGCAAGACTCCATCTCAAAAAAAAACAAAAAATAAAAAAAGTGTTATTTAGTCAAGTAGCTGCCATCAAGACAGCTATAAGAAAAACTTTTGAGGAACAAATTGTTGGCTATTTTGACTACATGTATATAGTACCCTAGTTTTGAGGTAGGTATGTTGTGTTATGAAACTTTGGAAAATAAATATATAGGGCAATTCTGGACAAATCATCTTGCTTTTTGAAATCTGCAAACCAATTATCCTGGGATGTCATGTCTTGATTTCTAGCATTTTTATCTTAATAGATAAAACAAATACATCTCACTTTCTTCTCCCAGGTAAGATATGTTTCAGTGTCACCTGCCTAAGATATAGTTAGTGTGTTTTTTTCTTTAACTCATTCCCATTTGGGGGCATTTGCAAAGGGTTATGTCATGGATAATTTCTTTCCTGCCAATATTTTCTTAAAGTAATACTGTATTGATCTTTGGCAATTAAGCTGATATAATTACACATCTTGTATCAAAATTCTTTGTGTTCTTTGTACATTTTTTAAAACATGATCCTCTGCAAAAAGTACCAGTGGATAGGAAATAAGTTAAAAAGACAACATGACTCTGAAACATTGTCAGAAAATACTATTCTAGGAACTTTTGGTAGGTGCGAATAATAATGGCTCACATTTATTGAGTGTTTATGCTTGGCACAGCATTAAGTACTGTACTTCATTACCATTTAATAAACAGAAATGCCAGAAGATAAATACCATAATTATGCATGTTTCAAGTTTTATTAAGGAGCTGAGGTTCAGAGAGGCCAACTAGTCCAAGGTCATGCACAAGTCAGTGGTAAGGTAGGATGTCAACAAAGATCCTGACTGCAGTGCTTAACCACCACACCATTCTCTCTCTTATCTGTATAACACTAGCTCCTGATTGATGGTATATTTTAAATGTTAACTTTCAGCTAAACTCCACCACTGGGTATTTTTCAGGCATTCTATAAAATTGTTAGATACATCATACAAAGCCATTGAAAAACTACATAAGGCAATTATTTCCTTGTGCAAAGACATTAATTATCAAAATATTTCTCCTAAGAGAACTGAAACAAACATTCTAAGCATGATGGATTAAAGTTTTAAAAGTTATATTATTATTGGGTGTTTTTTTTGTAATTATTACTAGTTGGTAAAACACGGCCTGAACCATCGCCGTAACATAGAGCATCTAACTCTAGTTTGAATCAGCGTTAACAGTCAGTGAGTGGCTTAGCTTAGTTTTGGCTGATATTTGTTGCTATTTGACTCAAGTTGTTCTGCTACTCCCAATATGGATATGTCCATTTATTTTATTTATTTTGGTGGAGCCATTGCTTTATTTTTACTGTAGATATTCCAAAAATAATTAAGGAGTTAGCTAAGAAACTGGGGTTGGGGTAACTTGATTTCCCCAGGACTAAAGAGTTTCCCAAGAAGTATGAGTTTCAATTTTAGCACCAGGACAGTCCCAGGCAAACTGCAATGAATTGGTAGTCTACTGCGAGTAGACTGGTAGCATTATTTTATTAATTATCCTTTTATAACACTAATCTATCTCAAGTACACTTAATGTGCACTTGATTTGACACTAAAAAGCCATCCTAGATTAAGCCTATGTGGCCAAAGTAAAGCTGACATCAAAGAAAAGAACTTGAGGATAAAATTCTTGCCTAATCTAGGAATTCCCAGATTTTGAAGAGTAGTATCACAGCTTAGAAATTAAACTTTAACATGTAAAAAGCACAGTAATATCTTTAATAAACATCTTAACAGAAATTTGGTTGTACACAAATGTGGCGTTACTTCCACGTAGGTATGTAGCACTGAAAGCAACATAACTGTCAAGTAACGTTTTGCTAACACACACACCTCAATATGAGTGTTCCTCCTGAAACAGTCACCTTGAGAGGTACACACTTAGCACAGTGATGTTGATTTGGCATAAGACATTTCTAACACTCATTTTAAAATTGCCTTTAGAGTCAGATTTACTTAATTTATAGCCTGTCCTCAATTTTTATGAAAATGGCATTGGGAGTATGGATGACTTTCCTTATTCATCTTATATAGGGTTCAAGTAACTTAATTTTTTCCTAAAACCAAATTCCTGCCTCAGAGGGCAATGTTTACTACCACTGATGATATTCAAAAGAGCATGACACATGAAGACAGTTCCAAAAAGATATGACAGCATCTCTTTGATCAACGGCAGCATGTTAGCATGAAAAAACAACTCAAATTTTAAAGAGAGCAACTTTGAAGTTATAAATTCTATATAATTGTTCCCTTCCCCCACATCACTTATGTTAATTTAGTCATACCTTTTAACTGTCAGCTAAAAAGCCTATGATTTTGGTTCTCATGCTAAACCCTGACTTCAGCATTGTCATTCCATGTCTCAATCTACCTAATTATTTGCTCTGATACCGAGCCCCTCTCTTGTAGCTTGCAATGTTTTCTCCTCTGAAAATTACTTTTCCCCTTAGGGCTGCTGTCTTTACTTCTAAGATATCAGCAAGTTACCTTGTAATTGCTTCATGGAGAAGTCTGGGGACATGGTTGGTTGTGTGAGGTCTTTTTAGGTAAACTTGTCAACACACCATCCTTTAATAAAGTTTTTTTTCAACCTCAACACTATTGACTTTTTTTTTTTTTTGAGATGGAGTCTCGCTCTGTCACCCAAGCTGGAGTGCAGTGGCATGATCTTGGCTCACTGCAACCTCTGCCTCCCAGGTTCAAGAGATTCTCCTGCCTCAGCCTCCCAAGTAGCTGGGATTACAGGCGCATGCCCCCATGCCCAGCTAATTTTTGTATCTTTAGTAGAGATGGAGTTTCACTATGTTGGCCAGGATGGTCTCGAACTCCTGACCTCAAGTGATCTGCCTACCTTAGCCTCCCAAAGTGCTGGGATTATAGGTGTGAGCCACTGCACCTGACCAACTGACATTTTAGGTTAGATAATTTTTTGTTGTTAGGGGAGCTGTCCTGTGTATTGCAGGAAGTTTAGCAGCATCTCTGGCCTCTATCCACTAGATGCCAGTTGTGACAACCACAATGTCTCCGGTCATTGCCAAATGTCCCCTGTGGCAACATTATCCCCAGTAAAGAACCATTGGCTGACACAGGGATGTAGAGATGAGTCATTCTCTTTATAGGGTTTTAAGTAATACATTATACTGCTGAGCCAGATTAAACTTTGAAAGGAAAGAAAAAAACCCTCACATTTAAAGTAAATGAAAATATGTTTTAATTAATTGATAGAGCAAAATCTAAATTTAGAAAAAAATGTTGTGCTTTCCAGGTGAAACACGAACTATGTATACAAGATAGAAAGCTGTCCATTCATTCTTTCATTCAGTCAATATTTACTGAGCATATACCAAGTGCCAGAGACCCCATGCCGGGCACAGGGGTTACAGTGGTGAACAAGATAGACAGATGTCTGCTCTCAAGAAACAACATAGCAAGTTTGGGACATGTGTTACAATATAGTGAGATACGTACCTTCCCACAATAGGTGGTAGAGTAGTGCATTTATTAATCATGTTTTTTATATTCTGTATTTTATGATGTTTTGATATTTTGATGGAATAGAAAGGCTTGAGGGCTGGGGAGAGACTGTCCTTCCCAGAGCTAGTTAATTCCTAATATGATAAATAACTTGCCGTCCAGTATTCCTTTCATATGTAAACCAAGCATTAGTGAGTCCATCTCCCTAACCACTTCCTTTATCTCTCACACACTAAGCCAATATTTCCTGCCCTAAATCAACACAGGACTAGAAACCCAGCCAACCAGGGATAGCTCCTATGTCCCAAAGCCTGCCAGAATTATTAAAACTGGCTAACCCTAAACTGTTTCCCCTGACTCGCCTTGCCTTTCCTACGGAAAACACAGTAAAGGCGGTGGCCTCTGCCTTCCCCTCGTTCTTTTCTGCTTTCTGAATGGCACTGGTGTTTCCCCGTGTGGTCTGCATAGTGGGGCTGCCTCCTCCTTTCGGGAAATGTAAGTCATAAAAAGCTTAGTGGCATGAGCCTCTGCCTCTCCATGTTATCATTCAGTCACCTCTACAAATTAAAATCATTGAGACAAGAAGCAGACAGAAAGGGGACCCTATCCCAGTCAGAGGGGCCAGAAAAGCTTCCCTGAGGAAGGATTAGAGTCAGTAAGGTGAATACATGAGAAATAAATGTCATCCAAGGATAAAAAATGTATAAATGGCCTGGTATAGGCAAGTTGCAGTAGGAGACTGGGAGGGCAGATTCATTTAGGGTGTTTATCTTGAAGGCAATTGGAAGCCATTAAATATTTGATTCAGGTGGTCAGGTTTGATCTCTCTTATTAGGAAGATCCTTCTGGTTGCATTGTGAGGAAAGAGCTGGACAGATGCCAGTTAGTGGACTAGTGAAGCAATGTAGGAAAACATTGACAGTGTCCTGAATGCAGTTGGTGACTGGGAATGAACAGAACGTGACAAACTGGAAAGATGTTCAAGATGAGGAACTAAGTAGAGCTGATGAATTGAAAGGGAGGAGGAGAAAGGAAGAAGTCAAGGTTTCTGGCTCAAAAACCTGACTAGATTTGTCTGGTAGTGTCTTTCACTGAGACAAAGAACCCAGGAAGAGAATCCAATCTGGAGGGAAGGTTGAATTTGAGGTGTCTGTTAGACATGAAAGTCGACATGTCCAATACTCAGTTGGATGTGCTGCTCTGGAGCAGGGAAGAGAGATGCTCTACAGGTGGAACATTTACAAATTACGTCCCAGTGATTTTAAACTCACTTACAAGGAACAGTAACGGCAGCTATGAGATGACCCTGAAAGAGGGAGCTGAATGAAGAGTCCAGGGCAGAACCCGGAGGAGCACCAACATGAATCAACAGGAACAAGAGGAGTCCTCAAAGCAGAGCGAGATGGGGGTGACAGGAGAGAGGTGGGAGGTGGGAGGAAAAGCATTGTCTGGAATGCTCTCACTCCTCCACTTCCTCCCAGCCTCACTCTGTCAGTGTCCCCTTCATCATCTGAAAAACCATCCTGTCCAGCGTCTTTGTTGAAGACTCAGCCCCAAGCATTGCTTCTTTTGGGTGCTTTCCCTGACTACTCCCAGGTAGGGGTGGGGGTCCGACCGCACCCCTTACAGCACCGACCTCATCATACTAATGTCTCCCTCAGTGGCAGGGACCAGTTTTCTCACCATCTTGTCCTCAGTCCAATAACGAGCACATAGTGGGTATTCAATACATATTTGTCAAATGAATGAAAAAAAAATGAAAGCTTGCATGCTTTCACAAGTTGTAAGGCAGTCCTTTGGGTAATTAGCTGAAAACAGTTTACTCTTATTTCAGAAGTAATTCTAATGTTTTCTAACCCACAGATGTTTAGAAATAGAAAATTAGAGGGGAGAGAAGACAGAACTAGAAGAGCACATGCTCACACACACTGACAGAAACGCTGAGAGCTTAAAAGAGAGAAAAGGCGGCCAGGCGCAGTGACTCACACCTGTAATCCCACCACTTTGGGAGGATCATGAGACGGACGGATCATGAGGTCGAGAGATCGACACCAGCCTGGCCAACATGGTGAAACCCCGTCTCTACTAAAAATACAAAAATTAACTGGGCTTGGTGGCGTGTACCTGTGGTCCCAGCTACTCGAGAGGTTGAGGCAGGAGAATCGCTTGAACCCGGGAGGCGGAGGTTGCAGTGAGCCAAGATTGCATCACTGCACTCCAGCCCGGGGACAGAGCAAGACTCCATCTCAAAAAAAAACAAAAAAAAAAAAAAAAAGAAGAGAGAAAGGGCTAAAAGGCTAAAATGCTTTGTGTGTGGCACTCTAATGCCCTTTAGTGCCAAGCCAGCACATTCACACAGTTTAACAAAACACAGTTCAAAAAGTGATATTACGTGAGAACACTGAGTCTCTAAGGAGCTTAAACCATGACGGGTAACTCTATTAGGGAAGTCAGGCAGCATATGTAAATTTTTAATAGATCTATAATATGATGGCAATTATTTTTAGTTTTTAAAGTGAAGATTATGTGCATTTCAGAAAGATTCAAAATTTAAAAGTCATGATGCATTTTAGCTTCACTTGCAGTCACCTGGAATATGAGCACTATGTGGACTGGCTCACTCTCTCATAATAGGAGCGCCACACACACAAGTTGCTGCCATACGTGGATAGGCATTACTCAGAATTACAAAACGGAATCTCTTGCCTTTCTCACGTATAAACTCATGAAGACAATGTTTCTTACAAAAGCCTACAAAGCTTAACACAGCATTTGCAAGTGGCTACCTCATTGTTAGCAATGTCTTCTTTGTTGGAGTAAGCAAGAATTTAGGAAGATGCCACCAACGCCAAGTTCCCTCTTCATCCTTCACAGAACAGCACGCAAGTACTTCTCTGTCCTCTCCAGTTAGCTTGAGCGTCGCTCAGCAACTTAAGACTGTGCTCTTGGATATTAAAATAAAGCTCACTCAAAAAATATTCCTAAATAGGACACGACGGTTAAACTGGCAATGCTATAAATATTACAGGACCAAAGTGTATTTTTGTCTTCATTTCTCTATGCCAGACACTGCTAAACCAACTGTGCACACACAAACTTCTTTGTTGTTGTTGTCAAGGAGAGTATGCAGCTTCTTTAGGACTATTTTAAATTCGGTGCCTCATTTCACATAAATATTTACCCAAAGGAAGGTGTCTGACAGTGAAAATCTGTACACCATCATAATCCTTTTACACAGGGCAGCATTTTTACTGTACCCTGATGAAGGTATAAAAAGCTCCTCCATGGAAATACCATTAAGAAGACAGTGAATATAGAGAGTAAAAAAGGAAAGGTTATCATTATCTCCAGAAGGTGAAGTTTATAAAAATAAAATTTCTTTGTCAAGAGGCCCAAACAGAGTGCTCTGTGTATGAAATATGCTCAGCTCAGCAATCTCAATGGAAAAAACAGAAAGTAATGGTGACTTATTTTTCAATGCATCTGAAAGTAAGTACTTACATATCTCTTACAAATTGTTTAAAAACTCAAATATTTTAAGACAACCTCTGAAATGGAGACTAAGTTATGTATTAGGATGGCTAGCCTGAAATATCTGACAGTTTTAAAAAGTACTGAGGGAAAACCACAGGGAAGCTACCAGTGAAAACAATTTTTGTAGCACTGTTCTAATTTGAATAACAATAACTTCTTAGAATTATTCAAGAAATAGCTATTATTTCCTACTGACTTTTGCCTACAATATGTAAGCATCTTAAAACAATAATAATATACAGTTGGCCTTCCATATTTACAGTTTCTGCATCCATGGATTCAACCAAACAAAGATCAAAAATATTTGGGAAAAACCCAACAACAATAAAAAATAACGATATAACAATTCAAAATAATGTACACATATATATATAAATATACATATGTTTTCTTTAAATTGAGATGGAATCTTGCTCCGTCAGCCAGACTGGAGTACAGTGGGGCGATCTCAGCTCACTGCCAACCTCCACTTCCCGGGTTCAAGCAATTCTTGTGCCTCAGCCTCCCAAATAGCCGGGACTGCAGACTCCTGCCACCCGGCTATACAGCCTACCGCCTGGCTAATTTTTTGTATTTTTTAGTAGAGATGAGGTTTCGCCGTGTTGGCCAGGTGTGCTTGAACTCCTGACCTCAGGTGATCTACCTGCCTCGGCCTTCCAAAGTGCTAGGATTACAGGTGTGAGCCACCGTGCCTGGCCCAAAATAATATTTTAAAAATAAAATACAGTACAACAACTATTTATATAGCATTTACACTGCATTGGGTAATATAAGTAACTAGAAATGATTTAAGTATATGGGAGGATACATATAGGTTATATGAAAATACTATGCCATTTCACACCAGGGACTTGAGCATCCTTAGATTTTGGTATCCAAGCAGGGTCCTGGAACCAATCTTCCACAGATACCAAGGGACAACTGTACTAATAACCATTATAGATTGAACACCTATTATGTGCCAGGCACTCTAGTATTTTACAAGGATTTTGTGATTGATTCTTGCAATAATCTTTTTTTAAAAGTTATATTTTTTTTTCTTTATTGTACAGGTGAAGAAACTGAGGCTGAGTATTCAAGGTCAACTGCCAAGTGAGAGCACAAGGATTCAAACCCAGGCAATCTGATTACACCCTGGAGATCCAGCAGTAGGCCAAGCCACTTCTCCTGTAGTTTATGGTCTACTGTCTGAGGCAGACTTTAGACACATAAGCAGTACACATGTAGGTGCTCCAAAGGAAAATTAGAGGATATTTTTGGAGAATATAACATGGGGTCCTAAAATGAGCTGTTAGGGAAGAATGGAGACTAAACGACACTGGTTGAGAATTAATGATGAGTAGGAGTTTGTCAGGCAAAGAGACCGGGAGTGTTTCAAGCAGGGGAGAGGTATGTGCAGAGGTCCCAAGGCAGAAAAGAGTTTGTTCTAGTAATGGAAATGAAAGGAAATGAGTGTATCTGAAATGTACTGAGCAATAGAGAGAATGAAGGGAGATGTACTTGGACATGTAGGCGGGGCCTTGCAAAACTTATGAGGAATTTTGTATTTCATCCTAAGTGCAGTGAAAAGTAACTGGAGAGTTTTACTAAAGACAAACATGGTCCTGTTTGCATTTTAAAGTCTTTGGGTTGCTGTTTGGAAAACAGACTGGAGGATGAAAAGAGACAAATTTGGGGGTCATTGCAGGAGTCCCAAGTGGCTGATGATGATGATTAGACTACTGGTGGCAGTAAAATTGGGAGAAAGAGAGTGTATGTGAAGTGTATTGTGGAAGTAGATTTGATGTACAAGACTTGGTGGTGGACTGGATGAAGAGAGAGGCGCTCCAGACACCTCATTACAGGCTTTCCTTAAACCACTGCTCAACTTCCTCCCACTTCTCCTGTGTCTGATGGGGACCAGTCCTTTTCAGAGTTAACACCAGTGTAAGTATTTCATGAAAGAGAGGAGGACACCACAGGCTTAATAGATAATTGTTAGTGATCTTATGTTTAAGAAGATAGTAGTGATGGATAGGATGGGGGAAATGGAGAAATAGATGGAAGACAGCTGTCTACCCCCATAGAACAGCTGTGGGACCATCTGTTTGTCAAATTTCCCATACAAAATGCTCCAGGCTGTGTACCCTGGGTGGTTATCACGCTGCTGGAGAGCATTAACAGTAATGTCAGTGACCTGAGAGTTCAGTTTACGAATAGTATCTGAACACGGCCATTTTGATGGAATTCTTTCTCTTTCATTTTTATAAGAGAAAATAAAAAGAATTATCTTAAAAAATAAAGAGTTCTTCAGGAGGCTAAGGCAAGAGGATCACTGGAGCCCAGGAGTTCAAGATCAGCCTGTGCAACGTAGCAAGACCCTGTCTCAAAATAAATTAATAAATATTAAATACATTAAATTGAAGAGTTCATACATATACAGTCATGCATTGCTTAACGATGGAGATATGTTTGAGAAATGAACCCTTAGGCGAACATCAGAGAGTGTTCTTAAACAAACCTAGATGGTATAGCCTACTACACACCTACGTTATATGGCAAAGCCAATTGCTGCTCCTAGGGTAGAAACCTACACAGCATGTTACTGTACTGAATACCCTGGGCAATTGTAGGATGATGATAAGTACAGTTGACCCTTGAGCAACACAGGTTTGAACTGTATGGGTTCACTTAGGCACATTTGTTTTCAGTTATAGTTACACCACATGTGCCTGCCTCTCCTGCTTCCCCTTCTGTTTCCTCCCCTCTTCTGCCTCTGCCACCCCTAAGACAGCAAAATCAACCCCTCCTCTTCCTCCTACGCAACATGAAGACTGCTCAACATGAAGATGACAAGGGTGAAAACCTTTGTAATGATTCACTTCCACTTAATGAATAGTAAATATGTTTTCCTTGTGATTTTCTTTTCTCTAACTTACTTTATTGTAAAAATACAGTTTATAATGTATATAGTGTACAAGATATTAATATGTGTTAATCAACTGTTTATGTTATTGGTAAGGCTTCCAGTCAACAGTAAGTTATTAATAGCTAAGTTTTGGGGGAGTCAAAAGTTATACGCACATTTTAAGCTTTGTTGGGGGTTGGCGCCCCAGCGCCTGCATTTTTCAACGGCCAACTTATTTGTGTATCTCAACACATCTAAACATAGAAAAGTACAGTGAAAATATGGTATTATAATCTTCTATGACCACCATTGTGTGGTCCTTTGTTTACTATCACATGTAGCACATAACTGTATTATTATGTATACATTGATTTAAATACTGATAATTTATAAAAATTTAAAAATCAAACATCAGGTCCACGACAACAAAAAATTAAGCAATTAAGCCCAGTATTAATGATTACAGATTAGAGAGATCATGTTCCAAAACATATTTTTGGCACTCATTCTGGCTGTGTATATTTTACTTGAAGGTAATCATTTCTGAGACTGGCTTATTCAGCAAGCTGCTGTTAAAGTTATTTTGCAAAAGATTTAGACTCAGTCTCTTTCTACTCACACATATAGCAATAAACTACTTCCCAGTGGCCTCACTGGGAGTCTCTATGTCCGTATCATGGAATTGTGTGTCTGAGTTTGGAATTGATTAACTAGAATTTATACAAAGAAGAGTGGCCAAAATAGTGAGGGTATTCTAAACTTTTTAATATTAAGAACAGATGAAAGAATGGGGGATATTGAGCCTGGAGAAAGCAGCTTAGGATAACTATCTTAACTATTAATATTTTAATATATACTAGAAAAGCTGTAATGTGGAAGGATTGAATTTACTTTCTGTGGCTAAAAAGGGCAAAATAAACACCGATGAATAAAGGACAATGGGAAGCAAATTTATGTTCAATATAAGACAGGCTTTGCCAAACTGAACAGTTCAAAAATCAAACAGTCTCAGAAGGTAGTAGCTGGTTCATTGGCATGAGTGGTATCTTCAGAGACTAAATGACCATTTTTGCTTAATGTTTTATAAAGTTTGATCAGTCAGTAAGCATTTGGCTGAAGATTCTAAAGTCTCATTCTATTTCTAAGATTCCATTGTAGAGTTGATTATGTCTCCAGTATCCATTCTCACCACTCTAAAAGCCATAAATTTCCATTTGATGACTTGTGTAGTTCACTGGCATTGCATTGTGGAGTGGTGGGAAGGGGTTTGAAGCTAGGCTAAGTATTTGGTGCATTTCATTTCTCTGGCTACAGTGATTGGGTTGGGGTGAGCATGTAATTTAATCCAGTTCTGATGTCTTGAGAATTCTGGGACTAATATGCTTTCTTCCCATGAGTTATGCATTGAGAAGTATGTAGTCTCTACAGTAACTGGTAGTCATCTTAGAACCACAGGAGAGATCTTGCCTAGAATGAAGTCAGCAACAAGGAAACCAAGCAAAGAATTGAAGAGAGAAAGACCTGGACCTGATCACATCACGAGACTAGTAGATCCAGCCTTTTCGAAGCCAGGTGTCCCAATGGACTTTTCGATTACACGGGTCAGTGGAGTCTCCTTTTGATTTAAGCTGTTTAAGTGTATTTTTCACACATGCAAATAAATTATTCCTGATTCTTATCCAATTATGTGTAAAGTAGTATCCCATTCTCAGAAAGTGAAAAGAGACCAACTGCAGTCTGCATACAAGGGTCTACACAGCAATCAAGAGATCTCGCTAAAACTGATCTCTGAATCACGTAAATCCTAGTTTATCCAAAAAACTGGTCTCTATAACCATCAGTATCTCTTTCAGAATAAACCATGTTAACTAGCATTGCAACTGAAAAATTAATAAGAATTTAAAGATCTAAAGCAGTTTTATAGAAACTTTTCATCCTACATGTATAAACTCAATCCTTTTTTTCTCCTTGCAAGGTTACTGTCCAAAAAAAAAAAAAAAAACAACAACAACAGCAAAAAGCAGCTATGACCAATCTAGAAATCCTACAGTGTTAATGACCTCGTGAACAGATTATATTAACTGCTTAAATAATTTCTTGATTTGATTAAGGTTTTGGTAACTTCTCAACACTAGAACTATAAGACCCATAAACTATTCTGTATGTTGTTTTTCAATCCTCCTTAACCTTGGTTCTATAGAATTTGGGTTTTGACACATATTAATAAGTCATCCTTAGCTGGATTCAAAAGTTATCATCCTTACTTATCTATGTTTATATGTGATTAAAAATAAAAAGTGAAAACTACAAACATATACTGAGGCTAAATAGTAATATCAACCTTGCCTCCAGGATAGAACTTTCCTGGCTGCTGACTTGTGGCCAATTGATATGCTGAAGGTATTGATGTTTTCCCTCAGTCCTCAGGGCATCTGGCCAGGGCCAGAGGCAGACTAAGACCCCACATCAGTAGCCTCTGGTCAGGAGCAGCCTTGCCTGTTTGCCCAAAATGCTGTAGAAATATTTTCATTTCCTACATATGGCACTGCAATAAAAATTCCAGGATGCACTACCCTAAATAACATGACTTAAAGTTCTACCTTGTTCCTTATTGAACTTGATATAGTCCAACTTCGGAAACCTATAATAAATATTACTTTGCCAGCATATTTGTAAAGGAAACTTAAGGCTTTCCTTTGAACTGAATTCAAATAATTTAAGAAAACCCCGAACTTATTTCCTTTTTCATCATTGACATAAAATATTTTCACTTGTCTTTCCTCCTTGAACATTATTTATTTTTATGGCCTTTTTCTTAGTGCTCCTCCTAGAAAAATGGATTTTTAGCAAGTTCTGGTATTAAAATAAAATTGTGAATTTTCAGGGTGGAGCATGTTACAGTTCATGTTTCCTCGCAGCATTGCTATTCATGGGCAAGATTCATACAGCTACAGAGAAGTGAGAAATTTTGTTGTAGGGACCACACATAGTCCTTGGAAGATTTGTAAGGGACACTCCACAAAGACAGGTTCTTGTTTCAATACAACGATCCCAATGAACTATCGACCACTTTTCTATCAGTTTTATTAACAATGGTTATTTAAGGTTATCAGTTTGAAATTACAGAAAACAAATTCTTACACAGGTGTTCTTATGTTTCAACTTAATATTGACGTAGAGAAAACCATTTTCTGCCGAACGTGAACCATAAATTTAGTCTGTGCTCAGTTTCTATGAAGGCCTCTTGTTTAACCAGGATAAAAAAATCGATTATCTACAAAATATTAAATCTAGGTATTTGTTGGCCAATGTAAATCAGAACCAGTCTAAGTAATTTAAGTTTATAACCAGCAGAAGATAAATTATTTCAAGATGCTTACTTTCATAGGATAAAATATTTTATTAACAATAACATGTCAGATGCAAACAAGTTTACAAGCTCAAAACTCTGCTGTAACTCTGAAGGAAAGGATGGGAAGCTTTTCGGAGGACTTATTTTTCTAACCTGGTATCTTCTTTTGAATTCCACCTTAAATGGTGCCTTACTTCTTGTGGGGTCAGTGGTGCCTCTATCTCAGAATACAGGTAGGCCAAAGAAAATGCTCTCATCTATTTTTGAACATCCTGGGATCCTCAAAGTGAAAATTCTTATAAATAGTAAGAAATATATGAATAGAAGACTGCTTGGAAATGATCCTATTTCAGTCAGAAAAAAAGATGCCTTCTGAGAGAAAAGATGACAAGTATGTGGATGACCACAAAATCCAATGGCTTACTTATAGCAGCAGGCACACTGCCTATACTTCATTATGCTAGATTCACAGCTTGCAAAATGAGTAATATGAACAGAGTTTAAAACAAGTAGAAATTTGAAGCAGTGACGGTATTCAGAACAAAAACTGTAACTCACCAAATTCAAATTACTGACTGACGTAGTAAGGAGTTTTCACCCAGGAAATAGACAAACATTTACTGATTTTTTTATTATGTGTAAGGCAGTCCCTATACTAGGCATTCCATAAAAGCCTGAGGCATTTATTGGCAATCCCAACCAAAGAGCTCTTGATTCAATTTAGCCAAAGGAATGGAAAGAGATTAATTGTATACAGGTCGGTAGTAATGGATTGGGTGTGGAGCTGGTTTCTGAGAATCTGGGATCCCACTGATTTGCTTACATAATTTTCTATGCCTCGCTTACTCCAGGGTATTCCTGATCTATACAGCAGAGATAAGTTCTTTATAGAGTTTAGATTATAAAGAAAAGGAGTGCTATGGATTTATTTCAACACAGGATTGGTTTTCCCTGCATTTCCTGGAGGAGTAAAGCTCCTTGGGAGCACATCATGGCTATATTGTATAAATTTTTTCACAAAAGAACCTATCAATTTGTAATTTTCAGTAAATATTAAAAACAATAATAGCATAATAACTCTAGATATTTGGGGAATTGTTTTCACAAATTGAAATGTCAGTAGTATAATAGTTTAAATATCATAGCAAGCACCCAAACTAATAGTCAGAGACCTAGGTTCTCATCCCAGCTCTCCTACTTATAGCTCTGTGAATGTGGACAAGTCATAGACCCCTCAATCCTGAATTTTTTTTTTTACTTATGAATCCTTAATTTCTGAGGTTTATTGTGAGAATCCAACAAACTGTATTCTTTTTTCATTGAAAAGTCCTGTAAGGTATTTTATCTATCTTTATTGAACATGTATCTAAGATATGATAGTATTTTCACATCTCAGTTAACATAATAAATATAACAATATAATGTTTATTGTATAGCACTCATTTAAATCCTTAATTCAATTCAATAAATCTTAATCTGAGTCATCCCTGTGGGTAAAGAATTCACAAGTGAGATATTTCCCTCTCCTCAAGATACTTACCATTTTTTTTTTTTTTTTTTTTGAGGCAAGGTAGTGTTGTGATGCCCAGGCTGGAGTGCAGTGCCACTAACATGGCTCACTGCAGCCTCAACCTTCCGGGCTCAAGTGATCCACCCACCTCAGCTTCCCAAGTAGCTGGGGCTACAGCTGTGCCACAATGCCTGGCTAATTTTTTTTTTTTTTTTTTTGTAGATATGGGGTCTTCCTATGTTCCCCAGGCTGGTCTTGAACTCCTGGGCTCAAGCAATCCTTCCACTTTGGGCTCCCAAAGTGCTGGGATTACAGGCATGAGCCACCTCACCCAGCATATGCTATTTGTAATCTAATGGAGGCAATACACCCAGATAGAACCCCTCATTTATTCCACAAACATTCGCTGAATTCTGCTAGATTACAGGCACTGCCCTAGGCCCTTTGCTGCAAATAGGAAAAACCCTGTACCATGACTTCAAAGAGCTTGTGTTCTCATAAAAAAGGCAAAGTTTTTTTAAGCTGCAAATTATTCCCATACAATATGCAAATGCTATACAGAAGTATGCACCACACAGTTTAAGTAAGGGTGGGAAGGAAGCAATGAAGGAGATGATAAAAAGTACTAAAATATGATAACTAGAACAACTGACAAAAAGTCAGAATCAAATTTATGTTAAAATTCTAACTGTGTGATCTTTTACAAGTTACTTTATTTCTCTCTTAGCTTCTAGGTCTGTAAAATGGAAAAACAATTCTCATAGGACTTTTGTGAGGATTAAATGAGGCAAGTGTAGATAAAGCATTAGCATTATACCTGGCACATAATAAATGCTCAGAAGTTTCATTATTGCTAACATATATGGCACATCTATATTATCTCTGCTTGAGTACCTAATACAATGTTATTTAAACAGCAGATTATCTGCAAATTCTTAGAGTTCTATCTGGCCATTATTATGAACATTAATTTAAAGACGTTTATCATTATAACCATCTATTCCAACAATATACTATTGAAGATGTAGTTTCTATTTACTAAATTAATACTAACCACCTGCTTATTGGTCCTTTTCCCTTTTCTTCTAAAAGCAGAATGTAGACAATAAATAAATTAGAAACCAAATGTATGCATCCACGATAAATCCGTTGATTGAAGGTTTTGATTAATGGAATTTGACTTAAACCAGACCAATCGATCTATGATAATCACTGTATATTTTTATTAGAAAATGTACACATGTACTTTTTGGAACTTTCCACAATAATTAGCTTAGGAAAAAGTTATTTCGATTTTGTAGAGCCTTGGGAGATAATTGAGCGACTCTATTTGTACAACAAAAAAAAATGAGGATTTGGAGAAATCATTTGGCTAAAGTGAGGGGCGGGATTCCATTGAAGAATAAATGAAGTACAAGTTCTTCTATTAAAAACTAAAAGACAGCTCTTCACTTTACTTAGGAAAATGTAGCAAAATTTTTTTTATTTTTTTCTAAATAAATAGTCAAAATGAGATTAGAAGCCTTATGGTTTTAAAACTTTGAGAGGCTATATGATTTTCTTATAGGATACTCAGAATTCTTTATGTTGATATAAATTTAGAGATACATACAACTCAGTTACTCATGCAAACTTAGAAACATTCCATTTGAAAAGATCCAAAGAATTGGCCAGTTCCTTATTTTTATGGCAAATAAAAAGTAGCCACTAAACTGGCTTTATTACTATGATTATTATTTGCTTCTGCTCTTCCACTTCCTCTTCTTTCTCCTCTTCCTTTCTCTCTTTCCCTCCATCCTTTCCTTTTTCCCATTTACCTTTCTTTCCTCCATCCTTCCTACTTTTCCTTTATCTCTTTCTATACATCTTCCTTCCTTTTTCTTTTTTTTTTCTTTATGTGGCCAAGGACCAGGTACTTTCCTAAATGCTGGCAAAGAAACAGTGAATTAAATAGACACAGTTCCTTCCTCACAGAGCTCACAAACTTCTATGGAAAACTGTTAATTAAACAAGTGTGTCTATCACAAGATTATAAGTACTACAATCAAGCAAGTATGGGACAAAAAGTACATGGCTGTGGATTGTGGCTTAGTTCATGAACAAGAAACAATTTATTACCCAAGGCTTCTGAAGCTGCTTTACATCTTACCACATAGGTATTTATATATCAGTATACAAATACAAAAATACAACATAATCAAACTTTGTCTCACAGTATCCCAAGATAACTAGGTTTAACCATTTTGATTCACTCTAATAAACAGGCTAACCTCCTTCACCAGGCATTTATAAAATAAAGGAGTAAATAAAAGAGGGTTAAAGAAAAAGCATCTTTTTGTATCTGCATGGGGATGGCCTGAGACTTTCGGTAATGTCTAATCTTTCTACATAAATGTTACTGCAAATATGTGGGTGCCACTGGAACTGGTCTGGAATTTCAAGTCTCAAAGTACTAGTTATGACCTCATAAAACCTATGCCATCTGGTTTTTTTTTTCCTTGCATGGAGAAGTTTTAAAGTTTAGTATAGAAGGACTTATTTTAAATTTATTTCTTCCCACACAAATTTATATGCAGGTTGGCAAGCTTTCTCAAGGATCAACATTTCTGACTTCATCTAAGGGTTTTTTCCTTCAGTGTAATCACAGATGACTGTTTTCCAAATGCTTTTTATAAGTTTTGATTCTGACCAATTAGCTAATAAACCCCTACATGGACTGATTAGTTCTGTACAAACAAACCTCTTGCCATAAAATATCAACACTTCTTAAAGGGCAACATGTGAACTGTTACCGTCCAGTTCTAATTTATTGTGCCTACTTGCCTTCTTGGAGAATGGCAGCAGGCCAGGCAGGAATATCTAGGCTTGTTTGAAAGCTCCTTCTGGGTTGCCTAGCAAACCTCCTGTGATGGGAGCCAAGCAGCCTGGCCTCTGCAGATCCTGAGTACCCTGCAGACAACCTCCTCCTCCCAGGATGGAGTTCAAGAAGTATTCACAAATGTACATATTTAATACATTTCCATTATAAAGGCAAAGTTTAATCTGTGTAGATCAACACAGTTTCCTGACCAATTTCTGTATAATGCCAGTACAACACATACAGGCAGAATGCATTTTTCCAAAGTTGATAGCACAGGTAAATTTTATAAAAATTCAAATGATATCTATCTATCTATCTATCTATCTATCTATCATCTATCTATCTATATATCTATCTATCATCTATCTATCTATCTATCTATCTATCTATCTATCTATCTATCTATCTATCTCATTGTTTAATAACAATTACTAGGTAGCAGCACAGCATTTGCAAACTCTGTAGTCAGGACATTAAATATTCAACACTCTCCAAAGTTTTGAAACTCAAGCACATACCTCTTTCTCTCTCTTTCTTACATGAAATTTCAAGAAAGCCCTGGGAAACAGCATGGTAATGGAAGAAAGACTTTTCTGAGAGTCAGAGGACTTGCGCTTTAGACTCGGTTCAGATACCACCCAGTTGTATAGCCTTTAATGATTCACTTTACTTTTCTAGGCCTCAGTTTCCTCATCTGTCAAAGTACAGGACTGGTCAAGGTCATCTTTAGGGCCCTTTTTGATCCTAACATTATGTCTTAT
Organism: Homo sapiens; assembly: GCF_000001405.40. Classification (NCBI taxonomy): domain Eukaryota; kingdom Metazoa; phylum Chordata; class Mammalia; order Primates; family Hominidae; genus Homo; species Homo sapiens. The sequence goes on along the minus strand of NC_000004.12, from coordinate 118,927,348 downwards.
CAATAATAAAAAATAAAGAGAATTCAGCAGCTACAGTCAATGAAAGAAATGAAGAGTGAATACCTGAATAATGTCAAATTATGGATTTTTTTAATGCAGAAAATATCCATGGCAGAAATTTCATCTTGCCTCTCTGCCCAGAACCTGCTAGGATCCAGGCAAAGCTGTGCATGTTGGGCAAACTAGCAAGACAGACCAAGACAGTTAACTTGCATGAAAGTTTTGGGTGTTGCTTGAAAAGAAAAAAGGAGAGGGAGAAGACTCCAGAAGAAGAGTGAAGGTGATACAGGAGGACAGCTCAGTGTCTCCCTGAGTTTGCCTCTAAGAAATAGATTTCAATTGATGAGCAGGGGTGCCCTACGCAGGGACCAATAGAGGGTAAATCAATGCTGCTTCAGTATCCCGTTAACCAAGTGGCATCCCGCATAGAGTAGAAGCATTCTCATTCCCTGTGGATGAAAGGTCTGGAAGAAGGGAATCTGCTCGTGTACTGTGGGGATTTGACAGACTTAAGGGAGCTGGACAACAGCACCCTGCTCCTCTAGAGAAAAGCCTATTTGACTATAATAATCATCATCTACATTTATTACATTTTATAACTTACAGCATTTTCAGTTTTTGTTTCATTACACCATTTAACAAGGTGCCTCTTTTAACTGATCATATTCTTTTCTTTGCTTTAACTGATAAAAAGTTCAGAGACCAAACTGCAACCCAGCTCTCAGGGTTGCTGTGTGTTTTTGTATAGATTTGCACCATACAACTCCAGGAAGTGCAATATATTACCTTTTAATTATGTGCCATTACCATTTAACCATGGCAGAAAGAATATTTAATCACCTTTATTATTCTTTTTCTTACCTCTAACTGATCATCAAAACCTTTCTACTGCATTACCTAAACATTTCTTAACAATGTCCTATTTACCTCAGCCCACTCCAGCTGTCATAATTCACATCTTTATATTCCACTGTTGAAATAGCTTCCCAGCAGCTCCATACATATATAAAAAGTATTTTTCCTCTCTCACCAGGACTCAAGAATTATGTGAAAAAAATTCATTTTTGCTAATGCTTTGAATAGTTCCCTATCACCTACTCACAGGAGGAAGAGTTGTATCATTGCTTGCAATAGCCTACCTAATCTGGCCTCTGCCTGCCTCTCTAGCACACCTCCTATAATCCCCAGTTGCGTTCTCCATTCACATGGAAGTGCTTACATTTCTGCAAACACTCCATGCTACACCTTTGTCACTGCAAATTGGCATGCTCCATCTCCTGCAACCATATTTCTCCTACTCATCTGCCTGGTGGATAATCTACTGCCCTCCCACCGACTACTGTGCACATTTTGGAGGCAGGATCCATGTCTAATTTATCTTTGTTTGCCCAGTACCTAGCAAAAATCATGGTACTTCTTAGACGTTTATTTTAAATATCTGGAAATTTCTGAAATGTCAAGGTTGGGGAATTGTCACACTGAGATTTCAGAGCACCAACTCTATACTGTAATTGTTATCCAAACTCACCGAGCAGAATTATAATTACACACCCCACCCATAAGTTTGTGCAGGAAGGCATACATCACTTGTTTATCCTTAAAATAGTTCCCATTTCCTTTTCTTAAAAATATACTGGGGACAGAATTAAACTGACCCGCTGATTTTAATAATTGAATACAACTACTTCAGGAACCCTATTAGGATTAGATTTTAATAAGTCTAAAGGTAATGAATGTTGTTCTGGAAAAGCTGCAGAGCTCAAGATATCTAGGCCTCTGTCCTTACAGACCAGTCTTGAAGGACAAGGGGGAAACAATGACAAAGATCACAAGCTCTGCAGACCTGGGGCTTGTACTAAGGTGGACAGCCTGAGACATAGGTGACGATAATAAACTATGACTAGAAAAACATGCCACTGGAGTGGGATTTGGAGGTAGAAAAAAAAAATGACAAGGTGTTACTTCCAAGTCAGCTGGGCTTTTGAGGCCAACAGTCATCTGGTTTAAAACTGGCATATTACTGGCTGGTGAGCCTAGGTAGCAAATCACATCTGAAGGGCTTCACATGTCAGTCAGTCCAGGTAATAAAATTATATTTTCTTGGGTTCTCTTATGTTAGGGATATGTGCCATCCTCATGTCTCCCTAAAACACATTTTTTTGAATAACCATGGCACTGAAATGATCACATTCTTAAAACTTCGGTGCACTCCACCAAAATAATTAAACTGTAAACACAGATTCTAGCAAAGTGCTACATCTTGCCCCACAGTGAAATTAATGGTGCATTTCTGTGCACATCCCATGCAAGGAAAACAAGCCTATCCTTCACTCCAAGAATTTAGTGGTTGCAGTACTGCAGCCATGGAGGTGATGTGATAGACTTTACGTGCCTAGGGCAAAAATGTGCAGAATAATTTTCTATAAACCAGTAGTATGTTAGCTATTCAACTCAAATGCACACTATTTGGGCTTTTGCAACTGAGAGACTGACAGAAATAGAATTAAAGAGGAGTTGCTTCATTGCCTATAGAGTGGCCTAAAGAAAAATCTTCCTTTAAAACAGCAGATATACCAGCAGGATAGATTGTCCAATTTCCAAATACTGAGCTTTGCCTGGTCAGAGAAGACAATTGGAAAGAAAATTTCTCCATATCATTTTGGAGATTCTACAGCCCTCTAGCACGTCCACATAGGAAGTGTGCCATATATCTCAGGATAGGGCCAAAGGCCAAGTGCCTGTCAAGTGTCTGAAAAGATGGGTATATGTGGGCAGAGGTAGGAGAGGAAATGCCAGCATCCATGACCATCCAGCCACACTGACCAAGGGCTCGGGCTTCTTTGCTCTGAGTCCCCTAGTAACTTCTGTGTTGCCGATGTACAGAATGCATGTTTGGGGAAATATTTCCACCCTCTTAAGGGCCACATTGTTACTCAGAATGCTCATAATTCTGTTCATCTCTAATGATAACAACTAAAAGGCAATGGCCAACACCAAATTAAAAGTTTCTGTATTTTGCATTTAAAATATACTGTTAACATTTGACCCTTTCCGGCCAATTGTAGATTCCCACGTTCAGGAAAAATGGGCAAAGGATTTCTGCAGACATGTACAGTCCTGGAATAAGGATATACCTGTAACATAAGAGATTGCTTTTTGATATGTCTGTAACTTTGTATTGACTTGCTGGTCTTTAATCTGCTGGGGAATGCTATACACCCACACGGAGCACTTGGGTACTGCCTTTCACATTTAAATCTTTGATTTACTGACAGATGTGTAAATCTGATGTATCTAGACAGCTCCCGTCAACTACATATGTATTGAAACACAAATTACATAAAAGTGCAAATTATTCCAGCTGAGATCATCATTAATTGAAACTTAGAATAACAATTCATTCAAGACTTTCTTAAAAAACATGTTGCCACATGAACTCAGGTTTTTTTTTTTTTTTTTTGAGTGCAGTCTATTGAAATGTCTGTCCTTTCCTCGTGCAAGAATTTTTCCATAAGAGTGGTTCTGGAAGCTGAGAAGGAGTTTCAATATAGGGGTAGCACAAAGGCTACAGAATGTTAAGAGCCAATATCTCTCCTAAGTAGATCTGTATTCTGCAGGCATTTTCTCAGCTGGACTCAACAGCCAGGATCTACATTCTAGAAGAGATGCTACAGGTCAGCTAATATCTTGTTTGTATTTCAAACTAGGAAGCAAACTCAAAGTTCAATATTTGGGTTCTTAAATTGTATGTTACTTGTGCAATATGGCAGAAACACCAATTTTCTATTATTATTTTTTAACTTATTTTGGGTTCAGGTGTACATGTGCAGGTTTGTTATATAGGTAAATTGCATGTCATGGAGGTTTGGTGTACAGATTATATCATCGCCCAGGTAATAAGCACAGTACCTGGTAGGTAGTTTTTTGATTCTCTCTCTCCTCCCCAATCCATCCTCAAATAGGCCCTGGTGTCTGTTGTTTCCTTCTTTGTGTTCATGTGTACTCAATGTTTAGCTCCCACTTATAAGTGGGAACATATGATATTTGGTTTTCTGTTCCTGCATGAGTTTGCTTAGGATTATGGCTTCCAGCTCCATCCATGTGGCTGAAAAGGTCATGATCTTGTTCTTTTTTATGGCTACACGGTATTCCATGGTGTATATGTACCACATTTTCTTTTTCCAATCTACTGTTGATGGGCATTTAGGTTGATTCCATGACTCTGCCAGGAAACGCCAATTTTCTGAAGCTGCCATCGTGTTGTGTGTATGGCAGAGAATATTTTGTTTTCCAAAATATATGCAAGAAACCACAGTTCCTTTAATAGATATCCATGGAATTCATTATCTTATTTTAAAGATTTACTTTGTCCTATAAGTACAGATGTATAACTAAAGATATATTTATAGATAAGTCCAGCTAGTCCAAATATGGCTAAACTATACTATATGGATGATACTCTAATAAAAAGATTTTATTTTTTAACAGACTGGAGCCGAATATCTGTCTGGGATCTCTAAACGTAATGTGAAAAATACCAGACACTTCTCCCTGGAGTTTAAAATTTAAGACAACACTAAGTCTCTCTATCCCATTATAATAAAAGCCTTATATTCACAACTAACAGAAATCAGAAAATGCCAGTTGATCTTCTAAAAAAAAAAAAAGGCTGTTACCTTAACCCTCTTTGGTTACATGAACAAAGATGATATGTGTCCCTTTTTATAAACATGTAGGTTCCAGTAGAATATATAAGTAGCAAATATCTACATCCTGTGAATATGCAGGTAGAAAAGAGGGTTCAAAAAAAAAAGAGTGGAGAGCAAAACCTGTTTGACTACACCATCAAGCTAGTAAGTAAACTATTAGAGTTTCCTCAGGGAATTATTTAGAAGGATAAAGTAAGGAGCACCACAAATACATTTTACTTCCAAAAGGAATCATCTACCTGTATGGCTTATATTTTTATAATATATATTCTTATATTACAGAAAGCCAACTTTTTTCTTTCTGTAAACCTGAAGGATTTCTTCAGGGAAAGAAATAACCCTATCATGCAGACGTACATCTACTTTAGACAACACCTGATTCGAATCGATAATTAAAAAGGGTAACAGAAACAACTCCAGAGTAACAAATCTACACATGGTTCACTGGAATTACTCAATGGCTAAAAAATTACACTCAAGTACAAGGAGGCATTTTTTATGCAAGCTTGCCTTGGACATTCACTCCCTCCTCATTTATTTAACCATTTATAAGCCCATGCTAGTCACTAAGGATATAAAGATGAACAGGATACAGTCCCAACCCTCAAGGCACTCCCAGTAATGAGGAAAACAGTCCTATAAAAAGATAATTGTGAAACAATGTGTTAAGTGACAAAGATATGCACAGAGTATTATAAAAACACTGAGATGAGGTAATTAATTTAGGGCCAAGACTGGCTATCTGGAGAGGTGACAAAAGTTAATCAAGTGGAAGAGGGAGAGGACTGCATATTGAGGGAGAAGCAAGAATGAAAACAAGATGTCAAAAAAGAGTATGTGTGTGTGTGTGTGTGTGTGTGCATATGAAAAGTAACTGTAAGCAATTTGATGTTGTAGGAATTTAAAGCTTAAGTGGCAATAGAAAGATAAGGCAGAGAATTAGACAAGACATAATTAATAAAGGATCTATTTTTCCAAATTAAAGAGCTTTGGCTTTGCTATGGAGGGAGTGGGGAAGCATCGAAGGGTTTTTTAATTATTATCATTATTTTATTTTAGAGATGGAGTCTTACTATGTTTCCCAGGCTGGGCTCAAAGTCCTGGTCTTAAGTGATTCTCCCACCTCAGCCTCCCAAGTAGATAAAATTATAGGCACAAACCACTGTGTGTAGCTTCCAAATGATTTTAATCAAGACAGTGGCATGGGCAGATAGATGTTCTAGATACGTCAGCCTGGCTGTTGTGTCGAAGATGGGTT